>NC_000023.11:133429381-135929381 GCF_000001405.40 Homo sapiens | reverse complement strand
GTGAGGAAGTTCAGGCCACAGAAGATGAGGGGACGACCCAAGTCCCACTGTCAGTAAATGGCAAATCCAAATCTTGACAGTTGAGGACAACCAGACGGGCCCAACGGAGCCAGCCAATGCTTTTAGGGGCCTTGGTGAGGGGGGAATGACAATAACTTGTGTTCTAATGTCCCTGCCCCTGCTGCCATGCCAAACACAACCTGATGATTCCCAAAAGAGCTTCTGCTTTAAAGTAGGTCTTCTCTGATGGTGGAAAAGCATGGTTTCCACAAGGTTTTGCTCACAGATGTGTAGGGGGGTCCATGAATATACTTGATATTCTGCTTAAACCTGACTTTCACAAGTGTGATATCCAATGTATGTAATGCATTAGTCTCAGAACCAGAATGAAGAAGTTTCTGAATAAGTTGTTACAGATCATCAAATTATGTATACAGAGATCTTTCCATTTGAGAAAGTTCCAAGTGCTCTGCAAGTCTTGTGAGGGAGATTAGTAAAAGTGATTCCCAAGGAAATGTAAAAAAGGGAATATAGATATTTGCCTTTTCCTAGTGTCTGCTATGCAGCCAGCAGTGGGGTGTACAGACCTGTGTTTGAACCCAAAGAGGTAGTGCCTGCATCAGAACTCAGCTTAGCCACTGTGGGTTTTCTCTGAACTGGGAAGGAAGGACTTAGGATGGACTGGTGCTCCTGGGACACCGGAATCTGTCATCTACAAGGCCAGAGCTTGCTAGCAGGTCCTAGAGCCTCAATATTGCAGTTTCCAAGGGGAGAGCCTAGAGTCCAAGAAGGAGGCTTACTAGAAGAGTCCAATCCAGTTGGTGCCCCTTGGGCAATCTCTTTAAGAAACAGGGAAGAAAAGGAGATACAAAGAGGAGGTTTGGGCCTCCTATGGAAAAATATGTGCAAGGTTTTGTAAATTGTGGAATTTGGAAAAATACATGGAAGGTTCTGTAGACTCCAGGTTTTACAGGGTCCAGGAGTGTTTTTCAAGGAAACTGAGCAGAAGTGCAGTCCCACAAAGCTGGACCATGTCTAGGTAAAAGGGCTTTAAGGAATTCTGTGAACACAGGCTGAGGGCTCATCCCCTGTGCATCAGCTAGGAGGTTGGCAGCAAGACCAATCCCAGGCTGTGGCTGCTGAAGGAACTGGAGGAATAATGGGCTTCTGCCTTGGCCAGCCCCAACTCCACGATGGGCAGGGAGGATATTGTGGATGGAGGCCAAAAAACAAAAACAAAAACCCAAATCATATTCTTAAACTTTTCGTCCAAGAAAGACTGATGATGCAATCACAGAAGGGGCAGTTGGAAGAGCTTTGCCTCATGAGGCCCCTGCTTCATATTCCCAACCATACTTGGTGCCACCCACCTGTCCCTGTCCCATCCATCTCTGTGCTGAAGTGACTCCAGCCTCTTTGTTGTTCCTCAAACATGACAGGCATGTGTCTATTACTGAGCCTTTATAGTTGCTCTTTCCTCTGCCCAAATAACTGTTTCCCATTTTGTTATTTTTCTTTATTTTATGTTATTTTTAATTATTATTTTTTTGTGTGGAGATGGAGTCTCTATTTTGCCTAGGCTGGTCTTGAACTCCTGGTCTCAAGTAGTCCTCTTGTCTCAGCCTCCTGAAGTGTTGGGATTACAGATGTGAGCCACTGCTCCTGGTCATCTTTTCCATCTCTCCTTAAATACCACTGTCTCGGAGAGACCTTTCTGTCATCTAATCTAAAGTAAGACCCTCAGTAATTTCTGCCCCTTGTTTTCATCATAGCACTTCCACTTGCAGACAGTCTATCTGTGTCATGGTTCAGTGTCTCATTTGTGGGCAGGCATTGCTACCTGACTACCTGCTATCCATTCCCCTTTCTTCCTCTCTATTGTAACCCTGATTTTGTTTTGGGCAGCCCTTTTAAAAAAATATTTTCCGTCTTGGACTCTGTTTCAGTAAGGGTGGTCCTCTGACCCAGTTGTTGACAGTGAGATGTCAGCTGAGATGGTGCTGAAAAACCTCTGCTTTCAGAGCCACCCCTACCTTCTTCCACTTCTCTCCTTTTTATATTCTGGGAAGAGTCACTCACAATGCCTGGATGTGGAGAGCCCTAATCCCCTGCCCTTACTTAGTGCTGTGCAGTCACACTGGAGCCCAAGGCACGGGGGAAATGTGCACCTCGATAAACATATTTTCATAAATTTTTAAACAATTAGTGTTTCCAGAACATTAAAGTTGTTGCAAATGTATTGAAAAATTGGAAAGTAGGTGCACAAACCTTACAATATTATTTTTTAATTTATTTTTTTTATTTACTATATATACACACATACATATACACACACGTGTGTGTATATATATATACATATATAATATACATATATATATATATATACACACACACTTTCTTCCACTTTCTGTAAGCAAAGGTAGTTTTGCTTTTTTGTATGTATAGTTATGTGTGTTTTTCTTGAGACAGGGTTGCGCTCTGTTGCCCAAGATGGAGTGCAGTGGCACAATCACGGCTCACTGCAGTATCGACCTCTTGAGCTCAAGTGATCCTTCCCCATCAGCCTCTGTAGTAGCTGGTGGGATGACAGGTGTATGCCAACACACTTGGCTAATTTTTATTTTGTTTTGTAGAGACAGGGTTTCACCATATTGGCCAGGCTGTTCTCGATCCACCCACCTCAGCACCACACCTGGCCTAGATATGGTTTTTTTTTTAATTGTAGAGCTTTATTAAATTTTTCTACTTGGTTGAAAATATTATTAAGCCAAAATGTTGCACACATATTTGTAATCTGCATGTGAAAAGACACTTTCTACTTGGCATAATATTTTATGTTATTTCATACTATGTCTTTTTTTTTTCTTTTAAGAGGGAATCTCGCTCTGTCACCCAGGCTGGAGTGCAGTGGCATGATCTCGGCTCAATGCAATCTTTGCCTCCTGGGTTCATGCCATTCTCCTGCCTCAGACTCCTGAGTAGCTGGGACTACAGGCGCCTGCCACCACACCCGGCTAATTTTTTGTGTTTTTAGTAGAGACAGGGTTTCACCGTGTTAGCCAGGATGGTCTGGATCTCCTGACCTCATGATCTGCCCACCTTGGCCTCCCAAAGTGTTGGGATTATAGGCTTGAGCCACCGCGCCCGGCCATGTCTTTTAATATTTGATAACCATCTTTAATTAGTTTTTAGTTTCTTCATTGCATGTTATCTTGAAGCCCAGTATGTCTCTATATAAATATATAATTTTCCAGATATATTTTGATGTGTTATTTTGAACAGATATAAGAACTTCCATATACTCATTGAATTCA
The DNA here is from genome assembly GCF_000001405.40 of Homo sapiens. Taxonomy (NCBI): domain Eukaryota; kingdom Metazoa; phylum Chordata; class Mammalia; order Primates; family Hominidae; genus Homo; species Homo sapiens. The sequence goes on along the minus strand of NC_000023.11, from coordinate 135,926,067 downwards.
CACAAAAAAATGAACCCAATGAGTCTCATGTTTGGCATAATGATTTTTGATTAAATTCTGGCAGGTATGTACGCTTGTATACACCTGCCATAGATGCTCCGAGGGGAGGGAGAGCATTAGGACAAATACCTAATGCATGCGGGGCTTAAAACCTAGATGACAGGTTGATAGGTACAGCAAACCACCATGGCACATGTATACCTATGTAACAAACCTGCGCATTCTGCACATGTATCCCAGAACATAAAGTAAAATTTAAAAAATTGGGAATACACAGTTTGCTTGTTTGGTTTTCAAAAGATTTGATTTCCCAGAAGCATTAAGTATTTGTTCTGAATTTTTAAGACCAGTCAGACACATGACCATTGCTCTGTTGTTAACCATAGCATCATTATAAACACTTGTAAGTTCACCTAAATTTAGAAATATTAAAACATTTGGACTTTCAATAATTTCCTGTTATCTTTTGTGAGGTAAATTATTTCACATACAAATGTGTCGATATCTAATCACATTGATGCTGAGTGGTTCACTGATGGAAGTATTTTTACGGAAAATGGAAAAAGAAGGGCAGGATATAATGTGGATAGTCTACAGCAAACAATAGACGCCCAGGCACTGCCACCTAATGCCTCAGCACAAAAAGCAGAGCTAATTCTCCTCGCTAGGGCCCTGGCTGTAGGTCAGGGAAAGATACTAAACATATATATTGACTCCAAGGATGCCTGCTTTGTCCTTCATGCACATGTTGCTATCTGTAAAGGACGGGGTCTTCTAAATGCAAGGAATTCCCCCATTGAACATAGTAAAGAAATACTGCAGCTTTTAGGGGCTGTGAATGATCCTAAGCAAGTGGCGGTCATTCACTGTGAGAGACATCAAAAAGGAAACTCCTCAGTCTCATTGGACAATGCAAAGGCTGGCAGGCAAGATAGCAGGGCAATCACGGAAGGTGTAGCCCCGCTGGCCTTATTCCTCTCTGCCCATTCTCTATATTTTATCTTATTTTTTATTTTTTTGAGACTGAGTCTTGCTCTGTCACCCAAGCTGAAGTGCAGTGGCATGATCTCGGCTCACTGCATCCTCTGCCTCCTGGGCTCAAGCAATTTTCCTGCCTCAGCCTGCTGAGTAGCTGGGACTACAGGCAGGTGCCATCACGCCACTAATTTTTGTACTTTAGCAGAGAAGGGGTTTGCCATGTTGTCCAGGCTGGTCTCAAACTCCTGGCCTCAGTTGATCTGCCCGCCTCAGGCTCCCAAAATGCTGGATAACAGGTATGAGCCACCATGCCCCGTCCCATTCTCTTGATATAAATCCATCCTATACTATAGAAGAAAGAGCATGGGTTAAGAAAATCGAAGACCGTAACACCTGAGGGTTGGTGACTCATACGCCAAAAGCTATTGCTTCTTCAGTCCCACCGTGGCAAATTGTTAAAAGTTTACATAATTCCCTCCATATGGCAGGACGCTATGACCCGCCTGGATGAACCATGTTTTTACAGGTAAAGGCCTGGCAACCACAATAAAAAAGGTCACTCGGGCTTGTGAACTTTGCTCTCAAAGTTACCTTGGGGGCAAACAAAACAAACAAACAAAAAACAAGGGTCTCCTCCTTTATTAACCTCAGTCCAGTGGTAACGAACCTATCCTGGTGAGGAATTGCAAATTCACTGCACCCAAATGCCCTCCTTTTGGGTTTTTAAATACCTTTTAGTTTTTGTAGACACCTTTATTGAATGGGTAGAAGCTTTCCCCACCAGAACAGAGAAAGCTACAGAAGTGGCCAAGGCACTGCCAAGAGAGGTCATACCAGATTTGGCCTCCCCTGCTCCTTGCAGAGCGACAAAGGCCCCTGTTTTCTTGCAACTGTAACCCAATAGATAGCCCAAGCTTTGGAAATTAAATTTCATCTCCACTCCTCATGGAAGCCACAATCCTCCAGCAAGGTTAATAGGACTAATCAAACTTTAAGGCAGACACTGGCAAAACTGTGCCAGGAAACTTCTGAGTCTTGGTACACTCTGTTGCCTATAGCCCTCATGAGAATACGAGTGGCACCCAAAGAAAAGACAAAACTTAGTCCGTTTGAGATGACTTCTGGGAGACCCTTCCTTACCTTAGACCTGTTAATCAAACTAGAAACCCTGTCTACTATACAATATAATCGAAATCTAAGCCAGGGGCCAGTTGCGGTGATCCACATCTGTACTTTCATCACTTTGGGAGACTGAGGCAGGTGGATCACTTGAGGTCAGGAGTTGAAGACCAGACAGGGCAATATAGTGAAACCCCCAAAATACAAAAACGAGCCGGGTATGGTGGCCATCCTATAGTCCCAGCTACTCAGGTGGCCGAGGCAGGAGAATCACGGAGGTTGTAGTGAGCCGAGCCTGCATCACTAGACTCCAGCCTGGGTGACAGAGAAATAGTCTGATGTCAAAAACAAACAAACAAAACAAAAAACTAACCTGGGTACAGCAAGCTATCCAGGAGTATGGCAATGCAGTGCTGCCCTCACCTGGACAAGTGAAAAACATTCCCCAAATCCTACCTGGAGACAGGGTCCTATTAAAAACTTGGAAGGAAGGCCACCTGGCAGATCCACTTCTTCCTAAATGGAAGGGACCTTAGCAAGTACTACTCACCACCCCAGTGGCTGTCGAGCTGCAAGGAATAGCCAGTCGGGTTCACATGATCAGAATTCAACTTTGCAATAAATCTTTACACGAACCAGAGGAAGCTACTAATTATACCTGCCAGCCCATAGAGGCTCTAAACTTTCTATTCTAGAACACAATTCCAGATAAAGCCAATCTGGAAGATAGGTAACGTCTTCATTTTCTTGGTACTTGCCTGCCATACTGTAATGACTTTTAGAGACACTGGCCTGTCTGCTGGGGAAGTAATTAACCATACTGTTAGTCTATTAAACTTAACTCAGGCCTGGGCATGGTGGCTCACGCCTGTAATCTTAACACTTTGGGAGGCCGAGGCAAGTGGATCAACTGAGGTCAGGAGTTCGACACCAGCCTGACCAACATGGTGAATCCCGTCTCTACTAAAAATACAAAATTAGCCAGGCATGGTGTCGCATGCCTGTATCTCAGCTACTTGGGAAACTGAGGCAGGAGAATTGCTTGAACTCGGGAGGCAGAGATTGCAGTGAGGTGAGTTTGTGCCATTGCACTCCAGCCTGGGCAACAAGAGTGAAACTCCGTCTCAAACAAAACAAAACAAAAACAAAACACAACAAAACAAACACACACACAAACAAAAACAAAAAACAAAAAAACTTAACCTTGTTGACTTTGCATAACTACCAAATGTTGGGGATATGCCAGACCTGGGCCCTGAGAAGACTGGCCTGGCATCCCAGCACATCTCCAGGGACAAACTCACTGGCCCACAGAGGGGGGATATCAGGCCCAACAGTCAATACAAAGGGATTTTATTAGGTCAGGTCCTGGGTTCCTTAAGCTCCTCCTCCTAATTATCAACAGTAGTTCAAATATCTCAAAAGGAAAAAATGCTTTCTTACATACCTTTTATCCAGAGCAATTTCCCTTCTGCCTTTACATTAATCATGGCAGTTCTGCCACTTTCATAGAACTCCAAGAGAGTCAGTGTAGCTGACCCTTTATCACTGGGTCACATATTTTAGTCAATACCTCTACGGGAATTAAACTAATAATAAATGGACACCTCATCCAGACAACCAATTTTTTGCTCTATTATGTCCTCGGACTGGCACCACCTCTATTTCCTATCAACCAAACTACAACCTCTAGTTTTTGCTGAGGCCATCCTCTCACGGGAAGCCCCTATTCACCTTATCTCAATACATCCGCCAAGGACTGTCAACATATTCTATCACAAGATAACTATGTTCTGTGGTGGAACCCTAAAGGGGGAACTTTATTTAAAGAATTTATTAATGCCACCATCCAACTCTACCATTCATTAATAGACCCAGTAACCATTGCCAACTTATCTGCACAAAACCTTTCACTTACAGGCCAGAAAATAGGAGACCCCTTTTAGAGAACCTCCACTGCATTCACCACTTTAATGCAAAATACTTTTGCAGCAGAAATTTCACCATCATAAAAAATTTTGGGGTTTTGTGGATCTTCAGCATATCTACAATTACCTCCACTGTGGAAGGGGCGATGCTCCATCGCTTACATTTCCCCTTATCTAACTTTCGCATGGGCTAACACATCTCTCCCTTCCCCCATGTACCAGCACAGCAAGATTCACCTCTGAGCAAGACCCCATATTCCCCTGTGTTTAGTATTGCCCTCTCTGTTGGGATTATCAGGGTCAGCTATGGGAGGTGGAGCCTTGGGAATCCAGCATAAACTGTTTTAGGAGATCATGGTGGCTCTCCAACAAATGGAAGAGGGCCTCACTGGACTTCAACAACAGCTGGACTCCCTCGCCAGTATAATCCTACAAAACTGAAAAGCCTTAAATCTTCTCACAGCTGGACAAAGAGAAACATGTTTGTATTTGAAAGAGGAATGCTCTTTTTACATCAATCAGTCTGGTTTAGTCCAAGAAAATATTAAAAATATCATTACTCAGGCAAACGAAATTAACACTTTAGGAACTTCCATGGGAATTAGGAAGCAGTAGCTATTGTCTGCCTTGCTCCCTTTAATAGTGCCGGTCATTAACATACTTTAACTTTTGGTCCAACTTTGTTTATAATGATGATTTCTTACTCTCCTGCTTACAGCAATTCCAAGTCCACAGGTTGGTTTCACAAGGCTTTCAACCTTGAGCTGCTAATGAGCTATCTCATGCTTTGCCCACCAGTCCCGTGAACAACAAGGTTTACACCGCATTAGATCAGGCAGGAAGAGACTTTAGGGCCCAGGTTAGGCAGGGACAACACCCCACTCAGCAGGAAGCAGCTTCAGAAGAAATGACCTAGCCCCTCAACCTCCCATATGATTATAGGCCCTAAGATCTCTTAGGGGGGAATTGAGGCAGGGTAGGCAGTGAAGGAAGTGACCATGTCCTTGGCATGCAGCAACCGTGGGGACCGTACAGCCAACACAATAAGCCTCAGCATTCACATTGCAGTTAAGCTCATTCAAGCAAAGCTATCTTCAGTAGGGAATTTCCTCTGTAGAGAACATGTGCACTTTGATTTCACCTGTCCTCAAACTGACCCTTTGCTCATTATAATAGTAAAAAACACACCCCTGGGTGGAGATTTAAGATGCTAATGAGACATGTGATGTATGAACAAGCATGGGTAGCTACTGGGCACGTGGACCCAGAGGACCACCCAGAACATGCTTACTAGTAACAGTTCTTCCCACCTCCTTATGAATAATCATGTAAGACTCCCATAAAGGGAGTTTCCCCAGTAATAATCAATGCTGTCTCATCCTTATGACCAGCCAGCCCTGAATCTTCTCTGTCTCTCTCAGTGTGTATTCTGCATCTAACTTTCAAAATATTCATTTTCCCTGGCAATAAATTTCTCTATGCTGCATCTCCTTTGCTGTGTGCCTCTTGTTTAAATTCTTTTAAACTAAGAAAACAAGAACCAATGTCTCAGAATAGCCGTCAACAACACTCCAAAATATTCTACCACTTTTGTTGATTTAATCACCTGCAAACCATTGTCTATTAAGATATGAGTCTGTATATACATACCATAATACTTCTATTTTGGAAAAGCATCGTGCTGGAACAGGAAATTCTCATGTTTCCAAATTCTATTTCAGTTCTTCCAATCTGTGAACTCCCTTTTTTTGAGTTTCATACATCTGATTCTGTCACATGACTGCTAAAAAATATTTGCAGAGAGCCAGATAAAGACAAACATTATTTGGAATAAACAATCCAGTTAGGATGAATCCATTCTCTGTTAGTTGTTAGCATATTTTCTCATAAACATTTTTTTTTTTTTTTAGAGAGGGACTCGCTCTGTTGCCCAGGCTGGAATGCACTAGTGGGATGACAGCTCACTGCAGCCTTGATCTCCTGAGTTCAAATGGTCCTCCTACCTCAGCCTCCTGAGTAGCTAGGACCACAGGTGTGCACCACCACACCCATCTAATTTTCATATCTTTTGTAGAGCTGGGGTCTTGCTATGTTGCCCAGGCTGGTCTCATACTCCTGGATTCAAGTGATCCTCCTGCCTCAGCTTCCCAAAGTGCTGGGGTTACAGGAATGTGACACCATGCCCAGCCACACACCCATCTTTTTAAAAATCTCCAGTCATCATATGAATACATTAGAATCTGCATGTTGTTCTTGGTCTTGTCCATATTCTGTCTAGTAAAGCCCCTTTTGTTTTATTAGCCCAAACTCATGACTATGTGTTTCTGAAATATCTAACACTCCCCTTCAATTTCTTCTTACCATTTCAAAAAGTTTCCTTAGTTTTCAGTGGATTTGAGGGTAACTGTGTTCTGATAATGTCAATGATAGGAAATCATTTTTCAGCAGCTGCAATACTTTTTCAAGTCAACCTCATAATTGAATGACTCCCATAATTTTGATAAATTTCCACATGCATTTTACTTCTTTCTTGAACATTACACCACTTACCTTTGGTGCCTTAACTGTCTAAATAATTTTAGTATAATTTACGAATATATTTACTTTTAATTAATACAATCTATTTAGAGTAAATGTGCTCTCTAATACATAATCAAGTAATTTATATTAATTATGGATACTTGTGTGATTTACAATATATAGTCATTACACAGATGTCCATAAAAATTTATATAAAGATAAAAAATAGTTATTAAGCATAAAAAATTTCACACCAGGCTTATCAAATCTGACTGTCAAAAATTCTTGAAAATTAATTTTTTAAAAACGAAGTGAACACCAGTGTAATTTTCATAACTGTCTTCCGTGAAGAAAGTATAAAGGTTTTTTGATAATTGCTATTTTCCTGGGAAAGAATACTATTTCAGAAAATGTTTGCTATTTGATGAAATTCCATTTCAGAAAAGTCAAATATTTTAATGAATAAAATTTGCATGACCTACTTGAGGGTTCTTTAGAATATTTTCAAAAATTGTACAGACATATTTATAATTAAATCAAACGATTTCTTTTTTCCACCCTGTGGCACTATGGATTGCATGAGCATAGAAAGAGAACAATTGCCAGCTTCCCTCAGAAGGAAGCAGTGGTCATCACAGAAAATTGCAAGTAAGACGTTTTTAAGTCACAGGCCTGTGGCACCCACATGTCCCCTCCACGTGCATGACTCTCAGGGCTCTGCAAGTGCAAGGGCAAATCCTGTCTTTATTTTAAATTTCAATGTTTTGTTCATTGTGGAAGTTTTCTATTAATTTTGATTTTTAAAAAATTATGGGCCGAGTGCGTTGACACATGCCTGTAATCCCAGAACTTTCGGAGTCCAAGGCGGGGGGATCACCTGAGGTCAGGAGTTCGAGACCAGTTCGAAGTCTTTGAATAAAGGAATTACAGAAACACACCACTCTTGTGGCCAGGGATAGCAATCTACCCAGACAGGACTATCAAGGCCACAAGGAACATCAGAGATCAGTTATCCCAGGATTGTCATTTTCCAGAGATACAAATGAGACCCCAAGAAGGAAAAGACCCATCCCAGGTCGTAAGCAGCTAGGGTTGGAACAGAGTCTAAGAAGCCAAATATCCAGCCTGCCTGCTGCACAGGGCTGCTCCGTGCCCAGACCCAGGAGCCTCGAGTATTTGGGGTGAGAGCCTCTCCGCTTACTAAGGGCAGTATTTCAGCGAACGCACCGTCACTGGGTGCTTCCACTCTATTCTTCAAGCACAAAATATGGTTTGGCAAGTCCAGAAATGTTTGTCCCCTTATCCAGTATTATACGTGAGGTAAGAGCCTGATAGAGATGGAATAGTCATGTAAAAATACTATACCAGACCAATTCTACATGGCAACTCCCTTTTATGTAGACAGATAGATGTTTAAAATTAGATAGGTATTTAACATTATATATGCATATATACATACATATATTTATATGTGTGTGTGTGTGTGTGTCAGATCATGCGAATGCCTTTTACTCTATACATGTTTTTTAAAGATCATGAGGAACTGTTTGCTTTCAGCTGGCAAGGCCAGCAAAACCCCTTTTCCTTCCTACCTCAGTCTTATATCAACTCTCTAAGTGATAGAGGCAGGAGGCAGAGAAACTCTAGGCAGACAAGGGTGGTTCCTTGGTGAAACCACACCTTCAAGCTGAAAAGCCTGAAGTGAGAACTTCTATCCCAGTTTGGCCGCTCTGTCAATTGGTTCTTTCTGAATAATGTCTTTTTACCAATCGAATGTTGCCTTTTCCATAACTACCTACAGCCTGCCCTGCTCCCGGTCCCACGCCTATAAAGATTCCAGATTCAGCCAGTAGAGACGAGAAGTAGCTGGACATCAGGGAGAGGTGACTTGACTTCAGAGATGATGGCTGCACGTCCGGGAGAAGCAACTTGACTTCGGAGGAGAGAGGCAGAGAGGCGACTTGACTTCAGGGGAGAGCGACCTGCCCTTCCCATACGCTTTCCAGCTCCCCTCTCTGCTGCGAGCTGCTTTTATTGCACAATAAAATTCTCTGCACTCACCATCCTTCAATTCATCTGTGTGGCCTCATTCTTCTTGGGCACCAGACAAGAATTTGGGACCCACCATGTGTGGGTACCCAAAAAGGCTGTCGCATTGGGCCTTTGCCCTTGCTGACAGAGGGCAGCCACCCCAAGCAATGAGGCAAAGGTCCCACTGAGCTGATAACACACTGCTGCCTGTGGATGGTAGAGCTAGGAGAGCATTGTAACACGCACTCTGGGGCCTTGGGGTCGCAGGCATTCCTATCTGGATGCTGCCACAGAGCCTGGACTGAGTTTGCTCCTGCCAGTGCCAAAGCAGCTGGCCAGTTCCCACACTCACTTGCCTACGTATTCCCTCCCATGAGGGGTGGTGTGCGGTGGGCCCGAGGAAAAGGAGTTTGCTCCTGCTGGTGCCAAAGTGGCTCGGCACCCCTGTCATGAGTCCTGTGAAGGGGTCAAGAAAGTATCCTGCATCATAAACTTATGTCCCAAACTAATCCGTAGGGATCTTGATCTCCTTTCCCTCCAACCATGTGACACCATTACTTTGCATTGATGACATTATGCTGATTGGGCAGGACCTAGCAACTACTCTAGACACACTGGTAACATACTGACATGACAACCTAAGTATCAATTCACACAAAAAATCAGGGGCCTTTAAACTTAGTGAAATATTTAATGGTCAAGCGCTCAGAGGCATGTCAACATCATACTTATCAGGTGAACAGCAAGTTGGTACATCTCACCCTTCCTACCACTCAAAGGGGATACAAAAAATAGTGGGCCTCTTTAGGTTCTGATGGTGGTAACATGTACCTCATTGGCGTGTGCTGCTGTGACTTATCTGCTAATGACTGGAAAATCTGCTACTTCTGAGTTTGGCTTAGTACAAGGAAAAGCTCTCTGAACCCACACCTATGGCTCCGAGGGGGGTTCCTTATGAACAGAGTTGTCTAAAAAAGAAACAATCAGAAAATCCCTAGGCCTGGCTTACTTACTATTCTTTCTTTATAATGGGCTGGCAGCACCTGTATTAGTTTTCTATTGCCACATAACAAATTACCCCAAATTGAGCAGCTTAAAACAACACACATTTATTATCTACAGCTCTGCAAATCGAGACCGGGAAGGCTCAACCGGCCTCTCTGCTGTGTGTCTCCCAAGGCCAACTCAAAATGTCAGGCCGGGTGGGTGCTGATGTGGAGACTGTGGAATAATCCACTTCTAAGCTTATTCAGGTTATTGCCCATTTAGATCTAGTTCTTTGAGGTGGTACGAATGTGGTTCCCATTTTTTTTGCTGGCTGTCATCCAGAGACTTCTCTAAACGCCTAGAGCCACCCCATATACCTTCTCAGGAGCACGGCATTATCCTCAAAGCAGGCCTGCTGTGTCACATCCTTCTTGTGCTTTGACTTTCTTACCTCTTCTTCTGCTCCTTGGTAAGAAAAATGCTCTGCTTCTCAAGGATTCCCCTGCCAGGTCTGGCCCACCCACACCACCTCCATGTCTCAAGGTCAACTGACTTGAGAGTTTAATTATCCAGCAAAATCCCACCATAGCAGTATTTGGATTAGTGCTTGATTGAGTATACAGGAGATGGGAATCTGGGGAATCAGACTACAGCTGTCTCAGCTCGAGCTACTATCACAGAATACCACAGACTGGGTGGCTTCATCACCAGACATTTCTTTCTCAAGGTTCTGGAGGCTAGAAGTCCAAGATCAGGGTGCCAGCATGCTCAAATTCTGGTGAGCGTCCTCTTCCTAACTTGTAGTCAGCCACCTTGCTGTATCCTCACATGTTGAAGAAGCATGGAAGAACAAATTCTCTTTTCTTTAATTATAAGGGCACTAATCTCATCATAGGGACCCAAATATCATGACCACATCTAAACCTAATTACTTCCCAAAGGCTCCACCTCCAAATATCATCCCATTGGGAGTCAGGGTTTCATCGTATGACTTCTCAGAGGACACAAATATTCAGTCGGTCCACAATGCCTGCCTGCCACAAAAGCCAAAAGTGGACAGCTGCATAGTCCTGAAGGACAGTGGTGAAGGGAAATTCTCTCAGGGGGAAGAACTTTGAGCAGTGCTCCTGTGTGGAGGAGAGATGGCCAGGCCTATGAGATATTTGGGTCTCATGAGAGTTCTCAGCAAAGGGTAACCTCAGCAGAGAAGAATTTTAATAATCTGAAGGATAAGTTACCTATTATCTAGATATTAATCAGCCTCTTTCCCCAACACTTGTGTCACAACCTCATGGGTTCACAAAGTGGCTAAGGTGACCAGGGATAGAGATTATGCTTCAGTAGCATGGACTTCCACTCACCAGGGCCAACCTGGCTACAGTTAATAAAGACATGAGACAGCAAAGGATTCCTGGAGAAACCTGCCTTCAAGCCTAAAATGGCCTGAAGGTTGAAAAACCAGACTGCTGGTCCCGAATGTAACCTGCGATCCAGAGGGAGAACCGTCACTGTTTGCTCGCCCTTTCCCAACTGATTCTTTCTTAATAATGGCGACATGTACTGGGGGAAGGATGTGGAGCCACGGGAAGTTTGCACCTTGTGCAAGGGTGGCGGTGGGGAGCCTGGTCTCTTCGGTTCCTGTGTGGTGGCCCAGAATCAATATGTGAGATGGGGTCCTGTTAGCAGGACTCCCTCTCGCTTTGCCGAGTTTTTTTCCTTCCTATTTTTTCTTTTCAACCAATAAATTCCGCTCCTCACCCTTCAATGCATCCGCGAACCTAATCTTTCCTGGTCGTGTGACAAGAACTTGGTTTTAGCTTATCTAAGAAGCAAAATTCTGCAACATAGTCATTGCTGAGTGTACAATCTGCCAGAAACAGAGAGCAACACTGAGCCTCTTATATGACACCTGCCTGCAGAGTTATCAGCCAGCTACCAGATGGCAGGTGATTACACTGGACCACTTCCACTATGGAAGGGACAGGGCTGTGTTCTTCCTCAAATAGACACTTACTTTGATTATGGATCTTCCTTCCCACCCACAGTACTTTGAGAAAAGCAACATTTGTGCACTTAGAAAAATGCCTTATTTACCATCATGGTATTCCACACAGCATCACCTCGAAAAAAGGCCCTCACTTCACAGAATATAAAAAGTGCAGTGATGGGCCCATGCTCATAGAAATTCACTGTTCTTATTACGTATATCCCCATATCCCCCATCATTTTTTCAAGAGATGGTAGTGTCTTGCCCACTTGGTCTGTGACTCCACATCAGCCTCCCAAAGTGCCCCCCATTATCTTAAAATGACTGGATCAACAGAACAGTGGAATGGCCTTGTGGAACTCAGTTACAGTGCTAGCTAGGTGGCAATACCTTGCAGGTCAGAGAAATTACTTTTAGGAAGCAGTGTTTGCAGTATATCTGCATCCAGCATACTTTGCTTTCTCTCCCATAGTTAGGATTCATGGGTCCTAGAATCAAGAAGTAAAACTGGGAGTGTCTCTATTCACTATTCACCCCAGTGATCGACTAGCAAAAATGCTTCTTATCCTTCTGACTTTAGGCTCTGCTGAACTAGAAGTCTTAGTTCCAAAGGAAGAAATGCTTTCACCAAGCGACACAACAGTGATTCTATTGAGAACAGATTGATACTGCCAGCTGGCCATTTTGGTGTCTTCATCAATTTCCATCCAGAATCAAAGGAGGGGGTCATCTAGTGGCTGGGGGTGATGAACCTGATGATGAAAGGGGGATTAATTGCACTACACCAGGGGCTAAAAAAGAGTATGTCTGATATGTCTAGAGAGCTGCTTAGACCTCCCATTTTGTTTGTTTGTTTGTTTGTTTTGAGATGAAGTCTCACTCTGTTGCCCAGGCTGGAGTGCAGTGGCGTGATCTCAGCTCACTGCAACCTCCACCTCCCAGGTTCAAGCAATTCTCCTGCCTCAGCCTCCTGAGTAGCTGGGATTACAGCCGCGGGCCACCATGCCCGGCTAATTTTTTGGTTTTTTTTAGTAGAGACGGGGTTTCACCATGCTGGCCAGGCTGGTCCCGAACTCCTGACCTTGTGATTTGCCTGCCTCAGTCTCCCAAAGTGCTGGCATTACAGGCAGGGGCCACTGCGCCTGGCCCCTCCCATGTTTTTTGATTACACTTAATGGAAAATTACAGCAACCCAATCCAGGCAGGATATCGAATGGTCCAGAATGTTCAGTAATGAAGGTTTGAGTCAACCTGCGAGGCCAAGCACCATGACTGGCTGACATACTATCTCAGGGCAAAGGGAATGAGAAATGGGTAGTGAAAGAAGGCAGTTATAAGTACCAGCTACAGCAATGTGAGGTGCTGCAGAAACCAGGACTGTAATACTAAATATCTTGGTGAGTTATTAACTCATATCCCTCCTCAGGTGGAAGAAGAAACCAACAAACAAGAAAAGTGCAGCTTTTACTAACAGAGATTTATTAAATTTAAACAGCTCCCTTTTTCGTAGCTTCTGGAAGGGAATTCTCTTCATTTCAGGATTATAGGGAGCTTCAGCAATAACCTGTTCCATCCTACAGCATATGTCCTTGTTTCTCCTTGGTCTTTGCACTAACACAATTATCTTTTTCTCATGTGCTTAACTTTTCTGAGATGGCAGTGGGAATCTATTTCTTTAAGCGCCTTCTCGAGTTGCTGAATTAAGACAACTTTTTTAAACCTGAAATTAAAGAGGTATTCCATTCACCAGAGGATACCTACAGGATCTATGAGATGTAAGAGGTAGAGTGGATACAAAATAGAATTTACCATCTACATGCAAACAGAAAATGCATCCTCATTGAAAGATACAAACTAGAAAAATACAAAGTGAGTCAACTGAGGGCCCACATACACTCCCAGATTTTGATAAATTTGGAAGCCTCCATGGTATTGGAAGAAAGTGTTAGAATAAGATAGTATCAACCTAAATGCCTGTGGAAATAGCATGAACTATGATTGAGGGCCAGGGATTAGGAGGAACAAACCATGATTTTTTCCTGCCCCTGTCCCAAATTGGGCGCAAGTGCTTAAAACAATAGCACAGTTCCTTTTTGCACTCACCTTGCTGCTTCCTTGATGGTAAATTCAACAAATTGTCTCTTGACTTTCATAGATCCTTGTACCTCTTCAAGCAAAATGAAAATTCTTTCATAATCTGAAGATATTTTAAAAATTAGTATTTCTACAATTACAAAAATGAAATATACCTCAATCTTAGTGCATCCACTACCACAGTATACATTTTTCATGGGCTACAATGTTACATAGTGCTTGTTTTGAATGCTTAAATCACGACATCTGTATATTACTAAGGAAACTATTGTGAACACTAACAAAGGAAAACAAAACACTTAAGCAGACATATTAGCAATTTTCAGTGAAATTAAAGTAAAGCCATGCTAAATTATATATAGATCCAATTCAGCCAAACAATGAGCTCAAGAGGCAGCTCAATTCTGTTCTAAATCATAGAATGAGACACTTCTCATGCTTTCATTGATAGACATTCTTGCAGTACTTACTTTGCCCAAACCTTCGAACTTCTTTCATTAATTGATATTTTATATCATCATTAATTTTCTTTGCCATGGCAGGAGATATTTGTGGTGTATTTGGCACAGTTTCCACCAAAGACATTACTGTAACTGGTGGGTCACCTGCAGAGACACTGTAGTTTTTGGTGCCTACCGCAAATTCATTACTATCAGGTTTGTAAAGCAGCTCATCTTTGCTGAGACTTGTGAAGTCGTGAGAGAAAGAATCCAATGCATTGGGTGGCATACAATGTCCTGTCATATTTATCAGCTCTGGTGAATCAGAATTTGACAGGAAGCCATCAGGAGGGGTTTGATCATTTTCCATCTCCTCCTCCTGGATATCGTGAATGACAGTAGCATCTGGAATCCAAATGAAAAAATTGAGCTGTGAGATAAGTGCATTATGTCACCCCCACAGTATATCCCTCCGATGCCCAGTTTCTAGGGAGTTATCTCATGAAGCAAGAGGATACACCAGGTGGTGATCCAAGACCCCTCAAACTAAGTTTGAGTAAGATAATACAACAAAACCACCTTCTTCCCTGCAGGACACTATGCATGCATATGGAAACCAAGTAGGACAGTACAACCAATACACAAACATACACAGATCCCTGGTACTTCTGCATGAAATACCAGCTCCTGACAGATTAATACAACCAGGTGGAACCGTTGACAAGGAGTTATCAGGTGCCTGTTGGCCATTTGTCATCTTCTCCTCATGGACACTGTGAGTGGCGGTGACATCTGGAAACAAAATGAAGAGGCTGAGCTGTGAAGTAAGTGCATAATGACAACCCCACAGGGATATCCTGCTGATGCTCAGTTTCCAGGACGTTATCCCATACAGCAGGAGGATATACCAGGTGGCAATCAGAGACCCTGAAATTGAGGCAAGCAAAAGTAATACCGCAAAACCACCTTCTTCCCTTGATGACACTATGCATGCATATGGAAATCAAGTAGGAAAGTACAACTTATAAGAAAACATACACAGATCCCTGGTACTCATGGCTGGGATGTTAGCTCCTGCTATATTAATAAGCCCTGATGGAAGGGTTAACAAGAAGTTATGAGATGCTGGTTGGCCGTTTTTTATCTTCTCTCCACGGACATGGTGAGTAACGGTTGCATTTGGAAACCAAATGAAGAGATTGAGCCGTGAGGTAAGTGCATTATGTCAACCCCATAGGTATATCTCTCAGATGCTCAGTTTCTAGGAAGTTATCAATAAAAGAAGGCAAGGATATGCCAGGTGGACATATGATACCCCTCAAACTGAGGCTAGGAAAGAATATACAACAAAATTACCTTCTACCATTCATGAAAATATGCCTGCTTAGGGAAACCAAGTAGGACAGCACAACTAATAAGCAGACATACACAGATCCCTGGTAATCGTGGATGAAATTCCAGCTGCTGCCATATGACGAAGCCATGGAGGAGCAGTTGACAAGATGTTACCAGGTGCTGGTTGGCTGTTATTTATCTTCTCTTCACGGATGTTGTGAGTGACTGCAGCATCTGGAAACAAAAGAAGAGGTTGGGCGTGAGGTAAGTGCATTATGTCAACCGCACAGGCATACCCCTCTGATGCTCAGTATCTAGGAAATTATCTCATTAAGAAGGAGGATATACCAGGTAGCAATCTGAGAACCCTAAAATTGAGGCCTGAAAAGGTAATACAACAAAACTACATTCTTCCCTCATGACACTATGCATGCATATGGAAACCAAGTATGACAGTACAACAAGTGAATAAACTTACACTGATCCCTGGTACTCATGGATGAAACACCAGTTGCTGCCATATTAATAAATGCTGGTGGAACAGTCGAGAAGACATTATCGGATGCTGCTTGGCCATTTTTAATCTTCTCTTCATGGACATTGTGAGTGACGGTAGCATCTGGAACAGAAATAAAGAGGTTAAGTTTTGAGTTAAGTGCATTATGTCAACCCCACAGGTATATCTTCCTGATGCTCAGCTTCTAGAAAAGTATATCATAAAGCCGGAGAGGATATGCCAGATGGCGATCTGAGAACACTCAAATTGAACTCATGAAAGATAATACAACAAAACCACCTTCTCCTATTCATGACACTAGGCATGCATATGAAAACCAAGTAGGACAGTACAACTGAATAAGCAAACATACACTGATCCCTGGTACTCATGGCCGGAATACCAGCTACTGTCAAATAAGTAAGTCCTGGTAGAACAGTTGACAAGTCATAACTAGGTTGTGGTTGGTTATTTTCCATCCTCTCTTCATGGACATTTTGAGTGACGGTAGCATCTGGAAACCAAATAAAGAGGTTGACTTGTGACGTAAGTGCATTATGTCAATACCACAGGTATATCCCTCTGATGTTCAGTTTGTAAGAAATTGTTCCATAACACAGGAGGCTATAACAGGTGGTGATCTGAGACCCCTCAAATTTAGTCCAGAAACGATAATGCAAAAAAACCACCTTCTTCCCTGCATGACACTGCATGCGTATGGAAGTCAAGTAGGACAGTACGACTAGTAAACAAACATACACTGATCCCTGGTACTCAGGGGTGGAATACCAGCCCCTGTGACATTCATAAGCCCTGCTGTAACAGTTGACAATAATGTATCAGGTGCTCTTTGCTAATTTTTAATCTTTTCTTCACAGTCATTGTGAGTGATGGTAAAATCTGGAAACCACATGAAGAGGTTGAGCTGTGAGGTAAGTGCATTATGTCAGCCCTGCAGATATATTCCTCTGATACCCAGTTTCTAGGAAATTATCTAAGAAAGCTGGGGAGGATATGCCATGTGGACAACTGAGATCCCTCAAATTGAGGTTAGGAAAGAATATACTACAAAACCACATCTACCCTTCATGAAAATATGCATGCATATGTAAACCAAGTATGACAGTACAACTAATTAACAGACATACACAGATCCTTGGTACTCATGGATGGAATACCACCTGCAGCCATATGACCAAGCTGTGGTGCATCATTTGATATGACCTTATCAGTTTGGGGTTTGCCACTTTCCATCTTCTCTTCACGAACACTGTGAGTAATGGTAGCATCTGGAAACCAAAGGGAGAGGTCAAGCTGTGAGGTACGTGCATTATGTCAACCCCACCGATATATCCCACTGATGATGAATTTTTAGAAAATTATCCCATAAAGCAGGATAATACATCATATGATGATCTGAGGCCCCTCAAATTGAGGCCAGGAAAGATAATTCACAAAACAACCTTCTTCCCTTCATGACACTATGCATGCATATGGAAATCAAGGAGGATGGTATAACTAAAAAACACACATACACAGATCCCTGGAACTCATTGCTGGAATACTAGCTCCTGCCATATTAATAAGCCCGGATAGAACATTTGACAAGACGTTATCCTGTTTTCGTTGGCCATTTTCCATCCTTGCTTCATGGACATGGTGATTGACGGTAGCATCTAGAAACCAAATAAAGAGGTCGAGCTGTGAGTTAAGTGCATTATGCCAAGCACACATGTATATATCCCTCTGATGCTCAGTTTCTAGGAATTTATCACATAAAGCAGGAGGATATACCAGGCAGCGATCTGAGACCCCACAAATTCAACTCACGAAAGACAATATAATAAAACCACATTCTTCCATTTATGATACTGCATTCATATGGAAACCAAGTAGGATAGTACAACTAGTAAGCAAACATACACTGATCCCTGGTACTCATGGGTGGAATACCAGCTCCTGCCAAGTTAATAAGCTCTGGTGTAACAGCTGACAAGACGTTATCAGGGGTTGGTTGGCTGTTATCTTTCTTCTCTTCACGCAGATTGTGAATGATGGTAGCATCTGGAAACCAAATGTAGTTGATGAGCTGTGAGGTAAGTGCAGTATGTCAATCCCACAGGAATACCCCCTCTGATGCTCACTATCTAGGAATTTATCTCCTAAGGAACTAGGATATACCAGGGAGCAATTGAAAACCCTAAAATTGAGGCCAGAAAACATAATACAACAATACCGTCTTCTTCCCTTGATGACAATATGCATGCATATGGAAACCAAGTAGGACACCACAACTAGTAAACAAACTTACGCTGATCCCTGGTACTCATGGCTGGCATATCAGCTGTTGCCAAATAAGCAAGCCCTGGTAGAACAGTTGACAAGGCGTTACTAGGTAGTGGTTGGTTATTTACCACTCTCTCTTCACAGACATTGTGAGTGATGGTAGCATCTGGAAACCAAATGAAAAGCTTGAGCTCTGAGCTAAGTGTATTATGTCAGCCCTACAGGTATATCCCTCTGATGCTCAGGGTCTAGGAAATTAACTCATAAAGCAGGAGGATACAGCAAGTGATGATCTGAGACACCTCAGATTGAGCTCATGAAAGAGAATCCAATAAAACAACCTCCTTCCCTTTATGACACTGTGCATTCATATGTAAACCAACTAGGACACTACAACTAGTAAACAAACATACACTGATCCCTGGTATTCATGCCCGGAATACCAGTTGCTGTCAAATAAATAATCACTGGTTGAACAGTTGACAATACGTTATTAGGTTGCGGTTGGTCATTTTCCATCTTCTCTTCACAGACATTGTGAGGGACGGTGGAATCTGGAAAACAAATGAAGAGGTTGAGCTGTGAGTAAGTGCATTATGTCAGCCCCACAGGTATACCCCTATGATGCTCAGCTTCTAAGAAATTATTGCATAAAGCAGGAGGACATGACAGGTGGTGATCTGAGACCCCTCAAATTGAGCTCAAGATAGATGATACAACAAAACCTCCATCTCCCCTTCATGACAATATGCACGTATATGGAAACCAAGCAGGATAATCCAATTAACAAGCAAACATACACAGGCCATTGGTGCTGATGGCTGGAGTACCAGCTCCTGCCACATTAATAAGCCCTGTTGAAGCAGTTGACAAGATGTTATCAGGTTGGGGTTGGCCCTTTTCCATCTTCTCCTCAGGGACATTGTAAGTGATGGTAGCATCTGGAAACCAAATGAAGAGGCTGAGCTGTTAGGTAAGTGTATTATGGTAACCCCACAGGTATATCCCTCTGATGCTCAGTTTCTAGGAAATTATCTCATAAACAGGAGGATATACCAGGTTGCCATACGAGACCCCTGAAATTGAGGCCAGGAAAGACAATACAACAAAACCACCTTGTATGCTTTTTGACACTATGCATGCATATGGAAACCAAGTAGGACAGTAATACAAATAAACAAACTTACATGGATCCCTGGTACTCATGGGTGAAATACCAGGAACGACAATACAACAAAACCACCTTGTATGCTTTTTGACACTATGCATGCATATGGAAACCAAGTAGGACAGTAATACAAATAAACAAACTTACATGGATCCCTGGTACTCATGGGTGAAATACCAGTGTCTGTCATATTAATACGCCGTGGTCGAAGAGTCAACAACACGTTATCAGGTGCTGGTTGGACATTTTCCATCTTCTGTTCACAGACATTGTGAGTGACTGTAGCATCTGGAAACCAAAGGAAGAGGTTGAGCTGTGAGGTAAGTGCATTATGCCAACTCACAAGTATATCCCTCTGGTGCTCAGTTTCTATGAAATTATTTCATAAAGCAGTAGGATATATCAGGTGGTGATGTGAGACCCCTCAGATTTAGGCCAGAAACGATAACACAACAAAACCACCTAACTCCCTTCATGGCACTATGTATGCATATGAAAACCAAGTAAGACAGCACAATTTATAAGTGGACATACAGAGATCTCTGGCACTCATGGCTGGAATAGGAGTTGCTGCCATATTAATAAGCCCTGTGGGACCAGTTGACAAGACGTTATCAGGTTGGGGTTGGCCATTTTCCATTCTCTCTTCACGGATATTGTGAGTGACGGTAGAATCTGGAAACCAAATGAAGAGTTCAAGCTGTGAGGTAAGTGCATTACGTCAGTGCCACAGGTATATCCCTCTGATGCTCAGTTTCTAGGAAATTATCCCATAAACCAGGAGGACATATCAGGTGGTGATTTGAGACCCCTGAATTTTAGGCCAGAAAAGATAATAAAACGAAACCACCTTCTTCCCTGCATGACACTGCATGCGTACGAAAAGCAAGTAGGTCAGTACAACTAGTAAACACACACTGATCCCTGGTACTCAGGGGTGGAATATCAGCCCCTGTGAAATTCATAAGCCCCGCTGTAATAGTAGACAAGAATTTATCAGGTGCCATTTGTTCATTTTTTATCTTCTCTTCACAGATAATGTGAGTAACAGTTGAATCTGGAAAACAAACGAAGAGTTTGAACTGTGAGGTAAGTCCACTATGTCAGCCCAACAGGTATATCCCTCTGATGCTCAGTTTCTAGGAAATTATCTAGGAAATCAGGGGAGGATTTGCCAGGTGGCCATCTGAGACCCCTCAAATTGAGACTAGGAAAGTATATGCAACAAAAGTGACTTCTACCTTTCATGAAAATATCCATGCTTATGGAAAACAAGTATGACAGTACAACTAATTAGCAGACATACGCAGATCCCTGGTACTCATGGATGGAATACCAGCTGCAGCCATATGAACAAGCTGTGGTGGAGCAGTTGACAAGACTTTGTCAGTTCGAGATTGGCCATTTTCCATCCTCTCTTCACGGATATTGTGAGCGATGGTAGCATCTGGAAACCGATGGAACAGGTTGAGTTGTGAGGTATGTGCATTATGACAATTGAACCAGTATATCCCACTGATGCTCGGTTTCTAGGAAATTATCCCCTAATGCAGGAGAATACATCATATAATGATTTGAGTCCACTTAAGTTGAGGTCACGAAAGATAATTCAACAAAACCACCTTCTTCCCTTCATGACATTATGCATGCACATGGAAACCAAGGAGGACACTACAACTAATAAACAAACACACACAGATCCCTGGTACTCATCGCTGGAATACCAGCTCCTGTCATATTAATAAGCCCTGATAGAACATTTGACATGACATTATCTCGTTGGGGTTGACCATTTTCCATCCCCTCCTCATGGACACTGTGATTGACAGTAGCGTGTGGAAACCAAGTGAAGAGGTTGAGCTGTGAGGTAAGTGCATTATGTCAACCCCACAGGTATATTCCTCTGTGTTCAATTTCTAGGAAATTATCTAAAAAAGCAGGGGAGGATATGCCAGCTGGCCATCTGATACCCCTCAAATTGAGGCTAAGAAAGAATATACAACAAAACCACCTTCTATAATTCATGAAAATATGCCTGCTTATGGAAACCAAGTAGGACAGTACAATTAATAAGTACTCATGGATGAATTTCATACTCATGGATGAAATTCCTGCTGCTGCCATATTACCAGGCCATGGTGGAGCAGTTGACAAGACATTATCAGCTACTGGTTGGCCGTTATTTATCCTCTCTTCACAAATGCTGTGAGTGACTGCAGCATCTGGAAACCAAATGAAGTGGTTGAGCTGTGAGGTAAGTGCATTATGTCAATGGCACAGGCATGCCCCACTGATGCTCAGTATCTAGGAAATTATCTCATAAAGAAGAAGGATATACCAGGTAGCAATCTGAGAACCCTAAAATTGAGGCCAGAAAAGATAATACAACAAAATTACCTTCTTCCCTCACGACACTATGCATATATGGTGCGTAGTGGAATCCTCGTAGGACAGTATAACAAGTGAGCAAATTTACACTGGTCCCTGGTACTCATGGATGAAATACCAGCTGCTGCCATACTAATAAGCACTGATGGAACAGTTGCAATGACATTATTGTGTGCAGATTGGCCATTTTTTACCTTCTCTTCATGGACATTGTGAGTGATGCTAGCAGCTGGAAACCAAATGAAGAGGTTGAGCTGCAAGATAGGTGTGTTTTGTCCCATCCTCCCCCAGAGGGACAGCTGTGTATTAATCAGGTTCTAAAGAATTATTTATTTCATGAAACAGAAGGATTTACCACGTGGAAATCTCAGATCTTGTGACAGAGATCAGGTCAGATAATACAATAAAACTACCTTTTTACCTCTTGGCATAATGAATATATGCAGTAAAGAAGTACGACAGCAGAATAAACATTCACAGGTTTTTGTATTCGTCATTTTGTATCATCTTGCTGCCCTTGATAGGCAGCAAGATGATAATTCTCACTTGATATTATTTGTATAGTTCACCTATAAATGCCATGCTGTGCACAGCAGGAAGCCAGACTAAGTGAGCCCTCCTTAACCTGCCTCCTTTCTACCCCAAATACTCTGAGAAAATACACGTGGCTATTGGAGTTGAACACTCTTATCACCACTCCATCATCACACATCTGTATTTTTATATGATTCTACAGATCCTTCCCTTTTATCTAGAAAAAGTGACTTTCTTTTCACTCCAGGTCTGACGCCTCTTTCATTTATTCATCATCTGTGGCAGGCAGCATGCCAGGACCCAGGGATCAGCAGTAAACAGCCCAGGGAGCAACGTTCCCTGCCCTTGTGGAGCTCACATCCTCATGGGGCAGTCAGACAGTACATGCACAATGAGCAAATGAAACAAGCAGCATTGGGCTGGTGTTGGAAAAGCAGTCCACAGGCCTGTGGGAGACAGCAGCAGAGGGAGCCCCTGGGGCTGCAGCTGGTTTGGCAGAGGCTTCTGAAGAAGTGCCATTGGGCAGGGCTTGGAGAAAGAAGCAGAGCCTCCTGTGCAGAGGCAGAGGGAGAGTTCCAGGCTGCAGTGAGGCCAAGGGTAGGGAATGGAGTGGGGATGGACCGGGCACTACAGAGGTGAAGGTCAGAGGCAGAGAGAGCCAGGAGGAAATGGATGGGACCCATGTTAGGAGAGGGTGACAGAGGCCAGGCTGTGCAGAGGCTTGGAGACCAAAGCCGGTTCAGGGTCTGTTCTGAGTGCTTAGGAGAGATGAGGATGGGTTTTCAGGAGGGACATGGCATGATGTGATTTACGTGCTGAAATAATTATCTAGCCACAGGGTTAGAGAGTATGCGATAGATGAGCGAAGATTAGAAACACAGAGCTAAGAAGGCATTGTACTAGCCTGGAGACAGATCACGGCAGCATGCACTGGAGGCATAGAGAGAAATGGTTGGATGCAGAATTTATACTGGGCATCTACTGCTGGACTTGCTAAGAAATGGGAAATGAGAGAGTAATAAAAGAATCATGAGATAACTCATAAGTGACTTTAAGTATTTTGACTAGAACTACTAAGTAAAAGTACACCAGGGGTGTTCAGGAGGTGTTAGGCAACCGACCATGAGAGCTGAGTGCTGCCAACTCTTCCTGAATCTGGTTCAGTGACCTTATGTTGACAGCTTGAACTAGGCCATGGTGGGATTATTTGCCCGATGGATAGCTGCAAACTGTAAAAACCAGGATTCCTCAATCCCCCATACCTGTGAACAGCTGGTTGTTACACCTTTGTGGATGTTTCACCTAATGGACAGTATCTTTAATTGAAATAGTGAAAGCTAAAAGTAGAGTATTTTTGGAGAGAGGGAGGTCAGAAATTTGAGCATGTAGAGTCAGTTGAATTTTACATGCCTATTAGACACCCAGTAAAGATACCGCGAGTGTAGTCGTATTTGAGTCTGGATTTCAGGAGCAAGTTGTAGTGTAGAAGTATAATGGTGAGAGTTCTTATAGTGTGAATCATTTAAAATTCTAAGACAGCACGGCATCGCCTAAATAGATAGTATACTGAAGAGAAGAGAGTCTAGGATTAAGCTTTGGGGTTCCGAAATATTTAGAGGTGGGAAGGGAGAGGAGAAAAACAAAAAAGAGAAGGAAAATGAGTCTCTAGTAACAGGGTAAGAAATCCAGGTGTCTGGGGACCCAAGAAGCTTTCCGTGCAGGAGGGAGTAAACAACTGTGTCGCATGCTGCTGAGACATTAACGCCAAAGTGTAGCAAACACTGGTGACCTTGATGATAGTAGTTTCATTGGAGTACACTAAGAAGCCAGACCACACTGGGTTAGAGCGGAATGTGAGGACAGGCAGAAAGTGAGCAGACCCATCCTCTTGTTGAGCCCACCATCTCCTTCTGCCTCAGGAACCTGCTTCATTCATCTAACGCTTGCAACAACTCCAAATTGTTGCACCTAATTAGAACCTTGCCCTTCCACTTGCAAATGTGCTCATATCTGTTCATCCCTCAAGGACATGACTACAAATGTCCTTTGACATGGTTGAGGCCCAAAGATTGGATTCCCCCTCACCTTCCTGTTTGTCTAACCACGAGGACATACTCTTCCTTCTCTTAGATGAAGAGTGTCTCTTGGATTTTCTGGAATGTTTCTTTTTGCTTTGATGCCCTGTTGCAACCAGATTTACTTCATCACTCCTCATTTGCTGAAAAACATCAGTGAACATATTCCATTAAAGACAAATCCAACCACTGCAAAGTCACAGTCTTCATATGCATACACAGCCATGCATTTATATCATTAATGTAAGTTTTAGTCACAGGTCAAAGATTTCTCATCCCTGAACATACACGATGCTCTCAGAAAAGGCAAGCTAATTTTAGTCAAGTCTCAGTGAAACAAGGGAAGGTAAAATACAAGGTGTTATCCAAAGTCAAACATGGTACAGTCATGATAAATCAGAATGCTTGGGGAATGAGTGGCTTTCATCATCCAAAGGTATAAACATATGGTTATCTCTCTCATGAAGTACACATCATTTTGTCTCAGCCCTTGTTAGGGGAGAAAAAAAAAGAAATACCTTTTTTATCTTTTAGTGCTTTTTTTTTTTTTTTTTTTTTTTAGACGGAGTCTTGCTCTGTCGCCCAGGCTGGATTGCAATTGCATGATCTCGGCTCACTGCAAGCTCTGCTTCCCCAAGTCACGCCATTCTACTGCCTCAGCTTCCCGAGTTCCTGGGACTACAGGCACCCGCCACCACGCCCGGCTATTTTGTATTTTTAGTAGAGATGGGGTTTCACCGTGTTAGCCAGGATGGTCTTGATCTCCTGACCTCCTGATCCTCCCACCTCGGCCTCCCAAAGTGCTGGGATTACAGGTGCGAGCCACCACACCCGGCCTCTTTTAGTGCTTTAAAGTTACTTATTAACCAATAATCATTAATACTTTATTAGATGATACATATAGATAATGAAGGGTAGGATAGATTGAAAAGATAAATTTTCCCACCTCCAACCTTATGGAGATTCCGATATGTTGATCTTGGAATCAGGTAGGGGTAGGGCGAGCTTTACAATGTTAGTGGTAAATAAAACATGAAAATGAAGGGTATAGTATGTATGTTAACTAAAAGCTGTTTTCATCAAAGGATAACCCAAGAATATGTTCCTGCCTACTAGAGGTACCAAGAAGAGCTGGTAATATTACTACCGAAACTATTCCAAAAAATTAAAAAGGAGGGACTCCTACCTAACTCATTTTATGAGACCAGCATCACCCTGATACCAAAACCTGGCAGAGATACAACAAAAAAAAACTTCAGGCCAGTATTCCTGATGAACATCGATGCAAAATCCTCAATAAAATACTGGAAAACTGAATCCAGCAGCACATCAAAAAGCTTATTCCCCATGATCAAGTTGGCTTCATCCCCGGGATGCAAGGTCATTTCAGAATAGGCCAATCAATGAATGTAATTCATCACATAAACAGAACTAAAGACAAAAACCACACGCTTATCTCAATAGATGCAGAAAAGGCCTTTGATAAAATTCAACATCCCCTTATATTAAAAGCTCTCAATAAACCAGGTATTGAAGGAACATACCTCAAAATAATAAGAGCCATATATGACAAACCCACAGCCAATATCATACTGAATGGGAAAAACCTGGAAGCATTACCCTTGAAACTGGCACAAAACAAGGATGCCCTCCCTCACCTCGCCTATTCAACATAGTATTACACGTTCTGTCCAGGGGAATCGGGCAAGGCAAAGAAATAAAGAGTATTCAAAAAGGGAGAAAGGAAGTCAAATTACCTTTGTTTGCAGATGACATGACCCTATATCTAGAAAATCCCGTTGTCTCAGCCCAAAAGCTTCTTAAGCTGATAAGCAATTTCAGCAAAGTCTCGGGATACAAAATCCATGTGCAAAAATTGCTAGCATTCCTCTACACCAAAAACAGGCAAGCAGAGAGACAAATCATGAATGAACTCCCATTAACAATTCCTACAAAAAGAATAAATTACCTAGGAATATGGCTAACAAGGGAAGTGAAAGACCTCTTCAGAGAGAACTACAAACCACTGCTCAAGGAAATCAGAGAGCAAATAAATGAATGGAAAAACATTCCATGCTCATGGATAGGAAGAATCAATATTGTGAAAATGGCCATACTGCCCAAAGTAATTTAGAAATTCAATGCTATTTCCATTAAACTATCATTGATATTCTTCACCAAGTTAGAAGGAGCTATTTTAAAATGCATATGGAACGAAAAAAGAGCCAGAATAGCCAAGACAATCCTAAGCAATAAGAACAAAGCTGGAGGCATCACGCTACCTAACTTCAAACTATACTACAGGGCTACAGTAACCAAAGCAGCATGGTGCTGGCAGAAAAACAGATACATGGACCAATGGAACAGAATAGAGAACTCGGAAATAAGATCACACAGTGATAATTATCTGATCTTCGACAAACCTGACAAAAACAAGCAATGGGGACAGGATTCCCTATTTAATTAATGGTGCTGGGAGAACTGGCTAGCTGTATGCAAAATTTGAAACTGGGCTCCTTCCTTACACCTTATACAAAAATTTACTCAAGATGGATTAAAGACTTAAATGTAGAACACAAAACTATACAAACCCTAGAAAAAAAAATAGGCAATACTATTCAGGACATAGGCACCGGCAAAGATTTCATGACAAAAATGCCAAAAGCAATGGCAACAAAAGCAAAAGTTGACAAATGGGATCTAATTAAACTAAAGAGCATATGCATAGCAAAATAAACTATCATCAGAGTGAATAGACAGCCTACAGAATGGGAGAAAACTTTTGCAATCTGCCCATCTGACAAAGGTCTACTATCCAGAGTCTACAAGAAACTTAAACAAATTTACAAAAGAAAACCAAACAACCCCATTAAAAAGTGGGCAAAGGACATGAACAGACACGTCTCAAAAGAAGATATTCACGCGGGCAACAAAAATATGAAAAAAAGCTCAACATCACTGATCATTAGAGAAATGCAACTCGAAACCACAATGAGATAACATCTCATGCCAGTCAGAATGGCGATTACTAAAACGTCAAAAAACTACAGATGCTGGCAAGGCTGTGGAGAAAAAGGACTGCTTTTACACTGTTGGTGGGAGTGTAAATTACTTCAACCATGTGGATGACAGTGTGGTGATTCCTGAAAGATCTAGAGGCAGAAATATCATTTGATCCAGCAATCTCATTACTGGGTATATACCCAGAGAAATATAAATCATTCTATTATAAAGATACATGCACATGTATGTTCATTGCAGCACTATTCACAATAGCAAAGATGTGGAATCAACCCAAATGCCCATCAATGATAGACTGGATAAAGAAAATGTAGTACATATACACCACGGAATACTATGCAGCCATAAAAAGGAATGAGATCGGCCGGGTGCGGTGGCTCACGCCTGTAATCCCAGCACTTTGGGAGGCCAAGGCGGGCGGATCACGAGGTCAGGAGATGGAGACCATCCTGGCTAACACGGTGAAACCCCGTCTCTACTAAAAATACAAAAAAAATTAGCCAGGTGTGGTGGCGGGCGCTTGCAGTACCAGCTACTCGGGAGGCTGAGGCAGGAGAATGGCATGAGCCCGGGAGGCGGAGCTTGCAGTGAGCCGAGATCATGCCACTGCACTCCAGCCTGGGCGACAGAGCGTGACTCCGTCTCAAAAAAAAGAAAAAAAATAAAAAAGGAATGAGATCATGTCCTTTGCAGAAACATGGATGGAGCTAGAAGCCGTTATCATCAGGAAACTAACGCAAGAAAAGAAAACCAAACAGCACGTGTTCTCACTTATAAGTGGGAGCTGAATGATGAGAACACATGGACACGTCGGGCAGGGCAACACACACTGGGCCTGTTGGGGGAGGAGTTGGGGGAGGGAATGCATCAGGAAAAATAGCTACTGGGTGCTGGGCTTAATACCAAGGTGATGGGTTCATAGGTGCAGTAAGCCACCATGCCACACGTTTACCTATGTAATAAACCTGCACATCCTGCACATGTACCCCAGGACTTAAAGTAAAAGTTGAAGAAATAAAGAATATGCTCTTGCATTAAATATGCAGGAGCATATTTAATGAAAATTATATTCAAATATATAATTTTGATTAAAAAATTTTCCAAACCATTTTCATTTCCTATAAAAGCAGAGTGGAGAATGTGTGAAAACATTTTTACTGAACATTTACTACCCTCCAGGTACTGTTCTCAATGCTTTACATGTATTAACTCAATCCTTGGCCAATCCCTATGAGTGAGGTGTGATTCTTATGACTATTGTTAAAAAAGAGAAAATAAAGGCACAGAAAATTAAGGAAAAGCCTAATTAATTGAGGAGTTTTGGGAATGTGGTGGAATAACTTTAGTCTGGTTTTGTTACAGAAGAGATTATTGCCTAATTGTGTCCTAGTGCAGATGCAATCTCCTTTGTCTTCATGTTCTAATGGTGAAGTTAGTAAGTCTCTCTCATACACAACACAAAACTCACATTAAGATCTCCATCAGGACAATCCAATCATGGCAACATCACCTAGTGCTTCATATTCCACGAGGAATACTTAGTCATTTTTTTAGGCAGAGCACTAGTGACTTGGATAACAGAAAGAGAGACTGTAGACTGCAATCTCGATATTAAAGGAGTTATTGTGGGGAGTGGGAAAGAATATAGACTCTGGAGTCAGAAAGATATGCGTTCAAACCCTGGCTCTACCTCCTATCTTGTGTCACATGGGGCAAGCCATTTGACCACTGTCAGCCTTGATTTCTTATTAAAGGGTAGATAGTAATACATATCTGCAGAACAACTATGAGCATTAAATGTGATAATTAAAAACATCAGTTCGGCCAGGTGCGGTGGCTCATGCCTGTAATCCCAGCACTTTGGGAGGCGAGGTGGGCGGATCACCTGAGGTCGGGAGTTCGAGAGCAGCCTGTCCAAAATGGAGAAACCCTGTCTCTACTAAAAATACAAAAAATAAGCTGGGTGTGGTGGCGCATGCCTGTAATCCCAGCTACTCAGAAGGCTAAGGCAGGAGAATCACTTGAACCCGGGAAGTGGAGGTTGCGGTGAGCTGAGATCGTGCCATTGCACTCCAGCCTGGGCAACAAGAGTGAAACTCCATCTCAAAAAAAAAAAAAAAGATATAAATAAAATAAAATAAAATAAAATAAAATAAATCAGTTCCTAGTACAACCAATCCACTCTTGGATCAAAAAGTTCCCATTTTATGTTCACATAAGATTTCCTGTGTCATATTTTATCTTTTAAATCAAGAGAATTAACACATATAGTTTATATTCATCTTTCCAATGAGAAAATAATTATACGAAGAATGTCACAATTAGGGCAGAAATAGAAAGAGTTATCTTACCTGCCCATCATTTGTAAACACATAGGCAGCAGCATGAAGTTCTTCAGGTGGAGTTGGTTGACTCGTTTGAAGTGGAGAAGCCTGCATCTGCAGATAGTCCTCATAATTAACTATGTGTGTTACTAGAACACTTTGATTTATAACTGGAACGTAACTGGCACATAAATTGGCGCTATACAGCTGAAATATATGATCCTCTTGAGAGTACATGATCACAGATTGTCTTAGCAATGTGTGCCTTGGTACCAGAGTTTAGAATCTCATGTCTAGAATCTATATCATGTTCCATGATCTAGAATCATCTCCCTTTACCTAAGTCATGACTCAGTCCACCATCACTACTTCCTGTAGGTTCACACCACTAGGTTAGGTTAAACAAGTCCCTTATGCCTCCAACCCAGTTTGAGAATGGGCTGACCTTCCTTATACCACCATCCCAACTAAAAATCTATAATTCTAAATATTAATACTTTAATATTTAGAATGCCAATTTTCACTGAATTCCACAAGTTCATTTTTTCAGACTTAAAGGATAAGTATGTATTAATGAGCATATACACTGTTCTAGTTATCCTACCTGCCCATCATTTATAACCACATAGTCCAAAGTATAAAGCTCTTCACCTAGAGTTAGCTGACTCGTTTGAAGTGGAGGAACCAGCATCTTCAGATATTCCTCATAGCTAACTATGTGTGTGTGACTAGAACACTCTGATTAAAAACTAGAACATAAATGGCAAGTAAATTGGCACTATTCTTCCCACTGGAAGGGTGTAGGCTCCATGGCATTCTCTTATCATCCAGGGAACACTGGGTAGTGGGCCTAACCCTCTTTGGATAATTTGATTAAATCTACAGATATTTTTCCCTGGGAAAGTACCTTTACACACAAACTTGGTGTACAATTTTAGAAGTGTGACCAGCCTAAGATCTGTTTAATTTAGTGGACAGATGACCCCACTTAAAATCACCAAAGTGGGGGTAAAGAGGGTTTGTAAACTGTTGCCAATTATCCTGGATACTATCAATTTTGTTATTTCCATATAAACAAGGAATTCTCTGCTGAACTCACAGCAGTAAGCAGTGTGATATAGTATTCGTGTGTGCAATCTCTGGAATCTGAGAGACCTAGGTTCTGTCACTTTTCCAGCTAGTTATACCTGGGAGAGCTACTTAAATGTACACTCTAAGATTCTATTTCCATAAAAAGGGCATAAAACAGTATCTAACTCATGGTGCTCTTATAAGGATTACCAGAGATAAAGCACAAAGAGGATAGTGTATGTGCTGGTTAATACATACTTTCCTTTAAGTTAAAAAACAAACAAACAAACAAACAAACTTGTGGGATTTAGTGAACATGGGCATTCTCTATATTAAAACATTAAAAAAATAAACTGCTCATGCAATAAACAGCTTCCCACAAACTAGACTTGATATTTTCAAAATCAGTAAAAGCCCGGCACAAAAAAACACTTGTTTGGTTTCAGCACACCGAATTTCCTTCTGGTTAACTGGTCGAAATGACTGCTACTTGCAATATCATAAGCATTTCTACATGTCTAACATTTCAAATCTTCCTTTGCGAAACAAATCTTTTGTTATTCCTGAAGTTTTAAACTGATGTATTTAATACAAGCAAGCAGAAGGAGGGGAATGATGAAAATTAGAGTAGAAGAAAATCAATGAAATAAGAAACAGAAAAATCAATGAAATCAAAAGTTGGTTCACCGAAAAGGTGAAAAAAAAAATCTAACAATCTTTTAGCTTGACTGACCAAGAAAAATAGAAAGGACTACACAGATTATCAAAATCAAAAATGAAAGGGGGGTTATTAATACTGACCTTACAGAAATTAAAAGGAATACATTATGAACAACTTTACGCCAACAAACTAAACAACTTAGGTAAAATGGAAAAAATTCTTGGAAGACAAATTACCGACTCAAGAAGAAACAGGCTGGGTGCAGTGGCTCACGCCTGTAATCCCAGCACTTTGGGAGGCCAAGGCGGGCGGATCACCTGAGGTTGGGAGTTTGAGACCAGCCTGACAAACATGGAGAAACTCCGTCTCTACTACAAATACAAAATTAGCTGGGCGTGGTGGCGCATGCCTGTAATCCCAGCTATTTGGGAGGCTGAGGCAGGAGAATCACTTGAACCCGGGAGGCGGAGGTTGGGTGAGCCAAGATCATGCCATTGCACTCCACCCCGGGCAACAAGAGCGAACAACAAGAGTGAAACTCCGTCTCAAAATAAATGAATAAATAAATAAATAAATAATAAGTAGAAAATCGACTTAGGACTATAGCATGAAAAGAGATTTAATTAGTAATTTAAAATCTCCCCAGAAATACAAGCCAAGCCAAGATGGCTTCGCGTGCAAATTCTATCAAACATTTAAGGAAGAAATAATACCAGTACTTAGCAATGTCTTCCAAAAAATAACGGAGGAACACTACTTCATTCTATGCGGCCAATATTACCCTGATATCAAAGCCAGAGAAATATATCACAAGATATATTTGCCTGTCAGCTCCAAATTCACCCTTTTATCCCGCTGTGTGAGAAGGTTCTGTGTTCCTCTGCCTCTGCCCGCTGTGCAGTTGATAGTGAAGGCCACCTGTAGAGAGCACCAGAGTCAGCTAAGGGGAGAGCTGCGCTTCCTGGTTCTCCCGCTGGCGCCAGCGGTCCTGCTGAGCGCAAAACTTCTCTTCCGGACTCTGGCGCCCCACACAGGTTCCCAGTGTTAGGCTGGGGGAGGGCACGCGAAAGCGGTCAGCTTCCCTTCCTTCCATCCGCCTTGAGCCTTTCCGGATTGGTGCTTCTGGTGAGACGCCTCCCCATGAGCATCACTCCCAAGCACGCGAGGGGGCACGTTTCCCATAACTCCCAAACGGCAAGTTTCTACAAAGTTACAACAGTGGGGAGGCGCCACAACTTCACTGCCATTTTGTGAGGTGCTGCCGCCCCTCCTCCGGCAAGGTCAGGACTTCAGGACTGTGAGTGGGGCAGTTTTTCCCTGGATGCTTTAATTTCGCCCGGGAAAGTGTCCTTTTTCCTCAGAAAGTGTCTTTTCTGAGGTGTTCTCTGTCGGGTGTGTGGTAGGGTTCCCTGGGAAAGTGGCTCCACTCTGAGGACACCGCCATGGGAGCCTGTGTCAACCATGGGGGAGCGTTTTCCTTGGGCACCCCATCTCGGCTATGTTGTGGGTCCGGGGGGCTTTTCTTGGGGGCTCCCTCAGTGATGTGAGGGGCTTTTCCTGCTGAAATGACCTAAGCCCAGGGTTGGGGACCCTGCCTTGGTTGCCTGTGTCAGCCTCGGGTGTGGCCGTGTTTCTTCCCTGCTCGGTGGCAGCCCTGAGGGGGGACTCTGCCTTGGGAGCTCTGTCTATGTTCAAGGGCCGGGGTGGTGGTGGCTGTGCCCTGGACACATGATCACAGCCCTATGGGGTCACTCTCTGTCGCGGGCTTTATCTCAGCCTGTGAGGGACTCTTCCTTGAGTGCTGTTCTCGGCTGTGGGGCACATTTGTCCTTAGATGTTGCTCGCTCTCAGCTAGGATGTGTTGGCTTTTCTTTGGTTCTGCTTATCCCTGATGGGGACGCTTACCAGACGCTTTCTCTTGGTGCTGGGTTTTTAAAATTATTATCTGTGGGTGCTGTCTCCTGGTGCTGTGGGGGAGTGGGGTGCTGTTCCTTGGATTCTCTGAGCCTGTGGTGGGACTCGGGGAACTCTTGTGTCAGCCACGAGGGCACCCAGCTGACCTTGGGAACTCTGTCTCACCCCAGGGTTGGGTGCTTTTCCTTGGTTGGTTCTCAGTCCTGAGGGAGCTCTTCCCTGGGATTCTATCTGACCTTTCAGCCATAGCCTCAGATGTCTGTGCAGGAATCGGGGTCCAGAAATGTTTGAAGGTTCCAGATTCGCCACATGCACACAACTCACTGTGCAATTATTCTTTCATTCCAGCCACTCTTTGGGAGTGTAGTGATCTCTCCTTATGTCTACACTTGCAATTTTGTGCTAATTAATGAGATTGAGCACCCTTTTTAAAAGTGTTAATTTATCGATTTTTGATTGTTTTTTGGGCTCCCAGGCTCGCTCGATTCTCGTGCCTCAGTAGCTGGGACTACAAGCGCATGCCACCAAGCCTGGCTAATCTTTGTATTTTTTAGTAGAGATGGGGTTTTGCCAAATTGCCCAGGCTGGTCTCGAACTCCTGGACTCAAGTGATCTGCCCAATTCGGCCTCCCAAAGTGCTGGGATTACAGGCGTGAGCCACTGCGCCCAGCTATTTATTGTTTTTTTTTTTTCGGAGCACTTTTTCATGTGTTTATTGGTCATTTAACCATGTCTTTTAGGAAGTTCCCTTTGAGGTCTTTTCTGCCAAATTTTATTGAGATGTTTGTATTTTAAAAATGGATTTGTAGTTTACATATATTCTGGGTTTCAGTTGTACACACATGCACACAGGCATATATGTACATGTATTAAAATACATATACAATTTTAATGTCTTCTACAAATCTGTTTTGCTTTTACACTATCTCAATAATGTGTTTTAGATGAACAGATTCTCTTAATCTTATTAATCAGTCTTGTTTATGGCTAGAGCTCTTTATTATTTTAAGTGAAAATCTTTGCCTCCCCCAATGCCATGACGATAATATTCTAAGTTTTCTTCTAGATCTCCTATTCACCTCAAATAAATTTTCATGGAATGGAGTAAAGTCAGAGTCCGGGTATATTTTATGTGATTACTAAAGGTATATTTGAGTATGACTCTTATGATATGCATATTCAGCTTTTCCCCCCAAATTTTATTGCGATGTTTGCTTTTAAAATTGATTTGTAGTTCTGGATATACTCTGGATTCCACTCAGTTGTTGTCAGATACATATATATGTATATATATAAAATATTATATTATATATACTATATATATTTATATATGATTAATGTATATTTTTATATATAACCTATCCTATACATTATATAATATGTAATCTACATATATGCTTTGCTTTTCCACTCTCTTAAGAGTGTCTTTTGAGGAATAGAAGTTTTACATTTAATTATGTCTAATTAAACAATGTATTCTTTATGGTTAGAGCTTTTTTATCCTAATCAAAAACACCTTGGCCTATTCTAAAGCTGTAAAGCTAATATCTTATATTTTTTACTGGATTCACTATCTATCTTTAATAATGTTTTCTGCAGTGGGATGGGGTAAGAATCAAAGTTTGTATTTTCCCTGCATTTATGAAGTGCATTTATTAAAAGCACTAGTCTTTCCACAATGATTTACAGGAGCTCTCCTGTGGTAAATCTAGCTATTTTCCATTTCCAGATTGTTTCTGGCCTCTGTGTCCTCTGCCCTTGGTGTATTTACCTGTCATTGCTCCAATACCACACGGTTTTAATTACTCTACCTTTATAGTAAATCTCATATTTAGTAGTGTGTATTTACCAACTTAGTTCTTTTTCTTAAAGATTGTCTTAGCTTTACCAAACCTTCGATTTGCACATACTTAAAACAATTATCTGTTTGTCAATTTTCAGAAAAAATTTTGTTAACACGGTGGAATTTTAAATGATTGGTATGTTCATTCTGAGAGAATTAACAATAATGTCTCTTAATAATGTCTTCCATTCCATGGAAGGTAAACCAAAGTGCCAATAAAGGCACGCCTTTTTATCAAGCAATTCAAGTCAAGTCAAAATCAAAACTAAAATTATCAAGCAATTCAAGTCAAGTCAAAAACAAAAACCAAAGGGCTGGTACAGGTACACCGTGGGTGATCTGGCCATGCTTCCACTCAAATGGAGTCGGCAAGTTCCAAAGACCAGTCTTACCAAGTTTTAGATGTCCAGACTTAAAGTGCCAGTTCCTTCCTGGTGTTCAGCCACTGCGTTGATCCTCCGCGGGGGCCTGCTGTGCACTGCTCTGACAAGGCGTTCCACAGGGGCAAATGCCTACCCCGGAGCGCTCTCAGGATCTGCATCGCTCAAGCTGGCCAGAGTTCCCAGCAGGGATGCTCTACAGGGCAGGCATGAGCTGCCTAAGGGGCTGCCTCGACTGTCCGTTAATCAGGAAACCAAGAAATGTAGCAGGATGAGCCGCAGACAAAACTCCTCAGGCACTGGATTAAAGAAGGAAGTGGTTTATTCGGCTGGGAGCATCAGCCAACTTGCATCATAAGAGCTGAGTTCCCCGAAAAAGAAATTCTTGGCCTTTTTAGAGGCTTACAACTTTAAGGGGTCCACGTGAAAGAGTCGTGATAAATTGAGCAAGTGTGGGAAATGTGACTGGGGGCTACATGCAGCAGCTAACAGAACAATAAGTTTTACAATGCTTTTTTTCATACAGTGTCTGGAATTTAGAGATAACACAAGTAGTTTAGGTCAGGGGTTGAAATTATTATTACTTTTTTTAACTCCTAGGGCCGGGTGGTGGTGCCAAGGTTGTCTGGCTATTTATTTTACTTTTTTTTTTTTTTTCCAACTTTTTGCTTTCTTTCTTTCCTCCTGTCTTGTGAACTAGGCAAGGTAGGGGGAGGAGGGCAGCAGGAGTAGTAGTGGTCTCCTTCCTTAGCGGGACTACAGGTGCGTGCCACCACACCTGGCTAATTTTCTGTATTTTTAGTAGAGACGGGATTCACCATGTTGGCCATGCTGGTCTTGGACTCCTGACCTCAGGTGATCCAGACACTTCGGCCTCCCAAGGTGCTGACATTACAGGCGTGAGCCACTGCGCCCGGTCGGGGTTGACTTTAAAAAACAACCCCCTCAAATGAAAATTTCAGTTTGTTGTTGTTGTTGCTTCTTTTTCTTTCTTTCTTTTTTTTTTTTTTGATGGAGTCTTCTGTATGGTCTGGGATGGAGAGTGCACTGGCACGATCTTGGCTCACTGCTACCTCCACCTCCCGGGTTCAAGCGATCCTCCCACCTCAACTTCCCGAGTAGTTGGGACCACAGGTACACGCCACCATGCCCAGCTAATTTTTGTCTGCGTTTTTTTGGTTGGTTGGTTGCTCTGTAGAGCCAGGGTCTCACTATGTTACCCAGGCGATTTCATCCCGCTGGGTGAGAAGGTTCTGCATTCCTCTGCTTATGTTGCTGTGCAGTTGTTACTGAAGGTCGCCTGCAGAGGGCGCCAGAGTCAACGAAGGGGAGGGCTGCGCTTCCTGGTTCTCTGGGGCACGAGGCTTCTCCTCAGCACTCTGGCGCCCCCAACAGGTTCCCAGTGTTCGGCTGGGGCAGGCACGCTGTGGCTGGCTACTTCCCTTCCTTCCATCCCCCTTGGGCCAAACAGGATCGGTGCTTCTGGTGAGACGCCTCCCCATGCACATCACTCCCAGGTACCCTAGGGGGCACATTTCCCACAACTCCCAGAGGGCAGGTTTCTAGAAAGTGCCACCAGTGGGGAGGCGCCACAACTTCACTGCCATTTTGTGAGGTGCCGCCGTCTCTCCTCCAGCAAGGTCAGGACTTCAGGACTGTGAGTGGGCAGTTTTTCCCTGGATGCTTTAATTTCGCCCTGGAAAGTGTCCTTTTTCCTCAGAAAGAGTCTTTTCTGTGGTGTTCTCTGTCTGGTGTGTGGGAGGGCTCCCTTGGGGAAGTGGCTTAGCTCTGGGGACACCGCCATGGGCGCCTGTGTCAGCCGCGGGGGAGCGTTTTCCTTGGGCACCCCGTCTCGGCTATGTTGTGGGGCCAGGGGGCTTTTCTTGGGGGCTCTTGTTGGGGGCTCCCTGTCGGTGATGGAAAAGGCGACTTTTCCTGCTGAAATGACCTGAGCCCGGGGGGTGGGGGCCATGCCTTGGTTGCCTGTGTCGGCCTCGGGTGCGGCGGTGTTTCTTTCCCGCTCAGTCGCTGTCCTGAGGGGGGACTCTGCCCTGGGGACACTATCTGTGCTCATGGAACGTGGTGGGGGTGGCTGTGCCCCGGACACATGATCGTAGCCCTGTGGGGTCACTGTCGGGGGCTTTATCTCAACCTCTGGTGGACTCTTCCTTGGGTACTGATGTCGGCCGTGAGGCGCATTTGTCCTCGGATGTTGCTCGCTCTCAGTTACAATGTGTTGGCTTTTCTTTGGTTCTGCTTATCCCCGTTGTGGACGCTTACTGGATGCTTTCTCTTGGTGCTGGGTTTTTAAAATTATTATCTGTAGGTGCTCTCTCCCGGTGCCGCCGGGGAATGGGGTAATGTTCCTTGGATTCTCTAAGCCTATGGTGGGACTCAGGGAGCTCTGTGTCAGCCATGAAGGAGGCCACGTGACCTTGGGAACTCTGTCTCGACCCAGGTTGGGGTGCTTTTCCTCGGTTGGTTGATCGCAATTCTGAAGGAGCTCTTTCCTGGGATTCTATCTGACCTTTCAGCCACAGCCTCAGGTGTCTGTGTGGGAATGGGAGTCCAGAAATATTCGAAGGTTCCAGCTGTGCCACATTCGAACACTCTCAGTACAGTTAGTCTTTCATTCCAGCCACTCTGATGGGTGTGCAGTGATCTCTCCTTATGTCTACACTCGCATTTCTCTGCTGATTAATGAGATCGAGCACCTTTTTAAGAAATTGTTTTTATTTATTGATTTTTGTTTGTCTTTTGAGATGAGGTCTCCCTCTGTCACCCAGACTGGATTGCAGTGCCACCACACCCAGCTATTTATTGTTTTCTTTTTTTTTTTTTTAGCACCATTTTATGTGTTTATTGGTCATTTAACTATGCCTTTTATGAAGTTCCTTTTCAGGTATTTTCCCCCAGCTTTTACTGAGATGTTTGTATTTTAAAAATGGATTTGTAGTTTCCATATATTCTGTATTTGAGTTATACGCACAGGCACACAGGCGTATATGTACATATACAAAAATACATATACAATTTTAGTATCTTCTATAAATCTTTTTTGCTTTTACACGATCTCAATAATGTGTTGTAGATGAACAGATTCTCTTAATTTTATTAATTAGTGTATTATTTATGGATAGTGCTTTTTATTATTTTAAGAAACATCTTTGACTCACCCAATGCCATTACGATAATATTCCTTTTCTTAAAATTATACTTTAAGTTCCGGGATACATGGGCAGAACGTGCAGGTTTGTTACATAGGAAGACACATGCCATGGTTGTTTGCTGCACCCATTGACCCGTCATCTACCTTAGGTATTTCTCTAACGCTATCCCTCCCCTAGCCCCCCAACCCCTGACAGGCCCCACTGTGTGATGTTCTTCTCCCCGCGCCCATGTGTTCTCATTGTTCAACTCCCACTTATGAGTGAGGACACGTGGTGTTTGGTTTTCTGTTCCTGTGTTAGCTTGCTGACACATGTCCCTTCAAAGGACGTGAACTCATTCTTTTTTATGGCTGCATAGTATTCCGTGGTGTATATGTACCACATTTTCTTTATCCAGCGTCGTGGCAGGCGCCCGTAATCGCAGCTACTCAGGAGGCTGAGGCAGGAGAATTGCTTGAACCTGGGAAGTGGAGGTTGCAGTGAGCAGAGACTGTGCCACTCCACTGCAGCCTGGGTGACAGAGCGAGGCTCCGACTCAAAAAAAAAAAAATGTCTTCCAATGCATGGAAAGAATATTTTTCTCCATTTACTGCAGTCTTGAATTTCTCTGAGTGATGTTTTATAATTTTTGTGAAGTACTCTAGCACATCTTGATTAGATTTATTCCTAAATATTTGATGTTTTTGGAACTGTTTTTAATGACATTTGAAATCTCATATTCTAATTATTCGTTATACAGAATTGCCATTCTGTATAATGCCATTCATTATACAGAATTGCTATTCATTATACAGAAATGCCATTGGTTTTCATTGTATCTAGTAAGTTGACTAAATTTGCTTATTAACTGTAATGATTTTATTCTTCTGCATTTTTCTATGTACAGAACAATGTCATCTGTGAATAATGACAGTTTTATTTCTTTCCAAATTTTAAACCTATTGTATTTTCCTGATGATATGGCACTTTTTGGAACCTCCAGTAAATTGTTGAATGGATAGTGGACATCTTTGTCTTGTTTTCAAACTCAGGGAGAAAATACTGATACGTCACTATGAAGTATGGCATTTAAAAATTTTTTGTACATATGCTAACCAGAATAGGAAAGTTGCCCTTTTTCCTAAGTTGGTGATAGTTTTTATCACGAATGGACTTTAAACATTGATCCATGTATGAAAATGATCATGCAGTGTTTCCCTGTTTTTGTTGTTGTTGTTGTTGTTGTTGTTAATGTGGTGCACTACATTTGTCGATTTTCAAATGTTAAATCAGTGTTGCCTTTCTGCAATATACTCCACCATGGCTGATGTATGTCCTTTTTAAGTACTAGTACATTTTATTTGCTCACCCTTAGTTTGGAATTTTTGTGTCTAAGTTCGGGGTGATCTTGGCTTGTATTTTTGGCTTGATCTTGTAGTTTTTCATTCTTCTAAATTCCTTGTCAGATGTTGTTATCAGTTTTGTATCAATCTTCTAATAAGGGTTCCTAATAAGGGTTAATACACGTTGGTTTATGCATCTATTTGAATATATAAGCATAAATACTTATATATTAAATATATATGATATATAATATATAATTTAAAATATAATGTATAATAAGGGTTAATACAGATTGGTTTATACATCCATTTTTTCTAATAAGGGTTAATACAGATTGGCTTATACATCTTCAAATAGGTAATAATATTTTTATCTATTTTTGGTTGATGACAGCTGCTTATTCCACAAGCATTCTGATTGATTTGGTTATACCATCTTTCTTCTGTTTTACTTTGTGTACATTAAAATTAGGTTTCTTTTCCTGAGAACAGAGTGTTTGTTGAGACTTGGTAAATCTTGGCTCATGATTAAAAGTGAAATTAATGATTCAAAGTCTTGGTTGTATACACATATGCAGATTGCTTGCCATTTTGTGATTGTTAGATTTTTGTCATGAATGGAATATATTCATTGATGTTTTTCAGGAAACAATGACCGATAAAACAGAGAAGGTGGCTGTAGATCCTGAAACTGTGTTTAAACGTCCCAGGGAATGTGACAGTCCTTCGTATCAGAAAAGGCAGAGGATGGCCCTGTTGGCAAGGAAACAAGGAGCAGGAGACAGCCTTATTGCAGGCTCTGCCATGTCCAAAGAAAAGAGTAAGTAAGCCTGTCCTCACGTCCTCCTCATGCTCCTGCCTCATCCCCTCCAGAGAAACTGTCCTTGTCAAGGTTAACAGTTTCGGCTGACATTGCCATTAACTTCTCAGCAGCATTTGACAGTTGTTCACTCGCTTCTTCATGAAAACCTTCTAGGATTTCCATTTCCGACAATCTTTTTTTTTTTTTTAATTTCTTGTCCGTATTGGTGAATCCCTATCATTTTTTTCTTGAGATGGAGTTTCGCTCTTCTCAGCCAGGCTGGAGTGCAGTGGCGCGATCTCGGCTCACTGAAATCTCCGTCTCCTGGGTTCAAGTGATTCTTCTGCCGCAGCCTCCCGAGTAGCGGGATTACAAGCACCAGCCACCACACCCAGCTAATTTTTGTAAGTTTAGTAGAGATGGGGTTTCGCCATGTCGGCCAGGCTGGTCTGGAACTCCCCCCCTCAGGTGATCCACCCACCTCAGCCTCCCAAAGTGCTGGGATTACACGCACGAGCCACCGCCCCCGACCCCATCATTGTTTTTTTCTACATTTCTTTTTCTTCTCTTCTCTAAATACTGTAAAAAATTCCTGAACCCCAGCATCTCTCTCTCTCCTTCTATTCCACTCTGCCACGATCAATCACTGAGCTCCTGAGATACCTCCATGTTTCCCATTATTTCCCGCATCAAACA
The DNA here is from genome assembly GCF_000001405.40 of Homo sapiens. Classification (NCBI taxonomy): domain Eukaryota; kingdom Metazoa; phylum Chordata; class Mammalia; order Primates; family Hominidae; genus Homo; species Homo sapiens. Next base: position 135,884,497 of record NC_000023.11, on the reverse strand, counting down.
CATACCCTCCAACCCTGCAGCCGGGTCATGATGTTGGCATGTAAATCACGTGATGCCATGTCGCTCCTGAACACCCATCCTCAACACTCCTAAGCACTCAGAACCGACTGCGAAGCAGCTTTGGTCTGCGAGGTTCTGCGTGGCCTGGCCTCCGTCACCCTCTCCTCACACGGGCCCCATCATCTCCTGACTCTCTCTGCTACTGTCCTTCACCCCATAGTGCCCGGTCCATCCCCACTCCAGCCCATATCCTTGGCCTCACCGCAACCTGGAACTCCCCCTCTGCCTCTGCGCAGGCAGCTCTGCTTTTTCCTTCAAGCCCTGCCCAAGGGTACCTCCACAGAAGGCTCTGCCCAACCAGCAGCAGCTCCTGGGGCTCCCTCTGCTGCTGTTGCCCACAGGCCTGTGGACTGCTTCCTTACCACTAGCCCAACACTGTATGTTTCATTTGCTCATTGTGCACGTACTGTCTGACCGCCCCATGAGGATGTGAGCTCCACAAGGGCAGGGAACGTTGCTCTCTGGGCTGTTTACTGCTGATCCCCAGCTACCGGCACGCTGCCTGCCACAGACGATGAATAAATGAGAGGTGTCAGACCTGGAGTGAAAAGAAAGTCACTTTTGTGAGACAGAAAGGAAGGATGAGGAAAATCATACAGTAAAAGGGACTTTTTGGTGGTGGAGTGCGTATAGAACTTTTAGCAGTAATGGCCGCCTCTATTTTCTCAGAATGTGTTTGATATAACAGGAGACCGGTTGAGTTGTATCCCAGTTGCCTGGGTTCCAGCTCAGTAAAGCATGGCAGTTTGTAAGTGAGTTTGAGAAATCATGATATCAAGTGAGACTTGCTGCTTTCACCTTGTAAAGCATAACAAGCTGAAACTGTCCCATGAGTACCAGGGATCTGTGAATGTTGCTTTAGAGTTGTACTGCCTTACTTGGTTTCCATATCTATTCAAGGCGACAGAAAATAGGAGGTGGTTTTATTGTATTATGTGTCCTGGCCTCCGTTTGTCAGGCCTGGGATTTCTCCCTGGTGTATCCTCCCATTTATGAAATAAATAATTCCCTAGAAACTGAGGAGCACATAGATGTACCCAGAGGGGTGATGAAACACACGTATCTCACAGCTCAACTTCTCAGTTTGATTTCCAGATCTGTCATTCATGAGGTTTATGTGGAGGGGAAAGAAAGTGGTCAAACACCAACTGATGGCTTTTACTCAAAATTTGTTTCACCAGAGCTTATGACAGGACATGCTATTCCACCCAGCCAATTGGATTCTCAGATTGATGACTTCACTGGTTTCAGCAAAGATGGGATGATGCAGAAACCTGGTAGCAATGCACCTGTGGGAGGAAACGTTACCAGCAATTTCTCTGGAGATGACCTAGAATGCAGAGGAATAGCCTCCTCTCCCAAAAGCCAACAAGAAATTAATGCTGATATAAAATGTCAAGTAGTGAAGGAAATCCGATGCCTTGGACGAAGTAAGTAGTGTAAGAACGTCTGTTTTATAAAACTGTAGGAAGTCACTCTTTCTATGATTCAGAAGATATCCATGTTACCTCTTGAGGCTCATTCTTTGCCAGAGTTGAGACTGCACATAATTTATGGTGGTTCCTCTTTTCTTTGACTAAAGCATGTACATTTTTTCTTTTTCTTTTCTTACTTGGTTATGGTTAAAGGAGTTACATTCGTATGTATGTGCAGGTGTCTTTTTTATTATTTAGGTTTTGTATGTGCAGGTATCTTGATTTAAGCATTTAAAACATTTCAGCCTCTGAAGCATGATTGCTGAGGTGTAGATTCACTTCTATTCTTCTTTATATTTGATAATACTGAAGTTTTTTTTTCAACATCTTCAGAATATGAAAAAATCTTCGAAATGCTTGAAGGAGTGCAAGGACCTACTGCAGTCAGGAAACGATTTTTTGAATCCATCATCAAGGAAGCAGCAAGGTGGGTAGAAATAGGAACTGTCCAATTTCTTTAAGCACTTGGGCTCAATAGAGTACTGGGGATGAGCGTTGGGGAACAGCCCCTGCCTTGCGTTTCTCAAACCCTGGTCCTCACTCACAGTTATGGCTGTCTCCACAGTTACTTAGGCTAATGTTATCTGAGTCTAACTCATTCTTCGAAGACTATGGAGACTTCCATTTTCACCATAGTCTGAGGTGCGCATTGTCCCTCAATTGACACTCTTTGTATTTGCTAGACTACCTCTTTTTAAAAAATTTGTGTAGGCACATAGCAGATGCATATATTTCTGGGCTATATGAGATATTGTGATACGGACAACAATGTGTAATAATCACATCAAGGTAAGTGGGGTTTCTATCACCTCAAGCTTTTATCCTTTGCGTTACAGAGAATACAATTATACTCTTCATTATTTTTAAATGTGCAATTAAATTATTACCAACTATAGTCACCCTGTTGGGCTATGAAATACGACATCTTATTTATTCCATACTTCTACGTATTAATCATCCCCACTTCCCACACCCTCCACCCCCACTAACCTTTGTAGCCTCTGGTAACTGTCATTCTACTCTCTATCTCCATTAGTTCAGTTGTTTTACACTTTTACTCCCAAAAATAAGTGAGAACATGTGAAGTTTGTCTTTTTGTGCCTGGTTTATTTCACTTAACATAAGGGCCTTCGGTTCTATCCGTGTTGTTGCAAATGACTGAATCTCATTCTTTTTTTTATGGCTAAACAGTACTCTATGGTGTATATGTACCATATTTTCTTTACCCATTCACGTGTTAGTGGACACTTAGGTTGCTTCCAAATCTTGGCTACTGTGAATGGTGGTGCAGGAAACATGGGAGTGCAGATATCTCTTTGGTACACTGACTTCCTTTCTCTTGGGTATATACCCAGCAGTGGGATTGCTGGATCATATGATAGCTCCATTTTTAGTTGTTTGAGGAACCTCCAAACTGTTCTTCATAGTTGTTGTAGTAATTTATGTTCCCACCAACAGTGTATGAGGGTTCCCTTTTCTCCACACCCTTGCCAGCATTTGTTATGCCGGCTAGACTGCCTCTTACCATGCAGATACATTTCTATTTCCATGCTGACTGTTACTTCATCTTTCTATCTGTCACAGCGCTTCCTACAGCATAGGTTCTTTGGCTATCTTTTGGTTAATGACATGTCTCTTTCTCTTCAGATGTATGAGACGAGACTTTGTTAAGCACCTTAAGAAGAAACTGAAACGTATGATTTGAGAATACTTGTCCCTGGAGGATTATCACACCCCAAATGCATAATCTCGTTAATGATTGAGGAGAGAAAAGGATCAGATTGCTGTTTTCTACAATGGAGCAGGATATTGCTGAAGTCTCCTGGCATATGTTACCGAATCAACTGGCCTTCCAGAGGCTAAGAAATTTCTGTTAGTAAAAGATGTTCTTTTTCCCAAAGCGTTTTATTTGAAAGGATAACTTGTGTTTTGGTTATTTTGTATTCCCACCTGTGCTGGTAGATATTATTAACCCATTAGGTAAATACTATTACAGTCGTGGTTTCTGCAGCAGCTCACACTGATGTAGCTGGCGTTTATAACTACCTTCTTTCGCTACCCGTTTCGCATTCCCTTTGCCCTGAGATAGCATGTCAGTTGGTCATGATGCTTGGCCTGGCAAGATGACTCAAACCTTCATTACGGAAGAGTCTGAACCATTAGATATCCTGCCTGGATGGGGTTGCTGTGATTTTCCATTAACTCTAATCGAAAAACACAGGAGGACTAAGAAGCTCTCTAGACATATCACACATACTCTTCCTTAGCCCCTCGTGTGGTGGGAACCCGATCTCAATGTTGAAATCTGTATCATCAGCCTTCAACGAAAAGGCAGAACTAATGGGAGATTTTAATGTGTGTGTGTGTGTGTGTGTGTGTGTGTGTGTGTGTGTGTGTGTTGGTAGGGGGTATATATACATGCACACACACACTTTCTAATCTCCCATTATACATATAATACACATTACACATATTATATATACACCCCCATATATATATATGTATGCGTGTGTGGGGGGGTATATCCAATATATATAATAAAGGTAGTTCCTAGATAGGATTGGTCTGATACAATAATTTGGAGCTGCAGTAGCAGTCCCTGTAAGGCTGTTGTTTCCAGATACGACTTGAACGTTCTATGCTTTTTATTTTTTTTAAAGACAGAATCTTGCTCTGTTGCCCAGGCTAGAGTGCGGTGACACGATCACAAGTCACTGCCACCTCGACCTCACCCCAGTTCAAGCGATCCTTGTGCTTCAGCCTTCGAAGTAGCTGGGATTACAGGTGCACCACAGGTGCCATCACGCTGCAATTTTTGTATTTTTAGTGGAGATGGGGTTTTGCCATGTTGTCCAGGCTGGTCTCGAAACCTGGCCTCAAGTGATCTGCCCATCTCAGCCTCCCAAGGTTCTAGGATTACAGGCATGAGCCACTGCACCCAGCCCATTCTATGCTTTTTTTAAAAAAATTAATTCATTCAATTATTCAACAAATATTAATTGTGCCAGGTACTTTTTTTTATTATACTTTAAGGTTTAGGGTACATGTGCACAACGTGCAGGTTTGTTACATATGTATACATGTGCCATTTTTGTGTGCTGCACCCATTAACTCATCATTTAACATTAGGTATATCTCCTAATGCTATCCCTCCCCCCTCCCCACACCCCACAACAGGACCCAGTGTGTGATGTTCCCCTTCCTGTGTCCATGTGTTCTCATTGTTCAGTTCCCACCTATGAGGGAGAACATGCGGTGTTTGGTTTTTTGTCCTTGCGATAGTTTGCTGAGAATGATGGTTTCCAGCTTCATCCATGTCCCTACAAAGGACATGAACTCATCATTTTTCATGGCTGCATAGTATTCCATGGTGTATATGTGCCACGTTTTCTTAATCCAGTCTATCATTGTTGGACATTTGGGTTGGTTCCAAGTCTTTGCTATTGTGAATAGTGCCACAATAAACATACGTGTGCATGTGTCTTTATAGCAGCATGTTTTATAATCCTTTGGGTATATACTCAGTAATGGGATGGCTGGGTCAAATGGTATTTCTAGTTCTAGATCCCTGAGGAATCGCCACACTGACTTCCACAATGGTTGAACTAGTTTACAGTCCCACCAACAGTGTAAAAGTGTTCCTATTTGTCCACATCCTCTCCAGCACCTGTTGTTTCCTGACTTTTTAATGATTGCCATTCTAACTGGTGTGAGATGGTATCTCATTGTGGTTTTGATTTGCATTTATCTGATGGCCAGTGATGATGAGCATGTTTTCATGTGTCTGTTGGCTGCATAAATGTCTTCTTTTGAGAAGTATCTGTTCATATCCTTCGCCCGCTTGTTGATGGGGTTGTTTGTTTTTTTTCTTGTAAATTTGTTTGAGTTCGTTGTAGATTCTGGATATTAGCCCTTTGTCAGATGAGTAGACTGCAAAAATTTCCTCCCATTCTGTAGGTTGCCTGTTCACTCTGATGGTAGTTTCTTTTGCCGTGCAGAAACTCTTTAGTTTAATTAGATCCCATTTGTCAATTTTGACTTTTGTTGCCATTGCTTTTGGTGTTTTAGACGTGAAGTCCTTGCCCATGCCTATGTCCTGAATGGTATTATAGCCTAGGTTTTCTTCTAGGGTTTTTATGGTTTTAGGTCTAACATGTAAGTCTTGAATCCATCTTGAATTAATTTTTGTATAAAGTGTAAGGAAGGGATCCCATTTCATCTTTCTCCATATGGCTAGCCAGTTTTCCCAGCACCATTTATTAAATAGGGAATCCTTTCCCCATTTCTTGTTTTTGTCAGGTTTGTCAAAGATCAGATAGTTGTAGATATGCAGCATTATTTCTGAGGGCTCTGTTCTGTTCCATTGGTCTATATCTCTGTTTTGATAACAGTACCATGCTGTTTTGGTTACTGTAGACTTGTAGTATAGTTTGAAGTCAGGTAGCGTGATGCCTCCAGCTTTGTTCTTTTGGCTTAGGATTGACTTGGCAATGCGGGCTCTTTTTTGGTTCCAAAATCAGTGTGCAAAAATCACAAGCATTCTTATACACCAGTAACAGACAAACAGAGAGCCAAATCATGAGTGAACTCCCATGCACAATTGCTTCAAAGATAATAAAATACCTAGGAATCCAACTTACAAGGGACGTGAAGGACCTCTTCAAGGAGAACTACAAACCAGTGCTCAATGAAATAAAAGAGGACACAAACAAATGGAACAACATTCCATGCTCATGGGTAGGAAGAATCAATATCGTGAAAATGGCCGTATTGCCCAGGGTAATTTATAGATTCAATGCCATCCCCATCAAGCTACCAATGACTTTCTTCACAGAACTGGAAAAAACTACTTTAAAGTTCATACGGAACAACTTTCATTTTGGTGGAATCACTTTGGTTTCCCCTGTTGAAAAAATTCCTCAATGTGTAACTAAGTCCTCTAGTCCAGCAGAGCCAAAAGTTGGCTTCTTGGTGCACAGTTTGCTTCTTGAGCATAAGAAGCAACATTTTGTTACTAGATACCCAGGAGTAATAGTGAGAGAAGGCCCACATATTGCCTCCTTCATTCTTGAAGTCATAAATGTGGCTATGGGAGAAATAGTTCCATATACTTGAGGCTAGGATTCAGCTTTGCCACTTTCTAGATTGTCAGCCAAGCCCCACAAGGCACTGCCACAAAGCTGCAATGACAACTCAGGCTTTAAAAGGTCCTCCAATGTTCTATTGAGCCAGCCATTTCAGGATGTTGAAGAACATCACAAGACTAGTGAAGTACATTAGCATGAGCCCATTCCCATACTTCATTGCCTGTAAAGTGAGTTTGATGTTTAAAACTGGTGCAGTGTGGAATACCACGATGGTGGATACAGCCTTTCCTCATACCACAGTACCGATTTCCTTGAAGTTCCATGGGTGGGAATGAAAATCCATATGCAGAATAAGTGTCTATTTGAGGAAGATCAAAGTGATACCCCTTCAATCGTGGAAGCAGACCCAAGTAATCACAGTGCTACCTGGAAGCTGACTGACCACTCTGGGACATGGTGCCATATTGGGGACTCAGTGTTGGTCTCTGCTGCTGTCAGATTGAATAGTGAGCAGTGGCTGTAGTGAGATGGACCTGGTAAATGAAAGTTCATGTTGCCAAACCCGTAAATAAGCTTTATCTCAGCCACCATAATCATGATGCACCATTACTGCTTAGAAGATAGAGGGGTGCACCCAAGTAGGTATGGAGGGGTCTCAGGTAGCTTAGAGTGGCCTCAGCCAAGACCGCAAGTATACGGCTACCTCAGTTCCACAACTTTAAGAAGTTAGACCTGCCCGTAACCCAAATGTGCTTGAAAACAGGTTCTCTCTGAGTCCTTAGTTAGTCAGCAGCCTGGTTGATACCCTAACTTTGATTTTGTGAGATCCTAAGCAGAGAAACCAATCCAGGCTGCATGGATTTCTGATCTACAGAACTGCTTATATATTTGTGTTATTTTAAGCTGCTGAATCGGGGACAATTTCTTTTGCATTAGTAACAAACCTAATAGATGTGGTGCCTGCATATTCTGAAGTAACAAATGAAAATCAGGCATGATGTTTTTTATTTTCTAGTCAACTGGTCTCAGGGAACTCCACATGAGACCACAGGTGCAGGATTAGGGAAGCTTCTCTTTTTCTGGGCCCCGGTCCATGCTAGCAGGGTTTCAGTCACTTGTCAATGGGTCCACGGTACTGCACAACATTTAGGTATATGCTAAAACAAGCATCGATTATGCAACTCGTTTCATGTTCCTTATTTAGTAGTAAGAAAGGCAAGATGTAAGAACTTGCTGTTCACCTTATAACCACCATCTTGACATGCCAGACTACCAGATTGTTAAACGCTTCACTCAGTTAGAAGGCCCCTGATTTTGTGTGAGAATTATTTCTCACATAATGTCTTGCAAGTGTGTTGCTACCATGTCTGGATTAGTTGCTGCCTCCTTTTCAGTCAGCATAATGTCATCACTGCAAAGAATGGTGTCACATCTGGTTTAAGAGAAAGGTGGCCATTTTCCCTAAGAACTCGTTTAGGATATAAACCTAGAGAGTTGATATAAGCTTGAAATAGGAAATGATAGTACATTGCTGTCCTTTCTAGCTGAATTGAAATTCTTGTTTACGACAATTACTGAAAGAAAGCCAAACATTCACCTAATCAGTATTGTATATCAGGTTCCGAGGGATGTCACAGTTGCTGACACAACAAAACCACTTGTAGTACAGCAGCTGCAGTTGGAACAACAATTTGATTAAGTTTATGGTGCAATCTCGGCTCACTGCAACCTCCACCTCCCGGGTTCAAGCAGTTCTCTTGCCTCAGCCTCCTTGTGTAGCTGGGACTATAGAAACGCATTATCACACCTGGCTAATTGTTTGTATTTCTTAGTAGAGACAGAGTTTCACCATGTTGGCCAGGCTAGTCTCAAACTCCTGACCTCAAGTGATATGCCCACCTCAGACTCCCAAAGTGCAAGTGCGAGCCACTGCGCAGGGCCCCAGCTATTTTTTGTATTTTTGGTAGAGATGTGGTTTCGCCACTTTGGCCAGCCTCGTCTGGAACTCCTGACCTCAAGTGATCCACCCGCTTCTGCCTCCCAAATCCTGGGATTACAGGCGTGAGCCACTGTGTCCGGTGAAAACTTCACTTTTAAGTGAAACGCAGAAGCAAAATCTGATAATCAGAAAATGAGATACTGCGTGTTCTCATTCATATGTGGGAGCTAAACAATGGGTACACATGAAAATAAAGGTAGAAACCATTGACTCTGGGGACTCCAAAATGGAGGTAGAGGGGAGGGAGGGAGCGGGTCGGAGGGTTGAAAAACTACCTATTGGATACTCTCTTCACTATTTGGGTGATGAGTTCACTAGAAGCCCAAACCCCGGCACTGTGCAATTATATCCAAGCGAGAAATCTGTACATGTACCCTTCTGGCATCTATAATTTTAAAAAAGCTAACAAAGAAAGCTTCAGTTTTAAATCTTAACCAAATACACAGGAAAAGGATTACTATACTTGGACACCTTTACAGGTTTCTATGTTAGTTTTTGGTATTAAAGCAGAAACCTGTTCCTCGACCACTTTATTAATTGTATGTCCTCTTTGTACAAACATCGGAAATAGAAGACTGTCACTTTTGGTTCTGTAACTGTCTTGACTGCAGTCTTCTACAGCTTTCACAGAGTTAATGGTCCCTAGTATCTGCCATTCTCCAATTGCCCTGGGTGGCGAAATCGCTGCCATAGTAAACTTTTCACTGATAATTAGAGTTTCTGGAAACATGCAGGGCTCGTTATTTAAGAGTGACTCCATTTGGGCATTTTGGTGGATGGCCTACAGGTTTTCTTGCAGAGTATACTAGAGTCTCCAGAATGAATAACCCTAGGAACTTGAGGAACTAGCGCTTTCCAGAATTTTGGAAGCCGAGATACAAACATTGGTTTTCTCAAAAGCACTGCAAGTGGGAAGGAAAATCCATATCTAGACTAAATGTCTGTTCAGGTAAGAAGAAAGCACTTCTCTTTTTATAATAGAAGTGATCTATTGTAATCCACATACCAACTAGTGGCTGGCAGATCATTCTGGAGTCTGGTGCCAAATTGGGGGCTTAGTGTTGGTCTCCATTCCTGGAAGATTTTTCACTCAGCAATGACCGTAGCCAGGTTTGCCATGGTGAGTGGAGGTCCATGCTACTGCGCATAATCTCCAACCCTGCCAGTTTGACCACTTTGTTTGTTGAGCCGGTAAGATTGTGACACACGTGTTAGGGAAAGAGGCTGATTAATACCTAGATAATAAGTACCTTATCCATCTGATTATTAAAATTCTGCTCTGCTGAGGATACCCTTTGCTGAGAACTCTCATGAGACCCCAATATCTTCACATTGTATGTCCGTTTGGACAGGCCTGTCCACATATTTTTTTTTTCTCAGACTTCTTTGTCACACATTTTTAATCGTGTGTTCTCAAAGTCCCTGACAATTCAGCGAATGAGTGGGACACAGCCTATGCATGATACATACTTACACGTCTGGATATGCCTCCTCCAAGAAGGTGCACTGCTCAAAGTTCTTCCCTCTGGGAGGATTTCCCTTCATCACTGTCCTTCAGGGCTGTCCCAGTCAGGACTGTCGTATGCAGCTGTCCACTTGTGGCTTGTGTGGTAGGCAGGATTCTAATTAAGCCCCAACAAGATTCCAGTCTCATGGTTATTCAATCAAATACTCCTATGAGTACTGCTCTGGTGGGATTTTTTTAATGCAAAAAATGAGTATTTTATTTTGATAGCACTAGAGGAAACAAACAAAACAACTGTTCCTACATCAAAGTGAAAACAATGTTTAAGCTTTCCTATCAATCAAATATATTCCAAAAGAAAATGTGTTCTATGAAGGTTCTGAAGCACAGGCAAATATTAACACAATAGGCTAAGAAGCTGTAATACTGAATATGACTCTCTTCTAACAGGGTACTTAACAAACATAATTTTTAATTTTAATTTTAATTAATTAATTTATTTTGAGACGGACTCTCCCTTTGTCCCCCAGTGACAATGGATCTCTGCCCCTTTGGAGTGCAGTGACGCGATCTCTGCTCACTGAAGCTTGCACCTCTCAGGTTCAAGTGATTCTCCTGCCTCTGCTGCCCTAGTAGCAGGGAGTACAGGTGCCCACCACCATGCCTGGCTATATTTTTTAATTTTAATTTTAAGTTTTTTACAAACATAACTTTTGAATTACAAAACCAGTGAAGTAATCCCTTCCAAATAATTGTGTCAATAGTGAAACTGCCTGTTCCATTAAAACTCGAAAAATTTCGCTGTAATATTTTTTACCACTATGGACAATTCAAGTAAATTTTGCTGCACTTAAAATAAGTTGTGAAAGTAGAAAAATGGGCCGGGCATGGTGGCTCTCCCCTGTAATCCCAGGACTTTGGGAGGCCAAGGCAGATGAATCACTTAAAGTCAGGAGTTTGAGACCAGCCTGGAGAACATTGTGAAACACCGTCTCTGCTAAAAATACAAATACCAGCCGGGCATGGTGGTACATGCCTGTAATCCCAGCTTCTCGGGAGGCTGAGGAAGGAGAACTGCTTGAACCTGGGAGGCGGAGGTTGCAGTGAGCCAAGATCATGCCACTGCACTCCAGCCTGGGTGACAGAGCCAGACTGTCTCAAAAAAAATAAAAAAGGTGGAAAAATATACAAAGTTCCAGATTAAAATGATTAATAGATGCAATATAATAAGGTTTCCCCTCCTTCCATCCTTTCTTTCTTTCTCTCTTTCTTTCTTCCTTTCTTCCCTTCTTTCTTCCATCCTTCCTTTCTTCCTTTCTTCCCTTCTTTCTTCCATCCTTCCTTTCTTCCTTCCTTTCTTTCTTTCGTTCTTTCTTTCCTTCCTTCCTTCTTTTTTCTTTCTCTTTCTTTCTTTCTCTCTTTCTTTCTCTCTTTCTTTCTCTCTTTCTTTTTTTTGTAGACAGTCTTACTCTGTCACCCAGGCTATAGTGCAATGGTGCGAACAAAGGTCAATGCAGCCTCAACCTCCTGGTGTCAAGCCTCCCGAGCAGCTGGGACCACAGTTACACGCTCAGCTAATTTTTGTATTTTGTGTTAAGATGGGGTTTCACCATGCTGCCCAGGCTGCTCTTGAACTCCTGGGCTCAAGGAATCCACCCCTCTTGGTCTCCCAAATTGCTGGGATTACAGACGTGAGCGACCGCACTGGGGCCCTCATTTTTCTTATCAATTAACAATAATGGTTACCTTTAACAGATAGAGGTTGACTTTATTTATTGATTGATTGATTTTTATTTTTAGACAGAGTCTCACTCTGTTACCCAGGCTGGAGTGCAGTGGCATGATCTCAGCTCACTGCAAATTCTGCCTGCCCGGTTCAAGCGATTCTCCAGCCTCAGCCTCCCAAGTAGCTGGTGGGATTATAGGTGCATGCCACCACGCCCGGTAATTTTCTGTATTTTTAGTAGAGACGGGATTCACCATGTTGGTCAGACAGACTGGTCTCGAACTCCTGACCTCAGGTGGTCCAGCCCCTTCGGCCTCCCAAAGTGTTGAGATTACAGGCGTGAGCCACTGTGGCGGGTCGGGGTTGACTTTAAAACACAACCCCCTCAAATGAAAATTGCAGTTTGTTGTTGTTCTTTTTCTTTTTCTTTTCTTTTCCTTCTTTCTTTCTTTTTTTTTTTTTTTTTTCTGAGGTGGGGTCTCCTCTACCGCCTGGGCTGGAGTGCAGTGGCTCACTGCTACCTCCACCTCCCGGGTTCAAGCCATCCTCCCACCTCAACTTCCCGAGTAGTTGGGACCACAGGTGCGAGGCCACTAGGCCCAGCTAATTTGTGTGTTTCTTTCTTTCTTTCTTTCTTTCTTTCTTTTTTGATTAGTTGGTTGCTTTGTAGAGCCGGGGTCTCACTATGTTACCCAGGCGATTTCATCCCGCTGGGTGAGAAGGTTCTGCATTCCTCCGCATACGTTGCTGTGCAGTTGTTACTGAAGGTCGCCTGTAGAGGGCGCCAGAGTCAGCGAAGGGGAGGGCTGCGCTTCCTGGTTCTCTGGGGCACGAGGCTTCTCCTCAGCACTCTGGCGCCCCCAACAGGTTCCCAGTGTTCGGCTGGGGCAGGCACGCTGTGGCTGGCTACTTCCCTTCCTCCCATCCCCCTTGGGCCAAACGGGATCGGTGCTTCTGGTGAGACGCCTCCCCATGCACATCACTCCCAGGTGCCCTAGGGGGCACATTTCCCACAACTCCCAGAGGGCAGGTTTCTAGAAAGTGCCACCAGTGGGGAGGCGCCACAACTTCACTGCCATTTTGTGAGGTGCCGCCGTCTCTCCTCCAGCAAGGTCAGGACTTCAGGACTGTGAGTGGGCAGTTTTTCCCTGGATGCTTTAATTTCGCCCTGGAAAGTGTCCTTTTTCCTCAGAAAGAGTCTTTTCTGTGGTGTTCTCTGTCCGGTGTGTGGGAGGGCTCCCTTGGGGAAGTGGCTTAGCTCTGGGGACACCGCCATGGGCGCCTGTGTCAGCCGCGGGGGAGCGTTTTCCTTGGGCACCCCGTCTCGGCTATGTTGTGGGGCCAGGGGGCTTTTCTTGGGGGCTCTTGTTGGGGGCTCCCTGTCGGTGATGGAAAAGGCGACTTTTCCTGCTGAAATGACCTGAGCCCGGGGGGTGGGGGCCATGCCTTGGTTGCCTGTGTCGGTCTCGGGTGCGGCGGTGTTTCTTTCCCGCTCAGTCGCTGTCCTGAGGGGGGACTCTGCCCTGGGGTCACTATCTGTGCTCATGGAACGTGGTGGGGGTGGCTGTGCCCCGGACACATGATCGTAGCCCTGTGGGGTCACTGTCGGGGGCTTTATCTCAACCTCTGGTGGACTCTTCCTTGGGTACTGATGTCGGCCGTGAGGCGCATTTGTCCTCGGATGTTGCTCGCTCTCAGTTACAATGTGTTGGCTTTTCTTTGGTTCTGCTTATCCCCGTTGTGGACGCTTACTGGATGGATGCTTTCTCTTGGTGCTGGGTTTTTAAAATTATTATCTGTAGGTGCTCTCTCCCGGTGCCGCCGGGGAATGGGGTAATGTTCCTTGGATTCTCTAAGCCTATGGTGGGACTCAGGGAGCTCTGTGTCAGCCATGAAGGAGGCCACGTGACCTTGGGAACTCTGTCTCGACCCAGGTTGGGGTGCTTTTCCTCGGTTGGTTGATCGCAATTCTGAAGGAGCTCTTTCCTGGGATTCTATCTGACCTTTCAGCCACAGCCTCAGGTGTCTGTGTGGGAATGGGAGTCCAGAAATATTCGAAGGTTCCAGCTGTGCCACATTCGAACACTCGCAGTACAGTTAGTCTTTCATTCCAGCCACTCTGATGGGTGTGCAGTGATCTCTCCTTATGTCTACACTCGCATTTCTCTGCTGATTAATGAGATCGAGCACCTTTTTAAGAAATTGTTTTTATTTATTGATTTTTGTTTGTCTTTTGAGATGAGGTCTCCCTCTGTCACCCAGACTGGATTGCAGTGCCACCACACCCAGCTATTTATTGTTTTCTTTTTTTTTTTTTTTAGCACCATTTTATGTGTTTATTGGTCATTTAACTATGCCTTTTATGAAGTTCCTTTTCAGGTATTTTCCCCCAGCTTTTACTGAGATGTTTGTATTTTAAAAATGGATTTGTAGTTTCCATATATTCTGTATTTGAGTTATACGCACAGGCACACAGGCGTATATGTACATATACAAAAATACATATACAATTTTAGTATCTTCTATAAATCTTTTTTGCTTTTACACGATCTCAATAATGTGTTGTAGATGAACAGATTCTCTTAATTTTATTAATTAGTGTATTATTTATGGATAGTGCTTTTTATTATTTTAAGAAACATCTTTGACTCACCCAATGCCATTACGATAATATTCCTTTTCTTAAAATTATACTTTAAGTTCCGGGATACATGGGCAGAACGTGCAGGTTTGTTACATAGGAAGACACATGCCATGGTTGTTTGCTGCACCCATTGACCCGTCATCTACCTTAGGTATTTCTCTAATGCTATCCCTCCCCTAGCCCCCCAACCCCTGACAGGCCCCACTGTGTGATGTTCTTCTCCCCGCGCCCATGTGTTCTCATTGTTCAACTCCCACTTATGAGTGAGGACACGTGGTGTTTGGTTTTCTGTTCCTGTGTTAGCTTGCTGACACATGTCCCTTCAAAGGACATGAACTCATTCTTTTTTATGGCTGCATAGTATTCCGTGGTGTATATGTACCACATTTTCTTTATCCAGCGTCGTGGCAGGCGCCCGTAATCGCAGCTACTCAGGAGGCTGAGGCAGGAGAATTGCTTGAACCTGGGAAGTGGAGGTTGCAGTGAGCAGAGACTGTGCCACTCCACTGCAGCCTGGGTGACAGAGCGAGGCTCCGACTCAAAAAAAAAAAAAGTAATGTCTTCCAATGCATGGAAAGAATATTTTTCTCCATTTACTGCAGTCTTGAATTTCTCTGAGTGATGTTTTATAATTTTTGTGAAGTACTCTAGCACATCTTGATTAGATTTATTCCTAAATATTTGATGTTTTTGGAACTGTTTTTAATGACATTTGAAATCTCATATTCTAATTATTCGTTATACAGAATTGCCATTCTGTATAATGCCATTCATTATACAGAATTGCTATTCATTATACAGAAATGCCATTGGTTTTCATTGTATCTAGTAAGTTGACTAAATTTGCTTATTAACTGTAATGATTTTATTCTTCTGCATTTTTCTATGTACAGAACAATGTCATCTGTGAATAATGACAGTTTTATTTCTTTCCAAATTTTAAACCTATTGTATTTTCCTGATGATATGGCACTTTTTGGAACCTCCAGTAAATTGTTGAATGGATAGTGGACATCTTTGTCTTGTTTTCAAACTCAGGGAGAAAATACTGATACGTCACTATGAAGTATGGCATTTAAAAATTTTTTGTACATATGCTAACCAGAATAGGAAAGTTGCCCTTTTTCCTAAGTTGGTGATAGTTTTTATCACGAATGGACTTTAAACATTGATCCATGTATGAAAATGATCATGCGGTGTTTCCCTGTTTTTGTTGTTGTTGTTGTTGTTGTTGTTAATGTGGTGCACTACATTTGTCGATTTTCAAATGTTAAATCAGTGTTGCCTTTCTGCAATATACTCCACCATGGCTGATGTATGTCCTTTTTAAGTACTAGTACATTTTATTTGCTCACCCTTAGTTTGGAATTTTTGTGTCTAAGTTCGGGGTGATCTTGGCTTGTATTTTTGGCTTGATCTTGTAGTTTTTCATTCTTCTAAATTCCTTGTCAGATGTTGTTATCAGTTTTGTATCAATCTTCTAATAAGGGTTCCTAATAAGGGTTAATACACGTTGGTTTATGCATCTATTTGAATATATAAGCATAAATACTTATATATTAAATATATATGATATATAATATATAATTTAAAATATAATGTATAATAAGGGTTAATACAGATTGGTTTATACATCCATTTTTTCTAATAAGGGTTAATACAGATTGGCTTATACATCTTCAAATAGGTAATAATATTTTTATCTATTTTTGGTTGATGACAGCTGCTTATTCCACAAGCATTCTGATTGATTTGGTTATACCATCTTTCTTCTGTTTTACTTTGTGTACATTAAAATTAGGTTTCTTTTCCTGAGAACAGAGTGTTTGTTGAGACTTGGTAAATCTTGGCTCATGATTAAAAGTGAAATTAATGATTCAAAGTCTTGGTTGTATACACATATGCAGATTGCTTGCCATTTTGTGATTGTTAGATTTTTGTCATGAATAGAATATATTCATTGATGTTTTTCAGGAAACAATGACCGATAAAACAGAGAAGGTGGCTGTAGATCCTGAAACTGTGTTTAAACGTCCCAGGGAATGTGACAGTCCTTCGTATCAGAAAAGGCAGAGGATGGCCCTGTTGGCAAGGAAACAAGGAGCAGGAGACAGCCTTATTGCAGGCTCTGCCATGTCCAAAGAAAAGAGTAAGTAAGCCTGTCCTCACGTCCTCCTCATGCTCCTGCCTCATCCCCTCCAGAGAAACTGTCCTTGTCAAGGTTAACAGTTTCGGCTGACATTGCCATTAACTTCTCAGCAGCATTTGACAGTTGTTCACTCGCTTCTTCATGAAAACCTTCTAGGATTTCCATTTCCGACAATCTTTTTTTTTTTTTAATTTCTTGTCCGTATTGGTGAATCCCTATCATTTTTTTCTTGAGATGGAGTTTCGCTCTTCTCAGCCAGGCTGGAGTGCAGTGGCGCGATCTCGGCTCACTGAAATCTCCGTCTCCTGGGTTCAAGTGATTCTTCTGCCGCAGCCTCCCGAGTAGCGGGATTACAAGCACCAGCCACCACACCCAGCTAATTTTTGTAAGTTTAGTAGAGATGGGGTTTCGCCATGTCGGCCAGGCTGGTCTGGAACTCCCCCCCTCAGGTGATCCACCCACCTCAGCCTCCCAAAGTGCTGGGATTACACGCACGAGCCACCGCCCCCGACCCCATCATTGTTTTTTTCTACATTTCTTTTTCTTCTCTTCTCTAAATACTGTAAAAAATTCCTGAACCCCAGCATCTCTCCCTCTCCTTCTATTCCACTCTGCCACGATCAATCACTGAGCTCCTGAGATACCTCCATGTTTCCCATTATTTCCCGCATCAAACACATACCCTCCAACCCTGCAGCCGGGTCATGATGTTGGCATGTAAATCACGTGATGCCATGTCGCTCCTGAACACCCATCCTCAACACTCCTAAGCACTCAGAACCGACTGCGAAGCAGCTTTGGTCTGCGAGGTTCTGCGTGGCCTGGCCTCCGTCACCCTCTCCTCACACGGGCCCCATCATCTCCTGACCCTCTCTGCTACTGTCCTTCACCCCGTAGTGCCCGGTCCATCCCCACTCCAGCCCATATCCTTGGCCTCACCGCAACCTGGAACTCCCCCTCTGCCTCTGCGCAGGCAGCTCTGCTTTTTCCTTCAAGCCCTGCCCAAGGGTACCTCCACAGAAGGCTCTGCCCAACCAGCAGCAGCTCCTGGGGCTCCCTCTGCTGCTGTTGCCCACAGGCCTGTGGACTGCTTCCTTACCACTAGCCCAACACTGTATGTTTCATTTGCTCATTGTGCACGTACTGTCTGACCGCCCCATGAGGATGTGAGCTCCACAAGGGCAGGGAACGTTGCTCTCTGGGCTGTTTACTGCTGATCCCCAGCTACCGGCACACTGCCTGCCACAGACGATGAATAAATGAGAGGTGTCAGACCTGGAGTGAAAAGAAAGTCACTTTTGTGAGACAGAAAGGAAGGATGAGGAAAATCATACACTAAAAGGGATTTTTTGTTGATGGAGTACATATAGAACTTTCAGCAGTAATGGCCACCTCTATTTTCTCAGAATATGTTTGATGTAGAGAGGAGGCTGGTTGAGGTGTGTCCAAGTTGTCTGGCTTCCAGCTTAGTAAAACATGGCAGTTTGTAAGTGAATTTGAGAAATCATGATATCAAGTGAGACTTGCTGCTTTCAACTTGTAAAGCATAACAAGCTGAAACTGTCCCATGAGTACCAGGGATCTGTGAATGTTGCTTTAGAGTTGTACTGCCTTACTTGGTTTCCATGTCTATTCATAGGGCCAGAAAATAAGAGGTGGTTTTATTGTATTATGTGTCCTGGCCTCCGTTTGTCAGGCCTGGGATTTCTCCCTGGTGTATCCTCCCATTTATTAAATAAATAATTCCCTAGAAACTGAGGAGCACATAGATGTACCCAGAGGGGTGATGAAACACACATATCTCACAGCTCAACTTCTCAGTTTGATTTCCAGAGCTGTCATTCATGAGGTCTATGTGGAGGGGAAAGAAAGTGGTCAAACACCAACTGATGGCTTTTACTCAAAATCTGTTTCACCAGAGCTTATGACAGGACATGCTATTCCACCCAGCCAATTGGATTCTCAGATTGATGACTTCACTGGTTTCAGCAAAGATAGGATGATGCAGAAACCTGGTAGCAATGCACCTGTGGGAGGAAACGTTACCAGCAGTTTCTCTGGAGATGACCTAGAATGCAGAGAAACAGCCTTCTCTCCCAAAAGCCAACAAGAAATTAATGCTGATATAAAACGTCAATTAGTGAAGGAACTCCGATGCGTTGGACAAAGTAAGTAGTATAAGAATGTCTGTTTTATAAAACTATAGGAAGTCTCTCTTTCTATGATTCAGAAGATATTCATGTTGCCTGTTGAGTTTCATTCTTTGCCAGAGTTGAGATTGCACATAATTTATGGTGGTTCCTCTTTTCTTTGACTAAAGCATGTACATTTTTTCTTTTTCTTTTCTTACTTGGTTATGGTTAAAGGAGTTACATTCGTATGTATGTGCAGGTGTCTTTTTTATTATTTAGGTTTTGTATGTGCAGGTATCTTGATTTAAGCATTTAAAACATTTCAGCCTCTGAAGCATGATTGCTGAGGTGTAGATTCACTTCTATTCTTCTTTATATTTGATAATACTGAAGTTTTTTTTTTTCAACATCTTCAGAATATGAAAAAATCTTCGAAATGCTTGAAGGAGTGCAAGGACCTACTGCAGTCAGGAAACGATTTTTTGAATCCATCATCAAGGAAGCAGCAAGGTGGGTAGAAATAGGAACTGTCCAATTTCTTTAAGCACTTGGGCTCAATAGAGCACTGGGGGTGAGCGTTGGGGAACAGCCCCTGCCTTGCGTTTCTCAAACCCTGGTCCTCACTCACAGTTACGGCTGTCTCCACAGTTACTTAGGCTAATGTTATCTGAGTCTAACTCATTCTTCGAAGACTATGGAGACTTCCATTTTCACCATAGTCTGAGGTGCGCATTGTCCCTCAATTGACACTCTTTGTATTTGCTAGACTACCTCTTTTTAAAAAATTTGTGTAGGCACATAGCAGATGCATATATTTCTGGGCTATATGAGATATTGTGATACAGACAACAATGTGTAATAATCACATCAAGGTAAGTGGGGTTTCTATCACCTCAAGCTTTTATCCTTTGCGTTACGGGGAGAATACAATTATACTCTTCATTATTTTTAAATGTGCAATTAAATTATTACCGACTATAGTCACCCTGTTGGGCTATGAAATACGACATCTTATTTATTCCATACTTCTACGTATTAATCATCCCCACTTCCCACACCCTCCACCCCCACTAACCTTTGTAGCCTCTGGTAACTGTCATTCTACTCTCTATCTCCATTAGTTCAGTTGTTTTACACTTTTACTCCCAAAAATAAGTGAGAACATGTGAAGTTTGTCTTTCTGTGCCTGGCTTATTTCACTTAACATAAGGACCTTCGGTTCTATCCGTGTTGTTGCAAATGACTGAATCTCATTCTTTTTTTTATGGCTAAACAGTACTCTGTGGTGTATATGTACCATATTTTCTTTACCCATTCACGTGTTAGTGGACACTTAGGTTGCTTCCAAATCTTGGCTACTGTGAATGGTGGTGCAGGAAACATGGGAGTGCAGATATCTCTTCGGTACACTGACTTCCTTTCTCTTGGGTATATACCCAGCAGTGGGATTGCTGGATCATATGATAGCTCCATTTTTAGTTGTTTGAGGAACCTCCAAACTGTTCTTCATAGTTGTTGTAGTAATTTATGTTCCCACCAACAGTGTATGAGGGTTCCCTTTTCTCCACACCCTTGCCAGCATTTGCTATGCCGGCTAGACTGCCTCTTACCATGCAGATACATTTCTATTTCCATGCTGACTGTTACTTCATCTTTCTATCTGTCACAGCGCTTCCTACAGCATAGGTTCTTTGGCTATCTTTTGGTTAATGACATGTCTCTTTCTCTTCAGATGTATGAGACGAGACTTTGTTAAGCACCTTAAGAAGAAACTGAAACGTATGATTTGAGAATACTTGTCCCTGGAGGATTATCACACCCCAAATGCATAATCTCATTAATGATTGAGGAGAGAAAAGGATCAGATTGCTGTTTTCTACAATGGAGCAGGATATTGCTGAAGTCTCCTGGCATATGTTACCGAATCAACTGGCCTTCCAGAGGCTAAGAAATTTCTGTTAGTAAAAGATGTTCTTTTTCCCAAAGCGTTTTATTTGAAAGGATAACTTGTGTTTTGGTTATTTTGTATTCCCACCTGTGCTGGTAGATATTATTAACCCATTAGGTAAATACTATTACAGTCGTGGTTTCTGCAGCAGCTCACACTGATGTAGCTGGCGTTTATAACTACCTTCTTTCGCTACCCGTTTCGCATTCCCTTTGCCCTGAGATAGCATGTCAGTTGGTCATGATGCTTGGCCTGGCAGGATGACTCAAACCTTCATTACGGAAGAGTCTGAACCATTAGATATCCTGCCTGGATGGGGTTGCTGTGATTTTCCATTAACTCTAATCGAAAAACACGGGAGGACTAAGAAGCTCTCTAGACATATCACACATACTCTTCCTTAGCCCCTGGTGTGGTGGGAACCCGATCTCAATGTTGAAATCTGTATCATCAGCCTTCAACGAAAAGGCAGAACTAATGGGAGATTTTAATGTGTGTGTGTGTGTGTGTGTGTGTGTGTGTGTGTGTTGGTAGGGGGTATATATACATGCACACACACACTTTCTAATCTCCCATTATACATATAATACACATTACACATATTATATATACACCCCCATATATATATATGTATGCGTGTGTGGGGGGGTATATCCAATATATATAATAAAGGTAGTTCCTAGATAGGATTGGTCTGATACAATAATTTGGAGCTGCAGTAGCAGTCCCTGTAAGGCTGTTGTTTCCAGATAGGACTTGAACATTCTATGCTTTTTATTTTTTTTAAAGACAGAATCTTGCTCTGTTGCCCAGGCTAGAGTGCGGTGACACGATCACAAGTCACTGCCACCTCGACCTCACCCCAGTTCAAGCGATCCTTGTGCTTCAGCCTTCGAAGTAGCTGGGATTACAGGTGCACCACAGGTGCCATCACGCTGCAATTTTTGTATTTTTAGTGGAGATGGGGTTTTGCCATGTTGTCCAGGCTGGTCTCGAAACCTGGCCTCAAGTGATCTGCCCATCTCAGCCTCCCAAGGTTCTAGGATTACAGGCATGAGCCACTGCACCCAGCCCATTCTATGCTTTTTTTTAAAAAATTAATTCATTCAATTATTCAACAAATATTAATTGTGCCAGGTACTTTTTTTTTATTATACTTTAAGGTTTAGGGTACATGTGCACAACGTGCAGGTTTGTTACATATGTATACATGTGCCATTTTTGTGTGCTGCACCCATTAACTCATCATTTAACATTAGGTATATCTCCTAATGCTATCCCTCCCCCCTCCCCACACCCCACAACAGGACCCAGTGTGTGATGTTCCCCTTCCTGTGTCCATGTGTTCTCATTGTTCAGTTCCCACCTATGAGGGAGAACATGCGGTGTTTGGTTTTTTGTCCTTGCGATAGTTTGCTGAGAATGATGGTTTCCAGCTTCATCCATGTCCCTACAAAGGACATGAACTCATCATTTTTCATGGCTGCATAGTATTCCATGGTGTATATGTGCCACGTTTTCTTAATCCAGTCTATCATTGTTGGACATTTGGGTTGGTTCCAAGTCTTTGCTATTGTGAATAGTGCCACAATAAACATACGTGTGCATGTGTCTTTATAGCAGCATGTTTTATAATCCTTTGGGTATATACTCAGTAATGGGATGGCTGGGTCAAATGGTATTTCTAGTTCTAGATCCCTGAGGAATCGCCACACTGACTTCCACAATGGTTGAACTAGTTTACAGTCCCACCAACAGTGTAAAAGTGTTCCTATTTGTCCACATCCTCTCCAGCACCTGTTGTTTCCTGACTTTTTAATGATTGCCATTCTAACTGGTGTGAGATGGTATCTCATTGTGGTTTTGATTTGCATTTATCTGATGGCCAGTGATGATGAGCATGTTTTCATGTGTCTGTTGGCTGCATAAATGTCTTCTTTTGAGAAGTATCTGTTCATATCCTTCGCCCGCTTGTTGATGGGGTTGTTTGTTTTTTTCTTGTAAATTTGTTTGAGTTCGTTGTAGATTCTGGATATTAGCCCTTTGTCAGATGAGTAGACTGCAAAAATTTCCTCCCATTCTGTAGGTTGCCTGTTCACTCTGATGGTAGTTTCTTTTGCCGTGCAGAAACTCTTTAGTTTAATTAGATCCCATTTGTCAATTTTGACTTTTGTTGCCATTGCTTTTGGTGTTTTAGACGTGAAGTCCTTGCCCATGCCTATGTCCTGAATGGTATTATAGCCTAGGTTTTCTTCTAGGGTTTTTATGGTTTTAGGTCTAACATGTAAGTCTTGAATCCATCTTGAATTAATTTTTGTATAAAGTGTAAGGAAGGGATCCCATTTCATCTTTCTCCATATGGCTAGCCAGTTTTCCCAGCACCATTTATTAAATAGGGAATCCTTTCCCCATTTCTTGTTTTTGTCAGGTTTGTCAAAGATCAGATAGTTGTAGATATGCAGCATTATTTCTGAGGGCTCTGTTCTGTTCCATTGGTCTATATCTCTGTTTTGATAACAGTACCATGCTGTTTTGGTTACTGTAGACTTGTAGTATAGTTTGAAGTCAGGTAGCGTGATGCCTCCAGCTTTGTTCTTTTGGCTTAGGATTGACTTGGCAATGCGGGCTCTTTTTTGGTTCCAAAATCAGTGTGCAAAAATCACAAGCATTCTTATACACCAGTAACAGACAAACAGAGAGCCAAATCATGAGTGAACTCCCATGCACAATTGCTTCAAAGATAATAAAATACCTAGGAATCCAACTTACAAGGGACGTGAAGGACCTCTTCAAGGAGAACTACAAACCAGTGCTCAATGAAATAAAAGAGGACACAAACAAATGGAACAACATTCCATGCTCATGGGTAGGAAGAATCAATATCGTGAAAATGGCCATATTGCCCAGGGTAATTTATAGATTCAATGCCATCCCCATCAAGCTACCAATGACTTTCTTCACAGAATTGGAAAAAACTACTTTAAAGTTCATACGGAACAACTTTCATTTTGGTGGAATCACTTTGGTTTCCCCTGTTGAAAAAATTCCTCAATGTGTAACTAAGTCCTCTAGTCCAGCAGAGCCAAAAGTTGGCTTCTTGGTGCACAGTTTGCTTCTTGAGCATAAGAAGCAACATTTTGTTACTAGATACCCAGGAGTAATAGTGAGAGAAGGCCCACATATTGCCTCCTTCATTCTTGAAGTCATAAATGTGGCTATGGGAGAAATAGTTCCATATACTTGAGGCTAGGATTCAGCTTTGCCACTTTCTAGATTGTCAGCCAAGCCCCACAAGGCACTGCCACAAAGCTGCAATGACAACTCAGGCTTTAAAAGGTCCTCCAATGTTCTATTGAGCCAGCCATTTCAGGATGTTGAAGAACATCACAAGACTAGTGAAGTACATTAGCATGAGCCCATTCCCATACTTCATTGCCTGTAAAGTGAGTTTGATGTTTAAAACTGGTGCAGTGTGGAATACCACGACGGTGGATACAGCCTTTCCTCATACCACAGTACCGATTTCCTTGAAGTTCCATGGGTGGGAATGAAAATCCATATGCAGAATAAGTGTCTATTTGAGGAAGATCAAAGTGATACCCCTTCAATCGTGGAAGCAGACCCAAGTAATCACAGTGCTACCTGGAAGCTGACTGACCACTCTGGGACATGGTGCCATATTGGGGACTCAGTGTTGGTCTCTGCTGCTGTCAGATTGAATAGTGAGCAGTGGCTGTAGTGAGATGGACCTGGTAAATGAAAGTTCATGTTGCCAAACCCGTAAATAAGCTTTATCTCAGCCACCATAATCATGATGCACCATTACTGCTTAGAAGATAGAGGGGTGCACCCAAGTAGGTATGGAGGGGTCTCAGGTAGCTTAGAGTGGCCTCAGCCAAGACCGCAAGTATACGGCTACCTCAGTTCCACAACTTTAAGAAGTTAGACCTGCCCGTAACCCAAATGTGCTTGAAAACAGGTTCTCTCTGAGTCCTTAGTTAGTCAGCAGCCTGGTTGATACCCTAACTTTGATTTTGTGAGATCCTAAGCAGAGAAACCAATCCAGCCTGCATGGATTTCTGATCTACAGAACTGCTTATATATTTGTGTTATTTTAAGCTGCTGAATCGGGGACAATTTCTTTTGCATTAGTAACAAACCTAACAGATGTGGTGCCTGCATATTCTGAAGTAACAAATGAAAATCAGGCATGATGTTTTTTATTTTCTAGTCAACTGGTCTCAGGGAACTCCACATGAGACCACAGGTGCAGGATTAGGGAAGCTTCTCTTTTTCTGGGCCCCGGTCCATGCTAGCAGGGTTTCAGTCACTTGTCAATGGGTCCACGGTACTGCACAACATTTAGGTATATGCTAAAACAAGCATCTATTATGCAACTCGTTTCATGTTCCTTATTTAGTAGTAAGAAAGGCAAGATGTAAGAACTTGCTGTTCACCTTATAACCACCATCTTGACATGCCAGACTACCAGATTGTTAAATGCTTCACTCAGTTAGAAGGCCCCTGATTTTGTGTGAGAATTATTTCTCACATAATGTCTTGCAAGTGTGTTGCTACCATGTCTGGATTAGTTGCTACCTCCTTTTCAGTCAGCATGATGTCATCACTGCAAAGAATGGTGTCACATCTGGTTTAAGAGAAAGGTGGCCATTTTCCCTAAGAACTCGTTTAGGATATAAACCTAGAGAGTTGATATAAGCTTGAAATAGGAAATGATAGTACATTGCTGTCCTTTCTAGCTGAATTGAAATTCTTGTTTACGACAATTACTGAAAGAAAGCCAAACATTCACCTAATCAGTATTGTATATCAGGTTCCGAGGGATGTCACAGTTGCTGACACAACAAAACCACTTGTAGTACAGCAGCTGCAGTTGGAACAACAATTTGATTAAGTTTATGGTGCAATCTCGGCTCACTGCAACCTCCACCTCCCGGGTTCAAGCAGTTCTCTTGCCTCAGCCTCCTTGTGTAGCTGGGACTATAGAAATGCATTATCACACCTGGCTAATTGTTTGTATTTCTTAGTAGAGACAGAGTTTCACCATGTTGGCCAGGCTAGTCTCAAACTCCTGACCTCAAGTGATATGCCCACCTCAGACTCCCAAAGTGCAAGTGCGAGCCACTGCGCAGGGCCCCAGCTATTTTTTGTATTTTTGGTAGAGATGTGGTTTCGCCACTTTGGCCAGCCTCGTCTGGAACTCCTGACCTCAAGTGATCCACCCGCTTCTGCCTCCCAAATCCTGGGATTACAGGCGTGAGCCACTGTGTCCGGTGAAAACTTCACTTTTAAGTGAAACGCAGAAGCAAAATCTGATAATCAGAAAATGAGATACTGCGTGTTCTCATTCATATGTGGGAGCTAAACAATGGGTACACATGAAAATAAAGGTAGAAACCATTGACTCTGGGGACTCCAAAATGGAGGTAGAGGGGAGGGAGGGAGCGGGTCGGAGGGTTGAAAAACTACCTATTGGATACTCTCTTCACTATTTGGGTGATGAGTTCACTAGAAGCCCAAACCCCGGCACTGTGCAATTATATCCAAGTGAGAAATCTGTACATGTACCCTTCTGGCATCTATAATTTTAAAAAAGCTAACAAAGAAAGCTTCAGTTTTAAATCTTAACCAAATACACAGGAAAAGGATTACTATACTTGGACACCTTTACAGGTTTCTATGTTAGTTTTTGGTATTAAAGCAGAAACCTGTTCCTCGACCACTTTATTAATTGTATGTCCTCTTTGTACAAACATCGAAAATAGAAGACTGTCACTTTTGGTTCTGTAACTGTCTTGACTGCAGTCTTCTACAGCTTTCACAGAGTTAATGGTCCCTAGTATCTGCCATTCTCCAATTGCCCTGGGTGGCGAAATCGCTGCTATAGTAAACTTTTCACTGATAATTAGAGTTTCTGGAAACATGCGGGGCTCGTTATTTAAGAGTGACTCCATTTGGGCATTTTGGTGGATGGCCTACAGGTTTTCTTGCAGAGTATACTAGAGTCTCCAGAATGAATAACCCTAGGAACTTGAGGAACTAGCGCTTTCCAGAATTTTGGAAGCCGAGATACAAACATTGGTTTTCTCAAAAGCACTGCAAGTGGGAAGGAAAATCCATATCTAGACTAAATGTCTGTTCAGGTAAGAAGAAAGCACTTCTCTTTTTATAATAGAAGTGATCTATTGTAATCCACATACCAACTAGTGGCTGGCAGATCATTCTGGAGTCTGGTGCCAAATTGGGGGCTTAGTGTTGGTCTCCATTCCTGGAAGATTTTTCACTCAGCAATGACCGTAGCCAGGTTTGCCATGGTGAGTGGAGGTCCATGCTACTGCGCATAATCTCCAACCCTGCCAGTTTGACCACTTTGTTTGTTGAGCCGGTAAGATTGTGACACACGTGTTAGGGAAAGAGGCTGATTAATACCTAGATAATAAGTACCTTATCCATCTGATTATTAAAATTCTGCTCTGCTGAGGATACCCTTTGCTGAGAACTCTCATGAGACCCCAATATCTTCACATTGTATGTCCGTTTGGACAGGCCTGTCCACATATTTTTTTTTTTCTCAGACTTCTTTGTCGCACATTTTTAATCGTGTGTTCTCAAAGTCCCTGACAATTCAGCGAATGAGTGGGACACAGCCTATGCATGATACATACTTACACGTCTGGATATGCCTCCTCCAAGAAGGTGCACTGCTCAAAGTTCTTCCCTCTGGGAGGATTTCCCTTCATCACTGTCCTTCAGGGCTGTCCCAGTCAGGACTGTCGTATGCAGCTGTCCACTTGTGGCTTGTGTGGTAGGCAGGATTCTAATTAAGCCCCAACAAGATTCCAGTCTCATGGTTATTCAATCAAATACTCCTATGAGTACTGCTCTGGTGGGATTTTTTTAATGCAAAAAATGAGTATTTTATTTTGATAGCACTAGAGGAAACAAACAAAACAACTGTTCCTACATCAAAGTGAAAACAATGTTTAAGCTTTCCTATCAATCAAATATATTCCAAAAGAAAATGTGTTCTATGAAGGTTCTGAAGCACAGGCAAATATTAACACAATAGGCTAAGAAGCTGTAATACTGAATATGACTCTCTTCTAACAGGGTACTTAACAAACATAATTTTTAATTTTAATTTTAATTAATTAATTTATTTTGAGACGGACTCTCCCTTTGTCCCCCAGTGACAATGGATCTCTGCCCCTTTGGAGTGCAGTGACGCGATCTCTGCTCACTGAAGCTTGCACCTCTCAGGTTCAAGTGATTCTCCTGCCTCTGCTGCCCTAGTAGCAGGGAGTACAGGTGCCCACCACCATGCCTGGCTATATTTTTTAATTTTAATTTTAAGTTTTTTACAAACATAACTTTTGAATTACAAAACCAGTGAAGTAATCCCTTCCAAATAATTGTGTCAATAGTGAAACTGCCTGTTCCATTAAAACTCGAAAAATTTCGCTGTAATATTTTTTACCACTATGGACAATTCAAGTAAATTTTGCTGCACTTAAAATAAGTTGTGAAAGTAGAAAAATGGGCCGGGCATGGTGGCTCTCCCCTGTAATCCCAGGACTTTGGGAGGCCAAGGCAGATGAATCACTTAAAGTCAGGAGTTTGAGACCAGCCTGGAGAACATTGTGAAACACCGTCTCTGCTAAAAATACAAATACCAGCCGGGCATGGTGGTACATGCCTGTAATCCCAGCTTCTCGGGAGGCTGAGGAAGGAGAACTGCTTGAACCTGGGAGGCGGAGGTTGCAGTGAGCCAAGATCATGCCACTGCACTCCAGCCTGGGTGACAGAGCCAGACTGTCTCAAAAAAAATAAAAAAGGTGGAAAAATATACAAAGTTCCAGATTAAAATGATTAATAGATGCAATATAATAAGGTTTCCCCTCCTTCCATCCTTTCTTTCTTTCTCTCTTTCTTTCTTCCTTTCTTCCCTTCTTTCTTCCATCCTTCCTTTCTTCCTTTCTTCCCTTCTTTCTTCCATCCTTCCTTTCTTCCTTCCTTTCTTTCTTTCGTTCTTTCTTTCCTTCCTTCCTTCTTTTTTCTTTCTCTTTCTTTCTTTCTTTCTTTCTCTCTTTCTTTCTCTCTTTCTTTTTTTTGTAGACAGTCTTACTCTGTCACCCAGGCTATAGTGCAATGGTGCGAACAAAGGTCAATGCAGCCTCAACCTCCTGGTGTCAAGCCTCCCGAGCAGCTGGGACCACAGTTACACGCTCAGCTAATTTTTGTATTTTGTGTTAAGATGGGGTTTCACCATGCTGCCCAGGCTGCTCTTGAACTCCTGGGCTCAAGGAATCCACCCCTCTTGGTCTCCCAAATTGCTGGGATTACAGACGTGAGCGACCGCACTGGGGCCCTCATTTTTCTTATCAATTAACAATAATGGTTACCTTTAACAGATAGAGGTTGACTTTATTTATTGATTGATTGATTTTTATTTTTAGACAGAGTCTCACTCTGTTACCCAGGCTGGAGTGCAGTGGCATGATCTCAGCTCACTGCAAATTCTGCCTGCCCGGTTCAAGCGATTCTCCAGCCTCAGCCTCCCAAGTAGCTGGTGGGATTATAGGTGCATGCCACCACGCCCGGTAATTTTCTGTATTTTTAGTAGAGACGGGATTCACCATGTTGGTCAGACAGACTGGTCTCGAACTCCTGACCTCAGGTGGTCCAGCCCCTTCGGCCTCCCAAAGTGTTGAGATTACAGGCGTGAGCCACTGTGGCGGGTCGGGGTTGACTTTAAAACACAACCCCCTCAAATGAAAATTGCAGTTTGTTGTTGTTCTTTTTCTTTTTCTTTTCTTTTCCTTCTTTCTTTCTTTTTTTTTTTTTTTTTTTTCTGAGGTGGGGTCTCCTCTACCGCCTGGGCTGGAGTGCAGTGGCTCACTGCTACCTCCACCTCCCGGGTTCAAGCCATCCTCCCACCTCAACTTCCCGAGTAGTTGGGACCACAGGTGCGAGGCCACTAGGCCCAGCTAATTTGTGTGTTTCTTTCTTTCTTTCTTTCTTTCTTTTTTGATTAGTTGGTTGCTTTGTAGAGCCGGGGTCTCACTATGTTACCCAGGCGATTTCATCCCGCTGGGTGAGAAGGTTCTGCATTCCTCCGCATACGTTGCTGTGCAGTTGTTACTGAAGGTCGCCTGTAGAGGGCGCCAGAGTCAGCGAAGGGGAGGGCTGCGCTTCCTGGTTCTCTGGGGCACGAGGCTTCTCCTCAGCACTCTGGCGCCCCCAACAGGTTCCCAGTGTTCGGCTGGGGCAGGCACGCTGTGGCTGGCTACTTCCCTTCCTCCCATCCCCCTTGGGCCAAACGGGATCGGTGCTTCTGGTGAGACGCCTCCCCATGCACATCACTCCCAGGTGCCCTAGGGGGCACATTTCCCACAACTCCCAGAGGGCAGGTTTCTAGAAAGTGCCACCAGTGGGGAGGCGCCACAACTTCACTGCCATTTTGTGAGGTGCCGCCGTCTCTCCTCCAGCAAGGTCAGGACTTCAGGACTGTGAGTGGGCAGTTTTTCCCTGGATGCTTTAATTTCGCCCTGGAAAGTGTCCTTTTTCCTCAGAAAGAGTCTTTTCTGTGGTGTTCTCTGTCCGGTGTGTGGGAGGGCTCCCTTGGGGAAGTGGCTTAGCTCTGGGGACACCGCCATGGGCGCCTGTGTCAGCCGCGGGGGAGCGTTTTCCTTGGGCACCCCGTCTCGGCTATGTTGTGGGGCCAGGGGGCTTTTCTTGGGGGCTCTTGTTGGGGGCTCCCTGTCGGTGATGGAAAAGGCGACTTTTCCTGCTGAAATGACCTGAGCCCGGGGGGTGGGGGCCATGCCTTGGTTGCCTGTGTCGGCCTCGGGTGCGGCGGTGTTTCTTTCCCGCTCAGTCGCTGTCCTGAGGGGGGACTCTGCCCTGGGGTCACTATCTGTGCTCATGGAACGTGGTGGGGGTGGCTGTGCCCCGGACACATGATCGTAGCCCTGTGGGGTCACTGTCGGGGGCTTTATCTCAACCTCTGGTGGACTCTTCCTTGGGTACTGATGTCGGCCGTGAGGCGCATTTGTCCTCGGATGTTGCTCGCTCTCAGTTACAATGTGTTGGCTTTTCTTTGGTTCTGCTTATCCCCGTTGTGGACGCTTACTGGATGGATGCTTTCTCTTGGTGCTGGGTTTTTAAAATTATTATCTGTAGGTGCTCTCTCCCGGTGCCGCCGGGGAATGGGGTAATGTTCCTTGGATTCTCTAAGCCTATGGTGGGACTCAGGGAGCTCTGTGTCAGCCATGAAGGAGGCCACGTGACCTTGGGAACTCTGTCTCGACCCAGGTTGGGGTGCTTTTCCTCGGTTGGTTGGTTGATCGCAATTCTGAAGGAGCTCTTTCCTGGGATTCTATCTGACCTTTCAGCCACAGCCTCAGGTGTCTGTGTGGGAATGGGAGTCCAGAAATATTCGAAGGTTCCAGCTGTGCCACATTCGAACACTCGCAGTACAGTTAGTCTTTCATTCCAGCCACTCTGATGGGTGTGCAGTGATCTCTCCTTATGTCTACACTCGCATTTCTCTGCTGATTAATGAGATCGAGCACCTTTTTAAGAAATTGTTTTTATTTATTGATTTTTGTTTGTCTTTTGAGATGAGGTCTCCCTCTGTCACCCAGACTGGATTGCAGTGCCACCACACCCAGCTATTTATTGTTTTCTTTTTTTTTTTTTTTAGCACCATTTTATGTGTTTATTGGTCATTTAACTATGCCTTTTATGAAGTTCCTTTTCAGGTATTTTCCCCCAGCTTTTACTGAGATGTTTGTATTTTAAAAATGGATTTGTAGTTTCCATATATTCTGTATTTGAGTTATACGCACAGGCACACAGGCGTATATGTACATATACAAAAATACATATACAATTTTAGTATCTTCTATAAATCTTTTTTGCTTTTACACGATCTCAATAATGTGTTGTAGATGAACAGATTCTCTTAATTTTATTAATTAGTGTATTATTTATGGATAGTGCTTTTTATTATTTTAAGAAACATCTTTGACTCACCCAATGCCATTACGATAATATTCCTTTTCTTAAAATTATACTTTAAGTTCTGGGATACATGGGCAGAACGTGCAGGTTTGTTACATAGGAAGACACATGCCATGGTTGTTTGCTGCACCCATTGACCCGTCATCTACCTTAGGTATTTCTCTAACGCTATCCCTCCCCTAGCCCCCCAACCCCTGACAGGCCCCACTGTGTGATGTTCTTCTCCCCGCGTCCATGTGTTCTCATTGTTCAACTCCCACTTATGAGTGAGGACACGTGGTGTTTGGTTTTCTGTTCCTGTGTTAGCTTGCTGACACATGTCCCTTCAAAGGACATGAACTCATTCTTTTTTATGGCTGCATAGTATTCCGTGGTGTATATGTACCACATTTTCTTTATCCAGCGTCGTGGCAGGCGCCCGTAATCGCAGCTACTCAGGAGGCTGAGGCAGGAGAATTGCTTGAACCTGGGAAGTGGAGGTTGCAGTGAGCAGAGACTGTGCCACTCCACTGCAGCCTGGGTGACAGAGCGAGGCTCCGACTCAAAAAAAAAAAAAGTAATGTCTTCCAATGCATGGAAAGAATATTTTTCTCCATTTACTGCAGTCTTGAATTTCTCTGAGTGATGTTTTATAATTTTTGTGAAGTACTCTAGCACATCTTGATTAGATTTATTCCTAAATATTTGATGTTTTTGGAACTGTTTTTAATGACATTTGAAATCTCATATTCTAATTATTCGTTATACAGAATTGCCATTCTGTATAATGCCATTCATTATACAGAATTGCTATTCATTATACAGAAATGCCATTGGTTTTCATTGTATCTAGTAAGTTGACTAAATTTGCTTATTAACTGTAATGATTTTATTCTTCTGCATTTTTCTATGTACAGAACAATGTCATCTGTGAATAATGACAGTTTTATTTCTTTCCAAATTTTAAACCTATTGTATTTTCCTGATGATATGGCACTTTTTGGAACCTCCAGTAAATTGTTGAATGGATAGTGGACATCTTTGTCTTGTTTTCAAACTCAGGGAGAAAATACTGATACGTCACTATGAAGTATGGCATTTAAAAATTTTTTGTACATATGCTAACCAGAATAGGAAAGTTGCCCTTTTTCCTAAGTTGGTGATAGTTTTTATCACGAATGGACTTTAAACATTGATCCATGTATGAAAATGATCATGCGGTGTTTCCCTGTTTTTGTTGTTGTTGTTGTTGTTGTTGTTAATGTGGTGCACTACATTTGTCGATTTTCAAATGTTAAATCAGTGTTGCCTTTCTGCAATATACTCCACCATGGCTGATGTATGTCCTTTTTAAGTACTAGTACATTTTATTTGCTCACCCTTAGTTTGGAATTTTTGTGTCTAAGTTCGGGGTGATCTTGGCTTGTATTTTTGGCTTGATCTTGTAGTTTTTCATTCTTCTAAATTCCTTGTCAGATGTTGTTATCAGTTTTGTATCAATCTTCTAATAAGGGTTCCTAATAAGGGTTAATACACGTTGGTTTATGCATCTATTTGAATATATAAGCATAAATACTTATATATTAAATATATATGATATATAATATATAATTTAAAATATAATGTATAATAAGGGTTAATACAGATTGGTTTATACATCCATTTTTTCTAATAAGGGTTAATACAGATTGGCTTATACATCTTCAAATAGGTAATAATATTTTTATCTATTTTTGGTTGATGACAGCTGCTTATTCCACAAGCATTCTGATTGATTTGGTTATACCATCTTTCTTCTGTTTTACTTTGTGTACATTAAAATTAGGTTTCTTTTCCTGAGAACAGAGTGTTTGTTGAGACTTGGTAAATCTTGGCTCATGATTAAAAGTGAAATTAATGATTCAAAGTCTTGGTTGTATACACATATGCAGATTGCTTGCCATTTTGTGATTGTTAGATTTTTGTCATGAATAGAATATATTCATTGATGTTTTTCAGGAAACAATGACCGATAAAACAGAGAAGGTGGCTGTAGATCCTGAAACTGTGTTTAAACGTCCCAGGGAATGTGACAGTCCTTCGTATCAGAAAAGGCAGAGGATGGCCCTGTTGGCAAGGAAACAAGGAGCAGGAGACAGCCTTATTGCAGGCTCTGCCATGTCCAAAGAAAAGAGTAAGTAAGCCTGTCCTCACGTCCTCCTCATGCTCCTGCCTCATCCCCTCCAGAGAAACTGTCCTTGTCAAGGTTAACAGTTTCGGCTGACATTGCCATTAACTTCTCAGCAGCATTTGACAGTTGTTTACTCGCTTCTTCATGAAAACCTTCTAGGATTTCCATTTCCGACAATCTTTTTTTTTTTTTTTAATTTCTTGTCCGTATTGGTGAATCCCTATCATTTTTTTCTTGAGATGGAGTTTCGCTCTTCTCAGCCAGGCTGGAGTGCAGTGGCGCGATCTCGGCTCACTGAAATCTCCGTCTCCTGGGTTCAAGTGATTCTTCTGCCGCAGCCTCCCGAGTAGCGGGATTACAAGCACCAGCCACCACACCCAGCTAATTTTTGTAAGTTTAGTAGAGATGGGGTTTCGCCATGTCGGCCAGGCTGGTCTGGAACTCCCCCCCTCAGGTGATCCACCCACCTCAGCCTCCCAAAGTGCTGGGATTACACGCACGAGCCACCGCCCCCGACCCCATCATTGTTTTTTTCTACATTTCTTTTTCTTCTCTTCTCTAAATACTGTAAAAATTCCTGAACCCCAGCATCTCTCCCTCTCCTTCTATTCCACTCTGCCACGATCAATCACTGAGCTCCTGAGATACCTCCATGTTTCCCATTATTTCCCGCATCAAACACATACCCTCCAACCCTGCAGCCGGGTCATGATGTTGGCATGTAAATCACGTGATGCCATGTCGCTCCTGAACACCCATCCTCAACACTCCTAAGCACTCAGAACCGACTGCGAAGCAGCTTTGGTCTGCGAGGTTCTGCGTGGCCTGGCCTCCGTCACCCTCTCCTCACACGGGCCCCATCATCTCCTGACTCTCTCTGCTACTGTCCTTCACCCCGTAGTGCCCGGTCCATCCCCACTCCAGCCCATATCCTTGGCCTCACCGCAACCTGGAACTCCCCCTCTGCCTCTGCGCAGGCAGCTCTGCTTTTTCCTTCAAGCCCTGCCCAAGGGTACCTCCACAGAAGGCTCTGCCCAACCAGCAGCAGCTCCTGGGGCTCCCTCTGCTGCTGTTGCCCACAGGCCTGTGGACTGCTTCCTTACCACTAGCCCAACACTGTATGTTTCATTTGCTCATTGTGCACGTACTGTCTGACCGCCCCATGAGGATGTGAGCTCCACAAGGGCAGGGAACGTTGCTCTCTGGGCTGTTTACTGCTGATCCCCAGCTACCGGCACACTGCCTGCCACAGACGATGAATAAATGAGAGGTGTCAGACCTGGAGTGAAAAGAAAGTCACTTTTGTGAGACAGAAAGGAAGGATGAGGAAAATCATACACTAAAAGGGATTTTTTGTTGATGGAGTACATATAGAACTTTCAGCAGTAATGGCCACCTCTATTTTCTCAGAATATGTTTGATGTAGAGAGGAGGCTGGTTGAGGTGTGTCCAAGTTGTCTGGCTTCCAGCTTAGTAAAACATGGCAGTTTGTAAGTGAATTTGAGAAATCATGATATCAAGTGAGACTTGCTGCTTTCAACTTGTAAAGCATAACAAGCTGAAACTGTCCCATGAGTACCAGGGATCTGTGAATGTTGCTTTAGAGTTGTACTGCCTTACTTGGTTTCCATGTCTATTCATAGGGCCAGAAAATAAGAGGTGGTTTTATTGTATTATGTGTCCTGGCCTCCGTTTGTCAGGCCTGGGATTTCTCCCTGGTGTATCCTCCCATTTATTAAATAAATAATTCCCTAGAAACTGAGGAGCACATAGATGTACCCAGAGGGGTGATGAAACACACATATCTCACAGCTCAACTTCTCAGTTTGATTTCCAGAGCTGTCATTCATGAGGTCTATGTGGAGGGGAAAGAAAGTGGTCAAACACCAACTGATGGCTTTTACTCAAAATCTGTTTCACCAGAGCTTATGACAGGACATGCTATTCCACCCAGCCAATTGGATTCTCAGATTGATGACTTCACTGGTTTCAGCAAAGATAGGATGATGCAGAAACCTGGTAGCAATGCACCTGTGGGAGGAAACGTTACCAGCAGTTTCTCTGGAGATGACCTAGAATGCAGAGAAACAGCCTTCTCTCCCAAAAGCCAACAAGAAATTAATGCTGATATAAAACGTCAATTAGTGAAGGAACTCCGATGCGTTGGACAAAGTAAGTAGTATAAGAATGTCTGTTTTATAAAACTATAGGAAGTCTCTCTTTCTATGATTCAGAAGATATTCATGTTGCCTGTTGAGTTTCATTCTTTGCCAGAGTTGAGATTGCACATAATTTATGGTGGTTCCTCTTTTCTTTGACTAAAGCATGTACATTTTTTCTTTTTCTTTTCTTACTTGGTTATGGTTAAAGGAGTTACATTCGTATGTATGTGCAGGTGTCTTTTTTATTATTTAGGTTTTGTATGTGCAGGTATCTTGATTTAAGCATTTAAAACATTTCAGCCTCTGAAGCATGATTGCTGAGGTGTAGATTCACTTCTATTCTTCTTTATATTTGATAATACTGAAGTTTTTTTTTTTCAACATCTTCAGAATATGAAAAAATCTTCGAAATGCTTGAAGGAGTGCAAGGACCTACTGCAGTCAGGAAACGATTTTTTGAATCCATCATCAAGGAAGCAGCAAGGTGGGTAGAAATAGGAACTGTCCAATTTCTTTAAGCACTTGGGCTCAATAGAGCACTGGGGGTGAGCGTTGGGGAACAGCCCCTGCCTTGCGTTTCTCAAACCCTGGTCCTCACTCACAGTTACGGCTGTCTCCACAGTTACTTAGGCTAATGTTATCTGAGTCTAACTCATTCTTCGAAGACTATGGAGACTTCCATTTTCACCATAGTCTGAGGTGCGCATTGTCCCTCAATTGACACTCTTTGTATTTGCTAGACTACCTCTTTTTAAAAAATTTGTGTAGGCACATAGCAGATGCATATATTTCTGGGCTATATGAGATATTGTGATACAGACAACAATGTGTAATAATCACATCAAGGTAAG
Organism: Homo sapiens; assembly: GCF_000001405.40. Lineage (NCBI taxonomy): Eukaryota > Metazoa > Chordata > Mammalia > Primates > Hominidae > Homo > Homo sapiens. Next base: position 135,847,604 of record NC_000023.11, on the reverse strand, counting down.
TGGGGTTTCTATCACCTCAAGCTTTTATCCTTTGCGTTACGGGGAGAATACAATTATACTCTTCATTATTTTTAAATGTGCAATTAAATTATTACCGACTATAGTCACCCTGTTGGGCTATGAAATACGACATCTTATTTATTCCATACTTCTACGTATTAATCATCCCCACTTCCCACACCCTCCACCCCCACTAACCTTTGTAGCCTCTGGTAACTGTCATTCTACTCTCTATCTCCATTAGTTCAGTTGTTTTACACTTTTACTCCCAAAAATAAGTGAGAACATGTGAAGTTTGTCTTTCTGTGCCTGGCTTATTTCACTTAACATAAGGACCTTCGGTTCTATCCGTGTTGTTGCAAATGACTGAATCTCATTCTTTTTTTTATGGCTAAACAGTACTCTGTGGTGTATATGTACCATATTTTCTTTACCCATTCACGTGTTAGTGGACACTTAGGTTGCTTCCAAATCTTGGCTACTGTGAATGGTGGTGCAGGAAACATGGGAGTGCAGATATCTCTTCGGTACACTGACTTCCTTTCTCTTGGGTATATACCCAGCAGTGGGATTGCTGGATCATATGATAGCTCCATTTTTAGTTGTTTGAGGAACCTCCAAACTGTTCTTCATAGTTGTTGTAGTAATTTATGTTCCCACCAACAGTGTATGAGGGTTCCCTTTTCTCCACACCCTTGCCAGCATTTGCTATGCCGGCTAGACTGCCTCTTACCATGCAGATACATTTCTATTTCCATGCTGACTGTTACTTCATCTTTCTATCTGTCACAGCGCTTCCTACAGCATAGGTTCTTTGGCTATCTTTTGGTTAATGACATGTCTCTTTCTCTTCAGATGTATGAGACGAGACTTTGTTAAGCACCTTAAGAAGAAACTGAAACGTATGATTTGAGAATACTTGTCCCTGGAGGATTATCACACCCCAAATGCATAATCTCATTAATGATTGAGGAGAGAAAAGGATCAGATTGCTGTTTTCTACAATGGAGCAGGATATTGCTGAAGTCTCCTGGCATATGTTACCGAATCAACTGGCCTTCCAGAGGCTAAGAAATTTCTGTTAGTAAAAGATGTTCTTTTTCCCAAAGCGTTTTATTTGAAAGGATAACTTGTGTTTTGGTTATTTTGTATTCCCACCTGTGCTGGTAGATATTATTAACCCATTAGGTAAATACTATTACAGTCGTGGTTTCTGCAGCAGCTCACACTGATGTAGCTGGCGTTTATAACTACCTTCTTTCGCTACCCGTTTCGCATTCCCTTTGCCCTGAGATAGCATGTCAGTTGGTCATGATGCTTGGCCTGGCAGGATGACTCAAACCTTCATTACAGAAGAGTCTGAACCATTAGATATCCTGCCTGGATGGGGTTGCTGTGATTTTCCATTAACTCTAATCGAAAAACACGGGAGGACTAAGAAGCTCTCTAGACATATCACACATACTCTTCCTTAGCCCCTGGTGTGGTGGGAACCCGATCTCAATGTTGAAATCTGTATCATCAGCCTTCAACGAAAAGGCAGAACTAATGGGAGATTTTAATGTGTGTGTGTGTGTGTGTGTGTGTGTGTGTGTGTGTGTGTGTTGGTAGGGGGTATATATACATGCACACACACACTTTCTAATCTCCCATTATACATATAATACACATTACACATATTATATATACACCCCCATATATATATATGTATGCGTGTGTGGGGGGGTATATCCAATATATATAATAAAGGTAGTTCCTAGATAGGATTGGTCTGATACAATAATTTGGAGCTGCAGTAGCAGTCCCTGTAAGGCTGTTGTTTCCAGATAGGACTTGAACATTCTATGCTTTTTATTTTTTTTAAAGACAGAATCTTGCTCTGTTGCCCAGGCTAGAGTGCGGTGACACGATCACAAGTCACTGCCACCTCGACCTCACCCCAGTTCAAGCGATCCTTGTGCTTCAGCCTTCGAAGTAGCTGGGATTACAGGTGCACCACAGGTGCCATCACGCTGCAATTTTTGTATTTTTAGTGGAGATGGGGTTTTGCCATGTTGTCCAGGCTGGTCTCGAAACCTGGCCTCAAGTGATCTGCCCATCTCAGCCTCCCAAGGTTCTAGGATTACAGGCATGAGCCACTGCACCCAGCCCATTCTATGCTTTTTTTTAAAAAATTAATTCATTCAATTATTCAACAAATATTAATTGTGCCAGGTACTTTTTTTTTATTATACTTTAAGGTTTAGGGTACATGTGCACAACGTGCAGGTTTGTTACATATGTATACATGTGCCATTTTTGTGTGCTGCACCCATTAACTCATCATTTAACATTAGGTATATCTCCTAATGCTATCCCTCCCCCCTCCCCACACCCCACAACAGGACCCAGTGTGTGATGTTCCCCTTCCTGTGTCCATGTGTTCTCATTGTTCAGTTCCCACCTATGAGGGAGAACATGCGGTGTTTGGTTTTTTGTCCTTGCGATAGTTTGCTGAGAATGATGGTTTCCAGCTTCATCCATGTCCCTACAAAGGACATGAACTCATCATTTTTCATGGCTGCATAGTATTCCATGGTGTATATGTGCCACGTTTTCTTAATCCAGTCTATCATTGTTGGACATTTGGGTTGGTTCCAAGTCTTTGCTATTGTGAATAGTGCCACAATAAACATACGTGTGCATGTGTCTTTATAGCAGCATGTTTTATAATCCTTTGGGTATATACTCAGTAATGGGATGGCTGGGTCAAATGGTATTTCTAGTTCTAGATCCCTGAGGAATCGCCACACTGACTTCCACAATGGTTGAACTAGTTTACAGTCCCACCAACAGTGTAAAAGTGTTCCTATTTGTCCACATCCTCTCCAGCACCTGTTGTTTCCTGACTTTTTAATGATTGCCATTCTAACTGGTGTGAGATGGTATCTCATTGTGGTTTTGATTTGCATTTATCTGATGGCCAGTGATGATGAGCATGTTTTCATGTGTCTGTTGGCTGCATAAATGTCTTCTTTTGAGAAGTATCTGTTCATATCCTTCGCCCGCTTGTTGATGGGGTTGTTTGTTTTTTTTCTTGTAAATTTGTTTGAGTTCGTTGTAGATTCTGGATATTAGCCCTTTGTCAGATGAGTAGACTGCAAAAATTTCCTCCCATTCTGTAGGTTGCCTGTTCACTCTGATGGTAGTTTCTTTTGCCGTGCAGAAACTCTTTAGTTTAATTAGATCCCATTTGTCAATTTTGACTTTTGTTGCCATTGCTTTTGGTGTTTTAGACATGAAGTCCTTGCCCATGCCTATGTCCTGAATGGTATTGCCTAGGTTTTCTTCTAGGGTTTTTATGGTTTTAGGTCTAACATGTAAGTCTTGAATCCATCTTGAATTAATTTTTGTATAAAGTGTAAGGAAGGGATCCCATTTCAGCTTTCTCCATATGGCTAGCCAGTTTTCCCAGCACCATTTATTAAATAGGGAATCCTTTCCCCATTTCTTGTTTTTGTCAGGTTTGTCAAAGATCAGATAGTTGTAGATATGCAGCATTATTTCTGAGGGCTCTGTTCTGTTCCATTGGTCTGTATCTCTGTTTTGATAACAGTACCATGCTGTTTTGGTTACTGTAGACTTGTAGTATAGTTTGAAGTCAGGTAGCGTGATGCCTCCAGCTTTGTTCTTTTGGCTTAGGATTGACTTGGCAATGCGGGCTCTTTTTTGGTTCCAAAATCAGTGTGCAAAAATCACAAGCATTCTTATACACCAGTAACAGACAAACAGAGAGCCAAATCATGAGTGAACTCCCATGCACAATTGCTTCAAAGATAATAAAATACCTAGGAATCCAACTTACAAGGGACGTGAAGGACCTCTTCAAGGAGAACTACAAACCAGTGCTCAATGAAATAAAAGAGGACACAAACAAATGGAACAACATTCCATGCTCATGGGTAGGAAGAATCAATATCGTGAAAATGGCCATATTGCCCAGGGTAATTTATAGATTCAATGCCATCCCCATCAAGCTACCAATGACTTTCTTCACAGAATTGGAAAAAACTACTTTAAAGTTCATACGGAACAACTTTCATTTTGGTGGAATCACTTTGGTTTCCCCTGTTGAAAAAATTCCTCAATGTGTAACTAAGTCCTCTAGTCCAGCAGAGCCAAAAGTTGGCTTCTTGGTGCACAGTTTGCTTCTTGAGCATAAGAAGCAACATTTTGTTACTAGATACCCAGGAGTAATAGTGAGAGAAGGCCCACATATTGCCTCCTTCATTCTTGAAGTCATAAATGTGGCTATGGGAGAAATAGTTCCATATACTTGAGGCTAGGATTCAGCTTTGCCACTTTCTAGATTGTCAGCCAAGCCCCACAAGGCACTGCCACAAAGCTGCAATGACAACTCAGGCTTTAAAAGGTCCTCCAATGTTCTATTGAGCCAGCCATTTCAGGATGTTGAAGAACATCACAAGACTAGTGAAGTACATTAGCATGAGCCCATTCCCATACTTCATTGCCTGTAAAGTGAGTTTGATGTTTAAAACTGGTGCAGTGTGGAATACCACGACGGTGGATACAGCCTTTCCTCATACCACAGTACCGATTTCCTTGAAGTTCCATGGGTGGGAATGAAAATCCATATGCAGAATAAGTGTCTATTTGAGGAAGATCAAAGTGATACCCCTTCAATCGTGGAAGCAGACCCAAGTAATCACAGTGCTACCTGGAAGCTGACTGACCACTCTGGGACATGGTGCCATATTGGGGACTCAGTGTTGGTCTCTGCTGCTGTCAGATTGAATAGTGAGCAGTGGCTGTAGTGAGATGGACCTGGTAAATGAAAGTTCATGTTGCCAAACCCGTAAATAAGCTTTATCTCAGCCACCATAATCATGATGCACCATTACTGCTTAGAAGATAGAGGGGTGCACCCAAGTAGGTATGGAGGGGTCTCAGGTAGCTTAGAGTGGCCTCAGCCAAGACCGCAAGTATACGGCTACCTCAGTTCCACAACTTTAAGAAGTTAGACCTGCCCGTAACCCAAATGTGCTTGAAAACAGGTTCTCTCTGAGTCCTTAGTTAGTCAGCAGCCTGGTTGATACCCTAACTTTGATTTTGTGAGATCCTAAGCAGAGAAACCAATCCAGGCTGCATGGATTTCTGATCTACAGAACTGCTTATATATTTGTGTTATTTTAAGCTGCTGAATCGGGGACAATTTCTTTTGCATTAGTAACAAACCTAATAGATGTGGTGCCTGCATATTCTGAAGTAACAAATGAAAATCAGGCATGAAGTTTTTTATTTTCTAGTCAACTGGTCTCAGGGAACTCCACATGAGATCACAGGTGCAGGATTAGGGAAGCTTCTCTTTTTCTGGGCCCCGGTCCATGCTAGCGGGGTTTCAGTCACTTGTCAATGGGTCCACGGTACTGCACAACATTTAGGTATATGCTAAAACAAGCATCTATTATGCAACTCGTTTCATGTTCCTTATTTAGTAGTAAGAAAGGCAAGATGTAAGAACTTGCTGTTCACCTTATAACCACCATCTTGACATGCCAGACTACCAGATTGTTAAACGCTTCACTCAGTTAGAAGGCCCCTGATTTTGTGTGAGAATTATTTCTCACATAATGTCTTGCAAGTGTGTTGCTACCATGTCTGGATTAGTTGCTACCTCCTTTTCAGTCAGCATGATGTCATCACTGCAAAGAATGGTGTCACATCTGGTTTAAGAGAAAGGTGGCCATTTTCCCTAAGAACTCGTTTAGGATATAAACCTAGAGAGTTGATATAAGCTTGAAATAGGAAATGATAGTACATTGCTGTCCTTTCTAGCTGAATTGAAATTCTTGTTTACGACAATTACTGAAAGAAAGCCAAACATTCACCTAATCAGTATTGTATATCAGGTTCCGAGGGATGTCACAGTTGCTGACACAACAAAACCACTTGTAGTACAGCAGCTGCAGTTGGAACAACAATTTGATTAAGTTTATGGTGCAATCTCGGCTCACTGCAACCTCCACCTCCCGGGTTCAAGCAGTTCTCTTGCCTCAGCCTCCTTGTGTAGCTGGGACTATAGAAACGCATTATCACACCTGGCTAATTGTTTGTATTTCTTAGTAGAGACAGAGTTTCACCATGTTGGCCAGGCTAGTCTCAAACTCCTGACCTCAAGTGATATGCCCACCTCAGACTCCCAAAGTGCAAGTGCGAGCCACTGCGCAGGGCCCCAGCTATTTTTTGTATTTTTGGTAGAGATGTGGTTTCGCCACTTTGGCCAGCCTCGTCTGGAACTCCTGACCTCAAGTGATCCACCCGCTTCTGCCTCCCAAATCCTGGGATTACAGGCGTGAGCCACTGTGTCCGGTGAAAACTTCACTTTTAAGTGAAACGCAGAAGCAAAATCTGATAATCAGAAAATGAGATACTGCGTGTTCTCATTCATATGTGGGAGCTAAACAATGGGTACACATGAAAATAAAGGTAGAAACCATTGACTCTGGGGACTCCAAAATGGAGGTAGAGGGGAGGGAGGGAGCGGGTCGGAGGGTTGAAAAACTACCTATTGGATACTCTCTTCACTATTTGGGTGATGAGTTCACTAGAAGCCCAAACCCCGGCACTGTGCAATTATATCCAAGCGAGAAATCTGTACATGTACCCTTCTGGCATCTATAATTTTAAAAAAGCTAACAAAGAAAGCTTCAGTTTTAAATCTTAACCAAATACACAGGAAAAGGATTACTATACTTGGACACCTTTACAGGTTTCTATGTTAGTTTTTGGTATTAAAGCAGAAACCTGTTCCTCGACCACTTTATTAATTGTATGTCCTCTTTGTACAAACATCGGAAATAGAAGACTGTCACTTTTGGTTCTGTAACTGTCTTGACTGCAGTCTTCTACAGCTTTCACAGAGTTAATGGTCCCTAGTATCTGCCATTCTCCAATTGCCCTGGGTGGCGAAATCGCTGCCATAGTAAACTTTTCACTGATAATTAGAGTTTCTGGAAACATGCAGGGCTCGTTATTTAAGAGTGACTCCATTTGGGCATTTTGGTGGATGGCCTACAGGTTTTCTTGCAGAGTATACTAGAGTCTCCAGAATGAATAACCCTAGGAACTTGAGGAACTAGCGCTTTCCAGAATTTTGGAAGCTGAGATACAAACATTGGTTTTCTCAAAAGCACTGCAAGTGGGAAGGAAAATCCATATCTAGACTAAATGTCTGTTCAGGTAAGAAGAAAGCACTTCTCTTTTTATAATAGAAGTGATCTATTGTAATCCACATACCAACTAGTGGCTGGCAGATCATTCTGGAGTCTGGTGCCAAATTGGGGGCTTAGTGTTGGTCTCCATTCCTGGAAGATTTTTCACTCAGCAATGACCGTAGCCAGGTTTGCCATGGTGAGTGGAGGTCCATGCTACTGCGCATAATCTCCAACCCTGCCAGTTTGACCACTTTGTTTGTTGAGCCGGTAAGATTGTGACACACGTGTTAGGGAAAGAGGCTGATTAATACCTAGATAATAAGTACCTTATCCATCTGATTATTAAAATTCTGCTCTGCTGAGGATACCCTTTGCTGAGAACTCTCATGAGACCCCAATATCTTCACATTGTATGTCCGTTTGGACAGGCCTGTCCACATATTTTTTTTTTCTCAGACTTCTTTGTCGCACATTTTTAATCGTGTGTTCTCAAAGTCCCTGACAATTCAGCGAATGAGTGGGACACAGCCTATGCATGATACATACTTACACGTCTGGATATGCCTCCTCCAAGAAGGTGCACTGCTCAAAGTTCTTCCCTCTGGGAGGATTTCCCTTCATCACTGTCCTTCAGGGCTGTCCCAGTCAGGACTGTCGTATGCAGCTGTCCACCTGTGGCTTGTGTGGTAGGCAGGATTCTAATTAAGCCCCAACAAGATTCCAGTCTCATGGTTATTCAATCAAATACTCCTATGAGTACTGCTCTGGTGGGATTTTTTTAATGCAAAAAATGAGTATTTTATTTTGATAGCACTAGAGGAAACAAACAAAACAACTGTTCCTACATCAAAGTGAAAACAATGTTTAAGCTTTCCTATCAATCAAATATATTCCAAAAGAAAATGTGTTCTATGAAGGTTCTGAAGCACAGGCAAATATTAACACAATAGGCTAAGAAGCTGTAATACTGAATATGACTCTCTTCTAACAGGGTACTTAACAAACATAATTTTTAATTTTAATTTTAATTAATTAATTTATTTTGAGACGGACTCTCCCTTTGTCCCCCAGTGACAATGGATCTCTGCCCCTTTGGAGTGCAGTGACGCGATCTCTGCTCACTGAAGCTTGCACCTCTCAGGTTCAAGTGATTCTCCTGCCTCTGCTGCCCTAGTAGCAGGGAGTACAGGTGCCCACCACCATGCCTGGCTATATTTTTTAATTTTAATTTTAAGTTTTTTACAAACATAACTTTTGAATTACAAAACCAGTGAAGTAATCCCTTCCAAATAATTGTGTCAATAGTGAAACTGCCTGTTCCATTAAAACTCGAAAAATTTCGCTGTAATATTTTTTACCACTATGGACAATTCAAGTAAATTTTGCTGCACTTAAAATAAGTTGTGAAAGTAGAAAAATGGGCCGGGCATGGTGGCTCTCCCCTGTAATCCCAGGACTTTGGGAGGCCAAGGCAGATGAATCACTTAAAGTCAGGAGTTTGAGACCAGCCTGGAGAACATTGTGAAACACCGTCTCTGCTAAAAATACAAATACCAGCCGGGCATGGTGGTACATGCCTGTAATCCCAGCTTCTCGGGAGGCTGAGGAAGGAGAACTGCTTGAACCTGGGAGGCGGAGGTTGCAGTGAGCCAAGATCATGCCACTGCACTCCAGCCTGGGTGACAGAGCCAGACTGTCTCAAAAAAAATAAAAAAGGTGGAAAAATATACAAAGTTCCAGATTAAAATGATTAATAGATGCAATATAATAAGGTTTCCCCTCCTTCCATCCTTTCTTTCTTTCTCTCTTTCTTTCTTCCTTTCTTCCCTTCTTTCTTCCATCCTTCCTTTCTTCCTTTCTTCCCTTCTTTCTTCCATCCTTCCTTTCTTCCTTCCTTTCTTTCTTTCGTTCTTTCTTTCCTTCCTTCCTTCTTTTTTCTTTCTCTTTCTTTCTTTCTTTCTCTCTTTCTTTTTTTTTGTAGACAGTCTTACTCTGTCACCCAGGCTATAGTGCAATGGTGCGAACAAAGGTCAATGCAGCCTCAACCTCCTGGTGTCAAGCCTCCCGAGCAGCTGGGACCACAGTTACACGCTCAGCTAATTTTTGTATTTTGTGTTAAGATGGGGTTTCACCATGCTGCCCAGGCTGCTCTTGAACTCCTGGGCTCAAGGAATCCACCCCTCTTGGTCTCCCAAATTGCTGGGATTACAGACGTGAGCGACCGCACTGGGGCCCTCATTTTTCTTATCAATTAACAATAATGGTTACCTTTAACAGATAGAGGTTGACTTTATTTATTGATTGATTGATTTTTATTTTTAGACAGAGTCTCACTCTGTTACCCAGGCTGGAGTGCAGTGGCATGATCTCAGCTCACTGCAAATTCTGCCTGCCCGGTTCAAGCGATTCTCCAGCCTCAGCCTCCCAAGTAGCTGGTGGGATTATAGGTGCATGCCACCACGCCCGGTAATTTTCTGTATTTTTAGCAGAGACGGGATTCACCATGTTGGTCAGACAGACTGGTCTCGAACTCCTGACCTCAGGTGGTCCAGCCCCTTCGGCCTCCCAAAGTGTTGAGATTACAGGCGTGAGCCACTGTGGCGGGTCGGGGTTGACTTTAAAACACAACCCCCTCAAATGAAAATTGCAGTTTGTTGTTGTTCTTTTTCTTTTTCTTTTCTTTTCCTTCTTTCTTTCTTTTTTTTTTTTTTTCTGAGATGGGGTCTCCTCTACCGCCTGGGCTGGAGTGCAGTGGCTCACTGCTACCTCCACCTCCCGGGTTCAAGCCATCCTCCCACCTCAACTTCCCGAGTAGTTGGGACCACAGGTGCGAGGCCACTAGGCCCAGCTAATTTGTGTGTTTCTTTCTTTCTTTCTTTCTTTTTTGATTAGTTGGTTGCTTTGTAGAGCCGGGGTCTCACTATGTTACCCAGGCGATTTCATCCCGCTGGGTGAGAAGGTTCTGCATTCCTCCGCATACGTTGCTGTGCAGTTGTTACTGAAGGTCGCCTGTAGAGGGCGCCAGAGTCAGCGAAGGGGAGGGCTGCGCTTCCTGGTTCTCTGGGGCACGAGGCTTCTCCTCAGCACTCTGGCGCCCCCAACAGGTTCCCAGTGTTCGGCTGGGGCAGGCACGCTGTGGCTGGCTACTTCCCTTCCTCCCATCCCCCTTGGGCCAAACGGGATCGGTGCTTCTGGTGAGACGCCTCCCCATGCACATCACTCCCAGGTGCCCTAGGGGGCACATTTCCCACAACTCCCAGAGGGCAGGTTTCTAGAAAGTGCCACCAGTGGGGAGGCGCCACAACTTCACTGCCATTTTGTGAGGTGCCGCCGTCTCTCCTCCAGCAAGGTCAGGACTTCAGGACTGTGAGTGGGCAGTTTTTCCCTGGATGCTTTAATTTCGCCCTGGAAAGTGTCCTTTTTCCTCAGAAAGAGTCTTTTCTGTGGTGTTCTCTGTCCGGTGTGTGGGAGGGCTCCCTTGGGGAAGTGGCTTAGCTCTGGGGACACCGCCATGGGCGCCTGTGTCAGCCGCGGGGGAGCGTTTTCCTTGGGCACCCCGTCTCGGCTATGTTGTGGGGCCAGGGGGCTTTTCTTGGGGGCTCTTGTTGGGGGCTCCCTGTCGGTGATGGAAAAGGCGACTTTTCCTGCTGAAATGACCTGAGCCCGGGGGGTGGGGGCCATGCCTTGGTTGCCTGTGTCGGCCTCGGGTGCGGCGGTGTTTCTTTCCCGCTCAGTCGCTGTCCTGAGGGGGGACTCTGCCCTGGGGTCACTATCTGTGCTCATGGAACGTGGTGGGGGTGGCTGTGCCCCGGACACATGATCGTAGCCCTGTGGGGTCACTGTCGGGGGCTTTATCTCAACCTCTGGTGGACTCTTCCTTGGGTACTGATGTCGGCCGTGAGGCGCATTTGTCCTCGGATGTTGCTCGCTCTCAGTTACAATGTGTTGGCTTTTCTTTGGTTCTGCTTATCCCCGTTGTGGACGCTTACTGGATGCTTTCTCTTGGTGCTGGGTTTTTAAAATTATTATCTGTAGGTGCTCTCTCCCGGTGCCGCCGGGGAGTGGGGTAATGTTCCTTGGATTCTCTAAGCCTATGGTGGGACTCAGGGAGCTCTGTGTCAGCCATGAAGGAGGCCACGTGACCTTGGGAACTCTGTCTCGACCCAGGTTGGGGTGCTTTTCCTCGGTTGGTTGATCGCAATTCTGAAGGAGCTCTTTCCTGGGATTCTATCTGACCTTTCAGCCACAGCCTCAGGTGTCTGTGTGGGAATGGGAGTCCAGAAATATTCGAAGGTTCCAGCTGTGCCACATTCGAACACTCGCAGTACAGTTAGTCTTTCATTCCAGCCACTCTGATGGGTGTGCAGTGATCTCTCCTTGTGTCTACACTCGCATTTCTCTGCTGATTAATGAGATCGAGCACCTTTTTAAGAAATTGTTTTTATTTATTGATTTTTGTTTGTCTTTTGAGATGAGGTCTCCCTCTGTCACCCAGACTGGATTGCAGTGCCACCACACCCAGCTATTTATTGTTTTCTTTTTTTTTTTTTTTAGCACCATTTTATGTGTTTATTGGTCATTTAACTATGCCTTTTATGAAGTTCCTTTTCAGGTATTTTCCCCCAGCTTTTACTGAGATGTTTGTATTTTAAAAATGGATTTGTAGTTTCCATATATTCTGTATTTGAGTTATACGCACAGGCACACAGGCGTATATGTACATATACAAAAATACATATACAATTTTAGTATCTTCTATAAATCTTTTTTGCTTTTACACGATCTCAATAATGTGTTGTAGATGAACAGATTCTCTTAATTTTATTAATTAGTGTATTATTTATGGATAGTGCTTTTTATTATTTTAAGAAACATCTTTGACTCACCCAATGCCATTACGATAATATTCCTTTTCTTAAAATTATACTTTAAGTTCCGGGATACATGGGCAGAACGTGCAGGTTTGTTACATAGGAAGACACATGCCATGGTTGTTTGCTGCACCCATTGACCCGTCATCTACCTTAGGTATTTCTCTAATGCTATCCCTCCCCTAGCCCCCCAACCCCTGACAGGCCCCACTGTGTGATGTTCTTCTCCCCGCGTCCATGTGTTCTCATTGTTCAACTCCCACTTATGAGTGAGGACACGTGGTGTTTGGTTTTCTGTTCCTGTGTTAGCTTGCTGACACATGTCCCTTCAAAGGACATGAACTCATTCTTTTTTATGGCTGCATAGTATTCCGTGGTGTATATGTACCACATTTTCTTTATCCAGCGTCGTGGCAGGCGCCCGTAATCGCAGCTACTCAGGAGGCTGAGGCAGGAGAATTGCTTGAACCTGGGAAGTGGAGGTTGCAGTGAGCAGAGACTGTGCCACTCCACTGCAGCCTGGGTGACAGAGCGAGGCTCCGACTCAAAAAAAAAAAAAAAAATGTCTTCCAATGCATGGAAAGAAAATTTTTCTCCATTTACTGCAGTCTTGAATTTCTCTGAGTGATGTTTTATAATTTTTGTGAAGTACTCTAGCACATCTTGATTAGATTTATTCCTAAATATTTGATGTTTTTGGAACTGTTTTTAATGACATTTGAAATCTCATATTCTAATTATTCGTTATACAGAATTGCCATTCTGTATAATGCCATTCATTATACAGAATTGCTATTCATTATACAGAAATGCCATTGGTTTTCATTGTATCTAGTAAGTTGACTAAATTTGCTTATTAACTGTAATGATTTTATTCTTCTGCATTTTTCTATGTACAGAACAATGTCATCTGTGAATAATGACAGTTTTATTTCTTTCCAAATTTTAAACCTATTGTATTTTCCTGATGATATGGCACTTTTTGGAACCTCCAGTAAATTGTTGAATGGATAGTGGACATCTTTGTCTTGTTTTCAAACTCAGGGAGAAAATACTGATACGTCACTATGAAGTATGGCATTTAAAAATTTTTTGTACATATGCTAACCAGAATAGGAAAGTTGCCCTTTTTCCTAAGTTGGTGATAGGTTTTATCACGAATGGACTTTAAACATTGATCCATGTATGAAAATGATCATGCGGTGTTTCCCTGTTTTTGTTGTTGTTGTTGTTGTTGTTGTTAATGTGGTGCACTACATTTGTCGATTTTCAAATGTTAAATCAGTGTTGCCTTTCTGCAATATACTCCACCATGGCTGATGTATGTCCTTTTTAAGTACTAGTACATTTTATTTGCTCACCCTTAGTTTGGAATTTTTGTGTCTAAGTTCGGGGTGATCTTGGCTTGTATTTTTGGCTTGATCTTGTAGTTTTTCATTCTTCTAAATTCCTTGTCAGATGTTGTTATCAGTTTTGTATCAATCTTCTAATAAGGGTTCCTAATAAGGGTTAATACACGTTGGTTTATGCATCTATTTGAATATATAAGCATAAATACTTATATATTAAATATATATGATATATAATATATAATTTAAAATATAATGTATAATAAGGGTTAATACAGATTGGTTTATACATCCATTTTTTCTAATAAGGGTTAATACAGATTGGCTTATACATCTTCAAATAGGTAATAATATTTTTATCTATTTTTGGTTGATGACAGCTGCTTATTCCACAAGCATTCTGATTGATTTGGTTATACCATCTTTCTTCTGTTTTACTTTGTGTACATTAAAATTAGGTTTCTTTTCCTGAGAACAGAGTGTTTGTTGAGACTTGGTAAATCTTGGCTCATGATTAAAAGTGAAATTAATGATTCAAAGTCTTGGTTGTATACACATATGCAGATTGCTTGCCATTTTGTGATTGTTAGATTTTTGTCATGAATAGAATATATTCATTGATGTTTTTCAGGAAACAATGACCGATAAAACAGAGAAGGTGGCTGTAGATCCTGAAACTGTGTTTAAACGTCCCAGGGAATGTGACAGTCCTTCGTATCAGAAAAGGCAGAGGATGGCCCTGTTGGCAAGGAAACAAGGAGCAGGAGACAGCCTTATTGCAGGCTCTGCCATGTCCAAAGAAAAGAGTAAGTAAGCCTGTCCTCACGTCCTCCTCATGCTCCTGCCTCATCCCCTCCAGAGAAACTGTCCTTGTCAAGGTTAACAGTTTCGGCTGACATTGCCATTAACTTCTCAGCAGCATTTGACAGTTGTTCACTCGCTTCTTCATGAAAACCTTCTAGGATTTCCATTTCCGACAATCTTTTTTTTTTTTTTAATTTCTTGTCCGTATTGGTGAATCCCTATCATTTTTTTCTTGAGATGGAGTTTCGCTCTTCTCAGCCAGGCTGGAGTGCAGTGGCGCGATCTCGGCTCACTGAAATCTCCGTCTCCTGGGTTCAAGTGATTCTTCTGCCGCAGCCTCCCGAGTAGCGGGATTACAAGCACCAGCCACCACACCCAGCTAATTTTTGTAAGTTTAGTAGAGATGGGGTTTCGCCATGTCGGCCAGGCTGGTCTGGAACTCCCCCCCTCAGGTGATCCACCCACCTCAGCCTCCCAAAGTGCTGGGATTACACGCACGAGCCACCGCCCCCGACCCCATCATTGTTTTTTTCTACATTTCTTTTTCTTCTCTTCTCTAAATACTGTAAAAAATTCCTGAACCCCAGCATCTCTCTCTCTCCTTCTATTCCACTCTGCCACGATCAATCACTGAGCTCCTGAGATACCTCCATGTTTCCCATTATTTCCCGCATCAAACACATACCCTCCAACCCTGCAGCCGGGTCATGATGTTGGCATGTAAATCACGTGATGCCATGTCGCTCCTGAACACCCATCCTCAACACTCCTAAGCACTCAGAACCGACTGCGAAGCAGCTTTGGTCTGCGAGGTTCTGCGTGGCCTGGCCTCCGTCACCCTCTCCTCACACGGGCCCCATCATCTCCTGACTCTCTCTGCTACTGTCCTTCACCCCATAGTGCCCGGTCCATCCCCACTCCAGCCCATATCCTTGGCCTCACCGCAACCTGGAACTCCCCCTCTGCCTCTGCGCAGGCAGCTCTGCTTTTTCCTTCAAGCCCTGCCCAAGGGTACCTCCACAGAAGGCTCTGCCCAACCAGCAGCAGCTCCTGGGGCTCCCTCTGCTGCTGTTGCCCACAGGCCTGTGGACTGCTTCCTTACCACTAGCCCAACACTGTATGTTTCATTTGCTCATTGTGCACGTACTGTCTGACCGCCCCATGAGGATGTGAGCTCCACAAGGGCAGGGAACGTTGCTCTCTGGGCTGTTTACTGCTGATCCCCAGCTACCGGCACGCTGCCTGCCACAGACGATGAATAAATGAGAGGTGTCAGACCTGGAGTGAAAAGAAAGTCACTTTTGTGAGAAAGAAAGGAAGGATGAGGAAAATCATACAGTAAAAGGGACTTTTTGGTGGTGGAGTGCGTATAGAACTTTTAGCAGTAATGGCCGCCTCTATTTTCTCAGAATGTGTTTGATATAACAGGAGACCGGTTGAGTTGTATCCCAGTTGCCTGGGTTCCAGCTCAGTAAAGCATGGCAGTTTGTAAGTGAATTTGAGAAATCATGATATCAAGTGAGACTTGCTGCTTTCAACTTGTAAAGCATAACAAGCTGAAACTGTCCCATGAGTACCAGGGATCTGTGAATGTTGCTTTAGAGTTGTACTGCCTTACTTGGTTTCCATGTCTATTCATAGGGCCAGAAAATAAGAGGTGGTTTTATTGTATTATGTGTCCTGGCCTCCGTTTGTCAGGCCTGGGATTTCTCCCTGGTGTATCCTCCCATTTATGAAATAAATAATTCCCTAGAAACTGAGGAGCACATAGATGTACCCAGAGGGGTGATGAAACACACATATCTCACAGCTCAGCTTCTCAGTTTGATTTCCAGAGCTGTCATTCATGAGGTCTATGTGGAGGGGAAAGAAAGTGGTCAAACACCAACTGATGGCTTTTACTCAAAATCTGTTTCACCAGAGCTTATGACAGGACATGCTATTCCACCCAGCCAATTGGATTCTCAGATTGATGACTTCACTGGTTTCAGCAAAGATGGGATGATGCAGAAACCTGGTAGCAATGCACCTGTGGGAGGAAACGTTACCAGCAGTTTCTCTGGAGATGACCTAGAATGCAGAGAAACAGCCTCCTCTCCCAAAAGCCAACGAGAAATTAATGCTGATATAAAACGTAAATTAGTGAAGGAACTCCGATGCGTTGGACAAAGTAAGTAATATAAGAATGTCTGTTTTATAAAACTATAGGAAGTCTCTCTTTCTATGATTCAGAAGATATTCATGTTGCCTGTTGAGTTTCATTCTTTGCCAGAGTTGAGATTGCACATAATTTATGGTGGTTCCTCTTTTCTTTGACTAAAGCATGTACATTTTTTCTTTTTCTTTTCTTACTTGGTTATGGTTAAAGGAGTTACATTCGTATGTATGTGCAGGTGTCTTTTTTATTATTTAGGTTTTGTATGTGCAGGTATCTTGATTTAAGCATTTAAAACATTTCAGCCTCTGAAGCATGATTGCTGAGGTGTAGATTCACTTCTATTCTTCTTTATATTTGATAATACTGAAGTTTTTTTTTTTTCAACATCTTCAGAATATGAAAAAATCTTCGAAATGCTTGAAGGAGTGCAAGGACCTACTGCAGTCAGGAAGCGATTTTTTGAATCCATCATCAAGGAAGCAGCAAGGTGGGTAGAAATAGGAACTGTCCAATTTCTTTAAGCACTTGGGCTCAATAGAGCACTGGGGGTGAGCGTTGGGGAACAGCCCCTGCCTTGCGTTTCTCAAACCCTGGTCCTCACTCACAGTTATGGCTGTCTCCACAGTTACTTAGGCTAATGTTATCTGAGTGTAACTCATTCTTCGAAGACTATGGAGACTTCCATTTTCACCATAGTCTGAGGTGCGCATTGTCCCTCAATTGACACTCTTTGTATTTGCTAGACTACCTCTTTTTAAAAAATTTGTGTAGGCACATAGCAGATGCATATATTTCTGGGCTATATGAGATATTGTGATACAGACAACAATGTGTAATAATCACATCAAGGTAAGTGGGGTTTCTATCACCTCAAGCTTTTATCCTTTGCGTTACAGAGAATACAATTATACTCTTCATTATTTTTAAATGTGCAATTAAATTATTACCGACTATAGTCACCCTGTTTGGCTATGAAATACGACATCTTATTTATTCCATACTTCTACGTATTAATCATCCCCACTTCCCACACCCTCCACCCCCACTAACCTTTGTAGCCTCTGGTAACTGTCATTCTACTCTCTATCTCCATTAGTTCAGTTGTTTTACACTTTTACTCCCAAAAATAAGTGAGAACATGTGAAGTTTGTCTTTCTGTGCCTGGCTTATTTCACTTAACATAAGGACCTTCGGTTCTATCCGTGTTGTTGCAAATGACTGAATCTCATTCTTTTTTTTATGGCTAAACAGTACTCTGTGGTGTATATGTACCATATTTTCTTTACCCATTCATGTGTTAGTGGACACTTAGGTTGCTTCCAAATCTTGGCTACTGTGGATGGTGCTGCAACAAACATGGGAGTGCAGATATCTGTTCGGTACACTGACTTCCTTTCTCTTGGGTATATACCCAGCAGTGGGATTGCTGGATCATATGATAGCTCCATTTTTAGTTGTTTGAGGAACCTCCAAACTGTTCTTCATAGTTAGTTGTTGTAGTAATTTATATTCTCACCAACAGTGTATGAAGGTTCCCTTTTCTCCACACCCTTGCCAGCATTTGTTATGCCGGCTAGACTGCCTCTTACCATGCAGATACATTTCTATTTCCATGCTGACTGTTACTTCATCTTTCTATCTGTCACAGCGCTTCCTACAGCATAGGTTCTTTGGCTATCTTTTGGTTAATGACATGTCTCTTTCTCTTCAGATGTATGAGACGAGACTTTGTTAAGCACCTTAAGAAGAAACTGAAACGTATGATTTGAGAATACTTGTCCCTGGAGGATTATCACACCCCAAATGCATAATCTCGTTAATGATTGAGGAGAGAAAAGGATCAGATTGCTGTTTTCTACAATGGAGCAGGATATTGCTGAAGTCTCCTGGCATATGTTACCGAATCAACTGGCCTTCCAGAGGCTAAGAAATTTCTGTTAGTAAAAGATGTTCTTTTTCCCAAAGCGTTTTATTTGAAAGGATAACTTGTGTTTTGGTTATTTTGTATTCCCACCTGTGCTGGTAGATATTATTAACCCATTAGGTAAATACTATTACAGTCGTGGTTTCTGCAGCAGCTCACACTGATGTAGCTGGCGTTTATAACTACCTTCTTTCGCTACCCGTTTCGCATTCCCTTTGCCCTGAGATAGCATGTCAGTTGGTCATGATGCTTGGCCTGGCAGGATGACTCAAACCTTCATTACGGAAGAGTCTGAACCATTAGATATCCTGCCTGGATGGGGTTGCTGTGATTTTCCATTAACTCTAATCGAAAAACACGGGAGGACTAAGAAGCTCTCTAGACATATCACACATACTCTTCCTTAGCCCCTCGTGTGGTGGGAACCCGATCTCAATGTTGAAATCTGTATCATCAGCCTTCAACGAAAAGGCAGAACTAATGGGAGATTTTAATGTGTGTGTGTGTGTGTGTGTGTGTGTGTGTGTGTGTGTGTGTGTGTTGGTAGGGGGTATATATACATGCACACACACACTTTCTAATCTCCCATTATACATATAATACACATTACACATATTATATATACACCCCCATATATATATATGTATGCGTGTGTGGGGGGGTATATCCAATATATATAATAAAGGTAGTTCCTAGATAGGATTGGTCTGATACAATAATTTGGAGCTGCAGTAGCAGTCCCTGTAAGGCTGTTGTTTCCAGATACGACTTGAACGTTCTATGCTTTTTATTTTTTTTAAAGACAGAATCTTGCTCTGTTGCCCAGGCTAGAGTGCGGTGACACGATCACAAGTCACTGCCACCTCGACCTCACCCCAGTTCAAGCGATCCTTGTGCTTCAGCCTTCGAAGTAGCTGGGATTACAGGTGCACCACAGGTGCCATCACGCTGCAATTTTTGTATTTTTAGTGGAGATGGGGTTTTGCCATGTTGTCCAGGCTGGTCTCGAAACCTGGCCTCAAGTGATCTGCCCATCTCAGCCTCCCAAGGTTCTAGGATTACAGGCATGAGCCACTGCACCCAGCCCATTCTATGCTTTTTTTAAAAAAATTAATTCATTCAATTATTCAACAAATATTAATTGTGCCAGGTACTTTTTTTTATTATACTTTAAGGTTTAGGGTACATGTGCACAACGTGCAGGTTTGTTACATATGTATACATGTGCCATTTTTGTGTGCTGCACCCATTAACTCATCATTTAACATTAGGTATATCTCCTAATGCTATCCCTCCCCCCTCCCCACACCCCACAACAGGACCCAGTGTGTGATGTTCCCCTTCCTGTGTCCATGTGTTCTCATTGTTCAGTTCCCACCTATGAGGGAGAACATGCGGTGTTTGGTTTTTTGTCCTTGCGATAGTTTGCTGAGAATGATGGTTTCCAGCTTCATCCATGTCCCTACAAAGGACATGAACTCATCATTTTTCATGGCTGCATAGTATTCCATGGTGTATATGTGCCACGTTTTCTTAATCCAGTCTATCATTGTTGGACATTTGGGTTGGTTCCAAGTCTTTGCTATTGTGAATAGTGCCACAATAAACATACGTGTGCATGTGTCTTTATAGCACCATGTTTTATAATCCTTTGGGTATATACTCAGTAATGGGATGGCTGGGTCAAATGGTATTTCTAGTTCTAGATCCCTGAGGAATCGCCACACTGACTTCCACAATGGTTGAACTAGTTTACAGTCCCACCAACAGTGTAAAAGTGTTCCTATTTGTCCACATCCTCTCCAGCACCTGTTGTTTCCTGACTTTTTAATGATTGCCATTCTAACTGGTGTGAGATGGTATCTCATTGTGGTTTTGATTTGCATTTATCTGATGGCCAGTGATGATGAGCATGTTTTCATGTGTCTGTTGGCTGCATAAATGTCTTCTTTTGAGAAGTATCTGTTCATATCCTTCGCCCGCTTGTTGATGGGGTTGTTTGTTTTTTTCTTGTAAATTTGTTTGAGTTCGTTGTAGATTCTGGATATTAGCCCTTTGTCAGATGAGTAGACTGCAAAAATTTCCTCCCATTCTGTAGGTTGCCTGTTCACTCTGATGGTGGTTTCTTTTGCCGTGCAGAAACTCTTTAGTTTAATTAGATCCCATTTGTCAATTTTGACTTTTGTTGCCATTGCTTTTGGTGTTTTAGACATGAAGTCCTTGCCCATGCCTATGTCCTGAATGGTATTGCCTAGGTTTTCTTCTAGGGTTTTTATGGTTTTAGGTCTAACATGTAAGTCTTGAATCCATCTTGAATTAATTTTTGTATAAAGTGTAAGGAAGGGATCCCATTTCAGCTTTCTCCATATGGCTAGCCAGTTTTCCCAGCACCATTTATTAAATAGGGAATCCTTTCCCCATTTCTTGTTTTTGTCAGGTTTGTCAAAGATCAGATAGTTGTAGATATGCAGCATTATTTCTGAGGGCTCTGTTCTGTTCCATTGGTCTGTATCTCTGTTTTGATAACAGTACCATGCTGTTTTGGTTACTGTAGACTTGTAGTATAGTTTGAAGTCAGGTAGCGTGATGCCTCCAGCTTTGTTCTTTTGGCTTAGGATTGACTTGGCAATGCGGGCTCTTTTTTGGTTCCAAAATCAGTGTGCAAAAATCACAAGCATTCTTATACACCAGTAACAGACAAACAGAGAGCCAAATCATGAGTGAACTCCCATGCACAATTGCTTCAAAGATAATAAAATACCTAGGAATCCAACTTACAAGGGACGTGAAGGACCTCTTCAAGGAGAACTACAAACCAGTGCTCAATGAAATAAAAGAGGACACAAACAAATGGAACAACATTCCATGCTCATGGGTAGGAAGAATCAATATCGTGAAAATGGCCATATTGCCCAGGGTAATTTATAGATTCAATGCCATCCCCATCAAGCTACCAATGACTTTCTTCACAGAATTGGAAAAAACTACTTTAAAGTTCATACGGAACAACTTTCATTTTGGTGGAATCACTTTGGTTTCCCCTGTTGAAAAAATTCCTCAATGTGTAACTAAGTCCTCTAGTCCAGCAGAGCCAAAAGTTGGCTTCTTGGTGCACAGTTTGCTTCTTGAGCATAAGAAGCAACATTTTGTTACTAGATACCCAGGAGTAATAGTGAGAGAAGGCCCACATATTGCCTCCTTCATTCTTGAAGTCATAAATGTGGCTATGGGAGAAATAGTTCCATATACTTGAGGCTAGGATTCAGCTTTGCCACTTTCTAGATTGTCAGCCAAGCCCCACAAGGCACTGCCACAAAGCTGCAATGACAACTCAGGCTTTAAAAGGTCCTCCAATGTTCTATTGAGCCAGCCATTTCAGGATGTTGAAGAACATCACAAGACTAGTGAAGTACATTAGCATGAGCCCATTCCCATACTTCATTGCCTGTAAAGTGAGTTTGATGTTTAAAACTGGTGCAGTGTGGAATACCACGACGGTGGATACAGCCTTTCCTCATACCACAGTACCGATTTCCTTGAAGTTCCATGGGTGGGAATGAAAATCCATATGCAGAATAAGTGTCTATTTGAGGAAGATCAAAGTGATACCCCTTCAATCGTGGAAGCAGACCCAAGTAATCACAGTGCTACCTGGAAGCTGACTGACCACTCTGGGACATGGTGCCATATTGGGGACTCAGTGTTGGTCTCTGCTGCTGTCAGATTGAATAGTGAGCAGTGGCTGTAGTGAGATGGACCTGGTAAATGAAAGTTCATGTTGCCAAACCCGTAAATAAGCTTTATCTCAGCCACCATAATCATGATGCACCATTACTGCTTAGAAGATAGAGGGGTGCACCCAAGTAGGTATGGAGGGGTCTCAGGTAGCTTAGAGTGGCCTCAGCCAAGACCGCAAGTATACGGCTACCTCAGTTCCACAACTTTAAGAAGTTAGACCTGCCCGTAACCCAAATGTGCTTGAAAACAGGTTCTCTCTGAGTCCTTAGTTAGTCAGCAGCCTGGTTGATACCCTAACTTTGATTTTGTGAGATCCTAAGCAGAGAAACCAATCCAGGCTGCATGGATTTCTGATCTACAGAACTGCTTATATATTTGTGTTATTTTAAGCTGCTGAATCGGGGACAATTTCTTTTGCATTAGTAACAAACCTAATAGATGTGGTGCCTGCATATTCTGAAGTAACAAATGAAAATCAGGCATGATGTTTTTTATTTTCTAGTCAACTGGTCTCAGGGAACTCCACATGAGACCACAGGTGCAGGATTAGGGAAGCTTCTCTTTTTCTGGGCCCCGGTCCATGCTAGCGGGGTTTCAGTCACTTGTCAATGGGTCCACGGTACTGCACAACATTTAGGTATATGCTAAAACAAGCATCTATTATGCAACTCGTTTCATGTTCCTTATTTAGTAGTAAGAAAGGCAAGATGTAAGAACTTGCTGTTCACCTTATAACCACCATCTTGACATGCCAGACTACCAGATTGTTAAACGCTTCACTCAGTTAGAAGGCCCCTGATTTTGTGTGAGAATTATTTCTCACATAATGTCTTGCAAGTGTGTTGCTACCATGTCTGGATTAGTTGCTGCCTCCTTTTCAGTCAGCATGATGTCATCACTGCAAAGAATGGTGTCACATCTGGTTTAAGAGAAAGGTGGCCATTTTCCCTAAGAACTCGTTTAGGATATAAACCTAGAGAGTTGATATAAGCTTGAAATAGGAAATGATAGTACATTGCTGTCCTTTCTAGCTGAATTGAAATTCTTGTTTACGACAATTACTGAAAGAAAGCCAAACATTCACCTAATCAGTATTGTATATCAGGTTCCGAGGGATGTCACAGTTGCTGACACAACAAAACCACTTGTAGTACAGCAGCTGCAGTTGGAACAACAATTTGATTAAGTTTATGGTGCAATCTCGGCTCACTGCAACCTCCACCTCCCGGGTTCAAGCAGTTCTCTTGCCTCAGCCTCCTTGTGTAGCTGGGACTATAGAAACGCATTATCACACCTGGCTAATTGTTTGTATTTCTTAGTAGAGACAGAGTTTCACCATGTTGGCCAGGCTAGTCTCAAACTCCTGACCTCAAGTGATATGCCCACCTCAGACTCCCAAAGTGCAAGTGCGAGCCACTGCGCAGGGCCCCAGCTATTTTTTTGTATTTTTGGTAGAGATGTGGTTTCGCCACTTTGGCCAGCCTCGTCTGGAACTCCTGACCTCAAGTGATCCACCCGCTTCTGCCTCCCAAATCCTGGGATTACAGGCGTGAGCCACTGTGTCCGGTGAAAACTTCACTTTTAAGTGAAACGCAGAAGCAAAATCTGATAATCAGAAAATGAGATACTGCGTGTTCTCATTCATATGTGGGAGCTAAACAATGGGTACACATGAAAATAAAGGTAGAAACCATTGACTCTGGGGACTCCAAAATGGAGGTAGAGGGGAGGGAGGGAGCGGGTCGGAGGGTTGAAAAACTACCTATTGGATACTCTCTTCACTATTTGGGTGATGAGTTCACTAGAAGCCCAAACCCCGGCACTGTGCAATTATATCCAAGTGAGAAATCTGTACATGTACCCTTCTGGCATCTATAATTTTAAAAAAGCTAACAAAGAAAGCTTCAGTTTTAAATCTTAACCAAATACACAGGAAAAGGATTACTATACTTGGACACCTTTACAGGTTTCTATGTTAGTTTTTGGTATTAAAGCAGAAACCTGTTCCTCGACCACTTTATTAATTGTATGTCCTCTTTGTACAAACATCGGAAATAGAAGACTGTCACTTTTGGTTCTGTAACTGTCTTGACTGCAGTCTTCTACAGCTTTCACAGAGTTAATGGTCCCTAGTATCTGCCATTCTCCAATTGCCCTGGGTGGCGAAATCGCTGCCATAGTAAACTTTTCACTGATAATTAGAGTTTCTGGAAACATGCAGGGCTCGTTATTTAAGAGTGACTCCATTTGGGCATTTTGGTGGATGGCCTACAGGTTTTCTTGCAGAGTATACTAGAGTCTCCAGAATGAATAACCCTAGGAACTTGAGGAACTAGCGCTTTCCAGAATTTTGGAAGCCGAGATACAAACATTGGTTTTCTCAAAAGCACTGCAAGTGGGAAGGAAAATCCATATCTAGACTAAATGTCTGTTCAGGTAAGAAGAAAGCACTTCTCTTTTTATAATAGAAGTGATCTATTGTAATCCACATACCAACTAGTGGCTGGCAGATCATTCTGGAGTCTGGTGCCAAATTGGGGGCTTAGTGTTGGTCTCCATTCCTGGAAGATTTTTCACTCAGCAATGACCGTAGCCAGGTTTGCCATGGTGAGTGGAGGTCCATGCTACTGCGCATAATCTCCAACCCTGCCAGTTTGACCACTTTGTTTGTTGAGCCGGTAAGATTGTGACACACGTGTTAGGGAAAGAGGCTGATTAATACCTAGATAATAAGTACCTTATCCATCTGATTATTAAAATTCTGCTCTGCTGAGGATACCCTTTGCTGAGAACTCTCATGAGACCCCAATATCTTCACATTGTATGTCCGTTTGGACAGGCCTGTCCACATATTTTTTTTTTTCTCAGACTTCTTTGTCGCACATTTTTAATCGTGTGTTCTCAAAGTCCCTGACAATTCAGCGAATGAGTGGGACACAGCCTATGCATGATACATACTTACACGTCTGGATATGCCTCCTCCAAGAAGGTGCACTGCTCAAAGTTCTTCCCTCTGGGAGGATTTCCCTTCATCACTGTCCTTCAGGGCTGTCCCAGTCAGGACTGTCGTATGCAGCTGTCCACCTGTGGCTTGTGTGGTAGGCAGGATTCTAATTAAGCCCCAACAAGATTCCAGTCTCATGGTTATTCAATCAAATACTCCTATGAGTACTGCTCTGGTGGGATTTTTTTAATGCAAAAAATGAGTATTTTATTTTGATAGCACTAGAGGAAACAAACAAAACAACTGTTCCTACATCAAAGTGAAAACAATGTTTAAGCTTTCCTATCAATCAAATATATTCCAAAAGAAAATGTGTTCTATGAAGGTTCTGAAGCACAGGCAAATATTAACACAATAGGCTAAGAAGCTGTAATACTGAATATGACTCTCTTCTAACAGGGTACTTAACAAACATAATTTTTAATTTTAATTTTAATTAATTAATTTATTTTGAGACGGACTCTCCCTTTGTCCCCCAGTGACAATGGATCTCTGCCCCTTTGGAGTGCAGTGACGCGATCTCTGCTCACTGAAGCTTGCACCTCTCAGGTTCAAGTGATTCTCCTGCCTCTGCTGCCCTAGTAGCAGGGAGTACAGGTGCCCACCACCATGCCTGGCTATATTTTTTAATTTTAATTTTAAGTTTTTTACAAACATAACTTTTGAATTACAAAACCAGTGAAGTAATCCCTTCCAAATAATTGTGTCAATAGTGAAACTGCCTGTTCCATTAAAACTCGAAAAATTTCGCTGTAATATTTTTTACCACTATGGACAATTCAAGTAAATTTTGCTGCACTTAAAATAAGTTGTGAAAGTAGAAAAATGGGCCGGGCATGGTGGCTCTCCCCTGTAATCCCAGGACTTTGGGAGGCCAAGGCAGATGAATCACTTAAAGTCAGGAGTTTGAGACCAGCCTGGAGAACATTGTGAAACACCGTCTCTGCTAAAAATACAAATACCAGCCGGGCATGGTGGTACATGCCTGTAATCCCAGCTTCTCGGGAGGCTGAGGAAGGAGAACTGCTTGAACCTGGGAGGCGGAGGTTGCAGTGAGCCAAGATCATGCCACTGCACTCCAGCCTGGGTGACAGAGCCAGACTGTCTCAAAAAAAATAAAAAAGGTGGAAAAATATACAAAGTTCCAGATTAAAATGATTAATAGATGCAATATAATAAGGTTTCCCCTCCTTCCATCCTTTCTTTCTTTCTCTCTTTCTTTCTTCCTTTCTTCCCTTCTTTCTTCCATCCTTCCTTTCTTCCTTTCTTCCCTTCTTTCTTCCATCCTTCCTTTCTTCCTTCCTTTCTTTCTTTCGTTCTTTCTTTCCTTCCTTCCTTCTTTTTTCTTTCTCTTTCTTTCTTTCTTTCTCTCTTTCTTTCTCTCTTTCTTTTTTTTTGTAGACAGTCTTACTCTGTCACCCAGGCTATAGTGCAATGGTGCGAACAAAGGTCAATGCAGCCTCAACCTCCTGGTGTCAAGCCTCCCGAGCAGCTGGGACCACAGTTACACGCTCAGCTAATTTTTGTATTTTGTGTTAAGATGGGGTTTCACCATGCTGCCCAGGCTGCTCTTGAACTCCTGGGCTCAAGGAATCCACCCCTCTTGGTCTCCCAAATTGCTGGGATTACAGACGTGAGCGACCGCACTGGGGCCCTCATTTTTCTTATCAATTAACAATAATGGTTACCTTTAACAGATAGAGGTTGACTTTATTTATTGATTGATTGATTTTTATTTTTAGACAGAGTCTCACTCTGTTACCCAGGCTGGAGTGCAGTGGCATGATCTCAGCTCACTGCAAATTCTGCCTGCCCGGTTCAAGCGATTCTCCAGCCTCAGCCTCCCAAGTAGCTGGTGGGATTATAGGTGCATGCCACCACGCCCGGTAATTTTCTGTATTTTTAGCAGAGACGGGATTCACCATGTTGGTCAGACAGACTGGTCTCGAACTCCTGACCTCAGGTGGTCCAGCCCCTTCGGCCTCCCAAAGTGTTGAGATTACAGGCGTGAGCCACTGTGGCGGGTCGGGGTTGACTTTAAAACACAACCCCCTCAAATGAAAATTGCAGTTTGTTGTTGTTCTTTTTCTTTTTCTTTTCTTTTCCTTCTTTCTTTCTTTTTTTTTTTTTTTCTGAGATGGGGTCTCCTCTACCGCCTGGGCTGGAGTGCAGTGGCTCACTGCTACCTCCACCTCCCGGGTTCAAGCCATCCTCCCACCTCAACTTCCCGAGTAGTTGGGACCACAGGTGCGAGGCCACTAGGCCCAGCTAATTTGTGTGTTTCTTTCTTTCTTTCTTTCTTTTTTGATTAGTTGGTTGCTTTGTAGAGCCGGGGTCTCACTATGTTACCCAGGCGATTTCATCCCGCTGGGTGAGAAGGTTCTGCATTCCTCCGCATACGTTGCTGTGCAGTTGTTACTGAAGGTCGCCTGTAGAGGGCGCCAGAGTCAGCGAAGGGGAGGGCTGCGCTTCCTGGTTCTCTGGGGCACGAGGCTTCTCCTCAGCACTCTGGCGCCCCCAACAGGTTCCCAGTGTTCGGCTGGGGCAGGCACGCTGTGGCTGGCTACTTCCCTTCCTCCCATCCCCCTTGGGCCAAACGGGATCGGTGCTTCTGGTGAGACGCCTCCCCATGCACATCACTCCCAGGTGCCCTAGGGGGCACATTTCCCACAACTCCCAGAGGGCAGGTTTCTAGAAAGTGCCACCAGTGGGGAGGCGCCACAACTTCACTGCCATTTTGTGAGGTGCCGCCGTCTCTCCTCCAGCAAGGTCAGGACTTCAGGACTGTGAGTGGGCAGTTTTTCCCTGGATGCTTTAATTTCGCCCTGGAAAGTGTCCTTTTTCCTCAGAAAGAGTCTTTTCTGTGGTGTTCTCTGTCCGGTGTGTGGGAGGGCTCCCTTGGGGAAGTGGCTTAGCTCTGGGGACACCGCCATGGGCGCCTGTGTCAGCCGCGGGGGAGCGTTTTCCTTGGGCACCCCGTCTCGGCTATGTTGTGGGGCCAGGGGGCTTTTCTTGGGGGCTCTTGTTGGGGGCTCCCTGTCGGTGATGGAAAAGGCGACTTTTCCTGCTGAAATGACCTGAGCCCGGGGGGTGGGGGCCATGCCTTGGTTGCCTGTGTCGGCCTCGGGTGCGGCGGTGTTTCTTTCCCGCTCAGTCGCTGTCCTGAGGGGGGACTCTGCCCTGGGGTCACTATCTGTGCTCATGGAACGTGGTGGGGGTGGCTGTGCCCCGGACACATGATCGTAGCCCTGTGGGGTCACTGTCGGGGGCTTTATCTCAACCTCTGGTGGACTCTTCCTTGGGTACTGATGTCGGCCGTGAGGCGCATTTGTCCTCGGATGTTGCTCGCTCTCAGTTACAATGTGTTGGCTTTTCTTTGGTTCTGCTTATCCCCGTTGTGGACGCTTACTGGATGCTTTCTCTTGGTGCTGGGTTTTTAAAATTATTATCTGTAGGTGCTCTCTCCCGGTGCCGCCGGGGAGTGGGGTAATGTTCCTTGGATTCTCTAAGCCTATGGTGGGACTCAGGGAGCTCTGTGTCAGCCATGAAGG
This sequence comes from Homo sapiens, assembly GCF_000001405.40. Lineage (NCBI taxonomy): Eukaryota > Metazoa > Chordata > Mammalia > Primates > Hominidae > Homo > Homo sapiens. The sequence continues at coordinate 135,818,991 of NC_000023.11, read as the reverse complement.
AGGCCACGTGACCTTGGGAACTCTGTCTCGACCCAGGTTGGGGTGCTTTTCCTCGGTTGGTTGATCGCAATTCTGAAGGAGCTCTTTCCTGGGATTCTATCTGACCTTTCAGCCACAGCCTCAGGTGTCTGTGTGGGAATGGGAGTCCAGAAATATTCGAAGGTTCCAGCTGTGCCACATTCGAACACTCGCAGTACAGTTAGTCTTTCATTCCAGCCACTCTGATGGGTGTGCAGTGATCTCTCCTTGTGTCTACACTCGCATTTCTCTGCTGATTAATGAGATCGAGCACCTTTTTAAGAAATTGTTTTTATTTATTGATTTTTGTTTGTCTTTTGAGATGAGGTCTCCCTCTGTCACCCAGACTGGATTGCAGTGCCACCACACCCAGCTATTTATTGTTTTCTTTTTTTTTTTTTTTTTAGCACCATTTTATGTGTTTATTGGTCATTTAACTATGCCTTTTATGAAGTTCCTTTTCAGGTATTTTCCCCCAGCTTTTACTGAGATGTTTGTATTTTAAAAATGGATTTGTAGTTTCCATATATTCTGTATTTGAGTTATACGCACAGGCACACAGGCGTATATGTACATATACAAAAATACATATACAATTTTAGTATCTTCTATAAATCTTTTTTGCTTTTACACGATCTCAATAATGTGTTGTAGATGAACAGATTCTCTTAATTTTATTAATTAGTGTATTATTTATGGATAGTGCTTTTTATTATTTTAAGAAACATCTTTGACTCACCCAATGCCATTACGATAATATTCCTTTTCTTAAAATTATACTTTAAGTTCCGGGATACATGGGCAGAACGTGCAGGTTTGTTACATAGGAAGACACATGCCATGGTTGTTTGCTGCACCCATTGACCCGTCATCTACCTTAGGTATTTCTCTAATGCTATCCCTCCCCTAGCCCCCCAACCCCTGACAGGCCCCACTGTGTGATGTTCTTCTCCCCGCGTCCATGTGTTCTCATTGTTCAACTCCCACTTATGAGTGAGGACACGTGGTGTTTGGTTTTCTGTTCCTGTGTTAGCTTGCTGACACATGTCCCTTCAAAGGACATGAACTCATTCTTTTTTATGGCTGCATAGTATTCCGTGGTGTATATGTACCACATTTTCTTTATCCAGCGTCGTGGCAGGCGCCCGTAATCGCAGCTACTCAGGAGGCTGAGGCAGGAGAATTGCTTGAACCTGGGAAGTGGAGGTTGCAGTGAGCAGAGACTGTGCCACTCCACTGCAGCCTGGGTGACAGAGCGAGGCTCCGACTCAAAAAAAAAAAAAAATGTCTTCCAATGCATGGAAAGAAAATTTTTCTCCATTTACTGCAGTCTTGAATTTCTCTGAGTGATGTTTTATAATTTTTGTGAAGTACTCTAGCACATCTTGATTAGATTTATTCCTAAATATTTGATGTTTTTGGAACTGTTTTTAATGACATTTGAAATCTCATATTCTAATTATTCGTTATACAGAATTGCCATTCTGTATAATGCCATTCATTATACAGAATTGCTATTCATTATACAGAAATGCCATTGGTTTTCATTGTATCTAGTAAGTTGACTAAATTTGCTTATTAACTGTAATGATTTTATTCTTCTGCATTTTTCTATGTACAGAACAATGTCATCTGTGAATAATGACAGTTTTATTTCTTTCCAAATTTTAAACCTATTGTATTTTCCTGATGATATGGCACTTTTTGGAACCTCCAGTAAATTGTTGAATGGATAGTGGACATCTTTGTCTTGTTTTCAAACTCAGGGAGAAAATACTGATACGTCACTATGAAGTATGGCATTTAAAAATTTTTTGTACATATGCTAACCAGAATAGGAAAGTTGCCCTTTTTCCTAAGTTGGTGATAGTTTTTATCACGAATGGACTTTAAACATTGATCCATGTATGAAAATGATCATGCGGTGTTTCCCTGTTTTTGTTGTTGTTGTTGTTGTTGTTGTTAATGTGGTGCACTACATTTGTCGATTTTCAAATGTTAAATCAGTGTTGCCTTTCTGCAATATACTCCACCATGGCTGATGTATGTCCTTTTTAAGTACTAGTACATTTTATTTGCTCACCCTTAGTTTGGAATTTTTGTGTCTAAGTTCGGGGTGATCTTGGCTTGTATTTTTGGCTTGATCTTGTAGTTTTTCATTCTTCTAAATTCCTTGTCAGATGTTGTTATCAGTTTTGTATCAATCTTCTAATAAGGGTTCCTAATAAGGGTTAATACACGTTGGTTTATGCATCTATTTGAATATATAAGCATAAATACTTATATATTAAATATATATGATATATAATATATAATTTAAAATATAATGTATAATAAGGGTTAATACAGATTGGTTTATACATCCATTTTTTCTAATAAGGGTTAATACAGATTGGCTTATACATCTTCAAATAGGTAATAATATTTTTATCTATTTTTGGTTGATGACAGCTGCTTATTCCACAAGCATTCTGATTGATTTGGTTATACCATCTTTCTTCTGTTTTACTTTGTGTACATTAAAATTAGGTTTCTTTTCCTGAGAACAGAGTGTTTGTTGAGACTTGGTAAATCTTGGCTCATGATTAAAAGTGAAATTAATGATTCAAAGTCTTGGTTGTATACACATATGCAGATTGCTTGCCATTTTGTGATTGTTAGATTTTTGTCATGAATAGAATATATTCATTGATGTTTTTCAGGAAACAATGACCGATAAAACAGAGAAGGTGGCTGTAGATCCTGAAACTGTGTTTAAACGTCCCAGGGAATGTGACAGTCCTTCGTATCAGAAAAGGCAGAGGATGGCCCTGTTGGCAAGGAAACAAGGAGCAGGAGACAGCCTTATTGCAGGCTCTGCCATGTCCAAAGAAAAGAGTAAGTAAGCCTGTCCTCACGTCCTCCTCATGCTCCTGCCTCATCCCCTCCAGAGAAACTGTCCTTGTCAAGGTTAACAGTTTCGGCTGACATTGCCATTAACTTCTCAGCAGCATTTGACAGTTGTTTACTCGCTTCTTCATGAAAACCTTCTAGGATTTCCATTTCCGACAATCTTTTTTTTTTTTTTAATTTCTTGTCCGTATTGGTGAATCCCTATCATTTTTTTCTTGAGATGGAGTTTCGCTCTTCTCAGCCAGGCTGGAGTGCAGTGGCGCGATCTCGGCTCACTGAAATCTCCGTCTCCTGGGTTCAAGTGATTCTTCTGCCGCAGCCTCCCGAGTAGCGGGATTACAAGCACCAGCCACCACACCCAGCTAATTTTTGTAAGTTTAGTAGAGATGGGGTTTCGCCATGTCGGCCAGGCTGGTCTGGAACTCCCCCCCTCAGGTGATCCACCCACCTCAGCCTCCCAAAGTGCTGGGATTACACGCACGAGCCACCGCCCCCGACCCCATCATTGTTTTTTTCTACATTTCTTTTTCTTCTCTTCTCTAAATACTGTAAAAAATTCCTGAACCCCAGCATCTCTCTCTCTCCTTCTATTCCACTCTGCCACGATCAATCACTGAGCTCCTGAGATACCTCCATGTTTCCCATTATTTCCCGCATCAAACACATACCCTCCAACCCTGCAGCCGGGTCATGATGTTGGCATGTAAATCACGTGATGCCATGTCGCTCCTGAACACCCATCCTCAACACTCCTAAGCACTCAGAACCGACTGCGAAGCAGCTTTGGTCTGCGAGGTTCTGCGTGGCCTGGCCTCCGTCACCCTCTCCTCACACGGGCCCCATCATCTCCTGACTCTCTCTGCTACTGTCCTTCACCCCGTAGTGCCCGGTCCATCCCCACTCCAGCCCATATCCTTGGCCTCACCGCAACCTGGAACTCCCCCTCTGCCTCTGCGCAGGCAGCTCTGCTTTTTCCTTCAAGCCCTGCCCAAGGGTACCTCCACAGAAGGCTCTGCCCAACCAGCAGCAGCTCCTGGGGCTCCCTCTGCTGCTGTTGCCCACAGGCCTGTGGACTGCTTCCTTACCACTAGCCCAACACTGTATGTTTCATTTGCTCATTGTGCACGTACTGTCTGACCGCCCCATGAGGATGTGAGCTCCACAAGGGCAGGGAACGTTGCTCTCTGGGCTGTTTACTGCTGATCCCCAGCTACCGGCACACTGCCTGCCACAGACGATGAATAAATGAGAGGTGTCAGACCTGGAGTGAAAAGAAAGTCACTTTTGTGAGACAGAAAGGAAGGATGAGGAAAATCATACACTAAAAGGGATTTTTTGTTGATGGAGTACATATAGAACTTTCAGCAGTAATGGCCACCTCTATTTTCTCAGAATATGTTTGATGTAGAGAGGAGGCTGGTTGAGGTGTGTCCAAGTTGTCTGGCTTCCAGCTTAGTAAAACATGGCAGTTTGTAAGTGAATTTGAGAAATCATGATATCAAGTGAGACTTGCTGCTTTCAACTTGTAAAGCATAACAAGCTGAAACTGTCCCATGAGTACCAGGGATCTGTGAATGTTGCTTTAGAGTTGTACTGCCTTACTTGGTTTCCATGTCTATTCATAGGGCCAGAAAATAAGAGGTGGTTTTATTGTATTATGTGTCCTGGCCTCCGTTTGTCAGGCCTGGGATTTCTCCCTGGTGTATCCTCCCATTTATTAAATAAATAATTCCCTAGAAACTGAGGAGCACATAGATGTACCCAGAGGGGTGATGAAACACACATATCTCACAGCTCAACTTCTCAGTTTGATTTCCAGAGCTGTCATTCATGAGGTCTATGTGGAGGGGAAAGAAAGTGGTCAAACACCAACTGATGGCTTTTACTCAAAATCTGTTTCACCAGAGCTTATGACAGGACATGCTATTCCACCCAGCCAATTGGATTCTCAGATTGATGACTTCACTGGTTTCAGCAAAGATAGGATGATGCAGAAACCTGGTAGCAATGCACCTGTGGGAGGAAACGTTACCAGCAGTTTCTCTGGAGATGACCTAGAATGCAGAGAAACAGCCTTCTCTCCCAAAAGCCAACAAGAAATTAATGCTGATATAAAACGTCAATTAGTGAAGGAACTCCGATGCGTTGGACAAAGTAAGTAGTATAAGAATGTCTGTTTTATAAAACTATAGGAAGTCTCTCTTTCTATGATTCAGAAGATATTCATGTTGCCTGTTGAGTTTCATTCTTTGCCAGAGTTGAGATTGCACATAATTTATGGTGGTTCCTCTTTTCTTTGACTAAAGCATGTACATTTTTTCTTTTTCTTTTCTTACTTGGTTATGGTTAAAGGAGTTACATTCGTATGTATGTGCAGGTGTCTTTTTTATTATTTAGGTTTTGTATGTGCAGGTATCTTGATTTAAGCATTTAAAACATTTCAGCCTCTGAAGCATGATTGCTGAGGTGTAGATTCACTTCTATTCTTCTTTATATTTGATAATACTGAAGTTTTTTTTTTTCAACATCTTCAGAATATGAAAAAATCTTCGAAATGCTTGAAGGAGTGCAAGGACCTACTGCAGTCAGGAAACGATTTTTTGAATCCATCATCAAGGAAGCAGCAAGGTGGGTAGAAATAGGAACTGTCCAATTTCTTTAAGCACTTGGGCTCAATAGAGCACTGGGGGTGAGCGTTGGGGAACAGCCCCTGCCTTGCGTTTCTCAAACCCTGGTCCTCACTCACAGTTACGGCTGTCTCCACAGTTACTTAGGCTAATGTTATCTGAGTCTAACTCATTCTTCGAAGACTATGGAGACTTCCATTTTCACCATAGTCTGAGGTGCGCATTGTCCCTCAATTGACACTCTTTGTATTTGCTAGACTACCTCTTTTTAAAAAATTTGTGTAGGCACATAGCAGATGCATATATTTCTGGGCTATATGAGATATTGTGATACAGACAACAATGTGTAATAATCACATCAAGGTAAGTGGGGTTTCTATCACCTCAAGCTTTTATCCTTTGCGTTACGGGGAGAATACAATTATACTCTTCATTATTTTTAAATGTGCAATTAAATTATTACCGACTATAGTCACCCTGTTGGGCTATGAAATACGACATCTTATTTATTCCATACTTCTACGTATTAATCATCCCCACTTCCCACACCCTCCACCCCCACTAACCTTTGTAGCCTCTGGTAACTGTCATTCTACTCTCTATCTCCATTAGTTCAGTTGTTTTACACTTTTACTCCCAAAAATAAGTGAGAACATGTGAAGTTTGTCTTTCTGTGCCTGGCTTATTTCACTTAACATAAGGACCTTCGGTTCTATCCGTGTTGTTGCAAATGACTGAATCTCATTCTTTTTTTTATGGCTAAACAGTACTCTGTGGTGTATATGTACCATATTTTCTTTACCCATTCACGTGTTAGTGGACACTTAGGTTGCTTCCAAATCTTGGCTACTGTGAATGGTGGTGCAGGAAACATGGGAGTGCAGATATCTCTTCGGTACACTGACTTCCTTTCTCTTGGGTATATACCCAGCAGTGGGATTGCTGGATCATATGATAGCTCCATTTTTAGTTGTTTGAGGAACCTCCAAACTGTTCTTCATAGTTGTTGTAGTAATTTATGTTCCCACCAACAGTGTATGAGGGTTCCCTTTTCTCCACACCCTTGCCAGCATTTGCTATGCCGGCTAGACTGCCTCTTACCATGCAGATACATTTCTATTTCCATGCTGACTGTTACTTCATCTTTCTATCTGTCACAGCGCTTCCTACAGCATAGGTTCTTTGGCTATCTTTTGGTTAATGACATGTCTCTTTCTCTTCAGATGTATGAGACGAGACTTTGTTAAGCACCTTAAGAAGAAACTGAAACGTATGATTTGAGAATACTTGTCCCTGGAGGATTATCACACCCCAAATGCATAATCTCATTAATGATTGAGGAGAGAAAAGGATCAGATTGCTGTTTTCTACAATGGAGCAGGATATTGCTGAAGTCTCCTGGCATATGTTACCGAATCAACTGGCCTTCCAGAGGCTAAGAAATTTCTGTTAGTAAAAGATGTTCTTTTTCCCAAAGCGTTTTATTTGAAAGGATAACTTGTGTTTTGGTTATTTTGTATTCCCACCTGTGCTGGTAGATATTATTAACCCATTAGGTAAATACTATTACAGTCGTGGTTTCTGCAGCAGCTCACACTGATGTAGCTGGCGTTTATAACTACCTTCTTTCGCTACCCGTTTCGCATTCCCTTTGCCCTGAGATAGCATGTCAGTTGGTCATGATGCTTGGCCTGGCAGGATGACTCAAACCTTCATTACAGAAGAGTCTGAACCATTAGATATCCTGCCTGGATGGGGTTGCTGTGATTTTCCATTAACTCTAATCGAAAAACACGGGAGGACTAAGAAGCTCTCTAGACATATCACACATACTCTTCCTTAGCCCCTGGTGTGGTGGGAACCCGATCTCAATGTTGAAATCTGTATCATCAGCCTTCAACGAAAAGGCAGAACTAATGGGAGATTTTAATGTGTGTGTGTGTGTGTGTGTGTGTGTGTGTGTGTGTGTGTGTTGGTAGGGGGTATATATACATGCACACACACACTTTCTAATCTCCCATTATACATATAATACACATTACACATATTATATATACACCCCCATATATATATATGTATGCGTGTGTGGGGGGGTATATCCAATATATATAATAAAGGTAGTTCCTAGATAGGATTGGTCTGATACAATAATTTGGAGCTGCAGTAGCAGTCCCTGTAAGGCTGTTGTTTCCAGATAGGACTTGAACATTCTATGCTTTTTATTTTTTTTAAAGACAGAATCTTGCTCTGTTGCCCAGGCTAGAGTGCGGTGACACGATCACAAGTCACTGCCACCTCGACCTCACCCCAGTTCAAGCGATCCTTGTGCTTCAGCCTTCGAAGTAGCTGGGATTACAGGTGCACCACAGGTGCCATCACGCTGCAATTTTTGTATTTTTAGTGGAGATGGGGTTTTGCCATGTTGTCCAGGCTGGTCTCGAAACCTGGCCTCAAGTGATCTGCCCATCTCAGCCTCCCAAGGTTCTAGGATTACAGGCATGAGCCACTGCACCCAGCCCATTCTATGCTTTTTTTTAAAAAATTAATTCATTCAATTATTCAACAAATATTAATTGTGCCAGGTACTTTTTTTTTATTATACTTTAAGGTTTAGGGTACATGTGCACAACGTGCAGGTTTGTTACATATGTATACATGTGCCATTTTTGTGTGCTGCACCCATTAACTCATCATTTAACATTAGGTATATCTCCTAATGCTATCCCTCCCCCCTCCCCACACCCCACAACAGGACCCAGTGTGTGATGTTCCCCTTCCTGTGTCCATGTGTTCTCATTGTTCAGTTCCCACCTATGAGGGAGAACATGCGGTGTTTGGTTTTTTGTCCTTGCGATAGTTTGCTGAGAATGATGGTTTCCAGCTTCATCCATGTCCCTACAAAGGACATGAACTCATCATTTTTCATGGCTGCATAGTATTCCATGGTGTATATGTGCCACGTTTTCTTAATCCAGTCTATCATTGTTGGACATTTGGGTTGGTTCCAAGTCTTTGCTATTGTGAATAGTGCCACAATAAACATACGTGTGCATGTGTCTTTATAGCAGCATGTTTTATAATCCTTTGGGTATATACTCAGTAATGGGATGGCTGGGTCAAATGGTATTTCTAGTTCTAGATCCCTGAGGAATCGCCACACTGACTTCCACAATGGTTGAACTAGTTTACAGTCCCACCAACAGTGTAAAAGTGTTCCTATTTGTCCACATCCTCTCCAGCACCTGTTGTTTCCTGACTTTTTAATGATTGCCATTCTAACTGGTGTGAGATGGTATCTCATTGTGGTTTTGATTTGCATTTATCTGATGGCCAGTGATGATGAGCATGTTTTCATGTGTCTGTTGGCTGCATAAATGTCTTCTTTTGAGAAGTATCTGTTCATATCCTTCGCCCGCTTGTTGATGGGGTTGTTTGTTTTTTTCTTGTAAATTTGTTTGAGTTCGTTGTAGATTCTGGATATTAGCCCTTTGTCAGATGAGTAGACTGCAAAAATTTCCTCCCATTCTGTAGGTTGCCTGTTCACTCTGATGGTAGTTTCTTTTGCCGTGCAGAAACTCTTTAGTTTAATTAGATCCCATTTGTCAATTTTGACTTTTGTTGCCATTGCTTTTGGTGTTTTAGACGTGAAGTCCTTGCCCATGCCTATGTCCTGAATGGTATTATAGCCTAGGTTTTCTTCTAGGGTTTTTATGGTTTTAGGTCTAACATGTAAGTCTTGAATCCATCTTGAATTAATTTTTGTATAAAGTGTAAGGAAGGGATCCCATTTCATCTTTCTCCATATGGCTAGCCAGTTTTCCCAGCACCATTTATTAAATAGGGAATCCTTTCCCCATTTCTTGTTTTTGTCAGGTTTGTCAAAGATCAGATAGTTGTAGATATGCAGCATTATTTCTGAGGGCTCTGTTCTGTTCCATTGGTCTATATCTCTGTTTTGATAACAGTACCATGCTGTTTTGGTTACTGTAGACTTGTAGTATAGTTTGAAGTCAGGTAGCGTGATGCCTCCAGCTTTGTTCTTTTGGCTTAGGATTGACTTGGCAATGCGGGCTCTTTTTTGGTTCCAAAATCAGTGTGCAAAAATCACAAGCATTCTTATACACCAGTAACAGACAAACAGAGAGCCAAATCATGAGTGAACTCCCATGCACAATTGCTTCAAAGATAATAAAATACCTAGGAATCCAACTTACAAGGGACGTGAAGGACCTCTTCAAGGAGAACTACAAACCAGTGCTCAATGAAATAAAAGAGGACACAAACAAATGGAACAACATTCCATGCTCATGGGTAGGAAGAATCAATATCGTGAAAATGGCCATATTGCCCAGGGTAATTTATAGATTCAATGCCATCCCCATCAAGCTACCAATGACTTTCTTCACAGAATTGGAAAAAACTACTTTAAAGTTCATACGGAACAACTTTCATTTTGGTGGAATCACTTTGGTTTCCCCTGTTGAAAAAATTCCTCAATGTGTAACTAAGTCCTCTAGTCCAGCAGAGCCAAAAGTTGGCTTCTTGGTGCACAGTTTGCTTCTTGAGCATAAGAAGCAACATTTTGTTACTAGATACCCAGGAGTAATAGTGAGAGAAGGCCCACATATTGCCTCCTTCATTCTTGAAGTCATAAATGTGGCTATGGGAGAAATAGTTCCATATACTTGAGGCTAGGATTCAGCTTTGCCACTTTCTAGATTGTCAGCCAAGCCCCACAAGGCACTGCCACAAAGCTGCAATGACAACTCAGGCTTTAAAAGGTCCTCCAATGTTCTATTGAGCCAGCCATTTCAGGATGTTGAAGAACATCACAAGACTAGTGAAGTACATTAGCATGAGCCCATTCCCATACTTCATTGCCTGTAAAGTGAGTTTGATGTTTAAAACTGGTGCAGTGTGGAATACCACGACGGTGGATACAGCCTTTCCTCATACCACAGTACCGATTTCCTTGAAGTTCCATGGGTGGGAATGAAAATCCATATGCAGAATAAGTGTCTATTTGAGGAAGATCAAAGTGATACCCCTTCAATCGTGGAAGCAGACCCAAGTAATCACAGTGCTACCTGGAAGCTGACTGACCACTCTGGGACATGGTGCCATATTGGGGACTCAGTGTTGGTCTCTGCTGCTGTCAGATTGAATAGTGAGCAGTGGCTGTAGTGAGATGGACCTGGTAAATGAAAGTTCATGTTGCCAAACCCGTAAATAAGCTTTATCTCAGCCACCATAATCATGATGCACCATTACTGCTTAGAAGATAGAGGGGTGCACCCAAGTAGGTATGGAGGGGTCTCAGGTAGCTTAGAGTGGCCTCAGCCAAGACCGCAAGTATACGGCTACCTCAGTTCCACAACTTTAAGAAGTTAGACCTGCCCGTAACCCAAATGTGCTTGAAAACAGGTTCTCTCTGAGTCCTTAGTTAGTCAGCAGCCTGGTTGATACCCTAACTTTGATTTTGTGAGATCCTAAGCAGAGAAACCAATCCAGCCTGCATGGATTTCTGATCTACAGAACTGCTTATATATTTGTGTTATTTTAAGCTGCTGAATCGGGGACAATTTCTTTTGCATTAGTAACAAACCTAACAGATGTGGTGCCTGCATATTCTGAAGTAACAAATGAAAATCAGGCATGATGTTTTTTATTTTCTAGTCAACTGGTCTCAGGGAACTCCACATGAGACCACAGGTGCAGGATTAGGGAAGCTTCTCTTTTTCTGGGCCCCGGTCCATGCTAGCAGGGTTTCAGTCACTTGTCAATGGGTCCACGGTACTGCACAACATTTAGGTATATGCTAAAACAAGCATCGATTATGCAACTCGTTTCATGTTCCTTATTTAGTAGTAAGAAAGGCAAGATGTAAGAACTTGCTGTTCACCTTATAACCACCATCTTGACATGCCAGACTACCAGATTGTTAAACGCTTCACTCAGTTAGAAGGCCCCTGATTTTGTGTGAGAATTATTTCTCACATAATGTCTTGCAAGTGTGTTGCTACCATGTCTGGATTAGTTGCTACCTCCTTTTCAGTCAGCATGATGTCATCACTGCAAAGAATGGTGTCACATCTGGTTTAAGAGAAAGGTGGCCATTTTCCCTAAGAACTCGTTTAGGATATAAACCTAGAGAGTTGATATAAGCTTGAAATAGGAAATGATAGTACATTGCTGTCCTTTCTAGCTGAATTGAAATTCTTGTTTACGACAATTACTGAAAGAAAGCCAAACATTCACCTAATCAGTATTGTATATCAGGTTCCGAGGGATGTCACAGTTGCTGACACAACAAAACCACTTGTAGTACAGCAGCTGCAGTTGGAACAACAATTTGATTAAGTTTATGGTGCAATCTCGGCTCACTGCAACCTCCACCTCCCGGGTTCAAGCAGTTCTCTTGCCTCAGCCTCCTTGTGTAGCTGGGACTATAGAAATGCATTATCACACCTGGCTAATTGTTTGTATTTCTTAGTAGAGACAGAGTTTCACCATGTTGGCCAGGCTAGTCTCAAACTCCTGACCTCAAGTGATATGCCCACCTCAGACTCCCAAAGTGCAAGTGCGAGCCACTGCGCAGGGCCCCAGCTATTTTTTGTATTTTTGGTAGAGATGTGGTTTCGCCACTTTGGCCAGCCTCGTCTGGAACTCCTGACCTCAAGTGATCCACCCGCTTCTGCCTCCCAAATCCTGGGATTACAGGCGTGAGCCACTGTGTCCGGTGAAAACTTCACTTTTAAGTGAAACGCAGAAGCAAAATCTGATAATCAGAAAATGAGATACTGCGTGTTCTCATTCATATGTGGGAGCTAAACAATGGGTACACATGAAAATAAAGGTAGAAACCATTGACTCTGGGGACTCCAAAATGGAGGTAGAGGGGAGGGAGGGAGCGGGTCGGAGGGTTGAAAAACTACCTATTGGATACTCTCTTCACTATTTGGGTGATGAGTTCACTAGAAGCCCAAACCCCGGCACTGTGCAATTATATCCAAGTGAGAAATCTGTACATGTACCCTTCTGGCATCTATAATTTTAAAAAAGCTAACAAAGAAAGCTTCAGTTTTAAATCTTAACCAAATACACAGGAAAAGGATTACTATACTTGGACACCTTTACAGGTTTCTATGTTAGTTTTTGGTATTAAAGCAGAAACCTGTTCCTCGACCACTTTATTAATTGTATGTCCTCTTTGTACAAACATCGAAAATAGAAGACTGTCACTTTTGGTTCTGTAACTGTCTTGACTGCAGTCTTCTACAGCTTTCACAGAGTTAATGGTCCCTAGTATCTGCCATTCTCCAATTGCCCTGGGTGGCGAAATCGCTGCTATAGTAAACTTTTCACTGATAATTAGAGTTTCTGGAAACATGCGGGGCTCGTTATTTAAGAGTGACTCCATTTGGGCATTTTGGTGGATGGCCTACAGGTTTTCTTGCAGAGTATACTAGAGTCTCCAGAATGAATAACCCTAGGAACTTGAGGAACTAGCGCTTTCCAGAATTTTGGAAGCCGAGATACAAACATTGGTTTTCTCAAAAGCACTGCAAGTGGGAAGGAAAATCCATATCTAGACTAAATGTCTGTTCAGGTAAGAAGAAAGCACTTCTCTTTTTATAATAGAAGTGATCTATTGTAATCCACATACCAACTAGTGGCTGGCAGATCATTCTGGAGTCTGGTGCCAAATTGGGGGCTTAGTGTTGGTCTCCATTCCTGGAAGATTTTTCACTCAGCAATGACCGTAGCCAGGTTTGCCATGGTGAGTGGAGGTCCATGCTACTGCGCATAATCTCCAACCCTGCCAGTTTGACCACTTTGTTTGTTGAGCCGGTAAGATTGTGACACACGTGTTAGGGAAAGAGGCTGATTAATACCTAGATAATAAGTACCTTATCCATCTGATTATTAAAATTCTGCTCTGCTGAGGATACCCTTTGCTGAGAACTCTCATGAGACCCCAATATCTTCACATTGTATGTCCGTTTGGACAGGCCTGTCCACATATTTTTTTTTTTCTCAGACTTCTTTGTCGCACATTTTTAATCGTGTGTTCTCAAAGTCCCTGACAATTCAGCGAATGAGTGGGACACAGCCTATGCATGATACATACTTACACGTCTGGATATGCCTCCTCCAAGAAGGTGCACTGCTCAAAGTTCTTCCCTCTGGGAGGATTTCCCTTCATCACTGTCCTTCAGGGCTGTCCCAGTCAGGACTGTCGTATGCAGCTGTCCACTTGTGGCTTGTGTGGTAGGCAGGATTCTAATTAAGCCCCAACAAGATTCCAGTCTCATGGTTATTCAATCAAATACTCCTATGAGTACTGCTCTGGTGGGATTTTTTTAATGCAAAAAATGAGTATTTTATTTTGATAGCACTAGAGGAAACAAACAAAACAACTGTTCCTACATCAAAGTGAAAACAATGTTTAAGCTTTCCTATCAATCAAATATATTCCAAAAGAAAATGTGTTCTATGAAGGTTCTGAAGCACAGGCAAATATTAACACAATAGGCTAAGAAGCTGTAATACTGAATATGACTCTCTTCTAACAGGGTACTTAACAAACATAATTTTTAATTTTAATTTTAATTAATTAATTTATTTTGAGACGGACTCTCCCTTTGTCCCCCAGTGACAATGGATCTCTGCCCCTTTGGAGTGCAGTGACGCGATCTCTGCTCACTGAAGCTTGCACCTCTCAGGTTCAAGTGATTCTCCTGCCTCTGCTGCCCTAGTAGCAGGGAGTACAGGTGCCCACCACCATGCCTGGCTATATTTTTTAATTTTAATTTTAAGTTTTTTACAAACATAACTTTTGAATTACAAAACCAGTGAAGTAATCCCTTCCAAATAATTGTGTCAATAGTGAAACTGCCTGTTCCATTAAAACTCGAAAAATTTCGCTGTAATATTTTTTACCACTATGGACAATTCAAGTAAATTTTGCTGCACTTAAAATAAGTTGTGAAAGTAGAAAAATGGGCCGGGCATGGTGGCTCTCCCCTGTAATCCCAGGACTTTGGGAGGCCAAGGCAGATGAATCACTTAAAGTCAGGAGTTTGAGACCAGCCTGGAGAACATTGTGAAACACCGTCTCTGCTAAAAATACAAATACCAGCCGGGCATGGTGGTACATGCCTGTAATCCCAGCTTCTCGGGAGGCTGAGGAAGGAGAACTGCTTGAACCTGGGAGGCGGAGGTTGCAGTGAGCCAAGATCATGCCACTGCACTCCAGCCTGGGTGACAGAGCCAGACTGTCTCAAAAAAAATAAAAAAGGTGGAAAAATATACAAAGTTCCAGATTAAAATGATTAATAGATGCAATATAATAAGGTTTCCCCTCCTTCCATCCTTTCTTTCTTTCTCTCTTTCTTTCTTCCTTTCTTCCCTTCTTTCTTCCATCCTTCCTTTCTTCCTTTCTTCCCTTCTTTCTTCCATCCTTCCTTTCTTCCTTCCTTTCTTTCTTTCGTTCTTTCTTTCCTTCCTTCCTTCTTTTTTCTTTCTCTTTCTTTCTTTCTTTCTCTCTTTCTTTTTTTTTGTAGACAGTCTTACTCTGTCACCCAGGCTATAGTGCAATGGTGCGAACAAAGGTCAATGCAGCCTCAACCTCCTGGTGTCAAGCCTCCCGAGCAGCTGGGACCACAGTTACACGCTCAGCTAATTTTTGTATTTTGTGTTAAGATGGGGTTTCACCATGCTGCCCAGGCTGCTCTTGAACTCCTGGGCTCAAGGAATCCACCCCTCTTGGTCTCCCAAATTGCTGGGATTACAGACGTGAGCGACCGCACTGGGGCCCTCATTTTTCTTATCAATTAACAATAATGGTTACCTTTAACAGATAGAGGTTGACTTTATTTATTGATTGATTGATTTTTATTTTTAGACAGAGTCTCACTCTGTTACCCAGGCTGGAGTGCAGTGGCATGATCTCAGCTCACTGCAAATTCTGCCTGCCCGGTTCAAGCGATTCTCCAGCCTCAGCCTCCCAAGTAGCTGGTGGGATTATAGGTGCATGCCACCACGCCCGGTAATTTTCTGTATTTTTAGTAGAGACGGGATTCACCATGTTGGTCAGACAGACTGGTCTCGAACTCCTGACCTCAGGTGGTCCAGCCCCTTCGGCCTCCCAAAGTGTTGAGATTACAGGCGTGAGCCACTGTGGCGGGTCGGGGTTGACTTTAAAACACAACCCCCTCAAATGAAAATTGCAGTTTGTTGTTGTTCTTTTTCTTTTTCTTTTCTTTTCCTTCTTTCTTTCTTTTTTTTTTTTTTTTTTTTTCTGAGGTGGGGTCTCCTCTACCGCCTGGGCTGGAGTGCAGTGGCTCACTGCTACCTCCACCTCCCGGGTTCAAGCCATCCTCCCACCTCAACTTCCCGAGTAGTTGGGACCACAGGTGCGAGGCCACTAGGCCCAGCTAATTTGTGTGTTTCTTTCTTTCTTTCTTTCTTTCTTTTTTGATTAGTTGGTTGCTTTGTAGAGCCGGGGTCTCACTATGTTACCCAGGCGATTTCATCCCGCTGGGTGAGAAGGTTCTGCATTCCTCCGCATACGTTGCTGTGCAGTTGTTACTGAAGGTCGCCTGTAGAGGGCGCCAGAGTCAGCGAAGGGGAGGGCTGCGCTTCCTGGTTCTCTGGGGCACGAGGCTTCTCCTCAGCGCTCTGGCGCCCCCAACAGGTTCCCAGTGTTCGGCTGGGGCAGGCACGCTGTGGCTGGCTACTTCCCTTCCTCCCATCCCCCTTGGGCCAAACGGGATCGGTGCTTCTGGTGAGACGCCTCCCCATGCACATCACTCCCAGGTGCCCTAGGGGGCACATTTCCCACAACTCCCAGAGGGCAGGTTTCTAGAAAGTGCCACCAGTGGGGAGGCGCCACAACTTCACTGCCATTTTGTGAGGTGCCGCCGTCTCTCCTCCAGCAAGGTCAGGACTTCAGGACTGTGAGTGGGCAGTTTTTCCCTGGATGCTTTAATTTCGCCCTGGAAAGTGTCCTTTTTCCTCAGAAAGAGTCTTTTCTGTGGTGTTCTCTGTCCGGTGTGTGGGAGGGCTCCCTTGGGGAAGTGGCTTAGCTCTGGGGACACCGCCATGGGCGCCTGTGTCAGCCGCGGGGGAGCGTTTTCCTTGGGCACCCCGTCTCGGCTATGTTGTGGGGCCAGGGGGCTTTTCTTGGGGGCTCTTGTTGGGGGCTCCCTGTCGGTGATGGAAAAGGCGACTTTTCCTGCTGAAATGACCTGAGCCCGGGGGGTGGGGGCCATGCCTTGGTTGCCTGTGTCGGCCTCGGGTGCGGCGGTGTTTCTTTCCCGCTCAGTCGCTGTCCTGAGGGGGGACTCTGCCCTGGGGTCACTATCTGTGCTCATGGAACGTGGTGGGGGTGGCTGTGCCCCGGACACATGATCGTAGCCCTGTGGGGTCACTGTCGGGGGCTTTATCTCAACCTCTGGTGGACTCTTCCTTGGGTACTGATGTCGGCCGTGAGGCGCATTTGTCCTCGGATGTTGCTCGCTCTCAGTTACAATGTGTTGGCTTTTCTTTGGTTCTGCTTATCCCCGTTGTGGACGCTTACTGGATGGATGCTTTCTCTTGGTGCTGGGTTTTTAAAATTATTATCTGTAGGTGCTCTCTCCCGGTGCCGCCGGGGAATGGGGTAATGTTCCTTGGATTCTCTAAGCCTATGGTGGGACTCAGGGAGCTCTGTGTCAGCCATGAAGGAGGCCACGTGACCTTGGGAACTCTGTCTCGACCCAGGTTGGGGTGCTTTTCCTCGGTTGGTTGGTTGATCGCAATTCTGAAGGAGCTCTTTCCTGGGATTCTATCTGACCTTTCAGCCACAGCCTCAGGTGTCTGTGTGGGAATGGGAGTCCAGAAATATTCGAAGGTTCCAGCTGTGCCACATTCGAACACTCGCAGTACAGTTAGTCTTTCATTCCAGCCACTCTGATGGGTGTGCAGTGATCTCTCCTTATGTCTACACTCGCATTTCTCTGCTGATTAATGAGATCGAGCACCTTTTTAAGAAATTGTTTTTATTTATTGATTTTTGTTTGTCTTTTGAGATGAGGTCTCCCTCTGTCACCCAGACTGGATTGCAGTGCCACCACACCCAGCTATTTATTGTTTTCTTTTTTTTTTTTTTTTAGCACCATTTTATGTGTTTATTGGTCATTTAACTATGCCTTTTATGAAGTTCCTTTTCAGGTATTTTCCCCCAGCTTTTACTGAGATGTTTGTATTTTAAAAATGGATTTGTAGTTTCCATATATTCTGTATTTGAGTTATACGCACAGGCACACAGGCGTATATGTACATATACAAAAATACATATACAATTTTAGTATCTTCTATAAATCTTTTTTGCTTTTACACGATCTCAATAATGTGTTGTAGATGAACAGATTCTCTTAATTTTATTAATTAGTGTATTATTTATGGATAGTGCTTTTTATTATTTTAAGAAACATCTTTGACTCACCCAATGCCATTACGATAATATTCCTTTTCTTAAAATTATACTTTAAGTTCTGGGATACATGGGCAGAACGTGCAGGTTTGTTACATAGGAAGACACATGCCATGGTTGTTTGCTGCACCCATTGACCCGTCATCTACCTTAGGTATTTCTCTAACGCTATCCCTCCCCTAGCCCCCCAACCCCTGACAGGCCCCACTGTGTGATGTTCTTCTCCCCGCGTCCATGTGTTCTCATTGTTCAACTCCCACTTATGAGTGAGGACACGTGGTGTTTGGTTTTCTGTTCCTGTGTTAGCTTGCTGACACATGTCCCTTCAAAGGACATGAACTCATTCTTTTTTATGGCTGCATAGTATTCCGTGGTGTATATGTACCACATTTTCTTTATCCAGCGTCGTGGCAGGCGCCCGTAATCGCAGCTACTCAGGAGGCTGAGGCAGGAGAATTGCTTGAACCTGGGAAGTGGAGGTTGCAGTGAGCAGAGACTGTGCCACTCCACTGCAGCCTGGGTGACAGAGCGAGGCTCCGACTCAAAAAAAAAAAAAGTAATGTCTTCCAATGCATGGAAAGAATATTTTTCTCCATTTACTGCAGTCTTGAATTTCTCTGAGTGATGTTTTATAATTTTTGTGAAGTACTCTAGCACATCTTGATTAGATTTATTCCTAAATATTTGATGTTTTTGGAACTGTTTTTAATGACATTTGAAATCTCATATTCTAATTATTCGTTATACAGAATTGCCATTCTGTATAATGCCATTCATTATACAGAATTGCTATTCATTATACAGAAATGCCATTGGTTTTCATTGTATCTAGTAAGTTGACTAAATTTGCTTATTAACTGTAATGATTTTATTCTTCTGCATTTTTCTATGTACAGAACAATGTCATCTGTGAATAATGACAGTTTTATTTCTTTCCAAATTTTAAACCTATTGTATTTTCCTGATGATATGGCACTTTTTGGAACCTCCAGTAAATTGTTGAATGGATAGTGGACATCTTTGTCTTGTTTTCAAACTCAGGGAGAAAATACTGATACGTCACTATGAAGTATGGCATTTAAAAATTTTTTGTACATATGCTAACCAGAATAGGAAAGTTGCCCTTTTTCCTAAGTTGGTGATAGTTTTTATCACGAATGGACTTTAAACATTGATCCATGTATGAAAATGATCATGCGGTGTTTCCCTGTTTTTGTTGTTGTTGTTGTTGTTGTTGTTAATGTGGTGCACTACATTTGTCGATTTTCAAATGTTAAATCAGTGTTGCCTTTCTGCAATATACTCCACCATGGCTGATGTATGTCCTTTTTAAGTACTAGTACATTTTATTTGCTCACCCTTAGTTTGGAATTTTTGTGTCTAAGTTCGGGGTGATCTTGGCTTGTATTTTTGGCTTGATCTTGTAGTTTTTCATTCTTCTAAATTCCTTGTCAGATGTTGTTATCAGTTTTGTATCAATCTTCTAATAAGGGTTCCTAATAAGGGTTAATACACGTTGGTTTATGCATCTATTTGAATATATAAGCATAAATACTTATATATTAAATATATATGATATATAATATATAATTTAAAATATAATGTATAATAAGGGTTAATACAGATTGGTTTATACATCCATTTTTTCTAATAAGGGTTAATACAGATTGGCTTATACATCTTCAAATAGGTAATAATATTTTTATCTATTTTTGGTTGATGACAGCTGCTTATTCCACAAGCATTCTGATTGATTTGGTTATACCATCTTTCTTCTGTTTTACTTTGTGTACATTAAAATTAGGTTTCTTTTCCTGAGAACAGAGTGTTTGTTGAGACTTGGTAAATCTTGGCTCATGATTAAAAGTGAAATTAATGATTCAAAGTCTTGGTTGTATACACATATGCAGATTGCTTGCCATTTTGTGATTGTTAGATTTTTGTCATGAATAGAATATATTCATTGATGTTTTTCAGGAAACAATGACCGATAAAACAGAGAAGGTGGCTGTAGATCCTGAAACTGTGTTTAAACGTCCCAGGGAATGTGACAGTCCTTCGTATCAGAAAAGGCAGAGGATGGCCCTGTTGGCAAGGAAACAAGGAGCAGGAGACAGCCTTATTGCAGGCTCTGCCATGTCCAAAGAAAAGAGTAAGTAAGCCTGTCCTCACGTCCTCCTCATGCTCCTGCCTCATCCCCTCCAGAGAAACTGTCCTTGTCAAGGTTAACAGTTTCGGCTGACATTGCCATTAACTTCTCAGCAGCATTTGACAGTTGTTCACTCGCTTCTTCATGAAAACCTTCTAGGATTTCCATTTCCGACAATCTTTTTTTTTTTTTTTTAATTTCTTGTCCGTATTGGTGAATCCCTATCATTTTTTTCTTGAGATGGAGTTTCGCTCTTCTCAGCCAGGCTGGAGTGCAGTGGCGCGATCTCGGCTCACTGAAATCTCCGTCTCCTGGGTTCAAGTGATTCTTCTGCCGCAGCCTCCCGAGTAGCGGGATTACAAGCACCAGCCACCACACCCAGCTAATTTTTGTAAGTTTAGTAGAGATGGGGTTTCGCCATGTCGGCCAGGCTGGTCTGGAACTCCCCCCCTCAGGTGATCCACCCACCTCAGCCTCCCAAAGTGCTGGGATTACACGCACGAGCCACCGCCCCCGACCCCATCATTGTTTTTTTCTACATTTCTTTTTCTTCTCTTCTCTAAATACTGTAAAAATTCCTGAACCCCAGCATCTCTCCCTCTCCTTCTATTCCACTCTGCCACGATCAATCACTGAGCTCCTGAGATACCTCCATGTTTCCCATTATTTCCCGCATCAAACACATACCCTCCAACCCTGCAGCCGGGTCATGATGTTGGCATGTAAATCACGTGATGCCATGTCGCTCCTGAACACCCATCCTCAACACTCCTAAGCACTCAGAACCGACTGCGAAGCAGCTTTGGTCTGCGAGGTTCTGCGTGGCCTGGCCTCCGTCACCCTCTCCTCACACGGGCCCCATCATCTCCTGACTCTCTCTGCTACTGTCCTTCACCCCATAGTGCCCGGTCCATCCCCACTCCAGCCCATATCCTTGGCCTCACCGCAACCTGGAACTCCCCCTCTGCCTCTGCGCAGGCAGCTCTGCTTTTTCCTTCAAGCCCTGCCCAAGGGTACCTCCACAGAAGGCTCTGCCCAACCAGCAGCAGCTCCTGGGGCTCCCTCTGCTGCTGTTGCCCACAGGCCTGTGGACTGCTTCCTTACCACTAGCCCAACACTGTATGTTTCATTTGCTCATTGTGCACGTACTGTCTGACCGCCCCATGAGGATGTGAGCTCCAGAAGGGCAGGGAACGTTGCTCTCTGGGCTGTTTACTGCTGATCCCCAGCTACCGGCACGCTGCCTGCCACAGACGATGAATAAATGAGAGGTGTCAGACCTGGAGTGAAAAGAAAGTCACTTTTGTGAGACAGAAAGGAAGGATGAGGAAAATCATACACTAAAAGGGATTTTTTGTTGATGGAGTACATATAGAACTTTCAGCAGTAATGGCCACCTCTATTTTCTCAGAATATGTTTGATGTAGAGAGGAGGCTGGTTGAGGTGTGTCCAAGTTGTCTGGCTTCCAGCTTAGTAAAACATGGCAGTTTGTAAGTGAATTTGAGAAATCATGATATCAAGTGAGACTTGCTGCTTTCAACTTGTAAAGCATAACAAGCTGAAACTGTCCCATGAGTACCAGGGATCTGTGAATGTTGCTTTAGAGTTGTACTGCCTTACTTGGTTTCCATGTCTATTCATAGGGCCAGAAAATAAGAGGTGGTTTTATTGTATTATGTGTCCTGGCCTCCGTTTGTCAGGCCTGGGATTTCTCCCTGGTGTATCCTCCCATTTATGAAATAAATAATTCCCTAGAAACTGAGGAGCACATAGATGTACCCAGAGGGGTGATGAAACACACATATCTCACAGCTCAGCTTCTCAGTTTGATTTCCAGAGCTGTCATTCATGAGGTCTATGTGGAGGGGAAAGAAAGTGGTCAAACACCAACTGATGGCTTTTACTCAAAATCTGTTTCACCAGAGCTTATGACAGGACATGCTATTCCACCCAGCCAATTGGATTCTCAGATTGATGACTTCACTGGTTTCAGCAAAGATGGGATGATGCAGAAACCTGGTAGCAATGCACCTGTGGGAGGAAACGTTACCAGCAGTTTCTCTGGAGATGACCTAGAATGCAGAGAAACAGCCTCCTCTCCCAAAAGCCAACGAGAAATTAATGCTGATATAAAACGTAAATTAGTGAAGGAACTCCGATGCGTTGGACAAAGTAAGTAATATAAGAATGTCTGTTTTATAAAACTATAGGAAGTCTCTCTTTCTATGATTCAGAAGATATTCATGTTGCCTGTTGAGTTTCATTCTTTGCCAGAGTTGAGATTGCACATAATTTATGGTGGTTCCTCTTTTCTTTGACTAAAGCATGTACATTTTTTCTTTTTCTTTTCTTACTTGGTTATGGTTAAAGGAGTTACATTCGTATGTATGTGCAGGTGTCTTTTTTATTATTTAGGTTTTGTATGTGCAGGTATCTTGATTTAAGCATTTAAAACATTTCAGCCTCTGAAGCATGATTGCTGAGGTGTAGATTCACTTCTATTCTTCTTTATATTTGATAATACTGAAGTTTTTTTTTTTTCAACATCTTCAGAATATGAAAAAATCTTCGAAATGCTTGAAGGAGTGCAAGGACCTACTGCAGTCAGGAAGCGATTTTTTGAATCCATCATCAAGGAAGCAGCAAGGTGGGTAGAAATAGGAACTGTCCAATTTCTTTAAGCACTTGGGCTCAATAGAGCACTGGGGGTGAGCGTTGGGGAACAGCCCCTGCCTTGCGTTTCTCAAACCCTGGTCCTCACTCACAGTTATGGCTGTCTCCACAGTTACTTAGGCTAATGTTATCTGAGTGTAACTCATTCTTCGAAGACTATGGAGACTTCCATTTTCACCATAGTCTGAGGTGCGCATTGTCCCTCAATTGACACTCTTTGTATTTGCTAGACTACCTCTTTTTAAAAAATTTGTGTAGGCACATAGCAGATGCATATATTTCTGGGCTATATGAGATATTGTGATACAGACAACAATGTGTAATAATCACATCAAGGTAAGTGGGGTTTCTATCACCTCAAGCTTTTATCCTTTGCGTTACAGAGAATACAATTATACTCTTCATTATTTTTAAATGTGCAATTAAATTATTACCGACTATAGTCACCCTGTTTGGCTATGAAATACGACATCTTATTTATTCCATACTTCTACGTATTAATCATCCCCACTTCCCACACCCTCCACCCCCACTAACCTTTGTAGCCTCTGGTAACTGTCATTCTACTCTCTATCTCCATTAGTTCAGTTGTTTTACACTTTTACTCCCAAAAATAAGTGAGAACATGTGAAGTTTGTCTTTCTGTGCCTGGCTTATTTCACTTAACATAAGGACCTTCGGTTCTATCCGTGTTGTTGCAAATGACTGAATCTCATTCTTTTTTTTATGGCTAAACAGTACTCTGTGGTGTATATGTACCATATTTTCTTTACCCATTCATGTGTTAGTGGACACTTAGGTTGCTTCCAAATCTTGGCTACTGTGGATGGTGCTGCAACAAACATGGGAGTGCAGATATCTGTTCGGTACACTGACTTCCTTTCTCTTGGGTATATACCCAGCAGTGGGATTGCTGGATCATATGATAGCTCCATTTTTAGTTGTTTGAGGAACCTCCAAACTGTTCTTCATAGTTAGTTGTTGTAGTAATTTATATTCTCACCAACAGTGTATGAAGGTTCCCTTTTCTCCACACCCTTGCCAGCATTTGTTATGCCGGCTAGACTGCCTCTTACCATGCAGATACATTTCTATTTCCATGCTGACTGTTACTTCATCTTTCTATCTGTCACAGCGCTTCCTACAGCATAGGTTCTTTGGCTATCTTTTGGTTAATGACATGTCTCTTTCTCTTCAGATGTATGAGACGAGACTTTGTTAAGCACCTTAAGAAGAAACTGAAACGTATGATTTGAGAATACTTGTCCCTGGAGGATTATCACACCCCAAATGCATAATCTCGTTAATGATTGAGGAGAGAAAAGGATCAGATTGCTGTTTTCTACAATGGAGCAGGATATTGCTGAAGTCTCCTGGCATATGTTACCGAATCAACTGGCCTTCCAGAGGCTAAGAAATTTCTGTTAGTAAAAGATGTTCTTTTTCCCAAAGCGTTTTATTTGAAAGGATAACTTGTGTTTTGGTTATTTTGTATTCCCACCTGTGCTGGTAGATATTATTAACCCATTAGGTAAATACTATTACAGTCGTGGTTTCTGCAGCAGCTCACACTGATGTAGCTGGCGTTTATAACTACCTTCTTTCGCTACCCGTTTCGCATTCCCTTTGCCCTGAGATAGCATGTCAGTTGGTCATGATGCTTGGCCTGGCAGGATGACTCAAACCTTCATTACGGAAGAGTCTGAACCATTAGATATCCTGCCTGGATGGGGTTGCTGTGATTTTCCATTAACTCTAATCGAAAAACACGGGAGGACTAAGAAGCTCTCTAGACATATCACACATACTCTTCCTTAGCCCCTCGTGTGGTGGGAACCCGATCTCAATGTTGAAATCTGTATCATCAGCCTTCAACGAAAAGGCAGAACTAATGGGAGATTTTAATGTGTGTGTGTGTGTGTGTGTGTGTGTGTGTGTGTGTGTGTGTTGGTAGGGGGTATATATACATGCACACACACACTTTCTAATCTCCCATTATACATATAATACACATTACACATATTATATATACACCCCCATATATATATATGTATGCGTGTGTGGGGGGGTATATCCAATATATATAATAAAGGTAGTTCCTAGATAGGATTGGTCTGATACAATAATTTGGAGCTGCAGTAGCAGTCCCTGTAAGGCTGTTGTTTCCAGATACGACTTGAACGTTCTATGCTTTTTATTTTTTTTAAAGACAGAATCTTGCTCTGTTGCCCAGGCTAGAGTGCGGTGACACGATCACAAGTCACTGCCACCTCGACCTCACCCCAGTTCAAGCGATCCTTGTGCTTCAGCCTTCGAAGTAGCTGGGATTACAGGTGCACCACAGGTGCCATCACGCTGCAATTTTTGTATTTTTAGTGGAGATGGGGTTTTGCCATGTTGTCCAGGCTGGTCTCGAAACCTGGCCTCAAGTGATCTGCCCATCTCAGCCTCCCAAGGTTCTAGGATTACAGGCATGAGCCACTGCACCCAGCCCATTCTATGCTTTTTTTAAAAAAATTAATTCATTCAATTATTCAACAAATATTAATTGTGCCAGGTACTTTTTTTTATTATACTTTAAGGTTTAGGGTACATGTGCACAACGTGCAGGTTTGTTACATATGTATACATGTGCCATTTTTGTGTGCTGCACCCATTAACTCATCATTTAACATTAGGTATATCTCCTAATGCTATCCCTCCCCCCTCCCCACACCCCACAACAGGACCCAGTGTGTGATGTTCCCCTTCCTGTGTCCATGTGTTCTCATTGTTCAGTTCCCACCTATGAGGGAGAACATGCGGTGTTTGGTTTTTTGTCCTTGCGATAGTTTGCTGAGAATGATGGTTTCCAGCTTCATCCATGTCCCTACAAAGGACATGAACTCATCATTTTTCATGGCTGCATAGTATTCCATGGTGTATATGTGCCACGTTTTCTTAATCCAGTCTATCATTGTTGGACATTTGGGTTGGTTCCAAGTCTTTGCTATTGTGAATAGTGCCACAATAAACATACGTGTGCATGTGTCTTTATAGCACCATGTTTTATAATCCTTTGGGTATATACTCAGTAATGGGATGGCTGGGTCAAATGGTATTTCTAGTTCTAGATCCCTGAGGAATCGCCACACTGACTTCCACAATGGTTGAACTAGTTTACAGTCCCACCAACAGTGTAAAAGTGTTCCTATTTGTCCACATCCTCTCCAGCACCTGTTGTTTCCTGACTTTTTAATGATTGCCATTCTAACTGGTGTGAGATGGTATCTCATTGTGGTTTTGATTTGCATTTATCTGATGGCCAGTGATGATGAGCATGTTTTCATGTGTCTGTTGGCTGCATAAATGTCTTCTTTTGAGAAGTATCTGTTCATATCCTTCGCCCGCTTGTTGATGGGGTTGTTTGTTTTTTTTCTTGTAAATTTGTTTGAGTTCGTTGTAGATTCTGGATATTAGCCCTTTGTCAGATGAGTAGACTGCAAAAATTTCCTCCCATTCTGTAGGTTGCCTGTTCACTCTGATGGTGGTTTCTTTTGCCGTGCAGAAACTCTTTAGTTTAATTAGATCCCATTTGTCAATTTTGACTTTTGTTGCCATTGCTTTTGGTGTTTTAGACATGAAGTCCTTGCCCATGCCTATGTCCTGAATGGTATTGCCTAGGTTTTCTTCTAGGGTTTTTATGGTTTTAGGTCTAACATGTAAGTCTTGAATCCATCTTGAATTAATTTTTGTATAAAGTGTAAGGAAGGGATCCCATTTCAGCTTTCTCCATATGGCTAGCCAGTTTTCCCAGCACCATTTATTAAATAGGGAATCCTTTCCCCATTTCTTGTTTTTGTCAGGTTTGTCAAAGATCAGATAGTTGTAGATATGCAGCATTATTTCTGAGGGCTCTGTTCTGTTCCATTGGTCTGTATCTCTGTTTTGATAACAGTACCATGCTGTTTTGGTTACTGTAGACTTGTAGTATAGTTTGAAGTCAGGTAGCGTGATGCCTCCAGCTTTGTTCTTTTGGCTTAGGATTGACTTGGCAATGCGGGCTCTTTTTTGGTTCCAAAATCAGTGTGCAAAAATCACAAGCATTCTTATACACCAGTAACAGACAAACAGAGAGCCAAATCATGAGTGAACTCCCATGCACAATTGCTTCAAAGATAATAAAATACCTAGGAATCCAACTTACAAGGGACGTGAAGGACCTCTTCAAGGAGAACTACAAACCAGTGCTCAATGAAATAAAAGAGGACACAAACAAATGGAACAACATTCCATGCTCATGGGTAGGAAGAATCAATATCGTGAAAATGGCCATATTGCCCAGGGTAATTTATAGATTCAATGCCATCCCCATCAAGCTACCAATGACTTTCTTCACAGAATTGGAAAAAACTACTTTAAAGTTCATACGGAACAACTTTCATTTTGGTGGAATCACTTTGGTTTCCCCTGTTGAAAAAATTCCTCAATGTGTAACTAAGTCCTCTAGTCCAGCAGAGCCAAAAGTTGGCTTCTTGGTGCACAGTTTGCTTCTTGAGCATAAGAAGCAACATTTTGTTACTAGATACCCAGGAGTAATAGTGAGAGAAGGCCCACATATTGCCTCCTTCATTCTTGAAGTCATAAATGTGGCTATGGGAGAAATAGTTCCATATACTTGAGGCTAGGATTCAGCTTTGCCACTTTCTAGATTGTCAGCCAAGCCCCACAAGGCACTGCCACAAAGCTGCAATGACAACTCAGGCTTTAAAAGGTCCTCCAATGTTCTATTGAGCCAGCCATTTCAGGATGTTGAAGAACATCACAAGACTAGTGAAGTACATTAGCATGAGCCCATTCCCATACTTCATTGCCTGTAAAGTGAGTTTGATGTTTAAAACTGGTGCAGTGTGGAATACCACGACGGTGGATACAGCCTTTCCTCATACCACAGTACCGATTTCCTTGAAGTTCCATGGGTGGGAATGAAAATCCATATGCAGAATAAGTGTCTATTTGAGGAAGATCAAAGTGATACCCCTTCAATCGTGGAAGCAGACCCAAGTAATCACAGTGCTACCTGGAAGCTGACTGACCACTCTGGGACATGGTGCCATATTGGGGACTCAGTGTTGGTCTCTGCTGCTGTCAGATTGAATAGTGAGCAGTGGCTGTAGTGAGATGGACCTGGTAAATGAAAGTTCATGTTGCCAAACCCGTAAATAAGCTTTATCTCAGCCACCATAATCATGATGCACCATTACTGCTTAGAAGATAGAGGGGTGCACCCAAGTAGGTATGGAGGGGTCTCAGGTAGCTTAGAGTGGCCTCAGCCAAGACCGCAAGTATACGGCTACCTCAGTTCCACAACTTTAAGAAGTTAGACCTGCCCGTAACCCAAATGTGCTTGAAAACAGGTTCTCTCTGAGTCCTTAGTTAGTCAGCAGCCTGGTTGATACCCTAACTTTGATTTTGTGAGATCCTAAGCAGAGAAACCAATCCAGGCTGCATGGATTTCTGATCTACAGAACTGCTTATATATTTGTGTTATTTTAAGCTGCTGAATCGGGGACAATTTCTTTTGCATTAGTAACAAACCTAATAGATGTGGTGCCTGCATATTCTGAAGTAACAAATGAAAATCAGGCATGAAGTTTTTTATTTTCTAGTCAACTGGTCTCAGGGAACTCCACATGAGATCACAGGTGCAGGATTAGGGAAGCTTCTCTTTTTCTGGGCCCCGGTCCATGCTAGCGGGGTTTCAGTCACTTGTCAATGGGTCCACGGTACTGCACAACATTTAGGTATATGCTAAAACAAGCATCTATTATGCAACTCGTTTCATGTTCCTTATTTAGTAGTAAGAAAGGCAAGATGTAAGAACTTGCTGTTCACCTTATAACCACCATCTTGACATGCCAGACTACCAGATTGTTAAACGCTTCACTCAGTTAGAAGGCCCCTGATTTTGTGTGAGAATTATTTCTCACATAATGTCTTGCAAGTGTGTTGCTACCATGTCTGGATTAGTTGCTACCTCCTTTTCAGTCAGCATGATGTCATCACTGCAAAGAATGGTGTCACATCTGGTTTAAGAGAAAGGTGGCCATTTTCCCTAAGAACTCGTTTAGGATATAAACCTAGAGAGTTGATATAAGCTTGAAATAGGAAATGATAGTACATTGCTGTCCTTTCTAGCTGAATTGAAATTCTTGTTTACGACAATTACTGAAAGAAAGCCAAACATTCACCTAATCAGTATTGTATATCAGGTTCCGAGGGATGTCACAGTTGCTGACACAACAAAACCACTTGTAGTACAGCAGCTGCAGTTGGAACAACAATTTGATTAAGTTTATGGTGCAATCTCGGCTCACTGCAACCTCCACCTCCCGGGTTCAAGCAGTTCTCTTGCCTCAGCCTCCTTGTGTAGCTGGGACTATAGAAACGCATTATCACACCTGGCTAATTGTTTGTATTTCTTAGTAGAGACAGAGTTTCACCATGTTGGCCAGGCTAGTCTCAAACTCCTGACCTCAAGTGATATGCCCACCTCAGACTCCCAAAGTGCAAGTGCGAGCCACTGCGCAGGGCCCCAGCTATTTTTTGTATTTTTGGTAGAGATGTGGTTTCGCCACTTTGGCCAGCCTCGTCTGGAACTCCTGACCTCAAGTGATCCACCCGCTTCTGCCTCCCAAATCCTGGGATTACAGGCGTGAGCCACTGTGTCCGGTGAAAACTTCACTTTTAAGTGAAACGCAGAAGCAAAATCTGATAATCAGAAAATGAGATACTGCGTGTTCTCATTCATATGTGGGAGCTAAACAATGGGTACACATGAAAATAAAGGTAGAAACCATTGACTCTGGGGACTCCAAAATGGAGGTAGAGGGGAGGGAGGGAGCGGGTCGGAGGGTTGAAAAACTACCTATTGGATACTCTCTTCACTATTTGGGTGATGAGTTCACTAGAAGCCCAAACCCCGGCACTGTGCAATTATATCCAAGCGAGAAATCTGTACATGTACCCTTCTGGCATCTATAATTTTAAAAAAGCTAACAAAGAAAGCTTCAGTTTTAAATCTTAACCAAATACACAGGAAAAGGATTACTATACTTGGACACCTTTACAGGTTTCTATGTTAGTTTTTGGTATTAAAGCAGAAACCTGTTCCTCGACCACTTTATTAATTGTATGTCCTCTTTGTACAAACATCGGAAATAGAAGACTGTCACTTTTGGTTCTGTAACTGTCTTGACTGCAGTCTTCTACAGCTTTCACAGAGTTAATGGTCCCTAGTATCTGCCATTCTCCAATTGCCCTGGGTGGCGAAATCGCTGCCATAGTAAACTTTTCACTGATAATTAGAGTTTCTGGAAACATGCAGGGCTCGTTATTTAAGAGTGACTCCATTTGGGCATTTTGGTGGATGGCCTACAGGTTTTCTTGCAGAGTATACTAGAGTCTCCAGAATGAATAACCCTAGGAACTTGAGGAACTAGCGCTTTCCAGAATTTTGGAAGCTGAGATACAAACATTGGTTTTCTCAAAAGCACTGCAAGTGGGAAGGAAAATCCATATCTAGACTAAATGTCTGTTCAGGTAAGAAGAAAGCACTTCTCTTTTTATAATAGAAGTGATCTATTGTAATCCACATACCAACTAGTGGCTGGCAGATCATTCTGGAGTCTGGTGCCAAATTGGGGGCTTAGTGTTGGTCTCCATTCCTGGAAGATTTTTCACTCAGCAATGACCGTAGCCAGGTTTGCCATGGTGAGTGGAGGTCCATGCTACTGCGCATAATCTCCAACCCTGCCAGTTTGACCACTTTGTTTGTTGAGCCGGTAAGATTGTGACACACGTGTTAGGGAAAGAGGCTGATTAATACCTAGATAATAAGTACCTTATCCATCTGATTATTAAAATTCTGCTCTGCTGAGGATACCCTTTGCTGAGAACTCTCATGAGACCCCAATATCTTCACATTGTATGTCCGTTTGGACAGGCCTGTCCACATATTTTTTTTTTCTCAGACTTCTTTGTCGCACATTTTTAATCGTGTGTTCTCAAAGTCCCTGACAATTCAGCGAATGAGTGGGACACAGCCTATGCATGATACATACTTACACGTCTGGATATGCCTCCTCCAAGAAGGTGCACTGCTCAAAGTTCTTCCCTCTGGGAGGATTTCCCTTCATCACTGTCCTTCAGGGCTGTCCCAGTCAGGACTGTCGTATGCAGCTGTCCACCTGTGGCTTGTGTGGTAGGCAGGATTCTAATTAAGCCCCAACAAGATTCCAGTCTCATGGTTATTCAATCAAATACTCCTATGAGTACTGCTCTGGTGGGATTTTTTTAATGCAAAAAATGAGTATTTTATTTTGATAGCACTAGAGGAAACAAACAAAACAACTGTTCCTACATCAAAGTGAAAACAATGTTTAAGCTTTCCTATCAATCAAATATATTCCAAAAGAAAATGTGTTCTATGAAGGTTCTGAAGCACAGGCAAATATTAACACAATAGGCTAAGAAGCTGTAATACTGAATATGACTCTCTTCTAACAGGGTACTTAACAAACATAATTTTTAATTTTAATTTTAATTAATTAATTTATTTTGAGACGGACTCTCCCTTTGTCCCCCAGTGACAATGGATCTCTGCCCCTTTGGAGTGCAGTGACGCGATCTCTGCTCACTGAAGCTTGCACCTCTCAGGTTCAAGTGATTCTCCTGCCTCTGCTGCCCTAGTAGCAGGGAGTACAGGTGCCCACCACCATGCCTGGCTATATTTTTTAATTTTAATTTTAAGTTTTTTACAAACATAACTTTTGAATTACAAAACCAGTGAAGTAATCCCTTCCAAATAATTGTGTCAATAGTGAAACTGCCTGTTCCATTAAAACTCGAAAAATTTCGCTGTAATATTTTTTACCACTATGGACAATTCAAGTAAATTTTGCTGCACTTAAAATAAGTTGTGAAAGTAGAAAAATGGGCCGGGCATGGTGGCTCTCCCCTGTAATCCCAGGACTTTGGGAGGCCAAGGCAGATGAATCACTTAAAGTCAGGAGTTTGAGACCAGCCTGGAGAACATTGTGAAACACCGTCTCTGCTAAAAATACAAATACCAGCCGGGCATGGTGGTACATGCCTGTAATCCCAGCTTCTCGGGAGGCTGAGGAAGGAGAACTGCTTGAACCTGGGAGGCGGAGGTTGCAGTGAGCCAAGATCATGCCACTGCACTCCAGCCTGGGTGACAGAGCCAGACTGTCTCAAAAAAAATAAAAAAGGTGGAAAAATATACAAAGTTCCAGATTAAAATGATTAATAGATGCAATATAATAAGGTTTCCCCTCCTTCCATCCTTTCTTTCTTTCTCTCTTTCTTTCTTCCTTTCTTCCCTTCTTTCTTCCATCCTTCCTTTCTTCCTTTCTTCCCTTCTTTCTTCCATCCTTCCTTTCTTCCTTCCTTTCTTTCTTTCGTTCTTTCTTTCCTTCCTTCCTTCTTTTTTCTTTCTCTTTCTTTCTTTCTTTCTCTCTTTCTTTCTCTCTTTCTTTTTTTTTGTAGACAGTCTTACTCTGTCACCCAGGCTATAGTGCAATGGTGCGAACAAAGGTCAATGCAGCCTCAACCTCCTGGTGTCAAGCCTCCCGAGCAGCTGGGACCACAGTTACACGCTCAGCTAATTTTTGTATTTTGTGTTAAGATGGGGTTTCACCATGCTGCCCAGGCTGCTCTTGAACTCCTGGGCTCAAGGAATCCACCCCTCTTGGTCTCCCAAATTGCTGGGATTACAGACGTGAGCGACCGCACTGGGGCCCTCATTTTTCTTATCAATTAACAATAATGGTTACCTTTAACAGATAGAGGTTGACTTTATTTATTGATTGATTGATTTTTATTTTTAGACAGAGTCTCACTCTGTTACCCAGGCTGGAGTGCAGTGGCATGATCTCAGCTCACTGCAAATTCTGCCTGCCCGGTTCAAGCGATTCTCCAGCCTCAGCCTCCCAAGTAGCTGGTGGGATTATAGGTGCATGCCACCACGCCCGGTAATTTTCTGTATTTTTAGCAGAGACGGGATTCACCATGTTGGTCAGACAGACTGGTCTCGAACTCCTGACCTCAGGTGGTCCAGCCCCTTCGGCCTCCCAAAGTGTTGAGATTACAGGCGTGAGCCACTGTGGCGGGTCGGGGTTGACTTTAAAACACAACCCCCTCAAATGAAAATTGCAGTTTGTTGTTGTTCTTTTTCTTTTTCTTTTCTTTTCCTTCTTTCTTTCTTTTTTTTTTTTTTTCTGAGATGGGGTCTCCTCTACCGCCTGGGCTGGAGTGCAGTGGCTCACTGCTACCTCCACCTCCCGGGTTCAAGCCATCCTCCCACCTCAACTTCCCGAGTAGTTGGGACCACAGGTGCGAGGCCACTAGGCCCAGCTAATTTGTGTGTTTCTTTCTTTCTTTCTTTCTTTTTTGATTAGTTGGTTGCTTTGTAGAGCCGGGGTCTCACTATGTTACCCAGGCGATTTCATCCCGCTGGGTGAGAAGGTTCTGCATTCCTCCGCATACGTTGCTGTGCAGTTGTTACTGAAGGTCGCCTGTAGAGGGCGCCAGAGTCAGCGAAGGGGAGGGCTGCGCTTCCTGGTTCTCTGGGGCACGAGGCTTCTCCTCAGCACTCTGGCGCCCCCAACAGGTTCCCAGTGTTCGGCTGGGGCAGGCACGCTGTGGCTGGCTACTTCCCTTCCTCCCATCCCCCTTGGGCCAAACGGGATCGGTGCTTCTGGTGAGACGCCTCCCCATGCACATCACTCCCAGGTGCCCTAGGGGGCACATTTCCCACAACTCCCAGAGGGCAGGTTTCTAGAAAGTGCCACCAGTGGGGAGGCGCCACAACTTCACTGCCATTTTGTGAGGTGCCGCCGTCTCTCCTCCAGCAAGGTCAGGACTTCAGGACTGTGAGTGGGCAGTTTTTCCCTGGATGCTTTAATTTCGCCCTGGAAAGTGTCCTTTTTCCTCAGAAAGAGTCTTTTCTGTGGTGTTCTCTGTCCGGTGTGTGGGAGGGCTCCCTTGGGGAAGTGGCTTAGCTCTGGGGACACCGCCATGGGCGCCTGTGTCAGCCGCGGGGGAGCGTTTTCCTTGGGCACCCCGTCTCGGCTATGTTGTGGGGCCAGGGGGCTTTTCTTGGGGGCTCTTGTTGGGGGCTCCCTGTCGGTGATGGAAAAGGCGACTTTTCCTGCTGAAATGACCTGAGCCCGGGGGGTGGGGGCCATGCCTTGGTTGCCTGTGTCGGCCTCGGGTGCGGCGGTGTTTCTTTCCCGCTCAGTCGCTGTCCTGAGGGGGGACTCTGCCCTGGGGTCACTATCTGTGCTCATGGAACGTGGTGGGGGTGGCTGTGCCCCGGACACATGATCGTAGCCCTGTGGGGTCACTGTCGGGGGCTTTATCTCAACCTCTGGTGGACTCTTCCTTGGGTACTGATGTCGGCCGTGAGGCGCATTTGTCCTCGGATGTTGCTCGCTCTCAGTTACAATGTGTTGGCTTTTCTTTGGTTCTGCTTATCCCCGTTGTGGACGCTTACTGGATGCTTTCTCTTGGTGCTGGGTTTTTAAAATTATTATCTGTAGGTGCTCTCTCCCGGTGCCGCCGGGGAGTGGGGTAATGTTCCTTGGATTCTCTAAGCCTATGGTGGGACTCAGGGAGCTCTGTGTCAGCCATGAAGGAGGCCACGTGACCTTGGGAACTCTGTCTCGACCCAGGTTGGGGTGCTTTTCCTCGGTTGGTTGATCGCAATTCTGAAGGAGCTCTTTCCTGGGATTCTATCTGACCTTTCAGCCACAGCCTCAGGTGTCTGTGTGGGAATGGGAGTCCAGAAATATTCGAAGGTTCCAGCTGTGCCACATTCGAACACTCGCAGTACAGTTAGTCTTTCATTCCAGCCACTCTGATGGGTGTGCAGTGATCTCTCCTTGTGTCTACACTCGCATTTCTCTGCTGATTAATGAGATCGAGCACCTTTTTAAGAAATTGTTTTTATTTATTGATTTTTGTTTGTCTTTTGAGATGAGGTCTCCCTCTGTCACCCAGACTGGATTGCAGTGCCACCACACCCAGCTATTTATTGTTTTCTTTTTTTTTTTTTTTTAGCACCATTTTATGTGTTTATTGGTCATTTAACTATGCCTTTTATGAAGTTCCTTTTCAGGTATTTTCCCCCAGCTTTTACTGAGATGTTTGTATTTTAAAAATGGATTTGTAGTTTCCATATATTCTGTATTTGAGTTATACGCACAGGCACACAGGCGTATATGTACATATACAAAAATACATATACAATTTTAGTATCTTCTATAAATCTTTTTTGCTTTTACACGATCTCAATAATGTGTTGTAGATGAACAGATTCTCTTAATTTTATTAATTAGTGTATTATTTATGGATAGTGCTTTTTATTATTTTAAGAAACATCTTTGACTCACCCAATGCCATTACGATAATATTCCTTTTCTTAAAATTATACTTTAAGTTCCGGGATACATGGGCAGAACGTGCAGGTTTGTTACATAGGAAGACACATGCCATGGTTGTTTGCTGCACCCATTGACCCGTCATCTACCTTAGGTATTTCTCTAATGC
Organism: Homo sapiens; assembly: GCF_000001405.40. Taxonomy (NCBI): domain Eukaryota; kingdom Metazoa; phylum Chordata; class Mammalia; order Primates; family Hominidae; genus Homo; species Homo sapiens. The sequence continues at coordinate 135,783,541 of NC_000023.11, read as the reverse complement.
TATCCCTCCCCTAGCCCCCCAACCCCTGACAGGCCCCACTGTGTGATGTTCTTCTCCCCGCGTCCATGTGTTCTCATTGTTCAACTCCCACTTATGAGTGAGGACACGTGGTGTTTGGTTTTCTGTTCCTGTGTTAGCTTGCTGACACATGTCCCTTCAAAGGACATGAACTCATTCTTTTTTATGGCTGCATAGTATTCCGTGGTGTATATGTACCACATTTTCTTTATCCAGCGTCGTGGCAGGCGCCCGTAATCGCAGCTACTCAGGAGGCTGAGGCAGGAGAATTGCTTGAACCTGGGAAGTGGAGGTTGCAGTGAGCAGAGACTGTGCCACTCCACTGCAGCCTGGGTGACAGAGCGAGGCTCCGACTCAAAAAAAAAAAAAAATGTCTTCCAATGCATGGAAAGAAAATTTTTCTCCATTTACTGCAGTCTTGAATTTCTCTGAGTGATGTTTTATAATTTTTGTGAAGTACTCTAGCACATCTTGATTAGATTTATTCCTAAATATTTGATGTTTTTGGAACTGTTTTTAATGACATTTGAAATCTCATATTCTAATTATTCGTTATACAGAATTGCCATTCTGTATAATGCCATTCATTATACAGAATTGCTATTCATTATACAGAAATGCCATTGGTTTTCATTGTATCTAGTAAGTTGACTAAATTTGCTTATTAACTGTAATGATTTTATTCTTCTGCATTTTTCTATGTACAGAACAATGTCATCTGTGAATAATGACAGTTTTATTTCTTTCCAAATTTTAAACCTATTGTATTTTCCTGATGATATGGCACTTTTTGGAACCTCCAGTAAATTGTTGAATGGATAGTGGACATCTTTGTCTTGTTTTCAAACTCAGGGAGAAAATACTGATACGTCACTATGAAGTATGGCATTTAAAAATTTTTTGTACATATGCTAACCAGAATAGGAAAGTTGCCCTTTTTCCTAAGTTGGTGATAGTTTTTATCACGAATGGACTTTAAACATTGATCCATGTATGAAAATGATCATGCGGTGTTTCCCTGTTTTTGTTGTTGTTGTTGTTGTTGTTGTTAATGTGGTGCACTACATTTGTCGATTTTCAAATGTTAAATCAGTGTTGCCTTTCTGCAATATACTCCACCATGGCTGATGTATGTCCTTTTTAAGTACTAGTACATTTTATTTGCTCACCCTTAGTTTGGAATTTTTGTGTCTAAGTTCGGGGTGATCTTGGCTTGTATTTTTGGCTTGATCTTGTAGTTTTTCATTCTTCTAAATTCCTTGTCAGATGTTGTTATCAGTTTTGTATCAATCTTCTAATAAGGGTTCCTAATAAGGGTTAATACACGTTGGTTTATGCATCTATTTGAATATATAAGCATAAATACTTATATATTAAATATATATGATATATAATATATAATTTAAAATATAATGTATAATAAGGGTTAATACAGATTGGTTTATACATCCATTTTTTCTAATAAGGGTTAATACAGATTGGCTTATACATCTTCAAATAGGTAATAATATTTTTATCTATTTTTGGTTGATGACAGCTGCTTATTCCACAAGCATTCTGATTGATTTGGTTATACCATCTTTCTTCTGTTTTACTTTGTGTACATTAAAATTAGGTTTCTTTTCCTGAGAACAGAGTGTTTGTTGAGACTTGGTAAATCTTGGCTCATGATTAAAAGTGAAATTAATGATTCAAAGTCTTGGTTGTATACACATATGCAGATTGCTTGCCATTTTGTGATTGTTAGATTTTTGTCATGAATAGAATATATTCATTGATGTTTTTCAGGAAACAATGACCGATAAAACAGAGAAGGTGGCTGTAGATCCTGAAACTGTGTTTAAACGTCCCAGGGAATGTGACAGTCCTTCGTATCAGAAAAGGCAGAGGATGGCCCTGTTGGCAAGGAAACAAGGAGCAGGAGACAGCCTTATTGCAGGCTCTGCCATGTCCAAAGAAAAGAGTAAGTAAGCCTGTCCTCACGTCCTCCTCATGCTCCTGCCTCATCCCCTCCAGAGAAACTGTCCTTGTCAAGGTTAACAGTTTCGGCTGACATTGCCATTAACTTCTCAGCAGCATTTGACAGTTGTTCACTCGCTTCTTCATGAAAACCTTCTAGGATTTCCATTTCCGACAATCTTTTTTTTTTTTTTAATTTCTTGTCCGTATTGGTGAATCCCTATCATTTTTTTCTTGAGATGGAGTTTCGCTCTTCTCAGCCAGGCTGGAGTGCAGTGGCGCGATCTCGGCTCACTGAAATCTCCGTCTCCTGGGTTCAAGTGATTCTTCTGCCGCAGCCTCCCGAGTAGCGGGATTACAAGCACCAGCCACCACACCCAGCTAATTTTTGTAAGTTTAGTAGAGATGGGGTTTCGCCATGTCGGCCAGGCTGGTCTGGAACTCCCCCCCTCAGGTGATCCACCCACCTCAGCCTCCCAAAGTGCTGGGATTACACGCACGAGCCACCGCCCCCGACCCCATCATTGTTTTTTTCTACATTTCTTTTTCTTCTCTTCTCTAAATACTGTAAAAAATTCCTGAACCCCAGCATCTCTCTCTCTCCTTCTATTCCACTCTGCCACGATCAATCACTGAGCTCCTGAGATACCTCCATGTTTCCCATTATTTCCCGCATCAAACACATACCCTCCAACCCTGCAGCCGGGTCATGATGTTGGCATGTAAATCACGTGATGCCATGTCGCTCCTGAACACCCATCCTCAACACTCCTAAGCACTCAGAACCGACTGCGAAGCAGCTTTGGTCTGCGAGGTTCTGCGTGGCCTGGCCTCCGTCACCCTCTCCTCACACGGGCCCCATCATCTCCTGACTCTCTCTGCTACTGTCCTTCACCCCATAGTGCCCGGTCCATCCCCACTCCAGCCCATATCCTTGGCCTCACCGCAACCTGGAACTCCCCCTCTGCCTCTGCGCAGGCAGCTCTGCTTTTTCCTTCAAGCCCTGCCCAAGGGTACCTCCACAGAAGGCTCTGCCCAACCAGCAGCAGCTCCTGGGGCTCCCTCTGCTGCTGTTGCCCACAGGCCTGTGGACTGCTTCCTTACCACTAGCCCAACACTGTATGTTTCATTTGCTCATTGTGCACGTACTGTCTGACCGCCCCATGAGGATGTGAGCTCCACAAGGGCAGGGAACGTTGCTCTCTGGGCTGTTTACTGCTGATCCCCAGCTACCGGCACGCTGCCTGCCACAGACGATGAATAAATGAGAGGTGTCAGACCTGGAGTGAAAAGAAAGTCACTTTTGTGAGAAAGAAAGGAAGGATGAGGAAAATCATACAGTAAAAGGGACTTTTTGGTGGTGGAGTGCGTATAGAACTTTTAGCAGTAATGGCCGCCTCTATTTTCTCAGAATGTGTTTGATATAACAGGAGACCGGTTGAGTTGTATCCCAGTTGCCTGGGTTCCAGCTCAGTAAAGCATGGCAGTTTGTAAGTGAATTTGAGAAATCATGATATCAAGTGAGACTTGCTGCTTTCAACTTGTAAAGCATAACAAGCTGAAACTGTCCCATGAGTACCAGGGATCTGTGAATGTTGCTTTAGAGTTGTACTGCCTTACTTGGTTTCCATGTCTATTCATAGGGCCAGAAAATAAGAGGTGGTTTTATTGTATTATGTGTCCTGGCCTCCGTTTGTCAGGCCTGGGATTTCTCCCTGGTGTATCCTCCCATTTATGAAATAAATAATTCCCTAGAAACTGAGGAGCACATAGATGTACCCAGAGGGGTGATGAAACACACATATCTCACAGCTCAGCTTCTCAGTTTGATTTCCAGAGCTGTCATTCATGAGGTCTATGTGGAGGGGAAAGAAAGTGGTCAAACACCAACTGATGGCTTTTACTCAAAATCTGTTTCACCAGAGCTTATGACAGGACATGCTATTCCACCCAGCCAATTGGATTCTCAGATTGATGACTTCACTGGTTTCAGCAAAGATGGGATGATGCAGAAACCTGGTAGCAATGCACCTGTGGGAGGAAACGTTACCAGCAGTTTCTCTGGAGATGACCTAGAATGCAGAGAAACAGCCTCCTCTCCCAAAAGCCAACGAGAAATTAATGCTGATATAAAACGTAAATTAGTGAAGGAACTCCGATGCGTTGGACAAAGTAAGTAATATAAGAATGTCTGTTTTATAAAACTATAGGAAGTCTCTCTTTCTATGATTCAGAAGATATTCATGTTGCCTGTTGAGTTTCATTCTTTGCCAGAGTTGAGATTGCACATAATTTATGGTGGTTCCTCTTTTCTTTGACTAAAGCATGTACATTTTTTCTTTTTCTTTTCTTACTTGGTTATGGTTAAAGGAGTTACATTCGTATGTATGTGCAGGTGTCTTTTTTATTATTTAGGTTTTGTATGTGCAGGTATCTTGATTTAAGCATTTAAAACATTTCAGCCTCTGAAGCATGATTGCTGAGGTGTAGATTCACTTCTATTCTTCTTTATATTTGATAATACTGAAGTTTTTTTTTTTTCAACATCTTCAGAATATGAAAAAATCTTCGAAATGCTTGAAGGAGTGCAAGGACCTACTGCAGTCAGGAAGCGATTTTTTGAATCCATCATCAAGGAAGCAGCAAGGTGGGTAGAAATAGGAACTGTCCAATTTCTTTAAGCACTTGGGCTCAATAGAGCACTGGGGGTGAGCGTTGGGGAACAGCCCCTGCCTTGCGTTTCTCAAACCCTGGTCCTCACTCACAGTTATGGCTGTCTCCACAGTTACTTAGGCTAATGTTATCTGAGTGTAACTCATTCTTCGAAGACTATGGAGACTTCCATTTTCACCATAGTCTGAGGTGCGCATTGTCCCTCAATTGACACTCTTTGTATTTGCTAGACTACCTCTTTTTAAAAAATTTGTGTAGGCACATAGCAGATGCATATATTTCTGGGCTATATGAGATATTGTGATACAGACAACAATGTGTAATAATCACATCAAGGTAAGTGGGGTTTCTATCACCTCAAGCTTTTATCCTTTGCGTTACAGAGAATACAATTATACTCTTCATTATTTTTAAATGTGCAATTAAATTATTACCGACTATAGTCACCCTGTTTGGCTATGAAATACGACATCTTATTTATTCCATACTTCTACGTATTAATCATCCCCACTTCCCACACCCTCCACCCCCACTAACCTTTGTAGCCTCTGGTAACTGTCATTCTACTCTCTATCTCCATTAGTTCAGTTGTTTTACACTTTTACTCCCAAAAATAAGTGAGAACATGTGAAGTTTGTCTTTCTGTGCCTGGCTTATTTCACTTAACATAAGGACCTTCGGTTCTATCCGTGTTGTTGCAAATGACTGAATCTCATTCTTTTTTTTATGGCTAAACAGTACTCTGTGGTGTATATGTACCATATTTTCTTTACCCATTCATGTGTTAGTGGACACTTAGGTTGCTTCCAAATCTTGGCTACTGTGGATGGTGCTGCAACAAACATGGGAGTGCAGATATCTGTTCGGTACACTGACTTCCTTTCTCTTGGGTATATACCCAGCAGTGGGATTGCTGGATCATATGATAGCTCCATTTTTAGTTGTTTGAGGAACCTCCAAACTGTTCTTCATAGTTAGTTGTTGTAGTAATTTATATTCTCACCAACAGTGTATGAAGGTTCCCTTTTCTCCACACCCTTGCCAGCATTTGTTATGCCGGCTAGACTGCCTCTTACCATGCAGATACATTTCTATTTCCATGCTGACTGTTACTTCATCTTTCTATCTGTCACAGCGCTTCCTACAGCATAGGTTCTTTGGCTATCTTTTGGTTAATGACATGTCTCTTTCTCTTCAGATGTATGAGACGAGACTTTGTTAAGCACCTTAAGAAGAAACTGAAACGTATGATTTGAGAATACTTGTCCCTGGAGGATTATCACACCCCAAATGCATAATCTCGTTAATGATTGAGGAGAGAAAAGGATCAGATTGCTGTTTTCTACAATGGAGCAGGATATTGCTGAAGTCTCCTGGCATATGTTACCGAATCAACTGGCCTTCCAGAGGCTAAGAAATTTCTGTTAGTAAAAGATGTTCTTTTTCCCAAAGCGTTTTATTTGAAAGGATAACTTGTGTTTTGGTTATTTTGTATTCCCACCTGTGCTGGTAGATATTATTAACCCATTAGGTAAATACTATTACAGTCGTGGTTTCTGCAGCAGCTCACACTGATGTAGCTGGCGTTTATAACTACCTTCTTTCGCTACCCGTTTCGCATTCCCTTTGCCCTGAGATAGCATGTCAGTTGGTCATGATGCTTGGCCTGGCAGGATGACTCAAACCTTCATTACGGAAGAGTCTGAACCATTAGATATCCTGCCTGGATGGGGTTGCTGTGATTTTCCATTAACTCTAATCGAAAAACACAGGAGGACTAAGAAGCTCTCTAGACATATCACACATACTCTTCCTTAGCCCCTCGTGTGGTGGGAACCCGATCTCAATGTTGAAATCTGTATCATCAGCCTTCAACGAAAAGGCAGAACTAATGGGAGATTTTAATGTGTGTGTGTGTGTGTGTGTGTGTGTGTGTGTGTGTGTGTGTTGGTAGGGGGTATATATACATGCACACACACACTTTCTAATCTCCCATTATACATATAATACACATTACACATATTATATATACACCCCCATATATATATATGTATGCGTGTGTGGGGGGGTATATCCAATATATATAATAAAGGTAGTTCCTAGATAGGATTGGTCTGATACAATAATTTGGAGCTGCAGTAGCAGTCCCTGTAAGGCTGTTGTTTCCAGATACGACTTGAACGTTCTATGCTTTTTATTTTTTTTAAAGACAGAATCTTGCTCTGTTGCCCAGGCTAGAGTGCGGTGACACGATCACAAGTCACTGCCACCTCGACCTCACCCCAGTTCAAGCGATCCTTGTGCTTCAGCCTTCGAAGTAGCTGGGATTACAGGTGCACCACAGGTGCCATCACGCTGCAATTTTTGTATTTTTAGTGGAGATGGGGTTTTGCCATGTTGTCCAGGCTGGTCTCGAAACCTGGCCTCAAGTGATCTGCCCATCTCAGCCTCCCAAGGTTCTAGGATTACAGGCATGAGCCACTGCACCCAGCCCATTCTATGCTTTTTTTAAAAAAATTAATTCATTCAATTATTCAACAAATATTAATTGTGCCAGGTACTTTTTTTTATTATACTTTAAGGTTTAGGGTACATGTGCACAACGTGCAGGTTTGTTACATATGTATACATGTGCCATTTTTGTGTGCTGCACCCATTAACTCATCATTTAACATTAGGTATATCTCCTAATGCTATCCCTCCCCCCTCCCCACACCCCACAACAGGACCCAGTGTGTGATGTTCCCCTTCCTGTGTCCATGTGTTCTCATTGTTCAGTTCCCACCTATGAGGGAGAACATGCGGTGTTTGGTTTTTTGTCCTTGCGATAGTTTGCTGAGAATGATGGTTTCCAGCTTCATCCATGTCCCTACAAAGGACATGAACTCATCATTTTTCATGGCTGCATAGTATTCCATGGTGTATATGTGCCACGTTTTCTTAATCCAGTCTATCATTGTTGGACATTTGGGTTGGTTCCAAGTCTTTGCTATTGTGAATAGTGCCACAATAAACATACGTGTGCATGTGTCTTTATAGCACCATGTTTTATAATCCTTTGGGTATATACTCAGTAATGGGATGGCTGGGTCAAATGGTATTTCTAGTTCTAGATCCCTGAGGAATCGCCACACTGACTTCCACAATGGTTGAACTAGTTTACAGTCCCACCAACAGTGTAAAAGTGTTCCTATTTGTCCACATCCTCTCCAGCACCTGTTGTTTCCTGACTTTTTAATGATTGCCATTCTAACTGGTGTGAGATGGTATCTCATTGTGGTTTTGATTTGCATTTATCTGATGGCCAGTGATGATGAGCATGTTTTCATGTGTCTGTTGGCTGCATAAATGTCTTCTTTTGAGAAGTATCTGTTCATATCCTTCGCCCGCTTGTTGATGGGGTTGTTTGTTTTTTTCTTGTAAATTTGTTTGAGTTCGTTGTAGATTCTGGATATTAGCCCTTTGTCAGATGAGTAGACTGCAAAAATTTCCTCCCATTCTGTAGGTTGCCTGTTCACTCTGATGGTGGTTTCTTTTGCCGTGCAGAAACTCTTTAGTTTAATTAGATCCCATTTGTCAATTTTGACTTTTGTTGCCATTGCTTTTGGTGTTTTAGACATGAAGTCCTTGCCCATGCCTATGTCCTGAATGGTATTGCCTAGGTTTTCTTCTAGGGTTTTTATGGTTTTAGGTCTAACATGTAAGTCTTGAATCCATCTTGAATTAATTTTTGTATAAAGTGTAAGGAAGGGATCCCATTTCAGCTTTCTCCATATGGCTAGCCAGTTTTCCCAGCACCATTTATTAAATAGGGAATCCTTTCCCCATTTCTTGTTTTTGTCAGGTTTGTCAAAGATCAGATAGTTGTAGATATGCAGCATTATTTCTGAGGGCTCTGTTCTGTTCCATTGGTCTGTATCTCTGTTTTGATAACAGTACCATGCTGTTTTGGTTACTGTAGACTTGTAGTATAGTTTGAAGTCAGGTAGCGTGATGCCTCCAGCTTTGTTCTTTTGGCTTAGGATTGACTTGGCAATGCGGGCTCTTTTTTGGTTCCAAAATCAGTGTGCAAAAATCACAAGCATTCTTATACACCAGTAACAGACAAACAGAGAGCCAAATCATGAGTGAACTCCCATGCACAATTGCTTCAAAGATAATAAAATACCTAGGAATCCAACTTACAAGGGACGTGAAGGACCTCTTCAAGGAGAACTACAAACCAGTGCTCAATGAAATAAAAGAGGACACAAACAAATGGAACAACATTCCATGCTCATGGGTAGGAAGAATCAATATCGTGAAAATGGCCATATTGCCCAGGGTAATTTATAGATTCAATGCCATCCCCATCAAGCTACCAATGACTTTCTTCACAGAATTGGAAAAAACTACTTTAAAGTTCATACGGAACAACTTTCATTTTGGTGGAATCACTTTGGTTTCCCCTGTTGAAAAAATTCCTCAATGTGTAACTAAGTCCTCTAGTCCAGCAGAGCCAAAAGTTGGCTTCTTGGTGCACAGTTTGCTTCTTGAGCATAAGAAGCAACATTTTGTTACTAGATACCCAGGAGTAATAGTGAGAGAAGGCCCACATATTGCCTCCTTCATTCTTGAAGTCATAAATGTGGCTATGGGAGAAATAGTTCCATATACTTGAGGCTAGGATTCAGCTTTGCCACTTTCTAGATTGTCAGCCAAGCCCCACAAGGCACTGCCACAAAGCTGCAATGACAACTCAGGCTTTAAAAGGTCCTCCAATGTTCTATTGAGCCAGCCATTTCAGGATGTTGAAGAACATCACAAGACTAGTGAAGTACATTAGCATGAGCCCATTCCCATACTTCATTGCCTGTAAAGTGAGTTTGATGTTTAAAACTGGTGCAGTGTGGAATACCACGACGGTGGATACAGCCTTTCCTCATACCACAGTACCGATTTCCTTGAAGTTCCATGGGTGGGAATGAAAATCCATATGCAGAATAAGTGTCTATTTGAGGAAGATCAAAGTGATACCCCTTCAATCGTGGAAGCAGACCCAAGTAATCACAGTGCTACCTGGAAGCTGACTGACCACTCTGGGACATGGTGCCATATTGGGGACTCAGTGTTGGTCTCTGCTGCTGTCAGATTGAATAGTGAGCAGTGGCTGTAGTGAGATGGACCTGGTAAATGAAAGTTCATGTTGCCAAACCCGTAAATAAGCTTTATCTCAGCCACCATAATCATGATGCACCATTACTGCTTAGAAGATAGAGGGGTGCACCCAAGTAGGTATGGAGGGGTCTCAGGTAGCTTAGAGTGGCCTCAGCCAAGACCGCAAGTATACGGCTACCTCAGTTCCACAACTTTAAGAAGTTAGACCTGCCCGTAACCCAAATGTGCTTGAAAACAGGTTCTCTCTGAGTCCTTAGTTAGTCAGCAGCCTGGTTGATACCCTAACTTTGATTTTGTGAGATCCTAAGCAGAGAAACCAATCCAGGCTGCATGGATTTCTGATCTACAGAACTGCTTATATATTTGTGTTATTTTAAGCTGCTGAATCGGGGACAATTTCTTTTGCATTAGTAACAAACCTAATAGATGTGGTGCCTGCATATTCTGAAGTAACAAATGAAAATCAGGCATGAAGTTTTTTATTTTCTAGTCAACTGGTCTCAGGGAACTCCACATGAGATCACAGGTGCAGGATTAGGGAAGCTTCTCTTTTTCTGGGCCCCGGTCCATGCTAGCGGGGTTTCAGTCACTTGTCAATGGGTCCACGGTACTGCACAACATTTAGGTATATGCTAAAACAAGCATCTATTATGCAACTCGTTTCATGTTCCTTATTTAGTAGTAAGAAAGGCAAGATGTAAGAACTTGCTGTTCACCTTATAACCACCATCTTGACATGCCAGACTACCAGATTGTTAAACGCTTCACTCAGTTAGAAGGCCCCTGATTTTGTGTGAGAATTATTTCTCACATAATGTCTTGCAAGTGTGTTGCTACCATGTCTGGATTAGTTGCTACCTCCTTTTCAGTCAGCATGATGTCATCACTGCAAAGAATGGTGTCACATCTGGTTTAAGAGAAAGGTGGCCATTTTCCCTAAGAACTCGTTTAGGATATAAACCTAGAGAGTTGATATAAGCTTGAAATAGGAAATGATAGTACATTGCTGTCCTTTCTAGCTGAATTGAAATTCTTGTTTACGACAATTACTGAAAGAAAGCCAAACATTCACCTAATCAGTATTGTATATCAGGTTCCGAGGGATGTCACAGTTGCTGACACAACAAAACCACTTGTAGTACAGCAGCTGCAGTTGGAACAACAATTTGATTAAGTTTATGGTGCAATCTCGGCTCACTGCAACCTCCACCTCCCGGGTTCAAGCAGTTCTCTTGCCTCAGCCTCCTTGTGTAGCTGGGACTATAGAAACGCATTATCACACCTGGCTAATTGTTTGTATTTCTTAGTAGAGACAGAGTTTCACCATGTTGGCCAGGCTAGTCTCAAACTCCTGACCTCAAGTGATATGCCCACCTCAGACTCCCAAAGTGCAAGTGCGAGCCACTGCGCAGGGCCCCAGCTATTTTTTGTATTTTTGGTAGAGATGTGGTTTCGCCACTTTGGCCAGCCTCGTCTGGAACTCCTGACCTCAAGTGATCCACCCGCTTCTGCCTCCCAAATCCTGGGATTACAGGCGTGAGCCACTGTGTCCGGTGAAAACTTCACTTTTAAGTGAAACGCAGAAGCAAAATCTGATAATCAGAAAATGAGATACTGCGTGTTCTCATTCATATGTGGGAGCTAAACAATGGGTACACATGAAAATAAAGGTAGAAACCATTGACTCTGGGGACTCCAAAATGGAGGTAGAGGGGAGGGAGGGAGCGGGTCGGAGGGTTGAAAAACTACCTATTGGATACTCTCTTCACTATTTGGGTGATGAGTTCACTAGAAGCCCAAACCCCGGCACTGTGCAATTATATCCAAGTGAGAAATCTGTACATGTACCCTTCTGGCATCTATAATTTTAAAAAAGCTAACAAAGAAAGCTTCAGTTTTAAATCTTAACCAAATACACAGGAAAAGGATTACTATACTTGGACACCTTTACAGGTTTCTATGTTAGTTTTTGGTATTAAAGCAGAAACCTGTTCCTCGACCACTTTATTAATTGTATGTCCTCTTTGTACAAACATCGGAAATAGAAGACTGTCACTTTTGGTTCTGTAACTGTCTTGACTGCAGTCTTCTACAGCTTTCACAGAGTTAATGGTCCCTAGTATCTGCCATTCTCCAATTGCCCTGGGTGGCGAAATCGCTGCCATAGTAAACTTTTCACTGATAATTAGAGTTTCTGGAAACATGCAGGGCTCGTTATTTAAGAGTGACTCCATTTGGGCATTTTGGTGGATGGCCTACAGGTTTTCTTGCAGAGTATACTAGAGTCTCCAGAATGAATAACCCTAGGAACTTGAGGAACTAGCGCTTTCCAGAATTTTGGAAGCCGAGATACAAACATTGGTTTTCTCAAAAGCACTGCAAGTGGGAAGGAAAATCCATATCTAGACTAAATGTCTGTTCAGGTAAGAAGAAAGCACTTCTCTTTTTATAATAGAAGTGATCTATTGTAATCCACATACCAACTAGTGGCTGGCAGATCATTCTGGAGTCTGGTGCCAAATTGGGGGCTTAGTGTTGGTCTCCATTCCTGGAAGATTTTTCACTCAGCAATGACCGTAGCCAGGTTTGCCATGGTGAGTGGAGGTCCATGCTACTGCGCATAATCTCCAACCCTGCCAGTTTGACCACTTTGTTTGTTGAGCCGGTAAGATTGTGACACACGTGTTAGGGAAAGAGGCTGATTAATACCTAGATAATAAGTACCTTATCCATCTGATTATTAAAATTCTGCTCTGCTGAGGATACCCTTTGCTGAGAACTCTCATGAGACCCCAATATCTTCACATTGTATGTCCGTTTGGACAGGCCTGTCCACATATTTTTTTTTTTCTCAGACTTCTTTGTCGCACATTTTTAATCGTGTGTTCTCAAAGTCCCTGACAATTCAGCGAATGAGTGGGACACAGCCTATGCATGATACATACTTACACGTCTGGATATGCCTCCTCCAAGAAGGTGCACTGCTCAAAGTTCTTCCCTCTGGGAGGATTTCCCTTCATCACTGTCCTTCAGGGCTGTCCCAGTCAGGACTGTCGTATGCAGCTGTCCACCTGTGGCTTGTGTGGTAGGCAGGATTCTAATTAAGCCCCAACAAGATTCCAGTCTCATGGTTATTCAATCAAATACTCCTATGAGTACTGCTCTGGTGGGATTTTTTTAATGCAAAAAATGAGTATTTTATTTTGATAGCACTAGAGGAAACAAACAAAACAACTGTTCCTACATCAAAGTGAAAACAATGTTTAAGCTTTCCTATCAATCAAATATATTCCAAAAGAAAATGTGTTCTATGAAGGTTCTGAAGCACAGGCAAATATTAACACAATAGGCTAAGAAGCTGTAATACTGAATATGACTCTCTTCTAACAGGGTACTTAACAAACATAATTTTTAATTTTAATTTTAATTAATTAATTTATTTTGAGACGGACTCTCCCTTTGTCCCCCAGTGACAATGGATCTCTGCCCCTTTGGAGTGCAGTGACGCGATCTCTGCTCACTGAAGCTTGCACCTCTCAGGTTCAAGTGATTCTCCTGCCTCTGCTGCCCTAGTAGCAGGGAGTACAGGTGCCCACCACCATGCCTGGCTATATTTTTTAATTTTAATTTTAAGTTTTTTACAAACATAACTTTTGAATTACAAAACCAGTGAAGTAATCCCTTCCAAATAATTGTGTCAATAGTGAAACTGCCTGTTCCATTAAAACTCGAAAAATTTCGCTGTAATATTTTTTACCACTATGGACAATTCAAGTAAATTTTGCTGCACTTAAAATAAGTTGTGAAAGTAGAAAAATGGGCCGGGCATGGTGGCTCTCCCCTGTAATCCCAGGACTTTGGGAGGCCAAGGCAGATGAATCACTTAAAGTCAGGAGTTTGAGACCAGCCTGGAGAACATTGTGAAACACCGTCTCTGCTAAAAATACAAATACCAGCCGGGCATGGTGGTACATGCCTGTAATCCCAGCTTCTCGGGAGGCTGAGGAAGGAGAACTGCTTGAACCTGGGAGGCGGAGGTTGCAGTGAGCCAAGATCATGCCACTGCACTCCAGCCTGGGTGACAGAGCCAGACTGTCTCAAAAAAAATAAAAAAGGTGGAAAAATATACAAAGTTCCAGATTAAAATGATTAATAGATGCAATATAATAAGGTTTCCCCTCCTTCCATCCTTTCTTTCTTTCTCTCTTTCTTTCTTCCTTTCTTCCCTTCTTTCTTCCATCCTTCCTTTCTTCCTTTCTTCCCTTCTTTCTTCCATCCTTCCTTTCTTCCTTCCTTTCTTTCTTTCGTTCTTTCTTTCCTTCCTTCCTTCTTTTTTCTTTCTCTTTCTTTCTTTCTCTCTTTCTTTCTCTCTTTCTTTCTCTCTTTCTTTTTTTTGTAGACAGTCTTACTCTGTCACCCAGGCTATAGTGCAATGGTGCGAACAAAGGTCAATGCAGCCTCAACCTCCTGGTGTCAAGCCTCCCGAGCAGCTGGGACCACAGTTACACGCTCAGCTAATTTTTGTATTTTGTGTTAAGATGGGGTTTCACCATGCTGCCCAGGCTGCTCTTGAACTCCTGGGCTCAAGGAATCCACCCCTCTTGGTCTCCCAAATTGCTGGGATTACAGACGTGAGCGACCGCACTGGGGCCCTCATTTTTCTTATCAATTAACAATAATGGTTACCTTTAACAGATAGAGGTTGACTTTATTTATTGATTGATTGATTTTTATTTTTAGACAGAGTCTCACTCTGTTACCCAGGCTGGAGTGCAGTGGCATGATCTCAGCTCACTGCAAATTCTGCCTGCCCGGTTCAAGCGATTCTCCAGCCTCAGCCTCCCAAGTAGCTGGTGGGATTATAGGTGCATGCCACCACGCCCGGTAATTTTCTGTATTTTTAGTAGAGACGGGATTCACCATGTTGGTCAGACAGACTGGTCTCGAACTCCTGACCTCAGGTGGTCCAGCCCCTTCGGCCTCCCAAAGTGTTGAGATTACAGGCGTGAGCCACTGTGGCGGGTCGGGGTTGACTTTAAAACACAACCCCCTCAAATGAAAATTGCAGTTTGTTGTTGTTCTTTTTCTTTTTCTTTTCTTTTCCTTCTTTCTTTCTTTTTTTTTTTTTTTTTTCTGAGGTGGGGTCTCCTCTACCGCCTGGGCTGGAGTGCAGTGGCTCACTGCTACCTCCACCTCCCGGGTTCAAGCCATCCTCCCACCTCAACTTCCCGAGTAGTTGGGACCACAGGTGCGAGGCCACTAGGCCCAGCTAATTTGTGTGTTTCTTTCTTTCTTTCTTTCTTTCTTTCTTTCTTTTTTGATTAGTTGGTTGCTTTGTAGAGCCGGGGTCTCACTATGTTACCCAGGCGATTTCATCCCGCTGGGTGAGAAGGTTCTGCATTCCTCCGCATACGTTGCTGTGCAGTTGTTACTGAAGGTCGCCTGTAGAGGGCGCCAGAGTCAGCGAAGGGGAGGGCTGCGCTTCCTGGTTCTCTGGGGCACGAGGCTTCTCCTCAGCACTCTGGCGCCCCCAACAGGTTCCCAGTGTTCGGCTGGGGCAGGCACGCTGTGGCTGGCTACTTCCCTTCCTCCCATCCCCCTTGGGCCAAACGGGATCGGTGCTTCTGGTGAGACGCCTCCCCATGCACATCACTCCCAGGTGCCCTAGGGGGCACATTTCCCACAACTCCCAGAGGGCAGGTTTCTAGAAAGTGCCACCAGTGGGGAGGCGCCACAACTTCACTGCCATTTTGTGAGGTGCCGCCGTCTCTCCTCCAGCAAGGTCAGGACTTCAGGACTGTGAGTGGGCAGTTTTTCCCTGGATGCTTTAATTTCGCCCTGGAAAGTGTCCTTTTTCCTCAGAAAGAGTCTTTTCTGTGGTGTTCTCTGTCCGGTGTGTGGGAGGGCTCCCTTGGGGAAGTGGCTTAGCTCTGGGGACACCGCCATGGGCGCCTGTGTCAGCCGCGGGGGAGCGTTTTCCTTGGGCACCCCGTCTCGGCTATGTTGTGGGGCCAGGGGGCTTTTCTTGGGGGCTCTTGTTGGGGGCTCCCTGTCGGTGATGGAAAAGGCGACTTTTCCTGCTGAAATGACCTGAGCCCGGGGGGTGGGGGCCATGCCTTGGTTGCCTGTGTCGGTCTCGGGTGCGGCGGTGTTTCTTTCCCGCTCAGTCGCTGTCCTGAGGGGGGACTCTGCCCTGGGGTCACTATCTGTGCTCATGGAACGTGGTGGGGGTGGCTGTGCCCCGGACACATGATCGTAGCCCTGTGGGGTCACTGTCGGGGGCTTTATCTCAACCTCTGGTGGACTCTTCCTTGGGTACTGATGTCGGCCGTGAGGCGCATTTGTCCTCGGATGTTGCTCGCTCTCAGTTACAATGTGTTGGCTTTTCTTTGGTTCTGCTTATCCCCGTTGTGGACGCTTACTGGATGGATGCTTTCTCTTGGTGCTGGGTTTTTAAAATTATTATCTGTAGGTGCTCTCTCCCGGTGCCGCCGGGGAATGGGGTAATGTTCCTTGGATTCTCTAAGCCTATGGTGGGACTCAGGGAGCTCTGTGTCAGCCATGAAGGAGGCCACGTGACCTTGGGAACTCTGTCTCGACCCAGGTTGGGGTGCTTTTCCTCGGTTGGTTGATCGCAATTCTGAAGGAGCTCTTTCCTGGGATTCTATCTGACCTTTCAGCCACAGCCTCAGGTGTCTGTGTGGGAATGGGAGTCCAGAAATATTCGAAGGTTCCAGCTGTGCCACATTCGAACACTCGCAGTACAGTTAGTCTTTCATTCCAGCCACTCTGATGGGTGTGCAGTGATCTCTCCTTATGTCTACACTCGCATTTCTCTGCTGATTAATGAGATCGAGCACCTTTTTAAGAAATTGTTTTTATTTATTGATTTTTGTTTGTCTTTTGAGATGAGGTCTCCCTCTGTCACCCAGACTGGATTGCAGTGCCACCACACCCAGCTATTTATTGTTTTCTTTTTTTTTTTTTTTAGCACCATTTTATGTGTTTATTGGTCATTTAACTATGCCTTTTATGAAGTTCCTTTTCAGGTATTTTCCCCCAGCTTTTACTGAGATGTTTGTATTTTAAAAATGGATTTGTAGTTTCCATATATTCTGTATTTGAGTTATACGCACAGGCACACAGGCGTATATGTACATATACAAAAATACATATACAATTTTAGTATCTTCTATAAATCTTTTTTGCTTTTACACGATCTCAATAATGTGTTGTAGATGAACAGATTCTCTTAATTTTATTAATTAGTGTATTATTTATGGATAGTGCTTTTTATTATTTTAAGAAACATCTTTGACTCACCCAATGCCATTACGATAATATTCCTTTTCTTAAAATTATACTTTAAGTTCCGGGATACATGGGCAGAACGTGCAGGTTTGTTACATAGGAAGACACATGCCATGGTTGTTTGCTGCACCCATTGACCCGTCATCTACCTTAGGTATTTCTCTAATGCTATCCCTCCCCTAGCCCCCCAACCCCTGACAGGCCCCACTGTGTGATGTTCTTCTCCCCGCGTCCATGTGTTCTCATTGTTCAACTCCCACTTATGAGTGAGGACACGTGGTGTTTGGTTTTCTGTTCCTGTGTTAGCTTGCTGACACATGTCCCTTCAAAGGACATGAACTCATTCTTTTTTATGGCTGCATAGTATTCCGTGGTGTATATGTACCACATTTTCTTTATCCAGCGTCGTGGCAGGCGCCCGTAATCGCAGCTACTCAGGAGGCTGAGGCAGGAGAATTGCTTGAACCTGGGAAGTGGAGGTTGCAGTGAGCAGAGACTGTGCCACTCCACTGCAGCCTGGGTGACAGAGCGAGGCTCCGACTCAAAAAAAAAAAAATGTCTTCCAATGCATGGAAAGAAAATTTTTCTCCATTTACTGCAGTCTTGAATTTCTCTGAGTGATGTTTTATAATTTTTGTGAAGTACTCTAGCACATCTTGATTAGATTTATTCCTAAATATTTGATGTTTTTGGAACTGTTTTTAATGACATTTGAAATCTCATATTCTAATTATTCGTTATACAGAATTGCCATTCTGTATAATGCCATTCATTATACAGAATTGCTATTCATTATACAGAAATGCCATTGGTTTTCATTGTATCTAGTAAGTTGACTAAATTTGCTTATTAACTGTAATGATTTTATTCTTCTGCATTTTTCTATGTACAGAACAATGTCATCTGTGAATAATGACAGTTTTATTTCTTTCCAAATTTTAAACCTATTGTATTTTCCTGATGATATGGCACTTTTTAGAACCTCCAGTAAATTGTTGAATGGATAGTGGACATCTTTGTCTTGTTTTCAAACTCAGGGAGAAAATACTGATACGTCACTATGAAGTATGGCATTTAAAAATTTTTTGTACATATGCTAACCAGAATAGGAAAGTTGCCCTTTTTCCTAAGTTGGTGATAGTTTTTATCACGAATGGACTTTAAACATTGATCCATGTATGAAAATGATCATGCGGTGTTTCCCTGTTTTTGTTGTTGTTGTTGTTGTTGTTGTTAATGTGGTGCACTACATTTGTCGATTTTCAAATGTTAAATCAGTGTTGCCTTTCTGCAATATACTCCACCATGGCTGATGTATGTCCTTTTTAAGTACTAGTACATTTTATTTGCTCACCCTTAGTTTGGAATTTTTGTGTCTAAGTTCGGGGTGATCTTGGCTTGTATTTTTGGCTTGATCTTGTAGTTTTTCATTCTTCTAAATTCCTTGTCAGATGTTGTTATCAGTTTTGTATCAATCTTCTAATAAGGGTTCCTAATAAGGGTTAATACACGTTGGTTTATGCATCTATTTGAATATATAAGCATAAATACTTATATATTAAATATATATGATATATAATATATAATTTAAAATATAATGTATAATAAGGGTTAATACAGATTGGTTTATACATCCATTTTTTCTAATAAGGGTTAATACAGATTGGCTTATACATCTTCAAATAGGTAATAATATTTTTATCTATTTTTGGTTGATGACAGCTGCTTATTCCACAAGCATTCTGATTGATTTGGTTATACCATCTTTCTTCTGTTTTACTTTGTGTACATTAAAATTAGGTTTCTTTTCCTGAGAACAGAGTGTTTGTTGAGACTTGGTAAATCTTGGCTCATGATTAAAAGTGAAATTAATGATTCAAAGTCTTGGTTGTATACACATATGCAGATTGCTTGCCATTTTGTGATTGTTAGATTTTTGTCATGAATAGAATATATTCATTGATGTTTTTCAGGAAACAATGACCGATAAAACAGAGAAGGTGGCTGTAGATCCTGAAACTGTGTTTAAACGTCCCAGGGAATGTGACAGTCCTTCGTATCAGAAAAGGCAGAGGATGGCCCTGTTGGCAAGGAAACAAGGAGCAGGAGACAGCCTTATTGCAGGCTCTGCCATGTCCAAAGAAAAGAGTAAGTAAGCCTGTCCTCACGTCCTCCTCATGCTCCTGCCTCATCCCCTCCAGAGAAACTGTCCTTGTCAAGGTTAACAGTTTCGGCTGACATTGCCATTAACTTCTCAGCAGCATTTGACAGTTGTTCACTCGCTTCTTCATGAAAACCTTCTAGGATTTCCATTTCCGACAATCTTTTTTTTTTTTTTAATTTCTTGTCCGTATTGGTGAATCCCTATCATTTTTTTCTTGAGATGGAGTTTCGCTCTTCTCAGCCAGGCTGGAGTGCAGTGGCGCGATCTCGGCTCACTGAAATCTCCGTCTCCTGGGTTCAAGTGATTCTTCTGCCGCAGCCTCCCGAGTAGCGGGATTACAAGCACCAGCCACCACACCCAGCTAATTTTTGTAAGTTTAGTAGAGATGGGGTTTCGCCATGTCGGCCAGGCTGGTCTGGAACTCCCCCCCTCAGGTGATCCACCCACCTCAGCCTCCCAAAGTGCTGGGATTACACGCACGAGCCACCGCCCCCGACCCCATCATTGTTTTTTTCTACATTTCTTTTTCTTCTCTTCTCTAAATACTGTAAAAAATTCCTGAACCCCAGCATCTCTCTCTCTCCTTCTATTCCACTCTGCCACGATCAATCACTGAGCTCCTGAGATACCTCCATGTTTCCCATTATTTCCCGCATCAAACACATACCCTCCAACCCTGCAGCCGGGTCATGATGTTGGCATGTAAATCACGTGATGCCATGTCGCTCCTGAACACCCATCCTCAACACTCCTAAGCACTCAGAACCGACTGCGAAGCAGCTTTGGTCTGCGAGGTTCTGCGTGGCCTGGCCTCCGTCACCCTCTCCTCACACGGGCCCCATCATCTCCTGACTCTCTCTGCTACTGTCCTTCACCCCGTAGTGCCCGGTCCATCCCCACTCCAGCCCATATCCTTGGCCTCACCGCAACCTGGAACTCCCCCTCTGCCTCTGCGCAGGCAGCTCTGCTTTTTCCTTCAAGCCCTGCCCAAGGGTACCTCCACAGAAGGCTCTGCCCAACCAGCAGCAGCTCCTGGGGCTCCCTCTGCTGCTGTTGCCCACAGGCCTGTGGACTGCTTCCTTACCACTAGCCCAACACTGTATGTTTCATTTGCTCATTGTGCACGTACTGTCTGACCGCCCCATGAGGATGTGAGCTCCACAAGGGCAGGGAACGTTGCTCTCTGGGCTGTTTACTGCTGATCCCCAGCTACCGGCACGCTGCCTGCCACAGACGATGAATAAATGAGAGGTGTCAGACCTGGAGTGAAAAGAAAGTCACTTTTGTGAGACAGAAAGGAAGGATGAGGAAAATCATACAGTAAAAGGGACTTTTTGGTGGTGGAGTGCGTATAGAACTTTTAGCAGTAATGGCCGCCTCTATTTTCTCAGAATGTGTTTGATATAACAGGAGACCGGTTGAGTTGTATCCCAGTTGCCTGGGTTCCAGCTCAGTAAAGCATGGCAGTTTGTAAGTGAGTTTGAGAAATCATGATATCAAGTGAGACTTGCTGCTTTCAACTTGTAAAGCATAACAAGCTGAAACTGTCCCATGAGTACCAGGGATCTGTGAATGTTGCTTTAGAGTTGTACTGCCTTACTTGGTTTCCATGTCTATTCATAGGGCCAGAAAATAAGAGGTGGTTTTATTGTATTATGTGTCCTGGCCTCCGTTTGTCAGGCCTGGGATTTCTCCCTGGTGTATCCTCCCATTTATGAAATAAATAATTCCCTAGAAACTGAGGAGCACATAGATGTACCCAGAGGGGTGATGAAACACACATATCTCACAGCTCAGCTTCTCAGTTTGATTTCCAGAGCTGTCATTCATGAGGTCTATGTGGAGGGGAAAGAAAGTGGTCAAACACCAACTGATGGCTTTTACTCAAAATCTGTTTCACCAGAGCTTATGACAGGACATGCTATTCCACCCAGCCAATTGGATTCTCAGATTGATGACTTCACTGGTTTCAGCAAAGATAGGATGATGCAGAAACCTGGTAGCAATGCACCTGTGGGAGGAAACGTTACCAGCAGTTTCTCTGGAGATGACCTAGAATGCAGAGAAACAGCCTCCTCTCCCAAAAGCCAACGAGAAATTAATGCTGATATAAAACGTAAATTAGTGAAGGAACTCCGATGCGTTGGACAAAGTAAGTAATATAAGAATGTCTGTTTTATAAAACTATAGGAAGTCTCTCTTTCTATGATTCAGAAGATATTCATGTTGCCTGTTGAGTTTCATTCTTTGCCAGAGTTGAGATTGCACATAATTTATGGTGGTTCCTCTTTTCTTTGACTAAAGCATGTACATTTTTTCTTTTTCTTTTCTTACTTGGTTATGGTTAAAGGAGTTACATTCGTATGTATGTGCAGGTGTCTTTTTTATTATTTAGGTTTTGTATGTGCAGGTATCTTGATTTAAGCATTTAAAACATTTCAGCCTCTGAAGCATGATTGCTGAGGTGTAGATTCACTTCTATTCTTCTTTATATTTGATAATACTGAAGTTTTTTTTTTTCAACATCTTCAGAATATGAAAAAATCTTCGAAATGCTTGAAGGAGTGCAAGGACCTACTGCAGTCAGGAAGCGATTTTTTGAATCCATCATCAAGGAAGCAGCAAGGTGGGTAGAAATAGGAACTGTCCAATTTCTTTAAGCACTTGGGCTCAATAGAGCACTGGGGGTGAGCGTTGGGGAACAGCCCCTGCCTTGCGTTTCTCAAACCCTGGTCCTCACTCACAGTTATGGCTGTCTCCACAGTTACTTAGGCTAATGTTATCTGAGTGTAACTCATTCTTCGAAGACTATGGAGACTTCCATTTTCACCATAGTCTGAGGTGCGCATTGTCCCTCAATTGACACTCTTTGTATTTGCTAGACTACCTCTTTTTAAAAAATTTGTGTAGGCACATAGCAGATGCATATATTTCTGGGCTATATGAGATATTGTGATACAGACAACAATGTGTAATAATCACATCAAGGTAAGTGGGGTTTCTATCACCTCAAGCTTTTATCCTTTGCGTTACAGAGAATACAATTATACTCTTCATTATTTTTAAATGTGCAATTAAATTATTACCGACTATAGTCACCCTGTTTGGCTATGAAATACGACATCTTATTTATTCCATACTTCTACGTATTAATCATCCCCACTTCCCACACCCTCCACCCCCACTAACCTTTGTAGCCTCTGGTAACTGTCATTCTACTCTCTATCTCCATTAGTTCAGTTGTTTTACACTTTTACTCCCAAAAATAAGTGAGAACATGTGAAGTTTGTCTTTCTGTGCCTGGCTTATTTCACTTAACATAAGGACCTTCGGTTCTATCCGTGTTGTTGCAAATGACTGAATCTCATTCTTTTTTTTATGGCTAAACAGTACTCTGTGGTGTATATGTACCATATTTTCTTTACCCATTCATGTGTTAGTGGACACTTAGGTTGCTTCCAAATCTTGGCTACTGTGGATGGTGCTGCAACAAACATGGGAGTGCAGATATCTGTTCGGTACACTGACTTCCTTTCTCTTGGGTATATACCCAGCAGTGGGATTGCTGGATCATATGATAGCTCCATTTTTAGTTGTTTGAGGAACCTCCAAACTGTTCTTCATAGTTAGTTGTTGTAGTAATTTATATTCTCACCAACAGTGTATGAAGGTTCCCTTTTCTCCACACCCTTGCCAGCATTTGTTATGCCGGCTAGACTGCCTCTTACCATGCAGATACATTTCTATTTCCATGCTGACTGTTACTTCATCTTTCTATCCATCACAGTGCTTCCTACAGCATAGGTTCTTTAGCTATCTTTTGGTTAATGACATGTCTCTTTCTTTTCAGATGTATGAGACGAGACTTTGTTAAGCACCTTAAGAAGAAACTGAAACGTATGATTTGAGAATACTTGTCCCTGGAGGATTATCACACCCCAAATGCATAATCTCGTTAATGATTGAGGAGAGAAAAGGATCAGATTGCTGTTTTCTACAATGGAGCAGGATATTGCTGAAGTCTCCTGGCATATGTTACCGAATCAAATAGCCTTCCAGAGGCTAAGAAATTTCTGTTAGTAAAAGATGTTCTTTTTCCCAAAGCATTTTATTTGAAAGGATAACTTGTGTTTTGGTTATTTTGTATTCCCACCTGTGCTGGTAGATATTATTAACCCATTAGGTAAATACTATTACAGTCGTGGTTTCTGCAGCAGCTCACAGTGTTGTAGCTGGTATTTATCACTACGTTCTTTCGCTACCCATTTCACATTCCCTTTGCCCTGAGATAGCATGTCAGTTGGTCATGATGCTTGGCCTGGCAGGATGACTCAAACCTTCATTACGGAAGAGTCTGAAACATTAGATGTCCTGCCTGGATGGGGTTGCTGTGATCTTCCATTAACTCTAATCGAAAAACACGGGAGGACTAAGAAGCTCTCTAGACATATCACACATACTCTTCCTTAGCCCCTGGTGTAGTGGGAACCCGATCTCAATGTTGAAATCTGTATCATCAGCCTTCAACGAAAAGGCAGAACTAATGGGAGATTTTAATGTGTGTGTGTGTATTTTACACACACATTAAAATACACACACACTTTAAAATCTCCCATTATACATGTAATGCACATTATACCTGTGTGTGTGTGTGTGTGTTGGTAGGGGGTATATATACCTACACACACACACTTTGTAATCTCCCATTATACATATAATACACATTATACACATTACACATATTACATATACACCCCTATTCATATATATATACCCCATATATATATATACCATATATAGTATATATATATATATGTGGTATATATACCATATATGGTATATATACCATATATATATGGTATATATACCATATATATATGGTATATATATATATATATATATATATATATATATATATGCACGTAGGGTGGTATATCCAATATATATAATAAAGGTAGTTCCTAGATAGGATTGGCCTGATAACAATAATTTGGAGCTTCAGTAGCAGTCCCTTTAAGACTGTTGTCTCCAGATATGACTTGCACATTCTATGCTTTTTATTTTATTTTTTTAAGACAGAATCTTGCTCTGTTGCCCAGGCTAGAGTGCAGTGTCACGATCACAAGTCACTGCAACCTCCAGCTCACCCCAGTTCAAGCGATCCTTGTGCTTCAGCCTCCCAAGTAGCTGGGATTACAGGTGCACCACAGGTGCCATCACGCTGCTAATTTTTGCATTTTTAGTGGAGATGGGGTTTTGCCATGTTGTCCAGGCTGGTCTCGAAACCTGGCCTCAAGTGATCTGCCCATCTCAGCCTCCCAAGGTGCTAGGATTACAGGCATGAGCCACTGCACCCAGCCCATTCTATGCTTTTTTTAAAATTAATTCATTCATTGATTCAACAAATATTAATTGTTCCAGGTACTTTTCTTTTTTTTATTATTATACTTTAAGTTTTAGGGTACATGTGCACAACGTGCAGGTTTGTTACATATGTATACATGTGCCAAGTTGGTGTGCTTCACCCATAAACTCGTCATTTAACATTAGGTATATCTCCTAATGCTATCCCTCCCCCCTCCCCACACCCCACAACAGGCCCCGGTGTGTGATGTTCCCCTTCCTGTGTCCATGTGGTCTCATTGTTCAATTCCCACCTACGAGTGAGAACATGCGGTGTTTGGTTTTTGTCCTTGGGATAGTTTGCTGAGAATGATGGTTTCCAGCTTCATCCATGTCCCTACAAAGGACATGAACTCATCATTTTTCATGGCTGCATAGTATTCCATGGTGTATATGTGCCACATTTTCTTAATCCAGTATATCACTGATGGACATTTGGGTTGGTTGCAAGTCTTTGCTATTGTGAATAGTGCCGCAATAAATATACGTGTGCATGTGTCTTTATAGCAGCATGATTTATAATCCTTTGGGTATATATCCAGTAATGGGATGGCTTGGTCAAATGGTATTTCTAGTTCTAGATCCCTGAGGAATTGCCACACTGACTTCCACAATGGTTGAACTAGTTTACAGTCCCACCAACAGTGTAAAAGTGTTCCTATTTGTCCATATCCTCTCCAGCACCTGTTGTTTCCTGATTTTTAAATGATTGCCATTTTAATTGGTGTGAGATGGTATCTCATTGTGGTTTTGATTTGCATTTATCTGATGGCCAGTGATGATGAGTATTTTTTCATGTGTCTGTTGGCTGCATAAATGTCTTCTTTTGAGAAGTATCTGTTCATATCCTTCGCCCGCTTGTTGATGGGGTTGTGTGTTTTTTTCTTGTAAATTTGTTTGAGTTCATTGTAGATTCTGGATATTAGCCCTTTTTCAGATGAGTAGATTGCACAAATTTTCTCCCATTCTGTAGGTTGCCTGTTCACTCTGATGGTAGTTTCTTTTGCCGTGCAGAAGCTCTTTAGTTTAATTAGATCCCATTTGTCAATTTTGGCTTTTGTTGCCATTGCTTTTGGTGTTTTAGACATGAAGTCCTTGCCCATGCCTATGTCCTGAATGGTATTGCCTAGGTTTTCTCCTAGGGTTTTTATGGTTTTAGGTCTAACATGTAAGTCTTTAATCCATCTTGAATTAATTTTTGTATAAAGTATAAGGAAGGGATCCCATTTCAGCTTTCTCCATATGGCTAGCCAGTTTTCCCAGCACCATTTATTAAATAGGGAATCCTTTCCCCATTTCTTGTTTTTGTCAGGTTTGTCAAAGATCAGATAGTTGTAGATATGCGGCATTATTTCTGAGGGCTCTGTTCTGTTCTGTTCCATTGGTCTGTATCTCTGTTTTGGTAACAGTACCATGCTGTTTTGGTTACTGTAGCCTTGTAGTATAGTTTGAAGTCAGGTAGCATGATGTCTCCAGCTTTGTTCTTTTGGCTTAGGATTGACTTGGCGATGCGGGCTCTTTTTTGGTTCCATATGAACTTTAAAGTAGTTTTTTCCAATTCTGTGAAGAAAGTCATTGGTAGCTTGATGGGGATGGCATTGAATCTATAAATTACCCTGGGCAATATGGCCATTTTCACGATATTGATTCTTCCTACCCATGAGCATGGAATGTTCTTCCATTTGTTTGTATCCTCTTTTATTTCATTGAGCAGTGGTTTGTAGTTCTCCTTGAAGAGGTCCTTCACAATCCCTTGTAAGTTGGATTCCTAGGTATTTTATTCTCTTTGAAGCAATTGTGAATGGGAGTTCACTCATGATTTGGCTCTCTGTTTGTCTGTTATTAGTGTATAAGAATGCTTGTGATTTTTTGCACATTGATTTTGTCTCCTGAGACTTTGCTGAAGTTGCTTATCGGCTTAAGGAGATTTTGGGCTGAGACAATGGGGTTTTCTATATATACAATCATGTCATCTGCAAACAGGGACAGTTTGACTTCCTCTTTTCCTAATTGAATGCCCTTTATTTCTTTCTCCTGCCTGACTGCCCTGGCCACAGCTTCCAACACTATGTTGAATAGGAGTGGTGAGAGAGGGCATCCCTGTCTTGTGCCAGTTTTCAAAGGGAATGCTTCCAGTTTTTGTCCATTCAGTATGATATTGGCTGTGGGTTCGTCATAAATAGCTCTTATTACTTTGAGATACGTCCCATCAACACCTAATTTATTGAGAGTTTTTAGCATGAAGGTTGTTGAATTTTGTCAAAGGTCTTTTCTGCATCTATTGAGATAATCATGTGGTTTTTGTCTTTGGTTCTGTTTATATGCTGGATTACATTTATTGGTTTGCGAATGTTGAACCAGCCTTGCATCCCGGGGATGAAGCCCACTTGATCATGGTCGATAAGCTTTTTGATGTGCTGCTGGATTCGGTTTGCCAGTATTTTATTGAGGATTTTTGCATCAATGTTCATCAAGGATATTGGTCTAAAATTCTCTTTTTTGGTTGTGTCTCTGCCAGGCTTTGGTATCAGGATGATGCTGGCCTCATAAAATGATTTAGGGAGGATTCCCTCTTTTTCTATTGATTGGAATAGTTTCAGAAGGAATGGTACCAGCTCCTCCTTGTACCTCTGGTAGAATTCGGCTGAGAATCCATCTGGTCCTGGACTTTTTTTGGTTGGTAAGCTATTAATTATTACCTCAATTTCAGAGCCTGTTATTGGTCTATTCAGAGATTCAACTTCTTCCTGGTTTAGTCTTGGGAGGGTATATGTGTCGAGGAATTCATCCATTTCTTCTAGATTTTCTAGTTTATTTGCGTAGAGGTGTTTATAGTACTCTTTGATGGTAGTTTGTATTTCTGTGGGATCGGTGGTGATATCCCCTTTACCATTTTTCATTGCGTCTATTTGATTCTTCTCTCTTTTCTTCTTTATTAGTCTTGCTAGCGGTCTATCAATTTTGTTGATCTTTTCAAAAAACCAGCTCCTGGATTCATTGATTTTTTTGAAGGGTTTTTTGTGTCTCTATTTCCTTCAGTTCTGCTCTGATCTTAGTTATTTCTTGCCTTCTGCTAGCTTTTGAATGTGTTTGCTCTTCCTTCTCTAGTTCTTTTAATTGTGATGTTAGGGTGTCAATTTTAGCTCTTTCGTGCTTTCTCTTGTGGGCATTTAGTGCTATAAATTTCCCTCTACACACTGCTTTGAATGTGTCCCAGAGATTCTGGTATGCATGGTACTGTTACCAAAACAGAGATATAGACCAATGGAACAGAATAGAGCCCTCAGAAACAATGCCACATATCTACAACTATCTGATCTTTGACAAACCTGACAAAAACAAGAAATGGGGAAAGGATTCCCTATTTAATAAATGGTGCTGGGAAAACTGGCTAGCCACATGTAGAAAGCTGAAACTGGATCCCTTCCGTACACCTTATACAAAAATTTATTCAAGATGGATTAAAGACTTAAATGTTAGACCTAAAACAGTAAAAACCGTAGATGAAAACCTAGGCAATACCATTCAAGACATAGTAGGCATGGGCAAGGACTTCATGACTAAAACACCAAAAGCAATGGCAACAAAAGCCAGAATTGACAAGTGGGGTCTAATAAAACTAAGGGGTTCTGCACAGCAAAAGAAACTACCACCAGAGTGAGCAGGCAACCTACAGAATGGGAGAAAAAATGCTCCTCATCACTGGTCATCAGAGAAATGCAAATCAAAACCACAGTGAGATGCCATCTCACACCAGTTAGAATGGTGATCATTAAAAAGTCAGGAAACAACAGGTGTTGGAGAGGATGTGGACAAATAGGAACACTTTTACACTGTTGGTGGGACTGTAAATTAGATCAACCATTGTGGAAGACAGTGTGGCCATTCCTCAAGGATCTAGAACTGGAAATACCATTTGACCCAGCCAGCCGATTACTGGGTATATACCCAAAGAATTATAAATCATGCTGCTATAAAGACACATGCACATGTATGTTTATTGCGGCACTATTCACAATAGGAAAGACTTGGAACCAACCCAAATGTCCATCAATGATAGACTGGATTAAGAAAATGTGGCACATATACACCATGGAATACTATGCAGCCATAAAAAAGGATGAGTTCATGTCCTCTGTAGGGACATGGATGAAGCTGGAAACCATCATTCTGAGCAAACTATCACAAGGACAGATAACCAAACACCGCATGTTCTCACTCATAGGCGAGAAGGATAGCGTTAGGAGATATACCTAACGTAAATGATGAGTTAACGGGTACAGCACACCAACATGGCACATGCATACATATGTAACAATCCTGCACGCTGTGCACATGTTCCCTAGAACTTAAAGTATAATGAAAATAAATGAATAAATAGAAGTTAGACCTGCCAATAACCCAAATGAGCTTGAAAATAATTTCTCTCTGAGTCCTCAGTTAGTCAGCAGCCTGGTTGATACCTTACCTTTGATTTGTGAGATCCTAAGCAGAGATACCAATCTAGGCTGCATGGATTTCTGATCTACAGAACTGCTTATATATTTGTGTTGTTTTAAGCTGCTAAATTGGGGATAATTTCTTTTGCAGTAGTAACAAACTTAATAGACGTGGTGCCGGCATATTCTGAAATAACAAATGAAAATCAGGCATGATGTTTTTTATTTTCTCATCAACTGGTCGCAGGGAACTCCCCATGAGACCGCAGGTGCAGGACTAAGGAAGCTTCTCTTTTTCTGGGCCCCAATCCATGCTAGCAGGGTTTGAGGCACCTGTCAGTGGGTCACAGTACTGCACAACATTGAGGTATATACTAAGACAACATCTATTATGGAACTCGTTTCTGTGTTCCTTATTTAGTAGTAAAAAAGGCAAGATGTAAGAACATGCTGTTCACCTTATAACCACCATCTTGACATGCCAGACTACTAAGTTGTTAGACGTTTCCCTCAGGTAGAAGACCCCTGACGTTGTTTGGGAATTATTTCTCACATAATGTCTTGTAAGTGTGTCGCTAATGTGTCTGGATTAGTTGCTACCTCCTGCGCAGTCAGCATAATGTCATCAGTGCAAAGAATGGTGTTACATCTGGTTTAAGAGAAAGGTGGTCATGGTCCCTAAGGACTCGTTTAGGATATAAACCTTGAGAGTTGATATAAGGTTGAAAGAGGAGATGATAGTACATTGCTGTCCTTTCTAGCTGGACCCAAACTCTTCTTTATGACAACTACTGAAAGAAAACAAAACATTCACCTAATCACGATTATATATCAGGTTCCCAGGGATGTCACAGTTGCCGATGCAACAAAACCACCTGCAGTACAGCAGCTGCAGTTGGAACAACAATTTGATTAAGTTTATGGTCCGATCTCGGCTCACGGCCACCTCCACCTCCCGGGTTCAAGCAATTCTCTTGCCTCAGCCTCCTGTGTAGCTGGACTATAGGCACACACTATCACACCTGGCTAGTTGTTTGCATTTCTTAGTAGAGACAGGGTTTCACCATGTTGGCTAGGCTAGTCTCAAACTCCTGACCTCGAGTGATCTGCCCACCTCAGACTCCCAAAGTGCTGGGATTACAAGCGCGAGCCACCGCGCCAGGCCCCGGCTATTTTTTGTATTTTTGGTGGAGCTGTGGTTTCGCCATGTTGGCCAGCCTTATCTGGAACTCCTGACCTCAAGCGATCCACCCGCTTCTGCCTCCCAAATCCTGGGATTACAGGCGTGAGCCACTGTGTCCAGCGAAAACTTCACTTTTAAGTGAAACGCAGAAACAAAATCAGATAATCAGAAAATGAGATACTGCGTGTTCTCATTCATATGTGGGAGCTAAACAATGGGTACACATGAACATAAAGGTAGAAACCATTGACTCTGAGGACTCCAAAAGGGAAGTGGAGGGGAGGGAGGGAGCGGGTTGGAGGGTTGAAAAACTACCTATTGGATACTCTCTTCACTATTTGGGAGATGGGTTCACTAGAAGCCCAAACCCCGGAATTATGCAATTATATCCAAGTGAGAAACTTGTACATGTACCCGTCTTGCATCTATAATTTTAAAAAGGTTAAAAAAGAAAGCTTCAGTTTTAAATCTTAACCAGATATACATGAAAAGGATTACTATACTTGGACACCTTTACAGGTTTCTATGTTAGTTTTTGGTGTTAAAGCAGAAAACTGTTCCTCGACCACTTTATTAATTGTATATCCTCTTTGTACAAACATCCAAAATAGAAGACTGTCACTTTTGGTTCTGTAACTGTGATTCTTTACTGCAGTCTTCTACAGCTTTTACAGAATTAATGGTCCCTAGTGTCTGCCATTCTCCAATTGCCCTGGGTGGCGAAATGGCTGCCGTAGTAAACTTTTCACTGATAATTAGAGGTTTTGGAAACATGCAGGGCTTGTTATTTAAGAGTGACTCCATTTGGGCATTCCGGTGGATGGCCTACAGGTTTTCTTGCAGAGTATACTAGAGTCTCCAGAATGAATAACCCTAGGAACTTGAGGAACTAGTGCTTTCCAGAATTTTGGAAGCCAAGATACAAATATTGAAGAGTCCAGTCCCAGTTATAATCACCATCAGAAGAGAAAATGTCTGTGCATTCAATCAGTGTCTAATTGCCATCCCAGGTGAA
Organism: Homo sapiens; assembly: GCF_000001405.40. Lineage (NCBI taxonomy): Eukaryota > Metazoa > Chordata > Mammalia > Primates > Hominidae > Homo > Homo sapiens. Next base: position 135,752,219 of record NC_000023.11, on the reverse strand, counting down.
GGCTAGACCCATATCATGCTCTGTGGATTTCCAGGGTCTTTTTTCATTTTTCATTTTTGTCAGTACCTAGTGGGTGTATATATTTATGGATTACATGAGATATTTTGATAAGGCATACAATGTATAATAATCACATCAGGGTAAATAGTCTCCATCACCGCAACCATTTATCCTTCCTTTGTGTTACAAACAATCCAATTATACTCTTTTAGTGATTTTAAAATTTATAATAAATTATTGACTCTAGTCACCCTGTTGTGCTATCAAATGCTACATCTTACTCATTCTACCTAACTATATTTTTGTACCCACGAGCCATCCCCGCTTCCCCCGACACCCCCACTACTCTTCCCTGCCTCTGGTAACCATCCTTCTACTCTCTATCTCCATGAGTTCGGTGGTTTTAATTTTTAGCTCCCACAAAGGAGTGAGAACATGTGAAGTTTGTCTTTCTTTGCCTGGCTTATTTCACTTAACATAATGACCTCCAGTTCCACCCATGTTGTTGAAAATGATGAGATCTCATTCTTTTTTATGGCTGAATAGTACTTCACTGTGTATATGTACCACATTTTCTTTATCCATTCATCTGCTGGAGGACACTTAGGTTGCTTCCAAATCTTAGCTATTGTGAATGGTGCTGCAACAAACATGGGAGTGCAGATACCTCTTCCATATACTAGTTTCCTTTCTTTTCCAAGTTTTTATATGCACTTCATCAGCAGTGCTGTAGAAACTGCAGCTGGCAATGTAAGTCCCTGGAAAGAGAACATCACACCCAGGGCACTCTTGCCACTCTGATAGCTACATCTTTTTGAAGACATGGTAAAAGTCTGGGGTAAAGTAGTGGTTGTTCTCTAGCAAAAATCGAACACCAGCCTACCCCTGAAGTATTTTGAACCTTTCGCATACAAAATGCAAATTACAATACCAAAGTCATTTGATGTGGCCAAATGGGTGGGGATTCTTGGGATTAAGCACCCCATCTTCAAAGCTGCATTCTTCTTCAGGTACCTGAGGCAATGTCTGGGGTTATTACGGGGAAACTCATTGGGGTACCAACAAATGCTGAAAGGAGAGAACATTGGTAGAACCGGACAGCCTCACAGTGGTGGCCTTGGACTGTAGCAGTTGGAGCTGGCTCTGGCAGCTGCCCTCATCTTGGGTCCTGGGGTGCCTGCCCATAGGCTCTCAGCTGCCCTGCACTGCCGGGGCTCCGCATCCTCGCCTGGCAGCTGCAGCTCATCAGACTAGGAGCTGCCAGGGCTCAGTGTCACCTCGGTCCTCCCAGTTCAGCATCCAGGTCTGTCCTGGGAGAAGCCCTGCCTGAGCCCCACCCCAGCCCTCTTTGTTCCCTGTGCTGCCAGCGGACTTGCCTCCTGGGCACACTCATCCATCAGTGGCCAGGGGCCTGCAGGACCCAGCCAAGCAGCCTCTGCCCACTCCAGCAGTGACTGGCTGGGGTGGGCTTTTGCAGATGGCATAAACTCCATATCTCAGTTATCCCTGAGGTGTCCCTGTGGATGGGCCTGCCACACTCAATTGAGTCCTTTAAAAGCAGACAGAGATGGGCGTGGTGTTTCACGCCTGTAATCCCAGTGCTTTGGGAGGGTGAGGTGGGCAGACCACTTGAGTCCAGGAGTTCGAGACCAGCCTGGCCAGCATAGTGAAACCCCTGTCTCCAAACACAATTGTTTTTTTAAATTAGGTGGGCGTGGTGGTGCGTGCCTATAGTCCCAGCTACTTGGGAGGCTGAGGCGAGAGGATCATTTGAACCCAGCAATTTGAGGCTGCAGTGAGCCATGATCACATCACTGCACTCCAGCCTGGGAGACAGAGCGAGACCCTGTCTAACAAACAAACAAACAAATGAACAACACCACTGATGCCCCCCCACCCACCCCAATAAAAACACATAAAAGTCGACAGATTTCTTCACCAGAGAGCAGAAACAGAAGTACAAGATAGTCAAAGGACAAGAGGGATTTGATTGGGCTTTACTGTTTTGAAGATGTAGGAGTACACAACGAAGCTATGCTGGAGGGCCTAGGAGCTGAGAGTAGTCCCTGGCTGTCACCCAGTAAAGAAACCAGGACCTCATTTCTACAACCTTAAACACAGGAATAGATCATCAATGTCCTCAGACATTAAGGAAATGGAAATCAAATCCACAAGGAGATACTACCTCACCTCACTGGGATGAATATTAACAAGTAATTAACAAGTGTTATAGAGGAGAAATTGGAACCCTCCACCATTGCTGCTGGGAATGTAAAATGATGCAGCATCTTTGAAAAATAGTCTGGCATTTCTTCACAGAATTGATAATAAAGTTATTGAACAACCTGCAAATTCCACTTCTAGCTAAATATCCAAGAGAAATACAAGCATATATCCACAGCAAAACTTGCACACAAATATTTGAAGCCAGATCCAATATTATATTTTGTACACCTTCATACCCCAGCCTTAAGAACTACTCTCACACATTTACCAGAGACTACTATATTGGAAAAATCATACAGTTGTTTCGGTGACTATCACACCTCTTGACAGGGCTCAGTGTTTAACTCACTGTTTTGGCCAGCAGGAACTTGAATTTAAGTGCAGGTTAAGAAGCAATGAGGGGTGCTGGTGTTAGTTTCAGAGGAGGAGCAGCGGTGCCCTTCAAGGCAACGATCTCAGGTGAGACCCTCACAGCTCTTCGGGTAAAGGGGAACCTCGGGCAGGAGGAGTGGGAGGGCTGCTTCTATTGACAAAGACACCCGGAGAATTTAGGGATTTGCAATGGACCGAATGTTTGTGTCCCCCGCCACATTCATTTATTGAAATCCTAACTCCTATTGTGATGTTATTAGGAGGTGGAGCCATTGGAAGGTCATGAAAGTGGAGCCCTAATAAATGGGAATATTGTCCATATAAAAGGGACCCCAGAGAGCTCTCTGTGCCCTGGCAACATGGAAGAGGGCCCTCACCAGAACCTGACCATGCTGGCACCTTGATCTCAGACTTACAGCCTCTAGAAATGTGAGAAATACAATTTCTGTTGTTTGTAAGCTACCTAGTATATGGTATTTTATTATAGCAGCCCTAACTGACTAAAACACAGTTCTAAGTGCCCAGATTCATTGGCATAAACCTATACGTTTCCATTCCAGTTTTCAGTATCTGATTTCTCCCTATTAGTGCCCTAACATTAGCAGAAGAGACCCTTTTGAGGTTGTGAATTCAATTTGTGCTGTAATTCAGCCACTGACAGGAGTAGACTTTGGATTTCATTTTCCCAAATCTTGGCCTGGTTGCTATAGGAGATGACAGTTTCTTTCAGGCCAGTCATAGATGTTATCAGGTCCTTCCTTCACACCTTGAGCAAGAACTTTAACGACTTCTTTCTTCATGTTCTACAGTACATTAGAAACAACAAATCAACCACTCAATACTCCTTATTTTGACCAAACCATTCTAAGATATCAAAGCACAAGAAAGCCAACCAGGTCAGGGCCGGTGGCTCATGCCTGTAATTCCAGCACTTTGGGAGGCTGAGGCAGGAGTATTGCTGGAGCCCAGGAGTTAGAGACCAGACAAAAAATTTACAGTTAGTCACCCAGGGACTTGTCTTTTATAGGCACTTGATTGTGGGCGGCAAGCCACCCAGGTGCCGAGGCAAGAGAGTGAGGACACGAGCAGTTCCAGTAGAATAAAATATAAAATAAGAATAGTTATACCAGATATAGATCTTAGATATTATTATATATGAATATCATTAATCATTAGTTTGTAGCAATTACTCTTTATTCCAATATTATAATAATCCTCACTCTATAATCATAACCTAGGAAAAACCAGGCCATACAGAGATAGGAGCTGAGGAGACATAGTGAGAAGTGACCAGAAGACAAGAGTGCGAGCCTTCTGTTATGCCCGGACAGGGCCACCAGAGTGTTCCTTGGTCTAGCGGTAACGCCAGTGTCTGGGAAAACGCCCATTGCCAAGCGGACCGTGGTCTAGTGGTAGCATAAGTGTCAAGGAAAAACAACCACTACTTAGCAGACTGGGAAAGGGGAGTCTCCCTTTCCCCGGGGGAGTTTGGAGAAGACTCTACTCCTCCACCTCTTGTGGAGGGCCTGACATTAGTCAGGCTTGCCCACAGTTGTCCGGAGGCCTAACCGTCTCCCTGTGATGCTGTGCTTCAATGGTCACGCTCCTTGTCTGCCTTCATGTTCCATCCTGTACACCTGGCTCTGCCTTTTAGATAGTAGTAGCAAAATTAGTGAAAGTACTAAAAGTCTCTAATAAGCAAAAATAATGGCATAAGCTGTCTCTCTCTCTCTGTCTCCTCTCTCTCTCTGCCTCAGCTGCCAGGCAGGGAAGGGCCCCCTGTCCAGTGGACACGTGACCCACATGGCCTTACCTATCATTGGAGATGGCTGACTCTCCTTATCTTGCCCCTTTGTCTTGTATCCAAGAAATATCAGTGCAGCCTGGCATTCGGGGCCACTACTGGTCTCTGCGTCTTGGTAGTAGTGGTCCCCCAGGCCCAGCTGCCTTTTCTTTTATCTCTTTGTCTTGTGTCTTTATTTCTACACTCTCTCGTCTCCACACATGGGGAGAAACCCACCGACCCTGTGGGGCTGGTCCCTACACTTAATTATAGGACTCTAAAGGTGTAAATTCGAATAATTCTTTTGCTATTTCTTACTGTGCACTACCAGTGCTCATTTTACTACTGCAAACTGTTGGGGTGATCAGACCCAGCACCAGGTCATGGGGGCGATGAAGTCTGGCAGAGTCAAAGGATTGAGAAAAAGTTTGAGAAGGAAAGTGGGACCAGGGGACCATCATGATTGTGGAGGCTGCGAAGGCCCTGAGCTCTGGGAGCCCACACTATTTATTGGTAATCCAACAAAGAGACAGGTGGTGAGAATGTGGGGGTCAAAAAGGCAGGTGCATGATCTACAGCTGTGACACTTTACCATTTATATGGAACATGTTCTGCTACTTGAGATAATGGGAATAGAATTGATCTAGGAGCCTAGGAAGGCTAGAAGCTAGGAGCAAGCAAGTATAGACACATTCCTGAGGACATTATGTCAGACATGCAAGCCCTGCCTCAGTTTTTTTCCCAACACTCAGCTTTTTCCCAATATACCCCGCTTCTCTTTATTGTAAAAGAAATGGTATCATTATTACTATCATTATTACTAGCTATCATTATTACTAGCATAAAAGGTGGCCTCTTTTAATTCTGCAAGTCAATTGCAGGTTGTGCAGCCCTTAATTGCCAGTTGGTGATCCAGCTTCATTTTTCTTAGCCCTTATGCAAACTGGAGTCACTCTGATTTGAATGCTTCCCACATATCTCCCCTTTCCCTTTTACAAGAGGACCCTTAATTCTAGGGGTTGCAGAAGGATGAAGGTCCGTCTTCTGTAACTTTTTCATGCTGAATAGGGGCAATGATATTCCTGCCTAACTGTTAGGGTCTCTTGTATTCAGGGTAGAGAGGAGCTGAGTCAGAAAGCACTGGTCCATTAAGCATCGTGACTCTGGTCAGTCTTCGTTCCATCTTCACATTCAGATTCAACTGGCTCATGGCTCGTACTGGGGGAACCTGGTCCATGGTTGGGATCCATGGGTCCCTCCAGTCTCCTGTTCCATGGTTGTACACATCTTGAGGGCATCCACATGCACACCCTCACCCCCATGTTAGTAAATCTACTGAAACAGAAGCAAAAACCTTTGTAGCTGTAGCTGGGAGGCCACTGAAAATGAGAAACAGGCCCCTTCTAACAGAAGGCACAGGGAAAGCAAATCGAGGCTTTTCAAACCTTCAATTCACACTGTACAGGTGGGTACACTAGATGCTGTGGCTCATGATAGATCTTCAGATGTTTGGTGGGCACCCACACAGGCACCTGATTGTCACCTGGAGAGATACAAGCAAATCCTCTTCCCCATATAATTATCTTTCCTTTTTTCCCAGTTCTTTGTATGTGCATCCCTCCACCATATATCTTCTCCAGCCTTTTTATTTTCCTTTTGTCCTGTCAGGTGTTGTACTGCTGCAGTTATGGGTTGATCTTTTTGTACATTAAAAAAAAATTAATGTTAATAAAGCTAGATGCAATTGCATATGTGGTATTTTATATTCCTGGTCTCCTGCCTTCTGCTTTTGTATTTCAGTTTTTAAAGTACGATTAGCTGTTTCCACTATTGCCTGTCCTTGTGAGTTATATGGAATACCTGTAGTATGGGCAATATTCCATTGTTGAAAGAATGCTACAGTATCCGGGGCCGTTATCAGCTGTGATTTTTTTCTGGGATTCCCATAACAGAAAAGCAAGATAAAAGATGTCTTTTAACATGAGCTGTAGCCTCCCCTGTTTGACATGTGGGCCAGATAAAATACGAATAGATATGTACTGAAAAATGAGCAAAGGACAATTTTCCAAAAGCAGGAATATGTGCTACATCCATCTGCCAAATGGAATTTGGAGATAAATCTCTAGGGTTAACTCCTGTTCCTTGATGTGACAAATGCAGGACTTGGCAGGCAGAAGAGTGTTGCACAATTTCTTTAGCTTGTTTCCATTATAGACCATATCTTTTTCAGCAGCATTAAGATGGGTTAAAGAATGAAATGTTTGTGCATCAGCAAAAGCTGCAGACACCAATGCATCCTCCCTTTGATTAAGTTTAGTTAAAGGGCCAGGGAGGTTAGTATGTGCTCTCATATGAGTGATATAGAAAGGTGAATGCCTTTGTTGTACTGCTTGCTGTAAAGAATGAAATAAAAAATTAAGTTGTTCAGTCACATTTCGAATTAAGGCACAATCAATATTTTGTTTGGCTTGCACTACATAAGCTGAATCAGAAACAATGTTTACTGGCTGTTTAAAAGTTTTTTTTATTTTTTTATTTTTAATTTTTTAATTTAATTTAATTTATTTTTATTATTATTATACTTTAAGTTTTAGGGTACATGTGCACAATGGGCAGGTTTGTTACATATGTATACATGTGCCATGTTGGTGTGCTGCACCCATTAACTCGTCATTTAGCATTAGGCATATCTCCTAATGCTACCCCTCCCCGCTCCCCACACACCACAACAGGCCCTGGTGTGTGATGTTCCCCACCCTGTGTCCATGTGTTCTCATTGTTCAATTCCCACCTATGAGTGAGAACATGCGGTGTTTGGTTTTTTGTCCTTGCAATAGTTTGCTGAGAATGATGGTTTCCAGCTTCATCCATGTCCCTACAAAGGACATGAACTCATCATTTTTCATGGCTGCATAGTATTCCATGGTGTATATGTGCCACATTTTCTTAATCCAGTCTATCATTGTTGGACATTTGGGTTGGTTGCAAGTCTTTGCTATTGTGAATAGTGCCGCAATAAACATACGTGTGCATGTGTCTTTATAGCAGCATGTTTTATAATCCTTTGGGTATATACCCAGTAATGGGATGGCTGGGTCAAATGGTATTTCTAGTGCAGCACACCAACATGTCACATGTATACATATGTAACAAACCTGCACATTGTGCACATGTACCCTAAAACTTAAAGTATAATAATAAAAAAAAGAGTAGATGTGACACTGAAAAAAATAAAATTTCAAATGTCATTAATAACAGTACCAAAAACATAAAATATTTAGGAATAAATCCAATGATGTGCTACAGCACTACATAAAAATTATAAAACATCACTGAGAGAAATTCAAGACTACAGTAAATGGAGAAAAAATATTATTTCCATGGAATGGAAGACATTATTAAGAGGCTTTATTTTTAATTCTCCCAGAATGATCATAGCAATCTTATTTAAAATTCCACCATGTAAAAAAAAATTTCCAAAAATTGACAAGCTGATAATTATTTTTAAAAGTATATGGACATTTAAGATTTGGAAAACCCCAGGCAATCTTTAAGAAATAGAAGTGGCCAGGCGTGGTGGCTAACACCTGTAATCCCAACACTCTGGGAGGCCGAGGCGGGCAGATCACGAGGTCAGGAGTTTGAGACCAGCCTAGCCAACATGGTGAAACCCCATCTCTATTAAAAATATAAAAATTAGCCGGGCATGGTGGCAGGCACCTGTAATTCCAGCTACTTGGGAGGCTGAGGCAGGAGAATCGCTTGAACCTGGGAGGCCGAATTTGCAGTGAGTGGAGATCATGCCATCGCACTCCATCCTGGGCAACAAAAGCAAAACTCCATCTGTAAAAAAAAAAAAAAAAAAAAAAAGAACAGAAATAGAAGTAAGTTGGTAGATATACACTATTAAATATGAGATTTACTATAAAGGTAGAGTAATTAAAACAGTGTGATATTGGAGCAATGACAGGCAAATACACAAATGGAAGAGGACACAGAGGCCAGAAACAATGTGGAAATACAAAATAGCTAGATTTACCACAGGAGAGCTCCTGGAAATCATTGTGGAAAGGACAGTGCTTTTAATAAATGCACTTGATAAATGTGATAAATGCAGGGAAAATACAAACCTTGAATCTTACCTCATCCCACTCCAAAAACTTTATTGAAGATGGATAGACAATCTAGTAAACACTTAAGATATTATCTTCACAACTATAGAATAGGCAAAGATGTTTTTAACGAGGATAAAAAAGCATTAACCATAAAGAATGAATTGTTTGCCGGGCGCGGTGGCTCACACCTGTAATCCCAGCACTTTGGGAGGCTGAGGTGGGCAGATCACCTGAGGTCAGGAGCTTGAGACCAGCCTGACCAACATGGAGAAACCCCGTCTCTACTAAAAATACAAAATTAGCTGGGCGTGGTGGTGGGTGCTTGTAATCCCAGCTCATCGGGAGGCTGGGGCATGAGAATCACTTGAACACGGGAGGCAGAGGTTGCAGTGAGCTGAGATCGTGCCATTGCACTCCAGCCTGGGCAACAAGAGCAAAACTCTGTCTCAAAAATAAATAAATAATAGAATGAATTGTTGAATTACACATAATTAAATGGAAAACTTCTATTCCTCAAAAGACACTATTAAGACAATGAAAAAACGAAGTATATTTGTAGATTATATATCATACAGTATATATGTATAGGTTATACATGTAAATATATATTAATCACACACACACACACACATATACATCTGTATATACATCTGACAACAACTGAGTGGAATCCAGAATATATCCAGAACTTCAAATCAATTTTCAAAAAGCAAACATCTCAATAAAATCTGGGGAGAAAAGCTGAATATGCACTTCATAAGAGTCATACTCAAATAGCTAATAAACACCTCAAATATACCTGGACTCTGACTGTACTCCATTCCATGAAAATTTATTTGAGATGAATGGGAGATCTAGAAGAATACTTAGAATATTATCATCATGGCATTGGGTGAGGCAAAGATGTTTCTTAAAATAATAAAAAGGAATAGCCATAAATAAGCACTGATGAATAAAATTAAGAGAATCTGTTCATCTAAAACACATTATTAAGATAGTGTAAAAGCAAAACAGATTTGTAGAAGATACTAAAATTGTATACATATTTGTCTATATGTACATATATGCCTGTGTATAACTGAAATCCAGAATATATGTAAACCACAAATCCATTTTTAAAATACAAACATCTCAATAAAATTTGGGGGAAAAGACCTGAAAAGGAACTTCCGAAAAGCTGTAGTTAAAGGACCAATAAACACATAAAAAGATACTCCAAAAAAAAAAATCAATAAATAGGTGGGCGCGGTGGCTCACGCCTGTGATCCCAGCACTTTGGGAGGCCAAGGGGGTGGATCACTTGAGCCCGGGAGTTGGAGAACAGCTTGGGCAACGTGGTGAAACCCCGTCTCTACCAAAAAATACAAAGATTAGCCGGGCTTGGTGGCCTGCGCTTGTAGTCCCAGCTACTTGGCAGACTGAGGGAAGAGAGTCAATTGAGCCCCGGGAGGTTGAGATTGCAGTGAGCCGAGATCATGCCACTGCACTCCAGCCTGGGCAACAGAGTGAGACCCTGTCTCAGAAGACAAACAAAAATCAATAAATAAAAACAATTTTAAAAAAAATAGTGCTCAATCTCATTAATCGGCAGAGAAATGCAAGTGTAGACATAAAGAGAGATCACTGCACACCCATCAGAGTGGCTGGAATGAAAGAGTAACTGTACAGCGATTGAGCGAAAGTGGCACAGCTGGAACCTTCGAGTATTTCTGGACCCCGGTTTCCACACAGACACCCAGGGCTATGGCCCAAAGGTCAGACAGAACCCCAAAGAAGAGCTCCTTCAGGACTGAGATCAACCAACCGAGGAAAAGCACTCCACCCTAGGGCGAGACAGAACTCCCAAGGTCAGGTGCCCTCCCTCATGGCTGACACAGAGCTCCCCGAGTCCCACCATAAGCTTAGAGAATCCAAAGAACAGCACTCCACCCTCCCGTGGCACCGAGAGAGAGAACCCACAGATAATATTATTTTAAAACCCAGCACCAAGAGAAAGCATCTGGTAAGCGTCCCCATCAGGGATAAACAGATCCAAAGAAAAGCGAACACATCCTAGTTGAGAACGAGCGACATCCAAGGACAAATGCGCCCCACGGCCGACATCAGCACCCAAGGAAGAGTCCCTCGCGGGCTGAGATAAAGCCCCCGATGGAGAGTAACCCCACAGGGCGACGATCATGCATCCAGAGAACAGTCACCCCCACCCCAGCTCCTGAGCACAGACAGAGTGCCCAAGGCAGAGTCCCCACTCAGGGCTGTGACTGAATGGGGAAGAAACATCCCCTAACCCGAGTCTGACAAAGGGAACCAAGGCAGGGTCCCCACCCCCGGGCTCAGGTCATTTCAGCAGGAAAAGTCCCTCACATCATCGAGAGGGAGCCCCCAAGAAAAGCCCCCTGGCCCCACAACATAGCCGAGACAAGGTGCCCAAGGAAAACGCTCTCCCACGGCTAACACAGGCACCCACGGTGGTGCCTCCAGAGCGGAACCACATCACGCAGGCTGCCGTATCACACATCCGACACCCGATGCAGTGCAGCCCAGAAAAGACACTTTCCAGGGCGAAATTAAAACATCCAGAGAAAAACCGCCCCACTCACAGTTCTGAAGTCCTGACCTTGCCGGAGGAGCGGCGGCGGCACCTCACAAAATGGCAGCGAAAATTGCACCACTGGCTGAACTTTCTAGAAACCTGCCCTCTGAGAGTTGTGGGAAATCTGCCCCCTAGGGCACCTGCGAATGATGTGCATGGGACGCATCTCACCAGAAGCACAAATCCCATACAGCCCAAGAGGGATGGAAGGGAAGCTGCCCACCACCACTTGTCCTGCCCCAGCCGAACACTGGGAACCTGTTGGGGTCGCCAGAGTCCCGAGGTGAAGCCCTCACGCTTTGTAGGACTTCGGGCGCAAGCCAGAAGAACCAGGAAGCACAGCCCTCCCATTCTCTGACTCTGGCGCCCTCTACAGTCGGCCTTCAGTAACAACTGCACAGCTAGGTAGGGAGAGGAACGCAGAACTTTCCCACACAGCGGGATGAAATCGCCTGGGTAACATAGCCAAACCATGGCTGTACAAAACAGCCAACCAACCAAAAAGAAAAACACAAAAATTAGCTGGGCGTGGTGGCGCGCACCTGTGGCCCCAACTACTCAGAAAGTTGACGTGGGAGGATCACTTGAACCTGGGAGGCAGAAGTTGCCATCAGCCGAGATCGTGCCACTGCACTCCACCTTGGGCAACAGAGCCAAACCCTGTCTCAAAAAGAATGGGGTGAATTTGTACCTGACCGCCAGTAAGTTCATGGATGGCACACTATATTAATGCACAAAAAAGAAGTATGTTATCATCGCATTTAAAGCATAAATCATGTTAAAAATGCAATAACCTATTCATGAGAAAAAATGTAAAAGCATTTAAGAAAGGTCTCTATCATTCAGTATGATACTAGCTGTGGGTCTATCAGAAATCCACTGCACACATTATTCCTAGGGGAGAAATATGAGATGCATTCCTTGTAAAACCAAAACAGGACAGAATTGCCCACTGCCATCACTTCTGTGCAACACAGCCCTACAGGAATTCCTAGCTTACACCTGAATATAGCGGGTGGGGTATTCACACAAAGCCAGCTATCAGACAGTTTAATTAAACACAAGCTCTGAGAATGGTGCTTCTCAGGGAGTTTTGGTGACATGCTTAATAGTGGTGATTAGGTGGTTCATGCCTATAGTTCCAGCTACTTGGGAGGCTGAGGCAGGAGGATTGCTTGAACCCAGGAGGTCGAGGCTGCAGTGAACCATAAGTGCTCCACTGCCATCCAGTATAGGAGATAGAGTGAGACCCTGTCTCAAACATAATAATAGTACTAGTATTAATAGTGGTGATTGTCTGGAAATAGAGATTTTAGGGGAGCTCCAACCAGTAGCTCCATGCAGTGGCTGATAATTTGCTGATATTCAGAGCTACCAGAGTTGTGAGGGTGTAAGTTTAAAGGCTAACATGGAGCAGAGGAGGGGAGTGGGGGAGTGGAACAGGTTAAATCACCACAAAGCTTATGGTTTGTAGTGTGATTTAGCCATTTTTCTTGAATAAATATTCTTCGGACTGTTGAATTCCCAGAATTCCAATAATTTCTATGTTGACAATATTTGCCACTTTTTAAAAATAAAAGCATGGATTTTCACTGGTCTTTCCTCCGTGATTCCAGTAGTCTTCTCCTATATGTTACATTTTAACTTAAATATAAATCCAACAAATGAGATTGGAATTTATATTCTCTTTCTTTTTTCCTGTATGAAAACTAATATAAGTGGTGCCTGCATATCATTCACCTCTATTGGTAAGCTAGCCCTGAGGTACTGCTTCTTCATTCAACTGGTTATAGTGTACTCCCCTTAGGGATATAGGTCCAGATTGAGAGAATATATTAGTTTTATTGCCGTGTAACAAACAACTCCAAATTAAATGGCTAAAAGCATCACCGAATTATTATTTATTATCTCACAGTTCTGCAGTTCAGAAATCTGGGAGGTCTTGACTTGGTTCCCTACTTGGAGTCTCAAAAGGCCAAAATCAAAATTGTATGCAAGCGGTGTTCTCATCTAAAAAGTTTGGGGTGGAATGCAATTCCAAATTCATCCGGATATATGGCAGAATCCAATTCCTTGCCATGCAGAACTGAAATCCTTGATTCTGGCTGGCTGTGAACTGGGACTCACTCTCAACTCATAAAGCGGCTTACCAGATCTTTTCACGAGGTCCCTTCCCTATCTTCAAGCCAGCATCAGCATGTCAAATTCTTCTCATTCTTCATAACTGTCTCATCCTCTTGTGGTACCAGCTGGAGAAAAGACTCTGCTTTTAAAGGCTCATGTGTGTGGGTTAGGCCCACCTGAGGAATTCCTCTATATTTAGGTTAACAGGTTAGTAACCTTACTTACATCTGCAAAATCGCTTTTGTCATGCTAGATAACTTAATCAGGGGGTGAAATTCATGGGGACCATTTTAGTATCCTGCCAATCGTAGATGGAGAAAGTTGTGTGGCAGGAATAGGATCCATGTGTATTTTGGCCACTTCATCATGGAACTTACTTTCGCCTTCAGGACATGCTTGATCTTGTACATACCACTTCCATTTAATAATGGTGTGCTTCTATGCATACCCATTGCTGTAACTTGGTGGGTCAGAAAGCACCTAGGATAAGACAGGCATGTCTAAGTAGCATTATAATTTGGCGTCCATGGTCAAGCATTGAATGTCACCCAAGGCTCAGTAATAAATCACATATTTTTCGAAAGAATCAGCATGATGTTTGTGTCTTCAAGAAATTCGTGTCAATTCAGAACTGGGGTCCTGTAGTCATTGAGAAATCTAATAATTTCTCTTCCGCATGTACTTTCACCTTAGTGAAGGGCTACAGGCCTTCTTTGAGTAAGAATGGGAGAAAGAGTGGTGGTATAAACTTTTTCATTTTAGAAAGGTCCCTCCTCAAGAGGCCTTGTCTTAATTCATGAGGTTTTAGGTCTATAAACTAGTCAAGTCTGCAAGTTGATTGAGGCACAACCTTTCAGTCATCATGGGGTTAAGGAGAGATATGTCTAAAATTCAGGAGAGCCTATAGAGCACCTCTTAGTACTCCTGTGTCCAGTGATGAAAGTCAATGAAAACTACAACAGCCTAATTCAATCAGGACTGCTTATGGCCGTGAACCTCAAGATTGGAGGTTTGAGTCACCCCACTCTGAAAAGGTCTGTCACCAGGGAAGGTGCTTGATGAGGATAAAGGGAGTATAAAATGGGTAGTGGGAAAAGTGACTACATGACCATAGGCAGATACAAACACTAACATAAGTCCTTGTTTCTGTGTTTGTTTCAGAATAAAGAGTATCACTTCCTTATTTTGATATGAATTCATTTGCATATATATTAATATTATATGTGTCACATATATGTTTTATAATATATATATAAACTAAATATTTTTGGTTTTGACCTCCTGACATCCCCTGATCTACCACAAGATGTGTTATTAAGTTAACTTTATTTTTCAGAATTTAAGATGCAGGATATTAAAGGCACAGTGTGAATTAGGTAGCAGCAGATTGAACAAGATTTAAGAAAAATGTGGGGCTTTAGTGCCCTCTTTTGGAGAAGAGTTTGTATTTTCAAGTGACAAGGGTATAACATGCAATTTGTCAGCTTGGCTAGGCCGAATTATATTAGCCACAGTTCTCTTTCTGGGAAGTATCTGGTGTTCCCCGTGGAGGTTCTTTGAAAAATTGTGCAGGGCAGTGGATAGGAGGCAGCAGCCATTTGTAGCTACACACGTTGTTGCTGCTCTCTGGATTCACCTTATTGGTATGAAGCTGCAGCCAGACCTGCAATTTCTCTTCCTTCCCCTGGATGCTCTTTCACCTTCTCTATCTTCTGGGCCAGGTGTATATGTTTAGCTCTGCTAGGTTCTGAAAGAGCCTTTCCTGGCTACTGCAGGACGCCCTCATCACTAAGATCAGAGGCAACAAAAATGAACATGTACCTCCATCTGCCCTCATAATGTTCCAGATCCTCTTTGTAGGTTTCAGCCTATTTGTTACATCGCCATCCTCAGTAGAGACAATAAAAGCCTTATAGAGACTGCGTTACCACCTTTCACAATTGTGTAAGACCAATTCTTTTTAACAAATCATCATTCAATTTGTGCATCTATCCACTGCCTTTATTAAGCCTCATTGTATCACCTGCTTATAGAGTTGCAAAGTTTTACTCTATGCTGATAACTAGTACACACGGCCTGTCCTGAAATCCATTTTTAAAAATTTCCTTGCTGCTAAGGTCAATATTTCATAATCAAGCATGAACAAATACCACTGTTGACAGTGAGTGTAGTTTTGAAGTCTAAATTGTGATGTTCTTACCTGAATATTCTGAAAGAAAATAGTACAATTTACTTTTCCATGAAGGAATAACAAAGCACAAGAAAGGCAACTAGGCTGGGTGTGGTGACTCATGCCTGTAATCCCAGCCCTTTGGGAGGCTGAGGCAGGGGGATTGGTTGAGCCCAGGAGTTAGAGACCATACTGGGCAACATGGCGAGACCCCAGCTCTACAAAAAATATAATAATAATCCAAAAATTAGCCAGACATGGTGGTGTGCACCAGTAGTCCCAGCTACTCGGGAGGCTGAGGTGGGAGGATCGCCTGAGCCTGGGAGGCCAAGGCTGCAGTGAGGCAAGATTCTGACACTGCACTCCAGCCTAGGCAACAGGGCAAAACTCTGTTGGAAAGAAAGAAAGGAAAAGAAAGAAAAGAAGGAAAGATAGAAAGAATTAAAGAATGAACGGAAGAATGAAAGGTAGGAAGAAAGAAAGAAAGAAAGAAAGAAAAGACAACTAGAAATTTCTCCAGCATTAATGGATTTGTGAAAATTAACAAAATGTTTTCTTTGTATATATGAAAAGTTGAAATCATTTTGTACACAAAATATTTGCAAATTAATAAGAAACAAAACATTACTTATAAATGTAAACCTTTGTAAAATATTAAAGGTAAAACCACACAATATTTTGCTCTTTTTGTGCTTTAAAATCATAGAATGGGCCGGGTGCAGTGGCTCATGCCTGTAATCCCAGCACTTTGGGAGGCTGAGACGGGCAGATCACCTGAAGCCAGGTTTCAAGACCATCCTGGCCAACATGACAAAACCCCATCTCCACTAAAAATACAAAAACTAGCAGCATGATGGCACCTGTGGTGCACCTGTAATCCCAGATACTTGGGAGGCTGAGGCACAAGGATCGCTTGAACCAGGGTAAGGTGGAGGTTGCAGTGACTTGTGATGATGCCACTGCACTCTAGCCTGGGCAACAGGGCAAGATTCTGTCTTAAAAAAATAAAATAAAAAAGCGTAGAATGTGCAAGTCATATCTGGAGACAACAGCCTTACAGGCACTGCTACTGCAGCTCCAAATTATTTTATCAGACCAATCCTATCTAGGAACTACCTTTATTATATATATTGGATATACCCCCCCCACACACATACATATATATATATGGGGGTGTATATATAATATGTGTAATGTGTATAATGTGTATTATATGTATAATGGGAAATTATAAAGTGTGTGTGTGTATGTATATATACCCCCTACCAACACACACACACACACACACACACACACACACACACACAGGTATAATGTGTATTACATGTATAATGGGAGATTTTAAAGTGTGTGTGTGTGTGTGTGTGTGTGTGTATTTTAAAGTGTGTATATAAATGGGAGATTTTAATGTGTGTGTGTGTGTATACACACATTAAAATCTCCCATTAGTTCTGCCTTTTCGTTGAAGGCTGACTGATACAGATTTCAACATTGAGAGTGCTTCCAAAGAAAGTCTTAATGACACCTTCCTTGAATTCATTCTGGGTTTTCTGGAATATTTCTTAATTGTGATTAAATTTGGAGGCTTTAATGAACCTGTTTTTCTTTGGAAAATGCTGAGTGTTGGGAAAAAAAAACTGAGGCAGGGCTTGCATGTCTGACATAATGTCCTCTGGAATGTGTCCAGACTTGCTGGCTCCTTGCTTCTAGCCCTCCTAGGCTCCTAGATCAACTCTATTCCCATTATCTCAAGTAGCAGAACATGTTCCATATAAATGCTAAACCGTCACAGCTGTAGATCATGCACCTGCCCTTTTGACCCTTACATTCTCACCACCTGTCTCTTTGTTGGATTACCAATAAATAGCATGGGCTCCCAGAGCTCAGGGCCTTCACAGCCTCCACAATCATGATGGCCCCGGGTCCCACTTTCCTTCTCAAACTGTCTTTTTCACAATCCTTTGACCCCGCTGGACTTTGTCGCTCCCACGACCTGGTGCTGGGTCTGGTCACCCCAACAGTTTGCAGTAGTAAAATGAGCACTGGTAGTGCACAGTAAGAAATAGCAAAAGAATTACTCACATTTACACCTTTAGAGTCCTATAATGAAGTGCCTATAAAAGACAAGTCCCTGGGTGACTAACTGTAAATTTTTTGTCTGGTCTCTAACTCCTGGGCTCCAGCAATACTCCTGCCTCAGCCTCCCAAAGTGCTGGAATTACAGGCATGAGCCACCGGCCCTGACCTGGTTGGCTTTCTTGTGCTTTGATATCTTAGAATGGTTTGGTCAAAATAAGGAGTATTGAGTGGTTGATTTGTTGTTTCTAATGTACTGTAGAACATGAAGAAAGAAGTCGTTAAAGTTCTTGCTCAAGGTGTGAAGGAAGGACCTGATAACATCTATGACTGGCCTGAAAGAAACTGTCATCTCCTATAGCAACCAGGCCAAGATTTGGGAAAATGAAATCCAAAGTCTACTCCTGTCAGTGGCTGAATTACAGCACAAATTGAATTCACAACCTCAAAAGGGTCTCTTCTGCTAATGTTAGGGCACTAATAGGGAGAAATCAGATACTGAAAACTGGAATGGAAACGTATAGGTTTATGCCAATGAATCTGGGCACTTAGAACTGTGTTTTAGTCAGTTAGGGCTGCTATAATAAAATACCATATACTAGGTAGCTTACAAACAACAGAAATTGTATTTCTCACATTTCTAGAGGCTGTAAGTCTGAGATCAAGGTGCCAGCATGGTCAGGTTCTGGTGAGGGCCCTCTTCCATGTTGCCAGGGCACAGAGAGCTCTCTGGGGTCCCTTTTATATGGACAATATTCCCATTTATTAGGGCTCCACTTTCATGACCTTCCAATGGCTCCACCTCCTAATAACATCACAATAGGAGTTAGGATTTCAATAAATGAATGTGGCGGGGGACACAAACATTCGGTCCATTGCAAATCCCTAAATTCTCCGGGTGTCTTTGTCAATAGAAGCAGCCCTCCCACTCCTCCTGCCCGAGGTTCCCCTTTACCCGAAGAGCTGTGAGGGTCTCACCTGAGATCGTTGCCTTGAAGGGCACCGCTGCTCCTCCTCTGAAACTAACACCAGCACCCCTCATTGCTTCTTAACCTGCACTTAAATTCAAGTTCCTGCTGGCCAAAACAGTGAGTTAAACACTGAGCCCTGTCAAGAGGTGTGATAGTCACCGAAACAACTGTATGATTTTTCCAATATAGTAGTCTCTGGTAAATGTGTGAGAGTAGTTCTTAAGGCTGGGGTATGAAGGTGTACAAAATATAATATTGGATCTGGCTTCAAATATTTGTGTGCAAGTTTTGCTGTGGATATATGCTTGTATTTCTCTTGGATATTTAGCTAGAAGTGGAATTTGCAGGTTGTTCAATAACTTTATTATCAATTCTGTGAAGAAATGCCAGACTATTTTTCAAAGATGCTGCATCATTTTACATTCCCAGCAGCAATGGTGGAGGGTTCCAATTTCTCCTCTATAACACTTGTTAATTACTTGTTAATATTCATCCCAGTGAGGTGAGGTAGTATCTCCTTGTGGATTTGATTTCCATTTCCTTAATGTCTGAGGACATTGATGATCTATTCCTGTGTTTAAGGTTGTAGAAATGAGGTCCTGGTTTCTTTACTGGGTGACAGCCAGGGACTACTCTCAGCTCCTAGGCCCTCCAGCATAGCTTCGTTGTGTACTCCTACATCTTCAAAACAGTAAAGCCCAATCAAATCCCTCTTGTCCTTTGACTATCTTGTACTTCTGTTTCTGCTCTCTGGTGAAGAAATCTGTCGACTTTTATGTGTTTTTATTGGGGTGGGTGGGGGGGCATCAGTGGTGTTGTTCATTTGTTTGTTTGTTTGTTAGACAGGGTCTCGCTCTGTCTCCCAGGCTGGAGTGCAGTGATGTGATCATGGCTCACTGCAGCCTCAAATTGCTGGGTTCAAATGATCCTCTCGCCTCAGCCTCCCAAGTAGCTGGGACTATAGGCACGCACCACCACGCCCACCTAATTTAAAAAAACAATTGTGTTTGGAGACAGGGGTTTCACTATGCTGGCCAGGCTGGTCTCGAACTCCTGGACTCAAGTGGTCTGCCCACCTCACCCTCCCAAAGCACTGGGATTACAGGCGTGAAACACCACGCCCATCTCTGTCTGCTTTTAAAGGACTCAATTGAGTGTGGCAGGCCCATCCACAGGGACACCTCAGGGATAACTGAGATATGGAGTTTATGCCATCTGCAAAAGCCCACCCCAGCCAGTCACTGCTGGAGTGGGCAGAGGCTGCTTGGCTGGGTCCTGCAGGCCCCTGGCCACTGATGGATGAGTGTGCCCAGGAGGCAAGTCCGCTGGCAGCACAGGGAACAAAGAGGGCTGGGGTGGGGCTCAGGCAGGGCTTCTCCCAGGACAGACCTGGATGCTGAACTGGGAGGACCGAGGTGACACTGAGCCCTGGCAGCTCCTAGTCTGATGAGCTGCAGCTGCCAGGCGAGGATGCGGAGCCCCGGCAGTGCAGGGCAGCTGAGAGCCTATGGGCAGGCACCCCAGGACCCAAGATGAGGGCAGCTGCCAGAGCCAGCTCCAACTGCTACAGTCCAAGGCCACCACTGTGAGGCTGTCCGGTTCTACCAATGTTCTCTCCTTTCAGCATTTGTTGGTACCCCAATGAGTTTCCCCGTAATAACCCCAGACATTGCCTCAGGTACCTGAAGAAGAATGCAGCTTTGAAGATGGGGTGCTTAATCCCAAGAATCCCCACCCATTTGGCCACATCAAATGACTTTGGTATTGTAATTTGCATTTTGTATGCGAAAGGTTCAAAATACTTCAGGGGTAGGCTGGTGTTCGATTTTTGCTAGAGAACAACCACTACTTTACCCCAGACTTTTACCATGTCTTCAAAAAGATGTAGCTATCAGAGTGGCAAGAGTGCCCTGGGTGTGATGTTCTCTTTCCAGGGACTTACATTGCCAGCTGCAGTTTCTACAGCACTGCTGATGAAGTGCATATAAAAACTTGGAAAAGAAAGGAAACTAGTATATGGAAGAGGTATCTGCACTCCCATGTTTGTTGCAGCACCATTCACAATAGCTAAGATTTGGAAGCAACCTAAGTGTCCTCCAGCAGATGAATGGATAAAGAAAATGTGGTACATATACACAGTGAAGTACTATTCAGCCATAAAAAAGAATGAGATCTCATCATTTTCAACAACATGGGTGGAACTGGAGGTCATTATGTTAAGTGAAATAAGCCAGGCAAAGAAAGACAAACTTCACATGTTCTCACTCCTTTGTGGGAGCTAAAAATTAAAACCACCGAACTCATGGAGATAGAGAGTAGAAGGATGGTTACCAGAGGCAGGGAAGAGTAGTGGGGGTGTCGGGGGAAGCGGGGATGGCTCGTGGGTACAAAAATATAGTTAGGTAGAATGAGTAAGATGTAGCATTTGATAGCACAACAGGGTGACTAGAGTCAATAATTTATTATAAATTTTAAAATCACTAAAAGAGTATAATTGGATTGTTTGTAACACAAAGGAAGGATAAATGGTTGCGGTGATGGAGACTATTTACCCTGATGTGATTATTATACATTGTATGCCTTATCAAAATATCTCATGTAATCCATAAATATATACACCCACTAGGTACTGACAAAAATGAAAAATGAAAAAAGACCCTGGAAATCCACAGAGCATGATATGGGTCTAGCCTTCACCTGGGATGGCAATTAGACACTGATTGAATGCACAGACATTTTCTCTTCTGATGGTGATTATAACTGGGACTGGACTCTTCAATATTTGTATCTTGGCTTCCAAAATTCTGGAAAGCACTAGTTCCTCAAGTTCCTAGGGTTATTCATTCTGGAGACTCTAGTATACTCTGCAAGAAAACCTGTAGGCCATCCACCGGAATGCCCAAATGGAGTCACTCTTAAATAACAAGCCCTGCATGTTTCCAAAACCTCTAATTATCAGTGAAAAGTTTACTACGGCAGCCATTTCGCCACCCAGGGCAATTGGAGAATGGCAGATACTAGGGACCATTAATTCTGTAAAAGCTGTAGAAGACTGCAGTAAAGAATCACAGTTACAGAACCAAAAGTGACAGTCTTCTATTTTGGATGTTTGTACAAAGAGGATATACAATTAATAAAGTGGTCGAGGAACAGTTTTCTGCTTTAACACCAAAAACTAACATAGAAACCTGTAAAGGTGTCCAAGTATAGTAATCCTTTTCATGTATATCTGGTTAAGATTTAAAACTGAAGCTTTCTTTTTTAACCTTTTTAAAATTATAGATGCAAGACGGGTACATGTACAAGTTTCTCACTTGGATATAATTGCATAATTCCGGGGTTTGGGCTTCTAGTGAACCCATCTCCCAAATAGTGAAGAGAGTATCCAATAGGTAGTTTTTCAACCCTCCAACCCGCTCCCTCCCTCCCCTCCACTTCCCTTTTGGAGTCCTCAGAGTCAATGGTTTCTACCTTTATGTTCATGTGTACCCATTGTTTAGCTCCCACATATGAATGAGAACACGCAGTATCTCATTTTCTGATTATCTGATTTTGTTTCTGCGTTTCACTTAAAAGTGAAGTTTTCGCTGGACACAGTGGCTCACGCCTGTAATCCCAGGATTTGGGAGGCAGAAGTGGGTGGATCGCTTGAGGTCAGGAGTTCCAGATAAGGCTGGCCAACATGGCGAAACCACAGCTCCACCAAAAATACAAAAAATAGCCGGGGCCTGGCGCGGTGGCTCGCGCTTGTAATCCCAGCACTTTGGGAGTCTGAGGTGGGCAGATCACTCGAGGTCAGGAGTTTGAGACTAGCCTAGCCAACATGGTGAAACCCTGTCTCTACTAAGAAATGCAAACAACTAGCCAGGTGTGATAGTGTGTGCCTATAGTCCAGCTACACAGGAGGCTGAGGCAAGAGAATTGCTTGAACCCGGGAGGTGGAGGTGGCCGTGAGCCGAGATCGGACCATAAACTTAATCAAATTGTTGTTCCAACTGCAGCTGCTGTACTGCAGGTGGTTTTGTTGCATCGGCAACTGTGACATCCCTGGGAACCTGATATATAATCGTGATTAGGTGAATGTTTTGTTTTCTTTCAGTAGTTGTCATAAAGAAGAGTTTGGGTCCAGCTAGAAAGGACAGCAATGTACTATCATCTCCTCTTTCAACCTTATATCAACTCTCAAGGTTTATATCCTAAATGAGTCCTTAGGGACCATGACCACCTTTCTCTTAAACCAGATGTAACACCATTCTTTGCACTGATGACATTATGCTGACTGCGCAGGAGGTAGCAACTAATCCAGACACATTAGCGACACACTTACAAGACATTATGTGAGAAATAATTCCCAAACAACGTCAGGGGTCTTCTACCTGAGGGAAACGTCTAACAACTTAGTAGTCTGGCATGTCAAGATGGTGGTTATAAGGTGAACAGCATGTTCTTACATCTTGCCTTTTTTACTACTAAATAAGGAACACAGAAACGAGTTCCATAATAGATGTTGTCTTAGTATATACCTCAATGTTGTGCAGTACTGTGACCCACTGACAGGTGCCTGAAACCCTGCTAGCATGGATTGGGGCCCAGAAAAAGAGAAGCTTCCTTAGTCCTGCACCTGCGGTCTCATGGGGAGTTCCCTGCGACCAGTTGATGAGAAAATAAAAAACATCATGCCTGATTTTCATTTGTTATTTCAGAATATGCCGGCACCACGTCTATTAAGTTTGTTACTACTGCAAAAGAAATTATCCCCAATTTAGCAGCTTAAAACAACACAAATATATAAGCAGTTCTGTAGATCAGAAATCCATGCAGCCTAGATTGGTATCTCTGCTTAGGATCTCACAAATCAAAGGTAAGTTATCAACCAGGCTGCTGACTAACTGAGGACTCAGAGAGAAATTATTTTCAAGCTCATTTGGGTTATTGGCAGGTCTAACTTCTATTTATTCATTTATTTTCATTATACTTTAAGTTCTAGGGAACATGTGCACAGCGTGCAGGATTGTTACATATGTATGCATGTGCCATGTTGGTGTGCTGTACCCGTTAACTCATCATTTACGTTAGGTATATCTCCTAACGCTATCCTTCTCGCCTATGAGTGAGAACATGCGGTGTTTGGTTATCTGTCCTTGTGATAGTTTGCTCAGAATGATGGTTTCCAGCTTCATCCATGTCCCTACAGAGGACATGAACTCATCCTTTTTTATGGCTGCATAGTATTCCATGGTGTATATGTGCCACATTTTCTTAATCCAGTCTATCATTGATGGACATTTGGGTTGGTTCCAAGTCTTTCCTATTGTGAATAGTGCCGCAATAAACATACATGTGCATGTGTCTTTATAGCAGCATGATTTATAATTCTTTGGGTATATACCCAGTAATCGGCTGGCTGGGTCAAATGGTATTTCCAGTTCTAGATCCTTGAGGAATGGCCACACTGTCTTCCACAATGGTTGATCTAATTTACAGTCCCACCAACAGTGTAAAAGTGTTCCTATTTGTCCACATCCTCTCCAACACCTGTTGTTTCCTGACTTTTTAATGATCACCATTCTAACTGGTGTGAGATGGCATCTCACTGTGGTTTTGATTTGCATTTCTCTGATGACCAGTGATGAGGAGCATTTTTTCTCCCATTCTGTAGGTTGCCTGTTCACTCTGGTGGTAGTTTCTTTTGCTGTGCAGAACCCCTTAGTTTTATTAGACCCCACTTGTCAATTCTGGCTTTTGTTGCCATTGCTTTTGGTGTTTTAGTCATGAAGTCCTTGCCCATGCCTACTATGTCTTGAATGGTATTGCCTAGGTTTTCATCTACGGTTTTTACTGTTTTAGGTCTAACATTTAAGTCTTTAATCCATCTTGAATAAATTTTTGTATAAGGTGTACGGAAGGGATCCAGTTTCAGCTTTCTACATGTGGCTAGCCAGTTTTCCCAGCACCATTTATTAAATAGGGAATCCTTTCCCCATTTCTTGTTTTTGTCAGGTTTGTCAAAGATCAGATAGTTGTAGATATGTGGCATTGTTTCTGAGGGCTCTATTCTGTTCCATTGGTCTATATCTCTGTTTTGGTAACAGTACCATGCATACCAGAATCTCTGGGACACATTCAAAGCAGTGTGTAGAGGGAAATTTATAGCACTAAATGCCCACAAGAGAAAGCACGAAAGAGCTAAAATTGACACCCTAACATCACAATTAAAAGAACTAGAGAAGGAAGAGCAAACACATTCAAAAGCTAGCAGAAGGCAAGAAATAACTAAGATCAGAGCAGAACTGAAGGAAATAGAGACACAAAAAACCCTTCAAAAAAATCAATGAATCCAGGAGCTGGTTTTTTGAAAAGATCAACAAAATTGATAGACCGCTAGCAAGACTAATAAAGAAGAAAAGAGAGAAGAATCAAATAGACGCAATGAAAAATGGTAAAGGGGATATCACCACCGATCCCACAGAAATACAAACTACCATCAAAGAGTACTATAAACACCTCTACGCAAATAAACTAGAAAATCTAGAAGAAATGGATGAATTCCTCGACACATATACCCTCCCAAGACTAAACCAGGAAGAAGTTGAATCTCTGAATAGACCAATAACAGGCTCTGAAATTGAGGTAATAATTAATAGCTTACCAACCAAAAAAAGTCCAGGACCAGATGGATTCTCAGCCGAATTCTACCAGAGGTACAAGGAGGAGCTGGTACCATTCCTTCTGAAACTATTCCAATCAATAGAAAAAGAGGGAATCCTCCCTAAATCATTTTATGAGGCCAGCATCATCCTGATACCAAAGCCTGGCAGAGACACAACCAAAAAAGAGAATTTTAGACCAATATCCTTGATGAACATTGATGCAAAAATCCTCAATAAAATACTGGCAAACCGAATCCAGCAGCACATCAAAAAGCTTATCGACCATGATCAAGTGGGCTTCATCCCCGGGATGCAAGGCTGGTTCAACATTCGCAAACCAATAAATGTAATCCAGCATATAAACAGAACCAAAGACAAAAACCACATGATTATCTCAATAGATGCAGAAAAGACCTTTGACAAAATTCAACAACCTTCATGCTAAAAACTCTCAATAAATTAGGTGTTGATGGGACGTATCTCAAAGTAATAAGAGCTATTTATGACGAACCCACAGCCAATATCATACTGAATGGACAAAAACTGGAAGCATTCCCTTTGAAAACTGGCACAAGACAGGGATGCCCTCTCTCACCACTCCTATTCAACATAGTGTTGGAAGCTGTGGCCAGGGCAGTCAGGCAGGAGAAAGAAATAAAGGGCATTCAATTAGGAAAAGAGGAAGTCAAACTGTCCCTGTTTGCAGATGACATGATTGTATATATAGAAAACCCCATTGTCTCAGCCCAAAATCTCCTTAAGCCGATAAGCAACTTCAGCAAAGTCTCAGGAGACAAAATCAATGTGCAAAAAATCACAAGCATTCTTATACACTAATAACAGACAAACAGAGAGCCAAATCATGAGTGAACTCCCATTCACAATTGCTTCAAAGAGAATAAAATACCTAGGAATCCAACTTACAAGGGATTGTGAAGGACCTCTTCAAGGAGAACTACAAACCACTGCTCAATGAAATAAAAGAGGATACAAACAAATGGAAGAACATTCCATGCTCATGGGTAGGAAGAATCAATATCGTGAAAATGGCCATATTGCCCAGGGTAATTTATAGATTCAATGCCATCCCCATCAAGCTACCAATGACTTTCTTCACAGAATTGGAAAAAACTACTTTAAAGTTCATATGGAACCAAAAAAGAGCCCGCATCGCCAAGTCAATCCTAAGCCAAAAGAACAAAGCTGGAGACATCATGCTACCTGACTTCAAACTATACTACAAGGCTACAGTAACCAAAACAGCATGGTACTGTTACCAAAACAGAGATACAGACCAATGGAACAGAACAGAACAGAGCCCTCAGAAATAATGCCGCATATCTACAACTATCTGATCTTTGACAAACCTGACAAAAACAAGAAATGGGGAAAGGATTCCCTATTCAATAAATGGTGCTGGGAAAACTGGCTAGCCATATGGAGAAAGCTGAAATGGGATCCCTTCCTTATACTTTATACAAAAATTAATTCAAGATGGATTAAAGACTTACATGTTAGACCTAAAACCATAAAAACCCTAGGAGAAAACCTAGGCAATACCATTCAGGACATAGGCATGGGCAAGGACTTCATGTCTAAAACACCAAAAGCAATGGCAACAAAAGCCAAAATTGACAAATGGGATCTAATTAAACTAAAGAGCTTCTGCACGGCAAAAGAAACTACCATCAGAGTGAACAGGCAACCTACAGAATGGCAGAAAATTTGTGCAATCTACTCATCTGAAAAAGGGCTAATATCCAGAATCTACAATGAACTCAAACAAATTTACAAGAAAAAAACACACAACCCCATCAACAAGCGGGCGAAGGATATGAACAGATACTTCTCAAAAGAAGACATTTATGCAGCCAACAGACACATGAAAAAATACTCATCATCACTGGCCATCAGATAAATGCAAATCAAAACCACAATGAGATACCATCTCACACCAATTAAAATGGCAATCATTTAAAAATCAGGAAACAACAGGTGCTGGAGAGGATGTGGACAAATAGGAACACTTTTACACTGTTGGTGGGACTGTAAACTAGTTCAACCATTGTGGAAGTCAGTGTGGCAATTCCTCAGGGATCTAGAACTAGAAATACCATTTGACCAAGCCATCCCATTACTGGGTATATACCCAAAGGATTATAAATCATGCTGCTATAAAGACACATGCACACGTATATTTATTGCGGCACTATTCACAATAGCAAAGACTTGCAACCAACCCAAATGTCCATCAGTGATATACTGGATTAAGAAAATGTGGCACATATACACCATGGAATACTATGCAGCCATGAAAAATGATGAGTTCATGTCCTTTGTAGGGACATGGATGAAGCTGGAAACCATCATTCTCAGCAAACTATCCCAAGGACAAAAACCAAACACCGCATGTTCTCACTCGTAGGTGGGAATTGAACAATGAGACCACATGGACACAGGAAGGGGAACATCACACACCGGGGCCTGTTGTGGGGTGTGGGGAGGGGGGAGGGATAGCATTAGGAGATATACCTAATGTTAAATGACGAGTTTATGGGTGAAGCACACCAACTTGGCACATGTATACATATGTAACAAACCTGCACGTTGTGCACATGTACCCTAAAACTTAAAGTATAATAATAAAAAAAGAAAAGTACCTGGAACAATTAATATTTGTTGAATCAATGAATGAATTAATTTTAAAAAAAGCATAGAATGGG
This sequence comes from Homo sapiens, assembly GCF_000001405.40. Taxonomy (NCBI): domain Eukaryota; kingdom Metazoa; phylum Chordata; class Mammalia; order Primates; family Hominidae; genus Homo; species Homo sapiens. Next base: position 135,724,416 of record NC_000023.11, on the reverse strand, counting down.
CTGGGTGCAGTGGCTCATGCCTGTAATCCTAGCACCTTGGGAGGCTGAGATGGGCAGATCACTTGAGGCCAGGTTTCGAGACCAGCCTGGACAACATGGCAAAACCCCATCTCCACTAAAAATGCAAAAATTAGCAGCGTGATGGCACCTGTGGTGCACCTGTAATCCCAGCTACTTGGGAGGCTGAAGCACAAGGATCGCTTGAACTGGGGTGAGCTGGAGGTTGCAGTGACTTGTGATCGTGACACTGCACTCTAGCCTGGGCAACAGAGCAAGATTCTGTCTTAAAAAAATAAAATAAAAAGCATAGAATGTGCAAGTCATATCTGGAGACAACAGTCTTAAAGGGACTGCTACTGAAGCTCCAAATTATTGTTATCAGGCCAATCCTATCTAGGAACTACCTTTATTATATATATTGGATATACCACCCTACGTGCATATATATATATATGGTATATATACCACATATATATATATATACTATATATGGTATATATATATATGGGGTATATATATATGAATAGGGGTGTATATGTAATATGTGTAATGTGTATAATGTGTATTATATGTATAATGGGAGATTACAAAGTGTGTGTGTGTAGGTATATATACCCCCTACCAACACACACACACACACACAGGTATAATGTGCATTACATGTATAATGGGAGATTTTAAAGTGTGTGTGTATTTTAATGTGTGTGTGTGTGTAAAATACACACACACACACATTAAAATCTCCCATTAGTTCTGCCTTTTCGTTGAAGGCTGATGATACAGATTTCAACATTGAGATCGGGTTCCCACTACACCAGGGGCTAAGGAAGAGTATGTGTGATATGTCTAGAGAGCTTCTTAGTCCTCCCGTGTTTTTCGATTAGAGTTAATGGAAGATCACAGCAACCCCATCCAGGCAGGACATCTAATGGTTCAGACTCTTCCGTAATGAAGGTTTGAGTCATCCTGCCAGGCCAAGCATCATGACCAACTGACATGCTATCTCAGGGCAAAGGGAATGTGAAATGGGTAGCGAAAGAACGTAGTGATAAATACCAGCTACAACACTGTGAGCTGCTGCAGAAACCACGACTGTAATAGTATTTACCTAATGGGTTAATAATATCTACCAGCACAGGTGGGAATACAAAATAACCAAAACACAAGTTATCCTTTCAAATAAAATGCTTTGGGAAAAAGAACATCTTTTACTAACAGAAATTTCTTAGCCTCTGGAAGGCTATTTGATTCGGTAACATATGCCAGGAGACTTCAGCAATATCCTGCTCCATTGTAGAAAACAGCAATCTGATCCTTTTCTCTCCTCAATCATTAACGAGATTATGCATTTGGGGTGTGATAATCCTCCAGGGACAAGTATTCTCAAATCATACGTTTCAGTTTCTTCTTAAGGTGCTTAACAAAGTCTCGTCTCATACATCTGAAAAGAAAGAGACATGTCATTAACCAAAAGATAGCCAAAGAACCTATGCTGTAGGAAGCGCTGTGACAGATAGAAAGATGAAGTAACAGTCAGCATGGAAATAGAAATGTATCTGCATGGTAAGAGGCAGTCTAGCCGGCATAACAAATGCTGGCAAGGGTGTGGAGAAAAGGGAACCTTCATACACTGTTGGTGAGAATATAAATTACTACAACAACTAACTATGAAGAACAGTTTGGAGGTTCCTCAAACAACTAAAAATGGAGCTATCATATGATCCAGCAATCCCACTGCTGGGTATATACCCAAGAGAAAGGAAGTCAGTGTACCGAACAGATATCTGCACTCCCATGTTTGTTGCAGCACCATCCACAGTAGCCAAGATTTGGAAGCAACCTAAGTGTCCACTAACACATGAATGGGTAAAGAAAATATGGTACATATACACCACAGAGTACTGTTTAGCCATAAAAAAAAGAATGAGATTCAGTCATTTGCAACAACACGGATAGAACCGAAGGTCCTTATGTTAAGTGAAATAAGCCAGGCACAGAAAGACAAACTTCACATGTTCTCACTTATTTTTGGGAGTAAAAGTGTAAAACAACTGAACTAATGGAGATAGAGAGTAGAATGACAGTTACCAGAGGCTACAAAGGTTAGTGGGGGTGGAGGGTGTGGGAAGTGGGGATGATTAATACGTAGAAGTATGGAATAAATAAGATGTCGTATTTCATAGCCAAACAGGGTGACTATAGTCGGTAATAATTTAATTGCACATTTAAAAATAATGAAGAGTATAATTGTATTCTCTGTAACGCAAAGGATAAAAGCTTGAGGTGATAGAAACCCCACTTACCTTGATGTGATTATTACACATTGTTGTCTGTATCACAATATCTCATATAGCCCAGAAATATATGCATCTGCTATGTGCCTACACAAATTTTTTAAAAAGAGGTAGTCTAGCAAATACAAAGAGTGTCAATTGAGGGACAATGCGCACCTCAGACTATGGTGAAAATGGAAGTCTCCATAGTCTTCGAAGAATGAGTTACACTCAGATAACATTAGCCTAAGTAACTGTGGAGACAGCCGTAACTGTGAGTGAGGACCAGGGTTTGAGAAACGCAAGGCAGGGGCTGTTCCCCAACGCTCACCCCCAGTGCTCTATTGAGCCCAAGTGCTTAAAGAAATTGGACAGTTCCTATTTCTACCCACCTTGCTGCTTCCTTGATGATGGATTCAAAAAATCGCTTCCTGACTGCAGTAGGTCCTTGCACTCCTTCAAGCATTTCGAAGATTTTTTCATATTCTGAAGATGTTGAAAAAAAAAAAACTTCAGTATTATCAAATATAAAGAAGAATAGAAGTGAATCTACACCTCAGCAATCATGCTTCAGAGGCTGAAATGTTTTAAATGCTTAAATCAAGATACCTGCACATACAAAACCTAAATAATAAAAAAGACACCTGCACATACATACGAATGTAACTCCTTTAACCATAACCAAGTAAGAAAAGAAAAAGAAAAAATGTACATGCTTTAGTCAAAGAAAAGAGGAACCACCATAAATTATGTGCAATCTCAACTCTGGCAAAGAATGAAACTCAACAGGCAACATGAATATCTTCTGAATCATAGAAAGAGAGACTTCCTATAGTTTTATAAAACAGACATTCTTATATTACTTACTTTGTCCAACGCATCGGAGTTCCTTCACTAATTTACGTTTTATATCAGCATTAATTTCTCGTTGGCTTTTGGGAGAGGAGGCTGTTTCTCTGCATTCTAGGTCATCTCCAGAGAAACTGCTGGTAACGTTTCCTCCCACAGGTGCATTGCTACCAGGTTTCTGCATCATCCTATCTTTGCTGAAACCAGTGAAGTCATCAATCTGAGAATCCAATTGGCTGGGTGGAATAGCATGTCCTGTCATAAGCTCTGGTGAAACAGATTTTGAGTAAAAGCCATCAGTTGGTGTTTGACCACTTTCTTTCCCCTCCACATAGACCTCATGAATGACAGCTCTGGAAATCAAACTGAGAAGCTGAGCTGTGAGATATGTGTGTTTCATCACCCCTCTGGGTACATCTATGTGCTCCTCAGTTTCTAGGGAATTATTTATTTCATAAATGGGAGGATACACCAGGGAGAAATCCCAGGCCTGACAAACGGAGGCCAGGACACATAATACAATAAAACCACCTCTTATTTTCTGGCCCTATGAATAGACATGGAAACCAAGTAAGGCAGTACAACTCTAAAGCAACATTCACAGATCCCTGGTACTCATGGGACAGTTTCAGCTTGTTATGCTTTACAAGTTGAAAGCAGCAAGTCTCACTTGATATCATGATTTCTCAAATTCACTTACAAACTGCCATGTTTTACTAAGCTGGAAGCCAGACAACTTGGACACACCTCAACCAGCCTCCTCTCTACATCAAACATATTCTGAGAAAATAGAGGTGGCCATTACTGCTGAAAGTTCTACATGTACTCCATCAACAAAAAATCCCTTTTAGTGTATGATTTTCCTCATCCTTCCTTTCTGTCTCACAAAAGTGACTTTCTTTTCACTCCAGGTCTGACACCTCTCATTTATTCATCGTCTGTGGCAGGCAGCGTGCCGGTAGCTGGGGATCAGCAGTAAACAGCCCAGAGAGCAACGTTCCCTGCCCTTCTGGAGCTCACATCCTCATGGGGCGGTCAGACAGTACGTGCACAATGAGCAAATGAAACATACAGTGTTGGGCTAGTGGTAAGGAAGCAGTCCACAGGCCTGTGGGCAACAGCAGCAGAGGGAGCCCCAGGAGCTGCTGCTGGTTGGGCAGAGCCTTCTGTGGAGGTACCCTTGGGCAGGGCTTGAAGGAGAAAGCAGAGCTGCCTGCGCAGAGGCAGAGGGGGAGTTCCAGGTTGCGGTGAGGCCAAGGATATGGGCTGGAGTGGGGATGGACCGGGCACTACGGGGTGAAGGACAGTAGCAGAGAGAGTCAGGAGATGATGGGGCCCGTGTGAGGAGAGGGTGACGGAGGCCAGGCCACGCAGAACCTCACAGACCAAAGCTGCTTCGCAGTCGGTTCTGAGTGCTTAGGAGTGTTGAGGATGGGTGTTCAGGAGCGACATGGCATCACGTGATTTACATGCCAACATCATGACCCGGCTGCAGGGTTGGAGGGTATGTGTTTGATGCGGGAAATAATGGGAAACATGGAGGTATCTCAGGAGCTCAGTGATTGATCGTGGCAGAGTGGAATAGAAGGAGAGAGAGAGATGCTGGGGTTCAGGAATTTTTTGCAGTATTTAGAGAAGAGAAGAAAAAGAAATGTAGAAAAAAACAATGATGGGGTCGGGGGCGGTGGCTCGTGCGTGTAATCCCAGCACTTTGGGAGGCTGAGGTGGGTGGATCACCTGAGGGGGGGAGTTCCAGACCAGCCTGGCCGACATGGCGAAACCCCATCTCTACTAAACTTACAAAAATTAGCTGGGTGTGGTGGCTGGTGCTTGTAATCCCGCTACTCGGGAGGCTGCGGCAGAAGAATCACTTGAACCCAGGAGACGGAGATTTCAGTGAGCCGAGATCGCGCCACTGCACTCCAGCCTGGCTGAGAAGAGCGAAAGTCCATCTCAAGAAAAAAATGATAGGGATTCACCAATACGGACAAGAAATTAAAAAAAAAAAAGATTGTCGGAAATGGAAATCCTAGAAGGTTTTCATGAAGAAGCGAGTGAACAACTGTCAAATGCTGCTGAGAAGTTAATGGCAATGTCAGCCGAAACTGTTAACCTTGACAAGGACAGTTTCTCTGGAGGGGATGAGGCAGGAGCATGAGGAGGACGTGAGGACAGGCTTACTTACTCTTTGCTTTGGACATGGCAGAGCCTGCAATAAGGCTGTCTCCTGCTCCTTGTTTCCTTGCCAACAGGGCCATCCTCTGCCTTTTCTGATACGAAGGACTGTCACATTCCCTGGGACGTTTAAACACAGTTTCAGGATCTACAGCCACCTTCTCTGTTTTATCGGTCATTGTTTCCTGAAAAACATCAATGAATATATTCTATTCATGACAAAAATCTAACAATCACAAAATGGCAAGCAATCTGCATATGTGTATACAACCAAGACTTTGAATCATTAATTTCACTTTTAATCATGAGCCAAGATTTACCAAGTCTCAACAAACACTCTGTTCTCAGGAAAAGAAACCTAATTTTAATGTACACAAAGTAAAACAGAAGAAAGATGGTATAACCAAATCAATCAGAATGCTTGTGGAATAAGCAGCTGTCATCAACCAAAAATAGATAAAAATATTATTACCTATTTGAAGATGTATAAGCCAATCTGTATTAACCCTTATTAGGAAAAATAGCTGTATAAACCAATCTGTATTAACCCTTGTTAAACATTATATTTTAAACTATATATTATACATTATATTATGCAAAATATGTATTTAATATATAAGTATTTATACTTATATATTCAAATAGATGTATAAACCAATCTGTATTAACCCTTATTAGGAACTCTTATTAGAAGATTGATACAAAACTGATAACAACATCTGACAAGGAATTTAGAAGAATGAAAAACTACAAGATCAAGCCAAAAATACAAGCCAATATCACCCCTGAACTTAGACACAAAAATTCCAAACTAAGGGTGAGCAAATAAAATGCAATAGTACTTAAAAAGGACATACATCATGGTGGAGTATATTGCAGAAAGGCAACATTGATTTAACATTTGATAATCGATAAATGTAATGCACCACATTAACAACAACAACAACAGCAACAAACAGGGAAACACCACATGATCATTTTCATACATGGTCAATGTTTAAAGTCCATTCGTGATAAAAACTATCACCAACTTAGGAAAAAGGGCAAGTTTCCTATTCTGGTTAGCATATGTACAAAAAATTTTTAAATGCCATACTTCATAGTGACGTATCAGTATTTTCTCCCTGAGTTTGAAAACAAGACAAAGATGTCCACTATCCATTCAACAATCTATTGGAGGTTCTAAAAAGTGCTGTAGCATCAGGAAAATACAATAGGTTTAAAATTTGGAAAGAAATAAAACTGTCATTCACAGATGACATTGTTCTGTACATAGAAAAATGCAGAAGAATAAAATCATTACAGTTAATAAGCAAATTTAGTCAACTTACTAGATATAATGAAAACCAATGGCATTTCTGTATAATTAATAGCAACAAATAATTAGAATATGAGATTTCAAATGTCATTAAAAACAGTACCAAAAACATCAAATATTTAGGAATAAATTTAATCAAGATGTGGTACAGCACTACACAAAAATTATAAAACATCACTCAGAGAAATTCAAGACTGCAGTAAATGGAGAAAAATATTCTTTCCATGCAATGGAAGACATCATTTTTTTTTTTGAGTCGGAGCCTCCCTCTGTCGCCCAGGCTGGAGTAGAGTGGCACAGTCTCTGCTCACTGCAACCTCCACCTCCTGAGTTCAAGCAATTCTCCTGCCTCAGCCTCCCGAGTAGCTGAGATTACAGGCGCCTGCCACAACGCCTGGCTAATTTTTGTATTTTTAGTAGAGACGGGGTTTCACTATGTTAGCCACACTGGTCTCAAACTCCTGGCTGCAAGTGATCTGCCCACCTCGGCCTCCCACAGTGCTGGGATTACAGGCGTGAGCCACCATGCCTGGCTGGAAGACATTATTAAAAGACATTATTAAAAGACATTATTGTCAAGTCTCTCAGAATGATCCTAGCAATCATATTTAAAATTCCACCATGTTAACAAAAGTTTTTCTGAAAATTCACAAGCAGATCATTTTTTAAGTATATGCAAATTAAAGATTTGGAAAAGCCAAGTTTTTTTTAAGCCAAGGAAAATACAAAGTTTTTTTTAAAGAAAAAGAACTAAGTTAGTAGATACGCACTACTATATATGAAATTTACTATAAAGGTAGAGTAATTAAAACAGTGTGGTACTGGAGCAATGACAGGCAAATACACCAAGGGAAGAGGACACAGAGGCCAGAAACAATCTGGAAATACAAAATACAGAAGAGTTGTAAATCATTGTGGAAAAGACAGTGCTTTTAATAAATGCACTTGATAAATGCAGGGAAAATACAAACCTTGACTCTTACTTCTTCCCACTCCACAAAACTTTATTAAAGATGGATAGACAATCTAGTAAACACTTAAGATACTGTCTTCACAACTATAGTATAGGCAAAGATGTTTTTAATGAGGATAAACAAGCACTAACCATAAAGAATGAATTGTTTAATTAGACATAATTAAATGGAAAAGTTCTGTTCCTCAAAGACACTATTAAGAGGTGAAAAACCAAATCATGTTTGTAGATTATACATTATGTAGTATATAGTATAGGTTATATATAAAATATATATTACTTACACACATATATACATATTTATCTGGCAACAAATGAATGGAATCCAGAATATATCCAGAACTACAAATGAATTTCTAAAAAACAAACATCCCACTAAAATTTGGGGGGAAAAGCTGAATATGCACTTCATAAGAGTCATACTCTAATGGCTAATAATCACATCAAATATATCTGGACTCTGACTTTACTCCATTCCATGAGAATTTATTTCTGATGATTGGGAGATCTAGAAGAAAACTTAGAATATTATCATCATGAGTGCAAATTAGTTCAACCATTGTGGAAGACAGTGTGGCGATTCCTCAAGGATCTAGAACCAGAAATACCATCTGACTCAGCAATCCCATCACTGGGTATATACCTAAAGGATTATAAATCATTCTTCTATAAAGACACATGCACACGTATGTTTATCACGGCACTATTCATAACAGCAAAGACTTGGAATCAACCCAAATGCCCATCAATGATAGACTGGATAAAGAAAATGTGGCACATATACACCATGGAATACTTTGCAGCCCTAAAAAAGAATGAGTTCATGTCGTTTGAAGGGACATGTGTCAGCAAGATAACACAGGAACAGAAAACCAAACACCACATGTTCTCACTCATAAGTGGGAGTTGAACAATGAGAACACATGGACACAGGGAGGAGAACATCACACAGTGGGATCTGTTGGGGGAGGGGGGCTGGGGAGGGATAGCATTAGAGAAATACCTAATGTAGATGATGGGTTGATGGGTGCAGCAAACCACCATGGCATGTGTCTACCTATGTAACAAACCTGCACGTTCTGCACATGTATCCCAGAACTTAAAGTATTTTATATATATAAGTATTATATATATAAGTATTATATACATATAAGTATTATATATATAAGTATTATATACATATAAGTATTATATATATAAGTATTATATACATATAAGTATTATATATAAGTATTATATACCTATAAGTATTATATATATAAGTATTATATACATATAAGTATTATATATAAGTATTATATACCTATAAGTATTATATATATAAGTATTATATACATATAAGTATTATATATAAGTATTATATATAAGTATTATATATATAAGTATTATATATAAGTATTATATATATAAGTATTATATATAAGTATTATATATATAAGTATTATATATAAGTATTATATATATAAGTATTATATGTAAGTATTATATATATATAATATATAAGTATTATATATAAGTATTGTATATATAAGTATTATATATATAAGTATTATATATATATAAGTATTATATATATATAAGTATTATATATATAAGTATTATATATATATAAGTATTATATATATATAATAGTAATGGCATTGGGTGATTCAAAGATGTTTCTTAAATAATAAAAAGCACTACCCATAAATAATACACTGACTAATAAAATTAAGAGAATCTGTTCATCTAAAATACATTATTGAGATCGTGTAAAAGCAAAAAAGATTTATAGAAGATACTAAAATTGTATACGTATTTTTATATATGTACATATATGCCTGCGTGCATGTGTATATAACTCAAATACAGAATATATGGAAACTACAAATCCATTTTTAAAATACAAACATCTCAGTAAAAGCTGGAGGAAAATACCTGAAAAGGAACTTCATGAAAGACATAGTTAAATGACCAATAAACACATAAAATGGTGCTCAAAAAAAAAAAAAAACAATAAATAGCTGGGTGTGGTGGCACTGCAATCCAGTCTGGGTGACAGAGGGAGACCTCATCTCAAAAGACAAACAAAAATCAATAAATAAAAACAATTTTTTTAAAAAGGTGCTCAATCTCATTAATCGGCAGAGAAATGCGAGTGTAGACATAAGGAGAGATCACTGCACACCCATCGGAGTGGCTGGAATGAAAGACTAACTGTACAGCGAGTGTTCGAATGTGGCACAGCTGGAACCTTCGAATATTTCTGGACTTCCATTCCCACACAGACACCTGAGGCTGTGGCCGAAAGGTCAGATAGAGTCCCGGTGAAGAGTTCCTTCAGAATTGAGATCAACCCACCGAGGAAAAGCACCCCAACCTGGGTAGAGACAGAGTTCCCAAGGTCACGTGGCCTCCCTCATGGCTGACACAGAGCTCCCTGAGTCCCACCATAGGCTTAGAGAATCCAAGGAACAGCACCCCATTCCCCCGCAGCACCGGGAGAGAGCACCCACCACCAAGACAAAGCATCCGGTAAGCGTCCACATCGCGGATAAGCAGAACCAAAGAAAAGCCAACACATCCTAGCTGAGAGTGAGCGACATCCAAGGGCAAATGTGCCTCACGGACGACATCAGCACCCAAGGAAGAGTCCCTCGCAGGTTGAGATAAAGCCCCCGTCAGCGATCCCACAGGGCGGCGATCATGCGTCTGGGACACAGCCACCCCCACCATGTTCCATGAGAACAGATAGAGTCCCCAAGGCAGAGCCCCCGCTCAGGACTGCGACTGAGTGGGAAAGAAACAGCACCGCACCCGAGGCCGACACAAGCAACCAAGGCATGGCCCCCACCCCCGGGCTCAGGTCATTTCAGTAGGAAAAGTCCCTAGCATCACCGAGACAGAGCCCCCAAGAAAAGCCCCCCGGCCTCACAACATGGCTGAGACGAGGTGCCCAAGGAAAACGCTCCCCCGCGGCTGACACAGGCGCCCATGGCGGTGTCCCCAGAGCTGAGCCACTTCCCCAAGGGAGCCCTACCACACACCAGACAGAGAACACCACAGAAAAGACTCTTTCTGAGGAAAAAGGACACTTTCTGGGGTGAAATTAAAGCATCCAGGGAAAAACTGCCCCACTCACAGTCCTTAAGTCCTGACCTTGCTGGAGGAGAGACAGCAGCACCTCACAAAATGGCAGTGAAGTTGTGGCGCCTCCCCACTGGTGGCACTTTCTAGAAACCTGCCCTCTGGGAGTTGTGGGAAATGTGCCCCCTAGGGCACCTGGGAGTGATGTGCATGGGGAGGCGTCTCACCAGAAGCACCGATCCCGTTTGGTCCAAAGGGGATGGAAGGAAGGGAAGCAGCCAGCCACAGTGTGCTGGCCCAGCCGAACACTGGGAACCTGTTGGGGGCGCCAGAATCCTGAGGTGAAGCCTCGTGCCCCAGAGAACCAGGAAGCGCAGCCCTCCCCTTCGCTGACTGGCGCCCTCTACAGGCGACCTTCAGTAACAACTGCACAGCAACATAAGCAGAGGAACGCAGAACCTTCTCACACAGTGGGATGAAATCGCCTGGGTAACATAGTGAGACCCCGGCTCTACAGAGCAACCAACCAACCAAAAAAAAAAAAAACACACACAAAAATTAGCTGGGCATGGTGGCGGGCGCCTGTGGTCCCAACTACTCGGGAAGTTGAGGTGGGAGGATCGCTGGAACCCAGGAGGCAGAGGTAGCAGAGAGCCGAGAACGCACCACCGTACTCCAGCCTGGCCATAGAGGAGACTCTATCTCAAAAAAAAAAAAGGAAAGAAGAAAGAAAGAAAGAAAGAAAGAAAGAGAGAGAGAGAGAGAGGAAGGAAGGAAGGAGAAAGAAAAGAAAGAAAGAAAGAAAGAAAGAAAGAAAGAAAGAAAAAAAGAAAAGAAAAGAAAAGAAAGAAAGAAAGAAGAAAGAAAGAAAGAAACGACAACATCAACAAACTGAAATCTTCATTGGATGGGGTTGTGTTTTAAAGTCAACCCCAACGGGCGCTGTGGCTCGCGCCTGTAATCTCAGCACTTTGGGAGGCCAAAGCAGCTGGACCACCTGAGGTCAGGAGTTCGGGACCAGCCTGGCCAACATGGTGAATCTCGTCTCAACTAAAAATACAGAAAATTAACCGGGCGTGGGGCGCGCACCTGTAGTCCCAACAGCTACTTGGGAGGCTGAGGCAGGAGAATCACTTGAACTGGGGAAGTGAGGTTGCAGTGAGCTGAGATCACACCACTGCACTCCAGCCTGGGTAACAGAGCGAGACTCTGTCTAAAAATATAAATAAATAAATAAATAAATATAAATTCAACCTCTATCTGTTAAAGGTAACAGTTGTTAATTGATAAGAAAAATGAGGGCCACAGTGTGGTGGCTCATGCCTGTACCCCAGCACTTTGGGAGGCCAAGGTGGGTAGATTCCTTGAGCCCAAGAGTTCAAGAGTGGCCTGGGCAGCATGGTGAAACCCCGTCTGTACACAAGATACAAAAATTAGCTGAAAGTGTACTTGTGGTCCCAGCTACTTGGGAGGCTTGAGACCAGGAGGCTTGAGACTAGGAGTTTGAGGCTGCATTGAGCTTTGATCGCATAGCCTGGGTGACAAAGTGAGACTGTCTAAAAAAAAAAAAAAAAAAAAAAAAAGAAAGAAAAAAAGAAAGGAGGGGAAACCTTATTATATTGCATCTATTAATCATTTTAATCTGGAACTTTGTATATTTTTCCACCTTTTTTATTTTTTTTGAGACAGAGTCTGGCTCTGTCACCTAGGCTGGAGTGCAGTGCCATAATCTCGGCTCACTGCAACCTCCGCCTCCCAGGTTCAAGTGATTCTCCTGCCTCAGCCTCCCCAGAAGTTGGGATTACAGGCATGCACCACCATGCCCGGCTAATTTTTGTATTTTTAGTAGAGACAGTGTTTCACCACATCGGCCAGGCTGGTCTCAAACTCCTGACTTCAAGTGATTCATCTTCCTTGGCCTCCAAAAGTGCTGGGATTACAGGTGTGAGCCACCACGCCCCGCCCATTTTTCCACTTTCATAACTTATTTTAAGTGCAGCAAAATTTACTTGAATTGTTCATAGTGGCAAAAAATATTACAGCGAAAGTTTTGGAGTTTTAATGGAACAAGCAGTTTCACTCTTGACACAATTATTTGGAAGGGATTACTTCACTGGTTTTGTAATTCAAAAGTTATGTTTGTAAAAAAAAAATTAAAAATATAGCCAGGCATGGTGGTGGGCACCTGCAATCCCAGCTACTCGGGAGGCAGAGGCAGGAGAATCACTTGAACCTGGGAGGCACAAGCTTCAGTGAGCAGAGATCGAGCCACTGCACTCCAGCCTGGGCGACAAAGGGAGACTCCGTCTTAAAATAAATAAATTAAAATTAAAATTAAAAATTATGTTTGTTAAGTACCCTGTCAGAAGAGAGTCATTTTCAGTATTATAGCTTCCTAGCCTATTGTATTAATATTTGCCTGTGTTTCAGAACCTTTACAGAACACATTTTCTTTTGGAATATATTTGATTGATAGGAAAGCTTAAACATTGTTTTCACTTCGATGTAGGAACACAGTTGTTTTGTTTGTTTCTTCTAGTGTTATCAAAATGAAATACTCATTTTTGCATTAAAAAAATCCCACCACAGCAGTACTCATATGAGTATTTGATTGAATAACCATGAGACTGGAATCTTGTTGGGGCTTAATTAGAATCCTGCCTACCACACAAGCCACAAGTGGACAGCTGCATGTGACAGTCCTGACTGGGACAGCCCTGAAGGACAGTGATGAAGGGAAATCCTCCCAGAGGGAAGAACTTTGAGCAGTGCACCTTCTTGGAGGAGGCATATCCAGACGTGTAAGTATGTACCATGCATAGGCTGTGTCCCACTCATTCGCTGAATTGTCAGGGACATTGAGGACACATGATTAAAAATTTCTGTCAAGGACGTCTGAGAAAAAAAAACAAATATGTGGACAGACCTTTCCAAGTGGACATACAATGTGAAGATATTGGGGTCTCATGAGAGTTCTCAGCAAAGGGTATCCTCAGCAGAGCAGAATTTAATAATCAGATGGATAAGGTACTTATTATCTACATATTAATTAGCCTCTTTCCCCAACACTTGTGTCACAATCTTATGGGCTCAACAAAGTGGTCAAACTGTCAAGGATGGAGATTATGCGCAGTAGCATGGACTTCCACTCACCATGGCAAACCTGGCTACAGTCATTGCTGAGTGAACAATCTTCCAGGAATGGAGACCAACACTAAGCCCCCAATTTAGCACCAGACTCCAAAATGATCTGCCAGCCACTAGTTGGTATGTGGATTACAATAGATCACTTCTATTGTAAAAAGAGAAGTGCTTTCTTCTTACCTCAACAGACATTTAGTCTAGATATGGATTTTCCTTCCCACTTGCATTGCTTTTGAGAAAACCAATATTTGTATCTTGGCTTCCAAAATTCTGGAAAGCGCTAGTTCCTCAAGTTCCTAGGGTTATTCATTCTGGAGACTCTAGTATACTCTGCAAGAAAACCTGTAGGCCATCCACCAGAATGCCCAAATGGAGTCACTCTTAAATAACAAGCCCTGCATGTTTCCAGAAACTCTATTTATCAGTGACAAGTTTACTATGGCAGCCATTTCGCCACCCAGGACAGTTGGAGAATGGCAGATATTAGGGACCATTAACTCTGTAAAATCTATAGAAGACTGCAGTGAAGAATCACAGTTACAGAACGAAAAGTGACAGTCTTGTATTTTGGATGTTTGTTCAAAGAGGATATACAATTAATAAAGTGGTCAAGGAATAGGTTTCACCTTTAATACTAAAAACTAACATAGAAACTTGTAAAGGTGTCAAAGTGTAGTAATCCTTTTCATGTATATCTGGTTAAGATTTAAAACTGAAGCTTTCTTTTTTAACCTTTTTAAAATTATAAATACCAGAAGGGTACACGTACAGTTTTCTCACTTGGGTATAATTGCATAATGCTGGGGTTTGGGCTTCTAGTGAACCCATCACCCAAATAGTGAAGAGAGCATCCAATAGGTAGTTTTTCAACCCTCCAACCCGCTCCCTCCCTCCCCTCCACTTCCCTTTTGGAGTCCTCAGAGTCAATGGTTTCTACCTTTATGTTCATGTGTACCCATTGTTTAGCTCCCACATATGAATGAGAACATGCAGTATCTCATTTTCTGATTATCTGATTTTGTTTCTGTGTTTCACTTAAAAGTGAAGTTTTCGCCAGACACAGTGGCTCACGCCTGTAATCCCAGGATTTGGGAGGCAGAAGTGGGTGGATCGCTTGAGGTCAGGAGTTCCAGGCAAGGCTGGCCAACATGGCAAAACCACATCTCTACCAAAAATACAAAAAATAGCCGGGGCCTGGCGCGGTGGCTCACGCTTGTAATCCCAGCACTTTGGGAGTCTGAGGTGGGCAGATCACTCGAGGTCAGGAGTTTGAGACTAGCCTGGCCAACATGGTGAAACCCTGTCTCTGCTAAGAAATGCAAACAATTAGCCAGGTGTAACAGTGCATGCCTATAGTCCCAGCTACACAGGAGGCTGAGGCAAGAGAACTGCTTGAACCTGGGAGGTGGAGGTTGCAGTGAGCCGAGATCGGACCATAAACTTAATCAAATTGTTGTTCCAACTGCAGCTGCTGTACTGCAGGTGGTTTTGTTGCGTCAGCAACCGTGACATCCCTGGCAACCTGATATATAATATTAATTAGGTGAATGTTTTGTTTACTTTCAGTAGTTGTCATAAAGAAGAGTTTGGGTCCAGCTAGAAAGGACAGCAATGTACTATCATCTCCTCTTTCAACCTTATATCAACTCTCAAGGTTTATATCCTAAACGAGTCCTTAGGGACCATGACCACCTTTCTCTTAAACCAGATGTAACACCATTCTTTGCACTGATGACATTATGCTGACTGCGCAGGAGGTAGCAACTAATCCAGACACATTAGCGACACACTTACAAGACATTATGTGAGAAATAATTCCCACACAAAATCAGGGACCTTCTAACTGAGTGAAACGTTTAACAATCTAGTAGTCTGGCATGTCAAGATGGTGTTCATAAGGTGAACAGGAAGTTCCTACATCTTGCCTTTCTTACCACTAAATAAGGAACACGAAGCGAGTTGCATAATAGATGCTTGTTTTATCAATGTTGTGCAGTACCGTGACACATTGACAAGTTAGTGAAACCCTGCTAGCGAAGACAAGGTGCCCAAGGAAAACGGTCTCCGACGGCTGACACAGGCACCCACGGTGGTGTCTCCAGAGCGGAACCACATCACCCAGGGAGCCGTACCACACACCCAACGCAGAGCACCCCAGAAAGACACTTTCTGGGGCGATATTAAAGCATCCAGAGAAAAACTGCCCCACTCACAGTCCTGAAGTCCTAACCTTTCCAGAGGAGCGGCTGTGGCACCTCACAAAATGGCAGCGAAAATTCCACCACTGGCTGTACTTTCTGGAAACTTGCCCTCTGGGAGTTGTGGGATATGTGCCCTCTAGGGTACCTGTGAATGATGTGCATGGGACGCATCTCACCAGAAGCACTGATCCCGTACAGCCCAAGGGGGATGGAAGGGAAGCTGCTGGCCACCACTTGTCCTGCCCCAGCTGAACACTGGGAATCTGTTGGGGGCGCCAGAGTCCCGAGGTGAAGGCTTGTACTCTGCAAGACCATGGGCTCCAGCCAGGGGAACCAGGAAGCACAGCCCTCCCATTCGCTGACTCTGGCGCCCTCTACAGTCGGCCTTCAGTAACAACTGCACAGCTACGTAGGGAGAGGAACGCAGAACTTTCTCACACAGCGGGATGAAATCGCCTGGGTAACATAGCCAGACCCTGGCTGTACAAAACAGCCAACCAACCAAAAAGAAAAACACAAAAATTGGCTGGGCGTGGTGGCGCGCACCTGTGGACCCAACTACTAGGAAAGTTGATATGGGAGGATCACTTGAACCTGGGATGCCGAGGTTGCCTTGAGCCGAGATCCCGCCACTGCACTCCACCTTGGGCGACAGAACCAAACCCTGTCTCAAAAAGAATGGGGTGAATTTGTACCTGACCGCCAGTAAGTTCATGGATGGCACACTATATTAACACACACACAAAAAGAAATCTATGTTATCATCACACTTAAAGCATAAACCGTGTTAAAATGCAACAACCTATTCATGAGAAAAAATGTAAACGCATATAAGAAAGGTCTCTATCATTCAGTATGATACTAGCTGTGGGTCTATCAGAAATCCACTGCACACGTTATTCGCAGGGGAGAAATCTTAGATGCATTCCTTGTAAAATCAAAACAGGACAGCATTGCCCACTGCCATCACTTCTGTGCAACACAGCCCTACAGGAATTCCTAGCTTACACCTGAAGATAGTGGATGGGGTATTCACACAAAGCCAGCTATCAGACAGTTTAATTAAACACAAGCTCTGAGAATGGTGCTTCTCAGGGAGTTTTGGTGGCATGCTAAATAGTGATGATTAGGCTGGCCGCGGTGGCTCATGCCTGTAGTTCCAGCTACTCCAGAGGCTGAGGCAGGAGGATCTCTTGAACCCAGGAGGTCGAGGCTGCAGTGAGCCATAATTGTGCCAGTGCCATCGAGTCTGGGAGACAGAGAGAGACCCTGTCTCAAACATAATAATAATATTAATATTCAAAGTAGTGATTGTCTGGAAATAGAGATTTTAGGGGAGCTCCAACCAGTAGCTCCCTGCAAGTGGCTGATAATTTGATGGTATTCAGAGCTACCAGAGTTGTGAGGGTGTAAGTTTAAAGGCTAACATTGGAGCAGAGCAGAGTGTGGGGGAATGGAACAAGTTAAAACATCACAACGCTTATGGTTGGTAGTGTGATTTAGCCATTTTTCTTGAATAAATATTCTTCGGACTGTTGAATTCCTGGAATTTCAAGAATCTTTATGTTGACAATATTTGCGACTTTTAAAAAATAAAAGCGTGGATTTTCACTGGTCTTTCCTCCGTGATTCCAGTAGTCTTCTCCTATATGTTACATTTTAACCTAAATATAAGTCCAACAAATGAGATTGTAATTAATTTATATTCTCTCTCTCTTTTTTCCTGTATGAAAACTAATATAAGTGGTGCCTGCATGTCATTCAGCTCTATTGGTAAACTAACCCTGAGGTACTGCTTCTTCATTCAACTGGTTGTAGTGTACTCCCCTTAGGGATATAGGTGCAGATTGAGAGAATGTATTAGTTTTATTGCCCTGTAACAAACTACTCCAAATTAAATGGCTAAAAGCAACACTGAATTATTATTTATTATCTCA
Organism: Homo sapiens; assembly: GCF_000001405.40. Taxonomy (NCBI): domain Eukaryota; kingdom Metazoa; phylum Chordata; class Mammalia; order Primates; family Hominidae; genus Homo; species Homo sapiens. Next base: position 135,706,480 of record NC_000023.11, on the reverse strand, counting down.
CAGTTCTGCAGTTCAGAAATCTGGGAGGTCTTGACTTGGTTCCCTACTTGGAGTCTCAAAAGGCCAAAATCAAAATTGTATGCAAGCGGTGTTCTCATCTAAAAAGTTTGGGGTGGAATGCAATTCCAAATTCATTTGGATATTTGGCAGAATCCAATTCCTTGCCATGCAGAACTGAAATCCTTGATTCTGGCTGGCTGTGAACTGGGACTCACTCTCAACTCATAAAGGGGCTTACCAGATCTTTTCACGAGGTCCCTTCCCTATCTTCAAGCCAGCATCAGCATGTCAAATTCTTCTCATTCTTCATAACTGTCTCATCCTCTTGTGGTACCAGCTGGAGAAAAGACTCTGCTTTTAAAGGCTCATGTGTGTGGGTTAGGCCCACCTGAGGAATTCCTCTATATTTAGGTTAACAGGTTAGTAACCTTACTCACATCTGCAAAATCGCTTTTGTCATGCTAGGTAACTTAATCAGGGGGTGAAATTCATGGGGACCATTTTAGTATCCTGCCAATCGTAGATGGAGAAAGTTGTGTGGCAGGAATAGGATCCATGTGTATTTTGGCCACTTCATCATGGAACTTACTTTCGCCTTCAGGACATGCTTGATCTTGTACATACCACTTCCATTTAATAATGGTGTGCTTCTATGCATACCCATTGCTGTAACTTGGTGGGTCAGAAAGCACCTAGGATAAGACAGGCATGTCTAAGTAGCATTATAATTTGGCGTCCATGGTCAAACATTGAATGTCACCCAAGGCTCAGTAATAAATCACATATTTTTCGAAAGAATCAGCATGATGTTTGTGTCTTCAAGAAATTCGTGTCAATTCAGAACTGGTGTCCTGTAGTCATTGATAAATCTAATAATTTCTCTTCCGCATGTACTTTCACCTTAGTGAAGGGCTACAGGCCTTCTTTGAGTAAGAATGGGAGAAAGTGATGGTATAAGCTTTTTCATTCTAGAAAGGCCCCTCCTCAAGAAGCCTTTTATTTTATTTTATTATTATTATATTTTAAGTTTTATGGTACATGTGCCTGATTCATGAGGTTTTAGGTCTATAAACTAGTCAAGTCTGCAAGTTGATTGAGGCACAACCTTTCAGTCATCATGGGGTTAAGGAGGGATATGTCTGAAATTCAGGAGATCCTATAGAGCACCTCTTAGTACTCCTGTGTCCAGTGATGAAAGTCAAAGAAAACTGCAACAGCCTAATTCAATCAGGACTGCTTATGGCCGTGAACCTCAAGATTGGAGGTTTGAGTCACCCCACTAGGAAAAGGTCTGTCACCAGAGAAGGGGCTAGCTGAAAACAAAGGGAGTATGAAATGGGTAGTGGGAGAAGTGACTACAAGACCATAGGCAGATACAAAGACTAACCTTGTTTCTGTTTTTGTTTCAGAATAAAGAGTATCACTTCTTTATTTTGAAATGAATTCATTTGCATATATTAATATTATGTGTCATATATGTTTATATATATATATATAGTAAATATTTTTCGTTTTGACCTCCTGACATCCCCTGATCTCCTAGCATGTGTTATTAAGTTAACTTTATTTTTCAACATTTAAGATACAGGATATTAAACGCACAGTATGAATTAGGTAGCAGCAGATTGAACAAGATTTAAGAAAAATGTGAGGCTTTTAGTGCCCTCTTTTGGAGAAGAGTTCGTGTTTTCTTGGTTGCAGGTGGGAGAGTTGGACCACATTACGGAGAATTGTGATTTGTTATTGTTTCTACGTAGAGATTAAGAACGGCGTAAGGAGAGGTGCATGGATATCAAAGTGACAAGGGCATCACTTGCAATTTGTCGACTTGGCTAGGCCAAATTATATTAGCCACGGTTCTCTTTCTGGGAAGTATCTGGTGTTCCCCGTGGAGGTTCTTTGAAAATTGTGCAGGGCAGTGGATAGGAGGCAGCAGCCATTTCTAGCTCACACACATTGTTGCTGCTCTCTGGATTCACCTTATTGGTACGAAGCTACAGCCAGACCTGCAATTTCTCTTCCTTCCCCTGGATGCTCTTTTACCTTCTCTATCTTCTGGGCCAGGTGTATGTGTTTAGCTCTGTTACAAAGAGCCTTCTTGGCTTTTCGTCTTCAAGATCAGAGGCAACAAAAATGAACATGTACCTCCATCTGCCCTCATAATGTTCCAGATCATGTTCGCGGGTTTCAGCCTGTTTGTTACGCCACCATCCTCAGTAGAGATGACAAAAGCCTTACAAAGACTGTGTTACCACCTTTCACAATTGTGTAAAACCAATTCTTTTTAAGAAATCAATCATTCAATCTGTGTATCCATCCACTGCCTTTATTAAGCCTCATTGTATCACCTGCTTATAGAGTTGCATAGTTTTACTCTATGCTGATAACCAGTACACACGGCCTGTCTTGAAATCCATTTTTAAAAATATCCTTGCTGTTAAGGTCAATATTTCTTAATTAAGCATGAACAAATACCACTGTTGACAGTGAGTGCAGTTTTGAAGTCTAAATTCTTATGTTCTTAATATTCTTAAAGAAAATAGTACAATTTACTTTTCTATGAAGGAATAACAAAGCACAAGAAAGGCAACTAAGCTGGGCGTGGTGGCTCATGCCTGTAATCCCAGCCCTTTGGGAGGCTGAGGCAGGGGGATTGGTTGAGCCCAGGAGTTAGAGACCATACTGGGCAACATGGCGAGACCCCAGCTCTACAAAAAAAAAAATAATAATAATACAAAAATTAGCCAGACACGGTGGTGTGCACCAGTAGTCCCAGCTACTCAGGAGGCTGAGGTGGGAGGATCACCTGAGCCCAGGAGGCCAAGGCAGCAGTGAGCCAAGATCCTGACAGTGCACTCCAGCATAGGCAACAGGGCAAAACTCTGTCAGAAAGAAAGAAAAGAAAGAAAAGAAAGAAGGAAAGAAGGAAAGAGAAAGAAAGAAAGAAAGAGAGAAAGAAAAGAAAGGAAAGAAGAGAAAGAAAAGAAAGGAAAGAAAAGAAAGAGAGAAAGAGAAAAGAAAGACAACTAGACATTTCTCCAGCATTAATGGACTTGTGAAAATTAAAATGTTTTATTTGTATTTATGAAAAGTTGAAATCTTTTTTATACAAAATGCTTGCAAATTAATAAAAAAATAACATTACTTATCAATGTGAACATTTGTAAAATATTAAAGGAAAAACCACACAATATTTTGCTCTTTTTGTGCTTTAAAAGCATAGAATGGACTGGGTGTGGTGGCTCACGCCTGTAATCCCAGCAATTTGGGAGGATGAGATGGGCGGATCACTTGAGGCCAGGTTTCGAGACCAGCCTGACCAACATGGCAAAACCCCATCTCTACTACAAATACAAAAATTAGCAGCGTGATGGCACCTGTAATGGCACCTATGATGCACTTGTAATCCCAGCTACTTGGGAGGCTAAGGCCTCCACGCCCGGCTCATTTTGTATTTTGGGGGTTTCTCCATGTCGCTCAGGCTGGTCCAGAACTACTGACCTCAAGTGATCCTCCCACCTCGGTCTCCCAAATTGATGAGAGTACAGCCTGGCCCCTGGCTTAGATTTTGAACCTATTGTATAGTAGACTGGGTTTTGGGTTTGATAAACAGGTCTAAGGTAAGGAAGGGTCTCCCAGAAGTCATCTCAAACGGACTAAGTTTTGTTTTTTCTTTGGGTGCCACTCGTATTCTCATGAGGGCTATAGGCAACAGAGTGTTCCAAGACTCAGAAGTTTCCTGGCACAGTTTCACCAGGGTCTACCTTAAAGTTTGATTAGTCCTATTAACCTTGCGGGAGGATTGTGGCCTCCATAAGGAGTGGAGATGAAATTTAATTTTCAAAGGTTGGGCTATCTATTGGGTTACAGTTGCAGGAAAACAGGGGCCTTTGTCGCTCTGCAAGGAGCATGGGAGGCCAAATCCTGGTATGATCTCTTTTGGCAGTGCCTTGGCCACTTCTGTAACTTTCTCTGTTCTGGCGGGGAACGCTTCTACCTATTCGAGAATGGTGTCTACAAAAACTAAAAGGTATTTAAAAACTCGAAAGGAGGGCCTTTGGGTGCAGTCAATTTGCCAGTCCTCACCACGATAGTTCTTTGCCACTGGACTGAGGTTAATAAAGGAGGAGACCCTTGTTTTGTTTGCCTCGTGGTAATTTTGAGACCAAAGTTCACAGGCCTGAGTGACCTTTTTATTGTGGTTGCCAGGCCTTTACCTGTAAACACATGGTCCATGCACGTGGTCATAGCATCCTGCCCCATATGGAGGGAATTGTGCAAATTTTTATCAATTTTTCATGGGTGGGACTAGCAAGAGTTTAAACCTATGAGCCTCCAACCCTCAGGATTTAGGGTCTTCTGATTTTCTTTAGCCTATGCTTGTTTTCTATCCTATAGGATAGATTTATAAGAAAAGAATGGGGCCGTGCACGGTCGCTCACATCCGTATGAAATTCACCACTTTGGGAGGCTGAAGTTGGTGGATCACTTGAGGTCAGAGGTTCAAGACCAGCCTGACCAACATGGTGAAACCCCGTCTTTACTGAAAATACAAAAATTAGACAGGTGTGGTAGCATGTGCCTGTAATCCCAGATACTTGGGAGTCTGAGGCAGGAGAACTGCTTGAGCGAGAGAGGTGCAGATTGCAGTGAGCTGAGATCGCACCACTGCACTCCATCCTAAGCAACAGAGCAAAACTCCATCTCAAAAAAAATAAAAAATAAGAAATAAAGAGAATGAGCTGAGAAGAATAGGGTCCTAGCTTCCCTGCTAGCCCTTGCATTGCCCAGTGCAACTGAGGAGTTTCCTTTTTGATGTTCTTGACAGTGAATGACTGCCATTTGATTAGGATCATGCACAGCCCCGTAAATCTGCAGTGTTTCCTTTGCATGTTTAATGGGGGAATTCCGTGCATTTAGAAGACCCCGCTTTTTTCAGATACCTGCATGTGGTTGAAGCACAAAGAAGGCGTTCTTGGAGTCAGCATATATGTTAAGTGCCTTTCCCTGACCTAGATCCAGGGCCTTAGGGAGAGGAACCAGGATTCAGGGTGAGGGCGATTAGCCCTGCTTTTTGTGCTGAGGTATTAGGTGGCAGTGTTTGGGCATCTATTGTTTGGTATAGACTTACCACAGTACATCCTACCCTTATTTTTCCATTTTTTAGAAAACTACTTCCATCAGAATGTAGAAAACTATATTCATCATCAGGATTCTTGAGAGATGTATCTCTTAGATCTCTTCTACCTAAGTAGATCTGCTCTATGGTTTTAATACAGGAATGAGTTAGGTTCTCCGAGGAATTGACTGGCATGAGCAGAGCTGGATTAAGGGTGTCACAAGTTTTTATAGTAACCTTGGGGCAGTCTAAGAGGAGAGCCTGATGTTTGGTGAGTCTTCCTCTCGAGAGAGATCTAGGAATCAGGGTTCTACAGAACCCATACATTCAAAAAAAGTTCTGTGTTGTCTCTTGGTTTGGGAACTAGGCAATCTAGTATGGCTTGTTTTCTTTTTCCTGATAGCTGCCTTATTCCCGCGGTTATAATGTACCCTAAGTAAGTTACTCCCTGTTTGCTTAATTGTGCCCTTTTATTTGAAAACTTATATCTACTTGCTCCAAGGGAATTTAAGACTGTGATGGTATTCTTGTCAGATGTTTCCTTGGTAGGGCTACATATCAAGATGTTATCTACATAGTGTAGGACACCACATTCCCTAAGTGGTAACTCTCAGAGATCTTTGTCTAGGGCTAGTGAAAACAGGTGAGGGCTATCTTGAAAGCCCAGGCACTATAACACCCAGGTGTACTGGTGGGTGTTCCCTGTATTTGGATCTGTCTTTTCAAAGGCAAATAGAAACTGAAAGGACAGGTGCACTGGGATTAAAAACACGACATCTTTAAGGCCTAGTACACTAAACCATTGGCAATGTCCCAGAATTTGGGTTAATAAGATATAACGGTTCTCTACCAAGTGAGGAAGAGAGTTCCTGCCTCGTTTATGATTCTCAAGTGTTGTGCCAGTTGATATTCCCCATTTGGTTTTATGACTGGTCAGCGTAGGAGTATTAAGGACACTAGTAAACAATGCTGTAAGAATCTAGAAATTAAGGGCTTCAATACCTTTTTTGCTTCTAATATTAGGGGATATTGCTTTTATTTGGGGTACTTATTGGGGTCCTGTAGTTTAATGACCACAGGTTGAGCCCAAAGGGCTCTTCTGAGCACGCTGTTGTTCCAGATGCTGGATTTACATGTTCTAAGATTGACAGACATAGGGAGGTGATCTGCTGGCCCTTCAACGAGGACCATTTGGGAGGGGCTGGTGCCTTCGAGTGGTATGATGGCACCCATGTTAGTTAATAAATCTCTGCCTAAGAGCAGGGTAGGACACTCAGAAATTAGCAAGAAAGAGTGTGGCATAAACTGATGTGTATGTGAGTAAGGAAGTAAAATAGTAAGAATGGGGTTGATTATTGACCCCAGTTATGGTACAACTTTTGGAAGTAAGTGGCCCAACATGAGAAGTTAATACACAGTAGGAGGCCCCTTTATCCATTAAAAAATCAATATTCTTACCTGCCACATCAAGGGTCAGCTAGAGTTCCAGATTGGTGACTGGAATGTTCTTTTCAGTGGGGGCCGTCTGGAACCCTGGGCCTCCTTAGTCTTGAGTTAGTGCCATCTCAAGGGAGGATGTCCGCTTTCCCCTTCAGGACTGAGGAAAATCCATTCCCCAGTGGCTATCTTGTTTACAGACTGGGCGTGGCCCAGGGGCAGCTGTGTGCACTTTCTGGCCTGGTGCTCCGATTGCTTGCATTGAAAGCAGGCTCCTTGATAGCTGTTACCCTGTTGGCGACCAGTTTCCAAGCTTCAAGTTTCCTGGGGGTGATTTCGAGGTGGCAGGACACTACTAACAGAAAGAGCTATCATTTTAGCCTGAGCCTTATCTCACCTGTTCTTGCACTGGACTCTGCCTTCCTCCTCATTCAGATTCCTATTATGAAATACTCCAAAATCCATTTCTGTTAGTTGAGACATAAGTGTTTCTGGCCCTAATTGTAATTTCTGTGGTTTTCTCCTGATATCTGGGGTAGACTGGCTAATAAAGTTTTGTCCTGGTGACAATCCCTGTGTGACTACTTTGACTTTCTCATAGTTAACAGGTTTTTTTTTTTTAATGCATAGTCTGATCCCTGCCAGGAGGCATTGGACCATGTAGGTCATCCCTATTCTTTATTCTTCCAGACCTGTTGTAATTCCAACCTGGGTCATAGGAGAGATCAGCAATAGCTGTCACTTCATGGGTGGCAGGCCAGTCAGCTGCCCTGCTATTTATGTATCCCTGACTGGCTAATCAGATTCTCTGTTGTTCCTGTGGAGTACAGCAAGGGAAAGGACAGCTTGTATACCTTTCCAAGTTAAGTCAAAGGCCAAAGTTAGAGCCTGGGCTGCATTGGTAAATGCATTGGGTTCCTCTGAGAACAGTCTGAGGTTTTGCTTGCACTGGATTAGATCATTTATTGAGAATGGAACATGTATTCTAATGGTCCCTTCTGCATTTGGACTTCTGGTAAAGGGAGCAGTTTCACTGGTCCTGGATGGTATGAAGTCCCACTATGAGTTATTCCAGGTTGGCCAGTCCCTACTTACAAGGCAAAGGAGAGTAAAGAGAAGCATATGCAGGAGTTGAAATGGGATTATATTCTACAGAAGACTCTGATAGGGTAGGGTGTGCTGGGGACTCAGAAGTAGATATGGGCCCCTGAGAGCCCCTTTATGGAGCTGGTGTTGGGCTGTGGGCCCTGAGAGCCCTTCCCCTTAATAGAAGATAATTTTCTAGTGCATCTGTGTGGTTTTCTGTCTTACTGGGTTTAACCCACAGGTGCTGCATAGAGCTGGGTTCTGTTGTAAGGCTATAAAGGCCTGCACATAGGGAACATCAGACCACATTCCCTGATTTGTACAGAAAAGATCTAGCCGTAAGATGGTGTTAAAGTTCATATTTCTTTCTCCAGCCATTTTTCATTGTTAGCTGAATTGTATCCAGGTCAAACAGTGTTACAAAACAAGGTAAGTTTTTTTTTCTTCTTTAGCTCATCTAACCAAATGGTATTCCGGTTTTTAAAATATACATCCCAGGGTTGTTTTAGTGAGAGTAGAAGAGATGGGTCCCATGGAGCCAAGAGAATCCTGCAATGACAGACACATATGCCGAAGTCCAGGAGGTTGTGGGTGTTCCCATGAGCTAACCTAGACCATGAAGTGGTACAGGGCACTCGCTTGAATCTGCATGAGATTGAGGCCCTAGGAGGTCACCGGTGTTTGCCATGCACCATCCTAGATCTCACCAGTACTGGACGTCTCCAGGCTCAACCGAGGTGGCCCCTGCTGCCAGCTGGGGGCCCAGATGTCTCACTGACAAGACTCTCCCTACCTCACCTAGAATACCTGGATGCATTCCCTGTGACCGGACATCTACATGACTGCACATCTTTTTTTTTCTGGATAGAATGTTTGCTGAAGGACATGTGAAGGATTATGAAAATGAATAAAGCCTGGAAAGATAGGGACTCTTAATGTGCCCTAAACAGAAAGTTTTGTCAACAGAAATCCAGAGTAGAAAATAGATCACAATAGCCACTAAGTGGCAGTCAAGTATTGCCAGAGGGGCAACAAACATGCTGAGTCTGAAATGTGGCCAAAAGGATGTGACACTAAGCAGCAAAATAGCCTGAGTACTGAATATTGAGAGCAACCCACATGCATAGTATAATTATGAATAGAGCAGAAGTTGCAGCCAAAAGGAGAGCAGCACATATATTCACATAAAGAATATAGGTGACTTAAAAACTTTTTTCCCCAGAATTTCATTGAAACAGCACATTACCATGCCAGCTGAGCTGCCCATCCTAAACAGGGTGTTTTCTGACCCCCCAAATCTTAGTGATGGGTAGGTACAGAAGCACCCCATTATCAAATTGAAGGGATACATAAAGATCACACTCAGGTCCTGGAGCGATAAGTACTTTGTAAGAGAAAGTGGCCCAAAACTCATGGCTTCGACTCTTGCTATATTTAGCTTCTCTCTCTTTCTTTGGAAGAATTCTGAGATGGTCCCCATGACTTTTACCCTCTGGTGTTAGTCTCATGATTACATTACAGGAAAAAATAATTTTGCAGATGTAATTATGCTCACTAGTCACTTGATCTTACGATAAGGAGATTCTCCAAGTGGGTCTGACTTACACACATGAGCCCTTTAAAAGCAGAGCATTCAATATCATTGATCACTAGAGAAACACAAATTGCAAATCAAAACCACAATGAGATACCATCTCACAACAGTCAAAATGGCTATTATTAAAAAGTCAAGAAATAACAGATGCTGGTGAGGTTGTGGAGAAAAGCGAACACTTTATACACTGTTGGTGGGAGCATAAATTATTAGGTTGGTGCAAAAGTAATTGCAGTTTTGCCATTACGTTTAATGGCAAAAATAGCAATTACTTTTGCACCAACCTAATAGTTCAACCACTGTGGAAAGCAGCATAGTGATTCCTCAAAGAGCTGAAAGCAGAACTAACATTTGACCCAGCAATGCCATTACTGTGTATATACCCTAAGGAATGTAAACCATTCTAACATAAAGATATATGCATGCAAATGTTCACTGCAACACTATTACAATAGCAAAGACATGGAATCAACCTAAGTGCTCATCAATGGCAGACTGAATAAAGAAAATGTGGTACATATACACCATGGAATACTATGCAGCCATAAAAAAGAATGAGATTTTGTCTTTTGCAGAAACATGGATGAAGCTGAAGGCTGTTATCCTTAGCAAACTAACACAGGAACAAAAAAATAAATACTGCATGTTCTCACTCATGAGTGGGAGCTAAATGATGAGAACACATGGACACAAATATGGGAGCAACAGACACTGGAATCTACCTGGGGATGGAGGGTGAGAGGAGGGAAAGTATCAGGAAAAATAACTGATGGGTACTAGGCTTAACACCTGGGTGATGAAATAATCTGTACAACAAACTCCTGTGACACAAATTTACCTGTGTAACAAACCTGTACTTGTACCCTAGAACTTAAAATAAAAGTTAAAAAGAAGTCTGGCACTAATCCAATCAAATTCCCTCACTTTCCTGATGAGGAAGTATGAATTGTCAAGGTCCTTTGAGTGATCAGGGGCAGGACCAGAGTTAAATGTGAGCTCACGTGAAGCTCAGCATTTTTTTACCACATACTACCTTCTACATGTTCGTGTATCCTGTGATTTTAATGCAAATAGCAATGTGTTTGGATTAAAATCTCAAACATCAAAAGAGAAAGAAAGATGAGGAAGTTATATTGATATCAGATAAAGGTGACCAATAAAATGCATTATTTGAGCATAAATAGTCCCTATGTAATGGTCAAAATTCATTTCTCCAGAAACATTTAACAATTGTACAGGTGTATGCAGTTAATAAAATAGTCTCGAAAATATATAAAGCAATAATAAGAACTATTGAGAGAAATTGAAAAATCCACCATTATTGTGGAAGATTTTAAACGTAATTATCTCAATTAATGTTAAGTTGAACAGAAAAAAATAATAAACACATAAATGTGAACAATACAATAAACAAAGTTAACTTGTGGCCATTTATAGAAACCTGTAACCAACAATCGGAATATAAACTATTCTCAAGCATACATGGAAAAACAGGCCATGGTCTCAACAATGTTCAAATACCTAGTTTCATACATACTCTTTAAACAAAACGAAATTGAACTAGAAGTGAATAGCAACAACAACAAAATGTATTCAGAAATTTTAAAAGTCTTCTAATAAGTACTTAGGTATGAATGATAAGGAATATATTGCATATGAAAACTTTCTGGATGCAGTGAAACTGGTCCTTAGAGGAAATACATAGTCTTACGTGCTTATATTAGAAAAGGAAAAAAAGCCTGAAAATTGAGCTCTGTCTAACATAAGAAACTGGATGAAGAACAGTAGAATATACCCAAAGAAAGTAGAAAGAAGGTGCTAATAAACATGAAGCAGAAATTAATGAAATAGAAAAGAAATTGCAATAGAGAAAATAAACAAATCCAAAAGTCGGTCCTTTGAAAACTAATAGCATAGACAAACCTTTAGGAAGATTGATCAAGAAAAAAATAATGAACAAATACGTAACATTAGGAATGAAAAATGACATAACTATGGATGCAGCAAAAATTCTAAAAAGGGAAGGGAAACTCCTATGAACAACTTTATATTAAATTCAAAAACTTAAATGAAATACACATTTACTTCTCAAAAGAAGACATACATGCGGCCAAGAAACATATGAATAAAAGCTCAACATTACTGAACATTAGAGAAATGCAAATCAAAACCACAATAAGATACCATCTCATGCCAGTCAGAGGCTGAGGAAGGAGAATCACTTGAACCTGGGAGGTGGAGGTTGCAGTGAGCCGAGATTGCTCCACTGTACTCTGGGCTGCGCGACAGGAGCAAAAGAAAAAAAGACAAAAAACAACAGATACTGGTGAGGTTGCAGAGAAAAAGGACTGCTTTTACACTGTTGGTGGGAGTGTAAATTACTTCAACCATTGTGGAAGACAGTGTGGTGATTCCTCAAAGATCAAGAGGCAGAAATACCATTTGACCCAGCAATCCCATTACTAGGTATATACCCAAAGGAATATAAAGCATTCAGTATGTTCATTGCAGCACTACTTACAACAGCAAAGACATGGAATCAACCTAAATGCCCATCAATAATAGACTGGATAAAGAAAATGTGGTACATATACACCATGAAATACAATGCAACCATAAAAAGGAATGAGATCATGTCCTTTGGAGGGGTATGGATGGAGTTGGAAGCCGTTATCTTCAGCAAACTAACACAGGAACAGAAAACCAAGCAGCGCATATGCTCACTTACTAGTGGGAGCCAAATGATGAGAACACAAGGACACGTTGGGGGGTGGGGGAACAACACACACTGGGGCCTGTCAGAAGGAGTGTGGGGGAAGGGAGAGCATCAGGAAGAATAGCTAACTGACACTGTGCTTAATACCTAGGTAATGGAATGCTCTGTGCAGCAAACCGCCAAGGCACACGTTTACCTATGTAACAAACCTGCACATCCACATCCTGCACATGTACCCCTGAACATAAAATAAAAGCTGAGGCCAGGCACGGTGGATCAAGCCTGTAATCCTAGCACTTTGGGAGGCTGAGGTGAGTGGATTACCTGACGTCAGGAGTTCAAGAGCAGCCTGGCCAACATGGTGAAACTTCGTCTCTACTAAAAATACAAAAAATTAGCCGGGTGCAGTGGCGTGCGCCAGTAATCCCAGCTACTCGGGAGGCTGAGGCAGGAGAATTGCTGGAACCGGGGAGGTGGAGGTTGCGGTGAGCCGAGATCGCGCCACTGCACTCCAGCCTGGACTACACAGCAAGGTGTCGTCTCAAAAAATAAATAAATAAATAAATAAATAAATAAATAAATAAATAAATAAATAAGTTGAGGGCAGCAGCAGCATTGTGCGGGCACCAGCAGTGGGGCCAAGGAGGAGCAGGACGCACTGGGGCCGCCTCCCACACGGACCCATGAACCAGCCATGTGGTTGCACAGAAAACATGCAGAGCAGCATTTAAACACCCAGAGGAGCTGTCCACGCTGAAAGATGACCGGGCAAGTCACTCTCGAAGGTCACCCTGCCAGCCTTGGAGGCAGGAGGACATAGGGTTTGAAAATGTGGACTTGGACTTGGAGTATCTCAGTTGGAGTCCTGGCTGAGTCTTTCCCACCTGGTCCCTGGACCCATCGTGCCTCTAAGCCCTACCCTGGACATGGGGACTGGTGACATCCCCACCTCTTATGGTAGTTGAAAACATTATGTGAGATTACGCATGCTGTACCCTGAGCCAGGGCTGGCCCATAGGAGGTGCCCAGTGGATGCTGGCCACTTCTGGATTGCTAGGATTATCTTCACTTGGAGCCCTTTATGCTGAATTGATGATACTAGCTGGTACCACATAGATGGAAAGACCCTGTTTCAAGCATGACTAGCTCATTTAATGCTCACAATGGCTCTGTGAGGTGGGCAGTGAGATCTCCCCATTTTACAGATAAGGGAACTGAGGCACTGAGAGATCCTGTGCCTCAGGATGCACTCAGTGCCTCAGGCACTGAGATGATGCATCCAGGGTCCCACTGGCACATGGTGGTGCTTGCGCCCAGGCTGACTCCCAGTAACCATTACCTGTTGTTGTTTCTGGCTTCTTTCTTCCTGGTGTAGTCCTGGAGCCTGTGGGCATTTTGATTGCTGGTCCCTGGGAGGGTGACCAGGCTTCGCCTTGCCTTAGCTCAGACTTCAGGCAACATTCCTCGGACTTTGATATCCACCCCCTAACTGATCTTGGTGCCTGTCATTGCCCTGGCCAGCAACCTGCTGGAGGACAGAATTCTGACCATGTTACTGCCCTGCCTGGAGCCCCTGATGGCAGGTGAAGGATTTATGGGAGCTCCCTTCTATCCCCAAGAAACTCTTTTGTAAATGTGAAATTTCTTCAACATAAAAAGTGTTTTAAAAAATAAAAACAACACCTCACTGAGCCTGACCTAGGAAAAGCCTCACTCTTTTTGAAACAACATTTAGAACACTTTCTGATCTTGCCCAGCTGGGGAAATAGAACGAACACATATTAATCAACCAGAAGCTGTCGTAGTACCTGTTTGATTCATGTGTAGACTGAGGGCTCCAGCCATGGTGGCACCTGGTGCCCTGGGATGGGAACCAAAGTGTGCCTTGGATGGTGAGTCCCACATAGCCGTGCAGGGGTGAATGCTGCCTCCACCTTACTGTGGATTTCCCCCTTCTCCTTTAAAGTTCATGACTCAGGCCTCTGGTTTGGAGGTGAATTCTTATATTCTTTCATCCCTCCCAGGGGCCCAGGTCTGTGAATGAAGGAAACCAGGCCCTCTGCACATAGTCTAAGACTTGCAGGGGCTTCTCAACAGCTGCAGCAGTTTATTTAAAAAAAAACAAAAAACAAAAAACAAAAAAAACACACAAGAAACTTCTGCTGTTCACAGAGCAACTAACATATGCCGGTGTCTTGCTGGGTGTTTTCCTCACATTATCTCAGTTGATCTGTGCTGCTCCCAGTAGCTCTCACTCCTGGAGCTTTCTCTCCTCTTCCTCCTTCCCTAAACCACCATCATCTCTTCTCTGGAAGGGGACAGTGGACACTGTGCTGGCTACTGCCTCTGGTCTGTGCACTGCAGCTTGCAGTTGCTTTTGGGGTGCACATGCCTTCCAAGTCTGTCCATCAGCCTTCAGCTCCCTAAGCCTGACTTACAGGACTTACTGATTCCTGACTGTTGACAGTGATGACAGACAATGATGATGATGATGATAACGGTATTAGTGTCTGGATCCAACTTGCATGGCTGCCCTTCGGAGAGAGGAGAAGAATGCACTTGTACCTGGAAACTCACAGGAAAGAGACAAGACCCACGCTGGTTCCATTCCAGGGAAGCCTAATTTATTTTTTTAACACTGGACCTCAGAGAGCCAGGGCTTGGCAGAGGCGGAAAGACATCATAACCGAGAGGCATAAAGAAAGTGGCTTTCCCTTATACTTGGAAACTTGGCCAGTCAATGGTGATGTCTCTAGGGCCTCCTGCAGAGAAGATGCCTGGACCTGGTTTGGGGATGGTCTTCGCATTTCTGTTCCATGGAGCACTGTGGCCACTCCATAGCAAATAAAAAGGGGAAAGATTAAAAAAAAAAGTTGAAAAAAATTTTTAGAAAGTAAAAAAGGAAATACACATTTACAGAAAAATATAACTGCATATCTGGTGGAAATGATAGTTTTCAAATAAGTCCACTAAGTAAACATAGGGGAAAAATGAACCTTGACATTTACCTCATTACATATACCAAAATTCATTTGAGATGGGTCAGAAATCTAGAACAAAACTTGAGATATCATCTTCATGACTCTGGGGTTGGCAAAGGTTTTTAATGGCGTAAAAAAGAAAGATTAATTGGAATTAATTAAATTAAGAACTTCTAATCATCAAAAGACATTATTAAGAGAATGAAAAGGCAAACCAGAGATTCACAGAAGATACTCATTTTATGTATACATATTATATATTATATTATATATAATATCTGAAAAAGGAGTTGAATTTAGAACTCCTACAAATCACTGAGAAAAAGATAACCAAATAAAATATGGGCAAAAGGGCCTGAAAAGGTACTTCATAAGGACATATACAAATGGCTGGCTACTAAATATATAAATAGTTGCTTCAACTCATTCACATCAGAGAAGGGCAAATGAAAGCCATATGAGATATGGCTAAACACCCAGCAAAATAGCTAAAACTAACGGCAGTCTATACCAGGTTTTGTGTGGATGTGGTGCAACTGCAACTCCTATGCGGTTGGAACCAGATTGATACACTGGCTCCAGATTGATACACTGGCTCCCCAGCAGTTCAACTGGCAGTTCATCACAATCATCCATGGTGATACCTTGACAAGGTGTGAAGTTTATGCATGCCATGGATTATACTTTCGTATCATTTCTCTTTGGCAAGAAGCAGGGTGCTGTGTTTAAGCCCAAAGGCATGACCAGATAAATTCCCTAATCTCAGCTAAAGGGTCTACCCCAGGACTATCCACAGTACCATTTCTGTTTCATATCTCATCAAATTAAGAGAGAGAAACCACACAGTAATTCAAACAGTGAAAGTTGAACATATAGAATTATTAACGATAACAGGGGAACAGAGTAACAAGAAACTGGCTAGTAAGAAATAAAGAGAAGTCTAAATACAGAAAGAGCAAGTATAAGAAGTGGTCAGTATCCTCAACTGAGATATTGCACCCAAAGAAGTCCTCCACGCTCCACCTCCCACCTCCCAGACATTGCTGAGATAGAACAGTTAAGAAAAAGCCAACCCACCTCCTTAGCTAAGTGAAAGCACCTGATGCAGAATCCCCCAAGGATTGAGTTTGATCCCACAAGGAAGATTTTCCTGCTCAAAGCTGAGAAGGCACACCCAAGGATGAATCCTGCCTAGGCTGAGATAGAGCATCCAAGACCAAGTTCCTGCCCCTCCCACGCCCCCACACCATGGCAGAGCTCAGCTAGAGCTCCTAGGAAGAGTCTTCCCCACAGGGCTGAATCAGAAGCCCACAGAAGAATCCTCTCCACAGATGAATTAGAGAACCTAAGAAAGACCTCAGTCCTCTCATAGGAGTGATAGAGCACCCAAAATACAACTACTGTCCCTCCCCTAGAGTTGAAACAGAGCACACAAGTAAGAACCTCTGGGTGGTGGAGTTAAAAGACCACAAAGAATAACTCCCCCACTAGAGGATGGAGCATGCAAGGAAAAGTTCTACACCCCAGAGTTAAGAAAAATTCCAGCAATGGTGAGTTAGAGCATTAAGGATGTGCCACTGTAGGCTTGAGATAGAGCATCCAAGGAAAAACCTCAACTCCAGAGCTTGTATACAGCACATGAGGAAGAGATTGACTATCAAAGGAAAGTTACACACACACACACACACACACACACACACACACACACACAGCTGTGATGAGCACATGAGGAAGAGTCCCCTGCAGGGCTGAGATATAGCATCCAAGGAGTGGTCCTCCCCCACCTGAGGTGGGAAACAGAGCATCCAAGGAAGCTCCTTCACTTCATGGCTGACATAGAGCAACCAAGGAAGGCATCCCCTAACATAAGTATGATGAGAACCCAGGGAAGAGTCTTCCAACTGCAGTTATGAAACAACCAAGGAAAAGTCTCCTTCCCAAGGACTGAGATAGAGCCCCTAAGAGTCGCCCCTCTGGACTGAGATAGAGCATTATGGAACATCCTTTCCAGGGCTAAGATACAGCAACTCAGAAACAGCCCCATCCAAAAGGGATGAGACAGAGCCCACAAGAAAACATTTACGTAGGGTTGAGGTAGGGCACCCAGGTAAGATAAGAACTTTCTCCCAGGAGTAAGTTAAAACCCAGAGGAAGATTCATCACCCCCATGCTGAGACAGAGGAACCCATGAAAGTCCTCTCAGGGCTTGAAGAGAGCATATGAGGAAACACTCACACCACCACCACCACAACCAAGGGTTGAAGTCCACGTATCGGGTAGGCCCAGCTGTTACTCAATGTATGCCAGAGAACTTGTTGGGGTGCCACATTGGCAGAACTCATTGGAGATCTACCTTTGGGAATTTGAGGTGGAGTATACAGGGAAGAATCCCTTTAACCCAGAGCTAAGACAGATTACCTTCCAAAAAGTTTATCCTGAAACACTGTTGAGATACAGTGCCTTGGAAAGAGCTCCCCACTACAGATCTTAAATGGAATACTCAAATAACCTCCCCCAACCCCCCAATGTTGAAATTCTATCCTATTCATCTTATCACCAATGTTGATATTCTGACCTTGCTGGGCGTGGTTGCTCACGCCTATAATGCCAGCACTTTGGAAGGCCGTGGCGGGTGGATTGCTTGAGCCCGAGTTTGAGACCAGCCTGGGCAACATAGTGAGACCCCATCTCTACAAAAAATAGGTATGGTGGTGCATGCCTGTAGTCCCAGCTACTCGAGAGGCTCAGGTGGGAGGATTGCTTGAGCCCAGGAGGTCGAGGCTGCAGTGAGCCCTGTTCGCTGCCACTGCACGTCAGCCTGAGGGACAAAGCAGGACTCTGTCTCAAACGTAAAAAAAAAAAAAAAAAAAAAAATCCTGATCTTGCCAGAGGAGTGTGGCTGCACCTCACAAAATGGCAATAAAGTTGTTATGGTGCCTCACCACTGCTGGAACTTTCTAGAAACCTGCCCTCTGGGAGTTGTGGGAAATGTACCCCCTAGGGCGCCTGGGAGTGATGCACATGGGGTGGCATCTCACCACAAGCACCGTGTATGGTCCAAGGGCAATGGAAGGAAGGGAAGCCTCAGGACACCGCGTGCCCTGCTCCAACAGAACACGGGGACCTGTGCAGGGCGCCAGAGTCCCTAGGAGAAGGCTCTCGCTCAGTGGGTGCCAGCCTAGAGAACCAGGAAGCGCAGCCCTCCCCTTCGCTGACTCTGGCGCCCTCTAAAGGCGGCCTGTACAGCGGACTGTACAGCCGACGTAAGCAGAGGAACGCAGAACCTTCTCACACAGCGGGATGAAAGGGGGAATTTGGAGCTGACAAAATGGCTTTGATATCGGGGTAATATTGGCTTGATAGAATGAAGTAGTGTTTCTTCCTGTGTTATTTTTTTGAAGACATTGCTAAGTATTGGTATTATTTCTTCCTTAAATGTTTACAGAATTTACACGCAAAGCCACCTTGGCTTGGCTTGTATTTGTGGGGAGATTTTAAATTACTAATTATATCCCTTTTCTTTCAATAGTCCTATTTCGATTTTCTATTTCTTCTAGAGTCAGTAATTTGTCTTCTAGGAATTTTTCTATTTTATCTAAGTTGTTTAACTTGTTGGCATAAAATTGTTCAGAATTTATTCCTTTTAATTTCTATAAGGTCAGTATTAATAACCCCCCTTTCATTCTTGATTTTAGTAGTCCTTTCTTTTTTTCTTGGTCAGTCAGGCTAAAAGATTGTTAGGTTTCTTTCACTTTTTCAGTGAACCAACTTTTGATTTCATTGATTTTTCTGTTTTTTTATTTTATTGATTTTCTTCTACTCTAATTTCCATCATTCCTCTCCTTCTGCTTGCCTGTATTAAATACATCAATTTAAAACTTCAGGAATAACGAATTACTTGTTTTATAAAGGAGGACTTAGACATATAGAAATGTTTATGATATTGCAAGTAGCAGTCATTTAGACAAGTTAACCAGGAGGAAATTTGCTATGCTGAAACCAGACAAGTTTTTGTGTCTGCCTTTATTGATTTTGAAAATATCAAGTCTAGTTTGTAGGAAGGTGTTTATCGTAAGAGTAGTTTATTTTTGAATATTTTAAAATTTAGAATGTCCATTTTCACTGAATCCCACAACTTTATTTTTTTCAAGCTTAAAGAAAGTATGTATTAGCCAGCACATACACTATCCTCTTTGTGCTTTATCTCTGATAATCCTTATGAGAGCGCCATGAGTTAGATACTGTTTTATGCCCATTTTATGGAAATAGAATCGTAGAGTGCACATTTAAGCATCCCTCACAGGTTTAACCAGTTGGAAAAGTGACAGAACCTAGGTCTGTCAGATTTCAGAGACTGCACACGCAAATACTATATGACACTGCCTACCGCTGTGAGTTCAGCAGAGAATTCCTTGTTTATATGGAAATAACAAAGCTGATAGTGTCCAGGATAATTGGCATCAGTTTACAAACCCTCTGTACCCCAATGTTGGTGATTTTAAGTGGGGTCATCTGTCCACTAAATTAATCAGATCTCAGGCTGGTCACACTTCTGAAATTATACACCAAGTTTGTGTGTAAGGGTATTTTTCCAGGGAAAAATATCTATAGATTTCAGCAAGTTATCCAAAGAGGGTTAGGCCCACTACTCAGCGTTCTCTGGATGATAAGAGAATGCCACGGAGCCTACACCCTTTCAATGGGGAGAATAGTGTCGATTTCTTTGCCATTTATGTTCTAGTTTTTAATCAGAGTGTTCTAGTCACACACACATAGTTAGCTATGAGGAATATCTGCAGATGCTGGTTCAAAGGAGTCAGTCACTTCAAATTGGACACTTCAAACGAGTCAGCCAACTCCACCTGAAGAAGTTTATACTTTTGGCTGTGTGTTTATAAATAATGGGCAGGTAAGTTAAGTAGGACAGTGTATGTGCTCATTAATACATACTTCTCCTTTGAGCTTTAAAAAATGAGCTTGAATAATTCAGTGAAAATTGGCATTCTAAATATTAAAGTATTAATATTTAGAATTAGATTTTTAGTTGGGATGGTGGTGTAAGGGAGGTCAGCCCATTCTCAAACTGAGCTGGAGGCATAAGGGAATTGTTTAACCTAGTGGTGTGAACCTATAGGAAGTAGTGAGGGTGGACTGAGTCATGACTTAGGTAAAGGGAGATGATTCTAGATCACGGAACATGATATAGATTCTAGATATGAGATTCTAAACTGTGTTTGGTGCCAAGGCACACATTACTAAGACAGTCTGTGATCATGTACTCTCAAGAGGATCATATATTTCAGCTGTGTAGCACTGATTTATGTGCCAGTTATGTTCCAGTTATAAATCAAAGTGTTCTAGTAACACACATAGTTAATTATGAGGACTATCTGCAGATACAGGCTTCTCCACTTCAAACGAGTCAACCAACTCCACCTGAAGAACTTCATACAGTTGGCTACGTGTTTACAAATGATGGGCAGGTAAGATAACTATTTCTATTTCCGCCCTAATTGTGGCGTTTTTAGTATAATTACTTTCTTATTGAAAAAATAAACGTGAACTATAGGTGTTAATTCTCTTGATTTAAAAGATAAAACATGACACGGGAATTCTTATGTGAACATAAAATGGGAACTTTTTGATCCAAGAGTGGATTCATTGTACAAGGAACTGATGTTTTTAATTATCACATGTAATGCTCATAATTGTTCTGCAGATGTGTATTACTATATCCCCTTTAGTAAGAAATAAAGGCTGACAGTGGTCAAATGGCTTGCCCCAAGTGACACATGATAGGAGGTAGAGCCAGGGTTTGAACGCATACCTTTCTGACTCCAGACTCTATATTCTTTCCCACTCCCCACAATAACTCCTTTCATATCGAGATTACAGTCTACAGTCTCTGTTTCTCTTATCCAAGTCTCTAGTGCTCTATCTAAAAAATGACTAAGTATTCCTCATGGAATATGAAGCACTAGGTGATGTTGCCATAATTGGATTGTCCTAATGGAGATCTTAATGTGAGTTTTGTGTTGTGTATGAGATAGACATACTAACTTCACCATTAAAACATGAAGACAAAGGAGATTGCATCTGCAGTTGTGGATCAGACCATTGGTATAAAGACACAGGTAGGCAATAATCTCTTCTGTAATAAAACCAGACTAAAGTTATTCCACCACAGTCCCAAAACTCCTCAATTAATTAAATTTTTCCTCAATTTTCTGTGCCTTTATTTTCTCTTTTTTAACAATAGAGATAAGAATCGCACCTCACTCATAGGGATTGGCCAAGGATTGAGCTAATACATGTAAACCGTTTAGAACAGTAACTAGATGGTAGTAAATGTTTGGTAAAAATGTTTTCACACATTCTAAGCCCCTATTTTATAGGAAATGAAAATTGTTTGGAAAATTTTAAAATCAACATTATATATAAATGTTTTTATTAAATAGTATATGTAATAAAATTGATATAATAAATATAAATATGTTTACTGTTATTAATATTTATTGTTAATAAAATAAATGTAAATTTTATTAAGTATTAATAAATTTGCACAATAAATATAAATATATTTATTAATAATAAATATATAATTTTATTATATTGTTACATTATATTATATAATATATTTATTATAGATATATTTATAATATATTTATTGTATTGTAATTTATTATAAATTATAAATTTTATTAAATATGCTCCTGCATATTTAATACAGGAGCATATTCTTTGTTTTTCAACTTTTATGTTTTGAGGTACATATGCACAATGTGCAGGTTTGTCACATAGGTAAACATGTGCCATCGTGGTCTGCTGGATCTATCAACCCATCAACTTGGTATTAAGCCCAGTATCCATTAGCTATTCTTCCTGATGCTCTCTCTCCCTACCCCCAGGCCTCCCCTGACAGGCCCCATTGTGTGTGCCCCCAAGCCATGTGTCCATGTGTTCTCATCATTCAGCTCCCACTTATAAGTGAGAACATGCACTGTTTGGTTTTCTGTTCCTGCATTAGTTTTCCGAGGATAACGGCTTCCAGCTCCATCCATGTTTCTACAAAGACATGATCTCGTTCCTTTTTATGGCTGCATGGTATTCCATGGTGTATATGTACTACATTTTCTTTATTCAGTCTATCATTGCTGGAGATTTGGGTTGATTCCACCTCTTTGCTATTGTGAATAGTACTGCAATGAACACACACGTGCTTGTATGTTTATAATAGAATGATTTATATTTCTTTGGGTATATACCCAGGGATAGGATTGCTGGATCAAATGCTATTTCTGCCTGTGGATCTTTGAGGAATCACCACACTGTCTTCCATATGGTTGAAGTAATTTACACTCCCACCAACAGTGTAAAAGCAGCCCTTTTTCTCCACAAACTTGCCAGCATCTGTTGTTTCTTGACGTTTTAATAATTGCCATTCTGACTGGCAAGAGATGTTATCTCATTGTGGTTTTGATTTGCATTTCTGTAATGATCAGTGATGCTGAACTTTTTTTCATGTTTGTTGGCTGCATGAATGTCTTCTTTTGAGAAGTGTCTGTTCATGTCCTTTGCCCACTTTTTAATGGGGTTGTTTGATTTCCTTTTGTAAATTTGTTTAAGTTTCTTGTAGGGTCTGGATAGTAGACCTTTGTCAGATGGTCAGATTGCAAAAGCTTTCTCCCATTCTCTAGATTATCTGTACACTCTGATTATAGTTCATTTTGCTATGCATAAGCTGTTTAGTTTAATTAGATCCCGTTTGTCAATTTTTGCTTTTGTTGCCATTGCTTTTGGCATTTTTGTCATGAAATCTTTCCCCGTGCCTATGTCCTGAATAGTATTGCCTATATTTTTTTCTAGGGTTTTTATAGTTTTGGGTTTTACATTTAAGTCTTTAATCCATCTCGAATTAATTTGTGTATAAGGTGTAAGGAAGGGGTCCAGTTTCAATTTTTGCATATGGCTAGCCAGTTCTCCCAGCACCATTAATTAAATAGGGAATCCTGTCCCCATTTCTTGTTTTTGTCAGGTTTGTCGAAGAACGGATGGTTATCGCTGTGTGATCTTATTTCTGAGTTCTCTATTCTGTTCCATTGGTCTATATCTGTTCTTGTACCAGGAAAACGCTGTTTCAGTTACTGTAGCCCCGTAGTATAGTTTGAAATTAGGTAGCGTGATGACTCTAGCTTTCTTCTTTTTGCTTAGGATTGTCTTGGCTATTCTGGCTCTTTTTTGGTTCCTTATGAATTTTAAAATAACTTCTTTTCACTCTGTGAAGAATGTCAATGGTAGTTTAATGGGAATAGCATGGAATCCCTAAATTACTGTGGGCAGTATGGCCATTTTCACAATATTGATTCTTCCTATCCACGAGCATGGAATGTTTTTCCATTTGTTTGTGTCCTCTCTGATTTCCTTGAGCAGTGGTTTGTAGTTCTCTTTGAAGAGGTCCTTCACGTCCCTTGTTACCTGTATTCCTAGGTACTTTATTCTTTTTGTAGCAATTGTGCATGGGAGTTCATTCATGATTTGTCTCTCTGCTTGCCTGTTTTTGGTATATAGGAATGTTAGCAATTTTGCACATGGATTTTGTATCCTGAGATTTGCTGAAGTTGCTTATCAGCTTAAGAAGCTTTTGGGCTGAGACGATGGGATTTTCTAGATATAGGGTCATGTCATCTGCAAACAAAGATAATTTGATGTCTTCTCTCCCTATTTGAATACCCTTTTTCTTTGTCTTGTCTGATTGCCATGGCCAGAACATCTGATACTATGTTAAATAGGAGTGGTGAGGGAGGGCATCCTTGTCTTGTGCAAGTTTCAAGGGGAATGCTTCCAGCTGTTTCCCACTCAGTATGATATTGGCTGTGGGCTTGTCATATATGGTTCTTCTAATTTTGAGGTATTTTCTTTCAGTGCCTGGTTTATTGACAGCCTCTAATATAAGGGGGTGTTGAATTTTATCAAAGGCCTTTTCTGCATCTATTGAGATAATCATGTGGTTTTTGTCATTAGATCTGTTTATGTGATGAATTACATTCATTGATTGGCCTATTCTGAAACGACCTTGCATCCTGGGGATGAAGCCAACTTGATCATGGTGGATACGCTTTTTGATGTGCTGCTGGATTCAGTTTTCCAGAATTTTATTGAGGATTTTTGCGTCGATGTTCATCAGGAATACCGGCCTGAAGTTTTCTTTTTTGGTTGTATCTCTGCCAGGTTTTGGTATCAGGATGATGCTGGCCTCATAAAATGAGTTAGGTAGGAGTCCCTCCTTTTCAAATTTTTGGAATACTTTCAGTAGAAAAAGTACCAGCCCTTCTTGGTACCTCTGGTAGTCAGGAGCATATTCTTCGGTTATCCGTTGATGAAAACAGCTTTTAGTTTACCTACTATACCCTTGAATTTCATGTTTTATCTACCATCAACATTGCAAAGCACTCCCTACCCCTGTCTGTCTCCAAGATCAACATATTGGAATAAAAGATTTATCATCACTTAACACACATGATGCTCTCAGAAAAGGCAAGTTAATTTAATCTAGTCTCAGTGAAACAAGGGAAGGTAGAATACAAGGTGTTATCCAAAGTCAAACATGGTATAGTCAAGATTAATCAGAATGCTTGGGAAATGAAGCATATAGATACATATAGGTAGTGATACATATAGATATAATGATATCTATATGTATCTATATGATATGCATAATGATACACATAGATATTGAAAGGTAGGATAGATTGAAAAGGTAAATGTTCCCACTATGGAGGTGTGGGAACATTTACCTTTTCAATCTATCCTACTGTTCACTATCTATATGTATCATCTAATGAAGTATTAATCAGTATTTGTTAATACGTAGTTTTAAAGCACTGAAAGATAAGAAAGGTATTTCTTTTTTTTTGTCCCCTAACAAAGGCTGAGACAAAATGATGTGTAATTCATTAGAGATATAACCATATGTTTATTCTTTTGGTTGATGAAAACCACTTATTCCCCACGCATTCTGGTTTATCATGACTGTACCATGTTTGACTTTGGATAACACCTTGTATTTCACCTTCTCTTGTTTCACTGAGACTAGATTAAAATTAGCTTGCCTTTTCTGAGAGCGTCGTGTGTGTTGAGTGATGAGAAATCTTTGACCTGTGCCTAAAACTTTATATTAACGATATAAATGCATGGCTGTGTATGCATATGAAGACTGTGACTTTGCAATGGTTGGATTTGTCTTTAATGGAATATGTTCACTGATGTTTTTCAGCAAACAAGGAGTGATGAAGTAAATCAGGTTGCAACAGGGCATCAAAGCAAACAGAAACGTTCCAGAGAATCCAAGAGACACTCTTCATCTAAGAGAAGGAAGAGTATGTCGCGGTGGTTAAACAAACAGGAAGGTGAGGGGGAATCCAATCTTTGGGCCTCAACCATGTCAAAGGACATTTGTAGTCATGTCCTTGAGGGATGAACAGATATGAGCACATTTGCAAGTGGAAGGGCAAGGTTCTAATTAGGTGTAACAATTTGGAGTTGCTGCAAGCATTAGATGAATAAAGCAGGTTCCTGAGGCAGAAGGAGATGGTGGGCTCAACAAGAGGATGGGTCTGCTCACTTTCTGCCTGTCCTCACATTCCGCTCTAACCCAGTGTGGTCTGGCTTCTTCTTAGTGTATTCCAATGAAACTACTATCATCAAGGTCACCAGTGTTTGCTGCACTTTGGCATTAATCTCTCAGCAGAATGCAACACAGTTGTTTACTCCCTCCTGCACGGAAAGCTTCTTGGGTCCCGAGGCACCTGGATTTCTTACCCTGTTACTAGAGACTCATTTTCCTTCTCCTTTTTGTTTTTCTCCTCTCCTTTCCCACCTCTAAATATTTCAGGGCGCCAAAGCTTCATCCTAGACTCTCTTCTCTTCACTATACTATCTCCTTAGGCGATGCCATGCTGTCTTAGAATTTTAAATGATTCACACTACAAGAATTCTCACCATTATACTTCAACACTGCAACTTGCTCCTGAAATCCAGACTCAAATACAACTACTCGCGTGGTATCTCTACTGGGTGTCTAATAGACATCTAAAATTCAACTGGCTCTACATGTTCAAATTTCTGACTTCCCTCTCTCTAAAAATACACTACTTTCAGCCTTCACTATTTCAGCTAAAGATACTGTCCATTAGGTGAAACATCCACAAAGGTGTAACAACCAGCTGTTCACAGGTATGGGGGATTGAGAAGTCCTGGTTTTTAGAGTTTGTAGGTATCCATAGTGCGGATAATCCCACCATGATCTAGTTCAAACTGTCAACATAAGGTGGCTAAACCAGATTCAGGAAGAGTTGGCTGCACTCAGCTCTCACAGTCGGTTGCCTAACACCTCCTGAACACCCCTGGTGTACTCTTACTTAGTAGTTCAAGTCAAAATACTTAAAGTCACTTATGAGTTATCTTATGATTCTTTTATTACTCTCTCATTTCCCATCTCTTAGCAAGTCCAGCAGTCGATGCCCAGTATAAATTCTGCATCCAACCGTTTCTCTCTTTCCCTCCAGTATGTACTGATCTCTCTTCAAGCTAGTAGAATACCTTCTTAGCTCTGTGTTTCTAATCTTCGCTCATCTATCGCATACTCTCTAACCCTGTGGCTAGATAATTACGTCAGCACGTAAATCACATCATCCATGTCCCTCCTGAAAACCCATCCTCATCTCTCCTAAGCACTCAGAACAGACCCTGAACTAGCTTTGGTCTGCGAGCCTCTGCACAGCCTGGCCTCTGTCACCCTCTCCTAACGCGGGTCCCATCCATTTCCTCCTGGCTCTCTCTGCCTCTGTCCTTCACCTCTGTAGTGCCCGGTCCATCCCCACTCCATTCCCTACCCTTGGCCTCACTGCAGCCTGGAACTCTCCCTCTGCCTCTGCACAGGACGCTCTGCTTCTTCCTCCAAGCGCTGCCCAATGGCACCTCTTCAGAAGGCCCTGCCAAACCAGCTGCAGCCCCTGGGGCTCCCTCTGCTGCTGCCTCCCACAGGCCCGTGGACTGCTTCCCCAACACCAGCTCAGCGCTGTTTGTTTCATTTGCTCATTGTACATGTTTTGTCTGACTGCCCCATGAGGATGTGAGCTCCACAAGGGCAGGGAACGTTGCTCTCTGGGCTGTTTACTGCTGATTCCCAGCTCCTGGCATGCTGCCTGCCACAGATGATGAATAAATGAAAGAGGTGTCAGACCTGGAGTGAAAAGAAAGCCACTTTTTCTAGACAAAGGGGAAGGATCTGTAGAATCATAAAAAACACAGATGTGTGATGATGGAGTGGAGATAAGAGTGTTCAACTCCAATAGCCACCTCCATTTTTTCAGAATATTTGAGGTAGAAAGGAGGCAGGTTAAGGAGGGCTCAATTAGTCTCGCTTCCTGCTGTGTACAGCACGGCATTTATAGGTGAACTATAAAAATAATATCAAATGAGAAATGTAAAGGGCAGCAAGATGATACAAAATGATGAGTACTAAAACCTGTGAATGTTTATTCTGCTATCGTACTTCTTTACTGTATTCATTATGCCAAGAAGTAAAAAGGCAGTTTTATTGTATTATCTAACCTGATCTCTGTTTGCAAGATCTGAGATTTCCACGTGGTAAATACTTCTGTTTCATGAAATAAATAATTTCCTAGAAACTGATTAATACATAGCTGTCCCTCTGGGGGAGGATGGGACAAAACATACCTATCTTGCAGCTCAACCTCTTCGTTTGGTTTCCAGATGCTAGTATCACTCACAATGTCCATGAAGAGAAGATAAAAAAAATGGCCAACCAGCACCTGGTAATGTCGTCACTACTGTTCCACCAGCGCTTATTAATATAGCAGCAGCTGGTATTTCATCCATGAGTACCAGGGATCGGTGTAAGTTTGCTAACTTGGTATACTGTTCTACTTCATTTCCACTATGCACTATATGCATAGTGTCATGAGGAAAGAAGGTAATTTTGTTGTATTATCTTTTCTGGCCTCAATTTTAGGGTTCTCAAATTGCTACCTGGTAAATCTTCCTTCTTTATGAGATAATTTCCTAGATACTGAGCATCAGAGGGGTATGCCTGTGTGGTTGACATAATGCACTTACCTCACAGCTCAACCACTTCATTTGGTTTCCAGATGCTGCAGTCACTCACATCGTCTGTGAGGAGAAGATAAATAACGACCAGCCAGCACCTGATAATGTCTTGTCAACTGCTCCACCATGGCTTCGTGATATGGCAGCAGCTGGAATTTCATCCACGAGTACCAGGGATCTGTGTATGTCTGCTTATTAGTTGTACTGTCCTACTTGGTTTCTCTAAGCAGGCGTATTTTCATGAACGGTAGAAGGTAATTTTGTTGTATATTCCTTCCTAGCCTCAATTTGAGGGATGTCAGATGGCCACCTGGCATATTGCTTTCTTTGATAATTTCCTAGAAATTGAGCATCAGAGGGATATACCTGTGGGGCTGACATAATGCACTTACCTCACAGCTCAACCTCTTCATTTGGTTTCCAGATGCTACTGTCAATCCCAATGTCCATGAAGAGAGGATGGTAAATAGTTAACCGCAACTGGATAATGTCTTGTCAAATGTTCTATCATGGTTTATTAATATGGCAGAAGCTGGTATTCCAGCCATGAGTACCAGAGATCTGTGTATGTTTGCTTTCTAATTGGATTTTCCTACTTAGTTTCCATATGCATGCATAGTGTCATGAAGGGGAGATGGTGGTTTTGTTGTATTATGTTTCTTGAGCTCCATTTGAGGGGTCTCAGAACCCCGCCTGTCATGTCCTCCTGCTCCATGCAATAATTTCTTAGAAGCTGAGCATCAGAGGGATATACCTGTGGGTTGAAATAATGCACTTACTTCACAGCTCGACCTCAACGTTTGGTTTCCAGATGCTACCGTCACTCACAATGTCTGTGATGAGAGGATGGAAAATGACCAACTGCAACTGAATAATGTCTTGTTAACTTTTCCACCAGAGCGTGTTAACATGGCAGTAGCTGATTTTTCGGCCATGAGTCCTAGGGATCTGTGTATGCTTGTTTACTACTTGTACTGTCTTACTTGGTTATTATATGAAGGCATGGTGTCATAAAGGGAAGAAGGTGGTTTTGTTTTATTATCTTTCGTGACCTCAATTTGAGGGGTTTCAGATCACTACCTGGTGTATCCTTTCCTGCTTAATGAGATAATTTACTAGAAACTGAGCATGACAGGGATATACCTGTGGTGTTGCCATAATGCACTTACCTCACAGCTCAACATTTTCCTTTGGTTTCTAGATGCTACCATCAATCACAATGTCTATGAAGTGAGGATGGAAAATAACCAACCACAGTTTAATAACGTCTTGTCAACTGTTAAACCAGGGCATATTAACATGGCAGCAGCTGGTATTCCAGCCATGAGTGCCAAGGGTCTGTGTATGTTTGCTTATAAGTTGGATTGTCCTACTCGGTTTTCATATGCATGCATAGTGTCATCAAGGGAAGAAGGTGATTTGGTTGGTTGTACCTTCTTTCATGAGCTCAATTTGAGTGTTCTCAGATCACCACCTGGCATACCCTCTCCTGCTTCATGAAATATTTTCCTAGAAACTGAGCATCAGACAGATATACCTGTGGGGTTACCATAATACACTCATCTTACAACTCAACCTCTTCATTTGGTTTCCAGATGCTGTAGTCAATCTCAATGTCCATGGAGAGAAGATAAATAAAGGTCAACCAGCACCTGATAACTTCTTGTCATCCGTTACACCAGGGCTTATTAATGTGTCAGGAGATGGTATTCCACCCATGAGTACCAGGGATGTTTGTTTGTTTACTAGTTGTTTCTACTTGGTTTCCTACTTGGTTTTCATATGCATGCAGTGTCATAAGTCGAAGAAGGTGGTTTTATTGTATTATCTTTCATGAGCTCAATTTCAGGGGTCTCAGATCACCACCTGGTATATCCTTCTGCTTTATGAGATAATGTCCTAAAAACTGAGCATCAGAGAATATACCTGTGGGGTTGACATAATGCACTTACCTCACAGCTTGACGTCTTCTTCTGGTTTCTAGGTGCTACTGTCACTCACAATGCCTATGAAGAGAAGATGGAAAATGGCCAACAAGCAGCTGATAATATATTGTCAGCTGTTCCACCGGGGCTTATTAATACATCAGAAGCTGGTATTCCAGCCATGAGTACCAATGATCTGTGTATGTTAACTTATAAGTTGGATTGTCCTCATTGGTTTCCATATGCGTGCATGGTGTCATGAAGGGGAGAAGGTGGTTTTGTTGTATTATCTATTGTGACCTCAATTTAAGGGATTTCATATCACCACCTGGCATGTCCTCCTGCTTTGTGCAATAATTTCCTAGCAAGTGAGCATCACAGGAATATACCCTGAGGGGTTGACATAATGCGCTTTCTTCACAGCTCAACCTCTTCATTTGGTTTCCAGATGCTACCATCACTCACGATGTCAGTGAAAAGAAGATAAAAAACAGCCAACCAGCAACTGATAACTTCCTGTGCACTGTTACACCAGGGCTTATTAATTTGGCAGAAGCTGGTATTCTGGCCACGAGTACGAGGGATCTGTGTATGTCTGTTTACTGGTTGTACTGTCCTACTTGTTTTCCATATGAATGCGTGGTGTCATGAAGGGAAGAAAGTGGTTTTGTTGTATTATCTTTCATGAGCTCAATTTGAGGGTTTTCAGATGGTCACCTGGCATATCCTCTCCTGCTTTATAATTTCCTTGAAACTGAGCCTCAGATGGATATACCTGGGGGTTGACATAACGGACTTACCTCACAGGTCATCCTCTTTGTTTGGTTTCCAGACGCTACCATCACTCACAGTGTCCATGAAGAGAAGACACAAAACGACCAACTAGCACCTAATAACTTCTTGTCAAGTGTTCCATGAGGACTTATTAATATGGCAGGAGCTAGGGTTCCAGCCATGAGTACCAGGGATCTGTGTGTGTTCCCTTATGAATTGTACTGTACTACTTGATTTCCATATGCATGCATAGTGGCATCAAGGGAAGAAGGTGGTTTTGCGGTAATCTTTTCTTGCCTCAATTTCAGGGTTCTCTGATTGCCACCTGTTATATCCTCCCGCTTTATGGGATAATTTCCTAGAAACTGAGCATCAGTGGGCTATCCCTATGGGGTTGTCATTATGCACTTACCTCACAGCTCGACCTCTTCGTTTTGTTTCCAGATGACACCGCCACTCACAATGTCCATGAAGAGAAGATGAAAAACAAGCACCTGATAACTCCTTGTCAACAGTTCCACTGGGACTTGTTAATCTGTCAGGAGCTGGTATTTCATCCAGGAGTACCAAGGATCTGTGTATGTTTGTGTATTGCTTGTACTGTCTTATGGTTTCCATATGCATGCATAGCGTCCTGCAGGGAAGAAGGTGATTTTGTCGTATTATCCTACTTGAGCTCAGTTTGAGGGGTCTCGGATAGCCACCTGGTGTATCTTCCTGCTTTATGAGATAACATCCTAAAAACTGAGCCTCAGATGGATATAGCTGTGGGGGTGACATAATGCACTTACCTCACAGCTCAACTTTTTCATTTGGATTCCAGATGCTACTGTCATTCACAATATCCAAGAGGAGGAGATGGAAAATGGTCAAATGCCTCCTGATGGCTTCCTGTCAAATTCTGCTCCACTAGAGCTTATAAATATGACAGAAGATTGTATGCCACTCAACGCATTGGATTCTTTCTCTTACGACTTCACTAGTCTCAGCAGAGAGGAGCTGCTTTACAAACATGATAGTAATGAATTTGCGGTAGGCACCAAAAACTACAGTGTCTCTGCAGGTGACCCACCAGTCACAGCAATGTCTTCAGTGGAAACTCCACAGATATCTCCTGCCATGGCAAAAAAAATTAATCAAGATATAAAATGTCAATTAATGAAAGAAGTTCAAAGGTTTGGGCAAAGTAAGTAGTGCAAGAATGTCTATCAATGAAAGCATGCCAAGTCTCTCATTCTATGATTTAGAACAGAATTAAGCTGCCTCTTGAGCTCATTCTTGGGCTGCATTAGATCTGTATGTGATTTAGCGTGACTTCTATTTAATTTCACTGAAAATTTCTAATACATCTGCTTAAATGTTTTGTTTTCCTTTGTTAGTGTTCACAATAGTTTCCTTAGTAATATACAGGTGTTGTGATTTAAGCATTCAAACACAAACACTACGTAACATTGTAACCCATGAAAAATGTATACAGTGGTAGTGGATGCACTAAGATTGAGGTATATTTCATTTTCATAATTGTAGAAATACTAATGTTTTTAAATATCTTCAGATTATAAAAGAATTTTCATTTTGCTTGAAGAACTACAAGGATCTATGAAAGTCAAGAGACAATTTGTTGAATTTACCATCAGGGAAGCAGTAAGGTGGGTGCAAAAAGGAACTCTGCTGTTGTTTTAAGCACTTGCGCCCAATTTGGGACAGGGGCAGGAAAAAATCATGCCTTGTTCTTCCTAATCCCTGGCCCTCAATCATAGTTCATACTATTTCCACAGGCAGTTAGGTTGATATTATCTTATTCTAACACTTTCTTCTGATGCCATGGAGCCTTCCAAATTTACCATAATCTGGGAGTGGGCGTGGGTCCTCAGTTGAATCACTTTGTATTTTTCTAGTTTGTATCTTTCCATGAGGATGCATTTTTTATTTGCATGTCGATTGTGAACTCTATTTTGTGTCCACTACTACCTCTTACATCTCACAGGTGCTGTAGGTATCCTCTGGTTAATGGAATACCTCTTTAATTTCAGGTTTAAAAAAGTTGCCTTAATTCAGCAACTTGAGAAGGTGCTTAAAGAAATAGATTCCCACTGCCATCTCAGAAAAGTTAAGCACATGAGAAAAAAAATAATTGTTTTAGTGCAAAGACCAAGGAGAAACAAGGGTACACGCGGTAGGATGGAACAGGTTATTGCTGAAGCTCCCTATAATTTTGAAGTGAAGAGAATTACCTTCCAAAAGCTAAGAAAAAAAAGAGGGAACTTTTTATATTTAATAAATCTCCCTTAATAAAAGCTGCACTTTTGTTTGTTTGTTTGTTCTTCCGCCTGAGGAGGGGCATGAGTCAATAACTCAGCAAGGTATTTAGTATTACAGTCCTGGTTTCTGCAGCAGCTCACATTGTTGTAGCTGGTATTTATAACTGCCTTCTTTCTCTACCCATTTCTCATTCCCTTTGCCCTGAGATAGCATGTCAGCTGGTCATGATGCTTGGTCTGGCAGGATGACTCAAACCTTCATTACTGAACAGTCTGGACCAATAGATATCCTGCCTGGATTGGGTTGCTGTAATTTTCCATTAAGTGTAATAAACATGAGAGGACTAAGAAGCTGTCTAGACATATCAAACATACTCTTTTTAGCCCCTGGTGTAGTGCAATTAATCCCCCTTTGGTTGTCAGGTTCATCACCCCCAGCCAGTAGATGACCCCCTCCTTTGCCTCTAGATGGAAAGTGATGAAGAGAACAAAATGGCCTGCTGGCAGTATCGATCTCTTTTCAATGGAGTCACTGTTGTGTCCCTTGTCAAAAGCATTTCTTCCTTTGGAACTAAGACTTCTAGTACAGGAGAGCCTAAAATCAGAAGGACAGGAAGCACTTATGCTAGTGGTTCACGGCGGGGAAAGTGAGTAGAGACACTCCCAGTTATACCCCTTCGTTCTAAGACGAATGAATCCTGACTATTGGAGAGAAAGCAGACTATGTTGGATGCAGGCATACAGCAAACACTGCTTCTAAAAGTAATTTCTCAGACCTGCAAGGTATTGCCACTTAGCTAGCACTGTAACCGAGTTGTACAAGACCATTTCAGTTTCTGTTCATCCAGTCAGGTTCAGATTATGGGGGACACATTGGGAGGCTGATTTGGAATCAAAAAACAATGAGGCCAAGACAGTATCATGTCTATAAAGAAGATGATGGGGGATAGGGAGATATAAATAATAAGACCAGTGAATTCCTATGAACACGGGCCCATCACTGCACTTTATTTTCTGGGAAGCGAGTGCCTTGTTTGGAGGTGATGCTGTGTGGAATACCATGATGGTAAATAAAGCATTTTCTAAGTGCACAAATGTTGATTTTCTGAAATTACTGTGGTTGGGAAGGAAGATCCATATTCAGAATAAGTGTCAATTTGAGTAAGAACACAGCCCTGTCCCTTCCATAGTGGAAGTGGTCCAATGTAATCACCTGCCATCTGGTAACTGGCTGATCACGCTGGAGACAGGTGCCATATAAGAGACTCAGTGTTGCTCTCTGTTCTAGCAGATTGTACACTCAGCAATGACTAATTGCAGAATTTTGCTCCTTAGTTCAGTTAAAACCGAGTTCACACGAACGGGGAAGATTAGGTTCGTGGACACATTGAAGGGTGAGGAGCTGAATTTATTGGTTAAAAAAGAAAAATAGGGAGGAAAAAAAATCTCTCGGCAAAGTGAGAGGGAGTCCTGCTAAGAGGCCCCCATCTCACAGATTGATTCCGGGCCACCGCACAGGAACCGAAGAGACCAGGCTCCACACCGCCACCCCTGCACAAGGTGCAAACTTCCCATGGCTCCACACCCTTCCCCCAGTACACACGATGCTAATATTAAGAAAGAATCAGTTGGGAATGGGCTAGCAAACAGTGCCAGTTCTTCTGGCTGCAGGTTTCATTCGGTAGCAGCAGTCTGGTTTCTCAACCTTCAGGCCATTTTAGGCTTGAAGGCGGGGTTTCACCGGGGACCCCTGGCTGTCTCATGTCTCTATCAACTGTAGCCAGGTTGGCCTTGGTGAGTGGAAGTCCATGCTACTGAAGCAAAATCTCTATCCTTGGTCACCTTGGCCACTCTGTGAGCTCACGAGGTTATGACACCAATGTTGGGGAAAGAGGCTGATTAATATCTAGATAATAGGTACTTTATCCTTCAGATTATTAAAATTCTGCTCTACAGAGGTTACCCTTTGCTGAGAACTCTCATGAGACCTAAGTATCTTCACATTGTATATCCATTTGGACTACTCTATCCACATATTTTTTCCCAGACCTCCTTGTCATAAATTTTCAATCATGTGTCCACAAAGTCCTTGATCATACAGCCAATAAACGAGACACGGCCTAAACATGGATACATACTTATAGTCTGGCCATCTCTCCTCCACACAGAAACACTGCTCAAGCATCTTCCCTCTTGGAGGATTTCCCTTCACCACTGTCCTTCAGAGCTATCCCAGTTGGGCCTGTCGTAATGAAGCTGTCCGCTTCTGGCTTTTGTGGTAGACAGGCATTATGAACAGACTGAATATTTGTGTCCTCTGAGAATTCATATGATGAAACCCTAACTCCCAGTGGGATGATATTTGGAGGTGGAGCTTTTGGGAGGTAATTAGGTTTAGATGTGTTCATGATGTTTGGGTCCCTATGATGAGATTAGTGCCCTTATAATTAGAGAAAAGGGAACTTGTTCTTCCATGCCTCTTCAACGTGTGAGGCTACCGCAAGGTGGCTGACTGCAAGCCAGGAAGAGGCCCCCCACCAGAATTTGAGCATGTTGGCACCCTGATCTTGGATTTCTAGCTTCCAGAACCTTGAGAAAGAAATGTCTGGTGATGAAGCCACCCAGTCTGTGGTATTCTGTGATAGCAACTCGAGCTGACTGAGACAGCTGTAGTCTGATTCCCCAGACTCCCATCTCCTGTATACTCGATCAAGCAATAATCCCAATACTGCTATGGTGGGATTTTGCTGGATAACTAATGTCTCAAGCCAGTTGACCCTGAGACACGAATGTGGTGTGGGTGGGCCAGACCTGGCAGGGGAATCCTTGAGAAGCAGAGCATTTTCCTTACCAAGGAGCAGAAGAAGAGGTAAGGGAATCAAAGTGCAAGAAGGATGTGACACAGCAGGCCCGCTTTGAGGATAAAGCAGTGCTCCCAAGAAGGTATAGGATGGCTCTAGGTGTTTAGTGCAGTTTCTGGATGACAGCCAGCAAAAAAATGGGAACCACATTCCTACCACCTTAAGGAACTAGGTCTAAATGAGCAATAACCTGAATAAGCTTAGAAGTGGATTATTCCGCAGTCTCCACATCAGCACCCACCCGGCCTGACATTTTGAGTTGGCCTTGGGAGACAGTCAGCGGAGAGGCCGGTCAAACCTTCCTGGTCTTGACTTGCAGAAGTGTGGATAATTAATGTGTGTTGTTTTAGGCTGCTCAATTTGGGGTAATTTGTTATGTGGCAATAGAAAATTAACAGCGGTGCTGCCAGCCCATTATAAAGAAAGAAAAGTAAGCCAGGCCTAGGGATTTTTTTATTGTTTGTTTTTCTGACAACTCTGTTCCTAAGGAAGCTGCCCTTGGAGCCATAGGTGTGGATTCAGAGAGCTTTTTCTTGTACTAGGCCAAACTCAGAAGTAGCAGATTTTCCGGTCATTAGAAGATAAGTCACAGCAGCACACCTCGATGAGGTACATGTTACCACCATCAGAACCTAAGGAGGCCCACTATATTTTGCGTGTCCCCTTTGAATGGTAGGAAGGGTGAGATGTACCTACTTGCTGTTCACCTGATAAGTACTATGTTGATATTTCACTAAGTTAAAAGGCCCCTGATTTTTTGTGCAAATTAATACTTCGGTTGTCATGTCAGTATGTTACCAGTGTGTCTAGAGTAGTTGCTAGGTCCTGCTCAATCAGCATAACGTCCTCAATGCAAAGAAATGGTGTCACATGGTGGGAAGGAAAGGAGATCAAGATCCCTAAGGACTAGTTTGGGACATAAGTTTATGATGCAGGATACTTTCTTGACCCCTTCACAGGACACATGACAGGGGTGCCCAGCCACTTTGGCACCAGCAGGAGCAAACTCCTTTTCCTTGGGCCCACCACACCCCACCTCTCACGGGATGGAGCATGTAGACAAGTGAGTGTGGCAACTGGCCAGCTGCTTTGGCGCTGGCAGGAGCAACCTCCATGCAGGCACTGTGGCACCATCTGGGTAGGAGTGCCTGCAACCCCAAGGCCCCAGAGTGCATGTTACAATGCTCTGTTAGCTCCACCATCCATGGACAGCAGTGTGTTATCAGCTCAGTGGGACCTTTGCCTCATCGCATGGGGTGGCTGCCCTCTGTCAGCAAGGGCAAAGGGCCAGTGTGACAGCCTTTTTGGGTACTCATACTTGGTGCGTCCCAAATTCTTGTCTGGTGCCCAAGAAGAATGAGGTCACACAGACTAATTGAAGTGAAGGATGGTGAGTGCAGAGAATTTTGTTTTGCGATGAAAGCAGCTTTCAGGGGAGAAGGCAGCTGGAAAGGGGACGTGAAGGGCAGGTCACTGTCCCCTGAAGTCAAATCGCCTCTGCCTCTCTCCTCCGAAGTCAAATTGCTTCTCCCCGACCTCTAGCTGTCATCTCTGAAGTCAAGTCACTTCTCCTTGATGTCTGGCTGCCTCTCCTCTCTACTGGCTGAATCCGGGGTCTTTACAAACATGGGACGTGGGGCATGGTGGGCCGTAGGTGGTTTTGGGAAAGGCAAAATTTGATTGGTAAAAAAGCATTATTCAGAAAGAACCAATTGGCAGGGAGTGGCCAAGATGGGATAGAAGTCCTCACTTCAGGCTTTTCAGCTTGAAGGTGGGGTTGCACCAAGGACTCACCCTTGTCTGCCTAGAGTTTCTTTGCCTCCTGCCTGTATCACTTAGAGAGTTGATGTAAGACTGAGGTAGGAAGGAAAAGGGTTTTGCTGGCCTTGCCAGCTGAAAGCAAACAGTTCCTCCTGATCTTTAAAAAACATGTTTAGAGATAGTTTTAGATATGTGGCGTTATTTCTGAGGGTTCTGCTCTGTTCCATTGATCTATAT
Organism: Homo sapiens; assembly: GCF_000001405.40. Classification (NCBI taxonomy): domain Eukaryota; kingdom Metazoa; phylum Chordata; class Mammalia; order Primates; family Hominidae; genus Homo; species Homo sapiens. The sequence continues at coordinate 135,668,600 of NC_000023.11, read as the reverse complement.
CTCTGCTTTGGTAGAAGTACCATGCTGTTTTGGTTACCGTAGCTTTGTAGTATAGTTTGAAGTCAGGTAGTGTGATGCCTCCAGCTTTGTTTTTTTGGCTTAGGATTGACTTGGCGTTGCGGGCTCTTTTTTGGTTCCATATGAACTTTAAAGTCGTTTTTTCGAGTTCTGTGAAGAAAGTCATTGGTAGCTTGATAGGGATGGCATTGAATCTATAAATTACCTTGGGCAGTATGGCCATTTTCACGATATTGATTCTTCCTACTAGGTCAACAATTGTGGAAGTCAGTGTGGCGATTCCTCAGGGATCTAGAACTAGAAATACCATTTGACCCAGCCATCCCATTACTGGGTATATACCCAAAGGAATATAAATCATGCTGCTATAAAGACACATGCACACGTATGTTTATTGCTGCACTATTCACAATAGCAAAGACTTGGAACCAACCCAAATGTCCAACAATGATAGACTGGATTAAGAAAATGTGGCACATATACACCATGGAATACTATGAGCCATAAAAAATGATGAGTTCATGTCCTTTGTAGGGACATGGACGAAATTGGAAATCATCATTCTCAGTAAACTATCGCAAGGACAAAAAACCAAACACCGCATGTTCTCACTTATAGATGGGAATTGAACAATGAGAACACATGGACACAGGAAGGGGAACATCACACTCTGGGGACTGTTGTGGGGTGGGGGGAGCGGGAAGGGATAGCATTAGAAGATATACCTAATGCTAAATGATGAGTTAATGGGTGCAGCACACCAGCATGGCACATGTATACATATGTAACTAACCTGCACATTTTGTACATGTACCCTAAAACTTAAAGTATAATAATAATAATAATAAACATGTATAGAGAAAAACACAGTCACATGATCTCACACACACACACACAAACATATATGTGTGTATATATGCATACATAATGTTAAATTTCTATCTAATGTTAAACATCTGTATAAAAGGGAGCTGTTATGTAAAATTGGTCGGATATAGTATTTTTACAGGACTATGCTCTCTGTATAAGGCTATTATCTCAGTATAATACCGGACAAGGAGTGAAACATTTCTGGACTTGCTAAACCATATTTTGTGCTACAAGAATAGAGTGGAAGCACCCAGTGAGGGTGCGTTTGCCAAAATGCTGCCCTCAGTAAGCAGAGAGGCTCTCACCCCAAATACCTGAGGCTCCTGGGTCTGGGCAAGGAGCAGCCCTGTGCAGCAGGCAGGCTGGACATTTGGCTTCTTAGACTCTGTTCCAGCCCTAGCTGCCTATGACCTGAGATTTGTCTTTCCCTTCTTGGGGCCTCATTTGTAATATCTCTGGAAAATGGCAATCCCGGGATAACTGATGTCTGACGTTCCTTGTGGCCTTGACAGTCGTGTCTGGGGAGATTGCTTTCCCTGGCCACAAGAGTGGTGTGTTTCTGTAATTCCTTTATTCTAAAGATTTTTGAAAGCCACTTTGTTGGAACACCAATCATTTCCCATCAGGAGCTTAAAGCAATCTTCAGACACTCGTTATGATGTTTCCTTCATTCAACAAATGTTCCTCAAGGGTTTTCCAGTGCTGGTTCTCTCCTAGACACTGGGGAGATGATGGCGAAAAGGCCACATGGTTGGCATTTCACCATCTTATGCATTAGGGTGCCTCTGGTTGCAATGAGCAGAGAATCTCCCTGCCTGTGGGAGTAGCCGAAGACATCACACATTGAGAAGTCTGCAGGGAAGCAGGCAGGGTAGGGCCAGGACTTGGTTCAGATGAAGGAGGCAAAATTTTGGGGGAAAGCAAGGCAATTGGCAATCAAGATGAGAAGTAGTTTGCCATAATTTTTCAAAAATCAAAATTAATACAAAACATCCACAATGAACAATATATCAAAATTTAAAATAAAGGCAGGATTTGCCCTTGCACCTGCAGAGCCCTGAGCGTCGTGCATGTGGAGGGGACACATGGGTGCCACAGGCCTATTACTGAAAAACGTCTCACTTGCAATTCTTCTGAAGGCCACTACTTCCTTCTGAGGGAATCTGGCAATTGTTCTCTTTCTATGCTCATGGAATCCATAGTGCCACAGGGTGGAAAAAAGAAATAGTTTGATTTAATTACAAATATGTCCGTGCAATTTTTGAAAATATTCTAAAGAACCCTCAAGTAGGTCATGCAAATTTTATTCCTTAAAATATTTGACTTTTCAGAAATGGAATTTCATCAAATATGAAATATTTTCTGAAAAAGTATTCTTTCCCAGGAAAATAGCAATTATCAAGAAACTTTTGTACTTTATTCACTGAAGGCAGTTATGAAAATTACATTGGTGTTTATTTCATGTTTAAAAAATTATTTTCAAGAGTTTTTAAAAGTCAGATTTGTTCAGAAGCCTGGGGTGAAATTTTTTACTCTTTATAACTATTTATTTTGTATCTTTATATAAATTTTTATGTACATCAGTGTAATGACTAAATATTTTAAATCACACAAGTATCCACAATTAATGTAAATTACTTGATTATGTGTTAGAGAGCACATTTACTCTACATGGACTGTATCAATTAAAAGTAAATATTTGTAAATTATGCTAAAATTATTTAGACAGTTAAGGCACCAAAGGTAAGTGGTGTAATGTTCAAGAATGAAGCAAAATGCATGTAGAAATTCATCAAAATTATGGGAGTCCCTTAGTTATGAGGTTGACTAGAAAAAAGTATTGCAGCTACGGAAAATAAATGTGTTCCTATCATTGACATTATTAGAAAACAGTTACCCTGAAATCCACTGAAAACTAAGGAAATTTTTGAAATTGTGAGAAGCAATTGAAGGGGAGTGTTAGATATTTCAGAAACATGTGGATGTGAGTTTGAGCTAATGAAACAAAAGGGGTTTACTAGAAAGAATATGGATAAGACTGAGATTATTCCAAGATGGCCGAATAGGAACAGCTCCAGGCTACAGCTCCTAGTGTGAGCAACACAGAAGACAGGTGATTTCTGCATTTCCAACGGAGGTACAAGGTTCATCTCATTGGGACTCGTTGGACAGTGGGTGCAGCCCACAGAGTGTGAGCTGAAGCTGGGCAGGGCATCACCTCACCAGGGAAGCACAAGGCATCGAGGAACTCCCTTTCCTAGCCAAGGGAAGCCGTGACAGATGGTACCTGGAAACTCGGGACACTCCTGCCCTAATACTGCACTTTTCCAAAAGTCTTAGCAAACGGCACACCAGGAGATTATATCCTGTGCCTGGCTCAGTGGTTCTCACACCCATGGAGCCTTGCTCACTGCTAGCGCAGCAGTCCAAGATTGAAATGTGGCAGTGAGGCTGGGGGAGGGGCGCCCTCCATTGCTGAGGCTTGACTAGGTAAACAAAGCAGCCAGGAAGCTCAGACTGGGAGGAGCCCACCGCAGCTCAACAAGGCCTGCCTGCCTCTGTAGATTCCACCTCCGGGGGCAGGGCATAAATAAACAAAAGGCAGCAGAAACTTCTGCAGACTTAAACGTCCCTGTCTGACAGTTTTGAAGAGAGCAGTGGTTCTCCCAGCACGGAGTTCGAGATCTGAGAACAGACCGACTGCCTCGTCAAGTGGGTCCTTGACCCCCAAGTAGACTAACTGGGAGACATCTCCCAGTAGGGTTCCGACTGACACCTCAAACAGCCGGGTGCCCCTCTGAGACGAAGCTTCCAGAGGAAGGATCAGGCAGCAATATTTGCTGTTCTGCAATATTTGCTGTTCTGCAGCCTCTGCTGGTGATACCTAGGCAAAGAGCGTCTGGAGTGGACCTCCAGCAAACTCCAACAGACCTGCAGCTGAGTGTCCTGATTGTTAGAAGGAAAACTAACACACAGCAAGGAATAGCATCAACACCAACAAAAAGGACATCCACACCAAAACCCCATCTGTAGGTCACCATCATCAAACACCAAAGGTAGATAAAACTACAAAGATGGGGAGAAACCAGAGCAGAAAAGCTGAAAATTCTAAAAATTAGAATGCCTCTTCTCCTCCAAAGGATCGCAGTTCCTTGCCAGCAATGGAACAAAGCTGGATGGAGAATGACTTTGACAAGTAGACAGAAGTAGGCTTCAGAAGATCAGTAATAACAAACTTCTCCAAGCTAAAGGGGGATGTTCGAACCCATCACAAATATGCCAAAAACCTTGAAAAAAGATCAGACGAATAGCTAACTAGAACAAACAGTGTAGAGAAGACCTTAAATGACCTGATGGAGCTGAAAACCATGGCACAAGAACTACGTGATGCATGCACAAGCTTCAGTAGCAGATTCGATCAAGTGGAAGAAAGGGTATCAGTGATGGAAGATCAAATGAATAAAGTGAAGCGAGAAGAGAAGTTTAGAGAAAAAAGAGTAAAAAGAAACAAACAAAGCCTCCAAAAATATGGGACTATGTGAAAAGACCAAATCCACATTTGATTGGTGTACCTAAAAGTGATGAGGAGAATGGACCAAGTTGGAAAACACTCTTCAGGATATGATCCAGGAGAACTTCCTCAACCTAGCAAGGCATGCCAATATTCAAATTCAGGAAATACAGAGAATGCCACAAAGATACTCCTCAAGAAAAGCCACCCCAAGACACATAATTGTCAGATTCACCAAGGTTGAAATGAAGGAAAAAATGTTAAGGGCAGGCAGAGAGAAAGGTCAGGTTACTCACAAAGGGAAGCCTATCAGACTAACAGCGGATCTCTTAGCAGAAACTCTACAAGCCAGAAGAGAGTGGGGGCCAATATTCAACATTCTTAAAGAAAAGATTCTTCAACCCAGAATTTCATATCCAGCCAAACTAAGCTTCATAAGTGAAGGAGAAATAAAATTCTTTACATACGAAAAAATGCTGAGAGATTTTGTTACCACCAGGCCTGCCTTACAAGAGCTCCTGAAGGAAGCACTAAACATGGAAAGGATCAACCGGTACCAGCCACTGCAAAAACATGCCAAATTGTAAAGACCATCGATGCTAGGAAGAAACTGCATCAACTAACAAGCAAAATAACCAGCTAACATCGTAATGACAGGATCAACAATATTAACCTTAAATGTAAATGGGCTAAATGCCCCAATTAAAAGACACAGACTGGCAAATTGGATAAAGAGTCAAGACCCATCAGTGTGCTGTATTCAGGAGACACATCTCACGTGCAAAGACAAACATAGGCTCAAAATAAAGGGATGGAGGAAGATCTACCAAGCAAATGGAAAACAACAACAACAAAAAAGCAGGGGTTGCAATCCTAGTCTCTGATAAAACAGACTATAAACCAACAAAGATCAAAAGAAACAAAGAAGGCCATTACATAATGGTAAAGGGATGAATTCAACAAGAAGAGCTAACTATCCTAAATATATATGCATCCAATACAGCAGCACCCAGATTCATAAAGTGAGTCCTTAGAGACCTACAAAGAGACTTAGACTCCCGCACAATAATAATGGGAGACTTTAACATCCCACTGTCTACATTAGACAGATCAACAAGATAGAAAGTTAACAAGAATATCCAGGACTTGAACTCAGCTCTACACCAAGCAGACCTAATAGACATCTACAGAACTCTCCACCTCCAATCAACAGAATATACATTCTTCCCAGCACCACGTCACACTTATTCCAAAATTAACCACATAGTTGGAAGTAAAACACTCCTCAACAAATGGAAAAGAACAGAAATTATCACTAACTGTCTCTCAGACCACAGGGCAATCAAATTAGAACTCAGGATTCAGAAACTCACTCAAAACATCACAACTACATGGAAACTGAACAACGTGCTCCTGAATGACTACTGGGTAAATAGCAAAATGAAGGCAGAAATAAAGATGCTCTTTAAAACCAGTGAGAAAAAAGACAAAACATACCAGAATCTCTGGGACATATTTTAAGTAGTGTATAGAGGGAAATTTATAGCACTAAATGCCCACAAGAGAAAGCAGGAAAGAGCTAAAATCAACACCCTAACATCACAATTAAAAGAACTAGAGAAGTAAGAGCAAACACATTCAAAAGCCAGCAGAAGGCAAGAAATAACTAAGATCAGAGCAAAACTGAAGGAGATAGAGACACAAAAAACCCTTCATAAAATCGATGAATCCAGGAGCTGGTTTTTTGAAAAGATCAACAAAATTGATAGACCGCTAGCAAGACTAATAAAGAAGAAAAGAGAGAAGAATCAAATAGACACAATAAAAAATGATAAAGGGGATATCACCACCAATCCCACAGAAATAAAAACTACCATCAGAGAATGCTATAAACACCTCTATGCAAATAAACTAGAAAATCTAGAAGAAATGCATAAATTCCTTGACACATACACGCTCCCAAGACTAAACCAGGAAGAAATTGAATCTCTGAATAGACCAACAACAGGCTCTGAAATTGAGGCAATAATTAATAGCCTATCAACCAAAAAAAGTCCAGGACCAGAGGGATTCACAGCCAAATTCTACCAGAGGTACAAAGAGGAACTGGTACCATTCCTTCTGAAACTATTCCAATCAATAGAAAAAGAGGGAATCCTCCCTAAATCATTTCATGAGGCCAGCATCATCCTGATACCAAAGCCTGGCAGAGACACAACAAAAAAAGAGAATTTTAGAACAATATCCCTGATGAACATCGATGCAAATATCCTCAATAAAATACTGGCAAACCGAATCCAGTAGCACATCAAAAAGCTTATCCACCATGATCAAGTTGGCTTCATCCCTGGGATGCAAGGCTGGTTCAACATATGCAAATCAATAAACGTAATCCATCATATAAACAGAACCAAAGACAAAAACCACATGATTATCTCAATAGATGCAGAAAAGGCCTTTGACAAAATTCAACACCCCTTCATGCTAAAAACTCTCAATAAACTAGGTATCGATGGGATATATCTCAAAATAATAAAAGCTATTTATGACAAACCCACAGCCAATATCATACTGAATGGGCAAAAACTGGAAGCATTCCCTTTGAAAACTGGCACAAGACAGGGATGCCCTCTTTCCCCACTCCTCTTCAACATAGTGTTGGAAGTTCTGGCCAGGGCAATCAGGCAGGAGAAGGAAATAAAGGGTATTCAATTAGGAAAAGAGGAAGTCAAATTGTCCCTGTTTGCAGATGACATGATTGTATATTTAGAAAACCCCATCATGTCAGCCCAAAATCTCCTTAAGCTGATAAGCAACTTCAGCAAAGTCTCAGGATACAAAACCAATGTGCAAAAATCACACGCATTCCTATACACCAATAACAGCCAGAGAGCCAAATCATGAGTGAACTCCCATTCACAATTGCTTCAAAGAGAATAAAATACCTAGGAATCCAACTTACAAGGGATGTGAAGGATCTCTTCAAGGAGAACTACAAACCACTGCTCAACAAAATAAAAGAGGACACAAACAAATGGAAGAACATTCCGTGCTCATCGATAGGAAGAATCAATATCATGAAAATGGCCATATTGCTCAAGGTCATTTGTAGATTGAATGCCATCCCCATCAAGCTACCAATGACTTTCTTCACAGAATTGGAAAAAGCTACTTTAAAGTTCATATGGAAGGAAAAAAGAGCCCACATTTCCGAGACAATCCTAAGCAAAAAGAACAAAGCTGGAGGCATCACATTACCTGACTTCAAACTATACTACAAGGCTACAGTAACCAAAACAGCATGTTACTGGTACCAAAACAGAGATATGGACCAATGGAACAGAACAGAGCCCTCAGAAACAATACCACACATCTACAACCATCTGATCTTTGACAAACCTGACAAAAACAAGAAATGGGGAAAAGATTCCCTATTTAATAAATGGTGCTGGGAAAACTGGCTAGCCATATGCAGAAAGCTGAAACTGGATCCCTTCCTTACACCTTATATAAACATAAATTCAAGATGGGTTAAAGACTTAAATGTTAGACCTAAAACCATAAAAACCCTAGAAGAAAACCTAGGCAATACCATTCAGGACATAGGCATGGGCAAGGACTTCATGACTCAAACACCAAAAGCAATGGCAACAAAAGCCAAAATTGACAAACGGGATCTAATTAAACTAAAGAGCTCTGCACAGCAAGAAACTACCAGCAGAGTGAACAGGCAACCTACAGAATGGGAGAAAAATTTTGCAATCTACTCATCTGACAAAGGGCTAATATCCATAATCTACAGAGAACTTAAACAAATTTACAAGAAAAAATCAAACAACCCCATAAAAATTGGGCAAAGGATATGAACAGATGCTTCTCAAAAGAAGACATTTATGCAGCCAACAGCACATGAAAAAACGCTCATCATCACTGGCCATCAGAGAAATGCAAATCAAAACCACAATGAGATGCCATCTCACACCAGTTAGAATGGTGATCATTAAAAAGTCAGGAAACAACAGGTGCTGGAGAGGATGTGGAGAAATAGGAACAATTTTACACTGTTGGTGGGAGTGTAAATTAGTTCAACCATTGTGGAAGACAGTGTGGCAATTCCTCAAGGATCTAGAACTAGAAATACCATTTGACCCAGCCATCCCATTACTGGTTATATACCCAAAGGATTATAAATCATGCTACTATAAAGACATATGGACACATATGTTTATTGCAGCACTATTCACAATAGCAAAGACTTGGAACCAACCCAAATGTCCATCGATGATAGACTGGATTAAGAAAATGTGGCACATATACACCATGGAATACTATGCAGCCATAAAAAGGGATGAGTTCATGTCCTTTGTAGGGACATGGGTGAAGCTGGAAACCATCATTCTCAGCAAACTATAGGAAGGACAGAAAACAAAACACCGCATGTTCTCACTCATAGGTGGGAACTGAACAATGAGAACACTTGGAAACAGGGTGGGTAACTTCTCACACTGGAGCTTGTCTTGGGGTGGGGGGAGGGGGGAGGGATAGCATTAGTAGGAATACCTAATGTAAATGAGGAGTTAATGGGTGCAGCAAACCAACATGGTGTAAGTATACATATGTAATAAACCTGCACATTGTGCACATGTACCCTAGAACTTAAAGTATAATAATAGTAAAAAAAGAAAATGGACAAGACGAAGAACAACATGCAGATTCTATTGTATTCATATAATGACTGGAGTTTTTTAAAAAGACGGGTGTATGGCAAGGCACAGTGTCTCACACCTGTAATCCCAGCATTTTGGGGAGCTGAGTCCGGAGGATCACTTGAGCCCAGGAATATGACACCAGCCTGGGCACCATGGGGAGACTACATCTCTGCAAAACATAAAAAATTAGCTGGGTGTGGTGTTGCACACCTGTTGTCCCAGCTACTCAGGAGGCTGAGGTAGGAGGATTGTTTGAGCTCAGGAGATCGAGGCTGCAGTGAGCTGTGATCCCAACAGTGCACTCCAGACTGGACAACAAGCAAGGCCCTGTCTAAAAAACAAACAAACAAACAAAAAGAAGACGTTTATTCAAAATAATGTTTGTCTTTATCTAGTTCTCTGTGAATAATTTTTAGCAGTAATGTGACAGAATCAGATATATGAAACTCAAAAACAGGGAGTTCACAGATTGGAAGAATTGAAATAGAATTTGGAAACATGAGAATTTCCTGTTTCAGCATAATGCTTTTCCAAAATGGAGGTGTATTATGGTATGTATATGCAGACTCACAGCTTAATAGATGATGATTTGCAGAAGGTGATGAAATCAACAAAAGTGGCAGAATATTTTGGAGTGTTGTTGATGGCTGTTCTGAGACATTGGTTCTTGCTTTCTTAGTTTAAATGAATTTAAACAAGAGGCACATAGCAAAGGAGATGCAGCATAGAGTAATTTATTGCAAAGGAAAAAGAATATTTTGAAAGTTAGCTGCAGAATACACACTGAGAAACACAGAGAGGATTCAGGGCTGGCTGGTCATAAGGATGAGACAGCATTCATTATTACTGGGGAAACTCCCTTTATGGGAGTCTTACATGATTATTCTTAAGGAAGTGGGAAGATGTGTTACTAGCAAACATGTTCTGGGTGGTCCTCTGGGTGTACATGCCCATCCATGCTCATTCATACATCACATATCTCATTAGCACTTTAAATCTCCACCCAGGGGTGTGTTTTTTACTATTACAATGAGCAAAGGGTCAGTTTGAGGTAAAATCAAAGTGCACGTTCTCTCTACAGAGGAAATTCCCTACTGAAGACAGCTTTGCTTGAATGAGCTTAACTACAATGTGAATGCTGAGGCTTATTGTGTTGGCTGTATGGTCCCCACGGTTGCTGCATGCCAAGGTCATGGTCACTTCCTTGACTACTTACCCTGCCTCAATTCCCCCCTAAGAGATCTTAGGGCCTATAATCATATGGGAGGTTGAGGGGCTAGGTCATTTCTTCTGAAGCTGCTTCCTGCTGAGTGGGGCGTTGTCCCTGCCTAGCCTGGGCCCTAAAGTCTCTTCCTGCCTGATCTAACGCGGTGTGAACCATGTTGTTCACGGGACTGGTGCACAAGACCTGAGATAGCTCATCAGGAGACCAAGGTTAAAAGCCTTGCAAAACCGTCATGTGGAACTGAAATTGCTGTAAGCAAGAAACTAAGAAATCAGGACTTTAAACAAAATTGGACCAAAAGTTAAATCTTAAAATATTTTAATGACTGGCAGTATTAAAGGGAGCAAGGCAGACAATAGCTAATGCTTCCAATTTCCCATGGAAGTTCCTAAAGTTTTAATTTTGTTTGCCTGAGTAAAGATATTTTTAATATTTTCTTGGACTAAACCAGACTGATTGATGTAAAAAAAGCATTCTTCTTTCAGATACAAATATGTGTCTCGTTGTCCAGCTGTGAGAAGATTCTGGCTTTTCAGTTTTGTAGGACTATACTGGCCAGGGAATCCAGCTGTTGTTGAAGTCCAATGAGGCCCATTTCCATTTGTGGGAGGGCCACTGTGATCTCCTAAAACAGTTTATGCTGGATTCCCAACCTCCACCTCCCGTAGCTGACCCTGATAATCCCAATAGAGAGGGCAGTACTGAATTTAAGGGAATATGGGGTCTTGCTCAGAGGTGAATCTTGCTATGTTGCTACATGGGGAAAGGGAGAGATGTGTTAGACCATTCGAAAGTTAGATAAGGGGAGATGTAAGCAATGGAGCATCATCCCTACCATAGTGGAAGAAATTGTAGATATGCTGAAAATCAACAAACCCCAAAACTTCCTTATGATGGTGAAATTTCTGCTGCAAAAGTATTTTGCATTAAAGTGGTGAATGCAGTGGAGGCTCTATAAAAGGGGTCTCCTATTTTCTGGCCTGTAAGTGAAAGATATGTGCAACTAAGTTGGCAGTGGTTACTGGGTCCATTAATGAATGGTAGAGTTTGATGGTGGCATTAGTAAGATCTTTAAATAATGTTCCCCCTTTAGGGTTCCACCACGAGGCATAGTCATCTTTTGATGGGATATGTTGAGAGTCCCTGGGGGACATATTGAGATAGGGTGAACAAGGGCTTCCCGTGGGAGGATGGCCTCAACAAAAACTACAGGATCTAGTTGTCTTGATAGGAAATAGAGGTGGTGCCAGTCCGGGGGCATAGAGAGCAAAAAATTGGTTGCCTGGGTGAGGAGTCCACTTATTAGTTTAATTCTTGCAGAGGTATTGACTAAGATTGGTTACCCAGTGGCAAAGTTTCAGCTGCACTGACTCTGTTGGAGTTTTACCAAAGTGGCAGAACTGCCATGATTACTGTAAAGCCAGAATGAGAATTGCTATGGATAAAAGGTTTGTAAGAAACTATTTTTCCTTTAGGGACATTTGAACTACTGTTGATAGTTAAGAGGAGGAACTTCAGGAACCCATTACCTGACCCAGTAAAATCCTTTTGTGTTGACTGTTGGGCCTGATATCCCTATTCTGTGGGCCAGTGATTTTGTCCCTGGAGATGTGCTAGGATGCCTGGCCAGTTTTCTAAGGGCCTGGGTCTGGCATATCCCCAAATTTTGGTAGTTACGCAAAGTCAATAAGGTTAAGTTTTTTTTTTGTTTTTTTGTTTATTTTTGTTTTGAGACAGTGTTTCACTCTTGTTGCCCAGGCTGGAGTGCAATGGTGCAAACTCGGCTCACTGCAACCTCCACCTCCTGGGTTCAAGCGATTCTCCTGCCTCAGCCTCCCAAGTAGCTGGGATTACAGGCATGTGACACCATGCTTGGCTAATTTTGTATTTTTAGTAGAGACAGGGTTTCACCATGTTGGTCAGGCTGGTGTCGAACTCCTGACCTCAAGTAACCCACTCGCCTCGGCCTCCCAAAGTGTTGGGATTACAGGTGTGAGCCAGAGCTCCTAGGCCTCAGTTAAGTTTAATAGACTAACAGTATGGTTAATTAGTTCCCCAGCAGATAGGCCAGTCTCTCTAAAAGTCATTGGAGTACAGCAGGCAAGTACCAAGAAAATGAAGATGTTACTTATCTTCCAGATGGGCTTTATCTGGAATTGTGTTCTTGAATAGAAGCTTTAGAGCCCTTATGGGCTGGCAGGTGTAATTAGTAGCTTCCTCTGGTTCCTGTAAAGGTTTATTGCAAAGTTGAATTCTGATCATGTGAACCCGACTGGCTATTCATTGCAGCTCGACAGCCATTGGGGTGGTGAGTAGTACTTGCTAAGGTCCCTTCCATTTAGAAAGAAGTGGATCTGCCAGGGGGCCTTCCTTCCAAGTTTTTAATAGGGCCCTGTCTCCAGGTAGGATTTGGGGGATGTTTTTCACTTGTCCAGGTGAGAGCAGCACTGTATTGCTATATTCCTGGATAGCCTGATGTACTGGGCTTAAATTATTTGTTGGTGTGTTTGTTTGTTTGTTTGTTTGCATAGCAGAGTGTTGCCCTATCACCCAGGCTGGAGTGCAATGGTGCGATCTCAGCTCACTGTAATCTCAGCCTCCCAGGTTCAAGAGATTCTCCTGCCTCAGCCAGCTAAGTAGCTGGCATTACAGGCCCACCACCTCGCCTGGCTCATTTTTGTATTTCAGGCGTTTTGCCATGCGGCCCAGGATGATCTCGAACTCCTGACCTCCAGTGATCCGCCCCCTGCAGTCTCCCAAAGTGATGACAGTACAGCCATGAATCAACATGCCTGGCCCCTGGCTTAGATTTTGATTATACTGTATAGTAGACTGGGTTTCCAGTTTGATAAACAGGTCTAAGGTAAGGAAGGGTCTCCCAGAAGTCATCTCAAACGGACTAAGTTTTATCATTTCTTTGGGTGCCACTTGTATTCTCATGAGGGCTATAGGCAACACAGTGTTCCAAGACTCACAAGTTCCCTGGGACAGTTTAGCCAGAGTCTGCCTTAAATTTTGACTAGCCTTATTAACCTTGTAGGAGGATTGTGGCTTCCATGAGCAGTAGAGATGATATTTAATTTCCAAAGCTCGGGCTATCTATTTGGTTATAGTTGCAAGAAAACAGGGTCCTTTGTCGCTCTGCAAGGAGCAAGGGAGGCCAAATCCTGGTATGATCTCTTTTGGCAGTGCCTTGGCCACTTTTGTAGCTTTCTCTGTTCTGGTGGGGAAAGCTTCTACCCATTCTATAAAGGTGTGTACAAAAACTAAAAGGTATTTAAAAACTCAAAAGGAGGGAATTTGGGTGCAGTGAATTTGCCAGTCCGCACCAGGATATGTTCCTCACCACTGGACTGAGGTTAATAAAGGAAGGACCCTTGTTTTGTTTGCCCCAAAGGTAATTTTGAGAGCAAAGTTCACAGACCCGAGTGACTCTTTTTATTGTAATTGCCAGGCCTTTACCTGTAAAATCATGATCCATCCAGGTGCTCGTAGCATCCTGCCCATGTGGAGGGAATTATGTAAATTTTTAACAATTTGCCACAGTGGGACTGAGGAAGCAAAAGTTTTTGTCCTATGAGCCACCAACACTCATGTGTTAGAGTCTCCTGATTTTCTTTAGCCCATGCTCTTTCTTCTATAATATATGATGGATTTATACCAAGAGAATGGGACAGGCATGATGGCTCATGCCTGTTATCCAGCACTTTGGGATACCAAGGCAGGAGGATCAGTTGAGGATCAGGAGGAGTTCAGGACCAGCCTGGGAAACACGGAAAGCCCCTTCTCTACTGAAAGTACAAAACTTGGCGGCATGATGGCACATGCCTGTAGTCCCAGCTACTTGGCAGGCTGAGGCAGGAGAATTGCTTGAGCCCAGGAGAGTGCAGTGAGTCGAGATCATGCCACTGCACTTCAGCCTGGGTGACAGTGTGAGACTCTATCTGAAAAAAAAAAAAAAAAAGAATGAAATAAAATAAAGAGAATGGGCAGAGAGGAATAAGACCAGCTGGACTACAGCTCCCATAGTTGCCATCCTATCTTCCCTGCCAGCGCTTGCACTGTCCAATGAGACTGAGTAGTTTCGTTTTTGATGTCTGTGACAGTGAAGGACTGCCACTTGCTTGGGATCATGCAGAGCCTGTAAAAGCTGCAATATTTCTGTTCCATGTTCAATGGGGGAATCCCTTGCATTTAAAGATTCCATTCTTTATAGATAGCAGCATGTGCCATAAAGGACAAAGCAGGCATCCTTGGAGTCAATGTATATGTTAGTGTTTTTCCCTGATCTAGAGCCAGGGCCCTAGCAAGGACAATTAGCTCTGTTTTTTGTGCCGAGGCATTAGGTGGCAGTGCCTGGGCATTTATTGTTTGGTGCACACTAACCACAGTGTATCCTGCCCTTCTTTTTCCATTTTCCATAAAACTACTGCCATCAGTGAACCATTCATCATCAGGATTCTTGAGAGATGTATCTCTGAGCTCTTTTCTATCTAAGTAGACCTGGTCTATGGTTTTAATACAGGAATGAGTTAGGTTCTCTGAGGAATTGACTGGCATGAGTTAAGCTGGATTAAGGGTGCCACAAGTTTTTATAGTAACCTTGGGTGAGTCCAGAAGGAGAGTCTGATGTTTGGTGAGTCTTCCTCTTGAGAGCCAACAGTGGCTCTTTATTTCTAAAACTCCCTGCACTTGATGGGGAATGAGGACCTCTAAGGTCTGTCTAAAAGTCAGCTTTAGGGCTTCCTCCACCAGAATGGCAGTGGCTGTGACTGCCCTAAGGCAACCAGGCCATCCACAGGCCACAAAGTCTATGTGCTTTGAAAAGTAGCCAACTGGACAAGGTGGTTCTCCCAGTTTTTGGGAGAGAACTTCTAAGGTGACTTCATGTTTTTCTACCACATATAAAATGAATGGCTTTTCAAGTCGGGAATTTCCAGGGCAGGAGCCTCAAAAAGGACCTTTTTTATGTCTTGAAATGCCCTGGTTTGTTCTCTTTGCCATCGTAGGGCTCAGTGTCAGGCCCTTTAATGGCATCATATAAAGGATGAGCCATTAGTCCAAATCCCAGAATCCAAATTCTACAGAATGCAGACATTCCGAGAAATGTTAAGAGTTGTCTCCTGGTTTGGCGACCAGGCAACTCTGGTATGGCCTGTTTTCTTTCCCCTGAGAGCTTCCTTGTTCCAGGGGTTATAATGTACCCTAAGCAAGTTACTCTCTGTTTGTTACCCTAAGCAAGTTACTCTCTGTGCCCCTTTTTTTGAAACCTTATATCTGCTTGTGCCAAGCAAATTTAAGACTGTAGTGGTATTCCTGTCAGGTGTTTCCTTGGTTGGGTTACGTATTCAGATGTTATCTACATACTGTAGGTGGCTGCCTTAACTAAGTTGTAATTCTCAAAGATCTTTGCCTGGGGCTGGTGCAAACAGGTGAGGGCTATCTTGAAAGCCCTGGGGCAATACTATTCATGGGTGTTTCCTATATTTGTCCATTCAAAGGCAAATAGAAACTGAAAGGACAAGTGCACTGTGATGCAAAAAGACAGCATCTTTAAGGTCTGGTACACTAAACCATTCACAATGCCCTGGAATTTGGTTAACAAGGTATAAGTATTAGCTAGTAAGAAGTAAAGAGGGTTCTGCCTCGTTTATGATTCTCAAGTGTTGTGCCAGTTGATATTCCCCATTTGGTTTTAAGACTGGTAGAAGAGGGGTATTACAAGGTGATTGGAAGGACACTAGTAACCATGCTATAAGAATTTAGAAATTAAGGGCTCCAATCCTTTCTTAGCTTCTAACTTTAGGGGATATCAATTTTCACTGGGGTACCTATTGGGGTCCTTTCATTTAATGAGCATGGGTTGAGCTCAAAGAGCCCTTCTGAGCACGCTGTCATCCCAGATGTCAGGATTTACTCATTCTAAGATTGACATAGGGAGGTGATCTGTTGGCCCTGCAGAGAGGACCATTTGGGAGGGACTGGTGCCTTTGGGTGATATGATGGCTCCCATTATATTTAATAAATCGCTCTCTAAGAGTAAGCTAGGACACTCATAAATAAGCAACAAGAAGTGTGACTTAAACTGATCTCTTTAGTGACATGTGAGTCAGGAAGTAAAATAGTAAGAATGGGGTTTCCCATTGACTCCAGTTATAGTACAACTTTCGAAGGTCACTGGCCCAACTGGGGAGTTAACACAGAGTAGGAGGCCCCAGTATTGATTAAAAAATCAATATTCTTACCTACCATGTCAAGGGTCAGCCAGGGTTCCAGATTGGTGACCGGAATGTCCTTTTCAATGGGGGCCGTCTGGATCCCTGGGCCTCCTCAGTCTTGAATTAGTGCCATCTCGAGGGAGGATGTCCCCTTTCCCCTTCAGGACTGAGGAAAATCCATTTCCTAATGGCTATCTTGTTTACAGACTGGCCATAGCCCAGGGGCAGCTGGGTGAACCCTCTGGCCTGGTGCTCTGATTGTTTGCATTGAAAGGAGGCTCCTTAATTGTTGTTACCTTGCTGTTGACCGGTTTCCAAGCTTCAAGGTTCCTGGGGGTGACTTTAAGGTGGCAGGACACTATTGTCAGAGACAGCTGTCATTTTATCCTGGGCCTTATCTCACCAGTTCTTGATCTGGACTCTGCCTTCCTCCTCAGCCAGATTCCTATTATGAAATACTCCAAAAGCCATTTCTAAAAATTGAGGGACAGGTGTTTGTGGCCCTAATTGTAATTTCTGTGGTTTTCTCCTGATGTCTGGGGTAGACTGGCTAATAAAGTTTTGTCCTGGTGACACTTGGCCTTTAGCAGATGTAGGGTCTATGTTGGTGTACTTTTGGAAGGCCTCCATTAAGCACCCCTGAAAGAAAGCAGGGTTTACATCTTTTCCCTGTATGACTACTTTGACTTTCTCTTAGTTAACAGGATTTTTAATACATTGTCTGATTTCTGCCAGGAGGCATTGGACCATGTAGTCCATCCCTTTTCTTTATTCCTCCAGACCTGTTGTAACTCCAATGTAGGTCCAGGGAGAGATCAGCAATAGCTGCCACTTCATGGGTGGCAGGCTGGTCAGCTTCCTTGCTATCTATGTATCTCTGACTGGCTAACCAGATTCTTTGTTGTTCCTGTGGAGTACAGCAAGAAAAAGGACAACTTGTATACCTTTCCAAGTTAAGTCGAAGGCCAAAGTTAGAGCCTGGAATGTGTCGGTAAATGCACTGGCTTCCTCTGAGAACAGTCTGAGGTTTTGCTTGCACTGGATTAGATCATTTATTGGGAATGGAACATGTACTCTAATGGTCCCTTCTCCATTTGGACTTCCCCTAAAGGGAGCAGTTTTACTGGCCCTGGTTGCTATGAAGTCCCACTGCGAGTTATTCCAGCTGGGCTAGTCCCTAGTGTACAAAGCAAGAAGGATAAAGAGGAGCATAAGCAGGAGTTGAAATGGGATTAGATTCTCCAGAAGACTCTGATAGTGTGGGGGGTGCCCTGGACTCGGAAGGAGGTGTGAGTCCCTGAGAGCCCCTATGTGGAACTGGTGTTGGACTGTGGGTCCTGGGGTCCTTTCCCCTTAATGAAAGAAAATATTCTAATGCTTCTGCGTGGATTTCTTTCATACTGGATTTTAGCCCACAGGTGCTGCATAGAGCTGGGTTCTGTTGTAAGGCCATAAAGGCCTGCACACAGGGTGCTTGAGACCACTTACCCTGATTTGTACAGAAAAGATCTGTGGTGTTAAAGTTCACATTTCCATTCTGTGGCCATTTTTCATTGTTTGCTTAATTGTACCCAGGGCAAACAGTGTGACAAAAGAAGATGAGGTTTTTTTTTCCTTTTTTAGCTCATCTAACCAAATGATATGCCAGTTTTTAAAATATAAATCCCATGGGTGTTTCAGTGAGAGTAGAGGAGATGAGTCCAATGGTGCCAAGAGAATCCTGCAATGATGGACACATATACCAAAGTCCAGGAGGTTGTTGGTGTCCCCATGAGCCGAGCTAGACCATGAAGTGGTACAGGGTATTTGCTTGAATCCCCATGAGACCGAGGCCCTAGGATGTCACCAGAGTTTGCTATGCACCATCCTAGGTCTCACCAGCACTGGACATCTCCAGGCTCAACCAAGGCAGCCCCTGCTGCTGGCTGGGGGGCCCAGGTGTCTCTCTGACAAGACGTTCCCTACCTCACTGGTTTGCCGTTTATAATACCAAGAATGCCTGGATGCAATCCAGGCATTCCAGTAGTTATAATACCAAAAATGCCTGGATGCAATCCCTGGTACCAGGCATCTACATAACTGCACATATTTTTTTTCAGCATAGAAAGTTTGTGGAAGGACAATCTGAAGGAGTATGAAAATGCATAAAGCCTGGCAGGATAGGGACTCTTAATGTGCCCCTCAAAACAGAAAGCTTTGTCAGTAGAAAATCAGATTAGAATATAAATCACAATAGCCACAAAGTGGCAGTCAAGTATTGCCAGAGGGACAACAAACGTGCTGAGTCTGAAATGTGGCCAGAAACATGTGACACTAAGCAGCAAAATAGCCTGAATATTGAATATTGAGGGCAACCCGCATGGTTAGTATAATTATGAATAGTGCAGAAGTCGCAGCCAAAAGTAGAGCAGCACATATATTCACATAAAGAATATAGGTGACTTAAAAACGTTTTCCCCACAACTTCAAGGAAAAAGCCCTAGAAAAAGCAGTCATACTCAACCAGGTAGTTTGGGACTGCCATAGGACACATCACGGGTGCAGGGAAACTGAAGTCAATGAAGCAGACAAACTTCTATCTGTGTCACGGCACCAGAAATGTTGACAGCTGCTGTGAGACCTCGGTTCTTGTTTTCCTAGTTTAACAATTTAAGCAAGAGACACACAGCAAAGGAGATGCAGCACAGAGCAATTTTTTTTGCAAAGGAAAAAGAATATTTTCAAATCTAAGTGCAGAATAGAGAGTATACCCTGAGACAGAGAGAGAATTTAGGGTGGAGTGTTTGAAAGCACGAGACAGCACTGATTATTACTGGGGAAACTCCCTTTATGGGAGTCTTATATGAATATTCATAAGGAGGTGGGAAAAAGTGTAGCTAGCAAGCATGTTCAGGGTGGTCCTCTGGGTGCATATTTGCAGTAGCTGTCCATGCTTGTTCATGCATCACATGTCTCATTAGTATCTTAAATCTCCGCCCAGGGATGTGTTTTCGACTATTATAAAGAACAAAGGGTCAGTGTGAGGACAGGTAAACTCAAAGTACGCATGCTGTCTACAGAGGAAATTCCCGAATGAAGATAGCTATGCTTGAATGAGCTTAAGTACAATGGGAATGCTGAGCCTTATTGGTGTTGATTGTATGGTCACCATGATTGCTCTGTCCCAAGGACATGGTCACTTCCTTGACTTCCTATCCTGCCTCAGTGTGATTAGATATCAATACATTTTGTATATAAAAGAATTTACCTCATAAAAGATCACAAGAAATTATTGAAAGTCCAAATGCTTAAATATTTCTAAATTTAGGTGAACTTACAGGTGTTTATAATGTTATAGCTAACCATAGACCATCATGGGTCTTATTCGTTTTAAAAATTCAAAACAAATATTTAATGCTTCTGGGAAATCATGTTAAATCTTTTGAGAACCAAACAAGCAAACCGTGTATTCTCACTATTCAGTTGTACCACAGATGTGATCAATTCTGAATAAATGTTTCAGATGATTAAGTATATTTGCACTAACAATAACGTTATAACAATAGAACAAAGGTTTTTTTTAACTTCATTGAAATTAAAAGAAGAAAGCTGGATAGAGTCTCGTTTACAAAATGTTCAACAAATTAGAAGGCAATATGGGCATAAAAGTACTGAAGGCCAGGGATATAACAGAGCATCTATGGCAGGTGTATACAAGGGTACATACTTGCCAGAATTTATGCAAAAGTAATTATGCCAAACACAAGACTCACTGGGCTCATTTTTCGCATGATTTCAGTGAGTATAGGGAAGTTCTTGTGTCTGTTTGAAATAATACATCAAAATATATCTGGAAAGTATAATTTATATGGAACATACTGGACATCAAGATAACATGCAATCGAGACACTAGAAACTAATTAAAGATGGTTATCAAATATTAAAACACATAATATGAAAAGACATAAAACATTATGCCAAGCACCAAGTGTCTTGTCACATGTAGATTACAAACTTTTGTGTAAGTTTTTGATTTAATAATATTTTCTACCAAGTAGAAAAAGTTAATAAAACTCTATAATTTTTTAAAAAAGAACATATCTTGGCCAGGTGCCATGGCTCATGCCTGTAATCCGAGCACTTTGAGGGGGTGAAGTGGGTTGACCACTTGAGCCCAGGAGTTCCATACCAGCCTGGACGACATGGTGAAACACTGTCTCTAAAAAATATATAAAGATTAGCCGGTGCACACATGTAGTCCCAGCTAATAGAGAGACTGAGATGGGAGGATCACTGGAGCCCAAGAGGTCAAGGCTGCAGTGGGCCATGATAGTGCCTCTGCACTCCAGTCTGGGCAACAGAGCAAGACCCTGTCTCAAAAAAAAATCCCATAAGTATACATACAGAAAAGCAAAGCTACCTTTGCTTACAGCAAGTGGAATAAAGCATCTTTGAAAGTATGTTTGATGGAGGTAAAAGTTTAACAAGATAAATGAATGCATTTCCTTAATTTGAAAATGTAAGGAACAGAAAAGTAGAGAAATTAGAAATGTTCAAATCACTAGATAACAATATAAAATATTTTGGGAAAAGTACAATTCAGATAGAAAGTAAAACATTTATAATTACCCTAATTTCGTATTAATAATGGAGATATGACAAAGTAAACAAAGTGTTTGGAATCTTTTAGTTGGAGAAATATAACTTCTTATGAGTACATCTGATCTATGAAAGAAACCACTGACGTAACTTATAAATATTCGGTTGATATGTCTTGTAGATTTTCATCTGCAATAACTAGTTTGAAGCAGAACACAGTATCAATACTTTGAAAAACATCAGCATCATGTTTGGATCTTGTAAAACTGAGTCACTCATCTCCCTTTGCACTGTCTTATCCAACTTTAGCCTTAAGATTTTTATTGAACAATACCAGGTCACAGTGGCATCCTGCAGAAGAACTTTCAGTAAGCTGAAGTTGAAAAAAAATTACTTCAGATTATCACTTTGTCAACAGAAATTGACACACATGGCAATTCTTCTAATTGAAAATGAGATTAAAAAGTACTATATTTTCAAAATATGAGCTTGCTTCCATTAGAGCCAGAAAGTGAGATGTCAATAAATTCTATTTGGAGCTTAAATAAAATATTTCAATTTAAAATAATATTGCAGGTGGGCTGAGTGTCTCACGCTTATAATCTCAGCACTATGAGAGGCCGAGGCAGGTGGATTCCTTGAGCCCAGGAGTTCAAGACCAGCCTGGGCAACATGGCAAAACCCGTCTCTACAAAATATACAAAAAGTAGCCATGCATGGTGGTGTGGGCCTGTAATCTCAGCTACTTGGGAGGCTGAGGTAGGAGGATTGTTTGAACCTGTGAGGTTGAGGCTGCAATGAGCTGTATTGTGCTACCACACTCCAGCCTGGCTGACAGAGTGTATATATATATGGATATATATATATATATATATATATATACACACACAGAGATATAGATATATATCTCTCTCCATATATACATATATATATGGAGAGAGATATATATATGCAGATATATATATGGAGGTATATATATATACAGATATATATATGGAGAGAGCTATATATATGGAGATATATATATGGATATATATATGGAGATATATATATGGAGATATATATGGAGATATATATATATGGAGATATATATATGGAGATATATATATGGAGATATATATATGGAGATATATATATGGATATATATATATATATGGATATATATATATATATGGATATATATATATGGATATATATATATGGATATATATATATGGAGATATATATATGGATATATATATATGGATATATATATATGGAGATATATATATGGATATATATATATGGAGATATATATATGGATATATATATATGGAGATATATATATGGATATATATATATGGAGATATATATATGGATATATATATATGGAGATATATATATGGAGATATATATATGGAGATATATATATGGAGATATATATATGGAGATATATATATGGAGATATATATATGGATATATATATATGGAGATATATATATGGATATATATATATGGAGATATATATATGGATATATATATATGGAGATATATATATGGATATATATATATGGAGATATATATATGGATATATATATGGAGATATATATATGGATATATATATATATATATGGAGAGAGAGAGTAAATAATAAAAAAATAAATAAAATAATATTGTAAGGTTTGTTCACCTACTTTCCAAATTTTCAATATCTTTGTGACAACTTTAATGTTCTGGAAACACTAATTGTTTATAAATATATGAAATTATTTTTATCAAGGTGCACATTTTCCCCATGCCTTGGGCTCCAGTGTGACTCCACATAGCACTAAGTAAGGGCGGGGGATTAGGGCTCCCCACATTCAGCATCGTGAGTGACTCTTCCTGGAATAGAAAAAGGAGAGAAGTGGAAGAAGGTAGGGGTGGCTCTGAAAGCAGAGGTTTTCCCACACCATCTCAGCTGACATCGCACTTTCAACAACTGGGTTCAGAGGACCACCCTTGCCGCAAAGGAGTCTGAGATGGAAAATATTTTTTAAAAGTCTGCCCAAAACAAAATCAGGGTTCCAATAGAGAGGGAGAAAGGGGAATAGATAGTAAGTAGTCAGGTAGCAATGCTAAGGTAGTCAGGTAGCAATGCCTGCCCACAAATGAGACACTGAACCACGACACGGATAGATAGTCTGCAAGTTGTAGTGCTACGATGAAAACAAGGGGCTGAAATCACTGAGGGTCTTACTTCAGATGGTATGACAAAAAGGTCTCTCTGAGGAAGTGATATTTAAAGAGATAGAATAGATGACCAGGCACAGCGGCTCACGCCTGTAATCCCAGCACTTTGGGAGCCCATGGCAGGTGGACTGCTTGAGACGAGGAGTTCAAGACCAGACTAAGCAACATAGCAAGACCACTTCTCTACAAAAAATTTTTTAAAAAATAAAGAAAAATGGACAAAATGAGAAACAGTGATTTGGGCAGAGGAAAGAACAACTACTAAGGCCCAGCAGCAAACACATGCCTGTCATGTTTGAGGAACATCAAAGAGGTGGAGTGGCTTCAGCACAGGGATGGACAAGACAGGGGCAGGTAGGTGGCACCAAGCGTGGTTAGGAATATGAAGCAGGGTCCTCACCATGCAAAGCTCTTTCAACTATCCCTTCTGTGATTGCATCATCAGTCCTTCTTGGCTGAAAGGTCTAAGATTATGATTTGGGTTTTTGTTTTTGTTTTTTGGGCCTCCATCCACAATATCCACCCTGCTCATCGTGGAGTTGGGGCTGGCCAAGGCAGAAACCCATGATTTCTCCTGTTCCTCCAGCAGCCACAGCCTGGGATTGGTCTTGCTGCCAACCTGCTAGCTGATGTACAGGGGATGAGCCCTCAGCCTGTGTTCACAGCATTCCCTAAAGCCCTTTTCCCTAGACTTGTCCCAGCTTTGTGGGACTGCACTTCTGCTCAGTTTCCTTGACCAGCACTTCTGGAACTTGTAAAATCTGGAGTCTACCAAAACTTTCATGTATTTTTCTAAATTCTGGAATTTACATAACCTTGCAAATATTATTCCATAAGAGACCCAAATCTGCTCTTTGTATCTCTTTTTCTTCCCTCTTTCTTAAAGAGATTGGCCAGGGGGAACCACCTGGATTGGACTCTTCCAGTAAGCCTGCTTGTTGGGCTCTCAGCTGTCCACTTAGGGAACACAATGTTGAGGCCCTAGGACCTGCTAGCACACTCTGGCATTGTAGATGACAGATTCTGGTGTCCCCAGGGCACCGATCCATCCTAAATCTTTCCTTCCCAGTTCAGAAAAAACCCACAGTGGCTATGCTGACTTCTGATGTAGGCGCTGCCCCTTTGGGTTCAAACATAGGTTAGTACAGCCCACTGCTGGCTACGTAGAAGACATTGTGAAAATGCAAATATCTATGTACCCCTTTTTACATTTCATAGGGCATCACATTTACTATTCTCCCTCACAGGTCTTGCAGAGCAATTGGAACTTTCTCAAATACAAAGATCTCTGTATATATAATTTTATGTTCTGTAACTTGTTCAGAAACTTCTTCATTCTGGTTCTGAGACTAATGTATTACATACATTGGATATCCCACCTTTAAGCAGAACATCAAGTATATTTGTGGACATGCTACACATCTGTGGGCAATGTGGCAACCATGCTTTTCCACCTTCAGAGGAGACCTACTTTAAAGCAAAAGCTTTTTTGAGAATCATCAGATTGTGTTTGGTATGGCAGCAGGGACAGGGAGATTAGAACACAGGTTAGTGTCATCCCCCCTCACCAAGGCTCCTAAAACCATCGGCTGGCTCTGGTGGCCCTGTCTGTTTGTCCTCAACCATCAAGATTTGGCTTTACCATTTACTGACAGTGGGACACAGGTCATCACCTCATCTTCTCTGGCCTGCACTTCCTCACCAGTAAGGTGGGGTGGGGAATTTCTACTGCACAGGTTCCTCAGCAGTAGTAAAAGAGATGAGACATTCCAAGTGTCTGTACCATGCCTGGGCATAGTTGGCACTCAGAAAATTTGTGGGCTAATGATGAGGGCAAAGATGAATGATACTGGCTGGGCTCCACAAGGGCAGGGAACGCTGCTATATAGGCTATTTACTGCTGATCCCCAGCTTCTGGCATGCAGGCTGCCACAGATGATGAATAAATGAAAGAGGTGTCAGACACGGAGTGAAAATAAAGTCACTTTTTTCTAGACAAAAGGGAAGGATCTGTAGAATCATATAAAAACAGGGATGTTTGATGATAGAGTGGAGATAGAGTGCTCGGTTCTAATAGCCACCTCTATTTTCTCAGAATATTTGAGATAGATAGGAAGCAGGTTAAGGAGGGCTCACTTAGTCTGGCTTCCTGCTGTGTACAGCATGGCATTTATAGGTGAACTATAAAAATAATATCAAGTGAGAATTGTAAAGGGCAGCGAGATGATACAAAATGATGAGTACAAGAAACCTGTGAATGTTTATTCTGCTGTCGTACTTGTTTACTGCATGTATTCATTATGCCAAGAGGTAAAAAGGTAGTTTTATTTTATTATCTCACCTGATCTCTGATTGCAAGATCTGGGATTTCCACACGGTATATCCTTCTGTTTCATGATATAAATAATTCCCTAGAAACTGATTCATACATAGCTGTCCCTCTGGGGGGAGGGTGGGAAAAAATACACCTATCTTGCAGCTCAACCTCTTTACTTGGTTTCCAGATGCTAGTGTTACTCACAATGTCCATTAAGAGAAGATGGAAAATGGCCAAACACAACCTGACAACATCTTGTCAACTGTTCCACCAGGACTATTTAATAGGCCAGAAGCTAGTATGTCATCCATGAGTACCAGGGATCTGTGTATGTTTATTAGTTGTACTGTCCTACTTGGTTTCCATATGCATGCATGCCGTAATGAAGGGGAAAAGGTGCTTTTGTTGTATTATCTATTGTGAGCTCAATTTGAGGGGGCTCAGATGGCCACCTGGCATATTCTTCAGTTTTATGGGATAATTTCCTAGAAACTGAGTATCAGTGGGATATAGCAGTGGCGTTGTCATAATGCACTTACCTCACAGCTCAACCTCTTCCTTTGAACAGAGGATGGAAAACGGCCAACCCCAAACTGATAACATCTTGTCAACTGCTCCACCACAGCTTGGTGATATGGCAGCAACTGGAGTTTCATCCACGAGTACCAGGGATCTGTGTATGTCTGCTTATTAGTTGTACTGTCTTACTTAGTTTCCATAAGCAGGCATATTTTCATGAATGGTAGAAGATGGTTTGTTGTATATTTTTTCCTAGCCTCAATTTGAGGGGCATCAAATAGCCACCTGGCATATCCTCCCCTGCTTTCTTATATGATTTGCTAGAAACTGAGCATCAGAGGGCTTTACCTGTGGGGTTGACATCATGCACTTACCTCACAGCTCAACTTCTTCAATTGGTTTCCCGATGCTACCGTCAATCCCAATGTCCATGAAGAGCAGATGGAGAATGGCCAAACACAACCACATAACATCTTGTCACATGTTCTATCAGGGCTTATTAATATGGCAGGAGCTGGTATTCCATTGATGAGTACCAGGCATCTATGTATGTTTATTTATTAGTTGTACTGTCCTCCTCAGTTTCCATATGCATCCGTAGTGTCATGAGGGGAAAAAGATGGTTTTGTTGAATTATCTTTCCCGGCCTCAATTTGAGGGGATGTAGATCATTATTTGATGTATTCTCCTGCTTTATGGGATAGTTTCCTAGAAACTGAGCATCAGTGGGATATACAAGTGGGGTTGACATAATGCACTTACCTCACGGCTCAACCTCCTTCTTTGGTTTCCAGATGCTACCATCACTCACAATGTTGGTGAAGAGAGGATGGAAAACAGCCAACCCCAAACTGATAACGTCTTGTCAACTATTCCACCACAGGTTCGTCATATGGCAGCAGCTGGTATTCCATCCATGAGTACCATTTATCAGTGTATGTTTGTTCACCAGCTGTACTGTCCTACATGGTTTCCATACGCATGCAGTGTAATGCAGGGAAGAAGGTGGTTTTATTGTATTATCTTTTCTGGCCTAAATTTGAGGGATCTCAGACCACCACTTGATATATCCTCCTGCTTTATGGGATGATTTCCTAGAAACTGAACATGAGAAGGACATACCTATGGCATTGACATAATGCACTTACCTCACAGCTCAAATTCTTTATTTGGTTTCCAGATGCTACCGTCACTCACAATGTCCACAAAGAGAGAATGGAAAATGGCCAACCCCAACTGATCACGACTTGTCAACTGGTCTGACAGCACTTATTAATATGGCAGCGGCTGATATTCCGGCCATGAGTACCAGAGATCTTTGTATGTTTGCTTATAAGTTGTACTGTCCTACTTGGTTTTCATATGCATGCATAGTGCCATGAAGGGAGTAAGGTGGTTTTGTTGTATTATCATTTCTGGCCTAAATCTAAGGCATCTCAGATCACCATGTGATATATCCTCCTGCTTTATGAAACAATTTCATAGAAACTGAGCATCAGAGGGATATACTTGTGAGTTGGCATAGTGCACTTACCTCACAGCTCAACCTCTTCCTTTGGTTTCCAGATGCTACCGTCACTCACAATGTCTATGAACAGAAGATAGAAAATGGCCAACCAGCACCTGATAACGTGTTGTTGACTCTTCCACCAGAGCTTATTAATATGACAGCCACTGATATTTCATCCATGAGTACCAGGGATCCGTGTACAAATAAGTTTGCTTATTAGTATTACCATCCTACTTGGTTTCCATATGCATGCATAGTGTCAAAAAGGGTGGGAGGTGGTTTTGTTGTATATTTCCTGGTGTCAATTTCAGGGATCTCAGATGGCAACCTGCTCTATGCTCCCGCTTTATGACATAATTTCCTAGAAACTGAGTATCAGAGAGATATACCTGTGGGGTTACCATAATACACTTACCTCACAGCTCAGCCTCTTCATTTGGTTTCCAGATGCTACCATCACTTACTACGTCCCTGAAGAGAAGATGGAAGATGGCCAACCCCAATCTGATAACGTTTTTTCAACTGCTCCAACAGGTCTTAATATGACAGGAGCTGATATTCCAGCCATGAGCACCAATGATCTGTGTGTGTTCGCTTATAAGTCGAATTGTCCTGCTTGGTTTCCATATGCCTGCATATTGTCATGAAGAGGAAAGGAAGTTTTGTTGTATAATCTTTCTTGAGCTCAATTTGATGCATCTGAGATCACCTCCTGTCATGTCCTTCTGCTTTTTGCAATAATATAATAGAAGCTGAGCACCAGAGGGATATACCTGTGGGACTGACATAATGTGCTTCCTCACAGCTCAACCTCTTCATTTGGTTTCCAGGTTCTACTGTCACTTACAATGTCTGTGAATAGAAGATGGAAAATGACAAACTGCAACCTAATACGTACTGTCAATTGTTCGACCAGTGGTTATTTATTTGGCAGCAGTCGGTATTCTGGGCATGAGTACCAGATATCAGTGTATTTTGTTTACTAGTTGTTCTGTCCTAGTTGATTTCCATATGAATTCATAGTGTCATAAAGGGAAGGAGGTGGTTTTGTGGTATTCTTTTTTGTGAGCTCAATTTGAGGTGTCTCAGATCATCAACTGGTGTATCCTCCTACTTTATGGGATAATTTCCTAGACCCTGAGCATCAGAGGGATATACCTGTAAGGTTGACGTAATATACTTACCTCACAGCTCAACCTTTTCATTTGGTTTCCAGATGCTACTGTCACTCACAATGTCTGTGAAGAGAGGATGGAAAATAACCGACCACAACCTAATAATGTCAGGTCAACTCTTCCACTACGGCTTAGTTATTTGGCAACAGCTGGTATTCCAGCCATGAGTACCAGGGATCAGTGTATGTTTGCTTGTAATTTGAACTGTCCTACTTGATTTTCATATGCATGCCTCATGTCATGCATGGGAGACACGTTGTTATCTTTCATGAGCTCAATTTTAGTGTTCTCAGATCACCACCTGACATATCCTCTCCAGATTTATGAAATAGTTTTCTAGAAACTGAGCATAAAAGGGATATACCTGTGGGCTTCACATAATGTTCTTAACTAAAAATTAACCTCTTCATTTTGTTTCCAGATGCTACTGTCACTCACAATGTCCATGAAGAGAAGACAAAAAATGGCCAACCAGCACCCGATAATGTCATCGCAACTGTTCCACCAGCACTTACTAATATGGCAGCAGCTGGTGTTTCATCCATGAGTACCAGGGATCAGTGTAAGTTCGTTCACTTGTTGTACTGTCCTACTTGGTTTCCATATGCATGCATAGGGTCATGAGAGAAGGCAGTTTTGTTGTATTACCTTTTCTGGCCTCAATTTTAGGGTTCTCAGATTGACACTTGTTGTATCCTCCTTCTTTATGAGATAATTTCCTAGATACTGAGCATCAGAAGGGTAAGCCTGTGTGGTTGACATAATGCGATTACCTCATAGCCCAACCACTTCATTTTCTTTCCAGATACTGCAGTCACTCACAAAGTCCATGAAGAAAATATAAATAATGGCTAACCAGCACCTGATAATGTCTTGTCAACTGTTACATCAGGGCTTGTTAATTTGGCAGGAGGTGGTATTCCACCCATGAGTACCAGGGATAGGCGTATGTTGGTTTACTAGTTGTACTATCCTAATGTTTCTTTTCTAGTTCTACTATCCTACTTGGTTTTCATATGCATGCAGTGTCATAAATAATGTGATTTCATTGTATTGTCTTTCGCGAGCTCAATTTGTGTGGTCTCTGATCATCACCTGGTATTTCCTCCTGCTTTATGTGATAATTTCCTAGAAACTGAGCATGAGAGGGATATACCTGTGAGGTTGACATAATGCACTTTTCTCACAGCCCAACCTGTTCATTTGGTTTCTAGATGCTACCTTCACTCACAATGTCCATGAAGAGAAGATGGAAAACGGCCAACCAGCACCTCAAAACATCTTATCAAATGTTCTACCAGGGCTCATTAATATGGAAGCAACTGGTATTCCATCCATGAGTACCAGGGATCTGTGTATGTTTATTTATTATTTGTACTGTTCCACTTGGTTTCCATATGCATTCATAGGGAAGAAGGACAGGTGAGGAAGAAGGTGGTTTTGGTGTATTATCTTTCCTGGCCTCAATTTGAGGGGTCTCAGATCACCACTTCATATATCCTCCTGCTTTATGAGAGAATTTCCTAGAAATTGAGCATTAGAGAGATATACCTATGGGGTTACCATAATACACTTATCTCACAGCTCGACCTCTTCACTTGGTTTTCAGATGCTACCATCACTCACGATGTCCACGAAGAGGAGATGGAAAATTGGCAATGCCAACTAGATAACGTCTTCTCAACTGCTGCACCATGAGCTGGTATTCTGGCCATGAATACCAGAGATCTGTGTATGTTTGCTTTTTAGTTGGATTGTCCTACTTGGTTTCCATATGTGTGCATAGTGTCATGAAGGGGAGAAGGTAGTTTTGTTGTATTATCTTTCTTGAGATCAATTTGAGGAGTCTCAGATCGCCACCTGTCATGTCCTCCTGCTTCGTGCAATAATTTCTTAGAAGCTGAGTATCAGACGAATATACCTGTGGGGTTGAAATAATGCACTTACTTCACAGCTCCACCTCTACATTTGGTTTCCAGATGCCACCGTCACTGATAATGTCTGTGACGAGAGGATGGAAAATGACCAACCATAACTTAATAACGTCTTGTTAGCTTTTCCACCAGGGCACATTAACATGGCAGCACGTGGCATTCCAGCCATGAGTACCAGGGATCTGTGTATGTTTGCTTATAAGTTGGATTGTCCTACTTGATTTTCATATGCATGCATAGTGTCATCAAGGGAAGAAGGTGGTTTGGTTGTACCTTCTTTCGTGAGCTCAATTTGAGTGTTTTCAGATCGCCACCTGATACCCTCTCCTGCTTCATGAAATAATTTCTAGAAAACTGCAGGCTGGTCTCGAACTCCTGACCTCAAGTGATCCTCCCGCCTCGGCTTCCCAAAGTTGTGGGTTTACAGGCATGAGCCACTGTGCCTGGCCAAAAATCCATATATTTCTGCACAGGACAAATAGCTCAGTTGAAAGGGATGGCTGAA
Organism: Homo sapiens; assembly: GCF_000001405.40. Taxonomy (NCBI): domain Eukaryota; kingdom Metazoa; phylum Chordata; class Mammalia; order Primates; family Hominidae; genus Homo; species Homo sapiens. The sequence goes on along the minus strand of NC_000023.11, from coordinate 135,637,300 downwards.
GAATCACACCAACCTGTGTCCTTCAAATGCTTGGTGTTACCACCAATTATTGCAGTCCCTCCAAGAAAGTAGTGTTGCTTGTGGATTATAGTTTTTATAATTGTGGCAGTTCTAGTGGCTTCTAATTGGCCTTTCCATCATAGTAGCCCTCACTTTGCGGGTCATAGAACCAATGTGGGGATTCTGCCAGTCACTGAGTATGATCCCAACTATGCATTCTGAAACTGGGAAACAACCAGAGGGTGGATTCATGGACCAACTTAGTCCACTGTACGTTGGACCTGATGTAAAACCACATGGATTACCTGATGTAAAATCACATGATTACCAGAAACTACAACTCTTATTAGAAGAGCATAGTGACATTTTGGGTATCCTGGAATTAGCACCAGTTCAGAGCCATTATCAAGTAATTCCTGAGAATTCTGATTATTTACTTCTCCACCATGACCTGCCACACTAATAATTGGCCACAGGTCTGTTGGGGAAGGTGGGGACAAGGATTAACAGCATTGTTATTTGGCAGTGCAGCATGATCTTTCCTCAAGGGCAAGCCTGCAGTAATGTCTGATTAAAGAAGAGAGCCACCACAATCTCCTCACAGATTTTTGGGCTCCCCTTACCAAGTAATTTCTTGCAGCCTTGGTGAAAGTCACATCATCTGGACATCCAGCGTGGCTGAGCAGTTCTTCCAGGATAAAGTCACTCTCACATTCCAATGTCCTTAAGCCTTTGGAGTATATCAAGGAAGTCCTTGAACTTCTCCTTAATTGACGATAGTCAACATTCGGTTTCTCATTTTAGCTAACCAACCAAGCAAACTGCTAGAGCCATCCTTATCCTCTCAAAGAGAAACACTGAATCCAGAGCCTTGGCTTAATGACCCTTGGCTTAATGACTATATAGCAATAAGTTTGGTGTGAATCAAATTAATTTTTCTTCCACCTCATACCCCACCCTCAAGAACTATTTGCACACAAAGTCTCTAGGTTTCTGCCTATCAGCATTAAAAAAATCAGTAGTTGTTAAGGTAAATTTTATGCCTACTAATGGGTCACACCCATGTACCCTCTAGTTTGGGGCTGGTGGAAACTTTAGTCTTACAGGGTTTTGAAGGAAGACTTACTAAAATCCGTGTCCCTCCTTTTTCTCTCACCTTGGAGGAGAGGGAACTCTGCAGAAGCTGAGCCCTTCAGAGCAAATCTAAATGCACAAGGCCCTTTACACTTGACTAAAGTTAGATGTCTCTTCCTCAGAGAGACCTTCCTTGACTACCAGGTTCAAAGTACCATCCACTCATGTTCCATCTCTCCACCTGATTTCTGCTTTTGGCCAATAACATATTCCATAGTTGCTCTCTTTCTTTAGTGCATTTGCCCTCAGCTGGAATGTAAGATTCATGAGAACAGTTTAGTTCACTGTTTTTTTTCATGCCTAGATAAGTACCTGGCACTCAGAGAGTTTTTAGTCAATATTGAATAAATGAATTACGGATTTTTTTTTTTTTACTATTCACCACAATCCTAGAGAATAGCTGCTGTTATCATCCTCTGTTTACAGAAGAGGATATGGAAACACAGAGAGGTTAAGTAACTAGTGCCAGGTCATAGGCATGTAAGTGCATACCTGCAGCAGCACCTCATCTCCAGCTCTGTCTTGAACCCAAAGCACTTTCCACTTGTCCAGTGCAGCCTCACCATACACTCCAGCTTTAGGCTCCTCCTGACACACAGCCTCTCATCCTGTTCTACTCATCACATGACCCTGATTCCAGAACTTTCTCCACTCACTCGTCTCTTATAGGGTCTCTCAGGAGAAGGAAGGCTTGGCTCCCATCTTCTGCTTCTGCCTCTGCCACAGCCTCTCAGCTCTGAGTACTCCTAGGAAGCTCCCTCCTGCCAGGGCCAAATTACCCTCACTCAGCTTATTGCTGGCCTTCCGGGCTAGACTTCACTCTGTTTACCCCAGAACAGATCACTGAAAATCAGCAAATGACCCATCCTGAACTTCGCTCTGCCCAAGAGCTGCAACGACTATTAGGTACTTGGCCATAACCATTTCCTATATGCCATACCAACCCAGGGAGGACATCTCATGAGCAATGAAAACATGCTGGGCATTGCCTATGACTTCTTACATTCATGCTCACCTTCAATCCCCACACAACCTTTTGAGATAGGAGCTATGGTTTCTACTTAACCCCTGAGGAGACTGAGCCTTGAGAGATTAAGTCATTTGCCCAAGGTCAGACAACTGGCTGGCAGCTGAACCCAGATTTAAACCCAGGTGTTTCTAATTCCACTGCCCATGCTCTAAGAACTCTACAGCAATGTGAGTCTACTACACAAAAGGGTGGCTAGATTTCTTACTAAACTGAAATCCACAAACTGAAAAGTGTGAAGATTTTGTGTTGCCAAGTGAAGAAGTCCATGGCAAAAACTCCTTTCACCTTAAAGTATGATGCACCTCTGAACCAGGTTCAAGAGACTGTAACAGAAGGCTAAGTGTCCCTTGGCAGATGCTTTATATTACTGCAACAGGGAGCCTGTATAAAAAGGGATGTCCTTACTTTTGAAAACCTACACCTAGAACAGTAGTCTCTTTTCCAAGGGAGATACTCAGAAAAATCAATTCACACTAAACAGTGGAGATTCTGCTTAAAGCTCAAGTCAAGCATCTTAAATCGGGCTGTCTTCCTGCCTCCAAAGTGCCTGTTGCCCTGTCCACAGGCTGCACTCCATGGCGGACATCTCTGTACCTTTTCAGTTTCTCCTGGGGGTTAGGGGTCATCAGAGTCTGTCTCTCTGTAGTTGTCACGCAGCACTGATGAGCCCTGCTAGTATCATTCATCTTTGCCCTCATCGTTAGTCCACAAATTTTCTGAGTGCCAACTATGCCCAGGCATGGTACAGACACTCGGAATGTTACACCTCTTTCACTCCTCCTGAGGATTCCATGGAGTAGAAGTTACTCACCCCATTTTACTGGTGAGGAAGTTCAGGCCAAAGAAGATGAGGTGATGACCCAAGTTGCACTGTCGGTAAATGGTAAATCCAAATCTTGACGGTTGAGGACAACCAGACAGGGCCACCAGAGCCAGCAGATGCTTTTAGGAGACTTGGTGAGGGGGGAATGGCAATAACCTGTGGTATAATGTCCCTGCCCAGGCTGCCATGCCAGACACAACCTGATGATTCTCAAAAGAGCTTTTGCTTTAAAGTAGGTCTTCTCTGATGGTGGAAAAGCATGGTTCCCACAAGGTTTTGCCCACTGATGTGTAGGCAGTCCACAAATATACTTGATGTTCTGCTTAAAGCTGACTTTCACAAGTGGGATATCCAACGTATGTAATGCATTAGTCTCAGAACCAGAATGAAGAAGTTTCTGAATAAGTTGTTACAGAACGTAAAATTATGTATGCAGAGATCTTTCCATTTGAGAAAGTTCCAAGTGCTCTGCAAGTCTTGTGAGAGAGATTAGTAAAAGTCATGCCCAAGGAAATGTAAAAAGGGGAATATAGATATTTGCCTTTTCCCAATGTCTGCTATGCAGCCAGTAGTGTGCTGTACAAAACTACGTTTGAACCCAAAGAACTAGTGCCTGCATCAGAACTCAGCTTAGCCACTGTGGGTTTTCTCTGAACTGTGAAGGAAGGACTTAGGATGGACTGGTGCTCCTGGGACACCGGAATCTGTCATCTACAAGGCCAGAGCTTGCTAGCAGGCCCTGGAGCCTCGATGTTGCAGTTTCCAAGGGGAGAGCCTAGAGCCCAACAAGCAGGCTTACTGGAAGAATCTAATCCAGTTGGTGCCCCTTGGGCAATCTCTTTAAGAAACAGGGAAGAAAAGGAGATATAAAGAGGAGGTTTTGGCCTCCTATGGAAAAATATGTGCAAGGTTTTATAAGTTGTAGAATTTGGAAAAATATATGGAATGGAATGTTCTGTAGACTCCAGGTTTTACAGGGTCCAGGAGTGCTTTTCAAGGAAACTGAGTAGCAGTGCAGTCCCACGAAGCTGGGCCATGTCTAGGGAAAAGGGCTTTAAGGAATTCTGTGAACACAGGCTGAGGGCTCATCCCCTGTGCATCAGCTAGCAAGTTGGCAGCAAGAGCTGCCAGGCTGTAGCTGCTGGAGGAACTGGGGGAATCATGGGCTTCTTCCTCGGCCAGCCCCAACTCCACAATGGGCAGGGTGGATATTGTGGATGGAGGGCAAAAAACAAAAACCCAAACCATATTCTTAGACTTTTCAACCAAGAAGGACTAAGGATGCAATCACAGAAGGGGCAGTTGGAAGAGCTTTGCATGGTGAGGCCCCTGCTTCGTATTCCCAACCTCACTTATTGTCACCCACCTGTCCCCCTCCCATCCATCCCTGTGCTGAAGGCAATCCAGCTTCTATGCCGTTCCTCAGACATGACAGGCATATGTCTACTGCTGGCCCTTTGTAGTTGCTCTTTCCTCTGCCAAAATAACTGTTTCCCATTTTGTCCATTTTCCTTTATTTTATTTTATTATTATATTTTTTAAATTTTTTGTAGAGATGGGGTCTTTCTATTTTGCCCAGGCTGATCTTGAACTCCTGGTCTCAAGCAGTCCTCTTGTCTCTGTCTCTCTCAGCTGCCCTTTTTGTTGCTACTTCTGTACTATTCATAATTATACTAGCCATGTGGGTTTCTCTCAATGTTCAATATTCAGGCTATTTTGCTGCTTAGTTTCACTTCTTTCTGGCCACATTTCAGACTCAGCGCCTTTGTTGTCACTCTGGCAATACTTGACTGCCACTTAGTGGCTATTGTGATTTATTTTCTAATCTGATTTTCTGTTTACAAAACAGAGTTTTGAGGGCCACATTAAGAATCCCTATCCCTCCAGACTTTGTTCATTTTCATACAACTTCAGATTGTCCTTTAACAAACTTTCTATGCTGAAAAAAAGATGTGCAGTCAAGCAGATGCCTGGTCCCAGGGATTGCATCCAGGCATTCCAGTTATTATAATTGGGCATAACGAATGGCAAACCAGTGAAGTAGGGAAAGTCTTGTCAGTGAGACATCTGGGCCCCCCAGCTGGCAGTGATGGCCACCTTGGTCAAGGCTGTAGATATCCAGTTCTGGTGAGACCTAGGATGGTGCATGGCAAACACCCGTGACCTCCTAGGGTCTCGGTTTGTGGGAATTCAAGCAGATGCCCTGTATTGCATCGTGGTCCAGCTTGGCTAATAGGGACAGCCATGACCTCCTGGTCTTCTGTATATGTGTCTGTCATTGCAGGATTCTCTTGGCACCACGGGAGCCATCTCCAATACTCTCAATGAAACACCCCTGGGATGTATATTTTAAAAGCTGGAATAATTTGGGTGAGATGAGCTAAAAAAGAAAAAAAACCCTTATCTTCTTTTGTAACACTGTTTAGCCTGGGAAAAAGTCAGCTAACAATGAAAAATGGCCAGAAAATGGAAATGTGAACTTTATTACCATCCTACAGCTAGATCTTTTCTGTACAAATCATGGAAAGTGCCCTGAAGTACCTTATGTGGAGGCTTTTGTGGCCTTATAAGAAAACCCAGCTCTATGTGGCACCTGTGGGCTGAAACCCAGTAAGCAAGGAAGCCACACAGATGCATTAGAAGATCCTCTTTTATTAAGGGAAGGGAACCCAGGCCCCATGACACAAAGATGGCTCCAGATAGGGGCTGTCAGGGACCCTCACTTCCTTCTGAGTCCCCAGCACCCCTGCACTACCAGAGTCTTCTGTGGAATATAATCCCATTTCACTTCCTGTTTATGCTCCTCTTTATGCTCCTTCGCCTTGTGCGTTGCAGACTAGCCTAGCTGGAATAACTCGCAGTGGGATTTCATACCATCCAGGGCCAGAGAATCTGCTCCCTTTATGGGAAGTCCAAATGGAGAAGGGACCATTAGAATACATGTTCCATTCTTAATGAGTGATCTAATCCAGTAAAAGCAAAACCGCAGATACTTCTCAGAAGAACTCAGTGCATTTACCAACGCATGCAAGGCTCTAACTTTGGCCTTTGACTTAACTTGGAAAGGTATACAAGTTGTCCTTTTTATTGCTGTACTCCACAGGAACAATAGAGAATCTGGCTAGCCAGTCAGGGATACATAGATAGCAGGGCAGCTGACCAGCCTGCCACCCATGAAGTGGCAGCTACTGCTGATCTCTCCCAGGACCCACATTGGAATTACAACATTGGAATTCCTCCTTTATCTGGAGGAATAAAGAATATGGATGGACTACATGGTGCAATGCCTCCTGGCAGGGATCAGACAATGTGTTAAAAAATCTGTTTCTTAAGAGAAAGTCAAAGTAGTCCCACAGAGAAAACATGTAAACCCTGCCTTCTTTCAGGGGAGCTTAAAGGATACTTCCAAAAGTATACCAACATAGACCCTACATCTGCTGAATGCCAAGTGTTACCAGGACAAAACTTAATTGGCCAGTCTACTCCAGATATCAGGAGAAAACTATAGAAATTACAATAAGGGCCATAAACACCTATACCTCAATTATTAGAAATGGCTTTTGGAGTGTTTCGTAATAGGAATCTGGCTGAAGAGGAAGGCAGACTCCAGCACAAGAACTGGTGAGATACAGCCCAGTCTAAAAAGATAGCTGTTTCTGTCAGTAGTGTCTTGGAACCTCAAGTCACCCCCAGGAACCTTGAAGCTTGGAAGCCGGTCAACAAACAATCAAGGAGCCTGCTTTAAATGCAAACAATCAGAGCACCAGGAAAGAGGGTGCACCCAACTGCCCCTGGGCCATGCCCAGTCTGTAAACAGGATAGCCACTGGGGAATGGATTTTCCTGAGCCCTGAAGGGGAAAGGGGACATCCTCCTTCAAGATGGCACTAACTCAAGACGGAGGAGGCTAAGGGATCCAGACAGCCCCCATTGAAAAGGACATTCCAGTCACCGATCTGGAACCCTGGCTGACCCATGACATGGTAGGTAAGAATACTGATTTTTAAAATCAATACCGGGGACTCCTACTCTGTATTAACTTCTCAGTTGGGTCAGTGACCTTCAAAATTGTACCATAGCTGGGGTCAATAGGAAACCCCGTTCTTAATATTTTACTTCCTTACTCACATGTCACTAAAGAGATCAGTTAAGTAACACTTCTTGTTGCTTATTCCTGAGTGTCCTACCCTGCTTTTAGAGAGCGATTTATTAAATATCATGGAAGGCATCTAATCACTGAAAGGCACCAGTCCCTCCCAAATGGTCCTCACTGCAGGGCCAACAGATCACCTCCCTATATCAATCTTAGAACAAGTAAAACTTGCCGTCTGGGATGACAGGGTACTCAGAAGAGCCCTTTGGGCTGAACCCATGGTCATTAAAATACAGGACCCCAATAGGTACCCCAAGGAAAACCAATATCCCCTAAAGTTAGAAGCTAAAAAAAGATTGAAGCCCTTAATTTCTAAATTCTTACAACATGGCTTACTAGTGTCCTGCCAATCACCTTGTAATACTCCTATTCTGCTAGTCATAAAACAAAATGGAGAATATCCAATGGCACAAGACATGAGAATCATAAACGAGGCAGGAACCCTCTTCATCCCTTAGTAGCTAATACCTATACCTTGTTAACCAAATTCCAAGACATTGCCAATGTTGTAGCGTACTAGACCTTAAAGAGGCCATCTGTTTGTATCCCAGTGCACTTGTCCTTTCAGTTTCTATTTGCCTTTGAATGGACAAATATAGGAAACGCCCATGAATAGTATTGCTCCAGGGCTTTCAAGATAGCCCTCACCTGTTTGCACTAGCCCCAGGCAAAGATCTTTGAGAATTACAACTTAGTTAAGGCAGCCTCCTACAGTATTTAGGTAACAACTGAATATGTAATCCAACCCAGGAAACACCTGACAGGAATACCATTACAGTCTTAAATTTGCTTGGAGCAAGCAGATATAAGGTTTCAAAAAAAAGGGGGCACAATTAACCAAACAGAGAGTAACTTACTTAGGGGACATTATAACCCCTGGAACAAGGAAGCTCTCAGGGGAAAGAAAACAGGCCATACCAGAGTTGCCTGGTCGCCAAACCAGGAGACAACTCTTAACATTTCTCGGAATGTCTGCATTCTGTAGAATTTGGATTCTGGGATTTGGACTAATGGCTCATCCTTTATATGATGCCATTAAAGGGCCTGACACTGAGCCCTGCGATGGCAAAGAGAACAAACCAGGGCATTTCAAGACATAAAAAAGGCCCTTGTTGAGGCTCCTGCCCTGGAAATTCATGACTTGGAAAATCTATGCACCTTATATGTGGCAGAGAAACAGGGAGTCCTCGCCAAAAACTGGGAGAACCACCTCATCCAGCTGACTACATTTAAAGCACATGGACTTTGTGGCCTGTGGATGGCCTGGTTGCCTTAGGGCAGTCACAGCCACTGCCATTCTGGTGGAGGAAGCCCTAAAGCTGACTTTTAGACACACTTTAGAGGTCCTCATTCTGCGTCAAGTGCAGGGAGTTTTAGAAATAAAGAGCCACTATTGGCTCTCAAGAGGAAGACTCACCAAACATCAGGCTCTCCTCCTGGACTCCCCAAGGTTACTATAAAAACTTCTGGCACCCTCAATCCAGCTCTGCTCATGCCAGTCAATTCCTCAGAGAACCTAACTCATTCCTGTATTAAAACCATAGACCAGGTCTATTTAGATAGAATAGATCTCAGAGATACATCTTTCAAGAATCCTGATAATGAAAGGTTCACTGATGCCAGTAGTTTTATGGGAAATGGAAAAAGAAGGGCAGGATACACTGTGGTTAGTGTGCACCAAACAACAAAGGCCCAGGCACTGCCACCTAGTGCCTCAGCACAAAAAGCAGATTGTCCTTGCCACAAAAATTGTCCTGGCCAGGGCCCTGGCTCTAGATCAGGGAAAAACACTAACATATACATTGACTCCAAGGATGCCTGCATTGTCCTTCATACATATGCTGCCATCTATAAAGAATGGGGTCTTTAAATGCAAGGGATTCCCCATTGAACATGGAACAGAAATACTGCAGCTTTTAGAGGCTGTGCATGATCTTAAGCAAGAGGATCAAAAATATCAAAAAAGAAAAAGGATCAGAAACATCAAAAAGGAAACTCCTCAGTCTCATCGGACAATGCAAGGGCTGGCAGGGAAGACAGGATGGCGACTATGGAAGCTGTAGCCCAGCTGGCCTTATTCCTCTCTGCCCATTCTCTTCATTTTATTTTATTTTTTATTTTTTTGAGACTGAGTCTCACTCTGTCACCCAGGCTGAAGTGCAGTGGCCTGATTTCAACTCACTGCACCCTCCTGGGCTCAAGCAATTCTCCTGCCTCAGCCACACTAGTAGCTGGGAATACAGACACATGCCATCATGCCGCTAATTTTTGTACTTTCAGTAGAGAAGGGGTTTGCCATGTTATCCAGGCTGATCTCGAACTCCTGGCCTCAACTGGTCTGCCTGCCTTGGCAGCCCAAAATGCTGGATAACAGGCATGAGACACCATGCCCATCCCATTCTCTTGGTATAATCCGTCCTATACTATGGAAGAAATAGCATGGGCTAAAGAAAATCAGGGGAGCCTAACACCTGAGGGTTGGTGGCTCGTAGGCCAAAAGCTCTTGCTTCCTCAGTCCCATCACGATAAATTGTCAAAAATTTACATAATTCCATCCATATGGGCAGGATGCTATGACCACCTGGATGGACCATGACTTTACAGGTAAAGGCCTGGCAACCACAATAAAAAAGGTCACTCTGGCCTGTGAACTTTGCTCTCAAAATTACCTTGGGGGAAAATGAACAACAAAAAAACAACGGCCAGGTGCGGTGGCTTACGCCTGAAATCCCCACACTTTGGGAGTCCGAGGAGGGAGGATCACGAGGTCAGGAGTTTGAGACCAGCCTGGCCAACATGGCGAAACTCTGTCTCTACTAAAAATACAAAAGTTAGCGGGGCATGATGGCACGTGCCTGTAATCCCAGCTACTCGGGAAGCTGAGGCAGGAGAATCGCTTGAACCCAGGGAGGCGGGGATTGCAGTGAGCCGAGATCGCGCCATTGCACTCCAGCCTGGGCGATAAAGCGAAACTCCGTCTCTGGAAAAATAAACAAGCAAACAACAACAACAAAAAAACAAGGGTCTCCTGCTTTATTAACCTCAGTCCAGTGGCGAGGAACCTATCCTGGTGACTACTGGCAAATTCACTGCACCCAAATACCCACCTTTCAGGTTTTTTAATACCTTTTAGTTTTTGTAGACACCATTCTGGAATGGGTAGAAGCTTTCCCCACCAGAACAGAGAAAGTTACAGAAGTGGCCAAGGCACTGCCAAAAGTGATCATACCAGGATTTGGCCTCCTCTGCTCCTTGCAAAGCGACAAAAGACCCTGTTTTCCTGCAACTATAACCTAATAGATAGCCCAAGCTTTGGAAATTAAATTTCATCTCCACTCCTCATGGAGGCCACAATCCTCCAGCAAGGTTAATAGGACTAATCAAACTTTAAGGCAGACACTGGCAAAACTGTGCCAGGAAACTTCTGAGTCTTGGTACACTCTGTTGCCTATAGCCCTCATGAGAATACGAGTGGCACCCAAAGAAAAGACAAAACTTAGTCCGTTTGAGATGACTTCTGGGAGACCCTTCCTTACCTTAGACCTGTTTATCAAACTGGAAACCCAGTCTACTATATAATAGATTCAAAATCTAAGCCAGGGACCAGGCGTGGTGATTCCTGGCTGTACTGTCATCACTTTGGGAGACCACGGGGGGCAGATCACTTGAGGTCAGGAAATCGAAACTGGCCTGGGCCACATGGCAAAACCCCCGAAATACAAAAATGAGCCAGGCAAGGTAGTGGGTTTGTAATCACAGCTACTCAGGTGGCTGAGGCAGGAGAATCTCTTGAATCTGAGACGCGGAGATTGCAGTGAGCCGAGATTGCACCACTGCACTCTATCCTGGGTGATAGAGCGACACTCTGCTATCCAGATAAATAAATAAATAAATAAATAAATAAATAAATAAATAAATAGATAAATAAATATAAAAAATCTAAGCCTGGCACAGCAGGCTATCCAGGAATATAGCAATACAGTGCTGCCCTCACCTGGACAAATGATAAACATCCCGCAAGTCCTGCCTGGAGACTGGGTCCTATTAAAAACTTGGAAGGAAGCCCCCCACCCTGGCAGATCTGCTTCTTCCTAAATGGAAGGGTCTTAGCAAGTACTACCAACCACCCCAATGGCTGTCAAGCTTCAAGACATAGCAACTCCGGCTCATATGATCAGAATTCAACTTTGCAATAAACCTTTACAGGAACCAGAGGAAGCTACTAATTACACCTGCCAGCCCATAGGAGCTCTAAAACTTCTATTCAAGAACACAATTCCAGATAAAGCCCATCTGGAAGATAAGTAACATCTTCATTTCTTGGTACTTGCCTGCTGCACTCTAATGACTTTTAGAGAGACTGGCCTATCTGCTGGGGAAGTAATTAACCATACTGTTAGTCTATTAAACTTAACTGAGGCCTGGGAGCTTTGGCTCACACCTGTAATCCCAACACTTTGGGAGGCCAAGGCGAGTGGGTCACCTGAGGTCAGGAGTTCGACACCAGCCTGACCAACATGGTGAAACCCCATCTTTACTAAAAATACAAAATTAGCCGAGCGTGGTGGCGCATGCCTGTAATCCCAGCTACCTGGGAGGCTGAGGCAGGAGAATTGCTTAAACCCAGGAGGTAGACATTGCAGTGCACCGAGTTTGTGCCATTGCATTCCAGCCTAGGCTACAAGAGTGAAACACTGTCTCAAAACAAGAACAAACAAACAAACAAACAAAAACTTAACTAAACCTTGTTGACATTGCATAAATACCAAAATTTGGGGATATGACAGATCTGGGCCATTATAAGACTGGCCTGGCTCCTAACACATCTCCAGGGACAAACTCACTGGCCCACAGAATGGGGATATCAGCCCCAACAGTCAATACACATTAGTAAATTCAATGGGAATTTGGAAGCATTAGCTATTGTCTGCCTTGCTCCCTTTAACACTGCCAGTCATTAATATATTTTAAGCTTTAACTTTTGGTCCAATTTTGTTTAAAATGCTGATTTCTTAGTTTCTTGCTTACAGCAATTTCAGCTCCACATGACGGTTTTGCAAGGCTTTTAACCTTGGTCTCCTGATGAGCTATCTCAGGTCTTGTGCACCAGTCCCGTGAACAACATGGTTCACACCGCGTTAGATCAGGCAGGAAGAGACTTTAGGGCCCAGGCTAGGCAGGGACAACGCCCCACTCAGCAGGAAGCAGCTTCAGAAGAAATGACCTAGCCCCTCAACCTCCCATATGATTATAGGCCCTAAGATCTCTTAGGCGGAATTGAGGCAGGGTAAGTAGTCAAGGAAGTGACCATGCCCTTGGCATGCAGCAACCGTGGGGACCATACAGCCAACACAATAAGCCTCAGCATTCACATTGTAGTTAAGCTCATTCAAGCAAAGCTATCTTCAGTAGGGAATTTCCTCTGTAGAGAGCATGTGCACTTTGATTTCACCTGTCCTCAAACTGACCCTTTGCTTATTGTAATAGTAAAAAACACACCCCTGGGTGGAGATTTAAAATGCTAATGAGACATGTGATGTATGAATGAGCATGGATGAGCATGTACACCCAGAGGACCACCCAGAACATGTTTGCTAGTAACACATCTTCCCACTTCCTTAAGAATAATCATGTAAGACTCCCATAAAGGGAGTTTCCCCAGTAATAATGAATGCTGTCTCATCCTTATGACCAGCCAGCCCTGAATCCTCTCTGTGTTTCTCAGTGTGTATTCTGCAGCTAACTTTCAAAATATTCTTTTTCCTTTGCAATAAATTACTCTATGCTGCATCTCCTTTGCTATGTGCCTCTTGTTTAAATTCATTTAAACTAAGAAAGCAAGAACCAATGTCTCAGAACAGCCATCAACAACACTCCAAAATATTCTGCCACTTTTGTTGATTTCATCACCTTCTGCAAACCATCATCTATTAAGCTATGAGTCTGCATATACATACCATAATACACCTCCATTTTGGAAAAGCATTATGCTGGAACAGGAAATTCTCATGTTTCCAAATTCTATTTCAATTCTTCCAATCTGTGAACCCACTTTTTTGAGTTTCATGCATCTGATTCTGTCGTATTACTGCTAAAAATAATTATTCACAGAGAACCAGATAAAGACATATATTATTTGGAATAAATGTCTTTTTTTTTTTTTTTTTTTAGACAGGGCCTCACTTGTTGCCCAGTCAGTGCACTATTGGGATCACAGCTCACTGCAGCCTCGATCTTCTGAGCCCAAACAATCCTCCTGACCTCCTGAGTAGCTAGGGCTACAGGTGTGCACCACCACACCCAGCTAATTTTTGTATGTTTTGCTGAGATGTGGTCTCGCCATGGTGCCCAGGCTGGTCGCATACTCCTGGGCTCAAGTGATCCTCCCGCCTCAGTTCCCCAAAGTGCTGGGATTACAGGTGTGAGATATCGTGCCCGGCCACACACCTGTATTTTAAAAAATCTCCAGTCATTATATGAATACATTAGAATCTGCATGTTGTTCTTGGTTTTGTCCATATTCTTTCCAGTAAACCCCTTTTGTTTCATTAGCTCAAACGTCAACATGTTTCTGAAATATCTAACACTCTCCTTCAATTTCTTCTCACGATTTCAAAAAGTTTCCTTAGTTTTCAGTGGATTTGAGGGTAACTCTATTCTAATAATGTCAATGACAGGAAAACATTTATTTTCAGTAGCTGCAATACTTTCTTCTAGTCACTCTCATAACTGAGTGAATCCTGTAATTCTGATGAATTTCCACATGCATTTTACTTCATTCTTGAACATTACATCACTTACCTTTGGTGCCTTAACTCTCTAAATAATTGTAGCATAATTGACAAAAATATTTACTTTTAATTGATATAGTCCATGTAGAATAAATGTGCTAACACATAATCAAGTAATTTAAATTAATTATGGATTCTTTTGAAATATTTAGTCATTACACCGATGTACATAGAAATTTATATAAAGATAAAAAATAAATAGTTATGAAGAGTAAAAAATTTCACACCAGGCTTCTGAACAAATCTGACTTTAAAAAACTCTTGAAAATTAATTAATTTTCTTTTTTCTTTTTTCTTTTTTTGAGACGGAGTCTCGCTCTGTCGCTCAGGCTGGAGTGCAGTGGCACAGTCTCGGCTCACTGCAAGCTCCACCTCCCAGGTTCACGCCATACTCCTGCCTCAGCCTCCCGAGTAGCTGGAACTACAGGCACCCGCCACCATGCCCGGCTAATTTTTTGTATTTTTAGTAGAGATGGGGTTTCACAGTGTTAGCCAGGATGGTCTCGATCTCCTGACCTCGTGATCCGCCCTTCTCAGCCTCCCAAAGTGCTGGAATTATGGGCGTGAGCCACCTCGCCCGGCCAAAAATTAATTTTTTAAAAATGAAGTGAACACCAGTGTAATTTTCATAACTGCCTTCAGTGAATAAAGTACAAAAGTTTCTTGATAATTGCTATTTTCCTTGGAAAGAATACTTTTTCAGAAAATGTTTCATATTTGATGAAATTCTATTTCTGAAAAGTCAAATATTTTAAGGAATAAAATTTTCACGACCTACTTGAGGGTTCTTTAGAATATTTTCAAAAATTGCACAGACATATTTGTAATTAAATCAAACTATTTCTTTTTTCCACCCTGTGGCAATATGGATTGCATGAGCATAGAAAGAGAACAATTGCCAGCTTCCCTCAGAAGGAAGCAGTGGCCTTCACAGAAAATTGCAAGTGAGACGTTTTTAAGTAGTAGGACTGTGGCACCCACGTGTCCCCTCCACGTGCACAATGTTCAGGGCTCTGCAGGTGCAAGGGCAAATCCTGCCTTTATTTTAAATTTTGATATATTGTTCATTGTGGATGTTTTGTATTAATTTTGATTTTTGAAAAATTATGGCAAACTACTCCTCATCTTGATTACCAAGTGCCTTGCTTTCCCCCAAAATTTTGCCTCCTTCATCTGAACCAAGTCCTGGCCCTACCCTGCCTGCTTCCCTGCAGACTTCTCAATGTGTGATGTCTTCGGCTACTCCCACAGGCAGGGAGATTCTCTGCTCATTGCAACCAGAGGCACCCTAATGCATAAGATGGTGAAATGCCAACCATGTGGCCTTTTCGCCATCATCTCCCCAGTGTCTAGGAGAGAACCAGCACTGGAAAACCCTTGAGGAACATTTGTTGAATGAAGGAAACATCATAACGAGTGTCTGAAGATTGCTTTAAGCTCCTGATGGGAAATGATTGGTGTTCCAACAAAGTGGCTTTCAAAAATCTTTAGAATAAAAGAATTACAGAAACACACCGCTCTTGTGGCCAGGGAAAGCAATCTCCCCAGACACGACTGTCAAGGCCACAAGGAACGTCAGACATCAGTTATCCCGGGATTGCCATTTTCCAGAGATATTACAAATGAGGCCCCAAGAAGGGAAAGACAAATCTCAGGTCATAGGCAGCTAGGGCTGGAACAGAGTCTAAGAAGCCAAATGTCCAGCCTGCCTGCTGCACAGGGCTGCTCCTTGCCCAGACCCAGGAGCCTCAGGTATTTGGGGTGAGAGCCTCTCTGCTTACTGAGGGCAGCATTTTGGCAAACGCACCCTCACTGGGTGCTTCCACTCTATTCTTGTAGCACAAAATATGGTTTAGCAAGTCCAGAAATGTTTCACTCCTTGTCCGGTATTATACTGAGATAATAGCCTTATACAGAGAGCATAGTCCTGTAAAAATACTATATCCGACCAATTTTACATAACAGCTCCCTTTTATACAGATGTTTAACATTAGATAGAAATTTAACATTATGTATGCATATATACACACATATATGTTTGTGTGTGTGTGTGAGATCATGTGACTGCGTTTTTCTCTATACATGTTTATTATTATTATTATTATTATACTTTAAGTTTTAGGGTACATGTGCAAAATGTGCAGGTTAGTTACATATGTATACATGTGCCATGCTGGTGTGCTGTACCCATTAACTCGTCATTTAGCATTAGGTATATCTCCTAATGCTATCCCTCCCCACTCCCCCCACCCCACAACAGTCCCCAGAGTGTGATGTTCCCCTTCCTGTGTTCATGTGTTCTCATTGTTCAATTCCCATCTATGAGTGAGAACATGCGGTGTTTGGTTTTTTGTCCTTGCGATAGTTTACTGAGAATGATGATTTCCAATTTCGTCCATGTCCCTACAAAGGACATGAACTCATCATTTTTTATGGCTGCATAGTATTCCATGGTGCATATGTGCCACATTTTCTTAATCCAGTCTATCATTGTTGGACATTTGGGTTGGTTCCAAGTCTTTGCTATTGTGAATAGTGCCGCAATAAACATACGTGTGCATGTGTCTTTATAGCAGCATGATTTATATTCCTTTGGGTATATACCCAGTAATGGGATGGCTGGGTCAAATGGTATTTCTAGTTCTAGATCCCTGAGGAATCGCCACACTGACTTCCACAATTGTTGACCTAGTAGGAAGAATCAATATCGTGAAAATGGCCATACTGCCCAAGGTAATTTATAGATTCAATGCCATCCCTATCAAGCTACCAATGACTTTCTTCACAGAACTCGAAAAAACGACTTTAAAGTTCATATGGAACCAAAAAAGAGCCCACATCGCCAAGTCAATCCTAAGCCAAAAGAACAAAGCTGGAGGCATCACACTACCTGACTTCAAACTATACTACAAAGCTACGGTAACCAAAACAGCATGGTACTTGTACCAAAACAGAGATATAGATCAATGGAACAGAGCAGAGCCCTCAGAAATAACGCCACATATCTAAAACTATCTCTAAACATGTTTTTTAAAGATCAGGAGGAACTGTTTGCTTTCAGCTGGCAAGGCCAGCAAAACCCTTTTCCTTCCTACCTCAGTCTTACATCAACTCTCTAAGTGATACAGGCAGGAGGCAAAGAAACTCTAGGCAGACAAGGGTGAGTCCTTGGTGCAACCCCACCTTCAAGCTGAAAAGCCTGAAGTGAGGACTTCTATCCCATCTTGGCCACTCCCTGCCAATTGGTTTTTTCTGAATAATATTTTTTTACCAATCGAATTTTGCCTTTCCCAAAACCACCTATGGCCCATCCTGCCCCATGTCCCATGTTTGTAAAGACCCCAGATTCAGCCACTAGAGAGGAGAAGCAGCCGGACATCAAGGAGAAGTGACTTGACTTCAGAGATGACAGCTAGAGGTCGGGCAGAAGCAATTTGACTTCGGAGGAGAGAGGCAGAGAGGCGATTTGACTTCAGGGGAGAGTGACCTGCCCTTCACGTCCCCTTTCCAGCTGCCTTTTCCCCTGAAAGCTGCTTTCATCGCAAAACAAAATTCTCTGCACTCACCATCCTTCAATTAGTCTGTGTGACCTCATTCTTCTTGGGCACCAGACAAGAATTTGGGACGCACCAAGTATGAGTACCCAAAAAGGCTGTCACACTGGCCCTTTGCCCTTGCTGATAGAGGGCAGCCACCCCATGCAATGAGGCAAAGGTCCCACTGAGCTGATAACACACTGCTGTCCATGGATGGTGGAGCTAACAGAGCATTGTAACATGCACTCTGGGGCCTTGGGGTTGCAGGCACTCCTACCCAGATGGTGCCACAGTGCCTGCATGGAGGTTGCTCCTGCCAGCGCCAAAGCAGCTGGCCAGTTGCCACACTCACTTGTCTACATGCTCCATCCCGTGAGAGGTGAGGTGTGGTGGGCCCAAGGAAAAGGAGTTTGCTCCTGCTGGTGCCAAAGTGGCTGGGCACCCCTGTCACGAGTCCTGTGAAGGGGTCAAGAAAGTATCCTGCATCATAAACTTATGTCCCAAACTAGTCCTTAGGGATCTTGATCTCCTTTCCTTCCCACCATGTGACACCATTTCTTTGCATTGAGGACGTTATGCTGATTGAGCAGGACCTAGCAACTACTCTAGACACACTGGTAACATACTGACATGACAACCGAAGTATTAATTTGCACAAAAAATCAGGGGCCTTTTAACTTAGTGAAATATCAACATAGTACTTATCAGGTGAACAGCAAGTAGGTACATCTCACCCTTCCTACCATTCAAAGGGGACACGCAAAATATAGTGGGCCTCCTTAGGTTCTGATGGTGGTAACATGTACCTCATCGAGGTGTGCTGCTGTGACTTATCTTCTAATGACCGGAAAATCTGCTACTTCTGAGTTTGGCCTAGTACAAGAAAAAGCTCTCTGAATCCACACCTATGGCTCCAAGGGCAGCTTCCTTAGGAACAGAGTTGTCAGAAAAACAAACAATAAAAAAATCCCTAGGCCTGGCTTACTTTTCTTTCTTTATAATGGGCTGGCAGCACCGCTGTTAATTTTCTATTGCCACATAACAAATTACCCCAAATTGAGCAGCCTAAAACAACACACATTAATTATCCACACTTCTGCAAGTCAAGACCAGGAAGGTTTGACCGGCCTCTCCGCTGACTGTCTCCCAAGGCCAACTCAAAATGTCAGGCCGGGTGGGTGCTGATGTGGAGACTGCGGAATAATCCACTTCTAAGCTTATTCAGGTTATTGCTCATTTAGACCTAGTTCCTTAAGGTGGTAGGAATGTGGTTCCCATTTTTTTGCTGGCTGTCATCCAGAAACTGCACTAAACACCTAGAGCCATCCTATACCTTCTTGGGAGCACTGCTTTATCCTCAAAGCGGGCCTGCTGTGTCACATCCTTCTTGCACTTTGATTCCCTTACCTCTTCTTCTGCTCCTTGGTAAGGAAAATGCTCTGCTTCTCAAGGATTCCCCTGCCAGGTCTGGCCCACCCACACCACATTCGTGTCTCAGGGTCAACTGGCTTGAGACATTAGTTATCCAGCAAAATCCCACCATAGCAGTATTGGGATTATTGCTTGATCGAGTATACAGGAGATGGGAGTCTGGGGAATCAGACTACAGCTGTCTCAGTCAGCTCGAGTTGCTATCACAGAATACCACAGACTGGGTGGCTTCATCACCCATTTCTTTCTCAAGGTTCTGGAAGCTAGAAATCCAAGATCAGGGTGCCAACATGCTCAAATTCTGGTGGGGGGCCTCTTCCTGGCTTGCAGTCAGCCACCTTGCGGTAGCCTCACACGTTGAAGAGGCATGGAAGAACAAGTTCCCTTTTCTCTAATTATAAGGGCACTAATCTCATCATAGGGACCCAAACATCATGAACACATCTAAACCTAATTACCTCCCAAAAGCTCCACCTCCAAATATCATCCCACTGGGAGTTAGGGTTTCATCATATGAATTCTCAGAGGACACAAATATTCAGTCTGTTCATAATGCCTGTCTACCACAAAAGCCAGAAGCGGACAGCTTCATTACGACAGGCCCAACTGGGATAGCTCTGAAGGACAGTGGTGAAGGGAAATCCTCCAAGAGGGAAGATGCTTGAGCAGTGTTTCTGTGTGGAGGAGAGATGGCCAGACTATAAGTATGTATCCATGTTTAGGCCGTGTCTCGTTTATTGGCTGTATGATCAAGGACTTTGTGGACACATGATTGAAAATTTATGACAAGGAGGTCTGGGAAAAAATATGTGGATAGAGTAGTCCAAATGGATATACAATGTGAAGATACTTAGGTCTCATGAGAGTTCTCAGCAAAGGGTAACCTCTGTAGAGCAGAATTTTAATAATCTGAAGGATAAAGTACCTATTATCTAGATATTAATCAGCCTCTTTCCCCAACATTGGTGTCATAACCTCGTGAGCTCACAGAGTGGCCAAGGTGACCAAGGATAGAGATTTTGCTTCAGTAGCATGGACTTCCACTCACCAAGGCCAACCTGGCTACAGTTGATAGAGACATGAGACAGCCAGGGGTCCCCGGTGAAACCCCGCCTTCAAGCCTAAAATGGCCTGAAGGTTGAGAAACCAGACTGCTGCTACCGAATGAAACCTGCAGCCAGAAGAACTGGCACTGTTTGCTAGCCCATTCCCAACTGATTCTTTCTTAATATTAGCATCGTGTGTACTGGGGGAAGGGTGTGGAGCCATGGGAAGTTTGCACCTTGTGCAGGGGTGGCGGTGTGGAGCCTGGTCTCTTCGGTTCCTGTGCGGTGGCCCGGAATCAATCTGTGAGATGGGGGCCTCTTAGCAGGACTCCCTCTCACTTTGCCGAGAGATTTTTTTTCCTCCCTATTTTTCTTTTTTAACCAATAAATTCAGCTCCTCACCCTTCAATGTGTCCGCGAACCTAATCTTCCCCGTTCGTGTGAACTCGGTTTTAACTGAACTAAGGAGCAAAATTCTGCAATTAGTCATTGCTGAGTGTACAATCTGCTAGAACAGAGAGCAACACTGAGTCTCTTATATGGCACCTGTCTCCAGCGTGATCAGCCAGTTACCAGATGGCAGGTGATTACATTGGACCACTTCCACTATGGAAGGGACAGGGCTGTGTTCTTACTCAAATTGACACTTATTCTGAATATGGATCTTCCTTCCCAACCACAGTAATTTCAGAAAATCAACATTTGTGCACTTAGAAAATGCTTTATTTACCATCATGGTATTCCACACAGCATCACCTCCAAACAAGGCACTCGCTTCCCAGAAAATAAAGTGCAGTGATGGGCCCGTGTTCATAGGAATTCACTGGTCTTATTATTTATATCTCCCTATCCCCCATCATCTTCTTTATAGACATGATACTGTCTTGGCCTCATTGTTTTTTGATTCCAAATCAGCCTCCCAATGTGTCCCCCATAATCTGAACCTGACTGGATGAACAGAAACTGAAATGGTCTTGTACAACTCGGTTACAGTGCTAGCTAAGTGGCAATACCTTGCAGGTCTGAGAAATTACTTTTAGAAGCAGTGTTTGCTGTATGTCTGCATCCAACATAGTCTGCTTTCTCTCCAATAGTCAGGATTCATTCGTCTTAGAACGAAGGGGTATAACTGGGAGTGTCTCTACTCACTTTCCCCGCCGTGAACCACTAGCATAAGTGCTTCCTGTCCTTCTGATTTTAGGCTCTCCTGTACTAGAAGTCTTAGTTCCAAAGGAAGAAATGCTTTTGACAAGGGACACAACAGTGACTCCATTGAAAAGAGATCGATACTGCCAGCAGGCCATTTTGTTCTCTTCATCACTTTCCATCTAGAGGCAAAGGAGGGGGTCATCTACTGGCTGGGGGTGATGAACCTGACAACCAAAGGGGGATTAATTGCACTACACCAGGGGCTAAAAAGAGTATGTTTGATATGTCTAGACAGCTTCTTAGTCCTCTCATGTTTATTACACTTAATGGAAAATTACAGCAACCCAATCCAGGCAGGATATCTATTGGTCCAGACTGTTCAGTAATGAAGGTTTGAGTCATCCTGCCAGACCAAGCATCATGACCAGCTGACATGCTATCTCAGGGCAAAGGGAATGAGAAATGGGTAGAGAAAGAAGGCAGTTATAAATACCAGCTACAACAATGTGAGCTGCTGCAGAAACCAGGACTGTAATACTAAATACCTTGCTGAGTTATTGACTCATGCCCCTCCTCCGGCGGAAGAACAAACAAACAAACAAAAGTGCAGCTTTTATTAAGGGAGATTTATTAAATATAAAAAGTTACCTCTTTTTTTCTTAGCTTTTGGAAGGGAATTCTCTTCGCTTCAAAATTATAGGGAGCTTCAGTAATAACCTGTTCCATCCTGCGGCGTGTATCCTTGTTTCTCCTTGGTCTTTGCACTAAAACAATTATTTTTTTTCTCATGTGCTTAACTTTTCTGAGATGGCAGTAGGAACCTATATCTTTAAGCACCTTCTCGAGTTGCTGAATTAAGGCAACTTTTTTAAACCTGAAATTAAAGAGGTATTCCATTAACCAGAGGATACCTACAGGATCTACGAGTTGTAAGAGGTAGTAGTGGATACAAAATAGAGTTTACAATCGACATGCAAATAGAAAATGCATCCTCATGGAAAGATACAAACTAGAAAAATACAAAGTGATTCAACTGAGGACCCACGCCCACTCCCAGATTATGGTAAATTTGGAAGGCTCCATGGCATCGGAAGAAAGTGTTAGAATAAGATAATATCAACCTAACTGCCTGTGGAAATAGTATGAACTATGATTGAGGGCCAGGGATTAGGAAGAACAAGGCATGATTTTTTCCTGCCCCTGTCCCAAATTGGGCGCAAGTGCTTAAAACAACAGCAGAGTTCCTTTTTGCACCCACCTTGCTGCTTCCCTGATGGTAAATTCAACAAATTGTCTCTTGACTTTCATAGATCCTTGTAGTTCTTCAAGCAAAATGAAAATTGTTTTATAATCTGAAGATATTTTAAAATATTAGTATTTCTAGAATTATGAAAATGAAATATACCTCAATCTTAGTGCATCCACTACCACTGTATACATTTTTCATGGGTTACAATGTTACGTAGTGTTTGTGTTTGAATGCTTAAATCACAACACCTGTATATTACTAAGGAAACTGTTGTGAACACTAACAAAGGAAAACAAAACACTTAAGCAGATGTGTTAGAAATTTTCAGTGAAATTAAATAGAAGTCATGCTAAATCATATACAGATCCAATTCAGCCCAGCAATGAGCTCAAGAGGCAGCTTAATTCTGTTCTAAATCATAGAATGAGAGACTTGGCATGCTTTCATTGATAGTCATCCTTGCACTACTTACTTTGCCCAAACCTTCAAACTTCTTTCATTAATTGACATTTTATATCATGATTAATTTTCTTTGCCATGGCAGGAGATATTTGTGGTATATTTGGCACAGTTTCCACTGAAGACATTGCTGTGACTGGTGGGTCACCTGCAGAGACCATTTTTGGTGCCTACCACAAGTCATTACTATCAGGTTTGTAAAGCAGCTTATATCTGCTGAGACTAGTGAAGTTGTAGGAGAAAGAATCCAATGCGTTGGGTGGCATATGATCTCCTGTCATATTTATAAGCTCTGGTGGAGCAGAATTTAACAGGAAGCCATTAGGAGGCGTTTGACCATTTTCCATCTCCTCCTCTTGGATATTGTGAATGACAGTAGCATCTGGAATCCAAATGAAAAAGTTGAGCTGTGAGATAAGTGCATTATGTCACCCCCACAGCTATATCCATCTGAGGCTCAGTTTTTAGGATGTTATCTCATAAAGCAGGAAGATACACCAGGTGGCTATCCGAGACCCCTCAAACTGAGCTCAAGAAAGATGATACAACAAAACCACCTTCTTCCCTGCAGGACACTATGTATGCATATGGAAACCAAGTAGGACAGTACAAGCAATACACAAACATACACAGATCCCTGGTACTCCTGGATGAAATACCAGCTCCTGACAGATTAATATGCCCCAGTGGAACCACTGACAAGGAGTTATCAGGTGCTTGTTTTTCATCTTCTCTTCATGGACATTGTGAGTGGTGGTGGCATCTGGAAACAACAAGAGGTCGAGCTGTGAGGTAAGTACATTATATCAACCCTGCAGGGTATATTCCTCTGATGCTCACTTGCTAGGAAATTATTGCACAAAGCAGGAGGACATGCCAGGTGGTGATATGAAATCCCTTAAATTGAGGTCATGAAATATAATATAACAAAATCCCCTTCTCCCTTTCATGACACCATGCACGCATATGGAAACCAAGTAGGACAATCCAACTTATAAGTTAACATACACAGATCATTGGTACTCATGGCTGGAATACCAGCTTCTGGTGTATTAATAAGCCCCAGTGGAACAGCTGACAAGATGTTATCAGCTGCTTGTTGGCCATTTTCCATCTTCTCTTCATGGGCATTGTGAGTGACAGTAACATCTAGAAACCAGAAGAATACATCAAGCTGTGAGGTAAGTGCATTATGTCAACCCCACAGGATATCCCTCTGATGCTCACTTTTTAGGACATTATCTCATAAAGCAGAAGGATATACCAGGTGGCAACCTGAGACCCCTGAAATTGAGCTCATGAAAGATAATACAATAAAACCACCTTCTTCGACTTATGACACTGCATGCATATGGAAACCAAGTAGGAAACCAAGTAGAAACAACTAGTAAACAAACATACACTGATCCCTGGTACTCATGGGTGGAATACCATCTACTGACACATTAATAAGCCCTGGTGTAACGGATGACAAGAAGTTATCAGGTGCTGGTTGGCCATTATTTATCTTCTCTCCACGGACATGGTGAGTGACTGTAGCATCTGGAAACCAGATGAAGAGGTTGAGTTGTAAGATAAGTGTACTGTGGTAACCCCACAGGTATATCCGTCTGATGCTCAGTTTCTAGGAAAATATTTCATGAAGCAGGAGAGGGTATGCCAGGTGGCGATCTGAGAACACTCAAATTGAGCTCATGAAAGAAGGTACAACCAACCAAATCACCTTCTTCCCTTGATAACACTATGCATGCATATGAAAACCAAGTAGGACAATCCAACTTATAAGCAAACATACACAGATCCTTGGTGCTCATAGCTGGAATACCAGCTGCTGCCATGTTAATATGCCCTGGTTTAACAGTTGACAAGACGTTATTAGATTGTGGTTGGTTATTTTCCATCCTCACTTCATAGACACTGATTGACGGTAGCATCTAGAAACCAAAGGAAAATGTTGAGCTGTGAGGTAAGTGCATTTTGGCAACTCCACAGGTATATCCCTGTCATGCTCAGTTTCTAGGAAGCTAACTCATAAAGGAGGAGAGGATACACCAGTTAGTGATCTGAAATCCCTCAAATTGAGGTCATGAAAGATAAAACAAAACCATCTTCTTCCCTTTATGACACCATGCCTTCATATAATAACCAGGTAAGACCGTACAAGTAGTAAACAAACATACACAGATCCCTAGGACTCATGGTCGGAAAACCAGCTACTGCCATGTTAATATGCCCTGGTGGAAAAGTTAACAAGACATTATTAAGTTGTGGTTGGTCATTTTCCATCCTCTCGTCACAGACATTGTGAGTGATGGTAGCATCTGGAAACCAAATGTTGAGGTCGAGCTGTGAAGTAAGTGCCTTATTTCAACCCACAAATATATCCCTCTGATGCTCAGCTTCTACGAAATTATTACATGGAGCAGGAGGACATGACAGGCGTTGTCCTGAGACCCCTCAAATGGAGGCAAAAAACATAATACAACAAAACCACCTTCGCCCCTTCATGACACTATGCATGCAAATGGAAACCAAGTAGGAAAATCCAACTAAAAAGTGAGCATACACAGATCTCTGGTACTCATGGCTGGAATACCAGCTCCTGCCATATTAATAAGCCCCGATAGAACATTTGACAAGATGTTATCCGGTTGCGGTTGGCTATTTTCCATCCTCTCTTCATGGACATTGAGACTGGCCGTAGCATCTGTAAACGAAATGAAGAGGTTGAGCTGTCAGGTAAGTGCATTATGTCAACCCCACAGGTATATCCCTCTGAAACTCAATTTCTAGGAAATTATCAAAGAAAGCAAGGGAGGATATGCCAGGTGGCCATGTGACACCCCCCAAATTGAGGATAGAAAAGAATATACAGCAAACTTACCTTCTACCATTCATGAAAATAGGCCTGCTTAGAGGAAACAAGTAGGACAATACAACTAATAAGCAGACATACACAGATCCCTGGTACTCGTGGATGAAATTCCAGCTGCAGCCATATTACCAATCCACGGTGGAACAGTTGACAAGATGTTATCAGGTGCTGGCTGGTCGTTATTTATCTTCTCACAGACGATGTGAGTGACTGCAGCATCTGGAAACCAAATGAAGTGGTTGAGCTGTGAGGTAAGTGCATTATGTCAACCACACAGGCATACCCCACTGATGCTCAGTATCTAGGAAATTATCTCATAAAGAAGGAGGATATGCCAGGTATCAATCTGAAAAAACCAAGTAGGACAGTACAACTGAATAAGCAAACATACACTGATCCCCGGTACTCATGGCTAGAATACCAGCTGTTGCCAAATAAGTAAGTCCTGGTAGAAGAGTTGACAAGACGTTATTAGATGATGGTTGGTTATTTTCCATCCTCTCTTCACGGACATTTTGAGTGACGGTAGCATCTGGAAGCCAAAGGAAGAGGTCGAGCTGTGAGGTAAGTGCATTATGTCAACACCACAGGTATATCCCTCTGAAGCTCAGTTTCTAAGAAATTGCTCCATAACGCAGGAGGATATATCAGGTGGTGATCGGAGACCCCTCAAATTTAGGCCAGAAAAGATAATATAACAAAACCATCTTCTTCCCTGCATGACACTGCATGCGTATGGAAACCAAGTAGGACAGTACAACTATTAAACAAACATACACTTATCCCTGGTACTCAGGGGTGGAATACCAGCTCCTGCGAAATTCATAAGCCCTGCTGTAACAGTTGACAAGAATTTATCAGGTGCTGTTTGGTCATTTTTTGTCTTTTCTTCACAGACATTGTGAGTGATGGTAAAATCTGGAAACCACATGAAGAAGTTGAGCTGTGAGGTAAGTGCATTATGTCAGCCCTACAGGTATATCCCTCTGATGCTCAGTTTCTAGGAAGTTATCTAAGAAAGCAGGCGAGGATATGCCATGTGGTCAACTGAGACCCCTCAAATGGAGGTTAGGAAAGAATATACTACGAAACCACCTTCTATAATTCATGAAAATAAGTATGCACATGGAAATCAAGTATGACAGTACAACTAATTAATAGACATACACAGATCCCTGGTGCTCATGGATGGAATACCAGCTGCTGCCATATGACCAAGCTGTGGTGGAACAGTTGATACGACGTTATCAGTTTGGCATTGGCCATTTTCCGTCGTCTCTTCACGGACATTGTGAGTGATGGTAGCATCTGGAAACCAAAGGAAGAGGTCGAGCTGTGAGGTAAGTGCATTATGTCAATCCCACCGGTATATTCCACTGATGATAAGTTTCTAGGAAATTATCCCATAAAGCAGGATAATACATCATATGATGAACTGAGGCCCCTCAAGTTGAGTCCAGGAAAGATAATTCACAAAACAACCTTCTTCCCTTCATGACACTATGCATGCATATGGAAACCAAGAAGGACAGTGCAAGAAAATAAAACACATACACAGATCCCTGGTACTAACTGAAGGAGTACCAGTTCCTGCCATATTAATAAGCCCAAATAGAACATTTGACAAGACATTATCCTGTTGCGGTTGGCCATTTTCCATCCTCGCTCCATGGACATTGTGATTGATGGTAGCAACTGAAAACCAAATGAAGAGGTCGAGCTGTAAGGTAAGTGCATTATGCCAACCCCACAGGTATATCCCTCTGATGCTCAGTTTCTAGGAAATAATCACTTAAAGCAGGAGGATATACCAGGTGGTGATCTGAGATCCCACAAATTCAGCTCACGAAAGACAATACAATAAAACTACATTTTTCCATTTATGACACTGCATGCATATGGAAACAAAGTAGGATAGTACAACTAGTAAACAAACACACACTGATCTCTGATACTCATAGGTAGAATACCAGCTCCTGCCAAATTAATAAGCCCTGGTATAAGAGTTGACATGACATTATCAGGGCTGGTTGGCCATTATTTATCTTCTCTTCATGGACATTGTGAGTGATGGTAGCATCTGGAAACCAAATGTAGTGGATGAGCTGTGAGGTAAGTACAGTATATGAATCCCACAGGGATACCCCTCTGATGCTCACTATCTAGGAATTTATCTCATAAAGAACTAGGATATACTAGGCAGCCCTCTGAGAACCCTCAAATTGAGGCCAGAAAACATAATACGACAATACCACCTTCTTCCCTTGATGACAATATGCATGCATATGGAAACCAAGTAGGACACTACAACTAGTAAACAAACTTACACTGATCCCTGGTACTCATGGCTGGAATACCAGCTGCTGCCAAATAAGTAAGCCCTGGTAGAACAGTTGACAAGCCGTTATTAGGTAGTGGTTGGTTATTTTCCACCCTCTCTTCACAGACATTGTGAGTGACGGTAGCATCTGAAAACCAAATAAAAGGGTTGAGCTGTGAGCTAAGTGTATTGTGTCAACCCTACAGGTATATCCCTCTGATGATCAGTGTCTAGGAAATTTATCTCATAAAGCAGGAGGATACACCAGGTGATGATCTGAGACACCTCAAATTGAGCTCACAAAAGAGAATCTAACAAAACAACCTCCTTCCCTTTTTGACACTGTGCATTCATATAGAAACCAAGTAGGACACTACAACTAGTAAACAAACATACACTGATCCCTGGTACTCATGCCCAGAATACCAGCTGCTGCCAAATAAATAACCACTGGTTGAACAGTTGACAACATGTTATTAGGTTGGGGTTGGTCATTTTCCATCTTCTCTTCACGGACATTGTGAGTGACGGTGGAATCTGGAAAACAAATGAAGAGGGTGAACTGTGAGTAAGTGCATTATGTTAACCCCAAAGGTATATCCCTCTGATGCTCAGCTTCTAAGAAATTATTGCATAAAGCAGGAGGACATGACAGTTGGTGATCTGACACCCCTCAAATTGAGCTCACGGAAGATAATACAACAAAACCTCCATCTCCTCTTCATGACAATATGCATGCATATGGAAACCAAGCAGGACAATCCAATTTATAAGTGAACATACACAGATCATTGGTACTCATGGATGGAATAACAGCTCCTGCCATATTAATAAACCCTGTTGGAGCAGTTGACAAGGGGTTCTCAGATTGGGGTTGGCCATTTTCCATCTTCTCTTCAGGGACTGTGAAGGTGACTGTAGCATCTGAAAACCAAATGAACAGGTTGAGTTGTGAGGTAAGTGCATTATGGTAACCCCCCAGGTATAACCTTCTGATGTTCTGTTTCTAGGAAATTATCTAAGAAAGCAGGGAGGATATGCCAGGTGGCCATCTGAGACCCCTCAAATTGAGGCTAAGAAAGAATATACAATAAAACCGACTTCTACCCTTCATGAAAATATGCACGCTTATGGAAAACAAGTATGAAAGTACAACTAATTAGCAGACATACACAGATCCCTGATACTTGTGGATGGAGCTGCAGCCATATAACCAAGCTGTGGTGGAGCAGTTGACAAGACATTATCAGTTTGGGGTTGGTCATTTTCCATCCTCTCTTCACGGACATTGTGAGTGATGGTAACATCTGGAAACCAGTGGAACAGGTTGAGCTGTGAGGTAAGTGCATTATGACCACCTCACCGGTATATCCCACTGATGCTCAGTTTCTAAGAAATTATCTGATAAAGCAGGAGAATACATCATATAATGATCTGAGTCCCCTCAAATTGAGGCCAGGAAAAATAATTCAACAAAACCATCTTCTTCCCTTCATGACACTATGCTTGCATATGGAAACCAAGGAGAACACTACAACCAATAAGCAAACATACACAGATCCCTGGTACTCATCGCTGGTATACAAGCTCCTGCCATATAAATCAGCCCTGACAGAACATTTGACAAGACGTTATCCATTTGCAGTTGGCCATTTTCCTTCCTCTCTTCATGGACATTGGGATTGACGGTAGCATGTGGAAACTAAGTGAAGAGGTTGAGTTGTGAGGTAAGTGCATTTTGTCAATCCCACAGGCCTATCCCTCTGATGCTCAGTTTCTAGGAGATTATCTAAAAAATCAGTGGAGGATATGGCGGGTGGCCATCTGATACCCCTCAAATTGAGGCTAGGAAATAATATACAACAAAACCACCTTCCACCATTCATGAAAATATGCCTGCTTATGTAAACCAAATAGGACAAGTCCAAATAACAAGCAGACATACACAGATCTCTCGTGCTCGTGGATGAAACTCCAGCTGCTGCCATATTACCAGCAGTCGAGCAGTCGACAAGGTGTTATCAGGTGCTGGTTGGCCGTTATTTATCCTCTCTTCACGAATGCTGTGAGTGACTGCAGCATCTGGAAACCAAATGAAGTGGTTGAGCTGCGAGGTAAGTGCATTATGTCAACCACACAGGCATACCCCTCTGATGCTCAGTATCTAGGAAATTATCTCATAAAGAAGGAGGATATACCAGGTAGCAATTTGAGAACCCTAAAATTGAGGCCAGAAAAGATAATACAACAAAATTACCTTCTTCCCTCATGAGACTATGCATATACTGCATAGTGGAAATCAAATAGAACAGTATACCAAGTGAGCAAACTTACACTGATCCCTAGTACTCATGGATGAAATACCAGCTGCAGCCATATTAATAAGCACTGGTGGAACAGTTGTGATGACATTACCAGGTGCTGGCTGGCCATTTTTTACCTTCTCTTCATGGACATTGTGAGTGATGCTAGCATCTGGAAACCAAATGAAGAGATTGAGCTGCAAGATAGGTGTGCTTTGTCCAATCCTCCCCCAGAGGGACAGCTATGTATTAATCAGTTTCTAGGAAATTATTTATTTCATGAAACAGAAGGATTTACCACGTGGGAATCTCAGATCTTGCAAACAGAGATCAGGTTAGATAACACAGTAAAACTACCTTCTTACCTCTTGGCATAATGAATACATGCAGTAAAGAAGTACGACAGCAGAATAAATATTCACAGGTTTTAGTACTCATCATTTTGTATCATCTTGCTGCCCTTTACATTTCTCATTTGATATTATTGTTGTAATTCACCTATAAATGCCATGCTGTGTGCAGCAGGAAGCCAGACTAAGTGAGCCGTCCTTAACCTGCCTCCTTTCTACCTCAAATATTCTGAGAAATTAGAGGTGGCTATTGGAGTTGAACACTCTTATCTCCACTCTATCATCATACATCTGTGTTTTTATATGATTCTACAGATCCTTCCCTTTTGTCTAGAAAAAGTGACTTTCTTTTCACTCCAGGTCTGACACCTCTTTCATTTATTCACCATCTGTGGCAGGCAGCGTGCCAGGAGCTGGGGATCGGCAGTAAACAGCCCAGAGAGCAACGTTCCCTGCCCTGTGGAGCTCACATCCTCATGGGGCAGTCAGACAAAACATGTACAAAGAGCAAATGAAACAAACAGTGCTGGGCTGGTTTTGGGGAAGCAGTCCACAGGCATGTGGGAGACAGCAGCAGAGGTAGCCCCAGGGGCTGCAGCTTGTTGGCAGGGCCTTCTGAAAAGGTGCCATCGGGCAGTGCTTGGAGGAAGAAGCAGAACCTCCTGTGCAGAGGCAGAGGGAGAGTTCCAGGTTGCGGTGAGGCCAAGGTTAGGGGATGGAGTGGGGATAGACCGGGCACTAGAGAGGTGAAGGACAGAGGCAGAGAGAGCCAGGAGGAAATGGACGGGACCCGCGTTAGGAGAGGGTGATAGAGGCCAGTCTGTGCAGAGGCTTGGAGACCAAAGCCGGTTCAGGGTCTGTTCTGAGTGCTTAGGAGAGTTGAGGTTGGGTTTTCAGGAGGGACATGGCATGATGTAATTTACACGCTGACATAATTATCTAGCCATAGGGTTAGAGTATGTGATAGATGAGCGAAGATTAGAAACACTGAGCTAAGAAGGCATTGTACTATCTTGGAGAGAGATCACGGAAGTGTGCACTGGAGGGACAGAGAGAAACGGTTGGATGCAGAATTTATACTGGGCATCGACTACTAGACTTGCTAAGAGATGGGAAATGAGAGAGTAATAAAAGAATCGTAAGATAACTCATAAGTGACTTTAAGTATTTTGACTTGAACTACTAAGTAAAAGTACACCGGGGTGTTCAGGAGGTGTTAGGCAACCGACTGTGAGAGCTGAGTGCTGCCAACTCTTCTTGAATCTGGTTCCGTGACCTTACGTTGACAGCTTGAACTAGGCCATGGTGGGATTATCTGCTCTATGGATAGCTGCAAACTCCAAAAACCAGGACTTCTCAATCCTCGATACCTGTGAACAGCTGGTTGCTACAACTTAGAGGATATTTCACCTAATGGACAGTATCTTTAATTGAAAAGTGAAGGATGAAAGTAGAGTATTTTTGGAGAGAGGGAGGTCAGAAATTTGAACACGTAGAGCCAGTTGAATTTTACATGCCTATTAGACACCCAGTAGAGATACCGCGCGTGTAGTTGTATTTGAGTCTGGATTTCAGGAGCAAGTTGTAGTGCTGAAGTATAATGGTGAGAATTCTTATAGTGTGAATCATTTAAAATTCTAAGACAGCATGGCATCGCCTAAATAGATAGTATACTGAAGAGAAGAGAGTCTAGGATTAAGCTTTGGGGTTCCGAAATATTTAGAGGTGGGAAGGGAGAGGAGAAAAACAAAAAAGAGAAGGAAAATGAGTCTCTAGTAACAGGGTAAGAAATCCAGGTGTCTGGGGACCCAAGAAGCTTTCCGTGCAGGAGGGAGTAAACAACTGTGTCGCATGCTGCTGAGACATTAATGCCAAAGTGTAGCAAACACTGGTGACCTTAATGATAGTAGTTTCATTGGAGTACACTAAGAAGCCAGACCACACTGGGTTAGAGCGGAATGTGAGGACAGGCAGAAAGTGAGCAGACTCATCCTCTTGTTGAGCCCACCATCTCCTTCTGCCTCAGGAACCTGCTTCATTCATCTAACACTTGCAGCAACTCCAAATTGTTGCACCTAATTAGAACCTTGCCCTTCCACTTGCAAATGTGCTCATATCTGTTCATCCCTCAAGGACATGACTACAAATGTCCTTTGACATGGTTGAGGCCCAAAGATTGGATTCCCCCTCACCTTCCTGTTTGTCTAACCGCAGGGACATACTCTTCCCTCTCTTAGATGAAGAGTGTCTCTTGGATTTTCTGGAACGTTTCTGTTTGCTTTGATGCCCTGTTGCAACCTGATTTACTTCATCACTCCTCATTTGCTGAAAAACATCAGTGAACATATTCCCTTAAAGACAAATCCTAGGCCGGGCGTGGTGGCTTAAGCCTGTAATCCGGGCAGATCACAAGGTCAGGAGATCGAGACCATCCTGGCTAACATGGGGAAACCCTGTCTCTACTAAAAATACAAAAAATTAGCTGGGCGTGGTGGCAGGCGCCTGTAGTCCCAGCTACTCTGGAGGCTGAGACAGGAGAATGGCGTGAACCTGGGAGGCGGAGCTTGCAGTGAGCCAAGATCGCGCCACTGCACTCCAGCCTGGGTGACAGAGCAAGACTCCGTCTCAAAAAAACAATAAATAAATAAATAAATAAATAAATAAATAAATAAAAAATAAAGACAAATCCAACCATTGTAAAGTCACAGTCTTCATATGCATACACAGCCATGCATTTATATCGCTAATATAAAGTTTTAGTCACAGGTCAAAGATTTCTCATCACTCAACACACACGACGCTCTCAGAAAAGGCAAGCTAATTTTAATCTAGTCTCAGTGAAACAAGGGAAGGTAAAATACAAGGTGTTATCCAAAGTCAAACATGGTACAGTCATGATTAATCAGAATGTTTGGGGAATGAGTGGCTTCCATCAACCAAAGGAATAAACATATGGTTATATCTCTAATGAATTACACATCATTTTGTCTCAGCCCTTGTTAGGGGACCAAAAAAAAGAAATACCTTTCTTATCTTTCAGTGCTTTAAAGCTACGTATTAACAAACACTGATAAATACTTTATTAGATGATACATATAGATAGTGAAGGGTAGGATAGATTGAAAAGGTAAATGTTCCCACCATGGAGGTGTGGGAACATTTACCTTTTCAATCTATCCTACCCTTCACTATCTATATGTATCATTATGTATATCATATAGATACATATAGATATCATTATATCTATATGTATCACTATCTATATGTTTCTATATGCTTCATTCCCCAAGCATTCTGATTAATCATGACTGCACCATGTTTGACTTTGGATAACACCTTGTATTTTACCTTCCCTTGTTTCACTGAGACTAGATTAAAATTAACTTGCCTTTTATGAGAGCATCATGTGTGTTGAGTGATGACAAATCTTTTATTCCAATATGTTGATCTTGGAGACAGACAGGGATAGGGCGTGCTTTGCAATGTTGATGGTAGATAAAACATGAAATTCAAGGGTATACTAGGCTAACTAAAAGCTATTTTCATCAAAGGATAACCCAAGACTATGCTCCTGACTACCAGAGGTACCAAGAAGAGCTCGTACTATTTCTACTGAAAGTATTCCAAAAAAATTGAAAAGGAGGGACTCCTACCTAACTCATTTTATGAGGCCAGCATCATCCTGATACCAAAACCTGGCAGACATACAACAAAAAAAGAAAATTTCAGGCCGGTATTCCTGATGAATATCGATGCAAAAATCCTCAGTAAAATTCTGGAAAACTGAATCCAGCAGCACATCAAAAAGCTTATCCACCATGATCAAGTTGGCTTCATCCCCAGGATGCAAGGTCGTTTCAGAATAGGGAAATCAATGAATGTAATTCATCACATAAATAGAACTAATGATAAAAACCACATGATTATATCAATAGATGCAGAAAAGGCCTTTGATAAAATTCAACATCCCCTTATATTAAAAGCTCTCAATAAACCAGGTACTGAAAGAAAATACCTCAAAATAATAAGAACCATGTATGACAAAGCCACAGCCAATATCATACTGAATGGAAAAAAGGTGGAAGCATTCCCCTTGAAACTTGCACAAGACAAGGATGCCCTCCCTCACCACTCCTATTTAACACAGTATCAGATGTTCTGGCCACGGCAATCACGCAAGACTAAGAAATAAAGTGTATTCAAATAGGGAGAGAGGACGTCAAATTATCTTTGTTTGCAGATGACATGACCCTATATCTAGAAAATCCCATTGTCTCAGCCCAAAAGCTTCTTAAGCTGATAAGCAACTTCAGCAAAGTCTCAGGATATAAAATCCATGTGCAAAAATTGCTAGCATTCCTGGCTGGGCACAGTGGCTCACGCCTGTAATCCCAGCGCGCCGAGGCGGGCGGATCATGAGCTCAGGAGATGGAGACCATCCTGGCTAACACGGTGAAACCCCGTCTCTACTAAAAATACAAAAAATTAGCCGGGCGTCTGTAGTCCCAGCTACTCCGAGGCTGAGGCAGGGGAATGGCCTGAACCCGGGAGGCGGAGCTTGCAGTTAGCCGAGATAGCACCACTGCACTCCAGCCTGGGCGACAGAGCGAGACTCCGTTTCAAAAAAAAAAAAAATTGCTAGTATTCCTATACGCCAAAAGCAGGCAAGCAGAGAGACAAATCATGAATGAACTCCCATGCACAATTGCTACAAAAAGAATAAAGTACCTAGGAATACAGCAAACAAGGGAAGTGAAGGACCTCTTCAAATAGAACTACAAACCACTGCTCAAGGAAATCAGAGGACACAAACAAATGGAAAAACATTCCATGCTCGTGGATAGGAAAAATCAATATTGTGAAAATGGCCATACTGCCCAAAGTAATTTAGAGATTCCATGCTATTCCCACTAAAATACCATTGACATTCTTCACAGTTGAGAAGAAGTTATTTTAAAATTCATACGGAACCAAAAAAGAGCCAGAATAGCCAAGACAATTCTAAGCCAAAAGAAGAAAGCTAGAGGCATCACGCTACCTAACTTCAAACTATACTACGGGGCTACAGTAACTGAAACAGCGTTTTCCTGGTACAAGAACAGATATAGACCAATGGAACAGAATAGAGAACTCAGAAATAAGATCGCACAGCGGTAACCATCTGTTCTTCAACAAACCTGACAAAAACAAGCAATGGGGACAGGATTCCCTATTTAATTAATGGTGCGGGGAGAACTGGCTAGCCATATGCAAAAATTGAAACGGGACCCCTTCCTTACACCTTATGCAAAAATTAACTCGAGATGGATTAAAGACTTAAATGTAAAACCCAAAACTATAAAAACCCTAGAAAAAAATATAGGCAATACTATTCAGGACATAGGCACGGGCAAAGATTTCATGACAAAAATGCCAAAAGCAATGGCAACAAAAGCAAAAATTGACAAACGGGATCTAATTAAACTAAACAGCTTATGCATAGCAAAATGAAGTATAATCAGAGTGTACAGACAACCTACAGAATGGGAGAAAACTTTTGCAATCTGACCATCTGACAAAGGTCTACTATCCAGACTCTACAAGAAACTTAAACAAATTTACAAAAGAAAATCAAACAAACCCTTTAAAAAGTTGGCAAAGGACGTGAACAGACACTTCTCAAAAGAAGACATTCACGCGGCCAACAAGCATATGAAAAAAAGCTCAACATCATTGATCATTATAGAAATGCAAATCAAAACCACAATGAGATAACATCTCTTGTCAGTCAGAATGGCGATTATTAAAACGTCAAGAAACAACAGATGCTGGCAAGGTTGTGGAGAAAAAGGACTGCTTTTACACTGTTGGTGGAAGTGTAAATTACTTCATCCACATGGGAGACAGTGTGGTGATTCCTCAAAGATCCACAGGCAGAAAT
Organism: Homo sapiens; assembly: GCF_000001405.40. Classification (NCBI taxonomy): domain Eukaryota; kingdom Metazoa; phylum Chordata; class Mammalia; order Primates; family Hominidae; genus Homo; species Homo sapiens. The sequence goes on along the minus strand of NC_000023.11, from coordinate 135,600,732 downwards.
AGCATTTGATCCAGCAATCCCATTCCTGGGTATATACCCAAAGAAATATAAATCATTCTATTATAAATATACAAGCATGCGTATGTTCATTGCAGCACTATTTACAATAGCAAAGACGTGGAATGAACCCAAATGTCCAGCAATGATAGATCGGATAAAGAAAATGTAGTACATATACACCATGGAATACCATGCAGCCATAAAAAGACATGAGATCATGTCATTGTAGAAACATGGATGGAGCTGGAAGCCGTTATCCTCAGAAAACTAATGCAGGAACAGAAAACCAAACAGTGCATGTTCTCACTTATGAGTGGGAACTGAATGATGAGAACACATGGACACATGGGTGGGGAGCAACACACACTGGGTCCTGTCAGGTGGTGGGGGAGGAGTAGGGAGAGCATCAGGAAGAATAGCTAATGGATGCTGGGCTTAATACCAAGGTGATGGGTTGTTAGGTCCAGCAAGTCACAATGGCACACGTTTACCTATGTAACAAACCTGCATATCATGCATATGTACCTCACAACATAAAATAAAAGTTGAAAAAAAGAATATGCTCCTGCATTAAATATGCAGGAGCATATTTAATAAAATTTATATTTTATTATTAAAAATAAATATATTTATATTTATTATACAAATTTATTAATATTTAATAAAATTCACATTTATTATATTAATAAATATCAATAATAATAAAAATAGTTATATTTATTATATAAATTTTATTAAATATAGTATTTAATAAAAATATATTTATATATAATGTTGATTTTAAAATTTTCCAAACCATTTTCATTTCCTATAAAATAGGGGCTTAGAATGTGTGAAAACATTTTTACCGAACATCTACTACCATCCAGTTACGGTTCTAAATGCTTTACATGTATTAACGCAATCCTTGGCCAATCTCTATGAATGTGGTGTGATTCTTATCTCTATTGCTAAAAAAGAGAAAATAAAGGCACAGAAAATTAAGGAAAAGTTTAATTAATTGAGGAGTTTTGGGAATATGGTGGAATAACTTTAGTCTGTTTTTGTCACAGAAGAGATTATTGCCTACCTGTGTCCTTAGGCCAATGGTCTGTTCCACAACTGCAGATGCAATCTCTTTTGTCTTCATGTTTTAATGGTGGAGTTAGTATGTCTATCTCATACACAACACAAAACTCATATTAAGATCTCCATTAGGACAATCCAATTATGGCAACATCATCTAGTGCTTCATAGTCCACGAGGAATACTTAGTCATTTTTTAGATAGAGCACTAGAGACTTGGATAAGAGAAACAGAGACTGTAGACTGTAATCTCGATATGAAAGGAGTTATTGTGGGGAGTGGGAAAGAATATAGAGTCTGGAGTCAGAAAGGTATGCGTTCAAACCCTGGCTCTACCTCCTATCATGTGTCACTTGGGGCAAGCCATTTGACCACTGTCAGCCTTTATTTCTTACTAAAGGGGATATAGTAATACACATCTGCAGAACAATTATGAGTATTAAATGTGATAATTAAAAACTTAGTTCCTTGTGTAATGAATCCACTCTTGGTTCAAAAAATTCCCATTTTATGTTCACATAAGAATTCCCGTGTCATGTTTTATCTTTTAAATCAAGAGAATTAACACCTATAGTTCACGTTTATTTTTTCAATAAGAAAGTAATTATACTAAAAACGTCACAATTAGGGCAGAAATAGAAATAGTTATCTTACCTGCCCATCATTTGTAAACACGTAGCCAACTGTATGAAGTTCTTCAGGTGGAGTTGGTTGACTCGTTTGAAGTGGAGAAGCCTGTATCTGCAGATAGTCCTCATAATTAACTATGTGTGTTACTAGAACACTTTGATTTATAACTGGAACATAACTGGCACATAAATCAGTGCTACACAGCTGAAATATATGATCCTCTTGAGAGTACATGATCACAGACTGTCTTAGTAATGTGTGCCTTGGCACCAAACACAGTTTAGAATCTCATATCTAGAATCTATATCATGTTCCGTGATCTAGAATCATCTCCCTTTACCTAAGTCATGACTCAGTCCACCCTCACTACTTCCTATAGGTTCACACCACTAGGTTAAACAATTCCCTTATGCCTCCAGCTCAGTTTGAGAATGGGCTGACCTCCCTTACACCACCATCCCAACTAAAAATCTAATTCTAAATATTAATACTTTAATATTTAGAATGCCAATTTTCACTGAATTATTCAAGTTCATTTTTTAAAGCTCAAAGGAGAAGTATGTATTAATGAGCACATACACTGTCCTACTTAACTTACCTGCCCATTATTTATAAACACACAGCCAAAAGTATAAACTTCTTCAGGTGGAGTTGGCTGACTCGTTTGAAGTGTCCGATTTGAAGTGACTGACTCCTTTGAACCAGCATCTGCAGATATTCCTCATAGCTAACTATGTGTGTGTGACTAGAACACTCTGATTAAAAACTAGAACATAAATGGCAAAGAAATCGACACTATTCTCCCCATTGAAAGGGTGTAGGCTCCATGGCATTCTCTTATCATCCAGAGAACGCTAAATAGTGGGCCTAACCCTCTTTGGATAACTTGCTGAAATCTATAGATATTTTTCCCTGGAAAAATACCCTTACACACAAACTTGGTGTATAATTTCAGAAGTGTGACCAGCCTGAGATCTGATTAATTTAGTGGACAGATGACCCCACTTAAAATCACCAACATTGGGGTACAGAGGGTTTGTAAACTGATGCCAATTATCCTGGACACTATCAGCTTTGTTATTTCCATATAAACAAGGAATTCTCTGCTGAACTCACAGCGGTAGGCAGTGTCATATAGTATTTGTGTGTGCAATCTCTGAAATCTGACAGACCTAGGTTCTGTCACTTTTCCAACTGGATAAACCTGTGAGGGCTGCTTAAATATGCACTCTACGATTCTATTTCCATAAAATGGGCATAAAACAGTATCTAACTCATGGCGCTCTCATAAGGATTACCAGAGATAAAGCACAAAGAGGATAGTGTATGTGCTGGCTAATACATACTTTCCTTTAAGCTTGAAAAAAATAAACTTCTGGGATTTAGTGAAAATGGACATTCTAAATTTTAAAATATTCAAAAATAAACTACTCATACAATAAACACCTTCCTACAAACTAGACTTGATATTTTCAAAATCAATAAAGGCCGACACAAAAACGTGTCTGGTTTCAGCATAGCAAATTTCCTCCTAGTTAACTTGTCTAAATGACTGCTACTTGCAATATCATAAGCATTTCTGTATGTCTAAGTCCTCCTTTATGAAACAAGTAATTCATTATTCCTGAAGTTTTAAATTGATGTATTTAACACAGACAAGCAGTAGGAGAGGAATGATGGAAATTAGAGTAGAAGAAAATCAATAAAATAAAAAAAACAGAAAAATCAATGAAATCAAAAGTTGGTTCACTGAAAAAGTGAAAGAAACCTAACAATCTTTTAACTTGACTGACCAAGGAAAAAAAGAAAGGACTCACAGATTATCAAAATCAAGAATGAAAGGGGGGTAATTAATACTGACCTTATAGAAACTCAGAGGAATAAATTATGAACAACTTTATGCCAACACACTAAACAACTTAGATAAAATAGAAAAAAATCCTAGAAGACAAATTACTGACTCAAGAAGAAATAGAAAATCGAAATAGGACTATTGAAAGAAAAGGGATTTAATTAGTAATTTAAAATCTCCCCACAAATACAAGCCAAGCCAAGGTGGCTTCACGTGTAAATTCTGCAAACATTTACGGAAGAAATAATACCAATACTTGGCAATGTCTTCAAAAAATAACGGACGAAGGAACACTACTTCATTCTATGAAGCCAATATCACCCCGATATCAAAGCCAGACAAATATGTCACAAGATATATTTTCCTGTCAGCTCCAAATTCACCTTTTTATCCCGCTGTGTGAGAAGGGTCTGTGTTCCTCCGCCTATGTCGGCTGTACAGTTGTTACTGAAGGCCGCCTTTAGAGGGCGCCAGAGTCAGCGAAAGGGAGGGCTGCGCTTCCAGGTTCTCTAGGCTGGCACCCACTGAGCGAGAGGCTTCTCCTAGGGACTCTGGCGCCCCACACAGATCCCAGAGTTCGGTTGGAGCAGGGCACGTGGTGGCCTGCAGCTTCCCTTCCTTCCATTGCGCTTGGACCATACGAGTGATCGGTGCTTATGGTGAGACGCCTCCCCATGCGCATCATTCCCGGGCGCCCTAGGGGGCACATTTCCCACAACTCCTAGAGGGCAGGTTTCTAGAAAGTTCCAGCAGTGGTGAGGCACCATAACAACTTTATTGCCATTTTGTGAGGTGCAGCCATACTCCTCTGGCAAGATCAGGGTTTTGTTTTTTTTGTTTTTTGTTTTCTCATTTTTATGTTTGAGACAGAGTCTTACTTTGTCTCTCAGGCTGGCGTGCAGTGGCAGTGAACAGGGCTCACTGCAGCCTTGACCTCCTGGGCTCAAGTGATCCTCCCACCTCAGCCTCCCGAGTAGCTGGGACCACAGGCATGCACCACCATACCTATTTTTTGTAGAGATGGGGTCTCACTATGTTGCCCAGGCTGGTCTCAAACTCGGGCTCAAGCAATCCACCCTCCACGACCTTCCAAAGTGCTGACATTATAGGCGTGAGCAACCACGCCCAGCAAGGTCAGAATATCAACATTGGTGCTAAGATGAATAGGATAGAATTTCATTCAACATTGGGGGGTTGGGGGAGGTTATTTGAGTATTCCATTTAAGATCTGTAGTGGGGAGCTCTTTCCAAGGCACTGTATCTCAGCAGTATTTCAGGATAAACTTTTTGGAAGTTAATCTATCTTAGCTCTGGGTTAAAGGGATTCTTTCCTGTATACTAACCTCAAATTCCCAAAGGTAGATCTCCAATGAGTTCTGCCAATGTGGCAGCCCAACAAGTTCTCTGGCATACACTGAGTAACAGCTGGGCTTACCCGATATGTGGACTTCAACCCTTGGTTGTGGTGGTGGTGTTGTGAGTGTTTCCTCATATGCTCTCTTCAAGCCCTGCAGAGGACTTTCATGGGTTCCTCTGTCTCAGCATGGGGGTGATGAATCTTCCTCTGGGTTTTAACTTAATCCTGGGAGAAAGCTCTTAGCTTCCCTGGGTGCCCTACCTCAACCCTAGGTGAATGCTTCCTTGTGGGCTCTGTCACATCCCTTTTGGATGGGGCTGTTTCTGAGGTGCTGTATCTTAGCCCTGGAAAGGATTTTCCATAATGCTCTATCTCAGTCCAGATGGGTGACTCTAAGGGGCTGTATCTCAGCCCTTGGGAAGGAGACTTTTCCTTGGTTGTTTCATAACTGCAGTTGGAAGGCTCTTCCCTGGGTTCTCATCATAATTATGTTAGGGGATGCCTTCCTTTGTTTCTCTATGTCGGCCATGAAGTGAAGGAGCTTCCTTGGATGCTCTGTTTCCCACCTCGGATAGGGGAGGACCATTCCTTGGTTGCTATATCTCAGCCCTGCAGGGGACTCTTCCTCACGTGCTCATCACAGCTGTGTGTGTGTGTGTATGCTTGAGAATAGTTTATATTCCAATTATTGGGTACAGGTTTCTGTAAATGGCCACAAGTTAACTTTGCTTATTGTATTGTTCACATTTATGTGTTTATTATTTTTTTCTGTTCAACTTAACAATAACTGAGATAATTACATTTAAAATCTTCTACAATAATGGTGGATTTTTCAGTTTCCCTCAATAGTTCTACTTATTGCTTTATATATTTTCGAGACTGTTTTATTACCTGCATACAACTATACAATTGTTAAATGTTTCTGGAGAAACAAATTTTGACCATTACGTAGGGACTATTTATGCTCAAATAATGCATTTTATTGGTCCTTTATCTGATATCAATATAACTTCCTCATCTTTCTTTCTTTTTTTGATGTTTGATATTTTAATCCAAACACATTGCTATTTGCATTAAAATCACAGGATACACGAACATGTAGAAGGTAGTATGTGGTAAAAAATGCTGAGCTTCACATGAGCTCACATTTAGCTCTGGTCCTGCCCTTGACCACTCAAAAGACCTGGGCAATTCATACTTCCTCATCATAAAAGTGAGGGAATTTGATTGGATGAATGCCAGACTTTTTTTTTTAACTTTTATTTTAAGTTCAAGGGTACAAGTACAGGTTTGTTACCTGGGTAAACTTGTGTCACAGGAGTTTGTTGTACAGATTATTTCATCACCCAGGTGTTAAGCCTAGTACCCATTAGTTATTTTTCCTGATACTTTCCTCCTCTCACCCTCCATCCCCAGGTAGGTTCCAGTGTCTGTTGCTCCCATATTTGTGTCCATGTGTTCTCATCATTTAGCTCCCACTTATGAGTGAGAACATGCAGTATTTGGTTTTCTGTTCCTGTGTTAGTTTGCTAAGGATAACGGCATTCAGCTTCATCCATGTCCCTGCAAAGGACATGATCTCATTCTTTTTTATGGCTGCATAGTATTCCATGATATATATGTACCACATTTTCTTTATTCAGTCTGCCATTGATGATCACTTAGGTTGATTGCATGTCTTTGCTATTGTGAATAGTGTTGCAGTGAACATTTGCGTGCATATGTCTTTATGTTAGAATGATTTATATTCCTCAGGGTATATACACAGTAATGGCATTGCTGGGTCAAATGTTAGTTCTGCTTTCAGCTCTTTGAGGAATCACTATGCTGCTTTCCACAGTGGTTGAACTATTAGGTTGGTGCAAAAGTAATTGCTATTTTTGCCATTAAACGTAATGGCAAAACTGCAATTACTTTTGCACCAACCTAATAATTTACGCTCCCACTAACTGTGTATTAAGTGTTTGCTATTCTCCACAACCTCACCAGCATCTGTTATTTCCTGACTTTTTAATAATAGCCATTTTGACTGTTGTGAGATGATATCTCATTGTGGTTTCGATTTGCAATTTGCATTTCTCTAATGATCAATGATACTGAATGCTCTGCTTTTAAAGGGCTCATGTGTGTAAGTCAGACCCACTTGGAGAATCTCCTTATCGTAAGATCAAGTGACTAGTGAGCTTAATTACATCTGCAAAATTATCTTTTTCCTGTAATGTAATCATGAGACTAACACCAGAGGGTAAAGATCATGGGGACCATCTCAGAATTCTTCCAAAGAAAGAGAGAGAAGCTAAATATAGCAAGAGTTGAAGCCATGAGTTTTGGGCCACTTTCTCTTGCAAAGTACTTATCGCTCCAGGACCTGAGTGTGATCTTTATGTATCCCTTCAATTTGATAATGGGGTGCTTCTGTACCTACACATCACTATGATTTGGGGGGTCAGAAAACACCCTGGTTAGGATAGGCAGCTCAGCTGGCATGGTAATATTATGTCCCATAGCCAGGGGTTCAGCCTCTACTAAAGCCCAGTAGTAAGCCAAATGTTTCTTGAAAGTTCAAGAATGACATTTATTTCTCTAGGAAATTAGTGCCAGTAGAGCTGGTGTCCTGTAATCATGGAGAAATCTGATTATTTCCCTTTTCCAATGCACCATCACCCTAGTAAAGGGCTTCAGTCTCCTTTGGGTAAGAACAGGAGAACAAGTAATAGTATATACCATTTCAGCATATGAAGGGTCCTTCTTCAAGAAGCCCCCCCTTCATGCATAAACTTTTTTGGGTCTTTAACCAAGTCAAGTCTGGGATTTGATTGATTCAGGGACCCTTAAACTTTTTTGGGTCTTTAACCAAGTCAAGTCTGGGATTTGATTGATTCAGGGACCCTTAATGAAAATGGGAGTAATGAGAGATATGTCTGAAATGCAGAAGCTCCTATAGAGCACCTCTTAGTACTCCTGTATCCAGTGATGAAAGCCAATGGAAACTAATACAACTTAATTCAATCAGGACTGCTAATGGCCTTGAACCGTGAACCTCAGGAATTCAAGTTTGAGTCACCCCATCAGGAAAAGGTCTGTCACCAGGGAAGATGCTTGCTGAGGACAAAGGGAGTATGAAATGGGTAGTGGAAGGAGTGACCACATGGCCATATGCAGAAACAAGGACTGTAATAACTATGAGTATTACTTCCTTATCTTGATATGGATGTTTACATACATATGAAGCAAATATTTTTGGTTCTCGTCCCCTTAGCTAATAATCTAAAATGTATTAACCAAGATTTAACTTTATTTTCAGTATTTGAGATATAGGATATTAAGGGTAGAGTGTGAATCAGGTTGAAGAAAAATGTGCAATATCTAGAGACAAAAACTAGACTTTGTATCCTCTTTAGGAAAAGTGTTAATATGTTATTTGTAAGCAGGAAAACTTTCTCATGTTAGGCAGAAAAATAACTTTGCTACTGTGTTTATTTAGCGATAGATATGGCTTAAGGAGATGTGCATGGGTACCAAAATGACAAGAGGTACACCTTGTAATGTGTCAGCTTGGCTAGGTGAATTCATTACAGACAATTCCCTTTCCTGTGTGTTTCCAGTTAGATTGTACGACAGGGAGATACTTTGAAGATTGGAGAATGTGGCCGAGGAGAAACAGCATTGATTTTGTAGCTCATACCCATTGTTGCTGACCTGCTGATTCACCTTTTGGCATGAAGCAGCAGCTGTGCCTGCAATTCTTCTACCTTCCACTGGATTCTCCTTCAGTTTCTCTATCTTTAGGATAAGGTCTTTGAGTTTAGCTCCTTTAGGCAGGGTCCTGGATTATACAGAATACCCTCGTCACCGAGGTCAGAGGCAACAAGAATAAGGTCAGAGGCAAGAAGAATGGAGACATATTTGTCTGTCCTTATGGGCTTTCAGATCATGTTTGTGGATTTTATTAATAGCCTGTTCTTTCTTCGTATAGAGACTTGGTAACCACATTCCGTAACTACATAAGGCGATTTTTTTTGTAACAGCAGCAGCAACAACAAACTTACATATCACATACTTTTTCTGCTGCTGCTTCCTTCTTTCTTTCTTCCTTTCTGCCTTCCTTCCTTCCTTCCTTCCTTTACTTTCTTTCTTTCTTTCTTTTCTTTTCTTTTTTCTTTTTGATTTAGGGTCTTGCTGTGTTTTCCAGGCTGGAGTGCATTGGTGCATAGTCTCACTGCAGCCTTGACCTCCTGGGCTCAAGAGACCCTCCCACCTCAGCCTCCTGATTAGCTGGAACTACAGGCACCTGCCATCATGCCCGACTAATTTATTTTTAGTACACACGAGGTCTTGTTATGTTGCCCATGCCGGTCTCAAACTCCTGGCCTCAAGCAATCCTCCTGCCTCTATCTCCCAAAGTGCTGGGATTATAGGCATGAGCCGCCCTGCCTAGCCTTTTTCTGCTTCTTTAGTTGAACTTTGATTGCTGTAGGCAGGAAAATGACTAAACCCTTATTAAGCCTCGTTATACCACTTGCTTCTAAAGTTTGGTAGTTTTCCCTGTGCTGATGTATTGTAGATAGGCACCTTTTAGAATTCTTTTATAATTTCCTTGTCCCATTCAAAACATTTTTGAACCAAGTATAAACACAAATACCATTATTGATGGTAAGCTGTTTCTTATAAAAACATGATTACATTTCATGATTTTTCTATTCAGGAATTTGAGCAGGGCTGGGATGGGCAATCATTCTGCTTAACATGGAATCACCTGGCACCACTCAGTGATATCCAGATGGCAGCTGGGCTGCTCTGGAGAGCTTTATTGTTGTTATAAAATACACACAAAATAAACTTTATCAGTTTCACAATTTTAAAGTGTATAATTCAATGGCATTAAGTACATTCACAATGTTCTGCAACCATCACACAACTATCTAGTTCTAGAAATTTTTCATCACTATCCCAAAAGGAAACTCTGTATCCATTAGCAGTCACTACCCATTTTCCCCTCTCCCTGGCCCCTTGCAACCAGTAATCTACTTTCTGTCTCTGTAGATTTCCCAATTCTTGATATTTCATATAAATTGAATCAATCATGGTATATGCTCTTCTGTCTTCTTTCACTTAGCATAATGTTTCCAATGTTCATCCATGTTGTAGCATGTATTAGTACTTCTCTTTTATGATGATTATTACTCCATTGCATGTATATATCACATTCTGATTTTTTATTTACCCATTAATGGACATTTGGGCTGTTTCCACCTTTTGGTTGTTGTGAATAGTGCTGCTATGAACAAATGCATGCAAGTTTTTGTTTGAACACCCATTCTATTTTCTTCCTATTTTAAACTTTTGTTTTAGGTTTAGGGGTACATGTACAGGTTTGTTATATAGGTAAACTCATGCAATGGAGATTTGTTGTACAGACTATTTCATCACCTAGGTGCTAAGCCTAGTACTCAATAGTTATTTTTTCTGCTCCTCTCCCTCCTCCCATCTTCCACCTTCTGATAGGCCCCAGTGTCTGTTGTTCCCCATCTTGTGTCCATGTTTTCTCATCATTTAGCTCCCATTTATAAGTCAGAACACTCAGTATTTGGTTTTCTGTTCCCGCATTAGTTTGCTAAGGATAATGGCCTTCAGCTCCATCCATGTTTCTGCAAAGGACATGATTTTATTCTTTTCTATGGGTGCATAGTATTCTGTGATGTATATGTACCACATTTTCTTTATGCAGTCTATCATTGATGGGCATTTAGTACATTCCATGTCTTTGCTATTGTGAATAGTCAACACCTATTTTTTTTCATTAACTTTTGTTTTGAGTTCCATGTTTACAAGTGCAGGGTGTGCAGGTTCGTTACATAGGTAAATGTATGTCATGTGATTTCCTGCATAGATCAACCCATCACCTACAGCATCCATTAGCTATTCTTCTTAATGCTCTCCCTCTGCCCGCCCCGCAAAAGGCCCCAGTGTATGTTGTTTGCCCCATGTGTCCATGTGTTCTCATTGTTCGGCTCCCAGTTACAAATGAGAACATGCAGATGAACACCTTTTTTTCAGTTCTTTTGAGTACATTCATAGGAATGGAATTGCTCAGTCAAATGACAGTCCAATGTTTACCATTTGGAAGAAATGTTTTCCACAATGGCTGTACCTTTTCACTTTCTGAACAGCAGTGTATGAAGGTTTCAATTCCTCCACATCTCCAACAATGCTTGTCGTTTTTCATTTTAAAAATTATGGCCATCCTAGTAGGTATGAATTGTGGTTTTTATTGTGATTTTGATTGTGTATCTCTAGTAATTAATGATGTTGAACATCTTTTCATGTACTTGTTGGTCAGTTGTATGTCTTCACTGGAGAAAAGTCTACTCAACTCCTCTGCCCATTATTCATCTTTTTGTTGTTGAGAGTTCTTTTTATATTATGGATACTAGACCCTTATCAGATGTATGTTTTGCAAGTATTTTCTCCCATGCTGTGGTTGTCTTTTCACACTCTTTTGTTTTGTTTTGTTTTGTTTTTAGACAGAGCCTCACTCTATTGCCCAGGTTGGAGTGCAGTGGCGCAATCTTGGCTCACTGCATCCTCCATCTCCTGGGTTGAAGCGATTATACTGTCTCAGTCCCCCAAGTAGCTGGGATTACAAGTGTGTGCCACCACACCCGGCTAATTTTTGTATTTTTAGTGGAGTCGAGGTTTCACCATATTGGCCAGGCTGGTCTTGAACTCCTGACTTCAGGTGATCCGCTTGCCTCTGCCTCCCAAAGTGTTGGGATTACAGGCATGAGCCACCGTGCCTGGCCATTTTCACGCTCTTGATACAGTTTTTTGATACACAGTTTTTAACTTTGATAAAATCAAATTATCTATTTTTTTTTGCTTTTGCTTTGGTGTCATATCTAAGAAGTCATTGCCAAATCCAAGGTCATGAACCTTTACTCCAAAGTTCCCTTTTAAGAGTTTTATGGTTGTAGTTCTTTTATTTTGATGTTGATCCATTTTGAGTTAATTTTTGTATGTGTTGTGAGGTAAGGGTCCAACTTCTGTTATTAGTTTCTGGTTTGACTCCATTATGCTCTAAGAAGATACTTTGTATGACTTAGTCTTTTTAAACTTATTGTCATTTGTTTTGTGGCCTAATATATGGTTGATCTTGGAGAACACTCCATGAGCACTTTAGAAGAATGTGTGATCTGCTATGGTTGGTGGAGTGTTCTATAGGCATCTGTTTTGACTTTTTCTTTAATCCATTAGTTATTTAAGAGTGTGTTGTTTTATTTCCACATATTTATACATTTTCCAATTTTCCTTCTGTTATTGATGTTTAGTTCCATTCCATTTTGGTTGGAGGATATACTTTGTGTGATTTCAATCTTTTTAATTTTATGCAAACTTGTTCTGTAGCTTAACATACCTTCCATCATGGAGACTGTTCCATGTGCATTTGACAATAATGTATAGTCTGGTGTTGTTGGGACAAGTGTTCTATTTATGTCTGTTAGACCTAATCAGTTTATAGTGTTCAAGTCTTCTATTTACTCATCCTTCTTCTGACTAGTACTTCTATCCATTATTGAAGTCTCCAACTATTATTGTAGAACTGTATATTTTCCCTTCAATATGTCCGTTTTTGCTTCACTTATTTTGGGGCTGTCTTGACTGGTGCATATATTTATAATTTTTACAACTTTTTGATGGGTTGGCCAATTTATCAATATATAAGGTCCTTTTTGGTCTCTTGTAACAATTTTTGGTTTCAAGTCTATTTTGTCTGATATTAGTAATAGATATCCATCTCACTTTTGGTTACAATTTGCATGGAATATCTGTTTTCATCCTTTCACTTTTAACCTATTTGTCAATTTGTCTTTAAGGTGAATCTCTTATACACAACGTAGAGTTGGATCACTTTTGTAAATCATTCTGTCAATGTTTAACAAACAGCTTTACTGAGAGCTTTATTTTACACCATGCAATTCATCCATTTAAAGTGTATAATTAGATGGCTGTTATATTACATTATTAATTTTTTAAAATTATGGTAATATATGTATAACATAAAATTTGTTATTTTAACCAATTTGACATATACAGTTCAGTGGCTTTAAAAAATTATTATTATTTTTGTGGGGGTAAAATTAAATTTATTATCAGTGATAATTGTCAGTTTCAACCAGCAGCAGTTATTGCTCCCAAGCTTTGAAAATGGGGTTCCCCTTGGTTAATGCTGTCTTTAAGAGTCCTTCCTGTTTCTTAGCTGAGAGAGGAGGGCTGCACAACATAAAGGGTTGGCGGAGGAGCAAGCCAACAGGAAGAGGCACTTGGCCTTAACTCAGAGAAGGGGAAAGATGGTCACTCTGTTTTCTTTCGGTGGCAGTAAGGGCTTTATCAAGGTACTTAGTGCCATCAGTTCCTGCACTGGGGAACCCAGGGCTCCAGGTCAGCAAGAGACAGGACCTAAAAGACATTAAATTCTGGGAAGACAGCCGAGGAGGTAGGCCAGTCCCACAAGGGAGAGGACACTGCCTGTATGGATTGGATGGGGGCATGCAAAATGACACCCCCATCCCTAAGCCCTGTAATCTGTAAATGTGACCTTACTTGATAAAAGGGTCTTTGCAAATGTAATTAAATTAAGGATCCCAAAATGAGATTAACCTAGATTTCAGGTGGGCCCTATATCCAATGACAGTCCAATCTCTAACAAGATAAAAACAGAGGGAGATTTGAGACAGGCATAAGGAGAAGATGTGAAGATGGAGGCAGAGATTGGAGAGATGCGGCCACAAGTCATGGAAGGCCTGGAGCTGCCAGGAGCTGAGAGAAGCTGGAAGGTGCGTCCCACTAGCACTTGTGAAGGGAACATGGCCCTGCCCAGACCTTGATTTTTAACTTCTGGCCTCTAGAACTGTGAGAGAATAAATTTCTGTTGTTTAAAGCCATTCAGTGTGTGTAAATTTGTTACTGCAGTCACAAGAAACTGATACACTGCCCTTCTTGGTGGTGGGTCCCAAGCTCTCAAGAGGTCACCCAAGGTCAAGGTTGGCTTCCTGATAAGATTCCTGAGCTTCTGTAGAAGACCCCATTGAGATAGGACTTCCGCATGGTTACCTGAGCTCAGGCCACTCACCCTGGGAGGGCCGCGTCAGAAGAGTGGTGACAGGAAGAAATGCAGTGGTGGGGGTGGCAGGGGCAGAGGGAAGGCAGGCAGCAGCCAGGGGTCCTGGGGTGCCGGGGGCACCAGCAGGCTGAAGGGCGAGAGCCACCAGGGCAGTGGTGGCAGTGGCTGCAGGGGCTATTATTATTTTTCAATAAAGATGGGGTCTCACCGCATTGCCCAGGCTGTCTCAAACTCATGGCCTCAAGTGGTCCTCCTGCCTTGGTCTCCCACAGTGCTGGGATGATAGATGTGAGCCACTACACCTGGCCTTTTTAAATTTATTTTTTTCAATTCAGTGGCTTTAATTACATCCACAATGTTATGCAATCATTACCACTACCTATTTCTAAACTTTATCATCACCTAAACAGAGACTCTGTAACCATTCAGCATTAACTCCACATTATCCCGTCCCCACCCCCCCAGCCCTAACTTAAAACCTAAAAGTAACCTATATGGTTATCTTGAGACTGGTACTTTATGTTTCTTCCTAAGGCTTCTAAGTACTGTCTTGTGTCCTTTCATTTCACCCTGAAGAACTCTTTACCATTTCTTGTAGGAAAACGCTGCTAGTGGCAAACTCCTTCAAGTTTTGTTTATCTGAGAATGTCTTAATTTCTCCTTCATTTGTGAAGGTTAGTTTGGCCAGATATAGAATTCTTGATTGACAGTTTTTTTTTCTCCTGGTAACACTTTAAACATGTAATTACATGGCTTTCTGGCTTTCATTGCTTCTAATGAGAAATTGGTTGTTAATCTTAGTAAGGATCTTTTTTGACAGGTAATTTCTCTCTCAGTGCTTTCAAGATTCTCTTTGTCTTTGAACAGTTTGACATAATGCTTTTCAGTGTGGATCTGTTTGAGTTTATCTCCCTTAGAATTCCTTGAGCTTGTTGCATGTGTAGATTCATGTCTGTTATTAAATTTGGGAGTTTGGGGCCAATGTTTCTTTAAATATTCTTTATGCTACTTTCCCTCCTCTCCTTCTGGGTATCCTATTGTGTATATGTTGTTACACTTGATGATGTCCCATAAGTCTCTTAAGTTACGTTCATTCTTCTTAATTCTCCTTTCTTTCTACTCCTCAGACTGGATAATTTCAATCAACTTATCTTCAAGTTCACTGATTGTTTCTTTTGCCTGATCAAAGCTGCTATTGGCCCCTCCTCCTGCCTTCCTCCCTTCTCCTCTTCTCTCTCTCCCCTCCCCTCTTCCTTCCTCTCCCTCCTTCCCTTTTCCCTCAGTCATCCATCCTCCCTCCTTCCCCCACTCTTGAAGAGCATGCCGCATGGGGGACGGGCTAGTTACTTGCTCCAATGGCGGGTGAGCACGGTGTCACCCCAGCCCTGAGTGCTGGGAGCCACCTGGCCTGCATCCAGCCTCCCTGATTGTCCCTTTTCTAGCCCCATGCCTGCACCTGTGTGCCCTAACACATTGCACACCGAACAGCCATGGGCCCTGAGTAGCCACCACCCCGATCATGCTCTGGACTTGCCTGCAGCAGCACAATGAATGATTTTAGAATCAAGAATATGGACCACATAGCTCCTGTGGCTAACAGTTACGGAGGGACACTCAGGCACCAGCCAGCCTTTGACACTTTTTATGGGTCTCTGCTGTGTTTCACTCTCTAAAGAGCAAACATGTAACAAACCTGCACGTTGTGCACATGTACCCTAAAACTTAAAGTATAATAATAATAAAATAAAAATTAAAAAAAGAGCAAACACTGTAAAAAGTGCCAACAGGCTTGGATTCAATTTCTCATGACTTGCCAACTGTGCATTGTCCTTGTTAACGCTGTATAGCAAGGCTGTGATGAATCAAGCTTTAAAAGCTACCTTCAGTGGCTTCAAAAAGGAGAAATAGTGCTTTGGCTTTCCAAAGAAACCCTGGCTATGGAGGGAGCAGTAAGTATGCCAGGGGCTTATCTGCACTACCAACAAGTTCAGTCTGGTGAACGTGAATCTCCAGAGGCTTAGCATGAGTGGCCAGGTATTGTATAACCTTGGCAAGGAGTACTTTCTGGAGCTGGTACTTGACTTTGTGGATGACATTTTCTGGGAACATCTGGACCAGATGACCGAAGAAAGCCAAGAAAAGACAAAAGATCAATGTAAAGAAAATTCATGCCTGAACTCAATTCCTCATTGGTTTAACAGCAATACATTAGGTTTTGGCATAAAGCAGGTACCCTATGGTATGCAAACACACAATTACCCCAAAGGCAGCCTCCTGGACAGCATGTGTCCAGCTTCTGCACCCAGCGTGCTCAGCTCTGAACAGGAGTTTCAGATGTTCTCCAAGTCTCAGCTCAGCCCTATCAGCCTCAACTATGCTCCATCAGTCAGGACTTTCTAGGCAACTTGAATTTGCTCACCAACAATTCTGGGAAGCCTAAAGACCACAAATCCCCTGAGAATGGTGCAGACATTTAAAGCTGTCTGCTTTTTTAACATTTAAATCATGAGGCAGACAGCTTTGAGAGCTCAGGCACCTGGAACAACCAGTCATCCTTACTGGATGTGCAGCAGGTTCCTTTCTTCGAGAGCTTCAAAGAAAACTGCAGTCAGTCCCCCTGCCTCAAAAAGTTGACCATGCCTTTCAAGGATTACATCCAAGAGAGGAGCAACCCGGTGGAGCAAGGCAAACCAGTTATACCTGTGGCTGTGCTGTCTGGCTTCACAGAAAGTGGACCTATTCACCCACAGCAGTTTTTCCTGGAATTTTAGACAGTCTTGCCAGTCATTTCATCAGCTGGAATAGGGACAGGTGGGAGTTTAAACTTGCCAACCCTGACAATGTTGCCTGCCAGTGGGGAATCAGGAAAAATAAGCCCAAGATGAACTACAAGAAGCTGAGCCTGGGTTTACCTACTATCATGACAAGAACATCATCCATAAGATGTCGGGAAAGTGCTATATGTGCTGCTTTTTGTGTGACGTCCAGAACTTGCTGGGGCTCATGCCTGAGGAACTGTACACCATTCTGGGCTTCCAGCCAAACACAGAGGGCTGAGGTCTCTGGGACCACCATGAATCAGCCCCAGGCCCGTGGACTGAGTGGGAAGCCCATCCTGACCAACTACTCCAAGGACCCAGGAAAGACACGATTGAATGTCCAGGAACGTCTCCAAGAAGCAGTGGACTTATTGCATCCAAAACCACACCTCTTGACCAGGCTTTCTCTCCTGTGGCAGAGAAGGCACAGCTAATACTACTCACCGTGCTTTTAAATTAAAATGGTCGAGAAACAGGCACTGGGAAGCCATCTTGGCTCCTAGCAGGCTATGGGAAGGGATGGTGCTGGCTGTTTGAGAGTCTCAAAGGAGCAAGCATATCATGAATGCACACAAACTATTTTTCCATTTTCCTTTGTGTTTTGCAACCAGGAATAGAAAATGCAAAAACTCCCTCTTTGTTTGAGAGGGGTAGGAAGGTGGGAAGTAAGCAGCCATGCCATTTCAGAAGTCAGCTTGTATATATTATTATTTGAGACAGGGTCTTGCTCTGTTGCTCAGGCTGGAGTTCAGTGGTGTGATCACAGTTCACTGCAGCCTCCACCTCCTGGGCTCCAGCAGTCCTCCCACCTGAGTCTCCTGAGTAGCTGGGACCACAATTGTGTGCAACCACGTCCAGCTAATTAAAAATACATATATTTTGGAGAGATGGGGTCTCGCCATGTTGCCCAAGCTGCTCTTGAACTCCTGGGCTCAAGTGGTCTTCCCACCTTGGCCTCCCAAAGTGCTGGGATTACAGATGTGGGCCACTGCACCTGGCCTCAAATTTCTTTCTTACTCAGCCATTCCAAGGGTGAGTTGAAATGCCACAAAGCTCCCCTACCATGTTTCAATGACTTCTCTCCTAATTCAGGATTGGCTTGGTTGCTGTAAACCTTTTACTATATTCTAGAGTTCCAATAAAACTTGATTCTGACAGGTTTTTTTTTCCCCCAGTGTTTTCCAAGTTTCTTGAAAGTGACTAGTCCGTGGGTACTCTACTCTGTGATTTTTCACTAGCGTCACTCAATTCTGTGAGTGATGTTTTGAAGTTTAAATCCTTATGTTAACATCTTAACTTGTTTAACAGCATACACTCTTTTTCTGAAAGGAGTAACAAATCACAAGAAACATATAAGTAGAAATTTATCCAGCATTAATGAACTTGTGAAAATCAATAAAATGATTTATTTTATATATGCAAAATCAAAATCTCTTTGTACACTTTAATTTTTGCAAATTCATACAAACATAACAATACTGCTCCATATAAACTTTTGTATAAACATTAAAGGAAATATACACATATTTTGTTCTTCTTGTGCTTCCAAAGCACAGAATGTATAAGTCCATCTGAAGACTTTCTATCATCACATGCAAGAACAAATGTCAGAGGTTGGGGGCAGCCTCAAGTGCACTTTGTAATGTCTCTAGACAAAAGAGAAGAGAGTTGGAGGTAGATTGTTTGGTGACTCTCCCTGCCCCTTCCCACAGAGAAATAAGTTACCCAAATAGCAGCTTCTTACTTCTTTGATTCAAACTATCCTGAATATTGCATGGTTTAAAAGGCACAACTAGGAATTGTTGAAAACTTTGTTCAGCACACATAAGATTGCCATTTCCTTTCTGTACACCTATTCTTTCTGAAGGACACAGTAAGAGCACCAAGTTGTGCTCCACTTGCAGGTGGCCCCTCGCCACTCTGAGAATGCCTGGAATGGCAAAGTTCAAGTGAGTGACCTCTCATTACCCGTGGTAGGGGCAGTGGTGTTTACCGAATTTAGCCTGTGAATTAATAACATCAGCTTCCTCAATTGAGGAAAACAAAACAAAACAATTCATACTTTAAAAAATTATTAAGGCAAAAGCCCAGCTTTCACTGCCAGATAATCATAAAATTCAAAAGCCCCACTGCTGCTTCTTAGCATCTGGAAAGCAATTCCCTTGACTCAAACATTCCAGGAGGCTTCAACAATATCCTGTTCCATCCTACAGCACAGAAAACTTGTCATTTTTTTCTCACTGGTCTTTGCACTAACATGATGATCTGCTGTTGATGTGACTAATGTTGTTGTGAAGGTGGTGGGAATTTATTTTTTCTAGTACCTTCTCAAGGTACTGAATTAGGACTCGTCTTTTAAACCTGAAAATAAAGAGAAATTTTATGAACCAAAAGATACTTAAAGTACTCATGATGTTCAAGGCACTGTGTGGGATACAAATCGAAGCTTACAATCTACATAGGAATATAAAGATTGTCCTCATGGAAAGATATGTCTTAGAGCAAGTACCAATAGTGGCAATTGAGGGCCCAAGCCTACCTGAGGCTATGATAAAAGTAGAAGGATGAATGAGTTGAGTTCAGATAACATAAATCCAAATACTTCTGGAGACAGCCTTAACTATGAGTGAGGGCCAGGGTTTGAGAAAAAAGCAAGGCAGAGCCTATTCCTCTCTTTTTCCTGCACTGGGCCCTACTGCTCTAAAAACAAAAACAAAAAATTGAAGAGTTCCTGTTTATACCTACCTTGCGGCTTCCTTGATGGTAAATTCAACAAACTGTTTCTTCATCTCCAGAGGTCCTTGCACTTCTTCAAGCAAAATGAAAATTCTTTCATATTCTGAAGATATTTAAAAAAACTTCAGTATTTTTATAAAGATGAATGGGAAATAAAATTTAATTGTTGTACATCCTTAGTAATTGTTCTTCGTGAGTGGAAAGTTAGATGTAGTTTGTATTTTAACATTCTTATCAAAATATCTGCATGCATCTACTAGGGCAACTCTTGTTAACACTAACCAAATGTAGCAGGCTGAATAGCAGCTGCTTAAAATTGTCTACATATTAATCCCTGGAACCTGTGAATACATTACCTTATATAGCAAAAAAGACTTTACTTTGCAGGTGTAATTAAGTTAAGGATCTTGAGATGGGGAGATTATCCAAGTTTATGCATGTGGGCCCAATGTAAGCACAAGTGTCCTTATAAGATGAAACAGTAGAGTTAAGGTCAGAGAGAAAACATGTAAAGACAGAAGCAGAGGTCAGAGAGGAGAAAAAGTGCTAAGGGTGTTTTCATGAAGATGGAGGAAGGGGCCATGGGCCAAGGAATACAGATGGCCCTTAGAAGCTCGAAAAGGCAAAGAAAGAAATTCTCTCTAGAGCTAGCAGAAGGAATGCTGGTCTGCCAACACTATTTTGGCCCAGCAAAAATAATTTCAAAATTCTGACTTCCAGAACTTAATATAATAATTTGTATTGTTTTAAGCTAGGAATCTTTTGATAACTTGTTACGGCAGCAAAAGGAAACATTACAAGAAATAAGGGGAAAAAACAGGAAAATATAGACTGTACCTTTTTAGTTAAAACAAGAGGAACTGCCTTAAACTATGTGAAAGCCCAATATTGCCCCCAGTGTACCTCAAGGGATAGCTTGAATCTATAGTGAATCACAGAATGAGAGAAACCTCCTGGTGCATTATTGATAGATGTTCTTTCACTACTTACTTCGACCAAACTTTCGAACTTCCTTCATTAATTGATGTTTTATATCAGCATTGATTCCTTGTGCCATAGCAGGAGTGATTTGTAATGTATTTGGCATAGCTCCCAAAGTAGATGCTACTGGGTCTTTTTGGTCATCTACGGAGAGACTGCAGTTTTTGGCTCCTCCTACAAATGCGTTACTACCAGGTTTTTGAATCAGCCCATCTTTGCTGAGACTTGTGAAGTCGTCAGACAGAGAATCCACTTGGTTGGGTGGCATAAGATCTCCTGTCATATTTATAAGCTCTGATGGAGCAGATTTTGACAGGAAGCCATCAGGTGTGATCTGACCATTTTCCATCTTCTCCTCATGGCCATCGTGAATGATAGTAGCATCTGGAAACCAAATGAAGAGGTTGAGCTGTGAGGTAAGGGTATTATGTCAACCCCACAGGTATATCCCTCTGATGCTCAATTTCTAGGAAATTATCTCATAAAGCAGGATGATATACCAGGTGGCGATCTGAGACCCCTCAAATTGAGGCCAGGACACATAATACAATAAAACCACCTCTTATTTTCTGGCCCTATGAATACATATGGAAACCAAGTAAGACAGTACAACTCTAAACACACATTCACAGATCCCTGGTACTCATGCGTTAGTGTCAGCTTGTTATGCTTTACAAGTTGAAAACAGCAAGTCTCACTTTATTTCATGATTTCTCAAATTCACATACAACCTGCCATGCTTTACTGAGCTGGAAGCCAGACAACTTGGATACACCACAACCTGCCTCCTCTTTACATCAAATACATTCTGAGAAAATAGAGGCGGCCATTAGTGCTGAAAGTTCTATACACACTCCATCACCAAAAATCCCTCTTAGTGTATTATCTTCCTAATCCTTCTTTTCTGTGTCAGAAAAGTACTTTCTTTTCACTCCAGATCTGACACCTCTTTCATTTATTCATCGTCTGTGGCAGGCAGTGTGTCGGGAGCTGGAGATCAGCAGTAAACAGCCAGAGCAACGTTCCCTGCCCTTGTGGAGCTCACATCCTCATGGGGCAGTCAGACAGTACATGCACAATGAGCAAATGAAACAAGCAGCATTGGGCTGGTGTTGGGGAAGTCATCTACAGGCCTTTGGGAGACAGCAGCAGAGGGAGCCCCAGGGGCTCCCGTGTTAGGAGAAGGTGACAGAGGCCAGCCGTGCAGTCTTGCAGACTAAAGCTGGTTCAGGGTCCCTTCTGAGTGCTCAGGAGAGTTGAGGACAGGTTTTCAGGAGCGACATGGCATGATGTGATATACATGCAGACATAATTTTCTGGCCACAGGGTTAGAGAGTATGTGATAGATGGGGGCTAGATTAGAAACATGAAGCTGGGATAAGAAGGTATTGTAGTAGTGTGGTGAGAGGCCACAGCAGTGTGCACTGGAGGGATAGAGAGAAATAGTGGGATTTAGGGATTATGTTGAACATCAAGTTTCCTGAACTTGTGAAAGGTATCAAAGCGAGGGAAGAATAAGAGAAAAATCATGATGACTCTATGGTTTGTCAGCTGAACCGCTGGGTAAATAGTGCTGAAGTGTGGCAGGAGCCAGGGCACAACTGCCCTCCAGAGCATTCTTCCCGACTCTGGTTCAATGACCTCAGGTTGACAGCTTGACTTTGATAAATATTAGCATTATTTACATGAAGGAAATCTGCAAACACTACAATCTAGAGCTTCTCTACCCTCCTCAACCCTGACAGATGTTAAAGCTTTACTGGCACATATCTGGATGGTGTCATTATCTGCAATGTGGAAGGCTACAAGTAGAGCTGTTTTGGAGAGGGGCAAGTTCGAGAGTTCAGTTGAAACTCATGAAACCTACTGAGTTTTATTTGTCTATTAGACACCTAAGTGGAGATGCATGTCCACAAGTAAGTCTGAGTCTGAAATTGAGGAGCAATTTATATTCTAGAGGTCAAATTTAGAGCCCCAAGACTGCATGGGGTCACCTAGGAAGAGAACGCAGTGAAGGACAGGAGAGGTACCAGGATTGAGTTTTGAGGCCCTATGATATTTAGAGGTGGAAAGAAAAGGCAAAACCAGAAAAAGAGGATGAAAGGGAGTTGCTATTAGAGGGAAAAGAAAGCTATAAGCTTATGGTGTCTGAGCACCCAACGTACACATGGAGGAGGGAGTGAACAACTGTGTCAAATGCTGTGGAGAAGGAATGGCAATGTGCTGCACACACTAGTGACCTTGATGAGAATGTTTCAGTGGGGTCGAGGAGGCAGATACCAGACTGCACCGGATTAGAGCATGCATAGGTGGTGATAACACAAAGAGCAAGTGCAGATCCAGTCTTGCTGAGTCCACTTGCTCCTACTGCCAGGGAAACCTGCTTTATCCTCCTCACCCTTGCAGCCACTCCAAAAGGTTGCAGCAGACATGCTCACCTCTTTCCATTTCTCCATTAATTACTGTGGCATTTACTTGCTAAGCAATGTATTCATTACTGTTAATTACTGTGTGTTAATTACTATATAATTATAATTTTTTTCACCTCATGTAGATTGAGATCCTTGAAACAGGGTCTCTGCTCCCTGTGGGGTTTATTGTACCTACCAAATAGATGATTTAGTAATGGCTTACTTAATGAACACAAACTGAACACAAAGGAAGGAACACAAAAAGGGAAATAAAATTGTTTAGCGTCTTAGTCCTCTAGGAGCCATAAGGAAATCACAACCACTACTCTATACCTGTATGTACAAGGGTGGGTTTTATGAGGTTTGGATAAGATGGGAACCACGAGGCTGAGGGTGGTCCCTTTCCGCCCACATGGTTAGTTACAGTAGGTGGTGTTTGTGGTTTCCTCAACAGCAGGGACATACTCCGCCTTCTCTTAGATGACATAGGACTGTTGGGTTCCCCTGGACGTTTCACTTTGTTTTGTGGCCCTGCTACAAACTCATCTGCTTCATCAATCATCATTCCCTAAAAAACACATAAATGAACGTATTTCATTAAAGACCAAAATTCCACTATTATATAACTGCAAGCACTCTTAATATGCATACATAATCAATCTTGCATTATATCACGAATATGTCTTTTTTTCTTTCATTTTTTTAAATCCCATGCCAGATTAACTAATATAAACCTTAATCATGGGCCGAAGATTTATCTTACCCCACCCCAACTTTGTTCTTAGAAATATGCAACTCAATTTTAATCCAATTTAAATGGAACAAGGAGGAAACTAACATACAGGATGTTGTCCCAAGCAAAACATACTACAATAATGATTAATCAGAAAGTTTGCAAATAAGCAGCATTATTCAACCAAAAGGAGAGAAGTACGAACTATTTTGCATCAACTCTTCATAAGGGAAATAATTTCCTTTTTTATGCTCCAAACTCATATCATTAAACAACATTGATTATCACTGTACAGTATGCTACATGTACGTGTTGAAAGGCAGGCAGGTGGAAAATGCACCTCCCCATCTGCAGCCTCACAGAGATTCAAATATGCCCACTTTGGTGCTGGGCAGGCAGTGAGGAGGCTTTTCACTCTTGGGGGGATAGATAAAAGATGAGAGGCAGCAGTATAGAAATTTAGCCAAGAGCTGTTCTTGTCCAGGAATAATCCAAGAATATGTGCCCTCATTAGTTGAATAAAATAATAATAAATGGCTTTTCCAAAAGATTTTTTACTCATAAACAATACAGAAAGGGGAAAACATTTTCAGATAATTTACTACATGCCTGTTCATGTTGTAAACAATGTGCATGTACTCACTTAATATTATGCAGAGTTCTATTAGTTAATTAGGTGTAATTTTTTTTTTTTTTTTTTGAGATGGAGTCTCACTCTGTCACCCAGGCTGGAGCGCAGTGGTACGATCTTGGTTCACTGCAATCTCCGCCTCCCAGGTTCAAGTGATTCTCCTGCCTAAGACTTCCAGAGTAGCTGGGATTACAGGCACCCACCACCACGCCTGGCTAATTTTTGTATTTTTAGTAGAGACAGGGTTTTGCCATGTTGGCCAGGCTGGTCTCAAACTCCCAACCTCAAGTGATTTGCCTGCCTCGGCCTCCCAGTGTGCTGGGATTACAGGCGTGAGCCACCTCGTCCAGCATAGTTAGGTGTAATTATTATCCCCAGTGCTACAAAATGAGGAAAGTGAAGCATAGAAAGATAAATTGAGGATTTAGGTGACGTGGAATACCTTTCAATCAGTCTTGTCACAAAAGAGATTATTGTGTGGTCTGAGCCTTAATTAACACCAATGGTCTCCTCCATGAGTGCAGCTATAATCCCATTTGTTTTCATGCTTTAATGGGCAAGTCAGTATAACACACACACACACACATACACACACACACACACACACACACTCCCCACATTTAGATTTTTAGTAGGACCATTCAAGTAAAACAACATCACTTAGTACTTCATATTTCAAGGGACACATTCATCGTTTTCTAGATCAAGCACTACAGATATGAATCATGGAAACAGGAAATAAACTGTGATTTCGATATTAAAGAAATTAGTGTGTGGTGGAATGAATATAGATTCTGGAGTGAGAAAGACGTGGATTCAAATCCTTGCTCTTATGTGCTATGTCACAGGTAAGGCGTTTGACCACTGTGGCCTTTGATTTCTCCCTTTTAAAGGACAAACAGTAACATTTGTCTTACAGAACAGTTGTGAGCATTAAGTGAGATCATTTAAAACACCAGCTCCTACTAGTACTCAATACATGGCAGCTCTGACTTTATTCAACCAACACACTCTTGCATCAGGAGGCTCCCACTAAGAGCCTTAGTGTCATATTTTATTGTTTAAACAAACAAATGAAGAACCTCTGATTTGTATTTATCTTGCCAAAAAGAAAATAATTATATAGCAAGAATATCCCAATTTAGGCAGACATAGGCATAGGTATCCTACCTTCTTATCTTGTTTAAACGGATTGCCAAAAGTATGCAGTCTTTTGGGTTGGTCTGGATCAATCTCTCGCAGTGGAGAAGCCAATGTCTTCAGATATTCCTGATAGTTACCCATTTGTGCAACTGGAACACTATGAAGGGAATCTGCAAAATCACAGGAAAAGAAATTGATGCTTATAGCTGAAGCGTATGGTCCTTTCGAGAAGACATGATCATAGTTTGGTTTAGCAGTGTGTGTCTTGGCATCAAATAGTATTTAAAGTCTCGAATCTAGCATTCTAGGATCTAGAATCATCTCTCTTCATCCCAATCATAACTTAGTCTACCGTTACTACTGCCTACAGGCTCACATCGCTAGGATCAGAACAACTCCCTTGCCTTCAAACCAGGTTTGAGAATGGGCTGACCCTACACCACCATCCCAACTCAAATCACCACATATCTTCTGCATTTCAAAGAGTCTAGTCTCTATGGCATTCACTTATCATCCAGAGAATCTTGGTTAGTAGGTCTTAATCACTGAAAATTTGATTAAATCTGTAGGTTCTCTTCCTAGAAAAGCCCTCTTACACACAAAACTTTGTGTATAATTTCAGGGAATTGACCAGAATAAGATTTGCTCATTTTAGTGAACAGGTGAGCCTTTTTAAAATTAACAAAATGGAGTAAATGGAATTTGTAAATAGTCACAATTATCCTGGATACCATTAGGTTGATTACTTTCATTTAAATGAGGTATTCTCTACTGAATTTATCACAGTAGGCTGAGTGTTAGTGTTTGGGTGTGCAAATTGGGAAATCTGACAGACCTAGGTTCTGCCACTTTCCAACTGGCTAAACTTGGGCAAACTACTAAAAATCCTCACTCTCAGTTTCCATGTCCATGAATTGGACATAAAAACAGTATCTATTTCCTGGGGTTGTTTGAAGCTTACAATAGCTAAAGCATGGCAAGTGTAGTGTACGTGCTGATTAATGCACACTTGACCTTAAACTTGAAAAAAAAAATGTGCCTGGTAAACAGACATAGGGATTCAGTGAAAACAGGCATTTTAAACATTAAAATACTATAAAATAGCCTACTCATTATGCAATAAACACCTTCCTGTAAGTCATGCCTGGCATTTTCCAAAAAAAAAAAAAAAGTATTTCACAGTTATTTTACCTTCATCTTGTCCAACAATAAACTTGTGCGTTTTCAGCAGATTGGATCTCATTCTGGTCAGCTGGTCTAAAAGACCTCTACGGGGAATATCATAAGCATTTCTGTATGTCTGAGGTTTCAAATCCTATTTGAAATGAAACAAATAATTTCAGTTACTCCTAAGGCTTTTAATATAGAAATGTCATACTTATCTCTCTTAAAATGTTATTGAAGAGTGTTATATCAATACAACTGACTACAGTAGAATTTTCCCAGTGGCAAAATTCCACTTGCTAGCCTTGTTCTGCATTGTAACACACCTACAGGGTATTAAAGCCACTGGGACTATCCCTTTTCAAATATGTCATTTAAAACACCAAATCCCGAGATTGATACCTGTGGCCGCCTTGCAGGACCACTGCTCGTACTCTAGATGTATTCCTCTGGCAGCCATGGAGGGGAGGTGAGCTGCTGGGATCTCCCTTCAGGAAAGCAATGGCTGATCCTGCAAGGAGTGCAGTTAGCAGAGAGCCTCCCGCTGCTGTGGTGCCATAGGGATCCGCTGCAGCACTGAGCTGAGGCCATGCCCTTCCCAGGCTGCCCATAGCCAGTAACAGACAATGGCAGGGTGTTAGGGCCTGGCCAGCTCTGCCCAGTGTGGCCCTCCTCTGTAGGAAATCTTGGTGCTAGAGGTCCCCACTGTGCTGGCCAAGACTTTCTCCAAGCTACACCAGTGTCTGAGCTTCTTCACACCCAATTCTCCTTCATTCCTCCTTCCTCTCACAGGTGATGGGCCAGCTTTGTAGCTTGGAAGCTCTGCCTGCCTACTCCAGCTTCATCTCCCCTTTATCTTTCATGGGCGTTACCCACAAAACATATCTTGTCCATTTAATTCCATATTGATATCTGCTGACAATTCCTAAACTGGTCCATTATTAACTACTAACTCCAAAATAGGATTGTCCATTATTTCAAAACTAAAGGAATATGAAAGACATAAATGTATCAGACAAGTTCAAACAAATACAAACTATTTATGTCACAATTTACCTTGTTTAAGAGCCCAATTTGGAAGCCAGCAAATTCTTTGGTGTTCAATTCTGTCAGTCTAAGTGCAGTTTCCCCTGTGATTTCTTTCAATAGTTTTCTAAAATTTTTATTGTGAGTCAAGGACATGCCACCTCCAGAATGATTTTTCACTTTAATTCCAATTTCCTGGGGAGGTTTCTTCCCCACTGATGCTAGTATTCGTTCTGACTCTAGTTTGGTCTAAAATGAAAGTACATAGTATGTTATAAAAACATCTACATTACCACTGTCATTTTTACTACTTAAGAAAGATAATACTTTCAGAACCCCACAGAACAATTTTCAATTACAAATCACAGAAAAATGGATAATTAAACATTTTCCTGTGCTTCTTTGCACTATCACAGCAAACAGATAGGGGGCAGGAAAGACAAATAATATTTTTTTTTCTTGTCTAGTGTCAAAATTATAATAAAATCATGGAGAGAATAAAAACCATGAATAAGAATTTCATTCATAGACATTTAAAAGCACATTTTGTTACTATAAAATCTAGTCTAAGTGAACAGGTTCATTTCAGACTCAGACATAAAGGTTTAAGACTGTATTTATACGTGTAAACTAGTACTAAAATTCAGATCACATCGACTGGCATTATATCTGAAAAAATTAAACTATTTATCTCTAATATTGGACTATCCAAAAAAGGTCTGAAAAAATTAAACTATTTATCTCTTATATTTGACTATCCAAAAAAGGTCTTAGAAGATAATGCTTAATTTAACAGATATTACTAAGTAAGTAATTTGTAAAAAGCCTCTTAATAGGCATTGTGATACCATATTGATTAATACTGCTTGAGTGTATTATAGCAATATATATTTGGCATATTTTGTGTTTTACATACATCTGAAATGGCTCAAGAAACACTGGTGACCCAGTTATTAAATTAGTAATTTGAGCTATTATAAATTAGCTATGATCTTCCCTTTTTCTCAGAAAGATGGAATTCCACCAATGTTTGGTAAACCTAAAATGATTTTGGATTTCTTGTGGTTTGGTGACAGATATTTATCAATTTTCCCTAATTATTGGAATTAAGTCTATGTTTATTATCACTAAAAAATTCTTAAGTCATGAAATATGAGATAAGAGCAAATGAAGCATCTGTTTCCTTAAATGGTCTTGAAAGCTCATTTGTAAAATGATACATGTGCCCCAAAAGGTCCCAGAACTTGCATTAATTAAAATCTCTGTACACTATTCTTCCTTGTGGCCATACCTTGGTGACACAGCCTTAAAGGCTTAGGTAAACATCAAATTAAAAAAAATCGATAGATCAATAGATAGATAAATAAATAAATAACCAAACCAAAACATTTACAACAACCACAAAAAATCTATTAGCAGAGAGGAAAGGAGGTTAGGGGGACACTTGGTAGATTAGAAATCTGGGGTTGCCTTTACTTTCTTTTGCACTTATAAGCACACTGGACTGGTAGGAGCTGGTAAGCTCCAGACCATACTGAAGTTGTTGTCAGTTCCTAGCAAGGTGTGTCGGCATCCCAATTGTGGAGTCACTTTGGTTCTTTGGTGAAATCTGATGTTTTGCTCACTACTCTCCATTTCCTAAAGGCCAAACTTCCAAACACATCCACCTTGAAGCATTATCACCACTGCGAATGCTACTATTGTCCCCTACCTGGGAATACCTTTGTGCATAAGGTAAGTAAAACTGCTGCATTAATTTGTCATATAACATAACACATTCATATGATAGTAAAGTTCTA
The DNA here is from genome assembly GCF_000001405.40 of Homo sapiens. Classification (NCBI taxonomy): domain Eukaryota; kingdom Metazoa; phylum Chordata; class Mammalia; order Primates; family Hominidae; genus Homo; species Homo sapiens. The sequence goes on along the minus strand of NC_000023.11, from coordinate 135,571,264 downwards.
ACTCAGTAGTTCTCAAATATTTCCATCCTACAAGAATGGGCTAAGTAGAGGTGAGAAGTATGATAAGGAACGGTGAGTGGAGGATGAGGTACTAATAGAGAGGGGCAGGCAAGGGACAAGGTGAATAATGGCAAATGAGGAACAGGTGGAGGGTGAGAAGAGAGGAAACTGAGCTCCACTCTTCAGTTCCCCTTGGGGTCTATCACCCTCCAGTGTGAGGAACACTGGTCTCATCTCCCCACTCTCCAGGGAAAAGCATATAGCTCTTTATCCAAGGGCTAGCATGTGAGTATAAGTCCTTCACATGCCTGAAAACTAATCTCAGACAAGTCATTTAATCACACCACGCCTCAGTGTGCTGATCTAAACAGGAGGGATGCTGTAGCCCAGAGTGATCTGAGGAGGAACTAGGTTGAAGATAGACAAAATGTGACCCATGAGAGAAGTCTATTAAACCTCTGCCCCATATCAACCAGCTTGCGGGTAGGACAAACTGGCAGGCAAAAGGAGAAATGGCACAGCATCAAATGATACTGACAGACCCTTAACTGCAGCTTAATGGTGAAGCTAGAAGCCATAGAGAATCACATTATTACTAATCCATAAAGTGTAGAGATATATACACATTTAATTTGAAAAATTACAATTACACTAAAGAATAAGGAAATGCACTTCTGAGGGCAAAGGATTTTTGTTTGTTTGTTTTTACCAATACTACCTGTTGGCTGAGTTTTTTAAGGTAAGAGATAACACTGTAACTAAGTCCACAATCTAAATTATCTGATATCAGATTTGGAGCTCCCATCATCCTTAGTGCTTTCTTTAATGGCTATAAGGAAACAAAATACACAACAGTAAGAATAGAATAAATCTTAAAATACTCAAAGTTCAGTTATAAGGGGCAAAGGGACATGATTCATTTCTTAGAAGTCAAGGTGCTGCACATAAAACCAAACATGGAACATTAAAAAGTGGCAATGAAAATAGCAGAGAAGTAAGGAGCAGAAAGTAAAAAAAAATCAGAAGAGAGTGGGATAAGAAGAGCAAGTAACAGCAAATTCAAACAAGTAAATTGCGTTCAATCTTATTTCCCAAATCATCAAATCATTTCACATTGCATTTTATTGTTTGCCCCATTACTGCCATGGTAAACAGTAACACACCCCAATTTCTCCTCCCAGTGACACCAATGGTACCATTTAAGATTCTGCCTTTTCACCTCTAGAAACTTCGCTTAAAGGTTACCACATCAACCTCTGAAATTATTTTGGTAATCTTGATTTAGATTATATTACCAGTTCAAAATCATGAATACTTCACATTATGAAATCCAAAATGAGGCCAAGTCATTTCTGAATTTTTTTGGATTCCGCCTCTCACCACCAGTGCCCCAACTTCATGCTGTGTCTAGGACACATTTAAGAGGCAATAGGCAACTGTAATGTCTTCAGATTTTCTTTTTCCAGAGGGAAACCCCATACTGAGAATTTCTAGAGTTAAAAAGGGAAGTTGATGTAATATATGAATCCAGATCTATTTATTCTTAAATTCCAATGAAATTAAGGTTACTTTTAATAAGAGAAACATAGATGTGTTTTATAAAAATAACCATGGCAGTTAAAGGAATAAAATAGAGAAAACAGCTCTCTTTTGTGCCGCCATGACATCTCCAAACTCTTACACATGATTTGAGAAGACAGTGACGACACAAATATCTGTAAAATAAAAAGATATCTCTCTTATTGCAACAGTAAAAGCTTTTGATCACTAACATTTCTTGTGACAAGAATTATCATTGATACAGTTAATACATATATACACACAAATACATACTAATAGGTAGTATGGAGGCAGAGTTTTTAAGTAGCTGTCAAAAGCCTGTCGCCACTTCAGATTTGGCTTAAGCTTGTGAACTTTAAACAAGTCATCTGTAATAGAAAAATAAAATATTACATCATTCTAGTCCTGAGCTCTAAGATATAATCAAGCAACCCACATCTAGAAACTTCAGCTTTTAATGTAGATGAAAATTTCATTGGCGTTTATTTGATTATCTTTTTTAGTGGTTGTACTATTTACCAAAATTATATATAGTATTTTTTCTAAAAAATGAAATAAATTCTTAAGTTACATATTCCTCTTTCATCTGCAATGCTACATGAAATACAATATTAAAACAATGATTTTGATCCACTTGAAATATTTTCCCAACCTCTTACATATTGGTAACTAGTAATTTTCACCTCAGGGGCAATCCATGGTCACTGGTTGATGGAATAACATTTATTTCATTTAAACATAGAGGGTGTTATCCATTTTGCTGAAAGGTCAAGGTAAGAGACTTTACAAAGTATATACAAACAAAAGCTAAGCCTATAATTTCTAGGCAGTGATGAGCAAGCTCTAAAACTATATTTTGGGCCAGGCGCAGTGGCTCACACCTGTAATTCCAACACTTTGGGAGGCTCAGATGGATGAATCACTTGAGCCCAGAAGTTTGAGACCAGCCTGGGCAACATAATGAGACCCCTGTCTCTATAAAAAAAATAAACAAAAATTAGCCAGGTATGATGGCATATGCCTGTAGCTGGGGAGGTTGAGGCAGGAGGATTGCTTGAGCCTGGGAGGTTGAGGCTGCAGTGAGCTGTGATCGTACCACTGCACTCCAGCCTGGGTGACAGAGCAAGACTGTGTCTCAAAAAAACATAATAAAATAAAATAAAATAATAAAATAAAAATTTTAATCAGCCTATGCTTTGTTTAGCCATATTTCCCTGCCTCTGCATTTTTTTTTTATTTCCATGATCACACATTTTGAGCCAAACTTTAGGTCACTCACTGACCTAAAGTCATTGGGTGATAGTAAAAGCACTAGTAGAAGTAAGTACAGATGTTAGGTTGAAGTTTAAAATTCTGTAGAACAACTAAACATGTTTCTTGAATACCATGTACTAAAAATATTTGAACTAAAAATATTTACCTAAGTAGACATTCCCTATCTTTTCACACTTAAATTTAATTATTTTAATAATCTAAATACATTTTATATACGCATGAAAATTTCCTTCACATCTCATTATTTCCTTCCAAGTGTAAGAAAAAAACATTTTTCTAATACAATAAAAATATAAAAATTGGAATCCCCAGACATCAACATGAATCTGCCACACATACTATAGGTACCAAAGACACTATAAATTCATCCTTTATTTTGTGTCTTAAGGTTTTAGTAGTTTTGATTTTTTTAAAAAAAATGCTTTACTTACAGAGACAAAACCATCCCTATCCCACATGCATAATTTCTTTACAAATAGGGCTATTCTTTGAAAATCTGAATTACTTTAGTTAAGAAAAGCGACTACATATTTCCTTCCTTTTACAGCTATAATAAATTATTCACTCCTGCTGAAACAAATTTAAATGAATTTACAAAGTCATAAAATGTAGGTCTTTTGTTAAAGATTTGAAGATATTTCTGGTTCATTGCAGCAAGTGGGGCCTTTAAAGACCATTCATATCTTGACAGAAAGGAATGAGAGACCATGGATATATCCTGTTATACCATGTCTTTATGTTGTGTCTGTTGGGAATTAGGCAGATTTTGGAAACTAACGGACAAACGTAAATACTGGAGAAACTTTTAGATATAAATAGATTAGATAATCAAGTGAATAATACTCTTTGCATTTCTAACAATGCCAAGTGCAATGATTCCACCAAGGAGCTCATTTAGGCTAATTATTTTCTGCCAGAGTTTTAAAATGGGAGTCAGGAGAAGAAAGAAAATCTTCTGCAGTCTAGATTAAGAGTAGAGAGCTCCTGGGGTGACACTGCCTTAGTCACTACCTCTGTAGCTCAGCAAATTATTTCCATGGCATTAAATACCCATTCACATGGACTCTCTAGGATGGTACAGTAAAGGTGTCACATAAACAATTAGCTGATCAACATTTGAAAGAAGATATGATGAGAGTGTAGAATGAAAGTAAAATGATACTGCCAGCACCTCAAAAATGACCGGTATTTTCTCTTCCAGTTCCTTTCTCCCCATTTCTTTCTTCAAAGAGAGGGAAGACCTGGGTTTGAGTTCAAGCTCAGCCACATCCTTAGCTCAGTGAGTTTGGAGAAATTGCCTTTTGTAAGCCTCCATTTCATCTATAAAATGGGTTAGATGATAATTGCCTTACCACAAGACTATTCTAAGGAACTACATAATGTATGTGTAAAAGCCCCGTACAAAATGAAAAACAAACAAACCAGTGTAAGCTGTTAAGCACCAGATACATAGTGACTGATACACATCAAAGTATCCTGCTTCTATTCTCTATTCTCATACCTCTCCCTTTCTTCCTCCTGATCATAACTGGTTTTAATATGGAACTAAAGTTTATTTTTTACACAAGTCCTCAGTTCTTAATTTAAAAGAACAGGTGGATTGAATGTGATATATTTAAGAAAACGAAAAAAAAAGTTGTTACAAATGCTCTAATTTCTGCAGTTATTAGGTCTCAATAGAAAAACTAATTTCCTAATTGGGAGAGAGTCCTTTGCTAACTACAACAATCTGGTGACCTCCTTAATGAAATGATTCTGGTAGCTCATTGATACAATTAAGCTTCGTTTATCTATTCCAGAAAATGAGATATTTTATATTTTCTGGTAAGTTTTAGTGCATAAGTAATTAAACTTTCATGACCTTAATTTGATTGAAATCTGGTATTAATAAAAAGAAAACAAGGGACACTGTTATGAACAATTACTGTACTATGCAGTAATATAGTGATGCTTCTGGACTTATGTAGTCTGTGTAACTTAACTTGCCCTTTTACTAACTGTCCCTGTCCACTAAAACTGCAAAATTATACAATAGCCTTCTTAGTATAATATAGCAGTGCCTTCGAGAGCTACTAAGATAATGTAGGTATTAATAATGACAGTAATAATAACAACAGCATTTATTGAGCACTTACTATTTGCCAGGCAAGTTCTAAACAATTTAACTGTATTAACTCATTTAATTCCAACTAAATCCCTTTGAGGTAAGTACTATCATTATCCCCATTTCACTAATGAGGAAACTGAGGCATAGACAGATTAGGTATCTTGCCCAACGTCATGAAACTAGCAAGTAGCAGAGCCAGATTCATACCTGGGCAGCTATGCCCTCCAGCCCAAACTCTTAACCACTATAAATGTCAAACTCCCCAGAGAATTAAGTAATTATGGAAATGTTGAGTTTCTGTTTATTTCAGAAACTCACAAGGAATCCCAAGTTTGGACTTTAGGAGCTCAAGGACCTCCAGCCTCAAAGGGTGTTAAAAACCCTATACTCCTCAGAAAACACAGGTTACAGAAAGGCCTGGAGATGGATATTTGAAGCCAGGGGGCAGAATGGGAACTGAGTCAAGATTGGCATGGACCCTAGCTGAATGTATGGGATTAGGGAACAGGGGAAGAGTCAAAGATGCCTCCAGAGTTTCTGGTGTGGGATGTTTGCATAGACATGGTGATGCCACTAACTAAACTGTGAAGAGAGGAGGAAGAGCATGGTAAGGTAAGAGTTCAGCTTGGCTTGAAGACACTCTTGAAACATCCAGAAGGCTGTTGGGCAACCAAAATAATTTAGGTCATCATGCTCTAGGCAGGGTTGGAGTCTTAGTGTTATAGGCTAAGGAGGACCAGGCACAGATGCCACACATGTCTTACTGGTGACAGAAGACACTTCAAACAGAAGAAACACTTGACATTTGAGGAATAGAGTGATGCAAACTAAAAGGTGACCAGGAAGACAGTGTCAGGATTTGACTTGGCATAGTGCTGAGGAGTTTGGGGAAGGGCACCACATGGCAACTTAAGCACAGAAGGTTTTAGGCAAAGGGAGAACTGAATGCTTGATCACACTATAATCATTCCTCTTAACCATTATGTCATGCCTTCATCTGACCTCCATTACCTGAAAGACGAGCAAAGGCAAAGATGAGAGGATGAGTCTTGCTATTGTAAAGTGCTCTACATCCTGATAGCTACTGGAAGACCAGCTACTCTAGTTAAAGGAATTTTCAGGGAATAATTTGGAAGGCAGGCTGGATTTAGACCAAAGATGGGACCCTAGAGCTTAGCCCATAATAGTTGTATAGGACTTTCACAACTGCTCAGTAGTAATGAGGTCACCTCTACCCATATGGTGTCAGTGGAGGTCAAGTGTGGAAGATAATGAAGCATTCCTATCTCTTCCAGCCAGGAAGGTATCATTCTAGGGAGGATCCAGAACTCCTACTCACACACAACAATAACAAGGAGATCCCTCCCTTTTGGTGTCAATGAAGGCCAAGTGGCGAGCCTGGACTTCTACCTGGCATGAATGAGGCAGCACCTCCCAGTTTCTCCAAGAGGGGTGTGAGAGGAAGTAAGTTAAAACAGAAGGTTTAAGTAAGATCCAGAGACTCATAACAAAATATTGAAAATGTACAGGAAAAAAATCACTCATCATACCAAGAACCAGGAAGATCTCAAAATTAATTTTTTTTTTTTTTGAGACAGTGTATCACTCCAACACCCAGGCTGGAGTGCAGTGGCGTGATCTGGGCTCACTACAACCTTTGTCTCCCAAGTTCAAGTAAGTGTCGTGCCTCAGCCTCCCGAGTAGTGGGAATTACAGGCGTGCACCACCATGCCTGGCTAATTTTTGTATTTTTAGTAGAGACGGGGTTTCACCATGTTGGCCAGGCTAGTCTGGTCTGGAACTCTTAACCTCAAGTGATCCACCTGCCTTGGCCTCCCAAAGTGCTGTGATTAAGGTGTGAGCCACCGTGCCTGGCCTCAAAATTAATTTAAAAAGACAATTAAGGGATGCCAACACCAAGATAATAGAGATGTTAAAAATATCCAATTTAAAGCGGCCATCATAAAACATGTTTCAAAAAATAATATGAGCAGGCTTGAAACAAATGAAAACACATGCAAAGAAACAGAGAATAAGAATAGAAGATATAAAGAATAACTAAGTGGAAATTTTAGAATTAAAAAAATACAATAACCAAAATAAAAAGCTCAGTAGATAGGCTCAACAACAGAATGCAGGGGACAGAGGAAATAATCAATGAACTGGAAAATAGAACAATGTAAATTACCCAATCTGAATAACAGAGAAAATAGAATGAAAAAAATGAACGGAGCCTAAGGAACCTAAGAGACTATAAGAAAAGATCTAACATTCATGTCAACAGAATCCTGGAAGGAGAAGAGAAAGAAAGTGGGGCTGAAAAAGTACTCAAGGTAATAATGGCTGAAAACCGGCCAAATTTGGAAGGAGAAATAAACCTACAGATTCAAGAAGCTGAATGAACCTCAAACAGAATAATCTCAGAGGAGTGCATGCCAAGACACATCATAATCAAACTTCTGAAAACTACAGGCAGAAATAAATCTTGAAAGCAAAGAAAAACAATACCTCACTTACAGAGGAAGAACAATTAGAATTAAAGTAGATTTCTCATTAGAAACCAAAAGAACAGAAGGCAGTTACACAGCATTTTTCTAGTGCTAAAATAAAAGTACTGTCAACCGAGAATTCTATACCTAGCTATATATATAGCTATATATATAGCTATATATATATATATATATATATACACACACACACACATATGGATATATACATATGTATATACATATATATATGTATATATATATTTCAGGAATGAAGGGGAAATCAAGATATTCTCAGATGAAGAGAAACTAAGAGAATTTGTCACTAGCAGACCTACCCTTAAAAAACAGCTAAAGGATGTTCTTTAAACAGAAATTAAACATAAAAGAACAAACCTTGAATTATCAGGAAGAAAGAACAGGATATGCCAAAATATGGTTTAAAACAATGGACTTTCATCCTGAGTTTTCTAAATTATGTTTGACAGTTGAAGCGAAAGTTATAACACTGCCTCATGTATTTCTAATTGTACATAAAATAGTTCAGATAATTTTATTATAAATAGAGGAGGGTAAGGGAATATAATGAGAGATAAAGTTTCTATATTCCACTCAAATTAGTAAAATAATGAGAACGAGTAGACTGTGGTAATTTGTGTATAATAACACCTGGAGCAATCACTAAAAAAGCTATCCAAACAGATATACTTGAAAGTACTATAGTAAAAGAAAATAGAATTCTAAAAAACGTTTAAATAACCCAAAAGATGCCAGTAAAATGAAAACAGAGAAAAGAAAAATAGAACAAAGAGAAAACAATACTATAAGATGGCATACTTAAGCCCTAACATAACAATAATCACATTAAATGCAGATATCTAAATACATCAATTAGAAAACAAAGATTGGCAGAGTGGATTAAAAAACATGACCCAAAAATGTGCTGTCCATAAGAAACTCACTTAAACAAAACAGTTATAGGCAAGTTCAAAGTAAAATGATGGGAAAAGATATATCATGCAAACATCAAAGAAAAACAGAAGTGGATACATTAGTATCAGATAAAGCAGACTTAAAAGCAAAGAAAATTAGCAAAGATACATTACATAATGATCAATCAAGGAAGAATACACCATGATTCTAAATGTGTATGAACCAAGTAAAAGCTGCAAAATAGTTGAAGCAAAAATTGATGGAACTGAAAAAGAAACAGACAAATCCACAATTATAGTTGGAGACTTCAACAACCCTCTCTCAAAAACTGATAGAGCAAATAGACAGAAAATCAACAAGGATATAGCAGAACACCATCAACCAACAGGAACAATTTAACACTTGTAGAATATCCTACCAAACAACATGAGACCATACATTATTCTCAAGCACTGCTGGAATATATATTAAGATAGAAAATATGCTTTGCCATAAAGCAAATGGCAACATATTTATAAGAGTAGATATCGAATACAGATGTGTCCTCTGACCACGATGGAATTCAATCTAGAAACTAGTAACAAAAAGATAATAGGTAAATTTCAAAATACTTGGAAATCAAACAATACACTTCTAAATAATCTATGGGTCAAATAAGTCTCAGGAGAAATCAAAAGACAAAGTAAAGTGAATGAAAATGAAGGACAACATGTAAAATTTGCGGAAAGCAGCTAAATTAGCGCTGAGAGAAATTTAAGGCACTAAGTACTACTTACAATAGAAAAGAGGAAAAGTATCAAACCAATAATCTAAGATCCCATACCAAGAATCAAAAAAGAAAAGCAAAACAAACTTAAAGTAAGAAGAAAGGAAATAAATCAATGAAATTTTAAAAAAAAATTGATAAGATTAATGAAACAGCTGGTTCTTTGATGAGATTAATAAAAGTGACAAACATCTAGCAAGGCTGACAAAGACAAAGAAGACATAAGACCCGTATTATCAATACCAGGAATAATATAGGTGATATCACTAAAGACTCTGTACACATCAAAAGGACCATAAGGGATTGCTAAGAATGATTCTACACACATACATTTCACAACTTAGATAAAATGGACAAATGGACTGATTCCTCAAAAGGACATATAACCACATTTCACTCAATGAAATACATAATTTGAATAACCCTATAACTATGAAAGAAATTGAATTAATAATTTGAAAACTCCCAACAGGAATGTTTAGAACCAGATAGTTTCACTCAGGAATTCTATCAAATGTTTACAGAATAATTAATACCAATTATACACAATCTTTTCCAGAAAACAGAATAGGAGAAGCACTTCCCAATTCATTTTATGAAGAGCTTGTATTACCTTGATACTAAAACCAAAGACAACAACAAAAAAGAAAACTACAGGCCAATATCTTTCATGAATATAGACACAAAATTACTCAAGAAAATATCAGCACATAGAACTCAGTAATATATATGAAAAGAATTATATGCCATGACCAAGTGAGATTTATTTCAGGGATAGAAAGCTGGTTCAATATTTGAAAATTAGTCAGTGTAATCCATCATACTTAACAGACTAAAGAAGAAAAATCATATGGTCATATCAAATGATGCAGAAAGAACATTTGAGGCCTGGCCCAGTGGCTTGTGCCTATAATCCCAGCACTTTGGAAGGCCGAGGCGAATGGATCACCTGAGGTCAGGAGTTCAAGATCAGCTTGCCCAACATGGTGAAACCCCGTCTCTAACTAAAAATATGAAAATTAGCCAGGCAGGGTGGTACATGCCTGTAATCCAGCTACTTGGGAGGCTGAGGCATGAGAATCGCTTGAACCCAGGAGGTGGAGGTTGCAGTGAGCTGAGATTGTGCCACTGCACTCCAGCCTGGGCAACACAGCAAGATTCCATCTCAAAAAAAAAAAGAAAGAAAAGAAAAAAAAAAAAGAAAGAGCATTTGAGAAGCTTTAACACCTATTTATGATTTTTTAAAACTCAGAAAAATACAAATAGAAGGGGAATTCTTCAACTTTTTATTTTTGAGATGGAGTTTTGCACTGTCTCCCAGGCTGGAGTGCAGTGGCACAATCTCGGCTCATTGCAACCTCCACCTCCCGGGTTCGAGTGATTCTCCCGCCTCAGCCTCCCAAGTAGCTGGGACTACAGGTGCGTGCCACCACGCCCAGCTAATTTTTGTATTTTTTAGTAGAGACAGGGTTTTGCCATGTTGGTCAGGCTGGTCTCAAACTCCTGACCTCAGGTGATCCACCCGCCTTGGCTTCCCAAATTGCTGAGATTACAGGCGTGAGCCACCGCACCCAGCCAGAACTCTTCAACTTGATGAAGAAAATCTACAAAAGCATTATGCTTAATGTAAGAATGAATAGTGCATAGTTGTCAAGCACCGATGGAACATACATCTTACCACTGCCATTAAACACAGTGCTGGAAGTTCTCTACAGTACAGTAAGGCAAGAAAAGAAAAGAAAAAACATAAAGATAAGAATAGAAAAGGTAAAACTGTCTCTATTTGCAGATGACATAATTGTCTATGTTGAAAATTCCAGGGAATCTACAAAACTCTCCTACAACTAATAAGTGAGCTCAGTAAAGTTGCAGGATACAATATTAACATAAAAATCAACTGTATTTGTATATACTAGCAGTGAACATGTAGATACCAACATCAAAAATACAATACCATTTGCAATCACTCAAAAAATGAAGTAAGTGTAAATATAACAAAATATGCACCGTATTTGTAAGTGGAAAACTGCGTAACACCAATGAAAGATCAAAAAAGATCTAAATAAGTATTTGCAAGTCACCTATCTGTCAGAGGGCTAGTATCTATGATATATAAAGAACTTTCAAAACTCAACAGTAACAAAAGCAAACAATCTAATTAAAATATAGGGAAAAGTCAGTTCACCAAAGAACATATACAATGGCACATCATCACATCAGCACATAGAAAGATGATCAATATTGTTAGCCATTAGGGAAATACAAATTAAAACCACAGTGCTATATCACCATACACCTATCAAAATGGCTAAAATTTTAAAAATACTGACAACACCAATGGCTGATGAAGATGCAGAGAAACTGATTCACTCATACACTAATAGTGGGAATGTAAAATAGTATAGCTACTCTGGAAAACATTTAGGCTATTTCTTAAATAACTAAACATGCAACTACCATAGGATCCAGCAATTGCACTCCTGGGCATTTATCTCATAGAAGTGAAGACTTATGTTCACAACCTGTATGCAAATGTTTACAGTAGCTTTATTCACAATAGCCAAAAAGCATAAACAACACAGATGTCCTTCAACAGGTGAACAGGTGGAGAAACTGTGGTATATTAATGTCATAGTTTGTAAACTCAGCAGTGAAGAGGAACAAACTATTGATACTTGCAACAACCTGAAGGAATCTCTAGAGAATTACACTGACTGAAAAAAGCCAATCCCAAAAGGTTACATACTGAATGGTTCCATTTATATAACATTCTTGATATAATAAAATTGTAGACATGTAGAACCGATTAGTGGTTGGCAGTGGTTAAGGAGGGGATGGGTACAGAAGGCAGGTAGATGTGGCTGTAATAGGGCCTCATAAGGGATCTTTGTGGTGATGAAAATGTTCTGTATCTTCACTGCATCAATGTTAATATCACAATTGTGATACTGTACTGTAGTTTTGCAAGACTTCCATTTGGGAAAACTGAATAAAGAGTACATAGGATATTTCTGTGTTATTTCTTTTTTAAAAATCCTATTAAAAATTGTGTTTAGGCTGGGCACAGTGGCTCATGCCTGCAATCCCAGCACTTTAGGAGGCCAAGGTGGGCCAATCACTTGAGGTCAGGAGTTCGAGACCAGCCTGGAAAATATGGTGAAACCTCATCTCTACTAAAAATACAAAAAGCTGGGCGTGGTGGTGCGCACCTGTAATCCAAGCTACTTGGGAGGCTGAGGCGGGAGAGTCACTTGAACCTGGGAGGTGGAGGTTGCGGTGAGCCAAGATCATGCCATTACACTCTGGCTTGGGTGACAGAGAGACACTCTGTCTCAAAAAAAAAAAAAAAAGAAAAAAGAAAAGAAGAAATTGTGTTTAAAAACACGTAATACTTACCATCTTAACCATTTTTAACTGTACAGTCCAGTAGTGTTAACTGTATGCATATTGCTGTGCCACAGATATCTAGAGGCTTTTCACCTTACAAAACTGAAACTCTATTACCCACTGAAGAACAAGTTCCCATTTTCCCCTCACACAGCCCCTGTTTCTATGAGTTTGACTACTTTTAATACCTCATGTAAGTGGAATCATACAATATTTGTCATTTGGCTTATTTCACTTAGCATAAGTCCACTAGGTTCATCCATATTGTAGCATGTCACAAAATTTCCTTCTTAAGGCTAAATAATATTCCATTGCATGTATATCTACCACATTTTCTTTATTCATTTATCCATCAATGGATTTTTTTTTGGCTATTGTGAATAATGCTGCAGTGAACATGGGTGTGCAAATATATCTTCAAGATTCTGGATTCGATTCTTTTGGATATATACTCAGAAATGGGATTGCTGGATCATATGGTTAATTTTATTTTTAATTTTTTGAGGTACTTCTATCTGTTTTCCATACTGGTTACACCATTTTACATTCCTAAGAGTGCACAAGAATTCCGATTTCTCCACATCTTTACCAACACTTCTCATTTTCTGTTTTTGTGATAGTGACCATCCTGAGGGGTGTAATGTAATGCCTTACTGTAGTTTTGATTTGCATTTCTGTAATGATTAGTGATGTTGAGCATCTCTTGATATGCTTGTTAACCATTTGTACCTCTTCCTTGGAGAAATATCTATTCAAGTCCTTTGCCCATTTTTTAAGCAGGCTATTTAGGGTTTTGTTTTTGTTTTGCTATTGAAATGTAAGACTTCCTTATATTTTTTGGAAATTAAGCCCTTATAAGATATATGATTTGCAAATGTTTTCTCCTATTCCATAGGTTGCCTTTTCACTCTGTTAATCGTCTCCCTTGATGCACAAGCTTTTAAGGTTGATATAGTCCCATGTGTCTAGTTTTGTCTTTGCAGCCTGTGCTTTTGAGGTCATCTCTTTCTATATTATTTCTTACAACTACATGTGAATCTGCAATTATCTCAAAATAAAAAGTGTGTAAGTGGTATCATGTGGTATCTGTTCTTCTGTGTCTGCCTTATTTCACTCAGCATAATGTTTTCTAGCATAGTACCTACAGTTAACAATACTGTATTGTGTACTTAAAAGGTCAGTAAGAGGGTAGATCTTACCAGGGCAGGAGGAAACTTCTGGAGGTGACTGATAGGTTTATGGCATAGAATGAGGTGATGGTTTAATGCGTATATACTTATCTCCAAACTCATCAAGTTGTATACATTAAATATGTACAGCTTTTTGTACGTCAAGCATAACTCAATAAAGTAGATCAAAAAAAGTGCACTTAAAAATAGAAAAATAATATCATTAACAGTGTTAGTGAAGATTACATAGTCTAATCTCTTCACTTTATAGTTGTGGAAACTGAAGTCATAAAGACTTATTTAAGAAAAGGGATAAATAAATCTGCAAAATACAGACACTTTTTTACTGGCTGTCTTATTAATCTGAAAGATATAACCTATATCTTATGTTAATGATAATCAGCTCTTAGAAAGAGAACATCCCTCTTAGGTTGCACTAAGAAATAAAGTAGATAGGTTATTTAAAATAATCATGCTAATACATTTACGATGACTCATTCTTAAACTTCTTAAATCGACATGTAAAAGTATTGCAATTTCAGTATATTCAATGTATGTTGTATTTATAGCACTAAAAGTCTCATAGTTTTAATGATCGTATGAAAACTTAGTAAAGATTCGACCCTTTTTGCAAAAATTAAGAAACTCCACGAAATAAAAACATTTACAACTTTACAACTAGGATACTGTGCAGTAAGTACTACATTACTCTAAACAGATGTGGCTCTTCCAATAAGGGGAAAATATCTCCACACACATTTTCATTAGTATCTGAGTAACAGCTTCTTGAGTTGTTCCTTTTAGAACCTTGCTATGGAAATCACAGCTTCTACAACCACAGTCATTGCAGAATTTACTCTGGTACCTATTTTCTTAACTCACTACTCTGCCTAAAACAGATGCCTCAAGAGCATTTATCTTCTGAGGGGAAACAAGCACAAGCCATTACTCCCACCCCATGGTAGCTCTGTTTTGGTATTTTTTGGCCCAAACTATACAAAAAAGCCAAGTGCACTTCAAACTGGGGATTGGGGGTGGGGTGTGCATTGGAAGTTGCAACCTGAAGAACAAGCATAAGAATCACACACTGAAAGTCAAGCTTCTCTTCTGTTTGATGTAAAAACAACAAAAAGAAAACAAACAAAACAGAAAACAGTATGCAAATTCTATCCTTTCAAATCAATTTGTTACCGTCATCTACATTTAAAATGCTTAGTCTATTATCGATTTTTCATTTCTGTTGTATTTTAAAGATGATTCAGTGGCACATGTTTTACTTACCTAAAAGAGGAAGTAAAACTGGGTAGTTGTAAGGCATCACAAAGAGGTTTACACAAGTTAAAGTTGTACTGGCTTTTAAATAACCAAATGGATATCCAAGTTCATTGTACTTTCCACTGCTAGTAACAAATACCTGAGAATAACATGAAGTAATGCACAGTGATGACAATAAGGATTTTATGTCAAACCAAACCCATTGTAACATTCCATAGCAGCATCTATGGCGCAATTTGATTGTAATTTTAAAATAGCAATAGTGTTTTTAGCCTATGGTTATGTCAAAATATATTATACTAGGCCAGGCTCATGTACTAGGATTACAGGTGGCTCACACTTATAATCCTGACACTTTGGGAGACTGAGGTGGAAGGATTGCTTGAGGCCAGGAGTTTGAGACCAGCCTGGGAGACAAAGGGAGATCTCATCTCTACAACAAATTTAAAAAATTAGCCAAGTGTGGTGGCACGTGCCTATGGTCCCAGATCCTTGGGAGGCTGAGCAGGAGGATGGCTTGAGCCAGGGAGCTTGAGGCTGCAGTGAGTCATGACTGTGCCACTGCGCTCCACCCTGGGTGACAGAGCGAGACCCTGTCTCAAAAAAAATCCTACTAAATATGAATGTTCAGATCGCAATTCTCCTATAAATTATATTAAGAAATGAAACTATACTATGCAACAACCATTCAGAGACCACAGGCCACATCAACAGTACCCAAATATTTACTTACTTAGCAAAATGAAAAATAAAGCTGAAATACTGCTAAGAGGAAACCAGCCACTAAAACAAATTAACTTCTCAAAAGAACAAGTGGTAATCAGAGTGCAGACTGTGAAGAAAATAGAACACAGTCCCATGCCTGAAGCATGAAATTACAAAAACAAAGCCTACTTA
The DNA here is from genome assembly GCF_000001405.40 of Homo sapiens. Taxonomy (NCBI): domain Eukaryota; kingdom Metazoa; phylum Chordata; class Mammalia; order Primates; family Hominidae; genus Homo; species Homo sapiens. Next base: position 135,555,409 of record NC_000023.11, on the reverse strand, counting down.
AAGGATTATGTAAACCATCTTCATTGTACTATTATTAAGTCTTTGCTCCATGCATCTTTGCTGCCTCCTTCCCCTACCCATTTATCCATTTTTTTTTCAATAAATATTTACTGAGTAACCTGTTATAATAAGCCAGGCACTGGTGCTAATTATTTTGAGGCAGCAAGGAGATACTTTGGGTCAACCTGGAAGGCATTTCTCTTATAAATTATGCTGGTAGTGGCTGAGTGCGGTGGCTCACGCCTATAATCCTAGCACTTCGGGAGGCCGAGGCGGGCGGATCACCTGAGGTCAGGAGTTCCAGACCAGCCTGGCCAACATGGTGAAACCCCATCTCTACTAAAAAATACAAAAATTAGCCAGGCATAGTGGTGCGCCTGTAATCCCAGCTACTCAAGAGGCTGGGCAGCAGAATCACTTGAACCCAGGAGGTGGAGGTTGCAGTGAGCTGAGATTGTGCCACTGCACTCCAGCCTGGGCAACAGAGCAGGACTCTGTCTCAAAAAAAAAAAAAAAAAAAAAAAAAGTTATGCTGGTAGAGTAAACATTCAGTGAAGATTAAAACATTGATCTTAATTCCATATGACTATTTTCTTACTCCTTATTGATTTCCTGATGTGATTCCTGTATCATCAGCCCCCTTACAGTTGATATGTTGTACTGGGGTCCCCTAGCTGCCATGTTTTCTCTGTTCCATGTTCAGAGTCTTTGGTCCAAACCACCAATATATACTTTTAGAGACCTGGTCCTTTACTTTTCCAAAGTCCTTCGGCAGAATCATTTACAACAAAGTCGAACCTTGACATTTAACAGAATCCATTTACCTTGCTAGTTCTCAGTACTACCAATATCACCTACCAATTCACTACCTTCTTATAATATTATCACTAAGAATAAGTTGGTATAATTATGTAATGTAATTTATGTAATTTATGACCCCACAGAACATGAGTTGTACTAAAACATGAGTCTACTAGATTTTGTGTCATAATTTGAATGATAATAGAAACAGATAACTGCAATAAACCATGCTGGATTTTATTTCCTAAGTGTGTATATTAGAAGAGAGGAAAAATTCATCAAAGAAAGATAAAAAAAATCACATGCACAAGGCAGTCAAGGGTCAGATCTATGATTCCCATGAAAGGAAAAGCACTGAATTTTGTTTCTTTCTCTCTTTCTCTTTCCTACCTTCCTTGGCCCCTTGAGTTTTTCCAAATTCCTTATCAGCCACAGATTCATAGATTTTTAGGGTTCCAAAGGATCTTTAGAGCTAGTTCAGACAATGTAAGTCCCTCGTGCAAGGCCACATAGTTGGTGACAGAGCTAGGGTTAGGCTCCGGTCTCCATTGTGGTTTTGCCAAATTTCCTGGCTACTGGTTCATTTTATTCTTTTTCACTAACACTAATTCATCACATTAAGAATACTCTAAAAAAAGTAACATAAAGTACAGGAAAGAGGCATATGACATATTTAAGGGGTAGTGCAGAAGCAAGGACAGCATTTCTTAAGTTTCTCTGAAGAAGGTTTCCAAGAAATGTGCTATATAGAAAAGAGGGGTTATTTTAGGGAAAAGCTATAATTTGTAATTTTATTTGCTTTCATTATAAAAATGTTTTTCAACCCATAAATTCAAAGGTCATATCTTTATTTTAAATTAGCAATCTATTATCCATATCTCTACATTTCTAGCACTTTTGGGGTAAACTATAAGTATAGAGCTCAATGAATGCTCACAAAGTGAATGTACATGTGTAAACAGCACACGAGTCAAAAAACAGAATATGGCCAGGCACAATGGTTGATGCCATCATCCCGGCACTCTGGGAAGCCGAGGTGGGAGGATTGCTTGAGCCCAGGAGTTTGAGACCAGCCTGGGCAACACGGTGAGACTCCGTCTCTCTAAAAAAAAAAAAAAAAAAAAAAATTTAAAAAATTAGCCAGGAATTGTGGTGTGTGCCTGTAGTCCTAGCTCCTCTGTGGGGGGCTGAGGTGGGAGGATCGCTTTGCTTGAGCCAAGGAGGTCGAGGCTACAGTGAGCTGAGATTGTGTTACTGCACTCCACCCTGGGCAACAGGCTGGACGCTGTCTCAAAACAAAACAAAACAAAAAGAATGAAAGAAAGAAAGAGAACAAAACCAGACATCTCCTTGTGTCCTCTTCTGTCCACTACCTTGCATCCCCCCAAGAGAAACCACTATCCCGACTTCTAACAGAGTAAGTTAGTTTTATCTCTCTCTGAAAGTATATAACATAGAATCACACAATATGTAATCTTTTCTGTCTAGCTTCTTTGCTCAGTATTATGTTTGTGAGATTATTCTGTTTCTTGTGCTTTTACATTCTTGCTTTAATCCTGCTCCTTTTTTTCTAACTAGTTGTAGCATCTTGGGAGAATTTAAGTAGCTTACAGACAACTTGTAGCAATAATCTCACATTTTAAGATAAAACAGATGGCAGTCTGAAAGTGTTCCTTGCATAAATAGAGCCTAACAGTTACTGATTGCTATAGAGTCCTATATATTAATAGAAGTAGAACATACATCTCTACAGTTTAGAAATAGAACATACATCTTTACAGTGTAGGACATTTTTGTTGTATCCACATAAAAAGGCTGTGACTGCCATCTCTGAATTTTTACAAATTAAATTCCATAGGTGACTCTATTAACCAATCAGCAAATCCTTCTGGCTTAAGTGTAACACTTGGAAGAGCCAGTGTATGATAGATATCTCTATGCATTTGTCTCATCCAAGTTGCAAAATCCACATTACACACATTTTTTAGTGTGATTTGTACCACAGGACGAAGAGTTTTATTATATTACACTAATACAGAAATTAGTTTCAGGACTTATGGTTCTCTGCCTAAACTATCCTGTACTTCCAATCTGTCAAGTTCAAAGTAAGGGCTAAACACCTTGTTTCAGCTGCAGACGCCATACCTGAAGTGAAGTACAACCTTTAGATTAGGGATTCTTAAGCTGGGGTGCATGGGTAGACTTCAAGGGGTCCCCCAAATCTTCAAATATATAGGTTTCATCAGACTCTATTGCTTTAAATGGCAATGTACAGTAGACTAATGATTCATATTAGTCTGAAATTATTTGCCTGGCCCTGTTGCTTATTTGACAGCATTCATGAGAAACATCATTAGCACAGTCAGTCCAATTATTTTGAGAATAACCTTTGAAGCTTCTTAAAACAATTCCCAGATCCTAGAGTGGTTACAGACATTTAGCTAATAGGTAAGGATAAGTACCTGCCAGCAGGTATGGGGAGACTTTCGTTCCAAGATATACTGAGTTAAGGGCGAAGGTTCAAGTTCATATTTGTCAAAAGGAAGTTTGTCTATTACCATTGGCTCACAATCTACACAGGAGAACCTCACAACAGGATGAGATGTTCGTGGAGGCTAAAAAAAATTTTTTAAAAAAAGCAGAAAAAATGGTTAGGTCTCAAAGCAAGCTTATATTTCTGACAATTCTGCAAGTCGTTTTATATTTTGTTACATTTTCACTGAAATACAGACTAGCATTTTGAGAAAGAAGATTACTAGATCTCTAGGAACCACCAATGGCTTCCATGGGAGAGAGGGCTCAGATTCTTTACTATCTACTTGACATTAGGAAGAGGAAAGGTAAATTTCAACACTCATAACTAAAATTTCAGTGAATTGAAAAAAAACTGTTTTGAATATGTTTAAGAAGTGCTTATGATTGTAGGATGAATGTTGAATTTCAGATCTATTTTATGACCTCCAAGAATTGCCTGCCCTTCATTCCTTTGTACCATGAGGTTACAGATAGTCCAGATATGCTGGGAATGAAGAAATCCATGCAACTTTCTAATAAGGTAATGAGAGGGCTAAAGCCATGAACAAGCAAGATGAAAAATAGTAGAGGGATGGAGAGGGCAAGATAGAGACTGATAATAAGCTAGTCACAATGCCAGGGCCCAGATGGATTTTTGCAGCATTGCTAACACCAACGTGTTTGCCTTGAATAGCTGGAGCTGGGGATGCTTTGCGCTGGGCTTCGAAGGCCTGTGTACCTGGGGTGCTGGAGCAGATTAATGGAGAAGCCATTTAAGTAACAGGTTTAGCTTGTGTGATTGGAGAGCACCAGAGAGAGAAAGGCGAACAGCAAGGGCAATATGGAGAGAGAGGGACACAGGACAAGTCCCAGAGACAAAGTAAGAAGTGGGTCAGCCTATTCTTGTTGCGAAACCTGTAAAGCTAATATGAATATGATAAAATATCACTGCTTCCTTTATAAAAAATGAAAACATATTCACTTGCCTTTATAGTTTACAATTATAAGATGTTTGGGGGTTGAGAAAAATAGCTCTTAAATGAACTTTTAAAGATGGAGGAATGGTAACATGAGCTATGTGTGAATTACTTGGAATGTCTTATTCTATTTTGTTTTTTCCCAACTTAGTTTTAATTAACTTGTGAAAGGTTTCTGACTCCTTAGATTTGAACAGGTAAAAATGTCATAAAGACATGAATGAAGACTTGTTGCTAGCAAAAATGAAGTAAATTTGCCATAAAGCCTGTACTCGAGTTTGGAAGGGCTGAGGTTTCACAGGTGTAACACCTTGAAGCCCTGAGGAGAGGAGTGGGACGTTTACCCTCACCCACAGCAGGGGCCAAAAGGGCTCTTCAGTCTTACATTCAGGTCTTTCATGGCCACTTCTGAAAAAAGGGCAGAAGCCTAAAAGCAGTAATCCAGGAGAAAATGCAATTCACTGTCAGAAATTTCTAAAACTGAGACAGAATATAGATGAACTGAACTAGGAAGATGTTAAATAGAAGAAGTAGTGATTTGTTTGTGTCCCCTCCTGAGCCCACACAAGGGAGATTACTCAGGCCCTCTTACAATTTGGGGAAGGGGAAAGAAGACAAAAGAGAGTGGGTTTCATACCGTCTCCTTTATTACTAGACACTGCCCTCCCTCCAAAAAAAAAAAAAAAAGCCAATTGATCTGGCACTGGGAGCAACTGTAATAGCAAAGCCTCTCCTACCAAATGCAGTGACCAAAAAGACAAGTCCTTGCTTAGAGATTATTTTTTAAATATTGCTTAATTACCCATCATTGAAAGGTATATTGCTACAAAAGTCCATTGATTACAAAAAGATGAAAAGTAGGAAGAAGTAGAATTTTGAATATGATTTTAATATGTTCCCAGAACCTATCCAAGGTGTAAACTATGTTCAAACTTCCTGAGGCTGTGCATGAAAACCAAGGCCAGTACATTTTAGACGTTGTGTTTGCCACGTAAATCAAGTCAGCTGCTCTGAAATGAAAACCAAGTAACAGATTATAACAGCATCAAAAACAGCAATGTTTTAACATCCAAAAAGGGCAGCTCAAGTGGCGAAGGCAACTGAAGAATGACAAGTATCAGAAAATAAAGGAAGTCCTCCTTTGCTTTTAGGCACAAAGCTAGACTTCCAGTAAGAGATAGAAGGCAAAGGAGGGAAGACTTACTTGCCTGTGGCATGGCATAAAGGCCTCAAAGCTATTTTAAAAGGTTCACTGTAATCAGAAAATTGAAAATCCAGAATGATGTTTACCTTTTTATTTTATGACACTTACTAGTGAAGGTAAATTCTGATCTGGCCAAAAAGATTCTGGAATTGGCCAATGTCCAACAGGAACACCAGTTTTAGAGTTAGGTCGTACATAAATGAGTTTATGACAACTATGCCATGGCTGAGCAGCAAATGAATTGCTTGGCCTGGATGAATCCATAAGTCCATCTAAAAGTTAAACAAAAGACAAACTAAGGCGTGAGTTTCTTTTTACAGCTGCTGATCTTCTTGTACAAATTTTCCAGCTGAAAGCAAAGTCCAAAATAAAACAAGAACAATGATTCATGAAAAATGGAAGAAGAAAAAAAAGTGACTCTACTAGGATTTCTAAATGTTCTCTCTAGCAACTCTTTTCGTCTAATCCATCTCTTCTAACCCAACACCCACCCCACCATTCTTAACCTAGTAAGAGAATATGCAGTTATGCAGAAAACTATGGTAAAACTAGTTTTAAATTTTCTGAGACTCGTACACATAAATTAAAAACATCAAAACACTACAGTTATTTTTCAAGAATTCAATTACTAAATTAGGCAAATGAAATTGTTCACTCCCTGGTATAGTTTTTACATTTCTGGAGTCTGATAAAAATAGATCATAAATTCCATTTATATATTCTTTCTATTTCCAAATACAAGAAAAAAGTGTTCTTTGCCAAACAATTAGACCCAATGACCACAAAGGCAAAATAAAAACTAGCCAAATTCACTTAAAGATAGAAGAAATGCAGACAATGTGTATATAGTTGAGGGGAGCACAAAGCAAACACATCAAGTTTATCGTGGACTAATTCACTATGGTTTCTCCATCCACCATCAAAATTCCATGGACAATGGGTGTTGTATAATGCTGAATAATGTATCCTGAATGCATTTTAATGATTTAAACTAGCATATTTCATTTCCTTCCTCCTTCTCCCCCCGCCTCAAATCAGGGCAAGGCAGAGTTATATAAACTTTTAATGATAATATTTGTAAAAGATATGCTTTAATGATTTGAGTCTCATTTTTCTTAAATTATCAGTCATTTGAATAACTTATTTAAGCATTACTTTAAACAAGTAATTTCTTTAGACTAGGAGATTTAATGGGTCCACTGTGCAGTAGGGAAAAAAAGTGTAATGGCTTTGGAGGATCCCCCCAAAGTTGAGCTCACAATTCTGACAATGTGTATTTTTCTGAGGAAAGGGTTCTTAACTTTCATCAGAACCTGAAAGGTTAAGAACTCTGGACAAAGGAGAACTGGAGCTAGAAAAAAAATCTGTGCCATTTACATGACACCAAATCCTACTAGAATTTCAATATGTAAGTTCCCAGTTTATGCTAAGATAGTGAGCACGAAATTTTGGATTGCTAGCAGTATAACATGGCCTTCCTACACAGTTAATTTAAAATAGGCTGTGGGGCCTCAGTCTTTTATGGCAGATGTTCTTAACTTGGAGGCCCAAAAAACCCCTGAGATTATATACAAAATTGTGAATGTGTCACTTATGTCTGTATTTATAGGGAAAGGGGTCTATATTTTTTCCAACAGCTTCTCAAAAGGATGGGGAACTAAAGAGCAAAACAACAACAATAACAACAACAACAAAAGATCAGGAGCCACAGGATCCACTGCTTCAGACAGAAATGTGTAGCTTTCTGCCCTTATGCATTTGACCCCTTTGTTCTTCGTCAAGGCAATTAAAACATATAAATCAGGCTAGACAATCACTGTGGTAATAATAATGGAGTGTGTGTGTGTATATATATATATATATATACACTTACACATTTACATACATATACACATAGACTTTCTAGGAGCTCTGTTCTTGCAGTGCATTACCATGGAAGTCTTGCAATGCGTTGCCATGGTGCTTGTTTAGTTCCCTGATCCCTTTGAAATTCATTTGCATTCAAGTGATTACAAACATCCATTCACAAACCATCTAGAGATTCACTACGATTTAACTTCCCCTATGCAAAAGTCACCCTACTTTCATCAAGTTTTGGATGTCGAACTTTCTGTGAAATCTCATTTGGAGAAAAGGTTGCTCAACTCTTAACTTCAGAGTGAAAAAGTGACCGGGAAAATACTAGTGTAGGATCTTAGAGAAGATGAGCAGTTCCTGGATAAACATTCATAATTTCTTGCTGAGGTGCAGAAACTAACACATATTTCGTAAAGATGGCTTAGCATATTTGGCACTCACAAAACCAAAACAAGATTATTATTTAAGTGTACACCATAGTGAATCTCCAGACATTTTGTGAATAGAGAGGTGAATGAGTCAGTGCCATCCAAAGACTGGGACCAGGGAATATAAAATGCACCAGGAAAAGGAAACACGTTCTTAGGAACATTCAACATGAAATTAAAGTTGTTAGAATTTGGCCACCTGATACATATACATAGGCAGTGAATGTGTGGTAGTTGTTTGGATGTATGTTTGTAACCACTCAAATGCACGTGGATAGTGAAGACTGTGTCTATAGTAATTTATTTAATGTCTTCTCATTCTCCTATATAACACTTTAGGGTTAAAAAAGTTATCTACTATACCTTCTCCAATAGGAAGTGGATCTGGTCCTGTTTTTTCAAAATTAATAACTACACCACTCTGAACTTTTTGAACTAGAGATTCTAAACATTGATTCAACATTCTTTGTGTTCTCACACAGTAGGAGCGACCTATCCCAGAAGGAAAAATAAATAGCACAAGTTTGATCAAATATAATTTCATAATATAAGCATTTTAAAATCCTAAAATATAACTTGAAATAATCATAACTACATTGGCAGCAAATATACCAATGATGACCTTAAGCAACAGAGTTAAAAGGCTTTGAAGGAAAACAAGTAAAGACTGGATATGGCATTTAATGAAAAATATACTCTATGCTCTGAATTTTTCCTTCAGAAACATTAAATATTGCCAATACCTCCTGTGACTTCACACATCTGTGTGATGGCAGATTCATCAGTTGGTACGCTCCCTAGTTGCTCTGGTTCGGTAGAAGCCACTCCAGGCAAACGCAACACCAGGGCAAATAACCTTTGATCCCAACGAAAAGGTTCTTTGGTTAGTTCACTTCCAGGCAGAGGGGAATTCAAAGGAAGATGGAGCTGATAAGGCAAAAATGTGAAAAGGTTCATCATAACAAACCATATAAAAATGAAGAAAGAATTAAAGGGTTGACTTTTTCTTTCATGTAACTCAATAAAATTAAGCAGTCTTTCAAGGATTACCAAGATGGATGATTTGACCAAACTTACTGTTAACTGGAAATGCCTCCCACAGAAATAGCTGCATGTTCCCTGCCATTTAAACAAAATTAAAAAAAAAATAAAATCTCACCTCTTCTTGAACACCAGCAGTACTTGTTAACTTGTTTCCATCTGTGATGGTAATTAAAATAGATGGTTCTAAAAAAAATGGATTTCTCCCCTAAAATACATTTAAAAAGCATTAGAGCCATGTAAAGTAATAAAAGTATATTTAAATTTTTATATTTGCCTTGCCAATGATCTCTCAAGAATATGATAAAATTTGTCTGGATAAATAAGGAAGAAATGACCAGGGAACGAAATGGGTAGGAATAAAAATAACAACCCCTGAAGAGGTAACATTCAGTATAAACTGAGGAATTCTTATAATTCAGGAACTCCCCAAACCATTAACATTCAAATACCTCTCTCACTCTGCTTTCCAAGTAATCACAAAATAATATTACAAGATTACTGGCATTATCATCCACTCTCATGAATCCATTCACTTAAGTCAAAATCCTGGCACAGATAGGACACTAGTGACTTGCGTGCTGCAACCTGGAGAGTGACTCTGGTTACTGTGAGCACAGACTTTAGAGGAGGAAAGGACAATGGGAGCAACAGCAAATGCTACTCTGCCTTCTTATCCTAGAGCTTTTTCATCAAATTGGGAGGGGCAGAGGAGTTAAGGACACTGAAAGTTTCTTTCCAATTGTCTTGTTCCGATATTTCTCAGCCGTTTATTCACATCATTCTCAAACATCTGATTATCTCATGGTAGACAATTTTAGCTATTCTATTATCAAGCCATATACAAGAACCAAAAGAAGAGGGATTTTTAAAAAGTATATATTTAAAAGGTAATAAGAATCTCATTTTTGGAGGTTATGAAAAGTAGCAGAAAACTTAGTAATCATGCCCAATTTTAAATTCTTACCCCAAGCCACCAAAATAAATTAGCTGTACTCACTCAAATTATTTTTACCTGTCCATAATTGTCTATTCCAGATATTAATCTATTGAGATTTAACAAATCAAATGAGGATCTTAGAGCCTGACCGAGAGTAGTCAGTCCAGAAGCCTGAAGATTTTTTAGTTCGCTCATGAATGTTGCATGATTTTCCTTCCAACCAGCCTGCAAACCAAACATTTACAAAGAATTTCTTGATTATACAATGAACAATATATAAAGTACAATCACTAAACAGCAAGTATCAAAACTCTAAGAAATTAACCACTCTTTAACCTAATTCTATTCTATATCTTCACTGATCAGGTAGAACTAAAGCAAGCAGTTTCGGAAAGACCTGCTAGCTCTAATGATCAAGCGCAAAGAACTGAAGCAAAAAATACTTCGTCCATTATGGCTGAAGGACTGTGGCTCAAGAGGTCCAGTTTTCTGTTCAGGCTCAACCAAACCTGCCAACACACCTGTTACCCTAGCTTCACATTGATGGTGAGCATGGAGTAAGGGGCAGAGGAAGGAGTAGTTATTTTTTAAATGCATTGTCCTTGGTAAAGACAATTAGCTATATTGACTGTCTGAGCTACATTAATTCTTCTAACCAAGATTCTTCCACCGAAGCAATATTTTCACTTTTAAGCAAGAGTAAAGAGGGAGTAATAGGAATAGAGCCACACTTATTTGGATATAACCCTTCTGGTATCTTCAAGCATTCAGAAAGCCCAAGATCTAGAATAAAGGGAGAAAGAAAAAGAAACAAAAAGTTTTGGCAAAGAAGCAGCATCCCCTAGCCACGCCCAGCAGCTATGAACAGCAGCAAACAACCAAAGATCCAAGGTCAACAGCCAACATGCTGTGATTGATTGGTTTGTAGAATAGAAGGAAGGAAAGGATCGTGCTGACTGGTCTGAGATGGGTATAAAAACAAAGCAGCAAAAAGTGCTGAGAAGAGAAGCTAAAAGAAGAAGGTGGCAGCTAACAGGAAGTCACAGAGGAATGGGCCAGCAAGAAAGAGAGAAGACAGCACAGCGTGGCAACAGAGTGGAACAGCCACTTGAGTCTCGGTGAGCCTGAGAGCAGCAGTGTGATATGCTAAATGCTGAAGTTATGCCAACCAGGCCAGTACAGCTAGAGGTGGAAAACAAGAGCAAATGATACCGAGATAAACCAAACCATTTGAATTTCACATTTAGCTGAAGGCATATAGTCCATTATCCATGCAACTACATCAAACACTCTTTTCTGGTTTCATGGTCTTCCAGAGCAATTTGGATTAGTAGAATGACTGGGAAGTAAGAAAGGGGGCAGGTTATTGGCTATGAACCCTGTTATGAAATACCTGTGTGACCTTGAGCAAACCAGTTGGCTTCTTAGGACCTAAGCTGAAAAGGAGGATGATCTGATAAGCAGGGACACTGTATAAGGCTGAGAATGATACCACCTTGCAGTCATTCACATCATAATCTGTGAGAGTGGCGCCCCCTAGGGTTAAACAGAACACAACCTGCATAACCCTTCAAGGTGAAGGTGATCTTGGTTAAGATTCACTCCAGGTCCAATAGCTGGCAATTCTTGTGAAATTAAAGATGTGCTTAGTTTGTTGTCTTTTATTTTAATGTTCCTAACATATCCTATAGGTCGAAGCATTTAAAGGTTAAAACTTTCCAGGTGCTCCTTTGGCCAAATTGTATATATGACTTTTAGTACTGGAAATATAGGGAATGAGAATAACTCTTTATGGCCCAAGGAAAATCTTATTGGACTAGATAAACTGAACTTTAGTGAAAAGGAAGCATTATGATTTAAAGTATCTTTTCAAATACCTGGAACTATCAGTAGTTGATTATAAATCACACTGAATTAGGAAATTAGATTTCTTCTTTGGGGTAGAAGAGAAAGGTGTACATTTGGGTGGAGAGGATCAATTTTTTCATGTATTTATTCAACAGATTTTTTACTGACAAACTATGCTATACTTGGCAGAATGCTACGTGCTGGGGATATAGAGAGGAATTAGCTCTTGAGGGGTTCCTGCCACAAAGGAATAAGAGATGCACTTATGGAGACTGAAAGAACAAGTGACCAGAGAGTGAGGGAAGGCTTCTCACTGAAAGTGGGACATTTGAGAAATACTGATGGGATGGAGTGAAGATCATGAGACTCACTGATGTGAGGGGTGGAGGGGACTGTGCAAGGGAAGAGAACAGATAAAAGGATAGGACTTACTTGAGAACCACCAGTAATCTGATTATCATTGCTCTGGGCACATGGCAGGAGGCAAGGCTGATTAAGATAATTTGGGCTCTGACTATAAAGTGCTTTGTACACCATGCTCAGCAGTTTGGATTTTATCTGCTGGCCCTGGGAAGAACTCAAGGTTTTAAATCCGGGGAGTGGTATGATCAGATCTTTATTTTACTAAGATCTCTGCTGGTAGTTGGAGAATAAATTGTGGGGTGGAGGGGAGGCTGAAGCTTGAGGCAGGGAAACTGGTTTGGAGACTGCTGAAAGAGCTTACGAGAAAAGTGATGAAAGGCTGAGTTAGGGCAGTGGGGATGGAGAGGAGGTTGCAGATTAAGGAAGTATTTCAGAGGAGGAGTCCTAAGGATTTAGTAGCTAATTAGAGGGACAGGTGAGAAAGAAAAGGTCATGCATTATGTTGAAGTTTCTGGCTTTGGCAAACTTGTAAATGGTGGGCGGGGGTCCTTTACCCTGAAGCCATTATATAAAATTGATTCTTGTTTTTGGAGTCACTTCGTTTAGCAATCTTATTTCCACACTGGTAACAAAGGTTATATATTAAATTTGAACACCTGAAGGGCCATGTGGTAGTTCAAGGTATAATTTTTAAAAATTAGTGGACTATTTGGTTTGGTAAAGGGCTAGGATAAGATTTGGGTACCACTTTATGACTCATCTTTATTTAAAATAATGTGTCCTTATCGTTAGTGGTGCTATTCACCAATCTGTCAGAATACAGAATATGAAATGAAAGCATTTTACAAATATTAATAGTTTCCTTCCTTCCTTCCTTCCTTCCCCTCCCTCCCTTCTCTCCTTCTCTCTCTCTCTTTTTCTTTTTCTTTCCTTTTTTTTGAGATGGAGTCTCACTCTGTAGCCCAAGCTGGGGTGCAGTGGCACGATCTCGGCTCACTGCAACCTCCACCTCCCAGGTTCAAGCGATTCTTGTGCCTCAGCCTCCTGAGTAGCTGGGACTACAAGCGTGTGCCACCATGCCTGGCTAATTTTTTATATTTTAGTATATTCAGGGTTTCACCATGTTGCCCAGGGCAGTCTTGAACTCCTGAGCTCAGGTGATCTGCCTGCCTTGGCCTCCTAAAGTGCTGTGATTACAGGTGTGAGCCACTGCGCCCGGCCCAAATATTAATAGTTTCTGTATCTAAATCTCTGACATTGTTTGTAGGTTAATTCCTATTCTTTGCAATGAATTGGATGATATGGGAAATTTTAATGCCACTCCTACCTCAGTACTACAAAGTATGTAGGCTACATTTACTACCAAGAGCAATGAACTCTTTGGTAGGGGTCCAGCTCCCTATATCAAGAGAAGAACCAAATGTCCCTATGTCCATTGCTCAACATGCTGAAGGAAAAAAGGCCCACAGATTTATTGAAGTATTTAGAGAATCTTATTAATGTGATAAATTTCTACCAAAAAGATAATTATAAAGAGATAGTGAGTATACATTTACACTCTCCATTCATTGCTTAGAGTTAATTTTTTTCACAAATGAATTCAGGACAGCTAATTTGCCTCCTTAATATGGGTTTTTCTTTTAAATTACTTTACTCCAAAGATATTGTATTCTTATGTTAGTAAAAACCTTCACTCCTGATAATAACTTCCATACATTCTTACAGAACTTTACTGCTTACAAAGCACTTTCACACTTCACATTGGCTTAGGACAACCCTATAAAATAGGCATGGCATTAACATCCCTATTTTAACAAACAAGGAAGAAGTGAAACATAGTTATGTCTTGTTTATGTGGTGGCAAGTCACATTCTACAGCTGCACTATCTGATACAGTGGCTTTTATCTACATGTGGTTATTTAACACTTGATGTGTGGCTAGTTTGGATCGAGATGTGATGTAAGTATAGAATGCATTTGGCATTTTGAGGATGCAGAACAAAAAATGCCAAAATCTCATTATTTTTGTATTGATTACATGTTGAAATGATAATGTCTTGGATATTTTTGGTTACATAAAATATTTTAGTAAAATTAATTTTACCTGTTTTTACTTTTTAATGTGGCTAGTAGAAATTTTTAAATTATGTGTATGACTGACATTATATTTCTATTGGACACTGACGTTCCTAAAAGACCTGAAGGTCAGGTATGAGAGCCTGGCCTTAAAGCAGCAGACAGTAGACACACTACAGAATCCAAGGCAGGGGTAAACAGGAAAATCAGTCTGATAGTGACATACAGGACAGCCTGCAGGAAAGTGAAGCTGTAGTCAGAAGAAGCTAGGAGGTTTGAGGCCAGGCGCGATGGCTCACACCTGTAATCCCAACACTTTGGGAGGCCAAGGCCGGCACATTGCTTGAGCTCAGGAGTTCGAGACCAGCCTAGGCAACATGGCAAGACCCTGTCTCTACCAAAAATACACACACACAAAAATAGCCGGGTATGGTGATGTGCACCTGTGGTCCCAGCTACTCAGAAGGCTGAGGCGGGAAGATCACTTGAGCCCAGGAGGTGGAGGCCGCAGTGTGCCATGATCATGCCACTGCACTCCATCATGCCACTGCACTCCAGCCTGGGTGACAGAACCAGGCCCTGTCTCAAAAAAAAGGGGGTGGGAGGAGGAGGGGGAGGAAGAGGAGGAGGAGGAGGAGGAGGAGCAGCTAGGAGGCTTGAATAGTAAGCCACACCTGGGGAATCAAGACCTGAATTAGGATGGAAATGCAGATGAAAGAGTTAAATGAGAAACATGTGAAACAAATAGGACAGACTTGGTGATAGAGCATGAGGCCAAAGGATAGACAGTAAAAGATGATTACAAGAGGCCTAAAGAATGGAGGTTTAGGACAAAGGAGTAACTTAGGATGGGTAGAATCCTAAGCTAAGGGTTTATTATCTTCACAGGTCAAATTTTAAGTCTCTCCAAGGTAAAATAATCATGATGATGACTAATGATAGCTAATATTTATCAGTGCTTATATGTTAGGAACTCACTTATACTAAGCATAGCATGTAATATACATCCTTCTTACATGAACCTCACAACCACCCTCTGGGTAGGTGCTGTTACTATCTTCACTTTATACATGAGGATACTGAGGCTTGGGAAAGCGAGGTAACTTGTCCAGGCCAGACAACTAGGAAATGGCACAGCCAAGATTTGAATCCAGATAGCCTAACTTCAGAGCCCACCAATTTAAACCACTCTTCCACACATTATGTATATTGGCATTCCTCATTTTATGGTGCTTTGCTTTATTGCACCACACAGATATTGCATTTTTTACAAATTGAATGTTTGTGGCAGCCCTGTATTATCAGTGCCATTTTTCCAACAGCATGTGCTCACTTTGTGTTTCTCTGTTACATTTTGGTAATTTTTGCAATATTTCTAACTTTTTCATTATTATTATATCTTTTATGGTGATCTATGATCAGTGAGCTTTGATGTTACTATTGTAATTATTTTGGGGCACCATGAACCATACCCACATAAGAGGGCAGTGAACTTAATCGATAAATGTTGTATGTGTCCTAACTGCTCCATCGACCAGCTGTTCCCTATCTCTCTCCCTCTCCTCAGGCCTCCCTATTCCTTGAGACACAACAATATTGAAATCAGGCCAATTAGTGACCCTACAATGGACTCTTAAGCGTTCAAGTGAAAGGAACAGTTGCACTTCTCTCGCTTTAAATCAAAAGCTAGAAATGATTAAACTTAGTGAGGAAGGCATGTCGAAAGCTGAGATAGCTAGGCCTCTTGCACCAGTTAGCCACGTTGTGAATACAAAGGAAGCTCTTGAAGAAAATTTAAAATGCTACTTCAGGAAACACAGGAGTAAGAAGAAAAACAGCCACATTGCCGAGATGGAGAAAGACTTAGTGGTCTGGATAGAAGATCAAATCAGCTACAACATTCCCTTAAACCAAAGCCTAATCCAGAGCAAGGCCCTAACTCTTCCTAGAGTTGATGGAATGAATCTTCAACTCTATGAAGGCTGAGAGAGGTGAGGAAGCTGCAGAAGAAAACTTTGAAGCTAGAAGAAGCAGCCACTTCCATGTCATAAAAGTGCAAGGTGAAGCAGCAGGTGCTGATATAGAAGCTGTAGCAAGTTATCCAGAAGATCTAGCTAAGATCACTGATGAGATTGGCTACACTAAACAACAGATTTTCAATGTAGATGAAGCGGACTTCTATAGGAAGAAGATGCAATCTAGGACTTTCATAATTTGAAAGGAGAAGTCAATGCCTGACTTCAAAGCCTCAAAGGACAGGCTGACTTTTTGTTAGAGGCTAATGCAGCTGGCGACTTTAAGCTGAAGCCAACATTCATTTGCCATCCTGAAAATCCAAGGGCCCTTAAGAATTATGCTACATCTACTCTGCCTGTGCTTTAGCAATGGAACAACAAAACCTGGATGACAGCACATCTGTTTACAGCATGGTTTACCGAATATTTTAAGCCCTCTTTTGAGACCTAATGCTCAGGAAAAAAGATTCATTTCAAAATACTATTGATCATCGACAATGCACCTGGCCACCCAAGAGCCCTGATGTAGATGTACAAGGAGATCAATGTTGTTGTCATGCCTGCTAACACAACATCCATTCTGCAGCCCGTGGGTGAAGGAGTCATTTTGACTTTCAAGTTTTATTATTTAAAAAATACATTTTGTAAGGCTATTAAGAAGTACATTTTGTAGGGCTATAGCTGCCATAGATAGTGATTCCTGTGATGCGTCTGGGAAAAGTTGAAAACCTTCTGGGAATGATTCAACATTCTAGACGACATTAAGAACATTCGTGATTCATGGGAGGAGGTCAAAATACCAACATTAGCAGGAGTTTGGAAGAAGGTGATTCCAACCTTCATGGATGACTTTAAGGGGTTCAAAACTCCAGTGGAGGAAGTAACTGCATAAGTGGTAGAAAGAGCATGAGAACTAGATTTAGAAGTGAAGCTAAGGATGTGACTGAATTGCTTCAATCTCATAATAAAACTTTAATGAATGAGTTGTTTCTTATGAATAACCAAATAAAGTGGTTTCCTGAGATGGAATCTACTCATGGTGAAGATGTTGTGAACATTGTTGAAATGACAACAAAGGATTTACAATATTATATAAACTGAGTTTATACATCAGTGGCAGAGTTTGAGGATGGACTCCAATAAAAGAAAATAGAAAGAAGTTCTACTGTGGGTAAAATGTTATCAAAAAGCACTGCATGCTTCAGAGAAAACTTTCCTGAAAGGAAGCGTTCACCGATGCGGTAAAGTTCATAGTTGTCTTATTTTAAGAAATTGCCACAGCCACCCCCATCCTTCAGCAACAACTGCCCTGATCACTCAGCAGCCATCAACATCAAGGCAAGACTGTCCACCAGCAAAAAGATTATGACTGGCTGAAAGCTCAGTTGATCATTAACATTTTTTTAGCAACAAAGTATTTTAAATTAAGGTGTATACATTGTTTTTTAGACATAATGCTATTGCACACTTAATAGACTACAGTATAGTGTAAACATAATTTTTCCATGAATTGGGAAAGCAAAAAATTCTTGTGACTCACTTCATTGTGGTGGTCTGGGAATTGAACCTGCACTATCTTCATGGTAAGCCTATATTCACTTCACAAATATGTCTTGTTAGATTAGTTTATAAGTTTAATAAATTTTTCAAATTTCATTTTAATTTAAGCCTACTTTCCCTGACATCTAAGTACAGAACAATTAGGTGTGGGGAACAGTGAATTAAGAATTAGAAGGGCCTAGTCTATTCCTAGCTGTCACTAACTCGCTTGGCAAGTGGTCTAGAGTAAGTCACTTAATCCCACTGTGGCTGTTTCCTCACCCAAGGAATGAAAGGGCTGAAAAACCAACTCTAAGGTCCCTTGCAGTTTTTATATCCTATAATTCTATACGTTCCTTTAATATAAATCAGACTTATGTATCTTATAATTCTACACCCTGTAACAATCCTTCATGTAAATCTGACTTACAGAAAGAGAACACCTCCTGTCTCAATAAATGTTAATTCAATATGTTAATTCAGATCGGGTTTAAGTTTCCATAGTCAACTAAAAATGTCTTTTCATACCAACAGAAAAACATGGGCCTTTCTATCAGTGACCTGGGTTCTTGTCCCAGCTTGATCTGACTAGCCACTAGCTATTTATTCTCCACTTACATCACCACAGGAAGGAGAGAATTTGCACTTTTCTCCTCAGAAGGGCAAAGCCTAAAAGCAATATTTTCTATTACCCTCTGCACCCACATTTCCACCTTCTCATCTGACTGGTTGGTTTGCAAACAGGAAACTGGCATGCTCTCTGCAGGCCTGTTGCTGAAGCTCTTTTGAATATTCTGGTATGTTCTCTGACATGTGGTGCTAAAGGGGTAGGTTCCACCCCTACAACAGACCCATAGGGTAGGTCTGTCAATATGTGAACTACTTGGAAGCTTTTCAGAACACACATGTAGGCTACATCCTTTCCTCCAGCTTTGATCAGGAATAAAGCTGTAATTTGGAACTCTGGCTGGCTTCTGTGTCTTACTTCTCAATAGATTTCAAGTGGAGGAGGGAAATGAAGGAGTGTTATTTAGTGGCTCCCCTAAACTTTAGTATCCCTCAGTATCCTAATACTGAACTTCATCCCATTTTAGCCAGGCCATTTCTCCGATTCATTAATTTTCATTGATTTTTATTTTTTTTAAATAGAGAAGCCTTTTCCTCCATTGAAATCTTGCCAGGAACTAAGAACAAGTAAAAGAGATAAAAGCAGATCAACTGTCCTCGAAGGGGATGTGGGAGTGGTGTTAGAGGCCTTTCTGAAAAACTCCTGTTCTATCTCTAAAGGTCACTTGTAATCCTTTTCCAAAATGTTAGCGACCTTACTAATATTTGGAAAATGGTATAATGTTATAACACAGTATAATGTACAAGTTTAATAAACATGCTGTTAATTTCCCCAGCCAAGGTAACCGATAAAGATATTTAGGGCAGCTGTACCTAACTTTCCACAAGAAAAGTAACCCTTACAAACTGTATGTGAATTGACTATTTATAAATAAAAAAAAATAGTTGAATGATTAATATTCTCTAGGGTGGTAGCTATTTAAAGGGACTGGCAATGAATCTTTCCAAACAGTAAAAAGAATCCTTGTACGTTATGAATTTTCACAAGCCAGGCTCCTTCACACAGCAGTGACAAAACTTCTTGCTGGGAGGCTCCATTTGTGGTGTCCCCCTGACTTGGTGCTGAGCCACTGCACTGACCTGTTTTAGGCACATACATCCTGCAGCCTATCTGGACATTCCCCTGAGGAGCAGTGCAGTCCAGTCCAAATCTTCCTAGCTTGTTAGCAAGCTCTTCACAATGAATGAAGGAAAACCTTGTTGACATCCAGAAAGCCAATGCATGTTGCTTTCCTCTCCTTGACAAGACTTTTTATCTTTTATTAAAGGAAATTAAATCAGCCTGGTAATATCTGCCATTTGTAAGCCCATGTTAGAGGTCTATCCTGGACATTGGGCTCTTCTAGGTGGTTATACAAACTAAATGATTAACAGATTTGAGTATTTTCCCAGATGTCACAAGTTAAAGCCAGAGTCTAAATTTAGCAGGGCCATCATTTCTCTTGTTGAAAGATAAACTATTTTCCTTTTTCCATCTGCTCTCCATAAGTTTGGGGAAAACTTGCTCTGAAACAACCCAGAAAATTTGCATAAATCAATTCCAACAGTATTTTTCAACCAACTCACTTTCTTCTTCAACTTAGCATTCTGTCATCTCTGTCATCACAAACTGTTCCTGCATTGGTAAACTCACCAGTGAGATGGAATGACATGAAAAATAAGAAGCCCTGCTTTTCCAATCATCTCTGTCTCCCGAGGAGACAAATGACTTTTCTCTTGGTCTTTGCCCTGAATATTTGGGCAAGTTAAAACTTCTCAACTTCAGGAATTTTCTTCTCACAATTAAAATGGACTCCAATTCTGATAACAAAGACAAGGTTTACTTGCTCTCTTAGGTAACAGAACACTGTGACAGCTGAATCACCTTAAACTGTTGAAATATCTTTGTAAAATGATTTTTACAGCTAGCACACCTATAAAGGAGGTTGTTACAATTATAAAGTACACACTAAGAATACATTATATCATTATAAGAATGGAACTGTCTTCCTTCTTGTACCTCCCCTAAAAACTTCCTTCTTGCTTATATTTTCTGACCCTGACACAACTTTTTCCCTGATACTCCAACAATTTGGCCAGATTTCACTTTTTTTGTGCTTTTCTCACTTTACTCAAGGTACTAATATACTTCAACGCTCAAAGGAGGTATTTTAGTGTTCTGTGTTTTAAATGTATAGTGTAGCTTTAAAATTACTTTTTAAAGGATAGCCAGGCTGGGTGCAGTGGCTCACACCTGTAATCCCAACACTTTGGGAGGCTGAGGAGAGAGGATCACTGGAGCCCACGAGTTCAAGATCAGCCTGGGCAACACAGCGAGACTCCTCTCTCTACAAAAAATTAACATACAAATTAGCCAACCATAGTGGCATGTGTTTGTAGCCCCAAGTGGTAATCGCTTGAACCCAGGAGTTCAAGGCTACAGTGAGCTACGATAACGCCACTACACCCTAGCCTGGGTGTCAGAGCAAGACTCTATTTAAAAAAAAAAAAAAAAAAAGAAAAGAAAAACCAGTTCTCTTGGATTCAGTTTTATAAAAGTTACTTCCCCAAGGGCTTTTCTTAGTGTCTTGAACTTGCCGAAATGTGCAAAGCCCATTTTATTTGATTAAATCGGTTCTCTCCCTGAGAACTCTGAATGCTATCATTCTGTTTCGATCTACCAATTTTCCTCCACATGCTTCAGGAGATACTACCAACCAAGACTACATGTATGAAATCTAGTTTACTTGCGTCTTCTACTTTTTAACAAAGATATTAAGAAATTGACCTCCCCCGATATATTGCAGAAATGTATTTAACAGTCTGTGGCCTGCTGCACTGATCTTCAGCAGACAGTTAAAGACTCACATGATCACATATTTTAACGAAACTGGGCAAAGAAATGATTCACAGTTTGATTCCACTGACACATAGTTCACCATTTTGTTTTACTGACCTCTTTAAATTAATATCTAGTATGAAGTTTTTTAAGCATATAAACAATCATAAGGATCTAGAAAATTTTAAAAATATGTTTATGAAGTTTTCAATTATTACCCCAGGGAATTAGGATAAAATTGTGAAGCAGCACACTTCTCAAAGTTTACTGGAAAACATGATAATATCCAAAGAAATCTGACCTTCACCAGTGGACAGTAACACGTAGAAACCAATAATTTTAGAAGCTTTTCTCCTCCCTCCAAAAGTCAATTGCACTGCTACTGAAGCAGAAACATCTTAGAACTTACTAAACTTGGTCATACTTAAATGTGAAAAGTTTCCTTTCCCAGTCTCAGACTATTTCAACTGCAGCTATCAACTAATACCTATTATCAGGAAAAAAAACTGCTATTGTGCATATCACACATTCAGTTAGTTACATTTTGGCTCATTTATGGACAGATACACAAAATAATAAAAATTTTTGGCCTTGGAAAAAACATACATGGACAGGAGTGAGACTAAGCCACCTAAGCATTGCAGAAAGTGTTGAACATATGAGATAGCAGAATGGCCATTTATTACGTTCTGAAGATTACACAGCACCTCTTTCCCCAGGACTAATTCTTTTAGGAAAAATTCTTCCATGAGAACACATGGGCACATGGGGGGAACCACACACACTGGGTGGGGCCTGTGAATGGGGGTGGGGGAAGGGAGAGCATCAGGAAGAATAGCTAATGGATGCTGGGCTTAACACATAGGTAATGGGATGATCTATGCAGCAAACCACCATGGCACATGTTAACAAACCTGCACATTTTGCACATGTACACTAGAACTTAAAATAAAAGTTAATGAAAATAAATAATTTCAAAAAAATTGTTATGAGCTACTTTTTACGTGGTAAAAGTAACATGCATTCATTGTTAAAAATCCCAACAAAATACAAAGTTAGTCTGTCTGTTCACCAAACCCTCACTCTCACTCTTCCAAAGTATTGATAGGACTCTGTCATGAACGTTATTAAATTGTTTACAGCAAACAGAATTGACATCAATAAGATGGAGTGGCATTTACCAATGTAACCACTAAGTGTGTGATATAGCACATTAAACACATCCAGGACCTGTTTTCTAAAATTTAAAAGTTGTTTTTTTGTTTTTGTTTTTGTTTTTGTTTTTGAGACAGGATCTCACTTTGTGGCACAGGCTGGACTGCAGTGGTGTGAACATAGCTAACTTCAGTCTTGTAATCCTGGGCTCAAGTGATCTTCCCACCTCAGCCTCCTGAGAAGCTGGGACTGCAGGCATGTGCCACTATGCCAGGCTAATTTTTTTTTAATTATTTTTTGTAGAGACAAGGTCTTGCCGTGTTTCCTAGGCTGTCTCAAACTCCTGGGCTCAAGTGGTCCTCCCACCTCAGCCTCCCAAAGTGCTGGGATTACAGGTGTGAGCCACCATGTCCAGCCTAAAGTAATTTTTAAGTCACCCTGAATTCCAAGCCTCAATTATTCCACTTTCTGCCTTTCAGTTATACAACTCTCTCCTGTACTTTTTCGGAAGGAGTCCTGGAAATAATCTAGTCTAATCCCTTCATTTAACAGATGAGGAAACTGACACCATAAAAGGTTAAGTGACTTGCCTGGGGTCATGTGTGTAATTAGTAACAGACTCAGGTTAAGAACATGGATCTCTTGCCTTCCAGTCCAGCACTTTTGACAGAGCTACTGAAGTGACAATGATACAGTTTGCCATATTACATGACAGTAGATGGTATGATCTACTAGACTGGATGTACTATGTCCACTTTTTAAAATCTGATTTTATAAAAGTACCTAGCTATAGCCTAAATCTACTTCTAACACACAACTCAAAGGCATCACTATGAAAGGGAGTTTACAATGTTTACGCACCTACGTAAGCTATTAAGAAAAGTGGAGAGCTTTGCTCTGCATATCGCCAACATCCTCCTTCAAGAAATAAAACAGGAGGGGGTCTCCACTTTCCAATGCCATGGCTATATTAAAGGCTAGATATTCTCCCTGGAATCCTATTGTCCACTGTCTAGTTATGTGGGCTGTCTTTGGCAGAGACAAAAATTCAAAGAGGGACTGGCCCTTCTGATTAAACAGCAGTGCCTCCAGGCAACTTCAGGCCAATTTAAATGAAACCATTTTGGTCTAGAGTTCAGACTAATCAAACACGAAAGGTCATACTCCAGCTCCCACCCTCCTTCCTTCTGCAACTTCTCATCATTATAATAGTATTTTAAAGCATGTTCTGTCATGTCCTCACCCTCAAGTCACACCCTTAATGGAATGATTTCAGTTTACTTCCTCTCCTCCCCCAGGCCTTCAGCTCTCCTGGCTCTGTATCTCTTCTTCCTTTGGTTAACTGATGTTCTAAGGGCTGGCATCAGGAATGGGGAGATACACTCAGAGGGTAGAAGAGACAGTGCAGGGCTTCTGTGGGAAATGATGGGAAATAAGTTTTTACCGACACGTGGAACAGATACTAGAGAGCTCAGAATGGCAGGCTGGTGGGGAGGGTGATATGATAAAACCAACTTTTTTCGAAAGTTAGCAATTGATGTAAGTGGAGACAGGAATTTTGGAGGCACTTGGGAGTCCAGTTAGAAGGCTGGTACAGTGGTCAAAGCATAAAAACATGAGGACCTAGATTAAAGTGATGGCAACAGAAATTGAGTCAAAGGAACACATGTAAGAGAAATTTCAAAGGGATGGCAGATAAGCCAGAGAAGATGGAAGGCAAAAAGAAAAAACAAAGCTGAATAATGACAGAAGAGGTCTGACTGTGAGCTGACAGCAGGACAGACAGTCAGTGGAGATGTGTGGAGATGTCCTGCACTCAGCTGAGATGCCTGAGTGAGAAGCTGAAGATGGTGAAGCATCAGTGTGTGTCGGAATATTTGGAACCACGAATGAAGCAGGATACACTCCCCAAGGGAAAGACTTTGGAAGATAGAGAAAGAATTATCAGAGAGAGGAGTGGAGAAACAGAATATAGGAAGTGATAAGTTTCTGGAAGGAAGAAGTAGTTAGTTTCAAATGTAGTCAAGGACAAAGAGGATGAATATTAGTAACTTTGCCCAAGTAGCTCGACAGTAAATCTTAAGACCTTAATAAATCATATTTAGTTTTCTTAACAGTACTATTTTTCAGTTGCACAAACAAAAATGTTTCAAGACTTTTGTTCAATTGCATTCAAATCCTGTGTTTGGCTCCTGGTACTAAGTTCACTGAACTATTTGAGCTACAGGGCAGGATATAGATAATAAAAGAGCGACTGGCATTAATGAGTAGTATAACCAGGGGAAAATGGTTTAAGATATAGAATTCTACTTTTTCTATAAACATCTGGCACATCACCCAAAAGTCTTCATGCAATGTTTCTCTGGTTAAGACCCCACTGACTGACATCTCTACTTCTTCTATAAAATCCACTCTTCTACCCCAGGCCATCTAACTACACAGGAGGGGAAAAAACCAATGATCTGGCTATGACAGGTGTGTGGCTTGAGGAAAATGGGAGAAGTAGTTGAAATGAAGACCACACCAGCAGATAAGGCTCAGGCTGATACACAAAACTCTGCAAAGGCATGATGGTATTCCAGACGTTTTTAAAAACCATGTCTACCTCCTCCAGAGGCTGTGGATTAGAAAAAACAAATGGCTACTGTGGAGTACACTGAATATCTTTCTTTTCCTCATAAGAAAAGCATTTATCAGGAGATTGGTAAAGTGAAGACGGCATATCAGTTTTTAGTGGCTATTATTAATAAATAGCCAAGGACTACCCTGCTGCTTTTACAAACCTACCACTATTCCTATAGGGCCTCCTCAGCCTAGGCCACCAGTTCACATCCTCCAGTCCTCAACTATTTCATACTCCATCAACTGAGAGTCTCAACAACTCTATATCTGTCACCAGTAGGGGCATAACTGTGGGACATCAAAGGCAAAAGTGTTTTACAAACATATGCACCACAATACTCACCCAGCAACAGTCAGAGAAATATTAGAAATAATAACACTAGCAGTAATAATTTTCATTCATTGAGTGCTTGCTACAATGCCAAGCACTATTACATTAAAAGCAGCTATAAATAACAGCATGATAATTATGTTTAAAAAATGATGGCTCTAGGACATGCATCATAATGAGAAAATACCAGTGAGAAGTTATCAAAAGGAATTTTCTGTCACAATTGATAGGAGAAGTGAAGTGGTTAATCACTGAATAGACTAGAATAGAGACAGACCTAGGTTACTACTGGCTGTGTTACTTAACCTCTCTGGGCCCTGGTTCCCTTATCTATAAAAAGAGTATAATAATAGTACCTAGTAATCCAGTACACAGACTGACTAGGAAGAGAAACTAAATAAACATTTTACATTCATTAGCACATTGCCCTGTACCTAAGCATTACTCAATAAATGTCAGCTGCTATTATTTGAAGGCTATTTCGTGATTGTTCATTATTACAAGGAAGCAAATATAAGTCAAATCATATCTGAAATACAGGGATAGTTATACAAGCTAGATAACACCTTCGACTATAAGATGGGATTTAGGAGGATCCAAAATTAGGGCTATAAAGTGGTCCTACCTCTTATAGATGCTATTCATCAGCATATCTATAAATCCACCCAGCCTCAGAATTAGACATTGGTGCTTATTCCTTAAATGGGAGCCATTATAGTTACCAAAAAATAACAATTAATCACTCCTGTAACCTCCACTAGGAGGATTAAGTTTTGAGAAAGTTAACGACTGTCAGAAGTAAGAATCCTAGGAGCCCTCCAGTCATGTGGCCTCTCCCTCCTTTTAACGCCACTGATGACTTGCCATGATATAAGACAAGGGCTCCGCTGGGGAACATCAAGAAAGCTCTCAAAAACAGCAGTGATACAAATTCCCCTTTGTTAAGTTTTACACTATGACAAACTAGAGTATTTCTCCTTTATCCTACACTTCCTAAAGAATGCTGCTCCTGAGAATTCTTGGGCAAAGTAGCTATGTAAATCAAACAACGGACATGTTACATATTTCTAATAACACTGAAAGTATGAAACATTTAGCACTACTGGTGAGCACATATTATAAACAGAATTCTGAATTACTGCAGTTACATTCATTCACATACATATTCCATTATACTTAGCCCAGGAAAAGACTTCTAACCCAACCAGTTGGATCACCAACTGCATCCAAAAGACTAAGCAACCAAACTGGCTTTCAATACAAATAAGAATGGGATGCTTTCATATTTTGCCCCACAGGCAAGGGTTATCAAGCCATCAACTCTGAACTGTATGATAACCTTTCATGCACAAATGAGTCTTTTATTGCGGTGGGTCGGGGGGGGGGGTGTTCATTTTAAACGGAACTTCCAGAGAAAGGATCCTCCTTCAGAAACAATTCCTAGGATATGAACATCATAAAATATCTTAAGAAAGAATATAGACAAACACTGCTAATAGAAATATAGTGCAAATTTCACATATGGAATTTCAAATTTTCAACTCACCACATTGAAAAAGTAAAAAGAAACAAGTTAGATTAATAATTTACTTAATATATCCAAAATATTATATTTTACACTGTCTGTTGAAGCACCCACTGACAGACTAGCCACCTTTCAAGTGCTCAATAACCATACGTGGCTAAGTGGACGCTATGCTGAACCGTGTAAATGTAGCCAATCTATGAATAGGAGTAACTGGCATATGTGAAGAGCCCCGCCTACCTCCACTGCCACCTCAGCCCCTCACCCTCTCTGCCGGAGCCTTTACAGTGTCCCCACCCCTCATGGAACCAAAGTCCACACCCAGTTGTGAGGAAGAAGAGAGAAAGAATATGTTTTTAACAAATCAAGCTGGAAACTTAAACCCATTTCCCATTAGAAACAATTATAAACACAATAGGTCTATGGCTAAGTGACATGAAGGGTTAAAAAGGTTCCTGGGAGGAAGGTCTGGGAACATAATCACCACTTCCAACATTGTATCCAGGAGATAATGTGTTCCAAGCTCCCAATACACAGTTACAAAGGGACTGCCTGGGTCTCTCATTTACACTCTTTCGGTAAAAGGCAACCGGGAGGAGGCCATGTTTACAAAGACTTTTTCATTTAAGAACTTAAATGAAACATGTAGTTTCCTTTCTTCACTGCCCTTCTCACTCCCATAAGGAGGGTCCTTCAATCCTACCCTTCTCTAGAAAACACATTTCTTCCTGAGATGTGGAACCACTATCATATTTTTTCACTCTGTGAAACTGAGAACCCTGTGTTCTAAATTATAATTATCTTCCCAAAGCAAAGGCAAACTGAAAAGAAAAAATATCTGCCCTTTCCTTACCTGTGCCCTGCCCTTCACCATCTCCCTACCCCCACCCCAATCCCAACCATAAGGCCAAAAGCTCTCAAGCAGCAAGCAACAAAACTAGGCAATTTCAACTACAACTTATGGGTCTCCCTAGCCTTTTATTCTCCCCTCCCTTTAGCTCACTTAAAAGGTAATTATAACCAAACAAGCATATAGACAACAAGCTTTGTCCTATTTCTCTTCAATTCTACCTAAGAGCTCTGCATCCCAGAAGAAATGTACAAAATCTAGCTTACAAGTTTCAAAGCCTTTCTGTGGTCCAGTCTTAACTAGTTATAGTCTTGAGACACACCAGATTCTCAGAGTCCTGTGCATCCTCCTCCCTCACCTCCAATTCTCTGGTTAAGAGTCCACTGCTCTTTACATTTCCCATATCCTAAGCCACCTTCTCTAGTCAGCTTTTTCCAGTGACTATCCTCAAGACCTTTAATGACTAGGACCATGTCTTTTACTATTCTGGTCCCTTCTTAGGCCAGATCTTTCTGGTTTCACCTTAGGCCCCTATAACAGAGCCTGGTGCAGAGGAGATGTTCAAGAAGTATATGGTAAATGAATGCCGAGACTGCCGTAGTGTCAACCCACTGTTACACTTGTCTTTTGGAAACACCATTTTGATCATGTCACTACAATGGTGATAAAAGTCAGAACGGTAATTACATGCAGGGGAGAGATGGATTGCAGAAAGATGCAAGAGGCATTTTCCTGGTTGATGGAAACGTTATATATCTTGGCCTGGGATGGTGGTTACATGAATGTATAAATATAAAAATGCATCAAGTCATTAGGATTCATGTATTTTCTATATATGAATTATACTTCTATAAAAAAGAAAAAAGAGAAATATATACACTTATCTTGTAAAAAATACAATAAGATTCTACCATATTATAAACTTGAACCTATATGAAAATGCTAGCTGTAATAAACATTAAATATATCAAATTGTTAATAGTGATTACTCTATGGGGAAGAGTACCGGGAATGAGGTAAGCTTTGACATGAGGGAAATGAGTAGCTTTGACACTTAACATATTGCTTGAAACCTTTTTTCCATTTGTTGAGTACATATTAAAATCTAAACACCCCCTTAGGTACTAGGGATACAAATACCTAGAAGTTCAAATATTTGCCCTTCAAGAGCTCACATTAGGGAAGTCAACATGAACACTAATAGTCCCCATATAACATGCTAAATGCTATATAGTTAAGGTGTGGACAACATGTTAAAGGATCACAGAGGAAGTTGTTATACTGCTTGGAGTAGGGAAAAAGCCGACGGACAAAATGACTTTTGAAAACATAGAATAAAGAACTGAGGTATGTCTGGCCAACCAATGTGTCCCAGGCAGAGGGAATAACATTTACAATGGCACAGAAGCAACTGGCATAGTGTGTTTGGAGAGGAGGACCTAATTTTTCATTGTGGGTGAAGCCTGAGGTCCATGAGAAGAGAAGAGAGGGCGCAGAGACATGGTAAGATAGGGCCAGATCATGAACGGCCATGGAGGCCAGGCCAAGAAATTTACTTTTATTGGGAAATGTAATGGAGTGCCACTGAAGGATTTTTTTTTCATAGGGGAATGACTTTATTTTATTTAAAGAATGACCAATCTGAGGGCAATGACGGGAAGGAATCAGTGGAGAGCAAGACTGGAAGTAGGGAGAACAACTGAGTGGCTGCTTGCAAGTGAGAAATGATGAAGGTTGAAACGAGGAGCAAATAAGAATGAATGGATACGAGAGAGGTTGGGGATACAGAACAGACAGACCTCCACAGTTTTGTCAGGCATCTTCCCTAGTCATCTTACAGCTGGTCCTTAGTCTGAAGATTGTATTGCCCAGAGGTCTAGTCTTCTACTGTTGACTCTCTCCTTTTCTTATTTCAAAATAATTATTGCTGCATGCCACAAATGGCCAGTAAAGGAAGGTGGATAAGAAAGCAAGATCATGGGAGAGGCAATTCGTTGTAAAAGTCAATGCACTGCCTGTGTGGCTTTTTGAGTTTTAAAAGCATCTTTCATTGTCTAAGATTGCTCTCACAGGCCATGTTGCTACTATTTCACTGATAAGCTCTTCCATAGCTTCTTAACCACAATGAAAGGCTCCCATAAAAGTCACTCCTTTTGCAAATAAGATCTATAAAATATATTCATGGGCATATGAAAAAGTTATGTCTTAGTTAAAATTCTAAAAAATGCCTGTAACACATATCATTTTAAAAGCTTAAATTACTTCCTAAATCTGTAAGCCAAAATTTTGCTATTTTCTGATACATGTTGTCAAAGGCATGCAGACACCAGTAAGCAAAGCTAGCTACAGGATGGGAAAAGGCAACACTCAGGGAAAATTTTACTTTTTCAAATGTATGTCTTCAAATTACAGACTTAGGATATTTCTTTGAAACATTATCATTTCCTATTTATAAAAATCTTCTGGCCAGTATTTTATACATGTGTTTCAACTATTTCTAGAAAAGTAACTCCATTTTATGTTTAAAAAGATAATTTCCTTCAACAAAAAAGAAATAATTTTAAGTAGCTTCCAACATAAAACTATTTTGAATACCTTTGTTAATATATACCCTACTCTAATGGCTTACTTTCTTTCAAAGTAATAGTAGTGACAAGCCTGCCTCTTCTATTCACTAAATAAAAGGAAATTATGATTCATAGCAAAACAAAACATACAAGACAGCAGAACCTCAGCCAAGACTAAAAACAACAATTATACCAAAAAATCCCAAAACATTAACACTTTTAAAAACCACATACTAGTTTTATAAGGATACATTAGACGTTTTTAAATGTTAAACAGGGTTTCATACTAGCTGTGTACACTGAAGATACCACGGTATAAAGGTGGGGTCAACACTTGTAACACTATGCATAAAACTTGTCTAGAAAGCAACATAACAGATGTAGCACATGATGCTTACATTTCGTACGCTTTTTATGTGGTACTTAAGTCAAACTTAATTCTATCCATGCAAACCGGGACTGCAAGTAAAAGGTATGACTAATTTTAAAAGAGCACACAGCTATATAGTGAGGAGTATGCAGTAAAACGTTCCGAAGTCTTTGGTGAAATACTATAGTCACATATTCAACAGTATACATTAGTGAAAATTTTCAGTCACAGTA
Organism: Homo sapiens; assembly: GCF_000001405.40. Lineage (NCBI taxonomy): Eukaryota > Metazoa > Chordata > Mammalia > Primates > Hominidae > Homo > Homo sapiens. The sequence continues at coordinate 135,524,708 of NC_000023.11, read as the reverse complement.
ACTTTTCACAAGATTTATTGTCGGATCTTGTAAGTGGATATACTGGGAAGAGTTGCATGCCTATTAAGAAAAAAATCTTCCAACCAAATGCACAACTCATGTCTGTTATAACACCAATAGAAACAAACCTTCAAGTAGAAAATAAAGTTCATTTTACAGTGTTTAGACTTGGATACAACCAAGACCTAAGAAATAAGCAGTTACTGTGAAAAAAGAGAAACAATGGCGCTCAAACCTTAGAGAAATAAAAAAAAAAAACACTCATATTCTGCAAAAGTATAAGCTACCAATAAAATCCTAGCCAACATCACTTTGCTGAAAAGACCTCAGACTCCTAATGAGAGTGAAGTTTTTAAGTAGGAACTAAGGTGCCCGCTGACAATCAAAGAAAGACCTATTTGATAATCAGTGTGACAGAAAACAGACATTTATGGCTCCCAGCTATTAGCAAGTGAAAGACTAGACTAAATTTTAAGAAAAAAAAATCACCAGATGTTCTAAAATTTCAGACCTTCCAAGCTGGTTAGATCCTAAAAGCAAAAGAACAAATAGTTACCACATGCTGAGGAGGGTTGGAGGCAGGCTGGCAGGAGAGTGATTGAAGAGAGACTCGGAAAAAGAAAATGCTACCAAAATATGGCATATTATTAATTCAGGTATAGAAAGCAAAATGACAAGAACATCATTAAGATCATTAACCTTTTTCTAGAACATGTAGTTATCACCTAAGAGTAAAATGAAAAACTTTGGAAAGATAGGCTAAGAAGAAGATAACCAACGATTAATAATTAAACATATTACAAAAAGTATCTTCCCATATATCTGACCTACATAAGGAAAAAAAATCAAACTCAACTTGGAAACGTGCTTTTTGCTTTAGGAAAAAAATGTAGTATATAAGATGGCAGGATAAAAAGAGCTATCTGATGAAATTTCCACTAAAAACAAAATCCAACTTTTCCTGTCCGTTCTATAGAACTATCTGGAGCCTTTAAAATAGCATGGATAAATTACACAGCCATTAAAAATTTTAAGTATGAAGGCTATGTGGCGACCTGGAATAATTCATTGGATAAAAATCGGTAGAAAAAGCAGAATACAAAGTAATATGTGCACTGTAATCACAATGCTAGGTTAAAAGATGTAATGATGGTTGTTAAGAATGAGGTTTATTTCCTTTCCCAAGTTTCTGTAAATACTGTTTTGATAAGTTTTACAGATGGAAAACTATCTTTAAACAATCCTTCTTGGCATATGGAAAAATGATAAATAGGTTGTTCCTTTTTTTTTTTTTTTTTTTTTTTTTGACGACAGAGTTTCACTTTCTTGCCCAGGCTGGAGTGCAGTGGCATGGTCTTGGCTCACTGCAACCTCCGACTCCCGGGTTCAAGCAATTCTCACGCCTCAGCCTCCCGCGTAGCTGGGATTACAGGCGCCCGCCACCACATCCGGCCGTTTTTTTTTTTGTTTTGTTTTTTTGTATTTTAGTAAAGACGGGGTTTCACCATGTTGCCCAGGCTGGTCTCAAACTCCTGAGCTCAGGCAATCCGCCCATCTCGACCTCCCAAAGTGCTAGGATTACAGGCCTGAGCCACCGCACCCGGCCAATAAGTTGTTCCTTTAAGGAAAAGAAGGCACACTGCTTTGTGGTTTATCTTTTTTACTACTTCGAATTAAGGAGCATGTCTTCAAATGGCCACACTACAAATGGTCGGTTCTTATCTGTATTAGCAGTCGAAGAGTGTAGACATTCAGACCTAGGATGTATAAACATCTCCTTTTCTATGTGGAAAAAAATGATCACATCCTTTTGGGAAAACTGACATTTTTAAAAAGCTTACGGCATTTTGAAAGATGTCTACTTGTTCCACTTTTCTAAATGGATAGAATCACAAACTGAAAACAAATTATCGAAAAAAGAACAGTTTTAAGGGGAACCTACTAATTAAACAGTTAACCGAAGCTACGAGTTACAAAATTAGTTTCTCTTTGGTTTCCTTATGCTTGAAGGAACACTCTTTGGCCAACTATTCAGCTTGGTAGGTTCCATTCATTAAAACACCTCACTCTACAGAAACGGATCACAACACATCCAGACTGCGTCTCCCTAGCACTATTACGATTATTCTGAGGAAAAAAGAAAAAGCCTAACAAAAGACGTCAAGGATTGTGGTAGTATTTTTAAAATTTCAATATGCAAGCAGGACTCTTATGCAGGTTGATTTAACAGTTTAAATTCCATTTTATCTGGCCACTGCAGGCAAAGCAGCAGTTCTTTATCTCCTCACCATAGGAACATAAATTACCCCACAGAGACCGTCCTCCCTACTTTTCTCCTGTAGGTCAGAATCAAATCATCGAACTTGACTATTACAAATGCTCACATTTGAGTCCTCCCCTTCCTTTCTTTCTTGTCCCTGGATTAATTCCTACGTGGCTAGCACAAACCTAATTTATGATGTAAATAGGTAGAGCGGATCCCTAAAAAGCTCTGCCCCTGTGGGTTCGCACTTGGCACGTCCCCCTCCGTGTCGTTGCTTCGCTGGAATTTCCAATGAAACAGTAACAGTAGCTAAGGTAACTGAGAGCGGGGCTGAACCTGGCCAATTCCGGAGCAGAAACGCAAAGACTTTCTCCGGGTCTGGGGGTGGGGAGACTGGCGTCGCGGACAGATTTCCGATTGCGCGGGGGTGGTGAGAGGCCAACGAGTGCAAAGGCGGTTGTCTAGTCTTTGAAGGCCGGCGGCTGGCTCTGCCACGCTCTCAGCAGGAAGGGGAGGGGACCAGGAGGAAGAGGGGGAGAAGGAGGAGATGCAGCGAAGAGCCCAAGGAGGGGGAGGAAGACCGGGGGAGGAAGGAGGGGCCAGAGGAGGAGCCCAGGCTCCGGGAAAGCCCGCGCGCCCGGCCGGCAGGACCTCGGGGCGGAGTCGCAGGCTCCGTCCGGCCCCCCGCGCGGCGACCCTCGCGCGGTGCGCCTCGAAGGGGCGGGCCCGCCTCGCAGCCTCCCTCCGGGTTTCGGGCCCTCCTTCCCCGCTCCTCCCTCCCCTCCCTCCTTTCCATCTCAGCAGCGCCCTCAGTCTCCCTCTCGCAGGCTCATACAAAAGCAAAATGTCCGCCATGTTCCGAGGCGGCTGCGGTTGTCGCGCCACGAGCTCGGCCCTCCTGCGGTTTCTCCCCGGGGCTGCTCCTCCCCGGTCCCCTCTCCCCGACCCCAGGCGCGACAGCTACTCCGAAGCCGCCGACGGCACCACTCCGCCCGCCCTCTGCGCACCCCCTCGCCGCCCGCCCCGCCGGGCGACGCAGGACCGCCTTAGGCGGGGGCAGGGGGGTAAGCAGCCCCCGCCGACTTGCTCCCGCTTCCCGCCTGTCCCCCCACCCGTAGCCCCTTTACCTTGATGCAGTACGGGGGTTCGTCGTAGGTGACCAGCATGTACCTGTCTCCACGGCTGGCCGGGTCCCGGGCGCGCAGCTGCGGGGCAAGGGATGACGGAGGGGGTCGCGTAGGAAAGGAGGGGGGAGGGCGATACAAACGTTACAGAAGCACCTCAATCCACACCCTGAAATCCCTCGGGAGCTCTCCCCATCTCTCCCCTCCCCTCCCTTTACCTTCAAGAATAACTCCACAGCGCCTTTGGCAATGTCCAAATAAGAGGTGCCCAGGTCAGTGCGCTGGTTCATAGAGGCGGACGTGTCTATGAGGAACAGCAGGATGGGCATCTTCCCCCGCACTCCTGCCTCCGCTCCCCACTCTCCCGGCCCTCTTGCCCTCACTGCCGCGTACGGCCACCTGAACCCTCAACTCTCGCAGAGCCGGGGAGCAAGGAGCAAGAGGAAGAGGGGGAGACGGGACGGGACGGGACGGATGGGACCGCTCCTGGCCTCCTCTTTCTGCAGCCCCACCTCCTCTCCCTCCAAGGGAACTTGAAAGTGTGAGCGTGTGTAGCCCTCGGGGCCCTCCCCCTTCCTCTCTTCTGCTGCCACCACTACTGCCGCTGCCAGGACTACTGCCTAAGCATCCGTCCGCGCTCACTAGAGCGCTCGCCCCAGACTGAGCGCCGTCTCTGTTCACTGACAACTTCTGTCTGCTCACCTACCATCGGCACCATGTGACCAGAACCCATGCCATTGGCTGCCAATTATGTGGTATTTGCATATTCATTAGATGACAGGACTAGGGGAGGGACTTGGGCGAACCCTGGGAGTTGAAGTTTGAACCCAGGCAGAGGGTAAGGGGAAGTGTTACGGACCCTCGCTAGGATTCTCCTTTAAAGGACTTGGAAGCAGTTCGAATGATTAGTTCGGGTGGTTTAAATGGATTTTTCTGTCTCTCTTCAAAGATGGTGATTCGAAAAGAAGAGTGAATTTGAGCAACAGTTGTACAGAAGTACAGAAGCAGATGCTTGGACAGTTTGCACAGAAAATTCTTCGCTAACTGCAATCGATCAATCCTGCCAGTGGCGAAGACGAAAATATTTCAGAAGCAGCAAACTTCTTTCCTGGCAGGACGTACTCACATTCCTTTAGATCCCTCCCCCGTCTTGATCAGTATTTGTGAGTTGGTTGCTGGCCTTGCATTCCACATATATCTACTTAGAAAGGAAACTAAAGCTTAAACACAGTTACAGTTACCTAAACTGGCCTTTTGTATGCACAAGCTTCTTCAGTTTCACTAAGCTCTTTGAAACATTGGCCTGCCTGTGATAATTCCACCACTGTTCCCTCTGCGCAGCCTTTACACATGGAGGTTTGCAAACCTAGATTGTGATTCAACTCACATATTTATTTATTTATTTATTTTTATAAATAAATAAAGAGGATCTCGCTTGATCGCCCAGGCTGGAGTGCAGTGGCCCCATCATAGCTGCCTGCAGCGTCCAGCTCCTGGGCTTAAGCGATCCTCCCATCTCAGCCTCTCAAGTAGCTGGGACCACAGGGGCAGGCTCTCAACTCACATTTATTGAGTGCCTATGAAGAGCCAGGCACCCACGGTAGCCTTGTTTAATCTTTGAATTAATTATGGCAGATGGCATTGTATTCAATTTTCAGTAGAGGAAAATGCAGCTCCCTGAGGTTAGGGTAACAATTACGGATACTCTCAGGTCTGGCTCTGTGAAGAGACTCAGTAAGTGGCCAACCACACTTGATTGACTACTTCATATGACACAATTTTAAAAATTGGACTTGTGTATTCCTGGCAATTACTATTGACAATGTGGAATCCAGGACTTCAATGAGTTTGCAGTTTCATTGAGGAGAGATGATGACATATACATACATAATATTTTATATATTTTGGCCAGGCGCAGTGGCTCATGCCTGTAATTCCAGCACTTTGGGAGGCCGAGGTGGGTGGATCATTTGAGGGCAGGAGTTTGAGACCAGCCTGGCCAACATGGTGAAACCCCCGTCTCTACTAAAAATACAAAAATTAGCCGGGCATGGGAGCAGGCGCCTGTAGTCCCAGCTACTTGGGAGGCTGAGGCAGGAGAATCACTTCAACCCAGGAGACGGAGGTTGCAGTGAACTGAGATCACACCACTGCACTCCAGCCTGGGCAACAGAATGAGATAACATCTCAAAAAAGTATTTTATATATTTTATATACACTCTCTCTCTCTCTCTCTCTCTCTATATATATATGTATGTTCTGTGTATATGTTTCATATATTATATATGCACATTCAATAACATTCTCAGAGAAATACGATTTTAAAAGAAGTCATATGGCAGTATATGAATCAGGGACAAACAAGGATGCAAGTTAAAAAGTGCTATGGAAACAATGGTCCAGTCTAGAAATTCATAGGATTTCACGAACAAGGCACAAAAAGGGAAGAGAGGGAATCTGGGTTGGAAGGAATGATATGAACAAAAACTCAGCCAAAGATAGTACTATGTATGGTGCATTTCAGGCCATTCTGGTGGAAAGTAGGGAATTAATGAAGAAATAAGGATGAAAAAGATACTAGAAGCCCCCATTTCCATTCCGATACAAATGTCAGTGTAGAAGGGCAATGCCTACATGGGCTAGGGTACAAAAAATATAGGACTGTTGGGGGCAGTGTGTTAGTTTTCTACTGCTGTTTAACAAATTATTACAAATTTAGTGGCTTAAAACAACACAAGCATTTACTATCTCACAGTTTCCATGAGTCAGAGGTCTAAGTTTACCTGGGTTCTCTACTTAGTCTCATAAGTCTGCAGTCAACGTGTCAGCCAGGCTGTTTTCATCTGGAGGTTCACCTGGGAAAGAACTGGCTTCCAGGCTCATTCAGATTTCTGGCAGAATTCATTTCCTTGGGGCTGTTGCTGGTGACCAGAGGCCACCTTCAGGTCCACCTTCTGTTGCAGGTCTCTGCCATATGGCTTTCTCCATTGGCTGTTCACAACATAGCTGCTACTTCAGGGCCAGCAGAGAAATCTCTTACTCCAAGATGGAGCCTTATGTAATGTAGATAATCTCAACTAGAAGCAAGTCACAGGTCCCACCCACACTCAAGGAAAGAATATTATACAGGATGTAACACCAAGGATTGGAGATCATGGGGCCAGCTAAGAATTGTGCCTAATATTAGATAGGGATGGGATTATTAAGATGGGGATGTGATTATTTCCTGGAAACAAACTTTGCCTAGTTCACAGTTTTTATGAGATGGAATCTTGCTCTGTCGCCCAGACTGCAGTACAGTGGCATGATCTCGGCTCACTGCAACCTCTGCCTCCCAGCTTAAAGCGATTCTCCTGCCTCAGCCTCCTGAGTAGCTGGTACTAGAGGCATGTGCTACCATGCTCAGCTAATTTTTATATTTTGAGTAGAGATGGAGTTTCACCATGTTGGCCAGGCTGGTCTCAAACTCCTGACTTCAAGCGATCCACCCACCTCGGCCTCCCAAATTGCTGGGTTTACAGGTGTGAGCCACCGTGCCCTGCCTGTTAAAGTCAATTTTGAGTAATACTGTACAAACTTTCAGCCCACCGAATAAATGCATTGGGTTGACTTGTTGCTTAGACTAGCCTTTGGTTGAAGAATTACAAGATTTCCTATGAGGAGTTTATATTTTATTTTGTGAATATCTATATGTGTATGTGTGTATGAGAGAGGAGAATAAGGACTGCTGAGCCATGATATACCCCAGTTTACAAATGGTATTTTAAGATGACATTAAAATATCTCCTTTATACTTTCCTCCCAACTTTTCAATGAGTGTGCCTTACTTTTATAATCAGAAAAGGGGCTATGTTAAAAATTACATTAAAAGAATTGTAAAAAGTTCTTCCAACTTGAATATTACTGAGACAATTTTCAAAAACGGCTTACCAGCATTAGTGAAACACAAATAGTCTCAGTCACACAATGCTCCTGTGGTCAAGGATATGCATGGTGCCACAGAGTGACCTTCTAGGGACAAGATATTCTCCCCATGCAGGTGAATGCCTTTTAATTTTTTTTTTTTTCTAACAAGACATGTTATTGATTTTTTCTGGCATAAATGCAAATGGAATTGAAATGATGTCAACATAGAATTGAAAAATATTTGTGTCTCAGTATAAACTACAAAAATGGCAATATACAAAAAAAAAACAAAAAACAAAAACAAAAATGATGTAACGGATTTATGGGCTTATTCAGATTAAACCAATCCCCAAGCTGTCACCAAGAACCTTCTCTTCATCACTTCCTGGAGGAAAGTAAGTTCTGTATTATGCTAGAAATTGTGTAGACTTCTCCACTGTGTTTCTTTGGCATACATCAACACTAAACCATACAAAGCCCTTTCTACATCTTTCTCTGCTACAGAACATCAGCCTCTTCGTGTTATAGGTTATTTCTGCCATGGGTTTGTTTCTTGCACTAGAATGTAAACTCCTTGAGAGCAGCTAGAGCCTATAACCAATGCCTGGTGCAAAGTACTTGCTCCATAAATGGTTATTGAAAGAAATTGTCAAATGTGCTGTGGTTTTCATTCTTTCATCATCTTTCCAGGTGCTTGGGGTATTATCCTGTAGCTCCTTTCCTAGGGTTACCCAGCCCTCCTGTGTTGCCCCCTGCCTGCCATCTTTCATGGGAGCAGGGTGGTAGACCCAGCTCCCCTGTCCCTGTGGATCCCGGGCCATTTGGATTTGGGCTCCAGGAGGCCCCTTCAGGCCAAAGCATTGAACTGACAGTCCTTACTGCTTACCCAGAACCCTGGCAACTTCCCTTTTGTTCTACTCATGCTTCCTTATGAAATGGCTCTTTCTGGGGCCACTGCTCACTGTTTGTCTCCTTCAGTCAAATCCTCTTTCCAACTGCTCCCAAATTTCAGCCTCTATGGCCTGCATTAACCATCCTATCTTCTTTTCAATTTTCTCACTTTTTTTCAACTTGTGAGCTCTTGAAAAGAGTTTCCTCTTTCCTCTTCAAGTCCTTGCTCTTCATATACTGCTCTCCTGGCCTTCATTCTGTTCACATAAATGTCCACAGACTTTGCCCCATGTTTACATTTTATGTTGTGGTGTGGTCCACCACCATACAGCTGATGCTTTGTTTTGGTGAGAGTCAGTTTGATTTTTCACTCTCCTAAGTTTTGTCACCTCTTGTCTTTAAGCAGTCCCTAATCACTATATTTTTATTTTTATTTTTGAGACAGGGTCACACTCTGTCACCCAGGCTAGAGTACAGTGGTGTGATCACAACTCACTAGAACCTCAACCTCTCTGGCTCAAGTGATCCTCCCACCTCAGCCTCCTGTGTAGTTGGGACTACAGGTGCTTGCCACCATGCCTGGCTAATGTTTAATTTTTTTTATAGAGATGGGGTCTCACTATGTTGCCCAGGCTGGTCTTGAACTCCTGGATGCGACCAATCATCCCAACTCAGCCTCCCAAAATGCTGGGATTATAGACATAAGCCACCAGGCCTGGCCCTAATTACTACATCTTGACAAAAAGACCTTACTTAACCTGGTTACTACTCCCTCCCAAAGCCCACCTTTCATGGTTTAGAGGGCAGTAAAATCTCCCTGTCTGGTTTCTCCACCACCCTGTGTCTCCTCAAGCCCATGTAATCTGGTTTCTTTCCCTGCACTCCATGGAAACTGCCCAGAGGTCCCCAATGGCCTACTTCTGGCTGGCCAAGTCCAATGGTGTGTTCTGTATGTCCTTTGTTGATTGCAGAGCTTGTTACATGCCTTCCTGAGCTCCTACTCCCAACTACCTTGTTTTTCATCTCCTGCAATTTCACCTGGGGTCTTTCTACACCTTGGACCATTTGTTTCCACCTTCACTGACTCTTAAACTTAATCTTTGTCTCACTCCATGGCTACCTCCTTTCCTCTCACTGTCTCCACAAGGACTGTGTTATTTCCACAATCTTTGTTCATTTAGTCATTCTTTCTTTCTTTCTTTCTTTTATTCAAATACTTCTTGGGTGGACCTTCTATATGATGGGCAATGAGTATGCATGTGGGAAAAAGGGAAACAGCATATTGTAGTGGTTAAGAGCTTGGATTTGGGGGTTCAAATTCCAGCTCTGCCATTTACCAGCTATGTGACCTGGGACAAGTTTACTTAACCTCTTTCTGCCTCAGCTTCATCATCTGTATAATGGTAATAATAATAATAATAATAATAATATTTCTTTGGATTGTATTAATGATTAAATGAATGAATACTTATTCTTTTATTTATTTTTTTGTAGAGACATGGTCTTGCTATGTTGCCCAGGCTGGTCTCAAACTCCTGGGCTCAACCATTCCTCCCGCTTCAGCCTCCCAAATGTTGGGATTACAGGTGTGAGCCACCATGCCCAGCCCATGAAGAGCTTAGAGAAATGCTAAGCACAGAGTAAGCTCTATTTCTGTTAAATAAAAGCAGGAATAGATATAGTTCTGGCCCTTGTAGAGCTTACATTCTAGTGGGGAAAATAGTCAAAAGAATACATATGATATTATATTGAGTGCTATAAGAGAGGAAATACAGGGTGTTATGGAAGCACCAAGAAGGAAAGTATATTCTAGAGGGGGTGGATATGTCAGGGGGGCATACAGAGAAGTTTCTTATAGAATCTGACTTTGCTTAGGAATTAGCCTGGTGAAGGAGGCTGGTGGGGGTTGAGGAATAACACAGGGAAGGAGGAAGACTGTCCCAGGCAGGAAATGGGGATGTGGATGAGATGGTGAGAGAGACTGACAGACACCCCTTGGAAAAAAAGGAAAGTTCTGTATGACTGTAATGCAGAAGAGCTGGAGTAGGGGAATAGGAAGAGGGGAGAAATGGATAGAAATGAGTTTGAAGAGGTGAGCCGGAGCCAGATCATGCAGGGCCTAGTTGGCCCTGTAAGGAGTTGAATTTTATTGTGGAGACAACAAGGAACCATTGAATGATTCTCAACAGATCAGGTTTCGGTGATATCATTCTATCTTCAGCACAGAGAATGGGTTAGATGAGGACAAAAATGGAATCCAGAAGACAAGTGAGGAGTCTATTTCTGTAATTTAGGTGGGCTGAATTGTAGTGGTGACAAGAGGGTGGAGAGAAGTGTATGGGTGCCAGGTACATTTAGACGGTAGGGTAGTCAGGTCCTAGCCATTGACTGAACATGGGGTGTAGGGAAAGGGAGGAGTTAAGGGTGACCAGCATTCCGGCTTGGGCGATAGGGAAATTGTGGGGCTACTCACTGAGACAGAAGACAAAAGAAGAGATGCATTTTGGAGCAGGTGGAGGCTATTCAACAAATATTTTTTAAGCAGTGCCAGGCATTGTTCCAAGATCTAGATACATAGGCCAAGATTCCCTGTCTTGGCGCATTTATAATAAATAAACAAGTAAATATCTAGTATGTCAGATGGTGATAACTACCATGGAAGAAATAAAGTCAGGTAAAAAGTTAATCTTTGTGCAGGGGGGCAAGGTGAGTTTGACTTGTCTGTGGGCCACCCATGTAAAAATTACTAGGAAGCAAGCTGGCTGAGTAAAGTATAAAAATAAGCCTTGAAGAAGGCAGAAGCTTCCCAGACAGATTTTGTGGGAATACACTACAGTTGTGAGTGCTTCTTTTTTTAAGCACTAACTATGTACAAGGCAAAGGCCTTGGCACTTTGCGCATCTTATCTCAAGGCATCAACCTTGTGAGGTAGGGCCTGCTATTTTTCCCAGGTGAAGGTGAGGAAACTGGGGTCCCTCCGCTGGTCAGTTGCCTGACCCCCCAGCCCAAGCTCTTTTTCTCCACTCTGCAGGAACAATACCAGAGCGAGAGGGTATGTGCTGGGTGTCTAAGAGCCCAGAAATGCATTAGAAGAAGCCCAGCATGGAACCAGCTCACTGGCAGAGAAGCACAGGAAACCCGGGCACTGCCCTGCAGGAGAGCAGGATGCAGAGGGGCCAGAGAGAGGATGGTGCGAGTGAGTCATCCAGGCATGAAGACTGGGCTCCCTCAGCCCGCAAAAGACTGGCCTTGGATAACCCATCTTGTAGGACTGTATGGGACCTGAATTTGCTGTGATGTGCCTACGGACACTTGTTCTACCCATGCTCAGGAAATCCCCTTTCTGAAACCTGATGAGAGAAGGGCTGATGAGGGGTGAGGGGTGATGGCAATGTTGGGGTGCCCAGAGAGCTGAGGTGAGATCCAAACATCTGTTGATCAAGGGCAGCCAAACGCCTAGCACAATCCTTCTTAGTGGCTCCCTTCTGCCCAGGGCCCAGGCACAGCAAGTTATATGGACATTTATAGACTTGGTTACTCTGAGAGGTGGTGTAGGCTAAAAATAAAAATAGCTGATGATGAAAGTTGGCCCAGGGCAGCCCGCACAAAGCTCCCCAGCGAGTCTTGCCACTTGGGTAACTTCCTCTCACAAGTCAGGGTGTTGGAGCCTCTGGGCTGAGGCCCTGGAATCTTGGTCTTTCCCCTTCACATTTTCTGTGGTGTTCTCCTCATACCTCACCACCCTGAAGCCACTGCCCATGCCTCCTGTGGAACTCACAGGCAAGAGGGTCATTATTCTGTGTGTGGAACACCAGGGATGTACACAGTGCACAGAGAGTGAATTCTAAGCATGGTGGTGGGGAGGACCTTGCCACAGCCAGCTTCTGCCTCTCTTGCCTCCAGAAAACTAGATGCTTCTGTCTCTTTCCTCCTCCACATCCACAGACCATCAAGTACTGTTGAATTTCTACCTTCTATATCACTTAAATTCATCCCCTCACTGCTTTTCTCCTGGCTGGGTTCTTTGCATCTTATTTAGTCCATAGTACTAACATGCCTTTAGTTTCCCTTTTAACTTCTGGGGAGGATTAGTATTGTGAAAAATCCTTAAACAGCTTCTGTACCAAGACATTTCCACTGACAAAAAAGAAACATTTTGATTCTTGCTAAAGCATAAGTTTCATCATTCTTCCCTCCTCTCCTTAAGGCTATGTTTTCTAAATGACAACATTTAAACTATGTTTGAACATGTCCTTTATTTTATTTTATTTTATTTTAACTTTTATTTTAGGTTTGGGAGTACATGTGAAGGTTTGTTATATAGGCAAACTCATGTCACAGGAATATGTTGGACTAGGCCTAGGATCTAATGGTTATTTTTTCTGCTCCTCTCCCTCCTCCCACCCTCCACCTTCAAGTAGGCCCCACTGTCTGTTGTTCCCTTTTTTGTAAACAGGTCCTTTAAAATGTAACAATAGTAAAATCATGTTTTTACTTAGGTGTAGTGAGAACCGCCATACCTAGCTTATTTGTCATAAATAACTTAATTTTCCCAATTTTGCCTGTTTCCCTTCTACCAATGGAGAATGAAGAACTATTGATAGCAGAGCTGGCTGGCCTTGTAGGGCCACAGAAATCACTTACTTAGTGTTCAGTTCATCAGATATTTATTTAGGCCTGCTCTACTTGACACTTTGCTAAATGCCTGGGGTGAAAAGATAAACAGGACATGGCTTCTGCCTTGATGAGCTTCTATTCCACTGGGGAAGGCCAGAATAGAAACAGATATTTTCAATACAATGTGGGAAACGCACAAGGTTCTATGTGAGCACAGAAGGGTAGGACTTAGCCAGTCATCAGGGAAAGCCTCCTGGAGGAGGTGGTATCTGAACTTGACCTGAAAGGAAGAATTCGTGATGAAAAAGAGAGGCAGTTGAGGCCGGGTGTGGTGGCTCACACCTGTAATCCCAGCACTTTGAGAGGCCGAGGTGGGTGGATCACTTGAGGTCAGGAGTTCGAGACCAGCCTGGGCAACATGGTGAAACCTTGTCTGTATGAAAATACAAAAATTAGCAGGGTGTGGAGGCAGGAGAATCACTTGAACCGGGGAGGCAGAGGCTGCAGTGAGCTGAGATCATGTCACTGCCCTCCAGCCTGGGTGACAGAGTGAGACTTGGTCTCAAAAAAATGAAAAAAAAAAAAAGAAAGAAAAAGAGAAGCAGTTGTCTTCCAAAATAAAGGGACTAGTAGGAGCCAGGGTCTGAGGCCTTGAAACAGATTAATGTGTGTGGTAGCCCCAACTAGTGGTCTGCTCAGGTGCTCTTTATTGGCCAGTGCACCCATCCCACAGCTGCTGTGAATGTCGGCTGCCCCCTTCCCTTCTCTGGAAAGTTCTCCTCAAGAATGGGAGCCTCTTTGGCACCAAGTCATATCCCCCTCGCCGTCTCCCGCAACCTGCAGCCAATGACTGCCTAACAAAGATGGGACCATTTAAAGTATATGGGAGGATGAGCGTAGATGATATGCAAATATTGCCATTTTATATAAGATGGGATCATCTTTGTGGTGCCATTCATGATTTCCAGATTTGGGGAAGTAGCCGAACCCTCTCTCTAAGTGAGTCCACATTCTTGCTTAGGTTCCTCCCCTGCCCTATCCTGCTTCCCTCACCCACTTCTTCCTAAAACTCTCCTGTAGTAAATTACAAGGACCTGAATCCCTGCTTCTAGAGAACCTGACCTCAAATAGTATGTTCAAAGAACTTCCAGACATTTGGCATACCTTGTACTTAAGGTGTGAGTTAAGGAATAGTTGGAAGATGAAACCCAAGAATTCAGCAAAAAGCCAGATCATAGAGGACTGTGTATGCCATGTTAAAGACTTTTTGAGTCTTTTTAATGTTTATATTGAGCCTTTTAAAGATTAAAGCACCCTTCCTCAAATCATGGTCCCCCCTTAACAATGTAGCTTCCCCACCTTTAGTGAGTTATTTATTTAGGTTAAGGCATTGTGGGCTGCTGGGTTCCTTAGCCAAATGCCTGTCTTTCTCGAAGTGATAATTCATTAAGCCATGAATAGTCGAATTCACCTTAAAGTATGATACAGTGTAACAGATTCATTTTTAAAAGATGGCCATACCTATACATTTATCCCACCCCACATGCCCTTACAATGTAATGTGACTAACACTCTTCCCACTGGGAGGTGGGGTCTGTGTTTCCCACTCTCAAATGTGGGGAAGGGGGCTTATAACCACACTGGTCCATGGTGTACAGTGGTGGCAATGCTGCGTGATGTCCAAGGCAAGCTTCTAACAGGAAATATGGCTTCCACCTGGATCTCTCTCTCTCTCTCTGTCAGGATGCTCTCCTTTGGAACGCAGCCACTATGTTGTGAGGAAGCCAGACCACATGAAGAGGCTCCATGTTGATGTTCTGGCTGACAGTCCCAGCTAGGCCCCTAGCTGACACCTGTCACCAGCCTGACATCAGTTGTGAGATAATGTGAGTGAAAGAGCCATCAGATGATTTCCAGCTCTCAGCTTTTGGATCTTCCAGCTGAGGACACAGACATCATGAGACAGAAACAACTTTTCCTTGCTGAGCCTAAGTCTGAATTCCTGATCTACAGAAGCCATATAAATAATAGATGATTATTGGTGTTTTAAGCCACTAAGTTTGAGGGTAATTTATTTTGTAACAGTAGGCAACTAATATATCTTTCTAGGCTCTGAAGTCATGATTTTCCTTTTAAAATCAGCTCCTCTGGCTTCCCTACTCAGGTTAATGCTATCTCCAAAGCTCTTTGAGTGAGCTTTTTTTAACTCACCCTTATCTCTGTGCTTACATAGAATTAGTTGTCAGGTCCTATGGTTTTTCCTTTCTGTAGTGTCTCTGCCAACTATCCTTGTCCTTGGTACATGCCTTTCTCCAGATTAAACTAAGGCTCAGCTCTAATTGTTTACATACTCCTGCTCTAAAACTGTCAACTTTCACAAAAACACAACTTCCACATGGAATTTCATATATCTATTCCAAATTTATATATTCTAAACATATATATCCTGAATATATATATATAGCTACAAAAAAAATGCTTTGCTTATTCATTGTAACAAATTCAGAATTGTGATTATACAGATGTGTAACCAAAAAAATAAATGTCTCACTCATCAGAGGTAATTACTGTTAACATTTGATATGTTATATTCCAGGCATTTTTCTAGGTGTGAGTATGTGTGTATTCTAGGTATGTAGGTATATGTCTATATACATACATGTCACAAACATTTTTACAAAAATAGGACCATAGCTCACATACTGTTCTGCAATTTAGTTTAGGGTTTTCTTTTAACCATATATTACTTCCTGGATATCTTTTTATGGCAGCACATGCAGATCTACTTCATTCATTCAAAAAGTGGTATAGTATTGGACCATCATTTAAGTCTTTCAAAAGGATACTGATTACATAAGTAATAATATACAATTGGCTATCCATTTCCATGGGTTCCACATCCACTGATTTAACCAACCACAAATGGAAAATATTTTAAAAATAAGAGTACAACAATAAAAGTAATGCAAATTTTAAAACAATATAGTATAGCAATTATTTATATAGCATTTACATTGTTTTCATTATTGTAAATAATCTAGAGATGATTTAAAGTATATGGGAGGATGAGCGTAGATGATATGCAAATACTGCCATTTTATATAAGGGACTTGAGCATCCTCCAACTTTGTTTTCTGAGGGAGTCCTGGAACCAGTCCCCTGCGGTGGGACACCAAGGGACAGTTGTATACATACAATATAATACCATGCAATCATTAAGGTAGACAAGGTAGATATTTAAAGCATTGACACAAAAGGATCTTCAACATATTAACTAAAAAAGACAGAAGGTATAGTATGATTCCATTTTTGTATATGTGCATAAAATATCTGGAAGTATATATACCACAGTGTTAACAGAAGTTATTTCTGGGAAGTACAAGAGTCTGTGAATAACTTTAATTTTTTTCTTTGTTGTTTGAATTTTTTAAAAAGCTGTCAGTAGGGAAATTTTCCATTTTGCAAAACATTGGATAAATGATGTAAATGTTAGAAATGTGCTACACATAGATAAAATGAAGAAGGAACAACATGGGAGAAACGATGAGAAAACAGTTAGAAATCTGCAGTTGACACAAATTCACATCTGTTAACTGTGGGAACTAACTACAGATACATAATTAGACTTGAAATCGAATAGACTTTACAAATAGACCATTTCCTAATGTTTAACACAACAGAAATACACTTAATTGCTCCTTGACAAACAGGTGTAATAAATTAAAATTCTGGTTAAATTAACTCCAGTCTAATCAACTACCAAAACAAAGAGATATTTGAGAAAATAACAATTTTCAATTAAAAGAGAAAAAGCTTTCATTGGCTTCTCATCACTTAAGGCTGTTTCCCAAATTTGCCTGAACATCAAAATCACTCCAGGAAATAGAATGGAGATTTCTCAAAGACTGAAAGTAGATCTACCATGCATTTAATCCGGCAATCCCACTACTGGGTATCTATCTAAAGGAAAAGAAGTCATTAATGAAAAAGATACCTGCACACATACATTTATCGCAGCACAATTCACAGTTGCAAACATGTGGAACCAACTTAAGTGCCCATCAACCAATGAGTGGATAAGTAAAATATAGTATATATTGTGTATTTATGGAATACTACTCAGCCATAAAAATAATGAAATAATGTATTTTGCAGCAACTTGGATGGAATTGGAGGCCATTATTCTAAGTGAAGTAACTCAGTAATGGAAAACCAAAATGCTGCTGTATGTTGTCACTTACAAGTGGGAGCTAAGTTATGGGTACACAAAGGCATACAGAGTGGCATAATGGACATTGGCGACTCAGAAGTGGGGAGGGTAAAAGGGGGATGAGGGATAAAAAACTACATATTGGGTACAATGTACACTACCTAGGTGACAGGTGCACTCAAATTTCAGACCTCACCACTGTACAAGTAATTCATGTAGCCAAAAACCGCATGTAGCCCTAAATCTACTGAAATTAATTTAAAAAAAAAACCACCAACAAAATCACTCCAGGTATTGTTAAAACAAACAAACAAACAAAAACAGATTATAAGTATCACTCTTAACCTAAATCTGATCACAATCCAAGATCTAAATCCTCACTGGAGGGGTCTGGAACTCTACATTTTTAGCAAGTTCTCAGGTGATTCTTCTGCTCAGAAAAGTTTAGAAAACATTAACTTAAAGAAATAATTACAAATCCTTTACCTGGACTTTAAAAATCTCAATCATTCCTGTCAACATTTGCAACTTCCTGTGAGGTATAATGCTGCGTTGTTTCAGTTACTGGGATATATTGCATATCACCTGAGAGGGATTTTTTTTTATCACAACAAAATTCACATACCATAAAATTCATCTTGTTAAATAATACAATTCAATGGTGTCTAGTATGTTCATAAAGTCATATAACCATCACAACTCTCTAAGTCCAGGATATTTCTTCACCTCCAAAAGCAAACCACTCCATAGCCACTAGCGGTCATTTTCTATTTCCCTCTTCTTAGTCAGTTTTCTGTTGCTTATAACAGAATGCCTGAAACTAGGTAATTTATTTTAAAAAGGAATTCATTTCTTGCAGTTATGGAGGCTGAGAAGTCCAAGGTTGAGGGACTGCATCTGGTGACAGCCTTCTTGCTGGTGGGCACTTTCTAGAGTCCCAACATGGCAAGGTGACTGAGCATGCTAGCTCAAGTCTGTCTTCCTCTTCTTATAAAGCCACTAGTCTCGGCTGGGCACAGTGGCTCACACCTGTAATCCAAACACTTTGGGAGACCAAGGTGGGATGATCACTTGAGGCCAGGAGTTTGAGATCAGCCTGGGCAACATAGTGAGACCCCATCTCTACAAAACATAAAAAACTGAGCCAGGCATGGTGACATGCACCTGTAGTCCTGGCTACTTGGAAGGCTGAACTGGAAGGATTACTTGAGCCCAGGAATTGGAGGCTGCAGTGAGCTCTAATCCCATCACTGCACTCTAGCCTGGGTGACAGAGTGAGAACCTGTCTCTACAAATAGATAGATAGATAGATAGATAGATAGATAGATAGATAGATAGATAGATAGAGCAAGCCACTAGTCTCACTCCCATGACAACCCATTAATCCATTAACCATTTAATCCATTATTGTATTAATCTACTCATGATGGGAGGGCCCTCATGATCCAATCGCCTCTGAAAGGCCCCATTTCTCAATACTACCACTTTGAGGTTAAGTTTCAACATGAGTTTTAGATAAGACATTCAAACCATAGCATCCCCCCAACACATACAACACTACCAGCCCTGACAACCACTAGTCTAAGTTTGGGCTCTATGGATTTGCCTATTCTAGACATTTCATGTAAATGGAATCATATACTATGTGACCTTTCATGATTGGCTCATTTCACTTTACATATGTTGTCAAGGTTCATCCATGTTGTAGCATGTATAATATTTCATTTCTTTTTATGGTTAAATATTCCATTGTATAAATATAACATATTTTTGTTATCTATTCATTAGTTGATGGATATTTAGGTTATTTCCACTTTTTAGCTATTATAAATAACTCTGCTATGAACATTCTTGTCTGGGAAACTTTTAAAACTACAGAATTCCCAGGTCTCACTCCACACCAACAGAATCAAAATATCTGGGGGGTAGAGAATGGGTAGTGCTTGGACATTCTTTAAAAAAAAAAAAAAAGCTCACCAAATGACTCTAATAAGCAGTCAAAGTTGAGAATCATTGAGCTAAATATCTTAAGGCAGTAGTCTTAAAATGTGATCCTTAAACAGCAGTATTGGATAGGATTTGTTAGAAATACAAATTCCCAACCCCCACCCACATTTACTCAATCAGAATATCTGGGACATGAGCCCAGAAATCTGTTTAAACAAGCCCTCCAGGAAATTCTGATGCACACTCATTTGAGAACCATTGTGCATCACATTAACATCTTAAAATCCCCCAAATTCTGAATTTCAAAATAAATTTGGAGACTTCCATATACAGAAAGATAGAGTAGACATTCTTCCCCCCACCACCACTATTCTTCCCACTAAGTACAGCTAAACACTTTGGACTTCAAAAAATAGAACAAGCCAGGCACGGTGGCTCACCCCTGTAATCGTAGCACTTTGGGAGGCCAAGGTGAGATGATCACTTGAGTCCAGGAGTTTGAGACCAGCCTGGGCAACACAGTGAGATCCCGTCTCTACAAAAAAAAAATAGCTGGTTATGGTGGCACATGCCTGTAGTCCTAGGTATGTGGGAGGCTGAGGTGGGAGGGTCGCTTGAGTCTCAGAGGTTGAGACTGCAGTGAGCCATGATCATGCCAATGCACTCCAGCCTGAGTGACAGAGCGAGACCATGTCTCAAAATATAAATAAATAAAACAAACATAAGACACTGAAAAGTGGAGAGAAGGTGGCAAATAAGGTAGGGACCTTGATGGTAAGTTTCCTTTTTGCCTCATATATCCCAGACTGAGTACTGGGGAAACTGATAACCCCAAGTACCAAAAGGTGTAGACAAAAAAGCCCCAAGGAAAGCCTGGTCTCTTTAGCTAGAGGACAAGGAAAGGGGCAATCTAGCAAGAGTGGAAACTTTCAGGTAATAACTGCTCTACTCCAGCCAAACCCCATAGAAAATACTGTGGCATTAATGAACCCAAGCAAGTAAATTCCTAGTAGGGTGCCTAGACTTCCATCCTTAACAGGCTGTAAAAAGGTGCTCCAGTGTACCTTCTAGGGTGGTGGCAGAGGAGGCCTAGTGGAGAGTCAGGACTTCATTACTACCCAATGGAAAATAATCCACTGCACACTCCTATACCTGCCCTGTGTCAGTGACTCCAGATGAAGAGCTGTACTAAGGCATTCTAACCCCTCCCAAACAGTTGGGTATAAAGGAGACCATATGAGAACCCAAAACTGCCAACGCTTCACAGCAGTAATGACCCCACTGCCCCCAACAGTTATCAATGGAGGCCAACTGGTGAGCCTAGACTTCTTCCATCTGTCAGTAAGAAGGCTGTGTCTCCCCTTTCCCTGCTAAAACAGTGTCATAGGAAACCAGCTAAAACCAAAGGTTTAAGTAAGAGCCAAAGTCTCTGACATAATATAAGAATGTCCAAGATTCAATAAAAACTCACTTGTTACACAAAGAACCAGAAAGATCTCTAACAATGAAGAAAGACAATCAGTAGATGCCAACTACTGTTGATGACAGAGATGTTAGAATTAGCCAAAAAATATTTTAAAGGCGTTATTATAAAAATACTTCTAGAAGGGCCAGGCATAGCGACTCATGCCTGTAATCCCAGCACTTTGGGAGGCTAAGGTGGGAGAATTTGTTAAGCCCAGGAGTTCAAGACCAGCCTGGGCAATATAGCAAGACTCTGTCTCTACAAAAATTTTTATTGAAAAATTAGCTGGCTGTGGTGGTGTAAGCCTGTTGTCCGAGATACTTGGGAGGCTGAAGCAGGAGGATTGCCTGAGCCCAGGAGTTCAAGGCTGCAGTGAGCCATGATCACATCACTGCACTCCAGCCTGGGCAACAGAGCAAGATCCTGTCTCTAAAATAAATACATACATACATACAACATATGCAGCCATAAAAAAGAAGAAGACCATGTCCTTCATAGCAACAAAGATGGAGATAGAGGCTATTATCTTAAGCCAACTACCGCAGGAACAGAAAACCAAATAATGTATGTTCTTACTTATAAGTGGGGGCTAAACATTGAGAACACATGGACACAAAAAAGGAAACAACAGACGCTGTGGCCTACATGAGAGTGGAGGGTGGTAGGATGGAGAGGATCAAAAAACTACATATTGGGTGCTATGCTTATTACCTGGGTGACAAAATAATCTGTACACCAAACTCCTGTGATATGCAATTTACCTGCATAACATGCCTGCACATGTACCGCTGAACCTAAACTAAAAATTAAAATAATAGAAAATATCAGAAAAAAAAGATGTAAAGAGGAAACAAAATTGAAACTTTAGAGTTGAGAAACACAAAAATGAATCTAAAATATTTAATGGATGGCCTAACAACAGAATGGACAAGACAGAGGAAATAAATCATTGAAGTTGAAAATAGAGCAATAAAACCTTCCCAATTTGTATAACAGAGAGCACATAGATAGGGAAAAATGAACACAACCTCAGAGACATGTGAGACTGTAACAAAAGATCTAGCATTCATGTCAACTCCCCCTGAGTCTCAAACGAAGAGCTGAAAAAAGTATTCAAAAAATAATGAGTAAAATTTCCAAAATTTGACAAAAGAAATAAACATACAAAATCAAGAAGTTGAGCTAACCCAAATGGGATAAACCAAAAGATATCCAGGCCTAGACAAATCACCATAAAAATTCTGAAAACTAAATAGAAAAAGGAAAATTTGAAATCATGAAGGGAGAAATGGCGTTTTACAGATGGGGAAGACAATTCAGATAATTATGATTTTCTCATTAGAAACCATAGAGGACAGAAAAAAAGTGACCTAAGTGCTGAAAGAAAAGAACTATCAATCCAAAATTTTATATCAAGCAAAAATATCCTCCAAGAATGAAGGTGAATTCAAGACATGAATCTTCACATGAAGATTAAGGGAATATGATGCCAGTGAGGAAAAATGGTTCATGAACTTCTATACGCAGACAAGAAATAATAACTAAAATAGTCTCAGATTATCAGGAAGAAAGAGTAATATGATGAATAAAAGTAGAAGCGAATACTGTAGATTTTTTTTCTCCTTTTGAATTTTCTGAATTATTTTTGATGGTTGAAACAAAAACAATAACACTACCCTGAACTCATTGTCAATATAGGCAAGGGGACTAATCAAGACAATTATATTATAAACGAGGGAAGGTAAAGGAATACAAAGAGAGATCAAGTTTCTATTTTTCCCCCAGGCTGGCGAAATAATGACATTAGTAGACTGTGATAAGTTATGTATGTATAATGTAATACCTAGAACAACCACTTAAAAGTTGTACAAAGAGATAAACTAATATAGAAAAATCAAAACTGAATTCTAAAACAATGTTCAAATAATCTACAGAAAGGCAGGAACAGAGAGGATCATTATATAATGATAAAAGAGCCAATCCACTAAGAATCCTAAATGTGTATGTACTGAACTGCAGAGCTGAAAAATTTGTGAACCGAAAACTGATAGAACTGAAAGGAAAAATAGGTCCACAGTTGCAGTTGAGACTTCAACACCCCTCTCAACAAGCGATAGAACGACCACACAGAACATCAGCAAAGCCATAAAAGAGCCCAACAACACCGGTGTTGATCAACCAAAATGATCTTATCGATATTTATAGAATACTCTATCCAACAACAGCAGAATGCATGTTCTTTTCAAGCACCCATGGAACGTAATACCAAGATACACTGTATTCTGGGCCATGAAACAAACCTCAACAAATTTAAAAGAATTAAAAGTGCTCAGGGTTTATTCCCTGATACAATGAGATTTAACTAGAAATTAGTAAGAGAAAAATAACAGGAAAATTTCCAAACATTTGGAAACTATATAGCACATTTCTAAATAATCCATGGATCAAAGAAGAAGCCTCAGGGAAATAAAAAATACATTGAACTAAGTTAAAATGAAAATACAACATACTATAATTTATGGTATCTCACTGAAGTAGAGTTAAAGAGAAAATGTATTGTACTAAATGTTTGCATTAGAAAAAAGGATCAAATCAATAATCTAAGCTTCCACCTTAAAGATCTAGAAAAAGAAGGGCAAAACAAAGCCAGCAAGGAGAAGGATAGAAAAAACAAAGAGCAGAAATCAATGAAATTGAAAATAGAAAAAAGTACAGAAAATCAATGGAAAAAAAACTTGCTTCTTTGAAAAGGTATATAAAATTAACAAATCTCTAGCAATACTGAAAAAGAAAAAAAAAAGAGGTGACACAAATTACTAACACCAGGAATGAAACAAGGTATCACTACTGACTCTAGAGCCATTAAAAGAACATAAAAGAATACTATAAACAACTGTGCTTGCATATATTTGAGAACTTAGATAAAATGTATCAATTCTTTGAAAAGCACAAACTACCAAAAATCACTCAATGTAAAATAGAGAATTTGAATAGTACTATAATTATGAAGGAGATTGGATTTGTAATTTTAAATCTCCCTAAAAATACATCTCCTGGTCCAGTGGTCTCACTGGAGATTTTTACCAAGTGTTTAATGAACAATTCACACTAATTATCCACATATCTTCCAGAAAAGGGGAGGGGAATGCTTTTTCAACTCTCTTTATGAGGCCAGTTTTACCCTGATACCAAAGCCAGACAAAGTGCAAAAACAAAAAAATTCATGTAACTATATACCAATATCCCTCATAACATAGATGCAAAAATACTTTAAAATTAGCAAATAGAATTCAGCACTATGTAACAATTCTACACTATAACCAAATGGAGTGTACTCCAGAGATGCAAGGCTGGTTTGGTATTTAAAAATCAATCAATGTAATCAACCATATTAACGGGCTAAAGGAGAAAAACAACATTATTATATTAATCAATGCAAAAAAAAATTGACTAAATCCAACATCTTTTTGTGATTTTTTTAAAAAACCCTCAAAAATAGGAAGAGAGGGTAACTTCCTCAACTTGATAAAGAGCATCTACAAAAAAGAAAAAGGAAAAAAAAAGAGAAAAGAGAAAAAACAACCCCAACCTTTCACGTTAGCTGTATGTTGTTCAGCTAACATCATACTTAATGGGGAAAGAGCTAATGATTTGTTTTACAAAGATGCAAAAGCAATTCAATGGAGGAATGATAGCTTTTTCAACAAATGGTAATACTGTAATTAGATACCATAGGGAAGACATTAATCTTGGTCTAAACCTTATAGCATATGCATAAATTAACTCATGATCCCAAAAACATGACTTATAAAAGAAAAAAATTGATAAATTGGACCTCATCAAATTGAAAAACTTCTGCTTTGTGGAAGAACTTGTGAAAAAGATGAAAAAACTAGCTACAGACTGGAAGAAAATATTTGCAAACCACATATCTAACACAGTACTAAGTGTCTAGAATATATAAAGCATTTTTAAAACTCAACTGTAACAAAGCAAATAATTCAATTAGAAAACGAGAAAACCAAATGAGCAGACCTTTCACTGGAGACAATATACAAATGGAAAATAAGCCAATAAAAAGTTGTTTGTCTTGATCTGTTTTGTGCTGTTATAGCAGATTAGCTGAGATTGGGCGGTTTATAAAAAACAGAGATTTATTTCTTTTGATTTTATTTATTTTTAATTGATACATAATGATTTTACAAATTTCTAGGGTACATTTCTGGAGTCTTGGAAGTCAAAGTTTGAGGACCCTATGTCTTGTGAGGGCTTTGTTGCTGCATCATCCCATGGTGGAAGGTGGAAGGGCAAGAAAGCATGTGTGAGAGAGAGAGGAGAGAAGGGGGCCCAAACTCATCCTTTTATCAGGAATCCACTCCAATGATAACTAACCTACTTTCATGATAACTGCATTAATCCATTCATGAGGGCAGAGCTAGCATGGGCCTCATCATTTCTGAAAGGTCCCACCTCTCAATACTGTTGCATTGAGGAAGAACTTTTCAACACATGAACTATGGGGGACACATGCAAGCCATAGCATTATTCAACATCATTAATCAGTAGGAAAATGAAATTAAAACAATAATGAAATATCATTACAGTACACTTATCAGAATGGCTAAAATTAAAAGAAAATAGTAACAACACCAAATGCTGGTGAAGATGTAGAGAAACTAGTTCATTCATACATTGCTGGTGGGAATGTAAAATGGTATAGCCCCTGAAAAACAGTTTGGAAATTTATTAAAAACTAAACATATACTAATTATATGACCCATGATAAGTGCCATCACTGGGCATTCATGCCAGAGAAATAAAAATGATCTCCACACTAAAACCTGGCACTACCAGCTGGGCATGGTGACTCATGCCTGTAATCTCAGCACTTTGGGAGGCCAAGGTGGGCGGATCACTGGAGGCCAGGAGTTCGAGACCAGCCTGACCAACATGGTGAAACCTTGTTTCTGCTAAAGAAGAAAAAAATACCAAAATTAGCTGGGTGTGGTGGCACATGCCTGTAATCCCAACTACTCAGGAGGCCGAGGCAGCAGAATTGCTTGAACCTGGGAAGCAGAGGTTACAGTGAGCCAAGATCATGCCACTGCACTCCAACCTGGGCGACAGATGAGACCCCATCTCAAAAACAAAACAAACAAGCAAACGAACAAACAAACACAACAATAAAACATGGCAACATTAAGATGCAGTGCTCCAGACTAGGAAATGAGAATGGTGGTATGGGCCTGACCCTTTCTAGCCTGATTTCCACCTATTGAAGTTTTACCAATCCTTAAAATAATGTTTAAATATCAGAAATTTCTTATTTTCTACCTAAATACCTCTGCCATGGCACCCTCTTTACTGTACCATGACTTTCAGTTATTCATGTATAGCTTTTCTCTCCCCTACTAGGCTGTGAGGTCCTTGATTTACTCTTTCTTTACATACCCCACCACATCATCTAGAACAGGGCTTTGTACCCCCAGTTGGTGGGCGTGGCCAATTTCTAGGACGCAAGGTTCTGAGGCTGTAGTGTGCCTCAGAGCCATGCAGGATGCTTGTTTCAGTGCAGAAACATGGGCCTTATCCCAGATCTAAAGAATCAAAACTTCCATCTGTAGAATCCAGAAATCTGCATTTAACATGCTCCCCAGCAGATTCAGGCAATCAGAGGATCACAGGGCGAGAGCCTCTGGCTAAGGTTGAAGCTTTCAGGTGACAGTAAGGTCTTGTTAAAAGTTACAGATGTCCAAGTCTTATTGTATCTTGTAGTATTTTTTCTTATACAGCATCTCAACCTTGGCTACACATAAGAATCACCTTGGGAACTTTAAAACATTTGCATGCCCAGACCACACACCAGAGCAACTAAATCAGAATCTCTGGGGGAGGGCAGCCCAGCGTATCAGTATTTTTTAAACCTCCTCAAACAATTCTATTGTATAGCTATGGTTGGGAACCATGGTGAAAATAGAAAGGGTAGTAACATGATCAGAATTCACTCTAAAATAGCAAGAAGGCAGAGAGAAGCAAAGTGATCAGGCTGGGATGACACATCTTGGTACTTGCTAGGCCTTTAAGTGTGGAGGTGGAGATGGAGTAGGTAGAGCTACTGCTACAGATTGAGCCTTGGATTATCACTACAGTCCGGACATTATATTGTGTGGCACTTTTCTTATTTTGTTTATTTTCTCTTGCCTTCCACTAAAATGTGAACTCCATGGAGGCAGGAACTACCTTGTTCCCTGCTGTCTCCCCAACACACGGTGCTAATCAAGTATGTGTGGCATGAATCAAAAAGAATGAGTTACATTTGGGGACCATCTGCCTCAAAATTGCCTGGGGCACTCATTAAAACAACAGATGCCCTTCACTGTTGCACTATTGCTCTTCTTTCTGCTCTGTCCAGTAGAAAAAACATTCTCCACTAATGTTCCCTTTTCTTACTCGTTAGGCCAGCCTTCATAATCGTCCCAAATAAAACCCTTTCAAGCTAGTTGTAGGATGAGTGCATTCATTCATTCATTCGCCAAATATTTATTGGTGAATAAGCGCTAGACTCTGGAGAAACAGCATTCTAGTAGGGAACACATACAATAAACAAATGAACACACTAATAAATATATAACTATAAATGAGGATATGTTCTGCAAAAGAGAAGAATACAGTGTACTATAAGAATGAATAACAGGAAAACCGAACAGACTGGAGAATCGGGGATGGACTCTCTGAATAAATAACATTTCAGCAGATTTGCAGAATGTGGGACAGTTAGTTGAAGAGGGTCAGGGAAGAGCTTTCTGGGCAGAAGAAACAGGCTGGGTGAGTGTCTAGAGTCAGGAAAGAGCTTGGTGCTTTTGAACTGAAAGATGGGCAGAGTAGCTAGAACACAGTAATAAGTGGCAGAGTAGCTGGTGAGGAGGGCAGGACCCGTTCATGTAGGACTTTGTAGGACAGAGGAAGGAGCTTGGATCTCTTCCTAAATGTGAAGGGAAGCCTTTGGAAGGTGTAAGTATGGTAATGATATGCTCTGAGTGGTATTGCTGCTGTTTAGAGAGAAGACTGTAGCAGGGCAGGATTGTAAGCAAGGAGTCCACACGGGAGGCTCCTAGTGTACTTGAGTGGAGTAGTGGAGATGGGGAGTAGTGGACAGATTTAGTAGTGGATGGATTTTTGCTGGAGAAATGAGTCTTTTTCACCACAGCTGGTGACAGTCTCACTTCATTTCAATTTGAAAGAAACAAGTATCTTAGGTTAAACCAGTGACACATGGATTAATTCAAAGCATGATCTATCTATACATTGGTTTGTTAACTTACTTTTTGAGGTACAATTTAGTTCATTTAAAGGCACAGATCTTAAGTGTACAGTTTTATGGTCTTTGAAAAATGTATACATCTATGTTACTATTATCCAAATAACTCCAGAAAGTTCCCTCATGCCTTCTTCCTAACAAACCCTTCATAGACATCCCTGTTCTGAATAACCATTGGTTATTTTTGCCTGTTCTTGAACTTTATATAAATGGAATCATATTTTATACATTCTTTTGTGTCTGGCTTTTAAAACTCACCATAATGTTGAGATTCATTCAAAATTGTATATAACCGGAATGTATTTCTTTCTATTGCTAAATAACATTCCATTGTATGAATAATCACAATTTATTTATCAGTCTTTCTGTTAATGAACATTTGAATAGTTTCCTATCGGTTAACTTCCAGTCTGAATTGTTTCATTAGTAGACTAGGATACAGTTTCAATTTACCTTTTTTTTTTTTTCTGAGGCAGATTCTTCCTCTGTTGCCTAAGCTGGAGTGCAGTGGCACGATCTCGGGTCACTGCAACCTCCACCTCTTGGGTTCATGTGATTCTCCTGCCTCAGCTTCCTGAGTAGTTGGGATTACAGGCACACACCACCATGCCCAGCTAATTTTTTGTATTTTTAGTAGAGACGGGGTTTTGCCATGTTGGCCAGGCTGGTCTTGAACTCCTGACCTTAGGTGATTGACTCGCCTCAGCCTCCCAAAGTGGAAGTCCTCATAGTCTTGCTCTAGGTGTGTCCATCTCTAGAAAACAGATGATAAAAGTCAGCTAAATTATTACTAGAAAATGCATAATATGTTTTCTTTCGGAATGATAATTCTTAGATATGATAGTAATCCAGGTAAGTGATGAGGGCTGTGTCCCATTTGTAATTTTAATTTCATATTGAATTTAGGTATTTCTCAAAACTGGTAAAATAAACGTTAAAACTTTACATTATGCAAAACAAAAAAAGTTAATGAGAAAAGTGGCATTGTTTTGCATTTTTTGCAAATTTCTTCAATATCTAGAACAATAAAAAACAGCTGGATTCTCATATCTGTCTCTGTGTTCAATCAGTTGCCAAATGTTGTTTTGGTTGCAGTATGTGAAAGAGAATCAGAACTCACATAGATGCAGAGTTGGAACAAAGAGGAGTGCTTTATATTTTGAAGATAATTGTGGATATTCTTTGTTGATATGCACCAAAACTCAACAAATGGTAGTTTCTTTTCCTTGTTACAATTTTATTGAAGTATGGTGGACATATAATAAACTACTAATACATATATTTAAAGAGTATAATTTGATGTTTTGATATATATACATATATATGCAATACATAAATGCAAATATATATATATATATAGTGGCTGTGTAACAAATTACTCCAAAGTTACTGGCTTAAAACAATAAACATTTATTATATCACAGTTTCTGTGGGCCAGTAATCGAGCAGTGGCTTAATTGTGTGAGTGGTTTGGGCTCATGGTCTCATGAAGTTTCAGTCACAACCACAGCTGGGGCTGCATCCAAAGGCATGACTGAGGATGGAGGATTTGCCTTAAAGATGGTTCTCTTCCATGGTTATGAGCAGAAAGCCTTAGTTTTTTTGCTGCCTATTGGGAGCAGGTCTCAGTTTTTTGTCACATGGGCTTCTCCATTGCACTGTTTGAGTGTTCTCATACGTGGCAGCTGGATTCTAGAATAAGTGATCCAACACAGAATGCATTCAGTATGCTGCAGTGCTCTTTAGGACTTAATCTTGGATGTGAAATTCTGTAAATTCTGTCATATTTTATTCATTAGAAGTGAGTCACTAATACCAGCCTGTACTCAACAGGAGAAGTAAACTACGTCTCTTGAAGGGAGGTATATCAAAGAATTTGTGGAGATTTTTTTTTTAATGGAGTCTCACTCTGTTGCCCAAGCTGGAGTGCAGTGGCATGATCTCAGCTCACTGCAACCTCTGCCGCCCGGGTTCAAGCGATTCTCCTGCCTCAGCCTCCTGAGTAGCTGGGATTACAGGCACCTGCCACCACGCCCGGCTAATTTCTGTATTTTTAGTAGAGACAAGGGTTTAACCATGTTGGCCAGGCTGGTCTCGAACTCCTGCCCTCAAATGATCCACCGACCTCGGCCTCCCAAAGTGCTGGAATTATAGGCATGAGCCACCGTGCCCGGCTGGTCTTGAACTCCTGACCTCCCGATCCACCCTCTTGGGGCTCCCATTGCCACAATCAAGACAATGAGCATATCCAGCATCCGCCAAAGTTTCTTTATGACCCTTTATAACTTTATGACCCTTTATCCTTATGACCCTTTATAACCCTTATGACTCCCTTCTGACCCTCTCAGCTCCCCAACTGTTCCAGGAAACCACTGATATACTTTCTGTAACTATAGATTCATTTCTGTAACTATAGATTCATTTGCACTTTCTTGAATTTTGTACAAAATGAATCAATAGTTAAACTCTTTCTTGTTTGTCTTCTTTCACTCAGCATAATTATTTTGAGATTCATAATATGCTGTTGCATGTATTAATAGTTAATTCCCTTCTACTGCCAAGCAGTATTCAATTTTAAGAACATACAACAATTTAATTATCCAATCACCTGTTCATGGACATTTGGGTGGTTTCCAGTTTGGAAATATTACAAAGAAAGTTGCACATAAATAAAGACTTCATGTACAAGTCTTTATATGAACATATGTTTTCATTTTTCTTAAGTAAATACTTAGGAGTGAATGATTAGGTCATATGGTAGGTATATGTTTAAGTTTTTAAGAAACTGTAAAACTGTTTTCCAAAGTAGTTATGCCATTTTAAAGTCCCACCAACAGTGTATGAGTTCCAGTTGCCCTAAATCCTCACCAACATTTAGAATGATACATTTTTATAATTTTAGCCATTCTAATGAATGTGTTGTAGTATTCATTATTTTAATTTAAAATTAATGATGATTTTAGTTAATGAATAATGATATTGAGAAATTTTTATGTATTTATTTGTTATCCATATATATTCTTTGGTAAAGTGTCTGTTAAAATATTTTGCCATTTAAGAAATTGGATTGGGGGCTTCAAGATGGCTGACTAGAGGCACCTGGTAATCGCCTCCTCCACAAAGAAAAACCAAAACAGGAGTAGATAACCACGTGTTAAATAGAGCTTCTAAGAGAGAACACTGGAATTCCGCAGGGAAGGGACAGGGACCCTCTGAGAAAGAGAGGGAGGCAAAGCAGCTGGCTCAACCAAAATAGGCTCAGAACCAGGAGAAATTCCCTATCATGGGAAAAAGGTAAGCAAGATATCCTCAGGGGTACACATTACCACCATAAATTCCTGCAATCCTAGCCATGGGAGAGCCCCTTGGCATTCATGGGCCTTGAGCCTAGTATAGGGAACTGCATAGAGTGGCAGGTGGTGCAGGTCTGCCCACAGGAATCTCAATCGTGTATGCAAGTGCCAGCTGTGGTGAATGGGGCCAGGTGATCCCCAGGCCCCCAGATGACATGCAAAAGCACTGGTGGTGGCAGAGGTGGGGCATGCCTGTCCTCAGGCTCCAGGATGATGTAGGGGCAGGCCGGTCTGTAGTGTAAGTCTTCCAGCTTTGTTTTTCTTTTCAAAATTGTTTTGGTTACTTTGAGTCCTTTGCATTTCCATATAAATTTTAGAACAAGCTTGTTAATTTCTATAAAAATGCATGTTAAGATTTTGTCTAGAGTTGCCCTGAATATGCAGATCAATTTGGGGAAGATTGACATCTTAACAGTATTTATTCTTCCAAGTGATAAACACTCTTCCCCTCTTTAATTAAGTCTTTTAAAATTTATCTCAGCAATGTTTTGTAGTTTTTGGTGTACAGCTCTTGCGTTTTTTTGTCAAATTTATCCCTAAGTGTTTCATACTTTTGATGCTACTATAAATAATATTTTAAATTTTAATTCCTGATTGTTCATTCCTAGTATAGAAAAACATTGTATAATGATCTTATATCCTGCAACTAAGCTAAACTCACTTCTTAGTTTTAGTAACTTCTTTGTAGATTACACTGGATTTTCTCCATCATTTCTTCTGAAAATAAAGATAGTTTAATTTCTTCCTTTCTGATCTGGATGCTTTTTCTTTTCCTGCCTTAGTGCACTGGTTTGAATGTCCAGTACATTGTTGGATAGAAGTGGTGAGAGCACACGTCCTTGCTTTGTTCTTGATCTTAAGAGGAAAAACTCTAATTTTTCCTAATTAAATATGATGGTATATGTAGGTTTTTTTGTAAGTGCCCTTTATGTCCGGAAAGTTCCTTTTTATTCCTAGTTTGCTGAGAGGTTTGTTTTTAATTGGGAATAGATGTAGTATTTCCTTAAGTCTATTGAGAAAATGATATGTTTTTAGTTTTTTAATCCATTAATATGGTGAACTGAATTAATTTCCGAATGTTAAACCAACTTTGCCTCCCTGGCATAAATGACACTTGATATCAATGTATTCACTTTTTAAATATATCTTGTTGGATTTGATTTTCTGAGATTTTGTTAAGAATTTTTGCATCGAAGTTTATAAGGGATATTAGTTTGTAACCACAGACCTTTTCTTTTCTTGTAATTTCTTTTCATAGTTTTGGTGTCAGATAAATGTAGGCCTCAAAGAATGAGTTGAGAGGTATTCTATTGTCTCCAACTTTTTGGAAGAGTTTATATAGTTTTACTATTATTTACATTTAAGTGAGTAGTAGAATTCACCAGTGAAGTCATTTGGCTTGGTAGTTCTTAAAGTTTAGTTGCAATGTGGAATGTGAAGTCATATCAATGAATGTTTTACGTTTATCTTTCAACTCAAACAACTAGACAAGTGCTTTCCACTGAAACAACCACTATACTTTATTGCAAAGTGGAACTACGTTATGCATACTTCTCATTTCGTTACTATGCAATATAAAAGGATTTAATAAAAATAATAATTTTTGCTCTTTCTCCAAAGGCATTCTTAAATGAAACTGCTTTTTTTCCCTCTGAGTATGTGGTATCGAAGACTACAATAAAATGTGTTATTGAAGACTACAAAAACCACTACAAGTTAGTGGTTTAGTTCCACTGCCTTGATTCATTCTAAGGGGCTGGCAGTTTTACTCACCATTGCTTTTGCACTATCTGTGCAAACTTCAACATAGTGAAAAAAGTGAATAATATTTTGATATTATATTAGTTTTGACTTTGTGGACCCCCTGAGACTGTCTCAAGGGATTGTATGGGTCCATAGACCACACTTTGAGAAGCACTGCATTATAATTTGAGGATAAGTATTCAAATGTTTAGCTTGGATTTAATATCTCAATTACATTCCATGGTGCCTGCACTGATGGTTCCCCAGTGAATATATAAAAAATCAAAATAATGAGAAATTCAATAAGAAGAGTTTCTGTCTATTCAAAATAAGATCTTAAAGCAAGTAAATCACAAGTGAAGAAATATAGGCCTTTAAAATTATATTAAGCCAGTTGAATCTGTTTCTCCCAATTGACTTACACCATACTGCAATTATTTATCTTTGGTTAACAAAAATAAACTCTCAAGTTTCAAGAAACTAACCTCAATTACTTGTCACCTTACCTCTTCCACCTCCAGTTTCCTTATCTGTAAAACTGTGTGGGAGGTGGTGGTGATCATAATAGAATCTACCTCATAATGCCATAGGAACCAAATGAGATCCTGAATGTAAAGCACGTGAATGCTGAATTAATATTAGCTATTATGCTAACGTTCTCATTCCTTTTATGATTGCATCATATTCTGTAGTATGAATGGATCAAAATTTTCCCTGGTCGTTCCATATAGTGTGATAGCTCTGGGAACTTTGAAAGATAGGAGTCACGGGGTTGGAGTAATATAATTTTGGAGGTGTTGAATTTTGCACCAGTTTCATTTCATGTAATCACTCAGTAATTTAAAGTAGGTTAAAAGGTAGATTAATAGAGATTCCTATAGGATTTCCATTGTACGGGTGGACAAAATTCATTTGTAATTTATTCCTGGAGTACTTAAAATTGCTTAATTCTTTCAAGGAAGTACTTCTCACCATCACCCCTCACCACTATACTAATATACACACATAGACACAGATACACACACACATATATCTTGTTTATTAATTATTTGCCTAGAAATTTCATGATGACAAATTTAGGCCAGGTCTGACTAAATTATCACAAAATCTAAAATTTAATTGTTCAAAATCAGAAAAAAACAATTTTGGAGGTGTTGAAGGAGCTATGCACTTTCTAATAGATGCTGGTCCAGGCTTCAACCAAGGCAGGGTTTCTCAACCTTGGCTCTTTTGACATTTTGGACTGTATAATTCTTTGTTGTGTGTGTATCTGGGGTAAGGGGTGCTGTGCACTGTAGGATGTTTAATGGCATCCCTGGCCTCTATCCACTTGATGCTAGTGGCACCCTTCACCCCGTGTCATGACAACCAAAACATCTTTAGACATTGTCAAATATCACCCAGTGTGCAAAGTGCCTCCAGTTGAGAATCACTGAACCAGGTACTGAAGGAAGACCCTTCTGGCTGGACAGAACAGTACAGAAACAGAATCGTATAAGGAAGATGTTTTTTAGATAATTTTACTTAAATATCTCTGTTGGAAAAGACAGCAGCAATAATAACAGCTATAAGTTACTAAGTGCTATTAGGCACTTTGCAAACATCAATCCTTACAGCAACACTATAGATATGAATATTCCCATTTTACAGATGAGTAAAACAATACCCAGAAAAGTTAAGTTACATGCCCAAGAGAGGGACAGAGCTAGGATTAGTATCTGATCTAATTGACTTCTAAGCTCATGCTCTGAACCATCACAGTATTAATTTTGTTAGAAATGCAGCTTCCTCTGTGGGATGTTAATATTTAGCGTGCCTTGTATAATCCTGTCTGGTGACCCTATTTGGATAACTGAGTTGAGCATAATTTTAGATGAGAAATTGAATAGGGGGTGACTTCCTGACCCAGTACGTGGGATAGCCTTGGGATAAACTTAATTGAAGTATTACTTTGATGGGTTACAGAGACTTCTGAGGTAAGATCAAAGAGACATTTGTATAAGGCCTTGAGGGACCAAATTAGCCATCTCATTGGTTCTAGCAGCCATGACAATAATTAGTCAAGCAGCCTTTCGAAGGTGCTGGTAGGACTTTCCTTATACCTCTAATTGTCTCCCTCAAGGGGAAGTGAAATCACCTTTGACTGACCCCAGATCTGGCTGCTAAGCACTTTGGTTTAGTTGAAGAGAAAATGTTTGGGGAAATGTTAACCATGCACTCTAACCTCTAGGGCAGGGTTCTGCCAACTGCCTGTCACAACCCATTAAGGGTCATGAAATCAATTTAGTGGATCATGAGCAACATTTTTTAACCCAATTTACATGACTCCTTTTATTTCACACACTCATGGACTAGACCATTCTAAAGTAATATGGATTACTAAAGATAGCATTATTTTTATGACATTATTAATTATTATTTCTTGTGTTCTTCGTGTATTTACATGTGTTATAGTTTTTTCCATTTCCTTTTTTTTTTTTTTTTTTTTGAGACAGGGTCTTGCTCTGTTGTCTAGTCTAGAGTTCAGTGGCATGATCACAGCTCACTGCAGCCTCAACCTCCCAGGTTCAAGCAATCCTCCCACCTCAGCCTTCCAAGTAGCTGGGACCATAGGTGTGCTCCTGGTTAATTTTTGTATTTTTTGTAGAGACGGGATTTCACCATGTTGCCCAGGCTGGTCTGTAACTGCCGGGCTCAAGAGATCCACCTGCCTTGGCCTCCCAATGTGCTGGGATTACAGGCGTGAGCCATCACGCTTGGCTTTTTTCTTTTACTGATACATAATGTGTTACATATTTATAGGGTACATGTGACTGTTTGCCACAGGCATAGAACGTGTAATGATCAAGCCAGGGTATTTGGGGTATCCATCACCTTAAGTATTTATCATTTCTATGTGTTTGTATCCATGAGTAACACTTAAAAACAGAGAAGACCAGAGTAGAAAGTATTATGGATCTCATACCTTATAGGCAGGACCAGCTAAATAATTTTTGGGGCTCACCACAAAATAGAAATATGGGGCTCCTTGATTAAAAGGCAGAAAATACTGTTGCTAGAGGGACTCAAATATAAAGCTTTTTTCTTTTTTCTGCAGTCTCTGTCTTGACTTGCCAGCCATATTGGGGATTTTTTTTTTTTTTTTGAGACAGGGTCTCACTCTGTCGCCCAAGCTGGAATGCAGTGGGACAATCACGGCTCACTGCAGCCTTGAACTCCTGAGCTTCAGCGATCCTCCCACCTCAGCCTCCCGAGTAGCTGGGACTACAGGTGCACACCATGCCCAGCTAATTTTTTAATTTTTGTGCAGACATGTTTCACCATGTTTCCCAGGCAGGTCTTGAACTCCAGAACTCAAGGAATCTGCCCACCTCGGTCTCCCCAAGTGCTGGGATTACAAGCGAGACCCACTGCGCCTGACTGCCACAGTGTATTTTTATTTGCTATTTATTCCAACCCTAAGTAAAAAAAAAAAAAAATTAAATTATTAACATAAAATTTACTGTTAATCTTTATTAGGCAAGGCCAGTTCAAAGACACAAATATAAAAGCACTTAACTTACATGCAGAATCACCAAAACTACACAGTTTATATTTTGTAGCTTTTACCAGAACAGTGGAAACACTGCACAAAATGAATTGAAGTGTTTTTGTTTCACTTCCGATACATGCACATACTACACATACTAAAAATAGTCTCTGCCTTTGGTTTACTGGTGAGTAAGGCATGATGAAAGAGAAAGGGTTGATGTATCTTCTCCCTTTTTTTCTATGTCATCATCTTCAGCATAACTGGTTGGCTAATACAGGAAAGTAACACCATAGGATATAATAGGGTTCTTCATATTACTTTTTTTTTTTTTTTTTTTTTTTTTTTTGAGACGGAGTCTTGCTCTGTGGCCCAGGCTGGAGTGCAGTGGTGCGATCTCGGCTCACTGCAAGCTCCACCTCCTGGGTTCACACCATTCTCCTGCCTCAGCCTCCCGAGTAGCTGGGACTACAGGCGCCCGCCACCACGCCTGGCTAATGTTTTGTATTTTTAGTAGAGACAGGGTTTCACTGTGTTAGCCAGAATGGTCTCGATCTCCTGACCTCGTGATCCACCCACCTTGGCCTCCCAAAGTGTTGGGATTACAGGTGTGAACCACTGCGCCTGGCCGGTTTTCATATTTCTTAGAATCCCATTGCATTGAATTCTTTCTGTCTATGAAACAAGATCTTGTTCAAAAGGTAAGCATGACCTCTTTGGTCTGTCACTACCCTACTCCACCCCGCCTTAGTTGTAGAGGGAACACATCTTCTTCTCCCTTTGAGACTTGCTGAACTCCCAAGCACTGCCAGTTCACTGCAGTTGTGTTCTCTGGGGGCATCACAAACACTGTATGTAAATGAGGGAACAAGAAACACACATTTTCCGCATCTACTCTGCTCATGTGCGTGCTCCACTGTTGCATTTGACTTCATTTACAAAACACAAGTTCAAAAATAAAATTATTAAAGATTCCTAGACAGTGGTAGTAGAACACTAAACCAACTATGCGGCTCTTCTGAGCGTGTGGCCCTGTGCTACTATAACAGGCCACAAGCCTAGGAAGCCAGCCCTGAGGATTACGTATTTTTTGTGAAAGTTTTACTTCAGGTGTGTGTGTGGGAGTGTGTGGTATGTGTGTACTGGGGTCATCGTCAAAGTTTGGGAATCCCTGCTTTAGGAGAAGGCCAGGCTTCTCCCATGTCCTCCCCTACTAGGTGTTAGAGCTTTCTCCGGGAAGAGTCAGGTGATTTTAGTTAGAACAGGACTAGGGCTAACCTCTTCAGTGCAGTGCAAGTTCTCTCCATTCTGTGATCTCCCCTGCCCCTGCAACTCATGTGGTTGGTATGACAAGACAGGCCAGGGTGGTCTCCTCTTTATAAGCAGGCTGCCTTGACCTTACCCAAAAAGGAAACCAGGGTGGGCCAAGGAGAAAAAAAAAAAAACATCTGTCTTGTACCTGCTTAGGCTTTACTTCTCATCTAAGCTCATTTAAGCTCAAGGGGAAAAAAGGGTCCTTTCACCTCACACACAGCAGGCCAGTTTACCAAGGTAAGTAACTATTAGGTTGGTGCAAAAGTGATTTTGCTATTACTTTTAATGGCAAAAACCGTGATCACTTTTGCACCAACCTAATACTTTAAGCGATTCAGCAATAAGTAGGCTCTTTCCTGAGGCGTCTTTGTGATTATATCCTACCCTTGGGAATCTGTTGGAGTATGGGCAGCAAGATGGGCTTCAAGGATCCAGAGAAACTTAGCCATACCTGCCTTTTTCACTATTAACATAATAAGCCTTGATATCAGTTTTACTTTTTACATTGTAAACGTTCTATTAGTTCCACAGAGAATTCAAAAGTTAAAGAAAATTATACGGAAGAAAAGTAAAATTGCCTGTTATGTAAAATTCCATCATAAACACTGTGAACATATTTTGTATGTTTTTTTCCACTAATTTTTCTATGTGTATACATTACAATTAAACACAATGGATGATATTGTCTATAGAAGTTTAATCTCATTTATTTCACTTAGCATTACATTACGAGATTGTTTCTTTCTCCTAGACAGTGCTGCACATGCACAGAAAACTTTCTGTCTGTCTCTCCTGCATACTTAAGATGCATTGATATCATTGGTTAAGGTAAAGTTAAATCAGTTGTTTCTTGTAACTAGAAAACATTTTTATTTCCCTATTAGTTTCCCTCTCAGAGGAGATCCTTATTCCAAATTTACTCTTTGTTCCAGTAATTTGCACTCTCTGCCACAAGGTAATAAGAAAAGAGTGAAGATATTTTCTTGTAGCTAGAACCAGACTTCTACACCAAGTTCAACTCTTTATCAAAATAATATTTACCTTTGTTACATCTAAGTAACAAAACTTTGAATGTGATATCCATTATATTTGTTAATCAAATACAGAACCTCAATTACGTGCATCTTTTTTTTTTTTCTAAATAACGTGGCAGCCCTTTGTCCCTTCTTGCCTTTAAAACCCGACCTACACAGCAAGACTTTTTCTCTCCTGATGCTTACCTGAAGTTACCCTGGGTTCTAAAATGTGTGCCGTTTTGCTCCAGTGTCTGGCTTCCTGCTTCCTATCCTTGATAGGGAGCCTTCTCTCCTTTTCTATGTGTATATGTTACAATTAAACACAATGGATCATATTGTCTATAGAAGTTTAATCTGGTTTATTTCACTTAGCATTATATTACGAGAGCCGTCCACTCTCCAATAGTGTTTTAGGGACAGTATTTTATTGATGAAAATAGAACTGTGGTTTAAAAACATTAAATAGTTAAATTACCATAGTAATTATAAAAAGTAATTACTCCTTTTCCCCAGAATATAATTTTAAAAACACATTCATGCAGAATCAAAACAGAGGTTTCGAAACAGATACAGTAGAGATCCTTCTGGGAATCAAATCAGCAGATTCCCAGCCTTCCCACATTGCCTGATCCCATGGTTCTTGAACTGAACCTCCTCCCCTAATCCTCGTCTTTCTTCACTTCTAAGAATCACTACCTGTTTTCGTCGTGAGAGTTAACACTAGTCAGGGAGGGATGGTTAGGCCCTGGTGATCTTCCATTACATCCAAACAAGGAAAGATCATTTAGAGAGAATTTCTAAGGAAATACCTCTGTCCATGACCTTATCTTAAGTACATTCTACAAGAGATAAAAAATGACGATGGCAACAAGCCAAGAATCCATAGCTCTCATTATCTTGAGTTTGCAGGGTATGAAAATCACAGAATGTCAAACTCTGGAAATCATCCCATCCTTCATTTTGCAGATGCAGAAAAATATCCAGAAAGTAAAGGACTGATTTGAAAGTCACATATCTTGTCAGTGGCAGATCTGGGGCTAAAAGCTCAAATTACTAGATTCTGATTTCAGCACTTTCAGCTCTGCCAAACTATCTAAAACTGGGAATTGCATTACTTGTAGAATGATTTTAGGCTCTAATGAGCAGCAGCTTGCTGAATGGCAGAACAGCCAAAGGAGACTACTGCCACTTGCTGGTAGCATATGTAAATTGTTGAGACTGTTGCAAAAAGGAAATGCATTCATTCATTTATTCATTTAATTCCACAAATATTTACTATCAGCCTGGCATGTGCAAGCAATATGCTGGGTGCTATGGGGATGGCGGTGGAGTCCCACTCTCATGGGCCTGACATTTTAGTACGGAAGTCACAAAAAACAAACAAAAAATTACTTAGTAAAAAAGTGCAAGTGCCTTGAGAGCAGTATAGACACAACCATGTGGGAGTTCAGGGAAAGGACAGTTTCATGCTTTCTCACAGGGATCTGGGAAGAAGGGGGTATGGAGAAAAGATTGGTGAATTTGGCTTCAAAGGACAAATAGTTTAAGATTCGTTGAAATGGTGATAAGGCAGAGCACTCAATCCTAGATCTGGCTAAGCATTTAAAGCCTGAACTCTTAATTAAAAAAAAAAAAATAGGTGTATATCCATGGCACGCGTTTACCTATGTAACAAGCCGGTGCATCCTGCACATGTATCCTGGAACATAAAATAAAATAAAATAAAATAAAATAAAATAAAATAAAATAAAATAATAATTTAAAGATAAGGCCAGGCTCAGTGGCTCACGCCTATAATTCCAGCACTTTGGGAGGCCGAGGCAGGTGGATCACCTGAGGTCAGGAGTTCAAGACTAGCTTGGTCAACATGGCAAAACCCCTTCTGTACTAAAAGTAAAAAAATTAGCTGGGCATGGTGGCGGGTGCCTGTAATCCCCGCTACTTGGGAGGCTGAGGCAGGAGAATCACTTGAACCCGGGAGGTGGAGGTTGCAGTGCGCCCAGATTTTGCCATTGCATGCCAGCCTGGGCAACAAGAGTGAAACTCCGTCTCCAAAACAAACAAACAAACAAACAAACAAATCAAAAAAAAGATTAAAAAAAAGAAATAAAATCTTCTAATGAGAAAAAAGTTGTATATATTTATGGGGTACATGTGACATTTTGATACAGGCATACAGTGTGTACTAATCACATCAAAGTAATTGGGGCATCCATCACCTCAAGGATTTATCATTTCTTTGTGTTGGGAACATTCCAGTTCCACTCTTAGTTATTTAAAAATATACAATAAATTATTGTTGGCTGTAGTCACTCTGCTGTGCTACCAAATGCTAGATCTTATTCATTATATCTATGTTTTTGGACCCATTAACCATCCCCACTCTAAAACCTGAACTCTTAAACATTATGCTGTACAGGCCTTTTGATTGGGTTGAGATTTACAATTGGAAAATAGCATAGGGCCCTGAATGCCACACTAAATGATTTGGATTTATTCTGTAGGTAGCCAAGGATGGTTTTAAAGAGAGTCATCTCATCAGAACTGTACTCTTGTACCAAAAGCGCTAAGCATTTGGATTAGGGCTTGAGAGCAGATCAAAGACGACAGTACAGAGGAGTGGGTTCCATCAGAAGCTCTGATGGCTGGTAATTATTCTGCAGCTTTTTTCTTCACAGGGTCTTACTATGTTGCCCAGGCTGGTCTTGAACTCCTGGGCTCAAGCAATCCTCCTTCCTCGGCGTCCCAAAGTGCTGGGATTACAGGCATGAGCCACCGCACCTGGTCAATTATTCTGCAGCTTTAATTGCTCAGAGCCTTTTGCTAAGCTCCACTCTGCTACACTTGTCTGGTCACATTAAGAGCTGCCAAATCTATTTCCTGAGTTACAGAGTAGATCAGGACTTTCTCAGAAGTCAGCTTTTATTCAAACAGTTTTATTATATATAAAAATATTTATACATATATAAAAATAGATATATAAAGTATATATGTATTTTATATGTGTATATATGTACATATATAAAGTACATATATAAAAATATATTGTTTTCTTGGAGAAAAGTTTTACCTTTTTTCTAACTTAATATCATTTACTGATTCCAAAATTTTCTAACATTACAGAACTATTTTTTTAAACAAATGATTCATACTGTTTTTAGTTTGCTTTATTAAATGACTTATACAGCACAAATTGTCTTTGCGTATCAGTACATGTAGATCCACCTAATTTTTTAAAATGCACCTTTGTGTATTTTTCTCAGTTCCTCTAAGGATAGACATATGAGTTCTTTTCATTTTTTTTCTATTATAAGCAATGATGCAATAAATATATTTATACATAAATCTTTGCACATTTGTGGAGATGTTTCTACAGGAAAAATGTCTGGCACTATAAATGTTGCATCACTGGGTCTTATGAGTCGTCTTTTACCAGATACCACCAAATTGACAGATACTACCAAATTGCCCTTTGAAAATATCATACCAATTTATACTTTCAGCCAGAGTGTGCTGGCTTGTTCACACCCTCTTTAATACTATCAAACTTTTACACTTTTCATACTAGGATAGACAAAAAAAGGATATCTTATTTTTCCAATAATCAATATACATTAAGCATCCATATTTGGGGTGAATTAGGAAGCTAATGCTAATTGGCCTCTCTCATTCTTCCATATAACCTGCATATATTCTCAAAAGGTTTTTAGGGTCATTTTTCAGGGCCTGGCATGTTAGACACTCATTCTGGGAACACACACCAGATGTACGTTTGGTATATAACTTCATAGAGTTTGTATATAGGAAATATAGATAGAGCTGGATAATGGATGTGACTTAAGTTGCACGACAACCTAATTCAAGGAAATAGCTGAATCGCCCATCAAAGGATACAAATGAAGAAAATCTTCATCTGATAAGAAAGACCTACAGAGCATAGTAGATCTGTCCTGGATCTGTCACTTGGCTGTTTGTCTTGTTTCATTCGCAACATATACAAACCACATTTTCCAAATGGTGACATCATCGATAATACAGTGGCTCAAAGTAATGTAATCGTTTCGCCAGATGACAGTATTGTTGGCTCAATACACTAAACAGGTGATGGCATAGTTTCCAGTCAGGGAAAACAACTGTAACAAAAGCATCTAAGCCCAAATATTTGAGTAGTTGCCTCTGTCAACACAATAGCTAACAGACTGACTTAGCACAAATAATCATGAATTGACTTAGTCTGTTTGGGCTGCTATAATAAAATATTAGGTTGGTGCAAATGTAATTGTGGTTTTTGCATTGTTGGAAATTGCGGTTTAATATTGGAATACATTCTTAAATAATATGGTTATGTTAGACATCATTTTAATGGGCCCTCGGTTTATTTTTATTATTTATTTATTTATTTTTGCTAATGTCTTATTACTTGCTGTTTATTT
Organism: Homo sapiens; assembly: GCF_000001405.40. Classification (NCBI taxonomy): domain Eukaryota; kingdom Metazoa; phylum Chordata; class Mammalia; order Primates; family Hominidae; genus Homo; species Homo sapiens. The sequence continues at coordinate 135,481,579 of NC_000023.11, read as the reverse complement.
TAGGCTATAGAAATGATGTTACACAAAAAGCAAATTTGAGCGATTTTCTCATTCGAGTTCAAAATGGGTTGTAAAGCAACAGAGGCAACTCACAACACCAAAAATACATTTGGCCCAGGAACTGTTAACGAACGTGCAGTGTGGTGGTGGTCCAAGGAGACGAGAGACTTGAAGATGAGGAACTTAGTGGCTGGCCATCAGAAGTTGGCAACAACCAATTGAGAGCAATCATAGAAGCTGATCGCTTACAACTACACGAAAAGTTGCTGAAGAACTCAACGTCGACCATTCTACAGTCGTTTGGCATTTGAGGCAAATTGGAAAAGTGAAAAAGCTCTGTAAGTGGTTGCCTCATGAGCTGACCGAAAATTTTTAAATCGTCGTTTTGAAGTATTGTCTTATTTTACATAACAACAACAATGAACCATTCCTCAATTGGATTGTGACATGCAAAGAAAAGTGGATTTTATACAACAGCCAGCAACCACCAGCTCAGTGGTTGGATGGAGAAGAAGCTCCACAGCACTTCACAAAGCCAAATTTGCATCATAAAAAGGTCACGGTCACTGTTTGGTGGTCTGCTGCCTGTCTAATCCACTACAGCTTTCTGAATCCCAGCGAAACCATTACATCTGAGAAGTGTGCTCAGCAAATTGATGAGATGCACCAAAAACTGCAATGATGGCAGCCAGCACTGGTAAACAGAAAGGGCCCAGTTCTTCTCCATGACAATGCCCGACCACAGGTTGCACAACCAATGCTTCAAAAGTTGAACAGATTGGGCTACAAAGTTTTGTCTCATCCGCCATATTCACCTGACCTCTTGCCAACTGACTACCACTTCTTTAAGCATCTCGACAACTTTTTGCAGGGAAAATGCTTCCACAACCAGCAGGAGGCAGAAAATACTTTCCAAGAGTTCATCGAATCCCAAAGCATGGATTTTTATGCTACAGGAATAGACAAACTTATTTCTCTTTGGCAAAAATGTGTTGATTGTGAAACAGCTCCATTGTCTAGGGTATATACCCTAGCTCTTGGTCTCAGTAGAGAAGGAATTCAGGACACAGACACACAAGAGGAGTGGGTTTTGGAGCAGAAAGTTTAACAGAAAAAGAAGAAAAGAGAGAGAAAGCTTCCTCATGTTGAGAAAGCCCAAAAGAGGGTCTCCAAGAGGAAAAAAAAAAGGACTGCTGATGCGAATGCGCTGAGTTTTATAGTCCAGTTTGAGGAGGCAGTGTCTGATTTACATAGCTCTCACAGATTGGTTCAATCAGTTATGACGTCTACATAGTGCGTGGGAGAAGGGTCGCCCCACCCTAATCTTATTATGCAAATGGGTATTCCAGTTGATCGGTGCCATCTTGTCTGCTTCTTACTGTACACCAGTGGCTGACAGAAGGGGAGATGGAGCTGCCGTCTTGAACATGATTGGCACAACTGCTGGTATCTGTGTCTGCAGCTTAATTTTACAGGCTGCTCTTCATTAGAAAGGAAAATAATTTGGGGCTGCTTTTCATTAAAAAGAAAAGCCTTATTGGGGACTCCCATACCCTTACTATCTACCTAAGTAATTTCTTCTTAAATCCTATATCAATTGTAATGGTTCCTATTTTGATTAATAAAGATGTGTTTGAGCCTAGTTATAATGATTCAAAATTCATGGTCCAAAACCGCAATTACTTTTGCACCAGCCTAAAGTATTTTGCACCAACCAAAGTATTTTGTGTAATTTATAAAGAGTAGAAATTTATTGCTCACAGTCCTGGAGGCTGGGAGGTCCAAGATCAAGGCACCAGCAAATTTGCTTTCTGGTAAGAGCCTGTTCCTCATAGATAGTGCCTTCTATACGTCTTCACACATGGTGCAAGCAGCACAGCAGCTCTCTGGGGCCTCATTTATAAGGCCAGTAATGCCAGTCAGGAGGGCAGATCCTTCATGACCTAATCAACCCCAAGGACCTTTTAATATAATCACCTTGGTGATTAGATTTCAATATATGAATTTGGGGAGTGACACAAACGTTTAGTCCATAGCATAAATAAATCTATTTAAGTGAAATTTAGCATTCACTTAGCTAATGTTAGTCTAGTTGGTTCTCCTCCTTCTGAGCACACTGAGGGATTCCACTTCCCCCATTCTCTTTTGCTATTGAGACAGACCATGTGACTTATTCTGGCCAATGAATTGTGAGATAAAGTGATACATTTTATGATTACGTTATTTAATTGTCTGAGTGAGACCCTCCACTCTTTCTTCCCATGCCTGAAGTGATTATGGAAGCATGTATAGAGATTTCGGGTGCCACAAAATCAAAGCAACTGGCACCACTGAGTCACCACATGAAGGAAAGCTGCCTCAGAGTGTCACCTGGACTTGCAATGGATTTTATGAGAGCAAGAAATTAAATTTTGTTGTAGTCAGACAGTGAGATTTTTAGTGTTGCTACCACAGCATAACTAATACAGCATTCCTTGGCCAAAATGAATCTGTTAAATGGCCTAGCTGATGAAGAGACAGAATGGTGAACTAACAATCAACTGCTGGGTGCTTTCCATGTGCCCAGGAGAGTGTTAGGTGCAGGCACAATACATAGATGTCTACAACACAATCAAACTCTCACTGTCTCTATTTTCTTTGATTCTCTCCTTTCCAATAGGTAGAACTAAATGTTTCCTTTTAAGTGCTCCCATAACACTTTTCCCTCTCCTCTCCCCATCAACACTTCAGCATGGTGACTACAGTTAATAATAATAAGTTGTAATCTGGGTGTGGTGACACATGCCTGTAGTCCCAGCTACTTGGGAAGCTGAGATGGAAGGATCCCTTGAGCCCAGGAATTCAAGTCCAGCTTGAGCAACATAGTAAGACTTCGTTTCTACAACAAAAAATGTATTGTATACTTAAAATGTGCTAAGAGAATAAATCTTAAATGTTCTCACCACATATAAAAGAAGGGGTAAATATGTGAGGTGAAGAGTATGTTAATGAGCTTGATTGTGGTAATCATTTCACAATGTATACATATATCAAATAATCCCACTGTACATCTTAAATATATACAATTTTTATACAATTTTTATTTTGCAAAGAAGAAACATGGTCAAGGTTGCCAATTCCATAGTAGTAAAGACTTCAGTTTGTTTAAATACTACAGAGAAATATTAAAGAGTGGAAGGAGAGGTTGAGGATAGAGGGAAAGAGGGGAGAATGAAAGAAAGGGCTTAGGAAGGGATTCATTCAGTCGTTCAACATATGCTTAAGGAAGGACCACCATATTCCTTACACCATATAGGTTCTGAAAATGCAGTGATAATTAAAACCCAGAGTACAGATGGGGAGACTGGGTTTAGGAGTGACTTCCCTTCCTCTGTGCCAGGAAGAGAGGAGGCAAGGATCACGGCTGGGGTGGGTGGGTTTTTAATGGCATGAAGGCAGAAAGGTGAGGGACTTCCTGACTGAAAATGGCCATTTTCCCTGAAGAGTAGGAATCAAAGTCCTTTTTACTATGACTGAAGGTTAACAAGAGTAGAGAATGTTTCAAATAGTTCTTGTGGAGCATGAGGGTATATGGTGATTAATCTTATGTATCAACTTGTCTCAATTCTTCTCTGGGTCTCCAGCCTGTTGGTCTGTCCTACAGAATTTAGATTTTCCAGCCCCCACAGATTTTTAGACAATCTTTAAAATCCCTGACACACACACACACACACACACACACACACGCACACACACCCCTCCTATTGTTTCTGTATCTCTGGAGGACCCTGGACAGCATCCAAGGACTGAGTTGGAATTGGAGATCATGAATGTGTAGTGGCTGGCACCCATCCACATGGTGGCAGGATTTCCTCTTGCAGCACTCAGCAACTCTAGAGTAAGAAGGCACAAAGAAGGCAGGTGCAATCGAATTGACCCAGGGTTAGAGTTTTTCTGGAAAGTGGAATGGAAGTATAACGGGGATAGAGTCATTGAATAATGTACCACAGGTCTAGTCTAGATCAGGAAAGAATTAAAGACAGATAAGGGTTAATTGACTAGAACAACATGGAAGGGCCAGGGAACTGAAATCTGGTGAATTTTAAAAAACAAACCAAAACAACAAGAAGCAGGTATGTTATGGGTTGAGGTGTTCTTCTCCACCCCATCCCCCCAAAAAAGATATATTAAAGTCCTAATTCCCAGGCACATTCTCAGAGTGTGACCTTATTTGAAAATAGGGTTTTTACAGTGATAATCCATAAAGAGGTCATTAGTATGGGCCCTAATCCAATATGATTTTATAATATATGTCCTTATAAAAAGGGGAAATTTGGACACAGACAGATATGCAACAGAGAGAAGATGATGTGACTGACACACAGGGAGAATACTATGTGAAGACAAAGGATTGGAGTGATGCATGTACAAGCCACAGAATGCCAAAATTGCCAGCCAACCACCAAAAGCTAAAACAGCGGCAAGGAAGAATTTCCCTTAGGGGTTTCAGAGGGAATGCAATCCTGCTGACACTTTCAGACTTCTAGCCTTCAGAATTGTGAGACAATACTTTTATGTTATTTTAAGCCACCTACTTTGTGGTATTTTGTAACAGAAGCCCTAGAAAACTAATCCAAGGTATATGGAGAGTAAGGCTGTCAAAGAGCCTGAAGGATACGAGTTGATAAGAGAGTAGACTCTAATTGAGTCCAGACCCCTGAAGCCAGTTAGGAAATCTTGAAGGGGTATACAGAATCATCAGTTCCCCCTGGAGTTTCTGAAAAACCCAGATTTGTAGAGAGTGATGCTAAGTAACTAGGGGGTTTTATTGGAGTCACTGGACCCTTTCTTAAACCAAATCTTACAGTGGTCCTAGGGCGCCCCAGAGCAAACCAGGGAATCAGAATATAGAATCCTCCCAATGTAACTGTTTTGAGATCGAATGAGCACTGTGTTGTTTTTGCTAAACATTGCTACAAAGCCACTTTGTGTGAAACCAAAATGGCAAACAGACTTGTGGTTCACCATAGGGTGACTTCCTTTGGCCATCGCTAGGCAACAAATCAGGATGGATCCAAATGTGGCCAATTACATGCTCTCCAGAAAAAGACTCTTTAGAAAGCAAGCCTAAAAGTCCCATACAATACCATAGCTACAGCAGAAATCCTTTACTTTGCAAAAATCACTTTCATCTTTTGGGATTTCTTCAAAATAAAGGCAAAAACTTTATGCTGCACATTGGATTATAAGTGTAGTTAAGACACCCATTATTATATGAGAACTGTCTGGTTTTGCTTTATAAAGCTAGAGTGGCAGATGACCCATTTCACGGACCTACTTTTAGTCTAAATAGAAAATGTCAACTAAAACCACCTTTGGTAGCCTTTGAAAATCTATGTATTAAAGAAAAATATTACTTTAAGTTTCCTCATACTCAACAGCATATGTCCATGGACATTGACTCCAAAGATAAATAGGGCACAGTTCCTTCTCTCAATGGTATGTGCTACAATCTAGTTACGAAAACAGTACATGTACATAAAAACATAATAATACATGGTAGCATAGGGATTATCTCATTTAATTCTCACAACAATCCTATGAAGGAGGTGCTATTTTTATTGTCATTTTAGAGATGTGGAAACCAAGAAACAGAGAGGTTAATTAAATTTCCTAAGACAACAAAGCTATCAAGCAGTACAGCAAGTATTTGAGTCCAGGTAGTCTGGTTCTAGAGACAATGCTCTTAAGACTGCAATAGAGTAAAAAAGAATGACTCCTTGAATAGCAGCCTCCCAGGTGTTCAAAATCTTGAAGTATTACCAGAAGAGGGACATTTGAGAGAGAAAAGCCTTTTGAACATAATTTCACATTCAGTTCCACAGTAACTACATAATATAGGTAGCTTTTTGAAAGTACACTATGTTATTATAGAAGATCAGCCAGTACCAATCAATTATTATAAAGTTCTTCAGACATACGTTAGCGTAATGAAGGCTCTAGTTCACCTATTCCTCAGTGGAGACTCTTCTCTCTGGCTTCTTAATAATCTCCATCATCATCCTCTGACTCCACTGTGGTGGTCTTCCATCTGGCCAGTTGAGAAAACATTACTAATAAGGGACATAAACCCTTACATTTGTATTTAAAGGACAATAGCTATTATGTATTTAGCACTATCATCTATCAGCCTCTTTGTATCTATTTTCTGAATCTTCATCAAAAACGTATGGAATTAGTATTATATGTACCTCCATTTGACATCTGAGGAAACCGAGTTGTAAACAGGCCAAAGTACCCAAGATCACGTAGCTAGCAAGTGGTGGCTAGGACTTGAGCCAGGTCTGACTGACTGCAAAACCAGCTCTCTTAAACACCTCACTCTAATGAGTTCCATATAATATCAAATGAAGAAATTAAATCTACATATCAATTGACTATGCTGTTTTATATTCCTAATAACTTTTATATGCCCATTCTGGATATATCTTCCTAGCTTATTTTGACTGGCATTGCTTTAGGACTCACTGTCATTAATCTATGCAGAGAAACTAGAGTTCTTCTATTTCTATGTTGTATGGCAAATTCTTCTAATTTAGGCTAACTCATTCAATTCATTCATTTTTTCTATTTAGAATGTGTATGTGCATACATGTGTGCACATTCATGTGTGTGCACGTGAATGTATGTGTGTGTATTAAGCAACTCTTCAGCTCAGGACATCCATCAAATAAAGGACCTTGCCAAAACAGCTTTGTGTTTCTAGATGCTATTACTCTGAAAGAACAGTTGAACACACACACACACACACACAAGCTTGTATCAAGTCAGCAGAATTACGCACACACAAAAAACTTGTATCAAGTCAGCAGAATTATTCCTAACTTAAGGCCAGTTGGGGAGGTGATTTTAGGAGTTCTTCCATGTTGGAACTCATGGAATGGAGGGTGCAGAGGCTTGGAGAGGGAATAAGTCCCTCACACCAAAAATAAAAATTACCTGAGGTTCATGAAGTGAGGCTGTAAAGTGGTGAGATCGGCTTCCCTAGCAGCCACATTCAATTACCCTAATCTGTGACTATTTTCAAGACTTGATTTAAATTTTAACTTGATTTTATCTGAATTTGAAAAATAGACTGCAATAATCTGTTTATTTATTATAAATGTATTCTGAGGTGATTTTCCAAGGCTTCTGTTGATGATCATTTAAAATTTACTATCATCATCTAGTCTTTTCCAACTCTACCACCTCCAACCTAGCCCAGGCCCTCATTTCTCCTGCCCAAATGATCACTAGCTGGCCTGGATAACCACAGTGATACCTGCCTTCTATCCATCCTACATACTGATACCAGAATAATGATCCTTCAACATCACACACACCACTCACTCCCCTGTACTAAGCTTTTCAATGACTCCATGGATTTCCAATAGCAGAAAGTGTAAACTCATCTGTTAGCCTTTCAAGACCCTCCCTTCAGGCCTCATCCTGGCACCCACTCATCCTTAATTCCCACAACTCCTAGCATGCTTCTGCATCTTCTATTCTAGTCAGGCCTATTCAATCTCTGTCCCGTGAACACAGCATGCTCTTTTATTTACATATTGTCGTATTACAACAAAGTGCTGTATTGATTTCGTTTGAAAACATACTGTAGGTACAAGATCCTACTCTATGCCATGATCTTGGTGAGATGCTAGATCACAAAGGTGAACAAGGTAGTCCATAGCTGTCTGGTGAAAGTGACAGGCAACTGAACAGGCAATCATTTTGCAGCATGATAAGTGGTATATGAAGGAGGTCCAGAGATCTGTGGGAGCTCAGAGGAAAGGAACTTAACCCAGACTTTAGAGAGCAGGGAAGGACTTAAGAAGAAGTGATGCTATAATTTTAATGCATAAAACATGAGTAAGAGTTAGTTAGACAAGGAGTTTGAGAGGGGAAGTGACATTCCAAGCAGAAAAGAGCAGCATTGACAAAGGCCTGGAAGAGATCCTGATCCGTTCATGGAACGGATCCCCAGATTCATGGTCCTGATCCCCAGAACTTATTCACCTTATAAACTTGGTACTCTTTGAACAACATCTCCCCATTTCTCCCACCTGGCAGTCTCTGATAATTACTGTTCTAGTCTCTGTTTTTATGAGTTTGACTTTTTTAGATTCTGCACATAAATGAGATCATGCAGTATTTGCCTTTCTGTGTTTGGCTTATTTAGCTTAGCATAATGTCCTTCAGATCTACCTATGTTGTTTCAGATCCAGGATTTCTCCTCTTTAAGGCTGAATAGTTTTCCATTGTCTATGTGCACTACATTTTCTTTATCCATTCATCCATCGATGGGCACTTAAGTTGATTCCATATCTTGGCTATTGTGAATAGTGCTGCAATGAACATTAAATGAAAAAAATGAAAGTTAAAGACAGAACACCACACTTAAAAAGTCAATATTTTATATACTTTTAAAATTAGAAATAGTCATAAGCAATTCTGTATAATTTCCATCTACCATCCTTCACTCATTAGAGCATTTTCAGAAATGATTTCTTCCTGTTTTATCTTTATTGTGTCATTTATTTTAAAAGTTACACTCATAATAATTTAATTGTATAGAAGTGTTATAAAGTAAAAAGCAAGTCTCAAATCTCACTCCACACTCAGAGATAACCATTACTAATGGAAGGACATTTGGACTTTTTACATTTTGACTTTTTTTTGTGGAGGAGGAATCCTTTTTCAGCCTGATGGTTTTCACAGCCATGATTTTGAGGATGCTGGATTTTAAGGATTCTGTGAAGCTGGGGAGAAAGGAATGGGGATAGTTCAAGTTAAAAAGTCATAAGCCTTGCTGCTCTTACTGAGACTCAGCAGCTTTTGTTTAATAAAAGCTTCTCAGATTCTTGCAAACCTTTGTTTAATTTCCAGAGTTCTAAAAAAGTTGATTGTGACAATTTTTGCCAGTATTTGCATTTTTTTAAGGAGGAACAAGTTTATGGAGGGTTTCACCCTGCCATTCCAGACTTTCCACCACTATGCAAACTTTTTGCATTTCTCTCTTTCAAAAAATATGTTTGCTTTCATCTTCTGCCAATTTCTGGCCCTTCTGCCATGAAAAGAAAGGGAAAGTTTGTGAAACTGAGATACAAGGAAATTATAGCTTTGGAGTCAGATTGACCCAGATGTGGATCCTATCTCCACCACTCACTCGGATTGTGATCATGGGCAGGTAGATGATATTCCTGAGTCTCCATCTCCTAATTGGTAAATAGTAGTAATAATACTCACCACAACCTATCTGTCAAAATCAAAGGAAAGCTTTTGGTACAAGTCCTAGCAGATAACAAATATCTAACATATGTTTTAAGTATCTTAGTTGCGTGTACCGAGCATCTTTTGGGATTGAATTGCAATATATGTATATATTATCTATATATGATATATATACTATTATATATATTATGTATATATACATTTTACTTGTCAGTGTCAGCTTTGAGCACCCAAACTTTTAATACTTCTTTCATAGGAATTTAAAGAATTACATGTGACCTCTGCTTCTTAAACTAAGTACCCTGAAAATAATGTACCCTTTCCTGATGACTGAAGATCATCCTTATATAAATATTAATTGTTCATACTAGTACTATTGCTAATTTATACGAATTCAATATGTAATATTAATTGTTATCAATTATTACTTTTATATCATTAATTTCCACTTATTATGCTTTTAGAGTAACGAATGTGATGGTCACAGTTCATTCCTTCACTATATGGTTCCAGCCTATGGTTTTGATAACTTTTCTGCTCCCTTATTTTATCTACAGTCATTCTGGGAAGAATTTCAGTTGTTCATATTCTTTCCTTTCCCCACTGCCAGTGTCTGCCTGACATTAATGACTAGCTCATTTCCTGAGTTTGCTTAGTATGCCCTTCTTCATCTGCCTTTGTGACCATATCTATAATCCAGCCAAGTTGGAGGTGTAGCAAACACTAACATCAGAGGGATAAAGGAGTTTGAACTTTATCCTGAAGACAGCAGGTGAAATGAGGATATGTTCATGGTGGGAAGAAGGACTGAAAGAGGAAGGATAAGGTTAGGTTGTGTGGAGAGTACATCACTCTGTCAGCAGTGGAGGATATATCAGGTTGTGAGATCCTCAGGTGGAAGAGAGGGAGAACAAGTGGTGTAAGGGCAGCAATTAGATTTTAATGGGTCTTAGAATTCAAACTTTATCATAAGTTGATATTCTTTGTTGAAGTATATTGGAGAGGGGAGTGGCGTGGTCATATTTATGTTTTCTATGGATCACCTTACCTGGGATGAGGAGGATAAATTTAGCATTGGTGGAGATGTGGGTGAAAACCTGGAAACAGGGACAGTAACAAAAAACTTGCAGTGACATAGGGGAACATAAAGTGTATCCAAACCAAGTTAAGGCTGATGAGGATGAAGTGTGGGATGGATTTTTGAAACTATAAGAAGTGAAGTCTGTCTTAACTGTTTTTCCTGGGGAAGTGGGATGCAGCTGACTCAGAGATGTCTTCTGACTTTCTAGGTATATGATGGTGACACCATTCAAGAGAGGGAACAAAGAAAGAAGGAGGGATTTTTTTTTTTTTTTAAGAAAAGACAAGTTCAACTTGGGACATTTTGAGTTTTTATATTTGAGTGTGCCATAGGCAGTTAGAGATATGTTCAGAATCTGCTCAGTTACCATGTCTAAGGGCTGGTCTTCAGCTTTTCAGAGTCATGAACACATTTTGCAAGAGCCAAGAGTTAAGCCAAACTTACCAAGGATTGATTTACAAAGTAGAATGCCAATCAACTTTCAATGAGAACTATAGTGGTCAGGTTAAGTTAGCAATATGGATTAGAAAGCAGGAAGTATTGTTAAAGGAAAGGGATCCCAAGACAGGTCTATTTTAATAGTAGTGGGGACATAAAGGCCTCAGGATCCCCAGGTGAGGCACCTGGTCTTTTGTCTAGTAAGATTTAATGTCTTTTGTCTAGTAAGAAGCACATTCAGACTTCCTCAGGGACAGTACCTGTTCTTTTTCTTCCTGTGCTTGAGTCATAGTTTTTAATTTCTTTGCAGGCATTACATATTTTTGATGAAAATTGAACGTCTAAAACATTATAATGCAGTAACTCAGGGAATCAGATTATCTCTCTCCAGGGCTTGTTGTTACTGCTTATTGTGGGTTGTAGGTTTGTTTGTTCTTTTGTTTGGTGACTTTTAGAAACATTTTTAAAGACTCTATTCTTTGTTATGTGTGTTCACTAAAGTCTTTGTTCTGTTAGCTTAGTGGTCCACTAATAATAAGACCGAGATTTCCTTGCATGCTAGGAGACAAAAATAAAAATAGTAGATTGACTCTGTATTACATTTCTGACCTAGCCTACACTATATGCTTGTGCAGAGCTTAAATGTCAGCCATAGGTGAAAGATCAAGGTCTTCTCAGGTCTTCTTTGAGTATCCATCCATTCCCGGGCAAGTGCACGGGCTTATAGAGTCCTTAATGTACTCAGAAGCTTTACAAAGCCCTCGTTCTCCTTTCTATCTTTTCCCCTAGCCTCTTATTTCCCAGGCTTTTTTGATTTGTCTATTGCTTGCCCCATCTATTATCCCTTGCACTAGATAGCTAAGAGTAATATATTTGCTTTGAAATTAATTCATCAAACTCTTTTCAGAAGGCTGCTGCAGCCCTGAAAAGGTTCCAAGACAGATAAAACAGAGGCGTGTCTCTGCACTGATCCCTTAGGGGGCCATGCTGGGGTTTTCTTACTTACAGTTAAATGATGCATTTAGTCTATTCTGCAACTGGCCATGGCTTTAAACAAATCTTTAACGTAGGCTGGTTGCCATTCCAGTATAATTCACTTGAAAAGCAGTAGCAGTCAGGAATTGGAGCATCCTGGATGGGAGACAAGGAATCCAGAGCCTGGATTGGCGTGAACTTTTTATGCTCTTCACTGAATCCCCCCAAGACATCTATAGAAGCTTGTTTGACTGTTCACCGAATGAGAGTGGTCAGCTATGCCTAATAGGACCATCAAGGAAGGGCTCATGGAGGGAGGACCCTTAATTTCAGCCTTGAAACATGCTGAAGAATTTTCTAGTTGGGTCTGAGAAGGTTGAGGCCAGATGTGGGAATGTTCTCCTACCATGTAGAAGGAACAACCAGAAAAGACATGGAAGCCTGAAATACCTTATATACTTCATGAAATGTGAGCAGCTGACTGAAGCACTTTGCATACATCCTCTCATAAGGCCATTACAACATTCCTAGGAAACAGACTATTGTTATCTCCATTTTACTGAGGAGAAAAGAGGCTGGAGGAGGTAAAGTAACTCCACCAGCTAATAGATGATTGTGGGAGATGGTCAAGGGCTATTCATAGAAAGTATTGGACAATTATAGTCACTACTATCCACCATCCAATACTGCAAAACACAGCCTTCATTCTATCTTGGCTTCCATGTTGCCCACGGCGGTACATGAAGTCAGCCTATCCTTTGTTAAGCCTATCCTTCTCAGTGCCAAGTTTCCTCACTACAGAAGGTTTTGTGGCCTTTTTCTGATGTGCCTCTATTCCCAGTAGCTTTCTACATGCTCTCAGGTGGTTTTCCCAGTGGCTACAGCTGACCTACTTGTCTCCACATTCCCTCCCTTGGGAGGACCACAACAGTACTTCCCTAGGTCCTGGGTGTTTGCCCTAAATGTTTCTGCTCATGATATAAGACTTAGTCACCTTCACTACTGCAAGCCTTTCATGCTGCTTCCTTTCTATCCTCCTCACAAACTAATTCTGATAAAAGTGAGAATCTGTGGAGGACTTCAGGATTCCAGTGCCATTCATGTTTCCATGGAAGTATTCTATTTCAGACAGTTCCTACTCTCACTTGATCTAAACAAATCTGATTTGCTCCTCTCCATTCTTTTGCCAAAGCCTTGTCTCCAACCTCTGCAACATCAGTATATTTGCTGAGGCTTTCTTTTCTCCTGCTTTCCAGAGTTTAAGAATTCTACAAGTTACTAAATCCCTGCTAGCTTTCATTTTTCCAAACATACATTCAACTGCCTTGAAGTGGTCAACCTCAATCAAGGAGATGATGCACCACCTATGGTTTGTATAGACACAATTCGAAACCCTCCTCTGGGGCCCTAGCATCTTACCGGTAGAAACACCCTAGTTCAATTGCCTTTGCAGAGTGTATTAGTAAGAACTCAATTACAGAAGCAGTATTGGTAGGATATCTGTATCTATATCTATATCTTACCTATCTCTCTCTTTCTCCATCTATCTATCTATCTATCTATCTATCTATCTATCTATCTATTATCTATCTATCATCTATCTATCTGTTTATTGCATGGAATTGGCAATTGTGAGGTCTGGCTAAACAAGTTGGTATGGCAGGCAGTCAGGAAGGAAAAGTCTTGGACAACTTGGAATTCATAGGCACAGGCTGAAGCTGAAATCCATAGGTGGAATTTCTTCTCTCTCAGGGAAACCTCAACCCTGCTTTTAAGGCCTTCCAACAGATTGAATCAGGCCAACCCAAATTAACCAGGATAATCTCCCTCACCTAGATTCAGCTGATTATAGCCTTTAATTATATTTAAAAACTCTCTTTACAGCAGCATTTAGTGTTTGATTAAATAACTGGAAACTGTAGCCTACCCAAGGTGACACATCAGAAAAACCATCACAAATAACATGACCCCAGTTCTGAGAGAATTGTGCCCGAGTAGCTGGGACCAAGCCAAAATTCTTAATTTACCCACACAGTTTACCATAGACTTACCTTCCAGGTCAAGGGAAAGGCGTCAGTTTCTCCCTCAAAAGTCAGAGTTTCTGCATTCTACCTTACAGACTAGCTTCTAAGATACTCCCTCTCCTGATGATTCCCAAGAGATAATGCAGTCACACCGTAGGCAAATCACACAAAGTTGGGTAGTTAGTATTTATCAACTAAATCTATATCTATACAAAAATCCATATAACTACCTATATATTGTCTCTAAAAAATGTTTAATTTTTTTATTTTTAAATTTTGTGGGTACATAGTGGGTGTATATATTTATAGGGTACCTGAGATATTTTGATACATTAGGCATACAATGCATAATAGCCACATCAGGGTAAATGGGGTAATCATCAGCTCAAGCATTCACCATTTCTTTGTGTTACAGACAATCCAATGATACTCTTTTAGTGATTTTGAAATGTACAATAAATTACGTTGACTGTAGTCACCCTGCTGTGTTATCAAATACTAGATCTTATTCATTCTATCTAACTATATTTTTGTACCCATTAACCATCCCCACTCCCTTGTGACTACCCTTCCCAGCCTCAGGAACCATCCTTCTACTCTCCATCTCCATGAGTTCAATTATTTTTAATTTTTAGCTCCCACAAATGAGTGAAAACATGCAAAGTTTGTCTTTTTTATGCCTGGCTTATTTCACTTAACATAATGATTTCCAGTTCCATCCGTGTTGTTGCAAATGAAAGAATGTCATTCTTTTTATGGCTGAATAGTACTCCATTGTGTATATACACCACATTTTCTTTTTCCATTCATCTGTTGATGGACACATAGGTTGCTTCCAAATCTTGGCTATTGTGAATAGTGCTGCAATAAACACGGGAGTGCAGATATCACTTCAACATACTGATTTCCTTTCATTTGAGTATACATCTAGGGGTGGGATTGGTGAATCCTTATGGTAGTCCTACTTTAGTTTCTTTAAGGAAACTCCAAGCTATTCTCTATAGTGGTTGTACTAATTTACATTTCCACTAACAGTGTACAAGGGGTTTTCTTTTCTCCACATCCTCTCCAGCATTTGTTATTATTGCCTGTCTTTTGGATAAAACCCATTCTAACTGGAGTGAGATGATATCTCATTGTAGTTTTGATCTGCATTTCTCAATGATCAATGATGTTGAGCATCTTTTCATATACCTGTTTGCCATTTGTATATCTTCTTTTGAAAAATATGTATTCAGATCTTTTGCCCATTTAAAAATCAGATTATTAGATTTTTTCCTATTGAGTTGTATGAGCTCCTTATATATTCTGGTTATTAATCCCCTGTCAGATGGGTAGTTTGCAAATATTTTCCCTTATTCTGTGGGTTGTCTCTTCACTTTGTTGGTTGTTTCCTTTTCTGTGCAGAAGATTTTAAATTTGGTGTGATCTCATTTGTCCACATTTGCTTTGGTTGTCTGTGCTTGCAGGGTATTACTCAAGAAATCTTTGCCCAGTCTCATGTCCTGGAGAGTTTCCCTGATGTTTTCTTGTAGTAGTTTCATAATTTGAGGTCTTAGATTTAAGTCTTTAATCCACTCGATTTGATTTTTAATGTGGTCAGAGATGGGGGTCTAGTTTCATCCTTCTGCATATGAATATCCAGTTTTCCCAGCACCATTTTTTGAAGAGACTCTTTTCCCCAGTGTATGTTCTTGGCACCTTTGTTGAAAACGAGTTCACTGTAGGGGTGTGGATTTGTTTCTGGGTTCTCTATTCTGTTCCATTGGTCTATACGTCTGTTTTTATGGCAGTATTATGCTGTTTTGGTTACTACACTCTGTAATATAATTTGAGGTCTGGTAATGTGATGCCTCCAGTTTTGTTCTTTTTGCCCAGGATAATTTTGGCTATTCTGGATCTTTTGTGATTCCATATAAATGTTAGGATTTTTTTTTCTATTTCTGTGAAGAATGGCATTAGTATTTTGATAGGGATTGCATTGAATCTGTAGATTGCTTTGGTTAATATGGACATTTTAACAATATTGATTCTTCTAATCCATGAACATGAAATATCTTTCTATTATTTTGTGTCCTCTTCAATTTCTTGCATCAATGTTTTATAGTTTTCATTGTAGAGATCTTTCACTTTGGTTAAATTTAACCCTAGGTATTTTATTTTATTTCTGGCAATTGTAAATAGGACTACTTTCTTGATTTTTTATTCAGATTGTTTGTTGTTGGCATATAGAAGTGATACTGAGTTTTTTATGTTGATTTTGTGTTCTGCAAATTTACTGAATTTGTTTATCAGTTCTAACCATTTTCTTGTGGAGTCTCTGGGTTTTTCCTGGCCACCTCTGCTGCAAACAATGATGACAACAACCTCTTCATCTATGACTGCAGTGCTGCAGAATAGTCACAAGAAAATAAAGGGGAGGACGGGCTGCCCTTGGTCTGGGGGAGTGGCATGATTCTGGCATCCACCTCCAAGTCTGGCGCTATTTTGCTTTAACAGATGACCACAAGCGTCTGATTCTTTTCCATACAAAACCATGGCAATGTCTGAGTGTCAGGACCATGGCAAGGAGGTGTAGGGCCCTGACCTTACAGCCTCTGAGGAGAAGGTCTTGGTGGCCGACAAATCTGGAGATGTGTACTCCTTTTTGGTTTCAGAGCCACACAGATGCGGCAGACTTGACCTGGCACACCTGTCAATGTTGTTAGAGGTGACTGTGAGTCCTGATAACTGCTTCATCCTCACTGCCAACCCGGATGAGAAGATCCAGGTCAGCTAGGCCACAGCACCTCACAGTATCGAGTCCTTCTGCCTCGGGCACACGGAGTTTGTGAGCCGCATCTCTGTGGTGCCCACTCAGCCCGAACTGTTTCTTGTCCTCCTCCAGGGACTGCACTCTTAGGCTCTGGGAGTACAGAAGTGGCCATCAACTGCACTGCTATCACCTGGCCAGTCTGCAAGTGCTGATGGGCCCCTGGGACACCGGAGGTTTGTCACATCCGGGATCACGTTCTGGTGCTAGGAGAACTGCATGACGCTTCTGTGCAACTGTATTCCTGTAATCTACATCTTCCAGCTTGATGCTCTCAGACTGCTAACTTAGTGTACAGGCAGCATCTGTCAAGCTAGCACCATGTGTGGGATGTGGCTTTCGAGGAGACCCAGGGGCTGTGGGTGCTGCCGGACTGCCATGAAATCCCCTTGGTGCTCTGCAGGCCTGTAGGTGGCCAGTGGCATTCTGTTCCTGAATGCACTGTGTTTAAAAAAAAAAAAAAAGTCTCCAGTGTTATTCATGGGAACTGGGCCATGCTGGAAGGCTCTAACGTCACAGATGCCAGCTTCAGCAGTCTCTACAAGGCCATCTTCGATAACATGACCTTCTATCTGAAGAAGAAAGAGGAGAGACTGCATTAGCAGCTGGAGAATTCCCCCACCTGGGCCCCAAACCAAGAAGTTGAGGCCGGGTGAAGTGGCTTTGAGTTGTTGACCTTGGTGGTTGGTAGTGCCTCTTACAACCTTGAAACAGCAGAAGCAGTTTTAACTTGTTCCCTCCTCATCCTGGCATCTCCCTTTAAGAAGGAAAAGATGACATTAGTTAGGTCTGACCAGCTCAGCTCAGTGGATGGAACGGTCTCCTGGGCTCTAGAACATTCTGTATCACTGAGCATAGGCTCTTGCCTGGTGTCTGTGCCCCCTTCTGGTTGAAGAGAAGCTGTGCAGGGCATTAGCTCAACTAAGAGACTATGGGGCAGAGTGGAAGTGCTGGAAGCATTTTATCTTCATGTTGAAGGCAATCTATTAACCTGTAGCAGTGGCAGCTGTTGATTTTTCTACCGTACTCATAATGATGTTCATGCTGGACATGTCTTCCTCTAAGATGTATAGGCAGACATTTTTGCAGTGGCATGGAGGATGTTTTCATGTTTTTCCTTCCATCTCAGGTGGTGTGCTGCTTTCCAAGTAGCCACTTGCCGCACTATTGAAACTCAAATAGAACTAACTCTTCAGCCATTCCCAGCTCCAGCCACACTTCGTGTGCTCAGGAGCCACATGTGGTGAGTGGCTCCTGCATGGGAAGTGCAGAAACATGATTCCCATGTCACAGGGAGCTCTCTCTGGCAGCACTGGTGCAGAAGGTGAACTTGTTTCAGCAAGTGTGAAGGCATGGGCCCTGGCTAGAAACCTAGTTTTACAGAGAAATGATCGAGAATATCGTATTTATTACTTTGATTTGACCTTTGCACACACTACAGAGCAGCAGCAGTGTCACTGAATTCCAATCACCTATCAATAAGGACGAACTTTTGCAACTTTCTGGAAATCTTTAGCAGCAATATACAGAATTAGACTCAAAACATATTGAGCAAAACATTTGGGTGCATGCACTGTTTGTGACTGAAGTGTTCAGTCACAAATTGAACACTTCTGGGAAGTGATTTGGGAAGAAAGATTCTGTGATGGTTTGGCTTCTAGATACATCAGGTAATTTGTTCATTTTAGCTTCTACCCACTCTCCAATGATTAAGTTTCAAACACAGGAGTGACTGTACATGTTGGTGATAACTTGGGTGTGGGGTTTCGCTGGGGCCTTAGAAACAAAAGCTGTATCAAAAGCTGGAGTGCTTCAAGTTTTTCATAAATGCCTTGTTTTCCTTAAAAAAAGACACTCTTATTTTATTTTTTCCGTAAGTTATTGCGGTACAGATGGTATTTGGTTACATGAGTAAGTTCTTTAGTGGTGATTTGTGAGATTTTGGTGCACCCATCACCTGAGCAGTATACACTCTGACATGTCCAGCATGAACAGTATTACGAGTATGGTAGAAAAATCAACAGCTGCCACTGCTATTGGTAGTCTTTTATCCCTCTCCCCACTCCCACCCTTCCCTCCAAGTCCCCAAAGTCCATTGTATCCTTCTTATGCCTTTGTGTCCTCATAGCTTAGCTCCCACATATCAGTGAGAACATACAGTGTTTGGTTTTCCATTCCTGAGTTACTTCACTTAGAATAATAGTCTCGAATCTCATCCATACTGCTACAAATGCCTTTAATTCATTCTTTTCTATGGCTGAGTAGTATTCCATTGTATATATATACCACAGTTTCATTATCCACTCATTGATTGATGGGCATTTGGGTTGGTTCCACAAATTTGCAATTGCAAATTGTGCTGCTATAAACATACATGTGCAAGTATCTTTTTTATATAATGACTTCTTTTCCTCTGGGTAGATACCCAGTAGTGGGATTGCTGGATCAAACGGTAGTTCTACTTTTAGTTCTTTAAGAAATCTCCACACTGTTTTCCATAGATGCTGTACTGGTTTACATTCCCACCAGCAGTGTAGAAGTGTTCCCTGATCACCACATCCAAGCCAACATCTACTGTTTTTTGATTTTTTGATTATAGCCATTCTTTCAGGAGTAAGGTGGTATTGCATTGTGGTTTTGATTTGCATTTCCCTGATCATTAGTGATGTTGAGCATTTTTTCATATGTTTGTTGGCCTTTTGTATATCTTCTTTTGAGAATTGTCTATTCATGTCCTTAGCCCACTTTTTATGGGATTGTTTGTTTCTTTCTTACTGACTTGTTTGAATTTGATGTAGATTCTTGATATTAGATTCCTTTCTCAGATGTGTAGATTGTGAAGATTTTCTATAAAAATTCTAGAAGATAACATTGGAAAAATCCTTCTAGACATTGGCTTAGGCAAGAATTTCATGACCAAGAACCCCAAAGCAAATGCAATAAAAACAAAGATAAATAGTTGGGACTTAGTTAAACTAAAGAGCTTTTGCATCACAAAAGGAACAGTCAGCAGAGTA
Organism: Homo sapiens; assembly: GCF_000001405.40. Classification (NCBI taxonomy): domain Eukaryota; kingdom Metazoa; phylum Chordata; class Mammalia; order Primates; family Hominidae; genus Homo; species Homo sapiens. The sequence continues at coordinate 135,461,983 of NC_000023.11, read as the reverse complement.
AATAGACAACCCACAGAGTGGGAAAAAAGGCATTCGTAATGGTGCCTCAAAGACCTTCACAGCCTGTGAGAGGTAAATCTGTTTCCAAAAGCACCCTCTGGTACTTTAGCAGCTGAGCAGATATGGAAAGAAACATGACTTCCTTAAAATATTTCAATTCAATCAGGCTCCTAAAATGTAACCTGTGGATATAGTTTGAATATATGTCCCCGTCAAATCTCATGTTGAATTGTAATCCCCAATATTGGAGGTAGAGCCTGGAAGGAGGTGTTTGGGTCATGGGGTAGATCCTTCATGGCTTGGCGCTGTCCTTGCAATAATGAATGAGTTCCATGAGATCTGGCTGTTTACAAGTGTGTGGCACCTACCCCTCCCCACAAATCTCTCTCTTGCTCCTGACCTGGCCATGTGATGTGCCTGCTCCCACTTTGCCTTTCACCATGAAAAAGCTCTCTGAGGCCTTCCCAGGAGCCAAGTAGATGCTAGAACCATGCTTCCTGTACAGCTTGCAGAACTCTGAGCCAATTAAACTGCTTTTCTTTATAAATTACCCAGTCTCAGATATTTATTTATAGCAATGCAAGAACCACCTAATATACCTGTGTTCCTCAGGACACCAGCATAGAGATAAAAATAGGGTCATAGTAATGATGAACTCCAATCAGTACTTTTCTGACTGAACCTGCTTTGATGAAGCCCCAGATCCCCTCCCTAATGCCTCCTAAGTACTTTTTGGTGTATCTCACGGATTTCTCATGTGTGCTCTGAAGAACAGTTCTCTTCAGCTCCAGCTTCCCCTCACTGTGGTCATCCACGTCTCTTGGTGCTGACAATAACTGCTGCTGTACCAAAGACTGTGTCAAGGGCACACTCTCCCATGACTACAGTGGTCATTAGCACCTTGCCCCATAGCCGAAGAAACAAATACAAGTATCTGTCATTGATCCCATAATTTTAAGTACAAACATCGAAGATGGGTATTTAGGATTGAAAGGTTTTGTTGCCCGTCTTTCTAAATGTCTTAGGAATTTGCTGGTCTGGGGCAGAAGGGGAGAAGACAGTATTGGGCAGGCACAGCCAGCAAAGCCATGGTGAGAATTTTCAGGCAGTCACAGTATTCACAGATGAGTTATAGAGATATACAATCCTCCAGAGCCAATGGAATGACAACAGGAACAATTCTGAAGGCCAGGGAAGATCAAGAACTTAATGTTTAGGCCTGAGAAAGCATGTGAATGTTGAATGGATTCAAGTTTGTTATTTTAAGAAACTCAGCCATGAAAAGGTGGTAACACAGAATTCGGTAGTTTGGAAAGAAGCACTAATGTCTTGGACTCAAAAATTTAGTTCTGACTTTGCCTAAGTTCTTCTGTGACTGAAATGTTACATAGTGTCTGTTCCAAGACTCCCCAGTACCAGACTTGATAGCAAGGCTTCTCCACAAACTACCCGTGGCAAAGAACCAGGCTTTTCGGTTTTCAATCCAGTATAAACAAATAGTTTTGTAAAGTAGTTCAAAAATGAATTACGAGAGTAACAACCATTTAAATGGTTGTTTAAATGGCCACTTTTTTTTTTTCTTTGGCAGAGCCAGTGCCTCAGCCTCCCAAGAAGCTGGGATTACAGACATGCGCCACCATGCCCGGCTAATTTTCATAATTTTAGTAGAGACGAGGTTTTGCCATGTTGCCCTGGCTGGTCTCGAACTCCTGGTCTCTAGGGATCTGCCCGTGTCGGCCTCCCAGAGTACTGGGATTACAGGCATGAACTACCGTGCTTGGCCTAGATGGCTACTATTTTTCAAAACCCAGAAAATAACAAGTGTTGATAAAGAGAAATTCGAATCCTGTGCTCTGTTGGTGGAATTGAAAAATGGGGAAACTGCTGTGGAAAACAGTATGAAGTTTTCTCAAAAAATTAAAAATAGAATGACCATGCCATCCAGCAATCCCAATTCTGGATATACAGCCAAAAGAATTGAAAGTAGCGTGTCTTAGTCTGTTTGCACTGCTGTAACAAAATGCCTGAGACTGGGTAATCTATAAATAACAGAACTTTATTTCTCACAATTCTGGAGGCTAAGTTCAAGATCAAGGTATCAGGATTTGATGTCTGGTACAAAGGGCCTACTCTCCACTTCTACCATGGCACCTTGTTGGTGCATCTTCTGGAAGGACAAATGCTTTGTCCTCACATGGCAGAAGGAATAGTAGGCAGTGAATCAACTCTCCAAACTCTTTTACAAGGGCCCTAATCTCATTCATGAGGGTTCTACACTTATGACTTAATCACCTCTTAAAGGCTCCACCTCTTTTTTTTTGGGGGGGGGATACTATCACATTGGTGATTAAGTTTTAACATATGAATTGGGAGGGGGCACATTCAGACCATAGCACAGGGTCTTCGAGGAATATTTACATGGCCATGTTCATAGCAGCACTAGTCACAGGAGCCAAGAGGTGTAAGCAACCCACATTTGCATGGACAGATGAATAGATAAACAAAATGCAGTGTATATATAACAATGGATTATTATGCAGCCTTAAAAAGAAAGAAACTCTTTTTATATGATACATTATGGATAAACCTTAAGGACATTATGCTAAGTAAAATAAGCCAGTCACAAAAAGACAAATACTGTATGATCCTATGTATATGAAGTATCTAAAGTAGTTAAATTCATAGAAACAGAAAGTAGAATGGTGGCTACCAGGGGCTTGAGAGAGGGGGAAAAGGAGAGTTATTGTTTAATGGGTATGAAGTTTCAGATCTTCAAGATGAAAAAGTTCTGGAGATCTGCTTCACAGCAGTGTGAATATACTTAACATTACTGAATTATACACTTAAAATGATTAAGATGGTAAATTTTGTTATGTGTTTTTTTGCTACAAAAATATTTAAATATAGCAGCTCTCTATTTAAAGATATGTTTAAACTGCTAGTACAAAATAAAAAATTGAAAGGCTAAAAAGTGAATTATAAGATAATAGAAATGAATTAACTCAAAATAATAAAGGACATTTATGAAAAACACACAGCTAAAATAATATTCAATTGTGAAAATCTGAAAGCTTTCCCCCTAAGATCAGGAACAAGACAAAAATGCCCACTTTCACCACTTCTATTCACATAGTACTGAAAGTTTTACCCAGAGCAATTAGGCAATAAAAGGAAATAAAAGGCACCCAAGTTGGAAAGGAGAATGGAAAACCCTATGTGCAGAGATAGGATCTTTTATATAGAAAATCCTAAGAAATTTTCAAAACAATTAGAACTAATAAAAAATTCAGCAGTGTTGCAGAATACAAGATCAATATGCAAAAATCAGTTGTATTTTTATACACTAACAATGCACAATCTGAAATGGAAACTTAAAGAAATTCTATTTACAATGCCATGAAGATAAATTAAATATATGGGAATAAATTTACACTTGATATTCAGCTTACACTTGTATACTGTGTAAACTTTCACTTACACAGTGAAAACTATAAAACATTGCTAAAAGAAATTAAAGATGACTTAAATAAATAGAAAGACATCCTGTATGCATGGATTGGGAGACAATGTTAAGATGGCAATATTGCCCAAAAAGATCAACAGAATCAAAATGCCAATGGCCCTTTTTCTTGTAGAAATTGAAAAGCTGATCCTAAATTTTTAAAGGAATTGCAAGAGACTCTACAAATAGCCAAAACAATCTTGACAAAGAACAAATTTTGGGTACTCACACTTCCAGATTTCAGAACTTATTACAAAACCATAATAATCAAAACAGTGTGGCATTCATGTATGGATAGACATATAGACTAATAGAATAAAATAGAGATTCCAGAAGTAAATCCATACACCTATGGTCAGTTGCTTCTCAACAAGAGTGCCAAGATAATTCAATAGGCTAAAGAGTAGTTTTTTCAAAAAATGGTGCTGGGACAGCTGGATGTGCACATGTAAAACTATAAAGTTGGAACTCTGTCTTAAAAACTATGCAACAAACAAATCAAAATTCATCAAAGACCTAAGTACTAAAGCTAAAACCATAAAACTCTTAGAAGAAAACATAAGGGTAAATCTTCATGATCTTGGATTGGCAATGGTTTCTTAGATAGGATAAAAAAGCACAGGCAACAAAAGAAAAAAATAGATAAATTGGACTTAATCAAAATTTTAAAACTTTTATGCACCAAAGGATGTTATCAAAAACTAAAAAGACAACCCACGGAATAGGAGAAAATATTTACAAAGTGTATATCTGAGAAGGATCTAGTATCCAGAATATATAAAATACTCTTACCACTCAACAATACAAAAGACAAACAACCAATTAGAAAATGGGTGAAGGACTTGAATAGACATTTCTCCAAAAAAGATACACAAATGGCAAACAATATATGGAAAGATGCGCAATGTCATTAGTTATTAGGGAAACAAAAATAAAAACTCCAGGGGGATACCACTTCACATTCACTAGGATTGACAGAAAAGAAGGAAAACAAGTGTTGGAAAAGATGTGGAGAAATAACAACATTCATATATTGCTGGGGAGAGGTAAAATGTTGTAGCTGTTATGGAAAACTAGTGTTTCCTCAATAAGTTAAACATGGAATTACCATATGACCCAGGAATTCCACTCTTAAGTATAAACTCAGAAGAATTGGAAATAGGTGTCAAACAAAAAATTGTACATGAGTGTTCACAGCAGCACTATTCATTCACTACAGCCAAAAGGTGGAAACAAGACAAACGCTTATCAACAAATGAATGGATAAATACAATGTGGTATATCCATACAATGGAATATTATTCTGCCATAAAAGGTATTGGAGTACTGATAGATGCTATCACATGGATGATCCTTGAAAACATTATCCTAAGCAAAAGAAGCCAGGCACAAAATATAACATATTGTATGATTCTATTTTTATTAAATATCCAGAATGAGCAAATCCATAGAGATGGAAAGCAGATTAGTGGTTGCCAGGGATGGACGGGAGAATGGGAAGTGACTGCTTAATGGATACAGGGTTTTTCCAGGTTGATGAAAATATTGTGGAATTAGTGATGGTTGCACAACATTGTGAAGGTACTTCATGCCATTACATAGTATACTTTAAAATGGTTAAAATGATAAATTTTATGTTATATGTATTTTGCCACATTAAAAAGAAGATTCCAGGGCTCTCCACTCCTGTAAAGAACAAAAGTCTTTCTGTACAGTTTCTTTAAAAGATCACTGAGGATGCTATGGCAACAGTGTAGAAGTGTGCAGTACCCATAGTTGTTCATGCTTGAATGTTTATGGAAGGAAAGGATCCAGGGTTGTTTACTCTAGTTAATGTTAGGGTAGAGAAACTGCTGTGTGCCCTTTATAATTGAGGAGCTGCTACCAGGCACCCCAGGATAAGAATTTTCCTCATTTTGAGAGTTGTCCCTCCAGGTCCTTAGAGGTGACCCCTACTAGAAGCATTGGAATTATTATGCAAATGAGAACCTTACCGACAGGTCATGAGCTATTTACATTCCCTAAGGTGGAAGAAACAATCAGTCCTTGTCTAGCTCTTAGAACTTTCCAAATTTGGGTTGTATCAGTGGAGTTGTCAGAATTCTGAAACAATGCCCAAGATTCCCGCCCCTGCTCCTGGTATACATACCTTGCATAATGTCCTCCTTTTGAGTGTGGACAGAAACCTGTGAATGTATGAGATGTCACTCAGTGATTAGGTCACTAATCAGTTGGCTTTGAGTTAATCAAAAGGAGATTAACCTAGGTGGGCTTGACCTAACCAGAATAGTCTTTAAAAGAAGATGAAGCTCAGAGAGACTTGTTCCTGATGACCTAGAAGAAAGAACTCTAATCTGGGACTTCCAGCCTCCAAAGCTGTGAGAAATGACTGTTTGTTGTTTAAACCTCTCAGTCTATGGTAATTTGTTATAGCAGCCTCAGCTGACTAAGACAATAAGGAAGTAAGTAATGGATTTACATGCAGGAACATGAGAAAGGGGCCCTGTTGTGGGCACCAGGGATAAACCTGGGGCTTTGTCCTAGAAACAAAGCATGATCCCGACCTCTGGAACTAGAAGAGGATCTGCCACAGGGTGCAATCAACAAGAATAGGGCAGAAATCCATGAAGTGAAAGCCAGGCAACTTGGCTATTAGCCTTGGCTCTCCCACTCAAAAGTTGTATGGCTTTATGCACGACATTATGGGTCTTACTTAGTTCACTTGTAAAATAAAGAAATTCACTTATGTCAGTGGGTTTCAGCCTCTGCAGCCCCAACCTACTACAGGGCCATGCCTCTCAAACTTTAATATATACGTGAATCACTGGGAGATCTTGCCAAAATCCAGGTCCTGCTTCAGCAGGTCTGCAGTGGGGCCCTCAGAGACTGCATTTCTCACATGCTTCTAGATGACTATGTTCTGCTTGTCTCTGGACAACACTTTTAGTAGCAGGCAAGCATAGAGGACCACAGAAGTGTCTCAGTTGCCTATCTGCTGGTGGGGATGGAAGATTAGAAGTCATCACCCCCTCCCCAGTTTTAGTAGGAGTAGCTTGCCTTTGATTTGTTTTACATTTTAGGGCTTCACCTAAGATTTTATTTGAAAAATAAAAAGAGCTTAAAAGCAATGGATTATAGCCCTTTCTCAGGGAGTGGGGTTAATATTTTAAATTTTATTATGGAAAATTTCAAATATATACCAAATTCAAAAGTATAACAAATTCCCATATAGGCACTACCCAACTTCAATAAGTACATGTACATTTCCCTTTATATCTACCTGATAAGAACTTAAATGACAAAAAGAGAAGCAAACAGATTATCTTTGGGCTGGGATTCAAAATTCTTCCCACTACAAAGAATGCCTGGCTCTGGAGCCTCACTGGCAGGGCTGAACTTCCAAGTGGGGAATAAATGGGCCCGGTTTGGGGAGTTATCAGGAAGCAGGGACAGGAAACAGCACAAAGCATTCCAAGGCCTTCTCTCTGGCGGGGGAAAAGGCAAAGTCACAGGAAGGAATGGAGCGGGGGCAGGAATGTGGCCAAGCTCTTCTCCTTAAGTTTTCCTCCTGGAGGAACTTGTGAGGAGACACAGCAGCAAGATGCTTGCTTCAGTGGCTGCAGGAAACCAAAGGTACAGGCACACACAGACAGAGCTGGGGACGAGCAGAGGAAGGCTGTGAGCTTCAGAAAGGCTCACTGTTGATTTCAGCTGGAGTACAACCATCAAAGTCAGAGAATGGCTACCTTTTCCAAAACCAGAAACAATGCTGATGGGTAGAATGCCCCCTACTTTCTGTTTTCTTTTTTCTCTTCTTTTTCTTAAGCCTTCTGTGTCTGCTACCCCTTCTCTGCCACTGAGGGCTGGCACGTAACAAATAGATGAACAAGGTGCAGACGAGGCTGGATAAATATCAGTTGTTTTCATGGGCAGGAGCACTCGCAGTGGTGCTTCTGTTTTGCATATGACCACAGCCAATTCCATGTATGCAGCCCTTCCTATGTACCAGACACTTGTACAAGCATGGCTGTACTTGGTCTCCATGGCAGTCTGCAGGATGAATGTCTATTTGATGTCCCCAAGACACAATGTGAACAGCTACAAGTAAAGCTAAAAGCTAATAAAGACAAAAAAGACTAGTACTCGTTTACTAACCACTTCCATGTGTCAAGCACTGCTCTGGGCTGATTAGTGTGACCCCAAAGTCAATGTCCACCTGGAACCTCAGAATATGACCTTACTTGAAAATAGGGTCTTTAAAAATGTAATTAGTTACATTTAAATGAAGTCATACTGGATTAGGGTATGAATCTAATGAGACTGCTGTTCTCCTAAGAACAAAGACACAGAGACACACAGGAGAGAAGGCCATGTGATTATGGAAGCAGCAATTAGAGTGATGCCTATAAGCCAAGGATCACTAAAGACTGCTGGCAGCCACCAGAAGCTGGGAAGAGAGAGTGTGAGTGACCGGCCCAATGTCACCCAGCTCATAACCTGAAGAGCCAGGATTTAAGCCCAGTTGGTTTCTCCCTCCAAAGCCTGCTTGAACCTCAGGGTGCCTAGTTTAAAACATGGGGTTGACTGTCTCTCAGTGTTTACTGGTGTCTGGAGAAGGCCCTTGTAACTTATCTGGGTATCTGGGTCTCCAGTCCTGTTTGCACATCTCTGCTGTAGTGTTTGTAGGAATCAAAAGCACGTAACAACCTCATGGGGGCTTATTTGCTTAAGATCAGGTACCTCTTATAACTTCTGAAAGCCCATTTATCTCATTCTTATGGTTTGTTCAACTACAGAAGGCCAATTTTGTCAAAGCTGTTTGGTGAAATGTTCTTTTTCCCAGCTCATCTGGCTTGCACTAACAAGAATAGCGTCATCTCTTGGTCACTCCCCTGAACTACATCCGAAGGCCCTTGGGAGGGTATTGCTAAGGCTTTCAGCAAGAGACACAGCCACCACTGCACCTCAGGCTTTGATAATGGAAAGAGAAGAAAGGCTACGAGGTCATGGGACACAGGAAGGGAGTAAGGGAAGCAGGTGTCAGTGTGAGGCTGCAGAGCCTCAGCTTTAACCATTTTGCTGTGATTCCCAGGATAATATGACCTGACATTTTACTACATTTGACAATGGACCTGCAGTGATTCCCAGGTGGCATGAATGTGGAGAGTTGCTGTTACCTGGAAATGTCATAGAAAGTGAGAAACTAGGAAGTGGAAGAGAAATGAGTCTGCCAGTTTCAAATGTTGACAGGCACTGTGAACGTTGCTTCCCCCTTATGTACTGCTGCGCCCATGGGGCAGAGAGGGAGGCAGGTGCAGAGGGGCACGGTGACATGCCCATGTTCCCAGAGCTGGTGAACCAGGAGCTGAACACCCAAGCCAGCCTTTGAGCTCTTAGGCTGGTCTTTGCCCTCTGCACTCCCATGAGCAAAAGCATATGGAAGAGGGAAGTGGGAAAAGGAGTATGAGAAACACAACAGAGGGTCTGGGGTGAGGCTTTGTATCACATCTGAGCAAAAACTGCTTTAACCGGTGCTCAGATTTGCCATGGTGTTCACATGGAAAGCCCTTTAGAAAAGACATTTCAGGAAAACTGCATTGAGAGCACTTCTAGAGTATAAGTGGAATCACTTTCCAGCCATGATATCTGGTGTGTACATTGGGGTTCTTGCTGCATGTGCCCTGACATTTATTTTTAACGTTCATAATTTGAAAAAAGAAATCTTTGGGTGCCAATCTCTGGGAACTGGGAAGGCCATCTTGTAGCTCCGAGGGTCTGGGTGGTCTGGTTTTGTCTGAGTTAACCTTTGCCCTGGAGGTAATGACAAAACCCATACCCCATACTATTTCTTTGGTAGGGGGAGTTGCAATCCTGTTGGCTGAGCCTGCATGCACACCTTGTCTCCTACTCAGCACTCACCTGTTCCTGTAAGCTCCTCCTCTAACTGCCCACAGGGAATCTGTGCCTGGGGCCCACTGCAGTGTCAGATGTAAAAAGGGATCAGGGAATAGGCCAGGAGTCCCTTGTCAGGGTGTCCTGGAAGCCTTCCCTGGAGCACAGAGCTCTTCTGAATTTCCGAGTGCTGGAGGTATGTGGCATGAATTGGTGTATGTTTGTGTGGGTAGGGGAAGAAGAAAGATTTGGTTAATGAGAGGACCCCTGATATCTGTAGGAGGGGGTGTTGTGAGTGGAAAAGCAGCTGCAGTTGTTACAGATGGACTCTGGTGGCCAGGGAGAGGGAGTGTGCTGTCATGACAGCCACAGAGGGAACCTGCTGAGAAAGGGCCGGTGGCAGGGCTTGGGTCAATCCAGCCTGGGGGGACCTGGGGGATTGCTCTGCAGAACTGGGAGAGGGCTTGAGGTTCAGCCTGATCTCTAGGTGGCTGAGTGGAACAGATGGCAATAGTGACTGTTGTGTGTGCCACCAGCAGCATCGCAATGGGAGGAAAGCTCATGGGGTACAGCCTGCAGCAAGACTGTCTCCCAGTCTCAGGGCCCAGGGAGCAAACCCTTAGAAGTTCCAGCCTGTTGGTCCCACTAAATCTCTGCGAGTCTGGTCACCCTGCTTGTAAGACTCAATGTCTGCTCTCCATGAGGTCATATTTGGAATGTTGTGGCAAGGGACCAAGCCCCCTTGGCTGCTGTCTAGGGTCCTGTTTGCCCCTCTGATCCTCTTCCTGGGAGGAACTGAGAATGTGAGATGATGTAGGATTTGGTCCAGGGGCAGGCAGTCATGTGTTTGTGGCATCCAATGTACCCACAAGGCCAGGACATCTGTGTCCAAGGAGAAGGCCTCAGGGTCAGAGCCAAGAGCCCAGCCCAAAGGCAATGCAGGTGAGCCTGCTGGGGTGGAAGATGAATGCCCTGATCATTCTCTAAAGCATGAGGCCAGGAAGGAGAATGAAGAAGTCTATGATGTTCTCCACTGGGCAGACAGTTGAGGAATGTAGCTGGATCAGTCCTGGATCACCTGATCATTCACTGGGGATCCCCACTCTCTGAACCACCAGATAGAGAAATAATTGAGGGCTTGGATTGCTTGGGAACTAATAGGATGGGGCTACTTTTGTAAGCTTTTAATACCACAGTGGTGGGGCAAGGGCTGTAGGGGATTGAAAGAAAGGCCAAGAGAGTCTATGGAAGAGGCCAGATATAGTTTGGATGTTTCTCTTCTCCAAATCTCATGTTGAAATGTGATCCCCAATGCTGGATGTGGGACCCGGTGGGAGGTGTTTAGGTCATGGGGGAAGATCCTTCATGAATGGCTTGATGCTGTCCTTGCAGTAGTAAGTGAGTTCCCACTTTATTAGTTCATATGAGAGCTGATTGTTTAAAATAACCTGGCATTTCTATTGCTCCCTCTCCTGCCACGTGACATGCCCGCTCCCCCTTCACCTTCTACCATGAGTAAAAGCTTCCTGAGACCTCACCAGAAGCTGAGCAGATGCTGGTGACATGCTTGTAAAATCTTCAGAATCATGAGCCAAATAAGCCTCTTTTCTTTATAAATTACCCAGCGTCAGGTACTTCATTACAGCAATGCAAAACAGACTAACACAAGGCCCAGTGGTGAAACAATAACACATCAGCAAATATGTTACAGAAAAAAAAGTCCTGACCCAAAGGCAAAACTCACCACCAGGGTAGATTCAGGATAGTTTTTTGATTTTCAAACTAGCTGCATAAAATAGGTGTATCTGGCAGTGGTGCTGACAAAAATCCAGATACAGAGATTGACAGCTGCCCCTGTTGTTCAGCTTAATATCAGATTGAAGACGAGGAATAATTCTCTGCTTCATACATGTCCTATTATTCTCTGTAACAGCAGTATCTTCAAAGGATAGAAACATACTGGAACCTTCTGTTGGGCACTCGAGTTTCAGGGGAGGATGCAGGGTCTCATTGGCTTGGGCAGCTAGGGTCTACAACTCTGGTAACTGCATGGTCCTTGGTGGTTCTAAAGGCTGTTTGGGTTCTCAGTGGAGCTTCGGGTTCAGTGGCAAGAGACTAGGGTAGGCAGTGGCGGGGGCCAGGACTGGTGGTGTACACATGTTCAGCTGCAGGCATATGCATGGCAGCAGGGCCTGACTGCAGGTACTCATGTGGTGGTGGGGGCCGGTGGCTTGCACGTGCACAGGTACAGGAGTTGGGTCTGGCAGCATGCCTGTGCATGGTTGCAGGGACTTGTTGCATGTGTAAGCATGGTAGTGAGGGCAGGCACCAGTTGGTGGGCCCAGGTGCAAGTACACACATAGCTACAGGGCCAGGGCTGTTGGACAGCATGTGTGCAGCTGCAGGCGCCATCTGCAGGCACATGCATGATGGGTGGCCTGTGATGGAGGTTGGGTTGATGTGTGCATGTGCACAGCTGCACATAACCAGAGCTGGCAGCATGCATGTACACTGCTACAGGCGCTAGTTGTGGAAGTGAGCATGGCAGTAAGGGCTGGAGACATGAGTCAGCAGTCAGGGCTGGTTTCTTGTGCATGCATAGCCATGGGGAATGCAAATGGTGGCCAGTACACACACAGTTCCATGGGTCAGCTATAGGCATGTGCAGGACTGTGCAGCCTGGCAACAGGGGTTGGTCAGCTGCAAGGACCACGAGAGCTTTTGGTGTGTACACATGTTGCAGGAATCAGCTGCCGACATAAATGTGATGGTAGGGGCTGGCAACTGGAGTCAGGGCCAGCTGTGCATGAACACATACAGCTAACAGGGTCAGTCAGACACACATGTAGTGGTGGGTTGGGGCCTGTAGCACAGGCCCAGGCTGATTGTGCACACATGCAAGGTGGATGTGTGGGGTCACTGGGCTGGGGTGTCCACAGCAGCAGCCACTGGGGATGTTCCAGGAGAAGGGGTGGAAGAAGGGTGGAGACTCTGGCAGCTGGAGACTGCGAAGGTGAAAAACTTCACAGCCCTCGAGGCACTGGTTGTCCACTGCAGCAGTGCTGAGAGGACATGATTTATTTTCCTCAGCAGTAAAAGGCTTCAAGGGCTGTTAAGGTCTTCAGTAAAGAAGGCTGCTGGAGTCCTGTGCAAAGCAGGCTACTGGGGACCACAGTGGCTTCTCCTACATGGCAGACACTGATATCCCCTACCCATTTCCTTTGTTCTTAACCATCTCCAAGCATTCAGCTGGCAGTTTTCTCAACATTCTGAGTGAGTGAAACTGGAGCAGATCAGTCCCAGGCAGTGTCCTGAAGACTGAGAGAGCCAGTTGTTCATCCTGCCCTGCAAGAGGAACTCACGAGCTAGGGAATGTTCTCTCCATGCTGAGCAGTGTCAACTGGGGGATGGGATGATGCAGGTAAAATGAAACTGTCCTTCCTACCTTTTTTGTGCAAGTATTCTCAGTTTTTTTCTTCAACTGTGTTGCTATAGCTTCTTAAGTGGACTCTTGTGCTCTTTTGGAGCTGTTTTTATTCATGAATGACCGTCAAGTTGTTGTTGTTGTCGTTGTTGTTGTTGTTGTTGTTTTGGAGGAAAAAAGGCTGGAACTCCTACTCCGCTATCTTGCTGATGTCACTTATTCCTGCCAGTAACTGCAAAGTTTTTTGTTTGAGAAGTGGTAAGGATGGAATTGCCAATTTGAGACGTGGAGAACTGAGAGGAGCCAAATTGGGTGCATAAGAAGAATAGCAAGAACTCAGCTTTAGACATATTAAACTTGCGTAGACATGTGGATAATTGAATCTGAGATTGGTTAATGCTGGAGGTGTACATATTTTGAAGTTATCATCCCCCAGATATTATATAAAGTCACACCAAAGAAAGGTATGTATATTAAAAGAGAAATGGTCCCAGACGTGTGTCTTGTGTCATTTATAATGTTGGATAGTAAGTTAAGGAAATGTTTAACATTGCGGATGTTGCCAGTTTTCCAACATGGTGTGACCATTTCCACTCCCACCTGCAGTGTTTGAAATTTCTAGTTCCTCCAGATCCTTGACATTTATATCCTGCAACTCACTTTTAACTTATTGTAAAATTCTATTTGAAACTACTTGTTTATAACTGTAACACGTAATATACCTATCCAAGAGTTCAAGCTAGGCGCAGTGGCTTACCCCTGTAATCCCAGCACTTTGGGAGGTCGAGGCAGGTGGATCTTCTTGGGTCAGGAGTTTGAGACCAGCCTGGCCAACATGGTGAAACCCCGTCTCTACTAAAAAAAAAAAAAAAAACAAAAAAAACAAAAAATTAACCGGGCGTGATGATGGCGGGCGCCTGTAATCCCAGCTACTTGGGAGGCTGAGGCAGGAGAATCATTTGAACCCAGGAGGTGGAGGTTGCCATGAGCTGAGATTGCACCATTGCACTCCAGCCTGGGCAACAGGAGTGAAACTCTATCTCAATAAATAAATAAATAAATAAATAAATAAATAAATAAATAAATAAGAGTTTATCAACTGAACAAAACACCTAGGGAATTGATTCATTCTTACAGTAGCAATATTTCCTAGTATCAGGTTAGAGCCAGAGTAAGGAGGTGCAGAGCCAGTTACAGTGTACTATGCTTTTACATAGTTATTTCTACCACTAATACCAATCAACATTTATTTGGTGGTTACTAGTGCCAGGCATTATTCTCTGAGCTCTAAATATACCAATTAATTATCACAACACTTTTATGTCGTGAGGACTATTATTGTGCTTCTCATTTTATAGATGAAGAAACCGAGGAACAGAGAGATTAAGCGCTTTGACTAAGGTTGCAAATTGAGTAAGTGACACTGTCAAGATTTTAACGCAGGTAGCCAGGTTCCAACTTTTGCTCTTACCTGTGTACTTGACTGCCTCTCACTAAGGAGTTGTGAACATGACCAATTGTTTAATAAATCCTGTGCTTCTCCCTTAGATTGGCTGTGATGAAAAGTTCACACTTTCTCCATTTAACTTTGTTAAATCAGTAAAGGAGAATCAATGCCTAAAGGATTATAAACTTCCTTTCTGACAGATTTACAAGGTGTCTGTTTAAACATGTGCGAAATGTACCTTGGATCTACTAAAAGCTATTTTAGGGTATTACAATGTCAAAGTAACGTGAAATTTAACATAACCTCAATTAATAGATAATGACACTCAAATTTCTCCATGGTTGTTTTAGGTCTCTTGCCTTATAACGGTGACTGGTTAGAAGTTGAGTATTACATGCAGCCAGGCACCTTAAACATCAAGCCATGCTCAGTGAAGCCCATGAGCTGTAAATATGTGGACGAGGTAATTTGTTTCCATGTTGCACTTGTCATTAGTTTCTTCGAAACCTTCCTTTAGTGATAATTTTTATGCCCAGAAGTCTATTGGGTGTGCTAGGAAATCTAGAAAATATGAGAAAACATATTTGTTTTTTATCAAAAGTAGCCTGTTTTCTTACTGAAATGGCAGGACTCCCAAAAGAAAATGATTAGAAAATCATGTAGAACATGTACATAAGTAAGTTCTAAGTTGTATAGTATATTTGGTATTTTAATGTTATTAGGATGTTCTGAGAACAACAGGAAGAAAAACTGTGTGACAGAAAATGCTGTATGCCAGAAAATTGTTGGGAGAGAATGAATGGAGTGGGTTGTGGGATTTGAGTTTTCCAGTAAATGCTGGGTATCATTTGGATAGTAGAGCCTGAAAATGAGAAAGAAATTCATTTTTAACAAAGGTACAGATGAAATAGTGAGCTTGGAAAGTGACAGAGGAAGCAGGGAAAAAATGATAGTCTACTTACTGCCACATTCCTTTCTCATTCAACCCCTTTCACTCTCTCAACCTTTACTACAGAGGTTTATGGATATTCTATGTAGTATTCAGCACAGAGCTTCTCAGCAGAGACCTAGGCCCCATCCCCAGAGACTCTGATTTAGTTGGCTTAAAATGCAATCTGGGCATAATTATTTTTACAAAGTACCCCTGGTGTTGCCCGTGTGCCAACCATGTTGGGAATCACTGAAGAAGATGGAGTGACTTGAAGATTAGAGCCAGAGTGAGGAGGTGCAGAGCCCATTAAAGTGTACTATGCTTTTACATAGTCATTTCCACCATTTATAATTACAGGCCTGCATTACTAGTCTACATGGAAGACATGGGGTGATAGATGATAGTATCTTTTTCACCTTGGATTCTCTGAAACTTCCTGATGGATACATACCTCAAAGATATGATATCGTCAATATGGCCATGGTTGAGAGGATTCAATCCTGTTATATTTGGAGGGCAGTTTCTATCACACCGGTGCAAAGGTTGTAATAATAAAACACTTATTCTCTGTTCATCTTCTCCTCTTTGGGCAGTAAAGAGTCTAGTTTAATTGAAAAGCTTAGCTTAGTAAACCTAAACTTTTTTTACATATGACTTTTCTAGTAAATTCAATTAAGATACTGGCTGGTTCACTTGGACCATGAGCCCACTTTAGTGAAGTGCCTTATCAATTAAAAAGCATGCTAAACCTGGCAAGTTACTGTAGGTAGGGTGTTCCTGGAGACACAACAATTCACCTTAAATTCCTTGTTTTCTATTACCAAGAGTGAATTATAAGATGGCAGAGGCCTGGGGCAGCCCTGAAGGCACCATCAGAGGAAAAGAATTTAACTGAAGAAGCAGCAGAGTCAGCATGTTAAAAGCATGATTTAAAGTTACAATCTGACTTCAATTTTGAGTCCCCCTTATGCTGTTTTTATTTTTCCATAGCCTTTTTCATCTTATATTTACCTACCTAATTTGTTATGCCAGAACGTATTTTGGTCTGCTTTTCTCCTTAATGCATCACAAAGCACTTAGAAGAGTGCCTGGCATATATTAAAGGCAGATTAAATGTTGTTAAATTCAATGAATGGGTGATCTGGCCAACGATAATGCTTAGGTGTGGGTAATTAATGACTTGTTTTCTAGGAATAAAATTGTTGAGCAATCCATTAAGACTTCACTTGATATTTTACTAAAAACGTCTCCAGATCTGGTGCACATAAGCCTCAAAGTGGCTGGAGATCTACTTTTGGGAGAAGTGCGGGCCAACTCCATACATGAATTAGGGGGCAAATCAGAGCCCTTTGAAGGAAGGAGAAGCTACCTACCCATGGGCTATGATGGTACTAAAATCCCACAAATACACCTGATGAAAAGTTTTCCTTTCTTCCTCAAATAGAGCCTTAACCAGATAACTGTGGCCTAGGGGAAGGGACATATTCAGATCTTTGGGCGTCACTGGAAAGTGGCTGTGAGCTCCCTTTCAGTCCTGGGATTCAGAATTACCCCATAATCTCCTGCTCAGTGGATAAAGAAAGTTTGGTTCTGAAATTGCTTTACAGGTGTACTGAGACCTTTCAAGCATCCAGTGGTTAGTTTCCCATTTTACAGGAACATAGTAGGCATGAATATCCTGTAGATTTTAGGCTTTTACTGTGACAGCTCCAGGTCCCTGTGAAAGTCGTCATTCAAAAGCAGCCCCATAAGCTGTGGGAATTACAGAGAAGGCCACCATTGGACTTGAGAGATACATGGGTCATGGATGCTACCATCTCCCCAATTAATTTTTGGCGTTAGTTGCTGTAGAAGAATGCTCTTTGAGAGTAACAGTGGATTAAGGTAAGCCTAGTCAGGTGGTGATTCAATTATAGCCAGTGTTACACAGACATCATGACTGAAATGAGTGAATTACTTCGGTACCTGGGGTGCAGTGGTTGCATGAATAATTTTCCTTCATCCTTTTAAATAGCAAAGTCCAGAATCCATTTGCTTTTCTAGGGCTGGTCCAGCAGTAGTATACTTTGAACATTTGCTTCATGGATATGTCAACTTTGAGGCTTGTTGCCATAATTTCAAATGCAGGGTTCTTGATAACCTCACCCTCAGTGAAGCAACATACTGGTCTTCCTAAATGGTGCAAGAACCCCGGGAGCAGGAAAGTAGCAGGATGGGTTAAAAGCATATTTTCTACTGGTGAAAAAGAAATGCCATGAAAATACAGAAACCGGCCTGGAGCAGTGGCTCACGCCTGTAATCCCAGCACTTTGGGAGGCCAAGGCAGGTGGATCACCTGAAGTTGGGAATTCAAGATCAGCCTGACCAACATGGAGAAACCCCGTCTCTACTAAAAATACAAAATTAGCCGGGCATGGTGGCACATGCCTGCAATCCCAGCTACTCGGGAGGCTGAGGCAAGAGAATCACTTGAACCCAGGAGGCGGAGGTTGCAGTGAGCCGTGATCGCACCACTGTACTCCAGCCTGGGCAACAAGAGCGAAAATCCATCTCAAAAAGTAAATAAAGAAAGAAAGAAAAGAAAAGAAAATACAGGAACCTGTCACCACAAGTTTCTGGGGCTCCAGTGTTCTATGGTAGAACTTCCAACTGGTATGCTGTGAATGGGTTGCAGATGTGCTGATGTTAGATGTCCTTCAGCTCATTTAGGGATTGATATGATTTGGATATTTGTCCCCTCCAAATCTCATGTTGAAATATGATTCCCAATTTGGAGGTGGGGCCTGGTGGGAGGTGTTGGGTCTTGAGGGCGGATCCCTCATGAATGGCTTGGTGCTGCCCTCGCGATAATGAGTGAGTTCTCACTTGGAGTTTACCTGAGATTTGGTTCGTTAAAAACAGCATGGCACCTCCTCACTCTTTCTTTCTCTCCCTCACCATGTGACACGCTGGCTGCCCTTCACCTTCTGCCATGATTGTAAGCTTTCTGAGGCCTTCACCAAAAGCAGATGTCAGCACCATGCTTCCTGTACAGCTGCAGAACTATGAGCCAAATAAAACCTCTTTTCTTTATAAATTACCCAGCTTCAATTATTTCTTCATAAATATTATTAAATTATAAATTATTACTTTATTATTCATAAATTATTTATTTACTCAGCTTCAATTATTTCTTTATAAATTACCCAGCTTCAATTATTTCTTTATAAATTACCCAGCTTCAATTATTTCTTTATAACAATGTGAGAATGGGCTGACACAGGATTACATGCAATGAAGAAAAGGAAATAAGACAATGATCTTGAGCAGGGGTTGGAAAGCTAAGGCTGTTGTGTCAAATCTGTCTTGATGCCTGAAATGATTCTTAAAAATTGAAGTTCTATTAAAGTACCTGGAATTTAATTAGGACCTAGTATACTGTACTTACTATTGTCATCATGATTATGGATGTTATTAATTGACATGCTTTGAAGTCTTCATCATAATTGTGGTTTCATCCATTACTACTTATATAGTAGTAATATACTACTTGGTCTGTTATTTCACTGCTGTTATAAGATGCATAAAAGTTTGACTATATATCTGCCTTATGGATATGTTTTGTGAGTATAAACAACCCCTCTCTCATGTTTAATGGGTGGTTTTAAAAATTTATTTTGTCAGAATTTAAAAATGCCACTTTATCAGTGATTTCTCCAAGAATCCCTGGTCCTTTTTTTTTTCAGTTGTTTTTACTGTGGTAAAACACACATAACATAAAATTTATCACCTTAACCATTTTAAGTGTATAGTTCATTGGAATTGAATACAGTCATAAATACATTCATCAATGGAGACTTGAATTGCTTCCACTGTTTAGATTTTGTGAATAAAGCTATGACATAGGTGTACAAATATCTCTTTGAGACCGTGTTTTTAATTCTTTTGGGTGCATATACTGGAAATGGAAATGCTGGATCATATGGTCATTTTGCTTTTAATTTTTTGATGAACTGCTACACTGTTTTCCACAGTAGCTATACCACTTTACATTCCCACCAACAGTGCACAAAAGTTTTAACTTCTCTACATCCTTGTCAACATTTGTGGTTTTCTGTTTGTTTGATAGTAGCCATCTTATTGGGTCTCATTGTAGTTTTAATTTGCATTTTCCTAACGATTTTGGGCATCGTTTCATGTGCTTATTGGCCATTTGTATATCTTCTTTGGAGAGTTGTCTATTTTAGTCCTTCATCCATTTTGGAATCAGGTTTTTGTTGTTGTTGAGTTGTATGTATTCTCTATATAGTCTTCATATTACTCTCTTATCAGATATGTGATTTGCAAATATTTTCTCCCATTCTGTAGGTTGCATTTTTACTCTGCTCATAGTGTATTTTGATGCACACATTTTTAAATTTTTATGGGTACCTAGTAGGTGTATATATTTATGGAGTATATGAGATATTTTGATAGAGGTATACAATGTGTAATAATCATGCGAGGATAAATGGGGTATCCATCACCTCAAGCATTTGTTATTTATTAGTGTTATAAACATTCCAAGTGTACTATTTTAGTTATTTTAAAATGTACAATAAATTATTGTTGACTGTAGTCGCCCTGTTGTGGTACCAAATACTAGAACTTATGCATTCTATCTAAGTATATTTTTGTACCCATTAATCATCCCCACTTTTCCTCCCTGCTCCCCATTACCCTTCCCAGCCTCTGGTAACCACCCTTCTATACTTGATCTTCGTGAGTTCAGTTGTTTTCGTTTTTAGCTCCCACAAATGAGTGAGAACACATGAAGTTTGTCCTTCTGTGCTTGGCTTATTTCACTTAACATAATTTCCTCCAGTTCCATCCATGTTGTTGCAAATGACAGGATCTCTGAAGTCCAATTTGTCTATTTTTTCTTTTGTTGTCTGTGCCTTTGGTTTCATGTCCATCAAATAATTGGCAAATCCAATATTGTGATGTTTTACCCTGTTTTCTTCTAAATGTCTTATGGTTTTAGGTCTTACATTTAAGTTTTTGATCCACTTTGAATTAATTTGTGTGTACGATGTTAGGTAAGGTTCCATCTTCATTCTTTCACATAAGACATCCAGTTTTCCCAGCACCATTTGTTGAAAAGAATGTCTTTTCCCCAAAGCATAGTCTTTTCTTTCACCTCTGAGTATTTTTAAATTTTCCTTGTGATTTCTTCTTTGATCCATCGATTGTTTAAGAATGTCTCAATTTTCACAAATTTGTCAATTTTCCAGTTTTACTACTGTTATTAATTTCTAACTTCATCATGTTGTAATTGGAGAATACTTTGAATTATATCTATCCTTTAAAATCTATTAGGACTAAGTTTGTGGCTTAACATGTAATCTATCCTGGAATATGTCCTATGTGCACTTTAGCAGAATGTGTGTGTTGTTGTTATGTAGAGTGGCCTGTGTATGTCTGTTAGAATTAGTTGGTTTATTGTGTTAATAATAAACTACAACTAATTGTCTATTTCTTTATTTCTCTTCTGTCTGGTTCTTCTATCCATTATTGAGTGTGGGATATTGAAGTCTCCAACTATTATTGCAGAACTGTCTAGTTCTCCCTTCAATTCTGTCAATATCTGCTTCATATATTTTGATGGTCTGTTATTATAATTGTGTATATAATTGTTATATCTTCTTGCTGTATTGAACCATTTATTTATTATAATGGCTTTGTCTCTTGAATCTTTTTTTGATTTAAAGTCTATTTTGTATGATATTAGTATAATCACTCCTGCTCTCTTTTGTTTACTATTTGCATACCATATAGTTTTCCATCCTTTCACTTTCAATCCATTTGCGTCTTTGGATCTAAAATGAGTCTCCTTTAGAAAGTAGACATGTATACACACACACACACACATATATATACATACACACATATTTTATGCATACATATATATATAAATACATATAGTTTTCAACTTTTATTTTAGGTTCAAGGGGTACGTGTTCAGGTATTTTGCATGGGTAAATTGTGTGTCACAGGGGTTTGGTGCACATATAGTTTTGTCACCGAGGTAATCAGCATAACTCGTGATAGGTAGATTTTTGATCATCACCCTGCTCCCACTACCTATCCTCAAATAAGCCCCAGTGTCTATTGTTCCCTTCTTTGTGTCCATGTGTACTCAGTGTTTAGCACCCATTTATAAATGACAACATGCAGTATTTGGTTTTCTGTTCCTGTGTTAATTCACTTAGGATAATGGCCTCCAGATCCATCCACATTGCTGCAAAGGCCATGATCTCATTCTTTTTATAGCTGTGTAGTATTCCATGGTGTAAATGTACCACATTTTCTTTATCCGGTCTACCATTGATGGGCATTTAGGCACTATGGTGGATAGTGCTGGAATGAACATACCCATACATGTGTCTTTATGGCAGAATGATTTATATTCCTTTGGGTACATACCTAGTAATGGGATTGCTGGATCAAATGGCAGTTCTATTTTAAGTTCTTTGAGAAATCTTCAGACTGCTTTCCACAGTGGCTGAACTAATTTACATTCCCACCAGCAGTATATAAACGTTCCCTTTACTCTGCATCCTCACCAGCATTTGTTATTTTTTGACTTTTTGGTAATAGTCATTCTGACTGGTGCGAGATGGTATCTCATTATGGTTTTAATTTGCATTTCCCTAATGATTAGTAATATTGAACATTTTTTCGTATGCTTGTTGGATGCTCGTATGTCTTATTTTGAGAAATGTGTTTGTGTCCTTTGCCCATTTTTAACAAGGTTGTTTAGTTTTTGCTTGTTGATTTGTTTAGGTTCCTTATAGATTCTGGATATTGGATCTTTGTCAGATACATAGTTTGCAAATATTTTCTCCCATTATGTACGTTGTCTGTTTACTCTGTTGATAGTAGAAAGAATATATTTGGATCATGTGTTTTTATCCATTCTGCTAATTTCTGCCTTTTGATTGGAGAGTATAATCAATTTACATTTCAAGTAATTAAGGATAAGGAAGGACTTCTGATATTTTGGCACTCATTTTTAATATTCTTTATAGTTTTGGGGGACCTCATTGCTTGCATTACTGTCTTCTTTTGTGTTGACTCTTTTGCAGTGAGCAGTTTATTCTTTTCTCATTTCCTTTTGTACATATTGTAGTTATTTTCTTCGTGCTTACCATGGGGATTACATTTAACATCCTAAAGTTATAACACTCTAGTTTGAATTTATACTAGTTTAACCTCAATAACATATAAAAACTCTGTTTATTTACAACTTGGTTTTCACTCCTTTCAGTTGTTGACATCACAGGCTTACATCCTTACACACTGTATTCCCAAGAACATAAACTACTAATTCTTTTAAATTCATTCATCTCTTAAAGTTATGTGGGAAACAAAGTGTGGAGTTACAAACCAAAGTTATAATAATACAAGCTTTTAGACTAATAATTTTAAAAATGTGTTAGTCTCTTAAGTCATGCACAAGTCAAAAAGTAGAGTTACAAATGGTTGTTACAATAATGCTGTCTTTTATAATTGCCCATATATTTATTGAGACTTTTTTTTTTTTTTAGAAAAGGAGGTCTTCTTGTCACAGAAAACAGTTTTGAACTGTTAACATTGTAAAAAGGTATAAAAATACAGGGTAGGGGCTCTGAGCTCTCTGAGGAATTTCCTGACACACACTCTGAACTAAGGCGGAGAGATCTCTGGAAGCCTGGGCCTCTGATCCTTGCCCTGTGCCCCGTCCCCTTCCTCTTTCCCACGAGCCCATGCTCCAAGGCTGACCAGAGACAAGGGCTCTCCCGAACCCTGGCTCAACCTCTCAAGGAAGACCTTCTATGATCTACAATGGCTCATCCTGGAAGAGGGGGCTGGACTGAGGTGGGGTCCGCAGGCGATGCCGGGAAGGCTCTCCAGGCCTGGAGCTGGAGTACCTCTCCTCAGCACTGCCAGTGGGGCTCCTCCTCATTCCACCTCAGCTCGAGGCCCCCAAGGGACCATGCTCTGGGTGGGGTGTCCAAGAGGAGGGCCCTCCCCTGTCCCGGGCACAGGGCCATTCTCCAGATGCCAGCAGGGGCTTATTTCTCTGGGGGGGCCTGAGGGTGGGAGAAGGGTGCTGAGCTCCTTGAAGCTCCTGCTGCAACTTTGGTCCCTTCAGTGTGGACACCTGCTCCTCCAGCTAGTGCACCCTCTGGCGGTGGGCCCGCTCCCATGCCTCCA
Source organism: Homo sapiens (assembly GCF_000001405.40). NCBI lineage: Eukaryota > Metazoa > Chordata > Mammalia > Primates > Hominidae > Homo > Homo sapiens. The sequence continues at coordinate 135,438,570 of NC_000023.11, read as the reverse complement.
GGGTACGTTCAGCCTGTGCCTGGGCACTGCACAGGCGCTCCACCTTCTACTGCAGCTCCAGCTGCTGCTGCTGCTGTGCGTCCACCTCCAGCTGGGCTGGGCTGTGGCTCTGCTCCAGCGCCACCACCTGCGCCTCTAGCTGCTAGATCTGCCTCTGGGCCTCGGCCAGCTCCAGCTCAGCCCCCATGAGGGTCCAGGTCAGGCGGCCCTTCTCTGGGCTCAGCGGCACTGTGTCCTTATGACTGCGAAGCTTCTCTCGCTCCACCTTGTCCAGTGCCCTCCTGAGGGCCCCAGGGTCCTTCTCCAGCTGCAGGGCTGAGCGCTCCACCTCCCGCCTCTCGGCTTCCAGCTGAGCCAGGGTGCGCTGCAGGCTGCCCAGGCTTTCCTGCAGCATCCTCTGCTCGTCCTGCAGCTTCAGGACCGTGTGCAGGACTGCAGCCTCGCCCTCCTGCCACTGCTGCAGCACCTCCTGAAGCTGTTGTAGCTGGCCCTCGGCCTCGGCCCACTGCAGCTCCAGGTCAGCCACCTCGCCTGGCAACGTCTGCACCTGCTCGCCAAGGGAGCTGCTCTGCTTCCCTGCCTCAGACAATGTCTGCCTGGCAGCGTCCAGCCGTTCCAGGAGCACTTGGCAGTCATGTTCACAGGCGGTCAGAGCCTTCTGCAGATGCAGGTTCTTGTCCTGGGTGCTGTTGAGGCTGGCGCTGCTCTAGGCCAGGGCCTCTGTCAGGCCCCGCACCTTGACGTGCAGGAGCCCCTCCCTTTCCTCCACCTTGGCCAGGGCCCCATTCAGCCACTCCACTGTCAGCTGCAGGATTCCTGCCTTCACCTCGCTGTCTGCCACCTGTCTCTGCAGGGAGTCCATCCGATTCTGGAGGGCCTGGGCTTGGGCCTCGTGGCCGCTCAGGCCCAGGTGGCTGCGCTACGGCTCCCCCTCAAGCGAGGGCCGCTGCAGTTCCAGCTTGACGGTGAGGCCCTCGGAGGCGTCCAGCATCTCCTTCAGGCACCACTTGTCGCCCTCCAGCTTCCTCTTGTTGGCCTTCATCTTGCTGATCTTCTCCCGACTGGCCCGGAGCTCGCTCTCAGTGGCCTGCAGGCTTCTCTCCAGTGCGGCCACCTAGTCCACTGTGGCCCTGGCGCTCCCGCTCACTGCGCCGCACACTCTCCTCCTGCAGCGCCAGCTCCTCCTGGACCCGGCTCAGCCGTCCATCCACACTGCGCAGGGCTTTCTCACTCTCAGCCACTGTAGCCACTCTGGCCTTCTGCAGCTGCCTGGCCTTCGAGGTTGTGGTGTCCCTCTCAGCCTCCATCTTGGCCAGTTGGCGATTCAGGGCACTCTGGGTCCGAAGTTCGTCCTGTTCTCTCAGGGCGCTCCGCCGCTCCTGCAGAAATTCCCGGAGGGCCCCGCGCACTGCCTCTGGGTCCAGGTCTAGAGGAGCCGGGGAGGTGGTAGGTCCTGGAAATGGTGGCTGGGACCCAGGGCTGCATTCTAAGGTGCTGGGGCGGCCTAGCCTTTCCCCGCTTCCTCCAGCGGGCGCGTCCCGGGCAGGGGAGCCGGGCATTGGTGGCGGGGCTGGACTGGGCTGGGCGCGCGACCCAGGGCGAGGCCCCGGCACAGAACCGAGCGCAGGCCGCCCAGCTGGGCCTCCACCGCGCACCGCTGCACCTCCACGCGGGCCAGCTCGGCCTCCAGGTCTTGTGCCCGGCTCTCGGCCGCGCTCAGCCACAGGCCCAGCTCCGCAGCCTCGGCCCGCGCCGCCTCCAGCTTGTGCTCCAGGCCGCGGGCGTGGTCCAGCTGCTGCTTTTCGGTGCCGCGCACCTCCTCCAGGAAGCCCAGCAGGCCTCGCTCGCGGGTCCGGAACTCGCCTTCTTGTTCCTGCAGCTTCCGCTGGGCTACCTGGAGCTCCTGCCGCGTCGCCTCCAGGCTGTCCTCGCCCTTCAGCAGCCTCTGCCGGAGGCGCAGGATCTCCCGCCGGCTCTCCTTCTCTGCCTGCTAGCCCAGCACCAGGCGGCCCTGCAGCTCCGCCAACTCGCGGCCCACTCTGGTATTCTCACTGTCCAGCATCTTCATCTGACGCCGGAGCTCCTGCAGCTCCCTCCAAGCCTCCAGCCGTGAGCGCTCCACCTCCTGCAGCCCAGTCCAAAGCTCCCCAGCCTCCTTGCCCTCTAGGAGTGCCAGCTTCTGCTCCTTGTCCTCATTGGTAAACTTCAGGCTGATGCGCTCGCTCTCTGCCTTCTTCACGGCGGCCTGCAGTGCCTCACGCTCCTTGGCACCCTCGCCCAGGCTGCGCCACAGCTTGCCCGCCTCCTGGCGCTGCACCTCGAGGCCCTCCTGGCTCTCACGCAGCTTGCGCTGGGCCTCCAGCAGCTCCCGCCGAAGCCGGTCGCGGGCATCCTCCAGCACGTGCAGCTGGGTCCGAAGCTCTTCTGCCTCTCGAAGACAGGAGTCCTGCTGCTTGCCCAGGTCTCGGGCCTGCTCTTGCAGCCTCCTCACTTCCTGGGCGTGGGCCACATCAGCCTCCTCCAGCTGGGCCCATAGGTCCCTCAGCTTGGACATCAGAGCGTTCACGGTGCTCCGGTCCTGCTCCTGCCAGCTCTGGGCATCTAGTTTCTGTGGCTGCATCTCCAGGGAGATGGTGGCCAGGCTGTGCCGCGTACCCATCAACTTCTCTGACAACTTCTCTGACAGAGTCTTTTCAGACCCCTTCAGAGACAAGGCTTGCTGCTTCTTGCTCTCGGCCAGGAGGAGGCCCTCGTCGCGCTCTTGCTGCAAGGCAGCAATCTCCTCGCTCAGCTCTTCCTTCTCGATCTCCAGTCGGGCCAGCAGCTCCTCCTGCTCGCACTGCAGCTGACTCTGCAGCTGGGCCCGCTTGGCTTCCAGCTCCCGCCATGCTGCCTCCTTTTCGCGCTGGACTCACTGCCAGTCCTCCTCATGGGCTGCCCGCTGCTCCCTCAGAGAGGCCTGGGCCTCCTGCTCAGCCTGCACCAGCTTCTGGGCCATCAGCTCCTTGTCTAGGCTGGCTTTCTCCTTTGTAGCTATTATTTGCTGCTGCAGGCCCGCCAGCTCCCCAGTCAGGGTCTCCTTGGCCAACAGCAGGGCCTGCCCATCGGCTTCCAGCTGATCCCAGCGGGCCTCGAGCTGAACCAGGTGCCCTTGCACCTCAAACAGGCTGCCCTCCAGGGCTTCCTTCTCCAAGCGCAGGCATGTGGCCTCCTCTGACAGGGTCCTGCCTTCAGGCTCCGCGGCCGCCAGCTGCATGACCAGGCCAGTGCACCCCTTGGCTAGCGCCTCTGCCTGCCACTGTGCCTCCAGCCGAGCCTGCTCCAGCTCCTGCTCCCGCCCGCTCAGCTGCTGGGAGAGCTGGGCTAGCTGCTCCTGCAGCTGGCTGCGCTCATGGCGCAGCGTGGGGAGCTGCTGCTCCAGCGCCTCCTGGACCTCCTCTGCCACTCGCAGGGAGCCCTCCAGGCCCTGCCGCGCCGCCTCCTGCTCCAACCGCAGCTCCTCCAGCCGCTCCTGCTCTTCCCGCGCCACGGTGGCTTCCTGCTCCGCCTGCCGCAGCCGGCCCTGCAGGGCTGCCTTTTCTTCCTCCAGCTGGGCGACAAGGCGGTTCAGATCCAACTTGTCCTGAGCCAGGCTCTCGTTGACGGCGCTCAGCTTGGACAGGGAGTCCTGCAGGGAGGCCTCCTCTGCCCTCAGCTTGGTCACGGAGAGCTCGAGTTTCACCTGGCCAGCCTCAGCCTTGGTCAGCGCCTCGGCCACCTCGGCCTTCTCGGCCTGCAGCATGTCCCGCTGCAGTGTGGTGCAGCTCAGCGCCTCCCTCACCTCCACCAGCTCCTTGGCCAGGCCTGAGCGCTTCCCTTCCAGCTGCTCTAGCTGTTTATGGCTGCGCTCAAGCTCCTGGCGCACCCGTGTACCATCCTGCACCGCCTCCTCCTGCTCTTCCTCCAATCGGTCCCGCTGGCGCCGCAGCCCCTCCTGGGCAGCCTGCAGCTTCTCACGCTCCTTCAGAAGGTCCTTGGCCTGTTGCTGGGCCACCTGCAGACTGTGGGCCAGTTTGCTCTTCTCCCTGCTCAGGAGCTCATTGGCGTTCCGCAGCCTCTGTACCTCGCGCTGGGCGTCCTCTTGGGCCTGCACGGCGCCATCGGTCTTGTCCCACTGGTGCTGGAGCTGTTCCTCTAGGGCCCGCCGCTCAACCTCACTGTCGCTAAGCTGCTTCCACAGGGTGCCCAGCAGGTCCTGGTTTGCCTCATAGTGCCCACGCATGTCCTGGACCTGCAGCTGTCGCTTGTGCAGGGCAGAGTGAATCAGGGCGAGCCTGGAGGAGTCTGAGCTAGCCAGGGACCGGCTTCGGTGGGGCGAACGGCTGCTGCCCAGTGAGGAGCACTGCGGTGGGTGGGGATGGGATCCGCTGGCCTGAGAGCCCCGCAGGCTGCCTTCGCACGCGTCCGCAGTGTGCTCGGAGCCGCTCAGCTGGACGCCGTCTCAGTGTCCAACAGGACGGCCTGTGCGAGGTCCCTCGGGGTCTGCTGCAGCCCCTCTCCATCCTCTGTCTCCAGGGCCACCTGCTCCTGTAGCCGCAGGGATTCCAGGGCCTCAGGCTTGCCGAGGGGCTTCTTGACCTAATCCTACTACAGATTCTGCTTCTGAAGACGCTCCACTGCCAGGGCCAGCTCTGTCACTCTGGCACTGAGGTCGGCCTTGTCCAGGTCGCTTTGCATCTGCTGCTGGGCCATGTCCTTCTCATGGAGCACCTTGTCCTGCAGCTGCTCCTCCAGTTGGGCCTGCAGCAGGGCCTGCTTCTCCAGGGCCGCTTCGGCCCCGCTCTCTGCCAGCCGCAGGCCCGTGCTCAGTACCAGGCCCGCCTCCTGGACAGCGTATGATGTCCAGGCCAGCTCCCCTCCCAGCTGCAGCAGGTCCCTCTCGGTGGACATCTTCACCTCGCTGACCAGTCACCCGACCCCCACCTGCCTACAGAGGAGTAACAGGCGACTGTGCTCGTTGCTGAAGTAGGCGTTGAAGGACTCCTCCTCGAGCCTCCATGCCGCCTCCCGCTGCTCCAGCTCCTTGCGGCTGAGTGTCCAGTGGCTGGTCACCTTTCATATGTCCTCACTCAGAGTCTGGCTGGCCGATCCTGCGTGGTCCAGCTGCTCTCGGAGCATGGCATTCACCTGGACCAGGCTGGCACTCCTCTGCTGCTCCTCCTCCAGCCGAATGAGGGCGCTCTCCAGGTCTTGGCTGTGCTCTGTGTCCCTCAGCCGCTGCTGCGCAAGCTCTCTGGATCTCTCCAGCAGCTGCTGCTCCAGCTCCCAGCACCTCTTCTTGTACTGGAGAATCTTGGCCTGCAGCTGCTGCACAAGCTGGGCCTGCCACTGTTGGCCCTCCTGGTAGGCTCCTCCTGCAGCTGCCTCCACAACTCCACGCTCTGCTGTACCAGCCCCCGGGCTCCTGCATCTCCAGCTCCTCAGACTCCAGACGCACACCCTGCTCCAGCCCATTGTGCTTAATGGTGAGCTCATCACGCTTGGCGTGGCTCTGGGCCAGTAAGTCCTCCGCGCGCGACAGCTCCTGCTGCAGCAGCTGGTTCTTTTTCTGCAGCGACAGCAGCAGTGCCATCTCTGTGGCCCGCAGAGGGACTGGGCTTTCAGGCCGGGAGAGGTTGCGGGTGACAATCTCCCTGATGCGGGCAGGTAGGATGATGGTCTGAGGGTCCTGGGCCAGGTCCCGCGTGCCCAAGCCCTTCTCATGGCCCAGGACGCTTCTCTCCAGTGTCCGGATAACCGTCTCCAGTGTCAGCTGGCCCTCCTGTGGCCCCTACAGCCCCAAGCTCATGGCGGGGTGGCTGTGGGCATCCCTCCAGCCCCCTTCTGCAGGACCCCAAGACTAGCTCAGTCAGCACGCCCCACAGCCAGGCTGCTGTGCTGAGCACCAGGCAGATTAAGCTTAAATCCCGCGGCGCCCCCATGTGACCACAGCCGTGGGAGGAGCGAGATGGGGGTTGAGAGGGGAGAGGATGGGAAAGGACAGGAGAGGAGGGAAGCAGAGGCAGGGGGGATCCGAGGGAAGAAGAAGGAAGAGGAAGGATGAAGGAGAAGGGAGAGAAAGGGAGGGAAAAAGAGAGAAGAGGGAATAGGGGAGGAAAGGAGGGGGGAATCTTTATATCTTCATACAGCTTTGAATTCCTATCTAGTACCCTTTCATTTCACTTTGCAGTACTCTCTTGAGCAGTTCTTGCAGGACAGGTGTAGTGGTAACATTAGCTTTTGTTTATCTGGGAATATCTTAATTTCTCCCTCATATTTGAGGAACAATTTTGCCAGATATAGCATTCTTAGTCAACATATTTTTAGCACTTTGAATATATCAGCTCACAGCCTTCTGGCATCTAAATTTTCTGAAGAGAAAATTGCTAACAGTTTCATTGAGGATCACTTGTATGTGATGAGTCATTTTTCTCTTGCTGCTTTCAAGATTTTTCTCTCTGTGTTTGCCTATTGTAAGTTTCATTATAAGGTGCTGTGGTTTTGGGGTATCTCTTAGTTCATCTTACTTGGCATTCATTGAGATTCTTGGAGGTTTATATTCATGTCTTTCATAAAATTTGTTAAGTTTTCAGTCATTATTTCTTCAAAGGTTTCCTTTGCCCCTTTCTCTCTCTCCTTTCCTTTTGGGACTTCTCCAATGCATATGTTGATGGGCTTGGTGTTGTCCAAAAGTCTCTTAGGCTCTGTTCATCTTTTCTTCAATCTTTTATCTACCTGTTCCTCAGACTTGATAATTTCCATTGTCCTATCTTCAAGGTTGCTGATTCTTTCTTTTGTCATGCTCAATTCTGCCTTTAAACCCCTCTTCTGATTTTTTTTATTTCAGTTTTTGTACTTTTTGGCTCTACAGTTTATTTTTGATTTCTTTCTTTGGCTTTCTATCTCTTTCTTGATATTTCCATTTTGTTCATGCATCACTTTCTTGATTTTCTCCACATCTTCCTTTAGTTCTTGAGCATTTTTAAGAAAGTTGTTTTACAGTCTTTGTCTAATAGATCTGCTGTCATATCTACTAGATCAGGGACTGTTACTGTCGATTTATTTTTTCCTTTGAATGTGCCATACTTTCCTGTTTCTTTGTATGCCTTGTGATTTTTTGTTGAAAATTAGACATTTGAATATAATAATGTGAGAACTTTGGAAATCAGATTCTTCCCCTTCCTTGGTGTTTGCTGTTTTTTGTTATTGTTTCTATTTATTGTGGTTCTTTTTATTGCTGTAGGTTTTTTCTTTGCCAAAGATTAGCCTGGGGTGTAAACTTAAGATCTTCTCAGGTTTTTTCTGAGCCTGCAGCTTCCCCTGTGCATGTGCAGTCACTTTCTAATTTCCTCCATATGTGCAGTTGTTTTTGAATGTCCTAGTCTTTAATCTCTGGCTTCCAAAAGGAGAAAAGGGAAAAATGAAGGAGGGAAAAGGAAAAGTGGTGCTAACCCTTTAAATCTTGGGAAGTTGCTTCAGCCAGAGGGGGAGGGACTTGCAACAATGGAGAGAGGTGCAACAATAATGGTCACCCACCTCTTTGTCTGCAAGTCTGTGATCAGGAGCAGCAATCAGCTATCTGAGTACAGATCTGCAATTTTGGGAGGGCAAGTTCCTTTTTGCCCACCCTTGCTCGTGTAAGCTGTGTGGAAACTGTTCCACAGTGCTAGGGACACAGTGCTGTGTCCCTAGCACTGTGCTTGCCACAGGGCTGGGGCTGCTGGATAGATAGTTGCTAGTGGACTAAGAACACACTTTACCTCCAAACTTTCCCATGGAAATTGCAAGTCTTCAATATACTCAAGAGTTCAAAAACAGCTATATCAGGGTCTGTCAGTGCAATTTTTGTCTCAGTGGGGAGACTGATTCCTACTCCACCACCTTCCCAGAATCTTCCTAACCTTAAATTTTAAACATGCACACTAAAAATTATATTTTTTCGAATTATTCAGCAGCTCAATTCTCTTCCTGACAAAACAAAAGCCTTACCCATGTTATCTTCCCTCAGCACTCTATCTCCACAATTCTCATGTTATTGTTTTGAATTTTAGTATAAGCTTGTTATGAGTGCACATAAAACTTTTCTCCTTCCCTTCTCCATACATTTCCTTCTACCCATCCTTCTTTTCATAAGTGTGAGTACAGACTGAGAGTACAGACTCAGGAGAAAAACTATCTGGTCACAAATCTTTGCTCCACCAGGTGTGTGACCTTGGGCAAGTTTCTTTACCGCTCTGAGCCCAAGTTTCCTCATGTTTATAAACAGCGATAATGTAAGTTTCTGTTTTAGGGTCATGGTATTACATTATTTAGTATATGTAATGTGCTTAGAGCAGTACCTGACACAAAGTAAGTTCTCAATAAATATGTTATTTTTTTCTCCTTCCTTGTGTGCTTAACCATCAATGTATGTTGAGATTTTTAAACCCCTTTTAATTACTATTTACTTGCTGTTATTTCTTGACTTCCATTCCTTCCTTGTGGATTTCTCGTTCTTATTGCTAACATAGATTTTTTCAGTAATTGTTTCAGAGACAGTTGATGGATAGTGAAATGTCCAAGTTCTTCTATGTGTCTGAAGGTGCTCTTTCACATTTTTTCATAAGTTCTAGGCTTACAGATATCTTGTCATGCTTTGAAGACATTAATTGTGACACATATGGAAAATAGAGACTAAGTATCCATCCTAGTCCCCTAACGTACCTTCCTGGACTTCACAGTCAGAAAAGTCCAAATCTATATTTCTCAGATTACCCTGTAGTAGGAGGTTCTGAATATGAATGATATCCCACCAGTTAGGTACTCTTGGGTGAGATTGAAATGATGCATGGGAAGCAGCAGCCACCTTCCTGCTTCTTTGGGTCTTTCTGCTTGTGAATACAGTCATGCAGACTTTATGTTTTCCTGCTTCGGTGTTCCTTTGTGTAGTAACTAGCTTCATGGTGTCAAAAGGTGGTTGTGATATGACAGCAGATTTCTGATCTCTGAATCACAGCTACAGGGATGTGTTCTTGAAGTTAACAGCTTCAGTGTTGGGCTCCCAATTTCCTTCCATCTGAATTGAGTACAAGTGTTACCTACCTTAATGAGCCAGTTCTGTTGTGGTACCCTAGGAGTGTTTTTTAGAGCCCCAACCTACATTTCTTTCAGCCTCAAAATAATTTTGTAAGCATCTGGTCCATAGTTCAATTGAACTTCTGTTTAAAATAGCTACAGTGAGTTCTGTTTTCTGCAACTGAACCCTTACTGATGCATCGTCTTCTGGCACCCATTGTTGTGGATTATGTTTGTTTTTCTTTTTATGGATAATGTGTCATTCCTCTCTAGTGACTTTTAGGATATTTCCTTTGTCTTCAGTGTTGTTTAGTTTAACTGAAGGGGCCCAGGGGTATATTTTGTGTATGTACATATCCTACTCACCACTTGAGTTTTTGTTTTTGTTTTTGTTTTTTCCATATTGGTACAAATCCCGACCCTGCACTGAGCACAGTGCAGAATTAGGGATTGAGAGTCTAGATGTTTCACTTCGTTTCAAACCATGGTTTAAGCAGGGGACTCACTTTCAGGAGAGACCCAAGGTGGATAGGTCAAGATATTCTGGTTTTCATTCATGATGAAAACATTTTCCTACCTCCTAGATCCATACAGAACACCTAGTTCTAGCTCCGTCAGTACCTGCCTACAGTTTAGCTCTCTTTCCTGGCTTCTCAGACCTGTTTCCCTTGCTAGCCTCCAAGGGCTGTGAAGCTTCAGGTCCCATTTACTGCTCTGCATTCCTTCTGCTTCTGGGTCTTAGAGGTTTCCTGTTATACTTTTGAGAATGGCTACTATTTTAAAAATATTTTTTAAATATGTTGTCCATTGTTATGGTGTGTTTGGAAAAGAAGGTGGGGAAGCAATGGATTAGGGTGGTGTTCTTTCAGGTTAGTTCAAACTGACATCCTCACCTGAAGTTGCTGCCCATCACTGAATGATAAAAGGCATATCTCATTTCCTTTTTTTAAAAAATTACTCCCTATAGTTAAAAACAGAAGTACAACTAAGCAATAGGCCTATGAAAATATTTAATCCTGATTATGTATTCAAAGGAATACAAAATAACATATCAAAATAAACTATTTTAACCTATCAAATAGTGAGATTGACAAACCCGTTGTGAGACTCAGGGATAGGTAAAGTGGAGTAGAAGGAAAGGATCAAGTTCTCTCTCCTAGGAAACAGAGTTAGCTCTAGCCTTAAAGTAGAGATGATCAAGAAGGAAACATGCATCTATAGCCATATCACCATGAATGTGCCCAATCTCATCTGATCTTGGAAGCTAAGCAGGGTTGGGCCTGGTTAGTACTTGGAGGGGAGACTGCCAGGAATACCAGGTGCTATAGGCTTTTTTTTTTTTAAGGAAACATTTTAGAGAAGTGATGCGTTAAATATTATATTGATCTTGAAGGAAGGGAAATGCACCCTGCTTGAGGCAATGAAAGGTAGTAATAAATTTTTTAATCTATTGAATCAGAATTGCCACCATTGTCTCAAAAAACTCTCATCCTGACTCCAGTGAGTAGTGTGACTTGGTATCCCAACTCTGGAGAGTATCAAAAGCCCTAAGCCATGCATACCCTTTGGTGCACTTTCTAGGAATATATATCAAGGAATTGATGACTATGCCACAGCATTTATCCACAACGGCATCTGTCACTGTATCATTTATAAAAACAAGGAAAAACAACAACAAAAAGCAAACCAACCCCCACCAAAATAAATGACAACAAAGAAAAACAACCAAAGGGCACTGGGGGATACATGATGAAACCTTCATACAAAAGAGATACTAGGTAGCTTTGGATGTAGGAAAATACATAATAACATGGTAAGACAAACATGAAATAGCGGAATCAGATTTCAAAGTAGTATGTTTGTAGTTTTACATACATAAAAGGTGCACACAAAGTGAAAATTCGTCCAAAACCCAGCAATTTCCCTTGGGAGTGGGGTGGGTAGGAGTAGGATGTGATTTTGCATGCTGTTTGTATTTCCCATTTCTCAATGTATTTGCTCTAGTGCCCCTGAAACTTCCCACTTAGCTGCTTTCTTGCCCTCTCCTGACTCAGTCTCTTAGGTCCCAATCAATCTCTGGAGGTGGAATGGAAGGAAGACAGGTAGACCCATCTCAGGGTGGCCACAGCTGCTCCCACTGGGGAGTTCCATTTGGAGAAGGCTCTCAGGTCTACCCCTCATCCAAGCCCTGGATTTCTTCTGGACCTCACCCAGAAAGGACAGGGTCATCTTCCATCTTTGCTATTCCATTCCACCATTCTTCCAGCCCAATTCCCTGCCTCTCCAAGGGGCACTGGTAGCTCAGGAAAAGAGCTTCTTCTTGGGGCTCTGTTTCAGACTTGGTTCCTGTCTTTGGTTTCTCTGTAAAACAGGGATAATGGTTAGGTGGTTGTGTGATAATGATGAGATTAGGAATGCAAAGCACCTAGTATGGTGCCTGGCACATGGCAGGCTCTCATCAGAGGCCGATTCCCTTCACTTGGTTCCTTTTCCCCACAGTAACAAGGCTGCTCCAGGTGAGACCTGATGACAAACAATGAACAGACATCATCGTATTCACTGCTTACAAGCATCCCAACGGAACCTTACTAAAAACTCCAGGTTGTGCACAGCTTGCCTGGCACCACACAGTAGTAAGTGGAAGAGCTGGGCTCAGGGCTCAGGGCTTTGGTCTCCTGGAGTCCCATCGGAGCAGAACCGGCCTTCCTGCCTTTTCCTCTGTAGCAGGGATGGGAGGGGTGATCCTCCCTCTTCAAGAAGCCTTGGAGCCAGGCTCTGGGAGGATCATTTCCCATCTTGCTTTGCCAAGTCATGTGATCCCTGGAGTGGGGATAAAGAGGACCATCTAGACAAAGGGGAGGGAAGATCAAGGACTGGGGTCCATTTCTCCTGTGGTGGCAGATGCCATAGGGCATTAGCACCAGTGCGTTTGGACGGGTCCTCCTTGTCAGGATGCTCTGACCCCTGGGTAGCCCTTGGCAACAGGAGTGCCCCCAGGGCCCCTAAACCCAGTCTTCACTCCTAAGTCTGAGCATAGCCCTGTGTCCTCAGGATGCCTCCCCACCCCCACCCAGGGGCCCTATGGGGCTTCCTCTAACACTACCCTCTGCCCTCCCTCCCCCGCCTTTTGCCTGCTTGCCAACCCTTACAGCAGCCACTAGGGAGGTCTCTGGTGGGAGCCACTAGGGAGGGGGGCTCTGATGGGACAGAATTTGCTTCCAAGGTTGGGAAAGGGAAGCAGGCTTCCAGGGCCAGGTCCTTTATCTTCTCCAAGATTCTGCAGTAACCTTGCTGGTAGGGAGGCAGTGGGAGGTGGCCTCAGGCAGGGAGAGGAGTCTCAGTGCTACACAAAATGACCTGTGTCGAGTCTGTTTCAGTTCACTTCACCCTAGTCCACCCTCAGGATTCTACTGACTTAAGACACTTTTGATCGCCAGACTCTAAAAAGGAAAGGGACTTATGTTTTGGGTCGTTGAACAAAGGTTGTCAACAGAACAAGCAGCTACCTCTCGGGGCCAGGCTAGGATGCTGCCTGCTTCTCATGGGGCAGTGGTCCAGGTCAAGTCGGTTCTCAGCACAGCCTCTGAACAGGAAACACGGTCCCTGCCACAGCCTCCCCCAGCCCTAGCCCTCAGAGGCTTCTCCCTGCCAACTCCTGGCCATGGGAGCTGGTGACCTCACCATGGGGCCTCTCCACCCGGGGCCACTGCATCACCCCCACCAGACACGGGAGGCCTCCAGTTGGGATTTTAGTGTATTAAACCAAGGACTTTTTTTTAAACTTAGAGAAAACAAGAAGACGTGACAACACCAGAAACAAGAACAGCTCTCTGGCCAGCCTGTGCTGACCAGTACACAGTGAATCACACACAGAAAAGTATGTCATTCCGGTCAGTGTCTAGCTCCACCGCCTAGAAAACAGACTGCAAATAAATAAAGCGCATGGAGACCCCGTCACGCAGCAAGGGCCCCATCTGGGAGAGAAGAGGTGGGGAGGGGAGGTGGAGAAGCAGCAGGCGGGGCTACCACTTCAGGCAGCAGGGGTGAAAAAGCAGGGACAGGAGCAGATGCTGAGGGCTTGGCCCTGACCCTCCCCAGTCAGCCCCTCTAGGCCAATACGGCCACACCAGAAGCCACTGGGGGTGGGCGGACATGGACTTCCGTGACCCTCTTATGGGGTGGGGCTCCCTGCAGTGGGGGGTCTTTGAGGGCAGAGACCCCTGCGGCTGACGCAACTTTATCCCAGTAGGGAAACAGCTTCCAGGGTCCCAGGCCAAGCCCCTTGCATGGGGAGGGCTCAGTCACCCCCCACACTCCCATGCATGCACTCAGCAAAGAGCTTTCCTCCAGCCTTCCTGGCTGGCCCAGGAAGAGGCTGGAGCTGGGGATCCAGTCACCCAGAGGGTGACACCAGGGTTTGAAAGGGCCACATCTGTGCATCAGACACAAGGAGGCTCCTCACTCCTCTTCTCCAGCCCTGTGTCACTCTTGTCCCATAGAGGCTGCCCCCAAAGATCTGTTGGGGGGACCAGCAGGCTGACAGACCCCCAGAGGTGGTCCAGGGTGGATAGGGTTGGGGTGGATGAGAGGGGCCAGCAGGGTCAGGGGTTCCCAAGAAACTTGGGACAAGGGGGCATGTCATCAGGCCCTGGATGTGGGAGACTGCAAGGGTCATGAGGCAGCCACTGTCCAGCCGCTTCTGGCATGAGGCAGGCGGACAGCTTCATTCAGGACCTGAGTCCAGTGGGCAGCTGAGGAGGGTACATAGTAGGTGGCTGGGCCACTCTGTCCCTGGAGCTGGCCAGACTGCTGCAGTTTTCAGTCCCAGGAACTGAGAACGTGGCGCCCGGGGTACCAGTGCAAGAGATGCGGAAATGGGGATAGATGGTAAGGGCGAGGGTCCCTTCCCGGCTCCCCTCTGGGCTGCTCCTGAGCATTGTACACCAGTTAGCAGCACACCAGGGGGCCCCCAGGAGCAATCCAAGCCGTGAGGATGAGATTCTCCTGTGTGATCCTGGGGATGGGGGGTCGAGCTTGAGGAGAGAGAATTGGGGTCATGCCATGGGTCTCAGCCCCAGCCCACCCCAGGTTTATCCCTTCACCCTCCTGGTTATGTCGTGTCTCCAGGAGCCACAACACCAAGATCACCCCCACTTGCCCACCAAACTGGGAGGCTTGTGCCACTTCACTGCTGAGGAGCCCTTGGTGAAGCTCCAGGTGGGGTGAGAGGCTAGGATGTGGGGGACAGCTTGGCTCCCCAGGGGTCCTGGGGCTCATCTCTCCTGTCTCCCATCTCAGCTGTCCGTCCTCCTGATCTTCCCTGTGACTTTCCGTACTGCTCCAAGGAAAGCGACATTCCTAGATTCCCTACCCCTGGGCCCCTCTCTCCCTTGGTGCCCCAGGAGCCCTATGCTCCCCTCTCCACTTCCCCCTCCCTCCTCCCACCATGCCAGGTCTTGAAGAAGACTGGGGAGGGGTGTGGGGGCCTGCAGGCCCAGGGGCACACGCAGTTCCTCCTCCTCCTATCTGCATGTCAAGGGCAAATCCACCCCTCCCTGAAGCCTCAGTTTCCTCTGTCATTAGGAGGGGGAAATACACCTCTCTCACAGTGCTGCTAGCAGATTTCAGTTCCCAGGGAACTCAGACCTTCCTTCCCAAGCCAGGACTCGATCACTGGGCACCCCCACCCCTGTGAGCCTTTGTCCATGCTGTGCCTCTACTAGGAAGGCCCTTCTTCTCCTCTTGTTCAGGCCCTTCACGCTGCCTCTGCCCAGGCAAGTTCCAGGGCCAGAGGTGCCCCTGGGCAGGGATGTGACTCTTGGCAAGGCCAGAGAAGGGGCGGGTCACCGCCTACAAATGCCAATGCCTGAAAGAGAAAGAAAGAGATGGGGACCTCAGTTGCCTGGCCACCAGACACGTCCTTGCTTCCCCCGGGAATGGCCTCCTCTGCAAGCCCCTCCTCCATCTGCTCTGCCCACCCCAGGCTGAGAGCTGCTGTGTGCTCAGGCAGGTCTCCTTTTCCCAGATCACTTCAGTACACAGTAGGCTTCTAGAGGCCGTCTGGGGCTGGAGGATGGGACTCTGGCCCTGGGAGGGCCTTGCTAGCTAGGGGCCTTAGGGAGCATGGGCTGACATGGCAGAAGAGCAAGACTAGGGGAGGGGACGGTAGGAATGCGTCTCTCCCACTCTTCCCTGTCTCCAAATGCAGAGCTTGGGGGGTGCCCTCATGTAGGGGTAGGGGAACATAAGGGACAGCAGGAGCAGGCAGAGACCAGTCCTCTGGCCCCAAAGACAGGGCAGGAGGCAGTTTTGCCAAGGGCTGTGCAGGAGCTGCAGAGAGACCCAGGGCTGAGGGCTGAGAACAGATATGGGGCTCAACCTAGAAGAGAACCGTCCTCCCTATGCCCACCGACTGGTGGGGAAGAGAAGGGTGGGGGCATCGTTGCTCCTCTAGGGCCTTCCGGGGCCGCCCCCAGCCCATTACCCTCCATTCCTCAGGGTTCAGGGGACACCCTGGGGGCCTCTGCAGAAAGGGAGGCAGGCACTGGGGCGTGGGCGGGAGGGGGCCGCCCCTCACCCTATCCTGCAATCATGACTGGGGAGGAGGGGAGAGCCTGCGGCTGCCTTTCCTTTCCCCACCTGGGCTCCACAGCTCTTCTGGCTGGTTTGCCCCGGTGCCTTCCATACTTCCCCCTGACCGCCAACACGCCCTGACATCTGAAGGGCAGAGCCACCGCCCCTCTCCCATTCCAACCTGTCGCCTCCTACCTTTCTGCTCCGGGCCTGGAAAGTCAAGTCGCCGCAGCAGAATTCCCTCCTTCTGGTTTCCCCCTCTTTGGCCAATATGAGGCAACAGGTCGGCCGAGCCCAGGTAGTTTCTGGAGCCCGATGGCAGGGGCCCATTCAGTGCGTTTCTGCGCGATCCAGGGCCCCCGGGCTGAGACCGCAGCCGGGGCCAGGGCTGGGCCGTCGTGCCCTGGCGGCGTAGGTCTAGAGTCCAGGGGTCCGAGCCGCCCCGCCTCCGCCCCCCGCCGCGGCCCAGCTTTCCTTCATGCCGGCGACCCGGCCGGGGGCGGGCGGGGACACGGGCGCCCCTTCAGCCGGGCCTTCGCCGCCGCCGCCGCCGGCGCTCACTCGATCCGCACCTGCAGGCGGACGTTAAGCATCACCGAGGCCACGATGTAGAAGTAGGGGAAGTTCATGCGCAGCCGCCAGGCCAGGTCGAAGAAGGTGAGCAGCGTGCGCGTGAGCCCCTTGCAGAAGGCGCCGTACGAGCCTCGGGCCGCAGCTGAGCGCGACAGCCGCACCGCCAGGCCAGACAGGGCCGCCGCAGCCGCCGCTGCAGACAGAGCCGCCGACGCCGCCATGGGCCCGGGCCCCGCGCAGGCCCCGCCGACCGACTGACCCGCTCGAGCGCGAGCCTCAGGGCGGTGGGACCCGAGCACTAGTGCACCCAGCGGGTCGCCCAGAGCCGCGGCCGCCCCGCCCCCGTGTTCCCAAGGCCGAGCGGGGCTCAGGCGGCCGCTGCCTCGGCCCCACCTCCACGATCCCGCACACGCCGCCCCCTCCACACCTCCTCACTGCGGGGGGCCACCCCCCCGAACCCCCACCCCGAACCCCCCCAGGCCAGCATAGGTCCGCCGCTGGCTTAGCCACGCCCCCAACCGGGAGCCGCAGAGAGGCCGTCAGCGCTGCGACCCCGCCTGCTCGACGTGCCCCGCAGGCTCAGCTCCGCCCACTGCCCCGTCCCGCCCACACAGCCCCGCCTCTTTCCGGGCGCCTCCGGAGGCTGGAGTGGATTGAAGGGCGGAGCTGCCAGGGATCGCTTTGAGACCATTTCCCAGGGTGGAGCGGCAGTGGAGGAGGACAATCTGGGCCGCTACGCTGATTCTGTATAGAAAGCACGTGCAGAAGCCTCTGCCTGTTCATATCACCTCCCTTCTCCCACGGTCTCCCCTGAAAACTGGCCAGCCAAGCCATTATATCTTTCTTTAATTCGCATGGTGCAGTAACTGCGCTACAGAGTGCCATCAAGCCCACATGCGTGCATTTTTCCCTTTCTGGTATATTTGCTGGTCACGTATATCTCTTTATTGGCGAATTTCCCCATTGTCCTTCCCTTTCTAAGCACTCTTCTTAATCCATTGTTTGCCATGGTGGTTGCACAAGGTCGTCTTGGGTTTTCATTTGCTCTTGTTTATGGCCTTTTTGTTTGTTTGTTGCCAGTGTGCTTAAAAGCCCTTTCGTGGTTTCATTCAATCTTTATTAAACGTAAACCAGTCAAAACCCAGTAGCGTTTTTTCAGACTGTTTTAATGATGTGGGGAAATGCTCTCACTTCGTTATGGTCATGACTTTTGAAAAACTGTCGGCAAGAAAGAAGTAGGTTCACCCAACCCCATCCCAGTTTTCACAACAAAGGTTGACGTGGGTATTTAAGAACTCTCAAAATACCTGTTCACCGTCACGCCTGATCATCTCTATGGTATCCCACGTAACTGAGGAACGCAGCGGATCCATTTACACTGATTGAGCAATTGTCCTACCTACATGATCAAGAAAAAAAAAATCCAGTTCCAGAATCACTGGATTCTGGTTATTGTGTGGACATCACGATTTTATCAACAACGCAACACATCCATGCATGGGTATACATGCATCAAAAAAAAAAATGCCAGGGCAGGAGGCTGGGCGTGGTTTTTCTTTTCTTTCTTTTTCTCTTTTCTATTCTTTTTTTTCTTTTTTTTTCTTTTCTTTTTTTTTTTTTTTGAGACTAAGTCTCACTCTGTCTTCCACGCTGATGATCTCAGCTCACTGCTGTCTCTGCCTCCCAGGTTCAAGCGATTCTCTTGCCTCAGCCTCCTAAGTAGCTGGGACTACAGGCACGCGACACCACGCCTGGCTAATTTTTGTATTTTTAGTATTTTTAATAGAGATAGGGTTCACCATGTTGGCCAAGCTGATCTGGAACTCCTGATCTCAGGTTATCCGCTTACCTCGGCCTCCCAAATTGCTGGGATTATAGGCGTGCAATCTCGGCATTTTGGGAAGCCAAGATGGGAGGATCACTTAAGGCTGGGCCTGTTTACCAAGGTCCTCGTCTCTACAAAAAAAAATAAAATATATTAGTGGGGTGTGGTAGCATATGCCTGTAGTCCCAGCTACACAGGAGGCTGAAGTGGGAGGATCGCTTGAGCCCAGGAGTTCAATGTTACTGTAAGCTATGATCCTGCCACTGTACGATGGAGTGAGACTGCCTCTACTACAAAAAAGAAAAAGCCAGGGCAGATATATCAAATTGCTCTATATTGTTCTGGTTAAGACAATAGGGAGACTTAAACTTTTTACTTCGCTCTATATGTCTGTATGTCCAAATGTATGTCTGTACATATTCCTTGTATAATACAATGAAAAAAATTAGTAATATTTGAAAAAGAAAGGGCCATAGAAATATAGACTTAAGGCACATAGAAACCCATTGTTCCAGACTGGCTAGAACCCCATTCATTTGCAGACCCTGTTGCTTCCAGCCATTTCTGAAACCTCTCCTTGGCCTCATCTCATTTATTTTTTAACATTTTGTTTGTAAATAATTATAGACTCACAGGAAATTTCAAAAATAGTACCAAAAAAGACCTTGTGCCTTTTATCCAGCTTCCCTCAACAGTAACATTTTTTGTTGATGTAATATAACATCAAAATCAAGAATTGAAATTGATACATTACTGTTTACCAGACTGCAGGCCTGATTTCACTTGGAATATTTTTTTAAACCTGCATTAATGTGTGGGTGTGCACACATATAGTCCTAACAATTTTACACCATCTAAAGATTTGTGTAACCACAACTACAATGAAGATACAAAAGTATTCCATTACCCAAAAAAAACCTCCTTTGGGTTACCTCTTTGCACTCACATTCAGCCACTCTGCACATATTATGTTAGATTTATTTCATCCTCTTTGCAGTGACTGCTAGTGGTATTGTGAGTTTGATTACATGTCAAACATTTGGTTTCCATGTGTTCATTGTTAATATATAGAACTGCAACTAATATTTTAATTACATTATTAATCTTGAGATAATTGTAGATTTACATGCAATTTTAGGAAAAAATACAGAGAGATCCCATGTTCCCTTTAACCAGTTCCACTGGTTAATATCTTTCAAAACTACAGTACAATATCATAATCAGGATGTTGATATTGACACAATCCATCTATCCTATTCAGAATTCCCTCAAGCTGCCCTTTTTTGACCAAATCTGCTTCCATCCTGCTCTCCCTCCTTAATGACTGGCAACCACTAATGTGTTGTCTATTTCTATAATTTTATCATTTCAAGAATGTTAAACAAATGGAATGATACAACATTGTAACCTTTGGGAATTGACATTTTTCACTCAATATCATTCTCTAGAGAATCATCCAAGTTGTTGGGGGTGTGAAGTGTCAATAGTTCTTTATTTCTTTTTGCTGCTGAGTAGTACTCCTTGGTGTAGTTGTACCACAGTTTGTCTAACCATTCACCCAGAGTATTCCCAGTTTTGGCTATTAGAAATAAAGCTGCTATGAATATTAATTTACAGCTTATTGCGTGAAGATAAATGCCCATTTCTCTGGGATAAATGTCTAAGTGTGATTGCTAGGTCATAAGGTGCATGTTAGGTTTTGTAAGACTCTACCAAACTGTTTCCTGAGTGGCTCTAGCATTTTATATTCCCACCAGTAATTTATGAGTGTGTTGATTCTCTGCATCCTTGCCAGCATTTGGTGTTATCACTATTTTTTATTTTAAACATTTTGATAGGCGTATAGTGATATATGATTCGGCAAATACCAATAATGAAGGTGAAAAATCATTTTATGTGCTTATTTTCCATCTGTTTATCCTTTTTGGTAAAATGTTTTTTGCCATTTTCTAGTTGGACTGTTTTCTATGCTTAAATCTCGAGACTTCTTTATATTTTCTAGATACGAGTCCTTTAACAGATATGTGGTCTGCAAATTTTCCTCCCATTCTGTAGTTTGTCTTTTCATTCTGTTATTAAGGGCATTATCTGAGCAAAAGACTTAAATTTTGATGAAGTACCATTTATTGGTCCTTTTTATTTATGGATCATGGTTTTGATGTCATGTGTAAGAACTCTTTACCAAGCCCTAGGTCCTAAAGATTTTCTCCTGCGTTTTCTTTTTGAAGTTTTGTAGTTTTATATTTCACATTTAAATTTGTGCCCCACTTTGAGTTAACTTTGGTATAATATTTGAGGTTTAGGTCCAGGTTCAATTTTCATTTATGGATGTCTAATTGTTAGAGCCCAATTTGTTGGAAAGGGTATCCTTCCTCCACTGAGCTTCTTTTTCATCTTTGTCAAAAATCGGACTTGGGTCTCTTTCTATGTCCTCTATTCTGTTGTATTGGCCTATGTGTCTATTCTTTCTACAGTACCACACTGTCTTTATTACTGTTTGGATATAGTACGTGTTAATATGGGAATATTAGTCCATTCACATACTGCTATAAAGAAATACCTGAGACTGGCTAATTTATAAAGAAAAGAGGTTTAAGTGGCTCACGGTTCTGTAGGCTGTGCAAGAAGCATAGCAGCTTCTGTTTCTGGGGAGGCCTCAGGAAGCTTACAATCATGGCAGAAGGCAAAGGGGGAGCAGGCACATCACATGGGTGGAGCAGGAGAAAGAGAGAGAGCGGGCTGGGGGGTGCCACACACTTTTAAACAAGCAGATCTCGTGAGAACTCACTATGATGACAACAGCACCAAGGGGATGGTGCTAAACCACTCATGAGAAACCACCCCCATGATCCAATCACCTCCCACCAGGCCCCACATCCAAGATTGGGGATTACAATTTTACATGAGTTTTGGGCGAGGACACACATCCAGACCACATCAATGGGGTAGCATGACTTTTCTCTATTTTTTTGAACATTTCTTTAGCTACTCTAGGGCTTGTGCCTGTCCATATACAATTTAGAATAAGCTGATCTATGGGTACAAAAAGGCTTGCTGAAAATTGTGTTCAATTTAAAGACCAATTTTGGGGAAAATTGACATAGTTTCTGTGTGGATTCTTCAAATCCAAGAACACAGTATGTTTCTTCATTTATTTAGATATTCTTAATTTCATCAAAACTGTAGAATATTCAGCATTCAGATCCTATATATGTTTGTTAAATATACTCCTAAGTACTCACTTTCTTTGAAGCAATTATACATGATTTTATGTTTCTAATTTCAGTTTCCACATGCTTGTTCATTGTTAGTATGTAGAAATATGATAATTTTTTTTTTGTTCATCTTGTATCCTGCAACCTAGCTGAACTTTTTTTCTTACTTCTTGTGAGACAGGAATAATGCAGTGTGGTCGCAGAAGAATAGAAAATTCCAGACAACAGTTTCAGATGACTAGCAAAAGGAAACTGCTGAAATAGCAGCAGAAGCTAGGGGCTGATTAGACCCTAAAAAACCAGGGTATGGACCAAGCTGGCTAAGACCAATTGGACCCAACACAGTGCTGGATTTGACCTAGGTGTTACCTAGGACGTCATTATACCGTCATTAACATAGTAAATCACACATCCACTAGCACCAGGACAGTTCCAGGAACACCCATATTTGGTGTAAAAATGGGTGGTGCCACAGTTTCAAGAAATCTCTAACCTTTTGTGGGAATCTCTGTGAATATTCCACCCCTTGATTAAAGAGACCCGCAAAGGTAGAAGCCCCAAATTCCATTGCATGACTCACTCTGAGTATGCCTGCACTCCCCTTTCTTGAGTGTGTACTTTTGCTTTGCAATAAATCACTGAACTTTCACTCTTTTCTGACTTATCCTTGCATTCCTTCTTGCAATGGTGTCAAGAGCGTGGACACCAGCTGGGGTCAAAGTCTAACCAGTGTTTGGGGACCTCCCCCAAACTTGGAGTCTTGGTATCACTTGGAGTATCACTTGGAGTCTTTTTGTCAATTCCTTGGAATTTTCTAACTAATGTCATTTGTAAATTGGGACAGTTTTATTTTTTCCTTCCTAATCCTTATTTCCTTTCCTTGTGTTATTGCAGTGGATACAATTTCCAGTACTAGGTTGAAAAAGAGTGGTGAAAAACTAACATCACTGACTTGTTTGGGATCTTAGGGGGAAGCATTCAGTCTTTCACCACTAGATATGATGTTAACTTTAGGGAGTTTTGTTTGTTTTTTTGAAAAAAGTTTCTCAGTTGTCTCATTTTTTGTTTCCTTTATTTAAAAAATTTAGGATTGTGGTAAGATACACATAGCATAAAATTGATCACGTTAACTGTTTTTAAGTGTTCAGTAATGTTAAGAACATTCACATTGTTCTGCAACCAATCACCATAGCTCTTTTTATCTTGCAAAAGATAAAAAAAAATTACAACTCCCCGTTTCCTCCTGCCCTTATGCTCTGAAAACCAATATTCGACTATGCGTCTCAATGAATTTGACTACTCTAGGCACCTCATATAAGTGGAATCATACAATATTTGTCTTTTTGTAATTGGCTTATTCATACAAAATAAAATTCAGTGTAGTCCTCAGAAAACATTTTTTTTTTTTTTCTGAGACGGAGTTTTGCTCTTTGTGCCCAGGCTGGAGTGCAATGGCGCGATCTCGGCTCACTGCAACCTCCGCCTCCCGAGTTCAAGCGATTCTCCTGCCTCAGCCTCCCGAGTAGCTGGGATTACAGGCACCTGCCACCACGCCCGGCTAATTTTGTATTTTTAGTAGAGATGGGGTTTCTCCATGTTGGTCAGGCTGATCTTGAACTCCCGACCTCAGGTGATCCACCCGCCTAGGCCTCCCAAAGTGCTGGGATTACAGGCGTGAGCCACCGTGCCCGGCCGGAAAACATATTTTTTTTATAAGAAGCATAAAACCATGCTTGAAAATGAATAAATCTGTGAAATCTCGTAAAAATTTGAAGTGAGGTTCTTGTAGCATAGAGTTGGGTTATTTTTTTAATCCACTGTCAATTTCTGTCTTTTCATTGCTATTCTTATATCATTTACATTTAAAGTAAGTATATTGATATGTTAGGGCTTAAGTTTGCTATTTTAATATTTGCTTTCTGTTTGTTCATTTTGTTTCTTATCCCTCTGTTTCTCTTTTCTTGCCTTCCTGTAGGATATTTGAACATTTTGTAAAAATTCCATTTTGATTTACATGTAGTGTTTTTTTCCTTTTTTGTACTATAATGTTTATTTTTATTTTTTATACTGGTATAAATATATATAAAGTTCAGTAAAGGTAACTTTTCATTGTCTCTATTCCTTCTCTGGTCATTATAGTCATTTGTTTCGTTTCTATTTATTTATTTACTTATTATACTTTAAGTTCTGGGATACATGTGCAGAACGTGCACGTTTGTTACATAGGTATACATGTGCCATGGTGGTTTGCTGCACCCATCAACCCATCACCTACATTAGGTATTTCTCCTAATGTTATCCCTCCCATAGCTCCCTACCCACCGACAGGCCCCAGTGTGTGATGTTCCCCTCCCCGTGTCCATGTGTTCTCATTGTTCAACTCCCACCTATGAGTGAGAACATGCAGTGTTTGCTTTTCTGTTCTTGTGTTACTTGGCTGAGAATGATGGTTTCCAGCTTCATCCATGTCCCTGCAAAGGACATGAACTCATCCTTTCTTATGGCTGCATATGATTCCATGGTGTAAATGTGCCACATTTTCTTTATCCAGTCTATCATTGCTGGACATTTGGGTTGGTTCCAAGTCTTTGCTATTGTGAACAGTGCTGCGATAAACATGCATGTGCATGTGTCTTCAAAGTAGAATGATTTATAATTTGGGGGGTATATACCCAGTAATGGGATTGCTGGGTTAAATGGTGTTTCTGGTTCTGGATCCTTGAGGAATCGCCACACTGTCTTCCACAATGGTTGAACTAATTTACACTCCCACCAACAGTGTAAAAATGTTCCTATTTCTCCATATCCTCTCCAGCATCTGTCATTTCCTGACTTTTTAATGATCGCCATTCTAACTGGTGTGAGATGGTATCTCATTGTGGTTTTGATATGCATTTCTGTAATGACCAGTGATGATGAGCTTTTTTTCATATGTTTGTTGGCTGAATAAATGTCTTCTTTTGAGAAGTGTCTGTTCATATCCTTCGCCCACTTTTTGATGGGGTTGTTTATTTATTTATTTATTTATTTATTTTGTAAATTTGTTTAAGTCCCTTGTAGATTCTGGATATTAGCCCTTTGTCAGATGGATAGATTGCAAAAATTTTCTCCGATTTTGTAGGTTTCCTGTTCACTCTGATGATAGTTTCTTTTGCTGTGCAGAAGCTCTTTAGTTTAATTAGATCCCATTTGTCAATTTTGGCTTTTGTTGCCATTGCTTTATATGTAGTGTTTTTGAATATAGTTCTTCATATTATTATCTTTTGTTGGCTACTGTATGTATTACATTACACATCAAAATCTACTGGCATCAACATTTAAACCACTTTGAGTGAAGCAGAGAAATTTTACTTCCATTTAGCTTTCTTCACCCTCCTCCCATCTAAATATAAATAGCTTAAGCATTTCCTCTATGTACATTGAGCCTGCCCTAGCTAATGTTATACATTTTGCTTTAACCATCAAACATGATCTTAAAAACTCATCAGGAGAAAGTTATCCTGTTATGTTTACCCCCACTTTTACTCATCCCATTATTCTTTCTTCCTTCCTGAAGTTCCAACTTCCTGTGTTATCATTTCCTTTCTGTTTAGATAATTTCCTTTAGCCATTATTTAAGGGCTGCTGATAACCAGTTCTCTTAGGTTTTATTAATCTGAGAATGTCTTTATTTCCTCTTTACTCCTGAAGGATATATTTGCTAGATATAGAATTAGTGGTTGACAATGGATGGGAAAGTGGAGGGCTGCCTAGTCTTGCCTGCACTGAACCACCTCCTTCAGTTTTCTTGGTGCCGGATGGGAGTGACACCTGGGTGAATGGAAAAGCTGAATGCCAACTAACTAGCTCTCCCTTGGACTTTCTCATCTCCCTCCTTGGTGATGATTTGTGGAGGAAGTCCTCCTCCCTCTAGACCTTATTGACACAACTCCAGCAGAGTGCTGCTTGTTTCTATTGGGTAGGGGGTTGGAGTGGAAGATCGGATTCCTGGTGCAGTCATCAGAGACATCAGAGCACCACCACTTACTTCCACATGGGAGGTAGGAGGCTGAATATTAACTCCCCACTCAGCCCTACTGAAACTGCACAGATGAGTGGGTCACTTTGACTGAGGTGAGGGGGTTTGTCAAAAAGGTGTTCTGCTCTGTTAAGCCACCATTTCTCCCAAAACCTTTGGCTAGAGGAAACAAGCTTTTCTTGGAGATTTTCTTTGTTGGCAGTTCTTGGTTGCTGGCTTCTCTGGTGCCCAATCAAGGATATATGAGAGGGAAAAAGAAAATTCAGGGAGCCAGGAACAGTGGCTCATGCCTGTAATACCAGCACTTTGGGAGGCTGAGGCGTGTGGATCACTTGAGCCCAGGAGTTGGGCAAATTTCTTGAGCCTAGGAGTTGAAGACCGGCCTGGGCAACATGGCAAAATCCCATCACTATGAAAAATACAAAAATTATCTGGGCATGGTGGCTGTATTAGTTCATTTTCACGCTGCTGATAAAGACATACCCGAGACTGGGTAATTTATGAAGGAAAGAGGTTTAATGGACTCACAGTTCCACATGGCTAAGGAGGCCTCACAGCCATGGCAGAAGGCAAAAGGCATGTCTTACATGGTGGCAGGCAAGAGAGAATGAGAGCCAAGCAAAAGGGGAAACCCCATATAAAACCACCAGATTTCATGAGACTTATTCACTACCAGGAGAACTGGATGGAGGAAACTGCCTCCATGATTCAATTATCTCCAACTGGGTTCCTCCCACAACATATGGAAAGTATTGGAGCTACATTTCAAGATGAGATTTGGGTGGGGACACAGCCAAACCATATCAGTGGCACGTGCCTGTAGTCCCAGCTACTTGGGAGGCTGAGGTGGGAGGATCACTTGAGCCCAGGAGGCAAGGCTGCAGTGAGCCAAGATCGTGCCACTGCACTCCAGCCTGTGTGACAGAGTGAGACCTTGTCTCAAAAAAAAAAAAAAGAAAGAAAAGAAAAAGAACACTCAGGTAACTCACTGCTACCATGTCTTTCCTCAAGTCCCAAGGTCCATAGGCAGTCCTTACTTCCAACTGTTATGAAAAACTTCAGACATATGACATTTAACAGAGTTTATTTGAGCAAAGAATGATTCATGAATTGAGCAGCACTTAGAACCAGAAAAGGTTCAGAGAGCTCTGCCCAGCAATGTGAGCAGCAGGTTTTTAATAGCGTGATCACTGACTCAAAGTAGAGAAATCACCTGATTGGCTATACAGCTAGGCATTTGTCTTATTTGAGTATGGGCTGATGCGAAGTCTCTAATTACATAGCCAGTCAGCTGGTTGGCTGTTTGTGATTGGCTGAGGCTTGTTTTTCTTTTAAGTCAGTTAGAAGAAATGTTTCTAAGTTAAGTCCCAGTTTGCTTACGTAAGAGCTCTGGTTACAGAGACAACTTCAGGCTAATGGCATCCTGCTTACTTATTTTGCTTTAACACACCTTCAGAGTTTCCCTATACTTGTGGTATTATATGCTTCTGGTATAACAATACAATTAAATGCAACCTTATCAAGTAGATGTTTTGATCAGTTCTGTCAAATTTGTATCTTTGTGTATCCACCACCACAATCAAGATATAGAACATTTTCATCACAGCAGAAAGTTATCTTGTGCTCCTCCTAATCGACACCTTTCCTCTACACCTAGGCCAAGGACACCCCTATCTATTTTCTGTCACTAATGATTGGATTTGTTTTCCTAGGGGTTCACATACATTTGTTATCATTCACATCCAGGTTCATGCTGCCTGTGTGCAGTAAGTCAATCACTGTGGTGACAGGTTTTGCAAAACAGGAAGAATTTATTCATGAGGCAGCCAAGTGAGTAGGTGGGAGAATAGGTCTCAAATTCACTTCCCCAAAGATAAGGCTTAGGGATATTTATGGGTTAGAGAAGTGAGGTGGCCTAAGGAATGGGGAAAGGTGATTGGCAGTGGGGAAAAAATGAAGTAATCAATGATCTATGCAAGTGTATTTGGGGATTATGGAATTTCATAGGACATATGTTCAGAAAATGTTAGTGTTAGCATGATCTGTGGCTGGAGTTTTTGGCCTTCTGACAAAGAAGTCAAAAAGGCCACCTCTCAGGCATTTGCATAGGCCCAATTAAAGGGTCAGTGGTTTCAAATGGTTTGAACTGGACAAGAGCTGCTTCAAGTTCCTGAAAAACAACTGAAGCAACCGTTACCATGGTGACCTTTAAATGTTATCTACAAGGTAGCCAGTGAAAGTTAAGTTTTAGCCTTCAGCAGTGCAGCCTTCAGCTACCATGACCTTCAGCTTTATGAAAAAATATCAAAAAGCAAGCAACCACAGGCAAGTAGGGCAGGCTAAGTTTGGCAGACCTAACCAGCTTAACCCTTTGGTTTCCAATGGAATCATACAGAATGAACTCATTTATGTTTGGCCTCTTCGACTAAGAATAACATTTTTGAAATACAATCATGTTGTTGCATGTATGAATATTTAGTTCCTTTTTATTGTTAAGGAGTATTCTATTGTAGAAATACACCACAATTTGTTTACCCATGTATTTGTTGTGGTAGGGAACCTTTAAGATTGCCCACAGTGATCCCTACCTCCTGGTATTATTCCTTTGAGCCATCTCCAGCATTGAAAGTGGGCCGTAATTAATTACTTGTTTCCAACTATAAGACATTTAATAGCAACACTTGGCAGTGAGTCTTTTTAATTTTAGCCATCATAATGGACGCATAGTGGTAACTTGTTATTTTCTTTGCATTTATGTTATGACTAATGATGCTGAGTATCTTTACATATTTTGCCATTCAACATGTATTTTCTTGTAAAATGTCCATTTAAATCTTTTATTCCCTTTAACAATTAGGTTGTTTGTGTATTGAATTATAAGAGGTCTTTATATGTTTAAGATACAAAGCCTTTGTTGGATATACGTTTTGCAAATAGTTTTTTCGGTCTGTGACTTGCCTTTTAATTTTTGCAATGTTGTATTTCAAAGAGGAGAAGATTTTAACTTTGATGACGTTTATCAGTATTTTCTTTATGGTTCATGTCTTTTGGTCCTATGTAATAAAACTGTGCCTGTCCCAAAGTTACCAAAACCTTATCCCATGTATTATTCTAGAAGTCTTATAGTTTTTGCTTAGTATTCTGGTCTGTTACCTATTTCAAAATAATGCTTGTTTATGGCATGAGATAGGAGACAGTGTTCATTTCATTGTTTAAATGTATATTTTTAAAAATCTAGTTATCTCAGCAGCGTTTGTTGAAAAGACTTTCTTTTCCTTATTGAACAATTTTGTCTAGTCTTAAAGCAATACTACACTATCTTGATTGCTGCAGCTTGAAATCAGGTAGTGTAATTATTTCAACTTTGTTCTTGCATTTCTGTTAAACTTATTCCTAAGTATATTCTTCTTTGTGATGCTATTATAAATGGAATTGTTTTCTTAATTTCATGTTCCAATGATACATTGTTAGTGAATAGAAATAAAATTGCTTTTATAATTTATCTTCCTGATGGATTGACACTTTTATCATTATAAAACATCCCTTACAAATGTCACTAGAGAAAAAGCTTTTTGTACTAAGTGAACCTCAAGTCAGTTCAAAAACAAGGAGTCTTGCGAGTGAGATCTTCCAGAGAGCCAACAGATGGGTCAAATAATGACAATTCTTTGGGAATTAAGCTTTGTAAGAGCTCCAGCTCTGTTCTGCAACTCTGTCAGCTGTCAGGCTTCACTTTCAACACGACCCATTAGTTTCTTAAGTTGCGCCAGAGCTAGAGAGTGGAGAATGGAACTAGGGCAAGTTAAAATGCCATAAAGCTTGCTATTTTTATTGATTCAGCCATGTTTTCTTGAATAAATATTTTCTGGCTAGCTATAAGCCTTTGGGTTATGTCTATAGTTCTGAAAATGTTGATTCTAACTATTATTGCCATTATCCTTGTTGATATTTTGGAGGAGAGAAATTTTGGTGGTTGTTACTCTGCCATTTTCACTGACATCACCCTCCTTGTTATGTTATGCTATGTAGAAAACTAGACATTTTAGATAATATATTGTAGTAACACTGAATATTGATCTCCTGTGGACTTACTGTTGGTGTTGCTTGCTTGTTTGTTTAGTGACTTGGCTAGACTATTT
The DNA here is from genome assembly GCF_000001405.40 of Homo sapiens. Lineage (NCBI taxonomy): Eukaryota > Metazoa > Chordata > Mammalia > Primates > Hominidae > Homo > Homo sapiens. The sequence goes on along the minus strand of NC_000023.11, from coordinate 135,409,155 downwards.
TATTGAAGTTGTCCCCCACCCCCTAGCAGAAAGCCCCTGATGTTGTTCTTGAACTTGAGCATGTGCACATGAACTTCAGCATGTGCACAGTCATCCTGAGATGACAGTGGTTTTAGTAGGGCTATCTTTGACTATCTTTTTCTATGATCACACCTTTTTAGGCTCACTAATTGCCTGCTGATAGAGCTCTTTGTTTTCACAATGCCTTAGAGTATACATTGTTCTGTAGCCTGATCCATTTAAATTTCAGTCCCTTTGGAAATGTGGTTTTTAGCGAAAGTCTTTGAGGTTTGTTCTGATCCCAGGAGAAATCTTCTTTACTGTTTCTTTCCCTGGTTCTCTTTGGTAAACTCAGCCCTAGGTAACCATAAATCTTTTTTCTTTATAGATTTGCCTATTGTGGATTTTTTGTGCAAGTAGAATCATACCATATGTTGTCCTTTGTGTCTGGCTTCTTTTACTTAGCATACTGCTTTCAAATTTCATCCATGTTGCAGCATGTATCATTATTTCATTTCTTTTTATTGCTGAATAATATTCCATTGTATGGATATATCACATTTCATTAATCCATCCATAAGTTGATGTACTTATGGGTTGTTTCCACTTTTATATTATTGTGATTAATGACACTATGATTATTATACAAGTTTTTGTGTGTACACATGTTTTACTTGTCATGGGTGTATACATATGAGTGGAATTTTGGGGTCATATGGTAACTCTGCTTAACTGTTTGGGGAACTATCAGACTGTTTTCCAAAATGGCTGCTCCACCAGCAGTGTATGAGGATTCTAATTTCTCCACATCCTCACTAAAATGTGTTAATGTCCCTTTACTTTAACCATTTTAGGTGGTAAAGTGGTATTTCCTGGGTTTTAACTGGCATTTCCCTAAGCCTGATGTTATATGCAGGTTTTCTATAGATGCTTTTTATCAAGTTGGTAAAGTTCCTTTTTATTTATGGTTTGCTGAAATTTTTTTATCATGAATGAATGTTATAATTTGTCAAATGTGCTTCAACTTCTATTGATATTGTTGGGGAGGACAAACTTTGCTTTTATCTTCTCAGGTTCTGTTTTGGGGCCTGTGAATTAAACTGACAAAAGACAGGCAAACAGGAGAAAAAGTTTACAATTTTTATTGATGTTAATATTTTAAATTTTACATGTGTGAGGGCTTCATAGAAAAGAAATGAAAAACAATAAAAAAGGAAAACAAAATAAATGAAAAACAACAACAAAAAGAAATGAATAAAACAGAGAAAGAGTTAACTGGGGATACAAAATCAAAATGTGTGTAATATTTAAATTTTACATGCTTGTGGCTCCATAGAAAAATGAAAAATTAAAAAATGAAAAACAAAAATAAATTTAAAAAAGAGAAACAGTTAATTGGGGACACAACATGCAGACAAGAAAAGTTTGGTGCAAAGAGGAGAAAGAACAGATGACTAAAGAGTCAGAGAAAGAAGAATTGGTGGAGTGATGCTCTTGAGAAGGTAAGATTTCAGATCTGGTGTGCAAGTTAGAGATTTGACCTTAGACAGGAGTAAAAGCATTCATCTATGTGAATTAGTGGCAAGTCTGCATATTCTGGTGTTAGTTCCCCTCCAAATTCATCTACCTAATGCAGGTACAGAGAAAAGCAGTGCCTTATGTTTGACCAGAGTTGTGTTTTTGTCAATGGTCTATGACCAAGAAAGACAAGGGTCAGTAATTGAGATGGTCAGCAACCCGGTGATTACAATGATTAACATGGAATTTCAGCCCTGTAAGGAGAGGAGAGAGGACGTCACAGGTTTGAGTAAATGTGATAGAATCAATGAATGGGAATTTGCAGTGGGAATGAAAGAGTGTTAGAATCAGGATACTAAAATGAATAAACTTAAAGTTGAAAGTGCTCAGAGATTGAGGTGCATTACATTTTTTATACGGTTCCTGATATTTTATTTCTGGTTGTTCTCTCCATTTCCTAAGATATTTATCTTATAATCTTTTGTATTTGTGGATTTGTATATTTCTACTTGTTGTGCTCTCAACATCTGTTTTTTGTTGTTGTTGTTTGTTTGGTTTTTTTTTTTTTTTTTGAAGGGGTGGGTTGCCCCTCCACACCTGTGGGCGTTTCTCGTTAGGAGGAACGAGAGACTTGGAAAACAAAGAGACACAGAGACAAAGTATAGAGAAAGAAAAAAGGGGGCCCAGGGGACCGGCGTTCAGCACACGGAGGATCCCGCCGGCCTCTGAGTTCCCTTAGTATTTATTCATCATTATTGGGTGTTTCTCGGAGAGGGGGATGTGGCAGGGTCATAGGATAATAGTGGAGAGAAGGTCAGCAGGTAAACACGTGAACAAAGGTCTCTGCATCATAAACAAGGTAAAGAATTAAGTGCTGTGCTTTAGATATGTATACACATAAACATCTCAATGCCTTAAAGAGCAGTATTGCTGCCCGCATGTCCCACCTCCAGCCCCAAGGCAGTTTTCCCCTATCTCAGTAGATGGAATATACAATCGGGTTTTACACCGAGATATTCCATTGCGCAGGGACGGGCAGGAGACAGATGCCTTCCTCTTGTCTCAACTGCAAAGAGGCGTTCCTTCCTCTTTTACTAATCCTCCTCAGCACAGACCCTTCACGGGTGTCGGGCTGGGGGACGGTCAGGTCTTTCCCTTCCCACGAGGCCGTATTTCAGACTATCACATGGGGAGAAACCTTGGACAATACCTGGCTTTCCTAGGCAGAGGTCCCTGCGGCCTTCCGCAGTGTTTTGTGTCCCTGGGTACTTGAGATTAGGGAGTGGTGATGACTCTTAAGGAGCATGCTGCCTTCAAGCATTTGTTTAACAAAGCACATCTTGCACAGCCCTTAATCCATTTAACCCTGAGTTGACACAGCACATGTTTCAGAGAGCACGGGGTTGGGAGTAAGGTTACAGATTAACAGCATCTCAAGGCAGAAGAATTTTTCGTAGTACAGAACAAAATGGAGTCTCCTATGTCTACTTCTTTCTACACAGACACAGTAACAATCTGATCTCTCTTTCTTTTCCCCACGTTTTTGAGACGGAGTTTCACTCTGCTGCCCAGAGTGGAGTGTGCAGTGGCACGATCTCGGATCACTGCAACCTCCATCCCCCGGGTTCAAGCGATTCTCCTGCCTCAGCCTCCTGAGTAGCTGGGATTACAGGCACCTGCCACTACCCCCAGCTAATTTTTGTATTTTTAGTAGAGACTGGGTTTCACCATCTTGGCCAGGCTGGTCCTGAACTCCTGACCTCGTGATCCACCCACTTTGGCCTCCCAAAGTGCTGGGATTACAAGCGTGAGCCACCATGCCCGGCCACATCTGTGTGTTTTAAGGATGTAATATTATTAGATTCAGACACATTTAAAAGTAATTACAATTTTCTTATTTAGTTAGCCATCACTTTTTTCTGCCCATGCCTCAGCTGTTGGGGGTCTTTGCCTGAAGATGTGACACAGATCTTCATTTCTGAGAGGTCTGAGTCATCCATGGTACTGCCTATTTATTTTAATTACTGTAGCTTTTCATTACCTTTTAGTATGAACATAAAAGCACCAAGGGGAACCCAAGAAAATCCTGAGTTGATTCCAAATATGGCCCTCCCCCATTCTCTCTTTTATAATGTAGCTGCATCTGATTTCCCCTTAGTAATCAGGGTAAATCACCTCAGCCAGTGACATAATCCCCTACTTGACTGTTGTTTCTATGGCATGAGGTATTCAAAATGGCCAGGTGGCAGTCTTATCTTCCTATTCAGTGGAACCACTCATATGATCCCTGATGGAAGCATTCCTCCTTGGGAACTGACACTTCCAAATCAGCAGAGCTAAAAGTGGCAAGAAGAAGAAACAAAAAATCTATGAGTTGGCTGCTAAGAGGTCCTAGTGAGAGAAGGAGCTCCCTCTTCCACCCCTTAATTCCTGGACACATGTATTCTATCTATGGGGGAAACAACACCATATAATGGTCTCTGTTTTAAAGCATATATTGCATCCTTTTAGATAGAACTTCATCCTTTCAGGGTGTCGTCACCCAGGGGATTCCTGATTTTTCATTAAGTCTATCCACCTTTCAATTGTATCAAGCACTTTTGGGTGATGGGTTATATGATAAGACCAGTACTGAACTTCCTTTGATGTGAAATTAATTGTACAATCAAAAACAATGCTATGTGGAATACCATAATGAAGTATGTGGCATTCTGTGAGTCCACATATGGTGATGCTGCTATAAGCATTATGGATAGAGAAGATAATCCATACCCTGAATATGTGTCTATTATGATGAGGACAAATATCTGCCTCCTTGCCGTAATATGGATGTTTGTGTCCCATTCCCCCCACCAAATTCATATGTTCAGATCTTAATACCCAAGGTAATAATATTAAGAGGTGAAGTTTTTTGGGAGGTGATTAAGTCATGAGGGTAGAGCCCTAATGAATGGGAATAGTGTCCATATAAAAGAGACACAAGAAAGTCCCCTTGCTCCCTTCACCATGTGAGGACTCAGTGAGAAGGTACCATGTTTGAACCAGGAAGCAGGCTCTCACCAGACACTGAATCTGCCAGCATCTTATTCTTGTTCTTCCCAGCCTCCAGAACTATGAGAAATATTTTTTGTTCTATATAAGCTACCTTGTTTATTGTATTTTGTTATAGCAGCCTCAATGGACTGTGACACACATCCACAATGGAAGAGGTCCAATGTAACTGTCCTGCCACCAAGTTGCTGGCAGCTTTGCCCAGGGAACATTGCCATATCTGGAGCATAGTGTTGTTCTTTGCTATTTGTCAGGTTAGGACCTCACTAGTAATGGTAGCCAGATCAGCCTTCATTAGGGAAAGTCCATGTTTCTGTGTCCATAAGACCATTGGGCAAGAGGTGGGACAGATGGACAATTAGATTGATTGCCATGCACAGAAAATGTCCCCATTGAAAAGTAGTAGTCTTACTTAGACTACTGGGATTATGGGATAACAGAGCACACTCCAGTGTAGTATATGGTGCCTACAAAATCCAAAACTTGCCCACCAATCACTGAGCTTCTTTTTTCCAATGATGTAACAGGTACAGACAACACATACAGTGAAGCATAGATGGGTATATCCATCCTGCTACAGTACATTGACATACAAGAGAAGAGCTGAAATGTAGGATATAGAACTATACACACCAACGTAGGTAAATTTCACAATTATAATGGTTGAGTGGGAAAAAAGGTAGCATAAAAGTATGTACCAAATAGTAAGAAAAACATGTCAAGCTGTGTGTGTGTGTGTGTGTGTGTGTGCGTGTGTGTACATATATTGGATACACACACACATAGATAGCAAAGGTATCCAAAAGGCAGCAGGATGTTGAAGTGGAACTCTATTTAGTCTCAGACTTAGCTAATGCTTCCAAAATTGGTACCAAGTGCTTCACATCTTGCAAGGAGTTGCCTATCAGTGGAGGACTGGTAAAGAAGGCAATCACAAACAATCATGTAAGCTCTGACCACTCACCCATGTGTGAGTATGTACTCACATTAGAGAATCTGGGTGACTTGGAGAGCAGAGAGGCCCACTTAACAGAGGTTGAATAGTGTCCTCAGCTTACAGGAAGAAAATGCTCTTCACCTCAAACTTCCTGGAGTGATGGCACTTCACAGGGGCCACAAGAAGGGTTTGAATCAGCTTCTCAAAAGATAGTATCAGAAAGAAACTTAAAAAGGAATTAGGATAGCAGAAAGAGAAGAGAGGAGAGAAAGGGGAGAGAGGAAGAGAAGGGAAGAGAGAGAGAGAAATAGTATTTGGTTTGGTCTGGAGTATTCTGAAGGAAGTTTTCTCAAGAGATCTGTGTGGAGGCCTTATGTCAGGGAACTGTAGGGACTTGAGACCTAGTGATTTAGTCCCTGAACAGCCATTAATGCACTCACTTAAAAAAAAGAAAATCAGATTTAAACAGCTGCTAAACTCCATCCAGATAAGGGAGATGTTTACTGACCTGAAACTCTTGCCTTTCCCCCTGTTCAACAGACCCTGGTGGACCAGTATTTGCAAAAGGGGAGGGGTGCAGATGATGTCTGAGTACAAGTGGAAGGGTCACCACCCTTTCCCACTGCAGGCTGCAGCCTAGACCTAGCCTGAGCTGGGGGAAGCAAGAAGCTTTGATATGGGAAGATTAGAGTTGTGATGTTTATCTTGGACAGGGTGTACAAATTACTGAACACTGACCAAGTGGAATACTAAGGTCACAAAATACATGTTCTTATCTAGCAGTGATCAAAAAATGTGTAGGGCTAACTCTAGGATTGATAATAGGGAGCAGAGATGAAAGAACCCAGCAGAATGGACGTGGCTTGGACATTGGGAGGGGTTATGGGACAAAATAATTTGAATTTGGCCTCTACTTATTTTACACAACAGCCATACAGACATGAGAACGACAAATCCAAAATTCAGAATGGAGCTTACGTGAGGGACAAATGAAGTCCTTTAGTTTAAAGTTGCATTTTCTTTGCTGGGAGGTGAGTAAACAGGCAGTTCCTCTACTGTTACCTATACATTTCTGTATTGCTGATCTACTTCCCCACACCGTGGTTTTTCCAAAATATCACTTTTGTCCAATAACTCTTTTTATGGCAACTGAAGATGGTACATGAGCTCAGGCCCGTGTAATCTACCAGTCTTACCATCACCCAGAAGCATCTGGCCTTATACAGTGCTGGAATGGCCTGTTGAAAAGTCAATTGTAGCATTATGTAGGAAGCAGAAACTTGCAAGGTTGGAGGGCTGTCCTACAGGATATGGCTCTAGTTCTGGACCTGTAAGCAACCTATAGTGCCATTCTCCATTGCCAGGATGGGACACAGAATGACTCTCCCCACTCTTATGCCCCCCAAAAATGATTCACAGATTTTCCCCCTTCCTTTTCTCCAAAAATAGGACTTGGATAGTTTAGAGGCTAAAATATTTGAGCTAAGATGCCTCTTCCTTGGAAAATATCCACAGTTCCATTATCTTGGAAACTGACATTGACTCCTTGTTCCCTGTCCATTTTCAAGTCTTTGGATAACAAAAGTTGGGGTTGAGAAGGGGTCACTGTCCTGAATGGGTGAGTGATCCAGATGACCAAGGGGAGTTTGGATTGCTGCTTCCTAATGTGAGAAAGATGACGAGTTCTGTACCTGAGGGGATTCACTGGGGCACCACCTAGCACTTCCGTGTCGAGCTCTAATGTTCCACGGAAAATTGATGCAATTCCATAATGGTATCACTTCCAAAAATTCATATCTTTCAACAACAAATTCCTAGGTTATTCCACCAGGTACACATCCACCAACATTTCCAGGTGCTGACAGAGTATAAGAAATTAGTTTCATAGGGAGATAAGATGACTTTTCCTTCACCCATTCCATGAGAATGTGTAGGAAACTTTCTTGTAACCACTAAAGTTACAATTTAGGATCTGTGTGGTATTGTAATCAAATCGACCTCATATCGTGTGTTATGCAAGGGTATTTTTTCCTCTGATCAAAGCAACAGTGGGTGCTGGCTGTGGAAAAAAAATGGTGAATTGGTTAGATTATTCTCAGTTTGTTCAACCAGATATATGCTTCTCTACAAGGCTCTGTGTTCCAGAAGGCTGATACCATGGACCACATCACTTTGGCTTCCTTGCTCTCTGGTTAGTAGATGATTTGAGCAATGAGAGGCAGCAACCAGAAATGAAAGATTAGAAGAAGAGTGTCTCCTGACACCGTGTGCGCACTCTCCACTCAGCCTCTAATCCCTGGCAATCAGCTGCGTCCAGATTTCCCCAGAGGAGGCTACTTATGGCCTCCACTAAGATTTCCTGAGAAAAATCTCTTTAGGAGAATCTGGCCAAATCTCATCCCTCTCCTGCAGCCACTCCCCTTGTAAAATTTATTTGTGAGTCTGACTTCTGGGGACACAAGTCAAGCCCAATAAGGATATGCTGAGTAGCCACAGCCTTCCAGTAAATTTGAAGTGTAAGGGATTTTCCTCTTGAGAACTCAGCACACTATGCAACCCCTGTGAAGTGGGCTTCCTGGTCTCCAACCCACCCAGACTTCCAGTGTGAGTAGACACCCGCAGGTGGGTGAGTGGTCAGAGGTCACATGATTATGATTGCCTTCTTTACCAGGCCTCCATTGTTAGGCAACTCCTTGCAAGATGGGAGTTAGTTGGTATCAACTGTTTTGGGGCACTAGTCAAGTCGGAAACTGGACAGAGTTTCACTTGAATGTGCTGCTGCTCTAGTTTGGATAACTTTACTGTCTATGTATATATCCAAGTACTGCTTGGCACAATTGAGTAACTATTTGGTACATAATTCTGTGCTACTTGTTTTCTCACTCAGTATAATAGTGAGATTTATCTGCATGTAACTCTGTATCCTAAATTCTGTCTCTTCTGTTGTGTGGCCATGGAGTGTAGGAGGTTGACTGTTATTAGCCTCTGCTCCTGTGGGTTTGGCTCCTTCTTGCCCTACCTGCTGCTTTCTCAGCCTCCATTCCCCACCTTTTCTCCACCTCACAGCCACTGTTCGATGCTGGACTGCAGGTAAATAGTCACCGACGCAGGAGTGTCCAGGCAGCGTTCCCCGCAAAAGAGCACCCAGGAGGCCCCTGTACCTGGCAACCTCTAACCCCTCCCCTCCATTCTACAGCCAGCTGCATCCTCTGAGGAGAGGCTGGTGGCTCCTTTTTGGCAATGCTGAATCAGAGCAGGGACAGAGAAGGCAACAGGGACAGAGGGGAGGGTGAAAAGGACATAGAGGGGTTAAATTTTCTACCCCATAAAAAATCTAAGCCAGGTGAGGTGGCTCGCGCCTGTAATCACAGCACTTTGGGAGGCCGAGGTGAGTGGATTACGAGGTCAGGAGTTCAAGACCAGCCTGGCCAACATAGTGAAACTCCGTCTCTAATAAAAATATGAAATAAATTAGCTGGGCATGGTGGCAGGTGCCTGTAATCCCAGCTACTTGGGAGGCTGAGGTAGGAGAATCACTTGAACCCGGGAGGCGGAGATTGCAGTGAGCCGCGATTGTGCCATTGCACTCCAGTCTGGGCGACAGCGTGAGACTGAGTCTCAAAAAAAAAAAAATCTGGAGGAGACCTGACTAAGGGGCAAGAAAATACTAAGCCTAAGCCTTAGATGTAGGGGAGGGGACACAGGAGGGGCCTTGGGGAATGCTGGACAGGTTGTGAGAACACAGGGAATTGGAGAGGAGAGGAAGTGGGGACAGAAGGGCTGCTCACAGGCTTATTTTGCATCTTTAAAGGACGTTAAAGGACAAGAGAGATGCTTAGAATTTGTGATGGCTTTTGTAAAGTAAAAATAAAATCCTAAGCCCTCACCAACAAAATTGACCCTCCTTTGGCCAAGGGGACCCTAGAAGAACCTTAGAACTGAGTTCCTGGTCATGAGCAGATTGCAGGTCAGACAAGCCTCATTATACTCCCTCTCTTTTATGGTTTAGACACAACTCATCAGCATTAATGTTCAAATAGACATCATAATAAGGACAGAACAGACTTTTTGAGGCAATATGATACAAAATTATAAACAGTATTCAAGGATGTCAGGCAAGGGTTAAGCCATGCACCCTTACACTGAAATAATAAAGTATATTCCCACTGCCACAAGCTTTTCTTTTTCTCTAGCAGTTAAACAAGCACTGACCTAGAGATAAGCAATATTGAAACAATTGCAACTCACTTGTTGCCAGATGCTGACTAACTGACCCTCACTCTCCTATACCATAGCCATAACTACAGCTTTCACTGGGCAATCGATTGATTGATTGCAGTAACTATCTCCTAATAAGAAACCACCGACCATGGACTGGCTCTGGCTGGATTATAGAGATTGTGCACTTGTGTTCCTATGTGCCCTGAAAGATCTGTTGTCATATAGGGCCTAAATGTGATACAGTTAAATGTTATGCCTGCACCCCAAGGTGAACATGAGTGGTATGTTACAGGGATGTTTCTTGAAAACGAATGTGTGAGATCCTCCTTATGAATATTCATAGCTCCTCCTGTAACTTGTAGAATCTGTATGTTCAGCCAACCCATTCAGCATAAAGCTCCTGCCCCAAGCCTTCCTCCTTCCAAGTGCCGGTCTGTGGTCTTGGCCAGAGGCACACTTCCCAGCCTGTGGCATGGCTGCTGTGTAGGCTGCAACCCTTTCTAAGAAATAGAGTTTCTTAGACACTAAAGCATTTAGAAAACAGACCTATAGCCGGGCGCGGTGGCTCACGCCTGTAATCCCAGCAATTTGGGAGGCCGAGGCGGGTGGATCACAAGGTCAGGAGTTTGAGACCAGCCTGGTCAAGATGGTGAAACCCCGTCTCTACTAAAAGTAAAAAATTAGCCGGGCATGGTGGCAGGCGCCTGTAGTCCCAGCTACTCGGGAGGCTGAGGCAGGAGAATTCCTTGAACCTGGGAGGAGGAGGTTGCAGTGAGCCAAGATCGTGCCACTGCACTCTAGCCTGAGCAACAAAGCCAGACTCCATCTCAAAAAAAAAAAAAAAAAAGAAAGAAATACAGTTTCCTTGTCTCCTTTTATAAATTTAAACATTATGATTTTACATAAGTTAACACTTTTGTGGTTCACCTTATGTAAGTTTCATCTTACTCCTAACTTGGGCTTGCCAATATCCACCATGGCTCTGACCTTTTTGCTCTCCCTGTCCCCACTTCACCTTTAGCTCTCACTTCTTAGTGACCAATTGCCCATATAATTCCCATTTCAGGTTTTTTGGAGTGAGTATCTGACTTGCTCAGCACATTCCTTGGGGACAGAGCTTTTTGAATGGGAGCCATCTCACATGTCTTGTTGGACTATCCGACGGCTTCCCTTCAGGAAAATTAACTCTCTTTGATTAGCTGTGGCCTGAAGGTTTGTTTGACATGCCAAAAAAAAAAAAAAAAAAAAGCCACCAGGACATTCTACTTTCCTGGGGACAATGAGCAGGGCAATTGCCTCTAGTAGGCTCTGTGGACATGATATCTGCAATGTTAAAGCATACCCCACACTCCCAACCCAGCTGTTGGTCTGCTCTTAAACAATGTCTTTTCACTAGGACAAGCATTAGGTTTTAGAGGGGAACACCAGGGCTGTCTCTCCAAAATGGCTAGGGAGAAGAGTCTTTGCTCTTTGAATGCCAAGTACTACATCACTACTTCACAGTGTTTTTCAGATTGATGGTGGGGGACATCTGGTGTGCAGCATGATCTCACTCTCTGCTCCGTGTCTGAGCACCCCTGCACTGTGCGTTAGGATGAACAAAAGCCCCTTCCAGTGTAACCCAAGTAAGCCCTGTCAGCAAACACATATCCAATCCAAAGGAGTGAAATGACAGACTGTTTTAATAGCTCAAACATGGGAGGAGTTTATTGTTCTAATTATAATTAATATCTCAGAATTCTGGGCAGGCCTCAGCACATAAGCCACATGACTCTTTGTCCAAGGCCATGTTCACCCTGGAGTTGCTTTATGACAGCATCCATATCCACCTTGACAGGTTGATGTCGCTTCTGTGCCTGCCCAGTTGTCTGTTGATTAAAAAGACCAGCACATTTTGGGTGGGCTTCTTGCATTTGAAGGACTTGTCAGGCTTCTTGATGTTCAGTGCAAGCTTGTTGGGACTGGCTTTAGGGAGTTATTTATCCATGACGCAGCGGCTCCAAACAACCTCAGGAAGATAGCTCAACTAAGAAAGCCTGAAAAAGATGATGAATTCCAGGTAATCAAGTGGACCTGGGACCTCTTCTTCACTGCCACACACCCACACAGCCACATATCAAGCACACGCACACACACAAACACACACACACTCGGCTACCAGCAGTAGTCACAGGCGATTGCTTTGGGCCATCATCTGATTTGAAATGCCAACCATATCATTTATTCAATCTGTCTCACACATGGGGCTGTATAGGAGCCTGACGGGACCCGGAACATTAAGGATACACTGTTGCATCAACCCGATCTTCATCTGACACACACAGACTTGTTAGATTGCACTCAAAGCACTAGCTTAAACTCAAGTGTTAATGTAATTCTTATATCCACACTAACTTTAACTCAATTTTATGTTGCTCTTTTGCAGAGCTGCCTTCTTCTCACCTCTGTCTCCTTTGAATATCATTGGTGAAGCAGGTATGGCTCTTACTCCAACCCGCAGTGTAAGAAATAAACTGTACATTCTCAAGCGATACCTAGTTTCTGTTTCTAAGGCCCATCCTGCTGAGTTTCCATCTGGGGAACGTAATCTCAGTGATTTAAAGATTGTACTCACCTCTGATACCTGACCCTGTCTCACCCTCAAAAATGCTGTGTGGTATTTTATTTGAATCTGGCACAATGCCAAGGCCAGGGGTGGATGCCAACTGTGTTCTCAATTTTGGGCTCCCAAGAGAGATTAAAGGACTTGCCCAAGGCTACAGAGAGGTGAGACTGGAACTGAGAAAGCCTATATCTGAAGCCTTGTGCTCCTACCCACTCTTCTATAGTGTCTCTGTATCACTTTGAACAAATGACTCTCCCATACCCTCCCCTGATTACCAAACAGGGTTGGGGTTTATCAGATAGGTTAGTTAGGTAATGGCACAAAAGGATGCTCTATGATCTTAGTATATCAGGATATTTTACCTGTCAGGCCACTCAGATTGCTTTTTAAGAAAGATCTGGACCAGAGGGTAAACAGTAAGAGGAAACATACTTTGGCACTCTCTCTCTTTCCCTGAGTCCCAGGGCCTTATTGGTTCAGTACAAAGTGAAGTCATGGTTACTACGGTGACTCACAATTGCCCTCAGAACCTAGTGCCAACAGTATGCAAGATTCAAACACTGGCCACCATCCCTGGCTTCCTTCGGGTTCAGGACTCAATAGGGTGAGGGAATTTGCTGGGTGAGGAAGCAGGTATATCCTGTGGCTGGGCGCCATCTGCGTCTCTTTCCTGGATGAAACACTCAGCTATCCTGGCCTCAGAGCTTCTTCCTGGCTTGTACAAAATTCCTTCATTAAAATTTCTTCTTTGTGTAGATAAACAGCACCCACTGCATCTTGCCAGGTTCCCTGGGTAGTGATCAGCAACTTTGTCTGCCATGTTCCAATCAGGGAATTAGTCTCAGGTCGAATTTCCCACTTACTTGTCAATCTCTGCATCCTGCCTTGGTCATGACTCTGCAATTACTCCTTCTATAATATATAATTCATGTAAATGGAGTGTTTGTTTAGTCGCAGAAATTAAACACTGCAATTTGACACTGCTGTGTCTCACACACCTACCCCCCTCCCAAAGCTCAGTGCAGTGGAGCTCCATACTTTTATTATGTGAACCTAGGATGCAGGTGGGCTTTTAATGCTTTGGAAAATCTTATGCTAAAACTGGTCCAGTTCCTTGAGACACACTCATATGTCTCAAGCCGTAGTCCCTTCCAAGTCTCTGATCTAGAATAACTATATTGTTGTCATTAAAGTGTGACCCATGTGAGTATTGTCTAGATGCAGGACATGATTTTCCAGGCTGTCCAAGTGTATTAGTCAGGGTTCCCTTAGAGGGACAGAACTAATAGGAGATATATATATATATATATATATATATATATATATATATATATATATGAGTTTATTAAGTATTAACTTACACGATCACAAGGTCCCACAATAGGCTGTCTGCAAGCTGAGGAGCAAGGAGAGTCAGTCTGAGTCCCAAAATTGAAGAACCTGGAGTCTGATGTTCGAGGGCAGGAAGCATCCAGCAGGGGAGAAAGATGTAGACTAGGAGGCCAGGCCCGTCTCAATAGTTCACATTTCTCTGCCTGCTTTATATTTGCTGGCAGCCGATTAGATTGCGCCCACCAGATTAAGGGTGGGTCTGCCTTCCCCAGCCCACTTATTCAAATGCTAATCTCCTTTGGCAGCACCCTGTAGACACACCTAGGATCAACACCCTGCATCCTTTAATCCAATCAAGTTGACACTCAGTATTAACCATCACAAGTCCGCCCCTTGTCAACTTGAACCCATACACATCTCCTCAGAGCACACATAATCTTCAAATAAAGACAATAATAAGGTCATAATTATGTCTAACATAATACAACTATCCTTCATACAACTGGAAACGCACCAATCCCCAACCCAAATATTATTACATAAAGTTAACAATACTAAATGCTGATATAAAGTCAATAAATCTTATGTCACATGATAAAGGAAATAAAATAAAGATATTTTCTTAGTACAAGTGTATACATGCACAAACATGTTTTTAACAAAAGGAGAAAATAATCATGACAACTACAGTCCTCATTTCTGCAGCTGGTCACGTGGTCATAGCTGGTATTGATGACTACCTTCTTCTACTACCCATTCTGTATTCCCTTTGCCTTCAGCAAACACCTCCGCAGGTCATGGTCTTTTTCCTGGTGGAGCGACTGAAACCTTCGTTCCTGAAGGGTCTGGGTCATTTGTAGTCCTGCCTAGATTGGGCTGTTGTAGTTTCCCATTGGCCTTAATCACAGGGCATGGTAATACTAAGAGACGCCCTAATGAATCTCCTGTATTCCATGCATACACTTTTTTTTTTTTTTTTTGAGACAGTCTTGCTCAGTCACCCAGGCTGGAGTGCACAATCTCGGCTCATTGCAACCTCTGCCTCCCGAGTTCAAGCGCTTCTCCTGCCTCAGCCTCCTGAGTAGCTGGGATTACAGGTGCGTGCCACCACGCCTGGCTAATTTTTGTATTTTTAGTAGAGACGGGGTTTTACCATGCTGGCCAGGCTGGTCTCGAACTCCTGACCTCAAGTGTTCCACCCGCCTCAGCCTCCCAAAGTGCTGGGATTACAGGCATGAGCCACCGTGCCCAGCCCATGTGTACTCTTTCTTATCTCCGTTGTGGAGTAGTAGGCTGATTTCATCTTGATAGTCTGGGTCAGTCACCCCAGTCAACACTATAACTTCCTTCTTAGCCTGTTGACTTAAAGGTAGGAGGAGCCCAAAGCGTCCAGGTGGCAACCTTAACTTCCACTTTAATGGAATCGTTGTTGTGTCTCCTAGTGGCAGCATTCCTCCCTCTGGAACTAAGACCTCTAGGCCAGCAGAATGTAATGTCATGGGAACAGGAAGCAAAAATTTTGCTCTCATTATCACATTCTTTTTTTTTTTTTTTTTTTTTGAGACGAAGTTTTGCTCTTGTTGCCCAGGCACTGTGCAATGGCACAGTATCAGCTCACTGCAACCTCCACCTCTCGGGATCGTGTGATTCTCCTGCCTCAGCCTCCCAAGTAGCTAGGATTACAGGCGCCTGCCACCATGCCCAGCTAATTTTTTGTATTTTTAATAGAGACAGGGTTTCACCATTTTGGCCAGGCTGGTCTTGAACTCCTGATCTCAGGTGATCCGCCCACCTCGCCCTGCCAAAGTGCTGGGATTACAGGCATGAGCCACTGCGCCCAGCTTCATTATCACTTTCATCATCAGGAGGGCAGGAAGCATCCAGCACAGGAGAAAGATGTAGACTGGGAGGCTAGGCCTGTCTCTACCTTTCACTTTTCTCTGCCTGCTTTATATTCGCTGGCAGCTGATTAGACTGTGGCCACCAGATTAAGGGTAGGTCTGCCCATTTACTCAAATGCTAATCTCCTTTGGTAACACCCCACAGACACACCCAAGATCAACAAACCTGCATCCTTCAATCCAATCAAGTTGACACTCAGTATTAACCATCACACAGAGGGACAACGGTAAGGACAGGGCTTTGTGTTTTTTGTAATGGGTTCTCATGAGGAACTAAAATGACTATTATGAGGAGACGTGGCTTGCCTACACACTGGCTGCCCACTCAATCTTATGTAAGAACTGAGGAAATTGAGGTTCCTGTAAAGGGACCCAGCACACTCCCTTTCCTGAGTGGCAGGGAAGGAAGGCTCAGTCTTCCGGGTTTTCTTCTACCCCACGTAGAACCATGTAAAGACCACGAGGCCATGTTCAGTGTCCTAAACAATTTGAAGAGGGAAGAGAACTTATAGGTATAGAATATTTTAACAAAGAAAGTGGAAAACTGTCTTTCTCTTAAGGAACTGACATCCTAGAAAACCAAGGCAATCACCTAGGAAGTAGGCCAGGAGAGGCTGACTGACAGAATCTAAAAGCATAAAAATTTGCATTGTAGGCCAGGCACAGTGGCTCATGCCTATAATCCCAGCACTTTGGAAGGCTGAGTGGGGTAGATCGCTTGAGCCCAGGAGTTCAAGAACAGCCTGGGCAGCATAAGGTGATCCCATCTCTACAACAAAAATAAATAAATGAAAAATTTACATGGTCTTCCAATAAATAGGGAATATAATAGAAATAAAATATCTTACATTTGTCACAATCGTTATGAAACACCTAGAAAAATGGTGAAGACACATATAAGGAAAACACACACAACTTTTTATGAGCTTCCAGTTTGAATATTCAAATAAGATTTTAAAATACTACATTTTTCTGAAAATGAAGATCAATTTTTGCAATGGCATCAATTCTCCTCTAAATAAATCAGTGAATCCAGTGCAATCCTAATCATAAGTCGCAGCAGAATTTTGAGTGTTTGTGTAACTGGAAGACCAGATGAAATTATACTGCGAAAAATGTGAAGGATTATGTAAAAGGGGGAGCTTGTCATTCTGGACTTGAAACTTACTCTGTAGGATTGGTAAATGAAACAGGAATTGATAGACATGTCCACGGACCAACATAGAGATTCTAGAAATATATTCATGCAAAGCCGACTCTTTTGGTCAAGCGCGCGTGTGTGTGTGTGTGTGTGTGTGTGTGTGTGTGTTAGGGAGGGGAAATGCAGAGGGGTTTCCAGGACTACTTGGTGCTTCTCCTTCAGGTAATTCTGGATTCCATCAGCTTTCACAGGTATCTCTTCTGTGCTGTCTTCCTGAAGCCATCTGTGGAGTCAAGCAGTCATGGCTCAGGGACACTTTGAAGTAGGTACCAGCACATCTGCACGGAGCATCAGGAGGAAGGCAGATGAATACTTAAGACCCAGCCTGGCCGCTAAATACGTGCTGAACATTTTACTCAGTAGACAGCTTGGGAATCACAAAAATGACACGGATCTGACAGAGTCACTGTGGACGCTGGCACAAGCCACACCAGGCTGGAGCTGGCCTTTGCCAACACACCATGGCATCAACTCACCTCTGCCCTCTGGCGAGGATGGAAAATCCAAGAAAATAGTGTGGATCAATAAATCCTTCCCCTGATGCAACCAATTACAAATGGAAGCTGTGTTGCTTTTGGTTGGACGTGGCTTTTGTTCATGTGGTTTCTTGACTTCTGAGCCATCTCTGTGCTACCAGAGGTCACAAGCAGATGAACTCTATCTACTCCCCCTTGAAAGTGTGTTTACTAATGTTGCAGAGTCTGGGGGTGCTGGAGTAAACAGGGGCCCTGTTTAGAGAAGCTGGAAGGGAGGCTGAGTGGACACATGGAGAGGCCATGCAGCCTTAAATTTCTATTGGGAGGGGGCTTTAAGGAACCCACTTAGAGGTCTTGATTTGTCTCCCTTGATGTTTGGAGTAGTCAGTGGTTAAAAGTTGGAATCAAAATTGAATTTAAAATGGGAGTGGTTTGTAAAGGGGGGAGGGAATTCTCTCAAGATAAAGGGAGCTAATGAAGCAACTAGAAACGCCCCAGAAATAAAGAATTGTCTTTGAATTTTTGGTGCAAAGTAATTTTGAGCCTACATTACTTTTAGCCAGACATTCAAGTGTGAGGGTAAATTAGCATGCAAGGTGTTCAAATGTACTTTCCCTGGAAATAGACCCTGAGACACACTTGTGCGTAGAAAGTGCTTACTTGGGATGGAGTCCCAGATAGCACTGGTAGGGGGGTGGGGACGTGAGACACACAAGGAAGGCAGCCAATCAAAGGTGGGGAGAACTATCTAGCAGGTTACCACTGTGGGCAATTGGAGCTAATTCCCAGGGGGACCCTGTGGGAGACTGTGTGGAACATATACCTCACATTCATCCCAAGTGTAGGGTGAAGAGGCTGGGGGTATTTAGCCACTAAATACCCAACCATACTTGTTAAAGCACTTCCCCCAGGGGTGATATAAATCTCTGTCACCTCCACCTTGCCTTGTTTGATGTTCAGCATGGTCCAAAGGTGAGAAAAAAAGCCCCTAAGGCAGAGAGTCATGTGTAGTAAGTAGCCCTATAGATCCAAAGGTGAGACTTAGCTCTGCAGAGCCAAGACTCATGGGTGTTTTTAGTAACTTGCCTTGAGATTTAGAGGTGAGACCTGAGGGGATACAGGAAGACCATCGCAGGAGTCTGCTATACAAGGATTTAAAAAATATACTACCATATCAATTTGGGACCTAACAGCAAACAGAATTTGAATCAGATAGTTCAAGTAGTCATACTCTAATAAAGGAACCACTTGCATATGTAGGCAGAGAGAAGATACCACATAGGCTGTTTGGATCAGCAAGAATGGGAAATTTTTAGGAAACCTGGAATTTCAGTGGCAAGGGGAAGAAATAGTGTTATTGGCTAGCACTAAAAAACACCACTAACCAACAGCTGTAATTGTAGAGTGAGAACTCCACTGCCAGAGATACAGTGACAAGTAACGCTTGTGGTGAGGTTGGCCTCTCTCCTCCCACTCTTGGATTTCTTGCAGTTGCCTACCACTGGCCAAACCCAACTATTAGCTGAAGGCAAGGAAGCCCAGGTAATGTAGTCTACAAGCCTCAGTCTCCTAGGGCACATAGCTTGCAGAAAAGGTTACAGGATATATCTAGGTGGACAAAACAAAAATAACCAACACACTTCATTCCTACTGTCAATTGCTAAAACTCATCTACTGTTGCCATTTACTCAGATGGAAAAACACTCTTCACAACATAAGGAAGATACAAAGGCCCATCAGTCAACATATTATCATGGGGTGATGTCAAACCAATCATAATCCCACCTGTAACCCAAATTATAACCTTAATGATTACCAGTACTTTTTCAATAGTCATGAAAATCACAGGGAGAAAGCATTCTCACTTTTCTTCCTGTGACATCAATTCCACGTTCTCCTTAATCTATGCTGGCAGCTCAAGTTCCTGGTGAATATTTACCTGGCAGGGTGACTCAAGCATTCATTGCCAAAGGATCTGAGTCCTTGCAGGTGATGTCATCATGGAGTTGCATCAGTTTTCCACTGAACTTTAGAACTGGACTTGGGAGTGCTAAGTGATGCCCCAGTGAATCTCCTCAGTTCCAGAAGTAGTCTTCTTTTCCCCATTGTGATGCAGCAACCCAAATTCCCTTTGGTAATCTGGATGAGTCACTCACTCTTTCAGTATGGTAATTTCTTCTCAATTATCGGTTTTTTGGGGCAAGGGGATGAAAATGGACAGAGGACAATAGCTCAGTGTCAGTTTCCAATTTAATGGAACCATAGATACATTTCTTTGGAGAGTCATTCTTGATTTGAGCTTTTAAAATTCCAAACCACTAAGCCTAATTTTGGGGGAAAGAAAAAGGAGAAAATATGTAAGTAGGTTTCGGGTGTTTAAATTCTGGTCTTGGTTATTTTTCATACATTTTCTTAAAAATGACAGGTAGGGAAATGAATCATCTGACTGAGTGCTTGTGGGTTTTATGACAGTAGATGCTATTCAGCCTCTCCAGTCAGTTGCCAAAGAATACAGTTTGGAATTTTGTTATACAAAACAATTGTTATTTAATGTCCTTTTATTATTTAACTAAAATTTGGGACTGGTCTTTTTCAAAAGCTTTATTTAACTTACTCTCTTCTTTTTAATTTATAAATAAGGAAAGTATTTGGCTAAGTGCTTATGGTTTTATGCCACTGAATATCCCCAAGCTGCCAGCAAGGCTAGTTTTGTGTTTTGTTTTATAACATAAATGTATTTTCTATAACATTCTGCTGTTTAAAAATTCTTATTATTTAATACCTTTCCTTGTCTAATAACGTGATGGTTAATTTTATGTGTCAGCTTGGCTGGGACAATGGGTGCCTAGATATTTGGTCAAACTTTATTCTGGGTGTGTCTGTGATGGTGTTTCTGGATGAGATTAACATTTGAATTAGTAGACGGAGTAAAGTAGATTGCCCTCCATCATGTGAGTGGGCTTCATTCAATCAGTTGAAGGCCTGACTAGAATAAAAAGGCTGACCTTTCCTCAAGTAAGAAGGAATTTTTCCTGCCTTTGGACTCAATCTGAAACATTGGCTTTTGTGGGGCCTGAAGTCTGCCAGCCTTTAGAATGGAACTACCTGTGAACCCCGAACATCTGAGACAGGTCTCAGTTAATTTAGAAAGTTTATTTTGCCATGAGAATGTGCACCCGTGACACAACCTCAGGAGGTCCTGACAACATGTGCCCAAGGTGGTCAGAGCACAGTTTAGTTTTATGCATTTTAGGGTGACATGAGTCATCAGTCAATATATGTAAGACGAACATTGGCTTGGTACGGAAAGGTGGGACAACTGGAAGCAAAGGTGGGACAACTCAAAGTGGGGAAGGGAGTCCCAAGGCATAGGTAGATAAGAGTTTCTATGCTTCATTACGTTTATTGATTTGCATATGTTGAACCAGGCTTGCATCCCAGGGATGAAGCCCACTTGATCATGGTGGATAAGCTTTTGGATGTGCTGCTGGATTCGGTTTGCCAGTATTTTACTGAGGATTTTTGCATCAATGTTCATCAGGGATATTGGTCTAAAATTCTCTTTTTTTGTTGTGTCTCTGCCAGAGTTTGGTATCAGGATGATGCTGGCCTCATAAAATGAGTTAGGGAGGATTCCCTCTTTTTCTATTGATTGGAATAGTTTCAGAAGGAATGGTACCAGTTCCTCCTCGTACCTCTGGTAGAATTTGGCTGTGAATCCATCTGGTCCTGGACTTTTTTTTGGTTGGTAGGCTATTGATTATTGCCTCAATTTCAGAGCCTGTTATTGGTCTATTCAGGGATTCAACTTCTTCCTGGTTTAGTCTTGGGAGGGTGTATGTGTCCAGGAATGTATCCATTTCTTCTAGATTTTCTAGTTTATTTGCATAGAGGTGTTTATAGTATTCTCTGATGGTAGTTTGTATTTCTGTGGGATCAGTGGTGATATCCCCTTTATCATTTTTTATTGCGTCTATTTGATTCTTCTCTTTTCTTCTTTATTAGTCTTGCTAGTGGTCTATCAATTTTGTTGATCTTTTCAAAAAACCAGCTCCTGGATTCATTGATTTTTTGAAGGGTTTTTTGTGTCTATTTCCTTCAGTTCTGCTCTGATCTTAGTTATTTCTTGCCTTCTGCTAGCTTTTGAATGTGTTTGCTCTTGCTTCTCTAGTTCTTTTAATTGTGATGTTAGGGTGTCAATTTTAGATCTTTCCTGCTTTCTCTTGTGGGCATTTAGTGCTATAAATTTCCCTCTACACACTGATTTGAATGTGTCCCAGAGATTCTGGTATGTTGTGTCTTTGTTCTCGGTGGTTTCAAAGAACATCTTTATTTCTGCCTTCATTTCGTTATGTAGCCAGTAGTCATTCAGGAGCAGGTTGTTCAGTTTCCATGTAGTTGAGCGGTTTTGAGTGAGTTTCATAATCCTGAGTTCTAGTTTGATTGCCCTGTGGTCTGAGAGACAGTTTGTTATAATTTCTATTCTTTTACATTTGCTGAGGAGTGATGTACTTCCAACTATGTGGTCAATTTTGGAATAGGTGTGGTGTGGTGCTGAAAAAAATGTATATTCTGTTGATTTGGGGTGGAGAGTTCTGTAGATGTCTATTAGGTCCACTTGGTGCAGAGCTGAGTTCAATTCCTGGATATCCTTGTTAACTTTCTGTCTCGTTGATCTGTCTAATGTTGACAGCGGGGTGTTAAAGTCTCCCATTATTATTGTGTGGGATTCTAAGAAAATGTGGCACATATACACCATGGAATACTATGCAGCCATAAAAAATGATGAGTTCATGTCCTTTGTAGGGACATGGATGAAGCTGGAAACCATCATTCTCAGCAAACTATCACAGGACAAAAAACCAAACACTGCATGTTCTCACTCATAGGTGGGAATCAAACAATGAGAACACATGGACACAGGAAGGGGAACATCACACTCTGGGGACTGTTGTGGGGTGGTGGGAGGGAGGAGGGGTAGCATTAGGAGATATACCTAATGTTAAATGACGAGTTAATGGGTGCAGCACACCAACATGGCACATGTATACATATGTAACAAACCTGCACGTTGTGCATATGTACCCTAAAACTTAAAGTATAATAGTAAAAAAAGAGTTTCTAATTAGCCTTTCCAAATGAGGCAATCAGATATGCATTTATCTCAGTACGCAGAGGGATGACTTTGAATAGAATGGGAGGCAGGTTTGCCCTAAGCAGTTCTCAGCTTGACTTTTCCGTTTAGCTCAGTGATTTGGGGGTCCCAAGATTTATTTTCCTTTCACATATCCCATCAGCATTCCTGGGTCTCAAGCTTGCTGACTCACTCTGCAGATCTTGGGACTTGTCAGCCTGCATAATGTGTTAGGCAATTCCTTATAACACATATAAGCAATACGATATATATATACACACACACATATATAATACTAAAAATTATATATAATATGCATCATATATTAAATATATATAAATATCCTATATTGTGCGTATACAATGTGCTCTAATATGTATGTACATGTGTGTATACACGTATACATATACACACACATACATATATATTAGGGCATATATATATATATATATATACACACATATATATATATATATATATACACATATATATATATATATATATATATATATACACATATATATATATATATATACACCCTATACCTTATTGGTTTTGTTCCTCTGGAGAACCCTAAGTAATACAACTAGTATTTTTAAAAATATTTAAATTTTTTGTGGTGTTTCCAGTGTAAAATTTTACACATTGAGCATCAGACTGGTCAAGCCCCTGTTGTTTAATAACAGCAAATGCCTAGAAGTGCCACTGAAAGTAGTTTGGCATTTCATTCGCCAAAACAATTGCATGTTGAATGTCATGTTATTCAATTGAATTTGACCATTTGTTCTTTTTTTGTAAATTTCCCTTTGAAAAGTAGAACATGTTCAATTTGCAAATGAGGAAATTAATGGTCAAATTAAGTACTCTTTGTTTTCAGGAAGCGAATGGCTATTGGAGGTCATGTCGTACACTTTTGAATTTCATTTGACAGCATAATTGTGTATTTAATATAATGGTATTTCTTTTAATTTTGGACTCAACCCTCTTTCCCAGGTATCTTGCATAAAAAGATGTGCGTGGTGGTTTCTATTTACAAACAAGGAAGATGGGAGTTGTCATGGTTTCTATTTACAAACAAGGCGGATGGGAGTTGTCAGGAGTCAGGCTGGTCAGGACAAATAATGGTGAGAATAGGCTTCCCTATCTTAGGGTTCACTGGGCCCATCCCTTTGGCCACTCTGTGCTGACTGTGCCTTAATACTTCCAATGTGCACATATTGGCTGATGAAATAGTTCCTTGAGTGCCTATTTATATTTATGCCTCCATTTTGTGACAACTAACGTGTAGTCAAGGGGAGAACTGAAAGAAAGGAAAACTCTTGTCTCTTTCAAAAACCTGAGAACCATAATTACTGACAGTAACCTGAATCTTGCTTTAAGATAAAACAAGAATTCTTCCCTTTTATATCATTCTATTTAAGTTGGCTTATTAGCATTTGTCTGGTTCATTCTTGATATTGACTTGCATTATGTATGTTAGCTCAAGTAGAAATAATTCAATGACTTCTTTAGTGAAGTAACATTGGTGTTCTCCAAATATCACCTTCCTGGATTACATTTAAAGTGAGAAGGATGGATTGCTGGTACTTGGATCATAGCGCACCTCTGCCCTTGGTACTCCATGTCACCCAAATTTCAGAAATTGTGACATTACCTAGCCTCAGAAATCCTGGATTCAGTCAGAGCCCTAGACCTTGAACATTATCTAAGTGTGGAAATCAGGTCCAGGTATCAGGCTTGAAGGCACTTTAATTGCATCCCCATTTCCAGTATGATCCTAGGGGCATACTTTCCAATTAAGAACAAAGTCCTCAAATCCTATATTATATGAGCGAATGTTCAATTTCATCCATTGTCTTCTATTCCAAGAGCTTACGCTTGTTGTCAGATGGCAGCAACCCCATTTATAATATGGAATTCTTAACAAAATTGTTTTGAATGTTATTAGTTTGCTTCTAATGTAAGAAATTTTCCAAATTACTATGTTACTAATTAATGACACTAATATACCATAAAATGCAGTTGTATCATGTGCATTTCATGGCATTAAGTGTCGTAGTGGGTAACATAGGAAGAAGCGCATAAAACCCATTTCAAAAATTTATTAGCCACAATCTTGCATAGTATATGAGTGTCTGTAATTGGTAACAAAGTAAGAACTCAAACCCCATTTTAAGGGTTACCCATAATTCTGAATGGGTCATTAGCCTGGATACTGAAGAATAAACTGAACTCTTTTGTACCTCTCCCTTCTAACAAATAAGTGGCTTTGCTTCTCAGTATAATGTTTTATAATTACTCTATAATGTTCCATTAAAGTAGGATGAACTATATTTCCTTCGTAAGGGGTGTTTAGGCCTCTGAGGCAGCAATCTTATCTGATACTGTGGTTTTTTTCGTGCAGTCCCTACCTGTATTGGTTTCCTGTGGTTGCCGCAACAGGCTGTCATAAGTTGGGTGGCTAAAAACAACAGAAATGTATTCTTTTACAGTTCTGGAGGCCAGAAGTCTGAATTCAAGGTATCGGCAATGCCATGCTCCCTCTGAAGGTTCTAGGGAGGAATCTTTCTTTGTCTTTTCCCAGCTTCTGGTGGCTATTGGCAATTCTTGGCATTCCTTAGATTGTAAATGCATCACTCCGATCTCTGCCTCCATTTTCACATATCTTCCTTTGTGTATCTTCTTTGTGGGTGTCTCTGTGTCTTCTCCTCTTCTTAGAAGAACACCCGTAATGGATTCATGGCCCATTCTAAACCCAGGATGATTGCACATGGAGAGGAGATCCTTAATTATATTTGCGAAGACTCTATTTCCATATAGGGTCATATTCAGAGGTTCCTGATGGACATGAATTTTGGGGGACATGATTCAATCTACTACATCGTTTGGCATTACCATTCACTCTTTTGGATTACTTTGCACAGGCTGCATGACTGAGTACCCTGGGGTCAACAACCATTTTCAGAAGTTCCTCTGGATAAAGCAAAGAGGAAGTATGTCCCAACCACTCACCTAAATGAGTTTCCAAGTTACATAATTTTTCTGCAGTGGCGCTGGGCTGTC
Source organism: Homo sapiens (assembly GCF_000001405.40). Classification (NCBI taxonomy): domain Eukaryota; kingdom Metazoa; phylum Chordata; class Mammalia; order Primates; family Hominidae; genus Homo; species Homo sapiens. The sequence continues at coordinate 135,383,716 of NC_000023.11, read as the reverse complement.
CACCCACAGGCAAGTCTTTTGGCAGATTCATACAGTCACCATCTCCTGTAGAACCTGTGATGGAAAAGTCCAGTACCGGTGAGCCTATGGGCCTGTAATATGAAGAGGGTGGAATGGAATCACTTGTCAAGATCACCTAGACAAGTTCAGGGTATCCTTATGGTGTGCAAGGTTACGGGTGTTTTGTGAAGGGCAGTTCCCTCTTCCTGTCCCCTGTGCATCATTAACAATGATATGAAAAGCCCTTCCTGGAGATGCTAAAGATAGGGACTGCCAACAGTGGCAGTCACTCCCTGAGTACTGCTGACTCATTCCATGATAGAGACCCTGTTTCTATAACCTGTTCCTTTCATTAGACAGGGGGATCTTTTTCTAGTCCTTATTTGTGTTCCTCATGTACCCTATGGGAGCCACTGTTATAGAGACATTGACAAACTTAGACTGTTCTGATTTCAAATAAACCTGATTTTGACTTTTTTAACACCAAAGTTTTGATCTTTATTTTTATCTTTTTTTTTGTTTTGGAAAGGCTTGACATAGCGGGAAGCAGCAGGAGGGTAGACTGGATGAGATTGTAGAAAACAAACTTCAGGAGTCCAGGGAATGTGGGAGTGCTGCTCAGGTGCCTTTGTCTCAGGGGTGACAGCATGGATTGGAATGTTATTTAAAGCTAGCTCTATCTATGAAAAAGGGGAAAATGGAACCTGTGGACCAAGTGGATGGTGGGGAGTGGTAGTCTGCCAGTGTCTTCTTGTAGTGATGGAGTGGAGTGGGCTTCTGCTAGGGGTCCTGGAGGCATAAGCCAGAAATTAACATAATATGTAGGCCAATACTTCTCAAAATCTTTACTTTCCATACATCGTTGTCCATTTTCTTGCTTTGCAGATATTGCTGAGACCACAAAGCATGTTTTATTCACAATAAGTCTCCAGTGTCTGAGTTTGAAAGACCTTTGGCTCATTCTCACCAACTTTCATCTTCAAGCCTGAGTATCTTCAGTCATAAAATGGGAATCATACCTTGCTACCAGGGATGTTATAGGATTGAGTGTGATTATCTTTGTTAAGTGCCCAGCACACAGAAGGTAGTACCCCTGTTTCCTTAATCCATAATTAGTTCCCCATTTTCTTAATCCAAATATTGGAGCAGAACATTATGGTGCCTGGTTTAGTATTTCTTCCTACACAACCTCCCATCCCCCACGCACACTCAAGCACACTAGACTTTTGTCATCATTTCCTTTAATTGTTTGTTTCCTTTCCCAGGGCCAGCAAGTTTCCTCAGAGATTACATGGGCTTCTCTTTGGAAACTACACCTCTGTAATACTGCAGGAAAGCAAGTGGTGGCCCAGAACCCAGGGCTTTTTCCTTGCTCTGAGCCATGTTCTTTTCTGGCCAATTCAAGACATTTTACATGGATGCTGACTTAGCTCAGTGCCCAGCAGGACTTACTATGATCTGTCCAGCTGTATGGGCTGGAGGGCGCCTGTTAACTAGCATTGCCAGAAAGGTCTCTGCTCTTTTCCAGCCTATATGAAGTCACTTCTTTTCTGGGCACACATGATTAATTCATTGATGATCAAAGAATCATCAAAGCAAAGACTTTTGATAATTTCAGGGGAGGAATTGCTAAATATAAATATGAACTATTATAAAATGTTCTCAAATGTACACTGTAGGTGCTGCTGTTGATCTTTACTTTTATCCTTTTGACCTTTTTTCTCAGGTTTTTGACCTTTCTTCTCAGTAGATAACTCTGGTGATTCTATTCTTCTATATGCATGGGTTTCATTCACAGGGAGGTGTCATGCACCTGATGTCAGGAAAAGCTACATAATTTGCAGGACCCCAGAGCAAAATAAAATCAGAATTCTCTTTTGCAAAAATTATCCAGAATTTCAAGATGCCAACAGCAAAGCATTAAACCAAGCATGGGGCTTTGTTCAAATGCACAGGTTTGTACACCCATGAATCTAGGTATTCCCTACATGAAGGTCAAAACCCCTAAATTTCCATTTGCTTAGAAACTAAACACTCTACCTCACTTTTCTAAAGCACATTGATATTTCAAAGCCTTTTCACTTATTATCATAATTTATTAAATTATGTTAAAGCCGAGGAAGGTTAGGATCATTGTTATTTTCTACCTGTGAAAAACTGAGGCTTCATGTATTCAAAAAAAGCTTAAGACCACTTATTTGATCCATGGTAGCCAAGGTCTTCCATCAGGTGACTTGATGGTGACTAAGGGCCAGCCACTCACCATCCAGACTTTAATTGGCTCTTGACCAAAATGTTGCTCATTTGGTAGATAAAGAAGGTTGTGAAATTGGAACTTATCTGTGAAACCTCTTCTACCTTAGAAATTCAGTCATCCTGAATATCTTTATTGCACTAGGCTGAGGAAGACCTCAATGCATTGTTTGGTTCAATGAGCAATTCTGATGAGGACTGGCATTCTGGGGTCACAAAGTGGAGGAGTCCAAGAAAGGTGACTGTAATTGGTGGCAATCTCCAGAACTAGGGACACTTCCCAGGGAAATAAAAGGTGATTCGTCTTCAGATTTATCGTAGAACATGGATCCTTGGATCATTCCCAAGGAGATGACTCCTAGGCCACTTTTCGGCCTTCTACTCATCTTCCTTCTGTTCAGTGCATGGTTCCTTATTGGTGAGAATATTAATTATTAAGGTGATGTATTCCATATCATATGCATTATCAAATTAAGTGTGCTTTCCTTCCCTTTGTTATCATTACTGGAAAGAGAATGGATTATAACTGAAATTTTAAGGCAAGGCCATTGACATTGACTCTATGAATTATCCATGGAGAAGACAATTTTGCTAGTATTTAATGAAAAATCACAACACACAAAAAGGCTGGATGTGTTCAAAAATTTTTGAATAATTTTTGAAATTATAGATGTAATATATGCTTAGGTAGAAGATCTAGAGACTTCAGAAGTGTGTAATGAAATTTTAAATTGCCAAAAATCTGTCTACCCAGAATTATACCCACTATTACCATTTTCATGTGTTTCTAGTTAGGCTTTCCTATGATAATATCCACTTTTTAATTATGATCTTTGATATTGATTTTTAGCAAATACCTTTATGCTTTCCCACTCAGAAATTTGACTTCATTCAGTGGTTTCTTTTTTTACATTCAAGTGTTTTCATATGCAAACATTATGCTCACTGTTAGAAAAGGCATAGTGACAGCTCCTCCAGTGAGAATTTGTTAGATATGCTAATTTTTTTAAAATATAGTTTTCTGGAAAGATTTGTATGGAGTGGCATCCAAAAGGTATAACTTCAATTTAGTACATATAGGAGTGATGAAAACCCTATGATCCATACAGGAAGATTTGTTGTTTCTTTGTATGGCTTAATGCAGACTAATTGTCGGTCTGGCTTTTAGAAAGGTAAATGAAGTAAGAGAAGGGATTTTCTATTTCCTGTTGATATTTGCACTCATGGTGTCCTGAGTTGGTTCTAAGAATAAGGTATCTCCTCAAAAAGGTTGTCAGGGTTATGTCAGGTTTCCCAAAGGACAAGAGGCACTGACTAGCTACTTCAAACCTTGCATTGAAGAGGCCTAGTGTTTTTGTGTCTACATATAAAGACACAATTCAAGAAGTTGTGTCAAGGCTTGGAAAGAGCTGATTAGGTTGCAAATCCCAAGCTATACTGGATAGAATGTCTATGTGTCTCTACTTTTAGTAGTGCATTAAGTGGCACAGAATAGCCTAGTAACTGCTATATTCCCAAAGAGCAGACCTACAGGCTTTCACTAGAGCTTTCCTATCAGAGTCAGATCTTACTTGGGTCTTTCCCCTTCTGATGATGCACTGATTGATGTCTGGGCAAGGGCTTCACTAAGGGAGATTGAGTAGGAAATGCTGGCTAGAGACATGGTGGGAAAGGAGTAGAGAGAGAGGTAGGACTATTTATGGTGCACAAAGGAACCTATGTAGCCTCCTGCTCAGAGGGTGACTTCCTTTCTTCTCTAAATGTGATATCTGCCCAACACATCCAACTTATTGTTTTACTGTTTCCCTTTCAGCTGCAAAGTGCCTCCCTCCCTCAGGATTCTTGTAGAAGTAAGGATATGTGGGAGTAACAGAAAAGTAGCCCTATTTACTTTAAAAAAATTGTCAGCAGGGTATACTAGTTCTCCAAAGAGGCAGAACCAATAAGATATATAGATATAGATATATGGGAGGGTATTTATTAGGAGTATTAGCTCATGCAATTATGGAAGCTGAGAATTCCCATGATAGGCCATCCACAAGGTGGAGACTAGGGAAGCTGGTGGTGTGGCTCAGTACAAGTCTGAAGGCCTCAGAACCAGGGAAACCAGTGGTGTAACTCTCAGTCCCAGGCCCAAGGCCTGAGAATCTGGGTGGGCACTGGTGCACGTCTCAAAGTCCAAAGGCCAGAAAATCTGGAGTTTTGATATCCAAGGGCAGAAGAAGGGTGTCCCAGTTTCAGAAGAGACAGCAAATTCACCTTTCCCCTGCTTTCTTGTTCTATCTGGGCTCTCAGTGGAGTGGATGGTGCTGACCCACATTGGGTAAGGAAGGATCTTCCTTACTCAGTCTACTGATTCAAATGCCAATCTCTTCTGGAAACATTCTCACAGATATATCCAGAAACAACACTTTACCAGCTATCTGAGTATCCCTTAATACAGTAAAGTGGACACCTAAAATTTACCATTACGTAGGGGAAAGGAACCTTCTCCACTGGAAACTATAAGTGTGTACCTCCCACTTTGAATGCTATCTTTAATCTTCCTAGTGGCTAAGTTTTTTTATTTTTATTTTTTAAATTTTTTTTGCCTAGTTTCCAACCACAGATGGGAGACATTAACCACTGGAAAAAAAATGTAACTCTGTATATTCTTCCTGAAAGAAGATTTCCTGTTAAACCCAGCCAACAGAAGAACCCACACAGCATCAGCCAATTTAAAAGGGGCACTGATTTACTGGAAACGACTATTATGACCATTGTGATGGTGCTGCTGTTGCTGGCAAAGATGATAATAAGAAAATAGCCACAGCCACCAATGATTTAAAGCTTACTAGAATCAAGAATTGTGCTCAGTTCTTTATGTCTATCTCACTTAATCATCTCAAAAAACCCTATAAGTACTATTTTTATCTCCATTTTATAGGTGAGATTAATTATTCTAGCATTCATCATCATAGTTGTTGTCGCACACTGAACCTTACCTTTATTTGGTTGGATGTTTTCCTATTGTTGTGTCACAATGAAGCATATGCACATTCCAGTATTATTCTTCATGCTTGCTGTCTCAACTGAACCTTAACATTATTATAGCGGTCAGCTTCATGCTACTCTCACACTAAACTCTTTCCTTATTCCAGTATTCACATTCCTGTTCTTTGTCTCCCACTAAAAAAATAGACACATTCCAGTGTCATTCCATGGTGGTTTTCTCACACAGAAGGATAACCTTATTCCAGTGGTCATCTGCATGCACGTTGTCATAAATTGAACTTTTACCTAATCCTAGTGGTAATTTTCTTTTTTTTATTTTTTATTTTCCTAGTGGTAATTTTCATGCTTATTTCCTCACTGTGAAACATAACCTTATTAAAGTGGTCATCTTCATTCTTGCTCTCTCACAGTGAATTAGAAATGTATCCCAGTAGTCATTATCATGCTTGTCTCACATCGAGCCTGAACATTACTCAAGCAATCATTTTCATGCTAATTTTCATACACTGAAACTTAACCTTATCCCATGATTCCACTTCATGGCTGATGTCTCAAAGGGAAACTTAGCATTATTTCTGCAATCATCTTTATGTATTTTGTCTCATACTGAACCATAAATATATTCCAGCAGTCACCTTCATTTTTATTATAGTTTCATTGAACTATAGCCTTATTCCATCCATCATTTTTGTACTCCTTTTCTCATACTGAAACTTTGCCTTATTCCAGAGGTCATCTTCGTGCCTCCTTTCTCAAAACAAATGCTATCCTTATTCCAGTGGTCACCTTCCTGCTTATTGTCTCACACTGAATACTACCCTTATTTTAGTAGTAACCTTCATCCTTATTGTTCAGGTCTTACCTTTATCCTTATCCCAGCTGTCATCTTCTTGCTGGCAGTCTCACACTGAACTGTAACATTATTCCAGTAGTGTCCTTCTAGCTCTCTGCTGCACATTGAACCTTAACATATTCCAGCTGTCATCCTCATGGTTTTTGTGTCACAAAGGACCTTAATCTTTACCAGAATTCATCATAATGCTTGTTGATCATTTACCTTAGCTTATTTCAGAATCATCCTTATACTTTTTGCCTCATACTTTGAACATTGACATTGTTTCAGCAGTCATCATTACACTCGAAGTCTCACATGTGATGTTAACTTTTCCAGTGGTCATCTTCATGTTTGTTGTGTCATACCTAACTTCACCTTTATTCTAATGTTCACTTTCATGCCTATTATAGTAGTCATTTTTCATTTTCATGCCTGTGGTCTCTTAATGACCTCAACCTTTGTATTACTCTGTCCTCACACTGCTATAAATAAATATCTGAGACTGGTTATTTATAAAGAAAAGAGGTTTAATTGGCTCACGGTTCTGCAGGCTGTATAGGAAGCATGATGCTGGCATCTGCTTGGCTTCTGCTTCTGGGGAGGCCTCAGGAAGCTTACAATCATAGTGGAAGGCAAAGGGGAAGAAGACACATCTTACATGGCTGGAGAAGAAGCAAGAGAGAGCGAGGGGAGATGCTATACACTTTCAAACAACCATATCTCATGATAACTCATTCACTATATAATACCAAGGGGCAATGGTGCTAAACCATTCATAAGAACTCCACCCCCATGATCAAATCACCTCACATTAGGTCCCACCTCCAGCATTGGGGATTACATTTCAACATGAGATTTGGGTGGGGACACAGATCCAAACCATATCAACCTTATAACAGTGGTTATCTTCATCCTTGTAGGCTCATAATGAATCTTTACCTTATTCCTGTGGTCATCATTATCTCCCACTGAAGCATAACCTTAGTACAGTCATTATCTTCATGCTTGTCACATATTGAGCCTTACATTTTTTAGCAGTCATCTCCTTGCATGTAGTCTCACAAGGAACCTTAAAATTATTCCAGCAGTCATCTTCATGCTTCTCATGTTACACCAAACCTCTACCTTATTTCAGTATTCATCATCATGCTTGCCATTTCACATGGACCTGGAATCATATTCCAGCATATGACCCATATTCATTTTTTTGTTGTCTTTGTTAAAGATATTGAACCTTAACATTTTCCAGTTGTCTTCATCATGCTAGCTGTCCCACAATGAAACTTCATCTTGTTCCAGTGCTAATCTTCACTCTTATCTCACCCTGCAGTATAATCATTTGTAGTAGTCATGCCCATTCCTGTTTTTTTCATGCTGAATAGTTTTTCCAGCAGTCATCATCATTAAGGTGTCACATGCTGAATCTTAAACTAATTCCAGAGGTCATCCTTTGACTTATTATCTAATACTGAACATTAGCCTTATTCCAGTAGTCATCATCATCCTTACTGTCTTACATTAAATCTTAACCTTATTCCAGTGATCATCTTCATGTTCTTTGCCACACAAAACAAATTAAACCTTATTCAAGCAGTCATCTTCTTGCTTGCTGTGTCACAGTAAAGCACAGTAAAGACAACCACTTTTGGTCTTTACTTTCCTGCCTGTTTTTTCACAGTGACATTTAACTTCATTAAAGCAGTCATGTTAATGTTCCATTTACTTTTGCACACAATCTTAACCATATTCCAGCAATTATCTTTATGCAGGTGTCCTCACATTGATCTTAAACTGATTACAGCACTCACTTTTTGTTTATTCGTTTGTTTTTAGAGATGGGGTCTCACTCTGTCACCAAGGCTGGAGTGCAGTGACACAATCACAGCTCACTGCAGCCCTGAACTCCTGGGCACAAGCGATCCTCCCGCCTTAGCCTCCTGAGTAGCAGGGACCACAGGCACAAGTCACCTGTGGCACAACTGGCTAATTTTATTTTTTATTTTTATTTTTAGAAATGAGATCTTGCTATGTTGACCAGGCTGGTTCAAACTTCTGGCCTCAAGCAATCCTCCCACCTCAGTCTCCTAAAGCACTGGGATTACAGGCATGAGCCACTACACCTGGCCTTAGCGGTCACATTCATACTTGTTTTTCTCACACTTCCCAGCAGTCATCTTCATTCTTATTGCCTCACACTGAATATTAACTTTATTACCGTGGCCATTTTCGTGTTTGATGTCTCACGCTGAAGCATAAGCTTATGCCAGTCGTCATCTTCATGCTTCTTGTCTCATCTGAATGTTGCCTCATTCTCATTCTAACAGGTATCTTCTTGGTAGTTGTGTCACACTAAACATTAACCTATTCCCATAGGTTGTTGAAATACTCTAAATCTTAATCTTATTCCAGTGGCCACATTAATGGTGTTGGGTCCCACTGAACTTTAACCTTATTCCAACAGTGATCTTTTTTTTTTTTCTTTTGCTGCAGTGAACCTTAACTTTATTCTAGCAGTCATCTTTATGATGGTTGTCACTGACTGAAACTCAAACTTATTCCAGTGCTGTACTTCATGCTTCTTGTTGCAAACTGTATATTGATTCCAGTGGCCAACTGAATACAAGATATCACACATGAAGCAAAACATTATTCAACTGGCCATCTTCCTGCATTTTGTCTCACAATGAATCTTTCTTTTTTCTTTTTTTTTTGAGACAGAGTCTCACTTTGTTGCCAGGACTGGAGTGCAGTGGTGTGATCTCGACTCACTGCAACCTCCGCCTCCCAGGTTCCAGTGATTCTCCTGCCTCAGCCTCCCAAGTAGCTGGGATTACAGGCATGCCCCATCATGCCTGGCTAATTTTTGTATTTTTAGTAGAGACAGGGTTTCATCATGTTGCCCAGTAGTCTCAAACTCCTGACCTCAAATGATCTGCCCAACTCGACCTCCCAAAGTTCTGGGATTACAGGCGTGAGCCACCGCGCCTGGCTTCACAATTAATTTTAACCTAATTCCAGCAACCATCATCATGCTTGCTCTTCCAGAAGGAACTTTTATCTTATTCCTGTGGTCATTATCATGGGGGCAGTCTCACACATAATCTTAATCTTATGCAAGAAATCATGTTCCTGACAATGTGTGACACTTGACCTTTACCTTGTATCAGGGGTCACCCTCAGGTTTGTTGACTCACACCGAACATTAGTCTAATAGCAGCAGTCAGTCAGCTTCATGCTTGATGTCTCACAATAAACCTTATCTGTATTCCAGTGGATTTCTTCGTAATTATAAGCTCACACTGATCATCTTCATGCTTGTTTTATCATAGTGAATTATAACCTCATTCCAGTGATCATTTTCATGTTATTTGTCTTATGCTGACAAACCTTCCTCCTAACCTTCCTTCAGCAGTTATGTTCATGCTTGTTGTCTCACACTGAAGCTTAACCATTTTGGTAAGACATCTACTTGCTTATTGTCACATACTAAACCTTAACCTTATCTCAGCAGACATCTTCATACTAGTTGCCACACTTTGAACCTTCATCATATTCTGATAGTCATGTTCAGATTTGTTGTCTCATTCCGAACCTTTATTCCAGCAGTAATCAGCATGTTTGTTCACACTGAATACAATTTTTTTTCAAGACTCACTCTGTTTTCTTGAGATGGAGTTTCACTCTGTTGCCCAGGCTGGAGTGCAGTGGCACGATCTTAGCTCACTGCAACCTCTGCCTCGCGGGTTCAAGCGATTCTCCTGCCTCAGCCTCCTGAGTAGCTGGGATTACTGGCATGCACCACCACACCCAGCTAATTTTTGTATTTTTAGGAGAGATGGGATTTCACCATGTTTTCCAGGCTGGACCCAAACTCTTGGCCTCGAGTGATCCACCGGCCTCGGCCTCCCAAAGTGCTGGGAGTACAGGCATTAGCCACCGCGCCCAGCCTTCACACTGAATACAATTTTATTGCAGCACTCATCTTCCAGATCTTATCACACACTAAAGAATAGCTTTAATCTAGTCGTTATGATTGCTATCTCATGCTGAATATTAACCTCATTCTAGCAGTCATCTTCATGCTTACTGTCTCATTCTAACCCTTACTCATAACGCATCAGTTATTTTCTTTGTTGTTATGTCACACTGAACTTTCTCCCATTCCTGCAGTTAACTTCTAGTTTGTTGTCACACTCTAAACCTTTATCTTATTCTAGCAGTCATGTTCATGGTGGCTGTGTCATACTGAACTTAAAATTTATTAATCTAGTGATCTTTTTTGTTGTTAATTAACAACAAAAAAGTTCATTTTTTGTTGTTAAACTTAGTTTAATTTAACCAAACTGTTAATTTAAATTAAGTTTGGCCTGAGGATGTCTCCCTACCTTAAGTCTGTAAAGAAACTGAAAGCCTTATTTAGGAGTATATATTTTTTGGTAACATCTAGCTGAGTCTCAGAAAATTGCAACAGTCAAGCTTCAGCCAGTCACAGGCTGCCAATTGATCATGCCCAAATGAGGCAAATGCCAAGCTGTAACCAATCAAGCTATTTCTGTCCCTCATTTCCATGTTCTTTTCTTCTTTTTTTTTCTCACTTCCATTTTCTGTCCATAAATACTGCCTGTCCACTTTGCAAAGCAGAGCTCTCTGAATGTCTTCAGGTTCTGAGGGCTGCCCAATTTGTAAATCAGTCTTTGCTCAATTAAACTCTGTTTAATTTGTGTGGTTTTTTTTTTTGTTTGTTTTTTGAGACAGGGTCTCTCTATGTTACTTAGGCCAAGCTAGTCTTGAATTCCTGGGCTAAAGCTATCCTCCCTCCTCAACATTCTGAGTAGCTGGGATTATGACGTACACCACTGTGCCCAGCTAGTCTTTCTTTTAAACAGAACCTAACCTTATTTCAGCAGTCATCTTCGGAATTGTTTCTCATATTGAGAGCACCTTATTCCAGGGGCCATCTTCATGCTAATGTCTCACACTGAACCTTCATCTTTTTACTATAGTTATTATGCTTGGTATTTCACACTGAACCATAACCTTTCCCAGTGAAAATTTCTTGCTTTTGACTGACATTCAACCCTATACTTACACAAGTGGGTATCTTTCTGTTTGTGTTCTCAATCTCAATCTTTTTCCACCCAACTTTATTGACAAATAAATATTATATCTGTTTAATGTCCACAATGTGATTAATACACATTGTGAAATTATTACTATGATTAAGCTAATCGACACATCCATAACCTCACAGTTACCATTTTTTTGTATGATGAGAACATTTAAAATCTACTCTCTTAGCAAATTTCAAGTATACAATCAGTATAATTATACTCATCATGCTGTACATTAGACTTCCAGAACTGATTCATCCTGCATAACTGAAACTTTAACCTTTAAGCAACATCTCCCAATTTCTCCCACACCTCCATCTCCTAGCAACCACCATTCTACTCTCTGCTTGCATGAGTTCAACATTTTTAGATTCCACATATAAGTGAGATTATGCAAAATTTGTCTTTCTGTGCCTGGCATACTTCTCTTAGCATAATGTCCTTCAGATTAATCTATGTTGTCACAAATAAAAGGATTTCCTTATTTTTAACATTTGAATACAATTCTATTTTACGTATATACAGGCATGCCTCAGAGATATTGAAGGTTAGGCTTCAGACCACTGCAATAAAGCAAATATTGCAATACAGCGAGTGACACAAATTTTTGGTTTCCTAGCGCATACGAAAGTTATGGTTATGCTATACTGTCATCTATTAAGTGTGCAATAACATTATGTCTATGAAAACAATGTACATACCTTAATTTAAAATACATTATTACTAGAAAAATTCTAATGATCATCTGAGGCTTCAACAAGTTGTCTTTTTGCTCGTAGAGGATCTTGTCACAATATTGATGACTGATGACTGATCAGGGTGGTGGCGACTGAAGGCTGAGGTGGCTATGGCAGTTTCTTCAAATAAGACAATGATGTTTACTGCACCAATGGAATTTTCCTTTCAAGAAAAATTTCTCTGGAGCATACAATACTGTTTGATATCATTTTACCCACAGTAGACCTTCTTTCACAATTGGAGTCCATCCTTTTAAACCTTGCCACTGCTCTATCAACTAATTTTATGTAATATTCTAAATCCTTTGTTGTTATTTCAATAATGTTTATAGCATTTTCACTACAAGTAGATTCCATCTCAAGAAACCACTTGCTTTGCTCATCCAAAAGAAGGAACTGTTCACCCTGTAAAGTTTTATCATGAGATTGCAGCAATTTGGTCACATCTCCAGGCTTCATTTCTAATTGTAGATCTCTAGCTATTTCCACCACATCTGTAGTTACTTCCTCTACTGAAGTCTTGAACTCCTCAAAGTCATCTACAGGGTTGGAAACAACTACTTTTAATCTCCTGTTAATGTTGGTATTTTTGTCTCTTCCCATAAATTATTAATGTTCTTAATGACATTTAGAATGGTGAATCTTCCAGAAGGTTTTCAATTTACTTTGCCCAGATTGATTAGAAGAATCACTCTCTATCAATAATGGTAGAGAATGATTCTCCTACCCACTATGGTAACCATAGCCTTATAAAATGTATATCTTAAATAATGACTTGAAAGTCAAAATTACTTCTTGATTCATGGGCTGTAGAATGGATGTTGTTAGAGTTGGAATGGATGTTGTTAGTAAGCATGAAAACAACATTTATCTCCTTGTAGATCTCCACCAGAGCTCTTGGGTGACCATTACATTGTCAATGAGCAGTAATATTTTGAAATAGATCTTTTTTTTTCTGAACAGTAGATCTCAATAGTGGGCTTAAAATAGTCAGTAAAGCATGGTGTAAACAGATGTGCTGTCATTCAGGCATTGTTATTCCATTTATAGAGCACAGGCAGAGTTGATTTAGCATAATTCTTAAGAGCCCTAAAGTTTTCAAAACGGTAAGTGAGCATTGACTTCAACTTAAAATCACCAACGGCTTTAGCATCTAACAAGAGAGGCAGTCTGTCCTTTGAAACTTTGAAGACAGGCATTGAATTTTCCTCTTTAGCTATGAAAGTCCTAGATGGCTTCTTCTTCCAACTGAAGGCTGTTTTGTATACATCGAAAATCTATTGTTTAGTATAGTCACCTTTATGAATTATCTTAGCTAGATCTGGATAACTTGCTGCAGCTTCTACATCAGCACTTGCTGCTTCAGCTGGCACCTTTATGCTATGGAGATGCCTTTTTCCTTAAACCTCATGAACCAATCTCTGCTAATTTTAAACCTTCCTTCTGTGGCTTCCTCACTTCTCTTAGCCTTCATAGAATTGAAGAGAGTTAGGGCCTTGCTCTGGATTAGGCTTTGGCTTGAGGAAATGTTGTAGCTGGTTTCATCTTCTATCTAGATCACTCAAACTTTCTCCATAGCAGCAACAAGGCTGTTTTGCTTTCTTATCTGTGTGTTCACTGGAGTAGCACTTTTAATTTTCTTTAAGAACCTTGCCCTTATATTCAAAACTTGGCAATTTGGTACAAGAGACCTAGCTTTTGGCCTATCTTGGCTTTTGACATGGCTTCCTCAGTAAGCTTAATCATTTCTAGCTTTTGTTTTAAAGTGATAGAGGTGTGACTCTTCCTTTCACTTAAACACTTAGAAGTCACTGTAGGGTCATTAATAGGCCTAATTTCAACATGGCTGTGTCTCATGGAATAGGGTGGCCTAAGATGAGGGAGAGAGATGTCAGAATGAGTGATGATTGATGGAGCAGTTAGAGCACACACAACTGTTTATCAATTAAGTTCACCATCTTATGTGGGTGCAATTTGTGGCAGCCTGATATGGTTAGGCTCTGTGTCCCCACTCAAACCTCATCTTGAATTGTAATCCCCATGTGTTGAGGGAGGGACCTGGTGGGAGGTGATTGGATCATGGGGGTAGTTTCCCCCATGCTGTTCTCATGATAGTGAGGGAGTTCTCATGAGATCTGATGGTTTATGTTTGTGGGGCTTCCCATCCACCCGTTGCCTTGTGCTTGCTTCTCCTTCATCTTCTGCCATGATTGTTAGTTTCCTGTGACCTCCCCAGACATGTGGAACTGTGTCAATTAAACCTCTTTTGTTTATAAATTGCCCTGTCTCAGGTAGTATCCTTATAGCAGTGTGAGAATGGACTAATACAGATAATTGGTACCAGGATAGTGGGGAGCTTACTGCTATTAAGATACTTGAAAATGTGGAAGTGACTTTGGAACTGGGTAGCAGGCTGAGGTTTAAACAGTTTGGAGGGCTCAGAAGACAGGGAGATGAGGGAAAGTTTGGAACTTCCTAGAGGTTGTTAAATGGTTGTGATCAAAATGCTGATAGTGATATGGACAATGAAGTCCAGGCTGAGGTGGTCGTGGATGGAGATGAGGAACTTATTGGGGACTGGAGCAAAGTTCACTCTTGCTATGCTTTAGCAAAGAGACTGGTGGCATTTTGTCCCTGCCCTAGACATCTGTGGAGCTTTGAACTTGAAAGAGATGACACAGGGTATCTGGCAGAAGAAATTTCTAAGCAGCAAAGTATTCAAGATGTGACCTGGCTTTTCCTGAAACCATACAGTTATATGCATTCACAGAGATGATTTAAAATAGGAACTTACATTTAAAAGGGAAGCAAAGCATAAATGTTTAGAAAATTTGCAGCCTGACCATTTGGTAGAAAAGAAAAACCCATTTTTGGGGGAGGAATTCAAGCTGGCTACAGAAATTTGCATAAGTAACAAGGAGCCGAATGTTAATAGCCAAGACAGTGAAGAAAATGTCTCCAGGGCATATCAGAGATCTTGAAGGCTGTCCCTCCCATCACAGGCCCAGAGGCCTAGGAGGAAAACATGGCTTCATGGGCTAGGCCAAGGGCCCCGTTGCTCTGTGCAGCTTCAGGACTTGGTGCCCTGTGTCCCAGTCACTCCAGCTCCAGCTGTGGCTAAAGGGGGCCAAGGTACAGCTAGGGCCATTGCTTCAGAAGGTGCAAGCCCAAAGCCTTGGTGGCTTCCACTTGGTGTTGGGCCTTCAGGTGCACAGAAGACAATAGTTGAGCTTCGGGAACCTCTGCCTAGATTTAAGAAGATGTATGGAAATGCCTGGATGTCCAGGCAGAAGTGTGCTGCAGGGGCAGAGCCCTCATAGAGAACCTCTGCTAGGGCAGTGTGGAATGGAAATATGGGATTGGAACCCCCACACAGAGGCCCCACTGGGGCACTGCCTAGTGAGGCTGTGAGAAGAGGCCCACTATCTTCCAGACCTCAGAAAGGTAGATTCACTGATAGCTTGCACCATGCACCTGGAAAAGCCTCAGGCATTCAATACCAACTCATGAAAGCAGCCGCAGAAGCTGTACTCTCTAGAGTCACAGGAGCAGAGCTGCCCAAGGCTGTGGAAGCCCACCCCTTGCATCAGCATGCTTTTGATATGAGACATGGAGTCAAAGGAGATCGTTTCAGAGCTTTAACATTTAATGACTGACCTGCTGGGTTTCAGACTTGCATGGGGCCTGGACCCCTTTGGCCAATTTCTATTTGAAATGGGAACATTTACCCAACTGTAATACCCAAGATACCCCCATTTTATTTTGGAAGTAAGTAACTTGCTTTTGATTTTACAGGCTCATAAGCATAAGAAGGGTCTTGCCTTGTCTCAGATGAGACTTTGGACTTGAACTCTTGAGTTAATGCTGGAATGAGTTAAAACCTTGGGAGACTGTTGGGAAGGCATGATTTGTTTTGAAATATGAAAAAGACATGAGATTTGGGATGGGCTGGGGTGAAATAATATGGTTTGGCTCTGTGTCCCCACCCAAACCTCATATCGAATTGTAATCCCCATGTGTTGAGGGAGGGACCTCATGGGAAATGATTGGATCACGGGGGTAGTTTCCCCCATGCTGTTCTTGTGATAATGAGGGTGTTCTCAGGAGATCTGGTTGTTTGATAAGTGTCTAGCATTTGCCTTCTGCACTCTCTCTCCTGCTGCCTTCTGAAGAAGGTACTTGCTTCTCCTACCTCTTCCATCATGATTGTAAGTTTCCTGAGGCCTCCCCAGCCATGTAGAACTGTGAGTCAATTAAACCTCTTTTGTTTATAAATTACCCAGTCTCAGGTAGTATCTTTATAGCACAGTGAGAACAGACTAATACACACCCCCAAACAATTAGAGTACTAACATTAAAGATTATTGATCACAGATCACCATAACAGATATAGTAATAATGAAACAATTTGAAATATTGTGAGAATTACCAAAATGTGACAAAGAGACACAAAGTGAGCACATGCTTTAGCCACAAATCTGGGTTGCCACAAATCTGCAATTTGTCAAAAACGCAGTATCTGTAAAACACAATAAAGTGAAGCACAATACAACAAAATCCCTGTATGCGTATCTCACATTTCCTTCATCCATTTATCAGTCTATGTATACTAAGATTGATTTCATATCTTAGCTATTGTGAAAAGTGCTGCAATGAACATGGTAGTGTAAATATCTCTTTGGGATATTGATTTTAATTAAATATATATGTAGAAGTGGTATTGATGGATCAGATGGTAGTTCTATTTTTAATTTTTTGAGAAATCTCAATATTGTTTTCTATAATGGCTGTACCAATTCACATTCCCACCTAGAGTATACAAGGGTTCTTTTTTCTCCACATCTTCACCAACACTTATCTTGTTTTGTTGTTGTTGTTTGTTTGATAACAGCCATTCTAACAGGTGTGACATGATATCTCATTGTCGTTTTAGTTTGCATTTTCCTGATTAGTGATGTTGAGCATATACCCGTTAGCTATTTATAGGTCTGTTTTCTTTTTTCTTTTTTTCTTTCTTTTTTTTGAGACTGAGTCTCACTCTGTCGCCCAGGCTGGAGCGTAGTGGCACAGTCTCAGCTCACTGTACTCCGCCTCCCGGGTTCATGCCATTCTCCTGCCTCAGCCTCCCGAGTAGCTGGGACTACAGGCGCCCGCCACCACACCCGGCTAATTTTTGTATTTTTAGTAGAGACGGGGTTTCACTGTGTTAGCCAGGATGGTCTCAATCTCCCGACCTTGTGATCCGCCCACCTCAGCCTCCCAAAGTGCTGGGATTACAGGCGTGAGCCACCGCGCCCGGCCTATAGGTCTGTTTTCTAAATGCTTTAGTGTCTGTTTCCCAGTTGTTCATCCTACCAGATGTTATATCTGCTTTAAAGATATTACCACTCTCTACTGCTGTGTAACGAACCACTCCAAAGTTCAACAGTGTAAAACAATAGCCATGTTATTATGCTTTCAAATTATGTGAGTTAGGAATGTGGACAGGGCACAGAGGGATGGCTCTTCTCTATTCAAGATATGTAGGGCCTCAGCTAGGATGACTCAAATGTTTCGGGGTTGCAACTGCTGGAGCTGAAGGATCCACTTCTAAGACAAAATGAGATGGCTGAGGTGGCTGAAGAACAAGCTCAGTTCAGAATAACCACCAGACAGCCTACAGGTGCCTCTCCATATTGATCAGACTTCCTACATGGGATCCAAGAGCAAGTGCTTCTACTGAACAAGATGGAAGCTACAAAGTCTTTTATGACCCCACCTCAGAAGTAACAGAGTATCATTTCTGCCATATTCCTTTAGTAGCAGTCTCAAGCCTGCCCAGATTCAAGGGCAGGGGACAAGAGACTCCATTTTTGATGGGAAAATAATTTGAGGGTATGCTTTAAAACTCCCAACAGGTAAAGAAATCAAGACTTGGAGACTTTGTCAAGGTCATTTGCTTGGTAAACAAAGAACTTCTCGGTGTTAATTATACAATCTCTCTGCTTGTAAATGGAGGGATTGGGGTTAAGAATTGTACACTTCTGGCCAGGCACGGTGGCTCATGCCTGTAATCCCAGCACTTTGGGAGGCCGAGGCAGGCAGATCACTTGAGCCCAGGAGTTAGAGACTAGCCTGGCCAACATGGCGAAATCCCATCCTACTAAAAATACAAAAATTAGTCAGCCATGTTGGTGGGCACCTGTAATCCCAGTTACTTGGGAGGCTGAGGGAGGGAGAATTGCTTGAACCCGGGAGGTGGAGATTGCAGTGAGCCAAGATCGTGCCACTGCACTCTAGCCTGGGCGACAGAGCAAAACTTCGTCTCAAAAAAAAAAAAAAAGTATACTTCTTTTTCTCTTCCCTGTTCCCTTGGTATGTGTGTGTGGGGTGTGTATGTGTTACAGCAGCATGTAAGTAACATCTTAGGGAAAGGGACTCTAGTCTTCCCAAGATGAACTGTACTTCTTGGGAGATAAGGCAGTACAAGTGTTTCCTTCCACTCCAGGCTAAAATGAAGGGCCTCTAGTTCTTCACTGCTCACCCTCTACTTTCCCGCATTCATAGGAAAGGAACCTAGTTGAGAAGAGGTGGCTGAAGAATTACTGTAGAATACACTTCAAAGTAGAGGTAAACAGATCTCTTCTAGGGCCAACAGGTAAGGTATGATTTTCAGGAAAGGCCTCAAGTTTTAGAGTTCTGAAGTTATCTTCAGTAATTAATACATTTATATTCTTGTACTAGGTGATAAAGATGTTCATTAAATGTAAATATTTAAAATATACCAATATTTTAGTAATTTTTACTATCTTAGAATCCTTAGGAAATGTAAACTTAGGTCTTGCTAGAACTCTGAGAAGTCCTTTCTGACAATGCACAAAAAGCTGGATAGAGGCTAACCTATGTATCACTCCGGGAGAAAAAGATTTACCACCACTTCCAATCCCAGTGGTTAAAGTCTCAGGGATTGGGAACTGAGTAAACTGATTATCAATGCTAAGGAGAGGCTAAGAGATGAGCTCTCTTACCAACCCATTTCACATCTGTTACAGAGGACTATAAAAGAAGCAGGGGGCTGGGCCCAGATTTAAGGGTAAGCTTCAGTTATTTACGAGAATATTCAGCCCATATCAGTAGGCTAAAAATGAGAGAGGGTTATAGGAATAAAGATGACTCAGTTTTCTGGAGGTGCTCAAGACTGTTTCTCTTGGGGATTCTATGGTGAGTGCAGGTGCAAGAGGACAAAGTGTAATGACTCTCTTCCCCCACCTCATGGGGAGGCTTGGGGGCTGGTTCCCCTGTTTATTCCCTATTTCTCTGGATTTTAGCCTACACAACATCCTCAGTACACTATGAAACAATCCCTGAGAATTCAGGAGGGCCACAGTCGCAAAAACCTCAAAGTGCCCTGTGCAGGTTCTCTCTGCTTTCAGAAAGACAAATAACTATGGGATCCTGAAGGAGAGCGTTCTCAGCCTGGTTTGAAGAGTCCCGGTCTCCCCTAGGTCCTTTAGCTTCCTGTTTTAACTGCCTGCCTCAATGCCCAGGCAGCTACTAACAATTGCTGTATAACATCCACAGAACAGACCAAAGGTGGTGGAAAAAACTTACCAAGGGAAGGGGGAGTACAAAGGTTCAGGGAGGCAGAATGGGGAGCAATTCGATCTTGATGTCACCAACCCTTCACAAACACCAAGAATACGCCTAAAGACATTAAAGTAATTGAGCGGTCCAAGGCTCTATTCTAAATTTGCACCCTATAGAGCCCTTATTTTCTAAGGTTTTAGGATACTTAACAAATTTTATAAAATGTAGGTCTTTAAAAAAGCCTAAATGAGCTTTCAAAGCAGAAATAGAATGAAACTTGTTCTCTAATCACAATGTAGCAAAACCAAAAATTAAGAGGAAAATGGCAACATTGTATATCTCTTAAGTCAAAGAGGAATTATAATGAAAACAACAACCATTTTGAAATCATCAATAAGAACATTACATATAAAAGCTATGAAGTATGTCCAAAGCCATAAAGAGAAGAAATCTATAGCTTTAAATGCTTTTATCATTAAACTACAAAAATGAGAATATAATACGGGGATATTTATTGAAAGCTTACAGTGTGTAGGGCCAGAGCAAAATATATTTCATTTAATCTTCATAGTACTTTTGAGGTAGGTACTGTAATTTCCCCTTTATAATAGCTAGGAGGTAGGTACTGTATTTTGCCCTTATCTTTTTGAAATGCTCAGAAGTACAATTAGACATAGAAGTATAATTATCCATGCAATGTTCTAAATATGTTATCTGTTTCCAAGAACTATTTCATGTGTTTCTTGATTCAATACCAGAAATATTTATTCTTATATATAGGGCACTGTAACAAAGAATATTAGACATTCTCTAACTTGTAAAAATCTAGTCAAGTATATTTGATATAAATGAGAGGGAGGATGCAACTCATATTATGATTGCAACTAACCCTACTAGCCAAAAATGGACTGTATTAAATGCTAAAAATGATGCATAATCACAGTGCCATGGTTGCAGAGAGAAAAGCGATTCCAACTTGGGATGAGGACAGAGTCAATTGCCATGCTTGTTGCCACTGTTCAGGGAAGAAGCTCTAAGTTGTTCAAATAATTAATTAGTGCAAGTGAAGCAGGAAGAGCACATACATTTCCGCTTTATTCAAATATTGCATAAATACAGAGCAGTTGGGCACATCCATTCTAAGGCACTGTTCTGGTTTGAATGCAATTCCACAAGAGAGAAAAGAGAAGCCATTACATTCTGTATTTTTCATCTCTACATTCAGACTCCTCCTATATTATATGTTTATTGCTACTGGGATATCAATTTGAGCCCCAGACTTATAGCAGCATCATATGTTGACCTGGATGACAAGAATTAAAGATACATCCTGGGTCTAGCAATTGGTATAATTGGCACTTAATTACAAACTCTCTTGCATTATTCTCCACCTGTTTCCCAACTCTTGTTTAACTAAAAATATTATAAAATCTTTATGAGCCTGATCCATGAATTATATTTCTTTACTAGCTTCCACTAAGCCTAGAACAGGACTAGTTAGGCACATAGTAGATACCCCCCAAAGTATTTATATCACTCTCGAGAACTTCAATGGAATAAAGACATATACTTTTCCTAATTGTAGTTCAAGGAAAGGATGACTGAACATCTTCATAAAGGGAAAATGCCTGAATGTCTTATTTCTTGTATTTTATAACAAGGAACTAGGCTCAATGAATATTTTCATGTTTTAACAGGTTTAACTGACAATGAGAAGTCTTCCCTTGCTTTGGGAATTTGAGCTGTTACCATGATTACATGAGAACATTTATATAAGTAGCAGTGTGTGTGTGTATGTAATTATAAGTAAAATTCAAAGAGGTTGAGAATCACTGGGAAACTTATACATTATCTGAATTAGTGATCCTCAGCTTCTTAAAATGATATGTGTATATACATATGTGTGTGCGTGTGTGTGTAAATGTAAGTAAAATTCAAAGAGATTGAGAATCACTAGGAAACTTAAAAATTATCTGAATTAATGATCCTCACCCCCTTAAAGTAGTATGTGTGTGTGTCTCTGTGTGTGTTACACAAATTCATATATATTTTAAGAATTTTTCATAACACCCTTAAAACAACTGGAGATAACTAGGCTTGGGAGCAACATAACTATACTGACAGCTATAGAAATATCTGTTTAAGGCAGTGTGTTCCAAGAGACATTTGCAGAATATTAGTTCTGTAGCTTATTATTGGGTATATGAAAAAGGTTTTGGGGTCAAATAAGTTTGGAAAACATTGAGCCAAAAGAGGTGCTTTTTCTCTCCTTTCTAGAGGACCTCTCAGAGATTCTCATATGCTGATGTGTACTATGAACCTAAGAAGGCGAAACAGCAGGAAGTAATTCCCAAATATATTTGCAGAATATCTAGCAGAACTAAGTATTCTATGACACATACATAGGGAGATGCTGAATTAAAGAATGGGTAAAATTTTAAAAAGCACTAAAAGACACATGATTGAATACCAAAGGAGAGTGAAATACCAAAGGAGAGCAAAAGACCCTGGTTCTTCAGTCAATCAAAATTAAATTAGATTCTGCTTGTATAATTTCAAGCTTAAAATCTTAATTTCCTTAAACATAACAAATTTCAGTGGAAATAACCCAGTTCTTACCAGGCAAATGACATCCCCTTCATCCTTGTGTTCCTGACACATTTTTATTGTTTGACAAAATTCACTGTCTCCTTTCTTGCCACATGGGACACATCTAAAGCTTTGAATGAATATAATCATCTTTAATAATGACAGCAGAATAACTATAGTACTGCTATAATCAATACGTCTGATAGACAGGTTTATCCACTATATTGACCCTACCTCTAAAAGGATTGTCATAATTTATATGCTTTATGTTTACACCTATGATACAGTTGCCTTGGAACACAAAATTTTTCATTGTAATTAAAAAAAGAAGAGTTGTGCAGACAGAAGAAATCAAATCTAAGAAAATCACAGGAGTAGATAAATACTCTAGAATTCATATACCTTGGAAGATGGGTTTTAAAACTAGTAAAAAAAAAAGCTGTCTATGTTCTTATAAGCTCAAACAAAAGCTTCCAAGACAAACAGCCTGCTGCAGGTTAAGATTTTTTTTGAGTTAGTGTCAATTTGTGTAAGACCTGTTTCCCTTAGCAATTCTTAAATAAGTCCTCTAAAGTGAGTGACCTGGTGCATAATAAGGCCGGCTCTCTGTCTGAAGCTTTTAGAACAATGAGTACACTTGTATGGCTTCTCCCCTGTGTGGATTCTTAAATGAATAACGAGGCTTGGTCTCTGTCTAAAACTTTTCCCACAATAATTACATTTAAAAGGTCTCTCTTCAGTATGCGTTCTCTGGTGCAAAGTAAGAGCTGTCAGTCGACTAAAACTTTTCCCACAATTATGACATCTATGAGGTTTTTCACCTGTATGAGTTTTCAGATGTCTTTTAAGACTTGATCCATGACAAAAACTTTTCCCACACTCAAGACATTTATATGTTTCTTCTTCAGAATGGGTTCTCTGGTGCCCTATAAGATGTGACCGCCGAGTGAATCGCTTTTTACATACAGTGCATTCATAGGGTCTCTCCCCTGTATGAAGTCGTTGGTGTCTATAAAGGTCTGAACTACGAAGGAATCTTTTCCCACATTCAGGGCATTTGTGAGGTTCTTCTCCTGAATGAATTCTCTGATGCCCAGTAAGTTGTGACTTCCGAGCAAAACATTTTCCACACTGAGGACATCGGTGAGGTTTCTCTCCTGGACTCTTTTTCTTGTGGGGTTTAGGGTTGAGAGGTTCTTCCAAGTTGGAGTTCTCAGGTGTCTCTCCCAGAGTGGGGTTCTGCTGATCTACCAGTTTTGCTAAATCTGTCTGTAAATCCTCTGGGGGGGTTTCCCATTGATTTTCTAACTGTACATAGTCTTTTTGCAAAATGGGACCCTGGAGAGCATTCCCCTCTAAAGTTACAATAAATGGATACATAGTCTCCATTTTTTTCTGTTTTGAAGTATCTTCTTCATTTTCTATCCCGATCTCAAAACCTGAGAGAAGAAATAGAAACTGCAGATGATATTGTGTTCCATGGAGAAAAGAAAGTGAAGGAAAATGAAGAGTTATGTTAAACCAGTGGCAGGAACATAGAAATTCCTAAATAGAATTCCAAACTCTTTATTTAGGTTAAATTTTTCTTTTTTTTTCCCACTAGTATATCAAAGAACAATTACTTACCTATCTTGGAATCAAGTAATTGTTTCATTTCTTTAGAATCCTGTAATTCCTTCACCCATGGCTCTTCTCTATTCTCCAATGAGAAGTTCATGTCAAGTTTTGGTAATGGATATCCTGGCCAGAAGAAAGATGGGAAGCATTACAGTTTGGCTCATCAAAGGTTTTTCCAAAATTTAGGCTGATTTCTTGGACAGATAGCCTCTTAGTATCTACTTCCTTCTCCATTACTATTACTTCACCTGAGTCTCTTACAACAGTCTTTTCTTTAAAAGATAAGAGCAAAATGAAAATGAGGTGGTGTTCAATTCAAAGCTATTCTCTAATCTATGGAAGGTGAGTGAATAAATTCTGTGCTGAAATCAATGCACTAAATCATTTCAGCATCTATTTTGATACTAGATTTGTTTAGGTTAGAGCTAAAATATAAAGTAAATTTCATAAAGTTTTGCCATATTAATACTGGGAAACACTGCTATTGAGTGCCAAATGAAGAAAGAGAGGTGAAAGTAGTAAAGTGTTTACTGGAAAAATTTCAGTGGAGTCTTTTGAATTTAAACGAAAATTGAACTGGGTTGAACCTAGCAAAAGCAGCATTTATGTTGGTTTCCGCTGAAGTCTAAAAGTGGATTCTCTTAAAATTAGCCCAGATAACTTATACAGGTGAAAATGACTATAACCCAAAATGACTACAAAATAGTATTTCAAAGTGTCAATCTAAGGACAACCAGGTGAAGTTTCCAACCACTCACTCTCGCCTTGTCTGACCACCCCTCTCCTCATTGACAGCTGGTGTTGCTTACATCCTCTTTTCTGAGCCCCTTATTCTCCTCCTTTATCTCTGATCAAGTTTACTGGTCTTCAATGAAATGTGGGCTGTAAATTACTAATTTGATATCTAAATGTAGGCTGATGTTTAAATATTAGTATTATTAAAATGACATTAGGAATTTAGTTTGACTAATGTTAATCTGACGTAAAATTTAAATTCCAGAACATTATATTCAAGGCAGAGGAAGTGGGCTAAAATACCTTGTTTTAGTTTTTCATGAAAAAAAAATTTCCTTTTTAAGATTAAGAAACTAAAGCTGAATTTCAAATAAAAGTGCTGTTTAAATTCACTATTTTGTTTTCATTTGGATTTCAAAGCTAAGAGTGAAATTACAGGGTAATATGAAACAGGTCAAATAAAATTCAAGGTAATAGATCAAAAGAAAGCTGCTGTGAAGTAAAAGATGGAGTTTCAATTGAAACTTGGAATAGGAGAGAATAGCAAAGGCTTAGGTACAAAATACTGACTTATAATCTAAATGAATGGTAATTTGAATCCACATGACAAAGCAGCACAAGTAAAAATAATTACGTAATGAGAAAAGACAGTATTGCTTCTTTCTTTTGTTAAAAGATGTAAAAGGCAACTGTATAAAAATATGTATATAGTGTATTGCTGGGCATACAACATATAGAAATGTAATATATTTCCCAATAACAGCAGAAATGAGGTGGGTAAGAGCAAAGTGTATGGGACTGAAGAAATGACTCCAGTTGGTAATTCAAATCCACAGGAACAAATGAAGAAAACCAGAAATGATAAACAATGCTAATATAACAAAAGTTATAATATATATGTATTTTCCTTTCTTCTTTCAGCTTCTTAAGAGTCTTAAAATTATATAAAGCAATAATTATAACAATGTATTCTTGGGTTTAAAACATTTTTGATGTAACATGTATAATAGTAATATCACAAAAAGGGGGAAAAGAGAACAGAGCTACATAGGAGAAACATTTCTATATCTCACTGGCATTAAGTTAGTATAACTTTGAAACCAATGATAAGATGTACATGGTAAATCCTAGAGCAACCACTAAAGAAATAAAAGTAGTAAAATTATTAAAGTAAGTAAAATATTACATGAGAAATATTTACTTAATGAAAAAGAAAGCAGTAAAAGAGGGATAGAAGAACAAAAAAGACTTGAGGCATATAGAAAACAGAAAGCAAAATGGCAGATATAAATCCAACCATATCACAAATGAAATTAAATGTAAATACATTAAATGACTTAATCAGAAAGCAGAGAAGGTCTGACTGGATTGAAAAGATCCAACTATATACTGTTTATAAGAGGTATACTTTAGATTCAAAGATACAAACCGATTGAATGTAAAGGGATGGAAAAAGATATATCATACAAGTAGCAACCACAAGAGAGCCAGTCAAAATAGGCATTAAAACAAACAAAAAAACCCCTGTTACTAAGATATACAGGATCATTTTATAATGATAAAAATATCAATCCATCAGGAAGATATAACAATTATAATCATGTATGCACTTAATTTCTGAGTACTAAAATATATAAAACAAAACTCAACAGAAATAGTACAAGAACCAGATAATTTAACAATAGTAGTTGGACACTTCAATAACTCCTTGCACTAATAGACAGAAAATCTAGGCAGAAGATCAATAATACAAGACATAGAAAATACTATAAACCAACTAAACATAACAGAATAGAAATGAGAATCTAGCAATAAATCCATATACCTGTCCTGTGGTCAACTGATTTTGAAAAGGGTTTCAAGGATATTCAATATAAAAAGAATAGCCTTTTCAACAAATAATGCTGAGACACCTGGATGTCTCCACGGGAAAAAATTATTATTTGGACCTCTACCTCCCACCCTATTAAAAATTAATGAAAAATAGATCAAAGTCTTAGATGTAAGAGCTAAAATTATAAAACTGTTCGATGAAAACACAGGAGAAAATTTTTGTGACCTTGGATTAGGCAATTATTTCTTAGATAAGACATCAAAAGCACAAACAACAAAAGAAAAAACAATTACATATGACTTCATCAAAATTAAAAAAATATTTTGGGCTACAAAGGACACTATCAAGAAAGTGAAAAGATGGCCTACAGAACGGGAGAAAATACCGGCAAATCATATGTCTAATAAGGGACTTTTATCTAGAATACACAGTTGACCATTGAACAACATGGGTTTGAACTACACAAATACACTTACAGGCAGATTTCCTTCCACCTCTGACAGCCCTGAGACAGCAAGACTAAACTCTCCTCTATTCTGTTGATCTACATGTCTATTCTTATGGAAGTACCACACTGTCTTAGTTCATTTGTGTTGCTATAAAGACCTTTATAATGATCCACTTCCACTTAATGAATAATAAATATATTCTCTGCCTTATGATTTTCTTAATAACATTTTCTTTTCTCTAGCTTACTTATTGTAAGAATACAATATATAACAAATATAACATATGAAATATGTGTTCATTGACCATTGATGTTATCAGTAAGGCTTCTAGTCAACAGTAGGCTATTAGTAGTTAAATTTGGGAGAAACAAAAGTTATGTATATGGATTTCCAACTGCACAATAGGTCAGCACCCTTAACCTCCACATTGCTCAAGGGTCACCTGTATGAAGAACACATACAATTCAATAATAAAAAGACAAATAATTCAATTAAAAATGGGCAAGGGGACTAAATAGGTCTATGAAAATATACAAATGACCAATAAGCACATGAAAGCATGTTCAGCATCGTTACTCTTCAAAGAAAGAAATGCAAATCAAAACCACAATGAGTCACTATTTCATACCTATAGGATGGCTAGAATAAAAATGTCAAATAATAATAATAAATGTCGCCTAGGATGTGAAGAAATAAGAGTGCTTGTACACTGCTGGTCGGAATGTAAAAGAGTGCAATCAGTTTGTAAAACAGTCTAGAAGTTCCTGAGAAGTTTAAACATAGAGTTACCATATGACATAGCAATTGTGCTCCTAGGTATATACCCAAGAAAAATGAAAACATACATAAATACAAAATGTCATACTGAAATTTTTATAGCAGCATCATTCATAATAGCCAAAATATAAAAACAATCTAAATGTTCATCAGCTGTTGAATGAATAAACAAAATGTGGTATAATGTCACAATGGACTATGCAACCATAAATAGGAATAAAGTACTGATACATGTTACAACATAGTTGATCCTTGAAAATATGCTAAGTGAAAGAAGCTAGTCATAAAAGGCCACATATTGTATGATTCCATTTATATGAAATATCCAGAATTGGCAAATCTACAGAGACAAAAAGTAAATTAGTGGTTGCTTTGGAGTGGGAGAGATGGGGGCCAAAAAGTGATAGCTAAAGGGTACAGGGTGGTGACAGTTGTACATATTGTGAATATACCAAAAAACATTAAATTGTACACTTCAAAGGGGTGACAATGTATGGTATGTGAATTATATTTCAATAACGCTATTTTAAAAAGATGTAAATGTAAAAAAAATTTAAATATTGACATCATTAAATGATATTAACAAATTAGTTTGGCTAACATTAATCTGAAGTAAAATTTAGATTTCAGTACATTATATCAAATCCTAGGAAGTGGTGTAAAATACTTTATTTTACATTTTCACAGGGAAAAAAACAATAGATTTTAGATTAAGAAATATAAAATACACTTCCAATAAAATGTTTTATAAACTCACTATTTTGTTAACAAAGCTTGGTTTAAACCCAGGAGTGGGATAACTGAATGATGTGGTGGAAGAGGCCCCCCCAAAAAAACAGAAATTATACATTTAAAAAATAACTAAGAGTAGAATTGGATTGTTTGTAACACAAAGGATAAATACTTGAGGAGATGGATACCCCATTTACCATGATGTGATTATTATGCAATGCATGCAATGTATTAAAATATTTCATATACCTCATAAATATATACACCTACTATGTACCCACAAAAATTAAAAAAAAAATTTTTAAAAGTTAGTGGAAAAAAATAAACTGGAGTTCATAGATTAAAGAAAGCTGCCATCAAGCAGAAGTGAGAAGGAATTGAAACTGGGGAGAGCAGCAAGTAGCAAAGGCTTAGGGTGGTAGAAGCCTGGAGGCCCAGGAGATCTCAATATGAAAGCCAGAAAAACAGTTTTGGGAATGACAGGAATTGTTCATATGGCTATTCTCATCTTACAGAGCACAGATTTGAAACTCTTAAGGTTATAGATTTAATCAAATATCACTTCAAAACCAGGCCCAGACACCTGCTCCTTGGGTAAAAGAAGCTCTACGACCTAGCTGAAGGACTAAAAGTAGCCCTGGAAGCAGAATCTGGTACCCATGAGATCTAAGGTCAGAAGTGTTACTACCAGGCAGCTGTGTCTCATGGGCTTCCCATATTGGCCCTCAAGTCTAGCTGCTACCTTATGTACAGCACCAAATTACAGAGGTTTGAGTACTTTTGCTTTGGTTCCTTGTCCCCAGCATCATACTCCTGGTGCCAGCTTTCAAAAAGCTTGGCCCCAAATTGGGTGCATCAGGACAGTCTCTACACCTTGGATGTGAGAACATGGTGCTCATAGTTGAGCTTCTTCATGGATGCCAACCTAATGCACTTCTTATATGTGTAGCACAGCCCACCACAACCCTGTGGTCCTGAGTAATATTCAGATACTTCTGGACACTGTCACCAATTTATTTGCATTTCTCAACCTTATTTTCACAGTCCATGTCAGCTAAAACCAATTCCCATTCACTTTTGACCCATGTCTCACCTTTAGGTATCAGTTCCCATCCTCTACTCTTATATATTGAATAAAATACCACCACCAATGCTGAATAAAACTGACACTTACTGAAAGGGTTTCCACAGATATTTGCCCTACTCTGTTGGCCAACATAGCGAGAACAGTTATGGCTCTTACATAGCAAAGATAAGTGAAGATGAGCAGAATTTGGCATTCCTATATATTGTGGTGGGAGGATAAATTGGTACAATAATTTCAGAAGTCAATTTGACAATATCTATTAAAGTTTTAAATGCCCATTAATCAATCAATTCCAATTCTAGAAATTTATCATATCAATACCCGCATATATAAGTATTCTCCAAATGTTTTCTAGTTTGGCTCCATGGCTTCTGGGTCAATGTTGAGTGGCAATAAAAAAGCAGGCCTTAATGCCTACTTCTGTCAAGGAGCTCTTTTCTTTACCCTCAATGTAAGCTATCTGTAAAGCAACTATTATTGGATGAGTGGTTTTACAGTAATAGAAGAAACATTAACTGCTGGTCAGTAAAAAGAGAAGGGCCCTACACTCTACTTCTGTGAGCTCATTTTCTTTTTTAGCTCCCACAGGAATGAGAAACACAAAGAAATGATAAATGTTTAAGGTGACAGATATGCTAATTACCCTCATTTGATCATTACACATTGTACACACATATCAAAATATCACTCTGTATCCCATAAATAGGTACAATTATTACATGTCAATTAAAAATAAAAGGAAAAAAGGAGGGCCCTACAGATAGAAACCAAAGCCTGTTACCTTAAATTTAATCATCTCTCCTGGTTTTGAGACCATAGTCTAGAATATTAGTTTTCCAGTGACAATAACATATTGCCCAGGATGTTAAACTCATCCTCTGGCTATAGCTAAGAGATCCATCATAGGTATATTATATTTGACCAAATTAAGTGAAGAAATTTTACTTAGGAAAAATTAACTGAAGAAAAAAAAAGGAAATTATTTTTGATTTTTTTTTTAAGTAAAAGGCTATTAAGTCCAGGCATGGTTGATTCAAAATACGCTCCCAAATTCTTCGGTATTCTTTCCTTCAAGAGGTGGAACTTCCTTTTCCTTCACTTAAGTGTGGGTTGGACTTAGTGACTCTTCTAATGAACAGAATATGGTATAAGTATGGTATGTAGGTAGGTTATCAAAGACATTGTGTCATCCTCCTTGCTTTCTCTTGGATCCTTTGCTCTGGGGGAAGCCTGCTGCCCCATCATAAAGATACTTAGGTAACCTATGGAGAAATTCCTTTGGCAAGGAATTGAGGCATCCTGCCAGTCCCTGATGACATCTTCACAACAACTACAAGAGAGACTCTGAGCCATAAACATCTAGTAGATCACTCCTGAATTCCTCTCAAAAATAGTAACATGATAAATACTTTTTCCTTTAAGCTGCTAAGTTTCGGGGATAATTAATTGCCCTTCAATAGCTATCCCATGCAAAGAGGGAAAAGCAATTGGAGATTAACAAAGAAGGTGCTTCATTGAATGTTCCCCCCATCCTAAACTCAGGGAATGGCTTCATTAAACCCCATTAGCAAAGACTGTCTCGTAAGAGCTTCACTACACCAAGAAATGTCATTACTATAGTTGGGGGTTAGATATTAGCTTATGGTAAATTTTTTGGTATAGTAGAATAATCTGAAGAAGTTTAAGTTATAAGAATCTTCTGATGCTTTCTAGACAGCATTTGTTTGTCCTGTATTTTACTTTAAATTTTCATCTCTCATATTCTTCATCACCAAAAAGATGTGATCTTTTACATTTCACACACATTCCAAATGAAACCTCATCAATTGAAATGAAAAACCCAAAGCTTTGACAACTCAAAATGCAATCCAGTTTTGGTGTACGAATTTTGAACTCCATATTTTCAAAGATAAGCATGATATATTTTATGTTTTTAAGACTAGCGTCTCCTTGCCTCTTTTCTTTCTGATTGCATACATTCTAATATTATTGCCTATCTCTGGCATCAAAGTGTCCAGCATGAATTCAAATAAGGGATTTTGTTTTAAAGTTTATGTCTTCCTTAGGTCACTTTATATTGTTCACTTAAGTTCTCTTTTATTTTGCAATGAATGTGTATATGTGTTTTCAGTTATATTACATGAAAAAATATATATGCACAATTCATATATACTCAACAACCTAATTTTTTGCTCATAGGAAATAGGTTCCAAACATTAATATAAAATCAATTGACTTCTTCCATTACTTTTGAATTTCTTTTCCACTCAGCTGGCATCTTGTGCTTTCCATTCAGTCCACAATAGAATGTATTTCATGTAATACATCAAATATACTTTTGTTTAAAGTAAAAGTTTAAGTAACCTTTAAATAATAAAATAAGCCTTGCAACATTTTTCAAAGCATAATATATCACTTTAAACGGTGATAAGAAAAGGATAATTTCCTGTCCTCCAATTTGTAATTTTTATCTGTTAAATTAATTAATTCTACCTATCCTTTGTTAAATATACTAGATTTCCATGTGCTTTAGAGAGCAAAATATTAACACCAGATAAATATTGCTACTATGTGGTATTTGTACCTGCAGTGTTGACAAAAGGAGCGAATTAACATGGAGAATCAGAATGCAAATGCAGAAAGAGTTATACTTCAAAATATTACTAGCTAAGTTTTACTACTTGTTCCAGGCATATACACATAAACCCGGTTTTGTTTTTTTTTTTTTTTTTTTTTTTTTTTAGAATTCCTCAATAGACTATGAAATGTAGATGATGTAAAGCTTGGAACATAAATGGCAATATATAGTTCTGCTTTGACCACAATATGCATACTTGTAAAGTTTTCCTCTTTTGTCACTTTTATTTAAAAATATGCTGGAGACCCATAAGCACCTCAAACTCTGTATGTTCAAATCTAAACTCAACTTGACCCACCGAATCTGATCTTCCTCTTTTGTTTGTCATGTCAGTGAATAACATTACCATCTACCCAGTTCAATGGCCAGAAACCTGGATTCCATCCTTACTCCCTTCTTCTCCATCACCCTGACACCCAATCACCAAGCTCTATATTTCACACCTGCTAAGTATCTTTTGAATTACATTTTCACTCCATCATCACCAACATGCCCTTGCTCTAGAACAACATCTTCTCACCTGAATGATGGCAACAACCTCCCAAATGGGGTCCCTGCTTTCAGTAGTATGTATCCATTCCTACTATAGCCAGAATAATCTCCTAAAATGCAAATTTGTGTGTATCATTCTGGTACTGGAGAACCTCAAAATGGTTCCCCACTTCCCTGATAATCAAGTGTGACTTCTCCATGAGGCTGCAAGTTCTTCGTGACCCAGGACCCTGCTTCTCTCTCCAGCCTCTTCTATTGCCACTCCTGCCCCACTGCTCTTCTATGTCCCTTGCACTGCAGCAGGAGGTCTTCTCTCTGCCTTCAGAACGTTGCACATGTTGTTGCTTTTGATCCCAGCCCTCTCCGCTTCCCATGTACACCACTCCACAGGCTCACTTTGATCCATCCTGTAGGTTTTAACCCAGATCCTCCTTCCTCCAGACTTCCCTCTCAGCCAAAAGCTGGTTAGGTGGCCCTCCTCCATGCTCCTGGGCATCCTATTCCTCCCAACATACCATTTACTGTCAGATTTCTGTTACATACAGGACAAAACGTCCTACTAACATATCTGAATTGTCCACTGAACTGTAATCTCCAAGATGACCAGAGCTGCTTTCCAACCTTGTGTGCTACTGAATCCCCAGGGTCTGGCATGGTGTCTGGCTCCTCAAAGGTGCTCGTAGATAGTGTACAAATGAATAAATGATATTAATATGATGTGGAAAGGGGCATGGTTCCTAATCCTGGGTACTGAGCTAGTTATGGATGGATCAGACATTTATATTTTATAACTTGGACAGTTCTTATTTTCATTTTTTATGTGTCTTCTGTGGTCTCAGTATTTAACAGTCTCTTGAACGTGCGAACATGTTGAAACAGTACCTGGGGGAGTCGGGGAGAGGATTCTGGCCACACTCGGGCCAAAGCTTTAATGTGAGGGGTAGAAGAGGTACAGGGAACACTGGGTAAGAAAACCCCAAAGGAGAAGCCGGGTGTAATGGCTCACGCCTGTAATCCCAGCACTTTGAGAGGCCAAGGCAGGCGGATCACCTGAGGTCAGGAGTTAAAGACCTGCCTGGCCAACATGGTGAAACCCCGTCTCTACGTGTGGTAGTGCATGCCTGTGATCCCAGCTACTTGAGAGGCTGAGGCAGGAGAATCACTTGAACCTGGGAGGTGGAGGTTACAGTGCGCCGAGATTGCGCCACTGCACTCCAGCCTGGGCGACAGAGCAGGACTCCCGTCTCAGAAAAAAAAAAAAAAAAAATAGAAAACCCCAAAGGGGAATAAAATATAGGAGCAACTGGACTATGTGATCGTGCTGCCTTTCTCCACTTGGACTTTCTCCTTCTAGAACTAATCCCTGTGGTGTCTGGGCCAGTGATTCTCAAACTTTAGTGTGTGTAGCACTCACCTGCAGAGCTTGCTAAACATGCACCTGTGGTGTTCATGCTGCAAATGGTCTGCTTACTACAGTTTGAAAAACACTGTAATAGGTTTTGATTTAATGAGGTAGATATTTCCTTTAGACTGCAGTAAGTGGTTGATCTTACAGGATCTAAATAGACTATATTACTAAAGTATTAAGTTTGAATAAGGCTCTGATGCCATAAAAGCAACCGAGGCCCTTGGGGCCCACCACATCACAGTTCCTGTTGATTAAAATTGGGCTGAGAAATGAGTCCTTATCCAGAATCCAAACTCCCATAGTTTTCCTGTGTAACATTCTTGATCAAAAGACTCCTTATCAGGGTCATTAGCTTAAAGGGTTCCTAATCCCAGGGTTCTATCCAAAGTGCTTTGTTCCCTACTATTCCCAGAGAGACTTTTTCCTCTTCTTTATCTGAGTGGTCAATTTCCATTGAGTAATTGGTGTTTCTAACCCAACCCCAACCCTTGAGAGTTCCTGAACTCTCAAAACAGAAACAAAAGAAAGGAGAGAAACCCTTGCCTTACCAGGGTCCAGAAAGTTCTGACATTCTCCAGTAGCACCATAGTTCAGCTCCGGTGGCCCTGCCTGTGGGATCCATGCCTCTGCTACTGGGGCCTCCTGGGCAGGTCCCATTACCTGGAGTGCAGGTGACTCTAGGTGCATGGTTGGTGGTATGTGTGCCGTTCCCACTGGTGCCAGTTCTTCCAAGAGCATGTCATGCATATCAACCTGGGGGAAATGCCAGAACCATCACTCTCAAGTCTAGACCAACAGTGCCCAGTAGAATTGTATGAGAATCATGCATGTAATTTTAAATTTTCTAGTGGCCATATGAATAAATTTTTTAAAAAGTAAGGCCAATCTTAATAGTACGTGTTACTTAATCCAGTGCAAACAATCAGGATTTCAACATGTAATCAATATGAACAATTATTAGTGAGATATTTCACCTACTTTTTTCATACCAAGTCTTCTGCATGTGGTGTGTATTTCATACTTACAGCAGATCTCAATTTGTATTGGCCATATTTCAAGGGCTCAAGAGCTGTACATGACTAGTAGTGACTGTATTCAGCAGCAAATGTCTAGACCACATGAAGATAAAATCTTATATAGTAAACAAAACCAAGGAGACAGAGAAAGGAAGGGCAACCACCAACCCAAGTACCCTAGGGAGACAGAAAACTTCAGAAGACTCCTGTTCAGGAGCCCTGAAGCTAACAGCTCCTGCAGAGAACCCCCATAGACAAGACTGGAGTATCCCTGATGCCCATCTGGAAGCTCCTGCTCCCTTTTCCCAAAGATACTGCCCTCTCTCAGTCACGGCACTTCTGAAAAGAGGCTTTACACAGTCATTCTGAATGGCAGACAGTGCCACTGTCCCCATGGGGAGTTTTGGATATGCTGACAGGTGGTGGCTATCAGAATTTAATGGAACATAATTTACAATGCAGAATTGTTCTAGGTCCCTACCAAGTGTGGAATGTCCCACTCAAACATTCATGTGAGTAAAAAGAACCTGTCAAGAACCCCACCTTGTTGGTCAAATAAGTACAATTGTTTGTTTTGTTTTGCATAGTTTCAGCACAAATGAAATTTTCTAGGAATGCACTAATGTGAAAAGCAAAGACTACACTGCTTATTGTTCAGATTTACCTAGAGTCGTATGCCATTTTGGAAAATCACATGACGAGGAGCAACACTGTTCGTAGTACTTGAGCTTTATCAGTCTGAATTTCTGGC
The DNA here is from genome assembly GCF_000001405.40 of Homo sapiens. Classification (NCBI taxonomy): domain Eukaryota; kingdom Metazoa; phylum Chordata; class Mammalia; order Primates; family Hominidae; genus Homo; species Homo sapiens. The sequence continues at coordinate 135,348,095 of NC_000023.11, read as the reverse complement.
TGTCCCATTCACAATGATTCTAAGCATAGATGCAAACATCTGACAACTTCATGACATTCGGTCAGGCCCAAGCACATATATGTACAAATCCCTATCAATTTATAACAAACTATGTTTCTTTTCCTTTATATTCCTTCTAGACTTGATTCAGGGTTGGCAAACTTTATAAAGAGCCAAATAGTAAATATTTTAGGCACTGTGGGGCACATTCACTGTCAGTTCTTCTCCTTCCTCTTTTTTTCAATGACCTTTCAACAAGATAAAAAAACCATTACATACAGAGTATACAGATAAACAGGGTATGGCTAGAATTGGCCTTCAGGCCATGGAGCAATTTACTGATGCTTTGGGTTGATGTATGTGGGTAGATTATGTTGTCTATCAATTTCATTTGTGCATAGTAAAGTGGACATTATAAACTATTTGTTATAGAAGGGGAATTGAGTCTGATAGAGTTAAAAGCACTGACTCATTTGCTGAGTTCAGCAGAAGAGAAAAAGGAAGAGGACTCTGGAGAAATCTTGAGGCTGGGGAATGACATAGAGACAAATGTGTGGTCTAGTCCCAGCTGCCTCAGCTACTTCCTTTGGACCAATCACAAAGATCCCACATTCTTTTCTTACCTGCTGCTCTGGTATCTCAAGTTCTCTCTGTAAGTCTTCTATCAGTGACACAACTCTTTCTCTATTCTCTGGGCAGTGCTCCCTCACCCAGGTCTCTATCTCTGTGGGCAGGATAGTTAGGAATTGCTCCAACACTAGCAGCTCCAGGATTTGTTCCTTAGAGCGCATCTTTGGCTTCAGCCATTGACAGCAAAGCTCCCAGAGTTTGTTAAATGCTTCATGAGGCCCAGCTGCTTCTCTGTACTGGAACTGCCTGAAGCGCTGACGGAAAACTTCACAGTCAGTATCATATTCTTGAAACACAGAGCCTTGATTCAAGGATGCCTGGATTGCACAACCCAGGGCCACAGCCATCGCCCCCTTCCAGCAGTTTACAGTTTATCTGGAGCCTCACTTCTCAGATTCCGACTTGTTTCTCTCTGAAATCGTTGGGGTGGGAGGGAGCCACCTACAGCTAAGGACAGAAAAAAATGAGAAAGGAGAAACAGGAGTGGTCACAAGAGGGCTTACTTACCTCGGTCAACTTCTTTTTTACCAAAGAACCTGTTAACTTCTTTTTTACCAAAGACCTAAAGTAGTTCTTTATTTTTCTCTTGGTTTTGAGAATCTGATGAAAGCTTCAGACTCACTTCCTAGAAAAATACACATACACATCCTTTTCTGCATCTAGTTTCAAAAGTTTATAAAATCTCAAAGCCTCTAGAATTGCGCTTGCTGTCCAATATGGTAGCCAACAGCCCCATGTGACACTTTAAGTTTAGTCAAAAATTTAGTTTCTCAGTAATATTAGCTAAATTTCAAATGCTTAATAGACTTCACTGCAAAAAGGTCTATTGGACAGTTCTGCTCTAGAATTCCATGGTCCCAGGCTAAGGACCGTGAATTTATTAATAAATGAACCCTTATAGATCTCTTTGCATTTAACCCATTCCCAGTTTAATTCCAATTGTCATGTGTTTCTGAATATATGTAGATCTCAAAAGAAATGGCGAAGGAATACTAACAATACTTCCAAAAAACTCTGAAAGTCCATCTAGCTTTAAGTATCTCCTAATGGCCTTCGACCAAAGTGAACTTAGGTAGAGCCATGGTTTGCAAAGGCAGCAAATTGTCCATCTCTCATTCTTGTCCTCACCGAGTCTGCGTAATTCCCCCAGTAACCCCATGCCATTCCTTCCCCACTCCCCTCCACCATAGCATTCCAAGAGGATCTCCTATGTGAAAAATACACTGCAATAGGGAGGCCATTAGGAATTTGCTATGCATTCACAACAACGGATATTTATTGAGTTCATGCTATGTGCCAGGTACTGTTCTAAGCATTCTACATATACTTGTCAGTTAACCCTCACCCAAGGTTAGGAGCTGGGTACTAGTATTATCCCCTGGATACAGATGAGGGAATTGAGGTTTGAGGCTTAGGGGGATTGAACAACATGTCTAAGGTCACATGGTAAATGCCAGAGGGAAATGGTGATTACGTCAAAATCTATATTCTCCAGCAATCAAAAGGTCTAAAAACATCAAAATGTTCTTGGTATAGTCTTTGAGGTCACAGAGACAGTCACATACATGTTTCTACAGGTCTCAAGACCTGTATCTGCCCATGTGCCTTGGGTCCTCTCTCTCTGCATGTGCTGAGACAGCTGCTGTAGTTGTCCTCTTCTCTGGAGGGGATTCAAGGGAAAAAAAGTACTCATGACTCTCTTCCTCCCCAGTCAACCTAAATCAGCACTCTGTCCTTGTATCCCCCTTTACCATGATGGTAGCCCGACTTTAGCAGATCGGTTTAGGTATAATAACCTGCTAGCTGTGTGACCCTGACACCCAGTGCCTCTTTTGTAACAGAAGATAATCATAGCATCTACTTTATAAAATGTTCTGCATGGATCCAATTGCATGCGAAGCGAATAGCAGCATGCCCGGCACAGAGGAAGCACTCAATTAAAGTTTATTGCTTGTCAGGAGTCATTCCTAGGGGGCCTCTATTTCCCAGAGTCTAGGCACCTAACCGTTGCTGGAGGGCATCCAGGAACTGTGCTGTTTTTGGCTCTGGACCCACCCGTTAATCTGCGCCAGCCTCACAGCTGGTCAGCCCTTCCCTGACTGACCCAAAACCTTCCACCACGTCTACCAGGGAATTGACCCTTCGGGTTTCCTTCGATGGACCCTTCCCAGAGAAACGTTCATTTCACTGTGGGACCAGTGATTTCTCTCCAAACCTTCTCGTAGGGAATCCACCCTCATGGGGCCTATAAGAAAAGCGATGTGTGTAAAGAGAGCACTTGAGGAACGGCAAGAGTGACACGTCCCTAAAAAGTGTAAAAGCTGATTCAAATTCGGATGCTAGTGTCTCGGGCGCGGCCCCTGTTCGCTCTTGGGCGACGAGGCCCCGACGCCTGGAGGGGAGCTCCCAGCCCAGAAGGACTCCCGGGAAGGCCCGGTCGGGTCGCAGGGAGTGGTGGCGGGGACCCTGGCCGGATAGGGGCCCACCGCCCACCACTCCTTCCGGCGCCCGCCGCCCGGGGCACAGCTGGAATCACCCAGTTAGCATGGCCCCGGCCACGGAAAGGAGCCCCGCTACCCGCGCCCGCGCCCCAGGGAACGGCCACGCCCTCTGGCCGCTCGGGGACTCACCGCCTCAGCGCCCACGGTTCTCCCAAGCTCACCGGCAACTGCCCAGGGCGCAGGCGCGGGACTGCGCTACGGACTACATCTCCCGGCAGGCCACACGCCGCCCGCCGGGCTGTGCGCCCACAGGGATGCTGACGTGGGAGGGGCTGGGACTCTTCCTGGCTTCCAACCAGCCTCAAGCTGTTTTGGAAGGGCTCCCGTTTCCTGTTTAAGCGCTTCTTAGTCGCAGGGTGTTGGGTGGGGCGAACCCCGGGTCGTGATCCAAATGAGCGCTTCTCCTTGAGCCTTGGAGTAACTGGAGCGGGTGGGGACCACCTTTAAATCTGTTACGACCCGGTCAGTGATTCTTAAACCTGGCTGTGTGGGGAGAATTTGTAGGGAGAGCTTGTTAAAAAGTCGTATTTCGGGGCTCCACCCGCTACCCTGACGCATTGAATCTCACAGGAACCCGGGGATTCGCATTTTAATAAACCATCCTGGAGATTTTGACTCCGGTCGTCCGCCTGCAGTTCACAGTGGCTTTGGATTTGCTTTTTAGTATCCCCATCTTCAAGACCTAAGCTTCGATCTAGCGAACCCGCCCATTACCCTCTGCCTTCAACAGCCACGGAGGTCTCTGGGGTTAAGGTTTGCCTGCGGGCCCCGCCTCTTGTCTTTCAATTGGTCCCTCGCTGGTCCCGTCCTGGAGCCAAATTTTCTTTTCTGATTGGTCAGCTGCGAATTGTGGCTAGACCTGATCCAATGGCCGCTTGATACAATGGTGTCGTTCGGGAAACGCAGCCCTAACGTTGGTCCTAAGCTGACAAATTGGTCTGTGGACGCCAAACTTCCGTGCTAGGACTTTCTGCGTGTGGACCGGGGGCCTAGTCCTGCGTGGGTCCAACACAGACAGGAGAAAGCTGCCTGCTTTTGTGCCTCCCGGAGGTCCTGGTAGAAGCGAAACGGGGACAGGAGCTGCAGCGTCCCAAGCCCAGTGAGGCGAAGCTACTGGAGACAGCTCTGCCGGGTCCAAAGTTGGGCTCACCGGCTGGAACTTGAAACCGGAGCACGCCGGACTCCTGCTGAAGCCATCATCTCTCTCTCCTGGCCCCGGGCGCCTTGGCCGGCGGGCACAACTGGTTTCGGGGCCAAGGTGGTCTGGAAGCCTGACTGTGGCGTCTGGCCTGGGCTCCCGCGAGCGGAAAAGGTTCCCCTCCTGTGAGAGGGAAACTATGGAAGTTCCTACGCCCGGAGCCAGAACTCCTGCTGCTCCCGCCCGACCCAAGGTCTAGCTTGGCGGCCTCCCACCTGTGCTTCTGAGGGTTCTGCTTCCAAGAGGCTGCTGGTGCCCGGGACACCAGCAGTTTCGCCATGGGTGTTTCGCCATGGGAGTTTCGCCATGGGTGACTTTGGCCTGAGATGCGCTCCATGGAGCAGATTCTGGAGTTGCTGGTGTTGGAGGAGTTCCTGACTATCCTGTCCCAGGACATCCACAGCAGGGTGCAGAAGCTGCAACGGGCGAGCTGTGAAGAAGCTGTAACTCTTTTAAAGTATATGTATGACTTTTAAAAGAGAGAGCTTGTGAAACTGAGGGAATAGGTGAGTGAGAGAGAGGTTTTATCTGCCATCTTCCTCAAGGAGGCCCAGCCTCCCCTTTATTCATAGGGTTCTGGGTCTGGTGGGTCCAGAGGACTGAGACATCTCGCTGTCTTAATTCCCCATTCAGATTTTCTTGATTGCCCTGAGTAGACCTTACACGGGCCAGTGATTTTTTGTTGTTGTTGTTGTTGTTGTCTTCTCTGGAACCTTCATCCTCCAGATTTCCCCCCAGTGCAGTGAAGAGTGTGCTATTGCTTTTGGTTTCCACGGGGAGGCAGTGTCGCTGTCATAGTGTCCGCTCTGGAGGTAGATCAAAGGGGGCTTTCAACTCCTGGCTCTGCTCCCTACTAGCTGTGCGACTTTGGGCAAGTGACTTTTGCTTGGCTGGGCTTCACTTTCTGCACTGGTCAAATGCAGAAAGGGTAATAGACCCTTCTGGGGTTGTTTGGAGGATTAAAGGGAGAGCAGTATGTCCGTAATAATCGCACTGCTGGCACACAGCTAGTGCTTGAAACTGTGAGCTGCTGTTAGGTTAGGGGCAGCAGTCTGGTCTCCTCTGCAGAGATGGGTCTCAGTTAATTGTGAACTTAAACAGTTTGGCACTGAGGCTTTGGGGTCATTGCCCCAGGGCCACCCAAGTAAGCTTGTCTAATTGAGAGGAACAGGAGCAGCTGGAGAATGTGGGGGAGGAACCGAAGACCTATGGGGGACATGTGTGTACTGAAATGGGCTTTCTCCCCACACCCTCCACACAAGCACATACACACATTCACTCTGGGTCATGGCATCATAAAAACCTTGAGTTTAAACCATCCCTTTCTCTTGTTGGGTCCAAATGGACAGACTCTGGTTTTCTATTGAAGATTTACACGCAGATTCCTGTCATAATTTTTCTTTTCTATCGAGCCCTGTCATGATGATAAGTGATAGCAGGTTGGTTCCTAGATCATACACCATGGACCTAGCACAGAAGTGTTTTCAGAAGAGCCTTTTCCTTACAAAACAGCATGAAAGTCATTGAGCCAATGGATACTGAGATTTCAAACTGGAGCCAATGGATACTTAGAGGAGCCCTGAAGTGTAGAGTAGTTGCTACTTCTTGTTCACTAGGTCTAATTAGCATGTCATCAGTGTAACAGACTAGTGTGTTGTCTTGTGAAAGAGAAAGGTGATAAGATCCCTGTGAACTAAACTATGATGTAGGGCTTGAAAATTGATATACAATACGCCTGAGGTAGGATGGCGAAGGTGTATTCCTGGTCTTACCAGCTGAAAGTAAATTGCTTCTGGTGGTCTTTACTAACAGTTATTGAGAAAAAAAGCATTTTCAAGGTCAAGAGGTACATACTAGGTTCCAGGGGATATGTTAATTTGCTCAAGAAATGAAACCACATCTGGAACAGCAGCTGCAATTGGAGTCATCACCTGGCTTAGTTTACAATGACCCACTACCATCTTCCAAGATCCATCTGCCTTCTGCATAGGCCAAACAGGTGAGTTAAATGGGGATGTCTGCATATTTGAAGTCACTGATGGTATTACTAATCTCTTGCAATCTCTCTAGGAGTATGGTATTGCTCTTGGTTTGCTATTTTCCTAGGTAAAGACAGTTCTAGTGGCTTCCACTTGCGTTTTCCTACCACATTAGTCCTCACTCCACAGATCAGGGAAATAGTATGAGGATTCTGTCAGTTGCTGAGTATTTTTCTTCCAATTATACATTCTGGAACTGGGGAAATAACCATAGGATAAGTTTAGAGACCCGGAGGACCCATTGTGAGACAAAGCTGAACTAAAACTCCATCAATCCCCTGACCACCATAAACTGTTAACTCTGACTGGTGAACTGCAGTGACATTTTGAGGCTTTTGGAATCAGTGCTAGTTCAGAAGCAATATACAGTAATCGCTGAAAAGTTTGATTGTTTCATTTTCCCTACTGCACATTCACCCCTAAAGCCATAGATCTCTTTGGGGAAAGCTGCAGAAAATTAGCAGTATATATTTTTGGCAGTGGAGTGGAGTGGAGTCCTTCTTTATTCATAGGGTTCTGGGTCTGTAAATTGACTCAAATCTGGGAATTGATCGAAGGGCTAGGACTATTTTGGTGATTCAGGTTAGACTTCTGTGCACTCAATCTAGAACTCATCCACTTATATATATCAAGGAAGAATTTAGTAGACTGCCATCTGTTTCTCTTCAAGGGACACCATGACCAACTAATCAATGCCATATGTCCCTGTGAGTCAGACTATTCTTATTGCTGCATTGAATCTGCTGCCCATTACAGTAACTATGCACACTTTGTCTTTGTCAATTAAGTGCCCCCACTTGGCCCCTGCCACCCCACAATCCAGCTATCCTCATTACATTTAATTATACCGGTTCAGTGGCAGTAGTTTCCTCTAGAATTTCTGACCTATAAAGAAGAGCAATTACAAAACTTTTTGGGGTTGCAGGGGCTCCTCTCACAAATCTGTTTCTCAGTCACGAGACGTATGTTTTTTGGACCCTCCAACATGGGTGAGCAGATCAATCCACTTTAACGTTTCATGGGCTGGGCACAGTGGCTTACGCCTGTACTCCTGGGCAGAACAAGTAGAATCCAGTGACACCCCTCCCCCATAAACACACACTCACAGAGTCCCCGGACACTGTGCCTGCTCTAAGATTTGGATTCCTAGCAATATCAAGGTACTTGTTCTTCTGAATTCACTTATAATTTCTATTCTCTATTAGTCCCTTTAGACCCTTCCTCAAAGATTAAAATTTCAGGGGCACTGGCATCAACATTTTAGCTTATCAGCTGTCACAGGCTTTAAAAATTCAGAAAGGAGGGTCTTGTGCTCAGAGATTATCATTAAGCATTACTACTTATAATTTTGGGGATTTGGAATCGAGGAATATATCCAAAATGGGGAGATTGTCTAAAAAATTAAGATGCATTGATTTGATGAACTATTATGTAGAGATTAAAAATGATACCCATAAAATATGACCAAAAGCTAATCATTGGATTGTGGTGGAGGGTGTACAGGTGTTTACTGAACAGTTTTTCCAACTTTTCCATATGTAGGAAAATCCTCATAGAAAAAAGCTTGGGAAAGTCTAGAAAACATAAAACAAGACCTAAGTATGACATAATTTCTACATTGGAGCACACATGAAAAGAAAGAATAACGCTTTAGTTTGTTTTCATGTATGAAGTGCATAAAGTGAATCACAACTGTAAAAGCATTTGCACTAATTCTGAATTTGTCTCTCTTCATTGGGACCATCTCCACATTCTTCCTATCACTGTTTAAGTACTGTGGTGCCCAAAGTTGTGCACAGCTCTTTCAGTGACTGCTGTGTATGGAGAGAAGTTCAGAGCACAATTTCTTAGAGCTAGACTTGTGTTTAAGTATACATTTGCTGAACCTCAAATCTTTCGGAGAGATATAGATGCTGATATCTGACCCATAGGAGGGAGTAGGGCTCTTCTAGAGCTGGGCAAGGTGGAGCGAGGGAGGGGGCTGGGCACAGGGTAAATATGTACTGTCAGGCAGGCTGTACACTGCACAACTCCAGGATATATTGCATGTGAATGAATCTACTTTAATTGCAGAGTGCACAATATGTGTAAATGTATGCAGCGACCCTGGAGGGAGGCTTGGGAAAGAAGTGGGGAGTATTGAGACAGGAACCATGAAAGGTTGGGAATTCCGGAGCATAATGGCATGCTGCCCCACATCCTACTGGTAGCTCTGGGAGTGAGACCTGCCCTCAGTGCCCCACACCAACAAGAGGCAGCAACAGGAGTTCAGAAATGACAGCCTGGTATTTAGGAAAGAGAGGTCCTGCCACAGTGCTGTCAGATTCCCTATGGGTCATTTGTAGCATGAATGAGTTCCAGCTGCAGGCCCAGAAAGAGAATCCACAGAGGCACTGAGAAGACTGGTCAGCAAGACAAGGACCAGGACTTGAAAGAGAATGGTTCAGAGTATGTAGCTGTCCTGACTAGAGGCCATGATGGAAACCATCAATACCACCATCTGTGTGCCAAAGGCCAGGAAGAGTCAGTCTTATCTGTTGAAGATAGAGGGGAAAATGGCAAACACTCAAAGACCAAGGGAGATGAGGGAGCAAAAGGGACAGGCCCATCCTCCTTGCTGCAGTCATCTGTAGCCAGACAATTTCTTGGGGAGGAAGACGAGGGGAAGAAGAGTGAGAGTCAGAAGAGGAGTTGAAGGAGAAGGAAGTGAGGATTGGGTAGGGAGAGAGGGAGAGAAGGGAGAGGAGGACAAGAAGGAGAAAAGCAAGGAGAAGAAGTAAAGGAGGAAGAATAGCAGGAGGGAGGTGAAGAGAAGGGGGCATGAGGAGGGGATGAAGAAAGAGGAAAAGGGGGAAGGATTAGGAGGGAGAGTAGGGAAGGGCACATGAGAGGGACAGGGCAGCCTTCATAAGGATATTGGACTTTAAATCTACACAACTGAAATCAAGAACAAAATAAGCAATTAATTGCCTAAAAGTGATTATATTTTAAACCAGAAGGAATTGAGTCACCTTAAAGTGGCAAGGTTTGGTAGTTTCTTCTATCAGTAGAAATAAGAGTTTATGAGCATGTTGAGATGAGTTATAAAGAGAGTCACATTTCTGATCAGCTCAGTTGTTACTTCAAATTACAGATCTACTAGAAAGTGTCAACATCTGCAGAGTTTCCAAGTATTGCCAAAATGCTTACATGTACATTAGGAAATTTCTCTAGCTGAACTTCATGAAACAGCAGTTTTACAATACCTTATCAGCTATTATATGGATGAAAGTTCTCCATGCTAAAACAAAATTAAGAAAACCTGAGTTAAAGAAAAGAAATATGTACTTGTAATCGCATGCTTTCTTGGAATCTTTGGTACTGATGGGTACCATCTGCTTCCATCCTCTGACACCCCCTCAGGTATACAGTGCCCTCAGGCTGCCCCAGCTGTCTAGAGTCCTCTCTACCCCAGATTGCGGAGACAATTCTGAGTCTACCTGTCTTGTGCAGAAGCCAGGAGACAGAAGACAGTGCAGAACAGGAAGGGGAAGGAATGTTCTCTGAGAGAGGAACAGGTCTGTTGAGTGCACCTTTCCACAGATGCACCCAACCCCCAACTGGAATAACTGTTGCTTCCTCCTCTGCTCATTGTGTCTCTGATCCCTCCCCATCCTGCGAGCTCTGTCTCCTGCTGCATCAGTGACCTTCCTCCTCCTTGCATCTCATCCCTCTCTCACATGACAGTAGATCCTTCACCTCTCAGGGCTTCTCAACCCCCAAAATCCTCAAATTGCATCATCTTTCCTCTCTGCTTACCTCACACACCAAATTGACATGAGATGCACCCTGTCCTTGCTCCCTCTCCTTCTTGACCCTTCCCTGCCTCCTTTGCCCTGAGTCTAGAGCTGACGCCCTCATCCTACTGGCCTGCTTTCCAATGACATAAGGGAACATCTCGGTAGTGAATGCCACTTCTTCTTAGCAGTTTTCCTTCACATCTCACCTCTCAGAAGCATTTGACGACTGCTTGGAGAATTCTCTTTGCATTTAGGATTCCAATATTTACCTCCTCTGACACCATTTACCTAATGCACTCCTCCATTCCTGCCACCTACATGTGGGTGTCTTCAAGACTCTGTCCTGAGCAAAAAGAAGGTACAATTGAAAGTTTTCACGTGATTCCAGTTTTATAACAGGAAAAATGGGTAGGTATGTAGAGAACTGAGTAGAAGGAAATATATAAAAATGTTTACAAATATTTTAAAAAGTAAAAAATGAATAAAAGTAAAAATTTGAGTGGTTCTCTCTGGATAATTGACATTATGGCAGTATAGTTCACTCTTTATTCTCTGCTTTATGCCATTATGAAATTATGAAACTAAAAGGCCTCTGCAGTAAGAAACCAGCTTTGTAATCAGAAAGAATGCACTTATTTTCAAATAAAATTAAAAACACAGGTTACAAAAACAAAGTAATAACAGTGTAATGACTGTAAGTTGAGAGAGAAAAAATTATATACATTGTATATATGTGTGTGTATACAAAGTAAGGACAAGAAGAAAATAAAGCAAAATATGAAAAGCATTTTGTTTAGATAGCAAGAAAAAAGTTAATTTTCCTTATCTTCATTTTCAACATACCTTTAATGAATATCTGTTTACCTGCCCCCACACGCAGATAAGTTCCATGTCATTCTAGGTGCTGTGGGGTTAAGGGCCCTCAGGCTACAGATAACACACACCTAGTTCCAATCGTGCCTCTGCAACTTACTAGCTGTGTGTCCTTGGGAAAGAACTTCAAGGACTTCTTTGCAGGTATCTGATTAGTGGAGGTCCCTAACAACTTAATGACATTGGCCAATGATTGAATGTAAAGCACAGAAATCACACTTGAAGAATAGTCTCACTGTCAAGGGATCCCCGAACAAAGGCTCCTGTGGTTTACAAACCTGGGAATAAGGAGAGGGGAAGGTCTGGAGTGAAAAAGTTCTGAGTACTGAGCCAGCATGGAGAAAGGTGTCTTGAAGATTTCTTTTCCTCTCTCCATAAGGAAGTTCAGGCAGAGGCACCAGGGCTAAAGGCCCCGGATAAGTGGGCTAGGAGTAGGGCTAGGGCTAGGAATGCAGATATAGGTAAGAGGATGGCTGCCTGGGTAGGGGACTGAGCCCTTGACTGCAGCTCCCTTTGGACAGTGCAGTGCATTGGCTGTGGACCACCTCTGATGTAAGGAGGGCAGCCTTTCACCCAGATCATGAGGGCTGCCTAAAAAGTCACTCATACGTTTTTGGCCAGGAGCCAGACTCCTCAGATATGGTTAGATATTTCATTCCATTTTCCTTTGAACATGTTCGTGCATATTATGTACCACAGTCTTTGTCTATTTGGGCTGCTATAACAAAATACCTTTGACTGGATAATTTATAAATAGCAGAAATTTATTGCTCACAGCTCTGGAGGTTGGGAGTCCAAAATCAAGGCACCAGCAGATTTGGTCTCTAGAGAGGCTTCACTCCTTGCTTCATAGATGGTGCCTTCTTGCTGCATCTTCACATGGCACAAATGGGTAGGGGACTCACTCAGGCCTCTTAAAAGGACACTAATCCCATTCCTGAGGGTACAGCCCTCATGAATTAATCTCTTCTCAAAGGCTCCACTTCTTAATACTATCACATTATTAGGTTCCAACATATGAATTATGTGGGGACAGGAATATTCAGACAGCAACCACAGTAACAAAAAGGTTACTTTTTCTTAATGAAGAAAACATAAGGATAGTATTTAATGATGCGAGTTTAGGTGGGAAGCAAAAACAAAAAAAGGATAAGTTGGTGATTACCATAAAATTCAGGATAGTGGTAACCTTTAAGAGGGAGGGAGAATATTGTGATTAAGAGGGGCCAGGTGTGAGATTTCAAAGTTGCTGGCAAGTTGTATTTATTTATTTGGATGGCAGTTCCAGGTTTTACTTGCGGTGGATCATTGAGCTGTGTATACCTGTGAAGTACTGGTTTATCCATACACACAGACATGCATATAGCACAATTATATATGAGTATATGTATGTGGGTGCTCAGGACTTGGAGGTGAAGTCTTTATATACCATGCCAGGGCAGGTAAAGCACAAGCTCAGCTTTTGATCTGTTTTCTTCTCCCAACACTCAGAACACAACTCACTCATCCTGCCAAGGAGAGTAAAAGGCTTCATCATTTCCTTGGATTTACCTTGAATGTTGATCCTAAGTCACCATAGCTGTGAGGTAGGGACAGTGTCCTGGAGACTAAATTGGCTAGAGGGGCAGAAGGGGAGTGAGAAGGCAACTTCAGGGAGGCATTAGGTAAGTCCTGGTGGTCGAGCTAGAGCAAGCCAGGAGAGCAGTGCCTCCCAGAGAAGGGGCATTCAGGAGCTGCTCCCCGTGATGCACTGGAATAGGGAAAGGGGATAGTCAGTACTCTCCATCGAACTTAGAAGAAGATCCCAAACCTTCTCAGATATAACAAGGTCCTAGGAGAAGTTGGCCCTGCCTACTTCTCCCAGTCTACCTCCTCTCAAACTTCAACCTCTCATCACTGCCCCAGCCATTCTGCCCTCCTGTTCTTTAATCCCCATGAGGTCCTTTACTCACACACATTCTTTTCTCAGACTGGGAAGTAAAAAGAAGTAGGTCCTTGCAGCAGTTGGGACTAGAGGGTTTGTAGAGTTGCTTGGGGTCAAAACAGAGGTTAGGGGTGAAGAGGATTTGGAAGGTGCTGCCACTGCTAAGAGGCCCAGGAGTAGCAGCATACAGGGAAGGTAAAGAGGTAAAGATTCTGGACCTCCAATCTTCTCTGGGCCATGTGCTCCCTCATAACTGTGGTCCTGGGGGTAAATGTGAGGTTAAAAAGAAAGTATTTCAGGCACTGGATTCCCTGGCACTAAGAAGAAATAGTATTAGCATGCACATGTATAATAAATATACATGACACACTGGGCGATGATCAGAGACCCTGCACTGGAATCATGCAGCTGTGTGTTATGATCATCGCCTAGAGCACAGGCCCCTCCATACACAGCAGGGAGCCCCTTCATCTTTTTTCCTTCAAGCTGGCACTAGCTTGAAGTGGAGTGAGAGAGAGTAGGGCAGCCCATAGAAAAGATGGAGGGAGAGGGGGTCCACCCCTTCCTGGTTTCATTCCTACTTCTTGTTCCTGTTCCTTTTCCTACCCCTAGAAGGCCGAGCAGTGGTGGGCATTGTGCTGCTTTCTTTGAGAGCCTTTGGGAATGATCAAGGATCTCCCTGCATATTTGGCATTGGTTCTTCAGGCACAGGACAACGGATGTTGGTCAAGCTCCACAGGAAGTGAACTTATCAGACTAGGACTGTAAGCCCCTAGACAAACCAAAGGAAACCAGAGGCCTGGAGGCATCCTAAGGCTGATGAGTGTGGACATGACTGGTCCTCTGGAGCAGGCCCAGGGAAGGGTCACTCTCTACCCCAACCTGGCCTGGGGGAATGGCATCATAGATTGCTTGGGGTAGAAAGTGACCCCTCCCACTATTATACCAAAAAATCATTTACAGATTTTCTCTTTTCCTTTCCGCCAAAATAGCAATTGGGTGGTTTTCAGGTTAAAGTCTTCAAGACAATATGCCTCTCCCATGGAACATATCCATGGTTCCATTAAATTAGAAACTGACAATGACCAATTGTTTCCTGTCCATTCTAAGCTGTTCAGGTTGCAGAACTGATAGCTGAGAAGGGGTGTTGAATAAGTAAGTAAACTGGATTATTAAGGGGGAATTTTAGTTTGCTGCTTCATAGCGATGAAAAGATGATTATTTCTGGAACTGAGGGGATTCACTGGGGTACCTCCTAGTACTCCTGTGTCCAGTTCTGATGTTCGTTGTAAAAGTGCTGCAATTCCATAATTATATCACCTCTAAAGACTGAGATTTTTTAGACTGATTTTTTTTGGGGGGAATTAAAACTTTGGTTGCCCCACCAGGTAAAGATCCACCAATATTTTGAGATTTTGGCAGAATTTGTTTTGCGGGAAGGTAGGTGGGATGATCTATTCTTTGTCCATCCCATGATATTGTGTAGGAAAATGTCTCATCAGCCTTAAGGTTACAATTTACAATTTAGATTTCAAGTGGGATTATGATAAAAAGTGACCTCACCCTATGATAATATAAGGGCTAATGGGACTTTGTGTGGTACCCTGTGCTAGGCAAAGGGTTCCTTCATCTGCTCAAAGCAACAGTGGGTGCTGGTTGTGGGAAAAGTGGTGGATTATTTTTTGTTATTCTCAGTTTGTTTAATCAGATATATCCTACTTCCTTCTCTATACTGCTCTGTTCCTCAGGTACTTGACACATAAAGGCTATATCACCTGGCCTTCCTTGCCCTCTGACTAGTGGGGCCAATGAGAGGCAGCAGGCATATGTATTTGGCCAATAAGAGGCAGCAGGCAGAAATTGAGGTGTGGAAGGAGAGAGTATTTCCATGACACAGAATAAAACACTCCAATCAGCCTCCGGTCCTGAGGTTCACCTGCACCAAGAATTTCTCTGTTAGGGTTACACATAACCTCCTCTAAGATCACTTAAGAATATTCTTCTTAGGAGAATCCCAGCCAAATTTTCTTTCTCTCTCTCTCTCTGCCTCTCTCTCTCTCTCTCTGCCAGTCACTCCCCTTTTGGATTTTTTACTTGTGATTCTGATTTCTGGAGCAACAAATCAAGCCCTCTCAGTGAACACTTAGAGACTACTTAATTTCCCCAGTAAGTTTGAGGTGAAGGGTACTTTCCTTCTGTAAACTTAGCATACTATACAACCTCCATGAAGTGGGGCTTCTCTGGTCTCCAGCCTACCCAGATTCTCCCATGTGTGTACATACTCTCACATGGGTGAATAGTGAGAGTTCATTCCACTGTTTGTGATTACCTTATTTACCAATTCTCTGTGGATGGACAGGTAACTGCCTGTGAGATGATGAGTAGTTGATATCAGTTTTTCTAGGAAGTCAGCCAAGTCTGAGACTAGATAGAGTACCAGTTGAACATCCTGCTACACTAGTTTGAATCTTTACTATCTTTGTATGTAACAAACTTGTCTTACTTAGTCCAATTGGGCTGCTATAACAAAACACCATAAACTGGGTAACATAATAAAAAGAAAGTCTATTGCTCCCAGTTCTGGAGGCTGGGCAGTCCAAGATCAAGATGCCAGCAGATTCAGTTCCTGGAGAGGGCTCACATCCGGGTTTATATAACAGTGCTTCCTCACATGGCAGAAGGGATGAATGAGCTCCTTTGGGCCTATTTTATAAAGGCACTAATCCTATTCATGAGGGCTCCACCCTCATGACCCAATCACCTCCCAAAGGCCCCACCTCCTAATACTATCACCTTAGGATTTCAACATATGAAGTGGAGGGGTGGGGAACAAGCCTTCAGAGCATAGCATAAGCACTACTGGACCCTTCTATGCTACTTGTTTTCTCACTCAATATGATGGTGAGATTTATCCATGTGTAACTATGCATCCTAATTTCTGTCTCTTCAGTTGTGTGGCCATGGGGTATAGGAGGTTGGCTGTTATCGGCCTCTGCTCCTGTGGGTTTTACTCCTTCTTGGCCTACCTGCTGCTCTTTCAGTCTCCATTCCCCACCTTTTCTCCTCCTCGCAGCCACTGTTTGATGCTGGACTGCAGGAAAATAGTCACCGATGCAGGAGTGTCCAGGCAGTGTTCCCACCAACAGTGCACCCAGGAGGCCCTTCTACCTTGTAGTCTCTAACCCCTCCCCATTTCATCCTACAGCCAGCTGCATCCTCTGAAGAGAGGCTGGTGGCTATTTTTTGGCAATATTGAATCAGAGCAGGGACAGAGAAGGCGACAGGGACAGAGAGGAGGGTGAAAAGGACATGGAAGGGTTAAATTTTCTACCTAACACAAATCTGGAAGAAACCTGGCTAAGGGGAGAGACAGTAACAGCGCCTTAGATGTAGGTGGAGGTGGAGAGACAGGAAGAGGCCTTGGGGAGTGCTGGACAGGTTGTGAGGACCCAGAGAATTTGGGAGGAGAGGAAGAGGGCACAGAAGGACTGCTTGCAGGCTTATTTTGCAGCTCACAGGAAAGGACAAGAGAAATGCTTGGAATTTGCAATGGCTTTAATGGTTGACCTTATGTTAATTTCATCTTACTCCTAACTTAAGCTTGCCCATATCCACCATGGCTCTGACCTCTTTGCAATCCCTGTCCCCTCTTCAGCTTGAGCTCTCACTTCTCAGTGACCAATTGCCTACATAATTCTCATTTCACTTGTCTCAGAGCGAATACCTGTATTTCCCAGTCCTTTAGCTTTTTTTTCCTGGAAGCCATGTCACAGTCTTGTTATCCTCTGGTTTAGTTCCACTTCAGTCAAATGAATTCTCTTCAATTGGCTGTGGCCTAAACAGATTTATTTCAGATGGCACAAATAAGTGCACCTGGGGATTCTACTTCTTTGGGGACAATGAGAAGAACAACTGCTTTTAGAAGGATCTGAAAGTATGCTGTTCCCTATATTAAAATGCCTTGTGCTCTAATTTTTTAATATTAAATAGAACCAAAAATCCACAATGCTGTAGTTTCTAAATGGTGCTCTCATGAGCATCAGAATAAAAAGGTATCCTAAACCTCCCACCCAACTCATGGGTTCATTATTCTCAAATATCTTTTCATCTGGGTAAGCAATTAGGTTTTAGAGGAGAACTGGATGGATATCTCTTCAAAATCGTTAGGGAGAGGAGTCTTGCATCCTTGCATGGCCTGGTACTAACCTAAGTACTCCCTTGCTTTGAAAAAAAAAGAAAGATTTATGGTGGAAGAAATCTGATCTGCAGCATGACCTGTATCTCCCCTGTGTCTGAGTGCTCCTGCACAGAATGTTTAGAATGAATAGAATCCCCTGTCCAGTGTAACTCAAGAAAGCCATATCAGCATAAAAACATATCAAACCAAAATAAATGAAAACACAGCTTCTATTTCAATAGCTGAAGCTAGGGAAGAATTTTATTCTAATACTTTTTAAAAAAAATTATTTTCCAAGATTCTGTGTAGGCATGTGCTTGTAAGTCACGTGATTTTTTTTGGCAAAGGCCAGCTCCACCCTGGCATTGCTCGTGTCAGCATCCACAACCACTTTGTCAGATCCACATCATTTCTGTGCCTCCCCAGTTGTCTACCGAGTAAAAAACTCAGCACATTGTTGGGGGACATGTTGGACTTTAAGTATTCATCTGCCTTCCTCCTGATATTTGGTGCAGGTGTGCTGGGACTGACTTCAGAGAGTCCTTTGTCCGTGACTGGTAGACTCCACGTTGCCTCAGAAAGACAGCACAACCAAGAAAGCCTGGTAAAAATGATGAAATCAAGATAACCAAGTGGACCCAGGGGTCTTTTCCTCACTGTCCACTATCACATCCCTATCACATCACCCCCACACACGCACACCCATACCCACACAGACACATACTAACACACTCTGCTACCAGCAGCAGTCATAAGAGATTGCTTTGGGCCATGATCTGATTTAAAATGCCAACGATACTATTTCTTTCATTCTGTCATACACACGGGTCTGTATCTAGAATCTGCTCTGTTTTATTGAGGCAATTTTCATCCCTGTTTTAATTTCTAAATCTATTATGTAGGTTTTCATGTCTTGTAGGCCAAGCTCCCTATCAAGGTTATTCCCATATGTGTTCTTGTCCTTTTAATTGAATAATCAGCTCATTTTGTTTCATGTCAAATTCATATGGAGGTTCATGACTGTGCTTGCACTGAGTTCACAGATTAAAATGGTGGCAGAAATGATATAGTAATTAATTTTTCAATCTAGAAATAATGGTATAATAGTGTCAAACAGGAAACATATAAAAATGTTTCATGAATAATTCTCAGTATTTAAAAAAATCATATTCAGGTATATCTGATGGCCAGTGTGAACTGGATATATTATTCCTATTATTTCATAATTTATTCTTAGAGGAGCATACAATATCTTCTTTTATGTGTTTAGCTTGTGTCTACCTTACATTTTTGTCAAACTGGGTGATTTCCTTGGTTGACAGAGGCAATTTTTCTGAATTCCTATTGTTAATAGATTGTTATATCAATAATGTGAAATAAAAAGCAGCCATTGAAAAAGATGATGGGGTTCTCTATTTAAAGGCATGACAGCACTTTGGGAGGCCGAGACAGGCAGATAGCCTGGGCTCAGGCGTTTGAGAACACCCTGGAAAAAATGGTGAAACCCCATCTCTACTAAAATACAAAAAATTAGCTGGGCATGGTGACATGTGCCTGTAGTCCCAGGTACTCGGGAGGCTGATGCATCACTTGAGCCTAAGAGGCAGCGGTTGCAGTGAGCCAAGATCATACCACTGCACTCCAGCTTGGGCTACAGAGTAAGACTCCGTCTCAATAAATAAATAAATAAATAATTTTTAAAAAGGCATGAAAAATATCTCTAAAAAGTGGTAATTGAAGAAAGAAACTTGCAAAACATTATGCATTTTATCATCCTATTTTTGTTTCTTCATGGAGCCATATATAAAAGTAAATGCAGAAAACAAGGTCTAGAAGAATTTACAGCATAGTGATGATGGAAGTTCTGGTATAGAAATGTAAGTTGGAGGACTGTAAGAAAGGAGTTGGGACTATCAGTTGTATAAGTGTCATTTTTGAGTGTATTTCCACAAAAAAGCATGAGAATATGTGTGCAAGCCAATTCTGTCAGTGGTATTTAAATGAAACAAGATTCTTCAGAGGTACAGATTTGAGACATGGACAGGCAACACTAAGGCAAGTTGACCTACAGTCATTGTCTCACCTATTTCTTCCAAAGGAATTGTTACACAAGGAGCGTGGTCAGAGGGAAGTCATCCAAAACCAAAAACCCACAAAAACATAGACAATGAACCTGTCAATGGAGTTCAAGGAAAGAGAACAGACGTAGCCAGGGAAAATTGTCAACCCTGTCTGTGACTTTAAGAGGTTCTCCTTGCATTGGGAAAGTGAAGAGGTGAAGACATCTATTGTCTAGTCCCTTAGGCTTCCTTGGCATCCTCTGTTTTACCAGTAATACAGTAATGAGAAGAATAACAACACCAGCAATACGAACATTACTCACCCTCCTCAGCTGAGCACTGTCTGCTTGCCAGGCACTTCTCTGAGGGCTTGACATGCAGAAACTCATCTAGCCTCATAACACCTTGAGGTGGGTGCAACTGTCATTCCCATTTATCTAGGGCAGGAGACAGGCACAGGAAAATCATGGAATTGGCACAAGGTCACATAGCTAGTATGTGGCAGTACCAGGATGTGAACCCAATTAGTTTGGGTTCAGAACTAATTTGTTTGGAACACTAAACATGGCCTCAGGGTCTTTACATGGTTCTACCTGGGGTAGAAGAAAACCTGGAGGACTAAGCCTTTCCTGCCACTCAAACAACAGAGTTTGTGACTTGGGTCACAAACGTCCCACTTTCAGGCACTTGTACCTCAATTTCCTCCCTTCTTATGTGAGACTGAGTGGGGAGCCAGTGTGGACAAAAGCCACATCTACTCATAATAGTCATTTTAGTTCCTCAGGGAAACAGCACTATAAAAAACACAAAGCTCTGTCCCCACCATTATCCCTCTGTCAGCCTGGAAAATTCATGTCCTGCCTCTGGACAATACCCATATGGGTCACACTTTAATGGTAACAATATAGTTATTCTAGATCAGAGACTTGGAAGGGAATATGGCTTGAAACATATGGGTACTCTCAGTCAAATTTCTGCAATTAAACACCCCATTTACATGAATTGTGTATTATAAAAGTGATAATTACAGTCATGACCAAAGCTGGGTGTAGAGACTGAGAGAGAAAAGGGAATACTACCTTGTACTGAGTTCTCTTGTAGCTTTCACTGGGTGATTGGATCTTGAAGTCAGAATTGCTGATCATTGCCCAGTGGACCTGTGGAAATGCAATGAATACTGTTAACAGATTTTGGTAACTCCTCCCACAGAAGTTACCAAAATATTTTAACAGTGTTCTTGGCCTGTTAACAGATTTTGCATGAGCCAGGGAATAGCTCTGAGGCCAAGATAACTGAGTGTCTAGGGAACAGATATTACAAAGTAATATCTACCCCCTCTGCCAGCACCTCCCACTTACTCACTGTATTCAGCCCTGAACCAGGAGTAACCCTGGTGGTAGTGGCTAGTGTTTAGTTCTTGTCATTGCAAATGGTAACAGGGTTCTCAGCTGCATTGTGAGTCATCATGACTCCTGTTGGCACTTAACCAATCATGTCCTGGGACTCAGAGAAACAATGTAGGAGAAAGAGAAATTAATTTTTCCTCTCTCTTCTTAACCCTCTCTCCCAGACCAATTGCTACTCCTTTGGGAACTGTGGCTGCTCAGTGGTCTGGGAGATAAAACATCTAGATACAACCAGATAATGTAGCATCTTTACTTGCCATCAACAAACTAATTGAACTCATGAACTCCACCCCTGCTGTATAATGGTAGGGTGGGGACTGTCATTTGTCCAAATTAGTAAAACATCATTACATACAGACATGGCTGAGAACACAGGCTCAAGAGACAGGTGGTCTGATTTTTAATCCAAGCTCTGTGGGATTTTGGGCAAGTCCCTAAACCTCTGTGATCTTCAGGTTCCCCTTTTGTATGGTAAAGATAACAATAGCACCATCATTCTTGGGAATTTCTGAGGATTATATGAGATGATGTGTTCGGAATTGGTGGGTTCTTGGTCTCACTGACTTCAAGAATGAAGCCGCGGACTCTCGCGGTGAGTGTTATAGCTCTTAAGGTGGCGCGTCTGGAGTTTGTTCCTTCTGATGTTCGGATGTGTTCGGAGTCTCTTCCTTCTGGTGGGTTCGTGGTCTCGCGGGCTCAGGAGTGAAGCTGCAGACCTTCGCGGTGAGTGTTACAGCTCTTAAGGCAGCGCATCTGGAGTTGTTCGTTCCTCCCGGTGGGCTCATGGTCTTGCTGGCTTCAGGAGTGAAGCTGCAGATCTTCGCGGTGAGTGTTACAGCTCATAAAAGCAGTGTGGACCCAAAGAGTGAGCAGTAGCAAGATTTATTGCAAAGAGCGGAAGAACAAAGCTTCCGCAGTGTGGAAGGGGACCCAAGTGGGTTGCCCCTGCTGGCTCAGGCAGCCTGCATTTATTCTCTTATCTGGCCCCACCCACATCCTGCTGATTGGTAGAGCCGAGTGGTCTGTTTTGACAGGGCGCTGATTGGTGCGTTTACAATCCCTGAGCTAGACACAAAGGTTCTCCACATCTCCACTAGATTAACTAGATACTGAGTGTCAACACAAAGGTTCTCCAAGGCCCCACCAGAGTAGCTAGATACAGAGTGTCGATTGGTGCACTCACAAACCCTGAGCTAGACACAGGGTGCTGATTGGTGTGTTTACAAACCTTGAGCTAGATACAGAGTACCCATTGGTGTATTTACAATCCCTGAGCTAGACATAAAGGTTCTCCAAGGCCCCACCAGAGCAGCTAGTTACAGAGTGTCGATTCGTGCACTCACAAACCCTGAGCTAGACACAGGGTGCTGATTGGTGTGTTTACAAACCTTGAGCTAGATACAGAATGCCGATTGGTGTATTTACAATCCCTGAGCTAGACATAAAGGTTCTCCAAGGCCCCACCAGAGTAGCTAGATACAGAGTGTCGATTGGTGCATTCACAAACCCTGAGCTAGACACAGGGTGCTGATTGGTGTATTTACAATCCCTGAGCTAGACATAAAGGTTCTCCACGTCCCCACCAGACTCAGGAGCCCAGCTGGTTTCACCCAGTGGATCCTGCACCGGGGCTGCAGGTGGAGCTGCCTGCCAGTCCCACGCGATGCGCTCGCACTCCTCAGCCCTTGGGTGGTCGATGGGACTGGGCGCCGTGGAGCAGGGGGTGGCGCCTCTCAGGGAGGCTCAGGCCGCACAGGAGCCCATGGAGGGGGTGGGAGGCTCAGGCATGGCGGGCTGCAGGTCTCGAGCCCTGCCCTGTGGGAAGGCAGCTAAGGCCGGGTGAGAAATCGAGTGCATCGCCGGTGGGCTGGCGCTGCTGGGGGACCCAGTACACCCTCCACAGCCGCTGGCCCGGGTGCTACGTCCCTCATTGCCCGGGGCCGGCAGGGCCGGCCGGCTGCTCCGAGTGCGGGGCCCGCCAAGCCCATGCCCACCCGGAGCTCAGCTGGCCTGCAAGCCCGCTCGCAGCCCTGGTTCCTGCTCACACCTCTCCCTCCACGCCTCCCTGCAAGCTGAGGGAGCCGGCTCTGGCCTTGGCCAGCCCAGAAAGGGGCTCCCACAGTGCAGCGGTGGGCTGAAGGGCTCCTCAAGTGCCACCAAAGTGGGAGCCCAGGCAGAGGAGGCGCCGAGAGCAAGCGAGGGCTGTGAGGACTGCCAGCGTGCTGTCACCTCTCAATGATATTACTAAAGCACTCAGAACAGTGGCTGGCATGCACTGGCTCTGAGCACTCTCTGCATGCCAGCCACTGTACTGAGTGCTTTAGTAATATCATCTCATTTAATCCTCCTCCCTTAGCATTTATCATGTGGTCACCTCAGCCAACCTCTGATTTAAGCAGTCACCATTGGATATACATTTCCTTGAAAGTGTGTCTCATCAGTAGGGTTGTTTCCCCTGCCTTCTTCCCATTTCCAAAGAAGACATCTTAGAGTAAGGCAAAGCTCATGGTCCTCACAGTAGCAGAAGGGGCAGGGCTCCTGAGTCTTAAGCTGGTCTCTACACCATGGCCGATGGTCAGGTCCTTGGCTATGGAATTGCTTGTTTTCACTCAGGAAAGGACATTCCATTTTTGTCCCTGAGATTTCTGCTAGCATCTGCTGTTGAGAACCTCAGCTGGGCTAACACAGCATGTACCGTATTCTCAGAGACCTAAGACAACTACGCTTGCAGCCATGCATGACCTCAATTCTGGTTCTCCTAATGTTAGAGCGTGGGCATCTGGGCCTGAAGCCCTGCTGCCGGTGATACTAATGGTGCTCAGGTGAGTCATGACCTTAAGTCACTTGCAACACTGTGAGATCCAATAGCCTACCGACACACTGACCTTCAGCCTCTGACTACAGTGTTACTGGTGTCACAGAGGTGTATGTGTCCTGAGGCAAGAAACTATATTTTTATTAGTGCACTAAGAAGCACTGATGTAATGTCCAATTCAAACAAGAGTTAGTATACTAACAGCAGCATCCTCTGTTTTAAAGTATAATTGTATACTGCACATAATTGTTGCAGCATTTATTATTAATTTAACAGGTATCCACACATAATAAGACAATGTCTCTCCATTACTTTGGAAATCAACTTTTTACTAGTTCAAATGTTTTCCACTTTACCTGGCCTGGATTAAGAACATAGTCACTAACATAAGGTAAATGTGTATCCAAGTTCCATTGCTGACACTTATAAATTATTTTTAGATCAATTGGGTTCACTTCTCTAAGCTTCATTTTCTCATCTGTAAACTGGGGTCATAATCATTCCTACTTCAAAGTTTGTCAAGAAAATGTGTCATCAAGTATCTTACCTCCATTTTTCATCTTTTACTGTGACGGATTTTAATCAGTGCCTCGGGTTGCCTGCCCTCCTCTCCCCAGAAAGCCTCGGTATGTGAGTAATAAACCTCTTAAAAACCTTCTTTGGGTGTGCGTGTGTGTGTGTGTGTGTGTGTGTGTGTGTGTGTGCTGCAACAAGTATTGGTACAGTGAGCATGCTTTCTAAACAATGTCCACTATCACAGAGTATCTTTGATCTCTTGGTTTGGCTTCCTCACTGGCTCAGCTGCTGACTGAAAGGATGCACTTTGAGCTGCCTTCTGCTAGAAAGCTTGCTCTTTGAGCTATGTTTCTTTGCTCTGCATTTATTGAATCCTACCAAGCTTCAGTTTAACTAACCTAATATGGAAATTTCAACAGTTAACTTTGGGGATAGAATTATGGGATTGGGGTCATCCTTAAAATGACCCTGGGTAATGTGTCTGGTTCCAAATGTATCTGTGTGTCTCAGATTACATTGAATTCCAGAATAAGCCATGACTGTCACTGGGCTCAGGGGAACGAATCTTACCCTGTGACTACTGTCTGTAAGTCTCAACCAGGCATTGGCCCCATTCTGTAGAACTCAATGGAAAGAATAATGCCCTGTGCAATCTATGTGCCCATGAGGTGGTCACTCATATGGAGGAAGAGCAGTTACCATGTGGCAGGCTGACTTCTTGCTCCTAAAAGCAAAAGCCTCACTAGGACCCTACAAAATGCTTTTGTTGTCACTGCAGCCTATGACTTTGTAACAACAGAACCCCTGATTATGTTATTGGAAAATGCTAATGATATTTTCATGTGCCCTGTTGCACAATCAAGGGGTCCATTCAAACCCGACTTAAGCCCAGGATCCTTAAACCCAGTAAAGCAATCATTGCCATAAGGAAGGCTGCTAACTCTGATAATAATAACTTGAGACTATCTGGAAGAAGAAACCAATAAATATGAGCAGGGTAGGGAAGACCTCCCAAAGTGTATTTAGCATTTCCTTAAAAAACCTGAATACAAGGGTGAAGAAACAAAATTGACCCAATTGGAAGGCAAGCATTTACTAAAATACTATATACAACAGAAAAACAAAAGGGTGCTGATTTGTTTTTATACCTCTGGATTCAGAATTAATTTTAACACCTGCTAAAATACACCAGTTGGTAAACCTTCATGTCCTTAATCAGTACTGGGGTCCAAAGTACAGCTATATCTGGGGATCCCACTACATTTAAACAAAGTACCCCCTATACTCTTAGGGCAGTTATCAAACATAAAATAGAAGATACACAAGTATGCCTTACCTTAAACAACAGAACTGTTACATTGCCTAATTTTCTATGGCCGTAGTCCCCATTGCCCTATCTCATAGTGGGCATGGATACTCAGACTCAAATGAGTAAAAAGTTAAAATTAAGTGTTTGGCACAATCAGCTTGAGTTTTAAAAGGACCCCATAGACCCTGCGCACACTACCTCATCTCCACCAGTTGAAATTATGCAGGCAAATATAAATTAAAACAGGTCCTTTAAGTATTGAAACCCATTATCTGTATCTATATGTCAATATCTATATCTATCCTATCTGTCTATCTATCTGTCTATCTACCTATCTATCTCTCTATAAATACATTTGGAGAGAAAGAGAGAAAGTGGTAATTATCTCCCTTGTATCTCCATTTAACAGCTCAATTTGACCTTTTCTTAAACTTGGAAAAAATAAATGGCACTTCATGGCATATTTCCTCAACTTTGATGTCAAGGTTGAAAGGCCTTGATTAAGGCCTTTGTATTAGTTTTCTGTTGCTGCTCTAACAGATAACCATGAACTTAAGTAGCTTAAAATGACACAAATATATTAACATTGTGAGTGTCAGAATTCTAAAATGGGTTGACAGAATTATGTTCCTTTTGGCAGCTGCGGGGGTCCGTCCTGCAGACCCTGACTCAACAATGGATGAATAAAGTACACTGACACACAGGTATTCTGCTTTGCCGGTCCAGCTGAGTGTCCAGGCCACTTAGTAGCAGCCGAGGTCCTGACCAGCTGGTGAGACTCGCATTTATTCAGCAAAGATTAATTGACAAAGGCTTGAGTCAACACCACTAGAGGGTAATTGACATTGTGGACTTCCCGAGTAGAAAGCAATTAAGCACCTGCAGTAAATCAAAGGTTAGTCTTAGGACCACATGAGTAAACAAGTTAGTTAGATAAACTACTCTACATTCCTTTGTATTTGCACCCTGAGCTCTCTGGCTCCTGCATAGAGACTCTGGCTGCCTTCAGCCAGATCTATTACCGAAGTTATGCAAACTCTCAGGCCTTCCAAGAGCATTTGTGGCTATTATAACTAAAATTTTTCCCACCAGCCTGATTGAACCCCCACAGGTAGCTCTAGGGAAGAATATATTCCCTTGCCTTTTCCAGCTTTTACATACTTCTCACATTCACTGGTTGCTGGTTCCCATCGCGTCAACCTCTGCTTCTGCAGTCACATCTCATTCCCCAAATCTGACACAAAAGCCATTAGACATGAGCTCCTTTATCAACATCCTGACATCTTCCAGCTTTCTCTGCCTACTCTTCTGTAACAATGGAGAGATGTCTAAGCCCTTTCCCAAATCCCTCCACTGTGCACATGGCCTTCATGAAGATTTTGCCTTTATGGGGACTTCACTCCTGCATAAACATCCAACACTAATTGCTTCTCTTCCTACATCAACAATGTTTCCTCTTTCTAATTAATCAAAAGAAACAATTCTGGAATCTATTTAAAAATATAAAATTATATAAATAAACCTTGCTATAATTTGAATGTGTCCCCTCCAAAATTCATGGGTTGGAAACTTAATCCCCAGTACAGCAGTGCTGGGTGGTGTGGCCTTTGGGAGGTGATTAGGTCAAGAGAGTTCCATCTTCATGGATGCATGGATGGATTAATGCTGTTATTAAAAGGGCTTGCAGGAGTGGATTCACCCACTTTCACTTTTCTGCCATATGAGGACACAGTGTTCATCCTCTCTAGCCCTTCTACCTTATACCATGTGAGGATGCAGCAAGAAGGCCCTCACCAGACCAGGTGTCAGTGCCTTGATCTTGGACTTTCCAGCCTCCAGAACTGTGAGAAAATACATTTCTGTTCTTTATAATTACCGAGTCTGTGATAATCTGTTATAGCAGCACAAAATGGACTAAGATAACCCCCCCCAACCTTGCTTCCCCTTAAGTCTCATTTCTTTCCTCTGTAGCAACTTCAAAAACTGACAAGACGAGCATAAAGAGAGATCATTTCCATTTATGGAGATGCAAAAATCCTGAAGAAAAATAACCAAACAAATCCCATAATGCATTGGAAGAATTGTACATCGTAACAAATGGAGATTATTCCCATAAAGTAAGAATAGCATAATTTTAGGAAAATGACCCATATTTTTCTCCATGTTAAGAGCTCACAGGGAAAAAAAGTGAAGATTTTGAGGATGCTAAAACACAGTTGGAAACCATCATTCATCATTTTAAAAAGTTACCTAATATGGATAAACATTTATTTGCCAAAACCATCAAAAATATTTCAAAGCAATTGTCAGTATCATGTATATACAATAAAACAGTAACCAGACAACCAGATAAGGGCTATAAGCAGTTTTTCTTGTATTTCAAGATGCTTACTTTTTTACATTTTAACATTTCTGAGATCAAGAAGATAATGATAAGATATATATACTTTAAATGTATATTATTAAATTAATGGTATGCCTTAAGAATTAAGGATATTCTGCTCTAAAGGCCAATTAGTATGGATTGGGAACATATATTTTATTTTCTAGATTCTAAGATCTTTTTTTTTTTTTTTGAGATGGAGTCTTACTCTGTTGCCCAGGCTGGAGTGAAGTGGCACGATCTTGGCTCACTGCAACTTCTGCCTCCCAGGTTCAAGTGGCTCTCCTGCCTCAGCTTTTCAAGTAGCTGGGATTACAGGTGCATGCCACCATGCCCAGCTAATTTTTGTACTTTTAGTAGAGACAGGGTTTCACCATGTTAGCCAGGCTGGTCTCAAACTCCTGACCTCGTGGCCTGCCTGCCTTGGCCTCCCAAAGTGCTGGGATTACAGGCATGAGCCACCTCACCCAGCCAAGATCCTCTTTTAAGGTTCTGAAATTATATCATTTTTGTTATATATGTCAAAAATCTGACAAATGTCTGTTTGGAAATTGCAAAGATAATTTTTAAAACTAAGAAACAGTAGGTAGAATATTAAAATATTTAGAGAATGCCAAAAAGATTCTCACACTGGCTTATCTATTTTGACTCTCATCCTTCAAAACTAAACACTATGGTATAATGAAAAACACCACTGACTAAGAGACAAAAGTTCTACTTCAGGTTTGACCAAGAATTAACTGTGTGCCCATTACTTCCATTTCAGGTCCTCATGACTTCTGAACTGATCTTTTGCAGAACCATATTGGCCCCCCAACTTTGCCTTATCCTTAGACATTTCAGTAAATTTCCCTAATCACCTCCACAATCATTCAAAATGTATTTGTGGCCTCATGTAATGGCCAAAAAAGACCACTCCTCATAGGAAGATGTTAGATTACCCACTACATTTCTTACCTTTATTACAAAGGAGAGAGTTTCTACCCTGGCCTGGAAGCCTCTATGCCCCTGCTGCCAATATTTTGTCCTCAATGCACCAGATGACATACTTCAGAGCTCTGCTGTGGTACACTTGATAAAGCACATTGCAGAACCACACACTTCTTTGATAATGCTTATATTTGTTGCATGTAATACAAAGTGGGAACTTCTACAACAAAATAATTAATTAGAAGAACATAAGTACTTTACAGAATCCAAGAAACCAAAGCAGCAAGCATGCTTCGCAAGGACAGAAACAAGGGTAGCTCAAGAGAACTCAATAGTAGGTA
Source organism: Homo sapiens (assembly GCF_000001405.40). NCBI lineage: Eukaryota > Metazoa > Chordata > Mammalia > Primates > Hominidae > Homo > Homo sapiens. Next base: position 135,319,214 of record NC_000023.11, on the reverse strand, counting down.
TTCTAAATAATGTTCTCTATACAGAAATGGCAGTAATGAAACTTAGAGGAAAAACACTGAGTTTTGGGGTCTAGTTCCAAACTCCAAATTATCAGGAAAAATACCTGATTGGCTCATCTAGGGTGAGGTGACAAGTATCAAACCAAGTAGCAATGGCCATGGGACTCAGTCACACAGAAAATAGAAGAATGTGTGTACAGTTGGAAGGTCTCAGAGAAAAGGAGTCTGTTGGACAGAATGACCAGTCTGTGACTACTGCCATTTTTCATGACCATATATCAACCCACATTACAGATGTAACTTAGTGAGAGAAAACATCTCCCTGTTTTCCTTCATATATTATGAAATATTTACTTTTTCTAGTATTTTGTCTATCTTACGTCAAAGATTTAAATATCTTTGACCTCCTGTACTAAATACCACGCCACATCAGTTTTAGTTGCCTTTCTTTTTTCCTTAGGCTAGTTTTTTGGTATACCATTTCTAAACCAATGGTAGGAACATTTTAAGGCATCTTTTGTCTGGAATATGTTTTAGCATGTACAGCATGAAAGTTTTATATGTTTATTAATTTTTGTTTATAATTGTTAATGAATATTAATTTTGTTAATGAATATATATTAAACCAATTAATAAACAGTCACAAAGCTGCAAACCGTTTTAATAATTATTAAAGTTTTAATTTTTTAATGGATTTTGGTCATCTAAGTTCCGAAATGAAATACACCAAACTTGTTCTTACTTTGCCAAATTGTCCTACTGTTTCTCAGAATCAACATTTTTAGACATTATGTAGAAACACTCTTTAACCTAGTTGTGTCAGGCTTAGTAGAGAAAGGAAAAGAAAGAAAGTTGGAGCTGGAAGAGGAAAGTTGGTAAATGTGGTCAGTAGTGCATTTTGTGTGACCAGGCAAGTTCTGCAGAACCTCTTCTGAACACCTTCACCTGTGTAAAATCCCAGAGGCATTAGTTAATCTCCAACCACTATGGCAGGATATGCATCTGAGAGCAAAGAGGCAAATGGCAAGCAGAGATCACAAAGGTGCAAGAGCTAGAGTAGTGATAGAACCAGTGCCAGGACGATCTAAATTCCCTTGCATTGTCAATACGCAAAAAAAAAAAAAAAATATATATATATATATATCAAGCCATTGCTCACCTTGGCTCTTAGACACAAGTGAGCATAGGCTACCACACCCAGGGCTAAGGTGAGTGCTGAGGTGTGAGTGGTGTGTGCACTCCCCACCTACCGACTTAGGCTGCTGTCACTGAAGGTGACACTGCACCCAGTAGCAGCTATGCTGTTACTGCCCACCCAAGCATCCTGCCAGTGGTCTGATGATTGCTCTTCCCCTGCCTCTCATAGGCAGCACCTGTACATATCATCAAGAGGCCCAAGGACAAGCCATCCTGGCCAAGCTTTGTCCCTCCTCATCCTACCTTCAGACAGAGCACATAGTCCAGGAGCCAGGGGATTACCAAGCCCAGTCCACTAACATTGGCACCTGAATACTCCTCCCAGGGGCCTGAGGTTGTTCTTACCCACCCAGCTGCCTCTACCACAGGTGACACCTACCTGTGGGCCAGTTTCCAGGCCACTACAGCCACCACTGCCCGTACCAGCATGAACCACTTGGGAAGCAGAGCATCATCCCACCACCACCACTGCCATCACCCTCACCACACTGACTGCCCAGGATCCTGAGAACCCACTCACTTGCCTGATCCATATATGCCTCTACTGGCATCCAAGTAAGCTACCTGGAGGCCCAAGCATTGGCATGCCTGGACCTGCTAACAATGGTGCCAGTGTACGCCACCCTGGGACCCAAGGACAGGCATGCTTAGCCCACTGCTGCCACCAGTGGGGTCCAAAGACTGGCATACTTGGTGTACCAGTCCCCCGCAAAACTGTTTCACAGCCTCCACCAATAACTTCACCATAAGCCAGCAAGGAAACCTTAGATACCACTGACACTGTTTATAGCCAAAGAAATCATACAGAGACTACACTACTTCATGCACCCAGAATAACAGCCAAAGTGCCCTACTCAACCAATACTATAGATAGATCTTCAGGAAAAAGCCCTCCTCTAACAAAGCAAATTCAAAAAATTGAAAGAAGTGACTGATACACCAGATAGGCAAGTATCAATGTAAGGACGCAGGAAACACGAAAAAGCAAGGAAACATGACACCTCCAAAAGGAACAAAATAATTATCCAAAACCAGATTTCAATCAAAAAGAAATTCATTAAATCCTGGAAAAATAATTCAAATTATCAATTCTAAAGAAGTTCAGTGAGATAGAAGAAAATTCTAAAAAATGATAAAAAGAAATCAGGAAAACAATTTAGGACATGAATGAGAAAGAAATATCTATCATTAAAAAAAATTCTGGAACTGAAGACTACATTGAACTGCAAAATGCACTTGAAAAACTCCAACAATAGACTAGATCAAGCAGAAGAAAGAATCTAAGATCTTGAAGAAAGGTTTTTAGAAATAACCTGGACAAAAATAAAAAAGAATGAACAAAGCCTTTGTGATATATGGGACACCATAAAGTAACCAAATATACAAATTATTGGTGTCCCAAAAGGCAAAGAGAGAACAAAAGATTTTGAAAACCTATTTAATGAAATAATAGATGAAAAATTTCCAGGTCTACCAAGAGGTTTGGACATTCACATACAGGAAGCCCAGGGATCCTCAAACATACAATGCAAAAAGATCTTCCCCATGGTACATTATATTTACAATGTCTAAAGTCAATGACAAATAATTCTAAAAAAGCATCTAGTTACCTATAAAGGAACCCTTATGAGACTAACAGCAGATTTCCCCACAGATATATTATAGGCCAGAGAGAATGAAATCATATATTCAACGTGCTAAAAGGAAAAAAAATCTGCTAGCCAAGGATACCATTTTTGGCAAAATTATATTTCATAAATGGAGGAGAAATAAAGTCTTTCCCAGATGAGCAAAAGCTGGGGGAATTCATCATCACTAGACTGCCCCTACAAGAAATGCTCAAGGGAGTCATAAACCTAGAAGCAAAAGGACAACATTTACCACCATGAAAACAAAATGTTAAGTATTAAGCTGAATGGTAATGCAAACATACAGATGAGAAAGAAAAAGTGCTCAACTGATACCACTACAGGTAATTTCCAAACCACAGTGACAAACGATAAGGGAAAAAAAGGAACAGAGATTATACAAAATAACCAGAAAACAATGAATAACATGACAGAACAAAACCTCACATATTAATGGTAACCTTGAATATAAAAGGATTAATTTCTCCACTTAAAAATATGGACTGGGTAAAAGGGTAAAAAAAACATGATCTAACTACGTGCTGCCTATGATAAATGCACTTTACATATAGACATGTATGACTGAAAGTAAAGGGGTGGAAAAGTATATTCCACACTAATGGAAACCAAAAGCCAGCAGGAGTAGCTATGCTTATGTCAGATGAAAGATACTTTAAGCCAAAAATAGTAAAGACAAAGAAAGTCATTATATAATGATAAAGGGATCAAACCAGCAAGAAGAAATACCAATTCTAAATATATATGCAACCAACACTGGAGCACCCAGATTCATAAAGCAAATATTACTAGATCTAAAGATTTAGACTCTAATACAGTAATTATGGAGGACTTCAACACCCACTCTCAGCGTTAGACAGGTCATCTAGACAAAGAAGAAGTGACATTGGATTTAAACTCAACTTTAAGCCAAATGGACCTAACAGACGTTTATAGAACATTTCATCCAACTACTGCAGAATGCACATTCTTTTCATCAGCACATGGAACATTCTCCAGGATAGAGTATATGTTAGGCCACGACCAAAAAAAGGCTCAACAAATTATAAAAATTGGAATCATACCAAGTAACTTCTCAGACCACAATGGAATAAAACTAGAAATCAATATTAAGAGGAACTTTGGAAACAATACAAATTCATGGAAATTAAAGAACATGCTCCTGAACAACCACTGGCTCAATGAAGAAATTAAGATGGAAATCAAAACATTTTTTGAAACAAATGAAAATAAAATAAAGCATAACAACACCTGTGGAATACAACAAAAGCAGTGGTAAGAGAGAAATTTATAACAATAAAGGCTACATTGAAAAAATAGATTTCAAATTATCAAACAATGCACCTCAAGGAACTATCAAATTAAGAACAGACCCAAAATTAGAAGTAAAGAAACTTAAACTATCAGAGCAGAATTAAGTGGAGACTAGAAACAATAGAAAAGACCAATTAAATGAAAAGTTGGTTGATAAACAAAATTGATAAACCACTAGCTAGAATAATCAAGAAGAGAGAAGACCCAAATAAATAAAATCAGAAATGAAAAAGGAGGCATTACAATTGATACCACAGAAATACAAAAGATCATCATAGTATTATGAACACCTATATGCTCATAAACGGGAAAACCTAGAGGGAATTGGTAAATTCCTGGAAACATACAACCTGCCCAGCTTGAATCAGGAAGAGAGAAAGCCTGAACAGACCAATAACAAGTAGTAACATTAAATCACTAGTAAAAAATCTCCCAACAAAGAAAAGTCTGGGGTTGGATAGGTTCATTGCTGAATTCTACCAAATACGTAAAGAAGCAATACCAATCCTTCTCAAACTATTAAGAGAAGGGAATTCTCCCTAACTCATTCTACAAGGCCAGAATTACCCTGATACCCAAACCAGACAAGGGCATAGTAAAAAAGAAAACTATAAGCTAATATCCCTGATGAGCATAGACACAAATATCCTCAACAAAATACTAGCAAACTGAATTCAACAGCACATCAAAAAAGATAATACACCATGATCAAGTGGGAGTTATAACAGGAAATGTAAGGATGGTTTAACATATACAAATCAATAAATGTGATACATCATATGAACAGAATGGAGAACAATAACTATATTATCATCTTGATAGATGCAGAAAAAAACATTTGATAAGACTCAACATCCCTTTACGATAAAAACTCACAACAAACTGTGCATGGAGGGAGCATATCTCAAAACAATAAACGCTATATATGACAAAACCACAGGTAAGATCATACTTCATGGGGAAAAGTTGGAAGCCTTTCCTCTAAGAACTGGAACAAGTTAAGGATGCCCATTTTCATGACTCGTATTCAACACAGCACTGGAAGTCCAAGCCAGAGCAATCATGCAAGAGAAAGAAATAAAACACACCCAAATTTGAAAAGAGGAAGCCAAACTGTTCCTCTTTGCAGGTGACATGATCTTATATTTAGAAAAATTAAAAGACTCCACCAATAAACTCTTAGAGCTGATAAACAAATGTGATAAAGTTGCAGGATACAAAATCAACATATGAAAATCAGTACTGTTTCTGTACTCCAATAATGAAATAGCTGAAAAAGAAAGCAAGAAGACAATACCACTTCCATTAGCTACAAAAATATAAAATACCTAGGAATAAATTTAACCAGGGAGATGAAAGATTTCTGCAAGGAAAACTACAAAGCACTACAAAACACTGATGAAGGAAATTGAAGAGGACACAAACAAATGGAAAGACATTCCATGCTCATGGATCAGAAGAATTTGTATTGTTAAAATAACCATATTGCCCAAAGCAATCTACTGATTCAAAACGCTAATGCCATTTTTTTCACAGAAATAGAAAAAATTATCCTAAAATTCATATGGAACAACAACAACAAAAAAAGCCAGAATAGCCAAAGCAAACCTAAACACAAAGAATAAAGCTGGAAGCAACACACTACTGGACTTCAAAATACATTACAAGTCTATGGTAACAAATACAATATAGAATTAGTATAAAAATAGCCACTTAGACCAATGTATAGAGAACTCTGAGATAAATTCATATATTTACAGCCCACTGATTTTCAACAAAGGCACCAACAACATGCACTGAGGAAATGACACCCTCTTTAATAAATGGTGCTGGGAAAGTTGGATATCCATATGTGCAGTAAGGAAATTAGACCCCTACCTCTAACCATATACAAAAATCAACTCAAGATGGATTAAAGACTTAAGACCCAAAACTATTAAACTAGTAGAAGAAAACATAGGGAAAAATCTTCAGGACATTGGCATAAGTGAAGATTTTATGGCTAAGGCTTCAAAAGCACAGACAACTAAAGCAAAAAGAGACAAAAAGGACTATATCAAACTAAAAATCTGCATAGCAAAGGAAACAATCCATTGAGTGGAGAGATAACCTGCTGAATGGGTAAAAATGTGTGCAAACTATTCATCTGATAAGGGATTAATATTCAGAATATACCAGAAACTCAAGTCAAGAATAATAAAACAAATAATCCCATTAAAAAGTGGGCAAATGCCATAAATGGACAATTCTCAAAAGAAGACATACAAATGGCCAACAGGTATACGAAAAAAGTACTCAACATCACTAAATATCAGGGAAATGCAAATCAAAACCACGATGAGATACCATCTTACCCCAGTTTGAATGGCTACTATTAAAAGACAAAAAAAAAAAAAAGTCACAGATGCTGGCAAGGATGTGGAGAAAAGAGAACTCATACACTTTTTTGGGAATGGAAATTAGTACAAACACAATGAAAAACAGTATAAAGATTTCTCAAAAAAACTAAAAATATATCTACTATATGATCTGGCAATCCCACTACTGAGTGTCTATCCAAAGGAAAAGAAATCTGTATGTCAAAGGGATACCTGCACTCGCATGTTTATCACAGCACTATTTACAATAGCAAAGATATGGAATCAATCTAGGTGTCCATCAGTGGATGAGTGGAAAAAGAAAATGTAGTGTATATACACCCATGGAATACTATTTGGCCATAAAAAATTCCGCAATCCATGTTGCAGCAACATGGATGGAATTGGAGGTGATTATGTTAAGTGAAATGAGCCAGGTACAGAAAGGCAATTATTTCATGTTCTCACTCATGTATGATAGCTAAAAACGTTGATCTCATAGAGGGAGAGAATGGAATAATAGATACCAGAGTCTGGGAAGGGTGTGTTGGTAGGAAGTATAAAGAGAAGTTGGTTAATGGGTACAAACATACAGGTAGATGGAAGGGATAAGTTCTAATGTTTGATAACAAAGTAAGGCGACTATAGTTAACATCAAATGTACTATGGATTCCAAAATAGCTGGGAGAGAGAACTTGGTATGTTCCCAACAGATAGAAATGATAAATACTTGAAGAGATGGACACCCCAAATACCCTTACTTGATCATTACATAGTCCATGCTTGTAACAAAATAACACATGTATCCCATAAACAGGTACAAAATTATCAATAAAAAATCAAGCCATGTCCTGAATGGACCTAGGGGACATTTTGCTAAGTGAAATGAGCCAGGCACAGAAAAGGCAAATACTTCATGATCTCCCTTCTATGTGGAGTCTAAAAAGTTGAACCCATAGAAGCAGAGAAGATAATGGTGGCTGCCAGGGCCTGGAACAGTGAGGGGAGATGTTGGTCAAAGAATACAAAATTTCAGTTAGAAAGGAGAAACAAGTTCAACAGATCTGTTGTTAAACATGTTAACTACAGCTAGTAACTAACTGTATTGTATTCTTGAAAACTGATAAAAGAGTAGATTTTAAGTGTTCTCACCATACACAAAAAAATGATAAGCATATAATGTAATGATAAGCATATAATTAGCTTAATTTAGCCATTTCACAATGTATACACATTTCAAAGCATGATGTTGGACATGACACAATTTTTATTTATCAATGAAAAATGAATTAATTTAAAAGATCAGGCCATTTCCCACTGTGGGTTAGAGTCTACACCCAGCTCTCCTTCCTGACTGCCTTACAGCTGTCAGCTGCTGATTGCACCCTCAGAGTCTCAGCCTTCTTCACCATGCTTTGCTGGCTCACTTCTCAGTTCATTCACTCTTCTCAGCGATTTTGTCTACTGCCATGTGTTACAAGGCCTGAAATTCCATGTGCTGCCTTGGCATAATTGAGCCTCACAGGGCATCAAAGGCCTAGCCACGATTTTCCCTGCTCTCATCAGATATGCTCCCTACCAAGTGGGAAAAGCTCACCCAGCTACATCCCCTATCAGCCAGATCAGCTGCATATCCCCTGGTATTCAACCAAAAAGACTGATTCTCTACCAGCTGGTACAGCCACTGTTTGATCCTGAACTGCAGCAAAATAGTAACCAACAGAGGAGTATCCAGGCAGCTTTCCCACCAAGAGTGCACCCAAGAGGCCCCTCTACCTGGATGTCCTCTAAACCCTCCCCTTCCAACCTACAGTCAGTTGCATCCTCTGAGGAGAGGCTTGTGGTTCTATTTTGGCAATGCTGAATCAGAGCAGGGAAAGCAAAGTTGACAGGGACAGGGAGGAGAGTTAAATGGACATAGAGGAGTTAAATTTTCTATCTAATACAGATCCAGAAGAGACCTGGCTAAGGGTAGAGAGAATAACAGCCCCTTAGATGTAGGTGGGGGAGGGGACACAGGAAGGGGACTTGGGAAATGCTGGACAGGTTGTGAGAGCACAGGGAATTGGGAAGGAGAGGTGGAGGGGACAGAAGGACTGCTTGCAGGCTTATTTTGCAGCTTACGTTAAAGGACAAGAGAAATGCTTGGAATTTGTTATGGTTTTAATGGTTCCTTTTATGTTAATTTCATCTTATTCCTAACTTAAGCTTGCCCATATCCACCATGGCTCTGACCTCTTTGCTCTCCCTGTCCCCTCTTCAGCTTTAGCTCTCACTTCTCAGTCACCAATTGTGCACATAGTTCCCATTTCAGGTTTCTTGGAGTATCTGACTTGCTCAGGATATTTCTTAGGGACAGAGGTTTTTCAATGGGAACCATCTCATATGTCTTGTTGGACTATTGGGTGGCTTCACTTCAGGAAAATTAATTATCTTTGATTGGCTGTGGCCTGAAGGTTTGTTTGACATGACACAAAAAAGCCATCAGGGCATTCCACTTTCCTGGGGACACTGAATAGAGCAGTTGCCCCTGGAAGGCTCTGTGGACATGACATCTGCAATGATGAAACATGTCCCAAACCCCCGGCCCAGCTGTTGGTCTGCTCTTAAACGATGTCTTTTCATTAGGACAGGCATTAGGTTTTAGAGAGAAACACCAGGGTGGTCTCTTCAAAATGGCTAGGGATTAGAGTCTTTGGTCCTTGAATGCCAAGTACTACATCACTTCGACTTCGCAGTGTTTTTCAGATTGATGGGGGAGATCTGGTGTGCAGCATGATCTCACTCTCTGCTCTGTGTCTGAGCACCCCTGCACTGTGCGTTAGGATGAACAAAAGCCCCTTCCAGTGTAACCCAAGTAAGCCCTGTCAGCAAACACACATCCAACCCAAAGGAGTGAAATGACAGACTCTGTTTTAATGGCTCAAACATGGGAGGAGTTTATTGTTCTAATTATAATTAATGTCTCAAAATTCTGGGCAGGCCTCAGCACATAAGCCACATGACTTTTTGTCCAAGGCCATGTTCACCCTGGAGTTGCTTTATGGCAGCATCCATAGCCACTTTGACAGGTCAGTGTCACTTCTGTTCCTGCCCAGTTGTCTGTTGATTAAAAAGACCTGCACATTTTTGGTGGGCTTCTTGCATTTGAAGGATTTGCCTGACTTCTTGATGTTCAGTGCAGGCTCACTGGGACTGGCTTTAGGGAGTTCTTTATCCATGAAGCAGCAGCCCCAAACAACCTCAGTAAAACAGCACAACCAAGGAAGCCTGAAAAAGATGATGAATTCCATGTAATCAAGTGGATCTGGGGACCTCTTCCCCACTGCCACACACCCACACACACTTTGGGCCATCATCTGATTTGAAATGCCAACCATATCATTTATTCAATCTGTCTCACACATGGGGCTGTGTAGGAGCCTGATGGGACCCGGGACATTAAGGACACACTGTTGTATCAATCTGATCATCACCTGACACACACAGACCTGTTAGATTGTACTCAAAGTGCTAGCTTATAGCTCAAGTGTCGACGTAATTCTTACATTCGCATTAATTTTAACTCAATTCTATGTTGCTGTTTTGCAGAGCTGCCTTCTTTTCACCTCTGAGTTTTCCCTGTACTTGGGATAGGGGCTTTCTTCTACTGCATTTTGTGCAGCAAGTTGAGAGAGTAGGTCTCTTTGGTAAATCTATCCATAACAAAATTCATTATTTTACATCTGTATTTCTTCATTCTACAACCTACAGGCTGCTATAATTTGTTTCCTCATTCCAAATCTCTTTATGTTACTTTAGCTTCAAATAGGATTTGCCTTCTTTGAAAATCACTGGTGACGCAGGTATGGATCTTACTCCAAACCCTTGTGTAAGAAATAAACTGGACATTCTCAGGTGCTACCTAGTTTCTGTTTCTAAGGCCCATCCTTCTGAGTTTCCATCCTGGGAACATAATCTCAGTTATTTAAAGATTGTACTCGCCTCTGATAACTGACCCAGTCTCACCCCAAAAAGTGCTGAGTGGTATTATACTTGAATCTGGCATAATGCCAAGGCTAGGGGTGGATGCCAACTGTGTTCTCTATTTTGACCTCAAGAGAGATTAAAGGACTTGCCCAAGTGATAGAAAGGTGAGATTGGAACTGAAAAAAGCCTGTATCTGAAGCCTGTGTTTTTACCCACTGCTCTATAGTTTCTCTGTATCAGTTTGAACAAATGACTCTCCCATACCTTCCCCCCCATTACCAAACAGGGTTGAGGTTTATCAGGTAGATTAGTTAGGTTATGGCACAAAAGGATGCTCTATGATCTTGGTATATCAGAATATTTTACCTGTCAGACCACTCAGGTTTCTTTTGAAGAAAGACCTGGACCAGAGAGTAAACAGTGAGAGGAAACATGACTTCTTTCCTTAGCACACTCTCTCTTTTTCCCTGAGTCCCAGGGCCTGATTGGTTCAGAACCAAGTGAAGTCACGGTTACTATGATTACTCACGACTGCTCTCAGAACGTAATGCCAACAGTCTGCAAGATTCAAATACTGACAACCATCACCTGGCTTCCTTCTGGTTCAGAGCAGAATAGGGTAAGTGGAAGTTGCTGGGAGAGGAAGTAGGTATATCTTGTGGCTGGGTGCCATCTACATGTCTCCTTCCTGGATGGGACATTCAGCTATCCTGGCCTCAGAGCTTGTCCCTGGCTTGTGCAAAATCCCTTCATTAAAATTTATCCTTTGTGTAGATTACAGCACCCACTGCATCTTGCCAGGTTCCCTGGGTAGTGATCAGCGACTTTGTCTGCCATGTTCCAATCAGGGAATTAGTGTTAGGTTGAATTTCCCATTTGCTTGTCAATCTCTGCATCCAGTTTTGGTCATGACTCTGCAATTACTCCCTCTATAATACACAGTTCATGTAAATGGAGTGTTTAGTTGCAGAAATTTAACACTGCAGTTAAACACTGCTGTGTCTCACACAACTGTGTGACCCCCTCCCAAAGCTCAGAGCAGTGGAACTCCACACTTTTATTCTGTGGACCTGGGATGCAGGTGGGCTTTTAATGCCTTGGAAAATCTTATGCTAAAACTAGACTAGTTTGTTGAGACATATGCATATGTCTCAAGCCATATTCCCTTTCAAGTATCTGATCTAGAATAACTACATTGTTACCATTAAAGTGTGACGCAGGTGGGTAGTGTCTATATGCAGGACATGGATTTTCCAGGCTGTCAGAGGGATAACGGTGAGGACAGGGCTTTGTGATTTTTATAGTGGGGTTCTCATGAGGAACTAAAATGACTGTTATGAGGAGATGTGGCTTGCCTGCACACTGGCTGCCCACTCAATCTTATGTAAGAACTGAGGAAATTGAGGTTCCTGTAAAGCGACCCAGGTCACACACTCCCTTTCTTGAGTGGCAGGGAAGGAAGGCTCAGTCCTTCAGGTTTTTTCCTAGCCCCCACAGAACCATGTAAAGACCCTGAGGCTGTGTTCAGTGTTCTAAACAATTTGCAGTGGGAAGAGAACTTATTGGTATTCAGTATTTTATTAACAAAGAAAGTGGAAAACTCTTTCTCTTAAGGAACTGACATCCTAGAAAACCATGGCAATCACCTAGGAAATAGGCCAGGAGAGGTTGATTGATAGATGTTAAATGCATAAAAGCTTTTCATACTAGGCCAGGCACAGTGGCTCACACCTATAATCCCAGCTGGATTATAGCCTCTGGAAGGCTGAGGTGGGTGGATCGCTTGAGCCCAGGAGTTCAAGACCAGTCTGGGTAACATACGGAGACCCCATCTCTAAAATAAAAATAAATGAATACATAAATTAAAAATCTGCATAGTCTTCCTTAAATAGGGAATATCATAGAAATAAAATGTCCTATTTACATTGGTTGCAAATGTTATGAAACACCTAGAAAGATGAGGACAAACACAAGGAAAACACACATGCAACTTTTTATGAGCTTCCAGTTTGAATATTCACATAACATTTTAAAATACTACATTTTTTGAAAAGGAAGATCAATTTTTGCAATGGCATCAATTCTCCTCTAAATAAATCAGTAAATCCAGTGCAATCCCAATCATAATTTATAGCACAATTTTGAGTGTATGTGTAACTGGAAGAACAGATGCAATTATACTGGAAAAAATGCGAAGGATTATGTAAGAGGGGGAGCTTGTCATTCTGGACTCAAAACTTAGTCTGTAGTATTAGCAAATGAAACAGGAATTGATAGACATGTTCATGGGCCAACAAAGATATTCTAGAAATACATTTATGCATATGTGGGACTCAAAGAAATGATATAGCTGACATTTAAAATCACAAATTGTCACAAAGCTTTTTATAATCCCGTGTGTGTGTGTGTGTGTGTGTGTGTGTGTGTGTGTGTGTGTGTGTGTATGTATCTCTGTTGTCCTGTCTTCCTGAAGCCATCTGTGGATCTGTGGAGTCAAGCAGTCATGGCTCAGGGACACTCTGAAGTCAGTCCCAGCGCATCTGCACAGAGCACCAGGAGGAAGGCAAACAAATACTTAAGACCCAGTCTGGCCTCTAAATCCATGCTGAGCATTCTGCTCAGCAGACAGCTTGGGAATCACAGAAATGATGCGAATCTGACAGAGTTGCTGTGGACACAGACGCAAACCATACCAGGGTGGAATTGGCCTTTGTTAAAACACTATGCCATTGACCCATCTCTATACCACAGGGAGCGTAGAAAATCCAGGAAAATGGTGTGGATCAATAAATCCTTCCCATAATGCAACTGTTACAAATAGAAGCTGTTTTCTCACTGCTTTTGGTTGGATGTGCCTTTTGTTCACATGGTTTCTTAACTTCTCACCTGTCTCTGCTACCCGAGACCACAACAGATGAACTCTAGCTACTCCCCTTTGAGAGAGTGTTTACTAACATTGCAGAGTCTGGGGGTGTTGGATTCAAGAGAGGCCCTGTTTAGAGAAGGTGGAAGGACGGCTGAGTGGGCACGTGGAGAAGCCCTGCAGCCCTAAATTTCTAGAGGGAGGTGACTTTAAAAGCCCACTTAGAGGTCTTGGTTTGTCTCCCTTGAAGTTTGGGGGAGGGAGTGGGTAGCTGTTATAATCAAATAAATTTAAAATGAGAGTGGCTTGCAGAGTGGGGAGGGAATTCTCGCAAGAGATATACTTCTTCAATTGAGAAAAAGAGAGAGGGAGCTAATGAGGTAACCAGAAATTCCTAGGAAAGAAAGAATCGTCTTTTGGCTGTTGGTGCAAAATAACTTTGAGCCTACAATTCTACTTCTAGCCAGACATTCAAGTGTGAGTGTAAATTAGCATACAAGGTGTTCAAATGTGGGTTCCCTAAAAATAGACCCTGAGGCACACTTATGAGTAGAAAGTGCCTATGTAGGAGGGAGTCCCAGGTAGCACTGGTAGGGGTGTTGTGAGATTTAGAAGGAATGCAGCCAATTAAGTGGCAAGAATAATCTAGCAGGTTACCAGTGTGGGCAATTTGAGCTAATTCCCAGGGGGATCCTATGGGAGACTGTGTCGGGCAATTTGAGCTAATTCCCAGGGGGATCCTATGGGAGACTGTGTCGAACCCACACCTGACATTCATCCCAAGGGTAGGATGAAAAGTCTTGAGGGTATTTAGCCACCAAATAACCAACCATACTTCTTAAAGGACTTCCCCCAGGGGTGATATAAATCTCTGTCACCTCCAGTTGGCCTTGGGTCAAGTCCAGCATGCTCTAAGGGTGAGACAAAAGGCCTCCAAGGCAGAGAGTCATGGCAATTGCCATAAGCAACCTTGTAGATGCAAAGGTGAGACATAGCTCCGCAGGGCCAGAGTCTAAATATGTAAGTCAGTGTCAGAATCTTTTTGGCACTGTCTATTCCTTAAATAAGTCAATACTCACCATTTGTGAAAATCTTCATTGAACTGGAGCTACATTTCCTCTCTATAGGTAGCATGTTTTAAATGTTTTATCAATTATCAATTTTAATTGGAAACTGGTTGTAGGAACTCTGTCCCAGAGAGTTGTGAGATGCATGGTTAGCCGTCGAAGGAACATTTGCATTGTAGACATCAAAATCTTCCCCCTGGGGAAAAGAAAGCAGGATTTTTGTAGTGTGTCCTGCTTGCAGATGTGCCATGCTGGGTGTTGGGCACAGGTCTCTCCCTGGGATTTCATGGAGATCTTTGGCTGCATTTGTCAGAAACTCTATTCTTACCATTCAGGCTACAGGGGCCCAAGTTGCAGTGTCTCACCTCTTGTTGAGAGGTTCCTCAGCACGTGGAATACAAACCTCCTCCTCTCCAGGTCTCCCATAGCAGCTGGAACTTTATTCATGTTCCTATCATTATATTCTCTATGGAATAGGATGAGTTGCTGGTTAGCTTGCTTCCACCCACCTATGCCCATCCAGGCCCACGCTCAGCACACTGTCCCCATAGTGGGTGCCCCTATCCCCAGGGATTCTTGGAAATGCTGTTCTGGGTGGTGACTCCATTTCAGCACTGACATAGTCACTGGCAGCCAGAGATGGCCTTCTCAAGCTTATGTTGGGAGTCTAGTAATGAATCCTTTTTGTTACAGTTCAGATGGGACTTGCAATGCCCAGCTCCACTGGTGTTGCTGTTTGTTTTTCTTCTATCTCCAGTCTTACAAATCAGTGATTATTGATGAAATGCTGAGAAGCTACAACTTCTGGCTGCTCTCTTTGAGCATTATGTTAGGTGACTGGGGCCTCCTGTTTGTTCTGTTTAAGGAGCCCAACTGCTTGTCCTCTGGATTAACTTTAAAAGAGTTGAATTAGACCAGGCATAGTGCCTGTTTACAGCAATGCAGGCTATAGGGGCTTAGAAAGAGGCTATACTTAAGTATATTCCTGGGAAACTTCTATACTTGTATATCCCTGAGTCTACACACCTAACTGTTGCTGGTGGGCATCTGGGGACCAACCATTAATCTGCTCCAGCTTCACAGCTGGCTAGCCCATCCCTTGTGGGGAAAAGAGAGATCAGATTGTTACTGTGTCTGTGTAGAAAGAAGTAGACATAGGAGACTCCATTTTGTTCTGTATTAAGAAAAATTCTTCTGCCTTGTGATGCTGTTAATCTGTAACCTTACCCCCAAACCTGTGCTCCCTGAAACATGTGCTGTGTCAACTCAGGGTTAAATGGATTAAGGGCTGTGCAAGATGTGCTTTGTTAAACAAATGCTTGAAGGCAGCATGCTCCTTAAGAGTCATCACCACTCCCTAATCTCAAGTACCCAGGGACACAAAACACTGTGGTAGGCCGCAGGGACCTCTGCCTAGGAAAGCCAGGTATTGTCCAAGGTTTCTCCCCATGTGATAGTCTGAAATATGGCCTCGTGGGAAGGGAAAGACCTGACCGTCCCCCAGCCCGACACCCATGAAGGGTCTGTGCTGAGGAGGATTAGTAAAAGAGGAGGGAACGCCTCTTTGCAGTTGAGACAAGAGGAAGGCATCTGTCTCCTGCCTGTCCCTGGGCAATGGAATGTCTCGGTGTAAAACCCGATTGTATATTCCACCTACTGAGATAGGGGAAAACCGCCTTGGGGCTGGAGGTGGGACATGCGGGCAGCAATACTGCTCTTTAAGGCATTGAGATGTTTATGTGTATACATATCTAAAGCACAGCACTTAATTCTTTACCTTGTTTATGATGCAGAGACCTTTGTTCACGTGTTTACCTGCTGACCTTCTCTCCACTATTATCCTATGACCCTGCCACATCCTCCTCCCCGAGAAACACCCAATAATGATGAATAAATACTAAGGGAACTCAGAGGCCGGCGGGATCCTCCGTGTGCTGAACGCTGGTCCCCTGGGCCCCTTTTTTCTTTCTCTATACTTTGTCTCTGTGTCTCTTCTTTTCCAAGTCTCTTGTTCCACCTAACAAGAAACACCCACAGGTGTGGAGGGGCAACCCACCCCTTCACTGGCTAGCCCATCCCTGACCTATGCAAAACTTTGCACCACACTATCACATTATACTCCTTCCCTTTTGTGATTTAGATCACGACTGACTACGGTTACTGTTCAAATAGAGATCACAAGGCTAATTGAATGCACTCTTTGTGGTAATAAGATACCAAATTATAAACAAAGCCTAAGGCCATGCCAGTCAAGGGTTAAGTCCCGCTCTGCTACACTTAAAGAATAAAGTATGTTCTAATTGCCACAGAACTTTTCTTTCTCTCTAGCAGCTAAACAAGCACTGCCCTAGAGATAAGCAATATTGAAACAATTGCAGCTCACTCACTTGCTGACTTACTGACCTCCACTCACCTGTTCCACAAGCCATAACTACAGCTTTTATTGGACAAGAGATGGATTTCAATAACTCTCTCCTGATAAGAGACCACTGAACATGAACTGATTCTGGCCAGTTTAAGGCTGCACACTGAATGCCTTCATATCCTTGCTTCACCTTTGATGTATAGGGCCTAAATATAATGTATTTAAATGTTAAGTCTCTGCCCCAAAGTGAACATGAGATGCATGTAACATATGTGTTTGCTTACCACACATGCACATATCCCCGCTTCATGAATAGTCATAGCTCCCAGCCACTCCAGCTCCAGCCACGGGTAAAATGGGCCAAGTTATAGCTTGAGCCATTGCTTCAGAGGGTACAAGCCCCAAGCCTTGACAGCTTCCACGTGGTGTTGGACCTGTGGGTGTACAGAAGTCAAGAATTGAGGTTTGGGAACCTCCACCTAAATTTCAGAGGATGTATGGAAATACCTGGATATCCAGGCAAAAGTCTAATTCAGGAGCAGAGCCCTCATGGAGAACCTCTGCTAGGGCAGTGCAGAAGGGAAATGTGGGGTTGGAGCCCCCATACAGAGTCCCCGCTGGGGTACTGCCTAGTGGAGCTGTGAGAAGAGGGCCACCATCCTCCAGATTCCAGAAGGGTAGATCCACCAACAGCTTGTACCGTGTGCCTGGAAAACTGCAGGCACTCAAGGCCAGCCATGGGAGACTACCCCTTTCATCAGCATGCCCTGGATATGAGACATGGAGTTAAAGGAGATTATTTCAGAGCTTTAAGATTTAATGACTACTCCAATGTGTTTGGGTCTTGCATGGGGCCTGTAGTCCCTTTGTTTTGGCCAATTTCTCCCATTAGGAATGGAAGCATTTATCCAACGCCTATATCCCCATGGTATCTTGGAAGTAATGCATTTTCTTTTGATTTTGTCTTGTCTCAGGTGAGACTTTGGACTTGGACTTTTGAGTTAATGCCGGAATGAATTAAGACTTTGGGGGACTATTGGGAAGGCATGATTGTGTTTTGAAATGTGAGGACATGAGATTTCGGAGGGGCCAGGAGTGGAATGATATGGTTTGGCTCTGTGTTCCCACCCAAATCTCATCCTGAATTGTATTCCCCACATGTCGAGGGAGGGACCTGTAATCCCCATATGTTGAGTGAGGGAAGCGATTGGATCATGGAGATGGTTTCCCCCATGCTGTTCTCGTGATAGTGAGTGAGTTCTTATGAGATCTGACAGTTTTATAAATGGCAGTTTTTCCTGCTTTCTCACTTCTCTCTTGCCACCTTGTGAATAAGGTGCCTGCTTCCCCTTCACATTCTGTCATGATGGTAAGTTTCCTGAGGCCTCCCCAGCCATGTGGAATTGTGAGTCAATTAAACTTCTTTCCTTTATAAATTACCTAGTCTCAGGTATTTCTTTATTGCAGTGTGAAAACAGACTAATACGCCTGTTGAATATTTATGCTTGGCCAACCAAGCATGCATATGGTTCAGCATAAAGCCCTGCCTCATCCTTCCCTCCCTCAAAGCGCTTGCTTTTTGTTTGCAGCCAGAGGCTGCACTTCTCTCCTGCAGGTTGTCATCCCCTACTTAAGAAATAAAGTTCTCCTTTCTAAATGGATAAATTGTGTGATTTTTTTTTTTTTTTTTGAGATGGAGTCTCACTCTGTCGCCCAGGCTGGAGTGCAGTGGTGCAATCTCGGCTCACTGCAACCTCCGCCTCCTGGGTTCAAGTGATACTCCTGCCTCAGCCTCCCGAGTAGCTGGGACTACAGGCATGTGCCACCACACCCAGCTAATTTTTTGTATTTTTAGTAGAGATGGGGTTTCACCACGTTAGCCAGGATGATCTCAATCTCCTGAACTCATGATCCACCAGCCTCAGCCTCCCAAAGTGCTAGGATTACAGGCATGAGCCACCGCACGCAGCCAAATTGTGTGATTTTTAAGTTGACACAATGAAGGTCCACTTCTGACTTTCCCCTTTTGCATAGGGTCCATTTGGCCCTGAGCTGTCAATTTCCAAGTGTGAATGCTACCTACTTTGTCCCATCACTTTATGCCTGGAAAAAAGTGCAGGGGCAAGGACAAGGGGAAGCTTTATAACATTCAGTTCATTTCCTTCTTCTGCTTCTTTGTATAAGAAAGGGCCAACTTTTGATCATTTTTTGTTCAGCTGTGACATTCTGCTGCAAAAAGAAGATTGAACACCGAATACCACATTAATATGGTATTCCTAGATGACTTATTTGCAGAAACTGACCTGTTTATCCTAAAATTCATATGGAAATTCAAGGGACCCAGAGTCTAAAACAATTTTGAAAAAGGAGAACAAAGATATAAGATTCATATTTTGTAATTTCAAAACTTACTACAAAGCAACAGTAATCTAGACAGTGTGGTATTTGCATAAGACTAGACATTTAGATCAATAGAATAGAATTGAAAGTTCAGAAACAAAGCCATACACCTTGAGTTAACTGATTTTCACCAAGGGTGCCAAAACAATTTAATAGGGAAAGAATAGTCTTTCAACAAATTATGCTAGGTCAACTGAATATCCATATGCAAAAAAAAGAAGTTGTACCTCTATCTTAGATCATACACAAAAATTAACTCAAAATGGATGAAAGATCTAAATAAATTAGGGGCTAACATTATAAAACGTCTAAAAGAAAACACAGGTGTAAATGTTTGTGCCCTTGGATTAGGTGGCTGGTTTTTCAGATGTGACATAAGAAACTAAAGAAAAAATAGATAAACTGGCCATTACAAAATTAAAATCTTTTGTGCAGCAGAGGACACCATCAAGAATGTTGAAAGTTAATCCACAGAATGGAAGAAAAATGTGCAAATTATATGTCTGGCTTGTGTCTAGAATATATAAACAATGATTACAACTCAATAATAAAAGACAAATAACAGTTAAAAATGAGCAAAGGATCTGAAAAAAGTTTCTCCAAAGAAAATATACAAATGCCTAATAAGCACATGAAAATATGCTCAATATCATTAATTATAAGGGAAATGCAAATCAAAGCACAATGAGATGTCAGGATACACTCACTAAGATGGATATAATTTAAAAAGGCATGTAATAACAAGTGTTAGCAAGAATGTAGAGAAATTAGAACCCTCACACAGTACTGGGGGGAATGTAAAATGGTGTAGTCCCTTTGGAAAATAGTCTGGCAGCTCCTCAAATGTTTAAACATAAAGTTAACATATGATCTAGCAATTACACCACTACAAATGTATGTAAAATAAATAAAAATATATGTCCACACAAAATTTGTCCACAAATGTTCATAGCAGCATTATACATAATGGTCAAAAATTGAAAAAATTCAAATACCAATTAACTGATGAATGGATAAACAAAATGTCATATATCCACACAATGGTATATTATTCAGCAGTAAAAAAGAATGAAGTAATGACACATGTTACAATATGGATGAAGCTTGAAACCATTATGCTTAAGGAAAAAAGGGAGACACAAAAGATCACATATCATATGATTCCATTTATATGAAATATCCAGGACAGGGAAATGTATAGAGAAGAAAAAGTAGATCAGTGGTTGCCTAGGGTTGGTGCTGATTGGGAGGTGGGGGATGACAGGAAATGAGAAGTTAAAGCTGCATGGTTCAATATTTTTTTGCGGGGTGAGGTAAATATTCTATAATTGATTGCCACATTGGTTACACAACTCTTTGAGTATATTTAAAAAACACTGATATTTAGAATACTTTAAATGAATGAATTATGTGATTTGTGAATTATATCATAATTTAGCTGTTTAAAAAATTCTAATTACTAGAACCAGAAATCAAAGTCATGTTTAACAACTCACTATTATGAGGCCTTGATTTTGAAAGCTACCAATTTTAGAATTGAATCTACTCTGAAACTGTTCAGAGTAGATTCTACTTGTTTGATTAATACTTGTTGCATCTCCTTCGGCATGAAATGAAACCTTTAAAATTCAGTTGTAAAATAAAAAAAAATCAGTGAGGTTGTCCAACCTCTGTCTCACAGCACATCATTTAAATTTAGCCATCTGTTGTTGTTCTTCATCAGTCTCTCCTCTTTTTTTGAACAACTTCCTTTGTAATCACAAATTTGAGAGGGGGAAGGTAACCCTTTTCTTCATTCTCATTTATATCCTATCTTTTTCTAAGTTGGTTTCCAGTTTTCCATATTTCTCGAAAATTGATCTACATTTTTCCTCCTCTAAGCTGCTATTGGCTGAATGTGTACACCCAAAACTCCTAGGTGGAATCTGTAATCCCCAATGTGATGGTATTTGGAGGTGGGGCCTTTGGCAGGTAATCAGGTTTAGATGGGGTCATTAGTATGGAGCCCCCATGATGGGATTAATGCCCTTATGGAAAAAAAGAAAAAAAGACATCAGATCTCAGTCTGTCTCTTTGCATATACACACAATGAAAAGGCCTTGTGAAGACATGACTAGGAAGAAGACCCTTACCATAAACCCAACAACAATGCTGGCACCCTGATGTCAGACTTCCAGTTTCCAGACCATGAGAAATGTTTACTGGTTAAGCCTTCATCATTTTCAGATTCCTTTCTGTAAAGACGTCTTAGGTATTTGCTATAGTTGTTTGTTTTACTCCATCTCAACTTTGCTCACTTAAAAATTACGCATTCTTGGTTTGTGGGTTTGACTTTGGAAACTCTTTTTCCTTCTTTATCTTGCTCATCATGACCTTATTCAAAATTACAATATTCTCTTTAAGTTGCTTCCACCTATAAAGTTGTTTGCAGCTCAAGATCACACCTTGATTTATTGGGTGAATCAAGGTTGAAGTGTTTAGGGGAAAGAAAATGACTTTTATCTGACCATCCTCACTGGTTAGTGATTCATTGAAATGTAAGCCTGGGGATTATACAGAAGTCACAGTGCCCTGACTTCCTCTTCATTGAGTTATAAAATGTTATGTTGAAAATGCCTGACTTGAAGAATATAGTTTTGAAAGAACCATTCTGAAGACGATGCTCTGATGAACCAAACATTTTTACTAAGTTTATATATCATAGATAATGCACTGTGTCCTTTTACACACCTTTGGGGAGCTTCGATTTTGAATGATGATTGACTTTAACTTAGTGTCATCTGCATTTATATATAGAATCAAACAGGTGCTTTTTACTTTCCTCCTGGACATGCAGACATCTCTTTGGCTTGTCTGAGTGGTTTTTCACACTGGCTTCCAAAATATGTCAGTTTCATCCCCATTGTAAAACTAAGCTACACCCAGTTTCTCCTGTTTAGATTCACATTGGCAATTTTTGTCCAAATGGCTCAACACTTGGTAAATACTGAAAACTTGGAGAATACTGACAACCCAAGATATTCAGCTTCTTAGAAAGATGATTCTGTAAATATGAAATACCTTGCCCAGAGAACTATGCTAAGCACTGCAGGAGATAAAGATGGAAGCAAGATTTCTGTCCTCCAGGGAAAGCATAATGTAGTAGAAAAAGGACAGGATATGACAACAGGATACCTAAATTCCTGGCTAAAATCTGCCACTGGTAATCTATGTGACCCTGAACATGAAGTAGTAGGTGAAGTCATGTCATGTCATACCATTTCAAATTATTTATATGTCAAAGAGAAGTATAAATGGGACCTATCTCAAAAGGTTAAAATCTACCTAACAAGAATAAAACAAGATAATGGTTGGGGAGCACATGTCTGATAACTAGAATATGGTTTTGAAAATGTAAGGGACTGTTGTTTCTGATCTAGCGAGAGGCTTGACCAGGATCAAATTGCCTTTTACTCAAGGAGGCTTTTGATAAGTCTAGTGACTACAGCTGGAGCTCTCTCTGGCTGGGACTCAGGAAGGCCCAGAACACAGCTCTGCCCACAAGAGTGCTGAACTGGTTCTGACTTTGTGAGCCACTCTTCCGTGGCCCCTAGACCTTTGAGGTGGCATCTCTTACTGGGTGAGGCTCCTGGTAGAATGGGCTGCCAGCCGCCAGGAAGCCAGCAGGAACAATCTGGATGCACAATACGTGGCAAATCAGGGATAGGAGACCTTGGCACCAGGAGTCTGTAAGCTACATGGCTCCCAGGGAAGAGCCATTTGAGGGGCTCCTCTAGGCTTCCAGCAGGGCTAGAGACTCGGTAGCATTAACTCTTTCTTGCATCCAGGACCTAACTGGAGCAGGAGGCTGGTTCTTCTGGGATGGAAAGGACCCCCGGGACAGTTCCTAACTTGGCTAGGCTGAGACTTCGCAGGTAGAGGGAGGGGGATAGCTGGGCGTAGCTGTCACAAAGCCACCGGAAATGCATCTTTCATTTTCTGGTTGATTCCGGTTCAGGTCCACAGAACTCGACCCTGGAAGAGAGAGTCGGGGTCAGGTCTTCGGGAGGTGGAGGGATCGAATGAGGGAACTGATATTCCAAGACTCCCCACATCTTGGAGCTTCACTCGCCAGGCATCCCGCGCTTTCCTGACGTCGCTTCCCCTAGTGGTGCAGCAGCGGAGAGCTTTGCTACCCAGAGCAGCAGGGAGGCGTGGCCACAGAGGCAGAGGCGTAGTCGAGCCGAGGAAGAGGAAAGTGGCCTCCGGGGAAGCCAGAGCTGACTGAAGGTAACCGAGAAGCTGATTTTCTCTTTAGATTCGTTTTAGCGATCCCCTGAGAAATACCGGCCGCTCCTGCCAGTTGCAGCCTTTGGGGCTGCTGCGTAGCAGGGAATGAGGGTGGGGGATGTGATACAGTATTTTTCAGTGGGCAGTGGCGCCACTGACAGGCGGCAGGTCGCCTGGAGAGCTGGTGGGAGTTGTCCACAGCGAGGCCGCCTGGCCGCAGGCTCCTACAGCCACTTCTTACCTATGGAAGCAACTTCTTTCTACCGGATGTACAAATATAACCCAGGGATACTAGTGAAGCACACTCAAAGGTTGCCCACGTTCAGAGTTCTTGTGGGCATCCCTGTGGTTGATCTATAAGTTGTAGTGAATCAGGGATGGGGATTTGGGGCAGTAATGTCTACCACCACACTCAGCGAAACTTCCTGATTTTTGATGGCTTATGAACATAACACCAAAGAAAGGGTCATTTCAACATTAAAGACAATGGCTTCTGCTGACAAAAAAATGTAAGAAGTGTTCCTGTACCTCCTGAGCCTGAATGGTCAGCAAGGAGCCAACCATTTTTTTGAATACCTGTGGCATCCTTGAAAGAATTTTGTTACTGTTTCTGCTGGATCACCTCAGGGAAAATCAGTTTTGAGGACATGTTAAGTCAGGAGAAAGGTTACCATTACTAAGACCCTTCCCATCTATAAAGAACCTTAATCATCACCATCTCTCTTTCTTTTTTGTTTTTAACCACCTGACATTTGTATATATGTAAAGGAAGACCATCTGTAAATTTTTCCAGTTAAAGTAAACAAAAAATTTAATACGCAAGTACAAACCTGTGCAGTGCCCTTTATAAGTCTTTCGAAGAAGTACTACACCCTGCCACATCAAATGTTGATGATCTGCTTGCTTAGCGGGAGGGCATTTGCTTACTTTTTCTCTAATTACTTTACTTCTACTCTGATCTTGCTGTCTCAGTTCTCCTACCAGCATTGATACAGTATAAAAGGGAATATTAAGAGTTCCATTTAGTAAAAGGCTTCAATCTAAATGAGATGAAGGGATATAGAAACTGTTTTTCCTCTGACTAAAGAAAAATGATTGGGATGATCTGTTAAAGTTTCGAGAAACTCAAATAGGCCCTATTTGCCAATATAGGACAGGAAACCCACAGATTAAGTATTGGATAATCTCAAAGCTCCTTTTGGCCAATTGGTGCCAGTTTTCTCACCCACCAATCTTTCCTCAACTGTTAAAAAAAAAAACAGGAAATACATTGATTGACATTTGTCTTCTCTTAGCTGTGCTTTGTTTCAAAGTTGAAAAACAAAGAAAAGGAGAGAAACTTACCTCCTGAGTAATCTAATCATGAATGTTCTAATTCTTGGCAGTTGATTTTAAAGAAGAAGCCAGACAGGAACTTTTCTCTTCATTTTCCTCTAACAATAAATAGCAAGTAAATATGTGTCATGTGATTTTCTTCTTGACATGTACTTTTCTTCTGCTCTCCCTCAGTGCTCTTGGGAAGAACAATTCATTGATTTGGTACCAACCTGATGCACCCTGATTTGTCAAAGGTGGTACCAGGTGGGTGTCAGTGTCACATACAAGAGTAAAACTGTTCCTAGAGCAAATGGCGATGAGAGAGCTGAACGCGGATTCATGCTCAAGCCCCCAGATGGGGGCTATGTGGGAGACTAGTGGGTCTGTGAAAGAGAACTCCAGTCAGAGTAAGAAATACAGCACAAAAATAGAGAATCTTGGTCCTGAGAGCGCTTGCAGGCACTTCTGGAGCTTCCGTTATCATGAAGCAACCGGACCGCTTGAGACTATCAGCCAACTTCAGAAATTGTGCCATCAGTGGCTGAGGCCAGAGATCCACTCAAAAGAGCAGATCTTGGAAATGCTGGTGTTAGAGCAGTTCCTGAGCATTCTGCCCAAGGAGACCCAGAACTGGGTGCAGAAGCATCATCCACAGAATGTCAAACAGGCTCTGGTCCTGGTGGAATTCTTGCAGAGGGAGCCTGATGGAACAAAGAATGAGGTAAGAAGAAAGATTGCCTACATGTACAATGAAGTAGGATAAAAGTGGATATATCAGAATGGAGGAGTTATCAGAGAATTAGACAGATTAAGTCGCTCTTCTGTTGCTCCTTTAGGACAGCTAGCAAGGATCTGAAATGACATACATGCATCAATAGTCCACAGGTTTCAAGATTTCTGGCAGAGCCTTTCCTTGTCTTAGAGAAAATAAATGCATTTTGTCTTCTCTAGGGCCAGGGTGAATTGATGGTGGTGGGCCTAGTCTGGCATGGGCAAGGACAAGAGTTGAGTTCTTAGAAAAAGAGAAATAAAGGGCAAGAAAGAGTTGGGAAAGGGGAGAAGATCCACAAGATGGGCAGCACTTACAGAGACCAAAGGAGAGAGAGGTTAGCAAACAGAAGTATGAATCAAGCGGCTCTGGGGAGACTGCAAAGAAAGAGAACAAAATGGAAAGAAAAAAAGGAAACAAGGATATGGAAAGACGACAATTGCCAACAGAGAAGTGGAGGGAATCAGGATGCTAAGGGGTAGTATCTTCTATAGCAGAAACACACATCTCTGGGCTGGGAGGAAAGAGCCTCCATTGCCCTCACTTAGTGGCTTGTCATTGGCCCTTCTGGTGAGTGGGAAACCAAGGTTTGTCCTTGGAAGATGGCAGCACACTTTCTTTTTTCAGGAGCCTACCTTGAAAAATCCAGGGCAGGCCATATTTTTGGTGTCTTATTACTACCAAATCATGTGAAGAGAGATTAGAGCCCAACTCTTCTCCCCATTTATTCTTCCATCCATCTCCATTCCCTGTGAAATTCTTTCCTGGAGGATTGGAAACTGGCTAACAGGAAAGTTTATTTCACTCAATTCCTTTTCTTTTACAGAAAACCAAAAGATAAAAATTCACTAAAACAAGGATCCAAGTCAAGAAAGTAAACCAGTGAAAGTTCCCCAGCAGGGGAACAGGCTGCCTACCCAACTCTGCTAGTGGCTTGAGCCAGGGCTCTGTGCATCTGGGTGGGGGCCACTGGGTTGGGGGGCGGGGATCTGCAGTAGTCACAGCTTTTTCTATTTTATCCTAATTATCCCAGATTTTGAGTATAGTTCTTTATGAGAACATAGTGGCACAATACCTCTTCATTCTTTTTATTACTTCTCTAATGTCATGCATTCCCCAAATCTGGGCTCTGCTCTTGTTCCTCCCTCCACTACCACCCCAAAACCAAAAGTAAGTTCTGTGCTAATGAGGATGGGGATTATTTCTAGGTCACAGCCCATGAGCTGGGAAAGGAGGCAGTGCTCTTGGGAGGAACAGCAGTGGCCCCAGGCTTCAAGTGGAAGCCAGCAGAGCCCCAACCAATGGGTGTGTTCCAGAAAGAATATTGGAATACATACCGGGTACTACAAGAACAGCTGGGCTGGAACACTCACAAAGAAACCCAGCCTGTATATGAAAGAGGTGAGGAGCTTCATCATAATTGTCTTCTCCTGGGAGCTGTGGTAGTAATTAGTTCACCTAGAATGTCCTGGGAATTTTCCAGGTGGCCAGCCATGCTAGCAGCTATGATGTCTCCCAGGTGGGAGTACAGTGGGTTGATGGTGGTTGAAGGTGGGGGTCAGCCTGGGGGACAGAAATATCCAAACCACAGAACCCTGCTATTCACACTATAGACTCTACTCCTTTGAAACTTGAGAGGAGAGAAGAAGATGGAACAGGGACAGGTGGGGCCACCTCCCTCTCATAAGTTGTAGGAAAAATTGGGGACAGACATGGGCTATCAGTGGCAGAATGTGATAAAAATTGTGCACTAGGAAAAAGTAATAAAAGACAAAAGTCTCCCACATTACCTACTGTACACTGGAGGACCTGAGCCTTTCATTTCCAAACCTTCAATTCTTGCCCAGCTTATGGTATGAGAGGAAAAATGAATAGATTTCCTTTGATTAATTTCTTTTATGAAATCTAAAGAGTTCATGAACTGGGGAACTGGTTGTATGAGTGGTAGATATTTGGTTCTTATTTACAATGAGATGGCCACTTCTTGGCACCACACACACACTTGTCAATGTGACCCATCTTTACTGAAGGCATCCTGATGTTCTTTATTTTAGAAATCAGCTTGGGATGTTTGTAAATAGGAAACAGAAATTTTCCCTGGCTATTTTCTACCCACAGCTGTGCATGATCAACAGATGTTAGCCCTTTCTGAGCAGAAAAGAATCAAACACTGGAAGATGGCATCTAAACTCATCCTGCCTGAGTCCCTGGTGAGCTGTTATTTCTGGCTTTTTTCAGGTGACTTGACTGTGGCCTTGCCTCTGCTTGTCCCTATTGCCTAGGACTCATAGTGTCCAGCAGGTGCTTTGAGGCATTTTAGCCCCAGTTATTCTCTAGGCAACTAGGCTTGGCACAGTGGGAACTGGGCACCTCCCAGGTGATTTACTGATCCTCTTTGCTCCTTCCTTTCTGCCTTCTCACTTTTTTCCCCTAAATCTTGTACTGTTCACATCTTCAGCACCTGGCCTACCATGTAATTCAGAAATGGGTGGTAGGACAGCTTCTGAAGTGGCAAGTACTAAACTATAGCCCATTCTCTTCTTTAGAGTTTGTTGACATTTGAAGATGTGGCTGTGTATTTTTCTGAGGAAGAGTGGCAATTATTGAATCCTCTTGAGAAGACTCTCTACAATGATGTAATGCAGGATATCTATGAGACTGTCATCTCTCTAGGTAAAGATTCTTCCTTCCCATTGTGTAGAAGTTAAGTAATATATTATGTCCTCTGTTTATGGAAAATGCACCCCTGTGAGAGAGTCCCACTGTTCCAACAGCTGATTGATTCTCAACTTGATGATGTATGGGAAATAAAGGGATTATCAGGATCCCCTGGAGAGCTTTTTGTAAATACCTGTCTCACTTCTGCATTCTAAATGGAATTATTTTGACTGTGAAAGATTTTACTTTTTTTATCTTTCATCCAAACACACCCTTCTCTAAAAAACATAAAAGCATGCACATCAATGGCATTATTCCACAGAAAAATTAATAACTAATCTGTAAATCAACAACAATAACAATGCAAACAAAAGTTTAAATGATATGTGGAAAGATTTACAGGTAGGCATATGGCTCTTAGTTTAGAAAATAATAATTCAAGTCAATATCAATAAAAGTTAAGGAAAAGTTTCTAATTTCCAAACATTTTTATACAATTTTTTTCCAACTACAATATTTTATAGATCTTTTGTGAGAAGAATATTAGCGTAATCCTAAGAAAGATAACATTCAAGTGATCCTATGCAGGTCAGGTTGCCTTGTTAAAATGAGTTAGAATTCACATAATTCCAATAGTATTATTGCCTCTTGAAATTTAAATGTAGAGCATATCCATCATATTCAAAATGAGTTCCACAACTTACATTTATTTTGATCTAGTTGGAAATAAACCCTAAATTTAGGAATGGTAAAAAAATATATTTAACAAAGACATGGGATTGATCTAAATTTTACTTCACAGGTAAGAGAAAATTACAATTCAGTATGAGGACACTTCATAAGTTTTACCAATGCCCCCATTTATAATTAGGCCAACTGTATCTTGAGTGTATATGAATGTTTGAATAAATACATACTAACATATACAAACCAATTCACACCACACGACTCTTCAAAGATGTTGCTTGAAATGGCTTATTCTCTGGTTTGGGATAAGCGGTGTAACACAGTCACTTAATTTTCTCTTAATCATTTTTTCCCTTTTGTTTATCATGATTCACTTAGTATGTTTCATGTGGGTCATTGATATATTTTTGCAACAAAAATCCAGTAGCAGTAAGCAGAAATGTTAACTTAAAGGACTACTAGGCAATCAAAGTTTAAATTATCACATGAAAATAGAGCAGATCACACGTAAAGGTCTTCTGCCATGGGATATATTGTTCCATGACTGAAAATTGTGATGTGGTTCCTAGAACATAGCTCTTGCTCTAAGGTGATACATATTAATGTGTAGCTCCAGTCCTTACAAATTAAGTCTGTATTTTACTGGTTTGAGAAGGTGAATTTCTGTGTGTGTGTGTGTGTGTGTGTGTGTGTGTGTGTGTGTGTGTGTCTGTGTGTGTGTGTGTCAGAGTCTCACTCTGTCACCCAGGCTGGAGTGCAGTGGTGCAATCTTGGCTCACTGCAACCTTCACCTCCCAGGCTCAAGCAATTTTCCTGCCTCAGCATCCCGAGTAGCTGGGACTACAGGTGTGTGGCACCATGTCTGGCTAATTTTTGTATTTTTGTTGGAGACATGGTTTCACCATGTTGGCTAGGCTGGTCTCAAACTCCTGACTTCAAGTGATCCCCTGCCTTGGCCTCCCAAAGTGCTGAGATTACAGGCATGAGCCACCACGCCTGGCCTGAGAAGGTGAATTTCTTGCCACAAACAAATGCAAAATGCCTCTGCAATAGCGGGTGAAGCCCACTCCCAAGGGCTTAAAGAGTTCAACTTTGAAATAGGGCAGCATGGGCTGCCTCTGCATTTCTTCATAGCAAGTCTATATGCAAGCCACTGAGCAGCACCACTGATGGGAATCCAAAGGAAAACGGCTATAGCACGGTGAAAATCCACCATGGTAACATAAAGTGATTTCTCAATTAAATATTTTGCTATATCAAAGAGAAGTAGGCAAAGGCACATGGTAGTAAATCTAGTCAGAATGTCTGCAGGTCCCCATTACCTCAAATATCAGTGAACTCAGGGACCAACCAAGGTTTACACTGATTATTTTGATATATATAAAAAACAAAACAAAACAGAAAACCTTAACGTTTTCAAGCATTTATGGCACAGACATAGGGAAGTACAAATATCGTAGCTTATATCTTCAAAAAGCTGGGCAATTTAAAGTGCTGCTACAGTGAATCAGAGTCACAATTTTAACTTCATTCTTATATTTGATACATTTTTGTGTGTAGAGTACAGGGTGTG
The DNA here is from genome assembly GCF_000001405.40 of Homo sapiens. Taxonomy (NCBI): domain Eukaryota; kingdom Metazoa; phylum Chordata; class Mammalia; order Primates; family Hominidae; genus Homo; species Homo sapiens. Next base: position 135,288,763 of record NC_000023.11, on the reverse strand, counting down.
CAAATTAAGCAATTTCAGTAAATATTAGAAATGTCAATTATTTTGCAAATATAAAGTGAGTGAAATCAGCTAATAATGCAATACAATAAGACTTGTGTTAAACAGAGCTTTTTCCCCATGAATACTTTTTACTCTTTCCTTTGAACATCTCGATACTTAAATACATTTCCTTTTATTGGCTTGCAGAAATTAAGCAAAAAGTGAACTATTACCTAGCTACAAGATACTAAATAGTATAAGAGTTTGGAGCTGTCCAGTTGTAATAAATAGAAAATAACAAATATAGTGAAATATGCTGCAAGTTAATGCTCAAAAATGCAGCCTTCTGAGTTACAAAGTACACAATCCTACTAGTCTTCTGAAGTTGTCATTAGTTCATGGAAAATGTAAAAAAGAGCAGAAACTCCATTTAGCTTTTACCTTTCCAGCAGCTCCAGTGCTAAAGTTATAGAATCATGTATGTTTGCCCAAGACCAACTGCACATTGGCGCTAGTCACATATTCTATTTTATCCAGAGTTCAATCAACAAGTCTTTATTTGCACTTCTTTTTACATTCAGGAAACAATAAGCCTACCCAGGCAGCCTTCTGTTGATAGTTGCCTTCTTCTGTTGGGTGTGGGGATATAAGCCACCCTGCTATGTTATTTTTTTTTTCTGGGGTCCTAAACCAGTTTGTCTTTTTCTTACCATTTTTAGAATTTTCTTTTTGTTATCTCATATCACTTAATGGGTTTGTTTTTGTGCCTATCAGGGAGGATCAAGGAGAAATGGGTCTATGCCATTTTGTCCAGACTGGACCAGAAATCACTTGTTCCTGTATTTCTTTTAAAGCAATCATCATTGACTTTTCTCTCCATTTATGTAGCTTTCTTTCACTGGGACACAGATGGCTGATTATTCTGTTTATTCTAACAGGGTTAAAGCTAAAAAATGACACTGGAAATGATCATCCTATATCTGTTTCTACATCAGAAATACAAACATCAGGATGCGAAGTATCAAAAAAGACCAGAATGAAAATTGCCCAGAAAACAATGGGCAGGGAAAATCCTGGTGATACACACAGTGTACAGAAATGGCATCGAGCTTTTCCAAGGAAGAAAAGAAAGAAACCTGCAACTTGTAAACAAGAGCTTCCAAAACTTATGGATCTTCATGGGAAAGGCCCCACAGGGGAGAAACCTTTTAAGTGTCAGGAATGTGGGAAAAGCTTCAGAGTTAGCTCTGATCTTATTAAACACCACAGAATTCACACTGGAGAGAAACCCTATAAATGTCAACAATGTGACAGGAGGTTTAGATGGAGTTCAGATCTTAATAAGCACTTCATGACCCATCAAGGAATAAAACCATATAGATGCTCATGGTGTGGGAAAAGCTTTAGTCATAACACAAATCTACACACACACCAAAGAATTCACACAGGAGAGAAGCCCTTTAAATGTGATGAATGTGGAAAAAGATTCATTCAGAACTCCCACCTTATTAAACACCAGAGAACTCACACAGGTGAGCAGCCTTATACGTGTAGCTTATGCAAGAGAAACTTTAGTAGGCGATCGAGCCTTCTTAGACACCAGAAACTCCACAGAAGAAGGGAAGCATGTCTAGTGTCTCCAAACTGAGGAAAGTTACCATGTAGAGCTTGACTTTAGAAGTGGTGAAAGAATACAAAATTATGAGGCACCCAATGATAGGAATCTGTGATTAATAAAACATTTGGGAAGGGTACATGTTACACTTCACAAAAAGGAATCTAAGCTGTCTGTTTTATTCAGCATTGCATCTTCTGTGCCTAGCACAAGAGTTGATACATAAGGAGTACTTTATAAATAAAAAAATGAAAGTGTAGTGATGAGATTCCTTTAGCTATCTATCTATATGTATATATCTGGTTATTCAAAGCTTCCCCACCCCCAGTCATCTAAATTTTTCAGGTATCAAGTGCTCAACAGACATATGATAGTCAAGGCTCTTAGTCTCATTTTTTACTCTTTGTCAAGAGAAATGGAAAATAAGAGTACTTGGGCCCTCTTAAGGGAGCTCAGAGAGAATTACTAAATTAGGGACAGTTTCAATAGTTATCATTCTGTCTACATGAACAATCAAGACCAGGACTCAGGGAACTTTACTCTGTAACAGAAAGAGAGGATTCAGTGTTTGCCCTGGGAGAATTGTCCCATTCTTGTTGCTTCTCTCCTGAGTACCCACTACCACAATGTCTTCTGTCAAGGAATTACAAGTAGCAAGGGAAGGTCTGAATGTAAGGACAGGCCTAGGGACCTTGCAAGCACTTGATATCTCTCCTCTTGCTGACTTTGTCAACATAGACATATAGTGAAATGATGAGGGAGGCAGTCTTGGCCCTCATCCAGGTATCTGGTTTTTTTTTGTAGAAAGCACAGATAAGTGGTAAATGGTCTTTTTCTGACTTTCATTATGTGGACTGGATGGAGGCTTTCAAACTGGTGCCATACTGCTGCAGGACCTAAAGGGAGCCCCATCTTTATGGCTGATCAACTACAACCCTATATGCCTGAATACTCTGCAAGAAGGCCTGGAGATTTTGCAAAACTGATTTATTGAGAATGGCAAGGAGAGCCTTGTGAACTTTTAGCTTTGGTGCACAGCTGATACCAGGAGGGAACATCCTGAAGTGTCAGAGAAAAGTAAGGCATATGGCTCACAGTGATGATGCCAGTCAGAGCCAGGCCAGATGGAAATTGTTTTCTGATGTTACTGGTTTTCTTTTCCCTATTAGCCAAAGTGACTATCTCTTAAGAGAAGATAATGTGACGTCAAGGGAAGTTGGAAGGCATGGATTTATATCTATGTCAGATCCTGGTTTATAATGTTGGCCAAGGCTTATTTATATATGTTTATTTAGTATTCCATAAAATTGTACTTCGTAATGAAAATGACACATTTTATCTTAAATTTAGACAATAAACAAAACTTTGTTACCAAATCACTCAGAAATGGCCAATGTTTGCTTTTTTGAAATGGATGTCTTCAGATATTTTTTCCACCAAGAGACCGTTCTAAGCCTGTTTCCAAATTTATAAAATGAGGATTATAATTCCTACTTCTTAGGGCTACTGTGAGGATTAAATGCACACATGTGAGCATGTCTGACACAATGATTGGCCACATTTGGTGTTTCCTAAACATTTGGAACTTTCTTCATTCTTCCTTCACCTAGTTATTTAGAAAAGAAAATAAGCTTTGTCTACTTGCCCAGCTTTTAAGCATTCTTCATTAATGAGTTTTCCATCATTTCTAGCTGGTTTTTAGGCCCACTAATGATGGTCAGAATGGTAGCCTTCTGGCATGACATTCATTTGGTTCTAGAGGTGCTCCTCTCTAGTCAGCCTGAAACAATACACTGATGTCCCAATTCAGCTAGCTATACTGCTCATGAGTAACAAAACCAAAATATACTACAAACCCTCAACTTGAGATTCCTGAAAATGGAGGGGAGGTGATGGCTAGGGGTGGAATTTTTGTGGACAGTATTTATGCTACTAGGTGCATCCTCAAGCCAATAAAGTAGAAATGAAAGAGGAAAGAGGTGACTGCACATAATGGCGACTAAAAAGAATGAAAGTGCTAAGCCAAAAGGAGGAAGTGACCTGGGAGGAAAGGATCTCATATTCCCAAAGGCTTGGAGACTATGACTGCCTCACCACCCCTCCTCCTAGAATGATCTGAGATTGTGCCCTTGAAACTAAAATGGGAAATTCAAATTCCTGCAGGGGACTCCATTCTCTTTGTGTGAATCCATGTTTGCTAGCATCCTGGATAGCTGCTATCATACCACCATTCAAATAAATTTATTCATGTAGCTTTTATAAAGAAGGGAGGTTAACTAAAAAATTCAAGGATGTACTAGGTCAATGGACCCAGCAGTTATACTCATGAGAATCAGCAAAGTCCCCCAGAACAAGTCAGCAAAAGAGCACTCCACTTTCCTAAAGCTGCTTACCCCTGTTATAATACCTGTTACCTTCAAAGCTTATCGTGCAGGTCCTCATCTACACTGGCATCATTATCAGCAGGGTTTGAGAGCAGGGAACATGGGTTCTATTTGAGAGATCAATTATTTAAGGCAAGTGGCAGGAAGTGACTGCCTTTAGATGGGTCTGAGCAGAAACAGAGAACTGGGATTTGTTATTCCAAGTTCAGATACTCCACCATCATTTGAATACAAGGGCCCCAGGAAAAAGCACATTCTCATCCCTGAGGTTGTGGAACAGGATCTAGAAATCAGTGCTCCTGGCTGACTCATTAGTGCCCAGTCTGCCCTTCAGCCCTCTGACACAGTCTCCTAGGGCCACATTCCCCGTGCATCCTGACTACTCATGTCATCCCTTGCCAACTCAGAAAAAGAGGAGAAATGTATGTCCATGGAGATATGGGAAGTAAGGAAATAAATGGCAGAATGAGATAAAGGGAAGAGATGTCATTCTATTGCATAACTGCCCACCACCTTCTCAGTACATGGCTAATAGACATGAGCTCCATTGCCTTTCTGAGGACACAAGAGAAAGGCAGCATACAAAAGCTCAGGAACTGGAGAAATGGACAGATTATTCATTCATGGGACAGAGTGAAGAGGCAGAATGCTCCAATTCTTGATCCCACAGACAGAGATGGAACTGAAGAACTGAACCAAGTGTGAGGGGGTATGAACTCGTTTTCCAGTCTCTGTGCTCCCAGAGAAGATGAGCTGAGCAGAGAAAGATAAGAAAGGGTCTAGGAGAGCAGAGTTTAGCAGGCTTTTTCCACTTGTGTGCATTTGTGAGGACTGAGATTGGAAGTCAGGGACTCAGGGAGCCGAATGCCATTGCTTGCTGTGGATGAGACACAAGAGCATGTGAGTGGGTCAAGCCTACCCTGTGCCAGACTCAGGTCTCCACCTTTTCCCTCCCAGCAAACAATGACATGGTTTCTACCCATGGGCCTTTTTGGGTTCCTTCTAGCTCCTTCTCCACTCCCAAGAAACCTCTTCCTCCTTTATTGCCTTGTTCTGTCTGCCACAGGCCAATCCTGCTCCTGCCACTTTGCCACTTCCATTCTTTCAGGGAAGGAGAGGAGGAGGGGCCCAAAGACAGGGTGTAGTGAGTGTTATTGTGTTCCACTATTCCCAGAGGAATGGGCACAATAACTGAGAGTGGAAAGGCAGAGTTGGGGAGAGAAGAATAAACAAAACGGAATCATGGCCTAGTCTTCTGTCAAGTAATTTAAAGGCTCTCCTTGCTACTTCCCCTTTAATCCTTGAAAAACACTAAATGGCAGGTAGGTGGGCATGGTGATGACCATGTTGGGGAGGAAGCTGTTCCTCATTTAAAGGAGGGGGCTACCTACAAACTTCTGTTCTTAGCTCAACAGCAAAGCCCTCCCATTCTCATTCTTGTTTTCTTTGCCTTCCTCTTCTCCCTCCATGCTCCCTGATCCTTCCTACCATTGTGGGTTCATGCATGAGACACTGGTAGAGAAGAAGGGACAGGAAGCCAGGGAAACTCTCAAGGACCATCAATCATGAGATATAAAGGGAGAGGTCAGGAGCCATGTTTGAGAGCAGTAGAGGGATAATATCACTCTTAGATCTGGACAACCCAGGGAAAGAAGAGAGGGAAGGAGGCCAGGTCAGCTTTGAGAAGCAGTTCTGCTCCAGGGCTGGGAGTTAGGGAGGAAGTAGGGAGGAGGACCTATGCAATGCCAAGAAAGATTTCCCTTGTCCCTCTTTAGGCTCTGTGTATCTCAGTGTGAGACTTGGGATGATTAGTTGACCATAAATGTATGATTTTGGTGGCTGGTAAGATGGCCAAATAGGAACAGCTCTGGTCTGCAGCTTCCAGTGAGATCAATGCAGAAGGTGGGTGATTTCTGCATTTCCAACTGAGGTACCCAGCTCATCTCATTGGGACTGGTTAGACAGTGGGTGCAGCTCATGGAGGGTGAGCAGAAGCAAGGTGGGGTTCACCTTACCCGGGAAGTACAAGGGGTTGGGAGAACTCCCTCCCCTAGCCACGGGAAGCCCTGAGGGACTGTGCCCTGAGGGATGGTGCATTCCAGCCCAGATACTACACTTTTCCCATGGTATTCACAACCCACAGACCAGGGGATTCCCTCAGGTGCCTATGCCACCAGGGCCCTGGGTTTCAACCACAAAACTGGGCAGCTATTTGGGCAGACACTGAGCTAGCTGCAGGAGTTTTTGTCATAACCCAGTGGCACCTGGAGAACCAGCAAGACAGAACTTTTCACTCCCTGGAAAGGGGGCTGAAGCCAGGGAGCCAAGTGGACTAGCTCATTGGATCCAACCCCACGGAGCCCAGCAAGCTAAGATCCACGGGTTTGAAATTCTCGCTGCCAGCACAGCAGTCTGAAGTCGACCTGGTACGCTCGAGCTTGATGGGGGGAGGGGCATCCACCATTACTGAGGCTTGAGTAGGTGGTTTTCTCCTCACAGTATAAACAAAGCCACCAGGAAGTTCAAACTCGGCAGAGCCCACCACAGCTCAACAAAGCTACGCTAGCCAAACTGCCTCTCTAGATTCCTCCTCTCTGGGCAGGGCATCTCTGAAAGAAAGGCAGCAGCCCCAGTCAGGGGCTTATAGATAAAACTCCCAACTCCCTGGGACAGAGCACCTGGGGGAAGAGGTGGCTGTGGGCACAGCTTCAGCAGCCTTAAGCGTTCCTGCCTACAGTCTCTGAAGAGAGCAACGGATCTCACAGCACAGTGCTCGAGCCCTGCTAAGGGACAGACTGCCTCCTCAAGTGGGTCCCTGATCCCCATGCCTCATGACTGGGAGACATCTCCCAGCAGGGGTCAACAGACACCTCATAAAGGAGAGCTCCAGCTGGCATCTGGCAGGTGCCCCTCTGGGACAAAGCTTCTAGAGGAAGGAAGAGGCAGCAGTCTTTGCTGTTCTGCAGCCTCTGCTGGTGATACACAGGCAAACAGGGTCTGGATTGGACCTCCAGCAAACTCCAGCAGACCTGAAGCAGAAGGGCCTGACTGTTAGAAGGAAAACTAACAAACAGAAAGGAATAGTATCAACATCAACAAAAAGGACGTCCACACAAAAACCCCATCTGAAGATCACCAACATCAAAGACCAAAGGTAGATAAATCCATGAAGATGAGGAAAAAACAGCACAAAAAGGCTGAAAATTCCAAAAACCGTAATGCCTCTTTTCCTCAAAAGGACCACAACTCCTCGCCAGCAAGAGAACAAAACTGGACGGAGAATGAGTTTGACAAATTGACAGCAGTAGGCTTCAGAAGGTGGGTAACAACAAACTCCTCTGAGCTAAAGGAGCATGTTCTAACCCAATGCAAGGAAGCTAAGAACGTTGAAAAAAGGTGAGAGAAATTGCAAACTAGAATAATCAGTTTAGAGCAGAACACAAATGACCTGAAGGAGCTGAAAAACACAGCACGAGAACTTCATGAAGCATACACAAGTATCAATAGCTAAATCGATCAAGCAGAAGAAAGGATATCAGAGATTGAAGATCATTTTAATGAAATAAAGCATGAAGACAAGATTAGAGAAAAAAGAATGAAAAGGAACAAAGCCTCCAAGAAATATGGGACTATGTGAAAAGACCAAACCTACATTTCACTGGTGTACCTGAAAGTGACAAGGAGAATGGAACCAAGTTGGAAAACACTCTTCAGGATATTATCCAGGAGAACTTCCCCAACCTTGCAAGACAGGCCAACATTCAAATTCAGGAAATACAGAGAAAACCACAAAGATATTCCATGAGAAGAGCAACCCAAAGACACATAATTGTCAGATTCACCAAAGTTGAAATGAAGGAAAAAATGTTAAGGGCAGCCAGAGAGAAAGGTCGGACTACCCACAAAGGGAAGCCCATCAGACTAACAGCGGATCTCTTGGCAGAAACCCTACAAGCCAGAAGAGAGTGGGGGCCAATATTCAACATTCTTAAAGGAAAGAATTTTCAACCCAGAAGTTCATATCCAGACAAACTAAGCTTAATAAGCAAAGGAGAAATAAAATCCTTTACAGACAAGCAAATGCTGAGAGATTTTGTCACCACCAGGCCTACCTCACAAGAGTTCCTGAAGGAAGCATTAAATATGGAAAGGAAAAACCGGTACCAGCCACTGCAAAAACATACAAAATTGTAAAGACCATCGACACTATGAAGAAACTGCATCAAGTAATGGGCAAAATAACCAGCTGGCATCATAATGACAGGATCAAATTCACACATAAAAATATTAACCTTAAATGTAAATGGGCTAAATGTCCCAATTAAAAGACAGAGAGTGGCAAATTGGATAAAGAGTCAAGATCCATCACTGTACTGTATTCAGGAGACCCATCTCACGTGCAAAGACACACATAGGCTCAAGATAAAGGGATGGAGAAATATTTACCAAGTAAATGGAAACAAACAAACAAACAGAAAGGGTTGCAATCCTAGTCTCTGATAAAACAGACTTTAAACCAAGAAAGATCAAAAAAGACAAAGAAGGGCGTTACATGATGGTAAAGGGATCAATGCAACAAGAAGAGATAACTATCCTAAACATATATGCACCCAATACAGGAGGACCCAGATTCATAAAGCAAGTTCTTAGAGACTTACAAAGAGATGTAGACTCCCACACAATAATATTGGGAGACTTTAACACCCCACTGTCAATATTAGACAGATCACCAAGACAGAAAATTAACAAGCATATTCAGGACTTGAACTCAGCTCTGGACCAAGCAGACCTAATAGACATCTACAGAACTCTCCACCTCAAATAAACAGAATATACATTCTTCTCAACACCACATCCCACTTATTCTAAAATTGACGACACAATTGGAAGTAAAATACTCCTCAGTAAACGCGAAATAATGGAAATCATAACAGTCTCTCAGACCACAGTGCAATCAAATTAGAACTCAGGATTAAGAAACTCACTCAAAACCTCACAACTACATGGAAATTGAACAACCTGCTCCTGAATGACTAGTGAGTAAATAACAAAATTAAGGTAGAAATAAATAAGTTCTTTGAAACCAATGAGAACAAAGATACAATGTACCAGAATCTCTGGGACACAGCTAAAGCAGTGTTTAGAGGGAAATTTATAGCACTAAATACCCACAGGAGAAAGCAGGAAAGATCAAAAATTGACACCCTAACATCACAATTAAAAGAACTAGAGAAGCAAGAGCAAACAAATTCAACAGCTAGCAGAAGACAAGAAATAACTAAGATCAGAGCCAAACTGAAGGAGATAGAGACATGAAAAACCCTTCAAAAAATCAATGAATCCAGGAGCTGTTTTTTTGAAAAGATTAACAAAATAGATAGACTGCTAGCCAGACTGATAAAGAAGAAGAGAGAAAAATCAAATAGACACAATAAAAAATGATAAAGGGGATATCACCACTGATCCCACAGAAATACAAACTACCATCAGAGAATACTATAAATACCTCTATGGAAATAAACAACAAAATCTAGAAGAAATGGATAAATTGCTGGACACATACACCCTCCCAAGACTACACAAGGCAGAAGTCGAATCCCTGAATAGACCAATAACAAGTTCTGAAATTTAGGCAGTAATTAATAGCCTACCAACCAAAAAAGCCCAGGACCAGACAGATTCACAGCCGAATTCTACCAGAGGTACAAATAAGAGCTGGTACCCTTCCTTCTGAAACTATTCCAAACAATAGAAAAAGAGGGACTCCTCCCTAACTCATTTTATGAGGTCAGCATCATCCTGATACCAAAACCTGAGACACACACACACACAAAAGAAAATTTCAGGCCAATATCCCTGATAAACATCAATGAAAAAATCCTCAATAAAATACTGGCAAACCGAATCCAGCAGCACATCAAAAAGCTTATCCACCACCTTCAAGTCAGCTTCATCCCTGGGATGCAAGGCTGGTTCAACATATGCAAACCAATAAACATAATCCATCACTTAAACAGTACAAATGACAAAAACCACATGATTATCTCAATAGATGCAGAAAAGGCCTTCAATAAAATTCAACACTCCTTTGTGCTAAAAAGTCTCAATAAACTTAAGTATTGATGGAACATATCTCAAAATAATAAGGGCTATTTATGACAAACCCACAGCCAATATCATACTGAATGGGCAAAAGCTGGGAGCATTCCCTTTGAAAACCACCAAAAGACAAGGATGCCCTCTCTCACCACTCCTATTCAACATAGTATTGGAAGTTCTGGCCACGGCAATCATGCAAGAGAAAGAAATAAAGGGTATTCAAATAGAAAGAGAGGAAGTCAAATTGTCTCTGTTTGCAGATGATATGATTGTATATTTTAAAAACCCCATCCTCTCAGCCCAAAATCTCCTTAAGCTGATAAGCAACTTCAGCAAAGTCTCAGGATACAAAATCAATGTGCAAAAATCACAAGCATTCCTATACACCAATAATAGACAGATGAGCCAAATCACGAGTGAACTCCCATTCACAATTGCTACAAAGAGAATAAAATACCTAGGAATCCAACTTACAAGGGATGTGAAGGACCTCTTCAAGGAGAACTAGAAACCACTGGTCAAGGAAATAAGAGAGGACACAAACAAATGGAAAATCATTCCATGCTCATGGATAGGAAGAATCAATATTGTGAAAATGGCCATACTGCCCAAAGTAATTTATAGATTCAGTGCTATCCTCATCAAGCTACCATTGACTTTCTTCACAGAATTAGAAAAAAAACTACTTTAAATTTTATAAGAAACCAAAAAAAGAGCCCGTTTAGCCAAACAATCCTAAGCAAAAAGAACAAAGCTGGAGGCATCATGCTACATGACTTCAAACTATACTACAAGGCTACAGTAACCAAAACAGCATGGTACTGGTACCAAAACAGATATATAGACCAATGTAACAGAACAGAGGCCTCAGAAATAACACCACACATCTACAACCATCTGATCATTGACAAACATGACAACAACAAGCAATGGGGAAAGGATTCCTTATTTAATAAATGGTGTTGGGAAAACTGGCTAGCCACATGCAGAAAACTGAAACTGGATCCCTTCCTTACACCTTATACAAAAATTAACTCAAGATGGATTAAAGACTTAAATGTAAGACCTAAAACCATAAATACCCCAGAGGAAAACCTAGGCAATATGATTCAGGACATAGGCATGGGCAAATACTTCATGGCTAAAATGCCAAAAGCAATGGCAACAAAAGCCAAAATTGACAAATGTGATCTAATTAAACTAAAGAGCTTCTGCACAGCAAAAGAAACTATCATCAGAGTGAACCGGCATCCTATAGAATGGGAGAAAATTTTTACAATCTATCCGTCTGATAAGGGGCTAATATACAGAATCTACAATGTACTTAAACAAATTTACAAGAAAAAAAGAAAACCTCATCAAAAAGTGGGTGAAGGATATGAACAGACACTTCTCAAAAGAAGACATTTATGCGGCCAACAAACTATTAAAAAAAAGTTCATCATCACTGGTCATTAGAGAAATGCAAATCAAAACCACCATGAGATATCTCACACAAGTTAGAATGGCAGCCATTAAAAAGACAGGAAACAACAGATGTTGGAGAGGATATGGAGAAATAGGAATGCTTTTACACTGTTGGTGGGAGTGTAAATTAGTTCAACCATTGTGGAAGACAGTGTGGTGATTCCTCAAGGATCTAGAACCAGAAATACCATTTGACCCAGCAATCGCATTACTGGGTATATACCTGAAGGATTATAAATCATTCTACTATAAAGACACATGCACAAGTATGTTTATTGCAGCACTGTTCACAATAGCAAAGACTTGGAACCAACCCAAATGCTATCATTGTTAGACTGGATAAAGAAAAAGTGACACATATACACCACGGAATACTATGCAGTCATAAAAAAGGATGAGTTCATGTCCTTTGCAGAGACATGGATGAAGCTGGAAACCATCATTCTCAGCAAACTAACACAGGAACAGAAAACCAAACACTGCATGTTCTCACTCATAAGTGGGAGTTGAACAATGAGAATACATGGACATAGGAGTGGGGGGAACATCGCACACTGGGGCCTGTCTGGGGGTGGGGGCCTAGGGGAGGGATAGCATTAGGAGAAGTACCTAATGTAGATGATGGGTTGATGGGTGCAGCCAACCACCATGGCACGTGTATACCTATGTAACAAACCTGCACATAGTGCACATGTATCCCAGAACTTAAAGTATAATTTAAAAAAGAAAGAAATATAACTAATCATATGATCCAACAGTCCCACTACTGGGTATTTGTTCAAAGGAAATGAAATCAATATGTCGAAGTGCAGCTTATATTTGCTGCTGCACTATTCTCAATAGCCATGATATGAAATCAACCTAAGTGTTCATGAGTAGATGAATAAAGAAAATGTGGTATATAAAAAAAGTATGATTTTATTTCTGGGCTCTCAATTTTGTTCTATTTGTCTATATGCCTACCCTTATGCCAGTACAACACTGTTTTTAATTATTATAGGTTTGCAGTAATTTCAAAATAAGGAAGTGGGAGTCCTCCAATATTGTTCCTCTTTTTCAAGATTGTTTTGGGTATTGGATGTGTCTTGTAATTCCATTCATTTAACCAATTTGCACAGAGAGAGAGAGAAGCCAGAGTCTGAATGGTAAGAAATTTTTACCCTTTTGCTGTCTTGCCAGATTTTTGGGTTCCCTCTCCCTGAGCAGCCCTAGTGACCCTGCTTGACTGTATGCAAACCATTGCCATGGATTAAGAATATTTTCAAAGAGCTTACAAATTTTTGAGAAATCAGGCAGAGAGAGAAATATGACTCAAATTCTGTTTACGAAAGTATACTCAACACATTTAAAGTATCAGGAAGCCTAAAATCCCAAAAGTTAGTGTAAGGTTAAAAAGCTGGTGTGTTCTATCAATTCCTGTGGTCCCAACAAAGTTAGCCTAGGAATTTCAGATAAATGGAACAAAAGATGACTTGCTAGAAATGCATAGGAAACAAAATATCGATTCACAGAACCAAATGAAAGCCTTCCACTAGAAACTAATAAATATATTATATATACATATGTAAAATATATATATAGTTTTATATGTGCATACACAAGCAACGCCAGAGGAAAATAAACAGCAAATGAATAAAAATTAGAAACAAAAACAAATAAACAGGAAACCAGCCCTAAATTTTTTCTACTCAATCTACCTTGGAGGCTACAGTCTTATGCAGGGACCCAAAAAAACCACACAATGAATGTTTTATTCCTGATAGACAAAATAATAACTTTAAGTTCACCAATATCATCATACATCCTGTGCAATCAAGAGATTTACTCTAGGCAAACAACCAATAAGTACTCCAGTGCCAGCACTATACATGCAAAACAGTAAACATAGTGTGAAGCAATTGAAAGCATGCATGTGATAAATTTGGCTCCACACTAAATCCAGCTTCATGCTTAACTATAGTTTAAAAATTTGCCAAACTGCTGATGCCTTTCTTTACAATACTTATTTTGCATTAATCAAGACTAAGAGCTTTAACTATGAAAATGTTAATTCGCCAATTCTCTTTCAGGTTTTAAAGAATATTTTATTATCTTAACTTTTTCTACATCTTTTCCCCCTATTTACTGGTTCCTTACTACATTGTTTCATGGCTAACCTTTTCAAATCTGTAATTTGAACTAACTTTTAGGTAACTTATGAATTAGACAAAATTACTTTTTTCTCACTATTAGCACAACACTTTCTGGCACATTTTGTAAGCAGAATTATGTGTTACCTAGAGTTCTTATCCTTGGTAACCTAAAACTGTAGTGAAACCCTAAAAAGCAAGAAACCCCAAACTGTCAGATATGGGCATTTATAGATAAGAACAATACATGATTTTAGAAACATATTTCACCATATCACAGCCCTTTCTTTATTGGAAATGACCCAGATATTAAGTGAGCATCAAAAATAATTTTAAGTTTTTAATTTACACGTTTGCCTAAAATATTTATCCCATTCACTGTACACAATTCTTTCACTTTTAACAGTTTATCTAGATTACTTCTGTATACTGAGATATTAGACACTATCTTTTAAAGTTAGCTATTTCCTTGTTAACCATACTTTTAATAAACAGCGAGCATCATTTAGGTGCTCATGTAAACCTAAGTAAGAGCCTCAAAGTTAAATACATGGGTATTTTTGTCAATAACTCAGAGGATTTAGCTAACATTAAATTACTCTCATTTTTCATAAAAAAAGGCATGCTAACCAAGAACATTTTGCTTTGGCTGGGTTTATAGTTTTATTACCTTCTATGCCAAACCCTGACACCTCAAAATATCTAGCAGAGACAAATATAAAATCCAGACAAAAATGTATGCTGACAATTCTGAAGGCATTTCCATTTTTATTTTACCAATAATTTTAAAACCAGCATGTTTAGTAAAGTTACACTTAAGTCATGTGAACTTGAAAATTGCGTAGACTTAGTTACTTAATTTCTGAGTGCTCTTTTACTTACAAGACAATTTGGTGGACACAACATATAGCTATAAGTGTACATACAAATAAACATATCAAGGCATGCATATACACACACAAAGAAAGATTCAATAGCTTTTACCTTGGAACCCTAGCCACGAGATAGCAATACAAGCTCACTGGTTTTACTTTGTTTGCCTCAATAGGTAATCCAATGAAGGCTGTGAACCAAAATTTTGGGTAAAGCAGTTTCCATGGCAGTTTGATTTTTAAAGGCCAACCTTCTTCAGACTCCAAAGAACACTGGCACCAAACAGCACCAAAGGAGAACATCACATACTAATTAGGCCTGACCCTGTTTAGAAGAGCAGCACCAAAGCCTGGATACATGCAATTCCATTCCATTTTCCCATTCAACAGCAAACTCCAGATTCCAAACAGTATGGGGGCCAAACAGTATTGCAACTGCAAGAGAAAATTCTAAGGAGGGCTTAGTATTATGCCCCAGAGCCTTTGCCCAGGGGATCCCTCTTGGAGAGGTTGAGGTCCAGAAGATCCCCTGGGGCATTCCTTTTTTGGGGTCCACTCTTAGAGTGTCAGACTTCTTTGACCTTAGGTGGGCACTGGTGCTGCTTTGCATGTCTTCCCTCCAGAGGCAATGGCCTACTATTAGCTTTCCTTTGGTTCCTGTGTGTAATCCCTGACTTTTAGCATCCTTATGATTTGATAAGGCCATGCTTTCCCATGCTTTCTGTTCCACTAGAGTGATAACCATGAACTGTAATAATAGGAACTGGAGGCTCGGTGGGCTTCTTTTGTCCTAAGTCAGTTAAGTAGGATTAGGGAAGAATTTAGCATAAGAAAAGAAGGTTTAGGTTACCTGAAACATGTGTGAGTTCGCCCTGAGCTGCGAGTTTGCCCTGAGCTGTTCCACAATTAGGGATCAGAGACCACAACCAAAAAAGATAGAAAAGACTCCTTCAGAGTGGCCCCAGCCAGAACCCGGCAGTTGCCTCCATGTTTAGGCGCTGCCCATCAAGAGTCCTGAGTTGGAAAGGAAAAGAGAGAGAGAGGGAGATATTCCCCTGTATGGAGCAGAAAGGAAAAGGTGAAAAATAAATCCCAAACTTTAGGCTTACCTCCTGGCTGGCTCACCAAAGTATGTTATAATGGAGGGTGTCCAGGTTCTTGGCATCTTGAATGAAGAATTGGACGGAACACACAAACAAACCAAGGAAAGAATGAAGCATCAAAAGCAGAGATGTATTGAAAATGAAAGTACACTCCACAGGGTGGGAGTGGGCCTGAGGATAGGGGCTCAAGAGCCAGATTACAACATTTTCTGGGGTTTAAATACCTTCTAGAGGTTCCCATTGGTTACTTGGTATACACCCTACATAAATGAAGAGAATAAAGTAAAGTTACAAAGTCATTTACTAGGTGTACGCCCTATGTAAATGGAGAGGATATTTCCTGTCATAGCTGAAGTGTTTCCATTTGATGTAGTTCTAGGAAGTCAGCGTGAATTGGCCTTATGTTCTCTTCCTCCAGACTCTATTCTCCTGCCTCACTTCTCTAGTGCTTTTACTACCTTTACCTGCAGTTCTTTCCCCAAATTTATTGTGTTCTGCACTTTTAATTTTTAAGTAAATCTAATTTACACTTGAGGCATTTTCATCCCGCAACTGAGATAAGCCTAAAATGCTGTTCTGGGTTACTGTTCAGTCTCTGCTTTGTATATTTGAAAGTAATGAGAACACAACTAATAAAACTCAAATGACTTCGACACACAGTGTTTTCCCCCACTAAAAACATGGTTGCATACAGTTGAAATTATGAAAGCTAAATATTCTTGTCCTTGAAACTCCTCTACTGACTCTGTTAGAGTAGGCAGATAGCTGGATATGAGCAGGAGGGGGAGACCCTGAGATAAAAAGGAGATCTGGAAAATCTCACACCCCAGAGACCAGCAGAAACCGACATGCTAGATATGAGCAGAGAAGAGGGGTAATACCTATGCAGGAAGTAATGCCCCTTAAGACACCCAGTAATCACTCACTATGCAGTTAGCAGGTCAGAATGTGGCTAGTTACATGCTGGTAAGAAGAGAAAGAGGGCAAAGGAGAAATTCTTAAGAGATATGCAGATGCCATAAGTACAGATTTAGTTTTATACAACATTCTGGATGTGGTGGTAATAAGCAATGCAGCCATTCAGCTTGTTCCCATGTCAGCCAGATCAGCTGCACTTTCTCTGGTCCTCAACCAAATGAGATTCAGTTCTCTGCCAGACTGAAGCGATTAAAAACAAAACAACAACAAAAAACAATCATGTCTTTCCATAGGAACAAGAAGGTAGGCATGCCATCACCATGTGAGTAAAAAGTGTACCTCCCATAGGACTTACTGGTTCACTTTGCTCCTAAGTGCAACCCAGTTGTGGTCTTCTGTGTTGTGCTATGTCCTCCTCCCAGGGTGGTGAGTATATGAGACCAACAAACTGCTGCCAATCTGATCTCTTCAGTGATGGGTAATATGTGTTCAGCCATCTGGAGTTATTTAGAGTATGGAATCCTTCCTTCAACAATGGGGTGAATAGGAGGTGACCAGAACATGCTGTGACTCCCATTTTGTCTTTCGTGAAAGAATGCTGAGATCATTATATCCAGCATTCATCTTTGCAGAGTCACTGGCTTTGCAAGACATTAATAGAAGTCACTTCTGGTTCAGGAGACTAGGAAGAGAGGGCATTGGCTTACTTTCATTCATTTCTAGAAATCTGCAAATGAGAGGCACTATTTTAATACCTCCTTAATATTTATCAAACACCCATTATGTGTCTAGCATGCATTCATCATGAATGGCTTTTTAAATTTCCCACAAAAGAGTACACATATATTCACGACATAGATTTGCCTTCATCCATATTAGTCATGCTATGAGAGCCACAATTCTTGGACTTACAAACAAGCTCCCTAATACCGTTGTTTCTTCAAAACATTACTTTGTCCAGTAACTCTTTTTATGGCAACTGAAGATGGTACATGAGCTCAGGTCTGTGAAATCTACCAGTCTTACCATGACCCAGAAACACCTGGCCTCATACAGTGCTAGAGCGGCCTGGTGAAAACTCAGTTGTAGCATTATAGAGGAAACAGAAGCCTGCAAGGTTGAAGGGCTGTTCTATAGGATATAACTCAAGTTCTGTACTCACAAGCAACCTATGGAGCCATTCTGCAAAGCCAGGATGGGATAGAGAGTGACCTCTCCCACTCTTATATCCAAAAAATGATTCACAGATTTTCTCTTTTCCTTCTCCCCAAAATAGGAATTGGATGGTTTGGAGGTTAAAATATTCGAGGCAAGATGCCTCTCCCATGGAACATATTCACGGTTCCATTATCTTGGAAACCGACACTGACTCCTTGTCCCCTGCCCATTTTCAGGTCTTTGGGTAACAAGAGTGGGAGTTGAGAAGGGGTCACTGTCCTGAATGGGTGAGGGATCCAGATGACCATGGGGAGTTTGGCTTGTTGCTTCCTAATGTGGGGAAGAGAACTAGTTCTGGACCCAAAGGGATTTAGTATGGCACCACCTAGCACTCCCATGTCCAGCTGTAATATTCCATGAAAAACTGATGCAATTCCATAATGGTATCACTTCCAAGGATTCCTATCTTTCAGCAACAAATTCTTAGGTTATTTCACCGGGTACACATCCACCAACATTTCCAGGTGCTGGCAGAGTATAAGGAAATGGTTTTACAGGGAGGGAGGTAAGATAAATATTTTTTATTTTTATTTTTAATTTTTGTGGGTACATAATATATATGTATATAGGTATGTATAAATATGTGTATATATATATATATATATATATATATATATATATATATATGAGATATTTTGGTAGAGGCCTGCAATGTATAATAATTACATCATGAACAATTGGGTATCCATCTCCTCAAGAATTTATTCTTTGTGTTATAAACAATCCAGTTATACTATTTTAGTTATTTTAAAATGTACAATTAAATTATTATCAACTATGATCCCCCTGTTGTGCTATCAAATACTAGGTCTTATTTAGCTTTCTATTTTTTTTTGTACCCATTAACCATCCCCACCTCCCTCACTGCTCCCTCACTGTATTTCCTAGCCTCTGGCAACCATCCTTCTATTCTCTATATCCATGAGTTCAATTGTTTTGATTTTTAGACCATATACATAAATGAGAACATGTGATGTTCATCTTTTTGTGCCTGGCTTACTTTGCTTAACATAATGACCTCCGCTTTTATCCAGGTTGTTGCAAATGAAAGAATCTCATTCTTTTTATGACTGAATAGTAATCCATTGTGTTTATGTACCACATTTTCTTTATCCATTCTTCTGTTGATGGACACTTAGGTTGCTTCCAAATCTTAGTTATTGTGACCAGTGCGGCAATAAACATGGGAGTGCCGATATCTCTTTGATATACTAATTTTATTTGCTGTATATACTCAGCAGTGGAATTGTTGGATCCTGTGGTAGCTCTATTTTTAGTATTTTGAGTATCCTTCAAACTGTGTTCTATGGCAGTTGTAGTAATTTATATTACCACCAAAGATGTAGAAGTGTTCCCTCTTCTCCAGATCTTCACCAGCATTTGTTATTGCCTCACTTCTGGAAAAATAACACGTTAGCTGTGGTGAGATGATATCCAAATGTAGTTTTGATTGGTATTTCTCTGATGATCAATGATGTTGAGGACCTTTTCATATGTCTCTTTGTCATTTGTATGTTTTAAGAAATGTCTATTCAGATCTTTTGTCCATTTTTAACTGGATTATTTGATTTTTTCCTGTAGAGATTTTTGTGCTCCTTATATGTTCTGGTTAATTCATCCTTTGCCAGATGGGCACTTTGCAAAAATTTTGTCCTACTCTGTGAGTTGTCTCTTCCCTTTGTTGGTTGTTTCTTTTGCTGTGCAGAAGGTTTTTCACTTGATATGATCCCATTTGTCCATTTTTGCTTTGGTTGTCTGTGCTTGTGGGTTGTTACTCAAGACATTTTTGCCCAGACCAACGTCCTGGAGATTTCCCCCAATGTTTTCTTGTTTGTAGTTTCAAGTTTGAGGTCTTAAGTTTAAGTCTTTAATTCATTTTTATTTTACTTTTGTATATGGTGAGAGATAGGGGGTCTAGTTTCATTCTTCAGTTTATGGATATCCAGGTTTCCGAGCACCATTTATTGAACAGACTGTCTTTTCCCCAGTGTATGTTCTTGGCACCTTTGTCAAAAATGAGCTCACTGTAGGTGTTGTGGATTTTCTTCTGTGTTCCCTGTTCTGTTACATTGGTCTATGTGTCTGTGTTTATGCCGGTACCATGCTGTTTTGATTCCTATAGCTCTGTATTATAATCTGAAGTCAGGTAATGTGATTCCTGTAGTTTTCTTCTTTTTGCTCAGGACAGCTTTGGCTCTTCTGGGTCTTTTGTGGTTCCATAAACATTTTAGGATTTTTTTTTTCTATTTTTGTGAAGAATGTCATTGGTGTTTTAATAGGGATTGCATTGAATCTGTAGGCTGCCTTGGGTAGTATGGACATTTTAATGATATTATTCTTCCAATCCATGAACATGGAATATCTTTCTATTATTTTGTGTTGTCTTCAATTGCTTTCATCACTGTGTTATACTTTTCATAATAGACATGCTTCACTTATTTGGTTAATTCTTAGGTATTTAATTTTATTTCTGAGTATTGTAAATGGGACTAATTATTGACTTCTTCATATTGTTCACTGTTGGCATATAGAAAGGCTACTGATTTTTGTATATTGATTTTGTAATGTGCAACTTTCATAAATTTATCAGTCCTAATACTTATTTGGTGGAGTTTTTAGTTTTTTCCAAATATAAGATCATATTATCTGCAAACAAGTATGATTTGACTTCTTCCCTTGCAATTTTAATGCCCTTTATTTCTTTCTCTTGTCTGACTGCCCTAGGTAAGACTTTCATTATTATGTTGAATAACAGTGGTGACATTGGGCATCCTTGCCATGTTTCAGATTTTAGAGGAAAGGCTTTCAATTTTTCCCCATTCAGCATACTAGATGTGGGTTTGTCCTACATGGCTTTTATTATGCTGAAGTATGTTCCTTCTATATCCAGCTTTTGAGGATTTTTACCATGAAGAAATATGGACTTTATGAAATGCACTTTTAACATCAATCAAAAGGATCATATGTTTTTGTCCTTCATTCTGTTGATGTGATGTATCACGTTGATTGATTTGTATATGTTGAATCATCCTTGAATCCCTGGGATAAATCCCACTTGTTCATGATGAGTGATCTTTTTAATGTATTGTTGAATTCTGATTGCTGGTATTTGGATGAGGATTTCTGCATTAATACTCATCAGATATATTGGTCTGTAGGTTTTTTTTTTTTTTGGTGTATCTTTGTCTAGTTTTGGTATCAGGGTAATACTGGTCTTGCAGAATGAGTTTGGATGTGTTCCCTTCACTACTTTTCAGAACAGTTTTGAGTAGAAGAGATATTAATTCTTCTTTAAATGTTTGATAGAATTCAGCACTGGAATATTGTGTCCTGGATTTTTCTTTGCTGGGACACTTTTCCTGACAGCTTTTTGCTCCTTACTTGTTGTTGATCTGCTCAGGTTTTGGATTTCTTCCTTGTTTAATCTTTGTAGGTTGGATATGTCTAGCAGTTTATTCATTTCTTCTAGATTTTTCAATGTATTGGCAAATAGTTGTTCATAGTAGCCATTAATGATTTTTTGAATTTCTGTGGTATCAGTTGTAATCTCTCCCTTTTCATCTCTGATTTTATTTATTTGGGTCTTCTCCATTTTTTTCTTAGCCAGTCTGGCTAAAGGTTTGCCAATTTTGTTTATCTTTTAAAAAAACTGAGCTTTTGTTTCATTGGTCTTTTGTATTGTTTTCTTCATTTTTCACATTCGTTTATTTATGCTCTGCTTTTTATTATTTCTGTTATTATAATTTTGGGTTCAGTTTGCTCTTGCTTTTCTAGTTCTTTAAGATGCATCATTAGGTTACTTATTTGAAGTTTTTCTTCTTTTTTGATATAGGCACTTATAGCTATAAACTTCCCTCTTGGTACTGATTTTGCTATATCCCATATGTTTTGGTATGTTGGGCTTCCATTATCATTTTTTCAAGAAATTTTTCAATTTCCTTCTTTATTCTTTCATTGACCCACTGGTCATTCATGGGTATGCTGTTTAATTTCCATGTGTTGGTATAATTTCAAAAATTCATCTTCTTGTTGATTTCTAGTTTTATTCCATTGTGGTCAGAAAAGATGCTTGATATTTTTTCAATGTTTATGATTGTTTTAAGACTTGTTTTGTGACCTACCCTTGAGAATGATCCATGTGTCGAGGAAAAGATTGTATTCTGCAGCCATTGGATGAAATGTTCTGTAAATATCTATTAAGTCCATTTGTTCTATAGTGCAGATTAACTTTGATGTTTCTTTGTTGATTTTCAGTCTGGGAGATCTGTCTAATGCTGAAGTTGGGATGTTGAAGTCTCCAGCTATAATTGTATTGGGGTCTATATATTTCTTTATCTCTAATAATATTTGCCTTACATATCTGGGTGCTCCAGTGTTGGATGCATATATATTTACAATCCTTATATGCTCTTGCTGAATTGACCCCTTTATCATTACATAAGGACCTTCCTTGTCTCTTTTTATAGGGTTTTCCCTGAAACCTCTTTTGTCCAATACAAGTGTGGCTACTCTTGTTCTTTTTGGGCTTCAACTGGCGTGGAATATCTTTTTACATCTTTTTATTTTCAGTCTGTGTGTATATTTATGAGTGAAGTATGTTTCTTGCAGGCAACAGATGATTGGGTCTTGTTTTTTCATTCATTCAGCTACTCTATGTCTTTTGATTGAAGAGTTTAGCCAATTTACATTCATTGTTATTATTGATAAATAGGAACTTACTTCTGCAATTTTGTTATTTGTTTTCTGGTTGTTTTGTGGTCTTCTCTTCCTTCTTTCTTTCCTTCCTGTCTTCCTCTTAGTGAAGGTGATTTTCTCTGGTGTATGTTTTAATTTCTTGCATTTTATTTTTGTGTATGTGTTATATGTTTTTTGATTTGAGGTTACCATGAGGCTCAAAAATACTATCTTATAACCCATTATTTTGAACTGATGAGAACTTAATACTGATTGCATAAACAAGCAAGCATGCAAAAAGAAAACTAATAATAATTCAACACTTTAACTTCATCCCTCTGCTTTTTAAGTTTTTATTGTTTCTTGTTATGTCTTATTCTACTGTCCCTGTCTTGAAAAGTTGTTGCAGTTATTATTTTCTTTCATTCATCATTTAGTCTTTCTACTTATGTCAACTGTAGTTTACATAACACAATTACGGTGCTATAGTAGTCTATGTTTTTCTGTGAGCTTACTAATACCAGTGAGTTTTGTACCTGCTGATGTTTTCTTCTTGCTCATTACCATCATTTTCTTTCAGATTGAAGAACTCTGTTTAGTATTTCCTGTAGTAGAGGCCTGGTGTTTATGAAGTCTCTCAGCTTTTGTTTGTCTGGGAAGGTCTTTATTTCTTCTTCATGCTTAAAGGACAGTTTTGCCTATGTGCTTTTATTCTAGGGTAAAACTTTATTTCCTTTACCACTTTAAATATGTCATGCCACTGTCTCCTGGCCTATAAGGTTTCCATCGAAAAGTCTGCTTCCAGATGTATTGGCACTCCATTGTACGTTATTTGTTTCTTTTCTCTTGCTGTGTATAGGATCCCTTCTTTATATTTGACCTCTGAGAGCTTGATTATTAAATGCTTTGAGGTAGTCTTCTTTAGGTTAAACCTGCTTGGTGTTCTATAGCCTTCTTGTACTTGGATGTTGACATTCTTCTCTACCTTTGAGAAATTCTCTGATATTACCCCTTTGAATGAACTTTCTACCCCTGTCTCTCTTTCTACATCCTCTTTAAGGCCAATAACTCTTTTTTTTTTTTTTTGAGACAGAGTTTCACTCTTGTTGCCCAGGCTAGAGTGTAATGGCGTGAACTCAGCTCACTGCAACCTCTGCCTCCCGGGTTCAAGCGATTCCTCTGCCTCAGCCTCCCGAGTAGCTAGGATTACAGGCACATGCCACCACACCTGGCTAATTTTTGTATTTTTAGTAGAGATGGGGTTTCACCATTTTGGCCAGGCTGGTCTCGAACTTCTGACCCCGTGATCTGCCCGCCTTGGCCTCCCAAAGTGCTGGGATTACAGGCGTGAGACACTGCTCCCGGCCTAAGGCCAATAACTCTTAGATTTGTTCTTTTGAGGCTATTTTCTAGATCCTGTAGGCATTCTTCACTGTTTTTTATTATTTTTTCTTTTGTCTCCTCTGATTATGTATTTTCAAACATCCTGTCTTCAGATTCACTAATTATTTCTTCTGCTTGATAAATTCTGCTATTAAGAGACTGATGCATTCTTCATGATGTCATTTGCATTTTTCAACTCTAGAATTTCTGCTTCATTCTTTTTTAATTATTTCAATCTTTTGTGAAATTTATCTGCTAGAATTCTGAATTCCTTCTCTGTGTTATTTTGAATTTATTTTTCTCAAAACAGCTAATGTTTAATTCTTTGTCTGAAATGCCACATATCTCTGTTTCTCATGAATTGGTCCCTGCTGCCTTATTTAGTTCATTTGTTTAGGTCTTGTTTTTCTGGATGGTGTTGATGCTTGTAGATGTTCATCTGTGTCTAGGCATTGCAAAGTTAGGTATTCATTGTAGTCTATGCAGACTGGGCTTGTTTGTGCTTGTCCTTCTGGGGAAGGCATTTATTATGGTTTGGCTCTGTGGCCGCACCCACACGTCATGTTGAATTGTAATAGCCACATGTTAAAGGAGGGGCCTTGTGGGAGGTGATTGGATCATGGGGGCGGATTTTGCCCCTGCTCTTCTCGTGATAGTGAGTTCTCATGAGATCTGATGGTTTAAAAATGTGTGGCACTCCCTCCTTTGCTGTCTGTCTCTCCTGCTCCACCATGTGCTTGCTTCCCCTTCTGCTATGAGTGTAAGTTTCCTGAGGCCTCCAAGTCACGTTTCCAGTTAAGCCTGAAGAACTGTGAGTCAATTAATCCTCTTTTCTTCATAAATTGCCCAGTCTCAGGTAGCTCTTTATAGCAGTGTGAAAATGAACTAACACACCATTCTAAGGAATTTGAAGGGATGAAGACTCATAGAGGCACCACCTTGGTGGTCTTAGATAAGATCTCTGAGGGGGCGTTCCAAGATGGCCAAATAGGAACAGCTTCGGTCTGCAGCTCCCAGCGTGATCGACTCAGAAGATGCGTGATTTCTACATTTCCAACTGAGGTACCTGTTTCATCTCACTGGGACTGGTTGGACAGTGGGTGCAGCCCACAGAGGGCGAGCTGAAGCAGGGCGGGGTGTCGCCTCACCCAGGAAGCACAAGGGGTCAGGGGATTTCCTTTTCCTAGCCAAGGGAAGCTGTGACAGACTATCTGGAAAAACGGGACACTCCCTGCCCAAATACTGTACTTTTCCCAAGGTCTTAGCAACTGGCAGACAAGGTGATTCTCTCCTGTGCCTGGCTTGGCGGGTCCCACACCCACGGAGCCTTGCTTACTGCTAGCCCAGCAGTCTGAGTTCGATCTGCGAAACAGCAACCTGGCTAGGGGAGGGGCGTCCGCCATTGCTGAGGCTTGAGTAGGTAAACAAAGTGGCAGGGGCAGCTCAAACTGGGACGAGCCCACTGCAGCTCAACAAGGCCTACTACCTCTAGACTCCACCTCTGTGGGTAGGGCTTAGCTGAACAAAAGGCAGCAGACAACTTCTGCAGACTTAAACATCCTTGTCTGACAGCTCTGAGGAGAGCAGTGGTTCTCCCAGCACAGTGTTTGAGCTCTGAGAATGGACAGACTATGTCCTCAAGTGGGTTGCTGACCCCTGTGTAGCCCAACTGGGAGACACCTCCCAGTAGGGGCCGACAGACACCTCGTGTAGGCGTCTACCCCTCTGGGATGAAGCTTCCAAAGGAAGGATCAGGCAGCAATATTTGCTGTTCTGAAATATTTGCTGTTCTTCAGCCTCCGCTGGTGATACCCAGGCAAACAGGGTCTGGAGTGGAACTCCAGCAAACTCCAACAGACCTGCAGCTGAGGGGCCTGACTGTTAGAAGGAAAACTAACAAACAGAAAGGAAAAGCAACAACATTAACAAAAAGGTCATCTACACCAAAATCCCATCTGTAGGTCACCAACATCAAAGACCAAATGTAGATAAAACCACAAAGATGGGGAGAAAGCAGAGCAGAAAAGTTGAAAATTCTAAAACTCAGAGCACCTCTTCTCCTCCAAAGGATGGCAGCTCCTCGCCAACAACAGAACAAAGCTGGATGGAGAATGATTTGATGAGTTGACAAAGGTAGGCTTGGGAAGGTCAGTAATAACAAACTTCTCCAAGCTAAAGGAGGATGTTTGAGTCCATCGCAAGGAAGCTAAAAACCTTGAAAAAAGATTAGACGAATGGCTAACTAGAATAAACAGTGTAGAGAAGACCTTAAATGACCTGATGGAGCTGAAAACCATGGCATGAGAACTTCGTGATTTATGCACAAGCTTCAATACCAATTCGATCAAGTGGAAGAAAGGGTATCAGTGATTGAAAAAGAAATTAATGAAACAAAGCAAGAAGACAAGGTTAGAGAAAAAAAAGTAAAAAGAAACAAACAAAGCCTCCAAGAAATATGGGACTATGTGAAAAGACCAAATCTACGTTTGATAGGTGTACCTGAAAGTGATGGGGAGAATGGAATCAAGTTGGAAAACACTCTTCAGGATATTATCAAGGAGAACTTCCTCAACCCAGCAAGGCAGGCCAACATTCAAATTCAGGAAATACAGAGAACACCACAAAGATACTCCAGGAGAAGAGCAACCCCAAGACACATAATTGTCAGATTAACCAAGGTTGAAATGAAGGAAAAAGTGTTAAGGGCAGCCAGAGAGAAAGGTCGGGTTGCCCACAAAGGGAAGCCCATCAGACTAACAGTGGATCTCTCGGAAGAAACCCTACAAGCCAGAAGAGAGTGGAGGCCAACATTTAACATTCCTAAAGAAAAGAATTTTCAATCCAGAATTTCATATCCAGCCAAACTAAGCTTCATAAGTGAAGGAGAAATAAAATCCTTTACAGACAAGCAAATACTGAGAGATTTTGTCACCACCAGGCCTGCCTTACAAGAGCTCCTGAAGGAAGCACTATACATGAAAACAACCAGTACCAGTCACTGCAAAAACATGCCAAATTGTAAAGACCATCGATGCTATGAAGAAACTGCATCAATTAACGGGCAAAATAACCAGCGAACATCATAGTGACAGGATCAAATTCACACTTAACAATATTAACCTTAAAGGTAAATAAGCTAAATGCCCCAATTAAAAGACACAGACTGGCAAATTGGATAAAGAGTCAAGACCCATCAGTGTGCTGTATTCAGCAGACCCATCTCACGTGCAGAGACGCACATAGGCTCAAAATAAAGGGATGGAGAAAGATCTACCAAGCAAATGGAAAACAAAAAAAAGCAGGGGTTGCAACCCTACTCTCTGATAAAACAGACTTTAAACCAACAAAGATCAAAAGAGACAAAGAAGGCCATTACATAATGGTAAAGGGATCAATTCAACAAGAAGAGCTAACTATCCTAAATATGTATGAACCCAATACAGGAGCACCCAGATTCATAAAGCAAGTCCTTAGAGACCTGCAAAGAGACTTAGCTCCCACACAATAATAATGGGACACTTTAACACCCCACTGTCAATATTAGACAGATCAACAAGACAGAAGGTTAACAAGGATATCCAGGACCTGAACTCAGCTCTGCAACAAGCAAACCTGATAGCCATCTACAGAACTCTCCACCCTAAATCAACAGAATATACATTCTTCTCAGCACCACATCACACTTACTCTAAAATTGACCACATAGGTGGAAGTAAAGCACTGCTCAGCAAATGTAAAAGAACAGAAATCACAACAAACTGTCTCTCAGACCACAGTGCAATCAAATTAGAACTCAGAATTCAGAAACTGACTCAAAACCACACAACTACATGGAAACTGAACAACTTGCTCCTGAATGACTACTGGGTAAATAACGAAGTGAAGGCGGAAATAAAGATGTTCTTTGAAACCAATGAGAACAAAGACACAACATACCAGAATCTGTGAGACACATTTAAAGCAGTGTGTAGAGGGAAATTTATAGCACTAAATGCCCACAGGAGAAAGCAGGAAAGATAAAATCGACACCCTAACATCACAATTAAAAGAACTAGAGAAGCAACAGCAAACAAATTCAAATGCTAGCAGAAGGCAAGAAATAACTAAGATCAGAGCAGAACTGAAGGAGATAGAGACACAAAAAACCCTTCAAAAAAATCAATGAATCCAGGAGCTGGTTTTTTGAAAAGATTGACAAAATTGATAGACCGCTAGCAAGACTAATAAAGAAGAAAAGAGAGAAGAATCAAATATACACAATAAAATATAATGATAAAGGGGATATCACCACCGATCCCACAGAAATACAAACTACTATCAGAGAATATTATAAACAGCTCTATGCAAATAAACTAGAAAATCTAGAAGAAATGGATGAATTCCTGGACACATACACCCTCCCAAGACCAAACCAGGAAGAAGTTGAGTCTCTGAATAGACCAATAACAGGCTCTGAAATTGAGACAATAATTAATAGCCTACCAACCAAAAAAAGGCCAGGACCAGACGGATTCACAGCCGAATTCTACCAGAGGTACAAAGAGGAGCTGGTACCATTCCTTCTGAAACTATTCCAATCAATAGAAAAAGAGGAAATCCTCCCTAACTCATTTTATGAGGCCAACATCACCCTGATACCAAAGCCTGGCAGAGACACAACAAAAAAAGAAAATTTTAGACCAATATCCCTGATGAACATCTATGCGAAAATCCTCAATAAAATACTAGCAAACTGAATCCAGCAGCACATCAAGAAGCTTCTCTGTCATGATCAAGTGGGCTTCATCCCTGGGATGCAAGGCTGGTTCAACATATGCAAATCAATAAATGTAATTCATCACATAAACTGAACCAACAACAAAAAGCACATGATTATCTCAAGAGATGCAGAAAAGGCCTTTGACAAAATTCAACAGCCCTTCATGCTAAAAACTCTCAATAAACTAGGTACTGATGGAACGTATCTCAAAATAATAAGAGCTATTTATGACAAACCCACAGCCAATATCATACTGAATGGACAAAAACTGGAAGCATTCCCTTTGAAAACCGGCACAAGACAAGTATGCCCTTTCTCACCACTCCTATTCAACATAGCGTTGGAAGTTCTGGCCAGGACAATCAGGCAAGAGAAGGAAATAAAGGGTATTCAATTAGGAAATGAGGAAGTCAAATTGTCCCTGTTTGCAGATGACATGATTGTATATTTAGAAAACCCCATCGTCTCAGTCCAAAATCTCCTTAAGCTGATAAGCAACTTCAGCAAAATCTTAGGATACAAAATCAATGTGCAAAACTCACAAGCATTCCTATACACCATTAAGACAAACAGAGAGCCAAATCATGAATGAACCCCCATTCACAATTGCTACAAAGAGAATAAAATGCCTAGGAATACAACTTACAAGGGATGTGAAGGACCTCTTCAAGGAGAACTAGAAACCACTGGTGAAGGAAATAAAAGAGGACACAAACAAATGGAAGAACATTCCATGCTCATGGATAGGAAGAATCAATATCGTGAAAATGGTCATACTGCCCAAAGTAATTTATAGATTCAATGCCATCCCCATCAAGCTACCAATGACTTTCTTCACAGAATTGGAAAAAATTACTTTAAAGTTCATATGGAAGCAAAAAAGAGCCTGCATTGCCAAGACAATCCTAAGCCAAGAGAGCAAAGCTGGAGGCATCACACTACCTGACTTCAAAGTGTACTACAGGGCTACAGTACCCAAAACAGCATGGTACTGGTACCAAAACAGAGATATAGACCAATGGAACAGAACAGAGCCCTCAGAAATAACGCCACACATTTACAACCATCTGATCTTTGACAAACCTGACAAAAACAAGAAATGGGGAAAGGATTCCCTATTTAATAAATGGTGCTGGGAAAACTGGCTAGCCATATGTAGAAAGCTGAAACTGGATCCCTTCCTTACACCTTATACAAAAATTAATTCAAGATGGGTTAAAGACTTAAATATTAGACCTAAAACCGTAAAAACCCTTGAAGGAAACCTAGGCAATACCATTCAGGACATAGGCATGGGCAAGGACTTCATGACTAAAACATCGAAAGCAATGGCAACAAAAGCCAAAATATACAAATGGGATTTAATTAAACTAAAGAGCTTCTGTGCAGCAAAGAAACTACCATCAGAGTGAACAGGCAACCTACAGAATGGGAGAAAATTTTTGCAATCTACTCATCTGACAAAGGGCTAATATCCAGAATCTACAAAGAACTCAAAGAAATTTGCAAGAAAAAAACAAACAACCCCATCAAAACGTGGGCAAAGGATATGAATAGACACTTCTCAAAAGAAGACATCTATGCAGCCAACAGGGACATGAAAAAAAGCTCCTCATCATTGGTCATCAGAGAAATGCAAATCAAAACCACCATGAGATACCATCTCACACCAGTTAGAATGGCAATCGTTAAAAAGTCAGGAAACAACAGATGCTGTAGAGGATGTGGAGAAATAGGAACACTTTTACACGTTGATGGGAGTGTAAATTGGTTCAACCATTGTGGGAGACAGTGTGGCGATTCCTCAAGGATCTAGAACTAGAATTACCATTTGACCCAGTAATCACATTACTGGGTATATACCCAAAGGATTATAAATCATGCTACTATAAAGACACATGCACACGTATGTTTATTGCAGCACTATTCACAATAGCAAAGACTTGGAACCAGTCCAAATGTCCATCAATGATAGACTGGATTATACACCATGGAATACTATGCATTCATAAAAAATGATGAGTTCATGTCCTTTGTAGGGACATGGATGAAGCTGGAAACCATCATTCTCAGCAAAGTATCACAAGGACAGAAAACCAAACACTGCATGTTCTCACTCATAGGTGGTAATTGAACAATGAGATCACTTGGACACAGGGCAGGGAACATCACACACCAGGGCCTGTTGGGTGGTGGGGGGGCTCCGGGAGGAATAGCGTTAGGAGAAATACCTAATGTGAATGATGAGTTGATGGGTGCAGCAAACCAGCATGGCACATGTATAAAACCAGCATGTTGTGCACATATATTCTAGAATTTAAAGTATAATAATAATGATGATAATAATAATAATAAAAGATCTCTAAGAATTCCTTGGATTGCCATGCGGAGACCTCCCCTCCTCCAGAAACAGATGCCATGCAAATGGAGTATGGTGCTCTGTGCTGAACACCTGGCACTGGCTTGTGGTGATGCAAGTCCTCTGTGGCTACCACCACTGGGACTGTACTGGGCCTGACGTGAAGCCATCACAGCAGTGGGCCTTGCCCAAGGTCATTCCCTTCAAGGCAGGGAGTTCCCCCAGGTTCTGGGTATGTCCAGAGATGCAGTCTGGGAGCCAGGGATTAGAGTAAAATACCTTCGCAATTTACCTTTTGTTTTGTTCGACTGCAGCTAAGCTGGCGCTCCAACTACGATACAGTTTTCCCACTCTTCCCTCCCCTTTGCAAAAGTATAGGAGTCTCTCCCTGTGGCCACCATCACCACTGGTCCATGGGGAGTTCTGTCAGGCCATCACTGATGTTCACTTAAAGCCCAAGGGCTCTTCCATCAGCTTGTAGTGAATGCTACCAGGCCTGGGGCTCACTCTGCAGGGCAGTGGGCTCCCGTATGGCCCAGGGCGGGTCCAGAAATGCTAAGAGCTGAGGCCTGGACTCGAGGACCCCAACAGCCTGCTTCTTGCTCTACTGCACTGGCTGAGCTGGTACTTAGGGTCTAATACAAAGTCCCCTTTACTTTTCTCTGTTCTTGTTTCAAATGGAAGGAGTCCTTCACCATAGCTGGGAGGACGCTGGGTCATCCCTGAAGTCAGCACGCCTCAGAGCCCAAGGCCCATGGCTTACTCCCTGCATCTCGCTGGGTGTTATTCAGTGCCCAAGGGCTCTTTAGTCAGCAGGTGATAGGTCCTGCCAGGACTGGGTCCTTTCCTTCAAGGCAATGGGCTCCCTTCTGGCCTAGTGTGCATCTAGAAATGTCGCCCAGGAGCTAGGGCCTGGAAAAGGAGCCTTACAACTCTGCCCAGTGCCCTATTCTACTGTGATTCAGCTGGTATCAAAGATGCAACATAATGTCCCCTTTAATGTGTTAGTCCATTTTTATACTGCTATAAAGGACTACCTTTATTCACTCTCCTCTCCTTAAGCAGAAGTAAGGGGACGTTTTAATTGCTATGAGCTGCACTACCAGGGGTTGGAGGAGGGATGGCACAAGGGCTCCGCTAGTCATGTCAGCTGCTGTCTCCCTAGGTCACGTGCCACCTGAGTTCACTGGTTGTAAGCCCAGTCCAGCACTAGGATTTCCTTAGAAACTGCAGTCGTTGTGTCCTAGACTGCCTTTTAAGTTTACACAGGACTCTAGAGCGCTTTTGCCCACAGTGGCGAGGCTTGAGAAGAAGCTCAAGTTTCAACTGATGGGAAGGGTGATTCTTCTGGCGAGGGCTGGTCCAAATGCACCCCCCCACACACACACCTGTGTGTGGGCACTGGCTGCACCCTGCATGGATTTGTTTTCAGCTGTGATAGGGCAGCATTGAGTTCAAGGTAAAGTCCCCCACTTGCTGCACTCTCCCTCCCCAAAGTGCACAGACTCTCCACGCTGGTGGATGGAGGAGGGGTAGCATTGGTGGTTCCAGACTACCTCTCTTGCCCTGTGCAATGCCTCTTTCAGTGATATGAAGTTAAAACCAGGTGATGTGATTGCTCACCTAATTCTTGGTTCTTGTGGCAGTGTTTTTTGTGTGCAGATAGTCGTTAAAATCTGGTGTTCCAGTGAAGGGAGATGGGATGAGTGGTGTAGGTTTCTATTCTGCCATCTTCATCTATCCCCTGCCAAGGTGACTTTCCCTTCACCCAGTCAATGTGAATGTGTAGGAAACTTTCTTGTAACCATTAGAGTTACAACTTAGGTTCCACATGGTATTATAATCAAATTGACCTCATCTGTTATGATAAGATGGCTCACAACACTGTGTATGCTACCATGTGTTGGGCAAGGGTTTTATTCCTCTGATTAAAGCAACAGTGGTGGAACAGTAATGGAAGTAGAAAAAAGTGGTGAATTGATTTGATTCTTCTCAGTTTGTCCAACTAGATATATGCTTCTCTGCAGGGCTGTGTGTTCCAGAAGGCTGATACCATGGAAGACATCACCTTGGCTTCCTGGCTGTCTGGTTAGTGATTTGAGCAATGAGAGGCAGCAGCTAGAAATGAAAGAGTAGAAGAAGAGAGTGTCTCCTGACACTGTGTGCATGGTCTCCAGTCAGCCTCTGATTCCTGTGAGTCAGCTGCATCCAGATTCCCACCCCCTTCCCCGTCCCGAGAAGGTTACATTTGGCCGCCACTAAGATCTCCTGAGAAAAATCTCTTCAGAGGAATTTTGGCCAAATCTTCTCTCCCTCTCCTACAGCCACTTTCCTCCTGAATTTCTTCCTTGTGAGTGTCACTTCTGGAAACAAAAGTCAAGTTCTCTAGGTGAACACTGAGTAGCCCCAACCTTCCAGTGAATTTGAAGTGTAGGAAGTTTTCCTCGTTTAAACTCGGCACAGCCTCCAATCCCTGGGAAGCATGCCTCTCTGGTCTCCAACCCACCCAGACTTCCAGTGTGAGTAGACACCTGTAGGTGAGTGAGTGGTCAGAGGTCACATGATTGTGATTACCTTCTTTACCAGGCCTCCATTGTTAGGCAACTCCTTGCAAGATGGGAAATAGTTGGTACCAATTGTTTTGGGGCACTAGTCAAGTCGGAAAGTGGACAGAGTTCCACTTGAATGTGCTGCTGCTCTAGTTTGGATAACTTTACTGTCTATGTATATACCCAAGTACTGCTTGGCACAGTTGGGTTTCTCTTTGGTACATAATTCTGTGCTACTTGTTTTCTCACTCAGTATGATGGTGAGATTTATCCACACATAACTCTGTATCCTAAATTCTGTCTCTTCTGTTGTGTGGCCATGGAGTGTAGGAGGTTGGCTGTTATTGGCCTCTGCTCCTGTGGGTTTGGCTCCTTCTTGCCCTACCTGCTGCCCTTTCAGCCTCCATTCCCCACCTATTCTCCACCTCACAGCCACTGTTTGATGCTGGGCTGCAGGTAAATAGTCACCGACATAGCAGTGTCCAGGCAGCGTTCCTCCCAACGGTGCACCCAGGAGGCCCCTCTACCTGGCAGCCTCTAACCCCTCCTCTCCATCCTACAGCCAGCTGCGTCCTCTGAGGAGAGGCTGGTGGCTCTTTTTTGGCGATGCTGCATCAGTGCAGGGACAGAGAAGGTGACAGGGACAAAGAGGACAGTGAAAAGGACATAGAGCAGTTTAACTTCGTACCACATAAAAAATCTGGAAGAGACCTGGCTAAGGGAAGAGAGAGTAACAGCCCCTTAGATGTAGGCGGGGGAGGGGACACAGGAAGGGGCCTTGGGGAATGCTGGACAGGTTGTGAGAACACAGGGAATTGGGGAGGAGGGGAAGAGGGGACAGAGGACTGCTTGCAGGGGCTTATTTTGCAGCTCACGTGAAAGGACAAGAGAAATGCTTGGAATCTGTGATGGCTTTAATGGTTCACCTTATGTAAATTTCATCTTACTCCTCACTTAGGCTTGCCCATGTTTGCCACGGCTCTGACCTCTTTGCTCTCCCTGTCCCCTCTTCAGCTTTAACTCTCACTTGTCAGTGACCAATTGCCCACATAGTTCCCATTTCAGGTTTCTCAGAATGAGTATCTGACTTGCTCAGCACATTCCTTGGGGACAGAGCTTCTTCAATGGGAGCCATCTCATGTGTGTTGTTGTCCTACCAGGTGGCTTCATTTCAGTCAAATGAATTATCTTTGGCTGTGGCCTGAGCAGGTTTGTTTGACATGACACAAAAAAGTGACCAGAGCATTCTATACTTTCCTGGGGACAAAGGGCAGAGCGGTTGCCTCTGGAAGGCTCTGTGGATATGACATTGGCAGTATTAAAACATATCCCAAACCCCCAGGCCAACTGTTGGTCTGCTCTTAAACAATGTCTTTTCACTAGGACAAGCATTGGGTTTTAGAGGGGAACACCAGGGCAGTCTCTTCAAAATGGCTAGGGAGAAGAGTCTTTGGTCCTTAAATGCCAAGTACTACATCACTTTGACTTTGCAGTGTTTTTCAGATTGATGGTGGGAGAGATCTGGTGTGCAGCATGATCTCACCCTCTCCCCTGGGTCTAAGCACCCCTGCACAGCGTGTTAGGATGAACAGAAGCCCCTTCCAGTGTAACCCAAGAACACCCTGTCAGCAAACACACATCCAACCTCAAGGAGTGAAATGACAGACTCTGTTTTAATGACTCAAACATGGGAGGAGTTTATTGTTCTAATTATATTTAATTTCTCAAAAATATGGGCAGGCTTCAGCACGTAAGCCACATGACTTTTTGTCCAAGGCCATGTCCACCCTAGAGTTGCTTTATGACAGCATCCACACCCATCTTGACAGGTCGATGTCACTTCTGTGCCTGCCCAGTTGTCTGTTGATTAAAAAGATCAGCACATTTTCGGTGGGCTTCTTGCGTTTGAAGGATTTGTCTGACTTCTTGATGTTCAGTGCGGGCTCCCTGGGACTGCCTTTAGGGACTTCTTTATCCATGATGTGTTGACTCCACCCAACCTCAGTAAAACAGCACAACCGAGGAAGTCTGAAAAAGATGATGTATTCTAGGTAATCAAGTGTACCCGGCAACCTCTTCCTCACTGGCACAAAACCACACACACACACACACACACACACACACCCCCATACACACACACACTGCTACCAGCAGTAGTCACAGGAGATTGCTTTGGGTCATCATCTGATTTGAAGCACCAACCATATTGTTTCTTCTATCTGTCTTACACATGGGGCTGTGCAGCAGCCTGATGGGACCCGGGACATTAAAGACACACTATTGCATCCCTCTAATCATTACCTGACACACACAGGCTTGTTAGATTGTACTCAAAACACTACCTCATAGCTCAAATGTCATTGTAATTCTTATATCCACACTAATTTTAACTCAATTCTATGTTGCTCTTTTTCAGAGCTGCCTCTTCTCACCTCTGAGTTTTCCCTGTACCTGGGATATGGGCTTCCTTCTGAACTCCATTATTCATGTTATGCAGAGTAATTCTC
This sequence comes from Homo sapiens, assembly GCF_000001405.40. Classification (NCBI taxonomy): domain Eukaryota; kingdom Metazoa; phylum Chordata; class Mammalia; order Primates; family Hominidae; genus Homo; species Homo sapiens. Next base: position 135,252,748 of record NC_000023.11, on the reverse strand, counting down.
TTTGGTAAATCTATCCATGACAAAGTTCAGTACTTTACATTTGCATTTCTTCATTCTACAACTTGCAGGCTGCTATAATTTGTTTCCTCATTCCAAATCTCTTTATGTGACTTTAGCTTCAAATAGGATTTGCCTCCTTTGAAAATCACTGGTGAAGCAGGTATGAATCTTACTCCAAACCCCTGTGTAAGAGATAAACTGGACATTCTCAAGTACTACCGAGTTTCTGTTTCTAAGGTCCATCCTGCTGATTTTCCATCCTGGGAACGTAATCACAGTGGCTTAAAGATTGTACTCACCTCTGATGCCTGGCCCTGCCTCATCCCCAAAAACCCAGTTCTGCATTTCATTTGAATCTAGCACAGTGCCAAGGCTAGGGGTGGATGCTCACTGTGTTCTCTATTTTGACCTCCCAAGAGAGACTAAAAGACTTGCCCAAGTGACAGAGAGGTGAGATTGGAACTGAGAAAGCCTGTATCTGAAGCTTCTGCTTTTACCCACTGCTCTGTAGTGTCTCTGTATCAGTTTGAACAAATGACTCTTTGATAACCTCCCCCCATTACCAAACAGGGTTGGGGTTTATCAGGTAGGTTAGTTAGTTAATGGCACAAAAGGATGCTCTATGATCTTGGTATATCAGGATATTTTACCTGTGAGACCACTCAGGTTTCTTCTGAAGAAAGATCTGGGCCAGAGGGTAAACAGTAACAGCTTGGCACTCCCTCTCTTTCCTTGAGTCCCAGGGCCTGATTGGTTCAGCACCAAGTGAAGTCATAGTCACTATGGTGACTCACAATTGTCCTCAGAACCTAGTGCCAACAGTCTGCAAGATTCAAACACTGGCCACCATGCCTGGCTTCCTTCTGGTTCAAGCCTGAATAAGGTGAGTGGAAGTTGCTGGGAGAGGAGGTGGGTATATCCTGTGGCTGGGTGCCATCTGCATGTCTCCTTCCTAGACAGAACCCTCAACTACCCTGGCCTCAGAGCTTGTTCCTGGCTTGTATAAAATCCATTAAAATTTCTCCTTTCTGTAAATAAACAGCACCCATTGCATCTTGCCTTGTCCCCTGGGTAGTGATCAGCAACTTTGTCCGCCATGTTCCAATCCAGGAATTAGTTCCAGGTCAAACTTCCTACCTGCTTCTCAATCTTGCATCCATCTTTGGTCATGACTCTGCAAGTACTCCTCCTATAATACACAATTCATGTAAATGGAGTGTTTAGTTGCAGAAATTGAACACTGCAATTAAACATTGCTGTGTCTCCCACACTTATCTAAACCCTCCCAAAGCTCAGTGCAGTGGAGCCCCTCCCAAAGCTCAATGCAGTGCAGCTTCACACCTTTATTCTGTGGACCTGGGATGCAGGTGGGCTTTTAATGCTTTGGAAAATCTTATGCTAAAACTGGACCAGTTCCTTGAGACATACTCATATGTCTCAAGCCATATTCCCTTCCAAGTCTCTGATCTAGAATAACTACATTGTTGCCATTAAAGTGTGACCCATGTGGGTATTGTCTAGATGCTGGACATGGATTTTCCAGGCTGTCAGAGGGATAACGGTGAGGACAGCGCTTTGTGTTTTTTGTAGTGTGGTTCTCATGAGGAACTAAAATGACTATTATGAGATGTGGCTTGCCTCCACACTGGCTGCCCACTCAGTCTTATGTAAGAACGGAGGAAATTGACGTTACTGTAAAGTGACCCAGGTCGCACACTCCCTTTCTTGAGTGGCAGGGAAGGAAGGCTCACTCCTCCAGGTTTTCTCCTAGCCCCCGTAGAACCATGCTTTACATGGTTCTGAACACCCTGAGGCCGTGTTCAGTGTTCTAAACAATTTGGAGAGGGAAGAGAACATATTGGTGTATTTTATTAACAAAGAAAGTGGAAAACTGTCTTTCTTTTAAGGAATTGACATCCTAGAAATCCAAGTCAATCACCTAGGAAATAGACCAGGAGAGGCTGATTGAGAGAAGTTAAATGCATAAAAACTTTGCATACTAGGTCAGGCACAGTGGCTCTCACCTATAATCCCAGCACTTTGGAAGGCTGAGGGGAGTGGATCGCTTGAGCCCAGGAGTTCAAGACCTCCAGTTGGCCTTGGGTCATATCCAGCATGTTCCAACTGTAAGGCAAAAAGCCCCTAAGGCAGAGAGTCATGGTGATTGCCATAAGCAGCCCTGTAGATGCAAGGATGAGATGTAGCTCTGCAGGGCCAGAGTCTAAATACATAAGTCAGTGTCAGAATCTTTTTGGCACTGTCTGTTCCTTAAATAGGTCAATACTCACCGTTTGTGAAAATTTTCATTGAACTGGAGCTACATTTCCTTTCTATACATAGCATGTTTAAAAAAATTTTTTTTTTAAAGCGACCCAGGTCACACACTCCCTTTCTTGAGTGGCAGGGAAGGAACGCTCAGTCCCGCAGGTTTTCTCCTGGCCACATAGAACCGTGTAAAGACCCTGAGGCCATATTCATTGTCCTAAACAATTTGGAGAGGGAAGATAACTTATCGGTGTATTTTGTTAACAAAGAAAGTGGAAAACTATCTTTCTCTTAAGGAACTGACATCCTAGAAATCCAAGGCAATCACCTAGGAAATAGGTCAGGAGAGGCTGATTGATAGAAGTTAAATGCGTAAAAACTTTGCATACTAGGTGAGGCACAGTGGCTCTCGCCTATAATCCCAGCACTTTGGAAGGCTGAGCGGGGTGGAGCGCTTGAGCCCAGGAGTTCAAGACCAGCCTGGGCAACATAAGGAGACCCCATCTCTACAATAAAAATAAATGAATACATAAATAAATTAAAAATTTGCACAGTCTTCCAATAAATAGGGAATATCATAGATTTAAGCTATCCCATTTACATTGGTTGCAAACGTTATGAAACACCTAGAAAAATAATGAAGGTAAATACAAGGAAAACACACATGCCACTTTTTATGAGCCTTCAGTTTGAATAGTCACATAATATTTTAAAATACTACATTTTTCTTAAGAGGAAGATCAATTTTTTCAATGGCATCAATTCGCCTCTAAATAAATCAGTATATCCAGTACAATCCTAATGATAGTTTATAGCAGAATTTTGAGTGTGTGTGTAACTGGAAGATCGGATGAAATTATATTCCAAAAAAATGTGAAGGATTATGCAAGAGGGGTGGCTTGTCATTCTGGACTCAAAACTTACTCTGTAGTATTGGTGAATGAGACAAGAATTGATAGACATGTCCATGGACCAACGAAGAGATTCTAGAAATATACTCATGCATATGTGAAACTCAAAGAAATTTAAAAATCACAAGTTGCCACAAAGCTGACTTTTATGATTGTGTGTGTGTGTGTGCACATGCACGCATGTGTGTTAGGGAGGAGAAGTGCAGAGAGGCTTCTGGGGCTACTTGATGCTTCTCCTTCAGGTAATTCTAGATTCTATCAACTTTCACAGGTCCCTCTTCTGTGCTGTCTTCCTGAAGCCATCTGTGGAGTCAAGCAGTCATGGCTCAGGGACACTCTGAAGTAGGTCCCAGCACATCTGCATGGAGCATCAGGAGGAAGGTGGATGAATACTTAAGACCCAGCCTGGCCTCTAAATCGGTGCTGAGCGTTTTACTCAGTAGACAGCTTGGGAATCATAGAAACGATGCGGATCTGACAGAGTGGCTGTGGACACTGAAGCAAGCCATACCAGGGTGGACCTGGCCTTTGCCGACACGCCACACAATCAACCCACCTCTGCCCCCTGGGGAGGATGGAAAATCCAAGAAAATGGTGTGGATCAATAAATCCTTCCCCTGATGCAACCATTACAAGTGGAAGCTGTGTTCTCACTGCTTTTGGCTGGACATGGTCTTTGATCACCTGGTTTCTTGACTTCTGACCCGTCTCTGTGTTACCCGAGGCCACAGCAGATGAACTTTACCTACTGCCCTCCGAGAAGGTGTTTACTAACGTTGTAGAGTCTGGGGATGTTGGAGACACGAGGGGCCCTGCTTAGAGAAGCTGGAAGGGCAGCTGAGTGGAACATGGAGAGGCCCTGCAACCCTAAATTTCTAGGGGGAGGGGACTTTCAGGAGCCCACTTAGAGGTCTTGATTTGTCTCCCTTGAAGTTTGGGGGAGAGCATGGGTAGAAATTGAAATCAAATAAATTTAAAATGAGAGTGGCTTGCAGAGTGGGGAGGGAATTCTCGCAAGAGATATACTTCTTAAATTGAGAAAAAAAGAAAGGCAGCTAAAGAGGTAACCAGAAATGCCCAGGAAATAACGAATGGTCTTTCAAGTGTTGGTGCAAAATAACTTTGAGCCTACAATTCTACTTCTAGCCAGACATTCAAGTTCGAGGATAAATTAGCATACAAGGTGTTCAAGTGTGGGTTCCCTGGAAATAGACCCTGAGGCACACTTGTGAGTGGAAAACACTTACTTGGGAGGGAGTCCCAGATAGCACAGGTAAGGGTGTGGGGAGGTGAGACATACAAGGAATGCAGCCAATTTAAGTGGGAGGAATAAGCTAGCAGGTTTCCACTGTGGGCGACTGGAGCTAATTCCCAGGGGAACCCTATGGGAGACTTTGTAGAACACTCTCCTCACATTCATCCCAAGTGCAGAATGAGATGGCTTGGGGGTATTTAGCCACCAAATACCCAACCATTCTTGTTAAAGTACTTCCCCCATGGGAGATATAAATCCCTGTCACCTTCAGTTGGCCTTGGGTCATATCCAGCATGCTCTAAGGGTGAGACAAAAAGCCCCCAAAGCAGAGCGTCACGGCGATTGCCATAAGCAGCCCTATAGATGGAAAGGTGAGACCTAGCTCTGCAGGGCCAGTGTCTAAATACATAAGTCAGTGTCAGAATCTTTTTGGCACCGTCTGTTCCTTAAATAGTTCAATACTCGCCGTTTGTGAAAATTTTCAATGAACTGGAGCTACATTTCCTGTCTATAGATAGCATGTTTTAAGTGTTTTGCCAATTATCAGTTTTAATTGGAAACTGATTGCAGGACCTCTGTCCCAGAGAATTGTGAGATATGTGTTTAGCCATGGAAGGAGCATTGCAGACATCAAAATCTTCCCCTTGGGGAAAAGAAAGCAGGATTTTTGTAGTGTGTCCTGCCTGCAGATGTGCCATGCTGGGTGTTAGGCACAGGTCTGTCCCTGGGATTTCATGGAGATCTTGGGCTGCATTTGTCAGAAACTCTATTCTTGCCATTCAGCCTAGTGGAATCCAAGCTGCAGCGTCTCACCTCTTACTGAGGGGTTCCTCAGCACGTGGAATTTCAAGAACCTCCTCCTCTCCAGGTCTCCCATAGCAGCTGGAACTTTATTCATGTCCCTATCATTACTTTCTCTATGGAACGGGATGAGTAGCTGGTTAGGTTGCTCCCACCCACCTATGCCCATCCAGGCCCACGCTCAGCACACTGTCCCCATAGTGGGTGCCCCTGTCCCCAGGGATTCTTGGAAATGCTGTTCTGGGGTGGTGACTCCATTTCAGCACTGACATAGCCACTGGCAGCAACAGATGGCCTTCTCAAGCTTGTGTTGGGAGTCTAGTAATGAATCCTTTTTGTCGCAGTTCAGATGGGACTCGCAATGCCCAGCTCCACTGCTGTTGCTTTTCACCTTTCTTCTGTCTCCAGTCTTACAAGTCATTGATTATTGAAGAAATGCCAAGAAGCTGCAACAACTCCCAGCTGCTCTCTCTGAACACAATGTTAGGTGACTGGGGTCTCCTGTTCAGTTGAAGGGCTCCAGTTGAATGTCTTCTGGATTAGCTTTAAAAGAGTTGAATTAGACCAGGCATAGTCCCCATTAACAGCAATGCAGGCTATGGCAGCTTGGAAAGAGGCTATACTTAAGTGGGGTCCTATTCTTAGAGAGAAAACCAAGAGGGAGATTCAGAGCACGACCAGCGCAGCGTCAGTCAAAGCAAATTTGAGAAGGGAAAGGATCTTTGGAGTCTCACTGCCCATCCTTTATGTCAAATACCCCTTTTCACCACATTACATTATTCAATTATATTTCTGAAACTGTTTCATGGAATACTAGATCTATGAGATGTTGCTAACTGTCCTGTAAACAATGTACTCTCTTGGCCAGTATGTTTGGGCAACTATTCTGTGCTATATCCCCCAGTGGGTGCTATACGAAGTCCATCAGTGTTGAAGACTCCAAGAAGCCCTCGTGCACTCCTTTACCACTCCTCCTACTCTTCCCCTTACTCTGTCTATTCATCTTCCTCTCCTCCTTCCCCAGCCTCTCTTCCTCTCCCTCCTCTTTTTTCTCTTCTTCTTCCTCAGGAGGCTATCTGGATACAGAGAGAACTTAAATAAGATGACTGCACAAGAAGGATGGACCTGCCTCTTGGCTGTCTCATCTCCCTTGACCTTTGGATGTTGGCCATTGTCTGCCCTACACCTATGGTGGATATAATTGATTCTGCCTGGCCCTAGGCATACACCGGCGTCTGAGGCTGGTGTCTGCCGCTGCTGTTGTGGCTTGCAATTAGGAGAGTTACACGCTTTGGGTCTTCCTCTTTTCTGTCCCTGGCCTCATCTTGTTGAGCTGTTCTCTCAACTCTTCTGTGGAGTCTCTTTCTGGACCTGCAGCTATAACTCGTCTGTGCTACAAACGACTCATGGGGGACCCCAGGGCACCATGTCAGAACCTTGCTTTCCTAAGTGCCAGGATGTCATTTCTGAGCTCCTGTTGCCTCCTCCTGTTGGAGTGGAGCACTGAGAGCAGGTCTCCTTCCCAGGATGTGGGGCCAGGTGCTTTTCTGCTCTGGGTTTCCCCTGTCTTGAATCTCAATTCATGTTTCCTGTTCCAATACGCTTCCCTTCCTTTGCAAGCCTCTCAATACTTCACCATTTCCTTCCAGTGTCACTGTGTGCAGTTATGCATACAGGTGTGTGTGTGTGTGTGTGTGTGTGTGTGTGTGTGTGTGTGTGTCTGGGTAGAAGCTTCTGGAAGAGCCCAGTGGTTGAGTTGGGACGGTTATGGGAGCTACAGACACCAGGTGCTCTGGGGCTGGCCAGGGGCTTGGGTGGGGAAGTGCAGTGATGGGAGTGGGGCTGGGGTCAAGCAGGTGTAAAACCCTGCAAAGCAGCTCTTGGTGAGTCTGTCAGGGGAAGGGGACAGGCATCCAGTGGGAAGGAGTGGGACGGGAGTAAGGGCAGCATCTATAGTGCTGAGCTTTCCAGGAAGAAAGAAGCAAATTCTCTATGCATGCAAAATATTTCAAAATTTAAAAGTTGAAGGGTAAGTTAAAAATAAAAATAAAGGTCAGGGATTAGGCCAACGTCAAAACATTGTGCTGAGGTTTATAAGTTCTCCTGGGGGTGTATAGATGAACATTTCTAAGATTGCTTGAATGGGTACTGGGTTAGACAAATAAGTTAATGGATGTGTGATGGTAGAAGCCAGATTTCTCACTCTTGGTGAGGAAAGTTAGTGAAGTAAATGGGACAGCTACGATGACTCATGTGATAAGGGATTAGAGTTGGAGAGATTGGTATGAACTCATGCTTATGTTAATAAAGATGAAGAAGGGTATATGTAGAAACATTTATAGGTATGTGTGTACACAAGATGTATTAGTGTCCTATTGCTGCTGTAACAAATTTCCACAAGTGTAGTGGCTTTAAACAAACAAAAATTTCTCTTAGAGTCTGGAGTTCAGAGGTCTAACATCAGGTTGCTGGTTAGGGCTATGTTCCTTTTGGAGACTTTAGGGCAGAGTTCAATTCCTTGCTTTTTTCAGCTTCTAGGACCGGCCTGGCTTCCTTGTTTCATTATTCCTTGCTGGCATCACTCCAACTTCTTTCCATAGTAATATCTCCTGCGATGCACTCTGATCCCTCTGCCTCCCTCTTAAAAGTCTCTGTGATTCATGTATTTGGGGATTAAAGAAGGAAGAGAAGGGACTGTGAAAGCCAGTCGCACAGAAGCTATACTGGGACCATGCTTGGACAGGGTTGTATGAGAGGCAAAGTCTCTGCAAGACACCTTCCAGAGACAGCAGCGTGGAGCCACCACCCAGAAGGGGATGAGGGCAAGGGGATTTCTGAGAAAGAGGAGGAAACCAGAGAGGGGGCTTACATGAGTGGGTGATGTCATCAGCAGCAAGGTGGGGAGTTCTCTGGGTCACAGAGCTTTGAAGGGCAGCAGTGGTTTGGGGGTCTTTTATAGCTATTGAGTTTGTCTTTTCTATGGTTAGCGGATATTGGGAGCAGTTTTGTGAGAGATGGAAAATAGGTACATTCTAAAGGACTTAAAAATACATTTTCAGATTATATTTAAAGAGACTGAATATATGAGAATGTGAGCGGCACCAGTGGGCTTTGAGGCAATAGTCCTAGCCTGCTGTGAAGAAGTAAACTACATGGGGATCATTTTAGGCCGATAGACAGGGTGCATTTCTGGCTCATTTATAGAACATGACGCTTGTGATTATATGTGGCCCACTCCCATAATGTGGGATAATCTCCTCATGTCACGATCTTTAACTTAATCATATTTGAAACTTTCTTTTTTCGTGTAAGGTAACATATTCACAGGTTATGGGGATTGTGAAGTAGACATCACTGGGGGATCACTGCTTACCTACCACACGCGAGTCAGCTTGCACACACATGATTTCTTGCTCTGTCAGCTGAGAGAGCCAAGAAGCAATGACACCCAAGTAGTAAAGAGCACACCTAGAGCCCAAACCTTGGTTTCTAATGTCATCCAACAATAAAAGGAGCCAGGGCTCTTTGGCTAAACGACTGATTCCAAGGCTGAGCCTGGGATTGTGCAATATGAGCCTGGAGAATCTTGTAATACCAGTAAGCACACACACAAACACACACACAATGATGGGAGTATGGCAAAGAGACACAGGAGCCTGCTAAAAGTGCTCCCAATGGCTAAAGCTGGAGCAAGCTGGGCAACAGAACAGATACAGTGCTTTTGGATTATAACTTAAAATACAAAATAAATATCCATGAGTCCATACTGATATAAATAAATAGGGCGAAGAGACAAATCTCCTTTGCAGAATAATTCCAATTTTTCGCAGATATTTTACCCAAGATAAGGTAGAAAAGAACTCTCCCCTCCTTCAGCATATGCTGTGCGCAGTAACCTCCTTCCAAAGAGTAGAATGTGGAAAGGCAGAAAAACATACCTTTACTGCTGAGAAACCTGATCCATACGACCTCAGCCAGGTGACCAAGGTTGAACTTAACTGTCATGTCATGTGGATTGTATGCTCTCTTGATAGGGGGTGATGAGAATGGCACTTAACTTTCTTGGTCTTCCTCTCGAAAACCCGTAACCCCAGTGTCATCATGAGAAAATCACCTGGCAAATCCCGGTCGAAAGACATTCTGCAAAATACCTGGCCAGTAGTCATCAAAGCTGTCAAGAGTCATCAGAAACAAGGGAAGTCTGAGAAACTATCACAACCAAGAGCACCCTAAGACGGCATGATTATTTTAAATATAATGTAGCATCCTGTATGTGAGGCTGAAACAGAAAAAGGACATTTGATTAAAATGGAGGAAGTCTGAATAAAGTGAGGACTTTGGGTCATAATAATGTATTAGGATCGGTTCACTAACCGTATCAAATGCTAATGACACTTTAGTGCAAGATGCATAGGGGAAACTGGGTGAGGGATATGAGGGACCTCGCTGTACTATCTTCACAACTTTTGTATAAATATAAATCTCTTTTAAGGTAAAATGTCTAGATAAAACAAACAACAACAACAAGGCCACTGCCAAATCTAGTCTGAAGACAACAAAACAGGAACATTGCCCAAGTCACAAAAGGCACCAAACACCTGCCATCCTGGCTGATGTGAGTGACTACTCCTTCTGTGCCAACAATAGCTTTTTTCAAATCTTCGTTCCTCTAGGATAAGGTTTACAAATATACCCAGTCACAAAATTACCCCCCACTTCCTGGCAGCATCCAATCCAGAGCCAAACCCTGCTTCAGGAAACCCTCCTCTAAATCACCTAGCTGAAGCCCAGATCTTATTTCTTTCTAACACTCTCTTCCTGAGAGTCTCCATGGTTCCCTCATGCCTTGCAGTCTCCTTTTGTTCTTTGAGTAATGAACTCAACTTGTTCATCAAGCAATAAACTGTACTCAGAAAGTTGAGCTTGTTTAACTACGGGTGTGTTCCTGGTGGTCTTTGACTGCAGAGTGGTGACAAGATAAAGAAAATGCCTCTAGCTTCTTGAAAATCCATTTTACCTCCCTGGAGACATCTTTACCTTTCAAAATTTCCCCATCCTCATGCGGCCTGTTCAACCCTAGTTTTGGACCTTTCCCCTGGCTGCCTTTATTCCTTTGGCATCAACCTTGCTCTCATCTTTAACTTTGCATTTTTGCAAACCTCTCTTCAAAAATTGTCCAGCATTTGATCCAACCACACGTGTTCTGCTCCAGTAAGTGGCTCTCTGCTGTCCTTGGCTGTACATGCTCACAGGAACCTAGGAGGATTTCCTATGCATGGGCAGTCTCCACTGGGAAAACAGTTGACCAAGCCAGTGGTTGGAGAAGGCACAGCGGTGTTGACTCACCACTGTGGGCATGTAATTACATGGCTGTATTTCCACCTCCCTGCCATCTTCCTAGATCACTTACCTTCAGGCCACACTGGGCAATTACTTATAAAATATGAACACCTTAAATGTCTATCAGGAGGTGCCTGTCTGAATAGATTTTGGTGAATCCATTCAGTGGATTACCTTGTAGCCATTAAAAAACATGTGGTGGATTTCTGTATAGTAATGTGTAAAGATGGCCACATACATCATTACAAGAAGCAAGCAAGCAAGTTGGAAGTGCGTACACTGCACACCCTGTGACGCCAGTTCTACAAACAATGGTAAGCTTTTTTAGTGTTTAAATATTTGGATGGATACATAATAAATAACATGCGGCCACAATGGAGTGTAACTGGAGAGAGAGACAATGTGATTTTTCCTCTGGGGGCTGTATATTTGATTGGTTTTCTGTGAGCACTGAAATGCTTCCTGTCACATTACATATAATCGATGCATAGAGTCCAGGGTAAAATTATATAGAACAACAGAAAATATGACCAGCTAAGTGTTAGAGGGGGCCTTTGATCTTTTTCCTCATAACTGGTATAAACAAAACTTGTTAAAATCCCACCAACCAAGTGAGATATCTATCTATACTTCCACTTTGAACTTTCCATTTGTAAGGGGGTTATCCATCAAGACGCTTGCCCTGTTTGCTTTCCCCAGGTAAACATATATCCAGACTGTGTTCGACAATGGATCCATGGCCGTGTGAGGTAGCAATTTTGTACTCGGATCCTTGTCATCGCCTTGCCACATTCACCTGCCTGTCCCCCTTGCCAGGGGGTTATCAGTTGGAATCAACTCACATGTCTATCAACAGGGGCCTGTCTGAATGCACTCTGGTGAGTCCGTTCTGTGGATGACACAACATTCATTGAAAGCAATGTGATGGATTTTTGTGTGCCAATGTGCAATGAAGCCCGTGTACATTCTAAAACGAAAAAAGCAAGTTTACAGGACAATGTATGTAATATGAAATTATTTTCGAAATGCCAGAGAAGACTTCTATAGCAAAATATCTGAAAGGAATCACGGAAATATCATGATTGCCTCTAGACTTTAGAACTGGACAAGAGAGAAGTTGTGCTTTTCACTCGGTGTCCTGTATTTTGATATTTTTCAATGAGCATTTAAACATGTTTTGCCCCCACAAATATATTCTGTAAATGTATATTTTCAGCGTGAAGCAATATGGGAAAACAGAAAATGTAGCAAATTTAATGTGAAAGGGGGCCTTTTATGTGTCTGCATAACACATCCAGCTAGAAAGTGTTAAAATCTCACGCTGTGAGGTGTTTGTTTCATGCAAGTACAGAGGATTCAGAAAGTGATTTTTAAAAGCAGATTGTGCTCATAGAGAAACAAATCTGTGAGGTTTTCCAACTGGGACGTGTTAATGACACAAGGCAAATGAGGAACCTTTAGCCAATATGGAAGTAAACACAGCACAGAACTCTCTTCAAAGGAAGCATAAACACACACATGCATACACAGGGCAAGCATCAAACTAACACAGACACAGACCTTTAACTGGTGCTCAACGTCTGTCCCCTGTACCCCTAGAGAACAAAATGGAAGCAGTGCTGTCTTCTAGGACCTCGCCTCAGAATCCACACAGCTTCACTTGTGCTGTACTCTGTTAAAGCTGGCTCAACCTGTCAAGATTCAAGGGCAGGGGGCATAGACCCCCCCTCTTGATGATAGGTGTAGGAGCTTCCTACTGCTGTATAACAAATGACCACAAATTTAGTGGCTTAAAACAGCACAAGTTTATTTTAGTACAGTTCTGGAAGACAGAAGTCTAAAATCAAGGTGCCAGCTGGGCCGAGTTCCTTCTGGAGGCTTTTCTGGACAAACTATTTCCTCACCTTTTTCAGCTTCCAGAGGACACCTGCGTTGCTTGGCTCAGGGTCCCTTCCTGGCATCACTCCAAACTTTAGCTCCTGTCCTCATATGTCCTAGTACTCACTCTGACCCTCCTGCCTCCCTCTTGCAAGGTCTCTTGTAATTACTTTGGATTGACCTGGATAATACTGCATAATGTCCCTAACTGAAGACCCTTGACATGATCACATATGCACACTTCCTTTTGTGTTGGAAGGTACCATATTAATCTGTTCTGGGGAATAGGTCTTGGACATCTTGAAGGGCATTTTTTCTGCCTGCCATAGATTGTTAGGACATCATTTACAGCCATCTTTAGCACAACCACAACAAAGAAAGTAACAAAGACCTGGAGACTTGTCGAGGCGCTTCAGTTGGTAAACATTTGGGAGATTTCTCAATGCTAATTATGTCATCTCTCATAATGAAGGGGAAGAATTGTAGCAAGAACCACAGATGTCCTTCACCCTTCTTTCCTGCCTTGGCGCATTGGAGGGCTCTTTCGCATGGGGGAAATTGCCCTGAGAGTAACATCTTGGGAGGAGGAACTTCACCCTGCCCAGGATAGACCGAAGAGGGTCAGCAGGTAGAGCAGTGGAGGTCTCGCCTCTCATACTGAAGACTAGGATGAGAGGCCTCCTGTCTTTCACTGCCTGCCTTTCATACTCTCTCCTTCTTAGTGAGGGAACCTAGTTGGGAAGAGATGTCTGAAGAAGAATTTTTGTAAAATGTAATGCTGATAAGACTCAAGAGACCACTCTCAGACCTGGTGATACCATCTGACTCTTTTTAAAAGGCCTCACATTTTAGTTCTTGAAGTCGTCTTCAATAATTTATACGTTCCTATTCTTGTGTTCAGTATTAGAGATGCCAATTGAAAGTAATTATCTAAAATATATCAATATGTTTGTAACATTTTAATACTCAAGATCCTTAACAATGTGAAACCAACGCTTGCTAGACCTCCGAGAAGTCCTGTCTGAACATGCAAACTAAACAACTGGATGGGAGAAAGGAATCCAGCAACATCCGCAAACCCAACTGTTAACAACCAAGAAGTGGGGGCTGAGTGAGCTTAGTGTAAATGCAAAAGAGAGCCAGAGGGATGAGCTCTGGATGCATTCTACTTCACATCTGTTACAGAGGACTGGAGGACAAGAAGTAGAGGGCTGGCCCGGGTTTAAGGGTGAGCTTTGTTTATATATGGCAGTATTCAGCCCATATGACCGGGCTAGAAATGAGAAAGTGTTGCAAGAAGAAAGCCCGTGCAGTTTCCTGGAGGTGCCCATGACTGTTTCTGCTCGGGATGGCCTGTGTGCTGCAGGGGCAAGCGGACAAAGTGTAATGTCTCTCCTCCCTTACCTGATGCTGAGCCGCCTGGGGGCTGATTCCCCTGTGTATTCCTTACTTTCCTGGATTTTAGCCTGGACAACATACCTGGCACACTATGGAACCATCCCTGCAGACTCCGGGGTGGGGGGTGGGGGTAAGGGGGGTGGTCAAGGTTGCAAAAACCTTAGAGGGACCCCTACAGGTCCTCTCTATGTTCAGGAGGGAAGACAAGTAAGGGATTCTGGAGGAGACTGTTGTCAGCCTGATTTAGAGAGGCTTGGTCTTTCCTAGGTTTTCAATTTAACCTCCCTTTTCTATTGCTACCTTCATACCTAGGCAACTGTTAAGCATTACTCCGTAACAGAGAACATCTCTATAGCAAAATCACTCTATGACAAAAGATTACAAATTGCTCTATGACAGCAAATTCTTAAGAAGGAATGGAGAGTACAAAAATGCAGGCATTCAGAATGGGGAGCAAGGCCATCTACTCTGTGTCCTGATGAAACAAAAGCAATTGTGAGTCCCCAGACTGCATGCTACAAGTGCGCTCTACAAATCAAATCCTGATTTTCTTATGGTCTTTAGGATATAATCCTTCAAGAACATCTAAGTAAACTTCAAAGGAGAAATGGAAAGAACCCCAACTATTAATCAAAGTGCAATATAACAAAAAATTGACCGGTACATGTCCACATTGTCCAGTTCTTGAGGCAAGGAGGAAATGAAATCGAAACTGAAAAGAGAAACGTGCAAAATCAGAAGTAAGAACATTGTCTATAACTTATGGAATGTGACCAAAGCTAGACTTAAAGTACAAGTCATAGCCTTAAATGCACTTATCGTTTCAAACAACATAGAAGGAGAGTACAATAGGCTGATATTTTTGGAAAGCTCACTGTGAATAGCACCTGCACACCAATATTTCATCTTCCTGCTATGTATGTGTTGGCCAGTGTTTCCTGTCCCTCGTAGTGCTTATGAGTTGCCATTATTTCTTCGAAATAGTCCATACTTCAAAGGTGGACTGTGTTGAAGGCTCAAAGCATGCACAAACAGAACACTGTGGTTGTATTGAAGAAAGGGATCCTGGCACGTGCTGGGGGCAGGAGTCAAGAGAGATACTTTTCGCCACCGTTCAGGGAAGCATCTCCAACCTCAATTGCTCAGACAATGTGGTAATGAGACTGAAATAGGAAGAGCATATGCCTGTCCACTTGATTAAAATATTGCATAGATAAAGATCAGTCGGGCACCTCATGCTTCCTGCTGTATGGTCCTGAGTTCTGAAAGGAATGCCACTGCTTACATACTCCTTACCCCTATGATGTGGTTGGCTTGGGACAAAGACATTTTTATCGAAATGATGAAGCAAGATCTGCCTAGGCAGAAAAATATGCAATGTAGGGCAGTGGCAAGGGTAGGTGAACATTTAATAGCAAAATGCAAAGCTATTCTCTTAAATGAGGTAGACGAAAACTCTACTTCCAAGACAGCCTACCGCAAGCAAAGGCCTTTATGAGTAACTGTTCATTTCTGTAGGACCTGTTTCCCTCAAGATATGCTTAGAGAACTCTCTAAAGTGTGCAGCTTGGTGCATCATATGGTCTGCTCTCTTTATGAAGCTTTTAGAGCAGTGCCTACATTTGTATGGCTTCTCCCACGTATAGATTCTTAAGCGAATAACAAGACTTGATCTCTGTCTGTAGCTTGTCCCGCAAGTATCACATATAAATGGTATCCCCTCAGCGTGTGTTCTCGGGTGCAAAAAAGAGCTGTCGACTGACTAAAGCTTTCCCCACAACTGTGACAACCTTGAGATTTTTCACCTGTGAAAGCATTCGGGTGTCCTGTCAGACTTGATCTAGGAGAAACACCTTTCCTGCACTCAAGGCACTCATACATTTCCTTATCACAACGTCTTCACAGGTGCTGTGAGGTGCGACTTATTATTCGCTTGTTATGCACTGTGCATTCACAGGGGTCTCCCACACGTGAACTGGCTGGTGCCGATAACGGTTGGACCTATGAGGGAATCCTTTCCCGCATTCAGGGCACTTGTGAGGCAGCTCTCTTGAATGAATGTTGAAGTGCCTAGAAAGTAGCTTCTCTCAAGCAAAACATTGTCTGCACTGAGAACTGCAGGATTCAAAGGGCGTGATTCAGTTACCTGACCCCAAGAGAGGTGGGCAAGTGTTCACTGAACGCCTGGGAAGAAAGAAAAGAAAAATGCAGCCTTAATCACGGTAAAGAGGTTTAGGATGTTGCTTGGGAGCTTCTACCTTTCCACTAGGCATCGAAGATGGCTCTTCTTCTTCTCCATCTCTCTGTTCTCCTTGGAGCGGGGTGACATCTGCAATTCCTATCTCTTCTCTCGGGTTTGATATTGGCAAAGAAAATGAAGAAAAAATGTCAGAGCAGAAAAAAAAAAAAAAAACTGGAGAGCGTGTATTCATTTTTTGTTTCTTTAGACAGGAATGCACTTCATGGTCGCAATTTACAAAAAGACTGTGAATGGCCCGGGCATCACCCCGCGCTCCCCAAGCCCCGAAGAGCAGCTACTGGGTGACACGACGTCTGTGGACTGTCAGAGTCCCTGTGTAGCAGAGACAGCGGAGAGCTCAAACCCAGAGGTGCCTCTCAAGCCCAGAACCCACAAGCAAGAGTCCCGCAGAGAAACCTCCTCATTGTTCTCAGAGTTCAATTGTTTTAATTTTTAGCTCCCACAGATGAGTGAGAAGATGCAAAATGTGTCAAAATGTGTCTTCCTGTGCCAAGCTTATTTCCCTTAACATAATGTCCTCCAGTTTCTATTTATTCCTGATTCTCTGTTGGTAGCTTATACGTATCTAGGAATTGTCCCATTATTTCTAGGTCTTCCAATTCGTTGGCATATAATTTTTGATAGTAATCTTTTATGATCCTTTGTATTTCTGTGGTACCAATTGTAATGTCTCCTCTTTTATTTCTGGTTTTCTTTATGTTGTCTTCTTTCTGTTTTTCTTAGTTAGTGTAGCTAACAAAGACGAATTTGTTTATCTTTTAAAAAATCCAACTCTTGATTTCATTGCATTTTTTCTATTGCTTTTATAGTCTCTTTTTCATTTATTTTTGCTCTGATTTTTGTTATGTTCTCGCTTGTGCTAATTTGTTCTTAGTGTGTTTGTCTTTCTCTAGTTCCTTGAGGTGTAATGTTAGCTTTTTTATTTAAGATATTTTTGCTCTCTCGATACAGGCATTTGCTGCTATGAATTTCTCACTTGGAAAGGCTTTTACTTCATCCCATACGTTTTGGTATGTTGTATTACCATTGTTGTTTGTGTCAAGGTACTCTTTATCTCACTTTTGAGTTCCTCTTTGGCCCATTTGTTGTTCAGTGGCTCGTGCGTCAATTTCCACATATTTATGAATTTCCTGATTGCCCCAATTATTGGTTTCTAGATTCATATCATTGTGATCAGAAAACATACTTGATATGACTTCAGTCCTCACAATCAATTGTTTTGACGTGTCTTGTGGCCAAACATAGGACCAATCTATCCTGGAGAACGTTCTGTGTGCACTGGAGAAAAACGTGTATTTCTGTTACTCTCCGATGGAATGTTCTGTAGAAGTCTGTTAGGTCCATTTGGTCTAAGGTGTAGTTTAAGTTCAATGTTCCTTTTGTCTGGATGATCTTTCCATTATTGAAAGTGGGTGTTAAACTCCCCTACTATTATTGTATTGTGGTTCATCTTTCCCTTCAGATCTACTAATATTTCCTTTATGCATGTTGGTGGTCTCGTATTGGCTGTACTTATACTTACAATTGTTAAATCATCTTGAGTAATGGATGTCCGTATTATTATAGAGTGACTTTATTTGTCTCCTTTGCTCTCTTTTGACTTACAGGTATTTCATCTGATATGGGTAAAGATACCCTTGCTCTCTTTTTGGTTTCTGTTTTCATAGAATATATTTCTCAATCCCTTCACTTTCAGTCTATGTGCTTCTTTCATGTGACGTGAGTCTCTTGTAGGAGGATAGAGTTTGGTAAGACTGAAAGCTTTTCCCCTGAGATCAGGAACAAGATAAGGATGCCAGCTTTACCACGTCTATTCAGTATTGCACTGGACATTTGAGCCAAATCAATATAGAAAAAAAAGAAAACAAAGAAGGAGTTTTTGAAGCGGAAAGTTAAAAGCCATCTCTATTAAAAAATGACATGATATTAAATATGCAAAATATAGAGAGAATGTCATGAGAGGTAATAAAGTTTTGGTCTCTGTGGGGCCTTGTAGGGCCCTGAAAGTGTTTCGGACGTTACTGTACGTGACATTTGAAATCCCTGAAAGGTTTGGAGCTTTCCAGTGATCCCTCGGGCCGTGTGGTTATGAACAGGCTGGAAGGAGCCAAAACATGAAGCAGGGTGACCAGTTAGGATGGGTCTTCTGTAATTCCTTGGCACTGTGACTGTAATCTGTTTGTCTTTCCTCTCCTGTAGAGAAAACAGGCATGATCACTGCAAAAGATGAACACACAGAGGGAGGGGGAAAGTGAGGGTCTTAAGAACCAGGTGGAAGCAGTGCTGGGGCATCAAGAGAGGTCTACAGGGTGGAGGACAGTAGTCCCCAGTGCAGCGGGCTGGAAGGGTTCACTGAACGTAGAGGAATGCTGAGAGTCATGGGAATGAATTGGGGTGGTAATAGGTCATGAAAGGAGCATAGTGTGCGTGGCCTGTCTTTTCATCATGTCTCAGCATGAAAAACACAAGAGAGGGGAAGGAAGATGAATGCAGGCTCCTTCTTTATGGTACTTGTAATTGCAGAGACTTAGAGAGTATGTAATCTATGCTGGACACAGTCTTGTGCCCATTATGTGTGACAACTAACTTAATCCTCAAAGCTCTGCAAGGCAGGGATTATTATCATAGCTTTTTTTGTAGATGAGGAACTGAATGTCTAAGGAAGTTGAACAACTTGCCTAAAGGCCCCAAGCCTGGGAGAATTGGGATTTGGGTCCAAGCAGCCTGGCTCTGTCATCGGTGCCCATAAGCACAGTGTTTGACTCAGTAGCCTGAGGCCAGTTACCTGCTGAGTGCAGACACCCATCCTTCTGTTTCCTTCTTCCTCCCTTCATTCAGGAAACACTCCCCAGGGAGAGGTAAAGACCCTAGAGGGAGGGGGTGGTTGACAGATCAGGACAAGACTTGACATGTATCTGTGGCCATTTAGAGACATGGTGGAGGGACTGGCTTCACACAGAAGGAGGTGATAGGGATCCCTCACTGGGGCTCCGTGACTGCACTTCTGGGGGTCTCTGAATTGTACCAGACGGGTTGTGGTTCAGGAGGTTTTAGGAAGGAACAGGTCCACGTTAGCCTCAGATTTTCCAAGGCATAGAAAGCCCACCTGTATCCCACGTCCCCAAAATAAAAATGTGAGGCTCTACTGCTCTGAGTTAAAGAATGCAGTTAGACAAGTGTGTGGGTAGCAGCAGGGATCCCACAGCATCTACCGAGTAAGAGCGTGATGGGACCCAGGACATTATGGACACATTGTTAGACAAATCTGTTCATCACCTGACACACATAGACTTGTTAGATTGTAATAGCAGTGCTAGATTATTTCTCAATTGTTCCCTTAATCTACATACTCAAGATTTTTAGACTAATAGACTATATTTGTTTTAAAGAAAAATTGAGTGGAAAGTACTGACAGTTCACATATGCCCACCACCACCGTCTCCTCTATGATTCACATCTTGCACTAGTGTGGGACATTTGTTACCACCGAAGAGCCAGTATTGATACATTATTATTAACCAAAGCTGGTAATTTATATGGGGCTCACTCATTGTGTTGCATAGTCTATGGGCTTTGACAAATGTAATCAATCGCACTTGGTCATGGCGTATATTTCTTTGTACACCTTATTGGATTTAATTTGATAATGTATTATTGGGAATATTTACATTGGTGTTCGTGAGAGATATTAGCCTATAGTTTTCCTTCCTTATAACATCTTTGTCTGATTTTGGTATTAGGGTAATACCGGCCTCAAGGAATGAGTTAGGAAGAATTCTCTTTGATTCAAACTTTTGAAGAGATTGTAGACAATTCGTATAGTTTAAAACTTAAATGTTTGGTAGAATTTCCCAGTAAACCCAGCCGGGTTTCCTGATTTCCGTTTTGGAAGGTATTAATTATTGATTCAATTTCCTTAATAGTCATAGGCCTATTCAAAGTATCTGCTTCTTCTTCTGTGTGTTTTGATAGATTGTGCCTTTTCAGAATTGTTTTATTTCATCTAGGTTATGGAATCTGTGGGAGTTAAGTTGTTTATTATTCATTTAATGTACCTGGGATCATTGGTGGTGGCCCCTGTTTCACTTCTGATATCAGTATTTGTGTTCTCTCTCTCTCTCTTTTTTTTTTTACTTAGCCTAGCTAGAGGTTCAAAATTGTTTTGATCTTGTCAAAGAGCCACCTTTTAAAAATTCTTTCCAACTTTTATTTTAGGTTCAGGGGGTACATGCACAAGTTTGTTATATGGAAAATTGCATGTCATGGGGGCTTCGTATACAAATTAGTTCATCACACAGAAAATAAACATAGTACGCATCAGGTAGTTTTTCTATCCTCGTCCTCCTCTCACCCTCCACCGTCACATAGGCCCAGGTGTCTATTTGTCTATTGTTTGTTTCCATGTATACTCAAGGTTTGGCTCACACTTGTAAGTGAGAACACGTAGTACTAGGTTTCCTGTTCCTGCATTTATTCATTTAGGATAATGCCCTCCAGCCCCACCCTGTTGCTGCAAAGGACACAATCTCATTCTTTTTGATGACTGTATAGTATTCCATGGTATAGATACACCAGATATTCTTTATTCAGTCTACCATTGACGGCCACTTACGTCGATTCCATGTATTTGCTATTGTGAATAGTGCTGCAGTGAACATATGTGTGCATCTGTCTGTACGGTACGATGATTTATATAATTAGTTAGGTATATACCCAGTAATGGGATTGGTGGGTCGAATGGTAGTTCTGTGTAAGTTCTTTGAGAAATCTCCAAACTGCTTTCCACAGTGGCTGAACTAATTTACATTCCCACCAGCAGTGTATGAGCATTCCCTCTTCTCCACAGTCATGCCAGCTTCTGTTATTTTCTGACTTTTTAATGATAGCCATTCTGACTGACTGGTGTGACATGGTCTCACACTGAGGTTTTAATTTGCATTTATCTGATGATTAGTGATGTTGAGCATTTTTTCATATGCTTCTTGTGGCACGCGTATATCTTCTTTTGAGAAGTGTCTGTTCGTGTCCTTTGCTCATTTTTAATGGGGCTGTTTGTTTTATGCTTGTTAATTTCTTTAAGCTGCTTATGGAATTTGGATATTAGACCTTTTTCAGATGCAGAATTTGCAAATTTTACTCCCATTATAGAGGTCGTCAGTTTACTTTGTTGATAGCTTGTTTTGCTGTGCAGAAGCTCTTTGGTTCAATTAGGTCCCATTTCTCAATTTTTGTTTTTGTCATAATTGTCTTTGGTGTTTTCATCATGAAATCTTTGCCAGGGCCTATGTCTAGAATGGCATTTCTTAGGTTGTCTTCTAGGATTTTTTTTTTTTTTTTATAATTATCTGTTTACATGTAAATCTTTAATCCATCTTGAGTTGGTTTTTGTGTATGGTGAAATGGAGGGGTCCAGTTTCACTCTTCAGCATATGGGTAGCCAGCATAGGGAGGTATCAATTAACTGCCATATTTCTTACCTCAAGAACCGGGAGATCATCCCTCCTGATCTGGAAACCTCTACACCACTGCCACCAATCTCCTCACCTCCGTGCACAAGATTATAAAGGTCAGAGCTCTGTGCTGGTACATGTGAGGATGCATGTGGCAGCTCCACAAGTTTCCTTGATCACACTTGTGCTGTTGGCTACTGACAGCAATCCATGAGTGGGAACTCTACAACAAATTTTTATCAGAAGACCATAACTATTCTACAAAATCTGAGAAATAGAAGCAACTGATAAGCTTGATAAAAACAAGAACGCAGGTAGCTCAGGAGAACTCAACAGTGGATCTTCTAAATCACATTTTCTGTAAAGAAATGGTATCATCAGACTGAGCAGGAAAATACTCAGTCATATAGTCTAGTCCAGAGCTCCAAAATTGGCAGGACAAAACCATGATCGACTCCGCTAGGTTGAGGTGAAAAGTATGAAACCAAGTAACTACGGCCAGGGGACTCAGTCAATAGCAACACAAGGGTGTGTATGCAGTGGGCAGTTCTCAGAGAAATGACACCAGCTGGATGGACCAATCAGCGTGAGACCCCTGCTTTTACCTGAAGGATACAAATACAATACATGGACATTTTGACATGTCCAGTAAGTAAAACTCAAAAATTAGTTCTTTAAGTAGAAATGCACGTATAACACACAATGGAGACAACTGAAAGACAAAGACACACCCAAACTCACAGCATCCCTTAAGGTAAACCCTGTCAAAACCATGAAGAGCTAATGTCATGGGACCATGCTTTGACTCAGAGTCCTCCAGGTGAATTTCCCCACTGCTGTAGGACTGCTGTAATGTGTTGAGACTCAGAAAACTATGGGCTAATGTTTCCATGTTGTTACACGGCCATTGCAAAATATTACATGCGATTTTAAGAATCAAGGAAAAGCAATTACGGGCATACCTCTGACCTATTGCATTTTTGGGTCTTCACCACTGCAATAAAGTGAGCCACACAAATATTTTGATTTACCAGTGCATATGAAAGTTTCATTTACCGTATAAAGAAATATATTTAGTGAGCGATAGCATTATGTCTACAAAACAATATACACACTTTAATTAAAAAATACTTGATTGCTAAAAAAGACTAACGATGGTCAGAGCCCCCAGCAAGTCATCATCTTCTTGCTGGTGGAGGGTCTGGTCTTGATGTTGATGGCTGCTGGCTGACCAGCGTGGTGGTTGCCGGAGGGTGGAGTGGCTTTGGAAATTCCTTAAGAGAAGACAACGATGAAGTTGGTCACATTCATTGACTCTTCCTTTCATGAAAGATTTCTCTGTGGCATGCAATGCTGTTTGATAGCATTTTACCCAGAGTAAAACTTGCTTTAATATTGCACCCAATCCTCTCAACAATCCCCCCCACCCACACACACACACACACACACACCTGCTTTGTCAACTGCATTAATGTAATATTTTAAATCCTATGTTGTCATTTTAACAACGTTCACATCTTCTGCACTGGGAGTCGATTCCATCTGAAGAGAACACTTTCTTCACTCATCCGTAAGAAGCAACTCATCCATTCGAGTTTTATCAATTCACTCACATCTTCAGGCTCCACTTCCAATTCCAATTCTCTTTTTATTTCCAATACATCTGCAGTAACTTCTTCCAATCAAGTCTTTAACCATCAGTGTCAGCCAGAGGTTTGTAATCAACATCTTCCACACTCTTGTTGACATTCATATTTTGACCTCCTCCTGCGACTCATGAATGTTCCTAATGGAATCTAGAATGGTGAATCATTTCCAGAAGGCTTTCTGTTTACTTTGTCCAGCTCCATCAGGGGAGGTTTTCCATTTACTTTGTCCAGCTCCCTATGGCAGCTGTAGCCTTATCAAATGTATTTCTTAAATAAGACTTGGCAGTCAGTCAAAATTACTGCTTGATCTATGGGCTGCAGAATGGATGTTGTGTTAGCAGGCATGGAAACAACATTCATCTTCTTGTACATTTCCATCAGGGCTCCTGGGTGACCATTGCATTGTCAATGAGCAATAATATTTTGAGAGGAATCTCTCTTTTCTTTTTCTTCCTGAGCAGTAGGTCTCAACAGTGGGCTTAAAATATTCAGCAAACCATGTTGTAAGCAGGTGTGCTGTCATCCAGGCTTTGTTGTTCCATTTATAGAGCATGGGTGGAGCTGATTTGGCATAGTGCTTCAGGGCCCTAGCATATTTGGAATGATAAACGAGCATTGGTTTCAACTGAATATGTTTAGGTGAATTAGCCCTTAACATGAGAGTCAGCCTGTCCTTTGAAGGTTTGAAGGCAGGGATTGGCTTCCCCTCCCTAGCTATGAAAATCCTACGTAACATCTTCCAATAGAAGACAGTCTAATTCAGACTGAAAATCTGTTGTTCAGCGTAGCCACCCTCATCATCTTTTTTTTTTTCATTGTACCATCTGTTTAATTGTTTATTTTTACAAATACAAAGATTTCCCATGTCATGTTTTTAGATATCTTGGGGGAAGAAATTTCTTTGTTTTATTTCTTTTTTTAAATTTTATTATTATTATACTTTAAGTTTTAGGGTACGTGTGCACAACGTGCAGGTTTGTTACATATGTATACATGTGCCATGTTGGTGTGCTGCACCCATTAACTCGTCACTTAGCATTAAGTATATCTCCTAATGCTGTCCCTCCCCCCTCCCCCCACCCCACAACAGTCCCCGGTGTGTGATGTTCCCCTTCCTGTGTCCATGTGTTCTCATTGTTCCATTCCCACCTATGAGTGAGAACATGCGGTGTTTGGTTTTTTGTCCTTGCGATAGTTTGCTGAGAATGATGGTTTCCAGCTTCATCCATGTCCCCACAAAGGACATGAACTCATCCTTTTTTATGGCTGCATAGTAGTCCATGGTGTATGTGTGCCACATTTTCTTAATCCAGTCTATCATTGTTGGACATTTGGGTTGGTTCCAAGTCTTTGCTATTGTGAATAGTGCTGCAGTAAACATACGTGTGCATGTGTCTTTATAGCAGCATGATTTATAATCCTTTGGGTATATACCCAGTAATGGGATGGCTGGGTCAAATGGTATTTCCAGTTCTAGATCCCTGAGGAATCGCCACACTGACTTCCACGATGGTTGAACTAGTTTACAGTCCCACCAACAGTGTAAAAGTGTTCCTATTTCTCCACATCCTCTCCAGCACCTGTTGTTTCCCGACTTTTTAGTGATCGCCATTCTAACTGGTGTGAGATGGTATCTCATTGTGGTTTTGATTTGCATTTCTCTGATGGCCAGTGATGATGAGCATTTTTTCATGTGTTTTGGGGCTGCATAAATGTCTTCTTTTGAGAAGTGTCTGTTCGTATCCTTCGCCCACTTTTTGATGGGGTTGTTTGTTTTTTTCTTGTAAATTTGTTTGAGTTCAGTGAGATTCTGGATATTAGTCCTTTGTCAGATGAGTAGGTTGCAAAAATTTTCTCCCATTCTGCAGGTTGCCTGTTGACTCTGATGGTAGTTTCTTTTGCTGTGCAGAAGCTCTCTAGTTTAATTAGATCCCATTTGTCAATTTTGGCTTTTGTTGCCATTGCTTTTGGTGTTTTAGACATGAAGTCCTTGCCCATGCCTATGTCCTGAATGGATTGCCTAGGTTTTCTTCTATGGTTTTTATGGTTTCAGGTCTAACATGTAAGTCTTTAATCCATCTTGAATTAATTTTTGTATAAGGTGTAAGAAAGGGATCCAGTTTCAGCTTTCTCCATATGGCTAGCCAGTTTTCCCAGCACCATTTATTAAATAGGGAATCCTTTCCGCATTGCTTGTTTTTGTCAGGTTTGTCAAAGATCACATAGTTGTACATGAGTGAACTCCCATTCACAATTGCTTCAAAGAGAATAAAATACCTAGGAATCCAACTCACAAGGGATGTGAAGGACCTCTTCAGGGAGAACTACAAACCACTGCTCAATGAAATAAAAGAGGATACAAACAAATGGAAGAACATTCCATGCTCATGGGTAGGAAGAATCAATATCGTGAAAATGGCTATACTGCCCAAGGTAATTTATAGATTCAATGCCACCCCCATCAAGCTACCAATGACTTTCTTCACAGAATTAAAAAAAACCACTTTAAAGTTCATATGGAACCAAAAAAGAGCCCGTGTTGCCAAGTCAATCCTAAGCCAAAAGAACAAAGCTGGAGGCATCATGCTACCTGACTTCAAACTATACTACAAGGCTACAGTAACCAAAACAGCATGGTTCTGGTACCAAAACAGAGACTCTGGATAACGTGCTGCAGCCTCAACTTCTGCATTTGATGCTTCATCTTGCACTTTGAAAATATTTTCTTTTCAAGTTTTTAGAGGCAGCATCTTGCTCTTTTACCCAGGCCAGAGTAAAGTGGCATGATCACAGCTCACTGCAGCCTCGAACTCCTGGGCTCAAGTGATCCCCCACCCACCATAGCCTCCTGAGTAGCTGAGACTACAGGTGTGTGCCACCACCCTTGGCTCATTTTAATTTTTTTTTTTTTTTTTTTTTTTTTTGTAGAGGCAGGGTCTCACTACGTTGCCCAGGCTGGTCTCAAACTCCCTGCCTCATGCAATGTTCCCAACTCGGCCTCCCAAGCTGTTGGGGTTACAGGCATGAGCCACCCTGCCTTGGTGCCTATTGCACTTTTATGTTATGGAAACGGTTTAATCTGCTAGCTTACTTCTGCAGTTTCATTACCTCTTGCAGCCTTCATAGAACTGAAGAGAGCTAGGCCTTGTTCTGGATTAGGCTTTGGCTCAAGGGAATGTTGTGGCTGGATTGACCTTCTATCCGGACCACTAAAACTCTTCACACCGCTATCAGACTGTTTCTCGCTTTCTTATCATTGGTGTGCTCACTGCAGTAGCACTTTTGATTTCCCTCAAGAACTTTTCCCCTTTGCGTTCACAACTTGGGTGACTGGTGCAAGGGACCTAACTTTCAGCCCGTCTTGGCTTTTGACATGC
The DNA here is from genome assembly GCF_000001405.40 of Homo sapiens. Classification (NCBI taxonomy): domain Eukaryota; kingdom Metazoa; phylum Chordata; class Mammalia; order Primates; family Hominidae; genus Homo; species Homo sapiens. The sequence continues at coordinate 135,226,164 of NC_000023.11, read as the reverse complement.
CTTCTTCAGGAAGCTTAATCATTTCTAGTTTTTGATTTAAAGTGAGAGACTTGTGAGTCTTCCTGTCACTTGAACACTTAGAGGCTATTTTGGGGTTATTGCTTGGCCTAATTTCCATATTGTTGCGCCTCAGGGAATAAGATATCCTGAGGAGAAGGAGAGAGATGGGGAACAGCTTGTCGGTGGAGTCATCAGAACACACACAACATTCGTTTAGTTCGCTGCTGTCTGATATGGGTGTGGTTCTTGGTGCCCCAACAGAATGACAATAGTAACATCAAAGATCACTGATCACAGATTACCATAACAGATATCACAGGAATGAAAAAGTTGGAAATAAGAGTTACCGAAATGTGACACAGGAACACAAAGTGAGCACACGCTGTTGGATAAATGGCACCAATAGACTTGCTCGACATAGGGTTTCCACAAACCTTCAGTTTCGAAGAAACACAGTAGTTGCAAAGTGCAATGAAGAGAAGTGCAGTAAGATGAGGTATGCCTGAATGTAGAAGCCGTAAATGGCACTTTATTAATGTTCCCTGATAGGAGAATTCTCCCCGTTGGGTGTAAAATCTGAAAACGTTGAGGGAAGGGGCACACATCTGTAATCATGACAGATTCCATGCTCATGTCTAAGTACAAGTTCCCAGAGCAGCGTTTTCTGGGCTACGGAGGAGAGGTCAAGATGTCTCACTTCTGGCATAAAGTGCACTCCACGTGTGTTGGCTCAACACTCTAACAGAAAAACTTGTAGTCCCCAAGTTGATACTAGAATGGAGTCTACAAGAGACCTTTCCAGAATTCTGTAGGACAGGCTGTGTCTGACTGATGGGGAGACTGAGAAAGTCATAGCAATTCACTAGACACAGCCCACTGCTGTTCTTGGCCAAGTGGATCAGAAGCAGTACAGCAGTTCTGCATACAAATAAGAGGAGGTGAGGGGAGCTCAGAACACCGACCCAAATCCACAACATTAGGAGGCCAGCTAGGATGGCAGTCAGTCTTCCTTATTTTGGGATATCATAGTAAGCACAATGGGCTGAGAGGGCAAATGCCAATGCATAGGAACATAGGGGAGATTACCAAAATTACACGTGTGTGTGTGTGTGTGTGTGTGTGTGTGTGTGTGTGTGTTTATTCTCTGGACACGTTTTGAGAGTCTTGCCTATTCAAATAACTCCAACACAGAATCTGGTCCTTACTTGGCGCCAACTATTCTTTCAGCTTCTGTGTATCAAAAGTACTAAAGATCAGGTATAACTCCCTGTGAAGACATAGTTTTGAATAAAGCATGAGAAGGGGAGAGGTGTGAGCAAATTACTCGTCATTCCTGCTTGTGCCTTCAGGTCCCATTTGCACAAGATCCACTTGATGGGGTTGTCTGAAAATGTGTCGCTTTGCCCAGATTCGGGAATATACAGTTGTGGGTGGCAATTGGTGACATGCCATCATGGTGAGATGTTCCCAACGATTCTGTGCTCACCCCCAAACTCAAGTTCCAAGACCAGTCTTTTCTGGACTACGGAGAAGTACAGATGTTTACTTTCTGGCATCAATCCAAGTGAAGTTAATGAAAAGAAGAAGGGAGCATGGTCTCTCTCTAGAACACCACTGTGCATTGGCAAGAACCTCCTCTTGTGGCTTGTCGTGATCTACATAACATGTCTTGATATGCTGCACAAACACCCTCATGCACTGCCCCTTACTGCCTGCTATGGTTGCTTGCATCCCAGCCTGAATCCCCTGGAGAGATTTCTTCCCCTGTGGGACTGAATACCTGTTTTAATATAGGATATTTAAGGTAAAGAGCACCCCTCCAATGATTAGAAGAGACACAGATGGAAATAGGCATTTTATCACTTGCCGATCCTGGAGGGTACCTGGCACACCTGGAGGGCACACATGTGTGGCAGGGAGCCCAGGCAGGGAGAGAGAAAGGGACCCGTGGGCCAACAACCTTATGCGCATCCCAGGGGTTATCCAAACGGGTTTCCCGTGGGGAGTTTTAATTGGTGGGCTTAAAGCAGGCAGACACATGTTTCAGGAGGTCACACTATGACTGAGCAGTGGTCATTGTGGCCTATCTGTGCAAACTGTGCAGGGTATCAGGGTCAGTGGGGCTGGCCAAGTAGGCTATATGTACATCTTCATATGTACAGACCTGAAACATCTCATGATGTTTCTTAAAAAGAGGAGGTGGCTTACATGGAATACAACTGATTATAGGTTGATAATGAAGACACATAATACGCATGTATGTATGTGTGTGTGTATATGCATGTATGTACATTTTAACATGTATATTTATTATCTTACACACACACACACACAGAGAAATAAATTCTCCTGCTTCATTTATGTTTCCAGCATAAACTCTTAGGAGTGGAATTTCCTGTTCAAAGGTTTCTGATGAAGATTCAATCCATTGAGTTTTAAATCACTTTTCATGTTTCTCATTTGAATAGCCTAGTTCATAGCACATACCACTTCACAATTGGTGTCTTTACAACCGTCCATACCAATGTCATGGTATTTCCCCTGTATTTGCTTTCACTGAGGTCTTGTGCACCAAGGTCTTGTGTCTCTCTATACCACTACTTGTGTCACTCTCCTAGTGGATGACCCATAAGACACCCCGGCCTCTCTGCTCCCCGACTCCTCTCGTCCTCACAGTCAAACCTCAGGCTTCCCCTCAAGTTTCATTTCTCATCCCCAACCCTCCCTCCTCTGTTTCATCTCCTTTGCAAACACCATCACCTGTCAAACTTCATTCACTTTGTCATTCTCCGCTGGCAAAACTGGAGTCTAGTAAGGCCCAGCTATCCAACTATTCTCCACCTGCACCCAAGTAACAGAACTCTGCTGCATAAATTATAACACCAAATGCAGCTATATAGACCCATACCAAAATAGGGACACACATTTCACAGGGACCACTCAATACTACCCAATAATCCTACTGTATTACCCCCAGGAAGTATGATTTTCCACAATCTGAGGTTATCTATGCTTCTAAATGTAACACAGCTGTGTTAATTTCCTAGGGAGGCCAAAACACATTACCCCAACTGGGCGGCTTAAGACAACAGAAATTTATTCTGTGGCAGTTCTGCAGGCTACCAGTCTGAAATCAAGTTGTCAGTGAGGTTGGTTCCTTCTGGTGAGCTCTGATGGAGAGTCTATTACAAGTTTCTGGAGGTTACCAGTAGTCATTGGTGGCTTTTCTTGGGTTGCAGATGCATCACTCCAAGCACTTCCTCCTTCATCTGATGGTGCTCTTACCTGTGTGTCTGTGTGTCCAATATCCCTCTTCTTATAATGCCACCACTCACTAGATTAGTGGTGTATGACCAATCCTAATGCTGTGGGACCTCATCTTAATTTGACTTTTTCGTTTTTTATTTTATTTTTTTGCAAAGACCCTATTTCCAAATAAAGTCACATTCACAGGTATTGGGACTTAGAACTTGAGCATAACTCTTTAGGGGCGAAACTGAACCCACAACAACTGCTCTTGTACATTTTGATTACTCCAATATTCTATGATTGTCAATGAAAAATTAGGACACACAGATAAGCAGACATTTCCTCTTATTTCTCTGAGAAAACAAAGGCCATAGCCGGGCGCCGTGGCTCACGCCTGTAATCCCAGCACTTTGGGAGGCTGAGACAGGTGGATCACCTGAGGTCAGGAGTTGGAGACCAGTCTGACCAACATGGTGAAACCCCGTCTCCACTAAAAGTACAAAAATTTAGTTGGGCACGGTGTGTGCCTGTAATCCTAGCTACTCAGGAGGCTGAGACAGGAGAATCGCTAGAACCCAGGAGGCAGAGGTTGCAGTGAGCCGAGATCACGCCATTGCACTCCAGCCTGGGGAACAGAGCGAGACTCCAATTCAAAAAATAATAAGAATTTTTTTTAAAAAAGAAAACAAAGGCCGTGAGACAGGAGCTCCTCTGCGAACCTCCTGACACCCATCCTGGCTTTCTCTTCCTTCTCTCTTGTAACAGTGAAAGGACATATCAGCCCCTTCCCAGGGCTGACCCTCCACTGAGCACATGGAACCATTCTCTTGACACATTTTCTCTGAGGATGTCGCTTCTGTTGCTATTGTCTCTCTTCGTCCTGCGTCAACAACCATTCTTTTTGAATCTTTGCTTCTAATGGAATAACATGCAAACATACACAAGAATCACCCATCTTAAAAACGTCACAGACAAGTAACTCCCATCTTTAAAAATGTGCATAGATAAATAAGCTTCCTTGGCCTCATTTCCCCTTCAGTCCCATTCCTCTGCATCCTGTCCCCCACAGCAAATGCTATTTCAAGAATCACCTCTGCTCACTTGCTGAGCTCCCATTCCCTCCTTATTCCTCTGGCATTAGGCTTTTACCGACATCATGCCCCTAACTTGCTCTTAAGATGGCAGGAAACCTCCAGGTCACCAAATCCAGTGGTCAATATGCTAAGCTCTCATCACTCAACCTCTCAGTGTTTGACGGAGTTGAGGACTCCCCATTTCTTGAAATAAGTTCTTCGGTCTTCTGTGTGACCACCCTCTCCTAGAAAGGCTCCTTCTCGGCTTCTTTTGCGAGATCTTCCTCCTATCAGGATCCCACGAGACTGCTCCAGGGCCCAGGCCCTGAATGGCTTCTCTATCCACACGCCAGCCCCATGGCATCTAACGGCAGGTAACTCCCAATCCCATATATATACTGAGTCACACACATGGTTGTCCCATAGACGACTCAAGGGTAAGGTGTCCAAAATTTCACGTGCCCTGAGCTTCCTTCAACCCCTGCACCTCCTTAAAACTTCTCCGTCTCAGACGATGTCAGCTCAGTTCACACAGTGGGTTAACATCATATCCCTGCCATAACCCTTAGTTTTCTCCATTTTCTTTACACTCTTCACGCCATCCATCAGCAAAAACTATCAATCCTTTGAAAACATACCTGTAGTCTCACCACCTCTAAAGAATGATTGAAAAAAAAGTCACTGGGTCAAATGTTTTAGTTTCCATCATGGCACAGAAGAAAGCAGAAAGAACCAAAGAGACAGCAGCCACTCAGACATATGAAAACATGCCCAAAACCCTTCCATGTGTCCCTGCTGGCACAAATAGAGCTAATAACGGATGCTGCAGCAAGAGATTGGTGCTAAGAAATCGCCTTAGAAAGAGGTAAGAAATAGCCTTCTCTGGCAAACTTCACTAAGTCAGACTCAGCCTCCTCTGCAGGGTTCAAACTCTGTTGGCAGAGAAGCTACAGGTAGATTCCAGCACCAGGAAGACAGGTCCCTGCTGAGAGAATACTGCAGAACAAAGAAGGGGCTCTTCTATACCAACCTGCTGGAAACACTGTGAATGATCTTTGTGGTAGGAGGTGCCTCCAGAGGCCCGGAACACATCAGATAAGAAATGGCTGCTGGACCTGAATGCCAGGGGATGAATTCCACTGGGCCACAGAGCAGCTGTGCGCCCCCTCTTTCCTGTTTGTGTCCCTGACTTGGCTGTTGAATGGACACGACGCTACTGGGACTTCTTTCATAGGATTCTTTGTGAGCATTAAATGACGTGTGTGTCCCAAGGCCCTTAGCCCAGTGCTTGGCATATACAAGGGCTGGACACAAAGTAGATTAACAGCAATTCTGAACAAGGATGCCATGCACCCCATTAAACCTTCTCACATTTTAACTGTCTCCCATGAACAAAATGCACACCTTCACAAGTATCCATGAAGCAATCATTCAGTGCCAGATTCCAGCAAAGATATAACCATGTGATTCGCCTTCTTGGCTTCTAGTGACCTGCATGTTTCACTCTCAAATCAGGGAAACTGACTCCGACTGAAAATATTGAAAACCATCTGTTCGTGGTCACTGCCATCAAAAACCTCTTATCAGAATCACCTGCTTACATTTCTTTCTGTCACTAACTGCTAGACGGAAATTCTTACTTATTCATATGCTTATCAGAGTATTTATTGTCGGTCTCTTCCCACTTGTATGTCAGCTTCATGACTGCAGAGCTTTTGTTCGTGGTTGCTTTTTCCATCTGCTGGGCCTTCAGCATCTAGAACAGTGCTGGGCACATGGTAGGTTCTCAATAAATACCACAGCAATTAGTTGAATCAGAAAAGGGTAAGATCCTGAACCATTCCAGCAACCTGAGAAAGGATCTGGTTTTAAGGCAATTCACACCAAATCTGACTACTTTGCTTTGCTTTGTGCATCTACCTAAACAGTATTGGGCCTCATTCAGAATTATGTTGCAGCTGGCTGTAAATGTAAGAGCTGTAGTTTTGAAGACACTAGATCCCGGCTCAACTCAACTTTTTCCTGGCTTTGCAACCTGTCCCCAGGAGTGTGACCACAGCAGAAACTTATAACGATTATAGGCCAATAAGTTGGGTTCTCTTGCATGTCAGTGACTCAGCCTCCCTTGTGTACATGAATTGCACCATGGAGTAAAATGTTACTCCTTCCATTACAAAAGCTACACTGGAAATAAGTGTAAATAAACACTGGACTAGTGTTTAGACAAACATTTCTATCAGAATAGAGTGACAAGGTTTAGATGACATGTATCAATACATGTATTATTCATTATGATTTAATGGATGGGGACAATTCCCATCCATGGGAATTTTGGGATCCTCATGTGATGGGAGTTTTCCCAATCCATATCTTTGTTTTTGAAAACACAATGAGTGTATGGATGGCTTTTATTTGTTACAGAATGTCAATGTTAGCTCTCTGTTGTCTTAGCTTGGTCTGCTATAACACGATACCACGGAAATTTATATTGCACAGTTCTGGAGGCTGGCAGGTCCAAGAATAAGGTGCTGACTGATTTGGTTCGGGGCAAGGGCCCTCTTTCTGGATCGAAGATTGTCAACTTCTGGCTGTTTCCTCCAATGGAGGAGTGGAAGCAAATGCTGGCTTCTTTTCCTCTTCTTCTAAGGATACAAATCCCATTATGGGGCTCTAGTCTCATGACCCCATCTAAGCCTGACAGCCTCCCAAATGCCCCTCCTCCATATATGATCACATTGGGGATTACGGCTTCAACAAAGGAATTTTTGGGGAACACAGATGTTCAGTCCTCCTAACCACTGTGAAGTATGTTCTTTATGCTGTCAAAATAGCTTGTACCTTTCCTTTTGTTTCCTTTCCTTTTCTTTTTTATCTTTTTTTTTTTTTTTTTTTCGAGATGGAGTCTCCCTATGTCGCCCAGGCTGCAGTGCAGTGGCAGGATCTTGGCTCACTGCAACCTCGGGCTCCTGGGTTCAAAGGATTCTCCTGCCTCAGCCACCTCAAGTAGGTGGGACTACAGGCGCGCGCCACCACGACTCCCTAAATTTTTTGGCATTTTTAGTAGAGACAAGGTTTCACCATGTTGGTCAGGCTGGTCTCAAACTCTTGACCTCAGTTGATCCACCCAACTCGGTCTCCCAAAATGCTGGGATTACAGGTGTGAGCCATGCACCTGGCCACCTTTTGTTTTCTTTCAATGGAACTTCAACAATAAGGTTATGCTTTTCACCCTTTGTATATACAGTAGGCCTTCAACTATGCAGAGGATTTGGGGAATGAAGTTTCTAATTCACCTCATTTAGGGTCGACTGGGGCAATGCTCTTAGAAAGTGAAACCACGGTAGGATGACGTTGCCCCAGCAGGGTGAACTCTTTTCCTCCCCCTTATGAGACCAACAAGAGTGCTAACTGATCTGAGTCCTCAGTTATGGATGTTTAGACTGATAGTCCTTAACCAACCCCAACCCTTCACTCTTCTGGCCAGGCCAGCAGCTCTGGAAAGAAACTCATGAAGCATTTAACCCAGGCTGTCCTAGGTGACTATTACAATGAAATGGTGACTAAAAGCCAGTTCTGTGAGCAGTTCCAAAGGCAACAGAGAGCCTTTTTCTCTAGCCCTCCCATCCCTGTAGAGCAGGGCACCCAAGTTTAGGAAGGCAGGCATGGAGCCTGCCAAAAAATGGTTCCAAGGAGGCCTCCTGCAAGCCAGGGTGCATGAGAAGAGGGAGTTAGAGAACAGATGGAAGGCTGTCCACAGTAGGAGAGCATATACGGTAGGATTGTGCAAAGAAGTAAATACACAGAGGATAATGGAAGGTAGGGTTCCCCAAAGCTGAGAAGGAAACAATACACATGGAAAGGTGGAAAGAGAGGAAAACATGGAATAAACTCTGTATTCCTGGGCTGGATACTGGAGGTTTACGTGCAACCTCAAGTTTGCCAACAGAAATAAGAGCTTCAATTCAAAACATCATATTCTCCAACACCAAGGGAACAGGGATCCTTCTAAATAGGGCTGATTAAGTAGAATTTGAAATTTTGACAAAACAGAGAACTACACCCTAAGCATAACAAAGAGGGGTTGTTTACATTCACAGAGTATATCCCTTTGGCAGATGTACAGTTAAAGATTTATGCATCTCACAAGAGGAGTGAAATGACAAACCAGAACCTCTGAAAGCTACAGGTGGTTAGAGGATGAAACCACAATCACGATGAGAGGCTTCAATGTACCCCTTTGATTAACAGTATGCATTATCATGACAGCGAGAACACTAGGTTCAATCTATTGGGCCATGATTAGGCTCCGGGTACCTAAGTATAACTTTATGTTTTAGAATCATTGCAGGCATCAGGCCAGAATTGGCAGAAGGGCCATAGTTTGCCAAACCCGGCTAAAGATCATTATCTTATTTCATTTTCTTCATTGCATGTATCACTAAATGAGCTGAGAGGCATCTGATATCAGCACATCTGCAACGCCTTCACGGCATGGGGCAGTTGGAAGCTCCGTGGCAGAACACTGGCGCCCCAGAAACTCGTGGTGACAGGTCCCTGTATTTTCAATCCAAATCTTTTGTACGTGGGGAAAGCACGTTTCTGACACAGTCTACTATTTCCTAGTCCCTGAGTCCTTCCGTCCTTGTGCCGTGAGGTCATCCATTTAGGGACACAGGTGTGATGGGGGTGAGATGATCAAGGACCATTCATTATCAATTGTGGGAAAGAGCCTTGGCATAACACATCCCTGAGGCAAAATATTCAAAATGAACCGCTTGGTCTGCCTTATGAAAGCAAAGCAGTTCTGGGCTTTGCTATTTGAAAGAAGATAGAGGAAATGTATCCAATCCCTGCCCCACTGCCCAGCTGAACTGCTGCCTCCCAGGTGATCTTCAGTCCTGTGAGGAAGTTTGTGAAACAGTGGCTGTGACTGAATCATCAGCTGATTGGGCTTATCATAATACATTGTAACTCCCAAAGAACATTCTTCCACATCAAACAAACTGCAGAATTAAATGGGGAGGTAGTGAAAGTCATGACCCTTGCATCTCTCAAGTCCAACGTGGACTGCTCTGTAATTCCACAGGGTGTGGGGTTGCTTTTGAATGACGACATTCACAGGGACCTGGTGTTGCCACAGCTCCCACTTACCCCTTTCAATCATAGGAGCTACTGCTGCATGGGTCAGGAAGCCGAGGACGGTGGGGGTGCCGGGGGGGTGGGGTTGGGGCATTGAAAGAACACAATTCCATTAGGGCCTGGAATTTTGTCCTTTTGGTTAAGGATATAACTCTAGAGCCTCAACAGTGCCTGGCACATCAAAGAGAATCAGTAGGATTTTGTGGAGTGAACCAGTGAGTGAAAATGGGAACTTTACAAGACCTTCACTGTTTCTATCAAGCGGGAAACAAATCCCTGGATAACTGAGAGGTCTCACTGGATCTGTAGTGGAAAGTCAAAACACAACTCTGTTTATTCAAGGACCGGTGGTAATGGTGGAATTATGAATCACAGGACTCAGGGTAAGTTTACAACGACACTCAAGCTATGCCCAAAGGTCTGAATATATCCCTTCCCCTAGGTCACAGCTACCTGGTTAAATATTCTATTAGAAGAAAGCATGAAGTTTCCTGGAGTTTACTTGTGGGATTTTAGTATAACCTTTCCCAGTGGGTAAGCAGCTTGTCCTTCCCTCAAGGGGCTCTGTGTTTGTACGTTTCTTCGTGACTTCACATGAGCTGCACCCCTGCAACAAAGTGGCTCACAGAGGCTCATGTACAGCAGAGTCGACTTTCTATGGTTGTTGGTGTTGTTTAAAAATCAACAGAGAGGTCTTAGTGCATTGCTCAACAATTTTATTCCTAAGGAACCAGTGATGAATGAACCACAGGTAAGTATCATTGCTGGCCCAGTCATTCAGTCATTGAACTTAATAACATTTTATCTGCTCATTGAGTCTGCCAGGCACTCTTCTAAGTGCTTGGTGATGCTTTAATGACAACAGAAAAAAAAAAAGAAAGAAAAAAGAAAAAAAAAAACCAGATTAAAAGACATCCTGCCATTGTGGAGTTTACATTCTAGCATGGGGAAGAAGGAACAAGTAAAACAACAAACACCGCAAGTTATGTGGGTGACAGAAGATGAAAGAGGCTATGGAACAATACAGGTTGTACAGGCAGCATAACGGGGCTCAAAACTGAAGTCAAATTGTAACTTTAAATCATGCCTTTAACATGCTGTCCCTGATGCCTTTTCAGTTAAATGCTTTGGCTCCGACGTTCCCTTTTGGGCCGTCCCAGGCCTCCGTCATCCTGGAATCCGCTGCTGCTAATGGGAAATATGGAATTCAAATTTAATGGCCGTGTTCATTTTAATTAAGAACTCCTTTCCTCCAGTGACTAGCAAGCTAATTTAGCATGCTTTTTAATTAATAAGTTATTTCCCTAAGCTGGGTTCCTGGTCCAGTTGGACTGGCCAGTGTCTCAATTAGATTTGCCAGAAAAGTCATATATAAAATACTATTTAGGCTTACTAAGCTAACCTTTTAAGTTAAACCAGCCCCTTTACTGCTCATAAAAGGAAAGATAAACAGAATAAAAATGCTTTGTCATTACGATTTATGCACTGGGGTGATAGAAATCGCTCTCCAAATAAAGCAGAACTGAATGCTCTCCACCATGACCACATTGACGATATCATCTACTTGAGGTACGTATCCATCAGGAAGTTTCACAGAATCCAAGGTGAAAAAAATAGTATAATCTATCACCCCATTTCTTCCATGTACGCTAGTAATGCAGACCTGTGAGTATAAATAATGGAAATGATTATGGAAAAGCCCAATAAGCACTGTAACCAGCTTTGCACCTCCTCACCCTGGGTCCTGCATGAGTGCAGGTCACTTCGATGCAAATCATTGATTTCCAACCTGGTTGGCCCATTGCTAACACCAGGGGTGCTTTGTAAGGATACCCATGTCCACGCTCCACCTCAGACCAATTAAATCAGACTCTCTGGGAATGAGGCCTGGGTCTCTGATGAGAAATCCTGCTCTAAATATTACCAAAATATGTCCATTACCCTCTGTTGCCTTGAATTGCCTGTGCATATTCAGGCTTTAATAACCAAATCATTCTTAGCATCTACTGGTCAGCTCAAGTCCCACAACACACTCCGTTCATTCTTTCCCTATAGTTTTCTGGCACAAAGATTGTTTTTCTTCCTCCTGTCCTTGGAAGATTCTAATAACATTTGGGTATCGAGTAAAATGCACAATTTAGAACTTAATCATGTGCTTGTTCTATATAATTTTCTAATTATTTCCTTTGGAAAATTCTGCCTTTTCAATAAGAAAAGTGGCTCCTTTGTTGGCAAAGAATGTATTTCTTCATATTTTCTGGAATTCCCATTACACCCAACAGAATCCTGGGCACGAAAGTTACCACCAAAGGAAGGGTTCGCAGAAACTTATGGTGGGAGCAACAGGAAAGTAATTACCGCTTCCGCATGAATGCAATGGGTGGACTTCACAGAGCTTGCCTTGAAGTTTGAGAAGCCTGGTTCAGTGGAATATTCAACTTTTAACCAGTTACCTTTATAAGGCACAAAATCTAAAACAGCCATGGAGAAATGTGAGTGTCATGATCTCTTAACTAGGTCAGGTTTAATTTCACATGTTATTTGATAGTGTACTACTTTAAAGTCAGTTCTGCTAAATCTAAAGTCCATTTTGTGCATATTTAAACAGACACACTGTAAATCTCTAAGTTCAAAAAGTTTTAATCCTTAGGCATTGATTCTCCTCTACTGATTTAACAAATTTAAATGGAGCAAAGTGTGAACAGTGCATCACAGCCAATCTGATGGAGCAGCACATGTTTTACTAAACAACTGTTTGTGTTCCAACTCCTTAGTGAGAGGCAGTCAAACGTGTAGGTAAGAGCACAAGTTTGAACCTGGCCATGTGCGTTCGAATCTTGACACTGCCACTCACTCAGTTTGCAACCTTAGCCAAGGTGCTTAACTTCTCTGTGCCTCGTTTTCTTCATCTATAAAATGAGAAGCACGATAAGTCGCCTTCATGATACACAGCTGCTGTGAGAATTAGTTGATATGTGCGATACGCACAGAATCATCGCTGGCGCATAGCAACCACAAAATATCTGTTGATTGGTAGTAGTGGTAGCAGTACCACTAGGAAATGTTGTTACTTTCAGAATGAATCAATTTCCCCTGGTGTTGTGTTCCGCTGATGAACTCTTAAGTATGTGCCTTACAGGTTACAGTTAAGACCACTGAGTTTCAAACAGAAGTTTACAGTAAGTTAAAAGTGAGTCACAGGATAACAAAGGTACATGAAAGAATGTGGAGCAAATGGAAATCCCAACTGCAACTGAGACACTAAGTTGCCACAATGACTCCAGAAAACTAGCAATATCAACAAAGTGAAACATTTATTCACCTTAGGACCCAGCATTGTAGACTGATACAAGACACAGGGTTAGAACTCTTCTCTCTTTCTCTCTCTCTCTGTCTCTGTCTCTGTTAATTTACATACATTTCTTTTGTGTGGGTTTACTGTATATCTATGGGCCAATAACTCCAAAATGTATATGCCTCCAGCTCTAACCAACCTCAGGGTCAATTATCCATATGCTTACACCAATCTAACGTGTGTAAAGCTGAGTTGTTGGTATTCTCCGTATTCACCAACTTTTGTTTGCCTCAGTCGTCTATATCACAACTGGCAACTCCACCCTCACCACTGCTCAAACCAAAAACTTTGGAGGTACCTTGGACTCATCTTTTCTCCACATCAAAGATCTAATCCATTACCTCCTGGGTTCTTCTCTAACTTCAAAATATATCCAGAGTCAACTCAATCCTCAGGTTCTCCACTTCTCCATTTTCATTCACATCTCCATCATCTCTCACCAGGAATATTACAACGTTTTCCTGACTCCACCCTTCCCCTCATAGTCCCTTCTCGACAAAGCAGAGTCAACATCTTTAAACAAAATTCAGGTCAGAATCCTGCTTTTGCACCCAAGAAAACAAACTAGTAAGCTGCCTGGGGAAGCGGAGCTAATCTCCCCTTTTTTACCCAAGCTATATGGCAGCTGCAATAGACAAAAATAACACAAAAAAGTGTATCTTTGGGTATAAGCTAAATATTAGATCACATCTGCTGATTACAAAGAGAATTCAACAACACACACACACACACACACACACACAGAGCCAAAAGGCGCTATCTCCAATCTCACATGTGAAGCATTTGAAGTGTATTTTAAAATTAGGTACAGATCTTTTAAAATTAGGTACATATCTCTAATAACCAACTACAGACAAGAAACTTCTCTAGTAACCAACTACAGAAATGATCCCTGCAAGTATAGTCTTTGAAGGGTATTAAAAATAGTGTCTCTGTGTACTTGTAGGATTGTTTCCATGATTAGAAATTAAATTCTTATGTGAATGAAAAATATATCCAGGCATTACTGAGGGCATTGAACAAATGAACACACAATAGACGACAGCAGACATTTTATAATACTGCCTATTTGCCCCTATATTGTACATATTTTCAACTGGAAAGGTCTACCTCTAACATTGAAGAGCCATTGACTGAAGCCAAGTACACTGTAAGAGTTGTTCTAGGATTAAAATCCTCTCAAAAAATTAAGAATTACATCATATATCTCAAAATGTAAATCGTACCTTCAGAAACAATGTCTATGAAGAAATAAATGCAGTTACTAATATAAATAATGTCTTCACATATAGAAGTAACACATCCAATTAAAACTCTGGTTCCTGAGTCTGAGGGTCCAGCACCATAAAGATGGCGAGGCACAACATCCACCTGTAAGACTTAGGAAAGAGTTACTTCAAAAACAATACAAATTTAAACACGAGAACTTACATGATTAAAACACTTGTATTTGAAAATATTTTCAACAGCCATCCTAAACACTGGAGAATGTAGTTCACTTGATAAATGGACCATTGACTTGAGATGACAGTAAAAGTCATGTGCGTGCTTCAAGAATTGTGAAATGTATCCCAAAACATTAATTGCATACCCAAGTTTAATGTCCTTGTACCATTAGATTCCAAGATTAAAAAAAACCTTCCTTCGCCTGCAGAAATTCACAGTGAAATGATAGTAAAGTGGAAAGATATGTAGTCATAAGCAGATTGTGATGAAAGATAAAAAACTAGTTCAAAGATGGTTTCTGTGAATCATCTAGATGGAGAACATTTCAGACACGGAGAAAATAGGAGCATTGCTTGGGGGAAGTCAGACTAGTGCTGGGTTGTGAAAGAAGATAGAGGTGTAACATTGTAAACAGGGGTAGAGGAGCAGGGAGACAGAGAGGAAATACAACAGAATTTAGGAGCCTAGGGAGCAAAACCCTAACATCCGAGATCCAGGCCTAGGAGAGAGAAGCATGAGATAAAGTTGAAACAATAACCTCAACTGGGGGAGTTTCAATAACCAAGTCAAATTAGGGCTTTACTTTATCTACAATAGAGAGGCATACAAACCTTTTTCCTTATTGGAAGTGTAATAGTCCTTCTTTTATAATCCTTAAAACTTACAAAAATAATGCAAGTTCATTGTACTAAAAGTAAGGAAAAAAACAGATAAGCAGACAGCAAAAGGCGGTTACCCCATAATCCATATTCCATTACTAAGAGATCACCAGGGACTACATTTTGGCAGTAACACTGATTCTTATGTTTTTGTCTGTGCCATATATGTATGCCTGTTCTAAGAGTAAATTAGCATTGTATTTAGTATTAAAATATCACATTAAATGAGCACAAAAGTTTTTAAATAACAAGAGAGGACGGAAAGAGTCATAGGGAATCCCAATTAATGGATGTGCCGTAATTTACTAACCCAATTTCACATAATTGGACATTTCACTTGTGTCATAGCATTTGGACTACTTGCCTGACTTAACTATAGGATAAACTCCTAGGGTTGGAATTTGCTGATCAGAGACTTCTAATGGAAACTTGAGCCACTGAGTTATAAAGCATTTTTCATGGTTTTAAAAATAGCCTACTTTGCTGCTATTCCCATTTCTCAACTGGTGTCTTTCCAACTGTCAATACCAACCTGATGTTTATTTTCCCCTCACTTACTGTCATGAAGGAATGAAGCATTAGCCTCCCATCCACATATCTATCACCACTTCCGTCAGTATCGCAGTGGATGATCCACAGCACCCTCGGACCTCTCTGTTCCTTGACTCCACGCCAACTCACAGACATATGCAGACTAAAGCTTTGCCCATGTTTCGTGGCTCCCAACTCTGTCTCTTATGCCTTGCAAATACCACCAACACAATAGCAGGTACAGACATATTCAAATGTTTGCAATAATGTGTTGTACGACAGAAGTGGCATTTCAACAAAATGGGGGCTAAGTGGATTATCCAATTAATGTTCAGGGCAACTAAATAGCCAGTAGTGAAACAAGACACCCATCCTTCTCTCAGTCCTACACACGGAAAGCAAACCCAGGCTGACTGTATCTTTAGATGTAAATAAATGAATGACTTTCAGAAGAAAAGCTAAGTGAATACTAGTGTAAATTGTGTGTTAGAATTAGCCTAAGGAAACTTCCTGAGCCCAGAAGTCACATGGACAAGATGGACATATTTATAGTAGGTAAAAATTAAACAGATGGAGGAGGAGGGGAGCAAGATGGAGAAATGGGACTCTCCAGTGATTGTCCTCCTGTAGAAACATCAATGTGAAAAACTATCCTTGTATGAAAATACCATCACTTCAGAGAAGGAAACCAGGTGAGAGACCACGGTACCCAGTTATAGCATGAAAATAAGAAAAGATGCATTGAAGAGGGTAGTAAAGACAGTTTTACATTACCCATACCACCCCTTCCCCAACCTTCAACAGCACAGCATGGAGAGAGATACCATCCACCCGGAGGAGAGAGAGAGTAGCAAGCATAGGACATTGCCTGGGAACCTAATATCAGGCCTGTCACACATATACGCCATCACTTGACAGACGCCCATGGCCCCTGACTCCAAAATGGTACTTGTGGACAGAGTCTCTAGACTCATCCTGGCACCCGACAGGAAGCTGCAGCCATAGCAAAACAAACCCAATATCTGGCCCAAGTCTCTGCTGAGTTATTCCAGTGGACTTATGCTCAGAATAATCTACAGCAACAGTGAGTCCTCAGTGAATGAGTGGAGCCTTGGATTCCAGTCTCGCAAGGCACCAGCCTCAATAGCTAAGGGATTGCATGCCATTGCGGCATCTGTTGCTGTGTCCCTGTGATTAGGAAGCTCCCTAGTGCTTCAATAGCTGTAGCGTTCACAAGCATAAGGACCAAAAGAGACCTATATAGAGTTTCTGGACAGGCTTAGTGCCAAAGGATGTCCCCCAAAAGCTAGACTGTAAAGACTAAAATGAATACCTACTTCATCAATACCCAGATATAAACACATGATCACAAAGATGAAGAACAATAAGGAAAACATGACATCACCAAACTGACAAAACAAGGTGCCAGTAATTGACCCTAGAGAGATAGGAATGTATGAGTTGTTTAATAAATAATTCAAAATATCTATTTTCAGCATGCTCTGTGAACCTTGAAAACAATTACAGAGAAATGATTCAGAATTTAACAGAGGAATTTGAGAGAAAGATTGAAGGAATTTAAAAATCCAAACAAATCCTGAAATCAAAAAACACAATGAAGGAAATACACAATAGAGAACATCCAGAGGACAATTGATTGAGCAAAAGAAAGAATCTGTAAACTTGGAGACAGCTTCATTGAAAATATACAGTCAGAGGAGACAAAAGAAAAAGGAAGGACACGAAATGAAAATAAAAACTTACTGAATTTCTGGGACAATTATCAGCAGAGCAATAGTATGAATCTCTCACATTCAAGAGGGAGGAGAGATTGAAAAAGTGGTAGAAAGATTATTTAAAAAATAATAATGGAGAGCCAACTAAACCCACAGAAAGTTACAAACATCTGGGTACTGGACGACCAAAGTTCTGCATTCAGATGCAATCCAAATAAGATTACCCCACGACATATTAACATCAAACTGTCAAAGTTGAAAGAGAATGAGAGGATCCTGAAAGCAGCAAGAGGAAAGAAGCGAATCGTATACAAGGCACTTCTAATATGCCTACCAGAAGACTTCTCAGCAGAAGCGGAATAGGCCAGGAAAGAGTAGTATAGTATATGTAAGGAACTCAAGGAAAAAAAATCTCTAACCAAGAATAATGTACCCAGAAGTGAAGGGGAGATAAAGACTTTTACAGAGAAATCACAGCTGAGAAACTTCCTCATCACCACAACTGTCTTACAAGAAATGCTAGGGAGAGTTCTTCCAACTGACATAAGGGACGCTAATGAGTAACGCAAAAACATCTGAAGGTATAAAACTCACCAGTAAACGTAACTACACAAATTCAGAATACTCTAATAAGGTAATGGTGGTTTCCAGATCACTTATATCTTTCATGTAACAGATAGAGAACTGAACTAGTAAAAATAAAATAATTGCAATAATTTGTTGAAGGATATAAAATGTAATAAGTTGTAAAGTGTAAAATAGAGAACTCAAAATCTGGGGGTGGAGTTAAATGGTACAGTGTTTGTATTTTGTGATCAAAGTTATGTTATCAGTAAAATAAACTGCCGTGATTATGTTTTTGTAAGCCTCATGCTTACCACAAAGAAAAAATCCTGTAATAGACACATTAAAACAAATAAAGAAAACAAAACATACTAATAGAGAAAAATCTCTTATCCATCAAGGAAAACAGTAAAAGAGGAAGAAAGGAAGAAATTACCTACCAAATAGATAGAAAAATGTTATCTAAATGACAACAGTATATCCTTACCTATCAATAATTAACTTGATAGAAATGGATGACATTCTTCAACTAAAATACACAGAGTAGCTGAATGGATTTAAACAACAACAGCAACCAAACCTATGAGAGACCCACTTCTCCTTTAAGGACATTCGTAAACTGAAAGTGAAGACATGAAAAAAGATATTCTTCCATGTAAAGGGAAACCAAAAGAGAACAGGAGCAGCTAAACTGACTTCAAATAAAATAGGGTTTAAATCACAAACTGTAAAAAGAGACCAAGAAGGTCATTATATAATGGTGAAGGGGTCAATTCATGAAAAGGATATAATGATTTCCAAAAATATGCACCCAACATAGCAGCACCTAAATATATGAAGCCAATATCAAGGTCTAAATGGTGAGATAGAGTGCAATGCAATAATATTAGGGGACTTCAATACCCAACTTGCAGCAATGAACAGATTGTCCTGAAAGAACATTGACCCCCCAAAAAGTCGGGTTTATCTGCACTCCAGACCAAATGGACCTAACAGTCATTACAGAACATTCCGTCCAAATACTGCAAAACACGTATTCTTTCCAACTGCATGTGGAACATACTGGAGGATAGATTATGTGGAAGGTCATTGTAGGGTCCAGCTCCACAGGGTCGGTGGGTCTCTCCCCGTGTGTGGAGACGAGAGAGTGTAGAAATAAAGACACAAGACAAAGAGATAAAAGAAAAGGCAGCTGGGCCCGGGAGACCACTACCACCAAGTTGCGGAGACCGGTAGTGGCCCCAAATGCCAGGCTGCACTGATATTTATTGGATACAAGACAAAGGGGCAAGATAAGGAGAGTGAGCCATCTCCAATCATAGGTAAGGCCACGTGGGTCACGTGTCCACTGGACAGGGGGCCCTTCCCTGCCTGGCGGCCGAGGCAGAGAGAGAGAGAGGAGACAAAGAGAGAAACAACTTACACCATTATTTCTGCTTATTAGAGACTTTTAGTACTTTCACTAATTTTGCTACTGCTATCTAGAAGGCAGAGCCAGGTGTACAGGATGGAACATGAAGGCGGACTAGGAGTGTGACCACTGAAGCACAGCATCGCAGGGAGACGGTTAGGCCTCCGGATAACTGCAGTTGAGCCCAACTACTGTCAGGCCCTCCACAACAGGTGGAGGAGTACAGTCTTCTCTAAACTCCCCGGGGGAAAGGGAGACTCCCTTTCCCGGTCCGCTAAGTAGCCGGTGTTTTTCCTTGACACTGAGGCTACCACTAGACCACGGTCCGCCTGGCAACGGGCGTCTTCCCAGACGCTGGCGTTACCACTAGACCAAGGAGCCCTCTGGTGGCCCTGTCTGGGCATAACAGAAGGCTCACACTCTTGTCTTCTGGTCACTTCTCACTGTGTCCTCTCAGCTCCTATCTGTGTATGGCCTGGTTTTTCCTAGGTTATGGTTATAGAGCGAGGATTATTATAATATTGGAATAAAGAGTAATTGCTACAAACTAATGATTAATGATATTCATATATAATCATATCTAAGATCTATATCTGGCATAACTATTCTTGTTTTATATTTTATTATACTGGAACAGCTCGTGCTCGGTCTCTTGCCTCGGCACCTGGGTGGCTTGCTGCCCACAGGTCATAAAAAAGGTCTTAGGAAATTAAAGGAATTTGAAACAATATCAAATCACTTCTCTAACCACAATAGTAAAATACTAGAAGTGAATAAAATTAGGAACTTTGGAAACTTTAGAAGTGGATGGAAATTAAACAACATGCTCTTAAATAACTAATGGGTCAATGAGGAAATTAAAAGCGAAGTGTTAACATTTCTTGAGATGAAGGAAACTGAAGGCACAACATACAAAAACCCATGAAATACAGCAAAAGCAATTCTAAAAGTGAAGTTTACATCAATAAAGCCTACCTCAAAAGAAAAGATACATCTTAAATAAACAACCTCACACTCCACCTTGAATAACTAGAAAAAAAAAGAAAAAAATGCAATCCAAAGTAGGAGGACAGAAATCATAAACGTAAGAGCAGAAATCAATCAAATAGACATGAGAAGAACAATACAAATATCAATGAAACAATCAGTTGTTTTCTTGAAGAGGTAAACCAAATCAACAAAATTTTAGCTAGACTAAAAGAAAAAAGGGAGAATATTCAAGTAAATAAAATCAAAGATGAAAAAGGAGATAGTACAACTGACATCACCAAAATAAAACGGATCATAAGGACTATTGTAACAATCATCTGCCTACAAATAGGACAAGCTAGAAGAAATGGATACATTCCTGGACACATACAGCCTACCGAGATGTAATAGTGAAGAAATGGAAAATCTGTTCAGACAATTAACAAGTAAGGAAGGTGATTCAGTAATAAAAAAAAATCCCCCATCAATGAAAAGTCTAAGAGAGAATGGCTTCCCTTCCTAATACTACCAAAATTTCTATATAAAGAAGAAGAATTAATAGCTATACTTTTAAAACTCTTTCAAAAAAACAGACAAGAAAGGAACACATCCAAATGCATTCTATCACATCATATTACCCTGCTAGAAAACCCAGACAAAGAAACACAAAGAAGAGAAAACTGAAAAAAAAGAAGTGCCAAAATTCCTGATGAACATAGTTGCGAAAATCTTTAAGAAAGTATTAGTAAACCAAATTCAACAGCACATTAAAAACATCATTCACCGTGATCTAGAGGGATTCATCCCTGGGATGTAAGGAAGTTTCAACATACACAAATCAATAAATGTGACATATCGCATGAACAGAATGAAGCACAAAAGCCATAGGATCATTCCAATTTAAGCAGTAAAAGCATTTAACCAAATTCCACATCCCTACTTGATAAAAGCTCCACAAATTAGGTATAGGATGAGTGCACCTCAACACAATAAAGGTTGTATATGATAAACCCACAGGTAATGTCATACTGAATGGGGAAATGTTGCAGGCTTTTCCTGTAAGACCTAGAACAAGACAGAAAGCCCACTTTTGCCCATTCTATCGCACATAGTTCTGGAAGTGCTGGCCAGAGAAATTAGACAAGAAGAAACAAAAGGCATCTAAATTCAAAAGGAAGAATTTAGATTGGCCCTGTTTGCAGACTGGAAGTTCTTACATATAAATAACCCTGAAGACACCACCAAACAGCTACTAGGTCTAATAAACAAATTCAGGAAAGTGGCATGACACACAACCAACATGCAAGAATCAGTAGCGTTTCTATACACCAATAATGAACTATCCGAGAAAGATATCAAGAAACAATCCCATTTACAGAAAATTCAAAAAATAGAATAGGAATAAATTTAACCAAGAAGGTGAAGGATTGCAACACTGAAAACAATAAACCATTGACAAAGGAAATTGAATGAGGCAGGAATGAATGGAAATATATCATGTGTTCATGGACAGAAAGAATAAATATTGTTAAAGTGTCCATAACCTAAAGCAATCTACAGATCCAATACAACTGCTAAAAAAATACCAATGACATTCTTCTTGGAAATAGATGAAGCACTACTAAAATTTGTATGGAACCGTGAAAGATTCCAGATACCTGAAGCAGTCTGGAATACAAAGAACAAAGCTGGAGGCACCATACTACTTGATGTCAAAACATATGACAAAGCTACAGTAAGCATAACAGCTTGGTACCAGTATAAAAGCATATACTTCAACCAATGGAGCAGAATACACAGACTGGAATGAAATCCGTGCTTTTACAGTCAACTGATTTTCGACAAAAGGCCCAGGAACACACAATCTTGAGAAAGTACAGCCTCTTCAATAAATGATGTTGAAAATAACTGGATATTCATCTGAGAAAAATGAATTTCCACCCTTATCTCTCAGCATGTATGTAAATCAACTCAAAATGATTTAAAGCTTTAAAAGGAAGACCCAAAGCTATGAAACTACTAGAAGGATACATAGGGAGAAAAGCTCCATGACATTGTTCTGGGCAACAATTTTAAAAATAGGACCTCCAAAGTAAAGACAACAAAAGGAAAAACACACAAATGGGATTACATTGAACTAAAAAGGTTCTGCACCACAAAGGAAATGATCAAAGAGTGGAGAGACAATCTACAGGATAGGAAAAACATTGACAATCTATACATCTAGTAAGGGGTCAGTTTATAAAATGTATGAGTAACTCCAACTCAATAGCAAGAAAAAAAATAATCCTATTAAAAATGAGCAAAAGACCTGAATAGACATTTCTCAAAATGAGACATACAAATGGACAATGAGCATAAAAAAATCCTCACCTTCTCTAATCATCAGGGCAATGCAAATCAAAACCACAGAGATACTGCCTAACACATGTAAGAGTGGCTAACATTAAAAAGACAAGAGATAACAAGTGTTGACAAGGATGTGGAGAAATTGGAACCTTTATGCATGGTTGGTGGGATGTAAATTGTTACAGCCATTATGGAACACAGTATGGAGGGTCGCCAAAATTTTAACAATGGAACTATCACATGAATCCATGAATCCCTCTACTGAGCATGTATCCAAAGAGAGTGTCATCAGTGTGTCAAAGAGATGTCAGCACTTCCATGTTTATTGCAACCCTATTCACAACAGCCAAGAAACAAAAGCAATCTAAGTGTCCATCTATGGATGAGTGGATAAAGGAAATGTGGTGTAAATACACAATGGAATACTATTCAGCCATAAAACAGAACAAAATCTTGCCATTTGGGATAACATGGATGAACCTGAAGAACGATATGTAAGTGAAATAAGCCAGTCACATAAACACAAATAACTGCATGGTCTCATTCACATGCAGAATTTAAAAATTTGACCTCATAGCAGTGTAGAGTAGAATGGTGGCTGCCAGATGCTTGGGTTGTTAGGGTGGATGGAGGAATGAGGAGATGTTGGTGAAAGGACATATCATTACAGTTATATAGAAGGAACCTTTTTTATCTGTCCAGAATGGGCAAATATATACAAACAGAAAATGGATAAGTGATTTCCTGGGGCTGGATGTTGTAGGGGGAGGGGACAGTGGGGGATCGGGGAGAAAGGGGAAGACTATGAATGGTTATGGAGCTTCCTTTTACAGTGATGAAAATGTTCTAAAGTTGTTTGTGGTGATTGTTGCCTAACCCTGTGAAAAATCTAAAAACCACTGGATTGTACCCTGTAGATGGGAGAATTGCATGGTGAATCACGTGACTTATATCTCAATAAGGCTGTAAAAGAATGAAAGACATAAAGCAAAGAAAAAAGATGGTATCAGAGGAAATACTACAAGGACGTCACATACAAACTTTCCTATTACAAATCTAATTTTCCTACCATAGAGATAGCGGTAAATTTTCCTAATGTATAAGTAGGTCTAAGAAAGGAAACCTGCTGTAATCTCATTAAGATCCTTAATAATTCCAAGTGAACGATGAGACTGCTTTCCCCTTCTCATATTTGCAAAGATTTCAGATCGAGAATATTGTCGTCCTTGCCTATAGGGGCAGAGAGGCAGTCTCACCTCCTATTGCCGAGAGAATCAATTAGTACAGTACAGCTAAAGAATAATTTCATAGTAGCCACTGAATGGGTAAACATCTGGACTCAGGTGATGTTCTCAGGACTCCGTAAATCTGCCAAATGTTATTGAATTGTACCCTTAAGAGAGTTCTGTGGTTTGTGAACTATACCTCCATGAAGCTCTTTTTAATATGTTTACAAGGCACATGGTTTCACATAGCAATTCTACTGCTATGAATGCACACAATAGAAAACGTTTTTTTTACCTGATAAAGGAAGTTGCAGGATTGTCTAGAGTCCAATAATTAATATTGTTACCCATACTGTTTAAAGATTAGAAGAATAGATGAGTAATTTTTATGTTTTAAAGCAGATATCACTACAAATATTAGAACACAAGAACCTACAGCTTCAGAGGGGTGGGGCTTCAAATTGCAGTCTACATCCACTCTACGGATCACAGTAGAGATGTTGGATTAATACAAGAAAAGAAAGATGCAGAAAGAAAGCCCAATGGGATAAGACACAACTCCCAAACTCATGCACATTTCACCTTGATAGCTCTCAATCCATAAAGTATTTTATCTTCCTCCACAACCACATTAACTTTTTGTCCAACTTTTAGAGGCACGTTGCCAGTCACAACATCACTACTGAAGTAGATCGACTCATCAATCATGCCATAATCACCACAGAAATGTGCTTTTCCCATGTGGGAGAGAATTGGCTTGAATATACAGGGACCTGTCCCCACGAGTTTCTGGGGCTCCAGTGTTCTGCCATGGAGCTTCCAACTGGCCCCACGCCGTGAAGGCGTTGCAGATGTGCTGATATCAGATGCTTCTCAGCTCATTTAGGGATACATGCAATGAAGAAAATGAAATAAGATAATGATCTTTAGCCGGATCTGGCAAACTATGACCCTTCTGCCAATTCTGGCCTGATGCCTGCAATGATTCTCAAAACATAAAGTTCTATTTAGGTAACTGGAGCCTAATCAGGGACCAGTAGATTGTACCTAGTGTTCGTCTCATCATGATTATGCATACTGTTAATCAAAAAGGCACCTTGAAGTCTCTCATCATGATTGTGGTTTCATCCTCTAACCACCTGTAGCTTTTAGAGGTTCTGGTTCGTCATTTCACTCCTCTTGTGAGATGCATAAAAGTTTAATTATACATCTACCAAGGGGATATGTTCTATGAATGTAAACAACTCCTCTTTGTTATGCTTAGTGTGTAGTTCTCTGTTTTGTCAAAATTTCATATTCTACCTAATCAGCCCTATTTACAAGGATCCCTGTTCTCTTGGTGTTGGAGAATACAGTGTTTCAAATTGAAGCTCTTATATCTATTGGCAAACCTGAGGTTGCACGTACACCTCCATTACCAGCCCAGGAATATGGAGTTTATTCTATATTTTCCTCTTTCCACCTTTCCACATGTGTTCTTTCCTTCTCAGCTTTGGAGAAACCGACCTTCCATTATCCTCTGTGTATTTACTTCTTTGCACAATCCTACCGTATATGCTCTCCTACTGTGGACAACCTTCCATCTGTTCTCTAACTCCCTCTTCTCATGGACCCTGGCTTGCAGGAGTCCTTCTTGGAATCATTTTTTGGCAGGCTCCATGCCTGCCTTCCTAAACTTGGGTGCCCTGCTCTACAGGGATGGGAGGGCTAGAAAAAAGGCTCTCTGTTGCCTGTGGAACTCCTCACAAAACTGACTTTTAGTCACCACTTCATTGTAATAGTCACCCAGGACAACCTGGGTTAAGTGCTTCATGAGATTCTTTCTAGAGCTGCTGGCCTGGCCAGAAGAGTGAAGTCTTGGGCTTGGTTAAGGCCTATCGGTCTAAACATCCACAACTGAGGACTCAGATGAGTTAGCACTTGTGTTCATCTCATAAGAAGTGGAAGGGAGTGCACCCTGCTGGGGCAACCTCATCCTACAGCAATTTCACTTCCTCAGAGCTTTGCCCCAGTTAACCCTAAATATGTGGATTAGAAACTTCATTCACTAATCCTCTGTATAGTTGAAGGGCTACTGTATATACAAAGGGTGAAAAGCATATTATTTTTGAAGTTCCATTGAAAGGAAACAAAAAGTGGCCGAGCACGTTGGCTCACGCCTGTAATCTCAGCACTTTCGGAGGCTGAGGCGGGCAGATTACCTGAGGTCAAGTGTTTGAGACCAGCCTGGCCAAAGTGGTGAAACTTCGTCTAAAAAATACACACAAAAAAATTAGCTTGGCATGGTTGCATGCACCTTAGTCCCAGCTACTCGGGAAGGCTGAGGCAGAAGAATTTCTTGAACCCAGGAGGCGGAGGTCTCAGTGAGCCAAGAACATGCCACTGCACTCCGGCCTGGGCAACAAAGGGAGACTCCATTTCAAAAAAAAAAAAAAAAAAGAAAAAGAAAGAAAGAAAGAAAAGGAAACAAAAGGTACAAGTTATTCTGACAGCATAAAGAACATCCCTCACAGTGGCTGGGGGACTGAAAATCTGTGTTCCCCTAAAATTTCTTTGTAATTCCCAATGTAATCATATAGGGAGGTGGGGCCTTTGGGAGGCTATTAGGCTTAGATGGGGTCATGAGACTAGAGTCCCATAATGGGATTTGTATCCTTAGAAGTAGAGGAAGAGAAGCCAGCATTTGCTCCCACTCCTCCATGGAAGGAAATAGCCAGAAGGTGACCATCTTCAAGCCAGAAAGAGGGCCCTCCCCAGGAACCGAATCAGTCAGCACCTTATTCTTGGACCTTTTAGCCTCCAAAACTGTGCGATATAAATGTCCGTGGTATTGTGTTATAGCAGACCAAGCTAAGACAACAGAGAGCTGACATTGACATTCTGTGACAAATAGAAGCAATCTATACACTTATTGAGTTTTGAAAAACAAAGATATGGATTGGGAAAACTCCTATCCCATGAGGATCCCAAACTTCCCAAGGATGGAAATTTTCTCCATCTATTAACTCATAATGAATAACATACTTATTGGTACATGTCATCTAAAGCCTTGTCGCTCTATTCTTATAGAAATGTTTGTCTAATCACTAGTCCAACTCTTATTTCCAGCGTAGCTTTTCTAATGGAAGGAGTAACATTTTACTCCATGGTGCAATTCATGTACATAAGTGAGGCTGAGTCACTGATATGCAAGAGAACCCAATTTATTGGACGATTTTTGTTATAAGTTGCTCCTGTGGTCAGACTCCTGGGGACAGGTTGCAAAGCCAGGAAACAGCTGAGTTGAGCCGGGATCTAATGTCTTCTGAACTACAGCTCTTATGTTTACAGCCA
Organism: Homo sapiens; assembly: GCF_000001405.40. Classification (NCBI taxonomy): domain Eukaryota; kingdom Metazoa; phylum Chordata; class Mammalia; order Primates; family Hominidae; genus Homo; species Homo sapiens. The sequence continues at coordinate 135,199,124 of NC_000023.11, read as the reverse complement.
ACTGTAACATTATCCTGAATGAGGCCAAATCCTGTTTAGATAGATGCACGTAGGAAAGCAAAGTATTCAGATTTGGTGTGAATTGCCTTAAAACCAGATCCTTTCTCAGGTTGCCTGGAATGGTTCGGGATGTTACCCTTTTCTGATTCAATTAATTGCTGTGGTATTTATTGAGAACCTACCATGTGCCCAGCACTGTTCTAGATGCTGAAGGCCCAGAAGATGAAAAAAGCAACAACGTACAAAAGCTCTTCAGTCATGAAGCTGACATATAAGTGGGAAGAGACAGACAATAAATACTCTGATAAGCATATGAATAAGTAAGAATTTCTGTATAGCAGTTAGTGACAGAAAGAAAAGTAAGCAGGTGTTTGTGATAGGAGGTTTTTGATGGCAGTGACCACGGACTGATTGTTTTCAATATTTTCAGTCGGAGTCAGTCTCCCTGATTTGAGGGTGAAACATGCAGGTCATTAGAAGCCAAGAAGGCGAATCACATGTTTATATCTTTGCTGGAATCTGGCACTGAATGATTGCTTCATGGATACTTGTGAAGGTGTGCATTTTGTTCATGGGAGACAGTTAAAACATGAGAAGATTTAATGGGGTGCATGGCATCCCTGTTCAGAATTGCTGTTAATCTACTTTGTGTCCAGCCCTTGTATATGCCAAGCACTGGGCAAAGGGCCTTGGGACACACACGTCATTTAATGCTCACAAAGAATCCTATGAAAGAAGTCCCAGTAGCGTCGTGTCCATTCAACAGCCAAGTCAGGGACACAAACAGGAAAGAGGGGGCGCACAGCTGCTCTGTGGCCCAGTGGAATTCATCCCCTGGCATTCAGGTCCAGCAGCCATTTCTTATCTGATGTGTTCCGGGCCTCTGGAGGCACCTCCTACCACAAAGATCATTCACAGTGTTTCCAGCAGGTTGGTATAGAAGAGCCCCTTCTTTGTTCTGCAGTATTCTCTCAGCAGGGACCTGTCTTCCTGGTGCTGGAATCTACCTGTAGGTTGTCTGCCAGAGAAGATAGATTCCTACCTGAAGCTTCTGTTTGCAGAGAAGGCGATTTCTTAGCTCTTTCTAAGGCTATTCCTTAGCAGCAATCTCTCACTGCGGCATCCTTTATTAGCTCTATTTCTGCCAGCAGGGACACATGGAAGGGTTTTGGGCATATTTTTAAGTATCTGAGTGGCTGCTGTCTCTTTGGTTCTTTCTGCTTTCTTCTCTGCCATGATGGAAACTAAAAAATTTCACCCAGTGATGTTGTTTCAATCATTTGTTTTAGGTGCTGAGACTACAGGTATGTTTTCAAGGGATTGATAGTTTTTGCTGATGGATGGCATGGAGTGTGTAAAGAAAATGGAGAAAACTAAGGGTTATGGCAGGGATATGATGTTACCCACTGTGTGAACTGAGCTGACATCATCTGAGATGGAGCAGATTAAGGGAGGTTCAGGGGTTGGGAGAAGTTCCGGACATGTGAAATTTTGGACACCTTACCCTTGAGATGTCTACAGGACAAATATATGTGTGACTCAGTATATATATGGGATTGGGAGTTACCTGCATTTAGATGCCATGGGGCTGACATGTGGATAGAGAAGCCATTCAGGGCCTGGGCCCTGGAGCACTCCTGTGGGATCGTGATAGAGGGAAGAGCTCACAAAAGAGGCTGAGAAGGAGCCTTTCTGGGAGAGGGTTGTCACACAGAAGACCAAAGAACTTATTTCAAGAAATGGGGAGTCTACAACTGGGTCAAACACTAAGAGGTTGAGTGATGCGAGCCTAGTATATTGACCACTGGATTCGGTGACCTGGAAGTTTCCTGTCATCTTAAGAGCAAATTAGGGACATGATGTGGGTTAAAGCCTGATGCCAGAGGAATAAAGAGGGAATGGGAGCTCCGGAAGTGAGCAGAGGTGATTCTTGAAATAGCATTTGCTGTGGGGGGCAGGATGCAGAAGAATGGGACTGAAGGGGAAATGAGGCCAAGGAAGCTTATTTATCTATGTACATTTTTAAGATGGGAGTTATTTGTCTGTGAAGTTTTTAAGATGGGTGATTCTTGGGTATGTTTGCATGTTACTCCATTAGAGCCAAAGATAAAAAATGATTGTTGACACAGGAGGAAGAGAGGCAATAGCAATAGAAGCAACATCCTCAGAGAAAATGTGTCAAGAGAATGGTTCCATGTGCTCAGTGGAGGGTCAGCCCTGGGTAGGGGCTGAGATATCCTTCCATTGTTACAAGAGAGAAGGAAGAGGAAGCCAGGATGGGTGCCAGGAGGTTCACAGAGGAGCTCCTGTCTCACAGACTTTCTTTTCCCAGGAAATAAGAGGAAATGTCTGCCTATCTGTGTGTCTTAATTTTTTATTGACAATCATAGAATATTGGAGTAATCAAAATGTACAAGAGCAGTTGTTGTGGGTTGAATTTTGCCCCGAAAGAGATATGCTCTAGGTCTGAGTACCAGTACCTGTGAATGTGACCTTATTTGGAAATAAGGTCTTTGAAAAAAAAAATCAAGTTAAGATGTGGTCCTACAGCATTAGGGTTAATCATACACCCCTAATCCAGTGAGTGGTGTCCTTATATGAAGAGGGATATTGGTCACATAGACACACAGAGAGGAGCACCATGGGATGAAGGAGGAAGAGGTAAGACTGATGCATCTACAACCCAAGGAAAGCCGACCAATGACTGCTGGCAACCTACGGAATCTTGGAATAGATTCTCCCTCAGAGCTCGCCAGAAGGTACCAGCCTCACTGACACCTGGATTTCAGACACGTAGCCTGCAGAACTGCCAGAGAATAAATTTCTGTCATTTTAAGCCACCCAGTTGTAGTAATGTGTTGTGGCCTCCTTAGTAAATTAACACAGCTGTGTTATATTTTGAGCCATAGATAACCTTCAACTGATCCCTTCATCCAGATGATCATCTTTGGCAAAGATTTTGCCTGTGCTCACTGCAGGATAGGAAAGACAGGGTTTCACCCACAGTGCCCATGTATTGCATCAGAATCATCCAAACTGTTCTTCTTGTTTCATGCCCTGACTTCTTCCATCCTGTTCACAGCCAAGCACCTGGAGTGATCCCTGGAAGGCTCCAAACCCTTCAGGGACTTTACACATCATGGACAATAAAAGCCAGAGATATTCCAGTGCCCCACAAGGCCACACGCAGCCTGAACATCTATTACCTGTCTGTCCATAATTCCTACTCTTCTAGCTCTCACTGCCTCTGCTCCAACCACTTGGCGTTTCCTTGAACACATCAGGCACAGTCTTGCTGTACGGCCTTTGCACAAACTAAGCCCTCCATCTGAATGACTCTCTCCAAAATAGCTGCCAGGCTAACTCCAACATCTTTCTCAGCTATTGCTTTCCAATGAGGGCTACTCTGACCATGCTACTGTAAAGTGCAATCCAACCCACCATGCCCAGCACTGTGGATCCCTCTTGTCTTGCTATATTTTTCCACGGCATTTGTTGCCTTCCAACGTATCATATATTTTATTATGTGATGTTTGGTGTCGCCCTTTTGTCATCCTGTGAAAATACTACCCTCACAGGGCCAAGATTCTTGACTCTTTCATTCACTAACAAATTTTAAGAACACATAACAGTGTCTGGCTCACAGTTAGTGCTCTATAAATTTTTGCTGAATGAATGAATAAGGGTAATGTGTATAGCAGAATAATGTAGGTATAACTAGGTAAGCGATGAGTACATGGTAGCAATTATTATAAAAGGATTCGACTATAAATTATCACTGGACTCAAAACGGGAGTCCTAGTACAAAAGACACGTACTTGACATCACTAAAACATTGCATACCCACATGATGCCCTCTCTCCACAAAACTGATCCCTGCTGAGCAGTAACTATTAACCACCCACTGCCTAGTAAGTCCTTATGCTAAGCACCATGAATACAAGGGCAAGAGCAGGATTTTTGGTTGCACAGCTGGTGTTTCAGGCACCCATCCTGCCAGGGAACCTCACAGAAGTGCCCCGTGTCACCCGAGTACGCAGAACCCAAGCCCCCAAGCCATTTTCCCCATGCCATCCTAATGGCGCCCTCAGCCTTGATGGGAGAAGCCACGATGTTCCTGCCCACCACCTCTTAGTGGCGACAGGAACCTGCCCGCTCACTCACTGCATGCCCATTGGCTGGACAGTGGTAGAGGCAGGCCCTGACAAGCGCATGCCCAGAGGGAGGAGCCAGAGGGACACCTGCCAGCTCCTTGGGTGCCTGCGGTGTCCCTGGCTTTCCTGAGGGGGGCTCACTAACGGCTGGGTCCCGTCCCGCGGAGGCTGAGGAGAAGCAGGAGGCGAGTCCCTGAGGAGACGCCGTGACCTGAGGGCTTCCCTTACTGAGGAGGCCTCGTGCTTCATCTGTCACAAGCGGTGTCCAGGCCGGTGGTGACAACAGAGGCAATGCTCAGGCTTCTGAGACGTGCTTTGGCCTTCTTCCATAGTACAGCCCACCCCACAGAGCAGCAGCGCCCACAGCAGCAGGGCCCACAGCAGCAGGGCCCACAGCAGCAGGACCCACAGGAGCAGGGCCCACAGCAGCAGGACCCACAGGAGCAGGACCCACAGCAGCAGGACCCACAGCAGCAGGACCCACAGCAGCAGGACCCACAAGGAGCAGGGCCCACAGCAGCAGGGCCCACAGCAGCAGGACCCACAGGAGCAGGGCCCACAGGAGCAGGGCCCACAGGAGCAGGGCCCACAGCAGCAGGGGCTCCCAGAAGGTATTCCTCTGTGTGTTCCCTTGGCCCCCACCCCAGAAGCCTCCTAATAGGGGCTCTCCTCACCCCCGGTATGAGGATCTGGTGGCTCTGGCGGGTACAGCACGTGACGGCGGCTCCATCTTCTGTGCGTGCATGGGTAGGCGTCCTGCGTCCCCAACAAGTCCCTGAGAACCAACTCCCAAACTCTCCTGTCCATCTAAAGCGGGATGGTGTTGACAGAGACCACCTTGGGGGCTGTACCGCCTGTGGTTTTCCCCAACATGGATGTGCAGCACATGCCTATTTATATTTCCAGTAGGCAAGAAACTCCCTAATTGCGAGTGAATTTAGGCTTGTATCCCAAGCAGAAATTTAATTTGAAGCCAAGTGGATGCCTCATACATATCCGGTCCTGTAGGAGAGCAGAGAACCCGTTGTGCGGGCCAACTGCTGAGGTCAGATCCATAAATATTGCTGGTCAGCTAGGCTTGTGTAGAATTAAAAAGAGAGAGAGAGAGAGATAAAATGAAAAGGAGAAGGAGACCTTTTGGATGCCGTTTTGGGCTGGCCATCAATCTCCAGATATCTTTTAGTGCTTTGTCTGCTGAGATGGTTAAGTATCTATACAAGGTACTAGTCATTATGTTGGTGATAATGGTGGAGTGATATAGTAGGAGCAGAAGCTAAAAGACTCTCACATGTAGATATGGTGATAACAAGTAACATTTACACTCTCTTGTGCAAGACACTCCACAGCTCTCGACAGTTGATGTGCATGTGTCAGTTAATACAAGGCGGGCGCAGTGGCTCATGCCAGCTCTTTGGGAGTTCCAGGCGGGTGGATCACTTGAGTCCAGGAGTTTGAGACCAGCCTGAGATAACATAGTGAAACTCCGTCTCTACTAAAAACACAAAAATTAGCCGGGTGTGGCGGCATGCACCCGTCATCCCAGCTGCTCGGGAGGCTGAGACATGAGAACCACCTGAACCTGGGAGGCGGAGGTTGCTGAGAGCCGAGATCGCGCCACTGCACTCCAGCCTGGGTGACAGAGCCAGACTTTGCTCAAAAAATTAAAAATTACTTGAAAATTAAAAAATTTTTAAATTAAAAAAAAGAAAACTGCAACAACCCTATTAGGTGAAAATTTGATTGTTGTGGATTGACAGAAGAAAACAAAGTCAGAGACGTTAAAAAACTTCTCTGCCCAAGTTTATGCAGATGGTGAGTGTAAGACATATTTGTAGTAGATGTTTGCATTTGAGGCTAATAATGTGACTTTTGTTTCTTTATCTTGTAGGTGACACCCAGTTGACAACTGTGCAGGGAGTTGTCACAAGTTTCTGTGGTGATTATGGCGTGATTGATGAGTCGATCTACTTCAGTAGTGATGTTGTGACTGGCAACGTGCCTCTAAAAGTTGGACAAAAAGTTAATGTGGTTGTGGAAGAAGATAAAATACTTTATGGATTGAGAGCAATCAAGGTGAGATGTGCATGAGTCTGGGAATTGTGTCTTATCTCAATGGGTTTTCTTTCTCCATCTTTCTATTCTTGTATTAATGCAACATCTCTACTGTGATCCGTAGAGTGGATGTAGACTGCAATTTGAAGCCCCACCCCTCTGAAGCTGTAGGTTCTTGTGTTCTAATATTTGTAGTGATATCTGCTTTAAAACATAAAAATTACTCATCTATTATTCTAATCTTTAAACAACATGGGTAACAATAATAATTATTGAACTCTATACAATCCTTCAACTTCCCTTATCAGGTAAAAAACCATTTTCTGTAGTGTGCATTCATAGCAGTGGAATTGCTATGTGAAACCATGTGCCTTGTAAACATTTTAAAAAGAGCTTCATGGAGGTATAGTTCACAAACCACAGAACTCTCTTAAGGGTACAATTCAGTAACATTTGGCAGATTTACAGAGTCCTGAGAATATCACCTGAGTCCAGATATTTACCCATTCAGTGGCTATTATGAAATTATTCTTTAGGTCTACTGTACTAATTGATTCTCTCAGCAATAGGCAGTAAGACTGCCCATCTGCCCATATAGGCAAGGACAACAATATTATCAATCTGAAATCTTTGCAAATATGAGAAGGGAAAAGCAGTCTCATCATTCGTTTGGAATTATTAAGGATCTTAATGAGATTACAGCAAGTTTCCTTTCTTGGACTTATTATACAATAGGGATATTTATGGCTATCTCTATGGTAGGAACATTAGATTTGTAATAGGAAAGTTTGTATATGACGTCCTTGTGGCATTTCCTCCGATACCATCTTTTTTCTTTGCTTTATATCTTTCATTCTTTTACAGCCTTATTGAGATATAGGTCACGTGATTCACCATGCAATTCCCCCATCTACAGGGTACAATCCAGTGGTTTCTAGTTTGTTCACAGTGTTAGGCAACAATCACCACAAACAACTTTAGAACATTTTCATCACTCAAAAAGGAAGCTCCATAACCATTCATAGTCTTTTCCCATTTCTCCCTGATCCCCCAACTGTCCCCTCCCCCTGCAACATCCAGCCCTAGGAAATCACTTATCCATTTTCTGTTTATATATATTTGCCCATTCTGGACAGTTAAAAAAGGTTCCTTCTATATAACTGTAATGATATGTCCTTTCACCAACATCTCCTCATTCCTCCATCCACCCTAACAACCCAAGCATCTGGCAACCACCATTCTACTCTACACTGCTATGAGGTAAACTTTTTTTATATTATGCATGTGAATGAGACCATGCAGTTATTTGTGTTTATGTGACTGTCTTAGTTCACTTACATATCATTCTTCAGGTTCATCCATGTTGTCCCAAATGGCAAGATTTTATTCTGTTTTATGGCTGAATAGTATTCCATTGTGTATTTATACCACATTTCCTTTATCCACTCATCCGTAGATGGACACTTAAATTGCTTTTGTTTCTTGGCTGTTGTGAATAGGGCTGCAATAAACATGGAAGTGCTAACATCTCTTTGACACACTGATGACACTCTCTTTGGATACATGCTCAGTAGTTCATGGATTCATGTGATTCATGGATTCATGTGATAGTTCCATTGTTAATATTTTGGAGAACTTCCATACTGTTTTCCATAATGGCTGTAACAACTTACATCCCACCAACCGTGCATAAAGTTTCCAATTTCTCCACATCCTTGCCAATACTTGTTATCTCTTTTCTTTTTAATGTTAGCCATTTTAACATGTGTCAGGCAGTATCTCTGTGGTTTTGATTTGCATTGTCCTGATGACTAGAAAAGGTGAGCATTTTTTTAATATGCCTGTTGGCCATTTGTATGTCTCCTTTTGAAATATGTCTATTCAGGTCTTTTGCTCATCTTTAATAGGATTATTTGTTTTCTTGCTATGAGTTGTTGGAGTTACTCATACATTTTGGAAACTGACCCCTTACTAGATGTATAGATTGTCAGTGTTTTCTGCTATCCTGTAGATTGTCTCGCCACTCTTTGATCATTTCCTTTGCGGTACAGAAGCTTTTTAGTTCAAAGTAATCCTATTGTCTGTTTTTCCTTTTGTTGCCTTTGCTTTTGAGGTCCTATTTTTAAAATGTCATTGCCCAAAACAATGTCATGGAGCTTTCCCCCTATATCTCTATCTAGTAGTTTCATAGCTTTGGGTCTTCATTTTAAAGCTTTAAATCATTTTGAGTTGATTTATATACATGCTGAGAGATAAGGGTGGAAACTCATTTTACTCAGATGAATATCTAGTTATTTTCAACATCATTTATTGAAGAGAGTGTACTTTCTCAACATTGTGTGTTTTCGGGCCTTTTGTTGAATATCAGTTGACTGTAAATGCACGAATTTCATTCCGGGCTCTGTATTCTGCTCCATTCGTGGATGTACCCACTGGTACTATGCTGTTATGCTTACTATAGCTTTGTCATATGCTTTGACATCAAGTAGTGTGATGCCTCCAGCTTTGTTCTTTGTATTCCAGACTGCTTCGACTACCTGGAATCTTTTGCGGTTCCATACACATTTTAGGAGTGTTTCTTTTATTTCCAAGAAGAATGTCATTGGTATTTTCATAGCAGTTGCATTGAATCTATAGATTGCTTTAGGTTACGGACATTTTAACAATATTTATTCTTCCTGTCCACGAACACATGATACACTTCAATTCGTTCCTGCCTCCTTCAATTTGCTTCATTAATGGTTTATAGTTTTCGGCGTTGCAATCCTTCACCTCCTTCGTTAAATTTATTCCTATTTATTTTTTGAAGGTGTTTTAAATGGGATTGTTTCTTGATATCTTTTTCAGATAGTTCCCTATTGGTGTATAGAAATGCTACTGATTCCTGTGTGTTGGTTGTGTATCTTGCCACTTTCCTGAATTTGTTTATTAGACCTTGTAGGTTTTTCATGGTGTCTTCAGGGTTATTTATAAGTAAGAGCTTCCCGTCTTCAAACAGGGCCAATCTAAATTCTTCCTTTTGAATTTAGATGCCTTTTGTTTCTTCTTGCCTAGTTTCTCTGACTAGTACTTCCAGAACTATGTGCGATAGAAAGGGCAAAAGTGGGCATTTCTGTCTTGTTTTAGGTCTTAGAGGAAAAAAGACTGCAACATTTCCCCATTCAGTATGATGTTACCTGTGGGTTTATCATATATGACCTATATTGTGTTGAGGTGCACTCCTCCTATATCTAAGTTGTGGAGTTTTTATCACGAAGGGATATGGAATTCGGTTAAATGCTTTTCCTGCTTAAATTGGAATGATCCTATGGCTTTTGTGCTTCATTCTGTTCATGTGATATAGCACATTTATTGATTTGTGTATGTTGAAACTTTTTTGTATCCCAGGAATGAATACCTCTGGAACATGATGAATGGTGTTTTTAATGTGCTGTGGAATTTGGTTTACTAACACCTTCTTAAAGATTTTTGCAACTGTGTTCATCAGGAATTTTGGCATGTAGTTTTCTTTGCTTTTTTCTTTTTTGTGTTTCCTAGTCTGGGTTTTCTACCAGGGTAACGCGGGTGTGATAGAATGCATTTGGAAGCGTTCCTTTCTTATCATTTTTTTGGAATAGCATTAAAAGTATAACTATTAATTCTTCTTCTTTATATATAAATTTTGGTAGTATTACGAAGGGAAGCCATTCTGTCTTAGACTCTTCATCGATGGGAGATTTTTTATTACTGAATCACTTTCCTTACTTGTTAATGGTCTGTTCAGAATTTCCATTTCTTCATCATTACATCTTGGTAGGTTGCATGTGTCCAGGAATGTATCCATTTCTTCTAGCTTGTCCTGTTGTAGGTAGATGATTGTTCATAATAGTTCTTATGATGCGTTTTATTTTGGTGATGTCAGTTTTGGTTTCTCCTTTTTCAACTTTGCTTTTATTTATTTGAATTTTCTCCCCTTTTTCCTTTAGTCTAGCTAAGGTTTTGTTGATTTGGTTTACCTCTTCAAGAAACCAACTGATTGTTTCATTAATATTTGTATTGTTCTTCTCATGTCTATTTGATTTATTTCTGCTCTGCCCTTTATGATTTCTGTCCTCCTACTTTTGGATTGCATTTTTTTCTTCTTTTTTTTTCTAGTTCCTCAAAGTGTGGTGTGGGGTTGTTTATTTAAGATGTATCTTTTCTTTTGAGGTAGGCTTTATTGATGTAAACTTCACTTTTAGAATTGCTTTTGCTGTATTTCATGGGTTTTTGTATGTTGTGCCTGCAGTTTCCTTTATCTCAAGAAATGTTAACACTTCGCTTTTAATTTCCTCATTGACCCATTAGTTATTTAAGAGCATGTTGTTTAATTTCCATCCACTTCTAAAGTTTCCAAAGTTCCTAATTTTATTGATTTCTAATACTTTACCGTTGTGGTTAGAGAACTGATTTGATGTTATTTCAAATTCCTTTAATTTGCTAAGACCTGTTTTATGGCCTGCCCCATAATCTATCCTCGAGAATGTTCCACATGCAGTTGGAAAGAATATGTGTTTTGGAGTATTTGGATGGAATGTTCTGTAAATGACTGTTAGGTCCATTTGGTCCAGAGTGCAGATAAATCTCACTTTTTGTGGGGTCAGTGTTCTGTCTGGACAATCTACTCATTGTTGCAAGTTGGGTGTTGAAGTCCCCTACAGTTATTGCATTGCAATCTGTCTCACCATTTAGACCTTAATATTTGCTTCATATATTTAGGTGCTGCTATGTTGGATGCATATTTTTGGAAATCATTATATCCTCTTGATGAATTGATCCCTTCATCGTTATATAATGATCTTCTTGTTCTTTTTACCGTTTGTGATTTAAAGCCTATTTTATTTGAAATTAGTTTAGCTGCTCCCCTTCTCTTTTGGTTTCCCTTTACATGGAAGAATATCTTTTTTCATGCCTTCACTTTCAGTTTACGAATGTCCATTAAGGAGAAGTGGATCTCTCATAGGTTTGGTTGTTGTTGTTGTTGTTGTTGTTGTTGTTGTTTAAATACATTCAGCTACTCTGTGTATTTTAGTTGAATGTCATCCATTTCTATCAAGTTAATTATTGATAGGCAAGGATTTACTGTTGTCATTTAGATAATTTTTTCTACTTATTTTATAGGTAATTTCTTCCTTTCTCTTTTACTGTCTTTCTTGATGAATAAGAGATTTTTCTCTATTAATATGTTTTGTTTCCTTGATATTTTAAAATGTGTCAATTACATGATTTTTTTCTTTGTGGTTAGCATGAGGCGTACAAAAACATAATCACAACAGTTTATTTATTGATAATATAACTTTGATCACAAAACACAAACACTCTACCATTTAACTCCACCCCCAGATTGAGTTCTGTATTTTACACTTTACAACTTTTTATATTTTATATCCCTTAATGAATTATTGTACGTATTTTATTTTTACTAGTTCCTTTTTTAACTGTTACATGAAAGATATACATGATCTGGACACCACTGTTACCTTAATAGAGTATTGTGAATGTGTGTGGTTACTTTTACTAGTGAGTTTTATACCTTTAGATATTTTTGCATTACCCATTAGCGTCCCTTATGTCAGTTGGAAGAACTCTCCATAGGATTTCTTGTAAGACAGTTGTGGTGGTGAGGAAGTTTCTCAGCTGTGATTTCTCTGTAAAAGTCTTTTTCTGCCCTTCACTTCTTGGTACATTATTCTTGGTTAGTCATTTTTTTCCTTGATCTCCTTGAATGTATCATCACACTCTCTCCTGGCCTGTTATGCTTCTGCTGAGAAGTCTTCTGGCAGGCATATTGGAACTGCATTATATGTGATTTGCTTCTTTCCTCTTGCTGCTCTCAGGATTTTTTCTTTATTTTTCATCTTTGAGAGTTTGATTTTAATATGTCATGCGTAATCTTATTTGGATTGTATCTGAATGCAGAACTTTGGTCGTCCAGTACCTAGACGTTTATAACTTTCTCTGGGTTTGGATGGATCCCCATTATTAATTTTTAAATAATCTTTCTACCTCTTTTTCACTCCTCCCTCTTGAACATGAATGACTCATACTATTGCTCTGCTGATAATTGTCCCAGAAATTCAGTAAGTTTTATTTTCATTCCATATCCTTCCTTTTAATTTTGTCTCCTGTGACTGTATATTTTTAATGAAGCTGTCTCCAAGTTTACAGATTCTTCATTTTGCTCGACAATTTTCCTGTGGATGTTCTCTATTGTATACTTCCTTCATTGTATTTTTTGACTTTTGTATTTGTTTGGTTTTTTAAAATTCTTTCAATATTTCTTTCAATTTACTCTGATAAATTCTAATCATTTCTCTGTAGTTGTTTTCAAGGTTCACAGAGCATGTGGAAAATAGATATTTTGAATTATTTATTAAACAACTCAAACATTCCTATCTCTCTAGGGTCAATTACTGGCACCTTGTTTTGTCAGTTTGGTGATGTCATGTTTTCCTTATTGTTCTTGATCTTTGTGGTAATGTGTTTATATCTGCGTATTGAAGAAGTAGGTATCCATTTCAGTCTTTGCAGTCTAGCTTTTAGGGGACATCCTTTAGCAGTAAGCCTGTCCGGAAACTCTATATAGGTCTCTTTTGGTCCTTATGCTTATGAACACTACAGCTATTGAAGCACTAGGGGGCCTCCTAATCCCAGGGACACAGCGACAGATGCTGCAATGGCATGCATTCCCTTAGCTGTTGAGACTGGTGCCTTGCAAGACTGGAATCCAAGGCTCCACTCATTCACAGAGGACTCCCTGTTGCTGTAGAATATTCTGAGCATAAGGCCACTGGAATCACTCGGCAGAGATGTGGGACAGGTATTGAGTTTGTTTTGCTGTGGCTGTGGCTTCCTGTCTGTTGCCAGGGTGGGTCTAGAGACTCGGTCCACAAGTACCATCTCAGAGTCTGGGGCCATGGGCCATGGGCGTTTGTCAAGTGGTGGCATATAGTGTGGAAGGCCTGATATTGGGTTCCCAGGCAATGTCCTATGCTTGCTACTCTCTCTGTCCTCCGGGTGGATGGTATCTCTCTCCATGCTGTGCTGTTGAAAGTCGGGGAAGGAGTGATGTGGGTAATGTAAAACTGTCTTTACTACCCTCTTCAATGCATCTTTTCTTATTTTCATGCTATAACTGGGTACTGCGGTCTCTCACCTGGTTTCCTTCTCTCAAGTGATGGTATTTTCATACAAGGATAGTTTTTCACATTGATGTTTCTGCAGGAGGACAATCACTGGAGAGTCCCATTTCTCCATCTTGCTCCCCTCCTCCTCCATCTGTTTAATTTTTACATACTATAAATATGTCCATCTTGTCCATGTGGCTTCTGGGTTCAGGAAGTTTCCTTAGGCTAATTCTAACACATAATTTACACGAGTATTCACTTAGTTTTTCTTCTGAAAGTCATTCATTTATTTATATCTAAACGTACAGTCAGCCTGTGTTTACTTTCCATGTATAAGACTGAGAGAAGGATCCGCGTCTTGTTTCACTACTGGCTATTCAGTTGCCCTAAACGTTAATTGTATAATCCACTTTGCCCCTATCGTATTGAAATGCCACTTCTGTCATACAACGCATTATTGCAAACATTTCAATCTGTCCGTACCTGCTGTTGTGTTGGTGGTATTTCCAAGGCATAAGAAACAGAGTTGGGAGCCATGAAACATGGGCAAAGCTTTAGTCTGCATATGTCTGTGAGTTGGCGTGGAGTCAAGGAACAGAGAGGTCCGAGGGTGCTGTGGATCATCCACTGGGATACTGACGGAAGTGGTGGTAGACACATGGATGGGAGGCTAATGCCTCATTCCTTCATGACAGTAAGTGAGGGGAAAATAAACATCAGATTGGTATTGACAGCTGGAAAGACACCAGTTAAGAAATGAGAATAGCAGCAAACTAGGCTATTTTTAAAACCATGAAAAATTATTTACAACTCAGTGGCTCAAGTTTCCATCAGAAGTCTTTGATCTGCAAATTCCAACCCTAGGAGTTTATCCTATAGTTAAGTCAAGCAAGTAGTACAAATTTTAAGACAAAAGCGAAATGTCTAATTACGTGGAATTGGGTTAGTAAATTACGGCACATCCATTAATTGGGATTCTCTATGAGTGTTTCTGTCCTCTCTTGTTATTTGAAAAACTTTGTGTTCATTTAATGTGATACTTTACTACTGAATACCATGCTAATTTGCTTTTAAAATGAGTATTTACATATGTATATATATTTGTGCACAGACAAAAACATCAGGATGAGTGTTACTGAGAAAATGTAGTCCCTGGTGGTCTCTTGGTAATGGAATATGGATTATGGTGTAACCGCCTTTTGCTGTCTGCATATCTGTTTTTTTTTTCCCCTACTTTTAGTACAATGAACTTGCATTATTTCTGTAAGTTTTAAGGATTATAAAATAAGGACTATTACACTTCCAATAAGGAAAAAGGTTTGTATGCCTCTCTATTGTAGATAAAGTAAAGCCCTAATTTGACTTGGTTTATTGAACCTCCCCCAGTTGAGGTTATTGTTCCAACTTTAACTTGAACTTCTGTCTCCTAGACCTGGATCTGGAATGTTAGGGTTTTGCTCCCTAGGCTTCTAAATTGTGTTGTTTTTCCTCTCTGCCTTCCTGCTCCTCTACTCGTGTTTACAAGTTTACACCTCTGCCTTCTTTCACAACCCAGCACAAATCTGACTTCCCCCAAGCAATGCCGCTATTTTCTCCCTGTCTGAAATGTTCTCCGTTTAGGTAAGTCACAGAAACTATCTTTAAACTAGTCTTATATCATTCATCACAACCTGCTAAGACTACATATCTTTCCATTTTACCGTCATTTCACTGTGAATTCCTTTAGGTGAATGACGGTATTTTTTAAATCTGGGAATCTAATGGTACAAGGGCATTAAACTTGGGTATGCAATTAATGTTTTGGGATACATTTCACAATTCATGAAGCACACACATGATTTCTACCATCATCTCAAGTCTATGGTCCATTTAGCACGTGAACTATATTCACCAGTGTTAAGGATGGTTTTTGAAAATATTTTGGAATACCAGTGTTTTAACCATGTAAGTTCCTGTGTTTAAATTTGTATTATTTTTGAAGTAACTCTTTCCTAAATCTTACAGGTGGATGTTGTGCCTCACCCTCTTAACGATGATGGACCCTCAGACTCAAAAATCAGAGTTTTAAATGGATGTGTTACTTCTATAAGTGAAGATACTGTTTATATTAGTAACATCATTTATTTCCCTATGGACATTGTTTCTGAAGGTATGACTTACATTTTGTGATATATGATGTAATTCTTAATTTTTTGAGTGGATTTTAGTCCTAGAACAAATTTTACAGTGTACTTGGCTTCAGCCAATGGCTCTTCAATATTACAGGTAGACCTTTCCAATTGAAATTATGTACAATATAGGGGCAAATAGGAAGTATTTTAAAATGTCTGCTGTCGTCTATTGTGCGTTCATTTGTTCAATGCCCTCAGTAATGCCTGGATATATTTTTCATTCACATAAGAATTTAGTTTCTAATCATGGAAACAATCCTACAAGTACACAGAGACACTATTTTTAATACCCTTCAAAGACTATACTTGCAGGGATCATTTCTGTAGTTGGTTACTAGAGAAGTTTCTGTGACAGGGCACAGTACCAAATTTTAAAAGAATGCACTTCAAATCTTCAAAGTTAGGATTGGAGATAGTGCTTTGTGGCTGTGTGTGTGTGTGTGTGTGTGTGTGTGTGTGTTGTGGAATTCTGTTTGTAATCAGCCGATATGTTCTAATATTTCGCTTATAACCAAAGATACACTTTTTTTTTTTGCTATTTTTGTCCATTGCAACAGTCATATAGCTTGGGTATGAAAGGGGAGATTAGCTCCACTTCCCCAGGCAGCTTGCTAGTTTGTTTCCTTGGATGCAAAAACAGGACCCTGACCTGAATTTTGTTTTCAGATGTTGACTCTATCTGCTTTGTCGAGAAGAGACTATGAGGGAAGGGTGGAGTCAGGAAATTGGTCAGGAAACCGTTGTAATATTCCTGGTGAGAGATGATGGAGATGTGAATGAAAGTGGAGAAGTGGAGGACCTGAGGATTGAGTTGACTCTGGATATATTTTGAAGTTAGAGAAGAACCCAGGAGGTAATGGATTAGATCTTTGATGTGGAGGAAAGATGAGTCCAAGGTACCTCCAAAGTTTTTGGTTTGAGCAGTGGTGAGAGTGGAGTTGCCAGTTTGTGATGCAGACGACTGAGGCAAACAAAAGTTGGTGAATATGAAGAATACCAACAACTCAGCTTTGCACACATTAGATTGGTGTAAGCATATGGATAATTGACCCTGAGGTTGGTTAGAGCTGGAGGCATATACATTTTGGAGTTATTGGCCCATAGATATACAGTAAACGCACACAAAAGAAATGTATGCAAATTAACAGAGACAGACAGAGAGACAGAAGTCTAACACTGTGTCTTGTATCAGTCTACAATGCTGGGTCCTAAGGTGAATAAATATTTCACTTTGTTGATATTGCTAGTTTTCTGGAGTCACTGTGGCAATTTACGGTCTCAGTTGCAGTTGGGATTTCCATTTGCTCCAGATTCTTTCACGTACATTTGTTATCCTGTGAGTCACTTTTAACTTATCGTAAACTTCTGTTTCAACCTCGATGGTCTTAACGGTAACCCTTAAGGCACAGACTTAAGACACCGCATGTTCTCACTCATAGGTGGGAATTGAACAATGAGAACACTTGGACACAGTAAGGGGAACATCACACACCCGGGCCTGTTGTGGGGTGGGGGGAGTGGGGAGGGAAAGCATTAGGAGATATACCCAATGTAAATGACGAGTTAATGGGTGCAGCACATCAACATGGCACATGTACACATATGTAACAAACCTGCACGTTGTGCACATGTACCCTAGAACTTAAAGTATAATAATAATAATAATAATAATAATAATAATAATAAAAAGAGTTCATCAGCGGAACACAACACTAGGGGAAATTGATTCATTCTGAAAGTAACAACATTTCCTAGTGGTACTGCTACCACTACTACCAATCAACAGTTATTTGGTGGTTACTATGCACCAGTGATGATTCTGTGTGTATCAACGATATCTATTAAGTGTCACAGCAGCTCAGTATCTTGAAGGCTACTTATCGTGCTTCTCATTTTATAAATGAAGAAAACGAGGCACAGAGAGATTAAACATCTTGGCTAAGGTTACAAACTGAGTGAGTGGCAGTGTCAAGATTCAAATGCACATGGCCAGGTTCAAACTTGTGCTCTTACCTACATGTTTGACTGCCTCTCACTAAGGAGTTGTGAACACGAACAGTTGTTTAGTAAATCC
Source organism: Homo sapiens (assembly GCF_000001405.40). Lineage (NCBI taxonomy): Eukaryota > Metazoa > Chordata > Mammalia > Primates > Hominidae > Homo > Homo sapiens. The sequence goes on along the minus strand of NC_000023.11, from coordinate 135,181,528 downwards.
TGTGCTGTTCCCTCAGATTGGCTGTGATGCACAGTTCACACTTTGCTCCATTTGACTTTGTTAAATCAGTAGAGGAGAGTCAATGCCTAAGGATTATAAACTTCTTCTTGAACTTACCGATTTACAGTGTGTCTGTTTAAATATGTGCAAAAATGACTTTAGGTGTTGCAGAACTGACTTTAAAGTAGTACACTATCAAATAACGTGTGCAATTCAAGATGACCTAGTTAAGAGATCATGACACTCACATTTCTCCATGGCTGTTTTAGATTTTGTGCCTTATAAGGGCAACTGGTTAAAAGTTGAATATTCCACTGAACCAGGCTTCTTAAACTTCAAGGCAAGCTCTGTGAAGCCCACTCGTTGTATTCATGCGGAAGCGGTAATTTCTTTCCTGTTGCTCCCATCATCGGTTTCTGTGAACCCTTCCTTTCGTGATAATTTTCGTGCCCAGGATTCTGTTGGGTGTAATGGGAATTCCAGAAAATATGAAGAAATACATTCTTTGCCAACAAAGGAGCCACTTTTCTTACTGAAAAGGCAGGACTTCCCAAAGGAAATAATTAGAAAATTATGTAGAACAAGCATATTAATCGATTAAGTTCTAAATTGTGCATTTTACTCAATACCCAAATTTTATTAGAATCTTCCAACAACAGGAGGAAGAAAAACAATCTTTGTGTCAGAAAATTGTAGGGAAAGAATGAACGGAGTGCGTTGTGGGACTTGAGCTTAACAGTAAATGTTGAGAATGATTTGGGTATTGGAGCCTGAACATGACCAGCAAATTCAGGGCAATAGAGGGTAATGGACATATTTTGGTAATATTTAGAGCTGGATTTCTCATCAAAGACCCATGCCTCATCCCTGGAGAGCCTGTTTTAATTGGTCTGTGGTGGAGTGTGGACATGGGTATTCTTACAAAGCACCCCTGGTGTTAGCAATGGGCCAACCAGGTTGGAAATCAATGATTTGCATTGAAGTGACCTGCACTCATGCAGGACCCAGAGTGAGGAGGTGCAAAGCTGGTTACAGTGATTATCGGGCTTTCTCATAATCATTTCCATTATTTATACTCACAGGTCCGCATTACTCACATACGTGGAAGAAGTGGGGTGATAAAGAATACTATCTTTTTCACCTTGGATTCTGTGAAACTTCCTGATGGATACGTACCTCAAGTAGATGATATCGTCAATGTGGTCATGGTGGAGAGCATTCAGTTCTGCTTTAAGTGGAGAGCGGTTTCTATCACCCCAGTACAAAAATCATGACAAAACATTTTTATTCTGTTTATATTTCCTTTTAAGAGCAGTAAAGGGGCTGGTTTAACTGAAAAGGTTAGCTTAGTAAGCCTAAATACTATTTTACATATGACTTTTCTGGCAAATCTAATTGAGATACTGGCTAGTTCAATTGGACCATGAACCCAGCTTAGGGAAGTGCCTTATCAATTAAAAGCATGCTAAATTAGCTTGCTAGTAGTCACTGGAGGAAAGGAGTTCTTAATTAAAATGAACACTGCCATTAAATTTGAATTCCATATTTCCTATTAGCAGCAGCAGATTCCAGGATGACAGAGGCCTAGGACGGCCCTAAAGGGAACATCAGAGCCAAAGTATTTAACAGAAAAGGCATCAGGGACAGCATGTTAAAGGCATGATTTAAAGTTACACTTCAGCTTTGAGTCCCCCTTATGCTGTCTGTACAACCTGTATTGTTCCATAGCCTCTTTCATCTTCTGTCATTCACATAATTTGCAATGTTTATTATTCCTTATGTTCCTTCTTCTCCATGCTAGAATGTAAACTCCACAATGGCAGGATGTCTTTTGGTCGGTTTTGTTTTTCTTTCTTTTTTTTTTCTTTCATTAAAGCATCACCAGCACTTAGAGGAAGGCGTGACAGACTCACTGAGCAGATAAAATGTTATTAAGTTCAATGACTGAATGATTGGGCCAGCAATGATATTTAGCTGTGGTTCATTCATCACTGGTTCCTTAGGAATAAAATTGTTGAGCAATGCACTAAGACCTCTGTTGATTTTTTTAACAACACCAACAACCATAGAAAGCAGACTCTGCTGTAAATGGGCCTCCATGAGCCACTTTGTTGCGGGGGTGCAGCTCATGTGCAGTCATGAAGAAACATACAAACACAGAGCTTTTGAAGGAAGGACAAGCTGCTTACCCGCTGGGAAGGGTTATAATAAAATCCAACAAGTACATCCCATGAAATTTCATGTTTTTGTCTAACAGAACATTTAACCATGTAGCTGTGACCTAGGGGAAGGGATGTATTCAGACCTATGAGTGTAGCTTGAATGTGGTTGGGAACTTACCCTGACTCCTCTGATTCATAATTCCACCATTACCCCCAGTCCTTGAATAAACAGGGTTGTGTTTTGACTTTCCACTACAGATCCAGTGAGACCTCCCAATCATCCAGGGATTTGTTTCCCGCTTGATAGGAACAGTGAAGGTATTATAGAGTTCCCATTTTCACTCATTGGTTCACTCTACAAAATCCTACTGACTCTCTTTGATGTGCCAGGCACTGTTGAACCTCTAGAGTTATACCCTTAACCAAAAGGACAAAATTCCAGGCCCTAATGGAACTTGTGTTCTTTCAATGCCCCCACCCCCCAACCATCCTCGGCTTCCTGACCCATGCAGCAGTAGCTCCTATGATTGAAAGGGGCAAGTGGGAGCTGTGGCAATACCAGGTCCCTGTGAATGTCGTCATTCAAAAGCAGCCCCACACCCTGTGGAATTACAGAGCAGTCCACGTTGGACTTGAGAGATGCAAGGGTCATGACTTTCACTACCTCCCCATTTAATTCTCCAGTTTGGTTGATGTAGAAGAATGTTATTTGGGAGCTATAATGCATTATGATAAGCCCAATCAGCTGGTGATTCAGTCACAGCTGCTGTTTCACAAACTTCCTCACTGGACTGAGGATCACCTGGGAGGCGGCAGTTCAGCTGGGCAGGGGGGCAGGGATTGGATACATTTCCTCTACCTTCTTTCAAATAGTAAAGCCCAGAACCACTTTGCTTTCATAAGGCAGACCAAGTGGCGGTATTTTTTGAATATTTTGCCTCAAGGATGTGTTAACTCCAAGGTTCTTTCCCACAGTTGAGAATGAATTGTGTTTGATCATCTCACCCTCATCACATCTGTGTCCCTAAATGTACGCCCTCACGGCACAAGGACAGAAGGGCCCAGGGAGCAGGAAATAGTGGACTCTGTCAGAAATGTGCTTTTCCCACGTGGGAAAGAATTGGCTTGAAAATACAGGGACCTGTCACCACGAGTTTCTGGGGCGCCAGTGTTCTGCCACGGAGCTTCCAACTGGCCCCACGCCATGAAGGCGTTGCAGATGTGCTGATATCAGATGCCTCTCAACTCATTTAGTGATACATGCAATGAAGAACATGAAATAAGATAATGATCTTTAGCCGGGTTTGGCAAACTATGGCCCTTCTGCCATTTCTGGCCTGAGGCCAGCAATGGTTCTCAAAACATAAAGTTATACTTAGGTACCCGGAGCTTAATCATGGCCCAATAGATTGAACCTAGTGTTCTCGTTGTCATGATTATGCATACTGTTAATCAGAGGGGTACATTGAAGCCTCTCATCGTGATTGTGGTTTCATCCTCTAACCACTTGTAGCTTTCAGAGGTTCTAGTTCATCATTTCACTCCTCTTGTGAGACGCATAAATCTTTAACTGTACATCTGCCAAAGGGATATACTCTGTGAATGTAAACAACTCCTCTTTGTTATGCTTAGGGTGTAGTTCTCTGTTTTGTCAAAATTTCAAATTCTACTTAATCAGCACCATTTACAAGGATCCCTGTTCCCTTGGTGTTGGAGAATACGATGTTTTGAATTGAAGTTCTTATATCTATTGGCAAACTTGAGGTTGCAAGTACACCTCCATTACCAGCCCAGGAATACAGAGTTTATTCTATGTTTTCTTCCCTTTCCACCTTTCCACGTGTATTGTTTCCTTCTCAGCTTTGGAGAACCCTACCTTCCATTATCCTCTGTGTATTTACTTCTTTGCACAATCCTGCTATATATGCTCTCCTACTGTGGACAGCCTTCCATCTGTTCTCTAACTCCCTCTTCTCATGCACCCTGGCTTGCAGGAGGCCTCCTTGGAACTGTTTTTTGGCAGGCTCCATGCCTGCCTTCCTAAACTTGGGTGCCCTGCTCTACAGGGATGGGAGGGCTAGATAAAAAGGCTCTCTGTTGCCTTTGGAACTCCTCACAGAACTGGTTTTTAGTCACCACTTCATTGTAATAGTCACCTAGGACAGCCTGGGTTAAGGGCTTCATGAGATTCTTTCCAGAGCTGCTGGCCTGGCCAGAAGAGTGAAGTGTTGGGGTTGGTTAAGGGCTATCAGTCTAAACATCCACAACTTAGGACTCAGATTAGTTAGCATTCTTGTTGGTCTCATAAGGTGGAGGAAGAGAGTTCACCCTGCTGGGGCAACGTCATCCTACAGTGGTTTCACTTCCTAAGAGCATTGCCCCAGTTGACCCTAAATGATGTGGATTAGAAACTTCATTCCCCCAATCCTATGGATAGTTGAAGGCCTATTGTATATACCAAAGATGAGAAGCATAACCTTATTATTGAAGTTCCATTGAAAGGAAACAAAATGTGGTTGGGCATGGTGGCTCATGCCTGTAATTTCAGCATTTTGGGATGCCGAGGCGGGCAGATCACCTGAGATCAGGAGTTTGAGACCAGCCTGGCCAACATGATGAAACCTCATCTCTACTAAAAATACAAAAAAAAATTAGGTGGTCGTGGTGTCGGGTGCCTGTAGTCCCAGCTACTCGGGGTGGCTGAGGCAGGAGACTCCTTTGAACCCAGGAGGCTGAGGTTGCAGTGAGCCAAGATCATGCCAATGCAGTCAAGCCTGGGCGACAGAGGGAGACTCCACCTAAAAAAAGAAAAAAGAAAAAAGACAAAGAAAGAAAAAGAAAGGAAACAAAAGGTACAAGTTATTTTGATAGTATAATGAACATACCTCACAGTGGTTAGGGGCACTGAACATCTGTGTTCCCCTAAAATTCCTTTGTTGAAGCTGTAATCCCCAATGTGATCTATATGGAGATGGGGCCTTTGGGATGCTATTAGGCTTAGATGGGATCATGAGAGTAGAGCTCCATAATGGAATTAGTATCCTTAGAAGAAGAGGAAGAGAAGCCACTGTTTGCTCCCACTCCTCCATGGGAGGAAACAGCCAGAATTTGACAATCTTTGAGCCAGAAAGAGGGCCCTTGCCCCGAACCGAATCAGTCAGCACCTTATTCTTGGACCTGCCAGCGTCCAGAACTGTGCAATATAAATGTCTGTGGTATATTGTTATAGCCGACAAAGCTAAGACAACGGAGAGCTGACATTGACATTCTGTAACAAATAAAAGCAATCCAAACACTTATTGTGTTTTGAAAAACAAAGATATGAATTGGAAAAACTCCCATCACATGAGGAAACCAAAATTCCCATCGATGGGAATTGTCCCTATCCATTAAATCATAATGAATAATATACTTATTGATACATGTCATTTAAAGCCTTGTCACTCTATTCTTATAGAAATATTTGTCTAAACACTAGTCCAACACTTATTTCCAGTGTAGCTTTTGTAATGAAAGGAGTAACATTTTACTCCATGGTGCAACTCATGTGCACGAGGGAGGCTGGATCACTGATCTGCAAGAAAACTCAATTTATTGGCTGATTTTACTTACAAGTTGCTGCTGTGTCAGACCCTGAGGACAGGTTGCAAAGCCAGGAAACAGCTGAGTTGAGCTGGGATCTAACGTCTTCCGAACCACAGTTCTGACGTTTACAGCCAGCTGTAACATTATTCTGAATGAGGCCCAGTACTGTTTAGATAGATGCACAAAGGAAAGCAAAGTATTCAGATTTGGTGTGAATTGCCTTAGAACCAGATCCTTTCTCAGGTTGCTGGAATGGTTCAGGATGTTACCCTTTTCTGATTCAATTAATTGCTGTGGTATTTATTGAGAACCTACCGTGTGCCCAGCACTGTTCTAGATGCTGAAGGCCCAGCAGATGGAAAAAGCAACCACGAACAAAAGCTCTGCAGTCATGAAGCTGACATACAAGTGGGAAGAGACCGACAATAAATACTCTGATAAGCATATGAATAAGTAAGAATTTCCGTCTAGCAGTTAGTGACAGAAAGAAAAGTAAGCAGGTGTTTGTGATAAGAGGTTTTTGAGGGCAGTGACCACGGACAGATGGTTTTCAATATTTTCAGTCGGAGTCAGTTTCCCTGATTTGAGAGTGAAACATGCAGGTCACTAGAAGCCAAGAAGGCGAATCACATGGTTATATCTTTGCTGGAATCTGGCACTGAATGATTGCTTCATGGATACTTGTGAAGGTGTGCATTTTGTTCATGGGAGACAGTTAAAATGTGAGAAGGTTTAATGGGGTGCATGGCATCCTTGTTCAGAATTGCTGTTAATCTACTTTGTGTCCAGCCCTTGTATATGCCAAGCACTGGGCTAAGGGCCTTGGGACACACACGTCATTTAATGCTCACAAAGAATCCTATGAAAGAAGTCCCAGTAGCGTCGTGTCCATTCAACAGCCAAGTCAGGGACACAAACAGGAAAGAGGGGGCGCACAGCTGCTCTGTGGCCCAGTGGAATTCATCCCCTGGCATTCAGGTCCAGCAGCCATTTCTTATCTGATGTGTTCCGGGCCTCTGGAGGCACCTCCTACCACAAAGATCATTCACAGTGTTTCCAGCAGGTTGGTATAGAAGAGCCCCTTCTTTGTTCTGCAGTATTCTCTCAGCAGGGACCTGTCTTCCTGGTGCTGGAATCTACCTGTAGCTTCTCTGCCAACAGAGTTTGAACCCTGCAGAGGAGGCTGAGTCTGACTTAGTGAAGTTTGCCAGAGAAGGCTATTTCTTACCTCTTTCTAAGGCGATTTCTTAGCACCAATCTCTTGCTGCAGCATCCGTTATTAGCTCTATTTGTGCCAGCAGGGACACATGAAAGGGTTTTGGGCATGTTTTCATATGTCTGAGTGGCTGCTGTCTCTTCGGTTCTTTCTGCTTTCTTCTGTGCCATGATGGAAACTAAAACATTTGACCCAGTGATGTTTTTTTTCAATCATTCTTTAGAGGTGGTGAGACTACAGGTATGTTTTCAAAGGATTGATAGTTTTTGCTGATGGATGGCATGGAGTGTGTAAAGAAAATGGAGAAAACTAAGGGTTATGGCAGGGATATGATGTTAACCCACTGTGTGAACTGAGCTGACATCGTGTGAGATGGAGAAGATTTATGGAGGTGAAGGGGTTGAAGGAAGCTCAGGACATATGAAATTTTGGACACCTTACCCTTGAGTCGTCTATGGGATAATCACGTGTGTAACTCAGTATACATATGGAATTGGGAGTACGTGCACTTAGATGCCATGGGGCTGGTGTGTGGATAGAGAGGCCATTCAGGGTCTGAGTCCTGGAGCACTCTTGTGCAATCCTGATAGGAGGAACTTCTCACAAAAGAGGCTGAGAAGGAGTCTTTCTAGGAGAGAGTGGTCACACAGAAGACCAAAGAACTTATTTCAAGAAATGGGGAGTCCTCACCTGCGTCAAACACTGAGAGGTTGAGTGATGAGAGCTTAGCATATTGACCACTGGATTTGGAGACCTGGAGGTTTCCTGTCATCTTAAGAGCAAATTAGGGGCATGATGTGGGTAAAAGCCTAATGCCAGAGGAATAAGGAGAGAATGGGAGCTCAGGAAGTGAGCAGAGGTGATTCTTGAAATAGCATTTGCTGTGGGGGACAGGATGCAGAAGAATGGGACTGAAGGGGAAATGAGGCCAAGGAAGCTTATTTATCTATGTACATTTTTAAGATGGGAGTTATTTGTGAAGTTTTTAAGATGGGTGATTCTTGTGTATGTTTGTATGTTATTCCTTTGCAGGCAAAGATTAAAAAAAAAAAAGATTGTTGATGCAGGATGAAGAGAGGCAACAGCAATAGAAGCAACATCCTCAGAGAAAATGTGTCAAGAGAATGGTTCCATGTGCTCAGTGGAGTTTCAGCCCTGGCCAGGGGCTGCGATGTCCTTCCATTGTTACAAAAGAGAAGGAAGAGAAAGCCAGGATGGGTGCCAGGAGTTTCACAGAGGGGCTCCTGTTTCATGGCCTGTGTTTTCTCAGAGAAATAAGAGGAAATGTGTGCTTACCTGTGTGTCCTAATTTTTCATTGATAATCATAGAATATTGGAGTAATCAAAATTTACAAGAGCAGTTGCTGTGGGTTGAATTTTGCCCTGAAAGAGATATGCTCAGGTTCTGAGCTCCAGTACCTGTGAATGTGACTTTATTTTGAATAGGGTCTTTGCAAAAAAAAAAAAAAAAAAATCAAGTTAAGATGAGGTCCTACAGGATTGGGATTAGTCATATACCCTTAATCCAGTGAGTGGTGTCCTTATAAGAAGAGGTGTATTGGACACACAGACAGATGGAGAAGAGCACCATGATATGAAGGAGGAAGAGATTGGAGTGATGCATCTACAACCGAAGGAAGCCAACCGATGACTACTGGCAACCTACGGAATCTTGGAATAAACTCTCCCTCAGAGCTTGCCAGAAAGAACCAACCTCACGGAAACCTTGATTTCAGACTCATAGCCTGCAGAACTGCAGAAGAATAAATTTCTGTTGTTTAAAGCCACGCAGTCGTAGTAATGTGTTGTGGCCTCCCTAGGAAATTAACACAGTTGTGTTACATTTTGAGACATAGATAGCCCTCAACCGATCCTGTTAACCAGATGATAATCTTCAGCAATGCTCTTACCTGTTCTCACAGTAGGAGAGGAAAGACAAACAGGTTTCATCCACAGTGCCCATGGATTGCATCAGAATCATCCAAACTGTTCTCCTTGCTTCCTGCTCTGACCTCTTCCAGCCTGTTCACAACCAAGCACCTGGAGTGATCCCTGGAGGCTCCAAATCCTTCAGGGACTTTACGTGTCATGGACAATAAAAGCCAAAGGACTTCCAGTGCCCCACTATCCCACATGCAGCCTGAACCTCTATTATCTCTCTTACCATACTTCCCACTCTTCTAGCTATTCACTGCCTCTGCTCTAATCACTGCTTTTCTTTGAATACATCACGCACAGTCTTGCTGTATGGTCTTTGCACAAACTGTGCCCTCCGTCTGAACGGCTCCTCCAAAAATAGCTGCCTGGCTAACTCCAACATCTTTCTCAACTATTGCTTTCCAATGAGGGCTACTCTGACCATGCTATTGTAAAGTGCAATCCAATACCCCATGCCCAGCACTGTGGATCTCCCTTGTCCTGCTATATTTTTCCATGGCATTTATTGCCTTCTAACATACCATATATTTTATTATGTGATGTTTAGTGTCACCCTTTCGTCATCCTGTGAAAAATCTACCCTCACAGGGTGAAGATTCTTGACTCTTTCATTCATTAACAAATTTTAGGAACACAGAACAGTGTCTGGTTCACAGTTAGTGCCCTACAAGTTTTGCTGAATGAATGAATAAGGGTAATGTGTATATCAGAGTAATGTAAGCATAACCAGGTAAGCGATGAGTACATGGTAGCAATGATCATAAAAGGATTCTATTATAAATTATCACTGGACTAAAAATGGCAGTCCTAGTACACAAGACACGTACTTGCCATCACTAAAACATTGCCTACCCACATGATGCCCTCTCTCCACAAAATTGATCCCTGGTGAGGAGTAACTATTGACCGCCCACTGAGTGGTGACTCCTTATGCTAAGCACCACGAATACAAGGGCAGGAGCAGGATTTTTGGTTGCACAGCCGGTGTTTCAGGCACCCATCCTCCCAGGGAACCCAAGAGAAGAGCCCTGTATCTCCTTAGTAAATGCAGAACCCAAGCTCCCAAGCCATTTTCCCCAGGCCATCCTAATGGCTCCCTCAGCCTTGATGGGAGAAGCCACGATGTTCCCACCCATCGCCTTTTAGTAGCCACAAGAACCTGCCCGCCCACCCACTGCACGCCCATTGGTTGGACAGTGGTAGAGGCGGGCCCTGACGAGCGCATGCTCAGAGGGAGAAGTCAGCGGAGAAGCTGGGAGCTCCTTTGGAGGCTGCGGTGTCCCTGACTCTCCTGAGGGGGGCTCACTAACGGGTGGGTCCCATGCCACAGTGTCTGAGGAGAAGCAGGAAGTGAGTCCCTGAGGAGACGCCGTGACCTGAGGGCTTCCCTTACTGAGGAGGCCTCGTGCTTCATCTGCCACAAGCGGTGCCCAGGCCGGTGGTGACAACTGGGACGATGCTCAGGCTTCTGAGACTTGCTTTGGCCTTCTACGGGAGGACGGCCGACCCTGCAGAGCGACAGGGCCCACAGCAGCAGGGCCTCCCACAAGGTATTCCTCTGTGTGTCCCCTTGTCCCCCACCCCAGAAGCCTCCCAATAGGGGTTCTCCTCACCCCCGGAATGAGGCTGTTGTAACTCGGGTGGGTACTGCACGTGACGGTGGCTCCATCTTGTGCGTGCATGGGGAGGCAACCCGAGGCAACCCGAGTCCTCAACAATTCCCTGAGAACCAACCCCCAAACTCTCCTGTCCATCTAAAGCGGGAAGGTGTTGACAGAGAAGACCTTGGGGTCTGTACCGCCTGTGCTTTTCCCCCACGTGGTCGCACAGCACATGCCTATTTATATTTCCAGTAGGCGAGAAACTCCCTAATTTGCGAGTTAATTTAGGCTTGTATCCCAAACGGGAATGTAATTTGAAGCCAAGTTGATGCCTCATACTTATCTGATCCCAAAGGAAGGCAGAGAACCCCTGCCGGCGACTGCTGAGGTTTGATCCCTAAGTATTGCTGATCAGCTAGGCTTGTGCAGAATAAAAAAAAAAGAAGAAGAAGAAGAAGGAGAAATAAAGAAAACCATTCAGATGCCGTTTTGGGCTAGCCTTCAATCTCCAGATATCTTTTAGTACTTTGTCTGCTGAGATGGTTAAGTATCTATAGAAGGTGCTACTCATCATGTTGGTGATAATGATGAAGGAATATAATAGGAGCAGAAGCTTAAAGACTCATATGTAGAAATGCTAACAGGTAACATTTACACACTCTTGTGCAAGGCACTCAGAGCTCTCGACAGTTGATGTGCATGTGTCAGTTAATATTCGTAAGCTGGGCGCGGTGGCTCACACCTGTAATCCCAGCTCTTTGGGAGTTCCAGGTAGGTGGATCACTTGAGGCCAGGAGCTGGAGACCAGCCTGGGCAACATGGCAAAACCCCGTCTCTATTAACAATTCAAAAATTAGCTGGGTGTGACGGTACACACCTGTAGTCCCAGCTACTGGGGAGGCTGAGACATGAGAACCACCTGAACCCAGGAGGCAGAGGTTGCCGCTAGCCCAGATTGCGCCACTGCACTCCAGCCCCGGCGACAGAGCCAGACTCTGCTCAAAAAATTAAAAAATAATTAAAAATTAAAATTTTTAAATTTTAATAAATTTTTAAAAATATTTTAAAAACCTACAACAACCCTATTAGGCGAAATTGTGATTGTTGTGGATTGACAGATGAAAACAAGGTCAGAGACGTTATAAAACTTCTCTGCCCAGGGTTATGCAGATGGTGAGTGTAAGACTTACTTGTAGTAGGTGTTTGCATTTGAGGCTAATAATGTGACCTTGTTTCTTTATCTTGTAGGTGACACCCAGTTGACAACTGTGCAGGGAGTTGTCACAAGTTTCTGTGGTGATTATGGCATGATTGATGAGTCGATCTACTTCAGTAGTGATGTTGTGACTGGCAACGTGCCTCTAAAAGTTGGACAAAAAGTTAATGTGGTTGTGGAAGAAGATAAACCACATTATGGATTGAGAGCAATCAAGGTGAGATGTGCATGAGTTTGGGAATTGTGTCTTATCCCAGTGGGCTTTCTTTCTCCATCTTTCTTTTCTTGAGTTAATCCGACATCTCTGCTGTGATCCGTAGAGTGGATGTAGACTGCAATTTGAAGCCCCCCTCCTCTGAAGCTGTAGCTTCTTCTGTTGTAATATTTGTAGTAATTTGTGCTGTAAAACATAAAAGCTTACTTATCTATTATTCTAGTCTTTAAACAATATGAGTAACAATAATAATTATTGAACTCTTTATAATCTTACAACTTCCCTTATCAGGTAAAAAAACATTTTCTGTAGTGTGCATTCAAAACAGTGGAATTTCTATGTCAAGCCATGTGCATTGTAAATATTTTAAAAAGAGCTTCATGGAATTATAATTCACCAACCACAAAACTCTCTTAAGGGTACAATTCAATAACATTTGCAGATTTACGGAGTCCTGGCAACATCACCTGAGCCCAGATATTTGCCCATTCAGTGGCTATTATGAAATTATTCTTTAGCTCTATTGTACTAATTGATTCTCTCAGCAATAGGAGGTGAGACTGCCCATCTGCCCATATAGGCAAGGACAACAATACTATCGATCTGAAATCTTTGCACATATGAGAAAGGAAAAGCAGTCTCATCATTCATTTGGAATTATTAAGGGTCTTCATGAGATTACAGTAAGTTTTATTTCTTAGACCTACTGATACAATAGGGATATTTATGGCTATCTCTATGGTAGGAAAATTAGATTTGTAATAGGAAAGTTTGTGTATGAAGCCCTTGTAGTATTTCGTCTGATACCATCTTTTTCCTTTGCTTTATGTCTTTCATTCTTTTACAGCATTATTGAGATATAAGTCACGTGACTATACAATTGGCCCACTTAGAGGGAACAATCTAGTGGTTTTTAATTTGTTCACAGAGTTATGCAATCATCACCACAATCAACTTTAGAACATTTTCATTACTCAAAAGGAAGCTCTTCGTGCTCCCCCAACTGTCCCCTCCCCCAACAACATCCAGCTCCAGGAAATCACTTATCCACTTTCTGTTTGTATATATTCTGGACAGTTAAAAAAGGTTCCTTCTATACAACTGTAATTATATGTTCTTTCACCAACATCTTCTCATTCCTCTGTCCACCCTAACAACACAAGCGTCTGGTAACCACCATTCTACTCTACACTGCTATGAGATCAACTTTTTTATCTTCTGCATGTGAATGTGACCGTGCAGTATTTGTCTTTGTGTGACTGGCTTATCTCACTTACATATCATTCTCCAGGTTCATCCAGGTTATTTCAAACGGCAATATTCTGTTCTGTTTTATGGCTGAATAGCATTCCCTTGTGTATTTATACCACATTTCCTTTATACACTCATCCGTAGATGGACACTTAGATTGCTTTCATTTCATAGCTATTGTGAATAGGGCTGCAACAAACATGGAAGTGCTGACATCTCTTTGACACACTGATGACACTCTCTTTGGATACATGCTCAGTAGTGGGATTCATGGATAGTGTGATAGTTCCATTGTTAAAATATTGGGGAATGTCCATACTGTTTTCCATGGTGGCTGTAACAATTTACATCCCACCAACCGTGCATAAAGCTTCCAATTTCTCCACATCCTTGCCAACACTTGTTATATCTTGTCTTTTTAATGTTAGCCATTCTAACATGCGTGACTCGGTATCTCTGTGGTTCCGATATGCATTACCCTGATGATTAGAGAAGGTGAGTGTTTTTTCACATGCCTGTTAGCCATTTGTATGTCTCCTTTTGAGAAATGTCTATTCAGGTCTTTTGCTCATTTTTAATAGGATTATTTGTTTTCTTGCTATTGTGTTGTTGGAGTTACATTTTGGAAACTGACCCCTTACTAGATACATAGATTGTCAATGTTTTCTCCTATCGCATAGATTGTCTCTCCACTCTTTGATTGTTTCCTCTGTGGTGCAGAAGCTTTTTAGTTCAATGTAATCCCATTTGTGTATTTTTCCTTTTCTTGCCTTTGCTTTTGAGGTCCTGTTTTTAAAATATCGTTGCCCAGAACAATGTCATGGAGCTTTCCCCCTATGTCTCCTTCTAGTAGTTTCACAGCTTTGGGTCTTCATTTTAAAGCTTTAAATCATTTTGAGTTGATTTATATACACGCTGAGAGATAAGGGTGGAAATTCATTTTTCTCAGATGAATATCCAGTTATTTTCAACATCATTTATTGAAGAGACTGTACTTTCTCAACATTGTGTGTTCTCGGGCCTTTTGTCAAAAATTAGTTGACTGTAAATGCACAGATTTAATTCCGGGCTCTGTATTCTGCTCCATTGGTTGATGTGTCCGTTTTTATACTGGTACTGTGCTGTTATGCTTACTATAGCTTTGTCATATGTTTTGACATCATAGTGTGATGCCTCCAGCTTTGTTCCTTGTATTCCAGACTGCTTCAGCTGTCTGGAATCTTTCATGGTTCCATACAAATTTTAGGAGTATTTCTTCTATTTCCAAGAAGAATGTCATTGGTATTTTCATAGCAGTTGCATTGAATCTATAGATTGCTTTAGGTTACGGACATTTTAACAATATTTTATTCTTCCTGTTCATGAACACATGATATATTTCCATTCATTCCTGCCTCCTTCAATTTGCTTCGTCAATGGTTTATAGTTTTCAGTGTTGCAATCCTTCACCTCCTTGGTTAAATTTATTCCTATTTTAATTTTTTTGAAGGTGTTGTAAATGGGATTGTTTCTTGATATCTTTTCCAGATAGTTCCCTATTGGTGTATAGAGATACTACTGATTCTTGTATGTTGGTTGTGTCTCATGCCACTTTCCTGAATTTGTTTATTAGACCTAGTAGCTGTTTGGTGGTGTCTTCAGGGTTATTTATAAGTAACAGCTTCCCGTCTGCAAACAGGGCCAATCTAAATTCTTCCTTTTGAATTTAGATGCCTTTTGTTTCTTCTTGCCTAATTTCTCTGGTTAGCACTTCCAGAACTATGTGCGATAGAAAGGGCAAAAGTGGGCATTTCTGTCCTGTTCCAGGTCTTAGAGGAAAAGCCTGCAACACTTCCCCATTCAGTATGATGTTATCTGTGGGTTTATCATATATGACCTTTATTGTGTTGAGGTGCACTCCTCTTATACCTAATTTGTGGAGTTTTTAGTCACGAAGAGGTGTGGAATTCAATCAAATGCTTTTCCTGCTGAAATTGGAATGAACCTATGGCTTTTTTCCTTCATTCTTTTCACGTGATATAGCACATTTATTGATTTGTGTATGTTGAAACTTCCCTGCATCCCAGGGATGAAGTCCTCTAGAACATGGTGAATGATTTTTTTAATGTGCTGTGGAAATTGCTTTACTAATACTTTGTTAAAGATTTTGCAACTGTGTTGATCAGGAATTTTGGCATGTAGTTTTTTTTGGTTTTCTCTTCTTTCTGTTTCCTCATCTGGGTTTTCTACCAGGGTAATGCGTTGTGACAGAATGAGTTCGGAAGTGTTCGTCTCTTGTCCGTTTTTTTTTTTTTTTTTTTTTTTTTTTTGGAATAGGTTTAAAAGTATAGCTATTAATTATTCTTCTTTATATATAAATTTGGTAGTATTAGGAAGGGAAGTCATTCTGTCTTGGACTCTTCACTGATGGGGGATTTTTTATTACTGAATCACTTTCCTTACTCATTAATGGTCTGTTCAGATTTTCCATTTCTTCACCATTACATCTCGGTAGGTTGTATGTGTCCAGGAATGTAGCCATTTCTTCTAGCTTGTCCTATTTGTAGGCAGATGATTGTTCATAATCTTCCTTATGATACGTTTTGTTTTGGTGATGTCATTTGTGCTGTGTCCTTTTTCATCTTTGATTTTAGTTATTTGAATCTTCTCTCTTTTTTCCTTAGTCTAGCTAAAGTTTTGTTGATTTGCTTTACCTCTTCAAGAAACCAAGTCATTGTTTCATTGATATTTGTATTGTTCTTCTCATTTCTATTCATTTATTTCTGCTCTGACCTTTATGATTTCTGTCCTAATTTTGCATTGCATTTTTTTCTTGTTTTTCTAGTTCCCCAAGGTGCAGTGTGAGGTTGTTTATTTAAGATGTATCTTTTCTTTTGAGGTAGGTTTTATTGATGTAAACTTCACTTTTAGAATTGCTTTTGCTGTATTTCATGGGTTTTCGTATGTTGTGCCTTCATTTTGCTTCAACTCAAGAAATGTTTACACTTTGCTTCTAATTTCTTCATTGACCCATTGGTTATTTAGGAGCATGTTGTTTAATTTCCATCCACTTCTAAAGTTTCCAAAGTTCCTACTTTTATTGATTTCTAATACTTTACCGTTGTGGTTAGAGAACTGATTTGATGTTATTTCAAATTCCCTTAATTTGCTAGTACCTGTTTTATGACCTGCCCCATAATCTATCCTCGAGAATGTTCCACATGCAGTTGGAAAGAATATGTGTTTTGGAGTATTTGGATGGAATGTTCTGTAAATGACTGTCAGGTCCATTTGGTCCGGAGTGCAGATAAATCCCACTTTTTGTGGGGTCAATGTTCTGTCGGGACAATCTGTTCATTGCTGCAAGTTGGGTGTTGAAGTCCCCTACTATTACTGCATTGCACTCTATCTCACCATTTATACCTTAATGTCTGCTTCATATATTTAGGTGCTGCTATGTTGGGTGCATATTTTTGGAAATCATTATATCCTCTTGATGAATTGACCCCTTCATCATTCTATAATGATCTTGGTCTCTTTTTACAGTTTGTGATTTAAACTCTATTTTATTTGAAATCAGTTTAGCAGCTCCTGCTCTCTTTTGGTTTCCCTTTACATGGAAGAATATCTTTTTTCATGTCTTCACTTTCAGTTTACGAATGCCCTTTAAGGAGAAGTGGGTCTCTCATAGGTTTGATTGTTTTTGTTGTTGCTTTTTAAATGTATTCAGCTACTCTGTGCATTTTAATTGGGGGATGTCATCCATTCCTATCAAGGTAATTATTGATAGGTAAGGATTTATTGTTGTCATTTAGATAATTTTTTTCTATCTATTTTGTAGGTAATTTCTTCCTTTCTTTCTCTTTTACTGTTTTCATTGATGGATAAGAGATTTTTCTCTATTAGTGTGTTTTGTGGTTTTGTTTGTATTTGTTTTAGTGTGTCTATTACAGGATGTTTTTCTTTGTGGATAGCATGAGGCTTACGGAAACATAATCACGGCAGATTATTTTACTGATAACATAACTTTGATCACAAAATACAAACACTTTACTATTTAACTCCACCCTGGGATTTTGAGTTTTCTATTTCACACTTTACAATTTTTTATATTTTGTATCCCTTAACAAATTATTGTACTTATTTTATTTTTACTAGTTCAGTTCTTTAACCTTTACATGAAAGATATAAGTGATCTGGAAACCACCATTACCTTATTAGAGTATTCTGAATTTGTGTCGTTACCTTTACTGGTGAGTTTTATACCTTCAGATGTTTTTGCATTACTCATTAGCGTCCCTTACGTCAGTTGGAAGAACTCTCCCTAGCATTTCTTGTAAGACAGTTGCGGTGGTGAGGAAATTTCTCAGCTGTGATTTCTCTGTAAAAGTCTTTATCTCCCCTTCACTGCTGGGTACATTATTCTTGCTTAGAGATTTTTTTCCTTGTGTTCCTAAAGTATACTATACTACTCTCTCCTGGCCTATTATGCTTCTGCTGAGAAGTCTTCTGGTAGGCATATTGGAACTGCCTTATATGTGATTTGCTTCTTTCCTCTTACTGCTCTCAGGATTCTTTCTTTATTTTTCATCTTTGACAGTTTGATTTTAATATGTCATGGGGTAATCTTATTTGGATTGTATCTGAATGCAGAACTTTGGTCTTCCAGTACCTAGACGTTTGTAACTTTCTCTGGGTTTGGATGGCTCTCCATTATTATTTTTTAAATGATCTTTTTACCTCTTTTTCACTCCTCCCTCTTGAATGTGAATGACTCATACTATTGCTCTTCTGATATTGTCCCAGAAATCTAGTTTTTTTTCATTCCGTGTCCTTCCTTTTAATTTTGTCTCCTCTGACTGTATATTTTCAATGAACCTGTCTCCAAGTTTACAGATTCTTTCTTTTGCTCAATCAATTCTTCTTTGGATGTTCTCTATCGTGTACTTCCTTCACTGTATTTTTCAACTTCTGGATTTGCTTGGTTTTTAACAATTCTTTCAATCTTTCCTGCAACTTACTTTGATAAATCCTGAATCATTTCTCTGTAATTGTTTTCAAGGTTCACAGAGCATGTGGAAAATAGATATTTTGAATTATTTGTTAAACAACTCATATATTCCTGTCTCTCTAGGGTCAATTGCTGGCACCTTGTTTTGTCAGTTTGGTGATGTCATGTTTTCCTTATTGTGTTTGATCTTTGTGGTAATGTGTTTATATCTGCGTATTGAAGAAGTAGGTATCCATTTCGGTCTTTGCAGTCTAGCTTTTAGGGGACATCCTTTAGCAGTAAGCCTGTCCAGAAACTCTATATAGGTCTCTTTTGGTCCTTATGCTTGTGAACACTACAGCTATTGAAGCACTAGGGGGATGCCTATTCACAGGGACACAGCGGCAGGTGCTAGGATGGCTGGGATTCCCCTAGCTATTGAGGCTGGTCCCTTGTGAGACTGGAATCCAAGCCTCCATTCACTGAGAACTCCCTGTTGCTGTAGATTATTCTGAGCATAAGGCCACTGGAATCACTAGGGAGAGATGTGGGCCAGATATTGAGTTTGTTTTGCTGTGGCTGTGGCTTCCTGTCTGGTGCCAGGGTGGGTCTAGAGACTCTGTCCACAAGTACCATCTGAGAGTCAGGGGCCATGGGCATCTGTCAAGTGGTGGCCTGA
The DNA here is from genome assembly GCF_000001405.40 of Homo sapiens. NCBI lineage: Eukaryota > Metazoa > Chordata > Mammalia > Primates > Hominidae > Homo > Homo sapiens. Next base: position 135,162,697 of record NC_000023.11, on the reverse strand, counting down.
TATTGGGTTCCTAGGCAATGTCCTATGCTTGCTACTGTCTCTCTCCTCTGGATGGATGGTATCTCTATTTATGCTTTGCTGTTGAAGGTCGGGGAAGGGGTGATGTGGGTAATGTAAAACTGTCCTTACTACCCTCTTCAGTGCATGTTTTCTTATTTTCATGCTATAACCGGGTACCATGGTCTCTCACCTGGTTTCTTTATGTCAAGTGACGATATTTTCATACAAGGATAGTTTTTCACATTGATGTTTCTGCAGGAGGACAATCACTGGAGAGTCCCATTTCTCCATCTTGCTCCCCTCCTCCTCTATCTGCTTAATTTTTACATACTATAAATATGTCCATCTTGTCCATGTGGCTTCTGGGTTCAGGAAGTATCCTTAGGCTAATTCTAAGACATAATTTACACAAGTATTCACTTAGCTTTTCTTCTGAAAGTCATTCATTTATTTATATCTAAACATACAGCCAGCCTGGGTTTGCTTTTCATGTGCAGGACTGAGAGAAGGATCCACATCTTGTTTCACTACTGGCTACTCAGTTGTCCCTCAACATTAATTGTATAATCCACATTGCCCCTTTTTATTGAAATGCCACTTGTGTCATACAACACATTATCGTAAACATTTGAATCTATTTGTACCGGCTGTTGTGTTGGTCGTCTTTGCAAGGCATAAGAAACAGAGCTGGGAGCCATGAGACATGGGCAAAGCTTTAGTCTGCATATGTCTGTGAGTTGGCGTGGAGTCAAGGAACAGAGAGGTCCGAGGGTGCTGTGGATCATCCACTGGGATACTGACGGAAGTGGTGATAGATATGTGGATGGGAGGCTAATGCCTCATTCCTTCATGACAGTAAGTGAGGGGATAATAAACATCAGATTGGTATTGACAGCTGGAAAGACACCAGTTTAGAAATGAGAATAGCAGCAAACTAGGCTATTTTTAAAACCATGAAAAATTCTTTACAACTCAGTGGCTCAAGTTTCCATCAGAAGTCTCTGCTCAGCAAATGCCAACCCTAGGATTTTATCCTATAGTTAAGTCAGGCAAGTAGTCCAAATGCTATGACACAAGTGAAATGTCTAATTATGTGAAATTGGGTTAGTAAATTACGGCACATCCATTAATTGGGATTCCCTATGACTCTTTCCGTCCTCTCTTGTTATTTAAAAACTTTTGTGTTCATTTAATGTGATACTTTAACACTGAATACCATGCTAATTTGCTTTTAAAACAGGCATTTACACATGTATATATATTTGTGCACAGACAAAAACATCAGGATGAGTGTTACTGCCAAAAATGTAGTCCCTGGTGATCTCTTGGTAATGAATTATGGATTGTGGGGTAACTGCTTTTTGCTGTCTGCTTATCTGTTTTCTTTCCTACTTTTAGTATAACAAGCTTACACTATTTTTGTAAGTTTTAAGGATTATAAAATAAGGACTATTACACTTCCAACAAGGGAAAAGGTTTGTATGCCTCTCTATTGTAGATAAAGTAAAGCCCTAATTTGACTTGGTTTTTCGAACCTCCCCCAGTTGAGGTTATTGCTCCAACTTTATCTCATGCTTCTGTCTCCTAGGCCTGGATCTCGGATGTTAGGGTTTTGCTCCCTAGGCTCCTAACTTCTGTTGTTTTTTCTCTCTGCCTCCCTGCTCCTTTACCCCGTCTTCTTTCCCAACCCAGCACAAATCTGACTTCCCCTAAACAATGCTTCTATTTTCTCCCTGTCTGAAATGTTCTCCCTCTAGATAATTCACAGAAACCATCTTTGAACTAGTTTTATATCCTTCATCGCAACCTGCTTATGACTATATACCTTTCCACTTTACCGTCATTTCACTGTGAATTTCTGCAGGCGAAGGACGGTATTATTTTAATCTTGGAATCTAATGGTACAAGGACATTAAACTTGGGTATGCAATTAATGTTTTGGGATACATTTCACAATTCTTGAAGCACGCACATGACTTTTACTGTCATCTCAAGTCAATGGTCCACTTACCAAGTGAACTATATTCTCCAGTGTTTAGGATGGCTGTTGAAAATATTTTTGAATACAAGTCTTTTAATCATGTAAGTTCCATGTTTAAATTTGTATTGTTTTTGAAGTAAACTCTTTCCTAAATCTTACAGGTGGATGTTGTGCCTCGCCATCTTTATGGTGCTGGACCCTCAGACTCAGGAACCAGAGTTTTAATTGGATGTGTTACTTCTATAAATGAAGATAATATTTATATTAGTAACAGCATTTATTTTTCCATAGCCATTGTTTCTGAAGGTATGATTTATATTTTGAAATATATGATGTAATTCTTAATTTTTTGAGAGGATTTTAGTCCTGGAACAACTTTTACAGTGTACTTGGCTTCAGTCAATGGCTCTTCAGTGTTAGAGGTAGACTGTTCCAATCGAAATTAAGTACAGTATAGGGGCAAATAGACAGTATTATAAATTGTGTGCTGTTGGTTATTGTGTGTTCATTTGTTCAATGCCCTCAGTAATGCCTGGATATACTATTCATTCATATGAGAATTTAATTTCTAATCAAGAAAACAATCCTACAAGTGCATAGAGACACTATTTTTAATACCCTTCAAAGACTATACTTGCAGGCATCATTTCTGTAGTTGGTTACTAGAGAAGTTTCTGTGACAAGGTAGACTACCAAATTTTAAAAGAATACACTTCAAATGCTTCAAACTTAGGATTGGAGATAGCGCCTTGTGGTTGTCTGTTTGTGTGTGTGTGTGTGTGTGTGTGTGTTGTTGTTGAATTCTCTTTGTAATCGGCAGATATATTCTAATATTTAGCTTCTACCCAACGATATTTTTTTGTCTGTTTTGTCTACTGCAGCTGTCGTATAGCTTGGGTATAAATGGAGAGATTAGCTCCGCTTCCCCAGGCAGCTTGCTAGTTTGTTTTCTTGGGTGCAAAAGCAGGATTCTGACCTGCATTTTGTTTGACGATGCTGACTCTGTCTGCTTTGTTGAGAAGAGACTATGAGGGGAAGGGTGGAGTCAGGAAATCAGTCAGGAAAACGTTGTAATATTCCTGGTGAGAGATGATGGAGATGTGAATGAAAATGGAGAAGTGGAAAACCTGAGGATTGAGTTGACTCTGGATATATTTTGAAGTGAGAGAAGAACCCAGGAGGTAATGGATTAGATCTTTGTTGTGGAGGGAAAATGAGTCTAAGGTACCTCCAAAGTTTTTGATTTGAGCAGTTGTGAGAGTGGAGTTGCCAGTTTGTGATGTAGACGACTGAGGCAAACAAAAGTTGGTGAATATGGAGAATACCAACAACTCAGCTTTACACACGTTAGATTGGTGTAAGCATATGGATAATTGACCCTGAGGTTGGTTAGAACTGGAGGCATATACATTTTGGAGTTATAAGCATATAGATATATGTCAAATCCACACAAAAGAAATGTATGTAAATTATCAGAGAGAGAGAGAGAGAGAGAGAGAGAGAGAGAGAACAGGTCTAACACAGTGTCTTATGTCATTCTACAGTGTTGGGTCCTAAGGTGAAGAAATGTTTAACTTTGTTGATATCACTAGTTTTCATTGTGGCAATTTACTGTCTCAGTTGCAGTTGGGATTTCCACTTGCTCCAGATTCTTTCACGTAACTTTGTTATCCTGTGACTCACTTTTAACTTATTGCAAACTTCTGTTTGAAACTTGATGGTCTTAACTGTAACCTGTAAGGCACATACTTAAGAGTTCATTAGTTGAACACAACACCAGGGGAAATTGATTCATTCTGAAAGTAACAACATTTCCTAGCGGTACTGCTACCACTACTACCAATCAACAGTTATTTGGTGGTTGCTATGCGCCAGCGATGATTCTGTGCGTATCACACATATCAACTAATTCTCAAGGCAGCTGTGTACCATGAAGGCTACTTACTGTGCTTCTCATTTTATAGATGAAGAAATCGAGGCACAGACAGATTAACCACCTTGGCTAAGGTTGCCAACTGAGTGAGTGGCAGTGTCAAGATTCGAAGCCACATAGCCAGGTTCAAACTTGTGCTCTTACCTATATGTTTGACTGCCTCTCACTAAGCAATTGTGAACACTAACAGTTGTTTAGTAAATCCTGTGCTGCTCCCTCATATTGGCTGTGATGCATGCTTCACACTTTCCTCCATTTAAATTTGTTAAATCAGTAGAGGAGAATCAATGCCTAAGGATTATAAACTTCTTTTTGGACTTAGAGATTTGTAGTGTCTGTTTAAATATGCACAAAATGGACTTTAGATTTAGCAGAACTGACTTTAAAGTAGTACACTATCAAATAACATGTGAAATTAAAAGTGACCTAGTTAAGAGATCATGACACTCACATTTCTCCATGGCTGTTTTAGATTTTGTGCCTTATAAGGGTGACTTGTTAGAAGTTGAATATTCCACTGAGCCAGGCATCTCAAACATCAAGGCAACTTCTGTGAAGCCCATCCGTTGTATTCATACGGAAGAGGTAATTTCTTTCCTGTTGCTCCCGTCAGCAGTTTCTGCTAACTCTTCCTTTGGTGATAATTTACGTGACCAGGATTCTGTTGGGTATAATGGGAATTCCAGAAAATATGAAGAAATACATTCTTTGCCAACAAAGGAGCCACTTTTCTTATTGAAAAGGCAGAATTTTCCAAAGGAAATAATTAGAAAATTATATAGAACAAGCACATGATTAAGTTCTAAATTGTGCATTTTACTCGATACCCAAATGTTATTAGAATCTTCCAAGGACAGGAGGAAGAAAAACAATCTTTGTGCCAGAAAACTATAGGGAAAGAATGAACGGAGTGTGTTGTGGGACTTGAGCTGACCAGTAGATGCTAAGAATGATTTGGTTATTAAAGCCTGAATATGCACAGGCAATTCAAGGCAACAGAGGGTAATGGACATATTTTGGTAATATTTAGAGCAGGATTTCTCATCAGAGACCCAGGCCTCATTCCCAGAGAGTCTGATTTAATTGGTCTGAGGTGGAGCGTGGACATGGGTATCCTTACAAAGCACCCCTGGTGTTAGCAATGGGCCAACCAGGTTGGAAATCAATGATTTGCATCGAAGTGACCTGCACTCATGCAGGACCCAGGGTGAGGAGGTGCAAAGCTGGTTACAGTGCTTATTGGGCTTTTCCATAATCATTTCCATTATTTATACTCACAGGTCTGCATTACTAGCGTACATGGAAGAAATGGGGTGATAGATTATACTATTTTTTTCACCTTGGATTCTGTGAAACTTCCTGATGGATACGTACCTCAAGTAGATGATATCGTCAATGTGGTCATGGTGGAGAGCATTCAGTTCTGCTTTATTTGGAGAGCGATTTCTATCACCCCAGTGCATAAATCGTAATGACAAAGCATTTTTATTCTGTTTATCTTTCCTTTTATGAGCAGTAAAGGGGCTGGTTTAACTTAAAAGGTTAGCTTAGTAAGCCTAAATAGTATTTTATATATGACTTTTCTGGCAAATCTAATTGAGACACTGGCCAGTCCAACTGGACCAGGAACCCAGCTTAGGGAAATAACTTATTAATTAAAAAGCATGCTAAATTAGCTTGCTAGTCACTGGAGGAAAGGAGTTCTTAATTAAAATGAACACGGCCATTAAATTTGAATTCCATATTTCCCATTAGCAGCAGCGGATTCCAGGATGACGGAGGCCTGGGACGGCCCAAAAGGGAACGTCGGAGCCAAAGCATTTAACTGAAAAGGCATCAGGGACAGCATGTTAAAGGCATGATTTAAAGTTACAATTTGACTTCAGTTTTGAGCCCCGTTATGCTGCCTGTACAACCTGTATTGTTCCATAGCCTCTTTCATCTTCTGTCACCCACATAACTTGCGGTGTTTGTTGTTTTACTTGTTCCTTCTTCCCCATGCTAGAATGTAAACTCCACAATGGCAGGATGTCTTTTAATCTGGTTTTTTTTTTTCTTTTTTCTTTCTTTTTTTTTTTCTGTTGTCATTAAAGCATCACCAAGCACTTAGAAGAGTGCCTGGCAGACTCAATGAGCAGATAAAATGTTATTAAGTTCAATGACTGAATGACTGGGCCAGCAATGATACTTACCTGTGGTTCATTCATCACTGGTTCCTTAGGAATAAAATTGTTGAGCAATGCACTAAGACCTCTCTGTTGATTTTTAAACAACACCAACAACCATAGAAAGTCGACTCTGCTGTACATGAGCCTCTGTGAGCCACTTTGTTGCAGGGGTGCAGCTCATGTGAAGTCACGAAGAAACGTACAAACACAGAGCCCCTTGAGGGAAGGACAAGCTGCTTACCCACTGGGAAAGGTTATACTAAAATCCCACAAGTAAACTCCAGGAAACTTCATGCTTTCTTCTAATAGAATATTTAACCAGGTAGCTGTGACCTAGGGGAAGGGATATATTCAGACCTTTGGGCATAGCTTGAGTGTCGTTGTAAACTTACCCTGAGTCCTGTGATTCATAATTCCACCATTACCACCGGTCCTTGAATAAACAGAGTTGTGTTTTGACTTTCCACTACAGATCCAGTGAGACCTCTCAGTTATCCAGGGATTTGTTTCCCGCTTGATAGAAACAGTGAAGGTCTTGTAAAGTTCCCATTTTCACTCACTGGTTCACTCCACAAAATCCTACTGATTCTCTTTGATGTGCCAGGCACTGTTGAGGCTCTAGAGTTATATCCTTAACCAAAAGGACAAAATTCCAGGCCCTAATGGAATTGTGTTCTTTCAATGCCCCAACCCCACCCCCCCGGCACCCCCACCGTCCTCGGCTTCCTGACCCATGCAGCAGTAGCTCCTATGATTGAAAGGGGTAAGTGGGAGCTGTGGCAACACCAGGTCCCTGTGAATGTCGTCATTCAAAAGCAACCCCACACCCTGTGGAATTACAGAGCAGTCCACGTTGGACTTGAGAGATGCAAGGGTCATGACTTTCACTACCTCCCCATTTAATTCTGCAGTTTGTTTGATGTGGAAGAATGTTCTTTGGGAGTTACAATGTATTATGATAAGCCCAATCAGCTGATGATTCAGTCACAGCCACTGTTTCACAAACTTCCTCACAGGACTGAAGATCACCTGGGAGGCAGCAGTTCAGCTGGGCAGTGGGGCAGGGATTGGATACATTTCCTCTATCTTCTTTCAAATAGCAAAGCCCAGAACTGCTTTGCTTTCATAAGGCAGACCAAGCGGTTCATTTTGAATATTTTGCCTCAGGGATGTGTTATGCCAAGGCTCTTTCCCACAATTGATAATGAATGGTCCTTGATCATCTCACCCCCATCACACCTGTGTCCCTAAATGGATGACCTCACGGCACAAGGACGGAAGGACTCAGGGACTAGGAAATAGTAGACTGTGTCAGAAACGTGCTTTCCCCACGTACAAAAGATTTGGATTGAAAATACAGGGACCTGTCACCACGAGTTTCTGGGGCGCCAGTGTTCTGCCACGGAGCTTCCAACTGCCCCATGCCGTGAAGGCGTTGCAGATGTGCTGATATCAGATGCCTCTCAGCTCATTTAGTGATACATGCAATGAAGAAAATGAAATAAGATAATGATCTTTAGCCGGGTTTGGCAAACTATGGCCCTTCTGCCAATTCTGGCCTGATGCCTGCAATGATTCTAAAACATAAAGTTATACTTAGGTACCCGGAGCCTAATCATGGCCCAATAGATTGAACCTAGTGTTCTCGCTGTCATGATAATGCATACTGTTAATCAAAGGGGTACATTGAAGCCTCTCATCGTGATTGTGGTTTCATCCTCTAACCACCTGTAGCTTTCAGAGGTTCTGGTTTGTCATTTCACTCCTCTTGTGAGATGCATAAATCTTTAACTGTACATCTGCCAAAGGGATATACTCTGTGAATGTAAACAACCCCTCTTTGTTATGCTTAGGGTGTAGTTCTCTGTTTTGTCAAAATTTCAAATTCTACTTAATCAGCCCTATTTAGAAGGATCCCTGTTCCCTTGGTGTTGGAGAATATGATGTTTTGAATTGAAGCTCTTATTTCTGTTGGCAAACTTGAGGTTGCACGTAAACCTCCAGTATCCAGCCCAGGAATACAGAGTTTATTCCATGTTTTCCTCTCTTTCCACCTTTCCATGTGTATTGTTTCCTTCTCAGCTTTGGGGAACCCTACCTTCCATTATCCTCTGTGTATTTACTTCTTTGCACAATCCTACCGTATATGCTCTCCTACTGTGGACAGCCTTCCATCTGTTCTCTAACTCCCTCTTCTCATGCACCCTGGCTTGCAGGAGGCCTCCTTGGAACCATTTTTTGGCAGGCTCCATGCCTGCCTTCCTAAACTTGGGTGCCCTGCTCTACAGGGATGGGAGGGCTAGAGAAAAAGGCTCTCTGTTGCCTTTGGAACTGCTCACAGAACTGGCTTTTAGTCACCATTTCATTGTAATAGTCACCTAGGACAGCCTGGGTTAAATGCTTCATGAGTTTCTTTCCAGAGCTGCTGGCCTGGCCAGAAGAGTGAAGGGTTGGGGTTGGTTAAGGACTATCAGTCTAAACATCCATAACTGAGGACTCAGATCAGTTAGCACTCTTGTTGGTCTCATAAGGGGGAGGAAAAGAGTTCACCCTGCTGGGGCAACGTCATCCTACCGTGGTTTCACTTTCTAAGAGCATTGCCCCAGTCGACCCTAAATGAGGTGAATTAGAAACTTCATTCCCCAAATCCTCTGCATAGTTGAAGGCCTACTGTATATACAAAGGGTGAAAAGCATAACCTTATTGTTGAAGTTCCATTGAAAGAAAACAAAAGGTGGCCAGGTGCATGGCTCACACCTGTAATCCCAGCATTTTGGGAGACCGAGTTGGGTGGATCAACTGAGGTCAAGAGTTTGAGACCAGCCTGACCAACATGGTGAAACCTTGTCTCTACTAAAAATGCCAAAAAATTTAGGGAGTCGTGGTGGCGCGCGCCTGTAGTCCCACCTACTTGAGGTGGCTGAGGCAGGAGAATCCTTTGAACCCAGGAGCCCGAGGTTGCAGTGAGCCAAGATCCTGCCACTGCACTGCAGCCTGGGCGACATAGGGAGACTCCATCTCGAAAAAAAAAAAAAAAAAAAGATAAAAAAGAAAAGGAAAGGAAACAAAAGGAAAGGTACAAGCTATTTTGACAGCATAAAGAACATACTTCACAGTGGTTAGGAGGACTGAACATCTGTGTTCCCCAAAAATTCCTTTGTTGAAGCCGTAATCCCCAATGTGATCATATATGGAGGAGGGGCATTTGGGAGGCTGTCAGGCTTAGATGGGGTCATGAGACTAGAGCCCCATAATGGGATTTGTATCCTTAGAAGAAGAGGAAAAGAAGCCAGCATTTGCTTCCACTCCTCCATTGGAGGAAACAGCCAGAAGTTGACAATCTTCGATCCAGAAAGAGGGCCCTTGCCCCGAACCAAATCAGTCAGCACCTTATTCTTGGACCTGCCAGCCTCCAGAACTGTGCAATATAAATTTCCGTGGTATCGTGTTATAGCAGACCAAGCTAAGACAACAGAGAGCTAACATTGACATTCTGTAACAAATAAAAGCCATCCATACACTCATTGTGTTTTCAAAAACAAAGATATGGATTGGGAAAACTCCCATCACATGAGGATCCCAAAATTCCCATGGATGGGAATTGTCCCCATCCATTAAATCATAATGAATAATACATGTATTGATACATGTCATCTAAACCTTGTCACTCTATTCTGATAGAAATGTTTGTCTAAACACTAGTCCAGTGTTTATTTACACTTATTTCCAGTGTAGCTTTTGTAATGGAAGGAGTAACATTTTACTCCATGGTGCAATTCATGTACACAAGGGAGGCTGAGTCACTGACATGCAAGAGAACCCAACTTATTGGCCTATAATCGTTATAAGTTTCTGCTGTGGTCACACTCCTGGGGACAGGTTGCAAAGCCAGGAAAAAGTTGAGTTGAGCCGGGATCTAGTGTCTTCAAAACTACAGCTCTTACATTTACAGCCAGCTGCAACATAATTCTGAATGAGGCCCAATACTGTTTAGGTAGATGCACAAAGCAAAGCAAAGTAGTCAGATTTGGTGTGAATTGCCTTAAAACCAGATCCTTTCTCAGGTTGCTGGAATGGTTCAGGATCTTACCCTTTTCTGATTCAACTAATTGCTGTGGTATTTATTGAGAACCTACCATGTGCCCAGCACTGTTCTAGATGCTGAAGGCCCAGCAGATGGAAAAAGCAACCACGAACAAAAGCTCTGCAGTCATGAAGCTGACATACAAGTGGGAAGAGACCGACAATAAATACTCTGATAAGCATATGAATAAGTAAGAATTTCCGTCTAGCAGTTAGTGACAGAAAGAAATGTAAGCAGGTGATTCTGATAAGAGGTTTTTGATGGCAGTGACCACGAACAGATGGTTTTCAATATTTTCAGTCGGAGTCAGTTTCCCTGATTTGAGAGTGAAACATGCAGGTCACTAGAAGCCAAGAAGGCGAATCACATGGTTATATCTTTGCTGGAATCTGGCACTGAATGATTGCTTCATGGATACTTGTGAAGGTGTGCATTTTGTTCATGGGAGACAGTTAAAATGTGAGAAGGTTTAATGGGGTGCATGGCATCCTTGTTCAGAATTGCTGTTAATCTACTTTGTGTCCAGCCCTTGTATATGCCAAGCACTGGGCTAAGGGCCTTGGGACACACACGTCATTTAATGCTCACAAAGAATCCTATGAAAGAAGTCCCAGTAGCGTCGTGTCCATTCAACAGCCAAGTCAGGGACACAAACAGGAAAGAGGGGGCGCACAGCTGCTCTGTGGCCCAGTGGAATTCATCCCCTGGCATTCAGGTCCAGCAGCCATTTCTTATCTGATGTGTTCCGGGCCTCTGGAGGCACCTCCTACCACAAAGATCATTCACAGTGTTTCCAGCAGGTTGGTATAGAAGAGCCCCTTCTTTGTTCTGCAGTATTCTCTCAGCAGGGACCTGTCTTCCTGGTGCTGGAATCTACCTGTAGCTTCTCTGCCAACAGAGTTTGAACCCTGCAGAGGAGGCTGAGTCTGACTTAGTGAAGTTTGCCAGAGAAGGCTATTTCTTACCTCTTTCTAAGGCGATTTCTTAGCACCAATCTCTTGCTGCAGCATCCGTTATTAGCTCTATTTGTGCCAGCAGGGACACATGGAAGGGTTTTGGGCATGTTTTCATATGTCTGAGTGGCTGCTGTCTCTTTGGTTCTTTCTGCTTTCTTCTGTGCCATGATGGAAACTAAAACATTTGACCCAGTGACTTTTTTTTCAATCATTCTTTAGAGGTGGTGAGACTACAGGTATGTTTTCAAAGGATTGATAGTTTTTGCTGATGGATGGCGTGAAGAGTGTAAAGAAAATGGAGAAAACTAAGGGTTATGGCAGGGATATGATGTTAACCCACTGTGTGAACTGAGCTGACATCGTCTGAGACGGAGAAGTTTTAAGGAGGTGCAGGGGTTGAAGGAAGCTCAGGGCACGTGAAATTTTGGACACCTTACCCTTGAGTCGTCTATGGGACAACCATGTGTGTGACTCAGTATATATATGGGATTGGGAGTTACCTGCCGTTAGATGCCATGGGGCTGGCGTGTGGATAGAGAAGCCATTCAGGGCCTGGGCCCTGGAGCAGTCTCGTGGGATCCTGATAGGAGGAAGATCTCGCAAAAGAAGCCGAGAAGGAGCCTTTCTAGGAGAGGGTGGTCACACAGAAGACCGAAGAACTTATTTCAAGAAATGGGGAGTCCTCAACTCCGTCAAACACTGAGAGGTTGAGTGATGAGAGCTTAGCATATTGACCACTGGATTTGGTGACCTGGAGGTTTCCTGCCATCTTAAGAGCAAGTTAGGGGCATGATGTCGGTAAAAGCCTAATGCCAGAGGAATAAGGAGGGAATGGGAGCTCAGCAAGTGAGCAGAGGTGATTCTTGAAATAGCATTTGCTGTGGGGGACAGGATGCAGAGGAATGGGACTGAAGGGGAAATGAGGCCAAGGAAGCTTATTTATCTATGCACATTTTTAAAGATGGGAGTTACTTGTCTGTGACGTTTTTAAGATGGGTGATTCTTGTGTATGTTTGCATGTTATTCCATTAGAAGCAAAGATTCAAAAAGAATGGTTGTTGACGCAGGACGAAGAGAGACAATAGCAACAGAAGCGACATCCTCAGAGAAAATGTGTCAAGAGAATGGTTCCATGTGCTCAGTGGAGGGTCAGCCCTGGGAAGGGGCTGATATGTCCTTTCACTGTTACAAGAGAGAAGGAAGAGAAAGCCAGGATGGGTGTCAGGAGGTTCGCAGAGGAGCTCCTGTCTCACGGCCTTTGTTTTCTTTTTTAAAAAAAATTCTTATTATTTTTTGAATTGGAGTCTCGCTCTGTTCCCCAGGCTGGAGTGCAATGGCGTGATCTCGGCTCACTGCAACCTCTGCCTCCTGGGTTCTAGCGATTCTCCTGTCTCAGCCTCCTGAGTAGCTAGGATTACAGGCACACACCGTGCCCAACTAAATTTTTGTACTTTTAGTGGAGACGGGGTTTCACCATGTTGGTCAGACTGGTCTCCAACTCCTGACCTCAGGTGATCCACCTGTCTCAGCCTCCCAAAGTGCTGGGATTACAGGCGTGAGCCACGGCGCCCGGCTATGGCCTTTGTTTTCTCAGAGAAATAAGAGGAAATGTCTGCTTATCTGTGTGTCCTAATTTTTCATTGACAATCATAGAATATTGGAGTAATCAAAATGTACAAGAGCAGTTGTTGTGGGTTCAGTTTCGCCCCTAAAGAGTTATGCTCAAGTTCTAAGTCCCAATACCTGTGAATGTGACTTTATTTGGAAATAGGGTCTTTGCAAAAAAATAAAATAAAAAACGAAAAAGTCAAATTAAGATGAGGTCCCACAGCATTAGGATTGGTCATACACCACTAATCTAGTGAGTGGTGGCATTATAAGAAGAGGGATATTGGACACACAGACACACAGGTAAGAGCACCATCAGATGAAGGAGGAAGTGCTTGGAGTGATGCATCTGCAACCCAAGAAAAGCCACCAATGACTACTGGTAACCTCCAGAAACTTGTAATAGACTCTCCATCAGAGCTCACCAGAAGGAACCAACCTCACTGACAACTTGATTTCAGACTGGTAGCCTGCAGAACTGCCACAGAATAAATTTCTGTTGTCTTAAGCCGCCCAGTTGGGGTAATGTGTTTTGGCCTCCCTAGGAAATTAACACAGCTGTGTTACATTTAGAAGCATAGATAACCTCAGATTGTGGAAAATCATACTTCCTGGGGGTAATACAGTAGGATTATTGGGTAGTATTGAGTGGTCCCTGTGAAATGTGTGTCCCTATTTTGGTATGGGTCTATATAGCTGCATTTGGTGTTATAATTTATGCAGCAGAGTTCTGTTACTTGGGTGCAGGTGGAGAATAGTTGGATAGCTGGGCCTTACTAGACTCCAGTTTTGCCAGCGGAGAATGACAAAGTGAATGAAGTTTGACAGGTGATGGTGTTTGCAAAGGAGATGAAACAGAGGAGGGAGGGTTGGGGATGAGAAATGAAACTTGAGGGGAAGCCTGAGGTTTGACTGTGAGGACGAGAGGAGTCGGGGAGCAGAGAGGCCGGGGTGTCTTATGGGTCATCCACTAGGAGAGTGACACAAGTAGTGGTATAGAGAGACACAAGACCTTGGTGCACAAGACCTCAGTGAAAGCAAATACAGGGGAAATACCATGACATTGGTATGGACGGTTGTAAAGACACCAATTGTGAAGTGGTATGTGCTATGAACTAGGCTATTCAAATGAGAAACATGAAAAGTGATTTAAAACTCAATGGATTGAATCTTCATCAGAAACCTTTGAACAGGAAATTCCACTCCTAAGAGTTTATGCTGGAAACATAAATGAAGCAGGAGAATTTATTTCTCTGTGTGTGTGTGTGTGTAAGATAATAAATATACATGTTAAAATGTACATACATGCATATACACACACACATACATACATGCGTATTATGTGTCTTCATTATCAACCTATAATCAGTTGTATTCCATGTAAGCCACCTCCTCTTTTTAAGAAACATCATGAGATGTTTCAGGTCTGTACATATGAAGATGTACATATAGCCTACTTGGCCAGCCCCACTGACCCTGATACCCTGCACAGTTTGCACAGATAGGCCACAATGACCACTGCTCAGTCATAGTGTGACCTCCTGAAACATGTGTCTGCCTGCTTTAAGCCCACCAATTAAAACTCCCCACGGGAAACCCGTTTGGATAACCCCTGGGATGCGCATAAGGTTGTTGGCCCACGGGTCCCTTTCTCTCTCCCTGCCTGGGCTCCCTGCCACACATGTGTGCCCTCCAGGTGTGCCAGGTACCCTCCAGGATCGGCAAGTGATAAAATGCCTATTTCCATCTGTGTCTCTTCTAATCATTGGAGGGGTGCTCTTTACCTTAAATATCCTATATTAAAACAGGTATTCAGTCCCACAGGGGAAGAAATCTCTCCAGGGGATTCAGGCTGGGATGCAAGCAACCATAGCAGGCAGTAAGGGGCAGTGCATGAGGGTGTTTGTGCAGCATATCAAGACATGTTATGTAGATCACGACAAGCCACAAGAGGAGGTTCTTGCCAATGCACAGTGGTGTTCTAGAGAGAGACCATGCTCCCTTCTTCTTTTCATTAACTTCACTTGGATTGATGCCAGAAAGTAAACATCTGTACTTCTCCGTAGTCCAGAAAAGACTGGTCTTGGAACTTGAGTTTGGGGGTGAGCACAGAATCGTTGGGAACATCTCACCATGATGGCATGTCACCAATTGCCACCCACAACTGTATATTCCCGAATCTGGGCAAAGCGACACATTTTCAGACAACCCCATCAAGTGGATCTTGTGCAAATGGGACCTGAAGGCACAAGCAGGAATGACGAGTAATTTGCTCACACCTCTCCCCTTCTCATGCTTTATTCAAAACTATGTCTTCACAGGGAGTTATACCTGATCTTTAGTACTTTTGATACACAGAAGCTGAAAGAATAGTTGGCGCCAAGTAAGGACCAGATTCTGTGTTGGAGTTATTTGAATAGGCAAGACTCTCAAAACGTGTCCAGAGAATAAACACACACACACACACACACACACACACACACACACACACACACACGTGTAATTTTGGTAATCTCCCCTATGTTCCTATGCATTGGCATTTGCCCTCTCAGCCCATTGTGCTTACTATGATATCCCAAAATAAGGAAGACTGACTGCCATCCTAGCTGGCCTCCTAATGTTGTGGATTTGGGTCGGTGTTCTGAGCTCCCCTCACCTCCTCTTATTTGTATGCAGAACTGCTGTACTGCTTCTGATCCACTTGGCCAAGAACAGCAGTGGGCTGTGTCTAGTGAATTGCTATGACTTTCTCAGTCTCCCCATCAGTCAGACACAGCCTGTCCTACAGAATTCTGGAAAGGTCTCTTGTAGACTCCATTCTAGTATCAACTTGGGGACTACAAGTTTTTCTGTTAGAGTGTTGAGCCAACACACGTGGAGTGCACTTTATGCCAGAAGTGAGACATCTTGACCTCTCCTCCGTAGCCCAGAAAACGCTGCTCTGGGAACTTGTACTTAGACATGAGCATGGAATCTGTCATGATTACAGATGTGTGCCCCTTCCCTCAACGTTTTCAGATTTTACACCCAACGGGGAGAATTCTCCTATCAGGGAACATTAATAAAGTGCCATTTACGGCTTCTACATTCAGGCATACCTCATCTTACTGCACTTCTCTTCATTGCACTTTGCAACTACTGTGTTT
The DNA here is from genome assembly GCF_000001405.40 of Homo sapiens. Lineage (NCBI taxonomy): Eukaryota > Metazoa > Chordata > Mammalia > Primates > Hominidae > Homo > Homo sapiens. The sequence goes on along the minus strand of NC_000023.11, from coordinate 135,146,821 downwards.
CTTCGAAACTGAAGGTTTGTGGAAACCCTATGTCGAGCAAGTCTATTGGTGCCATTTATCCAACAGCGTGTGCTCACTTTGTGTTCCTGTGTCACATTTCGGTAACTCTTATTTCCAACTTTTTCATTCCTGTGATATCTGTTATGGTAATCTGTGATCAGTGATCTTTGATGTTACTATTGTCATTCTGTTGGGGCACCAAGAACCACACCCATATCAGACAGCAGCGAACTAAACGAATGTTGTGTGTGTTCTGATGACTCCACCGACAAGCTGTTCCCCATCTCTCTCCTTCTCCTCAGGATATCTTATTCCCTGAGGCGCAACAATATGGAAATTAGGCCAAGCAATAACCCCAAAATAGCCTCTAAGTGTTCAAGTGACAGGAAGACTCACAAGTCTCTCACTTTAAATCAAAAACTAGAAATGATTAAGCTTCCTGAAGAAGGCATGTCAAAAGCCAAGACGGGCTGAAAGTTAGGTCCCTTGCACCAGTCACCCAAGTTGTGAACGCAAAGGGGAAAAGTTCTTGAGGGAAATCAAAAGTGCTACTGCAGTGAGCACACCAATGATAAGAAAGCGAGAAACAGTCTGATAGCGGTGTGAAGAGTTTTAGTGGTCCGGATAGAAGGTCAATCCAGCCACAACATTCCCTTGAGCCAAAGCCTAATCCAGAACAAGGCCTAGCTCTCTTCAGTTCTATGAAGGCTGCAAGAGGTAATGAAACTGCAGAAGTAAGCTAGCAGATTAAACCGTTTCCATAACATAAAAGTGCAATAGGCACCAAGGCAGGGTGGCTCATGCCTGTAACCCCAACAGCTTGGGAGGCCGAGTTGGGAACATTGCATGAGGCAGGGAGTTTGAGACCAGCCTGGGCAACGTAGTGAGACCCTGCCTCTACAAAAAAAAAAAAAAAAAAAAAAAAAATTAAAATGAGCCAAGGGTGGTGGCACACACCTGTAGTCTCAGCTACTCAGGAGGCTATGGTGGGTGGGGGATCACTTGAGCCCAGGAGTTCGAGGCTGCAGTGAGCTGTGATCATGCCACTTTACTCTGGCCTGGGTAAAAGAGCAAGATGCTGCCTCTAAAAACTTGAAAAGAAAATATTTTCAAAGTGCAAGATGAAGCATCAAATGCAGAAGTTGAGGCTGCAGCACGTTATCCAGAGTCTCTGTTTTGGTACCAGAACCATGCTGTTTTGGTTACTGTAGCCTTGTAGTATAGTTTGAAGTCAGGTAGCATGATGCCTCCAGCTTTGTTCTTTTGGCTTAGGATTGACTTGGCAACACGGGCTCTTTTTTGGTTCCATATGAACTTTAAAGTGGTTTTTTTTAATTCTGTGAAGAAAGTCATTGGTAGCTTGATGGGGGTGGCATTGAATCTATAAATTACCTTGGGCAGTATAGCCATTTTCACGATATTGATTCTTCCTACCCATGAGCATGGAATGTTCTTCCATTTGTTTGTATCCTCTTTTATTTCATTGAGCAGTGGTTTGTAGTTCTCCCTGAAGAGGTCCTTCACATCCCTTGTGAGTTGGATTCCTAGGTATTTTATTCTCTTTGAAGCAATTGTGAATGGGAGTTCACTCATGTACAACTATGTGATCTTTGACAAACCTGACAAAAACAAGCAATGCGGAAAGGATTCCCTATTTAATAAATGGTGCTGGGAAAACTGGCTAGCCATATGGAGAAAGCTGAAACTGGATCCCTTTCTTACACCTTATACAAAAATTAATTCAAGATGGATTAAAGACTTACATGTTAGACCTGAAACCATAAAAACCATAGAAGAAAACCTAGGCAATCCATTCAGGACATAGGCATGGGCAAGGACTTCATGTCTAAAACACCAAAAGCAATGGCAACAAAAGCCAAAATTGACAAATGGGATCTAATTAAACTAGAGAGCTTCTGCACAGCAAAAGAAACTACCATCAGAGTCAACAGGCAACCTGCAGAATGGGAGAAAATTTTTGCAACCTACTCATCTGACAAAGGACTAATATCCAGAATCTCACTGAACTCAAACAAATTTACAAGAAAAAAACAAACAACCCCATCAAAAAGTGGGCGAAGGATACGAACAGACACTTCTCAAAAGAAGACATTTATGCAGCCCCAAAACACATGAAAAAATGCTCATCATCACTGGCCATCAGAGAAATGCAAATCAAAACCACAATGAGATACCATCTCACACCAGTTAGAATGGCGATCACTAAAAAGTCGGGAAACAACAGGTGCTGGAGAGGATGTGGAGAAATAGGAACACTTTTACACTGTTGGTGGGACTGTAAACTAGTTCAACCATCGTGGAAGTCAGTGTGGCGATTCCTCAGGGATCTAGAACTGGAAATACCATTTGACCCAGCCATCCCATTACTGGGTATATACCCAAAGGATTATAAATCATGCTGCTATAAAGACACATGCACACGTATGTTTACTGCAGCACTATTCACAATAGCAAAGACTTGGAACCAACCCAAATGTCCAACAATGATAGACTGGATTAAGAAAATGTGGCACACATACACCATGGACTACTATGCAGCCATAAAAAAGGATGAGTTCATGTCCTTTGTGGGGACATGGATGAAGCTGGAAACCATCATTCTCAGCAAACTATCGCAAGGACAAAAAACCAAACACCGCATGTTCTCACTCATAGGTGGGAATGGAACAATGAGAACACATGGACACAGGAAGGGGAACATCACACACCGGGGACTGTTGTGGGGTGGGGGGAGGGGGGAGGGACAGCATTAGGAGATATACCTAATGCTAAGTGACGAGTTAATGGGTGCAGCACACCAACATGGCACATGTATACATATGTAACAAACCTGCACGTTGTGCACACGTACCCTAAAACTTAAAGTATAATAATAATAAAATTTAAAAAAAGAAATAAAACAAAGAAATTTCTTCCCCCAAGATATCTAAAAACATGACATGGGAAATCTTTGTATTTGTAAAAATAAACAATTAAACAGATGGTACAATGAAAAAAAAAAAGATGATGAGGGTGGCTACGCTGAACAACAGATTTTCAGTCTGAATTAGACTGTCTTCTATTGGAAGATGTTACGTAGGATTTTCATAGCTAGGGAGGGGAAGCCAATCCCTGCCTTCAAACCTTCAAAGGACAGGCTGACTCTCATGTTAAGGGCTAATTCACCTAAACATATTCAGTTGAAACCAATGCTCGTTTATCATTCCAAATATGCTAGGGCCCTGAAGCACTATGCCAAATCAGCTCCACCCATGCTCTATAAATGGAACAACAAAGCCTGGATGACAGCACACCTGCTTACAACATGGTTTGCTGAATATTTTAAGCCCACTGTTGAGACCTACTGCTCAGGAAGAAAAAGAAAAGAGAGATTCCTCTCAAAATATTATTGCTCATTGACAATGCAATGGTCACCCAGGAGCCCTGATGGAAATGTACAAGAAGATGAATGTTGTTTCCATGCCTGCTAACACAACATCCATTCTGCAGCCCATAGATCAAGCAGTAATTTTGACTGACTGCCAAGTCTTATTTAAGAAATACATTTGATAAGGCTACAGCTGCCATAGGGAGCTGGACAAAGTAAATGGAAAACCTCCCCTGATGGAGCTGGACAAAGTAAACAGAAAGCCTTCTGGAAATGATTCACCATTCTAGATTCCATTAGGAACATTCATGAGTCGCAGGAGGAGGTCAAAATATGAATGTCAACAAGAGTGTGGAAGATGTTGATTACAAACCTCTGGCTGACACTGATGGTTAAAGACTTGATTGGAAGAAGTTACTGCAGATGTATTGGAAATAAAAAGAGAATTGGAATTGGAAGTGGAGCCTGAAGATGTGAGTGAATTGATAAAACTCGAATGGATGAGTTGCTTCTTACGGATGAGTGAAGAAAGTGTTCTCTTCAGATGGAATCGACTCCCAGTGCAGAAGATGTGAACGTTGTTAAAATGACAACATAGGATTTAAAATATTACATTAATGCAGTTGACAAAGCAGGTGTGTGTGTGTGTGTGTGTGTGGGTGGGGGGGATTGTTGAGAGGATTGGGTGCAATATTAAAGCAAGTTTTACTCTGGGTAAAATGCTATCAAACAGCATTGCATGCCACAGAGAAATCTTTCATGAAAGGAAGAGTCAATGAATGTGACCAACTTCATCGTTGTCTTCTCTTAAGGAATTTCCAAAGCCACTCCACCCTCCGGCAACCACCACGCTGGTCAGCCAGCAGCCATCAACATCAAGACCAGACCCTCCACCAGCAAGAAGATGATGACTTGCTGGGGGCTCTGACCATCGTTAGTCTTTTTTAGCAATCAAGTATTTTTTAATTAAAGTGTGTATATTGTTTTGTAGACATAATGCTATCGCTCACTAAATATATTTCTTTATACGGTAAATGAAACTTTCATATGCACTGGTAAATCAAAATATTTGTGTGGCTCACTTTATTGCAGTGGTGAAGACCCAAAAATGCAATAGGTCAGAGGTATGCCCGTAATTGCTTTTCCTTGATTCTTAAAATCGCATGTAATATTTTGCAATGGCCGTGTAACAACATGGAAACATTAGCCCATAGTTTTCTGAGTCTCAACACATTACAGCAGTCCTACAGCAGTGGGGAAATTCACCTGGAGGACTCTGAGTCAAAGCATGGTCCCATGACATTAGCTCTTCATGGTTTTGACAGGGTTTACCTTAAGGGATGCTGTGAGTTTGGGTGTGTCTTTGTCTTTCAGTTGTCTCCATTGTGTGTTATACGTGCATTTCTACTTAAAGAACTAATTTTTGAGTTTTACTTACTGGACATGTCAAAATGTCCATGTATTGTATTTGTATCCTTCAGGTAAAAGCAGGGGTCTCACGCTGATTGGTCCATCCAGCTGGTGTCATTTCTCTGAGAACTGCCCACTGCATACACACCCTTGTGTTTGCTATTGACTGAGTCCCCTGGCCGTAGTTACTTGGTTTCATACTTTTCACCTCAACCTAGCGGAGTCGATCATGGTTTTGTCCTGCCAATTTTGGAGCTCTGGACTAGACTATATGACTGAGTATTTTCCTGCTCAGTCTGATGATACCATTTCTTTACAGAAAATGTGATTTAGAAGATCCACTGTTGAGTTCTCCTGAGCTACCTGCGTTCTTGTTTTTATCAAGCTTATCAGTTGCTTCTATTTCTCAGATTTTGTAGAATAGTTATGGTCTTCTGATAAAAATTTGTTGTAGAGTTCCCACTCATGGATTGCTGTCAGTAGCCAACAGCACAAGTGTGATCAAGGAAACTTGTGGAGCTGCCACATGCATCCTCACATGTACCAGCACAGAGCTCTGACCTTTATAATCTTGTGCACGGAGGTGAGGAGATTGGTGGCAGTGGTGTAGAGGTTTCCAGATCAGGAGGGATGATCTCCCGGTTCTTGAGGTAAGAAATATGGCAGTTAATTGATACCTCCCTATGCTGGCTACCCATATGCTGAAGAGTGAAACTGGACCCCTCCATTTCACCATACACAAAAACCAACTCAAGATGGATTAAAGATTTACATGTAAACAGATAATTATAAAAAAAAAAAAAAAAATCCTAGAAGACAACCTAAGAAATGCCATTCTAGACATAGGCCCTGGCAAAGATTTCATGATGAAAACACCAAAGACAATTATGACAAAAACAAAAATTGAGAAATGGGACCTAATTGAACCAAAGAGCTTCTGCACAGCAAAACAAGCTATCAACAAAGTAAACTGACGACCTCTATAATGGGAGTAAAATTTGCAAATTCTGCATCTGAAAAAGGTCTAATATCCAAATTCCATAAGCAGCTTAAAGAAATTAACAAGCATAAAACAAACAGCCCCATTAAAAATGAGCAAAGGACACGAACAGACACTTCTCAAAAGAAGATATACGCGTGCCACAAGAAGCATATGAAAAAATGCTCAACATCACTAATCATCAGATAAATGCAAATTAAAACCTCAGTGTGAGACCATGTCACACCAGTCAGTCAGAATGGCTATCATTAAAAAGTCAGAAAATAACAGAAGCTGGCATGACTGTGGAGAAGAGGGAATGCTCATACACTGCTGGTGGGAATGTAAATTAGTTCAGCCACTGTGGAAAGCAGTTTGGAGATTTCTCAAAGAACTTACACAGAACTACCATTCGACCCACCAATCCCATTACTGGGTATATACCTAACTAATTATATAAATCATCGTACTGTACAGACAGATGCACACATATGTTCACTGCAGCACTATTCACAATAGCAAATACATGGAATCGACGTAAGTGGCCGTCAATGGTAGACTGAATAAAGAATATCTGGTGTATCTATACCATGGAATACTATACAGTCATCAAAAAGAATGAGATTGTGTCCTTTGCAGCAACAGGGTGGGGCTGGAGGGCATTATCCTAAATGAATAAATGCAGGAACAGGAAACCTAGTACTACGTGTTCTCACTTACAAGTGTGAGCCAAACCTTGAGTATACATGGAAACAAACAATAGACAAATAGACACCTGGGCCTATGTGACGGTGGAGGGTGAGAGGAGGACGAGGATAGAAAAACTACCTGATGCGTACTATGTTTATTTTCTGTGTGATGAACTAATTTGTATACGAAGCCCCCATGACATGCAATTTTCCATATAACAAACTTGTGCATGTACCCCCTGAACCTAAAATAAAAGTTGGAAAGAATTTTTAAAAGGTGGCTCTTTGACAAGATCAAAACAATTTTGAACCTCTAGCTAGGCTAAGTAAAAAAAAAAAGAGAGAGAGAGAGAACACAAATACTGATATCAGAAGTGAAACAGGGGCCACCACCAATGATCCCAGGTACATTAAATGAATAATAAACAACTTAACTCCCACAGATTCCATAACCTAGATGAAATAAAACAATTCTGAAAAGGCACAATCTATCAAAACACACAGAAGAAGAAGCAGATACTTTGAATAGGCCTATGACTATTAAGGAAATTGAATCAATAATTAATACCTTCCAAAACGGAAATCAGGAAACCCGGCTGGGTTTACTGGGAAATTCTACCAAACATTTAAGTTTTAAACTATACGAATTGTCTACAATCTCTTCAAAAGTTTGAATCAAAGAGAATTCTTCCTAACTCATTCCTTGAGGCCGGTATTACCCTAATACCAAAATCAGACAAAGATGTTATAAGGAAGGAAAACTATAGGCTAATATCTCTCACGAACACCAATGTAAATATTCCCAATAATACATTATCAAATTAAATCCAATAAGGTGTACAAAGAAATATACGCCATGACCAAGTGCGATTGATTACATTTGTCAAAGCCCATAGACTATGCAACACAATGAGTGAGCCCCATATAAATTACCAGCTTTGGTTAATAATAATGTATCAATACTGGCTCTTCGGTGGTAACAAATGTCCCACACTAGTGCAAGATGTGAATCATAGAGGAGACGGTGGTGGTGGGCATATGTGAACTGTCAGTACTTTCCACTCAATTTTTCTTTAAAACAAATATAGTCTATTAGTCTAAAAATCTTGAGTATGTAGATTAAGGGAACAATTGAGAAATAATCTAGCACTGCTATTACAATCTAACAAGTCTATGTGTGTCAGGTGATGAACAGATTTGTCTAACAATGTGTCCATAATGTCCTGGGTCCCATCACGCTCTTACTCGGTAGATGCTGTGGGATCCCTGCTGCTACCCACACACTTGTCTAACTGCATTCTTTAACTCAGAGCAGTAGAGCCTCACATTTTTATTTTGGGGACGTGGGATACAGGTGGGCTTTCTATGCCTTGGAAAATCTGAGGCTAACGTGGACCTGTTCCTTCCTAAAACCTCCTGAACCACAACCCGTCTGGTACAATTCAGAGACCCCCAGAAGTGCAGTCACGGAGCCCCAGTGAGGGATCCCTATCACCTCCTTCTGTGTGAAGCCAGTCCCTCCACCATGTCTCTAAATGGCCACAGATACATGTCAAGTCTTGTCCTGATCTGTCAACCACCCCCTCCCTCTAGGGTCTTTACCTCTCCCTGGGGAGTGTTTCCTGAATGAAGGGAGGAAGAAGGAAACAGAAGGATGGGTGTCTGCACTCAGCAGGTAACTGGCCTCAGGCTACTGAGTCAAACACTGTGCTTATGGGCACCGATGACAGAGCCAGGCTGCTTGGACCCAAATCCCAATTCTCCCAGGCTTGGGGCCTTTAGGCAAGTTGTTCAACTTCCTTAGACATTCAGTTCCTCATCTACAAAAAAAGCTATGATAATAATCCCTGCCTTGCAGAGCTTTGAGGATTAAGTTAGTTGTCACACATAATGGGCACAAGACTGTGTCCAGCATAGATTACATACTCTCTAAGTCTCTGCAATTACAAGTACCATAAAGAAGGAGCCTGCATTCATCTTCCTTCCCCTCTCTTGTGTTTTTCATGCTGAGACATGATGAAAAGACAGGCCACGCACACTATGCTCCTTTCATGACCTATTACCACCCCAATTCATTCCCATGACTCTCAGCATTCCTCTACGTTCAGTGAACCCTTCCAGCCCGCTGCACTGGGGACTACTGTCCTCCACCCTGTAGACCTCTCTTGATGCCCCAGCACTGCTTCCACCTGGTTCTTAAGACCCTCACTTTCCCCCTCCCTCTGTGTGTTCATCTTTTGCAGTGATCATGCCTGTTTTCTCTACAGGAGAGGAAAGACAAACAGATTACAGTCACAGTGCCAAGGAATTACAGAAGACCCATCCTAACTGGTCACCCTGCTTCATGTTTTGGCTCCTTCCAGCCTGTTCATAACCACACGGCCCGAGGGATCACTGGAAAGCTCCAAACCTTTCAGGGATTTCAAATGTCACGTACAGTAACGTCCGAAACACTTTCAGGGCCCTACAAGGCCCCACAGAGACCAAAACTTTATTACCTCTCATGACATTCTCTCTATATTTTGCATATTTAATATCATGTCATTTTTTAATAGAGATGGCTTTTAACTTTCCGCTTCAAAAACTCCTTCTTTGTTTTCTTTTTTTTCTATATTGATTTGGCTCAAATGTCCAGTGCAATACTGAATAGACGTGGTAAAGCTGGCATCCTTATCTTGTTCCTGATCTCAGGGGAAAAGCTTTCAGTCTTACCAAACTCTATCCTCCTACAAGAGACTCACGTCACATGAAAGAAGCACATAGACTGAAAGTGAAGGGATTGAGAAATATATTCTATGAAAACAGAAACCAAAAAGAGAGCAAGGGTATCTTTACCCATATCAGATGAAATACCTGTAAGTCAAAAGAGAGCAAAGGAGACAAATAAAGTCACTCTATAATAATACGGACATCCATTACTCAAGATGATTTAACAATTGTAAGTATAAGTACAGCCAATACGAGACCACCAACATGCATAAAGGAAATATTAGTAGATCTGAAGGGAAAGATGAACCACAATACAATAATAGTAGGGGAGTTTAACACCCACTTTCAATAATGGAAAGATCATCCAGACAAAAGGAACATTGAACTTAAACTACACCTTAGACCAAATGGACCTAACAGACTTCTACAGAACATTCCATCGGAGAGTAACAGAAATACACGTTTTTCTCCAGTGCACACAGAACGTTCTCCAGGATAGATTGGTCCTATGTTTGGCCACAAGACACGTCAAAACAATTGATTGTGAGGACTGAAGTCATATCAAGTATGTTTTCTGATCACAATGATATGAATCTAGAAACCAATAATTGGGGCAATCAGGAAATTCATAAATATGTGGAAATTGACGCACGAGCCACTGAACAACAAATGGGCCAAAGAGGAACTCAAAAGTGAGATAAAGAGTACCTTGACACAAACAACAATGGTAATACAACATACCAAAACGTATGGGATGAAGTAAAAGCCTTTCCAAGTGAGAAATTCATAGCAGCAAATGCCTGTATCGAGAGAGCAAAAATATCTTAAATAAAAAAGCTAACATTACACCTCAAGGAACTAGAGAAAGACAAACACACTAAGAACAAATTAGCACAAGCGAGAACATAACAAAAATCAGAGCAAAAATAAATGAAAAAGAGACTATAAAAGCAATAGAAAAAATGCAATGAAATCAAGAGTTGGATTTTTTAAAAGATAAACAAATTCGTCTTTGTTAGCTACACTAACTAAGAAAAACAGAAAGAAGACAACATAAAGAAAACCAGAAATAAAAGAGGAGACATTACAATTGGTACCACAGAAATACAAAGGATCATAAAAGATTACTATCAAAAATTATATGCCAACGAATTGGAAGACCTAGAAATAATGGGACAATTCCTAGATACGTATAAGCTACCAACAGAGAATCAGGAATAAATAGAAACTGGAGGACATTATGTTAAGGGAAATAAGCTTGGCACAGGAAGACACATTTTGACACATTTTGCATCTTCTCACTCATCTGTGGGAGCTAAAAATTAAAACAATTGAACTCTGAGAACAATGAGGAGGTTTCTCTGCGGGACTCTTGCTTGTGGGTTCTGGGCTTGAGAGGCACCTCTGGGTTTGAGCTCTCCGCTGTCTCTGCTACACAGGGACTCTGACAGTCCACAGACGTCGTGTCACCCAGTAGCTGCTCTTCGGGGCTTGGGGAGCGCGGGGTGATGCCCGGGCCATTCACAGTCTTTTTGTAAATTGCGACCATGAAGTGCATTCCTGTCTAAAGAAACAAAAAATGAATACACGCTCTCCAGTTTTTTTTTTTTTTTTCTGCTCTGACATTTTTTCTTCATTTTCTTTGCCAATATCAAACCCGAGAGAAGAGATAGGAATTGCAGATGTCACCCCGCTCCAAGGAGAACAGAGAGATGGAGAAGAAGAAGAGCCATCTTCGATGCCTAGTGGAAAGGTAGAAGCTCCCAAGCAACATCCTAAACCTCTTTACCGTGATTAAGGCTGCATTTTTCTTTTCTTTCTTCCCAGGCGTTCAGTGAACACTTGCCCACCTCTCTTGGGGTCAGGTAACTGAATCACGCCCTTTGAATCCTGCAGTTCTCAGTGCAGACAATGTTTTGCTTGAGAGAAGCTACTTTCTAGGCACTTCAACATTCATTCAGGAGAGCTGCCTCACAAGTGCCCTGAATGCGGGAAAGGATTCCCTCATAGGTCCAACCGTTATCGGCACCAGCCAGTTCACGTGTGGGAGACCCCTGTGAATGCACAGTGCATAACAAGCGAATAATAAGTCGCACCTCACAGCACCTGTGAAGACGTTGTGATAAGGAAATGTATGAGTGCCTTGAGTGCAGGAAAGGTGTTTCTCCTAGATCAAGTCTGACAGGACACCCGAATGCTTTCACAGGTGAAAAATCTCAAGGTTGTCACAGTTGTGGGGAAAGCTTTAGTCAGTCGACAGCTCTTTTTTGCACCCGAGAACACACGCTGAGGGGATACCATTTATATGTGATACTTGCGGGACAAGCTACAGACAGAGATCAAGTCTTGTTATTCGCTTAAGAATCTATACGTGGGAGAAGCCATACAAATGTAGGCACTGCTCTAAAAGCTTCATAAAGAGAGCAGACCATATGATGCACCAAGCTGCACACTTTAGAGAGTTCTCTAAGCATATCTTGAGGGAAACAGGTCCTACAGAAATGAACAGTTACTCATAAAGGCCTTTGCTTGCGGTAGGCTGTCTTGGAAGTAGAGTTTTCGTCTACCTCATTTAAGAGAATAGCTTTGCATTTTGCTATTAAATGTTCACCTACCCTTGCCACTGCCCTACATTGCATATTTTTCTGCCTAGGCAGATCTTGCTTCATCATTTCGATAAAAATGTCTTTGTCCCAAGCCAACCACATCATAGGGGTAAGGAGTATGTAAGCAGTGGCATTCCTTTCAGAACTCAGGACCATACAGCAGGAAGCATGAGGTGCCCGACTGATCTTTATCTATGCAATATTTTAATCAAGTGGACAGGCATATGCTCTTCCTATTTCAGTCTCATTACCACATTGTCTGAGCAATTGAGGTTGGAGATGCTTCCCTGAACGGTGGCGAAAAGTATCTCTCTTGACTCCTGCCCCCAGCACGTGCCAGGATCCCTTTCTTCAATACAACCACAGTGTTCTGTTTGTGCATGCTTTGAGCCTTCAACACAGTCCACCTTTGAAGTATGGACTATTTCGAAGAAATAATGGCAACTCATAAGCACTACGAGGGACAGGAAACACTGGCCAACACATACATAGCAGGAAGATGAAATATTGGTGTGCAGGTGCTATTCACAGTGAGCTTTCCAAAAATATCAGCCTATTGTACTCTCCTTCTATGTTGTTTGAAACGATAAGTGCATTTAAGGCTATGACTTGTACTTTAAGTCTAGCTTTGGTCACATTCCATAAGTTATAGACAATGTTCTTACTTCTGATTTTGCACGTTTCTCTTTTCAGTTTCGATTTCATTTCCTCCTTGCCTCAAGAACTGGACAATGTGGACATGTACCGGTCAATTTTTTGTTATATTGCACTTTGATTAATAGTTGGGGTTCTTTCCATTTCTCCTTTGAAGTTTACTTAGATGTTCTTGAAGGATTATATCCTAAAGACCATAAGAAAATCAGGATTTGATTTGTAGAGCGCACTTGTAGCATGCAGTCTGGGGACTCACAATTGCTTTTGTTTCATCAGGACACAGAGTAGATGGCCTTGCTCCCCATTCTGAATGCCTGCATTTTTGTACTCTCCATTCCTTCTTAAGAATTTGCTGTCATAGAGCAATTTGTAATCTTTTGTCATAGAGTGATTTTGCTATAGAGATGTTCTCTGTTACGGAGTAATGCTTAACAGTTGCCTAGGTATGAAGGTAGCAATAGAAAAGGGAGGTTAAATTGAAAACCTAGGAAAGACCAAGCCTCTCTAAATCAGGCTGACAACAGTCTCCTCCAGAATCCCTTACTTGTCTTCCCTCCTGAACATAGAGAGGACCTGTAGGGGTCCCTCTAAGGTTTTTGCAACCTTGACCACCCCCCTTACCCCCACCCCCCACCCCGGAGTCTGCAGGGATGGTTCCATAGTGTGCCAGGTATGTTGTCCAGGCTAAAATCCAGGAAAGTAAGGAATACACAGGGGAATCAGCCCCCAGGCGGCTCAGCATCAGGTAAGGGAGGAGAGACATTACACTTTGTCCGCTTGCCCCTGCAGCACACAGGCCATCCCGAGCAGAAACAGTCATGGGCACCTCCAGGAAACTGCACGGGCTTTCTTCTTGCAACACTTTCTCATTTCTAGCCCGGTCATATGGGCTGAATACTGCCATATATAAACAAAGCTCACCCTTAAACCCGGGCCAGCCCTCTACTTCTTGTCCTCCAGTCCTCTGTAACAGATGTGAAGTAGAATGCATCCAGAGCTCATCCCTCTGGCTCTCTTTTGCATTTACACTAAGCTCACTCAGCCCCCACTTCTTGGTTGTTAACAGTTGGGTTTGCGGATGTTGCTGGATTCCTTTCTCCCATCCAGTTGTTTAGTTTGCATGTTCAGACAGGACTTCTCGGAGGTCTAGCAAGCGTTGGTTTCACATTGTTAAGGATCTTGAGTATTAAAATGTTACAAACATATTGATATATTTTAGATAATTACTTTCAATTGGCATCTCTAATACTGAACACAAGAATAGGAACGTATAAATTATTGAAGACGACTTCAAGAACTAAAATGTGAGGCCTTTTAAAAAGAGTCAGATGGTATCACCAGGTCTGAGAGTGGTCTCTTGAGTCTTATCAGCATTACATTTTACAAAAATTCTTCTTCGGACATCTCTTCCCAACTAGGTTCCCTCACTAAGAAGGAGAGAGTATGAAAGGCAGGCAGTGAAAGACAGGAGGCCTCTCATCCTAGTCTTCAGTATGAGAGGCGAGACCTCCACTGCTCTACCTGCTGACCCTCTTCGGTCTATCCTGGGCAGGGTGAAGTTCCTCCTCCCAAGATGTTACTCTCAGGGCAATTTCCCCCATGCGAAAGAGCCCTCCAATGCGCCAAGGCAGGAAAGAAGGGTGAAGGACATCTGTGGTTCTTGCTACAATTCTTCCCCTTCATTATGAGAGATGACATAATTAGCATTGAGAAATCTCCCAAATGTTTACCAACTGAAGCGCCTCGACAAGTCTCCAGGTCTTTGTTACTTTCTTTGTTGTGGTTGTGCTAAAGATGGCTGTAAATGATGTCCTAACAATCTATGGCAGGCAGAAAAAATGCCCTTCAAGATGTCCAAGACCTATTCCCCAGAACAGATTAATATGGTACCTTCCAACACAAAAGGAAGTGTGCATATGTGATCATGTCAAGGGTCTTCAGTTAGGGACATTATGCAGTATTATCCAGGTCAATCCAAAGTAATTACAAGAGACCTTGCAAGAGGGAGGCAGGAGGGTCAGAGTGAGTACTAGGACATATGAGGACAGGAGCTAAAGTTTGGAGTGATGCCAGGAAGGGACCCTGAGCCAAGCAACGCAGGTGTCCTCTGGAAGCTGAAAAAGGTGAGGAAATAGTTTGTCCAGAAAAGCCTCCAGAAGGAACTCGGCCCAGCTGGCACCTTGATTTTAGACTTCTGTCTTCCAGAACTGTACTAAAATAAACTTGTGCTGTTTTAAGCCACTAAATTTGTGGTCATTTGTTATACAGCAGTAGGAAGCTCCTACACCTATCATCAAGAGGGGGGGTCTATGCCCCCTGCCCTTGAATCTTGACAGGTTGAGCCAGCTTTAACAGAGTACAGCACAAGTGAAGCTGTGTGGATTCTGAGGCGAGGTCCTAGAAGACAGCACTGCTTCCATTTTGTTCTCTAGGGGTACAGGGGACAGACGTTGAGCACCAGTTAAAGGTCTGTGTCTGTGTTAGTTTGATGCTTGCCCTGTGTATGCATGTGTGTGTTTATGCTTCCTTTGAAGAGAGTTCTGTGCTGTGTTTACTTCCATATTGGCTAAAGGTTCCTCATTTGCCTTGTGTCATTAACACGTCCCAGTTGGAAAACCTCACAGATTTGTTTCTCTATGAGCACAATCTGCTTTTAAAAATCACTTTCTGAATCCTCTGTACTTGCATGAAACAAACACCTCACAGCGTGAGATTTTAACACTTTCTAGCTGGATGTGTTATGCAGACACATAAAAGGCCCCCTTTCACATTAAATTTGCTACATTTTCTGTTTTCCCATATTGCTTCACGCTGAAAATATACATTTACAGAATATATTTGTGGGGGCAAAACATGTTTAAATGCTCATTGAAAAATATCAAAATACAGGACACCGAGTGAAAAGCACAACTTCTCTCTTGTCCAGTTCTAAAGTCTAGAGGCAATCATGATATTTCCGTGATTCCTTTCAGATATTTTGCTATAGAAGTCTTCTCTGGCATTTCGAAAATAATTTCATATTACATACATTGTCCTGTAAACTTGCTTTTTTCGTTTTAGAATGTACACGGGCTTCATTGCACATTGGCACACAAAAATCCATCACATTGCTTTCAATGAATGTTGTGTCATCCACAGAACGGACTCACCAGAGTGCATTCAGACAGGCCCCTGTTGATAGACATGTGAGTTGATTCCAACTGATAACCCCCTGGCAAGGGGGACAGGCAGGTGAATGTGGCAAGGCGATGACAAGGATCCGAGTACAAAATTGCTACCTCACACGGCCATGGATCCATTGTCGAACACAGTCTGGATATATGTTTACCTGGGGAAAGCAAACAGGGCAAGCGTCTTGATGGATAACCCCCTTACAAATGGAAAGTTCAAAGTGGAAGTATAGATAGATATCTCACTTGGTTGGTGGGATTTTAACAAGTTTTGTTTATACCAGTTATGAGGAAAAAGATCAAAGGCCCCCTCTAACACTTAGCTGGTCATATTTTCTGTTGTTCTATATAATTTTACCCTGGACTCTATGCATCGATTATATGTAATGTGACAGGAAGCATTTCAGTGCTCACAGAAAACCAATCAAATATACAGCCCCCAGAGGAAAAATCACATTGTCTCTCTCTCCAGTTACACTCCATTGTGGCCGCATGTTATTTATTATGTATCCATCCAAATATTTAAACACTAAAAAAGCTTACCATTGTTTGTAGAACTGGCGTCACAGGGTGTGCAGTGTACGCACTTCCAACTTGCTTGCTTGCTTCTTGTAATGATGTATGTGGCCATCTTTACACATTACTATACAGAAATCCACCACATGTTTTTTAATGGCTACAAGGTAATCCACTGAATGGATTCACCAAAATCTATTCAGACAGGCACCTCCTGATAGACATTTAAGGTGTTCATATTTTATAAGTAATTGCCCAGTGTGGCCTGAAGGTAAGTGATCTAGGAAGATGGCAGGGAGGTGGAAATACAGCCATGTAATTACATGCCCACAGTGGTGAGTCAACACCGCTGTGCCTTCTCCAACCACTGGCTTGGTCAACTGTTTTCCCAGTGGAGACTGCCCATGCATAGGAAATCCTCCTAGGTTCCTGTGAGCATGTACAGCCAAGGACAGCAGAGAGCCACTTACTGGAGCAGAACACGTGTGGTTGGATCAAATGCTGGACAATTTTTGAAGAGAGGTTTGCAAAAATGCAAAGTTAAAGATGAGAGCAAGGTTGATGCCAAAGGAATAAAGGCAGCCAGGGGAAAGGTCCAAAACTAGGGTTGAACAGGCCGCATGAGGATGGGGAAATTTTGAAAGGTAAAGATGTCTCCAGGGAGGTAAAATGGATTTTCAAGAAGCTAGAGGCATTTTCTTTATCTTGTCACCACTCTGCAGTCAAAGACCACCAGGAACACACCCGTAGTTAAACAAGCTCAACTTTCTGAGTACAGTTTATTGCTTGATGAACAAGTTGAGTTCATTACTCAAAGAACAAAAGGAGACTGCAAGGCATGAGGGAACCATGGAGACTCTCAGGAAGAGAGTGTTAGAAAGAAATAAGATCTGGGCTTCAGCTAGGTGATTTAGAGGAGGGTTTCCTGAAGCAGGGTTTGGCTCTGGATTGGATGCTGCCAGGAAGTGGGGGGTAATTTTGTGACTGGGTATATTTGTAAACCTTATCCTAGAGGAACGAAGATTTGAAAAAAGCTATTGTTGGCACAGAAGGAGTAGTCACTCACATCAGCCAGGATGGCAGGTGTTTGGTGCCTTTTGTGACTTGGGCAATGTTCCTGTTTTGTTGTCTTCAGACTAGATTTGGCAGTGGCCTTGTTGTTGTTGTTTGTTTTATCTAGACATTTTACCTTAAAAGAGATTTATATTTATACAAAAGTTGTGAAGATAGTACAGCGAGGTCCCTCATATCCCTCACCCAGTTTCCCCTATGCATCTTGCACTAAAGTGTCATTAGCATTTGATACGGTTAGTGAACCGATCCTAATACATTATTATGACCCAAAGTCCTCACTTTATTCAGACTTCCTCCATTTTAATCAAATGTCCTTTTTCTGTTTCAGCCTCACATACAGGATGCTACATTATATTTAAAATAATCATGCCGTCTTAGGGTGCTCTTGGTTGTGATAGTTTCTCAGACTTCCCTTGTTTCTGATGACTCTTGACAGCTTTGATGACTACTGGCCAGGTATTTTGCAGAATGTCTTTCGACCGGGATTTGCCAGGTGATTTTCTCATGATGACACTGGGGTTACGGGTTTTCGAGAGGAAGACCAAGAAAGTTAAGTGCCATTCTCATCACCCCCTATCAAGAGAGCATACAATCCACATGACATGACAGTTAAGTTCAACCTTGGTCACCTGGCTGAGGTCGTATGGATCAGGTTTCTCAGCAGTAAAGGTATGTTTTTCTGCCTTTCCACATTCTACTCTTTGGAAGGAGGTTACTGCGCACAGCATATGCTGAAGGAGGGGAGAGTTCTTTTCTACCTTATCTTGGGTAAAATATCTGCGAAAAATTGGAATTATTCTGCAAAGGAGATTTGTCTCTTCGCCCTATTTATTTATATCAGTATGGACTCATGGATATTTATTTTGTATTTTAAGTTATAATCCAAAAGCACTGTATCTGTTCTGTTGCCCAGCTTGCTCCAGCTTTAGCCATTGGGAGCACTTTTAGCAGGCTCCTGTGTCTCTTTGCCATACTCCCATCATTGTGTGTGTGTTTGTGTGTGTGCTTACTGGTATTACAAGATTCTCCAGGCTCATATTGCACAATCCCAGGCTCAGCCTTGGAATCAGTCGTTTAGCCAAAGAGCCCTGGCTCCTTTTATTGTTGGATGACATTAGAAACCAAGGTTTGGGCTCTAGGTGTGCTCTTTACTACTTGGGTGTCATTGCTTCTTGGCTCTCTCAGCTGACAGAGCAAGAAATCATGTGTGTGCAAGCTGACTCGCGTGTGGTAGGTAAGCAGTGATCCCCCAGTGATGTCTACTTCACAATCCCCATAACCTGTGAATATGTTACCTTACACGAAAAAAGAAAGTTTCAAATATGATTAAGTTAAAGATCGTGACATGAGGAGATTATCCCACATTATGGGAGTGGGCCACATATAATCACAAGCGTCATGTTCTATAAATGAGCCAGAAATGCACCCTGTCTATCGGCCTAAAATGATCCCCATGTAGTTTACTTCTTCACAGCAGGCTAGGACTATTGCCTCAAAGCCCACTGGTGCCGCTCACATTCTCATATATTCAGTCTCTTTAAATATAATCTGAAAATGTATTTTTAAGTCCTTTAGAATGTACCTATTTTCCATCTCTCACAAAACTGCTCCCAATATCCGCTAACCATAGAAAAGACAAACTCAATAGCTATAAAAGACCCCCAAACCACTGCTGCCCTTCAAAGCTCTGTGACCCAGAGAACTCCCCACCTTGCTGCTGATGACATCACCCACTCATGTAAGCCCCCTCTCTGGTTTCCTCCTCTTTCTCAGAAATCCCCTTGCCCTCATCCCCTTCTGGGTGGTGGCTCCACGCTGCTGTCTCTGGAAGGTGTCTTGCAGAGACTTTGCCTCTCATACAACCCTGTCCAAGCATGGTCCCAGTATAGCTTCTGTGCGACTGGCTTTCACAGTCCCTTCTCTTCCTTCTTTAATCCCCAAATACATGAACCACAGAGACTTTTAAGAGGGAGGCAGAGGGATCAGAGTGCATCACAGGAGATATTACTATGGAAAGAAGTTGGAGTGATGCCAGCAAGGAATAATGAAACAAGGAAGCCAGGCCGGTCCTAGAAGCTGAAAAAAGCAAGGAATTGAACTCTGCCCTAAAGTCTCCAAAAGGAACATAGCCCTAACCAGCAACCTGATGTTAGACCTCTGAACTCCAGACTCTAAGAGAAATTTTTGTTTGTTTAAAGCCACTACACTTGTGGAAATTTGTTACAGCAGCAATAGGACACTAATACATCTTGTGTACACACATACCTATAAATGTTTCTACATATACCCTTCTTCATCTTTATTAACATAAGCATGAGTTCATACCAATCTCTCCAACTCTAATCCCTTATCACATGAGTCATCGTAGCTGTCCCATTTACTTCACTAACTTTCCTCACCAAGAGTGAGAAATCTGGCTTCTACCATCACACATCCATTAACTTATTTGTCTAACCCAGTACCCATTCAAGCAATCTTAGAAATGTTCATCTATACACCCCCAGGAGAACTTATAAACCTCAGCACAATGTTTTGACGTTGGCCTAATCCCTGACCTTTATTTTTATTTTTAACTTACCCTTCAACTTTTAAATTTTGAAATATTTTGCATGCATAGAGAATTTGCTTCTTTCTTCCTGGAAAGCTCAGCACTATAGATGCTGCCCTTACTCCCGTCCCACTCCTTCCCACTGGATGCCTGTCCCCTTCCCCTGACAGACTCACCAAGAGCTGCTTTGCAGGGTTTTACACCTGCTTGACCCCAGCCCCACTCCCATCACTGCACTTCCCCACCAAAGCCCCTGGCCAGCCCCAGAGCACCTGGTGTCTGTAGCTCCCATAACCGTCCCAACTCAACCACTGGGCTCTTCCAGAAGCTTCTACCCAGACACACACACACACACACACACACACACACACACACACCTGTATGCATAACTGCACACAGTGACACTGGAAGGAAATGGTGAAGTATTGAGAGGCTTGCAAAGGAAGGGAAGCGTATTGGAACAGGAAACATGAATTGAGATTCAAGACAGGGGAAACCCAGAGCAGAAAAGCACCTGGCCCCACATCCTGGGAAGGAGACCTGCTCTCAGTGCTCCACTCCAACAGGAGGAGGCAACAGGAGCTCAGAAATGACATCCTGGCACTTAGGAAAGCAAGGTTCTGACATGGTGCCCTGGGGTCCCCCATGAGTCGTTTGTAGCACAGACGAGTTATAGCTGCAGGTCCAGAAAGAGACTCCACAGAAGAGTTGAGAGAACAGCTCAACAAGATGAGGCCAGGGACAGAAAAGAGGAAGACCCAAAGCGTGTAACTCTCCTAATTGCAAGCCACAACAGCAGCGGCAGACACCAGCCTCAGACGCCGGTGTATGCCTAGGGCCAGGCAGAATCAATTATATCCACCATAGGTGTAGGGCAGACAATGGCCAACATCCAAAGGTCAAGGGAGATGAGACAGCCAAGAGGCAGGTCCATCCTTCTTGTGCAGTCATCTTATTTAAGTTCTCTCTGTATCCAGATAGCCTCCTGAGGAAGAAGAAGAGAAAAAAGAGGAGGGAGAGGAAGAGAGGCTGGGGAAGGAGGAGAGGAAGATGAATAGACAGAGTAAGGGGAAGAGTAGGAGGAGTGGTAAAGGAGTGCACGAGGGCTTCTTGGAGTCTTCAACACTGATGGACTTCGTATAGCACCCACTGGGGGATATAGCACAGAATAGTTGCCCAAACATACTGGCCAAGAGAGTACATTGTTTACAGGACAGTTAGCAACATCTCATAGATCTAGTATTCCATGAAACAGTTTCAGAAATATAATTGAATAATGTAATGTGGTGAAAAGGGGTATTTGACATAAAGGATGGGCAGTGAGACTCCAAAGATCCTTTCCCTTCTCAAATTTGCTTTGACTGACGCTGCGCTGGTCGTGCTCTGAATCTCCCTCTTGGTTTTCTCTCTAAGAATAGGACCCCACTTAAGTATAGCCTCTTTCCAAGCTGCCATAGCCTGCATTGCTGTTAATGGGGACTATGCCTGGTCTAATTCAACTCTTTTAAAGCTAATCCAGAAGACATTCAACTGGAGCCCTTCAACTGAACAGGAGACCCCAGTCACCTAACATTGTGTTCAGAGAGAGCAGCTGGGAGTTGTTGCAGCTTCTTGGCATTTCTTCAATAATCAATGACTTGTAAGACTGGAGACAGAAGAAAGGTGAAAAGCAACAGCAGTGGAGCTGGGCATTGCGAGTCCCATCTGAACTGCGACAAAAAGGATTCATTACTAGACTCCCAACACAAGCTTGAGAAGGCCATCTGTTGCTGCCAGTGGCTATGTCAGTGCTGAAATGGAGTCACCACCCCAGAACAGCATTTCCAAGAATCCCTGGGGACAGGGGCACCCACTATGGGGACAGTGTGCTGAGCGTGGGCCTGGATGGGCATAGGTGGGTGGGAGCAACCTAACCAGCTACTCATCCCGTTCCATAGAGAAAGTAATGATAGGGACATGAATAAAGTTCCAGCTGCTATGGGAGACCTGGAGAGGAGGAGGTTCTTGAAATTCCACGTGCTGAGGAACCCCTCAGTAAGAGGTGAGACGCTGCAGCTTGGATTCCACTAGGCTGAATGGCAAGAATAGAGTTTCTGACAAATGCAGCCCAAGATCTCCATGAAATCCCAGGGACAGACCTGTGCCTAACACCCAGCATGGCACATCTGCAGGCAGGACACACTACAAAAATCCTGCTTTCTTTTCCCCAAGGGGAAGATTTTGATGTCTGCAATGCTCCTTCCATGGCTAAACACGTATCTCACAATTCTCTGGGACAGAGGTCCTGCAATCAGTTTCCAATTAAAACTGATAATCGGCAAAACACTTAAAACATGCTATCTATAGACAGGAAATGTAGCTCCAGTTCATTGAAAATTTTCACAAACGGCGAGTATTGAACTATTTAAGGAACAGACGGTGCCAAAAAGATTCTGACACTGACTTATGTATTTAGACACTGGCCCTGCAGAGCTAGGTCTCACCTTTCCATCTATAGGGCTGCTTATGGCAATCGCCGTGACGCTCTGCTTTGGGGGCTTTTTGTCTCACCCTTAGAGCATGCTGGATATGACCCAAGGCCAACTGAAGGTGACAGGGATTTATATCTCCCATGGGGGAAGTACTTTATCAAGAATGGTTGGGTATTTGGTGTCTAAATACCCCCAAGCCATCTCATTCTGCACTTGGGATGAATGTGAGGTGAGTGTTCTACAAAGTCTCCCATAGGGTTCCCCTGGGAATTAGCTCCAGTCGCCCACAGTGGAAACCTGCTAGCTTATTCCTCCCACTTAAATTGGCTGCATTCCTTGTATGTCTCACCTCCCCACACCCTTACCTGTGCTATCTGGGACTCCCTCCCAAGTAAGTGTTTTCCACTCACAAGTGTGCCTCAGGGTCTATTTCCAGGGAACCCACACTTGAACACCTTGTATGCTAATTTATCCTCGAACTTGAATGTCTGGCTAGAAGTAGAATTGTAGGCTCAAAGTTATTTTGCACCAACACTTGAAAGACCATTCGTTATTTCCTGGGCATTTCTGGTTACCTCTTTAGCTGCCTTTCTTTTTTTCTCAATTTAAGAAGTATATCTCTTGCGAGAATTCCCTCCCCACTCTGCAAGCCACTCTCATTTTAAATTTATTTGATTTCAATTTCTACCCATGCTCTCCCCCAAACTTCAAGGGAGACAAATCAAGACCTCTAAGTGGGCTCCTGAAAGTCCCCTCCCCCTAGAAATTTAGGGTTGCAGGGCCTCTCCATGTTCCACTCAGCTGCCCTTCCAGCTTCTCTAAGCAGGGCCCCTCGTGTCTCCAACATCCCCAGACTCTACAACGTTAGTAAACACCTTCTCGGAGGGCAGTAGGTAAAGTTCATCTGCTGTGGCCTCGGGTAACACAGAGACGGGTCAGAAGTCAAGAAACCAGGTGATCAAAGACCATGTCCAGCCAAAAGCAGTGAGAACACAGCTTCCACTTGTAATGGTTGCATCAGGGGAAGGATTTATTGATCCACACCATTTTCTTGGATTTTCTATCCTCCCCAGGGGGCAGAGGTGGGTTGATTGTGTGGCGTGTCGGCAAAGGCCAGGTCCACCCTGGTATGGCTTGCTTCAGTGTCCACAGCCACTCTGTCAGATCCACATCGTTTCTATGATTCCCAAGCTGTCTACTGAGTAAAACGCTCAGCACCGATTTAGAGGCCAGGCTGGGTCTTAAGTATTCATCCACCTTCCTCCTGATGCTCCACGCAGATGTGCTGGGACCTACTTCAGAGTGTCCCTGAGCCATGACTGCTTGACTCCACAGATGGCTTCAGGAAGACAGCACAGAAGAGGGACCTGTGAAAGTTGATAGAATCTAGAATTACCTGAAGGAGAAGCATCAAGTAGCCCCAGAAGCCTCTCTGCATTTCTCCTCCCTAACACACATGCGTGCATGTGCACACACACACACACACACAATCATAAAAGTCAGCTTTGTGGCAACTTGTGATTTTTAAATTTCTTTGAGTTTCACATATGCATGAGTATATTTCTAGAATCTCTTCGTTGGTCCATGGACATGTCTATCAATTCTTGTCTCATTCACCAATACTACAGAGTAAGTTTTGAGTCCAGAATGACAAGCTACCCCTCTTGCATAATCCTTCACATTTTTTTGGAATATAATTTCATCCGATCTTCCAGTTACACACACACTCAAAATTCTGCTATAAACTATCATTAGGATTGTACTGGATATACTGATTTATTTAGAGGCGAATTGATGCCATTGAAAAAATTGATCTTCCTCTTAAGAAAAATGTAGTATTTTAAAATATTATGTGACTATTCAAACTGAAGGCTCATAAAAAGTGGCATGTGTGTTTTCCTTGTATTTACCTTCATTATTTTTCTAGGTGTTTCATAACGTTTGCAACCAATGTAAATGGGATAGCTTAAATCTATGATATTCCCTATTTATTGGAAGACTGTGCAAATTTTTAATTTATTTATGTATTCATTTATTTTTATTGTAGAGATGGGGTCTCCTTATGTTGCCCAGGCTGGTCTTGAACTCCTGGGCTCAAGCGCTCCACCCCGCTCAGCCTTCCAAAGTGCTGGGATTATAGGCGAGAGCCACTGTGCCTCACCTAGTATGCAAAGTTTTTACGCATTTAACTTCTATCAATCAGCCTCTCCTGACCTATTTCCTAGGTGATTGCCTTGGATTTCTAGGATGTCAGTTCCTTAAGAGAAAGATAGTTTTCCACTTTCTTTGTTAACAAAATACACCGATAAGTTATCTTCCCTCTCCAAATTGTTTAGGACAATGAATATGGCCTCAGGGTCTTTACACGGTTCTATGTGGCCAGGAGAAAACCTGCGGGACTGAGCGTTCCTTCCCTGCCACTCAAGAAAGGGAGTGTGTGACCTGGGTCGCTTTAAAAAAAAAATTTTTTTAAACATGCTATGTATAGAAAGGAAACGTAGCTCCAGTTCAATGAAAATTTTCACAAACGGTGAATATTGACCTATTTAAGGAACAGACAGTGCCAAAAAGATTCTGACACTGACTTATGTATTTAGACTCTGGCCCTGCAGAGCTACATCTCATCCTTGCATCTACAGGGCTGCTTATGGCAATCACCATGACTCTCTGCCTTAGGGGCTTTTTGTCTTACAGTTGGAACATGCTGGATATGACCCAAGGCCAACTGGAGGTCTTGAACTCCTGGGCTCAAGCGATCCACTCCCCTCAGCCTTCCAAAGTGCTGGGATTATAGGTGAGAGCCACTGTGCCTGACCTAGTATGCAAAGTTTTTATGCATTTAACTTCTCTCAATCAGCCTCTCCTGGTCTATTTCCTAGGTGATTGACTTGGATTTCTAGGATGTCAATTCCTTAAAAGAAAGACAGTTTTCCACTTTCTTTGTTAATAAAATACACCAATATGTTCTCTTCCCTCTCCAAATTGTTTAGAACACTGAACACGGCCTCAGGGTGTTCAGAACCATGTAAAGCATGGTTCTACGGGGGCTAGGAGAAAACCTGGAGGAGTGAGCCTTCCTTCCCTGCCACTCAAGAAAGGGAGTGTGCGACCTGGGTCACTTTACAGTAACGTCAATTTCCTCCGTTCTTACATAAGACTGAGTGGGCAGCCAGTGTGGAGGCAAGCCACATCTCATAATAGTCATTTTAGTTCCTCATGAGAACCACACTACAAAAAACACAAAGCGCTGTCCTCACCGTTATCCCTCTGACAGCCTGGAAAATCCATGTCCAGCATCTAGACAATACCCACATGGGTCACACTTTAATGGCAACAATGTAGTTATTCTAGATCAGAGACTTGGAAGGGAATATGGCTTGAGACATATGAGTATGTCTCAAGGAACTGGTCCAGTTTTAGCATAAGATTTTCCAAAGCATTAAAAGCCCACCTGCATCCCAGGTCCACAGAATAAAGGTGTGAAGCTGCACTGCATTGAGCTTTGGGAGGGGCTCCACTGCACTGAGCTTTGGGAGGGTTTAGATAAGTGTGGGAGACACAGCAATGTTTAATTGCAGTGTTCAATTTCTGCAACTAAACACTCCATTTACATGAATTGTGTATTATAGGAGGAGTACTTGCAGAGTCATGACCAAAGATGGATGCAAGATTGAGAAGCAGGTAGGAAGTTTGACCTGGAACTAATTCCTGGATTGGAACATGGCGGACAAAGTTGCTGATCACTACCCAGGGGACAAGGCAAGATGCAATGGGTGCTGTTTATTTACAGAAAGGAGAAATTTTAATGGATTTTATACAAGCCAGGAACAAGCTCTGAGGCCAGGGTAGTTGAGGGTTCTGTCTAGGAAGGAGACATGCAGATGGCACCCAGCCACAGGATATACCCACCTCCTCTCCCAGCAACTTCCACTCACCTTATTCAGGCTTGAACCAGAAGGAAGCCAGGCATGGTGGCCAGTGTTTGAATCTTGCAGACTGTTGGCACTAGGTTCTGAGGACAATTGTGAGTCACCATAGTGACTATGACTTCACTTGGTGCTGAACCAATCAGGCCCTGGGACTCAAGGAAAGAGAGGGAGTGCCAAGCTGTTACTGTTTACCCTCTGGCCCAGATCTTTCTTCAGAAGAAACCTGAGTGGTCTCACAGGTAAAATATCCTGATATACCAAGATCATAGAGCATCCTTTTGTGCCATTAACTAACTAACCTACCTGATAAACCCCAACCCTGTTTGGTAATGGGGGGAGGTTATCAGAGAGTCATTTGTTCAAACTGATACAGAGACACTATAGAGCAGTGGGTAAAAGCAGAAGCTTCAGATACAGGCTTTCTCAGTTCCAATCTCACCTCTCTGTCACTTGGGCAAGTCTTTTAGTCTCTCTTGGGAGGTCAAAATAGAGAACACAGTGAGCATCCACCCCTAGCCTTGGCACTGTGCTAGATTCAAATGAAATGCAGAACTGGGTTTTTGGGGATGAGGCAGGGCCAGGCATCAGAGGTGAGTACAATCTTTAAGCCACTGTGATTACGTTCCCAGGATGGAAAATCAGCAGGATGGACCTTAGAAACAGAAACTCGGTAGTACTTGAGAATGTCCAGTTTATCTCTTACACAGGGGTTTGGAGTAAGATTCATACCTGCTTCACCAGTGATTTTCAAAGGAGGCAAATCCTATTTGAAGCTAAAGTCACATAAAGAGATTTGGAATGAGGAAACAAATTATAGCAGCCTGCAAGTTGTAGAATGAAGAAATGCAAATGTAAAGTACTGAACTTTGTCATGGATGGATTTACCAAAGAGAATTACTCTGCATAACATGAATAATGGAGTTCAGAAGGAAGCCCATATCCCAGGTACAGGGAAAACTCAGAGGTGAGAAGAGGCAGCTCTGAAAAAGAGCAACATAGAATTGAGTTAAAATTAGTGTGGATATAAGAATTACAATGACATTTGAGCTATGAGGTAGTGTTTTGAGTACAATCTAACAAGCCTGTGTGTGTCAGGTAATGATTAGAGGGATGCAATAGTGTGTCTTTAATGTCCCGGGTCCCATCAGGCTGCTGCACAGCCCCATGTGTAAGACAGATAGAAGAAACAATATGGTTGGTGCTTCAAATCAGATGATGACCCAAAGCAATCTCCTGTGACTACTGCTGGTAGCAGTGTGTGTGTGTATGGGTGTGTGTGTGTGTGTGTGTGTGTGTGTGTGGTTTTGTGCCAGTGAGGAAGAGGTTGCCGGGTACACTTGATTACCTAGAATACATCATCTTTTTCAGACTTCCTCGGTTGTGCTGTTTTACTGAGGTTGGGTGGAGTCAACACATCATGGATAAAGAAGTCCCTAAAGGCAGTCCCAGGGAGCCCGCACTGAACATCAAGAAGTCAGACAAATCCTTCAAACGCAAGAAGCCCACCGAAAATGTGCTGATCTTTTTAATCAACAGACAACTGGGCAGGCACAGAAGTGACATCGACCTGTCAAGATGGGTGTGGATGCTGTCATAAAGCAACTCTAGGGTGGACATGGCCTTGGACAAAAAGTCATGTGGCTTACATGCTGAAGCCTGCCCATATTTTTGAGAAATTAAATATAATTAGAACAATAAACTCCTCCCATGTTTGAGTCATTAAAACAGAGTCTGTCATTTCACTCCTTGAGGTTGGATGTGTGTTTGCTGACAGGGTGTTCTTGGGTTACACTGGAAGGGGCTTCTGTTCATCCTAACATGCTGTGCAGGGGTGCTTAGACCCAGGGGAGAGGGTGAGATCATGCTGCACACCAGATCTCTCCCACCATCAATCTGAAAAACACTGCAAAGTCAAAGTGATGTAGTACTTGGCATTTGAGGACCAAAGACTCTTCTCCCTAGCCATTTTGAAGAGACTGCCCTGGTGTTCCCCTCTAAAACCCAATGCTTGTCCTAGTGAAAAGACATTGTTTAAGAGCAGACCAACAGTTGGCCTGGGGGTTTGGGATATGTTTTAATACTGCCAATGTCATATCCACAGAGCCTTCCAGAGGCAACCGCTCTGCCCTTTGTCCCCAGGAAAGTATAGAATGCTCTGGTCACTTTTTTGTGTCATGTCAAACAAACCTGCTCAGGCCACAGCCAAAGATAATTCATTTGACTGAAATGAAGCCACCTGGTAGGACAACAACACACATGAGATGGCTCCCATTGAAGAAGCTCTGTCCCCAAGGAATGTGCTGAGCAAGTCAGATACTCATTCTGAGAAACCTGAAATGGGAACTATGTGGGCAATTGGTCACTGACAAGTGAGAGTTAAAGCTGAAGAGGGGACAGGGAGAGCAAAGAGGTCAGAGCCGTGGCAAACATGGGCAAGCCTAAGTGAGGAGTAAGATGAAATTTACATAAGGTGAACCATTAAAGCCATCACAGATTCCAAGCATTTCTCTTGTCCTTTCACGTGAGCTGCAAAATAAGCCCCTGCAAGCAGTCCTCTGTCCCCTCTTCCCCTCCTCCCCAATTCCCTGTGTTCTCACAACCTGTCCAGCATTCCCCAAGGCCCCTTCCTGTGTCCCCTCCCCCGCCTACATCTAAGGGGCTGTTACTCTCTCTTCCCTTAGCCAGGTCTCTTCCAGATTTTTTATGTGGTACGAAGTTAAACTGCTCTATGTCCTTTTCACTGTCCTCTTTGTCCCTGTCACCTTCTCTGTCCCTGCACTGATGCAGCATCGCCAAAAAAGAGCCACCAGCCTCTCCTCAGAGGACGCAGCTGGCTGTAGGATGGAGAGGAGGGGTTAGAGGCTGCCAGGTAGAGGGGCCTCCTGGGTGCACCGTTGGGAGGAACGCTGCCTGGACACTGCTATGTCGGTGACTATTTACCTGCAGCCCAGCATCAAACAGTGGCTGTGAGGTGGAGAATAGGTGGGGAATGGAGGCTGAAAGGGCAGCAGGTAGGGCAAGAAGGAGCCAAACCCACAGGAGCAGAGGCCAATAACAGCCAACCTCCTACACTCCATGGCCACACAACAGAAGAGACAGAATTTAGGATACAGAGTTATGTGTGGATAAATCTCACCATCATACTGAGTGAGAAAACAAGTAGCACAGAATTATGTACCAAAGAGAAACCCAACTGTGCCAAGCAGTACTTGGGTATATACATAGACAGTAAAGTTATCCAAACTAGAGCAGCAGCACATTCAAGTGGAACTCTGTCCACTTTCCGACTTGACTAGTGCCCCAAAACAATTGGTACCAACTATTTCCCATCTTGCAAGGAGTTGCCTAACAATGGAGGCCTGGTAAAGAAGGCAATCACAATCATGTGACCTCTGACCACTCACTCACCTACAGGTGTCTACTCACACTGGAAGTCTGGGTGGGTTGGAGACCAGAGAGGCATGCTTCCCAGGGATTGGAGGCTGTGCCGAGTTTAAACGAGGAAAACTTCCTACACTTCAAATTCACTGGAAGGTTGGGGCTACTCAGTGTTCACCTAGAGAACTTGACTTTTGTTTCCAGAAGTGACACTCACAAGGAAGAAATTCAGGAGGAAAGTGGCTGTAGGAGAGGGAGAGAAGATTTGGCCAAAATTCCTCTGAAGAGATTTTTCTCAGGAGATCTTAGTGGCGGCCAAATGTAACCTTCTCGGGACGGGGAAGGGGGTGGGAATCTGGATGCAGCTGACTCACAGGAATCAGAGGCTGACTGGAGACCATGCACACAGTGTCAGGAGACACTCTCTTCTTCTACTCTTTCATTTCTAGCTGCTGCCTCTCATTGCTCAAATCACTAACCAGACAGCCAGGAAGCCAAGGTGATGTCTTCCATGGTATCAGCCTTCTGGAACACACAGCCCTGCAGAGAAGCATATATCTAGTTGGACAAACTGAGAAGAATCAAATCAATTCACCACTTTTTTCTACTTCCATTACTGTTCCACCACTGTTGCTTTAATCAGAGGAATAAAACCCTTGCCCAACACATGGTAGCATACACAGTGTTGTGAGCCATCTTATCATAACAGATGAGGTCAATTTGATTATAATACCATGTGGAACCTAAGTTGTAACTCTAATGGTTACAAGAAAGTTTCCTACACATTCACATTGACTGGGTGAAGGGAAAGTCACCTTGGCAGGGGATAGATGAAGATGGCAGAATAGAAACCTACACCACTCATCCCATCTCCCTTCACTGGAACACCAGATTTTAACGACTATCTGCACACAAAAAACACTGCCACAAGAACCAAGAATTAGGTGAGCAATCACATCACCTGGTTTTAACTTCATATCACTGAAAGAGGCATTGCACAGGGCAAGAGAGGTAGTCTGGAACCACCAATGCTACCCCTCCTCCATCCACCAGCGTGGAGAGTCTGTGCACTTTGGGGAGGGAGAGTGCAGCAAGTGGGGGACTTTACCTTGAACTCAATGCTGCCCTATCACAGCTGAAAACAAATCCATGCAGGGTGCAGCCAGTGCCCACACATATTATTATATATTATATATAATAATAATATATATTAATAGATTATATATTAATAGATTAGATTGTATATAATAATATATATTAATAGATGATTATATGGTAATATAGTAATAGATTGTATATAATAATATATATTAATAGATTATATAGTAATAGATGATTGTATATAATAATATATATTAATAGATTATATAGTAATAGATTGTATATAATAATATATATTAATAGATATACATTATATAGTAATAGATATTGTATATAATAATATATATTAATAGATTATATAGTAATAGATATTGTATATAATAATATATATTAATAGATTATATAGTAATAGATATTGTATATAATAATATATAAATAGATTATATAGTAATAGATATTGTATATAATAATATATATTAATAGATTATATAGTAATAGATGATTGTATATAATAATATATAAATAGATTATATAGTAATAGACATTGTATATAATAATATATATTAATAGATTATATAGTAACATGATTGTATATAATAATATATATGAATACATTATATAGTAATAGATTGTATATAATAAAATATATGAATACATTATATAGTAATAGGTTGTATATAATAATATATATGAATACATTATATAGTAATAGGTTGTATATAATAATATATATGAATACATTATATAGTAATAGGTTGTATATTATATTATATATGAATACATTATATAGTAATAGGTTGTATATTATATTATATATGAATACATTATATAGTAATAGGTTGTATATTATATTATATATGAATACATTATATAGTAATAGGTTGTATATTATATTATATATGAATACATTATATAGTAATAGGTTGTATATTATATTATATATGAATACATTATATAGTAATAGGTTGTATATTATATTATATATGAATACATTATATAGTAATAGGTTGTATAT
Organism: Homo sapiens; assembly: GCF_000001405.40. Lineage (NCBI taxonomy): Eukaryota > Metazoa > Chordata > Mammalia > Primates > Hominidae > Homo > Homo sapiens. The sequence goes on along the minus strand of NC_000023.11, from coordinate 135,115,184 downwards.
TATATTATATATGAATACCTTATATAGTAATAGGTTGTATATTATATTATATATGAATACATTATATAGTAACAGGTTGTATATTATATATGAATACATTATATAGTAACAGATTGTATATTATATATTAATACTTATATAGTAATAGATTGTATATTATATATAATAATATATTATATAATAATATATATTTCATATATATATATGTATAATCTCCAAGAAGGGCTGAAGCAAAGACCTCATCAACAATCACTAGGGAGAATCTATCTCAGTGCCTTTGCAATAACTGTTCCCTCCACATGGATTTCCTCTGGCTTTTTTCCCTATGGTTGTTTCCTTCATATCAGCAACTTGAGGGCAAGGGTTTTATTGTTGTTGTTGTTCTCTGTCATGCCTACAAGCCCTAGAAAAACTCCTGTCTGATAGTCAGTACTCAATAATATTTGAAGAATAATTGAATGAGAGAAAGGTAAGGTAGGGGGCAATTCCAGGAGATCTAGCGAAAGAGTCTGGTTTCAAGGTGAGTCAGACCAAATCAGAATATTTCACTTCCCTCTTTCTAAACACTATTTGTCCTTACTTATGATAATGTTATGAATGGCTCTAAACAGAAGGGGTATTTCTCAGAAGACACGAGATCTCATTTCAACTCTGCCTCTTCCTGGTTTTGTGACCTGTTGACAGGGCTCAGGCTGTGGCAATAACTTGTAGGTGAATCACTTGATAATTTAGGGTTTGTGTAGTAAAATGGTGTTCTTAAAGCTACAAAAGCTCTTCTGCCAATGAATATTTTACTAATGTTTAGACAAACATTTCTCCAAACTTATAATAGCATTAGTTGCTTTAGATGACATATATTATTAAGTATATTATTCATTATGATTTAATGGATGAGAGAAGTTCCCAACCAGCAGAAAAAGAAAATAAACCATTAATGAATTAATAAATGTAGTTATATCTTACCATTTCTTCCTCCATTCTTTGTCTTTTATGCCTAAATTTTGGAGGAGGGAGGAGTTAACCTCTCTCTCTCTCTCTCTCTTTTCTCCCTCTATCTCCCCATAGTTTTAGTCATACTGGGCCCACAAATTTTTATCCATTTTTTCCCTTAACATTAAATCACCAGCAATTTCTCATACTTTACAAAAGGACATTTAAATGGCTTTGTAATTAACCTTCAAGTAGATGAATTGATATTTCTTGAACCATTCTCCACTACATGGTTGTGCAGGTTATTTTCAACTCACTGCTCTTATAAGTGACTCCAGTTAATTTCCTAGTATATGTTCCTATAGTGCTCTGTACTTTTCCTCCACGGCACTTTTCACAACTTGAAATAATCATCTTTTTCATGTGTATCTTTTAAATAATCAGCTCCATGAGGGCAGGGACCACATTTGTTTGGTTCCTCAGTGTCCTCAACAAAACACATAGCACAGTGCCTAGTGCATAGCAGATACTCAATAAATATTTGTTGAATAAATGAATGAATAAATAAATGAATAAGTGAATGAATGAAAGGCATGTTGTCTTAGTCAACTCCATCTGTCATAACAATATGCCATAGAATGGGTGTCTTAAACAACAGAAATTTATTTTCACAGCATTATGGAGGCTAGAAGTCCAAGATCAAGGCGCCAGCATGGTTGGTTTTAAGAAATCTGGTTGTTTGAAAGTGTGTAGCACTTCCCCCCTCATGCTCTCTCTCTCCTGCCAGGCATGTGAAAATGTGCCTGCTTCCCCTTCATCTTTCGCCATGATTGTAAGTTTCCTGAGGCCTCACCAGAAGCAGAAGCCTGTACAGCCCACAGAACCATGATCCAATTAAACATCTTTTCTTTATAAATTACTCAGTTTCAGATAGTTCTTTATAGCAGTGCGAGAATGGACTAATACAGGTGCCAAACACTATGGCTGGTTCTCGGCCCCAGACGGTGCCTGGGGAAGGTGAGTGAAGGGACTTTGGGACTGCCCACTCTCGCCACAGAACTCTGGGATCCTAGCTGCAGGGGACCCCACCCTCTGTGGATGTTTGGGCTGGAAGGGGAATCTCTCTGGAGATTAGACAGAGAGGGAGCTACAGCGGGTGCAAAGCTGGGGACCTATGAGCATGGGACAGCTCCAGTGGAGCCTGGCCATAAGCATCCACCCCCAAGGGCTGCTCACCTCTTTTGGAGAGGCTCTGGTCTCAGCTAACTACTAGGAAGAATGCAGGGCCTGCTACCCCATGGGACTGGGGCATGTCTGTCCTGCAGACTTATCTGCCCACAAGCCCCTCACAGTGCCCTCACAGGGCCCCTGACTGGCCACCCCACAGAAATGTGTACACAGTGCAGCCTCAGCTGCCTGGCCTGGGTGCTTTGCTCCACCTGAGTGTGTTCTGGCAGGCTGGGAGTCCTTTGGATCTGCCAGTGCACCTGGAACCCAACCCCAAGGATCTGGAGGAGGGAGCTATGAGCAGGTCCTGGTGCACCAAGGCTGCAGCCCACAGCTCAGGAGTGCTGAGCTGGGGTCTGTGCTTAGTACTTGAGTAGAGGAGGAGCCCACACTCTCAGAAAACTGAAAGAGGTGAGTTGTAAAGGTTTGCTGGCTGGTGTGGGGCCTAGGGATGCCTCCCTCCACAGGGCTTGTCTGGTAAGGATGTGGCCTATCTCCCTTCCAGGCCTTCCCCCAAGGGAGACCTGTAGCCCAAAAGACCTAACAACGACAGCAACAAAATTACGAGCACAGTGCTAGTAATCAGAGGTGGCTCCCCCAAGGCCCAGGAGTGGACTTGGTGAGGAGGTCACCCACCTCTCTCCCCCAGCACCACAGTATAAAGCTGCAAATGCAAGGATACACAAGAGTCATGTGGCTAAGAGCCTGTCTACTGCCCATTGCTCTCAAGTGCCATCTACTGGATCGCAGCCCAAACTACAACAAAAAACTACTGATTGTCCCGCTACTGAGAAACCAAGGGCAAGAATTCAACAAAAAACAAATGTTCTGTACAGAGCCTTAGACCTCTGGGAACCTCGAGAAATAAAGCCAGATGACTATATTTAACTTACACCACAGTTGAAGGAACACCAGCCTTCCCAGATGAGAAATAATCAATCAGCACAAGAACACTGGCAATTCAAAAAGGCACAGTGTCCGCTTACCTCTAAAGGAACTTACTAGCTCCCCAGCAATGGTTCTTAACCGGTCTGAAATGTCTGAAATAACATACATGGAATTCAGTATCTGGATGGCAGGGAAGCTCACCGAGATCCAGGAGAAAACTGAAACTCAATCCAAGGAAGCCAAACAATCTAGTAAAATGATCCAAGAGCTGAATGATGAAATAGCCATTCTAAGAAAGACCCAAACTGAACTCCTTGAGCTGAAAAATTCACGACAAGAAGTTCATAATATAATCAAAAGTATTAACAGCAGAATAGACCAAGCTGAGGAAAGATTCTCTGAGCTTGAAAGCTGGTTCATCAAATCAACTCAGTCAGACAAAAATAAAGAAAATTAATTAGAAAAAAAGAACAAAACCTCTGGGAAATATAGAATTATGTAAAGAGACCAAATGTATGACTCACTGGCATTTCTGAAAGAGAAGGAGAGAGAATAAGCAACTTGGAAAATATATTTGAGGATATAGTCCACAAAAATTTCCCTAATCTTGCTAGAGAGGTTGATATACAAATACAAGAAATACAGAGAACCCCAGTCAGATACTATACAAAAAAACCATCCTCAAGGCACATAGTCATCGGATTCACCAAGGTCAATGCAAATAATTTTTTTTTTTTGAGACACGGTCTTGCTCTGTTGCCCAAGCTGGAAGTGCAGTGGCACAATCATGGCTCATTGCAGCCTCAGCCTAACAGGATCATTCGATTCTCCCATCTCAGCCTTCAGAGTAGCTGGGATGACAGGCATATCCCAACATGCCCAGCTAGTTTGTACATTTTTTGTAGAGGCAGGGTTTAACCATGTTGCCCAGGCTGGTCTTTAACCCCTCGGCTCAAGTGATCCACCCATCTCAGCCTCCCAAAGTGCTAAGATTACAGGTTAGAGCCACTGTGCTCAGCCAGATAAAACATCTTAAAGGCAGCTAGAAAGAAGGGGCAGGCCTGGGTGCAGTGGCTCACACCTGTAATCCCAGCACTTTGGGAAGCCGAGGCGGGTGGATCACTTGAGGTCAGGAGTTAGAGACCAGCCTGGCCAACATGGTGAAACCCAGTCTCTACTAAAAATACAAAAATTAGCCAGGTGTGGTGGTGGGCACCTGTAATCCCAGCTACTCAGGAGGCTAAGGCAAGAGAATCACTTGAATCCAGGAGGCAGAGGTTGCAGTGAGCCAAGATCGTGCCATTGCACTCCAGCCTGTGACAGAGCAAGACTCCGTCTCAAAAAAAAAAAAAAAAAGAAAAGAGAAAAGAAAAGAAAAGAAAGAAAGAAAGAAAAAGAAAAGAAGGGCAGGTCACTTACATAGGGAATCCCATCAGGCTAGCAGCATACCTCTCAGCAGAAACCTTACAATAGAAGAAATTGTGGACCTATTTTCAGCATCCTTAAAGAAAAGAAATTCCAACCAAGAATTTCATATCCCACCAAACTAAGCTTCACAAATGAAGGAGAAATAAAATCCTTCTCATACAAGCAAATGCTGAAGGAATAGTGTACACCTAGACCAATCTTACAAGAGATCCTTAATAAAGTGCTAAATATGGATTCAAAAGAACAACACCTGCTACCACAAAAGCACACTTAAATCATGTAGCCCACAGGCACTGTAAAGCAATTATGCAATCAAGTCTACATAACAACCAGCTAACATTACAATGTTAGGATCAAAATCCAACATATCAGTTTGAAACTTGTATGTAAATGGCTTAAAAGATACAGAGTGGCAGGCTGGATAAAAAGACAAGACCCAACCATCTGTTGTCTTCAAGAGACACATCTCACATGTAATGACACCTACAGGCTCAAAGTAAGAAGGTGGAGTAAGATCAACCATGCAAATGGAAAACAAAAAAGGGTAGGAGTTGCTACTCTTATGTCAGATAAACAGATTTTAAACCATTAAAGATTAAGGATAATGAAGGTCATCACATAATGATAAAGAGTATAATCAAACCAGAAGCCTTAACTATCCTAAATATACATGCACCAACATTGGATATATATGTTGGAGATATATATATATATATGTGTGTGTGTGTGTGTGTCTGTGTGTGTGTGTGTATATGTGTGTGTGTGTGTGTGTGTGTGTATATATATATATATGTCCTAAATATACCTGCACCCAGATTCATAAAACAAGTTCTTCTTGGCCTCTGAAAAAATGTAGACAACCATACAACAATAGTGGGAAACCTTAACACCCCACTGATAGTGTTAGACACATATCAAGGCAGAAAAAAAAAAAAACTCTTGACGTAACCTTGACACTTGATCAACTGGACCTAATAAACATCTACAGAACACTCCACCCAACAACCACAGAATGTACATTCTTCTCGTTTGCACATGGAACATATTCTAAGATCGACCACATTCTTGGTCATAAAACCAAGTCTCAATAAATTCAAAAAATCAAAACCATACCAACCAAACTCTTGGACCACAGTGCAATAAAAATATAAATTTATATCAAGAATATCTCTCAAAACTACAAAAATACATGTAAATTAAATAACTTACTCTTGAATAAATCCCTGGTGAACATCAAAATTAATGAAGAAATTTAAAAATTATTTGAAATTAATGAAAATTGGGACACATCAAAAATTTCTGGTATGCAACCAAACCAGTGTTAATAAGAGGAAACTTTATAGCCCTAAATGCTAGAAGTTAGAAGAATCTCAAATTAACAATCTAACTTTGCACCTAAAGGAACTTGAAAAAAAAAAACCCAAAGCTAGCAGAAGACAAGAAATAACTAAAGTTAGAGAAGCACTTAATGAAATGCAAAAATACATACAAAAGATCAATGAAACCAAGAGTTGGTTATTTGAAAAACGAAATAAGATTGATAGATCACCAGCTATATTAACAAAGACAAAGAAAGAGAAGATCCAAATAAGTACAATCGGAAATGACAAAGGCAATATTACAACTGATCTCACAGAAACACAAAAGATCCTGAGAGATGACTATGAACAACTCTCTGGATACAAACTAAAAATTTACAGGAAATGGATAAATTCCTAGAAGCACACAATCTCCCAAGAATGAATCACGAAGAGATTGAAACCCTGAATAGACCAATATCAACTTCTGAAATTGAATCAGTCATAAAGAATCTACCAACCAAAAGAAGCCCTGGACCAGATGGATTCATAACCAAATTCTATGAGATGTGCAATGAATAACTAATATCAATCCTAGTGAAACTATTCCAAAAAAAATCAAGGAGGAGGGGTTCCTCTCTAACTCATTCCATTAAGCCAACATCAGCCTAATACCAAAATCTGGCAGAGACACAATGAAAAAAGAAAACTTCAGACCAATATCCCTCATGAGCATAGATGCAATAATCCTCAACAAAATATTAACAAACCAAATCTAGCAGCATATCAAAAAGTTAATACACCATGATCAGGTAGGCTTCATTCCTGAGATGCATGACTGGTTCAACATATGCAAATCAATCAACAAGGTTCACCACATAAACAGAATGAAAAGGAAAATCATATGAACATCTCAATAGATGTACAAAAAGTTTTCAATAAAATCCAGCTTCCCTTCATGATGAAAACCTTCAACATACTAAGCATTGAAGGAACAAACTTCAGAATAATAAGGTTCTATGGCAAACCCACAGCCAGGTTCATACTGAGTGGGCAAAAGCTCAAACCATTCTCCTTGGTAACTGGAACAAGACAAGGATGCCCACTCCCACCACCCCTTTTCAACATAGTACTGGAAGTCTTAGCTAGAGCAATCAGGCAAGAAAAAGAAATAAAAGGCATCCAAATAGCAAAAGAAGAAGTCAAACTATCTCTCTTCACTGACTATATGATTCTGTACCTAGAAACCCCTAAAGACTGTGCCAAAAGGATCCTAGAACTGATAAATCACTTTAGTAATGTTTCAGGATACAAAATCATTGTACAAAACTCAGGAGCATTTCTACACACCTGCAATATCCAGGCTGAGAGTGAAATCAAGAACATAACCCACTTACAATAGCTACAAAGAAAATGAAATACCTAAGAATACAGCTAACCAAGGAGGTGAAAGATCTCTGCAAGGACAACTACAAAACAATGATGAAAGAAATCAGAGATGACATAAATAAATTTTTAAAAATTCCATGCTAATGGGTAGGAAGAACTAATATAGAAATGGCCATACTGCCCAAAGCAATTTACAGGTTCAATGCTATTCATATCAAACTGCCAACATCATTCTTCACAGAATTAGAAAAAAAAACTATTCCAAAATTCACATGAAGCCAAAAAGGAGCCTGAATAGCCAATGCAATCCTAGGAAAAAAGTACAAAGCTGGAGGCATCATACTACCCAACTTCAAATTATATTATATACCCACAGAAATCAAAACAGCTTTTTGTACTGGTACAAAAACAGACACATACAGCAATGGAACAGAATAGAAAATTTGGAAATAAGGCCACACATCTACAACCATCTGATCTTCGACAAGGCCGAGAAAAACCAGCAATAGGGAAAGGGCTCCCTATTCAATAAATGGTACTGGGATAGCTGGCTAGTCATATGTAGAAGACTAAAGCTGGAACCCTACCTTTCACTATATATAAAATTTCACTCAAAATCAATTAAAGAGTTAAATGTAAGACCTCAAACTCTAAAAATCCTGGAAGACAGCCTAAAAAATACTCTTCTCAACATCAGCCTTGGCAAAGAATTTTTGACTAAGTCCCCAAAAGCAATTGCAACAAAAACAAAAACGGACAAATAAGACCTAATTAAACTAAAGAGCTTCTACACAGCAAAAGAAACTGTCAATAGAGAAAAAAAAAACACAGATAACATGCATAATGGGATAACATATTCACAAACTATGCATCCAAGAAAGGCCTAATATCTAGAATCTATAGTGAACTTAAATTGACAAGAAAAAACAAATAACTCCATTAAAAATGGGCAAAGGATATGCACAGACACTTCTCAAAAGAAGACATACAGGTGGCCAACAAATATTATAAAATGCTCAATATCACGAATCATCAGAGAAATGGAAATCAAAACCACAGTGATATACCATCTCACACCAGTCACAATGGCTATTACTAAAAAGTCAAAAAATGACAGATGCTGGCGAGGCTGCAAAGAGAATGCTTATACCTGTTGATAGGAATGTAAATAAATTCAGCCACTGTGGAAAGTAGTCTGCAGATTTCTCAAAAAACTTAAAACAGCTACCATTCAACCCAGCAATCCCATTACTGGTATATACTCAAATGAAAATAAATCATTATACCAAGAAAACACATGCACTCATGTGTTCATGGTTGCACTATTCACAATAGCAAAGATACTGAATCAACCCAGGTGCCCATCAATGGTAGATTGGATAAAACAAATGTGGCACAAATACACCATGGAATACTATGCAGCCATAAAAAAGAATGAAATCTTACTACTTTGCAGAAACATGGATGGAGCTGGAGGTCATAATCCTAAGCGAATGAACACAGGAACAGTAAACCAAATAGCACATGTTCCAGCTCAAAAATGGGAACTAAACATTAAGCACACATGGATATAAATATGGAAACAATAGACACTGTGGACTACTAGAAGGGGGAGGAGGGAGGAAGGGAGAAGGGTGAGTTGAAAACCGATCTGTTGGATACAATGCTCACTAGCTGGGTGACAGGATTCATATCCAAAACCTCAGCATCACACAATATTTCCATGTAACAAACCTGCAAATGTACCCCTGTGTATCTAAAATAAAAGCTGAGACTGGGCACAGTGACTCATGCCTGTAATTCCAGCACTTTGGGAGGTTCAGGTGGAAAGATTGCTTGAGCCTAGGAGTTTGAGACCAGCCTGGGCAACATAGTGAGACCCCCATCTCTACACAAAAAAATTTTAATTAGCGGGGCATGGTGGCATGGCCTGTAGTCCCAGCTGCTCAAGAGGCTGAGGCAGGATTGCTTGAGCCTGGGAGGCAGAGGTTGCAGTGAGCCAAGATCGCATGACTGAACTCCAGCTTGGGTGACAGCACAAGAGCCTGTCTCAGAAAATAAAATAAAATAAAAGTTGAAATTTAAAAATAAATAAATAATAATGCTGATTGTGAATGCAAATACACTGGGTTCACAGACTCCCACCTAACCTATCTCAGAGCCTCAGTTTCCACCTCCTTACAAGCCCCCTTCACTGCAAGTACAGGCAACAGAGACCTGTCACAACCCTTTAGTCACAACCCTTTCAAATTACTGGATTTTAGACGATAATTACTCTTCAAGATGGCTGCTGAAATTTAAAGATGCTAAAAAAGCTAAAGTGCAACATGAATATAACAATCAGACTCTTACAATGGAAATATTTTATGACTTGATAGAAACCTGACACGATCATCACCACGTTTCTGTGTGTGCCAGCTGGCATGGTACCTGGGGAAGATAAATGAGGCTACAACAATTTTTGGTCCCAATTCTGAATCCTCCCACAGACAAGGTGACAACTAGAGCTGGCTACAAACAGGAAATTCAGTCTGTAAAAACTGAAGAACTTGGAGTTTTAACAGCCAGTGAGCAACAATTTTTGATACATTTACAAAAATGTTTTTTAAAATTCTAAAAAGAGGAGGACTGTTCTCTCACTCTCAATAAAATATTAGAAACAGACACATAAAATGACAAACTATTCTCTCGATTGGTGGCAATGGCCACCTTCTGCGTTCCAAATAATCCTTGGGTTGGGAACCATTAGTGCTGGAAAGGAAATGGAAGTTCCACAGCTTCTGCCAGAATTCCAGGATTTCAGAAAGAACACTATAAACTGAAGAAATGAAAAGTAAGGAAGAGAGGCACGGGGTGATATTTCCTCTAAATCTCAATGTTGACCGGAAAGTTGGAGGGCTCTAGGGCTCCATTTGCTGTGGCTGGACAGAAGAAATTTCACTGGCTGTTGTGTTCTAAAAGCTACCTGCAAAGTATCCCTTTGTCCAAAACACAGACTACTCCCCCATACAGGGGGCAGCAGGCAGATGCAGGCAGGCAGAGCCTCAGTGGCCCCAGCACAGCTGCTGGGAGCTCAGGCTGATGTGCAAAATGCTAATTCATTAAGAAACGATATCCAGTTGCTTATGAAGCAGGGGCATTTTCCTCTCTCCAGCTGCCATGCCCCTTTGCTGGAGCACATGGCATGCTATGAAAGTGGCGGGGCAGAGGAAGGCTTGGGTTACTTTTTGGAGGGCAGGGCCATGTTGAGGTGCAGATGCTCCAGCCAGGGCTGTTTCACTAAAATCTCACTAAAACAAATCTGTTCTAGAAGAGTGTAGTGAGCTTGAGGGATTTCAGAGCTGATCAAAGAAAAAGATATGACCATGAGGTGGACACAGCACACAACAATCTTCATTTACATGACTTGCATATAAAGGGAAGTCTCTCACTGAATGAGATCTTCCAGAGGTTAAGGTGAAGGGAGAGAGGCAACGTGCACCCAATGTGAAAAACAGTTTGGCATTTCCTCAGAATGTTCAATACAGAACTGCCATGCATTTATCCATTTTTGTGTTGCTATCAAGAAATACTTGAAGCTGAGTAATTTGTAAAGAAAAGAGGTGTAATTGGCTTACAGTTCTGCAGCCTGTACAAGCATGACACCAGCATCTGTTCAGCTTCTGGTGATGCCTTAGGAAGCTTACAATCATGGCAGAAGGTGAAGCAGGAGCAGGCACATCACATGGCAAAAGTAGAAGCAAGAGAGAGTGAAGGAGGAGATCCCAGACTCATTTAAATAACCAGATCTTGCTCGAACTGAGAGAGAACTCACTCATCACCAAGAGGATGGCACTAAGCCATTCATGAAAGATGCATCCCCATGATCTAATCACCTTTCATCAGGCCCCACCTCCAATATTGGGGGTCATATTTCAACATGAGATTTGGAGGGGACCAATATCCAAACCATATAATACCATATGACCCAGCAATTTTTCTTTGAGGTAGTATACCCAAAAGAATTGAAAACAAACATTCACGTACCGTACACCCAAATGAATTGAAAACAAACATTCAAACACATACTTGTACAAAATGTCCATAGTTGCAGTATTTACAATAGTTAAAAGGTGGAAATGAAGCAAATGCCCTTAAATGGATGAATAAACAAAATTTGGTACATCCATTATTATTCAGCCATAAAAATGAAGCACTGAGAGATGCTACCACATGGATGAACTTCAAAAACATTATGGTAAGTGAAATAAGCTAATGACAAAGAACACATACTATATGATTTCATCTACATGAAATATCCAGAATAGGCAAATTTAAAGAGACAGAAAGCAGATTCGTGGTTGCCATGAGCTAGGACCAGGAAGAGGATGGGTTGTAACTGCTTAATGAGTATCATTTGGGGTGGTAAAAAAGATTTGGACCTAGATAGTGGTGATGGTTGCACATCATTGTGCCAAAGATGGCCAACAAGCACACAACAACATACTCAACATAATTAGTCACTGGGTGCTTAAAAATCAAAATCACAGTGAGATGCATATCCACTAGGGTGTTACAATACAAAAGACAGGCAATAAAAAATGTTGGCAAGGATGTGGAGAACTTATAACTTTCATACATTGCTAGTGGGATTGTTAAATGTTACAGCCATTTTGGCAAACCCTCTGGCTGTTCCTCAGAAAGTTAAACATTGAGTTACCACATAGTCCAGCAATTTCACCGCTAGTTATATACCCAAGAGAAATGAAAATATATGCCCACACAAAAATTTGTACATAAGCATTCACAGCAGTATTATTCACAATAGTTAAAAAAATGGAAACAACCCAAACGTCCATCATAAACCAAAAATAAAATTCTTAGGTCACACAACCATCTGAATGGATTCCTCCTATCATCCAAAGGCATTCCAAAGTTAACCTGAAAAACTAATTCAGGCCATGATTGCAAGGGGGACCCAGAAATACCTCATTATACCCTCCTCCCTTTTGGAATTACTGATAGAAGAAACTCTAACTCTGATAAGAAACACTTACAATCTATTCTCTCCGAAGCCTGCTACCTGAAGGCTTCATCTGCATGATAAACCTTGGTCTCCACAACCCTTTCTCATAACCAAGACATTCCTTTCTATTGATAATAACTCTTTCAACCAATTGCCAATCAGAAAATCTTTAAATCTACATATAACCTGGAAGTCTCCCACTCCCCTGCTTCTAGTTGTCCTGCCTTTCTAGCCCAAAGCAATGTCCATCTTAACATGTATTGATTGATGCCTCATGTCTCCCTAAAATGTATAAAACCAAGCTGTACCCCAGCCACCTCTGACACATGTCATCAGTAACTCCTGAGGCTGTGTCACAGATGCATCCTTAACCTTGGCAAAATAAACTTTCTAAATTGATTGGGACCTCTCATAGATACTTTTGATTTACACCAAATTTGCTCTATCTATGCAACTGAATGTTATTCAGCCATAAAAAAATGAAATAATGATATTTACTATATAATGAACATTGAAAACTTTCTGCTAAGTAAAAGAATCAGTTCACAATATACCATATATTGTATGCTCCATTTATATGAAATGTCCAACATAGGCAAATCCATGAGATAGAAGGTATATTAACTTTTGCCAGTATAGACCATCCTCCTCATGAGTTTTTAAAATGGTGTTTGATGGTTGAAGCAGAAACTATTATGTCATCTGATGCGATGCTCAATATATGTAGAGGACATACCTAAAACATTTGTATTAAAAGTGAGGAGGGTAAATAGCCCTAAATGGAAGATTTCTACACCTTACTGGAAATGGTTTAAAATGTCGATGCCAGTAGATTGTGATAAGTTAATATGTATATTGTAATACCCAGAGTAACCACTAAAGTATCCATAAAAAGACATATATTTAAAAAAAAAAAACACTATAGATAAATCAAAATACCCCCTTACAAGGGGATGGGGGAGGGGAGAATGGGGATTCATTGCTAAGGGGTACAGAGTTTCTTTTTTGTGGAAGAAAAATGTTCTAAAATGAGATAGTGGTGATGGTTGTACAACTTTGCAAATATCCTAAAAACTATTGAGTTGCACATTTTAAAAGGATGGATTTTATGATATATAAATTATATCTCAAAAAATCTGTTAAAAATAAATACTAGTAAATAAATAAGCATGTTCTAATCTCATTCTTTCTGAAGCCAAACATCTATATAGAAAAAATAAAATAAAACTGGTACCCCACATATGTAGTATACAGTCCCATTGCAGGTGCCTCATTTTAAGAGAAATATTGATAAAATGGCCTATTTCCAGAGGACTGCGATGCAGATGATAAAGGAACTGACCTTATGAAGAACACTTGAAAGAAAAGTTTGTTGTTTAGAGAACAAATATTTAGTAAGGAAACATGAGTGTTAACTTCAACTATCTGAAAGTCTACCATGCTAAAGGGTTAACCTACTATTGTGCAAAATTTAGAATTTATACCAATGGATTGAAACTGTCTTTGTTCGAAATAAGGAATGGACCATCTTGAGAAGCAATAACGTTCCTGTCACTTAATCGTTCTAGCACCAGCTGGAAATTCATCATTGGTCAGGGATATTGTTAAAATAAGTCCTCTATGAGGGAGGATATTAAAATAGATGGTCTTAAAGATCCTCTCCAATTGTAAGATTTTGAGCTTCCAAGTTCAATTTCTAAAATTTATTTCCATTATAAAATTATGTATAGTTTTGGGGGGAAATGGTTTGTTTATGGGGAACATTAAATTATGCTTGAGAATGAGTAAATCTTTAAAATTAAGAACATTTGAAGTGAGTTTCTTATAAATAGGATATACTTGAGTCATGGTTTTTGTTTTATATCCATTCTACCTATCTCTATCTTTTAATTGGTATGCTTAGACCACTTACATGTACATTAATTATTGATATATTAGGACTTCAGTGTGACATATTATTATATGTTTTTTCTTTGTTAATTTTGTTTCTTGTTCTTCTGTTTCCATATATTACCTTCCTTTGGGTTACTTGAACACTCTTTAGAACTTCATTTTGATTTATCCATAGTGCTTTTTTAAAAAATATATGTCTTTGTATAGTTACTTTAGTGGTTACTGTAGGTGTATTAGTTCGGTCTCACGCTGCTACAAAGAAATACCAGAGACTGGGTAATTTATAAAGGAAAGAGGTTTAATTGACTCACAGTTCCACATTGCTGGGGAGGCCTCAGGAAACTTTCAATCATGGCAGAAGGCAAAAGAGAAGCAGGCACCTTCTTAACAGGGTGGCAGGACGGAGTGAGTGCAAGCAGGGGAAATGCCAGACACAGACATCTATAAAACCATCAGCTCTTGTGAGACTCACTCATTATCACAAGAACAGCATGGGGGAAACTGTCTCCATGATTGAATTACCTCCACCTGGTCTGGCCCTTGACATGTGAGGATTATAGGGATTACAATTCAAGATGAGATTTGGGTGGGGACACAGAGCCAAACCATATCAATAGGAATTACAATATACATATTAACTTATCACATTCTACTACCATGGATATTTTAAACCACTTCCAGTAAGTTGTAGAAATCTTACTTCCATTTAGGTTTATTTACCTGCCTCACTTTTAATACAAATGTTTTAAGTATTTCCTCTCTATATATTAAGCATCACATCAGATGACATAATAGTTTCTGCTTCAACCATCAAACATCATTTTAAAAACTCATGAGGAGGATGGTCTATTATATCTACCCCTATATTTACTCTTTCCAATTGTTCTTTTTCCTTCCTGAAATGCCATCATCTTTCTGTTATTTCTGTTTAGGGAACTTCTTTCTGCCATTCTTTAAGCATAGGTCTGTTACTCACAAATTCTCTTAATCTTCTTTTATCTGAAAATATCTTTATTTCCATTTCATCCTTAAAAGATGTATTCATGGATATAGAATTTGTAGCCCCATCTATTGTCCTAGCTACTCCAGAGCCTGAGGCAGGAGGATCGCCTGAGCCCAGAAGTTCAAGGCTGCCATGAGCTATGACTAAACCACTGCACTGCAGCCTGGGCAACAGAGTGAGACCCTTTCTCTAAAAAATTATTTAATTGTGTTTGGCAGCAGGTGGAAAAGTGGACTACCAATCAGCCCTGCACCACACCATTTCCTTCAGTTTCCTTGATGCTCAGTTTTGTCTTTTTTTACATGATCATGTAGGTAGGACAATTGCCTAATCAGTGTATATGAATCTACTACGTTCCTTAAACAGTTACGTGGGATACCATAGAGATGATCAAGTGTGACGGCGAACAGGTATTTTGAGAGTTCTTAAATACCCACGTCAATCTTTGCTGTGAAAACTGGGATGGGGTCGGGTGAACCTTCTTCTTGCGGACAGTTTTTCAAAAGTCATGACCATAACAAAGTGTGAGTATTTCCCGGCTTTATTAAACAGTCCGAAAAAACGCTACTGGGTTTTGATTGGTTTACATTTAATAAAGATTGAATGAAACCACAAAAGGGCTTTTAAGCACACCGGCAAAAAAAAAAAAAGGCCATAAATAAGAGCAAATGAAAACCCGAGACAACATTGTATGGATCAAGAAGACTGCTGAGAAAGGGAAGGACAACGGGGAAATTCGCCAACACAGAGATATACGTGACCAGCAAATACAACAGAAAGGGAAAAATGCACGCTTGTGGGTTTGGTGGCACTCTTTAGCGCAGAATTACTGCACTATGCGCATTAAAGAGAAATGCGAATTAAAGAAAGGTCTTGGCTGGCAAGTTTTCAGGGGAGACCGTGGGAGAAGGGGAGTGATATGAACAGGCAGAGTCTTCTGCATGTGCTTTCTGTACAGAATCAGCTTAGCGGTCCAGACTGTCCTCCTCCACTCCTGCTCCACCCTAGGAGACAGTGTCACAGCAATCGATCCCTGGCAGCTCCGCCCTTCAATCCGCTCCTGCCTTGGGAGGCGCCCGAAAAGAGGCAGGGCTTTGTGGGCGGAACCGGGCGGTGGGCGGAGCTGAGAATGCAGGGCGGGTCTAGTGGGCGGGGCCGCTACGCCGACGGCCTCTCTGCCGGGGGCGAGGCTGTTAGGGGCGGAGCTATGCTGGGGGGCGGGGCCCGCAGTGACGTGATGTGGAGCGGATGGAGCTGTGCGGGCTCGTGGAGGAGGGACCGAGGCAGTGGCCCCTGAAGCAAGGCTCAGTCTGGAGAACCCGAGGGCGGGGCGAGGGTGGGGAGAGGGCGGGGCGAGGGTGGGGCGAGGGCGGGGCGGACGTCGCTCTCCCGGCGGCCGGCGGGGCGCGCTAGTGTTGGGGTCCCGCCGTCCTGAGGCTCGAGCTCTTGCGGGTCGATCGGTCGGCGGGGCCTGCGCGGGGCCCGGGCCCATGGCGGCGTCGGCGGCTCTGTCTGCGGCGGCGGCGGCGGCAGCCCTGTCTGGCTTGGCGGTTCGGCTGTCGCGCTCGGCGGCGGCCCGAGGCTCATACGGCGCCTTCTGCAAGGGGCTCACGCGCACGCTGCTCACCTTCTTCGACCTGGCCTGGCGGCTGCGCATGAACTTCCCCTACTTCTACATCGTGGCCTCGGTGATGCTCAACGTCCGCCTGCAAGTGCGGATCGAGTGAGCGCCGGCGGCGGCGGCGGCCGCGGAGGCCCGGCTGGAGGGGCGACAGTGTCCCCGCCCGCCCCCGGCCGGGTCGCGGGCATGAAGGACAGCTGGATCGCGGCGGGGGGCGGAGGTGGGGCGGCCCGGGCCCCTGGACTCTAGACCTACGCCGCCCGGGCACGAAGGCCCAGCCCTGGCCCTGGCCGCGGTCTCAGCCCGGGACCCCGGATCGCGCAGAAATGCACTGAACAGGCCCCTACAATTGGGCTCCAGAAACTACCTGAGCTCGGACTACCTGTTGCCTCACATTGGCAAAAGAGGGGGAAACCAGAAGGAGGGAATTCTGCTGCGGCGACTTGACTTTCCCCGCCCCGAGCAGAAAGGTAGGAGGCGACAGGTTGGAATGGGGGAGGGGCTGTGGCTCTGCCCTGCAGAGGTCGGGGCGCCTTGGCAGTTGGGGGGAAATATGGAAGGCACCGGAGCAAACCAGCCCGAAGAGCTGTGGAGCCCAGGTGGGGAAAGGAAAGGCAGCCGCAGGCTCTCCCCTCCTCCCCAGTCATGATTGCAGGATAGGGTGAGGGGCAGCCGCCTCCCGCTCATTCCCCAGTGCCGGCCTCCCTTTCCGCAGAGGCCCCCAGGGTGTCCACTGAAACCTGGGGAATGGAAGGTAGTGGGCTGGGGGCGGCCCCGGGAAGGCCCTAGAGGAGCAACGATGCCCCCACCCTTCTCTTCCCCACCAGTCGGTGGGCATAGGGAGGACGGTTCTCTTCTAGGCCGAGCCCTACGTCTGTTCTCTTCTCAGCCCTCAGCCCTGGGTCTCTCTGCAGCTCCTGCACAGCCCTTGGCAAAACTGCCTCCTGCCCTGTCTTTGGGGCCAGAGGACTGGTCTCTCCCTGCTCCTGCTGTCCGTCGTGTTCCCCTGCCCCTACCTGAGGGCACCCTGCAAGCTTTGCATTTGGAGACTGGGAAGAGTGGGAGAGACGCATTCCTACCGTCCCCTCCCCCCACAGTCTTGCTCTTCCGCCATGTCAGCCCATGCTCCCTAAGGACCGTAGCTAGCAAGGCCCTCCCAGGGCCAGAGTCCCATCCTCCAGCCCCAGACGGCCTCGAGAAGCCCACTGTGTACTGAAGTGATCTGGGAAAAAGAGACCTCCCTGAGCACACAGCAGCTCTCAGCCTGGGGTGGGCAGAGCAGATGGAGGAGGGGCTTGCAGAGGAGGCCATTCCTGGGGGAAGCAAGGACGTATCTGGTGGCCAGGCAACTGAGGTCCCCATCTCTTTCTTTCTCTTTCAGGCATTGACGTTTGTAGGCGGTGACCCGCCCCTTCTCTGGCCTTGCCAAGAGTCTCATCCCTACCCTGGGGCACCTCTGACCCTGGACCTGCTTGGGCAGAGGCAGCGTGAAGGGCCTGAACAAGAGGAGAAGAAGGGCCTTCCTAGTAGAGGCACAGCATGGACAAAGGCTCACAGGGGTGGGGGTGCCCAGTGATCGAGTCCTGGCTTGGGAGGGAAGGTCTGAGTTCCCTGGGAACTGAAATCGGCTAGCAGCACTGTGAGAGAGGTGTATTTCCCCCTCCTAATGACAGAGGAAACCGAGGCTTCGGGGAGGGGGGGATTTGCCCTTGACATGCAGATAGGATGAGGAGGAACTGCGTGTGCCCCTGGGCCTGCAGGCTCCCACACCCCTCCCCAGTCTTCTCCAAGACCTGGCATGATGGGAGGAGGGAGGGGAAAGTGAAGAGGGAAGCATAGGGCTCCTAGGGCACCAAGGGAGAGGGGCCCAAGGGTAGGGAATCTGGGGATCTCGCTTTCTTTGGAGCAGTACAGAAGATCACAGGAAAGATTAGGACAGACAGCTGAGATGGCAGACAGGAGAGATGGGCCCCAGGATCCCTGGGGAGCCAAGCTTTCCCCCACAGCCTAGCCTCCCCACCCCACCTGGAGCTTCACCAAGGGCTTTTCAGCAGTGAAGTGGCACAAACCTCCCAGTTTGGTGGGCAAGTGGGGCTGATGGTGGTGTCATGGCTCCTGGAGACACGACATAACCAGGAGGGTGAAGGGATAAACCTGGGGTGGGCTGGGGCTGAGACCCATGGCATGACCCCAATTCTCTCTCCTCAAGCTCGACCCCCCCGCCATCCCCAGGATCACACAGGAGAATCTCATCCTCACGGCTTGGATTGGTCCTGGGGGCCCCCGGTTGTGCTGCTAACTGGTGTACAATGCTCAAGAGCAGCCCAGAGGGGAGCCAGGAAGGGACCCTCGCCCTCACCTGCTATCCCCATTTCCGCATCTCTTGCACTGGTACCCTGAGGGCCACATTCTCAGTTCCTGGGATTGAAAACTGCAGCAGTCTGGCCAGCTCCAGGGACAGAGTGATCCAACCACCTACCACGTACCCTCCTCAGCAGGCCACTGGACCCAGGTCCTGAATGAAGCTGTCCGCCTGCCTCACCCCAGAAGAGGCTGGACAGTGGCTGCCTCGTGCCCCCTGCAGTCTCCCACAGCCAGGGCCCGATGGGGTGCCTCCTTGTCCCAAGTCTCCTGAGAACCCCTGACCTTGCTGGCCTCTCTCATCCGCCCCAACCCTGTCCACCCTTGACCACCTCTGGGGGCCTGTCAGCCTGCTGGTCCCCCCAACAGATCTCTGGGGGCAGCCTCTGTGGGACAAGAGTGATACAGAGCTGGAGGAGAAGAGGAGTGAGGGGCCTCCTTGTGTCTGATGCACAGATGTGGCCCTTTCAAACCCTGGTGTCACCCTCTGGGTGACTGGATCCCTAGCTCCAGCCTCTTCCTGGGCCAGCCAGGAAGGGTGGAGGAAAGTTCTTTGCTGATTGCATGTGTGATACAGTGGGGGGTGCCTGAGCCCTCCCCATGCAAGGGGCTCATCCTGGGACTCTGGAAGCTGCTTCCCTACTGGGAGAAATGTGTGTCGGAGCTGCAGGGGTCCCTACCCTCAGAGACCCCCGACTGCAGGGAACCCACCCCATAAGAGGGTCACGGATGTCCATGTCCGCCCACCCCCCGTGGCTTCTGCTGTGGCTATATTGGCCTAGAGGGGCTGACTGGGGAGGAGCAGGGCTAAGCCCTCAGCATTTGCTCCTGTCCCTGCCTTTTCACCCCTGCTGCCTGAAGTGGTAGCCCCGCCTGCTGCTTCTCTACCTCCCCTCCCCACCTCTTCTCTCCCCTACAGGGCCCTTGCTGCGTGATGGGGTCTCCATGCACTTTATTTATTTGCAGTCTGTTTTCTAGGCGGTGGAGCTTCTAGACACCGACCGGAATGACATACGTTTCTGTGTGTGATTCACTGTGTACTGGTCAGCACAGGCTGGCCAGAGAGATGTTCTTGTTTCTGGTGTTGTCACGTCTTCTTGTTTTCTCTAAGTTTAAAAAAAAAAAAAAGTCCTTGGTTTAATACACTAAAATCCCAACTGGAGGCCTTCCGTGTCTGGTGGGGGTGATGCAATGGCCCCAGGTGGAGAGAGGCCCCATGGTGAGGTCACCGGCTCCCATGGCAAGGTCACCGGCTCCCATGGCCAGGAGCTGGCAGGGAAAAGCCTCTGAGGAGTAGGGCTGGGGGAGGCTGTGGCAGGGACCGTGTTTCCTGTTCAGAGGCTGTGCTGAGAACCGACTTGACCCAGACCACTGCCCCATGAGAAGCAGGCAGCAGCCTGGCCTGGCCCTGAGAGGTGGCTGCTTGTCCTGTTGACAGTCTCTGTTCAAATGACCCAAAACATAAGTCCTCTTCCGTTTTAGAGTCTGGTGATCAAAAGTGCCTAAGTCAGTAGAATCCTGAGGGTGGACTAGGGTGAAGTGAACTGAAACAGACTCCACGCAGGTCATTTCGTGTAGCGCTGAGACCCTTCTCCCTGCCTGAGGTCACCTCCCACTGCCTCCCTACCAGCCAGGTTACTGCAGAACCCTGGAGAAGATAAAGGACCTGGCCCTAGAAGCCTCCTTCCCTTCCCCAGCCTTGGAGGCAAACTCTGTCCCATCAGAGTCCCCCTCCTTAGTGGCTCCCACAGGAGAGAGCTCCCTAATGGCTGCTGTAAGGGTTGGCAAGCAGGCAAAAGGTGGGAGAGGGAAGGCCGAGGGGAGTGTTAGAGGAAGATGCCTAGGTGAGAGGCATCCTGAGGACACAGGGCTATGCTCAGACTCAGGAGTGCAGTCTGAGTTTAGGGGCCCTGGGGGCACTCCTGTTGCCAAGGGCTACCCAGGGGTCACAGCACCCTGATAAGAACCCCTCCAAAAGCACTAGTGCCAACATCCTATGGCATCTGCCACCACAGGAGAAATGGACCCCAGTCCCTGAGCTTCCCTCCCCTTTGTCTAGATGGTCCTCTTCAGTCCCTGATGGTCCCATCCCCACTCCAGGGATCACGTGACTTGGCAAACCAAGATGGGGGATGATACCCCCAGAGCCTGGCTCCAAGGCCTCCTGAAGAGGCCCATCCTTGCAACAGAGGAAGGGAAGGCAGGAAGGCCGGTTCTGCTCAAATGGGACCCCAGGAGACCAAAGCCCTGAGCCGTGAATCCAGCTCTTCCACTTACTACTGTATGGTGCCAGGCAAACTGCACAACCTGGAGTTTTTAGTAAGGTTCCTTTGGGATGCTTGTCAGCAGCGAATACAATGTCTGTTCAACGTTTGTCATCAGCTCTCACCTGGAGAAGCCTTGTTACTGTGGGGAAAGGGAACCAAGTGAAGGGAACGGACATCCGATGAGAGCCTGCCATGTGCCAGGCACCATTCTAGGTGCTTTGCATTCCTAATCTCATCATAATCCCACAACCACCTAACCTTTATCTCCATTTTACAGAGAAATCAAGGACAGGAACCAAGTCTGAAATAGAACCCCAAGCAGAATCTCTTTTCCTGAGCTCCCAGTGCCCCTGGAGAGGCAGGGAATTGGGCTGGAGTAATGGTGGAATGGAATAGCAAAGGTGGAAGATGACCCTGTTCTTTCTGGGTGGGGTCCAGGAGGCAGATAAGAAATCCAGGTGTGCCTGGGTGCGGTGGCTCATGCCTGTAATCCCAGCACTTTGGGAGGCCAAGGCGGGCGGATCACAAGGTCAGGAGTTCAAGACCAGCCTGACCAACATGGTGAAACCCCGTCTCTACTAAAAATACAAAAATTAGCTGGACGTGGTGGCGCATGCCTATAGTCCCAGCTACTTGGTTGGCTGAGGCAGGAGAATCGCTTGAACCTGGGAGGCAGAGGTTGCAGTGAGCCAAGATCTGGGCAACACAGTCAGACTCCGTCTGAAAAAAAAAAAAAAAAGAAAAAGAAAAGAAAAATCCAGGGCTTGGATGGGGGACAGACCTGGGAGCCCTCTCCAAATGGAGCTCCCCAGTGGGCGCAGCTGGGGCCACCCTGAGATGGGTTCACCTGTCTTTTCTCCATCCTCCCTCCAGAGATTGATTGGGACCTAAGAGATTGAGTCAGGAGAGGGCAAGAGAGCAGCTAAGCAGGCAGTTCCGGGGGCACCAGAGCAAATACATTAAGAAGTGGGAAATATAAAGAGCATGCAAAACCTCATCCTACTCCTGTTCACCCACCCACAAGGGAAACTGCTGCGTTTGGACAAATTTCTACTTTGTGTTGGTGGAGGGAAGGAGAAAGAACATACTACTTTGAAAACTTCTCCTCCCACTTCATCTTTATCTTTCCATGTTATTAGGTATTTTTCTATATCCAAAGCCACCTAGTAGTCTCTTGTGTGAAGGTATCATGCATTTCTCATGCCTCTTGGTTGTTTCCCTTTATTGTTTATTTGGGGAGTTTGGTTTCTTGGTTGTTTGGTTTTTTTCTGTGGTTTTGTTTTTATAAACATTCCAGTAACAGATAAGTTGGACCTCATCAAAATTAAAAACTTTTGTGCATAAGAAGTCACTATCAGGACAGTGAAAACACAACCTGCAGAGTGGGAGCAAATATTTTAAAATATATATCTGATAAGAGACTTGTATCCAGAAATATAAAAAGAACTCTAGCTACTCAACAAAAAAAGACAGACAACCCAATCAAAATATGGGCAAAGAGTTTCAATACACATTTCTCCAAAGAAGTGATACAAATGGCCACCAAGCACATAAAGATGCTCAATGTCATTAGTCATTAGGGAAATGCAAATCAAAACCACAATGAGCTCACCTCACCCACTTCACACATTAGGATATTTATTTATTTATTTATTTATTTAGAGACAGAGTCTTCAATGCCCAGGCTGGAGAGCAATGACACAATCTCAGCTCACTGCAACCTCTGCCTCCTGGGTTCAAGTGATTCTCATGCCTCAGCCTCCCAAGTAGCTGGGATTACAGACGTGCACAACCACACCTGGCTAGTTTTTGTGTTTTTTGTAGAGGCGGGATTTCACCATGTTGGCCAGGCTGGTCTTGAACTCCTGGCCTCAAGTGATCAACCCTCCTCAGCCTCCTAAAGTGCTGGAATTACAGGTGTGAGTCACCACGCACAGCTCAACTTTTTTTAAAAAAATTAAAATAACACGTGTTGGTGAGGATGTGGAGAAATTGGAACCCTTGTTCATTACTAATGGGCATGTAAACTGGTACAGCAGCCACTGTGGAAAACAGGTGGTTCCTCAAATAGTTAAACCTAGAATTATCCTATAGCCCAGCATTTCCACTCCTAGGTACATACTCAAATGACTGAAAGCTGGTACTCAAACATGAATTTTCATAGCAGCACTATTTACAATAGCTAGAAGGTGGAAACAACCCAAATGTCTATCAGTCTATCAACTGATGAATGAATAAACAAAACTTGGTATATTTATACACTGGAATATTATTCAGCCCCAAAATAATCCCACAATGAAGGATTTGATACATATTACAAGGTGGATGAACTTTGAAAATATTATGCTAAGTGAAAGAAATCAGACACGAAAGATTACAAATTTTATGATTCCATTTATATGAAATGTCTAGAATATGTAAATTCATACAGACAGAAAGCAGATTAGTGGTTGCCATGGTCTAGGGGAGGGAAGGATGGAGAGTGACTGCTTAATGAGTACAGGGTCTCCTTTTAGGGAGATGAAAATGTTTTGGAACTAACAGTGGTGATGGTTACACAACATTGTGAATGTACTAAATGCCACTGAATTATACATTTCAAAATGGTTGATTTTATGTTATGTGGATTTCAACTCAATAATGAAAACAAAATTTGCTGACACATTTTACTATCTCACCACTGGGCCTTTTCCATAGATGAACTTCTCTCCTGGCCTTTCATTCAATCCCCTGCAGCCCTTGTCCTGCCCCTGTGGTATAAAAAGCTTACAAAAGTAGCCCCATCCCATTAGTTCCCAAGCAATCCTAGCCCTCAACTCCTTCCCCATTAGGGTGGCTCAGAGAGTGGGAATCTCTAGTGAACGATGGGATCATTGAGGACTGATCTGGCCATATTCCTCAACTGCCTGACCAGTGGAGAACAGCACAGACTCCTTGACTCTTCCTCCTGGCCTCCTGTTTTGGAGAAAAAGCAGAACATTCCCCTCCCATGCTGGCAGGCTCGCCCACACTGCCTTTAGTCTGGGCTCCTGGCTCTAACCCTGGGGCCTTCTCCTTGGACATGGATGTCTTGGCCTTGTAGTTAATGGATGCCACAAACACATGAATGCCTGACCCTCTGGACACAACCCCACATCATCTCACATTCCCAGTTCCTCCCAGGAAGAGGATCAAGTGACAAGCAGGACCCCAGGCAACAGCAACCAGCCGAGGCGGCTCAGTCACTTGCCACAATATTTAAATATGACATTGATGAAGAGCAGACATTGAGTCTGTATTAGTCTATTCCTACACTGCTATGAAGAAATAACCAAGACTGGGTAATTATAAAGAAAAAGGGTTTACTTGA
Organism: Homo sapiens; assembly: GCF_000001405.40. Lineage (NCBI taxonomy): Eukaryota > Metazoa > Chordata > Mammalia > Primates > Hominidae > Homo > Homo sapiens. The sequence goes on along the minus strand of NC_000023.11, from coordinate 135,090,525 downwards.
CTCACAGTTCTGCATGGCTGGGGAGGCCTCAAGAAGCTTACAATCATTGTGGAAGGGGAAGCAAACACATCCTTCTTCACAAGGTGGCAAGAGAGAGAAGTGCCGAGCAAAGGGGGAAAAACCCCTTATAAAACCATCAGATTTCATGAGAACTCACTCATTATCATGAGAACAACATGGGGTAACCAAGCCCATGATTCAATTACCTCCCACCGGGTCCCCTCCACCACATGTGGGGATTGTGGGAACTATAATCCAAGATGAGATTTGGGTGGGGACACAGCCAAACCATATCATTCCACCCCTGGCCCCTCCCAAATCTCATGTCCTCACATGTCAAAACACAACTATGCCTCTCCAACAGTCCCCTAAAGGCTTAGCTCATTCCAGCATTAACCCAAAAGTCCAAATCCAAAGTCTGAGACAAGGCAGTTCCCTTCTACATAAGAGCCTGTAAAATTGAAAGCAAGTTAGTTACTTCCTAGATATGATGTGGGTACAGGCATTGGGTAAATACATACATTCTAAATGGGAGAAATCGGCCAAAACAAAGGGGCTACAGGCCCCATGCAAGTCCGAAATCCAATAGGCCAGTCATTATGCCTTAAAGTTCCAAAATTATCTCCTTTGACTCCATGTCTCATATCCAGGTCATGCTGATGTCCACGGCCTTGGGCAGCTCTGCCCTTGTGGCTTTGCAGGGTACAGCCCCCCTCCCAGCTGCTTTCACAGGCTGGCATTGAGCATCTGTGGCTTTTCCAGGCACACGGTGCAAGCTGTTGGTGGATCTGCCATTCTGGGGTCTGCAGTCTGGAGAATGGTGGCCCGCTTCTCACAGGTCCACTAGGCAGTGCCCCAGTGGTGACTCTGTGTGGGGGCTCCAACTCCACATTTCCCTTCTGTACTGCCCTAGCAGAGGTTCTCCATGAGGGCTCTGCCCCTGCAGGAAACTTCTGAATGGACATCCAGGCATTTCCATATATCCTCTGAAATCAAGGCAGAGGTTCCCAAACCTCAGTTCATGACTTCCGTGCACCCACAGTCTCAACACCACATGGAAGTCACCAAGGCTTAGAGCTTGCACCCTCTGAACCAATGGCCTGAGCTGTACCTTGGCCTCTTTTAGCCACAGCTGGAGCTGAAGCACCTGGGACACAGGACACCATGTCCTGAGGCTGCACAGAGCAGGGTGGCCCTGGGCCTGGCCCAGGAAACCATTGATCCCTCCTAGGCCTCCAGGCCTATGATGGGAGGGGCTGCCATGAAGGTCTCTCACATGCCCCGGAGACATTTTTCCCATTGTCTTGGTGATTAACATTCAGCTCCTCGCTACTTATGCAAATTTCTTCAGCAGGCTTGAATTTCTCCCCAGAAAATGGGGTTTTCCTTTCTGTCACATCATCAGGCTGCAAATTTTCTAAATTTTTATGCTCTGCTTCCTCTTGAACATTTTGCCACCTAGAAATTTCTTCCACCAAATACCCTAAATCATCTCTCTGAAGTTCAAAGTTCCACAGATCTCTAGGGCTGGGGCACAATGCTGCCAATCTCTTGTCATAGCAAGAGTGACCTTTACTACAGTTCCCAACAAGTTCCTCATCTCCATCTAAGACCACCTCAGCCTGGATTTCATTGTCCCTATCACTATCAGCATTTTGGTCAAAGCCATTCAACAAGCCTCTGGGAAGTTCCAAACTTTCCCACATTCTCATGTCTTCTTCTGAGCCCTCCAAACTGTTCCAACCTCTTCCTGTTACCCAGTTCCAAAGTCACTTCCACATTTTCAGGTATCTTTATAGCAACACCTCACTACTCCTGGTACCAATTTACTGTATTAGTCCTTTCTCACACTGCTATGAAGAAATACCCGAGTCTGGGTAATTTATAAACAAAAGAGGTTTAATTGACTCACAGTTCCTCATGGCTGGGGAGGCCTCAGGAAACTTACAATCATAGTAGAAGGGGAAGCACACACATCCTTCTTCACATGGTGGCAGGAGAAAGAAGTGCAGCACAAAGGGGGAAAAGCACCCTATAAAACCATCATGTCTCATGAGAACTTACTGTCATGAGAACAGCATGGAGATAGCTACCCCCATGATTCAATTACCTCCCACTGGGTCCCTTCCACAACATGTGTGGATTATGGGAACTACAATTCAAGATGAGATTTGGATGAGGACACAGCCAAACCATATCAGAGTCTCACAAGTGGGGTGAGCAGACCCTCAGAGATTCAGAAGGACCAACAGGCTGTAACTTCCAAGAGTTTGCTCTCTGAGCCCTGAGACTGGGAGACAGTCTTGCTGCAGGCTGTACCCTATTGGCTCTCCTCCCACTGCCATGCTGACTGTGGCAAACACACCAGTCGCTGTTGCCATCTGTTCCAACTTGGCCACCTGGAACCATGCTGAAACTTGGGCCCTCTCCCAGTTTGGCAGAGCAGTCCCCAGGGCCTTCTGAGTCCAGATTGACTCATGCCTGCCACTAGCCATTTCTTGGAAGGCTCCCTCTGTGGCGGCCATGACAGCACTTCCTCTTCCTGGCCGCCAGAATCCATCTGTAACAACCATGGCTGCTTTTCCACTCAAAACACCACTTCCTACAGATATCAGGGGTTCACTCATTAACCAAACCTCCCTTCTTTCCCCCCACATATACTAATTCATGCCACAATCCCCCACCACCTGGCAAAATCAGAAGGCCTTCATGCTCCAGGAAAGCCCTTCAGGACACCTTGAAAATGGACTCATGACTTATTCTCTAGCCCCTCTCCATGTCTGATCCTGTGGTGGGCACCAGGCACATATTCCCTGTGGGCAGTTAGAGGAGGAGCTCACAGGAACATGTAAGTGCAGAGTAGGAGCCAGGGTGTGAGTGAGGGCTCAACTAACAGGAATGTGATGCTCCTCACCACTACCAAGGAAGTAATCTAGGGTATGGGTGACGTCGCTACCTTTAGGGAAAAGGTGGAATCAGAAAAACTGGGCCACCCAGACCAGCAGAGCAGCAAGATGGCCTTCCCAGTTCCCAGAGACTGGCACCCAAGGATTTCATTTTTCAAATCATGCATGTTAAAAAGAAATATCAGGGCACATGCAACATGAATCCCACTGGACACACCAGACACAGCTGGAAGGTGATTCCATTAATACTACAAAAGCGCTCTCAGTGCAGTTTTCCTGGAATGTCTTTTCTAAAGGCCTTTCCAAGTGAACACCATGGCAAATCTGAGCACTGGTTAAAGCAGTTTTTGCTCAGATGTGATGCAAAGCCTTGCCCCAGACCCTCAGTTGTATTTCCCATACTCCTCTTTCCACTTCCCTTTTCTACAGGCTTTTGCCCATGGAAGTGCAGAGGGAAGAGGTCAGCCTGGGAGCTCAAAGGTTGGCTTGGAGGTTCAGCTTCTGGCTCACCAGCCCTGGGAACATGAGCATGTTACTGTGCCCCTCTGCACCTGCCTCCCTTTCTGCCCCATGGGCACAGCGGTTCATGAAGAGGAAGCAACGTTCACAGTGCCTTTTAACATTTGAAACTGACAGACCCGTCTCTCTTCCATTGCCTAGTTTCTCACTTTCTGTGACTTTTCCTGGTGACAGCAACTCTCCACATACATGCCACCTGGGAATGACTGCAGGTTTAATGTCAAATTTAATAAAATGTCAGATCATATTACCCTGGGAATCACAGCAAAATGTTTAAAGTTGAGGCTCTGCGGCCTCACACTGACACCTGCTTCCTTCACTCCTTTCCTGTGCCCCATGGCCTTGTAGCCTTTCTTTTTCCCTTATCAAAGCCTGTGATGCAGTGATGACTGTGTCTCTTGCTGAAAGCCTTAGCAACACCCTCCCAAGGGCTTTTAGATATAGTTCAAGGAAGTGGCCAACAGATGGCACTATTCTCATTAGCGCAAGCCAGGTGAGCTGAGAAAAGAGGCGTTTCACCAAACAGCTTTGACAAAATTAGCTTTCTGTAATTGAATAGCCCATAAGAATGAGATAATAGGTTTGAAAAGTTATACAAGGTGTACGATCTTAAGCAAATAAGAACCTATGAGGTGGTTATGTTCTTTTAATTCCTACACACACTACAACAGAGATTTGCAAACAAGACTGGAGACTCAGATACCCAGATAAGTCACAAGGACCTTCTCAGAACACCAATAAACACTGGGAGATGGTTCAACCCCCTGTTTTACATTAGGCACCATGTGGTTCAAGCAGGCTTTGGAGGGAGAAACCAGCTGGGCTTAAATCCTGGCTTTCCAGGTTATGAGCTGGGTGACTTTGGCAGATCCCTCATACTCTTGGCTTCACTTTCTTCATTTGTAAAATAATGAGTAATTCATAGGGTTCTATGAGGAAACAATGAAATAATGTACACAAGTAAATATTTATTACGGTGCCTGTATTAGTTTCCTAGAAATGTGGAAAGAAATTACTACAAACTGGGTCACTTAAAACAACAAAAATGAAAGGAGGCAGAGCAGGATGGCTGAATACAAGCCTCCAGTGATCAGTCCCCATGCAGGAGACCAAACTGAACAACTATCCACACAAAAAAAGTACTTCCATAAGAACCAAAAATCAAATGAACAATCATAGTACCTGGTTTTAACATCCTATTAAAAAAGAAACAATGTTGAAGGCCGAGGCGGGCAGATCATGAGGTCAAGAGTTCAAGACCAGTCTGGCCAACATGGTGAAACCCCGTCTCTACTAAGAAGACAAAAATTAGCTGAACGTGATGGCGCGTGCTTGTAATCCCAGCTACTCGGGAGGACCCAGAGGTGGAGGTTGCAGTGAGCCAAGATCGTGCCATTGCACTCCAGCCTGGGCAACACAGCAAGACTCTGTCTCAAAAAAAAAAAAAGCAATAAAGGGGGTAGGAAACACAGTCTTGAATCACCTACACCACCCCTCCTTCATTCCACAGGGGTGGTTGTGTGGCATGGAGAGAGAATCTGTGCACTTGGGGGAGGGAGAGTGTAGTTATAGTGGGACTTTGCCTTGAAACTCAGTGATCCCCTGTCACAGCAGAAAGCAACATGGGGCGGGAGTCAGCCGGCACCCACAGAGGGAGCATTTAGACCAGCCCTAACCGGAGGAAAATTCCCCATCAAATGGCTGGAACCTGAGTTCCAGCAAGCTTCACCACCACAGGCTAAAGTTATCTGGGATTCTAAATAAACTTGAAATGCAGTCTAGGTCACAAAGCCTGCAATTTCTGTGCAAGTCCTCGTGCTGTGCCTAACTCTTCAACGCCCAGACATGAAAAAACATACACAAGCATCGAAACAATACAAGAAAACACGACCTCACCAAATGAACTAAGTAAGACATCAGTACCAGTCCCAGAGAGACAGAGATATATGACTTTTCAGACAGAGAATTCAAAATAACTATTTTAAGGAAGATCAATGACACCCAAGACAACACAGAGAAGGAATTCAGAATCCTATCAGATAAATTTAACAAAGTGATTAAAATAATTTAAAAGAATCAAGCAGAAATTCTGGAGATTAATAAATCAATTGACATACTAAAGAATGCATCAGAGTCTGTTACTAGCAAAATTGATAAAGCAGAAAAAAGAATTATTGAGCTTGAAGACAGCCTATTTGAAAATACAGAGTCAGAGGAGACAAAAGAAAAAGAATAAAAATGAATGAAGCATGCCTACAAGGTCTACAAAATAGCCTCAAAAGGGCAAATCTAAGAGGTATTGGCCTTAAAAAGGAAGTAGAGAGGTAGCGGTAGATAGTTTATTCAAAGGGATAATCGAGAACTTCCTAAATCTAGAAAAATATATTAATATTCAAGTACAAGGTTACAGAACACCAAGCAGATTTAACCCAAGAAAGACTTTTTCTAATATATTTTATGAGTCCTTATTCATTGAAAATATTATTATGAATGTAATCATTTGGAATATATTGTCTCAATTTCTTTTCATTTTGATTTTCATTTCAAATGAATGTGAATTTTACAATTCATCATGTCGGGGTTTATTATGAAAAATAAAATTCTTGGCTGGGCACAGTGGCTCATGCCTGTAATCCCAGCACTTTGGGAGGCCAAGACAGGTGGATCACCTGAGGTCAGGAGTTCGAGACCAGCCTGACTTACATGGTGAAACCCCATCTCTACTAAAAATACAAAAATTAGCCAAGCATGGTGGCACACGCCTGTAATCACAGCTACTTGGGAGGCTGAGGCACAAGAATCACTTTAACCTGGGAGGAGGAGGTTGCAATGAGCCAAGATCGCACCATTGCACTCCAGCCTGAGCAACAAGAGCGAAACTCCATCTCAAAAATAAATAAATAAATAAAAACAAATATAAAATTCTTGAGATTCTTGTGGCTGATAAGAAGATACAACAAGAATAACAATTTGCATATTATAATGTTTTCGAATGAAGAAATGTTTTCAAATGAAATGAGGTAGAGGTATTTTGAACAAACATTTTGCTGTAAGAGAGATACCCCTCACTTCTGATTTCTGTATCTGTTCTTTAACAAATATATTGAATAGTTCTTAACTATTTAAAAGACAAACTCTAGGCCACTTCAAAAACCTTTTTTTATAGTCTCAGAAATTATAGGTTAACAGTCTAGTGAACTATGGAAGGTGTAATAGGGTTCTCCAGATAAACAGAACCAATAGATAAGAGGAAATTTATTATGGGAATTGGCCCATGCAATTATGGAGGCTGAGAAGTTCCATGATGTGCAGTCAGCAAGCCAGAGAACCAAGAAAGCTGGTGTTGTAACTCAGTCCAAGGTTAAAGGCCTGAAAACCAGAGTAAATCCTGGAGTCTGAAGGCCCAAAAACCAGGAGCTCTCATGTCCCAGGGCAGCAGAGATGGCTTATACCAGCTCCTGAAAAGAGAGCAGATTTGCCTTTTTCCCATCTTTTTATTCTATGCGGGCCCCCAAAGGATTGCATAATGCCCACCTACACTGGTGAGGGATGATCTTCTTTACTCAGTCTACTGATTCAAATGCTAATCTCTTCTGGAAACACCCTTATGAATATATGCAGAAATAATGTTCTATTAGCTTTCTGGATATCCCTTAACCCAGTCAAGATGACATATAAAATTAACAATCACAAATGGCAAAAGGCAAAAAAGAATCAAGGGATTAGAACATTGACAGCAACAGATTCTTCTAAAAGTTTACTGAGTCAACAGAGAAATTACCTCTTATTTTTATCTTTATAAAAATATGGAAAACCTTTCAAATTAATTGGTAGTCTGCAGTCTAACATTCTGCTCCATTGCTATTAACATTTCTTAAACCAGTACACTAGCGTGAATGATGAATCTCATCAGGAGAATCTCTCCTTCCCACTCTTGTTCCCTGGGTAGGTGCATCTCACCTCTATCATTAGTTCTTTGATGACAATCAGTTGCCTGGAGTATTTGTTTTAGCCCAAATCATTACCCTGGAGTATTTTCTAAGATGGGGATGAATAATTCATTTTTTAAAAATGGATATCCTGTTGAACTAGCAGTTTTATTTTCCAACTATACTACTCTATCACTTTATCATAAGTCAAGTAACACTATGTGTGTGAGTCTATTCCTGGATGCTCTACATTCTACTCCATAGTAGTATAACAATGTAAATGTCATTTTTCCAGATAGTCCATTTCCCTGTCAAATTTATGGAATAATCTTATTGTCTTGTTGTTTAAATGGTGTTGGCTTTCTCAAATTTATCTTTTATTTATTAGAGTTTACTTTGGAGCTGGCCTGGTTGTTACATCACACCCAGGGATTGGCACTAAAAGATGAGCTGGAACCTGTCATAGGGTGGGGGGAGGGGGGAGGGATAGCATTAGGAGATATACCTAATGTAAATGATGAGTTAATGGGTGCAGCACACCAACATGGCGCATGTATACATATGTAACAAACCTGCACATTGTGCACATGTACCCTAGAACTTTAAGTATAATAAAAAAAAGAACTTAAAAAAAGTTTTTAATAAATTAAAAAAAAAAAAAGATGAGCTGGAACCAACAACTGTGCCCTTCATAGTTCCATGAGAACTTTGACCTCCTCTTTATGCTCTAGAAACTGAGCCCTGTCAGGAGAAGTATTCATTAGCAGAGAGAACATGCCCCTGTAGAGCAGAAAACAGTTATCTTAGGTAGAGTGACTGCAACCCTATAATGCAGGAAGCAGACTAAAACATCTGAACAGCTCAAAGAGAAATGAATAACCGTTCAAAGATTGGAATAGGGTTCATCACAACAGTGGTCACTACCCACTTGTATATAATATAGTCATTTTAATATATTAATCAAAGGTGAGGACAGTTTGAAGACCTTTTCAGAAATGCACAATCTCAGGAAGTTCACATACCAAGACTCATTCAGGGAAACTACTTAAAGATGTATTACTGCCCAAATGGGGAGAAAAAAGAAGCTTGAGAGTGTAGGGAGTAAAAGGCAAGTAGAGAAGTATCAGAATGACAGCTTGCAGTAAGTCTGGATAGCAACCATGCTGTTAGGAGTGCATGGGTGGAAAACTCCACAAGGAACTCCACTACACAAAAAGAGGAGTGAGGGTTAATAGAATAAACAGTATGCCTGAAGCTCTACATGCTAATTATTAACATTCAGAATTATTCAGTCTGATGACAACACAAGTTCTGAGCACACACACTGTTAATCTGGTGCCACCCTTTAAGAGAACCAGTATGAATTTACAACAGAAATAACTAGAGGAAAATATTTACATAGCACAATATTCTTTAATTTTTCAAAGGAATTTACCATAGGAATCGAGTCTTCTCTAGTGTGATTTCCAAATTATCAACTGCATTCATAAACATTTAAAACATTAGTGCCAACAATAACTAAAGATCCAATTTCTACTCTTCTTCCAGGTCTATACAGTTTGTGAATTTTAATGCCCACCCCTCCACCCTCACCCTACTCTCCACCACCCAAACCTAGACCCTGCTTTACTTATGCACTTTGGTTTTTTTGTTTTTTGTTTTTTGTTTTGTTGTTGTTGTTTGTTTGTTTGTTTCATTTTGTTTTTTTGAGAGAGAGTGTCTCTGTGGCCCAGGCTAGAGTGCAGTGGCACAATCTCGGCTTACTGCAACTCCACTTCCTGGCTTCAAGTGATTATCCTGCCTCAGCCTCCCGAGTAGCTGGGATTACAGGCGCCCGCCACCATACCTGACTAATTTTTGTATTTTTAGTAGAGATGGGGTTTTACCGTGTTGATCAGGCTGGTCTCAAACTCCTGACCTCAGGTGATCTGCAGGTCAGGGAAGGCGGGATCCCAAAGTGCTGGGATTACAGGCATGAGCCACCACGCCCAACCTACTTATGAACTTTGTGTAACATCTGCTTGTTTCTTTTATTTTTGGGGGAGTGGGGGACAATCAGCTTCCTCAGATTGAACAACGTCTGCTTATTTTACTATTGCACTGTGTTGAACCATGTGAAGCTGCCCTTTTTATATGTCACACAGTTGAATTTCAGGAATTTAATATGTGTCAAACTTATGTTACATAATTCTTTGTGTATTTTTATCTCCGCGGACTATGTGATGTTTTTGGAACGTGAATGTTGAAATTCATTTGTATGCTCAACATTTATTTTCTTCTCTCTCTCTCTGTCTGTCTCCACCTCCCCCTTCCTCCCCTTCTCTTACAAGTAAATCCATTCTAGTATGCATCAAATTCTATGACAAACATGACTGCTAACTTCACTGATCATAAGCAATACTTTACTAGAATATTGCTCATGATGATTTCTAATGGTGTATACTAGAGTTAAGAGTAAGATAATAGGGCTAGTTCCAGTTTATGATCCCTTGTTATTACAAGGGATGTCCCTTGGTTTTGCCAATGACAAAATGTTTATGTGAACAATTACCTCATGGAAATAGTTCTTCCTCAAAAATAGAAGTAATGTTATTTCTCCAGTCCTTGTCTATCTCATTGCGGTAGGTATCATGAACAGTATTATAGCTCTAACATTTGTTCTTGCAATTCTCAGAACTGTTAACAGGAAGAGGAAAGTCCTCAAGAGCCAGAGAGTAGAGGTCCTTGATGCACAAAAATCTCCACCTGTCCTAATGCTGCGCGTTCACTGGCATGGCTGTTTTGGGACCTAAGGCCCAACTAGATGAAGCACATCTGCCAGCTACCCCTGAACACTCCATTCACTCCCTCTCAACATTCCTTTCAAACAGCCTCATTTAACACATCTTGCCCAGCTTCCTGACTAGAATTGTATCTCCTTTGCCCCTTTAACTCAATATGGTTCTGGAGTTTAAGACATTAAGTGGCCTATGAATATTGTTCTGGTCTGTTCTGGTGTGGTAAAAAGAAGCTGGACTAGGAGACTGGTTTTACGCCAACAATTACATATGGACACACATTCTTAGTGAGTCCCATTTTACTTATGTGTAAAATGAAGTATTAGAACAAGTGATCTTTAAGAGGTTTTGTTTCCTGCCTAGATCACCTCTTTCCAATCTTTCCAGGAAGTACCCCTAATTGGACATTCTGATATCACTAAGAGATTATTTGAGCACCAGTTTCTTGGGCTGTAAAGGTTGGCACACTGCCCATCACATCACACAGTAAGGCTTAATAATCAAAGGGTAAAATGAATAAATGAATCCTTTAAACAACTCTGCAAAGTGGGTATGTGTTTCCCCACATATAGATGAAGAAATTGTGGCTCAGAGGTTAAATGGCTTACCCAAGTCCCACAGACATTAAGTGACAGGCTTTGGATTTGAACCCAGGGCCATTAAGCTCTTTCTGGTGTACTACACACATCCTGAGCACATAATAAGTGCTAATGTCTGTTCAATTTTTCATTGTATTTTTCTAATTTGATGTTTGTTGCCAAGAACACAGTGTATTGAGTATGTAGATACTTCTCAATAAATATTCTGCCCCATCATGTGAAAGGAACCATTCCAGAAGCTCTGTAAACAAAGACAGACAGCATACTGCTTCTGCTCTTAAGAAGATGGTCACGTTCCAGTGAATTTAATTCAACTAAAATTTTTGAACCAGAATGATCCCCAATCTTGCACCTGCTTATCAAATCATATTTTAACTCAATAAGATATGAATGGTACATAGTAGTTGTCTCTGACCATGTTTCTTGAAATTTTTGGCAGTACCCTAACTAATTTTTCTGGGCATAACTGGGGTTTCCTTTCTAACCAGGTCAGGATACTGAGAGTGTCAAGTAAGTCACAGAGCTGATAAAGTACTGGTGAGACTTCTACTATGAGCAAATAAGAAACAAAGGTTGATTTGAACAATTACTTTTTTCTTTCAAATGACTCCTTAGCACAATTTAGGGATTTCTACTGAAATAGCTTGTTTCATCTTGACCTGGCCCACTACCCTACCAACTCTTGATAACCTCTAGGGAAAAAAAAGGAGGAGGGAGATCCCTAGAGACCACCATAAACACCACAGTGTGGAACTGTAGCTCCATCCTCCTTTCAACTGAATTTCTGCATACCCCATAAGTATTCACTTGGTCATTAATCAAAGATTTGCACAGTAGACTATGTCTATGTCTGTGAAATCCTCTGAGCCTAAAGAAAATGTCTGCCTATCCACTAATTACCAGTATGTTTAAGGCTTGATTTCTAAAGACATTCTAGTGTCCTAGGAAAGTAAATCTTCAAAGGTGTCAAGATCACCCAGATGAAAACATAGTATACTATTTAAGAGGGAAACTAATATGATTTTAAATTCCTGGTCTACCACTCATTAGCTGTGTGACCTTGGGCAAATTACTTAGCCACACTCAGCCTTAGATGCTTGATTTGGAAAAATGAGGATAATAATTGAGGTGGGGGAGGCTGTAGGTATTATAAAAGACAGGGTTTATAAAGCACTGAGTATGGTGCCTGACAAGTAGTAAAGACATAACAAATGATAGCTAAAATTACTATTAGTTACTCTCAGTGTGGCATGAAAGCTCGAAACCTATAATAGGACCTGTGAGTACGGGACCAGAATCCAAGTGGGGCTGAAAAGACACCTTGCCAACAAGGAGCCACCTCTCTTCCATGCATAAGCATGCAGTTTAGATTAGCCAGGCATAGCCATGGTGTTGAGGAGTCTCTCTGCCTTGCTTTGTGATGCAGGACCACAGCTCTCTAAATGCAGGTCAACTCTTCAAATCCAGTTTACCACATAAGGAATTTACCAAACGATCCATTCACTATATTTGCCAAATTTACTGATTATTATGCCTGCAAACAGCTTCAACAAGAACGTTTCATTTTGTTTATTAAAGCTAGAATAAATGTGTTTGAATATTACCTAAGATAATGTGCATATACCTTAGTAAGTGAGGGAAAACTTCAAAATCAGGGACCAGCATAAGTATAAATTGAAATATTCTTGTACCAAACCCTACTTTTCCCATCTAAAATTTTGTTTATACCTGAAAAGCACCTGACTTTTTAAATTTTTCTAAATCTTATTTTCTATTTTTTCAAACCATAATCACTTTGGATTTTCTTTTTCAAATTCTTCAGGTTGATATGTTATTTCTTGGAATTATAAATTAAACTTTAAAATGAATAAATTGAATTTAAATGCTACATTTTAATTCAATTTTAAATTTAAGTTCAATTCATTTGTCTTGGATTAAAGTTTAATTAAAAATTAATTTACAGTCTAAAGCATCTTGAAGAATTAGAATTCGCAATAAAATTTACTGGGCAGACACAGTGACCATGCCTGTAATCCCAGCACTTTGGGAAGCCAAGACAGGAGTATCGCTTGAGCAATAGGAGTTGGAGGCAGGAGCCAAGGCAGGAGTTGGAGAAGCATAGCAACATCTCGTCTCTACAAAAAAATTTTTTAAAAATTTAGCCAGGTGTGGTGGCACACACCTGTAGTCCCAGCCACTCAGGAGGCTGAGGTGGGAGAATCACTTGAGCCCAGGAGATCAAGGCCACAGTGAGCTATGATGGTGCCACTGCACTCCAGCCAGGGCAGCAGAACGAGACTCTGTCCCGAATAAATAAATTAATAAATAATAAAATTTACCTCTAAAGTGTCTATTTAATTAAATTATAATTATATTACAATTACTATCAAAACATGAAGAAAATCAGAATTAGCTCAAAAAAATTGTCAAGTATAAAATGCTGAAATTGAATTCTAGCAAGGAGCATTTAAGATATGCCACCCTGATAAGTTTACATAAAATTCCTCCTGAACATGTTCAAAGAAGTAGAAAGGAAATGGGGATACCCAGAAGAGTTCTATATATATTAGCACTGAAAACCTAAAGCATAGTAACCATACATATAAAATCGTGAGGGGAAAACCAACCAGTTCATTGGTGAAACTCTTTAAAATGCTATAAGTGAATAAATAAATAAATAAATAAATACTATGATGTTGGCAAAACAGACAGTGGCCACAAATATTGGAGAAAAAGCATAACCTACAAACATCGTGGTGAAAATGCTAAAAATTTTACTACAAATATACAGAAGTATAATTCAATAAGCAGAAATATATATTTCACCTTCTGTCATGAGAAATGAACCATTTCTATTAAAGCTGTTTTTAAAAACATTCCTATTCTTTTGCCTCAGTCTTGAACTCTAGCTAGCAGCCTGATATGTGTGCTTCTGTATCTTCAGTAGCCTCCAGTCACCATCAACATTGTGTGGCTTCTTCTGGGACCCACTGTGACACACTGCACAGTCACAAGCGACCATAATGGTGAAGCTTATGATGACTGGTTAAAATTAAGACACACTCAAGAAAATGGCTTATACCCCAAAGAAGATAGAAGAAGATAGTGAAGATGAGGACATGTGAGATGATAAAGATAGCAGCGAAAATGAGCTTATTATACCTCAGGGGGGAAAAGGCAATAAGACACAACTCCGACAAAAGCAACAAGGTTGAAGTTTCCACACCTGTCAAGAAAGCACCTGTCATCCCAGGCAAAATGGCAGCAGATATTGTCAGTCAAGAAGATAGTCGCACTGGGCAAAGCAGCAGCAATATGTGGCAAGAAAGAAGTCACACTGGGAAAAGCAGTTGAGGCAACCACTAGCTAGAAGGGAACCACCACACCAGCTAAGGAGGAAAAGAATACTAAGAATGCCATGATGAGGAAAACAAAAATGACAAAGACAACAAGGAGGACAAAGGTGATGAAGAGGAAAATAACTCTAAAGAAGATGCAATGAATTTACTATAATTTTGATAGGAAAGAAAGTTCATGCAAAATCTCTTCCTGTGAAGGCCAAAAGCATGGTTGAGGACAAGGAGGATGAAGAGGACAGGGACGATGATGAAGATGATGAGAACAATGAGGAAGATGGTGAAGAAGAGGAGAATGAGGGGGAAGACAGTGACAATGATGAGGAAGAGCCTACCAAAGAAGCACCTGGAAAATGGAAGAAGGAAATGTCCAAACAGCAACCAGCTTCCAAAGCCAAGAAATAGAAAATGGATGTCAGTATTAATGGATCTTAGGAGCTTAGCTGTGTGAATTTTGAAACTTCTGACCTGGAAAAAGCCTTGGAACTCACTAGTTCTAAAGCGTTTGGCAATAAAATTAAACCAGAAAAGCCAAAGGGAAAAAATAAGATTGAGATTTCATAACACTTTTATTCAAAATTCTGTCTTGGAGTCATTCAGGATGAATTTAAAGAAGTGTTTGAAGACTCTATGGAGATCAGATTAGTCAGTGACAATGGAAAGAGCAAAGGGATGTCCTACATTGAATTTAAGACAGAAGCTGATGCAGAGAAAACCTTGGAAGGAAAGCAGGGAACAGAAGCCAAAGGGAAGTCTATTTCCCTCTACTAAACTGGAGAAAAAGATCAAAATCAGGACTACAGATGTGAAAAGCGTACCTCTTGGATTAGTACATTGAAAACTGGTTTTAAACAACCTCTCCTAAAATGTAACAGAAGAAACTTTGCAGGAAGTATTTGTGAAGGCAACTTCTATCCAAGGTGCCCCAGAACCACAATGGCAGATCTATAGGGTATGCACTGATAGGATTTGCTTCCTTTGAAAATGCTAAAGAAGCTTTAAATTCCTGTAATAAAAGAGAAATCAAGGGCAGAGCAATCACACTGAAGCTGCAAAGACCCAGAGCAACTAATGCAAAAAGCCAGCCATCTGAAAGTGTTTCTCAGGGTCTGTCTGAGGACACTACAGAAGAAACATTGAAAGAGTTCATTGATGCTTCTGTTCATGTCAGGATAGTCACCAACCAGGATGGGTTTGGTTTCTCGACTGCAGCAGTAAGGAAAATGCTAAATCCACTAAGGAGGCCATGGAAGATGGCAAAATTAATGAAAATGAAGTTACTTTAGACTAGGCCAAGCCTAAAAGCAAAGATGGCTTTGGAGGTGCTGAAGAAGGCAGAAGAGAATTTGGAGGTAAAGGGGGTGGAAGAAGAGGCAAAGGTGGATTTGTTGGCAGAGACCACATAGGATTTGGGGGGCAGAGAGACTTTTCGTTTGTTTTGTTCTTGACACAGAATCTTCCTCTGTCCCCCAGGCTGGAGTGCAATGGCATGATCTTGGCTCACTGCAACCCCTGCCTCCTGAGTTCAAGTGATTCTCCTGCCTCAACCTCCTGAGTAGCTGGGATTACAGGCATGTGCCACTACACTCAGCTAATATTTTTGTATTTTTAGTAAAGATGGGGTTTCACCATGTTGGCCAGGCTGGCCTCGAACTCCTGACCTCAGGTGATCCACCCACCTCGGCCTCCCAAAGTGCTGGGATTACAGGGGTGAGTCACCGCGCCCAGCCAGGCAGAGAGACTTCTGAGGAGGAAAAGAAGGAGGGCATCACAGCCACAATGAAAGAAGATCAAGTTGAAATAGTTTCTTTTATCCCTCAGTCTTTTCTTCTTCCATTCCATTTTACTTTCCATTTGAAAGTAAGGACTCTTGAGTTTTATTACATGATCAATGTCAGAGTCTTCAGAGGACATTGCAAGACAGTATGCAGTCTTGCAGCATACTTGGAATTCCATTTATATAAAATTTCAAGGGAGATTTTCCATTGGTTTTGACTGGATATTCATATAAACTTTTTAAAGAGATGAGATCAAGACAATCCTCGCATGTAAATTTTGAATTTATATTGTTTCATCCCATGTACAAAAACATTTTCCCTATAGACAAGTTTTTATGCCTGGGTAGCTGGTAAAGGAAAGCAGACTTAGGGACAAATTACAAGTCCTAACTTCTGATGCCAGAAAAAATAAAATCTTATTAAATCTGTTTTAAACCACCTTTCCAAGATAGATAATTCAGCAAACTGACCTAGGAATGTCTTCCTGTGACTATTTTCTCTCACAGACATCAATGTTTTTAAATCATTTATTTTTTATATTTTGCCTTTTGTTCTTCCTTTATAGACACTGTACATGTGTGGTGTTTAATGGCTTACAAATGTCTTTCAAAAGCATGGCCTCATCGATATATATGAGTAAAGCAGTAAGTGCTATGCCTATTTTGTAGTTGAACAAATAGTGTCAGAGAAGATTATAAATATTACTTTAAAGTTCATATGGAACCAAAAAAGAGCCCACATTGCCAAGACAATCCTAAGCAAAAAGAACAAAGCTGGAGGCATCACGCTACCTGACTTCAAACTATACTACAAGGCTACAGTAACCAAAACAGCATGGTACTGGTATCAAAACGGAGATACAGACCAACGGAACAGAACAGAGCCCTCAGAAACATACCACACATCTACAACCATCTGATCTTTGACAAGCCTGACAAAAACAAGAAATGGGGAAAGGATTCCCGATTTAATAAATGGTGCTGGGAAAACTGGCTAGCCATATGTAGAAAGCTGAACCTGGATCCCTTCCTTACACCTTATATACAAAAATTAATTCAAGATGGATTAAAGAGTTAAACGTTAGACCTAAAACCATAAAAACCCTAGAAGAAAACCTAGGCAATACCATTCAGGACATAGGCATGGGCAAGGACTTCATGTCTAAAACACCAAAAGCAATGGCAACAAAAGCCAAAATTGACAAATGGGATCTAATTAAACTAAAGAGCTTCTGCACAGCAAAAGAAACTACCATCAGAGTGAACAGGCAACCTACAGAATGGGAGAAAATTTTCGCAACCTACTCATCTGACAAAGGGCTAATATCCAGAATCTACAAAGAACTCAAAAAAATTTACAAGAAGAAAACAAACAACCCCATCAAAAAGTGGGCATGTTCATATCCAGAATCTACAAAGAACTCAAACAAATTTACGAGAAAAAAACAAACAGCCCCATCAAAAAGTGGGCATGTTCTCACTTATAGGTGGGAATTGAATAATGAGAACACATGGACACAGGAAGGGGAACATCACATACCGGGGCCTGCTGGGGGTGTGGTGGGGGAGGGATAGCATTAGGAGATATACCTAATGTTAAATGACAAGTTAATGGGTGCAGCACACCAACGTGGTACATGTATACATATGTAATAAACCTGCACATTGTGCACATGTACCCTAAAACTTAAAGTATAATAAAAAATAAAAATAAAAAAATAAAAAATAGAAAATAAAAGGATATGAACAGACACTTCTCAAAAGAAGACATTTATGCAGCCAAAAAACACATGAAAAAATGCTCATCATCACTGGCCATCAGAGAAATGCAAATCAAAACCACAATGAGATACCATCTCACACCAGTTAGAATGGCAATCATTAAAAAGTCAGGAAACAACAGGTGCTGGAGAGGATGTGGAGAAATAGGAACACTTTTACACTGTTGGTGGGACTGTAAACTAGTTCAACCATTGTGGAAGACAGTGTGGCAATTTCTCAAGGATATAGATCTAGAAATACCATTTGACCCAGCCATCCCATTACTGGGTACATACCCAAAGGATTATAAATCATGCTGCTATAAAGACACATGCACACGTATGTTTACTGCAGCACTATTCACAATAGCAAAGACTTGGAACCAACCCAAATGTCCATCAATGATAGACTGGATTAAGAAAAGGTGGCACATATACACCATAGAATACTATGCAGCCGTAAAAAGGATGAGTTCATGTCCTTTGTAGGGACATGGATGAAGCTGGAAACCATCATTCTTAGCAAACTATCACAAGGACAAAAAACCAAACACTGCATGTTCTCACTCATAGGTGGGAATTGAACAATGAGAACACTTGGACACAGGAAGGGGAACATCACACACTGGGGCCTGTCTTGGGGTGGGGGGAGTGGGGAGGGATAGCATTAGGAGATATACCTAATGTTAATGACGAGTTAATGGGTGCAGCACACCAGCAAGGCGCATGTATACATATATAACAAATCTGCACATTGTGCACATGTACCCTAGAACTTAAAAGTATTAAAAAAAATTATTCTAGGAAAACAGGCATAAAATAGGACTCTCCCAGGCAAACTAGAAAGCATAGCTAAAATACTATAATGGCTTGCCTTTAAAACATTAATTTACTTCTATTTTCATGAAATATTAAAATATAATTTTTCTTCTAGTAAGAAAAAAATATTCCCAAAGGCTCGCAGCTACTGAGCTACTGAATAGTAAGGCTGGAGACCAAACCTAGGCCTCTAGACTTTAAATTCAGTTCCCTTTTAATGTATCCAATCTTTAATAACCCATGTTGCCTATATTACGCACTCTCTTCTTTTTTTTTTTTTTTTAAGAAACAGCATCTCATTCTGTCACCCAGGCTGGAGTACAGCAGTATCAGCATAGCTCACTGTAACCTCAAACTCCTGGGCTCAAGTGATCCTCCTGCCTCAGCCTCCCAAAGAGCTGGGATTACTGGCATGAGCCACCACACCTGGCCAAAATCTCAAAAATTAAAAAAAAAAACCTTTAGGCAACACATAATTTAATCGTTTTAATTATTAAAGATAACATACAGAAAAGTACATAAAGACTAAATGTACAGTTTATTAAACTATTATAAAGCATCCAGATATTTACAGAAACATATCAGCAACAGGCATAATCCATTCCCTTTGACAACTCCAGTATTCTTCCTAGAGGCAATCATGATGTCCTTTACAGTAATCAGTTCCTTGCTTTTCTCTACAGGGTTTACCTTCTTAATATGCATCTCTAAGCAACAGAGTTTCTTCTTGGCTTTAAAATTTATGGAAATATAATCACGCTAGTGCGTACTTGTTTTGGTCTGGTTTCTTTCATTCAATAATATATTTTCAAAATTAATCCAGGATTTTCCATGTGTGATTTCAGTTTTTCATGTTTGTTGATGCATAGTGTTCCATTGTACAAATCTATCACAATTATTTTATCCAGGTTACACTCAATGGGAATTCAAGTTGTTTCCAATTTGGGGTTATTGTAAATAATGTTGACATGATCATTATTTTACTTGTGTCCTGGTGCACATACGCATAATTCCTCTGGGGTAAATATTTAAGAGGGAAATAAATGGTTGGGTCATAAGGGAATGTGTATCTTCATCTTGAATACATAACAAACAATAAACTCTTCCCTAAAGCAATTCAACTAATTTGTGCTCTCAACAGCAGTATATGAAATTGCCTACTTTAGCACTCATCAGTTTCCAAAAGAAAAAACAAAAAGAAATTGCCTACTGATCCACATCCTCACCAACTCTTGATATTACTAGACTCATTAAGTTTAGTCAGTTTGGTGGGTATATAAAATGATACTGCAGTGTGGTTTCACTGTGCATTTCTCTAATGATTAATAATGTTGGCTATTTGGATTTCCTCTTTGGACAATGTTCTGTTTAAGTCTCTTGGCCATTACTATTGTGTTATTTGTCTTCCTCTCTTTGATTTCTAAGAATCGTTTATGTGCTCTGGAACTAAGCTATTGTCACCTAAATATTTGATAAATATCTTCTTACATTCTGTGGCTTGCCTTTTCCTGCTAGTAATGTTGTCTTTTTATGAACAAAAGGTCTTAATCTTAATGTGGTTCATAATTTTTTTAACATTTCCCACTATAATTAGTATTTTTTGACTTGTTTGAGAAATCCTTCCATACCCAGAGGGTGTGAAAAGCTCTTCTACATTTTTTTCTACAAGCTTTATTATTTTGCCTATGACATTTTGCTCTAAAATACACCTGAGATTGTTTTCCCATATCTGGTGTGAAGTAGGGGATTTATTTTTATTTCTTTCCAAGTGTATAACCTGTTGTCTCAACACTATTTGTTGGAAACATTTTCTTTTCTAAATGCTCTGCAATGCTACTAGTGTCACGAATCAAGCAGCCATGAAAGCAGGCTCAGAGTCAGTTTCTGGGCTGTCTAGCCTATCCACTCATCTATGTGTACATCACTATATTGGTACCAAAGTGTCCTAATTACTATTGCTTTATAATAACTTTACATTTGCTAAAGCAAATCCTTCCTCCTGTTTCTTTAAGAGTCTTCACAATATTGAGTCCTGCAATCTATAAGCATAGTGTAACTTTAAATTTATTTAATTTTCATTAATATATATCAATAAGCATTTAGAGTGTTTTCTTTAGCGGTCTTGCACACATTTTTTAAACTTAAAGACTTGATAGTTTGATACAATTTTAAATGGTAGAGCCTTTTAAAATTTCATTTATTAAATGTTGCTGTTATACAGAAATACCAATTGATTTTTGCATATTGATTTTGTATCCAGCAACAGTGATATATTCTAATGATGCATCTGTGGATAATTCTGGGTATTCTACACAGCCAATTGATGCAGAGCAGGTCTTTGGTTTTGCCCAGGAACAAATTCAAGAGCGAGCCAGTGGTGGAAGAAAGCAGCTTTATTGAAGTAGCAGTGTTACAGCTCAGTGACTGCTCATTGCAGAGCAGGGCTAGCCCATAGGTAATGCAGCATGTATAGAAGGATGGTTATCAGAGGCTGGGAAGCTCATGGGGGTTGGGGGAAGTGGAGAGGGTTAACTGGTACAAAAAATAGTTTAAAAGAATGAATAAGACAAAGTATTTGCTAGCAGAACAGGGTGACTATAGTAAAAAATAATTTAACTGTACATTTTAAAATAACTAAGTATTACTGGATTGTTTGCAACACAAAGGACAAATGCTTGAGGTGATGGATACCTGATTTACCCTGATGTGAGTACTATGCATTGCATGCCTATATCAAAATATCACATGTAACCCATAAATATATACACATACTATGTACCCACAAAAATTAAAAATAAAAATTTTCTAAAAACAATAGCAATGTGTAGGCTGTTGGCTAACTGTATTTATATCCACTTTTAATTGCATGCAAATTAAGGGGTGGGTTATTCAGAAATCTCTAGAAAATGGGCAGTAACTTCTGGGTGCTGCCATGGAGTTTGTAAACTGTCACGGCACCGGTGGGGGGAGTGTCTTATGCTGATGGGCAGCAAGGGCAACCAGAGGTTGCTTTTGGTGCCACTTGCTGGTTCTGGCTGGTTTTCTATCTGGTCCAGAAAACAAGTGCTACTTTTCTCCTACCTCATTCCCCTGCTCGGAGATTAGATATGCCTCCTTAATCTTAAAGGAGCTGCAGGTCAGAGATCCATCTTCTGTAACTGTTTCCTGCTGTTTTTATGGGCATAGGCCCTGCCTAGCATTGGAGGAGTAAAAATTTCTGGATATCTGATCTAACGGAACCAAGGGCAGGATATTTTCATTCTCCAGGTCAGAATACAGGATGGGTTGGAAGCCTTGTGCCAGCATTCTTTACATGGATTTACTGTAATCTGGAAGACACAAACTTTACTAAGTGGTTAAACAAGCAAGGGCCAAAAATTAGTAGTAACAGGATAGCTAGCAAGTTCCTAGGAAAGGTAAAAACCAGGCAAGATTTGGGAGGGCACTTTTGATAAGTGACCAGATACAGCTGGGGTCAGTGCCCTGGTTACATCTATCTAACCAGGTAGCTTGTTCATAGATTTCCTAATGTTAACCTCGATTTTCCAGAGTTATTAATGTACATGCAGCAGGTCATATTAATAACTGCACAGACTCCACCTTGTTCAGCTAGCAAATAATCCAATAATCCAATGCTAGTCTGTTGTCAAGGACAACATTTGTCAAAGAGTCTAGGAACTCTTGAATTCTGTTTAATGCCTGGCCTATATTGGTGGCCAGTGATTCTAGGGTTTGAGTCAAGTTCTTTAGGATTGACTAATGGGAGACAAAGCCACCCCAGGGGGCCACTAGTCCTATTACTGTCTCGATTCCTGCCAGAATTAACCCTATTGCTCATTTATTTCTGATATTCCTGGGCCTTATGGGATTATAGATGGTGACTCCCAGAGGGGCAATGATGGCCAGTATACATTCACCCCATTTCTAGTTTTTAGTATACAAGGAAAAGCTACTCCTAAAAGAACAGATAGCTCCCCAGGGAGTCAGGAGTGGTTATGAGGTGGGACTTCTACTTACTCATGGCCACAGACAAAAATAAGCCCAGTTGGGGCACAAATAGAAGTCCTATGAGATGTGATGTCTATCCTTTGTTACCCAGTCGTGTCTATAGATATATTTCCCTTGCTCCAATGGGGGTAGTCAAACATCCTTTGTTTTCCAGAAGAAGCCAGTACTCTTACCTTCCTAGATTAGACAGTTATTTTCCCCTTGCATGTTCTGATCGAGGAGGAAGCACCATGTGTTGTTTTCTCACTTACAAGTGGGATCCCATTTACCTGTCTGTGGCCTCAGGAATTTGGCAACTAGGATTGGATCAGAGCATGTCAGGAAAGTATCCACTTTTGTGTCATTAACACAATGAGTGCAAAACATAGTGTCATTAGGACACCTGAAGTACAGGTACCCAATCTCCCAGGTCCAGGTAATAGTGGCAGGGGCAGTTAGGTCAAATTCATTAAGTGGGAAAGAGTTCCACCTAACAAGTAAGGATCTGGGTACTAAGGGATCACTATGGTTAATTAGGAGGTCCAGGGAGATGGCCATGAGGTTTTCCAGATGTGTCAGAAAGTGGAACTCTTTATCGTGGGGATGTTGATGACAAATGCAGCAATCATGAAGATGATTCCTTGATGTTATGATTTTTGAAATATTTACTGTAGAGTTTTATTCCCACCACACTGGATTAGGTTAATCAGGATGGCAAACAGGATTAACAGTGGCAGCATGGTGTCTGGTTGGACCTTAGAGTGGCCTCTACACCCAACAAGGACAAAAGAGGTATTTCCCAGGAGGAGGCAAGTGGCCAAAGCAATAGAAAAGAAGTATACAATCAGGAAGAAGAGAAAAATTAATGTTCCTATTCCCACTCACAGCATCACATTACCACTTCTGGCTGAGTGTTGATTCTTTTAAATAGGTAGTGGAGGTACTCCAAAGATTCACAGGTATAGGTCATGGTGTTCTTCTTTTGCATTTGTGGGGACTCATAAGAAATGGGTTTCATCCTGGATAGGTGTACTCAGCTAGTGATGTCCTGAAGTTTCACAGCAGTGGGTTGTAGGGTCCAGCTCTAAAAGGCCTGTGGGTTTTTCTCCTCATGTGCAGAGACGAGGGATCATAGAAATAAAGACACAAGACAAAGAGATAGAAGAAAAGACAGCTGGGCCCAGGGGACCACTACCACCAAGACGTGGAGACCGGTAGTGGCCCCCGAATGCCTGGCTGCACTATTATTTATTGGATACAAGGCAAGGGGGCAGCATAAAGAGTGTGAGCCATCTCCAATGATAGGTAAGGTCATGCAAGTCACGTGTCCACCAGACAGGGGGCCCTTCCCTGTTTGGTAGCCGAGGCGGAGAGAGAGAGAGGGGACAGCTTACGTCATTATTTCTTCTATGCATTTCAAAGACTTTAGTACTTTCACTAATTCTGCTACTGCTATCTAGAAGGCAGAGCCAGGTGTACAGGGTGGAACAGGAAAGTGGACCAGGAGCATGACCACTGAAGCACAGCATCACAGGGAGATGGTTAGGCCTCCGGATGGCTGCGGTCGGGCCTGACTGATATCAGGCCTTCCACAAGAGGTGGTAGAACAGAGGCTTCTCTAACTCCCCCAGGGGAAAGGGAGACTCCCTTTCGCAGTCTGCTAAGTAACGGGTGCCTTCCCAGGCACTGGCACTACCGCTAGACCAAGGAACCCTCTAGTGGCCCTGTCCAGGCATAACAGAGGGCTCACACTTGTCTTCTGGTCACTTCTCACTGTGTCCCTTCAGCTCCTATCTCTGTATGGCCTGGTTTTTCCTAGGTTATAATTGTAGAACAAAGATTATTACAATATTGGAATAAAGAGTATGCTACAAACTAATGATTAATAATATTCATATATAATCATATCTATAATCTATTTCTAGTATAACTATTCTTATTCTATATATTTTCTTTATTATACTGGAACAGCTTGTGCCCTCGGTCTCTTGCCTTGGCACCTGGGTGGCTCGCCACCCACAGTGGGTATATTAGGCCATTCTTGCATTGCTATGGGGACAAATATCCAAACTATATCAATAAGGGTACTTAACACCTGATAAGGACCCTTCCATTTGGGTTGTAATTGATCCTCAGGGGATCCTTCTTTCCAAGTTTTTAGTAAGATTAAGTCTCTTCGTTGAATGAAGGAGTTGATGGAGTTAATTCTTTCCCTTGTGGGAGGAGGCAACACTTCATTTCCGTATTCTTGAAGGGCCTTTCGAACCTGGCCTAAGTTGATAATACATGTGAGCATTCTATGTGTCTCTTTATTAAGCAGGAGGCCTGAAGGAAAAAAAAAAGCCTCCCATAGGTCATTTCAAATGGACTAAGTTTTACGGTTCCCTTTGGAGCCATCCTTATGTACAAAGGGGCTATGGTAGAAGAGAAGCCCAGGCCTCTGAGGTCTACTGACGCAGTTTTGCTAATGTCCTTTTTAGAACATGGTTGGCTTTTTTCTACCTTACCTAAAGATCGAAGCCACCAGAAGGAGTGAAGATGATAGATAATGCCTAAGGCTGAGGGAACATGCTCAGTCACCTTAGCTGTAAACGAAGGTCAGTTATTACTTTGCAAACTTTTTGGTAATGCAAACCTGGGGATGTTTTCTTTAAGAATTTGGACACTTCCAATGCTTTTTCTGTCTTTGTAGGGAAAGCTTCTATCCACCCAGTGAAAGTGTCCATAAATAGTAGAAAATATTTTAGTCCCTATAAGGTGGCATCTGGGTGAAATCTATTTGCAGTCTTGCCTAGGGTATGTTCCTTGGTGTTGTACAGGTTTGAGTAGGGATTGGAGTATGGGGTGGCTTCCTGGGTCATTATGAGCACACAGTTCACAGGTCTTGGTGACCCTTTTTATAGTCTGGAATAGTCCCTTTCCCAAGAATATTAGGGAAACAAATTTGAATACAGAATCCCATCCTAAATGTGAGGAGTCATGGAAATGCTTAATTATTTTCCATTGCTCAGCCTCAGGGAGAAAGAGTTTATTGATTTCTAGAAATCACTCTGAGGGATCCTTTTGTAAGCCTTTCTGTTCTGCCCGTTTAATTTGCTAAGGTGTATAATATGGCACTGTTGACATGGGTGGAGCATCAGGTATTAGTGCAGCAGCCAGCAGTACTGATCTTCCTTTAGCGGAGGCCATGACTGCTCTATCCACCAGGACATTTCTTCTGATAATAGAGGTGTCTCCCTTTTGGTGTCCTCAGCAGTGAATAATTGTTATCTCTTTTGGGAGTTGGACAGCATCTAAAAGTTCCAAGATCTCAGAGTGATGTTGTATGGGGGAATCCTATGGCTGTTAACAGTCCCCTTTTCTTCCATATGGCTTGTGAGCATGGAGCACCAGGAACCCATGTTTGGATCAGTAAATATATTGATTCTTAAGTCTTTTCCCAGTTGGAGGGCCCTAATTAGAGCATTCAATTCCACTTTTTGAGCAGAGGTCTGGGGAGGAAGAGCTTTGGCCTCAATGACTTATTGTTGACTAGCCACAGCATAACTTGCCTTTTTAATCCCTCATGAATAAAGCTACTTCCATCTCTAAACCACTCAACATTGGGGTTAGGCAGGGACTCATCTTTAAGGTCAGGCCTGCTAGAGGAGCTCTGTTCCATAGTTTCCACACAGGAGTGAATGAGTTGGGGACTGGGACGTGAAGTCCAGCAACAGGGTAGCAAGATTTAAAACAACATATTTTAAAAGTAACATCTGCGGTGTCACATAGAAGAACCTGACATTTAAGTAATTGAACCACTGTTAGACATTGGTGTCCTTTTGCCTCTAGGATCCCCTGTATTTGATGGGGGCAGGTCATTACATCTAATTGTTGTCCCAAGGTAAACTTACTGACTTCTACCAATAGAGTGGTGGTGGCCACAGCTCAAAAGCATCCTGGCCACCCAGCCACCACTTGGTCTAGCTGTTTAGAAAAGTAAGCCACTGGTATAGGGCTATTCACGAGACTTTGAGTTAGAACACCCAAAGCTGTCCCTTGTTTTTCAGCCACATATAGGGTGAAAGGTTTTTCTAAGTTTGGGAGTCACAAAGCAGGGGCTGTTCCCAATTTTTCTTTTAGGGTTAAGAATGCCTGTTGGCAGGTTCCATCCCAATTCAAAGGCTCATGATCACTCTCTTTTAGAGCTTCATAGAGTGGTTTTGCTATGAGCCCAAACCTGGGACTCCAAATCCAGAAGAATCTGGCCATTCCCAGAAAGATTCTTAATTGTTTCTTAGTCTGAGGGGGCTGGAGTGCCAAGATGGTCTCTTTTTACTCCTGGGCCAGGGTGTTTGCCCCAGGAGTTAACACATACTCCAAATATTTAACCTTTTGTGCAGAAATTTGGGCTTTATTGTAGGAATACCCAATAACCTCATCTTCTCAAAAAAATTAAGAATCTGGATTGTGTTCCTGTCACAGCCTTCCCTGGTTGGGCTGGAAATTAATAGATCATCCATATATTGCTAAAGAGACCCATTATTTAACTAGAGTTTCCTTAATTCTTTTGCCAATGTATTGACAAAGAAATGGGGACTGTCCCTAAAACCTTGAGGAAGAACAGCCCACGTAAGATGAGATGCAGCATGAATGTCTGGATCAGTCCATTCAAAAGCAAAGATATACTGGGTGTCCACGTGTAAAGGTATACAAAAGAAAGCATCCTTTAAGCCTAATACCATGAACTATTAACATCTTCAGGGACTTGGGTCAATATTGTGTATGAATTAGTAACTATTCAGTGGACTGGGACTATTGCCTCATTAACTGCCCTCAGATTCTGAACAAATCTGTATTCCCCATTCAGTTTCTTCACAACCAAAATGGAGGTGTTACGTAGGGACTGACGGGACTGTAGTAATCCATACTTTAGGAACTTCCTTATTAGGGGTTGAATGCCTCTCTGCTCTTCAGGTCTCAAGGTACGTTGTTTTTTGTATGGATACTTAACTCTGGGTTTCAAAATAACCTGGACTGGGAGTACATTAACATCTCTACCAAGAACTTTCATGTCCCAAACAGAGAGGTCTACTTGAGAAGTAAGATGCAGTGAAAGAGAGGTCTTTTATTTATCTGTGTTAAGGCATGTACTTGGAGCTAGAAGAAGTGTCTTTCCCTGGCCTATTGCCTTCTCATAAGGCTCTCCAAATTGAGCTGTGGCCTGTAATTGGGAAAGTTAGTCTCTTCCCAGTAAAGGAATAGGGCACTCAGACATAAGCAGAAAGATATGGGAAAACACATGATTCCCCACAGTGTAACTGAGGGGGTGGGTGAATCACCTAACTTTTGGCTGGCCATCAATCTACATTATGGTACAAGAGTGGGAAAACAATGGCCCTGAGAAATAGGTTGAAACTGAGAAGTCTGCTCCCATGTCCACCAAAAACTCATTATTTTTGCCTGCCACATCAAGAGTTACCCAAAGCTCCTCTATGGAGATAGTAAGGTGTCCATTGGAAACCATAAGAGACCTCAGGCCCTGTCAGTCCTCTGTTCTCTCAGCCATTATGGGTCTGAGTGGTTCAGACTCTCTTTCAAGCCTGGGGCAGTCCTTCCTTCAGTGTTCCTCTTGCTTATAGGCACATTGATTTTGGCCCAGGGGCCAAGAAGTCAGAGGCTTTCATCTGGGCATCCCAACCACGACTCTCGTAACACTTTCTTGACATTTGTAACCCTAAGGCAGTAAGGGGCTTAAGGCAGCCACGAATAATAGCACTTTTTAGCTATTACTTTTAGTTTTCACCTCTTTCTCCACCTTGTCCCTATTATTGTAAATTCCAAAGGCCATATTTAAAAGTTGGCTCATGGGGATTTGATGCTCTATTGCTGCCTTATGTAAATTCCTCCTAATGTCAGAGATAGTTTGAGTAATAAAATACATGACCAGGAGAGCTCACCTTTCCAGAGAGTCAGGATCTGCATTAGTATATTTCCTGAGGGCCTCCACTAAGTGGCCTTGAAATAAAGTGGCATTTTCATATTTTCCCTGAGTTACTTCTCTAACCTTGTCACAACTAACTGGTTTAACCACACACTTTTTCATACCTTCTACTAAACAAGTTAGCATGTAATTTCTGTGTTTGAGATCTTGGGAACCCCTCTGGGAATCCCATTGAGGGTGCAAATAAGGAACTGCCTCTCCCCCCACATTATAAATGGCATGGCCTTGGATATTATTGGCCACTCCATCTGAAAATTCATGGGTAATACCTAGAATCCTTTGTTTCTCCTCTATGTCTATGGTACAGCAAGTGGATAATAATAAGCACAAGTTATGCCAAGTTATTTCAGAGGACATGGTAAATGTATCAAACTCCTCTATAAACTTCCATGGATCCTCCAAAAACCAGCCAAATTTCTCCTTGCATAAAGCCAAATTTGATACAGTAAATGGCACATATACTCTGATTGTTCCCCCATCTCCATCAGCTACCCACAATGGACACAGTTTCACTTTTAGGGGCTGATACGGGGCCCTGCTCCTGGTAGTACTGGTTGGGCTTACATTCTCAGGTAACAGGGGTATACAACAGGACTAGTTGGATAAGGGGTAGGGGTGCCTGATGACCTTGGGGTGGAATCCTGTGCTGGAGAACTGGCAGAATTCCTCTCAGAACTGCAGGACTGAGGAGGCTCCAAGGGGGGCATGGACCTCCCAGTGGGAGCAGCTAGGAGGGGGTCACCTATGATACCTGGCACAGCTTCTTGGTGCCTGGAAGTAACATGAGTCTGATACATTCTACAGCTATCCCTTAGGTCAGGATCCTGGTAGAGGGCATATAAAAGCCTACACATAAGGAACTTCTCCCCATTTTCCTTCTTTTTTACAGAATAAGTCTAATTGTAAAATAGTATTATATTTTAACATAAAGAACCATTTTTAGACCAAATTTCCTGGTCTCCCAATTTATATTGGACCCCAATGGTGTTGCAATAGAAAATGAGTTCCTTTTCTTTTTAAAGTTTCTAATTTGAATTTGCACCAATTGCCTAAAAGACACCCTACTGTTGAGTCTTCCAGGATGGTCACCATTGTTCCCATTGTCCAGTAAGAATCTGTACAGGAGGTTTTCAAGTTTGCCTAAGTTTAGTGAGAGCCTTACTTTCCCTTTCAAATTCTCACGTCCTGCAGAGAAGGTGTTAGTATAGCTAGCAAAGCATTACAAAAGTGGATCATGAGATATGAGTGGGCAGTAGAATGATGGGTCTGAATTCCAAAGAGAGTGAAGAAAGCATTTCAGTTTGGGCAAAGATGGATTTTAAAAAAATAGAAAGTGATTGTGGAACGGAGGAAGAGTATGGGCGAACAACATGGCTCAAAGGGAGACCTCAGAGACCTTCAGCTACTGGATAATCCACCCAGCAGTAGAGACACCAAAGAAAGTGTTAAGGAGGCCACTCATCCACTGCTGCGGGTACTCATCTGTCAGGCCAGGGGTCTGGGAACCCCTGGTCCCTTCAACCAACAGTCCAAGATGTGCTTGAGCAAGGCAGTCTATTGGACAGAAAGGAAGACAGAACACAGGGAGAGGCCCACAACTGGCTGTTATAGAAAATGATAATTTCCAACTTCAGTGCAGAAAAAACAAGACTGTATTAGTCCATTCTCACACTGCTATAAAGAACTACCTGAGACTGGGTAATTTCTAAAGAAAAGAGTTTTAATTGACTCACAGTTCCTTAGGCTGTACAGGAAGCATGGCTGGGAGGCCTCAAGAAGCTTACAATCATGGCACAAGGTGAAAGGGAAGCAAGCATGTCTTATCATGGCAGAGCATGAGAGAGAGAGAGAGAGTAAAGGGGGAAGTGCCACACACTTTCAAACAACCAGATCTCATGAGAACTCACTCACTATCACAAGAATAGCAAGTGGGAAATCTGCCCCCATGATCCAATCACCTCCCACAAGGTCCCTCCCCCAACATTAGAAATTACAATTCAACATAAGATTCGGATGGGGACACAGACCAAAACCCTATCAAAGACCAAGGTTCTCCCAGGGGGAGGGGCTATAACCCACAATCCTAGAGGGAATGCCAATGTCAAAAACGCCAGAGCATTCAGGGGGTAGACAACAGCCCAGTGCAAAAAACCCCAATGCACCCAAGTAACACCCATTGAGGATTCCCTCACCAAATGCCCCAAATAAAATAGCATTAGAGGAGAAAGGATCAAGAGAAGGGGTGACAAGAATGTAGGTGGTCAGGCATGCTTCTCTTCCGGGCACCCAAATGATGGCGGACATTGAATTGACCACCTAGACAGAGGCCTTATTTCTTGTTTTACCTGATATTGAAGGAGGGGCAGAGAGGACACTCACCCATCTTCAAGTGCCTAAATGGTGCTGACCAGTCTCCAATGTGGGACATGGGTGAAGTTCTCCCCAGATTCCACCAGCTTGGGCAGGCTCGGCTGTTACGGGGGTCCAGCTGACACACCAGTGACCTGCCAGCCAAGACAGTTGGTCCCACACAAGGTGGTAGCACTGCGCAGCCACTGACCCGTCCACACAGCTCTGCTGCCTCCACCTGTCAGGAAAGATGATGGCTCTGAAAAGAGCCTTAGACTAGTGTTATAGCTCTTCAGCATTAGCAGCTGTTTAGCCTTATAACCTCTGTGTTACAGTTCTTGCAGCTTCAATCACAGATTGTCTCACTGTCTCTTGCCATTTGCCATCTCATTGCCTCTCACTGGCTTGCTACCTCACTGCCTTCTCTCTCCAGTCGCTGCCTCTCTGCATCTTGCTGCCTAGCTACCTCTGCTATTGCCACCATCTTCCCTAGCCCCACATCAGGCACCAGATGATGCAGGGCAGGTTATGGGCTTCACTCAGGAAAGATTTCAAGAGCAAACCAGCAATGGAAGAAAGCAGCTTTACTGAAGTGACAGTGTTACAGCCCAGTGGCTGCCCCTTGTTGAGCATGGCAAGCCCATAGGCTGTGCACCAAGAGTGGCAGTGTATGGGCTGTTGGCTAGCTTTATACCCACTTTTAATTACATGCAAATTAAGGGACAGGTTATTCAGAAATCTCTAAAAACTGAGTGGTAACCTTTGGTGTTGCCATGGAAAGGGGTGGTAACTTCCAGGTATTGCCATGGCATTTGTTAACTGTCATGGCACTGGTGGGAGTGTCTTATGCTGATGGGCAGTGAGGGCAACTAGAGATTGCTTACAGAATCACTTGCTGGTTCTGGCCAGTTTCCTGTCTGGTTAGGACAGTTGTCCCCAACCTTTTTGGCACCAGGGACTGGTTTCCTGGAAGACAATTTTTCCAAGGATGGGGGTTGGGGAAGGATGGTTTCGGGATGAAACTGTTCCACCTCAGATCATCAGGCATTAGTTAGATTCTCATAAGGAGCACACAACCTAGATCCCTCACATGCACAGTTCACAACAGGTTTCACACTCCTATGAAAATCTAATGTCACCACTGATCTGACAGGAGGCAGAGCTCAGGTGGAAATGCTTGCTCACCTGCCACTCACCTTCTGCTGTGCGGCTTGGTTTCTAATAAATTGGTAGCAGTCCATGGCCCAGGGCTTGGGGACCCCTGGTCTAGGAAATAAGTCTTGCCAATCTCCTACCTCACAATCGTATCATGAATTATGTTGAGAGGTTTTCTTAATGCTAAACCAAACTTGCTCTCCCAGAATAAACCCAACTTGATTGTCTTATATATAGCTGGAATTGGCTTGGTAATGTTTTGCTTAGGATGCTTGCATTTATATTCCTAAGTAAGATAGCTTCATAATTTCTATTTATCAGACTCTCCTTGTCAAATTTTGCATTTAAAGTCTTGCTGACCCTAACAATAAGTTGGGAGGTATTCTCTGCTTTTTATCCTCTTTGTGTTCGAGTGGTGCTTGTTTCTTCCCCAAATGTTTTTCTAATTTATTAATTTATTATTATTTTATCCATCCCCTCAAGCACTTATACTCTGAGTTAAAAACAATCCAATTACAATCTTTAAGTTATTTAAAAATATATCATTAAGTTATTATTTACTATAGTCGCCCTGCTGTGCTATCAAATACTAGGTCTTATTAATTATTTCTGGGTTTTTTTGTGTGTCTTTTGTTTTTTTTACTCATTAACAATCCCGACCTCCTCCATACCTTCCCACTACCATTCCCAACCTCTGGTAACCACCCTGCTACTTTCTATGTCCATGAGTTCAACTGTTTTGATTTTTAGATCCCATAAACAAGTGAGAACATACAATGTTTGTCTTTCTGTGCCTGGCTTATTTTACTTAACATAATGATTTCCAGTACCACCCATGTTGTTGCAAATCACTGGATCTGATTCCTTTTTTATGGCTGAATAATACTCCATTGTGTATATGTACCATTTTTTTTAATATGGAGTCTCACTGTTGTCACCCAGGCTGGAGTGCAGTGGCACAATTTCGGTTCACTGCAACCTCTGCCTCTCAGGTTCAAGCGATTCTCATGCCTCAGCCTCCCAAGTAGCTGGGATTACAGGGGTGAGCCACCACGTGCAGCTATTTTTGTATTTTTAGTAGAGAAGGGATTTCACCATGTTGGCCAGGTTGGTCTCGAACTCCTGACCTCAGGTGATCCACCCGTCTCAGCCTCCCGAAGTGCTAGGATTACAGGCATGAGCCACCGTGCCCGGCCTGATATGTTTAAAGAACAAACAATGCCAAAAAACTTCTACCCATTTAACGAATTTAATTCTGCTTACCAAAATAATAAAGTTCTATACTTTTCCAAACTTGCTAATAGTTATCATGAATGGTAGCTGAGTTTTGTCAAATGCTTTTTTTTCTATTCTAGATTTTAAGAAATCATTATATGAATGATTCCTCCATTTTCTAATTAAAATTGTGGATTATATTGATTTTTTTATTCTATAGTCCTGGAATAAACCAAACTTGTTTATGATAAAATATTGTGATTTTTATATATTGCAAGATTCAATATGCTGTTATGTTGTTTCAGATTGTTACATCTGTGTTTATAAGTGAGATCAGCCTGTGATTTTCCTGCCTCATAATGTCCATGGCAGGTTCTCATGTCAAGTTTTGCCAGCCTCATGAAATCAGTTCTATAGCGTTCTCTTTTGTTCTATTATCTGGGACAGGCATGGAAGTTCTGCATACATTCCTTTTACCAAAACTTAAGCACATAGACCCAGGAGGATTCAAAGAGGATTAGAAATGTGCTACCTGACTGGACAGCCACTTCATAACATCAGATGTTTGGTGCTGCTACACACAGCAAATTTTAACTTTGGCATAGTTTTAATCATCTTATACCATTTTGGACTCCGCTTTTTAAGATAATATTTTGCTAATTTGTTTAGTTTTCATAATTATTTTAATGGCTGCATATATATTGTATTAGTAAATACTAATGTGTAGGCTATTCCTTCATTGGATATTTAGGGTTTTCATATTTTGAGGATTATAGATTTTCTTGTTATGGATATCTCTATGCCTCAATAATATTTTCTTCTGTTAAATTATTTTCTTTTTAATTCTCAAGTGTTGGATTAACGAATGTCTTGGTCAGCTTGGACTGCCATAACAAAATAACACAGATTAAGTGGCTTAAACCAGGGGACCCCAATCCCCAGGCTGCAGACCGGTACCAGTCTGTGGCCTGTTGGGAACCAGGCTGCACAGCAAGAGGTGAGCAGCCGGCAAGCAAGCGTTAATGCCTGAGCTCTGCCTCCTGCCAGATCAGTGTGAAGCATTAGATTCTCATAGCGAACCGCGAAAGTTCCACTGTCCCCCTCGCAGGGCATGCAATGGGGGTGTGGCTGGCTTCTTCAGTGTCCCGCTGCTCAAACCTCTAGGGGAGCATACAGACGGGCAGGCTGTGGGGGTCCAACCCCATGGCAGTATCTAGGGGTGAATGTTTACAGCTCCTGAAGCCCCAGTGGGCATGTGTTACAGGGTGCTCTTTTAGTTTAGCCGTCCATAGGCGACTTGTGTTAGCTCGATTAGACCTCCTTCCTTATCAAAAGGACAGAAGGATTTCTATATCCCAGGGTTTCTTGTCTTGTTGTACTGGAAGAATTGGATCACATATGGGCGTGGAGAATGAGTGCAAGGTTTTACTGAGTAGCTCTCAGCAGATTGGGGAGCCAGATAGGAGATGGTTTTCCCCTGGAGTCAGGCCACTCGGTGGCCCAACTCTTCTCTAACCACTCTGGCCAAATTCCATGTCATTCCACCAGTCCATGGCCTGCCGGCCTGCCAGTGCCCGTCCATGTGCTCTTCTACCAGCGTGCTTTCGACAACCAATGTGTTCCTCACGACGTCCAGCCACTTGGGTCTGCCTGCTAGGTCTTGGGTTTTTATAGGCTCAGGATGGGGGCATGGCAGGCCAGGATGGTCTTGGAAAATGCAACATTTGGGCGTGAAAGCAGGAGTGCCTGTCCTTACCTAGGTCCGTGGGGGTGGAGCTCTAGCCAGGGACCCACCTTTCTCTACCCAGCACTTCCCTTCCCCCCTCCCATATCATTTAAAGAGACCACACTCTTCCCTTCACAGCACTCCCGTATCAATAGGAGCAGGAACCCTATTGTGAGCTGCACATGTGAGGGATCTATGTTACATGCTTTTTATGAGAATCTAATGCCTGATGATCCGAGATGGAACAGTTTCATCCTGAAATCCCCCACCCCAGCCCCATCCATGGAAAAATTGTCTTCCATGAAATCAGTCCCTGGTGCCAAAAAGGTTGGGCACTACTATCTTAAACAACATATATATATATATATATATATATATATATATTTTTTTTTTTTTCACAGTTCTGGAGGCTGGAAGTCTGAGATGCTAGCATTGTCAGGTTCTGATGAAGGCTCTCCTTCTGGCTTGCATATGACCCTCTTCTCATTGTGTCCTCACATCCTAGAGACATAGAGCAAACTCTCTGGTGTTTCTTCTTATAAGGACATTAATCCCATCATGAGGGCCCTACCTCACACCATCATCTTACACTTATTACCTCTTAAAGGGTCTATCACCAAATGCCATCATGTTGGATGTTAGGGCTTTGATATACTAATTTTGGGGGACACAATTTAGTCCATAGCAGTGAGTCAAAGTGACTCCTACATATTGCTATGCTGTTTTTTAAATGGTGTTTCAATTCACAAGACCATCATCAGAGTGTGGAAATTCTAGCCCCACTTCAGCCTTCCCAAGCAATGAATTTTAACAGCCAACTTTACTAATGTACAAAGGAAAAAACATAATCTCCTTCCGTAGCTAATCCTATAGTAATTACTCTAAAATCTCTTCAGATTAAGTTGTTGTCAAGAAGAAATGGCCAAAGCCCCTTTCCACCTTCAGTATGTCATTACAAATTTTGAAGAGGCAAAATAATTTTGTTGTTGGTGCAGACAGGGTAGGCTGAGGAAAAAAAACAACCAAAAATCTCACTATATTCCAACAACAGAATTTTGGTTTTTGCTCATACAGCATGCCCACTGTGGGTCATGTAAGATTCTGCTCCACATCATCTCCACTCCAGGATCCAAGCTGACAGAGAAGCCTGTTTGAGATATTAGCAGTCACCAGGAAAGAAGGAAGAAAGACATGGTAACCCATCTGATATATTTTAAAGCTTCTACCCTGAAGTGACACATAACATTTCTGCCCATGTTTCATTGTCAAAGCAAGTCACATGACCATGTAATGCATTCAACATGCATTCAACAGGACAAGTATGTGGACAGGGAGTGCTACCTAGCAAGGAACACTGAAGGGTAGCAACCAGACTATTTAGCAAACAATAATACAATCTACCACAGTTACATTTTTTTATTCTCAGTATATTATACAAGAGTAACATTATCAGAGACAATGTTCAAAATGGCCTATTTAAATTTAGCAGAGGCAGGACTGCAGTGGTGAGGCCGTGAATCCACCCAGAATACCCCTGACTACATATCTGGATGGATGCATGTACTTTTATATGCAATCCTATATATAATGTGTCCTTACTTTTTTTTTTTTTTGAGATGGAGTCTCCCTCTGTCGCCCAGGCGACAGAGAGTGCAGTGGTGCAATCTCGGTTCACTGCAAGCTCCGCCTCCTGGGTTCACGCCATTCTCCTGCCTCAGCCTCCTGAGTAGCTCAGTGCTGACATGGGACCAGCCAAGCAGAAGAAAAAAGTGTTGCCTGTATTACAGTGGGGTAAACTGGTTTATCACCACAGTTGTAATGTATTTATATTGTATCAACTAAGCATTAATGGAACAACACTTTTCAGAACAGCTTTCTCTGAATACTACTGCCTTAATCAGGCCTGCCAGATATTTTGCATGTGAAAGGTTATGGTGTCACCAGGTACTGTTGCAATTCACAGAGGTGAAGGCAAATTTGTTGTGTCACCTTGTTGGTATGGGGCAATAGCTGGATCTGTAGTTCATTTAGCCCTGCTAGGTCTCCTCCTTCAGCTTCTCCAACTCCTGGGGCAGTATGTGAAGTTCATGGTATAAATCTACAACTCCTCCATCTCCTCACATAAAGAAAATTAACATCTTTATGATGTTGAGTCATCCTATCCCAGATCCAGGGATATCCTTTCATTTTTTGAGTATTCTTTTGTTTTCCTCTTCAGCAATAAAAAAAGTTTTATGTGGCAATTTATAATTTTTAATGTTTATTTCTAAATCCCTATTTATTTTGAATTACTTTTCAAATTGGGTCTTTAACCAAATTTATATTATATATATATATATATATTTTTTTTTTTTTTTTTTTTTTTTTTTTGAGACAGAGTCTCACTCTGTCGCCCAGGCTGGAGTGCAGTGGCGCGATCTCGGCTCACTGCAAGCTCCGCCTCCCAGGTTCATGCCATTCTCCTGCCTCAGCGTCCGGAGTAGCTGGGACTACAGGTGCCCGCCACCATGCCGGGCTAATTTTTTGTATTTTTAGTAGAGACAGGGTTTCACCGTGTTAGCCAGGATGGTCTCGATCTCCTGGCCTCGCGATCTGCCCACCTCGGCCTCTCAAAGCCAAATTATATATTTTAATAGGTTATTTTCTGCATATGTGAAATCTAGTGATGAATTACTATTAATTTTGTACTCAGCCACACAACTAAATTAGGATACAAAGTGTAATGCTTAATTTTCCTTCCCCCTTTCCAATTTGTGAAACTTTGTTATTTCTTTCCTTTATTCTTATGTATTAACACGTATAATGTCATGTTTGGAAAGCACCCAACCATTCTCATTTTCCTCTTTCAACTTCTCTTGTGATAATCAACTGATTGTCCTCCTTTTGGTGTCTTAATATAGCAAATTAAGAGATTTCTTAGAATTTAACCCACCTTTCATTAACTGCTTATGGCACATTACACTTTGAATATGCTGCTCTGGATTATATTTGCTAATATTTGGGATTTTCCCATTAATGTTGCAAAGCAGGGAGCAAATAATCTGACTGAGACATATACGAAGAAGCAAAAAAAAATGTGTTCACAGAACTCTACTCAAGTGGCGTCCAGAGCCCAGGGTTCTGAAAGCAATGTCCAAGGACTAAAGAGTGAGGGGTCAGGAGTGCGGCAGGAGGCCGCATCGATCTCCAGAACATGGATCTTCTGCTCTCCAGGGGCAACAGGCTCAGCCTCCCCGCACACCGCCTGCTGTCCTGAGAGCCCCACTGGCGCGCCTCGCATAATCTCCGCCCTACTCCTCTGAGGCTACACGGCCTCCTCCACAGTATGAGACCCACCCCAGAACTCCTGGCATTGCCCTTCCGCGCCCTGTGACGCACCAGCGCACTAGTGACCACAAGTCTTTGTGGGCGGAGCTCGCGCAAGCGCCTGGGCTCTCCCCCATGGCTCCGCCCACAGCCCGTCCCGGCCCGGGCCCCCACCCTCGACATGCGCTTCCGGCGACGCCTTAGCGCTGACCCCCACGCAACCCAGCGAAACTCCGCGGAGCGCGCGCGGCACGATGGACGGTCGGGTGCAGCTGATGAAGGCCCTCCTGGCCGGGCCCCTCCGGCCCGCGGCGCGTCGCTGGAGGAACCCGATTCCCTTTCCCGAGACGTTTGACGGAGATACCGACCGACTCCCGGAGTTCATCGTGCAGACGAGCTCCTACATGTTCGTGGACGAGAACACGTTCTCCAACGACGCCCTGAAGGTGACGTTCCTCATCACCCGCCTCACGGGGCCAGCCCTGCAGTGGGTGATCCCCTACATCAGGAAGGAGAGCCCCCTGCTCAATGATTACCGGGGCTTCCTGGCCGAGATGAAGCGGGTCTTTGGATGGGAGGAGGACGAGGACTTCTAGGCCGGGAGACCCTTGGGCCTGGGGGCGGGTGCTCTGGGAAGAGTTCGCTGTGCCAGTGGCCACCGCTAGGGTCTCCACAGGCGCCCTCCCTCCGCGCCTCCCTCCCCCTCGAGCCGCCGCGATGTCCCCTGCGCTCCTGTCCCCTCCCGCGTAGTGCTTGCCTTTGTTCCAGGAATAGCGCTCCAGGCTCCTGCTGCAGCTCCTGGGCCGCACTCTAGAGCGCGCTGCCTCCGCCCTCTTTTGCCAGCCCAGCCCCTCCATGCACATTTGGACGCTGTCCTGCACTTCAGGTGCAAGCTGGGCTCCTGTTACATACTGGACAGACCACCCACAGCCGCTGCTGCCAACCCACCTCCACTCCTCCAGACTGCCAGCCAACTACATCATTCTGCCCACAGACCTACGCTACCACTGCCATCGCCATCCACCGCATCTCACCAACAGACTGTGGCTCCTAGTGATGTGGACTCACCTCGGAGGTATCCGAGCTGGACACAGCCCCTGGACAGTGATCCAGACAGCTGGCCGTCCCCCAAGGAGCCTGTCACCTTCAGCGAGACCCATTTCCTCCCCATCCCCAGAGACCTCTTGTGTTCCTGCCACATAGCTGCCAGGGCTTAAGTGTGCCTGGCAACCAAATCGAATCTCTCATTTTCTCCTGTGGACCAGTTAGTTTTGCCTAGAATCCTGTTTTCTTCTGAATTTGCAGCTGTCTCTCTGATGGGTGCCTTTTGTTCAACACAGTAAGCCCTGCTCCCTTCCCTGCTCTAATACACTACCTGTACAAAGGTTTTTTCCTTATTTTTAATAAATGTCAGACACTATTAAATAGAAATGGAGTCTCAATGAATATGGCACCTTTCCCTCCCTGGTTCTGTAAATAGGGTCCATGTCTTCTTCAAATGCTATGTGCCCTGTCATACTACGGCTGAAGTTGACTCTTGCATTATAAAAACAAAAGACTGAGTCCTGTGGAGTGTCCTAGGGATGGAGATCTTATCGGCAACCATCTAATGCCAAATGATGACCCTTCTAAACCACGCAGTTTCATGCCACTTTTGAGGCAGACATTGATCTGATTTTGGCCAAGGCAATGTCAAAAGCTGTGGAAAAGCTTTTTGTAAAAGGTTTCCTTATTTTCAAAAAATGGCTACAAAACACAAATCTCAAATTGCTACATACCAGAAATCCCATACATTTGTTTGTGAACACCTGTCAAAGTTTTATTTAACCAGAGATTCATTAATGAAACATCAGAATTGCAGAGGTGTTCTATGAAAGAGGTGTTTTATATTTATAAAACCTTGAATATGGAGGTAATGGGGAAAGGGATGCAGAGCTGTGATTATTAATTTAGGTTATAATACAATTTATATTATATTATTATATTGTATAATTGTATTATACAATTGTATATAATACAATTATAATACAATTATATAATTGTATTATAATTTAGTTATAATACAATTATAACTTTCTCTAATGAGCAGAATAAAAGTTAATACTCATTACTTTTTATCTGTAGGCTAATCTCTTAAATCTATAGTGCTATAAACAGCCTCTGTTCCATCAACTATTTGATGTTCAAATTTGTTGGTGAAATTTATTCCAGTAGAACCCAATAGCACAGCACTCTGGTATTAAAAGATCACGCATCCAACTCTGTCCCTTATTTCTAATTTGTGTGAATTTCCAGAACATGTAAAGAGGTGGGAATAGGCTGAGTGTGTAGATAGATTTGCCTGATGCGTGGGTGGAAAATGAAAACAGACTGATTGCACCACAAAAAGGACTGGTGCTTACAGGTCCAATCCTTATAGTTTTCTGTCCTCTGCCTTGGGGAGATGAGACTCTTTGTCTTTCAACTTTAACTTAAATTGGTGATTAATCACCCTTAGCCTTTCATTGTCTCTCTGCAATTCAATAGCCTCTAGTAACAACCATATGATCACATAATCTTTATAATTACTACTTCCTCTGAACCTTTCAAATTCTTGAGATATTGCACCTGTCACTAAATTTCCTTCCATTGGTATCCTATCTCAGTTCACCACTGGTGAAAGTTTTGACAATTGCACCACTACCACATAGCAGGTTATCAGTACTTCCTTTACCAATAGTGATGTAGTTCCCATTTCTAGCCACCTGGCAGGTAATCAAGCTCCAAAATCCAATTTTATAATCTGCCTCATGACCACCGCTAACACCAAGTATTAAACTTTAAGTTCCCTCAGAAACAGACTCTCATGAACAACACTTGTAATGGAGTGATTGAAGTAGGATCCAGCAGAGGGAGAATTTATGAAGACACATACAGTTACAACAGACGCCTCACCTGATCCCACGGGATATCTAAAGTTGGGACAGCCATTCAGAAATGTTCTAATTTGAGACCGGACACAGTGGCTCACGGCTGTAATCCCAGCACTTTGGGAGGCCTGGGCAGGATGATTGCTTGAGGCCAGGAGTTGGAGACCAGCCTGGACAACACAGTGAGACCCTGTCTCTACAAAAAATTTAAAAATTAGCCAGGTGTGGTAGTGCACACCTGTAGTCCCAGCTACTCAGGAGGCTGAGGTGGGTGGATTGCTTGAGCCCAGGAATTAGAGGCTGCAGTGAGCTATGATCACGTCACTGCACTCTATCCTAGGCGACAGAAGACCTTGTCTAAAAAAAAGAAAAGAAAAAGAAAAAAAATTGTCTGAATTGAGGAGAGGCCACATTGACTAGTTTTTTGATGTGGTGTTACCTGGAGGAGGTGGTGTACTCCTTTTTTTTTCTTTAATTCACCATTTAAAAGGAAGAAGATAGACCTATGCTAGCTACTTTGGAGAGATTTTTGCAAGGTTTTGTTCAGTAAGAAACACAATATGCAGAAAACTGCATAATGTGGCCCATTTTTTTTTTTAGTGGAGAATAAGATGGAGAATTTTTAATATTTATGCAATACCTACTTGTAGTGTTACCTTTTATTCACAAAGGCAGTTATTAACAAAGGCAGTTACTACTTGTATTTTTTTTTAAAGAAAAAACCATCTGTCAAATTAAACTGGAAAATTGTATTCTGTTTTTTTTTTAATTAATTAATTTATTATTATTATACTTTAGGTTTTAGGGTACATGTGCACAATGTGCAGGTTAGTTACATATGTATACATGTGCCATGCTGGTGCGCTGCACCCACTAACTCGTCATCTAGCATTAGGTATATCTCCTAATGCTATCCCTCCCCCCTCCCCCCACCCCACAACAGTCCCGAGAGTGTGATGTTCCCCTTCCTGTGTCCTTGTGTTCTCATTGTTCAATTCCCACCTATGAGTGAGAATATGCAGTGTTTGGTTTTTTGTTCTTGAGATAGTTTACTGAGAATGATGATTTCCAATTTCATCCATGTCCCTACAAAGGACATGAACTCATCATTTTTTATGGCTGCATAGTATTCCATGGTGTATATGTACCACATTTTCTTAATCCAGTCTATCATTGTTGGACATTTGGGTTGGTTCCAAGTCTTTGCTATTGTGAATAATGTGTGGCCCATTTTTTGTTAAACAGATGTTAACCCCAAAGGCCTACATATGAATACACACACACAGTCACACGCACACACAATAAGCTAAGTATGAAGAAAAATATAGACATACACACTAGGGTGTTAGTGCGGGCCACAAGACGGGAGGAAAGGTTGATGCCAGAGATGGAGTAGGGCCTTAGAGAGGGGGATGCACACAACAAAATGAAAGAAAAAAAAAAGGCTGCTCTAAAACACAGGGAGATTAAATGTATGGCATTGAAAACTGAAAAATCTATAGAAATTTGTGAGGGGTATATAGTATCCATCAGGGTCCCAAAAAGAAACAGAAGGTATACACAAATGGGATGATTGAGGAGAATTAAAAGAAGAGACTATATACAGATGTGTGGGTAGGTTTCAGATAAATTATGATAGATTGGATAACTGTTCCACAAATATTCACTCCTCACTTCCCCACACCCCTATGGTGGGTGTACTTCCC
The DNA here is from genome assembly GCF_000001405.40 of Homo sapiens. NCBI lineage: Eukaryota > Metazoa > Chordata > Mammalia > Primates > Hominidae > Homo > Homo sapiens. The sequence continues at coordinate 135,047,747 of NC_000023.11, read as the reverse complement.
TGCTCCCCTGGCTCTAAGCTTGGCCATCATTTGTTATTTTCAATGGAACATGAGCAGACATGACATGAAGAGAGGATTTAAATATGCTTGAGTGGTTTTGCTTGTTTTCTTGCCCTCCTATGATTGCCATGAGAAGAGCATGCCCCCGGTTGTTGCTGATCCCTCAGCTTGGGCCATACAGTGATTCACATGGAACAGATCTAAACACAATCTGAATCCCAGAGCCAAGCCCACATGAACTGCATCCTGGAGAAGAATAGCCCCAGATGGCCCATAGCACATGAGCAAAGAGAGCAAATGATTGTTAATTAATTTGGCGGAGATTTCTTATACAGCATTATTGTAGCAATAGCTGACTAATACTGAAACCAACAATGGATTTTGAATTATCCTGAGGCTAGCAACAGTAATGAGCTGTTGCCTCCCACCAAGGCATGAAAGGGTAAGGGCAGGGAGGGGTTACTGGAACACAGAGAGCTCTAGCTATAGAAGAGAATCCCTGGAAAGGACCTGTGGCCTTTGATAGAGGAACTCAGCCACAGCCACCTCTTAATCTGGTAGAGATGGAGCTCTACCATTGGACAAACTCAACCAGAAGCCAGAGAGCAAGGGAATGGTTTATGCAGTCCATAAAGGTCAGCCTCTAGGAACAGAGCTGACCCTGTTCCAGGATAGAGGAGAGTGGAAAGTGAATCTGGAAGAGCAAATGGAAGGTATCCAAGAGATATGTGAACAATCAATTCCAAGTGAGAAACATTTGAAAAGATGGATAATTGCAATAGTAATCAGAGAGATTTTAAATAGAACAAAAACAGTATCATTTCAAAAGCATTACATTGCCAAATTAGACCGGGCATGGTGGTTCATGCCTGTAATCCTAGCACTTTGGGAGGCCAAGGCGAATGGATCACCTGAGGTCAGGAGTTCATGACCAGCCTGACCAACACGGTGAAATCCCGTCTCTACTAAAAATACAAAAATTAGCCAGGTGTGGTGGTGTGTGACTGTAATCCCAGCTACTCGGGAGGCTGAGACAGGAGAATCGCTTGAGCCCGGGAGGCGGAGGTTGCAGTGACCCGAGATCATGCCACTGCACTCCAGCCTGGGTGACAAAGCAAGACTCCATCTCAAAAAAAAAAAAAGTAAAAATGACCATATTAAGTGTTGAGGGGTTATGGAGAAATGAGAGTTCTTATATACCGCTTATAACAGTGTAGAATAGTACAACAAAATTGGAGATGAATGTGGCAGCACCTTGTACAGTTTAAGACAAACATATCCTACAACCAAGCAATTCCAACAAGGATGTTGACAATAGCATTTTTTAAAAATGTATGTATGATTAGTACCTCTGCTAAGCTGCATAGTACCTTTATCTAAATTAATAAAAGGTACCTCCTCTTGGGGAAAGCAGCCCCATGAATGCTGAGTTTGTTAAACTGTTAGTAATTTTGTGCTTCAAAAAAAGCAAACCTTATTAAGTGTGTATGCAGCCCCACTGGTTCACATGGTGGACTGGGTAGGGGCTAGATTGTAGCCTCAGTCACTCATTTGGTAAGAGGCACTTCTGAAGTGAGCAACCTATAGATCATAAGCAGCAGCCCTGTTTGCAGTAGCCAAAATTTGAAGCAACATAAGTGTCATCAGTAGGAGTTGGTGATAATATGTAATTATTAATATTGTTAAGCAGAGAGTTGCCATACAGTAATTCTATTCCTAGGTATATATCCAAGAGAACTGAAAATATATGACCTCACAAAAACTTGTACATGAATGTTCATAGCAGCATTATTCATAATAACAAAAAATGAGAAACAACCCAAAACTCCAGAAACTGATGAATAGATAAAATATAGTATATCCGTTCAATGGAATTCAACCTTAAAAAGGAATGAATGCTACATACATGCTACAACTTGGATGTACCTTGAAAACATAATGCTAAATAAAAGAAACCAGTCACAAAATACCACATATTGTATGATTCCATTTAAATGAAACTTCCAGAATACACAAATATATAGATGTGGAAAATCATTTAGAGGTTGCCTGGGGCTTGGGGAAGGAGAAAATAGGGAGGCATAGGGTATTTTCTTGGGGTGATAGAAATGTTCTAAAATTAGATAATGGTAATGGTTGGACAACTCTGCAAGTATACTAAAAACCACTGACTTGTATATTTTTAAAGGGTAATATTATAGTAAGTGAATCATATCTCAATAAAGCTGTTATAAAAAATTAATTGTATTTCTATTTAATAACAACAAAGTAGAAATAAAATTTAACAAAATAATACCATTTATGGTTGTGTTATAAAGTATCAAATATCTAGAAATAAATCTATAAAATAGCTGCAATACCTCAACACTAGTAACTACAAAACATTATTAAGATGAATTAAACAACTAAATAAATGGAAGGATATAAGATGTTAATGAATTGGAAAATTCAAAATTGTTACAGTATATATTTTCCCTAAATTTATTTTTAGATTCAATGCAATCCCAATAAAAATCAAGCAGATTTTAGAAGAAAACATAAGAGTAGAGTGTATCTTCATGATATTGGGTTAGACAAAGATTTCTTACACAAAAGACATTGGTAAGTGACTCTAAAATTTATATGGAAAGGCAAAGGATCTAGAATAGCCAAGGTAATATTCAAGAAGTACAAAGTTAGATGGCTTACATTATCAGATATTAAGACTTACTATAAAGGAACATAAATTAAGGTGTATGGTATTGGTACAAGGATAGACAGAAAAATGCAATACAATAAACAGTCCAGAAAGAAATTCACACATATATGGTGACCTAATTTATAACAAAGGCACCATTGCAATTCACTGGGGGGAAAGAATAGTCTTTGCAATAAGTGCTATTGGATCAATTAGATACCTATATTGAAAAATGAACATTGGTCCCTACCTCTCAGCATACATAAAAATTAATTCAGTATGGATCATAGACTTAAATTTGAAAGCTAAAATACGATATTAGAGGAAAGTATAGGAGACTATGATATTAAGTTTGGCAGAGATGTATTAAACAGGACACAAAAAAACACTAATAATGTCTGCCCTCCCAGATAAAATGTTTATTAAGACACTCAGCATACAATTAGCCCTGCTTCCTGACAGCATCCAAGCCAGAGCAAAGCTTCACTTCCTTAAACTTCTCAAAAATCACCTAATATACGCCCAAACACTTCAAACATTTTCTAACACCTTTTTGCTGAGATTCCCAACAGTTCTCTATGGTATGTTCTCCTTCACTGCAATGAATAATAAACTCAATATTTGTTCAATGACAAGATGTCCCTAGTGGTCTTTTCCTGGAAGATATGAACATCAAGAATATAGGAAGTCCTAGCAAGAGCAATCAGACAAAACAAAGAAATAAAAGGCATCCAAAAAGGAAGAGAGGAAGTCAAACTATTTGTTTGTAGACACTATGATTTTACACCTAGAAAACCCCAAAGTCTCTGCCCAAAAGCTCCTGGATCTGATGAACAACTTCAGCGAAGTTTCAGGACACAAAATCAGTATACAGAAATCTGTAGCATTTCTATACACAAACAACATCCAAGCTGAGAGCCAAATAAAGAATGAAATCCCATTCACGATAGCCACAAAAAAATAAAATACCTAGGAATACAGATATCCAGGAAGGTGAAAAATCTCTACAACAAGAATTACAAAATACTGCTGAAAGAAATCAGAGATGACACAAACAAATGGAAAAACATTCTATGCTCATCTACAGAAAAAAATCAACATTGTTAAAATAGCCATACTGCCCAAAGCAATTTAAAGATTCAATGCTATTCCTATCAAACTACCAATGACATTTTTCACAGAACTAGAAAAATCTATTCTAAAATTTCTATGGAACCACAAAAGAGCCCGAATAGCCAAAGCAATCCTAAGCAAAAAGGACAAAACTGCTGGAGGCATCACACTACCCGACTTCATACCATTCGACAAGTCTACGGTAACCAAAACAGCATGGTACTGGTACAAAAACAGACACATGGACCAATGTAACAGAATACAGAGCCCAGATAGAAAACCACACAACTACAACCATCTAATCTTCGACAAAGTTGACAAAAACAAGCAATGAGGAAAGGAATCCCTATTCAATAAATGGTGCAGGGATAACTGGCTAGCATACGCATAAGACTGAAACTGGACCTCTTCCTTACACCATATGCAAAAGTCAACTCAAGATTGATTAAAGACTTAACTGTAAAACTTTAAACTATAAAACCCCTTGAATAAAACCTAGGAAATACCATTCTGAACATAAGTCCTGGCAAAGATTTCAAGATGAAGATACCAAAAGCAATTGCAACAAAAGCAAAAATTGACAAATGGGACCTAATTAAACTAAAGAGTTTCTGCACAGCAAAAGAAACTATCAACAGATAAACAGATGACTTACAGAATAGTAGAAAATAATCGCAAACTAGGCATCTGACAAAGGTCTAATATCCAGAATCCACAAGGAACTTAAACAATTTCAATGAGAAAAAAAAATCTCATTAAAAAGTGGACAAACAACATGAACAGACACCTCTCTAAAGAAGACATGCAAGCAGCCAATAAATAAGAAAAAAATGCTTAACATCACTAATCATTAGAGAAATGCAAATCAAAACCACAATGAGATACCATCCCACACCAGTCAGAATGGCTATTATTAAAAGGTCAAAAAATAAGAGAATGCTTGCAAGGTTGCAGAGAAAAGGGAACACTTATACACTGCTGGTGGGAATGTAAATTAGTTCAGCTACTGTGGAAAGCAGTTTGGCAATTTCTCAAAGAACTTAAAATAGAACTACCATTCAACCCAACAATCCCTTTATTGGGTACATGCCCAAAGGAATATGAATTGTTCTACCATAAAGACATATGCATGCATATGTTCATTGCAGCACTAGCAATAGCAAGGACATGGAATCAACCTAAATGCTCATCAATGGTAGACTCAATAAAGAAAATGTGGTACATATACACCATGGAATACTGGGCAGCCATAAAAAAGAATGAGATCACGTCCTTTGCAACAATAAGGAATGAGCTGGAGGCCATTATCTTAAGTGAACTAAAGCAGGAACAGAAAACCAAATACCACGTTCTCACTTACAAGTGGGAGCTAAACATTGAGTGCACATGAACACAAAGAAAGAAACAATAGACACCAGGGCCTACTTGAAGTTGGAGGGTGGGATGGGGGTGAAGATTGAAAAACTACTTATTGGGTACTAGGCTTATTACCTAGGCAACAAAATAATCTGTATGCCAAAGCCCTGCGACATGCAATTTATATAACAAACCTGCACAGGTACCCCTGAAACTAAAATTTTTTTTAAAAAAAGAACATATAAATAGTTGCCACCAGTCAATAAAATGAGAAACCAATAAAAAATAGGTGAGATTTTTGAATGAGTGTATTAGTTAATTTTCTGTTGCTTATAACAGAATACCTGAAACAGTGTAATTTTTTTTTTAATAATGTATTCTTACAGTTATGGAGGCAGAGAAGTCCAAGTCAAGGGGTCACAACTGATGAGACCCTTCCTGCTGGTGAGGACTGTTTGCAGAGTCCCAATATGGTGCAGGGTATCACATGGTGAAGGAGCTGAGTGTGCTAACTTGCAAGCTCAGATTTCCCTTTCCCTTTCTCTTCTTATAAAGCCACCAGTTCCTTTCCCAGAACAACCCATTAATCCATTAATCTATGAATGAATTAATCCATTTACTTTAAGAGATGATCCAATCACCTCTTAAAGGCCCTACCTCTCAATATTGCCACACTGGGGATTAAGTTGTGTTAGTCTGTTCTCATGCTGCTGTGAAGAAATACCCAAGACTGGGTAATTTATAAAGAAAACAGGTTTAATTGACTCACAGTTAAATTGACTCACAGTTCTGGGGAGGCCTCAGAAAACTTAGGATCACAGTGGAAGGCACCTCTTCACAGGGTGGCAGGATAGAGAATGAGAGCCAGATTCTCTCTTCCTCCTTCCTTCTTTTCTCACTTTCTTTCTTGAGTTCTTGCTTTCTTTTTTCTCCTTTCCTGCCTTTCTCCCTTCCTCCCTCCCTCCCTTCTCTCATTTCCTCCTTTTCTTTCTTCTTTCCTTCCTTCCTTCTTTTTTCTTTCTTTTCTTTCTCTTTACTACAATCCATATTATTTAAAAAAAAATTAAGAAAGAGAGGCAGAAAAATAAAGAACACTTTAATCTGCAGGTAAATAAAAAAAAAAAAAAAAAGAGAATGAGAGCCAGCAGAGAAAATGCCAGATGCTTATAAAACCATCAGCTCTTGTGAGACTCACTCATTATCATAAGAATAGCATGGGGAAAACCGCCCCCATAACTCAGTTACCTCCTGCTGGGTCCTTCCCACAACATGTGGGGATTATGGGGATTACAATTCAAGATGAGATTTGGGTTGGGGGGACACAGCCAAACCATATCAAGTTGCACCATGAGTTTTAGTGGGGACAAATATTCCAACCATAGTAATCGGCATTTCATTAAAAAGGGTAGCAAAGTGGGTAAAAAGCATATGAAGAGACACGCATTATCATTAGTAATAATAGAAATGTAATTTTTTTTTTAGAAACAGGGTCTCACTCTGTCACCCAGGCTGGAGTGCAGTGGCACAATCACAACTCACTGCAACCTGGACTTCCCAGGCTCAGGTGATTCTGTCAGCCTCTTGAGTAGCTGGGACTACAGGTGCATACCACCACACCTAGCTAATTTTTTTTTTTTTTTTTTTTTTTTAGAGATATGGTCTCACTATATTGTCCAGGCTGGTCTGGAACTCCTGTGCTCAAGTAATCCTCCCACCTCAGCCTCCCAAAGTGCTGAGATTGCAGGTGTCAGCCACTTCACTCAGCCTAGAAATGCAAATTTAGCACAATGAGATATCACCACAGACTTATCAACTTATACCTCAATAAATAAGAGTGAACACTTGAAACACACAACATAGATGAATCTCACAGACATACAGCATAAATTCTGTATAATTTCATTTACAAGCAGTTCAAAAACAGGTAAAGTTTATCTTTGGTAATAAAGGTCAGAAGAATGTTTATACATAAGAGGCTCCTGCCTGAGAGGGGGCATGAGAGTCCTTTTGAATGCTGGAAATGTTCTATACATTGATCTGAGTGGTGTTATACTGATGTATACATATGTAAATGTTCATCTAGTTATACACTTAAGATTTTTATCCTTTGCTGGATGTAACATATCTCAGTTTTTTTAATATCAGAAAAAGAAAAAGGATTGTATATTTAGATAAGCAGTAGAAAAGTTACAGAACACCAAACACAAAGAGATCTTTCAAACAACTAAAGAGGAAACACAAAATTAGGCTGACAAATAATTTTTTAATAGCAAAAATGGAAGCTAAAAGACTACAGAATAATGCTGTTTCCATCAATTCTATTCAAATTTGTCACTTTTTAATATCTCTTATATCAAGGTGTTTATTACAATCAATCAAAATTATGAATTGTTGTTGGCCCAGGGGCTGCTGTGACATAATAGTTACTGCCTGCTTACATGCAAACATTAAAAGCACCTGTATCAAAACTTGCCAAACTGATGACGATGGATTAACGGGAAAAATTTAGGACAAAAAAGTGAAATTGTCATTTAAGAACTATTGCATCACTAAGGTTTTGGTGGTACATAATACAATATTATATAGAAAAAAAGAGATATGAATGGTTCCACAAGTCAAAGAGACTCAACAAGAATAATTTTAAAAGAATGAGGATAAAATAACTTTTCAGAAAATGAAAGACATCACAGTTTCCCTAATAGACCATTATTAAAGGAGTATATCTATAGGATATACTTTAGAAGAAGGAAAATGTACTAGTATAAATGTCTGGAATGCTGGCAAAGAAAATGGCAAATACATGGCTAAATCTAAACAAACAATAGCATAAATGTCTAATTTGAAGATGAAAAAACAGAGCTAAAGTAATGAGAAGAAGAACATTTACCCTGGGAGGCAATTATTTGTAATTAAAACGTTCTAAGTTCCTTGTATTAATTCATTACTTTTTTCTACTCATTAAGAAGTTATACATTCTATTTACATTATTTTAGTGATCACTCCAAAAAGTTAATATGCATAGTTAACATATAAATTTAGTCAATACAAAGTAATTAAAGCAACACACTTGACAAAAAGTTAGACCGATGGTACCAAATACTAGTGAGGAAATGGGACCACAAACATTGAGGGCAAGAGTGTAAAGTAAAAGAAATATTTTGGAAAACAACTTGGCTGTGCCTTTAGATTGGGTTCCCCATAAGCTGACTCTGATTGAGGACTCATCGGAAAGTGATATATTAGGAAGTGGTCCAAGTAAAAATATAGTGACCAGGGAGTGGGACCATGCAACAGGGAGAGGAAGAAGGCCGAACAATATTTTGATATCAACCAAGGTACCATTTAGGATCACTTTGGCACAATCCAATAGGGGGACACTGGAGACAATACAGGTCACAAATCACAGTTGTCTCAAACAGAACAACAGAGCTGGAATACTTATAACTATATATCTACCAATTATTAGCTAAAGTCTACTCTCTGGAGGACTTTAATTCTCAGATACTGGCTCTTCATGCTTGGAGACAAAAGGAGGTTGGTTCTGTAGTCCTGTGACAAAAAGCCACAGATTCTGGCTATTGGGGGAAAAAGCAAAAGCAGAGCTAAGGTGGATTAAAATGGCCAAGAGTACCAAGGGGATAAAGATAGAATATTAACAGTATCTGTTTTAGTGGGTATTAATCTTAACACCATGGAAAATAATATGACAGCTAGATCCTTCTCCCTCAGCCTTGCTTGCAATTATATGAACTAAGGGCTTAAATATACCCACTTAAAAATACCTGAAGTACACTCAACATTTTACCATTAAGTATGACGTTAGCTATAGGTTTTTGTAGAAGCTCCTTATCAGACAAGAATTCCCTTCCAATCCCAATTTGCTGGGATTTTTTATGAACTGATGTTCAATGTTGTCAAATGCTTTTTCTCCTACTATGACCAAAGAACATCAAGCTTTTAAAATTTATCGAGACTTGTTTAATGCCTTAGTAAATGGCTTATCTTGGTGAATGTACCACATGCACTCGAAAACACTGTGTATTAGCTGTTTGATACAGTGTTCTAGACATGTGTATTATTCTTTAGATTTTCTATGTCCGTGCTGGTATTTTGTCTAGTTGTTATATTAACTATTGAGAAAACATTCTTAAAATTTCCAATTTAAAAAAATACCTGGAGTATAATCTCTTGTTTGCAAATGCCTGTTTCTCTATCTGTACTGGTGTAAAAGAGTAGGCAGAAATATGGACTCCATCTTAAAATGATGATGAAATAAGGTCATGCGCATGAGGCACATCTAACATTTCTTTGTACATATTAGGACCTCGTTACACATGTCTTCATCATTTTTAAGTATTACAAATTAATATGTTTTTGTTTTGGCAGAGGGGACAAGGCTGGATCTGATGTCATGGCTACTTACATGGCAAGTTCCTTACTCTCATCTTGATGGCCTTGATTACATACATTGTGTAGACGCTAATTCATTGAATGGGTTCAAATGACCCATGCTGGTCTGAGGTTCCAGCGTTGCCCAGGAGAGTCCTGTTCAATGCACTCTGTTGTCTAGTCTTCTGCTAACACTAGAGATATAAGAATACTCATTAAACTCACTTTGGAAATGGCTGGACAGTTGGTGAGAGAGGGACTCCAAATTCAGCCAGGGTAATATTCCCACTCAGGTAATAACAGTAAAGGAAAGCACTGAGAATGATGATTATAGTCAGGGTATTACACAGCTTTGGCTTCCAACATAGGCTATCTCTGTGATTCCATGAAGGCAGATCAAACTGGGAGCAGTGGAGCCTTTGGAAGGATTGTAGGCAATCTTTTAAGTTGAAAGTCAATTTGAATGTACATATCCTTTAACCTTATATTCTCTACACAACCAGCCCAGAACCACTTTAGAATAAATTCTCCTCCTTAAGATTTCCTGCTGAATGTGAATGTGGCCCCCAAATTTGTGGGTGGTTACATCTGAATTTTTTTTTTTATGTTTGATCCTCGTATTTTTTCACAACATCTTATGGGCAGGTATTCTTTTTTTTTCTTTCACCATTGTACTTGGTAACTTTGCTAACTCATTATTTGAATATACTTATATTCTTTTGGGGAGTTGGGAACACCTTAATGTTGGAGACCTCCTTAAATTTTGACAAGGTCTAAATTCAACTTTGCTGTTGTCTTCATCCCTAAAAATGTCATTTAATGCTCAATATCTGAAAGCTGATTAATAGGCTTTCATATTATAAGTTAAATATTGCTCCCTATAGAGGCCTAAAAATGATTTTTTAAAAAAATCCTTAGCTGTATTACTTTTATACCTTCAGACATCAACTATCTCCACCAGCCCCATGGTTTGGGGGATGAGAGTAGGGTGTGAAAGTAGAATTAAAAGTATTCCAATTGTTTCAATTATGGTAGGGCAAAAGAGAGGGAGAAAGTAAACATTTTGTAAAAGCCTACCTTTTTGGTGATAGAGGTGAAACAGGACCCAAAAAAAGGAATTTTATTGTGGGAAAAAGTATTTATTTTTGGGAATATTATCTTTATTGAAATTAAAGTTTTAGTAATGATAGAGGCAAAAAAAATTCCCTCTCATTACTCATGAGAATATAATTTGAAAACAATCTTTCTGGAGTGAGATTTTTAACAAACAGTTAAAATTGCATGGCCTTTGATATATACATTAGTTTTAGGAATCTATCCTAATGATCTTACCAAAACTTTGTTTGCTTCTAATGTGAGTAAATATGCAGTCCTCCACTCAGGTTGCAGAGTGGGTACTATTGCAGTCTTTAGCCCAAGACCCAAATTAACAGGCTTACTATAATTTCAGGGTTGTGAAATCCTAAATGTTCTCTTTTTGATCATGTGACAATATGCTCTCAGCAGCCTAAGACACAGCAACAGCCACATCAGGGAGAGAAAAATAGGTTCCAGGATCAGCTGGGCACTATGGCGGGGCCTCTGCAAGCAGTGGGCTAAAGGGGACAGGCATTAGAATCGGGGTACTGCCTCAGGGTTGGAAAAGAGAGACCCACTGAAGTGAGAGTCAGGGGGCAGAATGAATTTGGTGACCATCTGTTAAGGACCAGTAAGAGAGTGGGTATGAAGAGGACTGGGGACAAGTGAAAGAAGGTGGTACAACCGTCAAGAGGGCCAAAAGCAGCTGTGTACGGGGAAGAGAAGGAGCTCAGTTCTGGGCCGGCAGCTACAGAATCAAGCCAGGCAGCCTTCCCTGAACCACCTTCTCCATCATCATAAAGTCAGGGATTGTTCATGCACATAAAGTCCAGGTACTTTCAGTATGGGGTCCGTGATGAGCTTCAGTGGTGGTAAGATAGAGGGACTTTGATTGCCCTCACCAAGTTTTGAAGGCTTTGTAGACTCCTTTTATTCTTTACTGTTCAGATGAGATCATTTCCCCATGTCATTAAATAGTTTGAGATCATCATGGCCTTTCATTTTACTTCATTTCACTGGGTATGTGTTCTGACTGACCTTTGTCCATCCCATACCTGGTCCCAACAGATTTCATACTTTTCATTTTAGGCTCTTTGATGCTCAGAACTGCTTATTGCAGTACCTGTGTAATCTGAGTGACCTTCATGATGGAAGACAAAACAGTGTTGCAGTATCTATAGAAGCAGGCAGGTCATCAGACCTCTGCAGTGGCACCTGGAGGAAGCATCCCTGCATCTAGGACTTCTGGTACTCAATCTCTCAGCCTACTCCTTTGGCCCTCCAGCCTCCTAGTGACAGGCAGATCAGGGACACTCACAAAGGGTCCCTTTGAAATCCCCTTCCTTACTACATCTCTGCCTTAAGGTTGACTCTGTGTACAGGATTGCAGTTAGGCCACTGGTAGTAAGTGGGGAGTGACCTTTCACTAGTATATTCTACCAGGATTCCCCTGAGAACCAAGGCCTCAGGGCACTGAACCATCCAAAGGCTACTTTGTTCCCCTATTAAATCTTTGTGGATCTGAGTGTCACAAAAATTTGTTTAAAGTTATCTTAATTATAGGCTTCAAGTCATTACTGGTCCCAATCACCAAAAGAAAGAGGTTAATTGTATTTCTGTTCTCTTTCTTATATTCATCTTCCATATTGTCACTTTTTATGTTTCTCCATCCTTTGGAGGTAAGGCCTCTTGCTTGGGTATTGACCACATTGCAGAGAATGAAGTGAGGGAAACAGTGACAACTGAAAAGGTGAGACTGCAAAGTAATACAAAAGAGCCCCTTCTACTCTTACAAATGCCATTCCTTTGTCCCTTTATGGAATCCTGTGAAGATGTTCATGACTGTGAATTATTACCCTACCCAAGACATTTGCAGCACAAAAGAGGACCCTTGAGATGATAAAACTAGCATAGATCAAGGAATAAGTCTCATTCTTGTAGGAGGAAGAAAACTGCTGGGGCATCGTTGTTGAGGGAAGTTGGGGGTTACTGACATTGTTCAAAGGATACCTAGAAGGTCCCTGCCCATTCTACCTACCTCCAGAGCCAGTGGACAGAGAGCACAGGGAATATGCTGGACCTACTCAGTAATGTAAACTGCTTCCAAGCACTTTTCCAACCACTTCAGCAGAATCTGTGTTTAAAACTAAACAGTGAATATGCTTAACACAATCTTTCTTCATACCCATCCAGGAAGGCTGTCAGCACCTTGAATTGGCCTTCATGATTAGCCCGGTTTCAGTGTTTTAAGAGCCCTGTAAATCATAAAAACTTTATTTTATTAAGCAATTTGAATTTTATCTCTGATTTCAAAAAGATTTTGACCTATTATATGACAAACTACAAATTCGTGATGTTTCCACTACTTCTGGGAATACAAATATTATCACATACCTAATACAGATAATAATGTACCTCCACCTCCACATACCGCCCTATGAATCACTGCTGAATGGCAAATTTTCACCTATTTAAATGAAGAGAGAGAAGCAATAAAATAAACAACAAAAAAAACACTCTTGTGATTTATTCCTCATTCGTATGCTCTGGAAAAATAACACATATTAGAAATGGGGCAGAGAGGCCAGGCATGGTGGCTCACACTTGTAATCCCAGCACTTTGGGAGGGCAAAGCTGGGGGATCATGAGGCCAGAAGACTGAGACCATCCTGGCCAACATGGTGAAACCCTGTCTCTACTAAAAACACAAAAATTAGCCAGGTGTGGTGGCACGTGCCTGTAGTCTCAGCTACTCGGGAGGCTGAGGCAGAAGAATTGCTTGAACCCAGGAGGCAGAGGTTGCAGTGAGCCAAGATCATGCCACGGCACTCCAGCCTGGGCAACAGAGTAAGACTCCATCCCAAAAAAAAAAAAAAAAAAAAAAGAAGGCAGAGAGTTGTTGACTGAGTGCTGCCCTGCAAGCCCACCTTAGGATAATCTATCGGGATATTGAGCTTTTCCCAGAGATAGATGGGGTGGCAGAGGCATGTTAGCACAGTAGATTTCAAAGATTAGCATGCAGAGATATGTTGAAGATAATTTTTTTTTCTGCCCATTAGGGAAGGTGGTAATTGTATTGTGTTTCAGGTCATTCATTAAACAAGTTTGTACCTAAATTAACTACAGTTCTGCATTCCTTTCTCCACTACCTACCCAATTAAAGCAATATAAATGTAAATGCTTTTTCTGAAGTATCTAAGCCACTTAGCTGGTTCCCTGATAATGCGTTAAATAAAACTGTGAGAGGTGTTCACCAACAAATGTGTGAGATGTATGGCTTGTAACCATTTGGGGTATATGCTTTTAGACAGTTTTTTGGAAATGAGGGAAGAAAAAGCACCCTTTCTGACTATTCCTTACCTTATCTTGGCCACATTCAGATTAAGGTTCATTTCCTAAGAGGCACAAAACTGCTTGTTTACAACATTAATCGTCTGGGATTGGTCACTGGTAAGATCTCCATTTGCAGGACACCACAGGACTCTGTGTCAACATCAGTCATAGCATGGCAGGGCATATAGCTTTTGAACAAGATATGGACCCCATTTACAGAACCAGGGAGGGAAAAGTGCCATATTCATTGAGACCATTTCTTTTCAATAATGTCTGACATTTATTGAAAATAAGGAAAAGACTTTCTCCAGGTAGTGTATTAGAGCAGAGCAGAATGCAGGGGTTACTGTGTTGAACAAAAGGCACACATCAGAGAGACAGTTGCAAACTCAGAATACTGCGTTATGGGCAAAACTAACTGGTCCACAAGAGAAAATGAGAGACTCGATTTGGCTGCCAGGAACACCTGGGCCTAGGCAAGAACACAAGAGGTTTCTGGGGGTGGGGAGGAAATAGGTCTCGCTGAAGGTGACAGATCCCTTGGGGGGCGGCCAGCTGTCTGGATCACTGTCCAGGGACTGTGGCCAGCCCAGATACCTCCGAGGTGAGTCCAGATCACTAGGAGCAGCAGTCTGTCGGTGGGATGCGATGGATGGCGATGGCTGTGGCAGCGCAGGTCTGTGGGCAGAATGATGTAGTCGTCTGGCAGTCTGGTGGGGAGGAGAGGGCTTGGCAGCGGCGGCAGTGGGTGGTCTGTCCAGTGTGTAACAGGAGCCCAGCTTGCAGCTGGAGCGCAGGACAGCGTCCAAATGTACATGGGAGGGGCTGGCTGGCTGGAAGGAGAGGGCGGCGGCTCGCTCCAGAGTGAGGCCCAGGGGCGGCAGCAGGAGCCTGGAGCGCTATTCCTGGAACAAAGGCAAGCACTACGCGGGAGGGAACAGGAGCGCAGGGGACATCGCGGCGGCTCGAGGGGGAGGGAGGCGCGGAGGGAGGGCGCCGGTGGCGACCCTGGCGGCGGCCAGTAACACAGCGGACCCTCCCCAGAGCACCCGCCCCCAGGCCCGAGGGTCTCCCGGCCTAGAAGTCCTCGTCCTCCTCCCATCCAAAGACTCGCTTCATCTCGGCCAGAAAGCCCCGGTAATCATTGAGGAGGGGGCTCTCCTTCTTGATGTAGGGGATCACCCACTGCAGGGCGGGCCCTGTGAGGCGGGTGATGAGGAACGTCACCTTCAGGGCGTCGCTGGAGAACGTGTTCTCGTCCACGAACATGTAGGAGCCCGTCTGCACGATGAACTCCGGGAGTCGGTCGGTATCGCCGTCAAACGTCTCGGGAAAGGGAATCGGGTTCCTCCAGCGACGCGTCGCAGGCCGGATCGGCAAGGCCAGGAGGGCCTTTATCAGCTGCACCCGACCGTCCATCGCTGCTCCTCGCTTCGCTGGACGTCAATGGGCTCCACCCGGCTCTGCAGAGGTCAGTACCGAGGCGTCGCCGGAAATGCGTGTCCACGAAGGCCGGCCTAGGCTTGGGTGGGCGGGGCCACGAGCGGGGCTCCAACCCTCTCATGGACTCCGCCCACAAAGCCGGGTGGTCCCTAGTACGCAGGCGTGTCGTGGGGTATACACTGGCGAAGAGGGGCCTAAAGCCCTCAAGGAGGCCGGCTTGTATCGGAGAGGCTGGGCTAAAGTTTCCTGAGGTAGCGGGACGGGGAGCAGGAGAGGAACCAGGGAGACCTGGTGGTGTACGGGGCGCGGGGAGCTCGCTCCGAGGGGATGTTAGGGGCCCTACGTAGTTCTGGTAGTTGAGGAGTCCTTCGGCAGCACTCGTCCCCACCTCTCATCAGCCCTTGGGTATGCATTCAAGGAGCCTTGGCCCTAGACGCCACTCGTATGAGGTTCTGTGAACACATTTTCCTGCTGCTGCTTTCATCTCTCAACCAGATTATTGGCTCCCTATTTTGCAACATTAATAGAGAAGCCCCACATATTAGCAAATACAATCCAGAGCAGCATATTCAAAGAGTAATGCACCACGCTTGAGGGATGGATACTCCATTCTCCATGATGTGATTATTAACACCTAGTATTTGATAGCACAAGATGACTACAGTCAAAATAATTTAATTGTACATTTAAAAATAACTAAAAGTATAATTGGATTGTTTGTAGCACAAAGGATAAACGCTTGAGGGGAATGGATGCCCCATTTACCATTATGTGATCATTATGCATTGTGTGCCTATGTTAAAGCATTTCATGTATCCAATAAATACGTATACCTATTATGTACCCACAAAAAGTATAAATAATTTTTTAAAAAGAATAATATACCACGAGCAGTTAATGTAAGGAGGGTTAAATATTAAGAAATCTCTTAATTTGTTATAAAAGCTGCCCTCAGTTCTCTGCCATGTTGCCCTGTCCACAGGCAGTTCACAACAGTGCCGCTTGTTTCTTCATGGAACAAAGGGAGAATGTGTCTCCTTGAAAGATGGAGTCATGAAGGGGTGGCCAGCCCCTCCACACCTGTGGGAGGGTTTCTTGTCAGGTGGGACGAGAGACTGAGAAAAGAAGAGACAAAGTATAGAGAAAGAAAAGTGGGCCCAGGGGACCAGCGCTCAGCATACGGAGGACCCGCGCTGGCACTGGTCTCTGAGTTCCCTCAGTATTTATTGATCATTATCTCTACCATCTCGGAGAGGGGCACGTGGCAGGACAATAGGGTAATAGTGGGGAGAGGGTCAGCAGGAAAACATGCGAACAAAGGTCTCTGTGCCATAATTAAGTTTAAGGAAAGGTGCTGTGCCTTGATGTGCACGTATGCAAACATCTTGGTGCATTAAAGAGCAGTATTGCCGCCAGCATGTCTCACTTCCAGCCCTAAGGTGGTTTTCTCCTATCTCAGTAAATGGAACATATGATCGGGTTTTACACCGAGACATTCCATTGCCCAGGGACGATCAGGAGACAGATGCCTTCCTCTTATCTCAACTGCAAAGAGGCCTTCCTCTTTTACTAATCCTCCTCAGCACAGGCCCTTTACAGGTGTCGGGCTAGGGGACGGTCAAGTCTTTCCGTTCCCAGGAGGCCATATCTCAGGCTATCATATGGGGAGAAACCTTGGACAATACCTGGCTTTCCTAGGCAGAGGTCCCTGCAGCCTTCGGCAGCCTATTGTGTCCCTGGGTACTTGAGATTAGAGAATGGTGATGACTTTTAACAAGCATACTGCCTTCAAGCACTTTTTTAACAAAGTGCATCCTGCATAGCCCTAAATCCATTAAACCTTGAGTCAACACAGCACATGTCTCTGCAAGCACAGGGTTGGGGCTAGGGTTACAGATTAACAGCATCTCAAGGCAGAAGAATTTCTCTTAGTACAGAACAAAATGGAGTCTCTTATGTCTACTTCTTTCTACATAGACACAGTAACAGTCTGATCTCTCTTTCTTTTCCCCACAAGTCATGTATAAACTAACGTAATCATGGGAGTTACATCTCATCACCTTTGCCACATTCTATTGGTTAGAAGCAAGCCATAGTCCCCACCTGCACTGAAAGATATGACCAGGACATTGGGATGTTGGGAGCCACCTTAGAATCTGTCTGCCACAGCATGGATATACAAATTTGGTGATCCATTCATTTGTTGGAAGATATTTGGCACATTTACAGGTTTTGGAAATTACAAAGGAATCAGCTATAAGCATTTATGTACAGATTTTTGTGTGAGCATAGGTTTTCATTTTTCTAGAGTAAATTCCTAGAGCAAAGATTTGTGTCATATGGTTCCCAATAAAAACTCTCATTAAACTTTGAAGGGAGCTCCTAAATCTGAGGAAGAGCATCTACAAAAAACCTACAGCTATCGTACTCAAAGGTGAAAGCCTGAATGCTTTTCACTCTTAGATCAAGAACAAGACATGTAGAGGGGAACAACACACACTGAGGCCTATCAGAGGGTGGAGGGTGGGAGGAGGCATAGGATCAGGAAAAATAACTAATGGCTAATAAGCTTAATACCTGGGTGATGAAATAATCTGTACAACAAACTCCCATGACACAAATTTACCTATGTAACAACCTGCACTTGTACCCCTGAACTTGAAAGTTAAAAAAGACCAACAAAACAAGTACATATGCCCACTCTCATCACTTTAGTGCAATATTGTACTGGAGATTCTAGACAGTGCAATGAGGGCAAAGAAAATAAGGAAAGGAAAAAGTAATAAAAGGCATCTAGATTGGACAGGGCAAAGGCAAACTTCTGTTATTCATACACAACAGGATCATGTATATAGAAAACAGATTTTCTAAGATCAACAAAAAATACTAGAACTAAGAAGCGAGTTTCCCAAGGTTGCAGGACATAGGCGAATATACAAAAATCAATTGTAATCCTAGTAACGAACGAGAGAAATTTGAGCTAGAATTTTAAACACCATAAAAACGTAAAAAATGTTAGGGTTAAATATGACAAAGGAGATGAGACTTGTACCCTGAAGACTACAGAACATTCCTGACATATATTACAAAATATCTGAATATTGGAGAGATATAGTCATGAACTGGAAGATTTGATATTGTTAGTATATCAATTCTCCCAAAATTGATGTATAGATTCAAAGTCCCAGCAAGTGTTTTAACATATAAAAAACAACTAATTGCTTCTAAAATTCGTAGGGAAATGCAAAAAAAAAATGCATTAGCAAAAACAGCTTTGAAATTGAAAAAATAAGTTGGAGGACTAATAATATTTGATTTCAAGATTTATAATAAAGCTACTGCAATTAAGACAATGTGATATTGTTATCAAAATAGACAAATACAGTCATCCCTTAGAATTTACAAGGGATTGGTTCCAGGACCCCTGCAAATACCAAAATCTGAGGACACTCAACTCCCTTATATAAAATGGTATAATATTTGCATATAACCTATGTATATCCTCCCATATACTTTAAATCATATCTAGATTACTTATAATACCTAATACAATATAAATGCTATGTAAATAGTTGTTACCTCATATTTTTAGTTGTACTCTTTTTCTAATTTTTACTTTTATTTCAATAGTTTCTGGGGTACAGGTGGTTTTTTGTTACATGGATAAGTTCTTTAGTGGTGATTTCTGAGATTTTAGGGCACCTGTCACCCAAACAGTGTACACTGTACCCAATACGTAGTCTTTTATCACTCACTCCCCTCCCATCCTTCCCCCCGGGTCACCAAAGTCCATTATATCAATCTTATGCCTTTGCATCCTCATAGTTTAACTCGACTTGTAAGTGATAACATACAACATTCGGTTTTCCATTCCTGAGTTAACTTCACCTAGAATAATGGCCTCCAGCTCTATCCAAGTCGCTGAAAAAGACATTATTTCATTCCTTTTTATGGCTGAGTAGTAGTACATGTTGTATATATACCACATGTTCTTTATCCACTCGTTGGTTGATGGGCACTTAGGTTGGTTCCATATCTTTGCAGTTGCGAATTGTGCTGCTATAAACATGCATGTGCATGTGTCTTTTTCACAGAGTGACTTATTTTCTTTTCCTTATTTCCCAGTAGTGGGATTGCTGGATTGAATGGCAGTTCTACTTTTAGTTCTTTAAGGAATCTCCATACTGTTTTCCACACTGGTTGTACTAATTTACATTCCCACAAGCAGTGTAAAAATGTTCCCTTTTCCATACATCCATGCCAACATCCATTGTTTTTGGACTTTTAAATTATGGCCATTCTTGCAGGAGTAAGGTGGTATCTCACTGTGGTTTTATTTTTTTTTTTTATTTTTTTTTTTTTTATTATACTCTAAGTTTTAGGGTACATGTGCACATTGTGCAGGTTAGTTACATATGTATACATGTGCCATGCTGGTGGGCTGCACCCACTAACGTGTCATCTAGCATTAGGTATATCTCCCAATGCTATCCCTCCCCCCTCCCCCGACCCCACCACAGTCCCCAGAGTGTGATATTCCCCTTCCTGTGTCCATGTGATCTCATTGTTCAATTCCCACCTATGAGTGAGAATATGCGGTGTTTGGTTTTTTGTTCTTGCGATAGTTTACTGAGAATGATGGTTTCCAATTTCATCCATGTCCCTACAAAGGACATGAACTCATCATTTTTTATGGCTGCATAGTATTCCATGGTGTATATGTGCCACATTTGCTTAATCCAGTCTATCATTGTTGGACATTTGGGTTGGTTCCAAGTCTTTGCTATTGTGAATAGTGCCGGTATATACCCAAAGGACTATAAATCATGCTGCTATAAAGACACATGCACACGTATGTTTATTGCGGCACTACTCACTGTGGTTTTAATTTGCAGTTCCCTGATGATTAGTGATGTTGAGCATATTTTCATGTTTACTGGCTGTTTGTGTGTCTTCTTTTGAGAAATGTCTATTCATGTCATTTGCCCACTTTTTGATGAGTTTTTTTTCTTGCTGATTTTTTTTAGTTCCTTGTAGATTCTGAATATTAGTCCTTTGTTGAATGCATAGTTTGTTAATACTAGCTGTCTACTCTACTGATTATTTCTTTTGCTGTGCAGAAGATTTCAGTTTTTAGGTCCCATTTATTTATTTTTATTTTTGTTGCATTTGCTTTTGGGGTCTTGGTCATGAATTATTTGCCTAAGCCAATGTCTAGAAGAGTTTTTATGATGGTATCTTCTAGAATTTTTATGGTTTCAGGTCTAAGGTTTAAGTCTTTGCTCCATCTTGAGTTGAATTTTTTTATAAGGTGAAAGATGGGGATCCAGTTTCATTCTTCTACATGTGTCTTGACAGTTTTCCCGGTACCATTTATTGCATAGGGTGTCCTTTCCCCAAATTATGTTTTTGTATGCTTTTTTAAAGATATGTTGGTTGTGTTTGACTTTATTTCTGGGTTCTCCATTCTGTTACATACCTATTTTTATACCAGTACCATGCTGTTTTGGTAACTACAGCCTTGTAGTATAACTTGAAGTCAGCAAATGCGATGCCTCCAGATTTGTTCTTTTTGCTTAGTATGACTTTTGCTATGTGGGCTCTTTTTTTTTGGTTCCATATGAATTTTAAGATTGTTTTTTATACTTCTGTGAAGAATGATGAGGGTATTTTGATGGTAATTGCATAGAATTTGTAGATTGCTTTGGGCAGTATGGTCATTTTCACAATATTGATTCTTCCCATCCATGAGCATGGAGTGTGTTTCCACTTCTGTCATCAATGATTTCTCTCAGCAGTGTTTTGTAGTTTTCCTTATAAAGATATTTCACCTCCTTCATTAAGTATATTCCTAAGTAGTTTTATTGAAGCTGTTATGAAAGGGATTGAGTTCTTAATTTGATTCTCGGCTTGGTCATTATTGATGTATAGCAGCAAAAATCCTCAATAAAATACTAGCTAACTGAATCCAACAGCATATCAAAAAGATAATATGTTATAATCAAGTGGGTTTCATACCAGGGATACAGGGATGGTTTAATATATGCAAATCAATAAATGTACTATATTTATTGGAAGTCAAACTGTTGTTGTTCACCAATGATATGATTCTATACCTAGAAAATCCTAAAGACTCATCCAGAAAGCTCCTAGATCTGATAAACGAATTCAGTATAGTCACAGCATACAAAATCAATGTATACAAATTATTTTTTATTATTTTTTTCCAGAATATTTTGATCTGCCATTGGTTGAATCTGCAGATGCAGAACCCATGGATATAGAGGACCAACTGTAGATGAATAGAACTGGATATGCAATTCAGAAATAGACCCACACATATATGGACAGCTGATTTTTGTAAAGTTGTAAAGGCAATTCAGTGGAAAAGGGATAATATTTTCAAAATGATGCAGGAAAAGTTGAATGTCTATTTACAAAAAAAATTAATTTGATCCATATCTCACACCATATGCAAAAATTAACTAAAAAACGTTAATAGACCTAATGGTAAAACCTAAAATTATAAAGCTCCTAGAAGAAAACAGGAAAAAACAACTTTTGAAACCTTGGATTAGACAAAGATTTCTTAGCTATCACAACAAAAGCACAATTCTCATAAGCAAAATTTGGTAAATTGGACTTCATATTAAAAAGCATGTGCTCTTCAAAAGACAATGTTAAGAGAATGAACAGAGAAGGCACAGGCTGGGAGAAAATATTTGTAAGTGGCATATCTAATGAAGATTTGAATACAGGATACATATAGAACTCTCAAAACAACAATGTATAGGTCAACAACCTGATTTAAAATGGAAAAAAATATCTGAAGAGACATTTCACTAAAAAAGATAAATGTATGACAAATAAGCAACAAAAAAGGTGTTCAGGGACATATGAATTTTATCTGTTTCTTAATAGTAGGAAGTAAAATCAGTCAAATGCATTTTCTGTGTCTATGTGTGTTCTGTGTTCCCTAATTTATGAAGTTAGGGAATTGCAAATTAAAACCACAATCACACCTATTAGCATGGCTGAAATAAAAAAGAAAACCAACAAATAAAGAACCCAGAACAAAACAAAACCTGACAATACTGAGCATAAATGGGTTTGAAAAGCAACTTAATCTCTCATATATTGCTGGTGGGAATACAGAATGTTAGCCACTTGGGAAAGCATTTTTGGCATCTTACAAGTTTCTTTTATCCAGCTTTACACACTATAGTTCCTCCTCCCCTGAGATGACCACTATTCTGAATTCTATAAGCATTTAGCTTTGCCTATTTTTAACACTGATATAAAGTGGAATCCTAAAGTATATACAAATTTTGTGCCTCACAACTTCTATTCAATGTAACATCTGTAGCATTCCTCCACATTGCTGTGTGTACTAATACAGAATTCCATTGTATGACTATGCGATAATTTATTTATCCATTTGCCTAATCTAGTAAAATATAAAAAGAATAATATGCCGTGATTAAATGAAATTATCCCAGCAATGCAAGGTTGTTTTATGAATCAAAATCAATTATAATTTACTGTACTAACTAAAAGGAACTGTAGCAGACAAAATGGCAATCCCCCAAAGATGTGTGTGTCCTAATTCCCAGAACCTGAAAATATAAAGCAAGAAGTACTGCGGGATCTGGCCAGCAGCCGGCAATGCAACGGGGCTCTCTCTTTGTTCCCAGGCAGATCAGCAGGTCAAGAAATAATAGACACACACAAGATAGTGAAAGCTGGGTCCGGGGGGTCACCGCCTTCTGGTCCCGCGGTGCCAACAATGCACTGGATATATCAGCATTTATTATTAAGTTTAGTGAGGGCGGGGGTAGGTTAGTGAGGGATTTAAGGTCATTTGATTATGAGGTGAGATGGTCACATGGGGATTAAGTAATTCTTTAACATAACATCTGTATGCAGAAGTACAGTATACAGAGAAAAGAATTTACAATATAGTGTGTGCATCAGTAATTTCTAACAGAGCCTTAAAACAGAAACAGTCTTTCCATAACCTATGATTAGCAAGATATTAATCAGCAGTAACAGTTGCAGCAAAAACTGGTTACAAACAATCCATAGAAACAGGACGTGAAGCTAGACAACTGGTTAGACCAGAAATTCTCAGAAGGGAGTATGCCTTAACCCTAAAGAGGCCTAGAAGAGCCGTGGCAAGATGAGGGCATTTATAGCCCTATCTTATCCATATGGACAGGCACCCTTCATGCGTTCATTTATAGGCTCTCCACGAGGGTCGCATTCCATTCCCAGAGCTATGAACATCAGCTTTTCTGGGATAGGAATCTCGGTGATGTGAAACCTCCCTGACTGCACATCCATTCATAGGCTCTCTGCAGGGGGAAGCACATCACGTGCTGTTGGCTCTTTGTGGCATTCCAACCTGGCATTGTCTTTATACAATCCTGCATGCAATTTTGTATTTACAATAATCAGGAGTATTTCATCTTTTATTCCATAGCAATAGTTTCAGGGGGTCTCCCTACAAAGAAGGAATTAAAGCTGCAGACAGAACTAAAGTTGCTAATCAGTTGCACTGAAAATATGAAGATTATCATCAATTATCTAATCATATGAACTCTTAAAAGTGGAAGATGAAGGCAGAGAGGATTAGAAAGAAGCCACATGAGAAAAATTTGACACCCACTATTGCTGACTTTGAAGGGGAAGAAGGTGGCATTGAGCCAGTAAATATGGCGTCCTCTACAAGCTGGGAATGGCCCTCATATTACAGAGCAAGAACACTACCTCAATCCTACAACCACAAGGAACTGAATTCTGCCAATAGTCTAACTGAACGGGAAAGAAATTATTTCATAGAATCTCCAGAAAGGAACATAGCCTCCCAATACTATGACTTTGGTCTAGTATGACCCATATGGAACTTCTGACCTACAAAACAATAAGATGATAAATTTGTGTTGTTTTAAACCACTAAATTTGTGGTAATTCGTTAAGACAGCAACAAAAAGCTAACGCAAAGAGAAAATCCATAGGACCATATTCAATAGACACAGAAAATGCATTTGACTGATTTCATTTCCTATTAAGAAATAGATAAAATTCATGGAGGGTATCTTGTAATTTGGAGGAAAGATATATCACATTTAGTTGTACTGGTAGGACACTTTTACTGAATGGCCTGTATGGATGTTTCGGAAATATGGGTGCTACTCTGCTCATCAGGACTTACATAACCTAGTCAACCCAACTGCGTTGAAAGTATCTATGGCAAACAAGTGATCAAGGTACACATCATCAATAACAAAATATACTACATCATGAACACCTTGATATGATAAACTAACACACAAAATCTTTGCTGTAGTATACCTGGCAAAAATAACTGATTCTAATCATGAGAAAACATCAGAGGAAAGCAAATCTAGGGACATTTAAAAAAAATTGTTGACCAATAATTTTCAAAAGTGTCATAGCTGAGGGTTTGCGAAGGAACATGGAAGGACAGAGAGCATGGGACAAGGAATAGATATACCAGGCTGACTAATCAGCTTTAAAGAACTTACAGGCTTTGCTCTCCAAGCACATGGGCTTGGACGTCACCAAAAAAATCCTCACTCCCCAACCGCCTAGAAAGACTTTGCCCCACCCCTACGGTGCGACCCTGCCTCCTTGACCAGTTAAGCCAGCCACCACATTTCCCACCACCTGCTCCGCTGGGTGCCCCGGGACCCCCTGGCGCACTAATGACCTCCAGGCCTTCTGGGCAGAGCTTGCCAAAGCGCCTGGGCCCTCCCCATGGCTCCGCCCACATCCCGGCTTCTCCTCCCGCGACATGCACTTCCCGCTACGCCTCGGTGCAGCCCCCGGCGAAGCCCAGCGCAGCTCAGCTAAACTCAGCGGAGCCAGCGCGGCGCGATGGAAGGTCGAGTGCAGCTGATGAAGGCCCTCCTGGCTCGGCCCCTCCGGCCCGCGGCGCGTCGCTGGAGGAACCCGATTCCCTTTCCCGAGACGTTTGATGGCGATACCGACCGGCTCCCGGAGTTCATCGTGCAGACGAGCTCCTACATGTTCGTGGACGAGAACACGTTCTCCAACGACGCCCTGAAGGTGACGTTCCTCATCACCCGCCTCACGGGGCCCGCCCTGCAGTGGGTGATCCCCTACATCAAGAAGGAGAGCCCCCTCCTCAGTGATTACCGGGGCTTCCTGGCTGAGATGAAGCGGGTCTTTGGATGGGAGGAGGACGAGGACTTCTAGGCCGGGAGACCCTCGGGCCTGGGGACCGGTGCTCTGGGAAGGGTCCGCTGTGTTACTGGCCGCCGCCAGGGTCGCCACCGGCGCCCTCCCTCCGCGCCTCCCTCCCCCTCGAGCCGCCACGATGTCCCCTGCGCTCCTGTCCCCTCCCGCGTAGTGCTTGCCTTTGTTCCAGGAATAGCGCTCCAGGCTCCTGCTGCCGCCCCTGGGCCTCACTCTGGAGCGGGCTGCCTCCGCCCTCTCGTGCCAGCTCAGCCCCTCCCATGCACATTTGGACGCTGTCCTGCGCTCCAGTTGCACAAAGCTGAGCTCCTGTTACACACTGACAGACCACTGACAGCCGCCGCTGCCAACCCCCCTCCTCCTCACCAGACTTCCAGACGACTACATCATGCTGCCCACAGACCTGCGCTGCCACTGCCATCGCCATCCATCGCATTCCACCGACAGACTGCTGCTTCTAGTGATCTGTACTCACCTCGGAGGTATCTGGGCTGGACACAGCCCCTGGACAATGATCCAGACAGCTGGCTGCCCCTCAAGGGACCTGTTACCTTCAGCGAGACCCATTTCCTCCCCAATCCCAGAGACTTTTTGTGCTCCTGCCACATGGCTGCCAGGGCTCAGTTGTGCCTGGCAGCCAAATCGAGTCTCTCATTTTCTCTTGTGGACCAGTTAGTTTTGCCCAGAATCCATTTCTCTTCTGAATTTGCAGCATTTTCTCAGGTGCTTTTTGATCAACAAAATAACTTGTATCTTCTGCTTAACTCCTTTATACTACCTGGAGAAAAGTATTTTCCATATTTTCAATAAATGTCAGACACTATTGAGAAAGAAATAGAGTCTGAATGAATATGGCACCTTTCCCTCCCTGGTCCTGTAAATGTGGTCCATATCTTGTTCAGAAGCGATATCCCCTGCCATTCAGTGACTGATGTTGACTCCTGCATTATAAAACATCTAAGATAGAGTCCTGTGGTAACCTGGGGGATAGTGTCCCCACTGGTGATCCTTCTGTCCCAGATGTTGAATCCTCTAAACCAGTTAGGATTATCCCAAGCCTCTTAGTAAATGAATCGTTACCTCATTTTGGTCAACACTATGTGAGAAGTCAGCCAGCAGGCTCTTGGAAAATGTATCCTCATTTCCAGAAAGTGGTTTGAAAACACAATTCCCAAATTGTTACAAACCATAAATCCCACACAGATTATTGGTGAACAGCTGTAAAATTTTACTCAACCCATGATTCAGGGAACCAACAGAATTATATAGGTGCTTTTCAAAAGCATTTATAAATTCTTGATTATGTAGGTAGTGGGGGGAAATGCAGAAATGAGATCATTAATTTAGATACAAACCTGGTTGATGACCAGGGGGTTTTATTTTGCAGAAGAATTGGGTATTTGGTATCATTTTATTCAATTACATGTGATCCTGGTACATTTCATAAGCTTGGGTAAAAAAATTTTTTGTTATTTTCCATGCACAATAAGGGAAATGTTTTAATTGGCTTTGTGCCTCCTGCTTTACAACAGTTCTGGCCTCAAGTTACCAGGTAGCCTGAACTTTGATTTTATTTTACCATTAAATTGCTTTAATACCATTGTATTTGGTGAAGTTTTAGTCTTTGTGTAGCTTATTTCATAGATATACCAAAAATGAAGGAAGTTTTGTAGTATATTCAATGTAAAACCACATATATTGACCCAGCACTTGTTTTTTTGTTGTTATTGTTCTTTTGTTTGTTTGTTTTTTAAATTATACTTTAAGTTTTAGGGTACATGTGCACAACATGCAGGTTTGTTACATATATATACATGTGCCATGTTGGTGTGCTGCACCCATTAACTCGTCATTTACATTGGGTGTATATATCTCCTAATGCTTTCCCTCCCCACTCCCCCCACCCCACAACAGGCCCCAGTGTGTGATGTTCCCCTTCCTGTGTCCATGTGTTCTCATTGTTCAATTCCCACCTATGAGTGAGAACAGACCCAGCACTTGTTTTACGACAGTGAATGCCTGAAGTGTTGGTCACCGATCATGATTGAACGTTGTTTGTAATCTTATATCTCAAGTGAATTGCGTGTCGAAAATCACGTTATTCAGTCCAATTCTGTTCCTAGTATTTTGCATAAGTTTCCCTTGAAATTTATAGGGAATATTCAATTTAAAAATGAGTAAATTCATGGTCAGATTGAATGCGTTCAGTTTTCTGGAATGAATGACATTTGCAGGTCACGTTGCACAGTTTTATTTTAAAACCATAATTGTGTATTTAATATACTGTTTTTCTTTAAATTTGGCTTTGGGCCTCATTTCCAGGTGTTCTCCCGCAGAAAACATGATGTGTGTAGTTTTTATATGCAAACGAGTTAAAGAAGAGTGATCTAGAGCCAGGCTGGTCAAGACAAGAATTGGCTGGAATAGGCTGCTCTTCCCCCATTCCATCATGTGCTGTCCCCACCCCTTTGGCCACCTGGGCTGACTGTGTCTTAATACCTCAAGTGCAAGTATATAGGAGTAAGAAATGAACAATGCCTGCCTCCTTATACTCATGCCTACATTGTATGACATCTAGTATGAAAGGGAAACATTAAAGGAAAACCCTTGTTTTGCTCTAAAACCTGAGGACGGTAAACACTGAGAGTAACCTGGTGCTTGGTTTGAAGTAAAACACAAATACTTCCCTTTTATAATGGTGATGGTTGTGTTTGCTTATTAGCCTTTTTGCTGGTTAATTCTTGATACTGACTAGAAATGTGTATATTGCTTCTTGAAATGATTTAATGACTTCTATATTGGTGAACATGGACGTTCTCTAAGTATAATCCACTTATATTATATTTACAAATCAGTAAGATTGATTGCTGGTATTTGGATTTTGTGTTATCTGTGTATTTGTTACTGGCAGGAATGCAAATTTGAGAAATTAGGATGCTAACTAGCCTCATTAATCTTGGCTTTTCAGGCAGAGCCCTGGACCTTGAACAATATCTCCTTATGGAATGAAGAACTTGTATTACATACCCGTTGCCCATAGTATCCTAAAGGTATACTTGCCAATTAAGAGCAAATCTCCCAGATTTACATTGTATTACCAACTGTCCGATTTTTGCCATTGTTTTCTCCAAAAAAAAAAAAAAAAAAAAACTATGTTCAATGTCAGATGATAATAACGTTACTTAGCATAAGGAATTCTTTATGAAACTGTTCTAAATGATGTTAACTTCATTTTAATTTAAGAAATTTTCTAAGTTATGTTACTGATTACTGACAGTAACACACCAAAAGTACAGTTCTATTATGTGCATTTCATGGTCTTCAGTGCCAGTATTCAGTAACATACTGAATACTCAGCTGAAATCCATTTGGAAATTTATTATGCATAATATTGCACGGTATGAGTGTCACTAATCAGTAACAAAGTGAGGAAAACCAAAGATTTGTTACCCATAGTTTTGCATAAATCAATTGCCTTGTCACTGAAGAATAACAACATAAAAGGACTCCTCTGAAACTCCCCTTCTAGCAAAAAAAAAAGGGGGGTATTGTGTCTTGGCATAATATTTTATAATTTCCCTGTGATGTTTACTTAAAGCAAGAAGACCTATGGTATCCTTTGGCAGGGGCAATCAGGCCTCTGAAAAGCAGTGTTAATTGTCCTTATGCAGTCTCAGTCTTACACCGAGGCTCAGTGTAAGTTACCTTTCACTCTTTCAGCCTACCTGGCACAGGATACATGATTGAGTACTCAGTCCCCATCAGGTATTTTCAGAAGGACTTCTACATAAGGGAATGAGGATGAGTAGCCCAGCCACCTATCGTATGAATTTCCAAGTACATACTTACAGTGGTGCTGGGTTGTCCACCCATAGGCAAGTCTCCTTGTAGATTTATACAGCCACTATCTCCTTCAGGACCTGTGGTGGGAATGTCCAGGACTGGTCAGCCTGTGAGCCTGTAACATGGATACAGTGGAGCCAGAACAAACTGTCCAGAACAGCCAGACAAGTAAGAGCAACCTTATCTTGTATGAAGTGATAGGTATTGGGTGGAGGGCACCACCTGTCTCCCGTCAGGTGTACCATCATTTATGATGGTGTTGAAACCCGTTTCCAGAATCTCTAAGCTAGTAACTACCAACAATGTTAGGGTCAGTCCATGGACACTGATTATTAACTCCATGGTAGAGACCCTGCTAGAGAGTAGCATCTCTTTTTAGTCATTATTTGTATTTCTCTGTTCAGTGTGGGTGCCACTTACAGACAAATTAATTTATTTGAATTACGCTGATTTCAAAAAAACCTGATCTTGACATTGTGCCATCAAAGTTTTGATCTTTTGATCCTCTTTGGAACTCTTGCAGTAACAGTCAGCAGCAAGATGAACTGGACAGTCAAAAATAAACTCCAGGAATGAAAAGATTGTGGGAGTGCTACTCAGGTGTCTTATGTCTGGTGTAAAAACATGGATCTGAAGGTAATTTAAGGCCATGTCTATCTGTAAAAAAAGGGGAAAGATAGGACTCGTGGACCAAGTGGGTGGTGGAGAATGGTACTCTGCCAGTCTACCTGCACCATGAAGGGGAGGACATTTACTTGTCAGGAGTCCAGGAAGGCATAGGCTAACAATGAAAGTAATACATACATTGATGCACCTTCAAATCTTCACCCAGTCAGGCACTGTTGGCCAGTTCTTTGCTTTGCGGACATTGCTGGGACCACATATCATGTCTCATTCCCAGTTTCCAGTATCTGAGTCTGAAAGTCCCATGGCCCTTTCTCACTATCATCTTTGAGCCTCAGTTTCCTCATATGCACAATGGGATTCATACCATGGTTTCAGGGATATTGTAGAATCAAGTGTGATCATCCTTGATAAGGGCCTAGCACACAAGAGATGGTTAAGGAATTAGTATCTTACTTCCTAAATCCATATATTGGAGAACATGAGGGTGCTTGGTTTCACTCCCTTCCTATCACTGCTTCCCCACTCCTGTCCAATCTGTTTGACTTTGCCATAATGTCATTTAAATGTTTGTTTGCCTTCCCAGGGCCAGCAAGCTTCCTCAGGGATTACTGAGGCATCTCCTTGGAAACCATACCTCATTAATCCTGCTGTGAAGTAAGAGGCAGCCAGGACCCCAAGCTTTTCCTTTTTCTGAGCCACATTCTGTTCTGGCCAGCTCGGACACCTTACATGGAGGCTGACAGGGCTCAACACCCAGCACCCATCAGGACTCACTACCGTCTGTAAACTGAGCAGCCTGGAGGGAGCCTGTTGACTAGCAGTGCCAGAGAGGTCTCTTCTCTTTCTTTGCCTATGTAAAGTAATTTCTTTTAGGTGTGGTGATTAATTTATTGAAATTCAGGTGAAGACATTTGACAATTTGACAGAGAGAAGAAAAGTGCTAGATGGAAATATGCACTCTTCTCAAATGTTCTCAAAGAGACTTTTAACCTTTAGTCCCAGTAGATACTTCTCGTTTGGTTTCTCTACCTTTCTCTTGACACAATTTTCATTCAGAAGGTGGCATCACAGAACCTGAAGCCACACACCTTAGGTCAAATTCCACACTTCCTTTTGAATAGACACTAAAATGTCTAGCCTTTATCCAACACAGTGACATTCACACTCTTCTGATTTATCCCTGTATTTTGTTAAGTTACTTTAAATCCTTGGATGATGAGGGTCATTGTTATTTGCCACCCAATGAAAAACTGAGACCTGAGATATACATAGAAAAGCTTTACCCCAAACCTATGTTTCTTAACCAAATAATGTGATAGTGACCTAGAGTGGCTTATTTCCTAGTCAAAAGTAGGTGTGAAACAAGGTGACTGTGACTCCTCTCTGTTACACACGCGTGTGTTGTGCCCTCTGCCCCTGCAATGGCACAGTCATCTTAAGTCACTTCACTGTTGTGGAAGAGACTGTGGGGAAAACCTAAATGATGGTTTAGTTGGTAATTCTACTGACTATTGGCATTTTAAAATTTGGGGTTTAAAAAAATTGTTTGTGGAAATGGGGTCTTGCTGTGTTGCCCAGTCTGGCTCCAAACTCCTGGGCTCAAACAATCCTTCCTCAGCCTCCCAAAAGTCTGGGATTACAGGCATCAGCCATTATGCCTGGCTCTATTGGCACTTTAGAAGCATTCATAAAGTAGGGGGATCCAAAAAGGTGTCTCTCTGGTGACAGTTTCAGGGATCAGGATGCTGGATGAAAAAGAAAGTGGGCCTCCTCTGAATTTAAAGTGGGACCTTGCCCCTTAGATCCTTCCCAGGAGTTCATTCCTAGGCCAGCACAGGCAGTCTCATCAGGCATGTAGTCAATGAATGACTGTTCACTAATGGGAATGTTAATGTGCTACAAATTTTCGTGTGAAGTGTTCCATGTCAAACTCACATTTGCCTTAACATGTTTTTTCACGCCTCTTATTTCATGGAAATAAGAGGCCTCTTATGTCATGGAAAGGGAATGCATGATAATGGACACTTTAAAGCAAGGCTTTGGACTGAAAGTCTATGGGTTATATATGTAGGAGGCAATTTATTTCACTAGTATTCACTCAAACAGAAAAACAAATATGAAGACTGATATTTTTATCTTTTTTTAAAATGACATTTTGGGTTACAGATATAATACGTGCTCATGTACAAAGTAGAGAGATTTCAGGAGAATATAATGAAATCAAATTCACTAAAAATCTGTCTACATAGAATTACACTCACTGTGACCATTTTGGATCATTTCCAGTTAGGCTGTTCCTTGACAATACCCATTTTTAAAAAATTAGGACTCTTGACATTAATTTTTATCAAGTAAATTTATGCTCTCACACTCAGAAATTTGAAAAAGTCTTTGATACAATTTTTTTTTTATTTTGTAGTCATGAGAAAGGGACATTTTTATCCCTGGGAATTGAAGGCTTGTCTCTCCTAACTTAAATGCCAACTTGAGTCTTCTTAGTGCCCAACATGTTATTTTGGAGCATAAGGGCCAGCCACAAGTGGGAGATATTAGCCAGTGAGAAAAATGCAACTGATTGTATTCCTTGTTATACTAGTTCCCTGTTAAATGCATCCAGTAGTGTAACTGGGACAACAATGGTCATTTTGAGAGACATCTTATTCTACTAGAAAGGAAGATATAATGGCGATGGTGATGATGAGAGTGGTGGTAATGATGCTAAAACAAATCAGCCAAAGCTACCACTGATAAAATCCTTACTAAAACCGAGAAGTTTCTTATCTAATCCTATAAAAATGTGTATTAAATACTGCTATTTTCTCTGTTTTTCAAAGAACATTAATGACTACAGAACATATACTTACCTTGACATGGCATCACAGCCAAAATATTGTGAGTGCTGGTGGAGAGGGACTCAGATCTAGGTTTTAACTGGCCTTGAATTCTGTGGGATTTATCATAAGCTGTAAGAAGCCTTTTAAAGTATGTTTTTGTTGCTAGAAAAAAGCATTAGTTACCCCAACCTCTATCTCCTCTTCACTTTCCAGTCAATATAATTGTCCAGAGGACACACAAGGTGATTTTGCAGTTGTAGAGATAACAGATGGTAAAAATGCTTGTGAAAAGAAGGGACAATATGTTTTGAAGTAAATGGATTTCATGGATCCCCAGCCATTTTATCTGTTGTTTTAATAACAAGAATTATAGAGGTTAGAGGCTCAGAAAAGGGGAAGGGCTTCTCTGATCAGGAAAGATGGAGTGACACATCTTCCCTTCACCAGGGGCCTACAGGCTAGAGGTGGGAAAGGGGCTGTAAGCAGTGGCATTGTGTGGAGCTGCTTCCTAGAGGTTGAGGCCAAGGGACTCTGGTGGGAAAGTTGCCCTGGGCACTCTGCATTCAAGGGAGTGTTTCCTACTCCCTTCTCCATGCCTGGCACCACAACAAAGCATATTGTTGAGTGTAACGTGAGAAGTATACCTTTTGGCAAAGACAGGACTTTTATGATGGGGATAGAACCTTACTTTCCATTATCCTTGAGAATTCCAGACTTGGCTACTGGTGAAGGCTTAGCTTCTGTGTATACCCTTAGCCTGTGAAAAATGGCTCAGGAAAAGGTGAGCTATACCTCTTTTACTGTAGCTTAGTAGAGCAATCTGAGGGAGATATCTGAGAAGCAACTGCGAGTGTTTCTGGGAAGCTGTCAGTCTTGGTTGAGTTGAGCACACAGTCTTTCATATCTGTAGTGAGCTGTGTTCACCAGCAGAGAATTAGGAAAGTGACATGCTGTTGCTGATATGTTCTTCTAACATATGACCCAGTAACTTTTTTCTTCCATGCTCCAATGGTTCGAATGCCTGTGCAAGGTAATACAGGAAACACACACTGGCATTGGCAGCATTCTGGGCACGGGAAATTTGGGGTCTAGAGAAGAAACTGGTGATGGCCTTCTGTCAGGATTCTGTGCTCAGACACTAATGTGCTGAACTGCATGGTTTCCACTGTGAAGAGGAATGGCATGTCAGGCATCATGAGGACCCCTGATTCAGTGAATAGGAACGCAGTTGAAGTTTATTCAAGCATTTCTCTGTTTTAGCTTCTTGCACTCTTCCATTGATCATACTCTGCACATTGGTGGGGACAGAAAAGTCATGTGGTTCCTGTCAATGACCAGTACATGAAGCTGGTGAAATTTTGATCCTCATAGGTATCTGTAGAAGAGCCTGAGTGTTCAGGAAGCTCCCATGTCAGGTATCCAGGCTAGCAGCTTAATCTCTCCTATTCCTCATGCTGAAAATGGCACCTACCTCAAGGCTGTAGGTGTCAGTTTCCCTGTTTATAAGCTGTTGCCACTTGGTGATCTGACCCATCTGCCATTTGGTCCTCTCAGAGGGGAAATTACATGGTCTCAAAATGACCTTGCCTGTGCTTTCAAGCAGAGAGTGTTACAGACACAACCGTGAGGGATTTATACATCTTGTATAGTACTCCAGCTACTGCAGCTGTTACAGGATAAGGGGAAGCCACAGTTTGAGGAGGGGAGGGCACACTGCTTTCCGTATTTCAGGCTACCTAAGAATTCAAGCAGGAATGCAAGGAATCTCCAGAATATGACAGAGGAAAACAATGCACATCGATAAATGTCCTATGAGCATATATGGCCCATTGCAAAGTTGAGACATTGATGAAAGGGACAGGTCATTATTTTCCATATCCTCAGTGAATGATGGGCTTCTATATGGTCACGTAGTTCAATAATGTGATGGACTTCTGCAAAGTTACTGCTGTCACTTTTGCTGATGCTGTTGTATCCTCACTGATGCCATACACTGTAGGCACTCATCTTGGTCATAATCCAGAGTGTTCTCCCATAGGTTTATTGCAAGTCGTGAGCACTACCTGTGATACGCATTTCCCGTTATCTTACTCAAGAGGGCTGAGCTGAGATGCTCGTTTCAACTGCTTAAGTTATTTTCTCTTTACCTAGTGCTCATGCAGGTCATACATTTTTGCCGCCAATCCTTTTCCACAATTAGAAAAGAAGAGGGCACAGAAGTTTCTCTACTTCAGGCTACCTAACAGGTCAAGCAGGAATGTCAAGAATCTGCTGCATATGAGGAAAACACAGACAGTTCAAGGACTAGGGACTTTGATATGAAAGTTGCAGTGGGCACTAGGGTTCAGGGAAGTGCCCCCAATTCCCTTTTTCCCTTCCCTCACAGTACATTTGGAGTACCATGACTGGAGGACACAGGACAACATTGCACATCCACAGATGTCATACGAGCATACATGGCCCACTGGCAAACGTCAGGCATGAATGATGGGGACAGGTTATTTTCCATTTTCCCAGTGTGTGGTGGACTTGTCTGTTGGTGAAGGCATTGCTGCCTCAGCCTTCTTCTGTGTATTACTTTAGGCCTGTAAAAAATGGCCACAGAGGTAGGTGACCCTTCACTCAATTATACTGTTACATAGTACTATAATGTGGAGAACTTCTGCAAAGTTACTACTGTTGCTTTTGCTGATGCTGTTGTATCCACACGAATGGGATGCACTGTATGCCCTCATCTTGGTCATAATCCAGGGTGTTCTCCAATAGCTTTATTTCAAGTCTTGAGCACTGCCTGTGATACGCATTTCCCGCTATCATTCTCAGGAGGGCTGAGCTGAGATGCTGGTTTCAACTGCTTAAGTTATTTTCTCTTTACTTAGTTCTCATGCAGGCCAAACATTTTTGCTGTCAATCCTTTTCCACAATTTGAGCAGGGGAGGGCAGAGGGTTTCCCTGCTTCAGGCTACCTAACAGGTCAAGCAGACATGTCAAGAATCTCCTGCATATGAGGAAAATACAGACAGTTTAGAGGACTAGGGACTTTGATGTGATAGTTACAGTGGGCATTAGGGTTCAGCGAAGTGCCTCCTGTCCCTTTTCCTCTTCCCTGACAGTACCTTTGGAGCAACATGGCTGGAGGACACAGGACAACAATGCATATCGACCGATGTGACATGAACATACATGGTCCAGTGGCAAACATCAGAAATGGATGATGGGGACAGATTCTTATTTTCCCTTTTTCCGGTGACTGGTGGGCTTGTCTGCTGGTGAAGGCGTTGTGCCTCAGCCTTCTTCTGTTTATTGCTTTAGGCCTTTGAAAAATGGCTACAGACGTACGAGGCCATTCACCCTATTATATTGTAATATAATACTATAATGTGGAGGACTTCTGAAAAGTTACTGCTGTTGCTTTTGCTGATGCTTTTGTATCCTCATCGATGCAATGCACTGTGTGCCTTCATCTTGGTGATAATCCAGGGTGTTTTCCCATAGCTTCATTGCAATCTTGAGCACTGCCTGTGATATGCATTTCCCGCTATCTTTCTCAGGAGGGCTAAGCTGAGATGTTGGTTTCAACTGCTTAAGTTATTTTCTCTTTACCTAGTTCTCATGCAGGCCATACATTTTTGCAGCCAATCCTTTTCCACAATGTAAGAAGAGGAGGGCACAGGGGTTTCCCTAGTTCAGGCTACCTAACAGGTCAAGCAGGAATGTCAAGAATCTCCTGCATATGAGGAAAATACAGACAGTTCAGAAGACAAGGGTATTTGATGGGAAAGTTGCAGAGGGCATTAGGGTTCAGCGAAGTGCCTCCTGTCCCGTATCCCCTGACCTTACAGTACCTTTGGAGCAGCATGGCTAGAGGACACAGGACAACAATGCATATCGACTGATGTGATATGAGCATACATGGTCTACTGGCAAACGTCACACATGGATGATGGGGGCAGGTTCTTATTTTCCATTTCCCACTGAGTGGTGGGCTTGTCTGTTGGTGAAGGCGTTGCTGCATCAGCCTTCTTTTGTGTATTGCTAAAGGCCTGTGAAAAATGGCCACAGAGATAGGTGACCCTTCACTCACTTATATTGTTACACAGTACTATAATGTGGAGGACTCCTGCAATGTTACTGCTCTTGCTTTTGCTGATTTGTTGTATCCATACTGATGCGACGCACTATGTGCCTTCACCTTGGTGATAATCCAGGGTGTTTTCCTATAGCTTTTTTGCAAGTCTTGAGCACTGCCTGTGATACACATTTCCCTCTATCTTTCTCAGGAGGGCTGAGCTGAGATCCTGGTTTCAACTGCTTAAGTTATTTTCTCTTTACCTAGTTCTTGTGCAGGCCATACATTTTTGCTGCCAATCCTTTTCCACAATTTGAGAAGAGGAGCGGGTTTCCCTACTTCAGTCTACCTAACAGTTCAAGCAGGAATGTCAAGAATCTCCTGCACATGAGGAAAATACAGACAGTTCAGAGGACAAGGGTCTTTGATGTGAACGTTGCAATGGGCATTAGGATTCAGGGAAGTGCCTTCTGTCCTTTTTCCCCTTTCTCACAGTACCTTTGGAGCAGCATACCTGGAGGACACAGGACAACAATGCACATCAAAGGCTGTGATATGTGCATATAGTGCCCACTGGCAAACGTCACACATGGATGATGGGGACAGGTTGTTATTTTCCGTTTTCCCAGTGAGTGGTGGCCTTGTCTGTTGGTGAAGGCGTTGCTGCCTCAGCCTTCTTCTGTGTATTGCTTTAAGCCTGTGAAAAATGGCCACAGAGGTAGGTGGCGCTTCTCCCTCTTATATTGTTACATAGTGCTATAATGTGGAGGACTTCTGCAAAGTTACTGCTGTTACTTTTGCTGATGCTGTTGTATCCTCACTGATAGGCTGTATACCCTCATCTTGTTAATAATCCAGGGTGTTCTCTTGTAGCTTTATTGGCATTCTGGACACTGCCTGTGATGTGCATTTCCTTCTATGTTTCTCAGGAGGGCTGAGCTGAGGTTCTAGTTTCAACTGCTTAAGTTTCCTCTTTACCTTGTTCTCATGCCTGCCAATTATTTTGGCTGCCTGTCCCCTTTTATTCATGATTGTAAAATTGGCAAGAGGCTTACTTAGCTTTCAAAAAGATTTGCATGCTTTGCAAAGAAGCAGAGGAAGAATTTACAAGTTTTCCAAAGTAAATCTTCTTAAAAAAGGGAATTGTTAGGTCTATTCTTTTTTCACCAGGGAGATTTAAACTTTTATTTCTTATTTTCCTTTGTATTTGCCCTTTCAACATGCTGCCATGTGATACCAGTTCCCCCAATTTGCCCTTCACAATGATGACTCCTGTGTCCTTGCTCAAGCCAGGCATGTGCAGAGAAGTTCCTCATGTGGGACTTGTGCAAACAGGACCTCAAGGACAAATAATAAGTATGAGCACTTGCCCATTTTCTAGCCTGTGCATGCTTTTACCCATACCAGTGTTTTTATGAAGGGTTCTTTATAACCAGTTGGAGTGAGGAATCAAACCATTAGCCTTGTTTACAGATGGCTTAAATTGACATGTTGATGTCAATGGTCTGTTGACAAGTGGGGCTGTACAATTTATCTCATATCCTCCTGTCCTTGAGTCCTAAATGAGCAGAGGTTTGGTTTCCTGTAGTAGACAGACATTTACTTTGTATGACTTGTTATATCTACCGCCTGATAGAATTTTTGGCTGTAGATGAGGACCCAGTTCCTCTCTTCTGGATATTTAGTGCATGGGCCTCTCCAAAAGGTATGAAAGAATGTGCAAAATGTATGCACTCCCATACAGTTTGAATCAGTTCCTCCAGATCCCTCTGGATTGGAGTTTGTCCTCTCAGCCCATTGTGCTGACTCCAGTCATGCAGTATATGGATTGCTGACAGCTGCCAGGGTGGCCACCCAACAGTTTAGATTTGTGTTGGTCTTCTGAGCTTTCTTTGTACCTTCGTATTCACATGCAAACCTAGTGTAGTGCTGCTTAATTTGAGAAAAGAATAGCAGTGGGCTGTATTCAGTGAATCCTAGTGGGATTCATGGATTTTCCCGGTCTCCCCATCAGTCAGACATGATGCCTTACAGAATGCTAGAAAGGCCTGTTGTAGACTCCACTCCAGTGTCAGCTTGGACTACTAGTTCTGCAGTCAACATGCTGATCTACAGGATGTGGAATATAATTTAAGCCAGAAAACAAGCACCTGTGCTTCTCCAAAGTCCAGAAATGGTGGATCTGGGAACCTGGGGTTAGAGGTAAGCATAGAACTTTTTATGATTACAGATGAATTCTCCTCACCAAATGTTTTTAGATTTTAGAACACAAGGAAAGGAGAATGGTTCTCCATGGGAAATGGGTAATGCCATTACTGCTTCCATATTATTTTTTGCCTTGATTCTTCAATTTACATGTAGTATTTTACATTGGCAGTGTTTAAGGTTAACGTTTAGTCCATAGGTTTTTGAATTTCATCAAATCCAACAGTTCTACAGAAGCCATGCACTTCATCTGGAGGACTTTGTCTCAAGGAATGGCCCCATGACACCAGCTATTTATACATACAAACAGGAATTGACTTTGGGATTGGCTTGGACTTTGGGTTGTTTTCATTGTTCATGATATGTGCTTTAGTACTTACTCAAGAGATGGTTTTAAATATTTTACATACGGGGACGGGTCAAAACATGTATGTACTGTATCTATGTACTGGGGTGGAAGGCAGCAGTCTCAGGCTGATTGGTCTGTCCAGGAAGCAGCTTTTCTCTGAGACCTTTCCACACCCTTCTGTTTCCTATGTGACTGGCCATAGCTACTTGGTTTGGTACCTTTCACCTCACCCTAGTTGAGCCAGTCATGCTCTTGAAATTAGACTGAAGAATGAGTGACAACCTGTTAAGTCTCGTTAATACTTTTTCACTACAGATAATGTAATTTAGAAGTCCTGCCATTGAGTTCACCTCAATCGGCCTCATTTCTGTGTTTTCAAAGTGTTTGTCACTTTGGTTTCTTGCATTTTATAAAATATTTGTGTTCTTCCAATAAAATGTTTGAGAAGATTCCACTTGTAGATTTGTATTATTCACAATGAATGCTAGTATGGCTCTGCCATGTGCATCATTGCATGAACCAGGGAAGAACTCTGAACTCTATAATCTGATAGATTGAGGACAGGGGCTTCATGGCAAGAGTGTGAGGTCTTCTGGCCATGATGGAAGTTCTCCCCTTTGTCTAGAGCAGTATTCTCCTAAAGATAGTAGGTGATCTAATACCTCCTTAGGAGAACTGATCCTTTTGACCACTTCATGAAGGACACAAACACATATTTGGAGATTGTGAGAGTGTTGGGGGAATATCCTGATACTGCTAAGGGTGAGACAGAAGGCAAGATGACCAGTATGTCAGCAGAAGATTGTTGCAAAAGTCATGAGGACCACAGCTGGAAGCAGAAGACACACAGTTAATTCCTGGTAAACCCTGCATTAGAATCTTGGTCTTTTGTGTCTGAGGCATCTTTCATTACAACACACCACTAGGTCTTATAAAGGCTTTGTAATAGCAGAATTAAGTTAGTTAAATGGGTAGAAGTTTTTTGGCATTGTTTGTTCTTTAAACATATCAGGCTGGGCGCGATGGCTCACGCCTGTAATCCCAGCACTTTGGGAGGCCAAGGTGGGTGGATCACCTGAGGTCAGGAGTTCAAGACCAGCCTGGCCAACATGGGTGAAACCCCATCTCTACTAAAAATACAAAAATGAGCCGGGCGTGGTGGCGGGTGCCTGTAATCCCAGCTACTCGGGAGGCTGAGGCAGGAGAATCGCTTGAACTCAGGAGGCAGAGATTGCAGTGAGCAAAGATAGCGCCACTGCACTCCAGCCTGGGCGACAAAGTAAGACTCTGTCTCAAAAAATAAAAAATAAACATATCAGCACAGTTTCTACTGCTTGTATAAAATCCCCAGTTAACTAAAATTACCTACCCTCTGTGCAGCTTACCTTGATTTAAACACTTCATCAAATAACCATATCGTTGTGATCATTAAAATCTCCACCCTTTCCTATCAAAGCAAGAAGAAAAAAAAATCTGCCCCCACAGAAAAGGAGAACAAGACCATTGCAAACAGTCTGTCCTGCCTATAGATGTGCTACACTGGGTGGTTGGGCATGGCTCTCTCCCTGGGATTTCATAGTGATCTTAAACAGCCGGTTTCAGAAACTCTATTCTTTCCATTCAGTCTAGAGGGGCCCAAGCTGCAGTGTCTCACCTCTTGTGTTAGGGTTTTACTAGTATGCTAAGCTCAAATCACTTCTCCAATTGCAGCTGAAACTTGATTGATATGCCTTTTATTACCCTCTCTTGTGTTACAGAATGAGTCTCACATTAGGCTGTGAACCACTCCCAGCCAGCTACTGTTGCCCACGCCTCCATATGTGTGCCACTCTTCCCAGAGATTCTCTGAAATGTTGTTCTGGGCAGTGGGGAGTTTGAAAGGGACTGAAGGATTAGGGAGCAGATGGCCAGTGACGTCCAAGTTATTACCATTAACCAAATTCCCTTCTAGCACTGTCTCAGCCGATGGCGGCCACACACAGTCTTTGAAAGCTTGTGATGGGCATCCAGTAATGAATCTTGCTCTGTTACCCAGGCTGGAGTGCAGTGGTACAATAATAGCTCACTGCAGCCTTCAACTCCTGGGGTCAAGCGATTGTCTTGCCTCGGCCTCTCGAGTAGCTGGAACTACAGGCATGCACTACCACGCCCAGCTTATTTTTTTCTTTTTTGTAGAGAGGGGGGTCTTGCTATATTGCCCAGGCTGGTCTCAAACTCCTGGCCTCAAGCAATCCTCCTGCCTCAGCCTCCCAAAGTGCTGAGATTACAGGTGTGAGCCACTGCCACTCAGCCCAGATAAGGCTTTCGATGCCCAGTTGCACTGGCCCCCAGATAGTGGAGGGTCATTGGCCAAGTACATGTCATCTTCCCTCATTTTTTCATTATACAAGGGAATGTGTGAGTTAAGATGACCATTGTCTCAGAAAGCCAGGGACACACTGAGACAGGAATTGCTGCTGCTGGAGGTTCCCTGAGCTATCACCATCCATAGACTAGGGAGTATATAAGGCTGGTTCACCCTGCCATCCTAACTCCCCAGAGAAACTGTAAGTGACGATGAGGAGCCTGGATGGAGAGGGGCAATGTCTGGGGAAAGAGACATTATATGAGGGCAAGATGCGGTAAATGCCCTCAAGGAAGAAATAGGACCTACAGGGTAAGAAACTAAAGAAAAATTTGGTGAGATTTGGGGGATGCTTCTCACATGTATTTTTAACTGAGGATTAGTAATATAATAAAATAAATAAATAGCAAAATCACAAACCCATCAAGTTCCCTATTGTAATAGCTAC
The DNA here is from genome assembly GCF_000001405.40 of Homo sapiens. Classification (NCBI taxonomy): domain Eukaryota; kingdom Metazoa; phylum Chordata; class Mammalia; order Primates; family Hominidae; genus Homo; species Homo sapiens. Next base: position 135,005,398 of record NC_000023.11, on the reverse strand, counting down.
AATTAGCCCAGTTACTACCTCTGACAGACCCTGTGCTGAGCATTAGTCTGTATCATCTTTCTTCATGCTTATAGTAATCTGGGCAGCCAGGCCCTATATGTATGTCTCAGAGAAGTCAAGTCACTTGCTCAAGGACATACTGTTAGTAATTTGCTGAGGCAGGATTAAAACCCAGGCATGTGTGATTCTATACCTTGTTTGATCTTAACCCCACAGCACCCTAGAATGGACAAGGGCTGGTACACAGATATTCATTAAAGAAAATTTGAAAACAGAGATTATTAGAAAAAAATAGCATTATTCTTACCATATAAACTGAAACAGTTTATATCTTGTTTTATTGTCATCTAGTCCTTCTTTTCCATATATATTTATAACTCTATTGTGTTTGCAATTTATTTTCCATTGCTTTGACTTAATTTATGTGCATTACCTTATTGCTTCATTTTTTGTAACCTGTGTTTTCATGTTTTTTTTTAAACAACTGTGTTCTTTTTTATTACAAAACTGTTCTCTATCTTATTGCAAAGGACTTGTCAATTCATAATGGCACAAAGGAGAGAATAACAAGTGAACTATACAGAAAGTGACTCACCAGAGATAATTACTTCAATTTTTTCTTTTAATTGCAAAGACACAATGAGCAGAGGAGTAAGCAGCAGTTATTCCAGTCGGAGTTGGGTGCATCTGTGGAAAGTGCCAAACGGACCTGTTTCTCCCTCAGAGAACATTTCTTCCCCTTCCTGTTGTGTGCCCCCTTCTGCCTCCCGGTTTCTGCATAAGACAGGTGGGCTTAGAATTGTCACTGTAGTCTGGGGTAGAGTGGATTCTAGGCAGCTGGGGGCAGCCGTAGGGCATTGTCCTCCTAAAGGCTGTGTCAGAGGGTGGAGGCAAAGAAAAATGTCCTTTTTGTCCCGATTTGGACCCTATTTCAGGTCAGTGGGTATGATTTTGCCATTTGCTTTTAGTCTTTCACCAACGTCACAAAATTACATTACCACTCCGATCTTTATATTTCTAAGCATCACCGGAAATGCATGGTTGTGGAGGCGTGTCCATGGGGCGGAATGTGGGCCTGTCCATGGGGCGGAATGTGGGCTTGGCCATGGGCGTGGCCTGAGTGCTTGCGCGGGCTCCGCCCCCAAAGCCCGATGGTCACTAGTGCGCAAGCTCAGAACGGGGCCGGGCCGCGGCTGTGAGAACGTGGGGGAGGGCTTAACTCTCTTCAGGAGGCGGGGTCTGAATCAGAAAGGTGGGGCCAAGATTTCCCAAGGCAGGCGCGGGCGAGGGGCGGTGCGCGGGGGAAGATCCCAGGACAGTTTGCGGTGTGAGGGGAGATTGCGCCCGCTGCCCAAAGAGAGCAGAGGACACGTGTTCTGGAAGGTGATGCGGCCTCCTACCGTACTCCTCCCCTCACCTAACTCATCAGCTGTAGCGTGTCCCTTTACTGACTCTCGGCTGTGGACGCCACTGGAGTGAGGTTCTGTGAACACATTTTCCTCCTTCATGCATCTCTCAGCCAGATTATTGGCTCCCTGGCCGCAGATGTGGTTACTTTGAAACATTAATAGGAAAGCCCCAAATATTAGCAAACATCCAGAGCAGCACATTCAAAGAGTAATGCACCATGAACAGTTAATAGAAGGTGGGTTAAATGTTCAGAAATCTATTAATTTGCTATATTAGGACACTAAATGAAAATAATTATAGGACATCTTCAGAGATGCTGAAAATATAAAAATAGGAGGGATTGTATTATTTTACCAGAAACATTTGCTTTTAGTGTTTTACCAACACCACAAAATTGAATTGCCACTCTGATCATTACATTACTTTCTTTAACATCATAATCACATATATGCACATAATACACCATTTACTTAGGGCAGTCAGTTTTAATGACACTTCTGTTTCTTTCATGAATCATGTGTTTTTATGAGATACTGCTGTGTGTCAACCCCCCTTGGATGCCCAAAACAGCTCAGCCCAAAGAAGATGCGGTTCGAATTTAAAATACATAATTTAATCATGGGTTTAGAGTTAGGATTTTAAGTAAAACTCTTACTAATTTTTATATACATACATACTACATATATACATACATACTACATACTACATATATATACATATAATATTGGAACATTTAAGAGAAGCTTAGTTTCACTGTTACCGGTTTACTTTTTTATTTTTTGAGATGGAGTCTCGCTCTATTGTGCAGGCTGGAGTGTAGTGGCGCGATCTTGGCTCACTGCAACCTCTGCCTCCCAGGTTCAGTCAGTCCTCCTGTCTCAGCCTCCCAAGTAGCTGGGATTACAGGCACATGCCACCATGCCTGGCTAATTTTTTAATTTTTAGTAGAGGCGAGGTTTTGCCATGTTCGCCAGGCTGGTGTTGAACTCCTGACCTCAGGTGATCCTCCCGCCTTGGCCTCCCAAAGTGCTGGGATTGCAGGCATGAGGCACTGCACCCAGCCTGCTTTTTTAAATAAATAGAATGATTTAATAATCATGATGGATTTATCAAGACTTATATTTTTCATCTCCCAAGTCTACACTTCCTCTGTCTTCCCCATCTTGGTAAATGGCAACTCTTTCCTTTCTGTTGCTCAAGCTAAAGGCCTTGCTGTCATCCTTGAATCCTCTGTTTCTTTCATGCCCCACATTAACTCAAGTCTACCTTCAACATACAACCAGAATCTGACCACTTCCTGGCACCTCCACTGTTATGACCTCTGTCCAAAACACCTTTACACCTCTCCTGGATTATTCTAATAGCCTCTTAACTAGCCTATCTAATTCTTCACTTTCTTGATAATGGCCAGTTCTTGTAAATATCTTTTGTTGAACATATGTACATGTTTCCATTGGGTAAAGAACTTGGAATTACATTGTTGCATCACGGGGGATGCTTATGTTTAACTTTACTAGATAATGCCAAACACGTTTCTCATTTGGTTGGACCAATTTACATTCTCACCAGCAGTGCAAATTCATAGCAACAGCAAGGAAAGTAATTGTATGAAGAGAGGAAACATGACCCCAGTCCCACCCCATTAATGCACCAAGTGCATTTATTTTTTTCTCACCTCTTTTTATGTGGAACATGCCTTCTTCATGCCATTCGAATGACACAGTAGCTTCTAGAAGATCTGTGTACATGTCACTATTGGCATGTGTGTACGTGTCACTATTGGCTGTAGACTATGAGGCTTCAGTGGGATATGACACCAACATCAGCCCACAAGACACAGCAGATGGAGTCTTGTGGGCCATGATGAATAGAGCTGCCTTTCATGGGATGTGAGGTCCAAGGTGTGGTTCAGGAAAGGCAAAGCCTGGGCAAACTGCTCTTTCCTGCTTCTCGGCCCTATTTGCCAGTGCATTTATACCATGGAGTTATGGTGAATGTGAACACACAAGAGAGTTTGACAAGGAGCCAGAATTCAGAAAATGGCAATGGGCAGCTTGGAAGATGTGTGTTGGAGAGGGCACAGACCCACCTCTGCACCCTGCTTCCCTGAGGGTGGCTTGTGGACTGCTTGTTTGAACGTGGGATTCAGCAGCTTTTCTCTGCCTCCTGGAAAACAGTCCCTGACCAGCTGCCAGCAATGCGGGGCCCTAGGGAGCCAGGGCCTAGAGCAATTGATCCTGTGTGTCAGATCCAGATGGTAACTCAGTATTTACCAGGTGAGCTTTGCAGGTGGGTGGGAGTGGGGCGGGGCGGTGGGAGGACCTGCCTAGCCTCATCTAGTGCTCAGTAGTTCTGGTTGTGGTATGGTTCACAGGCCTCTATATGTTTCAAGCTTCCAGGAAATTTAGGCTTTCAGCCTTCTCTGTATGGGTAGAGAATGAGAGTGAATACTTCAAAGCCTTTTGAATAGGCTCAGAACTCCCAAAATGTCTCTGCTACCAATTCCATAAGGTCGAAGCAAGTCACCGGCCAGCCCAGATTCATGGGGGTGGAGAAAAAGACTCCACTTATTGAAGGAAGGAGTGGCAAAGTCACAGTGCAAATTGCTGAGCATCCAGGGATGAGAGGAACTGCTGTGGCCTGCGTTGGAATCAGCCTACTACTTTATGTATATGGAAATGTGAGCCAATACTTAGAGTAGTATCTTATAAAAGGGCAATAGCCAATATATAGGAACAAAGTCTGTATTTGAGATAGAAGCTTACCCAAGGAGTGTGAATGTCTTCTAATCTACTGTTGGGTCTAAAGGAACCATCTCTGGCTTTGCAAGGGGTTGGAATTTCAGCTCACTCTTCCCTCTCTGTACCCTAAGAAGAATTGAAAATAAAGCGGTGTCTTCTGTCTGTCTCCAGGAGAGTAGAAGACAAAATAAACATCTCTCTAGGCCATAATTTAAATATTGTGCAAAGTTCAGAGGTGAGACTGTGATATGGATAGCGTTCTGAGAAGGCCCAGAGTGTTAGTTTCTGTTTTGGTTCCCATCTTAATAAAAAAGGACAAACCGCCAAAAATATTAGAAACCATAGTAGTATTTTGTTCTTTGGCAATATATTTCATTGGGGGTGCTAAGGACACTTTGAAAATGCATCCTTGTAAAGTTGCTCTGTGCTATTTTCCCCATGGAAAATTCCTTAATATCGTGTACAATGATTCATCAAAATAAAATGTTTACTTAGAATCTTTGGATATAGACTCATAGTGGCCCTGAATATATCCTAGCCTAGGGTATTCTCAACTATGACCTGAGGAACACTGATAGGCCTCAGCTGTTGGTATGTGTTGCTTCTATAGTCAAACCCCTCTGTGAATGGCACATTAGATAAATACCTATTGGAGATCTGCACTGTACTTTAGAATATTAAAGGCTTCCAGAAGCCCTGGAATGAAGAGATTTGGTTGCTGTTTGTCTTAGTCTGTTTGTGTTGCTATAAAGGACTATCTGAGACTGGGTAATTTTTAAAGAAAATAAGTTTATTTGGCTCACAGTTCTGCAGGCTGTATGAGAAGCATGGCACCAGCATCTGCCTTCTGGTGAGGGCTTCAGGGAGCTTCCACTCATGGCAGAAGGCGAAGGAGAGCTGGTGCATGGGGATCACATGACAGGAGAGGAGGCGAGAGAGAGAGAGAGAGAGAGAGAGAGAGAGAGAGAGAGAGAGAAGGAGGTGCCAGGCTCTTGTCAACAACCAGTTCTAGCGGGAACTAAGAGTGAGAGCTCACTCTCTCCCGTGAGAATGGCGCCAAGTCATTTATGAGGGATCCAGCCCCATGACCCAAATACCTCCCACCAGGCCCCACCTCTAACACTGAGGATTAAATTTCAGCATGAAACATAGAGGGGCCAAAGAAACCATATCCAAACCATAGCACCATTGTTAAAGGAGTACCTATTAACATCTGTATCACTGATTCCTTACCTGGGGAGGGCTTGGGAAGCACCTGTGAAATGTTTTTTTGTTTTATACGTGTGCCCAGGCCCTCACTCTGCTCCACACCTCCTTCTGAATCAGAGTATCTAGGGTGAAGCATGGGGGTATGTATATTTTCAAGGATCATGGATCATTCTGATGAGCGACTCTAATTACAAACCATTAAAGGCATGCATGTTTTGTGGAGCTGAGTTTGGAAACTACGGGTCTAAGGCAACATTCTCATTTTGCTGGCAAGGACATTGAGATCCCAGAAGGGGAAATGACTTGCCCATGTATGGATAGAACAAATAATCTAATCTTTGAACCCTTTTCCCCATTATATAAACGGACTCTAGATGGCAGTCTATTTCTTGGTTTTAGTCTGTGCCTGCACAAGCAGAAACATTGAGCAATTTATTGGATGAATTTGAGCATGGCAGTGCAATGGTTTAATCGAATGAGTGTCTATCACTCTACAAGCATGTTCTTTCTGTGGAGTCTATTGTGGCCAATTAAGCCAATAACTCTGTCCACAGCAGCTTCTCCTGGGAAACCAACCAGAAACCAACCCTGGTAGCCACCTTGATCTTGGACTTCTAGACTCCAGAACTGTGAGAAAATCAATGTCTGTTGTTTAAGCCACCCAATCTGTAGTATTTTGTTATGGCAGCCTAAGCTGACTAACACACATGCAAGGATCTCTGGCTATGGATAATTAACTTTGCAGCTCCCAGAAATGAAATCTACCAAAATGATTCTCTGGTCTAACCAACAGCGGTGCCTGGCATTTCAGCCATCACACTAGCCTAGCAGCCAGAGGGATAGCTCACGTACAAGTCCCAGGCATGAGCCATTAATTAAACAGACCCAGAGCCTCTAGAATGAGGGATGATCGGGAGAACCTGAGTAAGCAATCTGTTACAACACTTGTGAATCTCCCCCTTGATCTTCCCCCAAAAACACTTGTACCTCATTGACCTTAGCAACTTACAGTGGAAAGGATAGCCCCAAACCTTCAGAAATGAATTGGGGCTGGGCACGGTGGCTCACGCCTGTAATCCCAGCACTTTGGGAGGCCAAGGTGGGTGGATCACCTGAGGTCAGGAGTTTGAGACCAGCCTGGACAACACAGCGAAACCCCGCCTCTACTAAAAATACAAAAATTAGCCAGGCACAGTGGCCACGCCTGTAATCCCAGCTACTCAGGAGGCTGAAGCAGTAGAATCACTTGAACCTGGGAGGCAGAGGTTGCAGTGAGCCATGATCGCTCCACTGCACTTCAGCCTGGGCAACAGAGTGAAACCATGCCCCCCGTCCCCACAAAAAAAGAAAGAAATGAATTGGAAACTGACTTTAAGTTAATGTTAAAGCCAATGGACCAGAACACTCCTGCAGTAGTGCCTACCTCAGAGTGAAGGGGGCATTTACCGAGGTTAGGGGAAACTGAAGTTTTTCTCTGAGTCTGTCCGCCAGTAAGCTGAGTGAGACCCTAAACCCTCCTCTGGGATTATTCCACCACTGCCTGGACATGCTCAGCATCAGTCAGCATCCACACATTGCTTCCAGATGGAGTGTTCCTCATCTGGCTAGTGGCTATTGGGGCTGCCCTGAGGTTCTGTTGCTTCCTCTAACTTCTGTGCTGCAACACATGGTATCATGGAAAGCACGATAGTTATCTTCTGCACCCTTTGAGGAATGCAGAGCGAAGGCATGGAATGGGAGGTTTCCCCCATCCTTTTCTTTCTAGTTCCACCATATCATGTTCCCTATTCACCCTGCTGGTACAGGCAAGCCTCCTGACTTCAGAAATCTCCAGGCAGAAACAGATGCTAGTCTCCAGTATATGGCCACATGGGCTACCTGGGCCCTGGAGAAAGGGGTTATAAGGGTAAGCAGGGGGAAAATGGAAGCTACGAGAGCTCCCCCTCCTCCTCAACAGAGGAAATAAATGCAATAGCATATTCTTGTGGGAATTTCAGGGATTTTTGCCACTATTCAAGATTTGGAAAATGCAGATGTCATTCCTGCCACATGTAGTTAGTGTGAATCCACAGCTAAAACAAGGCTCTCCAGCTGGTGTAGGCTACTGTGCTGGTAGGTCTGCCCGTTGGCCCTTATCATCTAGCAGATCCAATGGTGCCCAAGATGTTTGGAGTAAATCATAATGCTATATGGGTTTAGCAAACAGAAATTCTACAAATAAAAAAAAAGAATGCCATATGGAGCCTGTGGCAAGCCCTGATAGGAGATTCACCATGGAGGCTGCTAGGATGCAATACATACTATGAACCAGCAACCAATATATAGAGCTATTCCTCCCACTGCCAAGATTAGCAAGTCTGGGAGCAGAGGAGTGGAAATAAAGGTAGTGTCTCTCATAATTACACCTGACCCATTGCAACAGTTTTGCTTCCCATACCTACAACTCTGATCTCTACTAGATTAGAGGTTTAAATTTCCTAGGAAGAAACACTTTTAGTAGTAGACAAAACAATGGTTTCACTGAATTTGAAGCCACTCTTAGATCCCCAGAGCCATGCAAAAAAAAGGTGATTTTGTGGTTTCTGCTATAGAAGGAGGACAGAGAGTAATATGGATGATTCTCAGGGGGTCCTCTAAGGTATTTTTTTATACTACAATCCTGAGGGGTGCATGACATAATATTGCAACCCTACAAAGGACTCCCAAGGGCTCAGACTCCTTAGGATTGAAGGACTGAGCCTCCCCAGTGGCTAAAGCAAAGGGAATGTGGAATTGATAGAGTAACAGGACCACCACATGGCTATGTACAGCAATGAAGACTCTACCCTCTACTTATATTTCCCTGTTTATTGTCTTCCTTTTTTGAAACTTTTCTCACCTCTTCTTTCTTTAGTATTATAAATAGGGTACAGTGGTGATGGTGAATTCACCACTTAGATCATGGGATTACAGAATATCAAATTGGGATAATGGCAGAAGTAGAGAAAGAAAAGACATCACTGGGAGAACGTGAACTATAAACAGAGGCCCCATGACTTCACCTCTGACTGTGGTAGCTGGAAATGTTTGTACGTGTTGCCTCTCTCTTGGTTGCATGTGGAATAATTAAATTATGCCAAGAGGCATCATATGAATGGGAGAAGGTTGTTTATACATGCTGGGAATACAAGGAATGAAAAGTAATTATTGTCTATGTTACTTTTTTTTTTTTAATACCTAACATCTTCTCTTTGGGGGAACTGCTAAAAATCACCGGGATTCACTTCTCTAGAACAAAGGAGTACTTGGAGGATAAATGCAGGTGACAGACAGACATTAGTACCCAGTAAAGCCCCAAATATTGGATAGATACCCTTATTTGTCCTGGAGCCTCTCTGCCTGTTAAGAATTTGATTACCTTGCCCAGAATCATTTAGATTATTTGGCTCAACAAAACTTGGCTTATGAACCGCACCTCTAAGTTCCCAAGCATGTTTCAGGAAAGGTTTGAAACAAAGCTATTAGATTTGTACTAAAACTATTCAAACTGGAGACTTGTGGTAAGCCATGCCTTGGAAGACAGGATATTTATAACTCTCTGACCACTCCCACCCCTATATTGGGAGATGAGGGTTCTAAAAACAGTCTCTCTGAGTTTCTGGAGAAGGAGATCAATGCCAGTAGTCATTCAGGTGACCAGTATCTGTCTGAGTCTGAATGCAGTTACAAAACTGCACCCAAGGAAGAGGTCAAGGATGGCAACAGAAAGCCCAGGCTGTAGATCGGTCTGAGGGAAGTCTGGGGCCTGAAACCTGCATCTCTGCCTGTAAAGCCAGAAGTCTGGGAATATCAGGAGAGGACCCAGAGGAAAGGAAACAGGAAATTACAAAGAATCAGGGTAGAACAGGAATTCGCCTTTGATCTGGCATATAAGAGAGGAGATCCCTCCCATTTGGTGCTTTCAGAGAATTGTACCTTTATGAAAGTCTGAGTTAAAAGAGTTTCTGTTGCTCAGAAGCGTGTTAGTAGTGCTCAAGAGAATTTCAGTTAACTCTACGGTTAAATCTATGCCAAAAGTTGCCAGAGATATTCAGCTCATGAAAGCCCAGCAATCACGAAAGAGAGCAGGTCGATAAATCAGAGGATGCTGTAGTTTCACTGGCTGTCTTGCCTTTTTTTGTGGGGAGGTGGGGCAGCAGTACTGTAGTATGAGAGGAATTACACCTGCAGTGAAGTGGAGGAAATTATTTGAAAAGTGAATAATAAAGCCAAAAAGCCTGTACTATTTGCAAGTTAAAATTTTAAACTGTGAGTAACTTTAGAAATGTGTATATTTTAACATGTTCTGTTAATGGGCAAAAAGCTGTGTTTTCTGAGAAAAACGTGACATTTAACTATTTACAATTTCCACATTAAAACCAATTTGATTTGAGTACCTTTTATAAAGAATGCTTTTAGGCCGGGCGCGGTGGCTCACGCCTGTAATCCCAGCACTTTGGGAGACCGAGGCGGGCGGATCACGAGGTCAGGAGATCGAGACCATCCTGGCTAACACGGTGAAACCCAGTCTCTACTAAAAATACAAAAAAAAAAAAATTAGCCGGGCGTGGTAGGGCGCGCCTGTAGTCCCAGCTACTTGGGAGGCTGAGGCAGGAGAATGGCGTGAACCCGGGAGGCGGAGCTTGCAGTGAGCCGAGATCACGCCACAGCACTCCAGCCTGGGCGACAGGCGAGACTCCGTCTCAAAAAAAAAAAAAAAAAAGAATACTTTTGATGTTTCATTAAAAATAATTTCTTTTGTTAGAATCCTTGACCGGGCGTGGCAGCTCATGCCTGTAATCCCAACACTTTGGGAGGCCAAGGTGGGCGGATGGCTTGAGGCCAGGAGTTTCAGACCAGCCTGGGCAACATGACAAAACCCCGCCTCTACAAAAAAATACAAAAATTAGCTGGGCGTGGTGGCATGTGCCTGTAGTCCCAGCTACTCAGGAGGCTGAAGTGGGAGGATCACCTGAGCCCGGGAGGCAGAGGTTGCAGTGAGCTGAAACTGCACCACTGCACTCCAGCCTGGGCAACAGAGTGAGGCCCTGTCTGAAAAACAAAAAACAAAAACAAACAAAAACAACATAAAGAATTCCCACCCTCTTTTTTAAGTGACTATGAGTTCCATCAATTCTCCATAGTGCAGTGGTGCAACGGCTTGGGAGTGCTGAAATGAGGCTGCAGGAATGGAGTGTCTAGCCTTGGTTCCACAAATTCCAGGATCCATGGCATCCACTTGCAGCATGAATTTTACAAGAAAATTTTAAAGGATGCCTTCCAATTTCTTTTTCTCTTTTTTTTTTTTGTGTGTTGTTTTTTGTTTTTTTGTTTTTTGGGTTTTTTGGGGGTTCGTTTTGAGACGGAGTCTCACTCCGTCACCCAGGCTGGAGTGCAGTAGCACGATCTCGGCTCACTGCAACCTCCACCTCCCGGGTTCAAGCGATTCTCCTGCCTTAGCCTCCCAAGTAGCTGGGACTACAGGCATGCACTACCATGCCCAGCTAATTTTTTTTTTTTTTTTTTTTGTATTTTCAGTGGAGATGGGGTTTCACCATGCTGGCCAGGCTGGTCTCAAACTCCTGATCTCATGATCCACCCACCTCGGCCTCCCAAAGTGCTGGGATTACAGGTGTGAGCCACCGTGCCCAGCCCCAATTTCTTAAATAATAAAAATACGATTAAAAGTTAGTCATGCAATGAGTGTCTCATATTAGTAGGAAGAATAATATTGTTTGCAATATTTTATTTTATCACTCTGCCACTATACTTCTCTGTGTTTCTCTCTTCTCTTGAAAATTGCTAGTAATAGTCCCTATCTCAGGGTTGTTGTGAGGATTAAATTATGTATATAGGCCGGGCGTGGTGGCTCACGCCTGTAATCCCAGCACTTTGGGAGGCTGAGGTGGGCAGATCATCTGAGGTCAGGAGTTCGAGACTAGCCTGGCCAACATGGTGAAACCCCGTCTCTACTAATAATACAAAAATTAGCCGGGCATGGTAGTGCACACCTGTAATCCCAGCTACTTGGGAGGCTAAGGCAGGAGAATCGCTTGAACCTGGGAGGCGGAGGTTGCAGTGAGCCAAGATCGCGCCATTGCACTCCAGCCTGGATGACACTCCATCTCAAAAAAAAAAAAATGATGTATATAAAGTGCTTAGAACATTGTATGGCATATTGTAAGTGTGCACTCTTTCCATTTATTATTTCTCTATAACTGAGTTGAGTATATGAATATATAATATACATGTATCACTCTTTGACTCAATCACTTGAATCATTGATTAGGTGGCTTCACATTTACTAAATTCATTCCACATCAATAAAATATAATTCCTTATCATTTTAATGGCCACATAGTATTCTATTATATAGATGTACTATTTTGATTTAACCAGCTCCTACTGTTGGATGTAGGAGTTTATTTCCACTGTTCTGCTATTATATATTTCTTTCTCTTTTTTTTTAATTTTACATTAGTTTCTTAATTAGACCCCAGGTGAACTCATGTTTTGCTCTTATGGTCAACACCAAAATTTAAGATTATATAAACATCACTGGGCCCCTGTCCGATTTTTTTTTTTTTTTTTGAAACAGAGTGTGGCTCTGTCACCCAGACTGGAGTGCAGTGGTGCGATCTTGGCTCACTACCACCTCCACCTCCCTGGCTCAAACCATCCTCCCACGTCAGCCTCTTGAGTAGCTGGGACTACAGACACGTACCACCATGCCCAGCTAATTTTTGTATTTTTATTAGTGACAGGGTTTTGCCATGTTGCTCAGGCTGGTCTTGAACTGCTGAGCTCAAACAATCCGCCCGCCTCAGCCTCCCAAAGTGCTGGGATTTCAGGCGTAAGCCACCGTGCCCAGCCTTCAATTTTTAAGTTTTGAAAATTAATCACATATTTATTGTTTAATTTTTATCTTAACTATGACATTCCACAGATTTGCTCATGAGAAGTTTCATGGTGTGAAGAAGCTCTGGGCTACATGAAGACTATTGGCCGTTTTTATTTTTATGTTTTTATTTATTTATTTATTCATTTGAGACAGAGTCTCGCTCTGTTGCCCAGGCTGGAATGCAATGGCATGATCTTGGCTCACTGCAACCTCTGCCTCCTGGGTTCACGCGATTCTCCTGCCTCAGCCTCCCGAGTAGCTGTGATTACAGGTGCCCGCAACCATGCCCGGCTAATATTTTGTGTTTTTAGTAGAGACAGGGTTTCCCCATGTTGGCCAGGCTGGTCTCTAACTCTTGACCTTAGGGGATCCACCTGCCTTGGCCTCCCAAAGTGCTGGGGATTACAGGTGTGAGCCACCCCGCCCGGCCCATTTTTAGTTTTAAAGCATTTCCATATGGCCTGTGGTCTGTTTGGAAACAAGACATTTACAAAGTCAAGGAAATCATAGTTTGTGTGATCACCCAGGAACCTTGTAGGATATACAGATACTACTGAAGAAAGATAGGAAGGCACTTATTTTAACTCAGAGTCCACCTGACACTCTTAGCAACCCCCCCCCCAAATTTCATTCTAAATGCAATAAATTCATTTTAATGTCTTGATTTTTAATCGAAGCAAAAGCAATACATGTGTATAGTTTTTAAAAATCAAACAGTAGAAAAAGGACATATAATGAAAAGTAATAGAACTGTCCCTCCTTCTCAACTCTTGCTTCCCCAAATCAGAAACACAAACTTCTACACGTGCTTGTTTAGAGATTACACCCCCTTTTTCAATAACATGCCTTTATTACTATTTCTTGACTTAATGACATGAGGCATTTTCTGCTGACTTCCTGCCGCCCCCCTCAGCTCTCCTTCCCCCTGAATATAGTCATATCACTAATTTTTAACTCTTCTGTTGGCTACCTGGTTCAATGAATAGCAAAGTGGAATGCTCTGATTGGATTTTCTCATCACCGACTCCAGAGTCTTGATCCATGTGCCAATATTCAAACAGATTCCCTTTCTCACACTTTCGGCAACTGTTCAAAACCATGCCACATCTGAGGTTGCTTCATATGTGAAACATAAGTTTCTTGCACAGTTTTTAATGTTCTTCCCTGTAGTTTCTTTCTGTCATTTTTTTTCCTTTGGGTTGAAGAAATGTATGCCTTCCAGAACATGTTATTAATGTCCTCCAGCTTATTATTCAATCCATCTATTGCTTAGAATTCATCTCATTCAATTGGGTCTATTCACTTCGTTTCTAATTGGGGAGATTTGCCTGCTGTCTGAGCCATTCTTGTTCAGTTTATCTTTCCTTAAGTTTTTAGTTACCTTTCCCCGTTTTTTTTTTTTATTGCATTCTGTGCCCATTGTCATTTCCTAAAGTTCGTGCTGTTTTCTGTTTTACGGATGCAAAAACTTCTCAGATATTTTTAAGGATTTTCAAATTTTTAAGCTGTATTCTGTTCCTTCAAATATTTCCTTGAGAGTCAATTTTTCATTCTATCTTAGACGATTTGGGTTATATTTCAGGCTTTCCACAAATGCTGTTTTTTTCTTTTTTTGCCACCCATTTATACTAAAAGATGAGGCAATGGAAAGAATGAGTGGCAAGTCTGCATGCAGGAGCGGAGTTGGTCGCTTTGCTCTAGGGTGGGTGAGCAGGTGGGTGGAAGTCAGCCATCCTGACGAGGAGCCCCCAAATGCCACAAAGTTAGTGGCTCTAAATATATACCTGCAGGTGGACGTTGAGAATCACCGAGGCCAGAATATAGAAGTAAAAGAAGTTCTTGCGCAGCCGCCAGGCCAGGTCGAAGAAGGTGAGCAGCGTGCGCGTGAGCGTCTTGCAGAAGGCGCCGTAAGAGCCGCGGGTCCCCTGCGGGCGCGACAGCCGCACCGCCAGGCCAGACAGGGCCGCCGCCGCCATGGACCTGATGCTGCCTCCCACATAGTGCCCAGAGCCCAAGGCCTCCATCAGGCTCCGCTGACTCACCGACCGTGGGACAGAGGGATGGACGCGGGAAAGTACGGGCGGGAGGCCTCCTGGGCTGCTGCTGATCCGAGCTGCGCTGCAAGGCGGAAGCCCTCCTTTCCCGGCAGGGCTCTGGCCCCAGCGGTCACTGGCGCCCTGCCAGGTTCCGCCCCGCCCCACGGGGTCCGCGTGGCCTAGAGTCAGTTTAGCCTAACTGTCCTGGCCCAGGCCCCAGAACCCCAGGAAGGGCAGGGCACGTGCTGACGTGGGAGACCTAGCTTCCTAACCCGGGCTGTCTTTTCTTTAAAATTATGTTTAATTTTTAAGTTTTTTTCAGTTTTTTAAGTTTTAACAAAAGGAACACAAAACTTGCTCAAAACGATATAAAATGTCCTTCATAAGCATGATCTTGAGCAACTCAGAAGCACAAACCCATTTCCTGTTGTCTCATCCCTTTAGGAACGTTTTTCAATCCTCAACTCTTGAGCTAGTACAAATATACAAAACCCGCAACTTTTCTGGACATTAAAATGTGTGCATTCTGCTTGAATAATTCAAGCAATACTTCTGTTTTTGTGTTAGATCTTTCGTATTCTTCTGATTGGAAAAGTCATTCAATCAAGTTTTTAGAAATTTTCAAAGCAGAAATATGTAAAACAATAGAAAGCAAATTCCCTGCATAGCTTCACTTTCCCCTCCTACCCTTGCCATGAACTACTATTACGTTTGCTGTATCTACTTCCCGACTTTATGTATTGATATATTGCTCTTACCTTTTCAAGAATGTACATCTACTTCACTCTCTTTGATGACTGAATAGTGATCTATGTACATGTTGACTAATAGTGGTCAATAATTTATTTAACCAGATCCCTATTGATGGACATTCTGAATGTTTCTAGTTTTTCATATGTCAAAAATTGTTTCAGTGAACATCACTGTACATATGAATTTACAAGTGGCAGAACAGTAGGAATAATATGACCCCATCTTTGTTTATGAAAACAATTACATATACATATACATTTAGTGTTCAAAGCCAAAACGTTTTACTAATACATGCGATTGATCAAAAAAGTTTAGAGATCAGGGCTCTATGTTACCTTGAGTGTTAACAATCTTAATTTTTTTATTACCAATATGATAGGCAGTACATTTCATTATTCTTCTAATTTGCATTCATTTAATTGTCAGTGCAGTTGAGCAACTTTTCTAAATTTCTGAAGTTTTCAATATTGTTTTTCTGATGGCTTGTAAAACATTAAACATCATATTTATTATGAGAAAAGTAAAATTCCTAGGCTCATAACCCCCTAGAGAGAAAGACTACTAATTTGTATATGTTTTTATCAATTGTTTGCGTATATTTATAAGCACAAACATGTATACGCACATAGATATATTTACAAATCGTAAAACAAAAATGGAATCAGATAAACATATGCAGTCCGGGCGCTCACGCCTGTAATCCTAGCACTTTGGGAGGTTGAGGCAGGCGGATCACCTGAGGTCAGGAGTTCAAGGCCAGCCTGGCCAGCATGGTGAAACCCTGTCTCTACTAAAAATACAAAAATTAGCTGGGTGTGGTGGCACTCGCCTGTGGTCCCATCTACTCAGGAGGCTGATGCAGGAGAATCGCTTGAACCCAGGGGTGGAGGTTGCAGTGAACCGAGATCGTGCCACTGCACTCCAGCCTGGGTGACAGAGCTAGACTCGGTCTCAAAAACAAACAAACAAAAACCAAATAAAACCAAACAAACAAAACAACATATGTCCCCACCTTTGCTTTTAAACATAATGATATGTCTTGCATATGTTCCCATGTTGATACTTTATTGGCTGTGTGTTATTCCTTATGGATGGCCAATAATTAACTGATCTCCTGTTGATGGATTTTTGGATGGTTTCAAATTTTTCGCAATCATAAGCAATGCTGAGATTAATATTTTGCATGCACATCATTGTACACCTTTCTGATATTTTCCAGGGATACATTCATAGAAGTGGAATTCTTAGCTCAAAGGGTTTTCATGTAAGGATTTTGATACGTATTGTCAAACTGCCTTCCACTAGCTTGTACTAATATACACATGAACATACCGTCAGCAGTTCCTAACAATTGGCATTCACATTCTTTTAATCAGTTGACATTCTGATAGGTGAAAAGGGTATCTCACTGATGTTTTAATTTGCACGGTTTGATTACTAGCAAGGTTGCTCCATTTTAGCCAATGTCTCATTAACAAGGCAAGTCACAGAGCAGATTCAAGAGAAAAGAAATAGATCCACGTATTAACAGTTCATTTTTATGTGTATATAGCATTGCACATCTCTATGAAAGGAACCACTCTGTCAAGTTTTGCCGTCTTACCCGGCACAGTGGTGCTTATCTGTAGTCCCAGCTACTTGGGAGGCTAAGGTGAGAGAATTGCTTGAGCCCAGGAGTTTGAGACAAGCTTGGGCAACATAGCAAGACCCCCATCTCTAAAAATAAATAAGTAAATTAATTTTTTTAAAGTTTTGCAGTCTTAATTTTAATAGCTATTTCCAATTCCTATGTAAAAAGTTGTTCCAGGCTGGGCGTGGTAGCTCACACCTGTAATCCCAGCACTCAGGAGGCAGAGACAGGAGGATTGCTGGAGCCTTAGGAGTTTGAGAACAGCCTGGGTAACATAACGAGACCCTATCTCTACAAAAAAAGTAAAAAATTAGCTGGACACGGTGGCACAGGTCTGTAGTCCCAGCTACTCAGGAGGCTGAGGTGAGAGGATTGCTTGAGCCTGAGAGGCTGAGGCTGCAGTGAGGCGTGATTGTGCCACTGCACCCCAGGCTGGGCAACAGAGCAAGACCTTGTCTCAAAAAAAATAAATTAAATGAAAAAGTTATAACAATTCCCACTCCCTCAGGCAATTTACAAAGCTGTTCATTTCTCCACACCCTCACCCATATTATTATGTATTATTTTAATATCATAATGTAAAATAAAATAATCTTTCTAATTATTATTATTATTATTATTTGAGATGGAGTCTCGCTATGTTGCCCAGGCTGGAGTGCAGTGGTGCAATCTTGGCTCACTGCAAGCTCGGCCTCCCAGGTTCAAGCGATTCTCCTGCCTCAGCCTCCCAAGTAGCTGAGATTACAGGCATGTGCCACCACACCCGGCTAATTTTTGTATTTTTAGTAGAGACGTGGTTTCACTATATTGTCCAGACTCGTCTCAAACTCCTGACCTCAGGTGATCTGCCCACCTTGGCCTCCCAAAGTGCTGGGATTACAGACGTGAGCCACCACGCCCGGCCCTAGTTATTTTGAATTTACCTATATTTGATTACTGCTGTGGATTAATATTATGCTTATTGG
Source organism: Homo sapiens (assembly GCF_000001405.40). NCBI lineage: Eukaryota > Metazoa > Chordata > Mammalia > Primates > Hominidae > Homo > Homo sapiens. The sequence continues at coordinate 134,987,735 of NC_000023.11, read as the reverse complement.
TCATTTGTAGTGGCGTCAAAAGGAAGGAGAGCCAGATGGGTGGGATGACTGGTGGCTACGCAGAAGGCTTACAACTAGGCTGTGGAAACCCCAGGGGCGGTGGCTGTGACAGCAAGGAAGAGGGCTAGGCAGCCTTCTCCTTGCCTTTTCATATCTCCCTGCCCCTCATATTGCCTAGGCCTTGGCCCCTTTGCTCATTTCTATATTAAAATGTTTGCCTAGGCCGGGCGCTGTGGCTCATGCCTGTAATCCCAGCACTTTGGGAGGCCGAGGCGGGTGGATCACGAGGTCAGGCGATTGAGACCATCCTGGCTAACATGGTGAAACCCCGTCTGTACTAAAAATACAAAAAAATTAGCCGGGCATGGTGGCAGGCACCTGTAGTCCCAGCTACTCGGGAGGCTGAGGCAGGAGAATGGCGTGAACCCAGGAGGCGGAGCTTGCAGTGAGCCGAGATCACACCACTGCACTCCAGCCTGGGCGACAGAGCGAGACTCCGTCTCAAAAAAAAAAAAAAAAAAAAGTTTGCCTAAGGCAGACAGAACAGCACAAGCAGCCTAAAATTGATAAAATCCCAACCAGAGCCCTGGGAGAGAAATAGAGTGGTCAAAATGGCCTAAAGTAATGCATTAAGCAAAGGAAATGCACCCTTCTCTCTCATGCTAGACACCAAATATGAAACAGTAGAATTAGGTCAAAGTTCTTCTCTTTGGAAAATTATACAAGTCATCTTTTGCTCTTCTTTCTCACGGTAGAGTGCATATGCCTTGATTCTTTTGTCTGAACCACTCACTCTATATATACGGGAAGAGGCCAGGCATGGTGGTTCACGCTTGTAATCCCAGCACTTTGGGAGGCCGATACAGGAGAGTTGTGTGAGCTCAGGAGTCCAGAACCAGCTTGGGCAACATAGGGAGACTTTGTCTCTATTTCAAAAAAGAAAGAAAGAGAAAGAAAGAAAGAAAGAAAGGAAGGAAGGAAGGAAGGAAGGAAGGAAGGAAGGAAGGAAGGAAGGAAGGAAGGAAGAAAAAAGAAAGAAAGAAAGAAAGAAAGAAAGAAAGAAAGAAAGAAAGAAAGAAAGAAAGAAAGAAAGAAAATAAATAAATAAATCAGCCACTCGTGGTGGCACATGCTTGTAGTAGTCCCAGCTACTCAAGAGACTGAGGCGGTAGGATTGTTTGAGCTTAGGAGATCAAGGCTGCAGTGAGCTATGATCTCACCACTGCACTCCAGGCTCGGTGACAGAGCAAGCTTCTCTCTCTCTCTCTCTCTCTCTCTCTATATATATATATATATGTATATATACACACACATATATATGTTATTTACATATGCTTATGTATGTGTGTACATATATACATACATATACATGTACATATAGGAAGAATATAGTACATATACGTATAATTTTTTGCACTGCTACCATTGATCTATAGATAGTAGATTAAAATGTAATCTGAGGTTGTTGTGGTGCAAGATACTCAATTGAACACAGGTATTTACCTTCCCAAAACAAATAGAAACAATTATAAAGAAGTATAAATTCATTCATAAAAGCAGTGGAGAGGGTGAGGATGGCAGAGCAAAGACTTTGATAGCTTCCTGAAATGAATGCTGAGTGGATCAAACTGAAAAATAAATCAGAGTATACTGCACCAATGATTCTCAGGAAAAGGCTGCAGCATAGGTGGAAGCCATTTTCATGGAAGAAGCACCCTCTGCTCTCCAGGTACAGAGAGTGGAAGTGGGAGGATCACATAAAATCAGATGATTATTTGAAGAACTATTTGGATCTATTTCTTTTCTCTTGAATCTGCTGTGTGACTTGCTTTGGTCAATGGGACATTGGCTAAAATGGTGCACGCAAAAGCTGGAAAAGTGCTTTTGCATTGGGGCTTGCTAGTCTTGGAAACCTGCTGCTATCATGCAAACAAACCAGATGTCGAGAGATACATGCTCCAACCATCCCTTTTGGCCCAACTCATGGCCAACCAATCCCTAGAAGTAGTGTCACTGAAACCAACAGCAGCAGACCACAGACATATGAGTGAGTTCAGCTGATGCAAGCAGAAGACTAGCCCAGCTGAGCCCAGCCCAAATTGTCAACCCCCAACAATCGTTAACTAAATAAATGGTGGTTGTGTAAGCTTTCGGTGGTTTGTTTCACAGCAAAAACTAACTGATAACCATGTCCCAGAATAGAGCTACTGAATGACAATCAAAATGGCTTGACCCACAGTGATCTGTCATGCAATTAATTAATCATAGGAACCCTAGGACTGATATACAGACTTGATCTGCTTAACCAAAGGAATTTTGGCAAACAGAAAGTTGGGTCACCATGATAGAGTGTCACAGCTCCTCAGTTCATATACCCAGATTCCCTAGAATAAAAGGGAGACTGAGTACCTTGAGGAAGGATGCTATGGCAACATTGCAATTATGTACTATAAATATTCCCAGCTATCCCCAGAAGAGGTCTGCAGCAATTTACCAAGGTAAATGTTCAAATACACGCACTCTTCGGGGATTATGGGACAATAGCTCTGAGCTGCCACTAATCCTGGGAACTCGGAACAACACTGTTGCCCACAGTCAGAGTGAGGGCTTGTGAAGATCAAATGATAATTGGAGTTTTGGCCTAAATTCAACTCATGGTGGGCTCAGTGGGTCTATAAATCCACTCTGGTGATTTCCCCAGTTGCTGGATTTACAGTTGTAATCAATAAAACTAGCAACTGGCAAAACAGCTCAATTGGCTTCCTGACCTGCAGAGTGAGAATCTTTATGATAGGAAGGGCCAGGTGGAAGCCTGGAACTTACTCTCCCTTCCAATTATAGCAGTGATAGCAAACACATGCATAGCACTTATTACATGCCAGACACTCTTTCAAGCACTTTCCATATGTTAACATATTATTCCTCAAAACAGCACTACAAGGTAGGTACTATAATTGTACACATTTTACAGAAAAGGAAATTAAGGCATTAAAAGCTTAAGTAACTTGCCCGAGGTCACTACTTAGTAATTGGTAGAACTGGAATGTAAACCAGAAACTAGCTTCAGAGTTCATGCTCTCAACCACTGTGCTACACTGTCAAAATAGTAAACCAAAATCAATAGTACATGCAAAGGAAACTGACAGAAATTAGGGCCATCATCAAGACTCAGAAAATTAAGGAGTAGTGATCCCTATTACATTCCTTTTTGATGAACCTGTTTCACTAGAGAAGAATACAGAGGAAGCTTAAATTAGAAGTGGTATATATGGATTGGCCTTGAACAGGTTCTGGAGGCACAACAAAGGTACCTAAGCAGTGGCTCACACTTCCAGTGTGTTCACACCTGCCACACTGCCTTCTCTTTCGCAACCCACACTTACAGTTTCATGGGGACTGCTTTGGGCTGAGTTGTGTCCGTGCCAGATTCATATGTTGAAGCCCTAACCCCCAGAATCACAGAATGCGACTATATTTGGAGATAGGGTTTTTAAAGAAGTAACTAAGGTTAAATGAGGTCATTAGGGTGGACCCTAATCCAACATCACTGATGTTCTTCTAAGAAGAAGGGATTAGGACACAAACACACACATAGGGAATACCATGTCAAGACACATGGAGAAGACGGCCACCAATAAGCCCAAGAATAGAGGCCTTCAGAAGTGACTCAGTCCATTCCTGCCACTATGACAAAATACCTTAGACTGAGTAATTTAAAAATAATAGAAATTTATTTCTCACAGTTCTGGAGCCTGGGAAGTCCAAGATCAAGTTGACAGCAAGTTCGTTGTCTAGTAAGGGCCTGGTGTCTGCTTCCAAGACGGCACCTCGAACACTGTTTCCTCACATGGCAAAAGGGACAGAAGGGCAAAAGGGCCTAGCTAGTTCCCTCAGCCCTTTCACAAGGCACTGATCCCATCCATGACAGCAGAGCTCTCGTGGCCTAATCACCTCCTAAAGGCCTTACCTCTTAATACTCTTGCATTGGGGATTAAGTTTCAACATTAATTCTGGAGGGAACACAAACATTCAAATTGTAGCAAAAAGAAACCAATTCAGCTGACAGCTTGATCTTGAACTTCTAGCCTCCAGAACTGTAAGGAAATACATTTCTGTTGTTTAAGTCACCTGTCTGTGGTACTTTGTTATGGCAGCCCTAGCAAACTAATACAGGGACCTCTGTATAACCAGCTATTTGAAGAGTAGAACATCTAAACCTATTTTAGCACATTTCTGCATGACCTAAGGGCACCAGCCAGAGCACATTGTTGTAGATCACAGCCCCACACAGGGGTAGCCCGGAAGGTCACTGAAGAAGAGTCTTTTCTGAGAACATAATTTCAAGTGGTATATCTGGTTGTTCACTTTGCTTGGAAGGAGAAGTGGCCTAAGGTATGGCTCTATACCATATGGTTCAGGGACTTGGAATGAACAAAATTTATAGTATTGGTAACAAGAAGGTTTTGGGGAAGTGGTATGTGGTTGGACCTCTACTAATGGTAAATACATTTGTGTTCCATATAAGTGCCCAACAGAGGGCATCAACTGTGATGGAGGGTATCGATAACTATGTGAACAAGATTACTTGCATTAGAATGTCAACCTCTTTCCCCAACTATCTTGAAGCTTACTCAAGGGGCCAATGTACAAAATGCCCATGGCTGCAGAGATGAAGGCTCTACATGGGCTCAATTGCATGGGCTTCCCCTCACCACGGCTGATCATAAAAGTTGTGTGTCCAATCCCAACTTCCCAGCAGCAGAGGCCAATACTGAACCTCCAGTATATACCACTTCCTTGTGTGGGAGGGCGAGGGGACTACAACCAGCCATCTTGTGGCAGGCTGTTCATAAGATAATAACTTATGGGGCTGCTCTGCCTAAGGAGTAGCCATTCTTTATTCTTTTACTTTCTTAATAAATTTGCTTTCACTTTGCTCTAAAACAAAAGATAATAACTTATGGGACTTTGGGCATCCTTTTTGGGGGAGAAGTCAGGTTTGATTTGTTTTGGTTCCCTTCCATTGTGCAGGGGACTGCAGTATCAATTTGCTTTCCTTGACTGCAACACTTCAACCAGCAACACTTTCATGGGCGTATTCACAATTATGATATTTCATACCATACTGCTTATGAATAAAGAACTCATTTTATAGCAATAGGAGGTAAGAAAGGCCTAAACAGAATTCACACTAGTTGTACCTTATTCTTCATCATCTAGAATGGTATATTGCCTATTTAACATCCGTTTTCAAATATTTTCTTCCTGTCCCCTTGATTTTGTCCTCTGCTGATTTAGAGATCTGATTAAGGAAGGATAACATCTACCAGTAGAAAAAACAATCATTCCATTGGATTGGATGTTAAGACTTCAACCTACTTATTTTGAGCTATTTTTGTCACTGGACCAACAGGCAAAATATAGGTTTGATCGGTGTGATTGATCCTGGTCATCAAGGGGTTAATTGGTTGGTCTTACATAGGGCAGGCAGGTAAAACTATGAGACTCTGGAACTCCTCCTAATACTGTCATGTTCAATGGTAAATGTTAATAAAAGATTAGAGCCCTTGAGACCACAAGGGCTCAAGCCTCTCAGTAATGAAGCTTTATCTCAGCCCACCAGGCAAAGAGAATAAGATAGCTAAGAAACTGGAAGAAGGCAAGGGAAAATGGAATCGGTAGTTGAAGAAAGAAGTTACATAACTACCAACTATGTCCTTGTGACTACTTTCAGAAACAAGGTGGAAGTAGCTGTTCATATTTTTTTTTCCTTATTGTGTCTGCGTGTGTGTGTGCATGTGTGTGTGTGTGTGTGTGTGTGTGTAGGACATTTTCTTCACCCTGCCACTTTATATAAGATACTTTGATTGATGGTAGTTAAACTTCATAATCCAGTCTATAAATTACAGAGTATCAGTACAAGATTTTGATGACCTAAAGAGGAATAAACATTGTTCAACAATCCTGAATTTAGAGCTGGATTTAATAACTTATGAGACTTATGAGACTTTGGGCATCTTTTGGAGAGAAGTTGAGTATGATGTGTCTTCTACAAGGCATAGTTGAACTATGTTAGGTGGCAGCATGTTATTATTGCTGTTGTTATTATTTATAACTTTAAGTATGGAAAAAGAGTGTATAGGTACCTATGGTTATTTAAATGTAATCTGTTGCTAAAAATGTGTTGGATATCAAATTGTTTGGATAGCAGTGGCCTATATTTCATTAATTTAAATGGGAAAAATAATAATGTATTCACAGCTTATCCAAACCAATTTTCCCAAATGTCATTAAAACACTCTTTAAAAGAAATCACAGATGACACAAACAAATAGGAACATATCCCTTGCTCATGGATGGGAAGAATCAATATTGTGAAAATGACCGTACTGCCCAGAGCAATCTACAGATTCAATGCAATTTCCATGAAAATACCATCATCATTCTTCACATAACTAGAAAAAACAATCCTAAAATTTATATGGAACCAAAAAGGAGCCTGCGTAGCCAAAGCAATACTAAGCAAAACAAATAAATCTGGAGACATCACATTACCAGACTTCAAATTATAGTACAAGGCTATAATTATCAAAACAATACTGATATAAAAATAGGGATGTAGACCAATGGAACAGAATAGAGAACCCAGAAATAAAGCCAATTACTTCAGCCAACTGATCTTTGACAAAGTATACAAAAACATAAATGGGGAGAGGGCACCCTATTAAATAAATGATGCTGGGAAACTCACTAGCCATATGTAGAAGAATGAAACTGGTTCCCCATCTCTCACTTTATACGAAAATCAACTCAAGATAGATCAAATGCTGAAATCTAAGACCTGAAACCATAAAAATGTTAGAAGATAACATCAGAAAAACTCTTCTGAACATTGGCTTAGGGAAAGAATTCATGACTAAGACCCCAAAAGCAAATGCAACAAAAACAAAAATAAATACATGGGACCTAATTAAACTAAAAAGCTTCTGCACAACAAAAGAAATAATCAACAGATCAGACAGACAACCCACAGAGTGGGAAAAAATATTCACAAACTATGCATCTGAAGAAGAGCTAGTACTCAGAATCTATAAGGTACCCAAGCAAATCAGCAAGAAAAAAACAATCCCAACAAAAAGTGGGCAAATGACATGAATAGACATTTCTCAAAAGAAGATACCCAAACAGCCAACAAACATATGAAAATATGCTCAACATCACTAATCATCAGGGAAATGCAAATTAAAACCACAATGAAATACCACCTTACTCCTGCAAGAATGGCCACAATTAAAAAGTCCAAAAGCAATAGATGTTGGCATGGATGTGGGGGAAAAGGGACCACTTTTACACTGCTGGTGGGATATAAACTAGTACAACAACTGTGGAAAACAGTATGGAGATTTCTTAAAGAACTAAAAATAAAACTACCATTCAATCCAGCAATCCCACTACTGGATATCTACCCAAAGGAAAAGAGTAATTTTATGAAAAAGACATATACACTCGCATGTTTATAGCAGCACAATTTGCAATTGCAAAGATATGGAACCAACCTATGTGCCCATAAACCAACAAGTACATAAAGAAAATGTGGTATAATACACCATGGAATACTACTCAGACATAAAAGGGAATGAAATAATGTCTTTTTCAGCAACTTGGATGGAGTTGGAGGTCATTCGTCTAAGTGCGGTAACTCAGGAATAGAAAACAAAATATCATATGTTCTCGCTTATAAGTGGGAGCTAAGCTATCAGGACACAAAGACATGAGAATGATATAATGAGGCCAGGCGCGGTGGCTCACGCCTGTAATCCTAGAAGTTTGGGAGGCCGAGGCGGGTGGATCACCTGAAGTCAGGAGTTCAAGACCAGCCTGGCCAACATGGTGAAACCCCGTCTCTACTAAAAATACAAAAATTAGCCAGGCGTGGTGGCGGGTGCCTGTAATCCCAGCTACTCAGGAGGCTGAGACAGGAGAATCCCTTGAACCCGGGAGGTGGAGGTTGCAGTGAGCCGAGATCGCACCACTGCACTCCAGCCTGGGCGATAGAGCGAGACTCCATCTCAAAAAAATTAAAAAATTAAAGATCAAAATCATATCAAGTGCCTTTTCTGACTGCAATGATATGAAACTAGAAATAAGTAACAGGAGGAAAATTCACAAATGTGTGGAAATTAAACAACATGCTCTTGAGCAGCCAGTGGGTCAAATAAAAATCAAAAGGGAAATGTAAAAATATCTTGAGACAAGTGGAAACACAGCATACCAAAACATATGGGATGCAGCAACAGCAGTTCTAAGAAGGAAGCATATAGCAACAAACACCTACATCAAAAAAGAAGAAACATCTCAAACTACCTAATGTTACACCTCAAGGAACTAGGAAAAAGAACAAACTAAACCCAAAGTTAGCAGAAGGAAGGGAGTAATAAAAATAAGAACAGAGATAAATCAAATAGAGAATAATAAAGCTATAGAAAAATGAATAAAACTAATTCTTGAAAAAATAAAATTGACAAACCTTTACCTAGACTAAGAAAGAAAAGAGAAGACACACAAATAAATGAAATCAGAAAGTGAAGACGTGACAATGGATGCCTCAGAATTTTTTTTAAAAAGTATCATAAGGGACTATTTTGAACAACTATATGCCAACAAATTGGATAATCTAGAGGAAATGGATGAATTCCTAGAAACATACAACTTACCAAAATTAACTTAGGGAGAAATAGAAAGCCTGAACAGACCAGTAACAAATAAAGGTACTGAAGTGGCTATTAAAACATCCCAACAAAGAAAACCCCAGGAACAGATGGCTTCACGGCTGAATTCTACCAAGCATTCAAAGGAGAATTAATATCAATCCTTTTAAAAACTTTTCCAAAAAAAAGGACTAGGATGGAATACTTCCAAATTTATTTTATGAGGCCAGTATCATCCTGGTACCAAAGCCAGACAAAGACACAACAAGAAAAGAAAACTACAAGCCACTATTTCCAATGAAAATTGATGCAAAAAACCTCAATAAAATACTAGTAAACCCCATTCAACAACACATCAAAAAGATTACACATCTCGTTATTTAATACTTAATAAACTCACTAGTTTATATGTTTGCATGCAGTATGTAATACTATATACAATATGGAATATGAATTACACTCTCATTCCACACTGTAGCAAATACATTCTGTAATGGAAATATACCATCAAGATTTATGTCTGCATTTTAATTTGTTTCACTTTTTAAATTATCATGTATATAATGTCATAGTAATCAAACAGTATGGTATTAAAGAAGAGATAAACAAACATATCAATGGAACAGAATAATGAGTCCAGAAATAGACCTGCACTTATATGGCTAATTGGTTTTTTACAAAGATGGAAAAGCAATTGAATGGAGAAGGATAGCCTTTCAACAGATGTGTTGCTATAATTGAAACATCAATAGGCAAAAAGAAAAAGAAACATTGAACCTTGACCTAAAATAACACTTTATTTAAAAATTAATCCAAACTGGATTATACATCTAAATGTGAGACATAAAGCTACAAAAGTCTAAGAAGAAAACACAGGCAAAACGAAATCTGTGGGACCTGGGATTAGGCAAAGGATTATTAGGTAAGACACAAAAGCACAATCCATAAAAGAATTGATAAATTGAACTTTATCACAATTAAAAACTTGTGCTCTTAAAAGACATTGTTAAGAAAATGAAAAGACAAGATATTGTAGAGAATTATACAAGGCATGAGATTTTCCCCTACTTATCAAACAGTTAACCTGTTACTGTTTTGTGGATACTGGCAGAAGACATGGGACTCCTGAGTCAGAGACAAATGGCTTTATTACTTATGGCAAAAGCAGTAGCCAGGGCATCAGCATGATGCACATACTGGCTACCCATGTTCCCACTGGTTATCTGTGCTCCCCAAGTCTCACGTTGGTGAAGCAAATGACCTATCATGGATAGGGACACAGAGTGGGCTACATAATAGGGGATGAACAGTGAGCTTGGGGAATTCATTACTGTTACAGCAAGTGGAAACAAACCCTCTCTGTCTGAGGGAAGACATCATCTCATCCCTCAAGGCTGTTTTCAGTAATTCAAATACAATCTTGTGAAATGGCCAGGTAGAGAGCAGCTGGGGTCTTCCAATCTTGTCATAATCAGCAAAAATATGTGAAAGTATACCCACAGCCCATGGTGGATTGACTCTCTCAACAAGCCACCCATCAGTCCAACACATTCTTGGCCAAATATGGAATTATACATGAATACGTCACTCTGATTAATCTGACCAACAGAATCTGGGACCAAATCTGTTTAATTAATCTCATAAATCATTTTCAACAGAACTCCATGCTGCAGGATGAGGCCACCTTGCTGTAGTGACCCCATCCACACCTCGCAAAGTCCTGGTCTCATTTAACTCTGAAGAAATCCCATGAGGACCACTGGGTCTTCTTTCAAACAGTAAGAATGTGATCTAAGGCTAGTCTATTATCAACTACAACTCACATACAGAGTTTAGGCTCCCTTGATCAGCTTTGGTGTCATTGCCAATAATTATAAGGAGCAAGAGATGGGCCAAAAAGCAATCCCCATCACCAATGGAGAGACATTCTGTGGCCCACTCTCCCTCACATATAAACATATAATCCAAAGGGGCACAGTTCAGGATTTGTTGTCATCATTACATTGGTTTGATTAAGCCACATGGGTGGTGTCACTAAGTATTTATAGCCTCAATCTTCATACATGGTATAACCCAAGGCCATTCAGTTATCAAGAGAAACATATGGCCAGGCGCAGTGGCTCACTCCTGTAATCCCAGCACATTGGGAGGCCAAGATGGGCAGATTATGAGGTCAGGAGATTGAGACCACCCTGGCTAACACAGTGAAACCCCGTCTCTACTAAAAAAATACCAAAAAATTAGCCAGGCATGGTGGCAGGCGCCTGTAGGCCCAGCTACTCGGGAGGCTGAGGCAGGAGAAAAGTATGAACCTGGGAGGTGGAGCTTGCAGTGAGCCGAGATCGTGCCACTGCACTCCAGCCTGGGCAACAGAGCAAGACTCCATCTCAAAAAAAACAAAAAAAAAAAAAGAGAGAAAGAAACATATAACTTTGCATTACAGTGAAACGCTCTTGCACTGGATCATGTGTCCGTACATATTCACTTTACAGAGCTGTCATTGATGGCATCAGGCATAACAAAATAGTTCCAGATCAGTCATATCCACATAAGTTTTTCTGTTTTCATAGCACATAGAAGGAAATTACAAATTCAGCAGCAGGTCAGATTGCCAGCACAGCTGCTGCTTGGCTCAGGTGACAATCAGTGCTGGATCTAGAGGACAAAGAGAACATTAATTGCCTTGCCCCTGATCCTTGCATCTCCCAATATCTAAGGTGTTCTCTCCCAAAGTACCAGGGTCGGCACTTTCCCTCCACTGCCACATAATCAGTATGTCCCATCCGAGTACCTATAGCTTCACCTTTTCCCCACTCACTCCCCACTTGCCTCCCAATCTTGTATTCTGATCCTTGCACAGAAGGCAGCCAAGAGGTCACTTTTTGGGGACATCCACATTCAGTGACTAAATTGTCCTACTACTCTGTGTGGGCCAAGTAGAAGTAGGATCAGACATTGTTCCATCACTCAGCAATACCAGATACCAGTGGATGGTAAGGAGTGTGGAATGTTCATCAAGTACTTTGACTATCGGCTCATTACTGGGTGACATTTGAGAAAAAAAAAAAGGTTGCACCATTGTCAGACTGAAAATAGGTTGGAAAGCTGAAAACATAACATAGCTAAGACTCAGGAGCCTCAATGGTGTTGTTGGAGTTGGCTGATTACACTGGAACAGCAACATGTAAACTGAAACATTATTAAAAGTGAAGAGAACATTGGTAGCACTAAGGGAGACAGTCAATGTAGTAGTCACTCTGATGTAGCCAATCTGTCAGAAGCCAATAGGGGTCAATGCCCCCAAGCAATGTGGCCTCTTTTGTTGCAAGAAAAACAGGTCAACTTTTGGCAAGAGTCATAAGTCTGGCATGTTGTAGTGGCTTCTGCATCAGAAACATCAGGTCCTTTACTCTGTGCCCAGTCCCTGATACCAGATGTGTTGCCATGTGTGATGGCAGTCTGGGCAGTGTAGATTTGATCGTCAGCTTGAATTTAGTTGATCTCATCAGAAAGCAGGCCCTTACTTTGTGCATCTCTATGAGTGACCCACATTGTCCCATCAGCATCCACAATTTGTTTCTACAGTTACGATTCCAAAGAGAGGTGTCTTTAGTCTACCAGTCTGTAGTCTTTCTACTGTCTTTGAAAGACAAAAGTCTAGACCATTAGCAACAGTCGCACGTCAGTAAAAATATAACAAGTGTTATCAAGGGCAGTATTGGTCAGACTTATGAGAGCAGCCTTGAATTCTGCCCATTGAGTGGAAGTGTAATAACAGTGCAGTCAGGGCCGTTAATTTGGAGAATTCCAACTTGCCAACCACCAGGACATAATCTATACAGTGAAAGCTCTGGACATCAGAGAATAAAGGCACTCACAATAAATGCTGACCCCCACTCCACCCCCATGGTGGCAAATGGCAGGGGAGTTTGTCCCAGTAGTACTTCTCTGCTTGTGTCAGTGCCCTAAATGGGAGAATTTCCTCTGACGCTTTATGAACATTTCTAGTATAAGCATTTATCATATCAATTTCCTCCTATGTTTTAATAACGGTAGATTGAATTAGCATAGAGGCTCTCACCCATAAAGTCACTTTAACTGCTTTTCTTCACTGAGAGTTTTGCTCACACCTTATCAGTTGAGTTCAGATTTTTTTGTTCCCTGTGGGAACACAGACAAAGGAGTTTAACACTTGCACTTCGGGAGTTACAAAAGCAGCTGCCAGGAGTTTATCTCCTGTCCAGGAGTTCCAACTATGGGAGGGGGAATGGGAAGAGGGAAGAGTGCAGCCCATGAGGAGTGGCTGGAGCCATCAGGGAGGCTCCTAGCCTCAGGATGGGTGCCACCTCCTCAGGGACACTTATTTTCTGCCTCCTCACATGCCACAGCTCTACCCTGGATACCTCAATGCCAATGGCTACCTCTGTGCCCAGTGCCCTCTCCTGCCATAGGACTGGGTAGGATGATGACTTAGATGCCTGTTTCCAACCAACCCATACATGTTTGAGTTCCACCCTATCCCACAACCTCGTTCCTCTGCATACTCTTTTTTTGTTGTTGTTCTTTAAAGCACATGAAATCAGAATAGGGTGGCCGGGCACAGTGGCTCACACCTGTAATCCCAGCACTTTGGGAGGCTGAGGCGGGTGGATCACCTGAAGTCAGGAGTTCGAGACCAGCCTGGCCAACATAGTGAAATCCCGTCTCTACTAAAAATACAAAAATTAGCCGGGCATGGTGGTGGGAGACTGTAATCCCAGATACTTGGGAAGCTGAAGTGGGAGAATCGCTTGAACTTGGGAGGTGGAGGTTGCAGTGAGCTGAGATCACACCACTGCACTCCAGCCTGGGTGAGAGTGAGACTCCATCTCAAAAGAAAAAAAAAGAAAAAGAAAAAGAAAAAAAAATCAGAGTAGAGGAAGAGAGAGGCAGCAGGGTGTGTCGAGGGAGAGAGCAGCTCTGCCCCAGTAAGCAAGGCTTTTCGTTTACTTGCAGTTTGGAGTGGTTGCCCACTCAGGCTCACCAAATAAACTTCCAATGTTTCCCACCTACCTAAAGCTCTACATTCTCATTTCTGACTTTCTTTCAGCTTAGCTAACCCCTTGACTCAGCAGCCATAGCCATATTCTTTTCTAACTAGGGCTCCTAGGCTTACTGTTCCCATTGTCATGATAATATCCCTTCCTCTGCCCACCTGGAGGAGAGGGATCAAGGAATAAGGTACCAACGAGGTGGCTTGTTTCAGTCTTACTTATTCTCATTTAGTTTCTAACGTTCATGATCAGGTAATAGTGATACGGTTTGGCTCTATGTCCCCACCCAAATCTCATCTTGAATTGTACTCCCATAATTCCCACTTGTTGTGGGAGGGACCCAGTGGGAAATAATTGAATCATGGAGACAGTTTTCCCCATACTGTCCTCATGATAGTGAATAAGTCTCATGAGATCTGATGGTTTTATACAAGGAAACCCGTTTCCTTGGCTCTCATTCTGTCTCTTGCCGCTGGCATGTGAGACATGCCTTTCACCATCTGCCATGATTGTGAGGCCTCCCCAGCCATGTACAACTGTAAGTCCAATAAACCTCCTTCTTTTGTAAATTGCCCAGTCTCAGGTATCTTTATCAGCAGCGTGAAAACGGACTAATGCATGTAGTGTATTAGCGCGTTCTTGCCCTGTTACAAGGAAATAGCTGAGACTGGGTAATTTATTTATGTATTTATTTTTGAGAGACAGAGTCTTGCTCTGTTGCCCAGGCTGGAGTGCAGTGGCATGATCTCAGCTCACTGCAACCTCCGCCTCCTGGGTTCAAGCGATTCTTCTGCACTAGCTTCCCAAGTAGCTGGGACTACAGGCGTGTGCCACCATGCCCAGCTAATTTTTGTATTTTTAGTAGAGATAGGGTTTCACTATATGTTGGCCAGGCTGGTCTCAAACTCCTGACCTCAGGTAATCCGCACACTTTGGCCTCCCAAAGTGCTAGGATTGCAGGTGTGAGCCACTGCACCCAGCCTGGGTAATTTATTTTAAAAAGGGGTTTAACTGACTCGTGGTTCCGCATGATGCTGCCATCTGCTCAGCTTCTGGGGAGGCCTCAGGAAACCTACAATTATGGCAGAAGGTGAAAGGGAAGCAGGCATGTCTTAAATGCCTGGAGCAGGAGGAAGAGAGAGAGCGGGGAAGTGCTACACAGTTCTAAACAACCAGTTCTCGTAAGAACTCTATCATGAAAACAGCACTAGGGGGATGGTGCTGAACCATTCATGAGAAACTACCACCATGATCCAATCACCACCCAGCAGACCCATCTCCAGCATCAGGGATTACATTTCAACACGAGATTTGGGTGCAGACACAGATCCAAACCATATCAGGTAGGATAGCAGTGATTCCTACTCCTTCTCACTTCCCCACCATTTGGGCAAAAGAAGTCACTACTGGGTCCCAGGAAGTCTTCTTATATCCCCTAACCTGGCATGTGTGGGCATTCATTCTTTCTCTTCCAGAAATCTATGTCTCTATCAGTATTCCATCCATATTGCCAAAACTATCAAGCACTGTGCAGAATCTAAGATTTTATCCTACTTACAAATTGACAAGTTAGCCTGTTACTGTTTCATGGATGCTGGCAGAAAACATGAGACTACAGAATCAGTGACAAGGGACTTTACTATTCACTGTAAAAGAAATAGCCAGAGTTTGTATGATGCTTGTGCCAGTCTCCATGCACCTCAATCCCGTGGGGGTGATGTGAAGGGCCCATGATGGGTGCCTGCATATGCAATGGGCCTGTGTTATAGAAGAACACTGAGCTTGGGAGATTCACTGCTTTTATAACAAGCAGAAGCAAGCCCGTTCATTGCCTGTGGTGAGACAACTCACTCCTCAAGATTGTTCACAGCTAACACAACCCTGATAAATGGCCAGGGTAAAGAGTGGTTGGAGCCTTACGCAGAAAGAATGTGCAGGGATACACATGGCCCATGGTGAATTGCCTCTCCCAACAGATACAGATCAGGGAAAAATACTGCAAATCACATATCTAACAAAGCACTTCTATCCAGAATATACAAGGGACACTCAAAACACACTAAAAGAATAACCCAGTTTAAAAGTGAGCAAAAGGATTGAACAAATGCTTCACCAAAGAGAATATACAGATGAAAAATAAGCACATGAAAACATGTTTAGCATCATTCCATTAGGAAAATGCAAATTCCAACCCACTATTACATTCCACTACACACTTATTAGAACGACTAAAATTTAAAACAATTCCAAATGCTGGCAAAAATGTAGAACAACCAGAACTGTCATATATTGCTGGTGGGAACACAAAATGGTACAGCCACTCTGGAAAAAAGTTTGGCACTTTCTTATAGAGTTAAACATGCATATACCATACATGACCCAGCAATCTCACTCCTAGGTATTTACTTAATGAATTGAAAATTTATGTTCACACAAAAACCTGTACATGAATATGTATAGCATCTCAATTCATAATTGCTAAAAACGAGAAGCAACCCAAATATCATTTGACCTGTGAATGGATAAACAAGCACTGGTATATCTATAAAATGGAATACTATTCAGCAATACAAAGGAATGAACTCTTGATATACTTGACAACTTAAATGAGCCTCAAAGGCATTATGTTGAGTGAAAGAAGCCAGTCTCAAAAGATTGCATACTATATTATTCCATTTATAAAGCTTTTTGTGTGTGTGTGTGTGTGAGATGGGGTCTTGCTTTGTCACCTGGGCTGGAGTGCAGTGGCATGATCTTGGCTCACTGCAACCTCTGCCTCTCAGTTCAAGCAATTCTTCAGCCTCAGCCTCCCAAGTAGCTAAGACTGCAGGCACATGCCACCACACCCAGCTTTTTTTTGGGGGGGAATTTTTTTTTTAGATGAAGTTTTGCTCTTCTTGCCCATGCTAGAGTACAGTGGTGCAGTCTTGGCTCACTGCAACCTCCGCCTCCCAGGTTCAAGTGATTCTCCTGCCTTAGCCTCCTGAGTAGCTGGGATTATAGGTATGCACCACCATGCCCAGCTAATTTTTTGTATTTTTAGTAGAGACGGCATTGCATCATGTTGGCCAGGCTGGTCTCGAACTCCTGACCTCAGGTGATCCGCCCACCTCAGCCTCCCAAAGTGCAGGGATTACAGGCATGAGCCACGGCACCTGGCCTTTTTTTTTTTTTTTTTTTTTTTTGTATTTTTAGTAGAGATGGGGTTTCGCCATGTTGGCCAGGTTGGTCTTGAACTCCTGACCTCAAGTGATCCTCCCACCTCAGCCTCCCAAGGTGCTGGGATTACAGGCGTGAGCCACCATGTCCGGCCCTATATGGCCTTCTTAAAAGGACAAAACTAGAGTATTAGAGAGAATGTCAGTAAGTTGCTAGAGTGTAGTAGTTGGGGGAGGGTGTGACTATGAATGGATTATGAAAGAGAATCTTTTGGGGGAGGTAATAGAAATTTTTGTAATCTGATTGTTAAAATTCATAGAACTGTGTGTACCCGTCCCTCTCCCAAAAAACTCGGTGCCTATCCCAGCTTCTCTTGCCACTAAGGTGTAGACCTATGACTTAGGTTCTACCAATCAGATGCAAGTGTGCTAGGCTTTGATTTGAAGGTAAGTTAAATATGGACAGAGGCAGGCCACAGGGGCATCCACTTTCTTGGTGTGCAGCAGCAGACTCAGATTCTGGGAGCGAGGCTCATAGCAGCAGCTTCCTGTGGTAGTAGCAGATGAAGCATGGTTGTGAGCTCTCCCTGGCAACTCCATCAGAGTTGGCCCAAAAAGTCCAGCCTCCAGTTTGTTCCATCAGTTGTTCCACAGATTCTGTATTATACCTAATACCCTGTAATAAGTGTCTGCTAATTTAAACTAGTTAAGAGTGCATTATGTTGTCTGAAAGCAAGAACGCTAATGAACATATTTATGTACAACTAATGGTACTGCTCAATTCCCAGCCCATGTTTCTCATGGCCTGTTTCTCAGACTTACCATTTAACCATGAGAATCAGTTACTAAGCATGACAAGCAACCATTGCCAGAGGGAAACATCTGGATGTCATTTAAAATGGATAGAGAAGGAGTGGTGAGTCCTTACATGGCTTAGTACTCCAGAACAATTCTCTGGCACTTGAAGTGGTAAAATACTGATTCCAAGTAGACTGGTAGACTGATTGCAATAAAGGCCACAGAAGTTTCTCCCTTCCCTGGATGCTCAGCCCTTTGCACTGTGACTTTGCCACTCCTTCCTTCAAGAGATAGAGTCTGTTTCTCCATCCCCATGAATCTAGGCTGGCCTGTGACTTGCTTCAACCTATGGAATGTGGTAGAAGAAACATTTTGGGAGTTCTGAGACTATTCAAGAAGGTTTTGAAGCTTTCACTCTCATTCTCTTTAAACCCATATGGAGAAGGCTGAAAGTCTAATTTTTTCTGGAAGCATGAAACATATAGAGGCCTGTGAACCATACCACAACCAGAACTACTGAGCAATAGGTGAGGCCAGGCAGGTCCCGCACCTCCCCATCCCGCTGCCCACCTGCAAAGCTTGCCTAGTAAACACTGAGTTACCATCTGGATCTGATACACAGGATCAATTGCTCTAGGCCCTGGCTCCCTAGGGCACTGCATTGCTGGCAGCTGGTCAGGGACTGTTTTCCAGGAGGCAGAGAAAAGCTACTGAACCCCACGTTCAAATGAGCAGTCTACAAGCCACCCTCAGGGAAGCAGGGTGCAGAGGTGGGTCTGTGCCCTCTCCAACACACATCTTCCAAGCTGCCCATTGCCATTTTCTGAATTCTGGCTCCTTGTCAAACTCTCTTGTGTGTTCACACTCACCATAACTCCATTGTATAAGAGCATTAGCAAGTAGACCGGGCCGAGAGGCAGGTAAGGATACACAAGGTGGTTTGCCCAGGCTCTGCCCTTCCTGAACCACACCTTGGACCTCACATCCCACGAGAGGCAGCTCTATTCATCTTGGCCCAGGAGACCCCATCTGCTGTGTCTTGTGGGCTGGTGTTGGTGTCATACCCCACTGAAGCCTCATGGTCTACCGCCAATAGTAACAAGTACATAGATCTTCTAGAAACTACTGTGTCATTCAAATGGCATAAAGAAGGCATGTTCCACATAAAAAGAGGTGAGGAAAAATAATTGCACTGCACTTGATGCATTAATGCCGGGGGATTGGGGTCATTTTTTCTCTCATGCATTTTCCTTGTTGTTGCTATGAAGTTGTTATGCAGCAATTAAAAAAAAAAATTAGCTGTGAAAAGCATGTTCTCCTCAGTCAACACTTCCAGACCCAATGCAAGTCTACAATGACAGATGCAATCCTAAACGTAATTAACGTTACAAGCTCTGTCTAGAAGGTGTAATTAACCCTCCAGAGCTCACTTTATCTCTCGACTACTTAGGAATTCAAGGAAGAGCAGTGACAGGACTTTTGACGGAGGTATTTTAGAGGCTGTGGGCCATCCTCAACTCTTACAAATTTCCCACAATAAGAATACACATTGCATTTAAAATCCCCTATTTTGAGGCTTGAAGCTTCCCACCTATGGGTTCATGTAAGGATGGAAGTGGGTTTCAGGGCTTCTGCTCAGGGACTTGGGGTGATCATTTCTGTCTAATCCCATCAGGAACAATGACTTACCTTGGTGTATGCTCTCTGTGTGTGTGTGTGTGTGTGTGTGTGTGTGTGTGTGTGTGTGACAGAGAGAGAGAGAGAGAGAGAGAGAGAAAGAAAGAATGCATCCATACTGGGCCTGCTGTTCTGGTATCTGCTTTTGTGTGGTGAGATAAGGAACAGATCTCCTACTAGTCCAAGGCCACCTCAGCATTTCAGAGTTGCCACCCCAGAGAGAATGGTGTAGGAGTTGACTGTGCCCTTTACTAAATGTAAAATATCATCTTTATGGCAGCAAACTTCCTATCAGCCTCCCTTTACCCGGGCCTCTATTTCTCCCTGTTTCACAAAAGAAGAAACATGGTAGCTGATGAGCATAAAGGATAGAATTGTTGAAATTATCAGAAGCCAATGAGCATGTCCCTTACTATCTGTAGTATACTACCCTGTTTCTTTCCTCTATGACGCTTCCTCCAATCCATAACTACTTGTGTATCAGTTTACTTTGTTTCTGGCATGCCCTCATCTTTCTAGAATGTGAGATTAAAGATAGCAAGAACAATATCTGCATTACTCCCTCCTGGATTCCCAGGGATTAGCACAGTGCATGACAAATAATCCATGCTCAATAAATATTTCTTTTACATTTGATTTTTGAAGAGGTACAATTAAAAACAACCACAATGCAACAAGTTACCTGTCAAATTGGCAAAAATTTCAAAAGATATGAGCAGTGTTGCCAATGAGAGAGTCATAGCAGCATTCTCTCAGGATGCTAGCGAGACTGTAGTTGTCACCCCCTTTCTGGAAAATAATTTGACAATACATGCCCCAAACCTAAAAGGATTACATTGCTTCTGAGCCAGCAATTCCTCTTTTAGTTATTGAGAAGCTAAGCCAAGGAGTTCATCAATGATGTGCAAAAAATTTTAATCATGATAAATTATACTGTCCATGTTTTTAATAATAATTAAACATTAGAAAGATAATGTCACAGCCAGGCACTGTGGCTCACACCTGTAATCCCAGCACTTTGGGAGGCCAAGGCGGGTGGATCACGAGGTCAGGAGTTCGAGACCAGCCTGACCAACATGGTGAACTCTCATCTCCATTAAAAATACAAAAATGAGCCGGGCGCGGTGGTGGGCACCTGTAATCCCAGCTACTCAGGAGGCTGAGGCAGGAGAATCGCTTGAACCCGGGAGGCGGAGGTGGCAGTGAGCCGAGATCGTGCCATTCTACTCCAGCCTGGGTGACAGAGTGAGAGTCTGTCTCAAAAAATAATAATAAAATAAAAAGAAAGAAAGAGGCCCGGCATGGTGGCTCACGCCTGTAATCCCAATGCTTTGGGAGGCCGAGGTGGGCAGATCACGAGGTCAGGAGATTGAGCCCATCCTGGCTAACACAGTGAAACCCCATCTCTACTAAAAATACAAAAAAAAAAAAAATTAGCCGGGTGTGGTGGCAGGCGGCTGTAGTACCAGCTACTCGGGAGGCTGAGGCAGGAGAATGGCGTGAATCTGGGAGGCGGAGCTTGCAGTGAGCCGAGATCGCGCCACTGCTCTCCAGCCTGGGCGACAGAGTGAGACTCTGTCTCAAAAAAAAAAAAAAAAAAAAGAGAGAGAGAGAGAAAGAAAAAGAAAGAAAGGAAAAAAAGAAAATGCCACGAAAGAATATTTAAAATCTTGGAAAAGTTTTATTACAAAGTAGACAAGTACTACACTTAGTCAAAAAGCCAAGAAGAGATCAAAGTAGACAAAAAGCCAAGAAGAGATCAAAGTAGACAAGTAAACAAGATTTTATTATAAAGTAGAAACCAGATAATATGTAGAGAAATACCACATTAAATTTTTTTTATTTACATTTAGGTGGAGGGGGACAATAATGTAAACAAAATGCCATAAAGTCCTGAGTGGTTATCTGAGGTATGGGATATCAGGTGATTTTTATCTTCTTTTATTAGTTTATCTCTATTTTCCTTGTATTCCACATTTTTTTTTTTTTTTTTTTGGAGACAGAGTCTTGCTCTGTGGCCAGGCGGGAGTGCAGTGGCGCCATCTCAGCTCACTGCAACATCCACCTCTCGGGTTCAAGCGATTCTCTCCTGCCTCAGCCTCCTGAGTGGCTGAGACTACAGGTGCACGCCACCACGCCCAGCTAGTGTTGTTGTTGTTGTTTTGAGATGGAGTTTCGCTCTTGTTGCCCAGGCTGGAGTGCAATGGCGCAATCTCGGCTCACCACAACCTCTGCCTCCCAGGTTCAAGCGATTCTCCTGACTCAGCCTCCTGAGTAGCTGGGATTACAGCCATCCACCACCACGCCCAGCTAATTTTGTATTTTTAGTAGAGACAGGATTTCTCCATGTTGGTCAGGCTGGTCTCGAACTCCCAATCTCAGGTGATCCGCCCTCCTCGGTCTCCCAAAGTGCTGGGATTACAGGCGTGAGCCACTACGCCCGGCCCATACTTTTGTAATAAGAAAGAAGCAATTCGGGCCGGGCTCAGTGGCTCATTCCTGTTATCCCAGCACTTTGGGAGGTCCAGGCAGGAGAATTGCTTCAGCCCGGGAGTTCCAGACCAGCCTAGGCAACATAGTGAGACCGCGTCTCTACAAAAAATACAAAAAATAGCCGGGCGTGGTGGCATGTACCTGTAATCCCAGCTACTCGGGAGGCTGAGGCAGGAGAATCGTTTGAACCCGGTAGGCGGAGGTTGCAGTGAGCCGAGATCGCGCCACTGCTCTCCAGCCTGGACGACAGAGTGAGACTCCGTCTTAAAAAAAAAAAAAAGCAGCAATTTAAATTTACTAAACTAAAGCAGCTTTGCCCCCTAGTGGCTTGTTCATTAAACTGCGTTTATTTAGTCTGAGAAAAGAATGTCATCCTCTGAGATTGCAGAGCAGATACCACTGCAGGCTTTTGTCCCAAGGCAGAACTTTCTGGAAGATGTACTTGTCCTTTGGTAGGATAAGTGGTTATATCCTAGAGGAGCAGCCTCAAGCTGTCCCTGCCTTAGGATGCCTGGATAGTTAGGTTTGACAAAGGGGAGAAAGATGAGATTGGAATGGGGAGAACTCACTGTCACAGGAGCACCCTCCTGTGACTCAGGGTTTAATGGCCTGGCAAGGACACGTGGTGCCAGTACTAATATGCTGCTAGGATTGCTCCTTGAAGCTAGGGAATGGGGGAGTGGGGAGGAAGTGGGCATACCAGAACTGATACTGGAGAAGGTATCATAAAGCTCAAAATACAAGGTATGTGGATATGTGAGAATGGAGTTTGCTATGGTTTGGATCTGTGTCCCCACCGAAATCTCGTGATGAATTATAATCCCCAATGTTGGAGGTGGGCTGGGTGGGAGGTGATTGGATCATGGTGGTGGATTTCTCATGAATGGTTTAGCACCATCCCCCTTGATGCTGTTCCCGTGATAGTGAGTGAGTTCTTGCAAGATCTGGTTGTTTAAAAGCGTGTAGCACCCGCTACCCCGCTCTCTCTCTTGCTCCTGCCCTGAGCATGTGATGTGCCTGCTCCCCCTTTGCCTTCCACCATGATTGTAAGCTTCCTGAAGCCTCCCCAGAGGCCAAGTAGATGTTGCCATGCTTCCTGTACAGCCTGCAGAACCATGAGCCAATTAAACCTCTTTTATTTGTAAATTACCCAGTCTCAGGTATCTCTTTACAGCAATGCGAGAATGGCCTAATACAAAGTTACAAAGTGGGACCAGATCCATTAGACCACGGATCCAAACCATATCAAACTACCTCCTGACCATGTTCCCTGGGAAGGCTGAGAAGACATTCCTTCACCAGGAGTGCACTGGTAAGCAGACACGACAGCTTTTTTGAGATCAATAGTGGTTGTCTTCTGCAGACCAGAGAGACAGTAAGAGATGCTGTGGTGCAACTGGGCCTCCCAGTATCAATGCAGATTATAGAATTCCAGAATACAGAAGCCAAATGATGATATTTAACTGACCTAGGCAAGATTGAAGTAATCACCATAATGGGCCGCTATGGAATGGGCTGAGTTGTTGCCTCCCAAAATTCCTATGTTGAAGTCCTAACCCCCAGGACCTCTGGATATGACTGTATTGGGGATAGGGCCTTTCAAGAGGTAATCAAGTTAAGATTGCTAAGAGACAATCTTAGCATTGCTTTGATAGCACTGGTGAAATTGGACTGGATTAAAGAATGGTGTTGCTACTAGTTTTTAAATCTTCATGAATGAATGCTGAGTGTTGCTATTCATTATGTGAATGTTCTTAAGAAAGGAATTTTAGCATTAACGGAATTCCTGTAGGTACTTTACTAAGTCATAACCCATGCAGATACTTAGCAAGAGGCTTAGGGCAGAGATTTATTTGCCCTTGCTAGGGCTACAGTAAACATCTGTATAAGATTTTTTTTTTTTTTAAGACAGAGCGTTACTCTGTCACCCAGGTTGGAGTGCAATGGTGCCATCTTGGCTCACTGCAACCTCCGCCTCACGGGTTCAAGCGATTCTTCTGCCTCAGCCTCCTGAGTAGCTGGGACTACAGGTGTGCCACCACCACTCCTGGCTAATTTTTGTATTTTTAGTAGAGACGGGGTTTCACCATATTGGCCCGGCTGGTCTCGAACTCTTGACCTCATGATCTGCCCGCCTCAGCCTCCCAAAGTGCTGGGATTACAGGCATGAGCTATGGCACCCGGTCAAGATTATTGTTTTCTGTTGTAGAAGAAGAGGTTTCTGTTCTACACATATGGGCTGATGGACCTTGAATAAATTACCTAAGCATTCTGAATCTCTAAAAGTGTTGGTATGAGGAGTCTGTGAGTTAATCCAGGTAAAGTGTGGTGACTGGCAGAGTAAATGTGTAATAAATGGAAGCTATTAAAGTATTTTTATAAGATAATCTATTGCTATTATTAATGGTGGCTGAGGAGCAATTTCATATCCTTAAAACCACTAGCTCAGGAAACTGGTGGTCTGAAATAGGGAAATAGAAGATAAATTCTAGCCACAAATATTTGTTGAGATTCTAACTCATGCTAAGCTTTGAGGGAACAAAGAGAGAAAATGTGACCCATGCTCTCCAGGGACTCACAAATCTAGTTGTGGGGAGAATGGATGTATAGACAAAGAAAGAGAAAAGTTAATCCTAATTTATGCTACAGGTAATAAATAAATTTACTCTGTGTACGAATGTCCAGGAGAGTTTTCACAGAGAAAGATGACCTCGGCTTTGAAATATGGTAGGATTTGGACTGGCAGGGAACAGTGGGAAGAGTTTCTCAGGGAGAGGAAATGGCTAAGCAGAGATCCAGTGTCTGGAATATAATTGGGTGAAGTGGTCTGACTGAAACAAAGGGTTTGTTTCAGGAGACAGTAGGGGATAAGTATGGAGAGGCAGGTTTGAGAAGAACGTGAATCTCAGATAAAGAGTTGTGGACTATACCCTATAGGTATAGGTCCTTAAGGTAAAGGGGTGTGTGTGTGTGTGTGTGTGTGTGTGTGTGTGTGTGTGTGTGGTGTAATGGGATCCTCTTCAATGGAAAGCTATGTACATAATAGGGAAGGGGATCAAGAGTGCTAATTAATCACCTTCCCTACGGAATCTGAGCCAATAAAGAAATATATACAGGAGGGCCGGACGTGGAGGCTCATGCCTGTAATCCCAGAACTTTGGGAGGCAGAGGTGGCCGGATCATGAGGTCAGGAGTTCGAAACCAAGCTGACCAACATGGTGAAACCCTGTCTTTACTAAAATACAAAAATTAGCCAGGCGTGGTGGCACACACCTGTAGTCCCAGCTATTCAGAAGGCTGAGGCAGGAGAATCGCTTGAATCCAGGAGGCGGAGGTTGCGGTGAGCTGAGATTGCACCACTGCACTCAAGCCAGGACGACAAGTGAGAGACTCTGAAAAAAGAAAAGAAAGAGAGAGAGAGAAGGAAAGGAAGGAAAGGAAAGAAAAGAAAGAAAGGAAGGAGGAGGCAGCTCTCCTGGAGGCAGCTAGCGTGAGGCTGGGGAGCGCAGAGCTGCGTGTCATGCCCTGCGCTGCCCAGACTAGTGAACAATACAGTCAGGATGGCTAAAGGTGACCCCAAGAAACCAAATGGCAAGATGTCTGCCTATGCCTTCTTTGTGCAGACGTGCAGAGAAGAACGTAAGAAGAAATACCAAGAGGTCCCTGTCAATTTTGCAGAATTTTCCAAGAAGTGCTCCAGGAGGTGGAAGACAATGTCCAGGAAAGAAAAGTCTAAATTTGATAAACTGGCAAAGGTGGATAAAGTACGCTATGATCGGGAAATGAAGGATTATGGACCAGCTAAAGGAGGCAAGAAGAAGAAGGATTCTAATACCTTCAAAAGGCCACCATCTGAATTCTTCCTGTTCTGTTCAGAATTCCACCCCAAGATAAAATCCACAAACCCTGGCATCTCTATTGGAGACGTGGCAAAAAAGCTGGTGAGATGTAGAATAACTTAAATGACAGTGAAAAGCAGCCTTACATCACTAAGGCGGCAAAACTGAAGGAGGAGTATGAGAAGGATGTTGCTGAGTATAAGTCGAAAGGAAAGTTTGATGGCGCAAAGAGTCCTGCTGAAGTTGCCCAGATAAAGGTGGAAGAGGAAGATGAAGAAGATGAGGAGGAAGAAGAGGAGGAGGAGGACGAGGAGGATGAATTTAAAAACTGTTTATCTGTCTCCTTGTGAATACCTTAGAGTAGGGGAGTGCCATAATTTTTTGTTTTTGTTTTTGTTTTATTTTTGAGACGGAGTCTCACTCTTTCACCCAAGCTGGAATGCAGTGGCACAATCTCAGCTCACTGCAACCTCTGCCTCCCAGGTTCAAGCAATTCTCCTGCCTCAGCCTCCCGAGTAGCTGGGGATTACGAGCATGAGCCACCATGCCTGGCTAATTTTTGTATTTTTAGTAGAGACGGGGTTTCACCACATTGGCCAGGCTGGTCTTGAACTCCTGACCTCAGGTGATCTGCCCGCCTCAGCCTCCCAAAGTGGAGGATTACAGGCGCTGCGTGGAGCGCAGTAATGGACACATCTCTTATTTGAGAAGTGTCTGTTGCCCTCATTAGGCTTAACTGCAAAATTTGATCACGATCATATTGTAGTCTCTCAAAGTGTTCTAGAGATTGTCAGTGGTTTACATGATGTGGCCATGGGTGTCCAGAGCACCCTGAAACTGTATCAAAGTTGTACATATTTCCAAACTTTTTTTTTTTTTAATTGATCATTCTTGGGTGTTTCTCGCAGAGGGGTATTTGGCAGGGTCATAGGACAATAGTGGAGGGAATGTCAGCAGATAAACAAGTGAACAAAGGTCTCTGGTTTTCCTAGGCAAAGGACCCTGCGGCCTTCCGCAGTGTTTGTGTCCCTGGGTACTTAAGATCAGGGAGTGGTGATGACTCTTAACGAGCATGCTGCCTTCAAGCATCTGTTTAACAAAGCACATCTTGCACCGCCCTTAATCCATTTAACCCTGAGTGGACACAGCACATGTTTCAGAGAGCACAGGGTTGGGAGTA
Organism: Homo sapiens; assembly: GCF_000001405.40. Lineage (NCBI taxonomy): Eukaryota > Metazoa > Chordata > Mammalia > Primates > Hominidae > Homo > Homo sapiens. Next base: position 134,960,849 of record NC_000023.11, on the reverse strand, counting down.
AGGTCACAGATCAACAGGATCCCAAGGCAGAAGAATTTTTCTTAGTACAGAACAAAATGAAAAGTCTCCCATGTCTACTTCTCTCTACACAGACACGGCAACCATCCGATTTCTCAATCTTTTCCCCACCTTTCCCCCCTTTCTATTCCACAAAACCGCCATTGTCATCATGGCCCGTTCTCAATGAGCTGTTGGGTACACCTCCCAGACGGGGTCGTGGCCGGGCAGAGGGGCTCCTCACTTCCCAGTAGGGGTGGCCGGGCAGAGGGGCCCCTTGCCTCCCGGACGGGGCGGCTGGCCGGGCGGGGGGCTGACCCCCCCACCTCCCTCCCGGACGGTGTGGCTGCCGGGCGGAGATGCTCCTCACTTCCCAGACGGGGTGGCTGCCGGACGGAGGGGCTCCTCACTTCTCAGACGGGGCGGCTGCCAGGCAGAGGGTCTCCTCACTTCTCAGACGGGGCGGCCGGGCAGAGACGCTCCTCACCTCCCAGATGGGGTCGTGGCCGGGCAGAGGCGCTCCTCACATCCCAGACGGGGCGGCGGGGCAGAGGCGCTCCCCACGTCCCAGACGATGGGCGGCCGGGCAGAGACGCTCCTCACTTCCTAGATGGGATGGCAGTGGGGAAGAGGTGCTCCTCACTTCCTAGATGGGATGGCGGCCAGGCAGAGACGCTCCTCACTTCCCAGACGGGGTGGCGGCCGGGCAGAGGCTGCAATCTCAGCTTTTTGGGAGGCCAAGGCAGGCGGCTGGGAGGTGGTTGTAGCTAGCCGAGATCACGCCACTGCACTCCAGCCTGGGCACCATTGAGCACTGAGTGAACCAGACTCCGTCTGCAATCCCGGCACCTCGGGAGGCCGAGGCTGGCGGATCACTCGCGTTTAGGAGCTGGAGACCAGCCCAGCCAACACAGCGAAACCCGTCTCCACCAAAAAAATACGAAAACCAGTCAGGCGTGGTGGCGTGCGCCTGCAATCGCAGGCACTCGGCAGGCTGAGGCAGGAGAATCAGGCAGGGAGGTTGCAGTGAGCCGAGATGGCAGCAGTACAGTCCAGCTTTGGCTCGGCATCAGAGGGAGACTGTGGAAAGAGAGGGAGAGGGAGACCGAGGAGAGGGAGAGGGAGAGGGAGAGGGAGAGGGAGAGGGAGAGGGAGAGTTTCCAAACATTTTTAAAATGAAAAGGTACTCTGCTGTTCCCCTCACTCTGTGCACTTTGCTGTTGGTGTGGGAAGGCACTTAATGATGTTTTTGGCTTTTTTTTTTTTTGTAAGGTGGTGTTAACTATATGGTTATTGGTTAGAAATCCTGAGTTGTCAACTGTATATATCTATAGTTTGTAAAAAGAACAAAACACCGGAGAAAAACTCTTGATGCTCCTTGCTTGGTGTTGAGGCTGTGGGGAAGATGCCTTTTGGAGGGGCCGTAGCGCAGGGCATACAGTGTAAGGCTGGACCTGTTGACTCTGCAGGGGTCATCCATTTAGCTTCAGGTTGTCTTGTTTCTGTATATATTGACATAGCATTCTGCTGCCATCTTAGCTGTGAACAAAGTGGGGTCAGCTGGCATGAGAAGTTTTTGGGTTTGTGTGTGTGTGTGTGGTAGTTTTTAAACTGTTTGTTTTAAAACAAACTATAGAACTCTTCGTTGTTAGCAAAGCAAAGAGCCCCTGCATCAATGAAAGTTCAAGAACCTTCTGTACTCAAACACGATTTGCAACATTCTGTTATCCTTTTGTATGTTTAGAATGCTGAAATGTTTTTGAAGTTAAATAAACAGTATCACATTTTTTTAAAAAAATGAAATATATACAGAATGAGATGGGAGTTAAAGTATGAGCTTTGCTAATATTAATGCTGTATTGGAGAACATAGAAGAGCCCCAAGGCCAAAATGGACATCCTACTTCTTCCTCCTAATTTAGACAGAATTAGCCATCCAGCCACAGGCAGGAGAAGCCATGACCTGGCCACAGAAGCAGGAAACAAAATATTTGCCATTTGTACAGACAAATGGAGCAAGAGGTCAGATCATTTATTTGCAGTGACCTTGAACATGTTAACCTGGCCCAGAACTGGGACCAATGAAAAGCAGACCATCCTAAGTATTAGTTACTCCTCCTCCTGTGGGGAGAAGCAAATAAAGGGTGGAGAGGGAGTAGAAATGTGCCTCCTAGGCTGGGCGTGGTGGCTTACACCTGTAATCCCAGCACTTTGAGAGGCCAAGGCAGGTGGATTACCTAAAGTCGGGAGTTCGAGACCAGCCTGGCCAACATGGTGAATCTCCGTCTCTACTAAAAATGCAAAAATTAGCCGGACATGGTGGTGGGTGCCTGTAATCCCAGCTACTCGGGAGGCTGAGGCAGAAGAATCACTTGAGCCCAGGAGACAGAGGTTGCAGCAAGCTGAGATCGCACCACTGGACTCCAGCCTGGGTGACAGAGCAAGACTCTGTCTCAAAAAATAATAATAAAATTAAATTAAAATAAAAAAAGAAATGTGTCTCCTAGAGAGTACTGAAGTCACCTCTCCTCTATGGAAACATGAGTACTGGAGTAAGAGTCTCTCTCACCTAAAGCAATGGACCCTCTTCAAAGAAAAACAACAAGTTTGAATAGAATTTTAGGATGTTAATGGACTCCCTAAGAGTTCATGGACTCAAGTATAAAGATCACTGATGTAGACAATAAGTCAACTTTTTTTAAGTAGGAAAATGAACTAGCAGATTTATTAATGACAGTCCAAACTTGGAAGCAACCAAAATGTCTTTCACTTTTTAAATGGTGAAACAAACCATGGTACACACATACCATGGAATATTACTCAGCAATAAAAAAGGAAAGAACTTTTGGCATATAAAACAACCCAAATTACTCTCCAGGGAATTACGCTGAGTGAAAAAAAGGCAATCTCAAAAGGTTACATACTGTACAATTCCATTTATATAATGGTCCTGAAATGGCAAATTATAGAGATGGAGAACAGGGTTGTGGTTGCCAGGGCTCAAGGATGTTGGAGAAGGGAGGGGGATGGCTGTTGCTAGAAAAGCTTAGCACAATCAGCCAGCATGTTGGCTCATGCTTGTAATGCCAGCCCTTTGGGAGGCTGAGGAGTTCGAGACCAGCCTGGGCAACATGGTGAAACTGCATCTCTACAAAAAATACAAAAATTACCTAGGCATGGTGGTGTGCACCTGTAGTCCCAGCTACCTGGGAGGCTGATGCTGGAGAATCGCTTGAGCCCAGGAGGCAGAGGTTGCAGTAAACTGAGATCATGCCACTGCACTCCAGCCTGGATGACAGAGTGAGACCCTGTCTCAAAAAAAAAAAAAAAAAAAGTTACCACAAGGGATCTTTGTGATGGAACTGTTCTGTCTCATGACTGCGGTGGTGGTCACATGTATCTACATGTGATAAAACTGCATGGGACTAAATACACACACACACACACACACACACACACACACACACGTAAAACTGATTAAATCAAATAAGGTCAATTTCCTGGTTGTGACAGTGTCCTGTAGTGACACAAGATGTGACTGTGGGGGTAATTTGGGTGAAGGGTATATGGGATCTCTCTGTTTCATTTCTTACAACTGCATGTGAATCTACAATTAAATTAAAAAGGTGTTTTGGTTTTGTTTTTGAGATATGGTCTCACTCTGTCACCCAGGCTGGAGTACAGTGGCGTGATAATTTTTATTTTTTTAACATTTTTTTAAAAAAGTTTTTTGGCACCAGGCACAGTGGCTCACGCCTGTAATCCCAGCACTTTGGGAGGCAGACAGATCACTTGAGGTTAGGAGTTTGAGACCAGCCTGGCCAACATGGTGAAATCCCGTCTCTACTAAAAATACAAAAGTTAGCTGGGAGCAGTGGTGGGTGCTGGTAATCCCAGCTACTCAGGAGGCTGAGGCAGGAGTATCACTTGAACCCGGGAGGCAGAGGTCACAGTGAGCCGAGATTGTGCCATTATACTCCAGCCTGGGTGACAGAGCTAGATTCTGTCTCAAAAAAATAATAATAAAAGTAAATAATAAATAAGGTTTTTGGAGAGATGAGGTCTTGCCATGTTCCCCAGGCTCGTCTCAAAATTTTGGCCTCAAGCAATCCTCCTGCCTCTGCCTCCCAGAGTACTGGGATTACAGGTGTGAGCCACCGTGCCCAGCCTGCAACCCATTTTTTATTGACAGTTTTACCATAATCAATACCCTTTAGGGTTAAAAACAGTAATTCTCTTCTCATTTAATTAATAAAACCTTAGGTGGATCTATATGGAATTATATAGAAAATATATATATATAAGAAGTGTTCTTTATTTCTCTTTGGTTTCTTAACACAAAAGACATGCATTCTCTAAATAAAAAGAAATAAGATTTTCTGGGAAACAGCAAATTGGGACCAGGCACGGTGGCTCATGCCTGTAATCCCAGCACTTTGGGAGGCCGAGGTGGGTGGATCACCTGAGATCAGGAGTTTGAGACCAGCCTGGCCAACATGGTGAAACCCTGTCTCTACTAAAAATACAAAAAAAAAAAAGAAAAGAAAAGAAAAGAAAAATAGCCGGATGTGGTGGCAGGAGCCTGTAATCCCAGCTACTGGAGTGGCCGAGGCAGAAGAATCACTTGAAGCCGGGAGATGGGGGTTGCAGTGAGCCGAGATCGTGCCATTGCTCTCCAGCCTGGGCGACAAGAGCAAAACTCCGTCTCAAAAAAAAAGAGTGTGAGAATGTTGGTGTTTGCTCACTTGTGCTCAAAGCCCAGCTCAAAGCACTGGCTTCATCTCACTTGGAAACATTGACCTCAGAAGTTACACTGACATAGCAGTGTAACTTCTACACCAAGAGGTAAGAGTGGACTCAAGAAGGCCACTACAAGAGCAGCATACTGGTCGGGCATGGTGGCTTATTCCTGTAATCCCAGCACTTTGGGAGGGTCACCTGAGGTCAGGAGTTGGAGACCATTCTGGCCAACATGGCGAAACCCCGTCTCTACTAAAAATACAAAAATTAGCCCGGCATGGTGGTGGTCGCCTGTAATCCCAGCTACTCTGGAGGCTGAGGCAGGGAGAATCGCTTGAACCCGGGAGGTGGAGGTTACAGTGAGCTGAGATCATGCCATTGCTCTCCAGCCTGGGCAACAGAGTGAGACTCTGTCTCCAAAAAAAAAAAAAAAAAAAACAGCATACTGTGGGAAACTGAAAACTGATCTTCCCCAGTGGCAAAATCTAGGCTAGCCTCCTAAGGACCAAGCAAAGCCCACTTCACAATCCAGGCTTGTCAGTACTACTTTAAATTCGCAAAAGTAAGGGGCTTATAATAATAAGATGAGCACTGATACGTTCCTAACAGGAAACGCAGACCACAATCTCCTTCTGAGTCTACCTCTGTAGGTAAACCAGGAGGGAGGGAGAAATGCTGGAGCTCCACCATGAGCCATATTGAATATCAGATTGTTAAGTCTTTTAAAATGAAAACATCATTTGTAAGTGCCTGTAGCAGAGGCCCAGCTCCTGAGTTGCAGATGAAAAAAAAAAAAAAAAAAACTTCCCTCTGAATACATGGCAATTGCCTGATGGTCTTGGGCTTCTGGAGATGCCCTAAGCACCACATTGTGCCTTTCTTAGCAGGTTTCCAAGCCAGCGCAGGTAGATAGCAAAGAATAGGAAAACAACCAGGTGGCGATTAAGAACCCTAAGGAATTGTATCATCTTTTAGCCTCTACTGGAAGAATTTTAGACGACCAGATTTTGGCAGCAGCAGCTGAAAGCCCCACAGCCCAGAGCACTGGTAATAGAAAATGTGCACCTCTTTGAGTCTCACTGTGCTACATTAAGGTCCCATACAGGGAGAAAGAGAAAGTAGCATGGAATCTCTTCAAGAGGTCATTTTTCAAGATTAGAAAAAGAAACACAAAATTTGTTCTTTGCAGCAGCAAGAGATTGTTTCAGCCTTCAGTTCTTCTTGTTATAAAGCCACCTTTGCTTGAATGTAAAGGTCCATCTTCTTGCTGGTCCGCCGGCCAAGGGCTGAAAGCATGCTACACCACTGGAATTGGTGAATGGAAGCAGGAACAGTGAAATAGCAGGCAGATAAGGTCACCAGACAAAGCCAGCCCGTGGCTGGTTAAAAGAAGCAAGCCCTGGCCGGGCGCGGTGGCTCAAGCCTGTAATCCTAACACTTTGGGAGGCTGAGGCGGGCAGATCATGAGGTCAGGAGATCGAGACCATCCTGGCCAACATGGTGAAACCCCATCTCTACTAAAAATACAAGAATTAGCTGGGCATGGTAGTGCATGCCTGTAATCCCAGCTACTCAGGAGGCTGAGGCAGGAGAATCACTTGAACCAGGGAGTTGGAGGTTGCAGTGAGCCGAGACTGCCACTGCACTCCAGCCTGGGCGACAATGCGAGACTCCCTCTCAGGAAAAAAAAAGAAGAAGAAGGAGAAGGAGAAGGAGAAGAAGAAGCAATCCCTTGTGTAGGTTCTAGAGGTACAGATGGTCAATGTGCCACAGAAGCATCACAATTGAGAAGAATCATCCAAGAGCGATAGATAGGCAAGTGAGAATCTGGCCCATCCTGCTGTTTCCTGCTAGTCAAAAAAGGAAGGAGTGTAAGTGACCGTGAGGAATCTGAATGAGTAGCACAGGAACATCTGGGGCCTTCAGCAACAGCTGAGAGTTCCCACCTAGAAGAGTGGCAGTAATTTGGCCGGTTTGCTAAGCCTGTGATTTAAAAAGTCCTCTAACAGTGAGTTTGAAGACAAACCCCATGAGCATCTTACTACAGGACCAGTTGAGAATGCATTGATTCCAGACATGTAAGGCCTCAGGACTCTGGGATCCGAATCTGCGAGTGGATACTGCTCTCTCTTGGTTGATGGTTTTCCATTTAAACACACACACACACACACACACACACACACATATTTTTTAAGTTCTGGGATACATGTGCAGGGCATGCAGGTTTGTTACATAGGTAAACGTGTGTCTTGGTGGTTTGCTGCACCTATCAACCCATCACCTAGGTATTAAGTCCCACATGCATTAGCTATTTATCCTGATGCTCTCCCTCCCCCTGCCACCCCAGCAGGCCCCAGTGTGTGTTGTTCCCTTCCTTGTGTCCATGTGTTCTTACTGTTCAGCTTCCATTTATAAGCGAGAACATGCAGTGTTTGGTTTTCTGTTCCTGCATTAGTTTGCTCAGGATGATGGCTTTCAGCTCCATCCACGTCCCTGCAAAGGACATGATCTCATTCCTTTTTATGGCTGCATAGTATTCCATGGTGTACATGTGCCACATTTGCTTTATCCAGCCTATCATTGATGGGCATTTGGGTTGGTTCCAGGTCTTTGCTATTGTAAACACAGAAATTTATTTGCCCCTAGTGTCCTTTATATTTTTTCTTCCTGCAAAATATGTTAATGTTAAAAAAGAAAAAAAAAATTCTTTTCAATTTATTTCAAGTGTTTCTTTGTTTAAATGTCCTTCAGTTTATTTCAAGTATCTTTTTTTTTCCAGTTTCTCCTGGACAAGCTGAAAAAGACCTTACTGAAAACGCAAAATTAGGCATGAGAAAAACTTCTGTTCCCCCTTCTTACCCAGTGATAAGGGAATTCTTCATGCCCTACAATGGAAGAAGGAACAGGCTTGTGAGCAGCTAGTACATCGCTGTAGCTGCATCGTCACAGGCAGTAAGAACATTTAGAGTGTGTCCTTTCTCTCCCAGCTACACCGCACAGTTTCCAACAGTCTTGGCCACTGCAACCTCCTCATGGCAAATTGGCCACAACATGGCTGGAGAACAAGCAGGCGAGGAGGAGTGTCAGATGGAAGGCCTTCTGCAAATGGGCAGCCTACAGAACTGTGATGGGTAGGAGCCAGGCTTGGTTGGAGGCTGTGTCTGTGTGGACCAGCACAGCAGTTCCATGTCACCAGGTGCAGGACTAGAGGGGCTTCTGTCCTGTGCTGTGCATCTTGATGACCTAGGCCTGAAGGTCACAAGGGCAGCACAGTGAGGACTTAAGCACCTGGAAAACTCAACATCCAGCGAGCTCACATTTCACAACATCTTCTGGTCCACCAACTCTCCAAAGAGGAATTGTCCTTGGAAGAATGCACTTACATTTGTTCAAAATTTTTTTTGTTAGGGGAGGCAGACAGAGTCTCACTCTGTCATCCAGACTGGAGGGCAGTGGCACGATCTCGGCTCACTGCAACCTCCACTCCCCAGGCACAAGTGACCCTTCTACCTCAGCCTCCCGAGTAGCTGGGACTACAGGCATACAACATCGTGCCCGGCTAATTTTTGTATTTTTAGTGGACACAGGGTTTTGCCATGTTGCCCAGGCTGGTCTCGAACTCGTGACCTCAAGTGATCCACCTGCCTCAGCCTCCCAAAGTACTGGGATTACAGGTGTGAGCCACCGAGCCTGGCCAAAAGAGATTTATTATTATTTTTTTCTCTGGGTGGTAGAAATGCCAGTGGTTTTATTTCCTTTTTACTGATACACATTTTCTGCAGTGGTATGGTATTAATTGTGTAAAAAAAAAAACGTAAGAAATGATAAAAGGTGTTTTTCAAAGGACCCCAGTCCCATTTCCAAGGCAGATAATGGGACTGGGGTCCTCTGAAAAACACCATCAATCATTTCTTTTTTCTCTTTCTTTCTTTTTTATTATACTTTAAGTTCTGGGGTACGTGTGCAGAACGTGCAGTTTTGTTACATAGGTATACACATGCCATGGTGGTTTGCTGCACCCATCAACCCGTCACCTCCATTAGGTATTTCTCCTAATGTTATCCCTCCCCTAGCTCCCCACCCCCCGAGAGGCCCCAGTGTATGATGTTCCCCCCCCTGTTTCCACGTGTTCTCATTGTTCAACTCCCACTTATGAGTAAGAACATGCAGTGTTTGGTTTTCTGTTCTTGTGATAGTTTGCTGAGAATGATAGTTGCCAGCTTCATCCATGTCCCTGCAAAGAACATGAACTCATCCTTTTTTATGGTTGCATAGTATTCTATGGTGTATATGTGCCACATTTTCTTTATCCAGTCTATCATTGATGGGCATTTGGGTTGGTTCCATTTGGGACCCACTTGAGGGGGCAGTCTGACCCTTAGCAGAGCTTGAATGCTGTGCTGGGAAGTCTGCTGCTCTCTTTCAGAGCTGTCAGGCAGTGACCTTTAAGTCTGCTGAAGCTTCGCCCACAGCCACCCCTTTCCCTAGGTGCTCTGTCCCAGGAAGATGGGAGTTTTATCTGTAAGTCCCTGACTGGGGCTACTGCCTTTTTTTTCAGAGATGCCCCACCCAGAGAAGAGAAATCTGGCAGTCTGACCACTGCAGCCTTGCTAAACTGCAGTGGGCTCCACCCAGTTCGAACTTCCCAGTGGCTTTGTTTACACTGTGAGTGTAAAACCGGTCTACTCAAGCCTCAGCAATGGCGGACGCCCTTCCCCCCACCAAACTCCAGCATCCCAGGTCGCTCTCAGACTGCTGCTGTACTGGCAGCGAGAATTTCAAGCCAGTGGATCTTAGTTTGCTGGGCTCCATGGGGGTGGGACCCGCTCAGCCAGACCACTTGGCTCCCTGGCTTCTGCACCCCTTTTCCAGGGGAGTGAATGGTTCTGTCTCACTGGTGTTCCAGGCGCCACTGGGGTATGGAAAAAAAAAGAGCTCCTGCAGGCCGGGTGCGGTGGCTTACACCTGTAATCCCAGCACTTTGGGAGGCCAAGGCGGGCAGATCGCAAGGTCAGGAGATCGAGACCATCCTGGCTAACACGGTGAAACCCCATCTGTACTAAAAATACAAAAAATTAGCCGGGCATGGTGGTGGGCACCTGTAGTTCCACCTACTCGGGAGGCTGAGGCAGGAGAATGGCGTGAACCCGGGAGGTGGAGCTTGCAGTGAACCGAGATTGCGCCACTGCAATCCAGCTTGGGCGACAGAGTGAGACTCCATCTCAAGAAAAAAAAAAAAAAAAGAACTCCTGCAGCTAGTTGGGTGTCTGCCCAAATGGCCACCCAGTTTTGTGCTTGAAACCCAAGGCCCTGGTGGGGTGGGCACCGGAGGGATTCTCCTGGTGTGTGGGTTGTGAAGACTATGGGACAAGCGCAGTATCTGTGCTGGAGTTCCTCAGGCTCAGTTTCTCATGGCTTCCCTTGGGTAGGGGTGAAAATTCCCCCACCCCTTACACTTCCCCGGGTGAGGCAATGCCCCACCCTGTTTCGGCTCGCCCTCCGTGGGCTGCACCCACTGTCCAACCAGTCCCAATGAGATGAACCAGGTACCTCAGTTGGAAATGCAGAAATCACCCACCTTCTATGTCGATCTCGCTGGGAGCTACAGGCCGGAGCTGTTCCTGTTCGGCCATCTTGCCAGCAATCGAGATTTATTTTTATAATGAATTGGTTCACATAATTATGGGGTCTGGCAAGTTGAAAGATCTGCAGGGTGAATAGACAACCTGGAGGCCCAGGAGAGCTGATAATTTAGTTCCAGTCCAAAGGCCCGCAGGCTCGAGACCCAGGGAGAGCCAATGTTTCAGGCCAAAGGCAGAAAAAAAGTCAATGTCCCAGATTGAAGATCATCACGCAGGAAGAATTCTCTCTTACTCAGGGAAGGGTCAGCTTTTTTGTTCTTTCAGGCTTTCAACTGTTGGATGAGGCCCACTCATATTAGGAAGGGCAATCTGCTTTACTCAGCCTACTGATTTAGATATTATTCTCATGCAGGGACACCCTACAGGCTGGGTGCAGTGGTTCACACCTGTAATCCCAGGGCTATGTGAGGCTGAGGCAGGAGGATCACTTGAGCCCAGGAATTCGAGACCAGCCTGAGCAACAGAGCAAGACCCTGTCTCTACAAAAAAAAAATTAAAATAAATTAGCCAGAGGTGTTGGCATGCACCTGTCGTTCTAGATACTTGGGAGGCTGGAATGGGAGGATTGCTTGCGCCTGGGAGGCTGAGGCTGCAGTAAGCTATAGTCATGCTACAGCACTCCAGTCTAGGCAACAGAGCAAGAGCAAGACCCTATCTCTATATTAAAACACACACACACACACACACACACACACACACACCTACCTACCTTTACAGACACACCTAGAATAATGCTTGACCAAACCCTCTTGACTCCATGGCCCAGTCAGTTGACACATAAAACTATCACCTAAAAATGATTTGAACATCACTGACCTAGTGATGAGAAATGTGAAGCCAGAGAGAGGAAGGTCTTTGATCTTCAAATCTTCCTTATTGAATTTATTTTGCTGATTGAGTTTAGATGCCAGCCTTCATTCCCTTGTGGAGGCTGCAGAAGAGAATCCGTTTCCTGGCTTTGTCTAGCTTCTAGAGGTCACCACATGACTCATGACTGACCCACTTTCTCTATCTTCAAAGGCATAGGTTGAGCGTTTCTCATATCAAATCACTCTGACACAAATTTCCCTGCCTCCTTTGTTTATTTATAAGGATCCTTATGATTATATTGGGCCTACCTGGATAATCCAGGATAATCGCTCCATCTCAAAGTCAGCTGATCAGCAACCTTAATTCCACCTACAAACTTAATTCTTCAGTTAACAAAAAAACAAACTCTAAAATATTTTAAAGAGACTTATTCTAAGCCAACATGAGTGATTGGGGCCCAGGAAGAAACACAAATCCAAGAAGCCTTGAGTAAGTGGTCATGAGGCAGTTAGGTCACAACTCTGTTTCATATATTTCAGGGAAGTAGAAGTTACAGGCAAAGTCATAAATCAGTACATAGAGTTTATACATTGGTTTGGCCAAAAAAAGCTGGATATTTTGAAGTGGGGGTTTACAGGTCATAGGTGGCCTCCGAGATTCTTTAACTTGCAGTTGGTTAAAGGAGTAAAGCTCTGTCTAAAACTTGGGAGTCAACAGAAAGGAATGTTTTAAGATAAGGATGCTATGTCACAAGATCAATGACTGGCAACTGCAATTTAACCTTTGACTTGCATAGCCTTAGGTCTTGTTTATAATTGGGTATCTTAGTCATAAAGAGTCTGTTTTGTCAGTGTTATGATCTCTATTTTAACCTTAATGCTGGTCAGTTGTGCCTAAGCTCCAAAGGGGTGGGGGTATAATGAGGCACGTTCAATCTCACTTCTTGTCATGGCCAGGAATTCAGTCTTTAAGGTTTTTGTGAGAGGTCTCCTTGGCCAAGAAGGAGTCCCTTCAGTCGGTGGAGGGACTTTGGATTCTTTTAGCTTACACCTCCTTGCCATGTAACATATTCACAGATGCTGGGAGTTACAAAATGGGTATCTTTGGGGCTCCATTATTCTGCTTGCCACAATATTCATGCCAGGGACATCTGAAAGAGCCTCTCCCTTCACACTACTGACCTGTTTCCAGAGTGACATTGGCTCCCTGGCTCAGGGCCATTTTCTGGCATCTGGGCCCTTCTACAATAGAGCCTTCTGGTAACAGAGCCTTCCCTACTTAGCCAGTGTTGTCTTCTCAGAATTTCTTCTTTTATTGGTTTTCTTGCCTAGAAAGTGGTCCTTGCAGCCAGGTGTGGTGGCTCACACCTATAATCCCAGCACTTTGGGAGGCTGAGTCGGGTCGATCACGTGAGGTCGGGAGTTCGAGACCAGCCTGGGCAACATGGCAAAACCCCATCTTTACTAAAATTACAAAAACTTAGCTGGGCATGGTGGCGGACACCTGTAATCCCAGCTACTTGGGAGGCTGAGGCAGGAGAATTGTTTGAACCCAGGAGACGGAGGTTGCAGTGAGCTGAGATAGTGCCATTGCACTCCAGCCTGGGCAACAGAGTAAGACTCTGTCAAAAAAAAAAAGAAAAAAAAAAAGAAAGGACGGAAGGAAGAAAGCAAGAAAGAAAGAGAAAGTGGTCCTTGCTTTTTGGGCTCAGATTATAGAACCAACCAACCCACCTGAGGTCAGCTTCTCATTATTGAATGGCACATTGAACTTCTAAATAGCTTTTATACACTTCAGGGCCTTTGCAATTACTATTCCCTCTGCTTGGAATGCTCTTCCCCCAAACTTTCTTTTTTTTCTTTTTTCTTTTTTTTTTTATTTGAGACACAGTCTCATTTTGTAGCCCAGGCTGGAGTGCAGTGGCACGATCTTGGCTCACTGCAAGCTTCGCCTCCCGGGTTCATGCCATTCTCCTGCCTCAGCCTCCCGAGTAGCTGGGACTACAGGTGCCCGCCACGATGCCCGGCTAATTTTTTGTATTTTTAGTAGAGACAGGGTTTCACCATGTTAGCCAGGATGATCTCGATCTCCTGACCTCGTGATCTGCCCGCCTCGGCCTCCCAAAGTGCTGGGACTACAGGCGTGAGCCACCGCGCCGGCCTCTTTTCTTTTTTTTAAATTTTTATTTTTTAGAGACAGGGTCTGATATGGTTAGGTTTTGTGTCTCCACCCAAATCTCATCTTGAATTGTAATCCTCATAATCCCCACATGCCAAAGGAGAGACCAGGTGGAGGTAATTGGATCATGGGAGTGGTTTCCCCCATGCTGTTCTTGTGATAGTGAGTGAGTCTCACGAGATCTGATGGTTTTATAAGGGGCTCTTCCCCCTTCACTCAGCACTTCTCCTTCCTGCTGCCTTGTGAAGAAGGTGCCTTGCTTCCCCTCTGCCTTCCACCATGATTTTAAGTTTCCTGAGGCCTCCCCAGCCATGCTGAACTGTGAGTCAAACCTCTTTTCTTTATAAATTATCTAGTCTTGGGTATAGCAGTGTGAAAACTGACTAATACAGGGTCTCACTCTGTCCCCAGGCTGGAACGCAGTGGCCAGATCATGGCCCATTGCAGCCACAACCTTCTAGGCTCAAGCAATCCTCCTGCCTCAGCCTCCCAAATAGCTGGGATTACAGGCATGTGCCATCACACCCGGCTAATTTTTTATTTTTGTAGAGACAGGGTCTCACTATGTTGCCCAGGCTGGTCTCAAACTCCAGAGCTCAAGTAATCCTCCCACCTCAGCCTCCTGAGAAGCTAGGATTACAGGCGTGAACCACCACAGGCTCCCCAGGTTTTCTTGCGGCTTCCTCACTTCCTTCAGTCTTTTCTCCACTGCTTCACAGAACACCATATCATAAATGGCATGTCTCTACTTTCACTCGCATCCATGTGAAGAGACCACCAAACAGGCTTTGTGTGAGCAATAAAGCTGTTTATTTCACCTGGGTGCAGAAGGGCTGAGTCCGAAAAGAGAGTCAGCGAAGGGAGATAGGGGTAGGACTGTTTTATAGGATTTGGGTAGGTAAAGGAAAATTACAGTCAAAGGGGGTTGTTCTCTGGCGAGCAGGGGCGGGGAACACAAGGTGCTCAGTGGGGGAGCTTTTGAGCCAGGATGAGCCAGGAGAAGGAATTTCACAAGGTAATGTCATCAGTTAAGGCAGGAACAGGCCATTTTCACTTCTTTTGTGATTCTTCAGTTACTTCAGGCCATCTGGATGTATACGTGCAGGTCACAGGGGATATGATGGCTTAGCCTGGACTCTGAGGCCTGACATCTACCCTACTTGATCTCTGCGTTCTTCTTCTGCTTTATCTTTCTTAGTATTTACTATGACCTCACAAAGGTAATATATGAAATTGCTGTTTATTTTTCTTCCTTCCGCCCCTAGAATGTGAGCTCCATAAGGGTAAAACTTTGTGTTATTCACTGCTGCATCCCCAGCATCTAGGACTAAGCCTGCCACCTGCTAGGTGCACAATAAATATTTGTTTGTGTCGACAAAAAGAGTCAACCTCTTTAAAATATTTGAAGAGATTTATTCTGAGCCAAATATGAGTGACCATGGCCTGTGACACAGCCCCCAGGAGATCCTGAGAACATTTGCCCAAGGTGCTCAGGGTGCAGCTTGGTTGTATACATTTTAGGGAGGCCCGAGACTTAAATCAAATACATTTAAGATGTGCATTGGTTTGGTCCAGAAAGGTGGGACAACTCAAAGCAGGGAGGAGGGCTTTCAGGTTATAGGTAGATTTAAAACTTTCTGGTTGACAATTGGTTGAGTTTATCTGAAGACCTGGTATCAACAGAAAGGAAATGTCTGAGATGTGATAAGAGGTTGTGGAGACCAAAGTTTTATCATGCAGATGAAGCCTCCAGGTAGCAGGCTTCAGAGAGAATAGATTGTAAATGCTTCTTTTTTTTTTTTACTGAGACAGAGTCTCACTCTGTCACCCAGGCTGGAGTGCAGTGACAGATCTCCGCTCACTGCAACCTCTGCCTCCCAGGCTCAGACGATTCTCCTGCTTCAGTCTCCTGAGCAGCTGGGACTACAGGCATGCACCACCACGCCCAGCTAATTTTTTGTGTTTTTAGTAGAGATGGGGTTTCACCATGTTGGCCAGGCTGGTCTCGAACTCCTGACTGTCTCACGCATCCGTGTGAACAGACAACCAAACAGGCTTTGTTTGAGCAACATGGCTGTTTATTTCACCTGGGTGCAGGCGGGCTGAGTCCGAAAAGAGAGTCAGCAAAGTGTGGTGGGATTATCATTGGTTCTTATAGGTGTTGGGATAGGCGGTGGAGTTAAGAGCAATGTTTTGGGGGCACGGGGCGGATCTCACAAAGTACATTCTCAAGGGTGGGGGAGATTATAAAGAACCTTCCTAAGGGTGGGGGAGATTACAAAGTACTTTGATCAGTTAGGCTGGGGCAGAAATAAATCACAATGGTGGAATGTCATCAGTTAAGGCTATTTTCACTTTTTTTGTGGATCTTCAGTTGATTCAGGCCATCTGGATGTATACGTGCAGGTCACTGGGGATATGATGGCTTAGCTTGGGCTCAGAGACCTAACACTGACATCAGGTGATCCGCCCACCTCAGCCTCCCAAAGTGCTGGGATTACAGGCATGAGCCACCGTGCCTGGCCATAAATGCTTCTTACCAGACTGCATTGATGTTAATACCAGAGAAGTATAAGAAGGCATGTCTGGCCCCCACTTCCCGTCAAGGCCTGAGCCAGTCTCTCAGGTTATATTTTGAGAGTGCCCTGGCCGAGGAAGAAGTCCATTCAGATGATTGGGGGCGGTGGGGGGGGGGGGGGTTAGAATTTTATTTTTGGTTTACATTTGAATCAATTCCCATCTCTTTATCCCCATTGCCACAAATTTAGTTTAAGCACTGATCATCATCTCTGGTTTGGATAATTGGAACAGTCTTCTAACAGGTCTCTAGACTTCCTCTAACTGCCCATTCTGCAGTCAAAATGATCTTTCAAAACTGCAGATCCAATCATGACTTCCCCTTGCTCAAAAAATCTTCAGTAACTCCTCATTTTCTTCAGGATAAAATAATTTGGCACCAAGGCCCTCCATAATTTGGTCCCCTTCATTGAATCATGAAAACTTCACGAGCACCTACTCTGTGGCAGATACTATTCTAGATTCTGGAGATACGACAGTGAATGAGACATGTCCCCCACCATCAAAAAGTACATAGGACTAACTCATAGGTCTTGAAGTTCATAGGTACAGAAAGCAAAGTAGATTGAGGATCAGAAATCAGGGTGGAACATCTAGGACTGAAGGTTCCTCCCTGTTTCCAAGGTATATGAAGCAGCATCTGTAACCAGCACCCACTCAATAACCTCTTCTTTATTGGAGTAGGTAGTTTATCTTGCCAGCCCTAGAAATGGGTATTGGGACAAAGGAGAGAGGCAGACAGAGCCTGTGGTTACTTCCAGCCTCCACGGCAGACCCAGAGGGAAGAAAGGAAACGAAGCAGCACCCAGGGGTAAAGTACACAAAGAATAAAGTCCTCCTTGCTTTAGCAATGAATATGTTGGGAGGATGACCTGAGCTGGCCTCACTGCCTGGTACCCAAAGGCAAGCCTGCTCATTAAGGGACCCATCTGCTCTTACAGAGGCTGCAGGCAGATAGTCCTTACAGGAATGATGACCTTAGGGTAAATAGATCTATTCAAAGACAAGCTATTTCACCTATTCATCAAAGTCCTCCAATTATAAACAAATGGTCAACTAAGGAACACCAACAATTTGAAGGAAAACAACATAAAAGAAGTTCAAGGCCGGGCGTGGTGGCTTACGCCTGTAATCCCAACACTTTGGGAGGCTGAGGCAGGCAGATCACTTGAGGTCAGGAGTTCGAGACCAGCCTTCCCAACATGGTGAAACCCTATCTCTACTAAAAATACAAAAATTAGCCGGTCATGGTGGTGCATGACTGTAGTCTCAGCTACTCAGGAGGCTGAGGCAGAAGAGTTGCTTGAACCCAGGAGGTGGAGGTTGTAGTGAACTGAGGTCACGCCACTGCACTCCAGCCTGGATGACAGAGTGAGACTCCATCTCAAGAAAAAAAAAAAAGAACAAAGAAACAGCTGATCCTGAAGGAAGCAGATAATGAAAAAATCAAAAACGACCCCCAGAAAGATGAAAAAATATATTACAAACATAAAACCAGAAAAAGCAATCAGAAAATGAGAAAGTTCTGGGAAAATAAAGATATGACTTGAAAATACAACAAATGTTAAGGAGACAGCACAAGAGTTAAAGTTGACTTTTAGGAATGCATAGGAAGTATGAAATAGATTTTGTCTTTAACATCAATCTTGTATGTTTTTTTTTTTTCCAGACGGAGTCTCGCTCTGTCGCCCAGGCTGGAGTGCAGTGGTGCGCGCGATCTCGGCTCACTGCAAGCTCCACTTCCCAAGTTCACGCCATTCTCCGGCCTCAGCCTCCCGAGTAGCTGGGACTACAGGCGCCCACCACCATGCCCGGCTTATTTTTTGTATTTTTAGTAGAGACGGAGTTTCACCATGTTAGCCAGGATGGTCTCAATCTCCTGACCTCATGATCCGCCCGCCTCAGCCTCCCAAAGTGCTAGGATTACAGGCGTGAGCCACCGCGCCTGGCCTCAACCTTGTATTATAAAAGAGAACAATATTTATTTTCAAAGTGGTTTCCACAGTTGTTTAGGAGAATCCCCACTTTTGCATTCAGTGTCGATGGGCTCTTACAAATGGTTTATATACCTACAACTTGTTTTCTTATTTGTTGGCACAAACATATCACTGTGAAAAACAACATCTCAAATTTTGAAGAGCTCTTTGAAAGTTTTACTCTTCATATTCTAGGTGATATTTAGACTTAGTAACTGATGAAATAAAAATTAGCCATTTATAAGGACCAGAATTATCCAAGTATTTAAGAGAAACCAGGAATATTTCAATTCATATAATAGAGCTGGATGGAATCCTAAAATAACATCTCAAATTTAGGAAAAAAACTGAGGACCATCTAGAGGAGGCGTGTTGGCCACAGTCACCCAGAGCATTTGCAGAAACTGGCCTCCAAATTTCTACTTTACTGTAGAAGGGAAATCAGTTTAAAGCTCATGGACAAACTCTTATCAGAGTTTCTAAAGTTACATGATTTTTGAAACTTCAGGCATTGCTTCTGTTGAACAGATTTTCATTTTTAGATAAAACAATAGCTACCTTACAAAATGACATTTATTTATTTATTTATTTTAAGATGGGGTCTTGCTCTGTCACCCAGGCTGGAGCGCAGTGGCACAATCTCAGCTCACTGCAACCTCTGCTTCCCAGGCTCAAGTGATCCTTCTACCTCAGCCTCCTGAATAGCTGGGACCACAAGTGTGCACCACCACACCCAGCTAATTTTTGTTGTTTTTTGTTGTTGTTGTTGGGTTTTTTTTGTGTTTTTTTGTTTGTTTGTTTTTTGAGACGGGGTCTGCCTCTGTTGCCCAGGCTGAAGTGCAGTGGCTCGATCTCTGCTCACTGCAACCTCCGCCTCCCGGGTTCAAGAGATTCTCCTGCCCCAGCCTCCTGAGTACCTGGGATTGCAGGCGTGCACCACCATGCCCGGCTAATATTTTTTTGTTGTTTTTAGTAGAGACGGGGTTTTGGCATGTTGGTCAGGCTAGTCTCGAACTCCTGACCTCATGATCTGCCAGCCTTGGCCTCCCAAAGTGCTGAGATTACAGGCGTGAGCCACCCCACCTGGCCTAATTTTTGTATTTTTTATAGAGATGGAGTTTGACCATGTTGCCCAGGCTGGTCTCGAACTCCTGACCTCAAGCAATCCTCCTGCCTTGGCTTCCAAAGTGCTGGGATTACAGGCCCATCTTGCCCAGCCAATAACTTTTTAAAAGGAACCTATACAAATAATTTTAGAGAAACAAATACTTCGGCTCAACAACCGTCAGGGTGACAGCAAAGCCATTCTGGTCTTGGCCAGGATTTAAATGCATGTTCTCAAACAAATACATCCATTCCAAATGACATTCCAGGGCTTTTAGATACAACTTCTCATGGAGATATGATGACCAATAAGAAATCACTTCTCGGCTGGGTGCAGTGGCTCACCGCTATAATCCCAGCACTTTGGGAAGCCAAGGCGAGCGGATCACCTGAGGTCAGGAGTTCGAGACCAGCCTGGCCAACATGGCGAAACCCCATCTCTACTAAAAATACAAAAATTAGCTGGGCGTGGTGGCTTGTGCCTGTAATCCCAGCTACTCAGGAGGCTGAGACAGGAGAATCGCTTGAACCCAGGAGGCGGAGGTTGCAGTGAGCCAAGGTTGTGCCACTGCACTCCAGCCTGGGCAACAGAGCAAGACCCTGTCTCAAAAAAAAAAGAAAAAGAAAGAAATCACTTCTCAATGCCTGTCACATTTTATGAGTTCTGTCTGTGTAACTTCACCAATGTGGGTTGTAACTCTGGGTCTGATACTTAAGAGCTGTTAAGATTTTGAACAAAGTGACCTTTCTGAGCTATTAGACTTTCAAAAGTTTGCAGCTTTTATTACAATACTATTATTACTAGTATCATAAATTCCCAAAGAAAATGGGGATAATTAAGTACCTGTTCTTATAGGATTCTTATGGTAATTAAATAAGGTAATGCACTTTAAAAATAACTTAACACTTCAACATGTAGTAATCTGTAGATTATACTGTTAGTAGTAGCAGTAGCAGTAGTATTGCAGTGTCATATCTAATGTGAAAGTTAAGTTACAGAGTCAGCATGTCAAGCCAAAAATCACATTAAAATTATTCTTGGCCAGATGCGATGGCTCATGCCTGTAATCCCAACACTTTGGGAGGCCGAGGTGGGCGAATCACGAGGTCAGGAGTTCGAGACCAGCCTGGCCAACATGGTGAAACCCCGTCTCTACTAAAAACACAAAAATTAGCCAGGCGTGGTGGCGGGAGCATGTATACCCAGCTACTCGGGAGGCTGAGGCAGGAGAATTGCTTGAACCCGGGAGGCAGAGGTTGCAGGGAGTTGAGATCACGCCACTGCACTCCAGCCTTGGTGACAGAGTGAGACTCTGTCTCAAAAAAAAAAAAAAAAAAAGCGTTTAAAAAAAAAAGATACTAGCAGGCCACACGCAGTGGCTCATGCCTGTAATCCCAGCACTTTGAGGGGCCAAGGCAGACAGATCACTTGAGGTCAGGAGTTCAAGACCAGCCTGGCCAACATGGCAAAACCCCGTCTCTACTAAAAAATACAAAAAATTAGCCGGGCGTGGTGGCAGGCACCTGTAGTCTCAGCTACTTTGGAGGCTGAGGCAGGAGAATCACTTGAACCTGGGAGGCAGATGTTGCAGTGAGCCGAAATTGCTCCATTGCACTCTGGCCTGGGTGACAGAGTGAGACTCCATCTCAAAATAAAAAAGAAAAAAAAATTATTCTTGAAAGGACTAGGCACAGTGGCTCACACCTGTAATCCCAGCATTTTGGGAGGCCGAGTCAGGCAGACCACTTGAGGCCAGCATTCGAGACCAGCCTGGCCAACATGGGAAAAGCCTGTCTCTACTAAAATACAAAAATTAACCAGGTTTGGTGGTGCATGCCTGTAATTCCAGCTACTTGGGAGGCTGAGGGATGAGGATTGCTTGAAAACCCAGGAGGCAGAGGTTGCAGTGGGCCGAGATGCCACCATTGCACTCCAGCCTGGGCAACAGAGCAAGACTCTGTCTAAAAAATATATATATATATATATTTCTTGAAAGTTCCAATAATTTCCCATAAAGTATACTATCCATGCCCTTGCATATATGCTGTCCAACTGATTTACTCCTGTCTCATGCTCATTCTGTGGCATATACTTACTAAATGGAATGGCAAATGGATTTGCTTTTTCTATTTCTTTTATTTTCCTGTATTGGTAGAGCATACCCACACAGTTAAATCTGCATAAATTAAATGCACTAAATGGGACACCACTGATTTATTAGTACAGACAGCCCTCTGTATCTGTGGGTTATGCATCTGTGGATTCAATCAACTTGAAATCAAAGATATTTGAAAAAAAATGCCTGTGCTGAACATGTACAGATTTTTTGTTGTTGTTGTCATTCTTCCCTAAACAATGCAGTGTATGTATTTACATAGCATTTACATTGTATTGGGTATTATAAGTAATCTAGAGATGGTTTATATAAAGAAGGATGTGCATCAGTTATGTGCAAATACTACGCCATTTTATATCAGAGACTTGAGCATCTGAGAATTTTGGTATCCATGAGGGTCCTAGAGCCAATCCTCTGTAGATACAGAGGGACGACTCTATCTAATGTGAGCCCTACCCTTTGCTACTTTCTTGAGACAAAAAACTCAAAGTTTTTAAAATGCTGACCCTGAGATTCATTTATATTGAAACCACAGAATTTTAGAGTTGGAAAGGATCTTGAAGGAGTTGATCAATGCATGGGGTGGCAGAATATCAGAGTTCCAGATGTGACTGTGGTACTTACAAGCTAGATGAGCCACTTAACCCCTCTGTCTTTCATATGCTCACAGGTAAAATGATGGGAGGGCGTATGCTGCCTGTCTTCCAAAGCTGTGGAGGAAATTCCACAAGATAGTAATTATAACAATAATGATGTCGAAAAGCAAACTTTCAACAAGTTGAGTTGAAAAGATCTAAATGGCTTTTATTAATGATTCATGAATTGGGCAGCATCCCATCCATAAAATAGAAGGAATTCCAATGAGCAGAGCAGAGAGGGTTGGTTTTATAGGCAGAAAAGTGGTAAAGAAGCAAAAATAGAGAACAAAAAGTAGATTGTTCATTTTTTTCACTTGTTTTTATTTATTTATTTATTTTTAATGATAGAGTCTCACTCTGTCACCCAGGCTGGAATGCAGTGGTGTGATCACAGCTCACTGCAGCCTCATCCTCCTAGGCTCAAGCAATCCTCCTACCTCAGTCTCGTAAGTAGCTGGGACCACAGGCACGCATTACTGCACTCAGCTAATTTTTTAGTTTTTTGTAGAGACA
The DNA here is from genome assembly GCF_000001405.40 of Homo sapiens. Classification (NCBI taxonomy): domain Eukaryota; kingdom Metazoa; phylum Chordata; class Mammalia; order Primates; family Hominidae; genus Homo; species Homo sapiens. The sequence goes on along the minus strand of NC_000023.11, from coordinate 134,938,558 downwards.
GGGTCTCCTTATGTTGCCCAGGCTGGTCTGGAACTCCTGGGCTCAAACAATCTTCCCACCTTGGCCTCCCAAAGTGCTGAGATTACAGGTGTGAGCCACCACACCCAGCAAATTGTTCATTTCAAAGTTACTTTCCTTACAGGGTTAGAATAGAGGGGACTTCATTATCATACTGGCTCAGATAAACTGGGCCCCTTCTGATTGGCCACTGTGAATATCTTATTTTTTGGAAAGTTGGCTCATTTTAAAGTTCAGTTTGATTACATGGCACCTAGAACTAGTGACTCCATTCTGGTTTGGTTTGCTCTGTTAGGCCTAGTCCAGGATCTCAGTCCAAAACAATTGGCTTCCCACAATTTTTATTTAAGAAGATAATAACAATTGTTAATGCTTACTGGAGGCTATTTCATTTAATTCTCACAGTAGTCTTGAACGAGGTAGTTTCCATAATTAACCCCAATTTGTACATGGAGAACCTGAGACACCAAGATGTGTGTCAATGCACTTTGAAAAATCAAGCCCGAATTAGCCGGGCATGGTGGTAGGCACCTGTAATCCCAGCTACGTGGGAGGCTGAGGCAGGGGAATCGCTTGAACTCAGGAGGCAGAGGTCGCAGTGACCCGAGATCGCGCCACTGCACTCCAGACTGGGTGACAGAGCAAGACTCTATCTCAAAAAAAAAAAAAAAAAAAAGGAAAGAAAAAAGAAAAACAAAACTCAAACCTGGTGGCCGGGCAAGGTGGCTCACGCCCGTAATCCCAACACTTTGGGAGGCCAAGGTGGGTGGATCACATGAGGTCAGGAGTTCGAGACCAGCCTGACCCCATCTCTACTAAAAATACAAAAATTTGCCGGGCCTGGTGGTGTGTGCCTGTAGTCTCAGCTACTTGGGAGGCTGAGACAGGAAAATTGCTTGAACCTGGAAGGCAGAGGTTGCAGTGAGCTGAGATCCCACCACTGCACTCCAGCCTGGGTAAAAGAGTGAGACTCTGTCTCAAAAGTAAAAAAAAGAGAACTCAAGCCCTATGCAAGTGTGGAGATTGATTGGGATGAGGCTGCTGAGGGATAGAAATACAAATGTGACTTTGGAGAAGTCACATCCCCAAACTGGGATTACTTTTCTCATCTGTAAAATGAAGAAGTTGAACTCTTTCAAGGTACATTCAAAACTCCAAGAGTTTAAATAGAAAAGTTGAATGTGGTTCATTGTCCATACACTATAAATAAATTATTTCATGAACAAATTCTAATAAATTTACTTGTCAAGCTCTCTACAGCAACTCTATTAGGTCCACATGTTGAAGCCTGCATGGCATTTCACCCATTGCCAAGTTGCCCCTTTCTTTTATGTTTATTTGAAGTGCGAATGCTTCAAAGTGTTCTGAATATTTTCTCCTTACAGTGCAATAAAAGGACCAAGGAACATTCCCAGCAAAGCCTGCTTATAATTTATAATGCCAGATTACAATTTAATAATACATCTGTGGCTCCTTTGGCCAGCTTGACTGAAATTTTTAACGTGCATTTTTTCTGTAAGGCAAACAGGATACGTTCATTTTCCCATGTTTCAACTGTAAATATATTTTAATACTTTAAAAAATTTTAGAAAGAAGAAAGGAAGGAGGAAAAGAAAGAAGAAAGGAAGGGAGAAAAGAAAAAAAGGAAAGAAGGAGGGAAAGAAGGAAGGAAGGGAGGGAGAGAGGGAGGGAGGAAGGAAGGAAAAGAGTCACATTTCTGCTCTAATCCAATCCCAGTATTTTTCACTCCTAGATGCTTCCTTCTGACCTTGTTCAGCTGCTTTCAAATTTTTCCATAGTTTGTTCATTCCACAGGTATTTATTAAGTCATACCACTTACCAGGCAACAATCATTGTTCTAAGGACTGGAGATACAGCAAAGAGGAAGACAGAGGCCCAGCCTTGGTTGTAAGTTCCATGTACACGTACTTTTGTTTCCCTTTTTTTTTTTTTTGGCTTAACATTATATCTTAAGCATTTTTCCATGTGTTTGCCCTGAAAGAATGTGGACAAAAAAAATAAAATAGGCTCTGTTGTTAGAGGGAATTAGTAAGTTAATAAAACATTTGTTGATTCCACTGAAAGCATTAAAGTAGTAACAAAATAATTTTTACAAAAGTAAAAAAGAATAAAACATTTGTGCAGTCCTGCTGGGAGAGAGATTTGAAGATGATAATAATCACTGTTTTTCAGCCGGGTGTGATGGCTCAGGCTTGTAATCCCAGCAGTTTGTGAGACCGAGGCAGGAGGATTACCTGAGTCCAGGAGTTCGAGACCAGCCTGGCCAAAATAGTGAAACCCTGTCTGTACAAAAAATACAAAAATTAGCCAGACGTGGTGATGGACACCTGTAGTCCCAGCTACTTGGGAGGCTGAGGCATGAGAATCACTTGAACCCGGGAGGCGGAGGTTGCAGTGGGCCGAGATTGCGCCACTGCACTCCAGACTCTGTCTCAAAAAAAAAAATCAAGTTTTTTTGAGTACCTCCTTTGTGATAGGCACCATCTAGATGATATACACATATTATCTCATTTACATTAATCTTCACTACAGCTCTATGAGGTTGAAGATAGTATTATCTTATCCCTATTTTGCATGTAAGGAAACTGAGGATCAGAGCTTCTAAATTGCAAAGCCAGAATTAGAGTTCCAGTCTGAGCTGCATCAAACATTTCCCTTTACTCTGGGGATGGAGTGAGGAGCTTTGATTTCATTCCATTTCTTTCTTTTTGGAGAATAGGGAGTGGGCAATCATTTTGAACCAATTTGCCCAATTTCATAACTACGTTCAGGTTTGAAAGGAGCTGAAAATGATATGCAATTTGGAGGAAGTGAAAGAAAATAGAAATTATCCCCCTTTTTCTCTTTCCTCACCTTAAGACCTGCCACTGCATCCTTTTTGTTTGGAGAAACAAATGAGAAAATTGTCCGATCTTTTAGCAATAGCTTAAAACACAAATTACCAAGATACAGTAATTAGACTGAATAGTCAAGACATGCCAAAGATGTCTAGTTTTATTGCCTACATGCGCCAGTGGTTTAAGGGAGGTTAGGGTCACCTTGAGTCCTTCACATATCTCCAAGGTGATAACAGCAACAAAAACAAAATTCTAACAAAAAGAATTCCTGGACAGTCATGCAGCTCTTTACAGTTTTCAATGCCCTGTACAGCAGATTCTCAAATAGGAACAATGTGTGGACACTTTCCATCAGAAAATAATTATTTCAGGCCCTCAGTGTTGATCTTCTATTATAATATTACTTACATATATGATAACATAAAACAAGACATAAACTCCTTATACTCATAGCATTTAAACAACTGTAAATCCAGAATGATTTCACATATTAAATGCAAACAAAACTAAAAAATCAATACAACTCAAATCACTAACACTAGTTTAATATAATGGATGGTGTTGTTTTGCTAAAATGAAATCACTTGCCCCAGTGTGAATTGAATATTAGCATGTGCATTATTAAAACAATTCCTCTGAATTAACTTTGATGTTATCTGGCTTCGTTTGAAGGAAATATATCACTTATACTTTATGTCTACCTCTGTTCTTTTCCCTTGGATCCAAAAGAATTAAAGTAGTAATCTTTGGTACCATTATGATTGTAAACAGAAATGCAAATTTTAGTGCTGAAATTGCATGACAGTATTTGGTTATAAGATGGTCATTGACTTAATACCATTCTGTGGGACAACTTGAGGACCACAGTGTCAGAAACACTAGTGATTAAGAGCATAAGCTTTGAAACCTGACAGATCTGAGTTTGCCACTTCCTAGTTGTGTGAGCTTGGACAAGTAATTTAACCTCTCTGTTCCTCAGGTTTCTTCCCCTGTAAAATGGGGATAATAATAGTACTTTAATTTTGCCAGCAGAAACAGGCACCATGACCCACTTTTTAGACATGATGTTTAAGCCTGAAACTGCTGAGAAACTAGAAGTCACTCAGTGTTCCTTCAGCGCTCCTCTGTAATTCCAGAACTACATGAAGGTGGACAGGTTTTAAAAAGATATTTCTCTGGACTTTCACCCTCCCCTCCCAATATCTGCATTTGCTATCCCAGGTTCATGTTTTAGGGTGGAACTGGAAAATGTGATTGAGCTTTAAAAAGGAAACAGCAAAATGGCAATGCCAGTAAATAGACAATTGAGAATCAGTTGAACTCATGCCACAAGACAGCTGTTTCTATATGAAGCCCACCAATGAAAGCCTGCTTTTCTGCTTCCTGACCTGGCACGAATCCCTTGATTCCTGCGGCCCCCAAGGTTGAAAATAGCCCAGCCACCTGCCAAGGGTTGGTATATTTTTAGGACCAACAGGATTGGAAACAGGGCTCTGTATGCCTGGAACTTGAGCCAGGCTGCTGGGTGGGTATCTTACCTTCACTGGGTTGCTGGTTTCTGTGCTGCTGGATCAAATCCAGCAGCCAGTCACAGAAATGGACAGAGAGCTGTGAGAGAAGCAGATTGGAACAGTGAAAGGAGGTGGGGTTTGTCTGGGGAGGGGTGAATACAGGGAGAATGGAGTGAGTAGAAGGTCATAGCTAGTGGATGTTGGGTTAAAAGATATAGGAAAGGGGCTGGGTGCGGTGGCTCATGACTGTAATCCCAGCACTTCGGGAGGCAGACGCGGGTGGATCACTTGAGGTCAGGAGTTAGAGACCAGCCTGACTAACATAGTGAAACCCCGTCTCTACTAAAAATACAAAAAATATCTGGAAATCGCTTGAACCCGGGAGGCGGAGGTTGCAGTGACCCGAGATCATGCCACTGCACTCCAGCCTGGGCAACAAAGCGAGATTCTGTCTCAAAAAAAATATAAAAGATATAAGAAAGTTCCATAAATGATAGGACCCCACAACAAGCAGAAATCACAGTGCTAGACCCTTTCCTTGTTTAGAAAAAAAGTGTAGTTAAAACTTATCTCAATATCTTCCATCAGTCTCTCAAACAAACAGCTCAGAAATGGTCCCAATACCAGGTATTTGTCAAACTATAACAGATGAGACTGGGCACCAGTGGGTGCACGGTGGCTCATGCCTGTAATCCTGGCTGAGGAGGGCAGATCACTTGAGCCCAGGAGTTTGAGGCCAGCCTAGGCAACATGCCAAAACCCTGTCTCTACAGAAAATATAAAAATTAGCCAGGCATGGGTAGTCCCAGCTCCTCGGGAGGCTGAGGTGGGAGAATCACTTGAGCCCAGGAGGTCGAGGCTGCAGTGAGCCGTGATGGCACCACCGCACTCCAGCCTGGGAGACAGAGACCCTGTCTCAAAAAAAAAAAAAACAAAAAACAACAACAACAACAACAACAAAAACAAGTTATAGCAGATGAATCTGAAGCTTTTATTCTCTCCTTCCTTTTATCTGCACCCCACTCAAGAGAAAAAATTACTTTCCTTATGTCTCACTGTGGGTCTTACTCCCTCCTCTGAGTAATTTATCAGTCATTCTTCCAAACCAACACAACATTCCTTCTAAGCAACGTACACACAGAGAAGAGATGAATAGATGGGAGAGCAGAACACAAAGGCCTAACTAACCTCATTTGAGAGCCAATTAATCTGCTTGAGAAAATATTTTTTTGAATTTCATTTGAGACCTGAAGGATAAATCATGCCAAACTGTGGTGCTGGTGTGGGGGAGGGCTGGTGGGATGATGGGGAGAGCACTCCGGGACAGAGAGCACAGTATGTAAAGGTTCTGAGTGGGGAAAGCAAGTCATGTTTCAGGACTTCGGAAAAGTCCTGTTTGGATAGAGTTGAGAGATCAAAGGGAAATGTTGCAGGGGATGTTGGGAGACAACAGCAGGGGCCAGATCAAGGAGGGCCTCTGCGGTGTTATGATGTACATATATATATTGGTTTTCGCCCATGGTTCTTGGCTCATAACTCCCATAGCCCTTGTTACACTCTTGTTATAATATTGGGTGTGCTAGGCCTCAGAAGCTGGCCTCAGGAAACAGAATCTGATCTTCTCCCACTCTCCTTTCACCTGCCGCAAGGCAGAACTCGAATCCTTCCCCCACTTTTCTGATTATGGATCTTAAGACCCTCTCCTGACAGAGTCTTGCCACATACCTTAGGGGAAGGAATGCTGACATAATGACACGTCCGTCAAAACCCAAGAAGACTGGGTTTGGAGAGCTTCCCGATAGCTGAACACATAAAGGTTCCTGGAGGGTGCTGCACCCAGGGAGATCGTAGAAGCCCCGCGCCCCTTGCCCCATACCTTGCCCTATGCATCTCTTTACCTGTATCTTTTTCAATACCCTTCATAATAAACCAGTAAACTTGTTTCCTGAGTTCTCTGAGCTGCTTCAGCAAATTAATGGAACCCAAAGAGGTGATTGTGGGAACCCCAACTTAAACCAGTCAGTCAGAAGTTCTGGAGGCTTGGACTTGCACCTAGTGTGTGTGGAGGGGCAGCCTTGGAGACCGAGCCCTCCCTTTGTGGGATCTGACAGTATCTCCAGGTAGAGAGTGTTGGAATTCAATTGGAGGACTTAGTGTGTGGGGGAACCCCCCCACCACTTTTGGTCATAGAATTCTTCTTCTGTTGTGATGATTGCTGTGGTGGTGTGAAAGCAGAGGAAAAAACCAGTTTGAAAGTTTTCCAAAACAGCCTCACATTTATCTAGTCTTTTAGCAAATATTTGCTGAGTGCTTACTATGCGCTGGGAGCTGTCCTAGGTGTTTGGGAGTGTATTAGTTTGTCAGGGCTGCCCAGTAACAAGGTACCACAGACCAGGTGGCTTAAACAACAGAAATTTATTTTCTCACAGTCCTAGAGGCTGACGTCTGAGATCAAGGTGTCAGTACGGTTGGTTTCTTCTGAGGCCTCTTTCTTTGGCCTGTAGATGGCCACCTTCATCCTGTGTCTTCACATGATCTTCCCTCTATATGTGTCTGTGTCCTCATCTCTTTTTTTTTTTTTCTTTTTGAGATGGAGTCTCACTCTGTTGCCCAGGCTGGAGTGCAGTGGCACAATCTTAGCTCACTGCAACCTCTGCCTCCCGGGTTCAAGCAATTCCCGAGTAGCTGGGACTACAAGTGCACTCCACCATGCCCGGCTAATTTTTGTATTTTTAGTAGAGACGGGGTTTCACCATATTGGTCAGGCTGGTCTCAAATTCCTGACCTCAGATGATCCACCTGCCTTGGCCTCCCAAAGTGCTGAGATTACAGACACGAGCCACCACGCTCAGCCCTCATCTCTTCTTATAAGGACACCAGTCAGATCGAATTATGACCCATACTAATGACTTCATTTTACTTAATTACCTCCTAAAGACCCTATGTCAAATATAGTCACATTCTGAGGTACTGGGCGTTAAGACTTAAACATACGAATTTTGGCGGGGTGGGGGGCAGGCTTGAGGGGGCAAATTTGGTGCAAACTAGCGATATAGCTGTGTGCAAAACAAAGATCCATGGACTCATGCAGCTTACATTCTAGAGGAGGGAGGGAGACAGACAACAAATAATAGTCCGAATAAAGTATATAGACTGTTAGAAAGTGATTATGGAGGCCGAGTGTGGTGGCTCACACCTGTAATCCCAGCACTTTGGGAGGCCAAAGTGGGGGGATCCCTTGAGGCCAGGAGTTCAACGAGATCAGCCTGGACAGCATGGCAAAACCCTAAAAAAAAAAAAAAAAGGAGAAGAAGAAGAAGGTGATTATGGAAAAAAAAAAAAGATAACGTAGGGAAGGATGAAGGGTTGGGAATATGAGCCGTGTGACAGAGGGTGGAGGTGCAGACGGAAGGAAAGAGGAAGAGCTACAGATTTTGCTCTTTATCCTAGAGGCAATGAAAAGCTCTTAAAGGGTTTTAAATAGAGGTGTGACATATTTGCTTTTGAAAAAGATCACTCAGACTGCTTATAACAAAATAAAAGGGTGGGAGAGGAAGGTAGGAGGATATAGCAGTAGTGCAGATGATAATACTGGCCTGAATTAAAGTGGTAGTAGGGGTAATGAATGATATGGATAGATTTAAGATTTGTGAAGGAAACTGAATGAATAGGACTTGGTAATTGGTTGAATATAGAGGGAGAAGAAAATTGACAAAACAAGATGACTCCTAGGGTGCTGTCTTGTAAAACAGGATGGATGATAACATCATTCACTGGCATAAGGAACACTAAGAGAAGACCTGATTTGGGAGAGAAGATCACGAGTTCGCTTTTGGATGTTGTGAGTGAAACACTTGTGTGACACCCAAGTGGAGATATCCAGTTGTTAGTTAGATATGAGGGTCTAGAGGTCAGAGTGGGACAGGAATAATATAAGGTGGTCGCAGGAGAATAGAAAATTTCAGGCAGCAGTTTTACATGACTAGTAAAAGGAAACTGTTGAAACAGCTGCATATGCTAAGGACCCATAAGACCCTGAATAACAGGATGTGGGCCAAGCTGGCTAAGAATGACTGGACCCAACATGGCCCTGGATTTGACCTATAGGATCTCACTATATGCTCATTAACATAATCTCACATCCACCAGCACCATAACAGTTCTGGGAACACCCATATTTGGTGTAAAAATGGGTGGTGCCACAGTTCTGAGAAATCTTCACCTTTTTCCAGAAGTCTTCATGAATATTTCATCCCTTGGTTAAAGAAACCCATAAAAATAGAAGCCCCAAAGCCTATTGGGTGCGACTCTCTTGAGTACACTTGCACGCCCCTTTCTTGAGAGTGTGCTTTCACTATTTTCTGACTTGTCCTTGAATTCTTTCTCAAGACACAGTCAAGAGCTTGGACAACGGGCAGGGTCAAGGTCCCACCAGTGTTCGGGGATCTCACCTAGCCCACTGGTATCAAGAGGCAGTGAGTGCATGGACTAGAGGTACAGATCTGGAAACCAGCAACTTATAGAGGGAGGGAGAAGCAAGGGGAGAGAATGAGCTCAAGATCAACACTGCCTAGCAAGACTACTTTGTTTCTTTGGTCTGTTTGCTCTCCCACTTTCTACAATGACAATTTACCTTTTCCACCTTCTTCAAAACTTCTACCACCCCTACTCAATCCACACAAACACACACCACGACCACCACCACTACCATCATCATCAACTGAGCCCCAGATCCCAAACTCTTCTCCTGAATCTTACCCACTATTCTCTCCCTTTTCTGTATCTTTGGTCACTCCCTTTTTATTAGGTTGGTGCAAGAGTAATTGCGATTTTTGCCTTTACTTTTTTTTTTTTTTTTGGAGACAGAGTCTCACTCTGTCTCCTGGACCGGAGCGTAGTGGCACGATCTCGGCTCACTGCAACCTCTGCCTCCCAGGTTCAATGATTCTCCTGCCTCAGCCTCCCGAGTAGCTGGGATTACAGGCGCCTGCCACTACGCCCAGTTAATTTTTTGTATTTTTAGTAGAGACGGGTTTTCACCATGTTGGCCAGGCTGGTCTCAAACTCCTGACCTCGTGATTAGCCTGCCTTGGCCTCCCAAAGTGCTGGGATTACAGGCGTGAGCCAGCGCGCCCAGCCTGCCATTAGTTTTAATTGGAAAAAGCCGCACTTACTTTTGCACCAACCTAATATTTTCTCCATTCCATCATTGTTTATACAAGCTCAAGTCTCTCACATCTTTAGGATAATTTTCCTTGATCCCACTCCTCCTTCCAGCTACCATTCTATCCTTTTCCCCTTCATTGTTAAACTTCTTCAAAGAGTTGTCTATTCTTACTGCTTCCATTTTTTTCACTTCCCACTCATTTCTCAATCTACCTTAATCTGTATTCCGCCCACACCATTCTAGTGAAATCTTTTGAGAAGGTGAGCAGTACCTTCATGTTCTTAAATCTAATGGATTTTTTTGTTTTTCATCTTCTTTGATTGCTCAGGAGCATTTGTCACAGTTGAAAGCAGTGAAGAACAAAGGTTGTTTTTTTAAAGTGACAAGCTCACTTCATTCACTTATGAAAAATAATCTGCCAGATACTCAAGTCTAAATAACCATAGTTTGTCTGTCAGCTATTCTTTCAAGTAAAAATGGAGTTCCATGACAAAATCAGCTAGTTCAGTTTGCAACTCAAATAACAAGTTGTTTTTATTTTTGAGATAACCATCATACTTTTGTATACAGAGTGGTTTATGCATACTTCCTATTTTGTCACACAGAATATTAACACCTGTACTCAAAAGTTGATATTTAATAAAATTAGTAATTTTCACTGCTTAATCAGGTAAAATTTGATTTTTTTTCTTTCTTCAAGTGTGTGGTGGGGAAAAGTATAATGACCATTAGTAGGCTGATGCTACTGTCTTGATTTGTGTGCCAGTGCACCTGCAGTTTTACTTACCATTGCTTTTACACCATCAGTGAAATTGCCCACAAAGAAAAAAAAAGGCAAATAATGACTATTATTTTGCAAGTTGTTTTGACTTTATGAAACCTTGGAAAGGGACCAATATGGACCACAATTTGAAAATTGTCATTTTAGATTAATCAGGACTGACCCCAAAGCTGATAAATAGAATCACATTCCCTAAAAGATGGATCGTGGAAAAAAAGTGGGTTTCTGTTAGCATCAAAGAGGAACAGAATTAGTGTTCATAGCCAGCCAAGTATCTCCTCGTCGAAGAAAAAAAAAAAAACAGGTATAGTGGAGTAATTGAAGGGAAAATGGCATACGGGGAGGTTTGATCAGAAAGTAGAATTTCAAATTAGGGCAGGGGTGTCCAATCTTTTGGCTTCCCTGGGCCACACTGGAAGAAGAATTGTCTTCAGCCACACATAAAATACACTAAGACAGCAGATGAGCTACAAAAAATCACAAAAAAATAACATTTTAAGAAAGTTTACAAATTTGTCTTGGGCTGCATTCAAAACCATCCTGGGCTGCATGCAGCCCATGGACCATGGATTGGACAAGCTTGAATTAGGTAGGGTAAGTTTCTGCTGTTTATAAGGTCTAGGGTGCAACAGTTGAAGTGGGTGGCTGTGTGGAGGAGAAGGTCATTAGAAATTAGGAGGTAAGGCTGGGCGCAGTGGCTCACGCCTATAATCCCAGCACTTTCGGAGGCCAAGGAGGGTGGATCACGAGACCCGGAGATTGAGACTATCCTGAGTAACACGGTGAAACCCCGTCTCTACTAAAAATACAAAAAATTAGCCGGGCATGGTGGCGGACGCCTGTAGTCCCAGCTACTCAGGAGGCTGAGGCAGGAGAATGGCATGAACCCGGGAGGCAGAGCTTGCAGTGAGCTGAGATCACGCCACTGCACTCCAGCCTGAGCAACAGAATGAGACTCTATCTCAAAAAAAAAAAAAAAATTAGGTCAACGGACAGAATGGCCAGGTTAATGGGTGGGTTGACCATGTGGACACTTAAGTCCCCCAGAATGATGGCAGCAGGACTTACAGTAGACAGCAAGACTAAAAGCCACTTGCTAAAGTCTCCAGTGAATACACAGGAGTGGCCAGGAGTTCAGTAGATAACAAGGACCAAGATGGGGAAGCATTATCATAGCCAAACAGCATGTAACTCAAAGGAAGGAGTAATGGTTTGAAAGTGGCATTCCCCAGTGTGGAAGACACCAACCCCACCTCCCAGACTATGGAAGGTGGAGTGCTGAGAGATTAAGTAGCTACCATTGAACGGGGCTACAGAGGAAATGGTGTTCTCAGAGGAAAATCAGATTTCCACTAAGGAGGTGGAAAAATGCTCATAAAAGGTGTTGAGGATATAAAGGTACGTCATAGTTATATAGCAGCCATTCCAGAAAAGGCATGATAGAAGTTTTTGGTTGCTGAGGGAAGAGTGGAACTTCAAGTAATAGGACAAGCAGAGAATTAGGGCAAGAAGCATAATTGGGAGATGGTGGTGTATCCGGAATTGGTGGGTTCTTGGTCTCACTGACTTCAAGAATGAAGCCGCGAACCCTCGTGGTGAGTGTTACAGTTCTTAAAGGCGGAGTGTCTGGAGTTTGTTCCTTCTGATGTTCACACGTGTTCAGAGTTTCTTCTTTCTGGTGGGTTCGTGGTCTCACTGGCCTCAGGAGTGAAGCTGCAGACCTTCACAGTGAGTGTTACAGCTCGTAAAGGTAGTGCAGACCCAAAAAGTGAACAACAGCAAGATTTATTGCAAAGACCAAAAGAGAACAGCTTTCACACCGTGGAAGCCAACCCAAGCAGGTTGCCACTTGAGCTCAGGCAGCCTGCTTTTATTCTCTTATCTGGCCCCACCCACATCCTGCTGATTGGCCTATTTTACAGAGAGCTGATTGGTCCATTTTGACAGGGTGCTGATTGGTGTGTTTACAATCCCTGAGCTAGACACAAAAGTTCTCCAAGTCCCCACTAGATTAGCTAGGCACAGAGCACTGATTGGTGCATTTACAAACCTTGAGCTAGACACAGGGTGCTGATTGGTGTATTTACAATCCCTTAGCTAGACAAAGGTTCTCCAAGTCCCCACTAGACTCAGGAGCTCAGCTGGCTTCACCTAGTGGATCCTGCACAGGGGCCACAGGCGGAACTGCCCACCAGTCCAGCACTCAGTGAATCCGCACTCCTCAGACCTTGGGCCATCGATGGGACGGGGCACCACGGAGCAGGGGGCGGCTTGGACTGTGCAGGAGCCCCAGGTGCGGGGGAGGCTCGGGCATGGCGGGCTGCAGGTCCCAAGCCCTGCCCCTCCGGAGGCAGCAGGGGCCCGGGGAGAACTGGAGCGCGGCGCTGGTGGGCAGGCACTGCTGGGGGACCTGGCGCACCCTCCGCAGCTGCTGGCCGGGGTGCTAAGCCCCTCAGTGCCCCGGGCCTGCGGAGCCAGCCTGGCCACTCTGAGCTTGGGGCCCGTCGAGCCCACGCCCACCTGGAACTCAGCCCCAGTTCCCACCTGCGCCTCTCCCTCCACACCTCCCCACAAGCAGAGGGAGCCGGCTCCGGCCTCAGCCAGCCCAGAGAGGGGCTCCCACAATGCAGCAGCGGGCCGAAGGGCTTCTCAAGTGGGACCAGAGTGGGCGCCGAGGCCAAGGAGGTGCGGAGAGCGAGTGAGGGCTGCCAGCACGCTGTCACCTCTCAGTGGGAGTAATATGTAACTAGAGGGGCTTAAGCTATCCTAGATTTTGTCCTGACAGCCTCTGGGAGGAGCAAACTCAGGTCTCCAGAATACAGCTAAGGTTTGAAACAGCAACAACAACATTCATTTCAAAGCTGCAAGTGAAACTGACCCAATAGTCTCATAGATAGTTATTTTTATTTTTATTTTTTTTGATAAACAGAAATTGAGCCTTCTGATCTTAAAGCATAAAACTTATATTTGTTTTATCTGAGTTACTTCCTCAGGAGATGACCTTCAGGCCTCTCAGGAAAAGTATCGAGAACTGAAACTCATCAGATAAGCACATCCAGATAATGAGATGTGGGACTCCTCATTAGTCATGATTGCTTCCTTGCTTCTCCTTAGTTCCTACTTTCTTATACATTGTTACATTTTTTCCCTGCGATATAAACCCCTAGTTTTAGTGGGTCAGGGAGATGGGTTTGAGACTGAGCTCCCATCTTCTTGACTGCAGCACCCAGTTAAAGCCTTCTTCCTTCTTCCTTGGCAATAATTGTTGTGTCAATGATTGGCTTTCTGTGCGGTGGAAAACAGGAGCTAGACCAAACCAGTCTTGCTCTGTCACCCAGGCTGGAGTGCAGTGGCCCAATCTCCACTCACTGTGAGCTCCGCCTCCCAGGTTCACGCCATTCTCCTGCCTCAGCCTCCCGAGTAGCTGGGACTATGGGTGCCTGCCACCCTGCCCGGCTAATTTTTTGTATTTTTTAGTAGAGACGGGGTTTCACCGTGTTAGCCAGCATGGTCTCAATCTCCTGACCTCATGATCCACCCGCTTCGGCCTCTCAAAGTGCCGGGATTACAGGCGTGAGCCACCATGCCCAGCCAGCATTTTCTGTATCTTAAGAAGTATGGAATTGTACACTTCTTTGAGGCAGATATGCCTTTGTTCTGAAAAAAACAAAAATTGCCCCAAGTGTTCTGAACAAGGGGACAGGCAATCATGGACTATCACTGCTGAGCATATACAGTTAGGCAAGTTTAAGCATGCCAGCTTAAAAGTACCACTGGTAGACCCAGTACAGTGGCTTACACCTGTAATCCCAAGCAGGAGGCAGGGAAGCCAAGGTGGGAGGATTGCTTGAAGCCAGGAGTTTGAGGCCAGCCTGAGCAACAAAGGGAGACCCCCATCTCTACAAAAAATAAAAAATTAGGCCAGGCGCAGTGGCTCATGCCTGTAATCCCAGCACTCTGGGAGGCTGAGGCAGGCGGAACACGAGGTTGGGAATTCGATACCAGCCTGACCAACATGATGAAACCTCATCTCTACTAAAAATACAAAAATTAGCCGGGCATGGTGGCGCATGCCTCTAATCCCCTCTACTCAGGAGGCTGAGGCAGGAGAGTCGCTTGCCTGGGAGGTGGAGGTTGCAGTGAACTGCGATCGCACCACTGCACTCCAGCCTGGGCGACAGAATGAGACTGTCTCAAAAAAAAGAAAAAGAAAAAATAAATAAAAAATTAACCAGGTGTCATGGCATGTGCTTTTAGTCCCAGCTACTCGGAAGACTGAGGTGGGTTGGAAGGCTGAGGCAGGTCGGGAAGTTGAGGCAGGAGGATCCCTTGAGTCTAGGAGTTCAAGGCAGCAGTGAGCTATGATCGTGCCACTCCACTCCAGCCTGGGAGACAGAATAAGATCCTGTCTCTAAAAAAAAAAAAATTAATAATAAAGTACCACTGGTGAAAGTGTATTCTGGGGACATAATCTTGTGTAACTTAGTTTTTTACTGGTTTTTTATTTGGGGGTTTTACTTCAAAGACTAGGAACTTGTTTGGGTGTGCGTAACCAGCTTAAACTAGAATTGGCTTTTAAAAATGTAGTTTAGATATTTCAAATGCTGAATTTCATGTATTTAGGAAAGTTACTGATTCTAAATATGTATCTAGATGCTGGTGTTACTCCAAATGCCAACATTAAAAATGTGTTTTGAAGAGTTATACTGAGAACATCAACATTTATATAATCACCCCTATTTTGCAAATAAGGAAACTGAAGCTACAAGAGGCAAACTGGCCCAAGGTCACACACAGCTAGTAAGTTTCAAAATGAAGTTTTAACCCAGGTCTGAATGCCTCTTATCCACGCTCTTAACCACTGCACTGCAGTATAGTATACCTGCCTCTTGCAGTGGACATTTGGGAAAATACTTACAGCTGGATTATAGAGCTGGTCACTTTTGAAGTACAAAATCACATGGGCTGAAGTGGAGTATAATTATATACAAGCTATATCTTAAGTATATGTTATTGCAGAATCTCCCCTTGCTGTGGCTTGCTCACCCCAGTCATTGAAATCATCTGTGCCTCTGTGAGGACATATTCCCAGAAGTGCTGTGACGCACATGCTTACCTTAAAAACTTGTGGTTTGGCCAGGCACAGTGGCTCATGCCTGTAATCCCGGCACTTTGGGAGGCTGAGGTGGGCAGATCACCTGAGGTCAGGAGCTCAAGACCAAGCCTGGCCAACATGGTGAAACCCCGTCTCTACTAAAATACAAAAATTAGCTGGGCATGGTTGGTGGGTGCCTATAATTCCAGCTACTTGGGAGGCTGAGGCAAGAGAATTGCTTGAACCCAGGAGGCAGAGGTTGCAGTGGGCAGAGATGGCGCCATTGCACTCCAGCCTGGGCAAAAAAAGTGAAAGTCCGTCTCAAAAAACAACAACAACAACAACAAACTTGTGGGGTTTTTTCTAGGTATATTATTAGTTCAGTCTGCCTTCCAAGTTTGCCCATGAAGAAAGTAGGTAAGTAGGTGAGGGTGGTAAGTTATACATCTTGGATGCTTAATGAAATTTCAGTGATGCCCTTTGGCATATTCCCTCAACTGGGTGTTTCAAAAGTCTCAGTCCAGTTTTAAGTTTTAAATATGTTTCATTGAGCACCTACCAGATTGCTAGATAGAGAATTCCAGATGAACCTTGTGGGCCTGCCATTTATGAGAGAAGCCAAGGAGCTAAGTATAAAGGATAAGGCCACAGGAAGTACAGACTTTGGAAAGGAACAGAGTGGAAGAGAGTAGAGACAGTGGGATAGTACAAAGCTACTCAGGGTATGATGTGGGATCTCCCCCACAATCCTTAAGAATTGCAGTAAAATTGACAAATTTAGAAAATGCTGATTGTATCTGGATTTCTTGTGGAAAATAGCAACACTCATCAGGGTTTGGTACCGGACAGGGTGAAAATAGCATGCACAAATGTCCAAGAGCGTGGAGACACCAAGTATGAATTACCACTTGGAAATCCCTGGAGGATGCTGAGACATGAGCTGCAATTGAGGGTGACCTAAGACAGTATCTGGTCTACAACATCATTAGATAAGATGGATTCCCTTGCTTTTTTGTTTTGTTTTGTTTTTGTTTCCGCTTGATAGTTTGTTTTTTTTTTTTGAGGCGGAGTCTCACTCTGTCGCCCAGGCTAGAGTGCAGTGGCGTGATCTCAGCTCACTGCAACCTCCACCTCCTGGGTTCAAGCGATTCTCCTGCCTCATCCTCCCGAGTAGCTGGAACTACAGGCACACACCACCATGCCTGGCTAATTTTTGTATTTTTAGTAGAGACGGGGTTTCACCATGTTGGCCAGGCTGGTCTCAATCTCCTGACCTCGTGATCTGCCCGCCTCGGCCTTCCAAAGTGCTGGGATTACAGGTGTGAGCCACTGCCTGTCCTCCCCTTGATAGTTTTTCTTAAAGACATTATTGTTTTAGAGCAGTTTTAGGTTCATAGCAAAACTGAGAGGAAGGTACCAAGATATCCCATTTAGCCCCTGCCCCCACATATGCACAGCCTCCCCCATTATCAACAGCCTCTTGAATTTTTACAACAAAGTTGACTAATCTCAGTGGCCATGGCCTTTATTTCATTCTTCATCAAGTCCCAGCTTCTTCATAATATAAACATATATATGAGTGCCTTCTGTGTTCTAGTCACTTTACAGACATGCATTATTTCCTCTACTCAGGCTACCTTATGAAGGAAAGTTTCACAAATGAAGGATCTGAGCTCAGGTAATTTTTTTTCTTTCTAGATGGAGTCTCGCTCTGTCCCCCTAGCTGGAGTACAGTGGTGCAATCTTGGCTCACTGCAACCTCCACCTCCTGGGTTCAAGCAATTCTCGTGCCTCAGCCTCCCATGTAGCTGGGATCACAGGCGTGTGCCACCACACCCGGCTAATTTTTTGTATTTTTAGCAGGAAAGGGGTTTGCCATGTTGCCTAGGCTTGAGCTCAGAGAATTTAAGCAACTTACGCCAGTTTCCACAGCTCATGACTCTATGTTTCTTCCAGTGAACCACACTGCCTCATATGCCTCATTCCATGGTTATTTTCCACATTCACAAGGAATTCCTGACTTTTATTTCTTTCCCCTTAATACTATGCCCAAGACAGTCTCCTTGTCTTGGTCAATTTTCTCTAGCATGGTGAATAGATAGCCTTGTGTAACAGTGTTGTAACCTGACAGGTGCAAAGAGTACAGGTGCCCTGGTTGCTACTACAGAAGGTGAAAAACCATCCTTAGCTCTGCCCACAGGCTCACTAAGTCATAGGGTTCTTGGCATCCCTGAGGCCACCCCAAGCTCTGGAGCATGGAAAATGCTCCCACTATTTAAAGAATAAAACAAAGTTGTTCATACATAGTGTTGACGTCTAGCAGGCAATTCAAGTGCTCTTGATTAACTTGATTAGTCATTTTTATTTAACTTATATGGGTCATGGGGTAGGAGTGATGAGAAATACAGGGCAGTTTCTCTGTGGCTTGATTCTATAAACTTGCACAAGGAATCAAGACAGGAGAAAGGCTAGTTCCAGGACCTTGAACAGAAATTTCTGACCAGGCCTGCCACAGACTCGTTCTAGTCCAGCAGCTTCATTTTATGAAGTGAATTTCAAGGCCCAGGAAGAAAAAAGGTACAGCTAGTTAGTGCAACAGTGGAAATCAGTTCCTACTTTTGCAAAAAGTGCTCTAGGGAATTAAAACGGGTCTCTATTGTCTGCTCTGCCACTGAATGACTGCAATTATGATTCCTGTTCCTTAATTTTTTTCCAAAATGAGCTATGGCAAGAAATAACAGGAGAGGAGCTCTGGGCAAAGGCTACTAAAATGGACTGGCAATGCAACATGTCTGAACAGTCTAGAATTAAAGGTGTGATTTTTAGTACCTTTTTATGGCTGGATTGACCATGTGTCTGGATTGTCAGCTAATGAGAATGCAGCCGAAGCCTTATTGGTGTTCAACCCTGTTTTAGCCACATCTTTTGGTCTCCAGCCCTTGCCTCAAGGTAATGGGAGAACTAGGCAATATTCCCCACTCCTCTCATAAGGCCCCTCTCAAACTCACCTCAGCTCAAAAATAGCACTCGTATATAAAGGCTATGAACAGTAGGCTCTCACTGAGTCCTAATCCCAAGACTGCCAGTGCCAATGCCTAGCGGACTCTGCATCTTTCCTGAAGTAACTAACACAGGCTTTACTAAAAGGGAGACCATTCACCCTTTTTGTTTGTTTGTTTGTTTTGAGACAAAGTCTTTCTTTGTTGCCCAGGCTGTTGCCCAGGAGTGCAGTGGTGTGATCTTGGCTCACTGCAACCTGCAAACCCTCCAGAGTGTAACTTGTGATATAATTGGAAAGAAAGCAAATGTATCTTAAATGATGCAAGAACAACACAAAACAAGATGCCCACTTTTGCAAAAGAAGAAATCTTCCAATTTATAAGATCTGAAGAGATAACAAGCCCAAGGGTAGTCTAAAGCAAATAGGAGTCAAAAGCCTCCCAGAGGTGGGAGACGTGTCTCCTTTTGGAAATTCAGTTGTTTTTTATGGCACCATACAATTTTTCTATACTGGATTATTATTATTATTATTTTTGAGACGGAGTCTCACTGTGTCGCCCAGGCTGGAGAGCAATGGTGGGATCTCGGCTCACTGCAACCTCCGCCTCCCAGGTTCAAGCAATTCTGCTGCCTCAGCCTCCTGAGTAGCTGGGATTATAGGCGCCTGCCACCAGGCCCGGCTAATTTTTGTATTTTTAGTAGAGACGGGGTTTCACCACGTTGGCCAGGCTGGTCTCGAACTCCTGACCTCAGGTGATCTGCTTGCCTGGGCCTCCCAAAATGCTGGGATTACAGGCGTGAACCACTGTGCCTGGCCTTCCATACTGGATTCTTATGTGAGCTGTACCAGTTACATTTTCCACAACCGCATATTATACCACAAACCAGTCTGACCTGCAAGGGAAGTACAAGCATTGGTCCTTTTGCAACGCCCTGCTGCCTAACCAGTTTGTATTTGCAAAAGTGACACATGGCCAGTTTAAGTTGGAGATGTCCTAGGGAAGGGTGGATGGTTGTTGTATGAGGCCTTGCCTAGGGTCCTTTCTGGGCCTACTTAGGGCTTCAGATGCAATGGAGATGACGGATTTTATTTCATCAAATGGTATTAATGTCATTTCTGGATCAGGCATTGTGCTGGCATCCTGAAGAATTCATAGTCTAGGTAGGAGAGAAAGGAAGATATACATGTGGCTAGTGATTACCTAAGATGAATTGTAAAGCAGAATAAGCAACATTCTATGGTGATGGAGCAGGAGTTAATAGTTCTCATGGAAGATCCTGGAAGGTTAGTGGAGGAAGGAGCATTTCCACTGGGCCTTGAAAGATAAGTAGGTATTCCAAAGACAGAGAAGGGCATTATAAATTGAGGAAATCTGTGAACAAAGTTATCAGAGGCATGAGCTTAAGGAAGATCTACTGGCAGCCTGGGTAGGGCAACTGGGGAGAATTCTTTGGGCCTTTTTCTTATGGAGAGGGGATCGGTCAACACTTCACCTTACTCTTCCTGTGAGCATCAATACAATTTAATTTTGAAAATTGTATCTTTAGTTATACTCCAAGGGACCTATGGAAGTTACTGATAGTGTGGCCTCCTTTCAAGGGAGAGTATTTGAGGTAGCCAGTGCTGGTTGAGTTGTCCCAGACCCTGCTCTCTTCTACGGATGGCCAAATGTATTGGGCTAGAGTATAGGGTACATCAGAAGAGGATTGCAGTGCTTTCTTTGGCAGCACATATACTAAAAATGGAACAACATAGAGAAGATTAGCATGGCCCCTGCACAAGGATGACAAACAGATTCATGAAGCATTCCATATTTTTTTAAAAAGAAGAAGAGGGTTGCAGAGATCCTGAGCAAAAAGAACAAAGCTGGAGGCATCACACTGCCTTACTTCAAAGTATACTTTGGTTACAAAGCCATAGTAACCAAAACAGCTTGCTACCAGCATAAATACAAACCTGTAGACCAATGGAACAGAATAGAGAACCCTGGAAAAAGTCCATGCATTTACAGCCAATTCGTTTTTGAAAAAAGATCCCAAGAACATACCTTGGGGAAAGAACAGCCTCTTCAATAAATGGTGCTGGGAAAACTGGATAACCATATGCAAAAGAATGAAACTAGACCCCTACCTCTCACCATATACAAAAATCAAATCAAAAGAAAGACTTAAATCTAAGACCTGAAACTATGACACCACTAGCAAAACATATTGGAGGCTGGGTGCGGTGGCTCACGCCTGTAATCCCAGCACTTTGGGAGGCTGAGGCGGGTGGATCACTTGGGGTCAGGAGTTCAAGACCAGCCTGACCAACATGGTGAAACCCTGTCTCTATTAAAAAAAAAATACAAAAATTAGCCAGGTGTGGTGATGGGTGGCTATAATCCCAGCTACTCGGGAGGCTGAGGCGGGAGAATCGCTTGAACCCAGGAGGTGGAAGTTGCAGTAAGCTGAGATCACACCATTGCACTCCAGCCTGGGCGACAGAGCAAGACTCTGTCTCAAAAAAAAAAAAAAAAAAAACCATATTGGAGAAATGCTTCAGGGCAAAGATTTTTTTGAGTAAGATTGCAAAAGCACAGGCAACAAAAGCAAAAATAGATAAATGGATTACATCAATCTTAAGAGCTTCTGTACAGCAAAGGAAACATTCAACAAAGTGAAGAGACAATCTACAGAATGGGAGAAAATATTTCTACCCATTCATCAACCTCTCTTCAATACACCCTTCTCCCCTCCCCTTCCCAGCCTCTAATAACTACCAATCTACTCTCTATCTTTATGAGATCCACTTTTTTACTCCCACAATGAGTGAGAGCATTGAATATTTGTCTTTCTGTCCTTGGCTTATTTCACTTAAGATAATGACCTCCAGGCTGGGCGTGGTGCCTTACGCCTGTAATCTCAGCACTTTGGGAGGTCAAGGCGGGTGGATCACATGAGGCCAGGAGTTCAAGACCAGCCTGGCCAACATGGGGAAACCCCGTCTCTACTGAAAATATCAAAATTAGCTATGAATGCATGCGCCTGTAGTCCCAGCTACTCGGGAGGCTGAGGTGGGAGGATGGTTTGAGCCCAAGAGGTTGAGGCTGCAGTGAGCCAAGATCCCAAATATCTTTTCTCATTCTGTAGATTGTCTCTTCTCTTCGTTGAATGTTTCCTTTGCTGCACAGAAGCTTCTTAGCTTGATGTAATCCCATTTGTCTGTTTCTGCTTTTGTTGCCCGTGCTTTTGCAGTCTTACCCAAAATATCTTTGCCCTGTCCTGAAGCATTTCCCCAATATGTTTTTCTAGTTGTTTCATAGTTTCAGAAGGAATGAGAGCTAGTATTCGATACTTCAGTAGGGTAACTATAGTTTACAGTAATTTATTGTATATTTCAAAATAGGTAGAAGAGAAAAATTGGAATGTTCTCAGTATAAAGAAAAGACAAACTTATTTTTTTTTTTTTTTTTGAGATGGAGTCTCACTCTGTGGCCCAGGCTGGAGTGCAGTGGCGTGATCTCGGCTCACTGCAAGCTTCATCTCCCGGGTTCACACCACTCTCCTGCCTCAGCCTCCCTAGTAGCTGGGACTCCAGGTGCCTGCCACCACGCCTGGCTAATTTTTTTATATTTTTTAGTAGAGACGGGGTTTCACTGTTAGCCAGGATGGTCTCGATCTCCTGACCTCGTGATCCGCCTTGGCCTCCCAGAGTGCTGGGATTACAGGCTTGAGCCACCGTGCCCGGCCAGAAAAGACAAACTTCTGAGGTGATGGGTATCCTAATTACTCTGATTTGATTGTTACACATTATATGAAGATATCAAAATATCACCTGAACTCCGAAAATATGTACAACCTCTATTTTTCTTTTCTTTTTTTTTTTTTTTCAGAGAGCATCTGACTGTCACCCAGGCTGGAGTGCAGTGGCACAATGATATTGGCTCACTGCAGCCTTGTACCTCCCAGATTCAAGCGATTCTCATGCCTCAGCCTCCAGAGTAGCTGGGACTACAGGCATGCACCACCACACCTGGCTAATTTTTGTATTTTTAGTAGAGATGGGTTTTGCCATATTGGCCAGGCTGGTCTCGAACTCCTGGCTTCAAGTGACCTGCCCACCTCAACCTCGCAAAGTGCTGGAATTACAGGCGTGAGCCACGGCGCCTGGCTAATTTTTGTATGTTTAGTAGAGATGGAGTTTCAGCATGTTGCCCAGGCTGGTCTTGAACTCCTGACCTCAAGGGATCTGCCTGCCTTGGCCCACTTTATATACCATGCTAAGGTGTCGTAGGTACTGTTGAGACTGAAAGATTTTAAGGAGAAAAGTAACGTGGTCATGTGTACATCTTAGATCGATACCTCTGGCTGCTTTCTGGGAGATGGTTTAGACTGAGGTAAGAGTGGAAGCAGAGTTCAAACAGGAGGCTACTGAAGGAGTCCAAGCAAAAAGTCATGGGGCCTAAACAGGTTCTGAGGATGGGGTGGAGCCTGAGGCGGTCAACAAGACATGTCTCGGAAGTATGAATAGAAGCCACTAGCCTTGAGTACTCACTGGGTGCGTGTGTGCAGGAGAGTGAGACAGGACAGGAGGCAAGAGGGACTGCCTAAGGAGCGCAGACAGAGATGGCCCTCTGTGAGAGCCTCCAGTCTGTCTCTTCAAGGGGAGGCGGGAGGGGAGGGGCAGATCAGAGGACAGAGAAGGAAGAAGTTTAGAGCATGAATGAAGAAACCCCAAGAGGCCAGGTGGCAAGGCCGAAGCCCCGCCCCAGGCTCCGGCCCCGCCCCCAGCCCCACCTCTTCTTCCTCTCGCCTCCCACCCCCGAGCCGCGGCTCATCCTCTAGGGCGGAGAGAGGTGGCATTTGAGTCCTCCGGTATCCCAGCAGGCAGTGCAGCCTAGAGACGCTGACAAAGGAGCGGAGGAGCAGTCGCAGCTGCTTTCCGAGGAAGCCGGTGTTGCCGAGGTGAGAGTCCCCCACCGTCCCGTCACCCACTTCCTCTGACTTCGGGAAAATGTGGAAGTTACGTGGCTGAGAGCCCCCCGCCAAAGAATGACCCATCCGCACAGCCGGAGCTTGGCTCTGTGATTGACAGCGGGGCTCCGCGGCGCCGGGATGCGGGTGGGCGGCGGGGAGGAGACGGAGGGGATCCTTTCCTGTCCCGTGTGTGACTGGCGGTGGCTCCGCCGCCCGCGGCGCCCGGCCCCAGGGTCTGGCCAGCTGGTGTGTAGCTCGCTCCTGCCCGGGCAAAGGCAGGCTCGGGAGCCTCTCGGTGCCTGCCCGACGGAGTTCGGTTGCCCCGGGGATGCGGCTCGCGGGACAACTCTTCGGTGGATGCACCGAGGACGGCTGGGGGAGGGAAGTTGACTCCCCGTTTGGGGTGACACCGTCCTCGCCCTTCCTCCAGCCTAGCCGGTTGCCCCAGCGAGCAACTGGAAGGAAATCGGCAGGGTTGGAGCGAGGCGTCCCGGGATAGCCTCAGCTTTACTCTCTTTGCCTGGAGGGAGATGAAAGTAGGGTGGAGAGGCGGGGAGGGGAGAGCGAACGCCTTCTTGGAAAAATGGGGTAGGGTGTAGGGGGTGCGTGGCCTGTATCCTTCCCCCTCCCCAGACCTCTGCACGGATCTTGATGGTTGCACCAGCTGCTCTGCTGTAAACAGGCTCACATGACCGGTTTCACATGGAGCGGCCGGTGTGGGGACGTGGGCTGGGAAGGCTGGGCCCCAGTCAGGTGGAGCTGAAATCCTAGGACAGTCCATTTTGTACTCCCTCTCCAGCCCTCCTGCCCTTAATCAATGTTCTGCGGTTTCCCCCTTTGAAAGAAAGTAATTGACATCTGCCCTCTCCAGCTGAAGTAGCAGATCTGCCCCAGTAGAATCTGAGAGATCTCACGTCGGGGAACGAGAGGACAAATGCTAAGTGAAAATTGACCTTTGAGGGAGATAAGAAGAGGACTCAAACGTGAAAAATTGTGTCCTTTGGATCTTGCCTAAAAAGCAGTCCTGTTCTTTCAGAGTGCATTGCATTCTTAATGTGAATTCCAGACAGAAAGGAGAAAGTCTACTTTTTCAGGCAAGGCACACATGGGATTTAATATTCTTGGTGAATATCTTGTCCACACTTACTCTGAGTACTGGAAAATCTCTTTGCCTAGAAAAGACTATATACAGGATATTGAATATGGAGTGGATACCAACTTTTAGATTACACTTATAGTTGGTAGTGGGAAGTTTGGAAAACAGGAAACGGCCAAATGTGTCTTTCAAGTTGTTCACGTCTACATACCCAATCAGGATGCGAGATTAAACTAGTTTCTGAAGCATTTCTTGAACTCTTAAAACAACAGGTATACCTAAATACTAGGAGAGTTGAAATTTTGGAATTTTTCAACTCTGTAAGGGATAGCTGTGATAGATTCTCCATACATGTATTAATAATATATAATTAAATGTAATGGACAATATTCAGTATAAAGTTACTCCTTTATAGGCAAAAATAGACAATAGAACAAATAGCTTGTAAAACAATGCATGCTTCTTCCTTAAATTGTTTATGTACATTTGCTTCCCAAGTGTTTTATTTTTCTTTTCTTAGAGAGCTTTTACATTTAACTCCATTTTCTGAAAACTAACAGTTAAGAAATGATCAGAGAAGCTATTCCATTCCCTAATAGGTCAATAAAGTAATTTGCTACTATTCTTTTTCTGTTTTTAAAGAAGTTTAAAATGGAATATATAGACATTTTACATGTCTACAAAAATATATATATTTTTTGAGACAGGGTCTTGCTCTGTCACCCAGGCTATAGTGCAGTGGTGCAGTCTCAGCTCACTGCAACCTTTGCCTCCTGGGCTCAAGCGATCTCCCACCTCAGCCTCCCGAGTAGCTGGGATTACAGGAGTGCACCACCATGCCCAGCTACTTTTTGTATGTTTAGTGGAGACAGGGTTTCACCATGTCTACCAGGCTGGTCTCGAACTCCTGACCTCAAGTGATCTGCCCCCCCTCGGTCTCCCAAAGTGCTATGATTACAGGCGTGAGCCACCACGCCCAGCCAACTTTATTTTGTATTTTTTAGTAGGGATTTCCCAATGTTGGCCAGGCTGGTCTCGAACTCCTGACCTCAGGTGATCTGCCCACCTTGGCCTCCCAAAGTGCTGGGATTACAGGCGTCATCCACTGTGCCTGGCCAAAATTTTTTTTTTTTTTTTGAGACAGAGTCTCCGTCGCCCAGGTTGGAGCGTGCAGTGGCACAATCTCGGCTCACTGCAAACTCTGCCTCCTGGGTTCACGCCATTCTCCTGCCTCAGCCTCCCCAGTACCTGGGACTACAGGCGCCTGCCACCACGCCCAGTTAATTTTTTGTATTTTTAGTAGAGACGGGGTTTCACCGTGTTAGCCAGGATGGTCTCGATCTCCTGACCTCGTGATCTACCCGCCTCAGCCTCCCAAAGTGCTGGGATTACAGGCATGAGCCACTGCGCCTGGCCAGTTTTTTTTTTTGATTAGCTGAACATAGTGGCTTGGCACCTGTGGTCCCAGCTACTTGAGAGGCTGAGGTGGGAAGATTGCTTGAACCCGGGAGATCAAGGCTGCATTAAGCTGAAGCCATGCCACTGCACTCCAGCCTGGGTGACAGAGGAAGACCCTGTCTCAAAAAGAAAAAAAAGGTGGGGAGTGGTGGCTCACACCTGTAATCTCAGCACTTTGGGAGGCCGAGGCAGGTGGATCACCTGAGGGAGTTCAAGACCAGCCTGGCCAACATGGCAAAACCTCATCTCTACTAAAAATAGAAAAATTAGCTGGGCATGGTGGCAGGCGCCTGTGATCCCAGAGCTTTGGGAGGCCGAGGCAGGCGGATCACCTGAGGTTGGGAGTTTGAGACCAGCCTGACCAACATGGAGAAACCCCGACTCTACTAAAAATACAAAATTAGGCAGGCGTGGGGCGCATGCCTGTAATCCCAGCTACTCAGGAGGTGGAGGCAGGCAAATCGCTCGAATCTGGGAGCAGAGGTTGCGGTGAGCCAAGATGGCACCATTGCACTCCAGCCTGGGCAATAAGAGCGAAACTCTGTCTCAAAAAGAAAAAGAAATAGGAATTGCACCGTGCAAAATTCTCATTAGGTATTTTAACCATATAGGTTGACCTATACCTCTTTTCATCGGGAAATTGAAGATGGCCTCAGCTAAATCCTGCCTCCAAAATTAGAAATAACAGTTTCAGTTGACTTTCTTGACCTTCAGGGCAGAAAACAAAGTCTGATTCTTTTACTCATTCCAGCTTCTTCCTGGATTAGGCAGACCACGTTATTAGTGATGAAGTTAGAATTTTTTTTAAGAAGGAAGGCTCTAGCAGTGTCTTACTTTAGCAGTACCTTGGTTAGATCACCAGAACCAATGTCTGGTTTTCAGCTTTTCCAGGTTCAAAATTTCATTGGCACATCAAGAAATTGTCAGTCTCACTGATTGATTCACACCAACCAAACTCAAAAGATTTCTATGAGCATGAATGGCAATTTGCTAACTCTCAGTGAGAACTGCCAAACAGACCAGAAGACTCACGTACAAGCCAAGGCAAGCTTTGCTATTGACTATATGGAAACACAAAGAACTTGCTCTTGACTTCCCCTTTTTCCAGGTTCTATGAGGACCACTTTTTTCAAGCCTAGCAGTTAGTATATTCCACAGAATTACAGGTTTCTTTTATATAAAAACCATTTCAGTTACACCTTTGTATGGATATATCCTAGTCACCTGGTTGAATTGGGTCACATGTAAAACATCTCTAAAATCTGTTTCTTCTCCATTCCTGCAGCCTTAGCCTAGGCCCTCATCATTGCTTCATGCCACATTCATTCAACAGTTTTTTAATTTTTTATAGTAACTACTCAGGAGTCAGGTGTTGTGCTTGAATGGTCAATGGCAACCCCTGTCCAACTTCAAATCTGAATTGGTCAGTTCTGTGCTTAAAATCCTTAAGGCCAGGCAAAATCGTAGGTTACACTTGTAACCCCAGTGCTTTGGGAGGCCAAGGCAGGAAGGTTGCTTGAGGCCAGGAGTTCAAGACCAGCCTGGGCAACATAGCGAGACCTTATCCCTATATTTAAAAAAGAAAAAATCCTTAAGTGGTTTCCTATTGCCTGCAGCAGTGGTTCTCAAAGTTTAGTGTGGATCGGAATCACCTGGAAGACTTGTTAAAACAGATGGCTGGGCCCCAGTCCCGGAATTTCTGATTCAGTAGGTCTAGGGTGAGAACCAAGAATTTGTGTTTCTAACAAGCCAGAACCACTGGCATAGGGAATCAAGTCTAAACCCCCAAACGTTCACAAAATCTTGCACAATCTGCCTCTAACTTACCTTTCTAGCCGAAACTTGCCCCTCTCCCCATATTTGCTGTTTTTAACCATATGCAATGCCAAAGCTCATTTTAAGCATCCCTTTCATGCTTCTACACACATTCTTCCTGGAATTCACCCGGCCCTCCACTTCTACTGCAGACTAGCCTTAAGGCAGATGATCACTTTCTTTATGCTCCCAGAGCACTTTATATCTATCAGCAGTTTAACACTGCTCACATCATATCTTAATTACTGCTGTATATCTGTTTTTCCTGCTAGTCTGAGTTTTTGGAAGGCTGACAAAATATTTTCATCTTGTCTCCATATTCCCTAGCACAGTGCCTTGTATATAATAAGTGCTCAGGAAATGTTTGTTGAGTGAATCTGTGATTTTTTTTTTTTTGAGACAGAGTCTCGCTCTGTTGCCCAGGCTGGAGTGCAGTGGTGTGATCTTGGCTCACTGCAACCTCCGCCTTCTGGGCTCAAGTGATTCTCTTGCCTCAGCCTCCCAAGTAGCTGGGATTACAGGCGCCCGCCACCATGCCCAGCTCATTTTTGTATTTTTAGTAGAGATGAGGATTCGCCATGTTGGCCAGGTTGGTCTTGAACTCCTAACCTCAGGTGATCCTGCCCACCTCGGCCTCCCAAAATGCTGGGATTATAGGCGTGAGTCACTGCGCCCGGCCATGAATTTGTGATTCTAAAACTTCTGAGTGTTTCATGTAGCAACATATATATATAATCATATAATATGGATTTTGCTTTGAGAATTGCGCATCTTGAAATGACATACTGAGATGTTGTAAAACATGGAAACAACACATTAATTATAACCGGGTTGTAAATAACACATTTGAAAATATGAATTGTTTTCAAAGAGACATTAGGTTATTCTTTTTTTTAAAAATCTTAAAATGTATACTACTCAACTTTTAAATCTTGAATATAGAAGAGCCAATCACTACATATTATTTATAGCAGTCAATCTCATTAGTTAAAATAGCAAAGCATACCAAAAATCTAGAAAATATATAAAAACAAAAGTGTCAAATATTAAGCAATGAACATTAAAGTAGAAAGTAAACATTAGAACATCACTTGTTATGACTTTAGGAAAATGCCAGCAATTAAAAACCCCAATTAACAATACTGGGAATTCAGAGGAGGCCAACTGAGTTTATGAAGTGGGAGGGAAGGAGGTTTTAATGCTAGTGAGACTAAAGGAAAATAACATATCGCTCTTAACAATTTAGTATTTAGTTGGTCATTGGCAAGGATTGCACAGAGTATGGAAGAAGGAGATAGCCCCTGTGCCCAGATAAAAGGGAGCTGACCTGAAGGTGGAGCTGGGAACCTTAATCAGAGTAAACA
The DNA here is from genome assembly GCF_000001405.40 of Homo sapiens. Taxonomy (NCBI): domain Eukaryota; kingdom Metazoa; phylum Chordata; class Mammalia; order Primates; family Hominidae; genus Homo; species Homo sapiens. The sequence continues at coordinate 134,909,436 of NC_000023.11, read as the reverse complement.
GCAAGAGCCAGGGAGAGATAGTTAAGTAGCTGGTACACTGTGACCAAGCAGATGGGTCACCAGTTTCTGGGTGAGGGCTGTACTTTGAATCATCCTTAACTGTTTTCAAACTTCGATCCACTTACTTCACTTGCTTCTTGCAGCCTCCTCTTTCTTTCTTTTTTCTTTTTTGAGGAGTCTCGCCTGTCGCCCAGGCTGGAGTGCAGTGGCGGATCTCGGCTCACTGCAAGCTCCGCCTCCCGGGTTCACGCCATTCTCCTGCCTCAGCCTCCCGAGTAGCTGGGACTACAGGCACCCGCCACTACTCCCGGCTAATTTTTTTTTTGTATTTTTAGTAGAGACGGGATTTCACTGTGTTATCCAGGATGGTCTCGATCTCCTGATCTCGTGATCCGCCCGCCTCGGCCTTCCAAAGTGCTGGGATTACAGGCGTGAGCCACCGCGCCCGGCCTGCAGCCTCCTCTTTCTAAAAACAGGTTGCAGGGTGCAAATGAGAAAATGCTATGAAAGTGGTTTCAGTGCTCCTTAACGGTCTCTAAGTTTTGTATCTATGGTGGTAAAATGGATTCCTGTTTATCTCAAAGTCTTATCTTTTCATTCCTCTGGTCAATGCAAAGTGAGGAAAATGGAAAAAACCATCATACTTTGGGGTACTGGTCTCCTTGGATTGATGGTAGTGGCAGGCATGTGTGAATATCTCAGAGTGTTTATGCGTCTTTTTGTGTCAGAGTAGTTTGCAAACTGGTCACAAGGTGGTGTGCACACATAAGGTTTTCTTTATAATTTCATTCAGGATTGTTTTTCTGTGCCTTTGGTACAGGGGAGGAAGACAAGACAGTTTCCTGTATCACCAGATCTCAGCTGCGCTCTCTGCCTGTGAGGTCAGAAGTGTGTTGGAGCCTCAGATTTCTAAATGCTTGCTGGCACAGTTAGGCACTGAAGAGCCAGGGAAAATCAGAGGGAAACAGAAGGAGGGGAGGGGAGAAGAGGGGAAGAGAGGTAACTGGGAGTGCTGATTCTCTCTGCTCTCCTCTTACCCCAACCCATGGTGAGCAGCCACTTAAGATTTACTGCTCCTCTAATTAGGATCCCTTGCTTGTCTTGTATAGACAAAGTGTGTTCAGCTATGACGGGTGAGTGGTGGGGGGAATGTTCCCCAGTGGAGGAGACAGTTATTAGTAGACATCTGTAGGATAACTGATAAGCTTTTAGCTATCTGCTAAGTGCCCAGCACTGACCTTGGGCCTGTGAGGGGTGCAAAAAACAAAAGCATCCCACCAAACAACAATATGGCATTATACCTAAAATCTAACTGAGAAGTCAAAATTAATGCACACAAAACAAATGTCAAAATATTCCATTCTGGCTGGGTGCAGTGGCTCATGCCTGTAATCTCAGCACTTTGGGAGGCCAAGGTGGGAGTATTGCTTCAGTTCAGGAGTTCAAGACCAGCCTGGACAACATAGGGAGACCCTGTCTCTACATAAATTTTTTAAAAACATTAGCCAGGAGTGGTGGCACTTACCTGTGGTCCCAGCTACTTGGGAGGCTGAGGTGGAAGAATCACTTGAGCCCAGGAGTTTGAGGCTGCAGTGAGCTGAGATCGTGCCAATGCACTCCAGCCTGGGTGCAACCTCCGTCTTCCTGGTTCAAGCAATTCTCCTGCCTCAGCCTCCTGAGTAGCTAGGATTACATGTGTGCACTACCACGCCCAGCTAATTTTTTTGTGTTTTTAGTAGAGACGGGGTTTCGCCATGTTGGCCAGGCTGGTCTCGAACTCCTGGCCTCAAGTGATCCGCCCGCATCGGCCTCTCAAAGTGCTGAGATTACAGGCGTGAGCCACTGTGCCCAGCCAGGGAAGGGGAATTTGAATTAGGTTTTGAAAAATGAGTAAAATTTTGCTGTCCAGAGAGGAAGAATGCAGCAAACCTTCATTATTAATGCCCTGATGAATAGTTCCTGACAACTATAGCTGTTTCATCATCAGGAAAATAGTGTGTGCCACTCAGTAAGTGAAATTGTCTCTTGATTTTTCTTTATAAAACTGAAAAGGAAACACAAATGAAGATAATGCAGACTTAGTTGTGACTTGAATTTTGGATCATCCTTTGAGAACTCTGATCTTGATAAGCAGGGACAATTGCTACAGATTAGGGCATGTGTGGTAGTCAGCATCAGGGAAGCAGGACTTTATTTTTTTTATTTTTTTGAGATGGAGTTTCGCTCTGTTGCCCAGGCTGGGGTGCAGTAGTGCGATCTCGGCTCAATACAACCTCCACCTCCCGGATTCAAGCAGTTGTCCTGCCTCAGCCTCCTGAGTAGCTGGGATTACAGGCATACACCACCATGCCCAGCTAATTTTTGTATTTTAGTACAGACAGGGTTTCACCATGATGGCCAGGCTGGTCTCAAACTCTTGACCTCAGGTGATCTGCCCGCCTCAGCTTTCCAAAGTGCTAGGATTACAGGCGTGAGCCACCGTGCCAGGCCGAGGCAGGACTTACTTGAGACATAGAAGGGATGACTGTATAAGGAAGTGGAAGCCTGGAGACCAGAGTTCTGCCACCAATACCCTGTGCAACCTTGGATAAGTCTCTTAACCATCCTGGGCCTGCTTCCCACATCTGTCAAATTAGAAAAGTGGGAACCAACTAACTCTGACTTGGTGTGCACTTGACTTTTGGAAAGCAACCTCATAAACCGATTTGCAGTAAGTTTTTACCAGTTTAGTATATAATCTTTCCCCAGGATTTTTGCACTTTATCATTTTGTAATATGGACTGCAGCAAAGAGAAAGTGTTAGTCTCCAGAAAACTATCAATTCAAGGCAGGTGTTACACCTTATTATGTTCATTGGCACAGTTGCTAATATTGCTCTGTTGACCTGGTGCTAATTCTTCCCTAATTTCCACTGGTTGGAGTTTAGGATGCAACTTATATCTTAGCCAAGATAAGCTGGGCGCGGTGGCTCATGCCTGTAATCCCACCACTTTGGGAGGCCAAGGTGGGCGGATCACGAGGTCAGGAGTTCAAGACCAGCCTGGCCAGCATGGTGAAACCCCGTCTCTACAAAAATTAAAAAAAAAAAAAATTAGCCAGGCGTGGTGGCGTGCACCTCTATTCCCAGCTACTCGGGAGGCTGAGGCACGAGAATCGCTTGAACCCGGGAGGCAGAGGTTGTGGTGAGCCAAGATCATGACATTGCACTCCAGCCTGGGTAATGAGCGAAACTCCGTCTCAAAAAAAAAAAAAAAAAAAAAAAGTGATAAATGGGAACAGAGATAGGAAAAGAAATAATAGTAAACTGCTCAAAAATTATTAAACACTTCTTTTATAGTAACAAGGAGATAGCCTATTCGTGATTCATGGGAAAATGTGTACATGTTCAACTCACAAAGAGAAAGCTTTGAAATTAAAAGAAAAAGAATTTCTACTATGCCATTATTCAAAGATAGTAAAAGTAAAATTTCTACTTTGACCTCTGTTGACTAACTTCTTCTTAAAGTTAGAACCAAGAGTTTAGCATTTGTCTGTGTGGTTAATTTTGACTTCCCAGTCAGATTTATGAACCATTTCATACTCTTTTAAAACAAATAGTTTCACATTAGAGTTATACATGTTCTTAAGTTTGCAAGTTATCTTAAATCTTTTTCTCATTATGTTTCTGTTGCATGTAAATTATTTTAAATAATCGAAATTATTCTGTTTAGCCCACAGTTTAAGGTTTTCAATATGTTTTTAGAGGATTATAAACTAGAAAATACAGTTAACAGAGATTTTTCACATTGTTTCTAAATTCCCTCTTGTGTTTTCAAAAACAGGCACCTTTTTCAAAGTAGGCCCTAGTAGAGTTGTTACTTAATTTTTTTTTTAAATATTCGTTTTTTTTAAATAAGTATTCAAAGACTTCAGAATTCAAAAGATACAAAAGGATATCCAGAGAAAAATTCCTTCCACCCCCATTTCTCTCTCCAGGGACAAACGCGGATATCCTTCCAAAGAATTTCACCCATATCCAAGATAATAGGTTTACATATTCTTATCTCCCCTTTTTTTTTTTTTTTTTCTTTTTGAGACAGAGTCTCTCTCGCCCAGGCTGGAGTGCAGTGGTGCAACCTTGGCTCACTGCAAGCTCTGCCTCCCGGGTTCACGCCATTCTCCTTCCTCAGCCTCCTGAGTAGCTGGGACTACAGGCGCCCGCCACCACGCCTGGCGTGGTGTATTTTTTTTTTTGTATTTTTAGTAGAGACAGGGTTTCACTGTGTTAGCCAGGATGGTCTCGATCTTCTGCCCTCATGATCTGCCCGCATCGACCTCCCAAAGTGCTGGGATTACAGGCGTGAGCCACCGCGCCCGGCCTTATCTCCCTTTTTATACAAATGGCAGCATGCATTACACACTGCACCGCTCCTTGCGTTTCTCACTTAACACTACCACTTGAAGATCAGTCCATCTCCAACTACACAGTCTCCTCTTGATATCTGGTATCCCAATGAATGGATAGACTGTACTTTATTTAATGAATCCTCTTTTAATGGACAGTTGGGCTGTTTCCAATCTTCTTTTTTTTTTTTTCAGATGGAGTCTCACTCTGTCTCCCAGGTTGGAGTGCAGTGGCATGATCTCGGCTCACTGCAACCTCCGCCTCCCGGGTTCAAGTGATTCTCCTGCCTCAGCCTCCCTAGTAGCTGGGATTACAGGTGTGTACCACCACGCCCGGCTAATTTTAGTATGTTTAGTAGAGACGGGGTTTCACCGTGTTGGTCAGGCTGGTCTGAAACTCCTGACCTCAGGTGATCCGCCCACCTTGGCCTCCCAAAGCGCTAAGATTACAGGTGTGAGCCACCTCCCCTGGCTTGTTTCCAGTCTTTTGCTATTAACAACAAAAAACTAGCTCTTACTGGGTGCCAAGTTCTGTTCCATGTTGTTTCACATAAATCATTTTATTTAACCCTCAGCACTGCAGAGAAACCTTTCACCTACATGACTTCACACAAAAAGGGGAATATATATGCCAGATAAATCCCTAGACGTACGATCTCTGGAACTGAGGCTATGTGCATTTAATTTTGGCACATGTAGTTGTTATGCCAATTCACCTCCCCACAAGCAATGTAAGCACATGCTTGATCGTTCCCATCATATGCTATCAAAATTTGAGTTTTACTAATGGGACAGGTAAAAAATTGTGTCATAGTATGGCTTTAGTTTGGGTTTCCTTTGCTGTGAGTGAGGTTAAACATCCTTTTGTAAGTTCAAGGACAATTTCTATGTCCCTTTTCTATGAAGTAAAGTTTTTTTGCCATGCAGAGTTTAAAAAGTTATACAGATGAATTTATCATTTTTTGTTTGTTTCTGTCTTCAGAAACAGTTTTTCATTTGTTTGTTTGTTTTTTTCCCAAGACAGATTCGTGCTCTGTTGCCCAGGCTGGAGTGCAGTGGCACAGTCTCGGCTCACTGCAACCTCCACCTCCTAGGTTCAAGCAATTCTCTGTTTCAGCCTCCCGAGTAGCTGGGATTACAGGCGCACGCCACTATGCCTGGCTAATGTCTGTATTTTTAGTAGAGACGGGTTTCACCATGTTGGCCAGGCTGGTCTCAAACTCCTGACCTCGTGATCTGCCTGCCTTGGCCTCCCAAAGTGTTGGGATTACAGGCGTGAGCCACCGAGCCTGGCCTTCAGGAACAGTTTCTTTTTCTTTCTTTCTTTTTTTTTTTTTTTTTTGAGATGGAGTCTCACTCTGTCACCCAGGGTGGAGTGCAGTGGTACGATCTTGGCTCACTGCAAGCTCCACCTGCCGGGTTCCAGTGATTTTCCTGCCTCAGCCTCCCAAGTAGCTGGGACTACAGGCACACGCCACCACGCCTGGCTAATTTTAGTATGTTTAATAGAGACGGCGTTTCACCATGTTGGTCAGGCTGGTCTCGAACTCCTGACCTCAGGTGATCCGCCCACCTCGGCCTCCCAAAGCACTAGGATTACAGGCGTGAGCCACTGTGCCCAGCCAGGGACAATTTCTAAGTGAAAAAAAAAACAATTTGGTTTCTGTTTTTACATCACTGTTAGAAAGCCTGAGGTTTTTTTGTTTGTTTTTCTCATTGTTTCTTCTAGAGTATTTATGGCTTTATTATTATTTTTTAATTTTACTTTTTAAAAAAAACTTTTATCTGTTTAGAATTTTCCCTGATTAAGGAGTGAAAGATAAATTATTTTTTTTCTAGATAGATACCTGATTTAGCCAGCATTTATTGATTAATCTATCCTCCACAAATCAGAGATACCACCTTTTATCCTAAATTAAATTCTCATCTCGACAGAGTTTTAGAATGAGATGGTGCATATAATTTTGTGATGCCAAATTTGGATGTTCTCTTCCTAATGCTTCCTAAGATAGTAATTATACAGCTTACCATTTTTTATTGAAAAAAAAAAAAAGAGAACACATCAAACTTCTGAGAGCACATTATCCCAATAGAAATGTGTATGCTTTTGAGTAGAAGAAATAAAAATGCAAAATTAGAATTATTTAATCGGAAGCCTTTTAGAATAATCTTAGTTTGGTTTTTTTTTGGTTTTTTTTTTTTTTGTATAAACCCAGGAACTTGGTAATCTTAGTTCTGTTTTATTTTATCTTCTTTTTTTGAGACAAAATCTCAGTTTGTTACCCAGGCTGGAGTGCAGTGGCGTGGTCATGGCTCACTGTAGCCTCAATGTCCCTGGACTCAGATGATCCTCCCACCTCAGCCCCCTGAGTAGCTGGGACTACAGGCATGTTCCACTACCCCCAGCTAATTTTTGTATTCTTTGTAGAGACAGGATTTTGCCATATTGCCCAGGATGATTTTGAACTCCTGGGCTCAATAAATCCTCCCACCTTGGATTCCCAAAGTGCTTGGATTACAGGCATGAGCCACCGCATCTAGCCTTAGTTTTATTTATTGAAGTGGACAGACAGTGGAAAAAATACTGGACTAGGAGGCAGGAGGCCTGTCAACTTTGGTTTTTTGTTTTATTTATTTATTTATTTATTTATTTATTTATTTATGAGACGGAATTTCGCTCTTGTTGCCCAGCGATCTCGGCTCACTGCAACCTCCGCCTCCCGGGTTCAAGCAATTCTCCTGCCTTAGCCTCCCGAGTAGCTGGGACTACAGGCGCCCACCACCACACGTGGCTAATTTTGTATTTTTAGTAGAGATGGGGTTTCTGCATGTTGGTCAGGCTGGTCTCGAACTCCTGACATCAGGTGATCTGTCCGCCTCGGCCTCCCAAAGTGCTGGGATTACAGGCGTGAGCCACCATGGCGCCAGGCTTCAACCTTGTTTTTGTTTTTGTCTCAGTCTGGTCTCTTCATAATTAAATAATAATAATAACAACAAACACTTAGAACATTGCCTGGCCTTTAGTAAGTGTTATTCAAGAGCTTTACATACAGTATATTAATTCATTCAGTCTATATAATTATTAAAAAGTTTATAATCTGTTATGAATTATACAAATATTAGATATCTTTACTAAGAAAATGTTGATAGGCGCTTTCAGCTCAGTCAAAAAAACAAAAACACATCCGACACTGTTGTTAATTACATTCATGCTATAAAGTATGGAAATAAAGTAGAATGATTATCTGAAGCAGCCTATGCATTAAGTGCCTTCCTTTTTACCTTCATGTTTCTGTGCCTTTGTTGTTCCCTTGGTCTGAATGCTCTCCCCTCAACACTTAAGTGTGTACCCTTCTTTTCTTCCAAGACCACCTCAAATATCAACTCCTGGCCTTTCTTTTTTTTGAGATAGAGTCTTGCTCTATCACCTAGGCTGGAGTGCAGTGGTGTGATCTTGGCTCACTGCAGCCTCTGCTCCCGGGTTCAAGTGGTTCTCCTGCCTCAGCCTCACAAGTAGCTGGGATTACAGGCACCCGCCACTATGCCTGGCTAATTTTTGTATTTTTAGTAGAGACGGGGGCTTCACCATGTTGGCCAGGCTAGTCTCAAACTCCTGACCTCAAGTGATCCGCCCGCTTCGGCCTCGCAAAGTGCTGGGATTACAGGTGTGAGCCACCGCGCCCGGCCAACTCCTGGCCTTTCTTACAGGTAGAATTATTCATGTAGTCTTCTGATTCTCTAGCACCATATATACCATGGTATCCTTATAAGTATCTATTATAATAGAGGTAGCTTCAATATTTTTGCTTGTCAATTAGACTTGAACTTCTTGAGGGTAGAGCCTATGCATTATTCATCTTTGTATCTCTGCTCAGCTTCTGACATAGTTCTTGGCATATAATAGATGTCCAGCTGAAAGAAAAGAATAAATATTTGCATACATGACTATATAGCTCCTATTTGATAGAAGTTGGAAAGGCCTCTATCAGAATCAGAGCATACGAGCCTCAATAGCTGGTAAAACCAAATCATTCATTCGTTTTATTTCTCTTTGAATGTATGAGAACCCGAACTTGAAACTGTTAAATGGCTTATAGTCTATTTTAAAGGTGTGATCCACAGGGTAAAAATCAGATATTTTCTCTGATTGTACATTTTAGCTTTTGCATTTTATTTTTAAAAGCTATGTTTCAATTGTGGGGGCACGCCTGCAGTCCCAGCTACTCCAGAGGCTGAGGCAGGAGGATTGCTTGAGGCCAGGAGTTCAAATCCAACCAGGGCAACATAGGGAGACCCTGTCTCTTAAAAAAAAAAAAAGGCACACTTGGTGTGCTTGGTAAATAAGAATATTGATTATAATGAGATTAGGAAATAAATACAGAAACATCACGCTTATCAGGCATTCAGACTTCTGTCAGTTATAGCTATCTGGAACATATTCAGGAACCCAGAGGGAATCCAAAAAAGCCTCTGAAGTTGGAGAATAGCTCTCACAAAGCATGTGTACTTGATGTAGGAGGGAGAGGCACAGTGCCACTCACATGCCAAAGCCCTACTTACTGACTTCACATTTTCATAAAAAAATTCCAAGGACTGCTTAGCATGTGTGGTCATTCGGCCTCCTTTCAAGACATTTTAGCTTGTTTCTGGTTTCAGTAGAAAAAAGATTAAAAGAACTCTCCCACCCATGCTGCCAAGAAGGCACTAAATAAAGTATTGTTGACATGAGTGTAAAAATGATTCTCATGGTTTTCTCCAGAAATCATGGAAACTTACTTTGTGTTTATTTTTTAGTCTTTAAGAATTCTGCTGGACTCATGCAAAATCAGTTGTGACGATACTTAATTTATTCTACTTTTTAAAAAATCTGAGGTTTAAAAAGAGCGATATCCCTTTGATCTCACCTCTTTGAAAGGGGGTCATTAATTTGAGAAAGACTTCTTTATTCCTTTGAGTATTTAGATTATTAATCATAGGTTAAAATCCTCAATGTGAAAGGAGCATGTATAAACTTCTTTGCATAATTTGGTAAAAGCTATACAAGTAAGTCAAGGGAAAAAGTCAAAAGCCATGTTTAAGTGATTTGGGGACTTTTTTTGAGTCGGAGTCTCCCTCTGTAGCCCAGGCTGGAGTGCAGCAGTGTGATCTCGGGTCACTGCATCCTTTACCTCCCAGGTTCAAGCGATTATCCTGCCTCGGCCTCCTGAGTAGCTGAGACTACAGGCATGTCACCACACCCAGCTAATTTTTGTATTTTTGATTTTGCATTTTTGTATTTTGTATTTTTAGTAGAGACAGCATTTCACCACATTAGCCAGGCTGGTCTGGAACTCCTGACCTCAAGTGATATGCCTGCCTCGACCTCCCAAAGTGCTGGGATTACAGGCATGAGCTACTGCACCTGGCCGATTCAGGGGCCTGTTTTAATGCATGCTAAATATACTTTTTGTGTAGGGGCTATAGATTAATGAAAATTGGGATCATTCACTTTTCTTCTCGCTTTCTCCTTCTATTTCTAGATTGCCAAAATGCTTTGGAGTTTTTAACTGAATCTAAGAAAAGTCCAAAATAGATTTGAGACTGTAAAAACAGAAACTGCAGCAAGGGGGATTCAGTGCCAATGCATCAACAAAAAAGACAACCAGAGTTAGTGGAAGGAAATCTTCCTGTTTTCGTGTTCCCCACGGAGCTCATATTTTATGCAGATGATCAGTCAACACATAAGCAAGTGTTGACACTGTACAATCCCTATGAGTTTGCCTTAAAGTTCAAAGGTGAGTCTCCTAGCTCTATTTTCTGGGTTTTTAACTGGTCCCTACTAATTTTTTACTTGTAGAAACTAATTAAAAAAAAAAAACACTAATGGCCATTGTGACTTTTTCTTTCAGTTTTGTGTACTACTCCAAATAAGTATGTTGTCGTTGATGCTGCAGGTGCAGTAAAGCCTCAGTGTTGTGTGGATATGTAAGTCAAGATCAATTCCTGGTAACACGTTTTAAGTGTGTTAATATTTATGTTTTTAACTTGAAAAAAAAAGATATTTTCTTGAAGCTGTTCTCACATAGGCATTTATTATATTTTGAATTTTTGCCGAAAGTTTGTCTATCGAAATTGTTTCTAAGAGATTCGGCCAAATACTTAATAATATTTTATTACGTTGGAGCTCATGTATATGTTAGTATCTCCATGAACATTTTCTCATTGTTGTGGTTTTAGTCATACCAGGGATGCTTATAAAGGTAAAGTTCTGACTTATTCCTTTAAATTTCTCCAGCTATAATAGGGGATTTAGCTTTCCTTGGAACATACTGCTATTATAGTGACATTTGGAAAAATGTAATACTACAGTCTAAGAACAAGGGTAATATAAGTTCATCTGAAGTGATTCAACTAAAAGCCTGGAAGTTAATCTATATAAACAGGAAGCAGTTGTGCAACCACTCATCTGTAAAATATTATTTGAGCTCTTCCAGATAATTTCATCTTAGAGTGTCAGATAAATGATTGTTCAAGCTGTTCATATTTAATTTTTATTTTAGAACTAGTGGTGACCAGATGGATCCATTGACCAGCCCTTAATTTAAGCTACCAAGTACACTGTATTTGTTTAAATCTTCTGTGAGAATGAGAAGCAGAATTCTTTTCTTTTGAATACTTTTTCACCAGCTCAAAGCCATAAAATGATGTATCTTTGAGAACGTTTTTGCACATTTTTAAAAATTTTCATTCAGTACACAGTAAGCAAGAGCTATTACAAAGAAATGTAGTCTCTTGCCAAATAAATGTGTTACTTTGACCTAATTGTTTTGTGTTCCCTAGTACGAACAAAATAAAATAAATGGAATTGCAGAAAACCCATAAGAATTACAGTGTTTGGCTGGGTGCAGTGGCTCACGCCTGTAATCCCAGCACTTTGGGAGGCTGAGGTGGGAGGATCACCTGAGGTCAGGAGTTCAAGACCAGCCTGGCCAACATGGTGAAACCCCGTCTCTACTAAAAATAAAAATTAAAAAAAAAAATAGCTGGGCGTGGTGACAGGTGCCTGTAATCCCAGCTACTTGGGAGGCTGAGGCAGGAGAATCACTTGAACCCAGGAGGCAGAGGTTGCAGTGAGCCGAGACCACACCATTGCGCTCCAGCCTGGGCAACAAAAGTGAAACTCCGTCTCAAAAAATAAAATAAAATTACAGTGCTGTATACTCTTTTCTCTTTAGAGAAGTAGAGGTGTATTATTGGCCTTCTGTTGCACTGGTAATAGTGGATTACTTACTTATTTGATTGCTTGTTTCTACCTGCATACATGGAATTCAATTTTAAGTGTAGGGCGAGGTTTGTTGCCTAAACAATAAGTAAGTAGCAATAGAAATTTATGAGATGTTTGTGGGGAATAAACAATTGCATGTATTCCTATTTAGTAAATGTTGCTGCACTGAGTTATCCAGAAAAAAAAAAAATGTGATTGCTAAAGAGAATTTTTTTTCTTTCTTTTTTTTTTTTTTTTTTTTTTAATAAGACAGAGTCTTGCTCTCTTGCTATGGCAGCGATCATAGCTTAGTGCAGCCTCAACCTCTTGGGCTTAAGGGATCTTCCTACCTCAGCCTCCCAAGTAGCTAGGACTACACGCACACCAGCAAGCCAGTTAATTTTTAATTTTTTTTGTAGAGACGGGGTCTCTGTGTTGCATAGGCTGGTCTCAAACTCCAGGCCCCAACCTCCCAAAGTGCTGGGATTACAGGTGTGAGCCACTGCGCCTGACCAAAAAGGAATTTTCTTTACCTGTTATTTTTTTGCTTAAGACTTTTATTCTGTGTTTTAGATTATGTGCTTTCATCCAATGTTTCCGAATTACTCATTTCTTTTGGGTTATACTGTGATTTTTTAACATCTTAGCAAATTTCTGTTTTTGAGTATTTGGTTGTAGTCAGTTAATATTGTTTAATATATTAAAATATCTCACTGCCTTCTGTTTGGCCGGCCCCCAGAAATCTAAACAGCATTTGTTATTTTTGCTGTTTTCAGTGTGATTCGTCATCGAGATGTTCGATCCTGTCACTATGGTGTAATAGACAAATTCCGTCTCCAAGTTTCCGAGCAAAGCCAAAGGAAGGCTTTGGGAAGAAAAGAGGTTGTTGCTACTCTTCTCCCATCAGCAAAAGAACAACAAAAGGAAGAAGAGGAAAAAAGATTAAAGGAACATTTAACTGAAAGTTTATTTTTTGAGCAGTCGTTTCAACCAGGTAGTTTTGGGTTGTTTTTAAAGCCCTTTTGAGGTCTTACACATTATTAACTTTAAAATAATCAGGCAGCTAAGAATAATTACTAGAAAAATCATCTACCACTTCAAACATGGTCAACTACTTCAAAACTGCACCTAGAGAATCAGGTACCTGAAGTAGAACAAGAAGCCTGGAGGTGGACTTTGAGAGGAGGGAATACCCCTCACTGGACCAGGCTGTAAGGAGCGGGTAGATGTTGCTGTAGCCTTTTAAATATATCTGTATTTAAACATAAACATAAATATATCTAAGACTGCAGGCACCATACTTTATGAAGCTAGTACAATTTGGCAGTTCCTATACTTTTGTTTCCATGACTTTCCTATATCCTTTCTCATTTAATTAGTTCCAAGGAAGAGAGAGATTGTGTTTGGCAATAGGCCAAGCTTAGTGCACTGTTCATATTATTTTGAAAAAAAAAAAAATCTCATTAAAGTTGAAGTTAATTAAACTAAGTAGATTATGATATCCCCTGTGGGCTATTAATTGAATCCCTCTCCAGCCCTCATTTCCTTCCAGCTTAGATATTCAGAAGTGTTATGATATATTCTTTCAACATTGACACTACCCTCATATTCAACTCTTTGGACGTCATTATCCCGTCTTCTTAACTTCTCATTATCTCCTCCTAAACCTGTTGTAATAGGAGGATGATAAAATTTTCCATAGAAAACCAGGGAAACTGGAAACTTTTTGATGGTGATACTGGTACATGAATATGATAGCAGCTGTCCTTGAAATTGCAACATTTTATGAAGGATTAAAAAAAATCTACTTGCTGTTACATTCAGTCGTATCAGTTTGTTTGTTTTAGGATGTTCATTTCAATAACAGGGAGTAGTGCCTCTTTGATTTACTGTAGCCAAGAGTTTTTTCCTAGTCCATTAGGGACCATCTAGATTTTCTGGTAATACCAGGACTAGTGACTAGGTAGTAGCTATTAGGTTGGTGCAAAAGCAATTGCGATTTTTGCCATTACTTTTAATTGCAAAATCCGCAATTACTTTTGCACCAACCTATAGTGGATTGTTTTATTCTCAGCAACTATTATCAACTGACAGGACCAGCTTTTCATCTTTTGAAGCTGAAAGAGAACCTTTGTCCAGTGTCACTTTATCAGATCAATATTGTAAAGTTAACATAGTTATGAAATGCAAGATTCCCTTTTTAAAATACTTCCTCTAGTACAAAGAAGGCCATTTAATTTGTATTTGTTTTTTGAAGTTACACTTGTAATTTAAAATGGTCTTTGAAGTTCAGTTTTGTATTTAACAGATTGGTTTAATAACCAAGAATAATAAGGAGTAAGATTTAGGGGTATATGTGTATGTAAATATATGTAAGGAGAACTTTATTCCTTTTATTTTTAAATTTATTAAAATTCAGGTGAAGATCATGCTAAAAAGGCTAAATAATTAAAGTATGTATTGTCTTATTTTATTTTTTATTTTTTGAGAAAGGGTTTCTCTCTATCGCCCAGGCTAGAGTGCAGTGGTGCCATCATAGTTCTCTGCAGCCTCCAACTCCTGGATTCAAGTAATCCTCCTGCCTCAGCCTCCCGAGTAGCTGGGACTACAGGTGCTCGTCACCACACCCAGGGTCTCGCTATGTTGCCCAGGCTCGTCTTACCTAGCCTCAAGCAATCCTCCTGCCTCAGCCTCCTAAAGTACTGGGATTACAGGCCTGAGCTCCCGCACCTGGCCTTATTTTAGTTTTCTAACAAACCTTGGTATCTAAAGTATATTAAAGAATTTTTCTAATAGTAAAATTGGAGTAGGCAGATGAATGAGGATAGGTGATGCTAGCATAACACATGGTGATCTCTGTTTTGAGGGAAAAAATTATCTAATCCATTCCTGTAAGGAAGCTCAATGAAGGCAGGCACTTTTCCTAGTAATTTTATATCCTCAGCACCTAGCACAGGGCCTGGCACAGAGAAGTTACATAATGAACTTGTAAATGGGCTGAGCTAGGAAGGCTGGACTTCAGGTCTGGTGAGGGTCTGTGGGAATGGTTTTTTTGTTTTGTTTTGTTTTGGCTTACAAGGTTTTCATGGCTATGACAGCTGTTTAGAGGAAAGGTGATACCACAGCAGAGCCCCATTCACAGTCCTGGCCAACATGTCCCGTTTATGGGTAGTTACCCCAATGTGCCTAATTACCTGGAAGTAAGTTGAGTAAAGTTTTCTTCTTTAATAGAGTATCATGATGACTGATTTAGTCTCCTGTCTATTAAATTTACAGGAATTTATGTGTAGTTTCCAACATGTGGAAAACTCAGGTTTTTAAGTTTTTCTGAACTAAAATGTTGAAAATTAATTGAGATTGTTTTGGGGAGGCTTTGAAATGTCATTACTTTTACAAGTCCTTAGCTTAGAGAATATTTCAACAAATGCGTATTATTAAAGTATTAGAGGTGCAGCAGTGTTGTGAGACTCACTTTTAGCAGGAAAATGGTTGATGGCTTCATTATGAAAAATTTGGATTTTGAAATATATTGAAAGTCAGTAAAAACGAGAAAAAAATTTAAGTTTATTGTATAAAACACATATAGCAATAACATAAGAAAATGTACCTGTAATCTCACACACTTAACAAATCTGCTTATATAAGTGTTCCATGTTACTTTCCAGACCTTGCCTATGTGCATAAGTACATTTTGTGAGTATATTTTGTGAGTTTTTTTCATTCAACAGAAATTTAACTGTTAAATTAAGGGAAACCTACAAAGTATACTTTCATAAAATGCTAGAGTTCAGGTTATTAAAAAGCCATTTTAAAAGATACATCTGAATCTTAGTGGGTTTGTCTTAATTACATTATTAATGAACTGCTGTGTCTATGCTATAATGTTTGAGTTAGTGCCCTCTGGCTTCAGAAAATTATGGTCTTAATTATTGTTTATAATAATACAAAATTGAAAATAACCGAAAAGTCCATCAATTGGGAATTGATTAAATTATAAATATTCATAAGATAGTGTGCCAGGCAGACATTTACAAGGATCTGATAGAATGATGAATGCTTATACATTGTCATAGAAAGAGCTTCAAATATATTTCTAAGTAAGGAAAAAAAAACAGTTATATAACAGTATGTATAATATGGCCTTATTTATGTAAAAGATTCTTCTACATGTTTATATGGGCATTTGTAAAATCTAAAAGGATACATACCAAGCTGTTAACAGTGTTAGCTCTAGGAGGGTGGAATTATGGAGGAACATTTACGTTTTCTGTATCTTTATAACATATTTTACAACGATCCTGTAGTACTAGGGAAAAAAGCTTTTTCCATTTTGAAAAATTTCAAGCATTTATGCAAATGTTTTTCGAATACTAAAAATTCCAAATTTCTCTAAATACTAAATGTTCTCTACTAAAAATTATTTGAAATTATCTTTTGTGGGTTTGCAGTGAATGGCGTACTTGTCATAAATAACTGTTTTCTTTGAGAATTCATCCTTGCAACAAAGATAACTATAAAGGTACTCTATTAACTGAAACAAGACTTGGGGTTTTTCTTTTAGGTATTTCTGCTATTGTTTCATTCCAAACAATAATTACTATAAAATTTGAATTTGTTTTCACCTCTCTGGCTCTGATGAAGTACAGTTAAACTCCACACAACAGCTAAGGTATTAATAATTTAGAAAAGTTCCATTTAATAATAGAATGAACAGCATTATTTCATTAATGAAACACAAAGATTGTGTTGCTGTTGGCTATTCCTTTCAATGAAAGGAAAGGTAGTGGGAAAAGCCATATGACAGAAAATGCTGTTATTGGGTTTCTTAAAAATATGAGTATGTATACTATACACATAGAGCCAGAACTGTAGAATAGCAGGTCTGATAACATTTTTAATCTTTTTTGTTTTGTTTTTTTGAGACAGAGTCTTGCTCTGTCACCCAGGCTGAAGTACAATGGTGCAGTCTAGGCTCACTGCAACCTCCACCTCCCGAGTTCAAGCGATTCTTCTCCCTCAGCCTCCTGAGTAGCTGGGACTACAGGTGCGTGCCACCACACCCGGCTAATTTTTGTATTTTTAGTAGAGATGGGGTTTCACCATGTTGGCCAGGCTGTTCTCAAACCCCTGACCTCATGGTCCACCCACCTTGGCCTCCCAAAGTGCTAGGATTACAGGCGTGAGCCGTGCCCAGCCTTTTTTAAAAATCTTTTAGAATTTTATTTTAGGAACATTTAACATGAGATCTACTCTCTTAAT
This sequence comes from Homo sapiens, assembly GCF_000001405.40. Taxonomy (NCBI): domain Eukaryota; kingdom Metazoa; phylum Chordata; class Mammalia; order Primates; family Hominidae; genus Homo; species Homo sapiens. The sequence goes on along the minus strand of NC_000023.11, from coordinate 134,892,551 downwards.
GAATGTTCATGTAAATAAAATATTGGTTAAATGTGGGAACAATTGTCGAGTAGATTTCTAGGCCTCACTCAGTTTACATAATTGAGACCTATGCCCATTGATTAGCAATTTGCATTATCCTCCTCCTCCAGCCCCTGGCAACCACCCATTTTGCTCTCTGCTTCTATGAGTTTGACTATTTTAGATTTCCTGTGTAAGTGGAATCATGCAGTATTTGTCCTTCTGTGACTGGCTTATTTCTCTTAGCGTATTTGCCAGATACTGTTTCTGCTGTTTTCTTCTTTACTATAAATGGGTTAGAGCAGAGGGAAACACTTTTGGTTCCTTAACATTTTCAAAATTGATAGCGGGATGTGCAGTTATTAGGATCAAACCTATCTGGGGAGCTCCTTAAAATATTCTCATAAAGGTAGTGGAGGTCTAGTGTGGCAGGCTCAAATTGAATATACACAGGCAAGCCACTGGGGTACTGGAAGAAAGTATCAGAACTTCAATTTATATTTATTTTTAGCACATTCTTCCAAAAATCTATTTGTATGTTTTATATTAAGCATAACACAGTACAGAACTTGTGCATATAATTTTAAAATGTGCATACATCGATGATACATGCTTGAATACTTTCTACTGACTAGGGTGGGATGGTCGGGGGAGTTGGTGACCACCTTTCAGTAAGAACTCACTACCTCACAATGCCACGTCAGCATTCCATCCTGCAATGATTCAGACCAGTTAAGACATGGGCTTCCACATCAGCCCAGCAGTTAACTCTCAGATGGAAAAAATGATGGGGAAACAATTGGAGAAGTTAGACAAAATCAGAATACTGGTCTGTGGTGGCCAGTGTTTGTGAAGGAACTTTTGTCTTAAAGTTTTTAGAAGGAAGCTTAGGGATTTTTGTCTTTTTACAGAAAACAGAGCTGTATCCTCAGGACCTAGTTTACTAACTGTCTTCCTGGGAGTGGTGTGCATTGCAGCCCTGATGCTGCCTACACTGGGGGATGTGGAATCGCTGGTGCCTCTCTACCTCCACTTAAGTGTGAATCAAAAATTAGTGGCTGCTTATATCTTAGGTAAGGGTTTTAAAGATGCATTTGGGACATATGTGTAGGGCTTTATGTGTGTGGTAGGGTGGTGGTGGTTTGATTTTTTTTTTTTTTCCCAAAGAACAGGTAAAGAAATGCTTCAAGAGCATATTGAGGTCAGGTGCCTTTGAAGACTTTTTTAACTCACATTTAGTTCTTTTTAGCTTATTTATCTAGTACCTGATACTATATTCAATTATTTTCCTTTTGCTGACTTACAATGGCATAAAACATGTATAAAATGTAAGACGCATGCATTCCATGATACAGCATTTCTACTTTTAGGAATTGCTCCTAGGGAAACAGACAAAGTACATACAGTGATAAAGATGAACAGTGCAGCCTTGTTTAATATTGTGAACGTTTCTCTTTTATTATTATTTTTTCTTTACTTTTGAAGCCACCATGTTCAGAACCTTTCTCTTTAAACTAATTCCCTTATTTCCTGTTGATTCACTATTTCAGTCATCCTGGCTTGAAATCTTAGAGTTAATTGTTTCAATTGAACAAATATTTATTCCGTACCTTCCATGTGTCGAGGATTAGTGTTCTGGTGATGAATGACTTTCCTCATGTTCTCCTCTCACCTTTGCTTAGATGCCAACTCTTTTCAGTATTCCCTGGCATATGTGCTTTCTCTTATTTATTTATTTATTTAGAGACGGAATTTCGCTCTTGTTGCCCAGGCTGGAGTGCAATGTTGCCATCTCGGCTCGCTGCAAGCCCCGCCTCCCAGGTTCAAGCTATTCTCCTGCCTCAGCCTCCCGAGTAGCTGGGATTACAGGCATGCACCACCACATCAGGCTAATTTTGTATTTTTAGTAGAGATGGGGTTTCTCCATGTTGGTCAGGGTGGTCTCGAACTCCCGACCTCAGGTGATCCGCCCAACTCAGCCTCCCAAAGTGCTAGGATTACAGGCGTGAGCCACCACACCTGGCCGCTCTCTCTTTTTTATTTTGAAATCATCTTGATTGTCTCTCTCCCTTCTGTCTGTGTTCCTTCTCTCCCTATTTCTTTCCCCCATTCATTCCCACCCCCAACCATCCATCATGTTGTCAGATTAATTTCTCTTTTGCTCTCACAACCACCCCCTAGTCAGAAACCTTCAGTGGTTCCCCATAATCCATAGGATGAAGTATATAACCTTCAGTGCCATAGCTTGGCATTTAAGACTCTCCACAATCTGAGACCTCTCTGAGCCAATTTTATCTAGCTACTTCATTCTGTAAATCACTGCATAAAGCCTTTTAGATTATTCACTCATTCTGGAAAAGCTCCTCTAGCGGCCCGGTTCTCCAGGCCCTTACTCATGCCATTCCCTCACCTGAAATGCCTGCCCATCTCCTCGTTCTCTCTCTCTTTCCTGTCCATCTTTTTTTTTTTTTTTTTTTGAGATAAAGTCTTGCTCTGTCACCCAGGCTGGAGGGCAGTGGCTGGCTGGATCTCGGCTCACTGCAACCTCCGCCTCCCCAGTTCAGGGGATTCTCCTGCCTCAGCTTCCCAAGTAGCTGGGATTACAGGTGCTTGCCACCACACCCGGCTAATTTTTGTATTTTTAGTAGAGACGGGGTTTTGCCATGTTGGCCAGGCTTGTCTTGAACTCCTGACCTCGTGTGATCCACCTGCCCCGGCCTCCCAAAGTGCTGGCATTACAGGCATGAGCCACCATGCCTAGCCCCTGTCCATCTTTTAAAGCAGCTTTTTATCATTGGGGGCAACTTTTCTGACTGCCCCAGTCCCATGTGATTATCCTCCTTCTCTGTACTTTTTTTTTATCACACTTTCATCATCCTTCATTTAGGACTGAGCATATTCTTACTATTTTATATTTTATATATTCTCTCTTCAAAAGAGAGAAGCAAAGTAGGAATGCCATACTTCTGTCTCTTTGTGGCCCTAGGGCCCTGGGATACAGGTAGACTCTTTGTGCTTCTGTTAACAAAGTCCACTGGCTTTACCCATGCTTCAAAATGGCACATCTGCTATTATTATGTTTGATGTGACTGGATAAAGTAGGAGGTATGTTTGATAGATAGATTTGCTATGGCCAGACATTAGTGATTTAATTAAATCTCTCCAGTGACTGCCCATTGCTATAAATTGGATTTCTTCTTTATGATATCAACAAAATTCAAATTGACTTTGGGTTCTTGGTAGAGTGCCTGCCTATGTGCTATGTTGTATTTGTTCATTGAGGTCCAAACAATTGCTTATTGAATGAAAGATTCTGTTAGGTGCATACCTTTAACTGTTCTCCATTTTTCTTCTTTCAGGTCTTATCACAATGGCCATACTTAGAACATGAGCAAGGATTTCAATTGACTTCTGAAGTAAATCTGTCTTGAAAATATGAATGTGGACTGCCTTTTATCTCTATTTCACTCCATTAACATGCAACAAACTATTGAATGATTTCAAATAATTGCAAATGTATAATATATATTTTAAATTATAATTTAATTTGAAGGACTGCAGAACATTATTTTACAGACAGCAAGGATGCTTCTGAGTGACACCTAGGAAATTATTTGAAGAAATTCTTTTTATATCTATACCTGTTGTGTAAGAAACTTTAAAACATTTGTTATTTTCTCACCTTTTTTTCTAATTCACTTTGATTGCTAGGGGTCATGTATGCTTCGAAGTTACAGGACTAAAAGAGCAAACTGACCGGCCTAAAACTAAAATGACATTTATTCCCTAGCTACAAACATCAGCGTTATTATGTTAATTATACCTTGCCCTCTATCATTATAAATGGTTGCCATGGTGTTTCTAAAAATAAGTGTTTTACCATTAATGTGTAGAGGGCAAACAAAGCATAAAGTACTAAGGGATCATGCTTATCCTAGGGTCTCACAGAAGAGAGGACATATTTAATTAATCTTGTGAATTACAGAACAGGTTGTGGTCCAGACACCAAGAATCATAGGGGTTTTTTTTTAAAAAACCTAATAGAAGTAGGGTGACCTCTCTCTTTGGTCTAAGAGTTCTAAAGGAAGGTAGGCATCTGTTTAATTAGTTGGTTCACCCTGGCTTTACCTCTGGTTAATGCTTTGTGTTAATAGGAAGGAAAAATCACTTTATCTTTTCTTCCAAGCCCCTCCCTGCCTGACTTACCCAGACTGGGATTACCAGATACCAGGTGATTTATGTGGAGATGATTTTTCACCTTTAAACTCTAAGCCAAGTGTAAGAAACTCTTGATAGCTATGTCTATTTTATATCAGTCACTGAGACTTTTTTTTAAGTTTTTATTTATTATTAAGACAACTTTGCCAAAAAAGTCCCCTAAGCACAACTATTTACATTTCTTTATAGCCTCTTCTGATCTCTAACACATATGCAGTTTTAACTGTTATTTTCATAGTAACTGATCTTTTGTCTAAGGATTTTTACCTGAAAGCACAATGTATTGAGTCTCTTGAAAATCATCTTTCAGATCTTTTTACAGAATGAACTTATGCACTGCTACTGTAGTATTCTCAAGGAATATATGTAAACACAAATGTATGCCTGAGGTTGGTTTTTGCAGAAAACAGTCTCTGCTTCTAAAAACTTCTATGTCTAGTCTTCCATAGGAAATCCTCACTGTTTAACCATGTGAGGAGCCTAAGTCATTAAACGGATCATGTCTGTACATTGTGTAATGAATGAAAAGCACATAAATGTAATCTACTTTGAACTTTGTAAAAATGATGTGTGGAGGCTATTCTTGTTTCTCCATCTCAAGTCCTGTGTGTGCACGTGTGTGCAAGTGCACATGTGTGTGTGTAATAACACATTGTAAAGAACAGAAATTACTTTAAAAAATAAACAGAAATGGAGACCTGAGCTTCACATTGATTTAAACATTTTATTTGACTTATCTTTGAGGAACTTAAGGTTTTAGCTCTCCTATTTCCTAAAGTTGTCTCATATTTCTGTGACTGACATAGGAAAAATAGAAACAGTGAAATATATCAGCTTGATTTACCAAGGGATTTAATTCACTTTGTAATTTAACTTCTTGAATAGGTAACAATCATATGTTTCAAAAGTAGAAAACTATAGATATAAAGTGAAAAATCACTCCTCACCCTCCCGGTGCACCCAGCCCCTTACAAGTGACCACTTTTATTAGTTTAAATATACGTGTGTGTGTGTGTGTGTGTGTGTGTTTGAGACAGGGTCTCTCTCTGTCACCCAGGCTGGAGTTCAGTGGCGCAATCTCGGCTCACTGCAACCTCAGCCTCCTGAGTAGGTGGGATTACAGATTTGCACCACCACACCTGGCTAATTTTTGTATTTTTAGTAGAGACAGGGTTTTGCCATGTTGGCCAGGCTACTTCTGTTTCTTTATGCAAAACATATACAAGTTGAGTATCCCTTATCCAAAATGTATCCCTCATCCAAAATGCTTGAGACCAGAAGTGTTTAGGATTTGGGAATTTTTTCAGATTTGGGGATACTTGCATATACATAATGAGATAGCTTGGGGATAGGACCCCATCTCTAAACATGAAATTTGTTTCATGCATACCTTATACACATAGCAGGTAATTTTATTTTTCCCTTGGGGACATTGAATAAACTGTTGTGCACCTGCCTTTTGACTGTGACCCATCACATGAGGTCAGGTGTGGAATTTTCCACTTGGGGCATCATGTCAGCACTCCAGAAGTTTCAGTTTGGAGCATTTCAGACTTTGGAGTTTTGGATTAGGGGCGCTCAACCTGTATATTCTTATTTCTTTTCTATAGAAACAATAATAGTATCATGAGTAGTCAGAGACCTGGGGTTTGAGCTGGCTCTGGAAGGGTGAGTTTAATTCACATACAGAGAGGAATTGGATTCACAAGAAGAGGCAAGGATGTGCCACAAGGTGAGATTTGTTTTGAAATAATGTCTAGGGAGATGAGGCTGTTGTGTATTCCATTATTTCCTGTCTGCTGTGAAGAAAACTTTACTGCCATGACTCATGGGGATGAACACAGGCTCATGAGGAAAGAACTAAGCTAGCGAAGGGGCCACAGGTATCACAAAATTTAGTCAGAGAGGAGGTAAAGAAGTAATTCGTGAAAACAAATATGATTCATCCTGAAGGCAGCTAGCAAACAGGAAACACAGCAAGAGACATGGCAATAGTTGCAATTATCTGTCACTGCGGGTGTTTCTGCCACCTCGAAATCGTTAGGCCAGCACAGTTCTGCCACCCGAGTTCATTTCAAAAGGAGTTGTACAAAGTCGGCATGTGAAGTTTTAAGTTTCTAGAAAAGATTCTGGAAACGAGTGTCTCCCAGGTATTTTCATTCACTGAACGAGTAAGTTGAAGGACTATAGCAGCTGCAGAGGTGATATCTACAGGGTTTCCACACACACACGGAAATAGACGCTAAGGTTTCAAAACTTGACTATTATGAAAGAGATTGAAGATTTCAAGTGGTACCTAAAACCCTGCCATTTAGAGAAAGCATGCCTAAAAGGAACAATTTAGACCTAAAGGAAGTTAGGGGGTGGGAGGAACTGGGACCATAGAGCTATCTTAGAAGATTCAAATGGAGGGGCCCAGCCAGCCTAGCTGCATTATCCTAGAAGCAGAATGTCAAGTTAGTGATTATTTCATTAGGAAAGTATTTGCTACACCTATAATCTGGAAGTGATAAACAACATACCAGAGCAGAACATTAGTCTCCGGGATTAAATACCAAACAGAATAACAAAGAGTTGACCACCTAAGAGAGGCCTGTCCAGTTACCACATCAAAGACCCTTTAAGTAAGCCATGGGCAGAAAAAGGAGGAATAAATTGACACTGGTTTGGAGAGGCTTTATATGACCAAGAGAACAAAAATGCAAGCTGGCTGTTTATTTTGTTCATTTAGGTTTTCTGTGATTTGCCCATCACTTAGTTAATCAAAAGATAGTCAACAAGATCAAAGTGACACCTGCCATGGGCTATGTTAGCTTCAGCGCCTAATAGAAACTGGGTCCAGTTCAAAGAAGATGATGGTGAGGAATGTCCAGCTCACTAAATACGTTTGCCAATTAGCTGGGTGATTGCTTTGTGAATCACTGACTTAACAAACACATAAGCTAGACAATTCAGAATGTGATCCAGGTAGGTGGGGGAAAGGCTTGATTTGATAAAGTGAAAAGAATAAATGAAATTATTTCGTAAGAATACAGACAGATTTTTTAGTCCACCAGGGTAGAGAAAACAATGCGAAATCTGTCTTGACAAAACGAAGTGTGAGGTGTGATTATGTTAAGAGAACTGCCAACCCCTGGAATAGAAAGCAGAATGTAAATGTGGCACAGGCGCGCGCGCATACACACAGATGAAATCCCACAGTAAATTACTTTTGCACAATCATAAGTCACAGGAGGCACGGTTAGGAATGGATTTGGTTTCTTTCTTTTTCTTTTCTCTCTTTCTTTCTTTCTCTTTCTTTCCTTCTTTCTCTCTCTCTCTCCTTCTTTCTTTTTTTTTTGTCTGAGACAGAGCCTTGCTCTGTCGCCTAGGCTGCAGTGCAGTATTGTGATCATGGCTCACTTCAGCCTCAACCTCCCAGGCTCAAGTGATCCTCCCACCTTAGCCTCCCAAGTAGCTGGGATTACAGGCACACACCACCACGCCTGGCTAATTTATTATTATTATTTTTTATAGAGATGGGGGTCTCACTTTGTCAGGCTGGTCTCGAATTCCTGGGTTCAAGCAATCCTCCCACCTCGGCCTCCCAAAGTGCTGGGATTACAGGTGTCAGCCATCATACTCGGCCAGGAATGCAATCTATTAAACAAAAGCACCCTCTCTCCTAATAAACATGTTTTTGCGGCTAATCACTGTACTAGATAACCTGTATCTTTTGCTGTTCTCAGGCTGCTAGGGAGCAGATGTTTTTTGTTTCTTTGTGTGTTTTTTTAAATAGACTTTATTTTTGAGAGCAGTTTTGGGTTCACAGCAAAATTGTTCAGAAAGTACAGAGTTCAGATATACTCCATCCTCCCTCCCCCACATGCACAGCCTCTCCCACTAGCAACATTCCTCACCAGACCGGTACATTTGTTACAATCAATGAACCTACATTGACACATCATGATCACTCAAAGCCCATAGTTTACATTAGGGTTCACTGTTGGTGTAATATATTCTATGGGTTTGGACAAATGTTTAATGACATGCACCCACCAGTATAGCATCACAGGTAGTAGTTTCAATGCCCTAAAAATCCTCTGTTGGGGTTTTCTTTCTTACCTTAAAATATTTCTTATGGAAAATTTTGAATATTTACAAAAGTCAATAGAATAACATAAATGAACTCTGCCTATGTACCTATCACCTGCCTTCAGAAACTACCAACCATGGCCAATCGTGATGAGATGGATTTTGGTGTTTTTTGTTTGTTTTGTTTTTTTGAGACAGAGTCTCACTCTGTTGCCCAGGCTGAAGTGCAGCGGCACAATGTCGGCTCACTGCAACCTCCGCCTCCTGGGTTCAAGCGATTCTGCTGTCTCAGCCTCCCGAGTAGCTGGGATTACAGGCTCGTGCCACCATGCCCTGCTAATTTTTGCATTTTTAGTAGAGATGAGGTTTCACCATATTGGCCAGGCTGGTCTCGAACTCCTGACCTCAAGTGATCCACCCGCCTCCGCCTCCCAAAGTGCTGGGATTACAGGTGTGAGCCACCTGCGGGGCCAAGATGGATTTTGTAAAGGATATGAGTACATAGCTATTGGCAGACTGATATTACTTTTGTGGAAAAGGGACTTCTCACCCACTTTAAAATGAGTGATTGAATTATTCCAGGGTAAACAGGCATTAGTATTGAGCATTAGCTGTGTTAGGCACTTTGCAAATGATATCTAGACCCTTGCTATTCCATGTGTGGTCCGTGGCCCAGCAGCATGGGCTTACCTGGGAGCTTACTGGCCATGGAGAGCCTCAGGCTCCACCCACGACTGACTGAACCAGGGTGTGCAGTTTAACAAGATTCCCCAGGTGCTCTGTCTGTGTATTGAAAGTTAGGAAGTACTGACTGCCTGGCACAGAGTAGGCTCTAAACAGCCTCCTAACAATCTTGCAACAAGACCACAAGGCAGATATCATCATGTCAGATTTACAAAATGAGATAAGTACAGTGCAGAGATGTTATTTGGCTTTTCCAAGATCCCACAGCTAATAAACTTAGGTCAGTCTGGCTTCAGAGTCTATGATTTATAGCATGCTTCCTCTCAGAGAGTTCGTGGTTTTTTGTTTTTTGTTTTTTTGTTTTTTTTTTTTGAGGCAGAGTTTTGCTCTTGTTGCCCAGGCTGGAGTGCAATGGCACGATCTTAGCTCACTGCAACCTCCATCTCCCGGGTTCAAGTGATTCTCCTGCCTCAGCCTCCCAAGTACCTGGGATTACAGGCACCCGTCACCATGCCCAGCTAATTTTTGTATTTTTAGTAGAGACAGGGTTTCACCATGTTGGCCAGGCTGGTCTCAAACTCCTGACCTTGTGATCTGCCCGCCTCGGCCTCCCAAAGTGCTGGGATTACAGGCGTGAGCCACCGTGCCCGGCCAAGAGTTCGCTTTTTTAAAGGGAGTTTACTGGCCGGGTGCTGTGGCTCACACCTGTAATCCCAGCACTTTGGGAGGCTGAGGCGGGTGGATCACCTGAGGTCAGGAGTTCAAGAACAGCCTGACCAACATGGTGAAATCTTGTCTGTATTAAAAATACAAAAATTAGCCGGGCCTGGTGGCGCATGCCTGTAATCCCAGCTACTAGGGAGGCTGAGGCAGGAGAATCGCTTGAACTCAGGAGGAGGAGGATGCGGTGAGCTGAGATTGCACCACTGCACTCCAGACTGGGCAACAAGAGCGAAACTCCGTCTCAAAAATAAATAAATAAATAAAATAAAGGAGCTTACTTTTAGGGCAACTCAGTGAAAAAAAGAAACCAGGATGGTATGTGTATACATAACACCAAAACAACCAGTCATCTCAGCAACAACAGCAGAAAACCAAACTGCTACCACGCAAGCTACTTGCATGCTACTTGCTCCACTAGAAGGCTTTTCACATTTCAGCCAGTTATTATGGTGTCATGTTGGACAGCTAAATATTTCAGAGCAATCAGAAAAAAACCTAGAGCAATTATCAAAGTTCTTCTCTCTTGTCAGTGACTGTTAACCCAAATAGGAACCAAATTGCAAACCACATGCTCTTCCAGAACAAAGAGAAGATTTGCTATAGTCCCACATAACTGGTAAAGGCATTTTAAAAAATCAGTCAGATCAGTCTGACTTCATGTAGGCAGAAAGGGCAGGTAGTTGATTGCTATTTCTCTTTCTAACCCACTGAGTGACCTTAGCCTGTAGCTCTGCATGAGTGTTGAATTGCTTACACCAAGAAGAGAAACTTAAATGCTTGAGCACTGCAGGGCAATACAACAGGCGCTTTTGTTTCTGGGTAGCTTTTTGAAAGGAATATTACTGGAAAAGGTAGAAAAAGCATAATTCTTGGAGCACAACTCCCAGTTTAGCAGGAACTCATTAGATCTCAGGAACTTCTCCCTTCTAATCCTGGGAGGAGATTAGGCCATTTCCTTCTCTTTCGCTGCCCTAATGACTCTGGGGACTTGCATTAATGGATCAGCATGGCTACTTGGTTTTGCAATGAGCTGATTTGATGATTAATTAGCCTCTAGCAGGAATCTGATGAAGTTCTTAGCTCAAAGCTCCAGGGATCCAGTTCAGGGCAATCTGCTCTCATAATCAAAAAGACCAGGTGAAGAGGTTCACAAACTGGCCTGATGATAGGACTCCATGGGGTTATGATTGACTTTCTACTTTATAACCAAATGACCTGGACATAATATGCTGTTGTGAAACAGTAATATACTATGGAAAAGTAGTAAACCTACTGGCTCAACAAAGCTAATTGTCTTTATACATGAGATCAAATTCTTAGTGTATCTCCCCTGCCATGTAAATAACCATTTGGGTCATTTTATCCCACATTCTAATGAATTTAATATTTCATGGCCAACCTTGCCCTCATACTAAAAAATGTAATGAACAATATTAATAGAGTCAACATAAGCAAAAACAAAACCAAAAAACATATAGGGTAAATAGATAAGACCTTAAGAGTTATTCTAAGAATGTTTTTCTAAACACTGAAGAACATTTTAAAATAGGGTACTATTAGTACTGTATTTTGATAATGTATTAATCACTGTATTTTCCCTCCAAAGCTTCACGAGACTTTTCTAAGCCATAATTTTATTTCAATGATCACCATTGTAAGATTGGAAGGGCAGTTATTATTTATCTCTCTTTTACAGCTGAGAAAACTGAGACTCTGAAGTTGAAGTTACTTGCCCTCTGAAAAAAGGCCTCCCAGTGAGTAAGATGCAGAGCCAAGACCAGCATGCAGATCACGTGCCAGCCCTGCATTCTTTCCACTTCCCATAAGTTGAAGAAAAAGACAGCGCGACAGTAGCCACAAAAATGACCTCCTACAAAAACCAAGGCAACTGAGAACATGTCAGGTTTACTAAATTAGTTGAAAATACCTTTTCTCTTTGGAAATTACAAAATTACACCTGGTGGGTTATTTGATGGGGCAGAAAACTTGAGACATAAGAAGCTGCACTCATTGTGCTTATGATGGCCCTTGGTTGTGGGCTGTGGCGTAGACCCAAACCCGTGGCCCTTGGAGTGGGGCACAGAGCCAGCTTCATCCTCCCCTTCCCTCCCTCACTGCTCATCTTCTCCTCACCTAAGGGGAAGTGAGGAGTATTCTGGAAAGCAGTGGTCTCTACTCAAAAAGTAGGGAACTGGGGCCTTGTTTCCTGGGCTGCAGTGTCTCCTGGATCAAAGGCAGATGCCTGCCCTGATCGCTGCCTCTGGGGCTGACTGTGAAGGGAGTCATTAGTTTGAAGTCACTTCTTTTTTTTTTTTTTTTTTTTTGTGATGGAGTCTCTCTCTTGTCACCCAGGCTGGAATGCAGTGGCACGATCTTGGCTCACTGCAACCTCTGCCTTCCTGGTTCAAGTGATTCTCCTGCCTCAGCCTCCCAAGTAGCTGGGTTTACAGGTGCCTGCCACCAAGCCTGGCTAATTTTTGTATTTTTAGTAGAGATGGGGCCAGGCTGGTCTCCAACTCCTGACCTCAGGTGATCCGCCTGCTTCAGGCCCCCACAAAGTGCTGGGATTACAGGCTGAGCCAGGCTGGGATTCAGGCGCCCAGCCTGAAGTCACTTCTTCCAAAGAGCACCACATCCTAATGGATCTGAGCCTGGCTTTGTGTATGGGCTGCTATGCAGCTGAGGAGACTACGGTGCTCCTCCTGAAGTGAAGAACAAGTGAAGTTTGTGCAAAGTGAAAAGATGTCAAGAGGCCAGGGGAGAGGGGGTGGGGGATCCAAATTGATCCTACCTGTGGCATCACCATGGCTTCACTTCTGCTAGCCTCTTACAGTCTTAACATGACTTTGAGTCATTACTGTGAACAAAAGTTCTGTCATAAGGAATTTGGAAGAAGAGACTTTATTCCAGTGAATAAACTGGTGGGGGGCAGAGGGTGGAGAGGAAACACAGCCTTCTAATAAAGGGATGGTCCAGGTTTTATAGCAAAACTTCCTGTTCAGGTTCTCAATCAGATTCCTTTTATGCAAATGAAGGATTCAAATTTGATTAGTTCTCATTTGTCAACACAGCTGAGATCTGATTAGCTGATACAGATGAGCCCCGACTGGTTGCTACAGGTGAGCTCTGATTGGTTGCTTCAGGGGAGCTCTGAAAGTCCCAAAGTTAAACAGAAGTATGGGTTTTCTGACCTCTAGTCAGCAGATGGCTACTTGATTCCATTAAAAATTTAGTCACTTGGGATCCATCTTGAGGGATTGGCTTTATATTTGTTGACAGTACTTTCTGATGTTGTTGCGATGGGCAATAGAGTGTCCAGTATAGCTCTCCTAACCACAAAAGAGTGCTGGGGAATTGGGGTCCAGTTCAAATGATCTCATGGATCAATAAGTATAGATATCATTTAGATAACACATTCATAATCAGCCTGGGAATGAAACTCCACACATGAACCACATTTATTTGAAGGGTGCCTACTGCTAGAGGCCAGGCTATTTAGTCTGTAATTAGGAGGGGATTTCTGGAATTTTCTGTGAGCCTTCCAGACTTCTTGAACCTCATCCCTCTCATTAGGTAAAAGGAACAGAAAAAGTAGATGCTTGTTTGGGACAGAACAGTGTGTAATGGGGAAATCAGCACGTGAGAAACCATTTTGTAGTAGTTAATCTAAAGGTAAGAATTTCGCTAATTATGGAATGGGTTTATGGAAGGAAACAATGTCCTTGCTCTAAATGTTTATATCAAATTCTTCATTACTCCTAAAATCCCAGAGGAGGTTCTGGTTTGCACGTGGTAGGGTCTGGATGGACACTTGGCAGGGATATTGTGGAGGGAATTTGGGTATGGGACACAAGTCTGGGCTGGAGAAGCCACTTCTTCAAGCCTGAGATTATGTGAAAACTAGAGGTGCCAATCTATTTTCTTAAAGAAACTGTACCTTTTAAAGTACAAAATCATAGAGATAGAGAACAAATCAATGGTTATCAGAGGTTAGGGATGGTGGGGGGCAGGCGTGTGACTATAAAGGAGTACATGGGAGAGATCTTTGTGGTGATGGAAGTGTTTTGCATCTTGAGTGCAATGGTGGTGCCACGAATACATACATGTAATAAAATGGCATATAGAAGGAACAGTTAGTGCAAAACAAAAACCAACCAAACAAAAATGGCATAGAACCCCCCAACACACATTGTACCTATGTCAAATTTTCTGGCCTTTATATTGTACTATAATTATGTGAGATGTAATCATTGGGGGATACTAGCTGAAGGGCAACTTCCTGTGAATCTAAAGAGTTAAACCTTCAAGCACAATCCTGCATTTCTTTCTTTTTTAGATGGAGTTTCACTCTTATTGCCCAGGCTGGAGTCCAATGGTGCCATCTCGGCTCACTGCAACCTCCATCTCCCGGGTTTAAGTGATTCTCCCACCTCAGCCTCCCAAGTAGCTGGGATTACAGGCATGTGCCACCACGCCCATCTAATTTTGTATTTTTAGTAGAGATGGGGTTTTACTATGTTGGTCACGCTGGTCTCAAACTCCTCACCTCAGGTGATCCATCCACCTCAGCCTCCCAAAGTGCTGGGATTACAAGCATGAGCCACCATGCCTGGGCAATCCTGCATTTGTTTTAAGGGCCCTACAAAATCCTTCATTTATCCAATTTTTCTTTCAAGAGAGTCCCATCCCACCCCTACCCCATATACCATAGCTCTTTGACTCTTGAGAACTAGGACTACAGACTTAGAAACAAACTTTTCCATCTTAATTTCTCCACTGGGAGAAAAAAAAAAGTCAGAGAACATATGTGCCCTTCTTTTATTTTATCTATGGATCCGATATTTCTGATGGAGCTATTCCACTAGTAATGGCTTGAGCAGACTGGAAAGCTTCTATAGCCAGCTAAGCCAGCTCTTCTTACTGCCACGGAATAAAAGCAGAAACATGCTAAATTCCTTTCATCCCTTTGATGTGAATAGAAGCATAAGGGTAGGAAGGAAGGAGGGGAAGGCCAGGAGAGTGTGGGGTCTTGTGGTTCTGAAATGAGAAGCACCAGGCCACCACACAAAGCAGAGGGGCTTCTCTCAGCTCAGGAGGAGCTGTGTTTTTGGGGTTGAGACACACAGAGAAATTGGCCCAGGACATCAGGCACTTGAAAGCTAGCCTCAGAGAGGGTAGCAGTTTGAGTTGAATGTAGAAATCTGAACCAGCTTTCCCTCCCAGCCTCCCTAACTACACCAGAAGAGGAGATGAACAAAGCCTGAGCCCTTCGATGGGAACAGGTGGTTGTAACGGGCACAGGTCATAAAGGGATTTGGGATGGGAGCATCTGCTGCAGGCTGCCCCATTCCTGACACACCCTAGCTCCCAGAGGCCCCATCTTGGCCTTCCTACATTTATTCCATTGCATCTTCTTTGGCCCATGCAACCTAGCACTTGACGATAAGTCATCTCACAGTATTCTCTTATTTTGAGTTAGAGGAGCGTAGGGTCAAATCCCAGTTCTACCACTTACTAGCTGTGTGATCTTGGGCAAGTTGTCTAAATGTTTTTGCCCCTCAGTTTGCTTACCTGTTAAATGGGGGCAAAACTTGCTTTACAGGGTTCGTAAGGTGCCTGGCGCCTAACAGGTGCTCAGCAGATATTAGCTTTCTCCTTTCTCTGCTCATTGTTTCCTATGTGAATGGCACATCGCTCACTAGATTGTAAGCTCCTTCACGGAGCTTCCCTCCCTTCTTTCTCACCCAGTATCTAGCCTAGGGTTGGGCACACAAGAACTTGTTAATGACTCCTCATTGGCTAGGCTAAATGGACTTTTCCTGGCTGCCTCAGTAATGCTGATGGGGACCTGAAATGAACATAAGGGAATGCCAACGTTCCATTTTAGTGATATGAGGGTAACATGCTGAATTCTTTTTTTTTTTTTTTTTTGAGATGGAGTCTCGCTCTGTTGCCCAGGCTGGAGTGCAATGGCGTGATCTTGGCTTACTGCGACCTCTGCCTCCCAGGTTCAAGCGATTCTCTTGCCTCAGCCTCCCAAGTATCTGGGATTACAGGCACCCACCACCACGCCCAGCTAATTTTTTGTATTATTTAGTAGAGATGGGGTTTTACCATGTTGGCCAGGCTGGTCTTGAACTCCTGACCTCATGTGATCCACCCGCCTCGGCCTCCCAAAGTGCTGGGATTACAGGCATGAGCCACCACACCCGGCCAACATGCTGAATTCTTTACTTCCTTGATACAGTGTTATAGCAAAACTCATGTGCTAAGTCCTGCCTTTAGTGCAAACATAATTTTAGACACCAGTTATGCAGCTCAAGTAAAATTAGAAGCCAATGGTTTAAGTATCTTGACAAAATCGCTTCTTGATCTATTGCAGATGTGAAGTAGGAACAAGAAGCAATTACAGACTGACATGCTTATTGCCACAGAATTCAGAAGGTTATCAATTCTAACATAAGAATCTGAAATTGACCCTGTTACATCCATACCTAATCACTGTCTTGGGACCATACCTCAGTCAGTAGTCATTTGTGAGGTCCAATGGAAAGAGTAATGGATCAGGAAATGAAGACCAGAGCTGGAGTCCCAGATTCACTCATTCAGCCAAAAAACACTTACTGAATGCCTAACATGGGGCTAGGCTCTATGCATAACAGACCTGATCCTGCCCCATATGGAATTTACTACATTTGTAGCTGTGTGACCTGCGGGAATCACTTCATCTCTCTGGGTCTCATGCTCCCCATCTGCCAAATGGCGACAGATATATTTATATCATAAAGTAATTATTAGAATTATATGAGGGAATGCAGGGGCGAGAGCTCTGCAGACTGTGCTTGCTCTCTATTATTGTCCTCTATGTAATGGTTACATGAATAGCTTGTGATCACTTGAAAATTATGTCCTAAGTCTATTTCAAGGGGGCTGAACATGTTCTGCCTGTCTCATTTTCCTTCCTCACATGTTGTCAAGCCAACCAAAACCAGAGTGAGCAGGAGAAACAAAGAGAGTTATGCTGTGCTGGGCTACGTGTTACAGAGAATAGCACTCCACTTTGTGTTCTCAAGTGGGTTGGATTTCAGATAAGGTCCCATTATGAAATGAACCACGTTCCTACAAATGTAATGTTGAAGTCCTAACCTCCAGTACCTGTGAATTTGACCATATTTGGAAATAGGGTTTTTGCAGATGTAATCCAGTTAAGATAAGATCATAAGGGTCAGCCCTAGCCTGATATGACTTGTGTCCTTACAACAGGTAAATTTGGACACAGACACAGATAAAGGAGAATGCCATGTGAAGACACACACAGACACACAGAGGAGGCGGCCATGTGAAGATGGAGTCAGAGAGTGGAGTTGTGCAGCCACAAGTCAAGGAATGCTCGGGGCTATCAGAAACTGGAAGAAGCAAGGAAGGATCCTCCTCTACAAGCTTCAGAGGGAGTACGGCCCTGCCAACACCTTGATTTCATACTACTAGCTTCTGGACCTGTGAGAGAATAGATTTCTGTGTTGTAAGCCCCCCAGTTTGTGGCACTGTGTTATGGCAGCCCCAGGAAACCAATACAGTTCCAAAACAGCCACAGCCCTTCCCTCTGTTCTCCAGGTGGTCAGACGCCCCTTCCTTTTCTGCACTTGAATCCACATAATAAACAATGCCTCGATACAAGAGCCTCAAAGTGTGGGTCACCAGAATGGCAGAAGAGCTTGCATGGAATTCTGAATTTCATTGTACATTTTTCTTTTTTTTGAAACGGAGTCTCACAATGTTGCCCAGGCTAATCTCAGCTCACTGCAACTTCTGCCTTCCGGATTCAAGCATTTTTCCTGTCTCAGCCTCCTGAGTAGCTGGGACTACAGGCGCCTGCCACCACGCCCAGCTAATTTTGTATTTTTAGTAGAGACAAGGTTGCACCGTATTGGTCAGGCTGGTCTTGAACTCCTGACCTCACGTGATCCACCTGCTTGGCCTCCCAAAGTGCTGGGATTACAGGCGTGGGCCACCGTGCCCGGCCATTGCACATTTTTCAAATAAGTCAAGGTGGAAGCCAAGGTTGCCCTCCTTTACGCTTTCTGTTCTCAAGTTTGATGGAAAATAGCAAGAGCAGGCAGGCATGAGACCCACAGGCATGGGAACTGCTGAGTAAACAGCTGCTGCTGCTAGCTCTCAGCATGGAGACTATCTTGGGAAATCCGGGGGGTCCATTCTGGGCCCTGATAAAGGCCAGGGGCTTGCAGGAAAACCAGCCTCATTTAAGGTTTCCAAGAACTATACTGCAAGCTAGTCCAACCTGTGGCCCGCAGGCCACATGTGGTCTAGGACAGCTTTGTGGCCCAATACAAATTAGCAAACTTTCTTAAAACATTATGAGCTATCATTAGTGTTAATGTATTGTATGTGTGGCCCAAGACAATTCTTCTTCCAATGCAGACCAGGGAAGCCAAAAGATTGAATACCTCTGTGATATGGTTTGGCTGTGTCCCCCCGACAAATCTCATCTTGAATTGTAGTTCCCATAATCCCCCACGTGTTGTGGGAGGGACCTGGTGGGAGGTAATTACCCCCATGCTGCTGTTTTCGTGATAGTGAGTTCTCATGAGAGCTGATGGCTTTATAAGGGGCTTTCCCCCCTTTTGCTCATTCTTCTTCTTCCTGCCACCATGTGAAGAAGGGCGTGTTTGCTTCCCCTTCTGCCATAATTGTTAAGTTTCCTGAGGCCTCCCCAGCCATGCTGAACTGTGAGTCAGTTAAACCTCTGTCCTTTATAAATTACCCAGTCTCGGGTATGTATGTCTTTATTAGCAGCGTGAGAATGGACTAATATACCCAGCTATACTGTATCATGTGCTTCAGAGCCAGGCTGACAGCTTGTCTCTGCCTAGACTCCTCTACTCTTGCAACCAACCAGAGGCTGCCATCCTAGCAAAGGAGGTATCCCTTCTGTAGGACAGACAGCTGATTCATTTAATCAGTGCATATGTCTTATTTTGAAAAATTACTATTTGGCAACCAACAAAGTAATAACTGATTCAGGCAAGAGTCATCAACAGATCCTTAAACTAGAGAGCGAAATTTTTATGAGAAATGCGATATTTACATAGTCTCAAACTATCTCCCCATTTGTTAGTTATTAAGCATAAAAACAAAATAATATCTTTACAGTGGAAAAAACTGGCGGACATCATCTTAACCAAGGAATCAAGGTTAACATCACCAACCATCACATGCGTTTTTATGTTTCACCCCCACCAAAAATGTGTAACCTAGCTCTCATGAGGACACATCAGGCAAACCCAAGTTGAGGGACATTCTACAAAATAATTGGCCTGTACTCTTCCAAAGTGTTGATGTCACGAAAGACAAAGAAAGGTTGAGGACGGTTCCAGATTTAAGAAGACTTAAGAGATTAAGAGACATAAAAACTAAATACAATGTGTGATCCTAGACTGGATCATGGATGAAAAAAAGCTATGTGGGACATTATTGGGCCAATTAAAATTTGAATATGGACGGCAGATTATATATTAGTACACTGCAATAATGCTATATTTCCTGAATTTCATAACTCTACTGTCTTTATATAACAGATTGTCTTTGTTCTTAGGAAACACAGTTTGAAGTATTAAGGAGAAGAGGAACATGACGTCTGCGATTTATTCTCAAGTGTTTTAGAAAAAATATGTGTGTCTGTGTGCGTATGAGTAGAAAGAGAGAATGATAAAGCAGTTGTAAGAAGATGCTTACAAGAGATGCATCTTGATAAAGGGTATGTGAAAGTTCTTTTTACTGTTTTTGCATACTATTTTCTGTAAGTTGAAAGTACTTCAAATTAAAAATTAAAAAATATATTATTTTCAGCATTTAACGATGTGCCTGATGCTGTGCTAGGTGTGAGGTATTCAAGGGAGAACAAGACATGATCTTTACCTTTAGCTCACAGTCTGAAGCAGGGAGACAAAGTGGCAAGCACAATTCCTTGTGATGAAGGATGCTGTGAGCACACAGAGGAGGTACGCTAAACCCAGACTTCTCAAGCAAGGGAGTCAGTGGGGCTCTCTACAGAGGCGGGAAAGAGGAGGCTTAGAGTTGGGATAACTTATTTAGCTTGGGGTGCCAGTGAGACATGCAAGAAGTTGGGGGGAAGAAGCCAAGCCTGGACCTCTAAGCAGCAAGAGGAAGCCACCTGCCTCCTGAGGACAGACAACAAGGCACAGATTAGCAGGTGTCAGAGGCCAGGCTGAGGTTGTTATAGCCTCTAAGGTAACATAAGAAGCACAGACACCAGCAAAACAGCTTGGGGCTGAAAGGTTGAACACAAGTGTGCTTACTGATGACCTTTGCGGTGATGTATAATGGATGCCCGAGAGGTATCAGGCCCCAGATTGATAAATACAAGTAACCTGGATAAGGGCATGACCCCAAATTAGTTTAAGTTGCTAATAATAAATGTCACGGCAGGAAGAGAATGTCAAGCGATCATAAGAAACTAAAGAAGTGATTTTTTGAGAACAGGATGAGCTTTACCAGCAATAAGGATAAGGTAGTAGCCAATTAACACACAACAGGATGGGGAGAGATTGTTGTTAATAGAAAAAATCCTGAGGACAGTACCAGGTCCCGTAATAAAGGGAAATAGGGGAGGCAGTACTGCTGTTTCAGAAGTTGATGTGGGAATGGGAATTTCCATTCAATTATGAGATACAAGAGCCAGGATGAGAAAGTACACCGATGTTGTTAGCAAGGACCTAGTGGGAGTTTTATTTTCTTTTTAAACTTTTGTGCTATGAAAAGTTTACAAAAATAATGACAACAGCATTAGTTTAAGCCACATGAAATTGCCAAAATTTGACCATTTTTGATCTACAAACATGGCAATTTTGTGTTTTAAGTGAAAACAAACCCCCATATACCCATAACCCAGCTTCAGCAATTATTGACACATGGTCAATTTCATTTCCTCCAAATCCCCACCCATTATTCCAATAAACTGACTGATATAAAGGAAATCTCTGGTGGAAGTTTTTGTTGTGCTTTTGTTTTAATGATTTAATATCTATAAAAGAGATTCGAATTACATATGTACACATAGTATTAAAATTAAGAGATTCAAATTACGTGTATATATGTTTTTAGTTAATTATTTTCTCAGTAAGTAATACATTCAGATGGTTCACAATTCAAAAGGTACAAAAAAACAGGATACGTGAAAATTCCCTTCCAACCCCTGCTCACTTGCCAACAGCTCTCTCTCCTCAGGGGCAATGAATAGTAACAGTTTTATTATTTTGTTTAAAAACAGGGTCTTGCTCTGTTGTTCAGGCTGGAGTGCAGTGGTATGATCATAGGTCACCATATCCTTGAACTCCTGGGCTCAAGAGATCCTCCCGCCTCAGCCTCCCAGTGCCCTTGGATTACAGGCATGAGCCACTGCACCCAGCAACAGTTTTTTTATGGATCCTTCCAGAGATGTTTTATGCATATGCTAGTAAAGAGATTATAAACTACTCACAGTGTTCTGCACCTTGCTTCTTCCATTTAACAATATATTCTGGAGATCATTCCATATCAGTACATAAAGATCTTCCTCCTTTTTAACAGCTACCTAGCATTCCATTTTATGAAGCATAATTTATTTAACTAATCAAATTACTACTGATGGACTTTTAGGCAGTTTCCGACCTGTTGCCATTACAGACAATACTGCAGTGATTTGCCTTATACATTCATCTTGCACAAAAGCAAGTAAGTATATCTGTAGGAAAAATTCCTCAGAATGGAATTGCTGGATAGAAGGGGGTGTGCATTTGTAATTATGATAGCAGTTGCCCAGTGGCCTCCAAAAGGTAAGAGCTGTTTGAATGCTGTCTACACCCTTTCATTATGCACAGTTTCCTTGCTGCTCCTTTCCTCTTACTCCAAGGGTCAAGGGACCACTTCCACATCTCAAATTTAGAAAAGCCCCTCCGAACTTAGCCTCCTATTGGTCTCCCTCAACCACATTTTGGGCCCCACACCCACCAGCCTATCCTTCCTCCTCTCTTCTTTTCCAGAGACCATCAGCATCCTCCTGCCTTCCTCTCCTCTTTCCAAGTCAGCCCCACCATCGGCCATTTTAGCTCTGCTAGCGTTGATCTCCCGGACTCACTCTCCCCGTGACCTTCGGCAGCACCTGCTCTGCCAATCCCTGGCCCTGTGAAAGCCCCACCATACATTCTCTCCATTGCCTGCTCCCAGGCGGCTAGCTGTTGCTGGAGAAGGTCATGAAGTTGGCTCCACTACAAAGCCAGGCCAGCCAGCCTCAGCTGGGCCCCAAGGGCTGCAAGGCAGTCCTTTTATATATCAAATTTCTCTCAGCAATTGTTCCAACTCCTCTCCCTCTCCTCATATCCCCTACCCCATCCTTGTGCCAGACCCCTTGGTACTGGGCCTGGCTTTGGATTTCAATGACAGGACATAGGTTATCAAGCAGGAACTCCTTCAATGTCCCCCTCTTCACCTCACTTTCCCCCACTTCTCTGCACATTCACCCATGCCTGTTCATCCACCCACACCACCTTCATGAGAAGGAGGTACTTCCTCCTCAAGGTTACCCCTTCCAGTTGTGTCCTTGGCACTATATTCTCTTGCTTTCTCCTACACTCGGCCCCAGAAGCCATCCTCTTTCCCTTTGGGCAAGCTCTTCCTCCTCACTAGTTTTTTCCTCTCAGCCTAAAAACACTTCCCTCATATCTGTGTCATTGTTCCACATCACCACCAGACTCTTTTTTTGTGATGGAGTTTCGCTCTTGTTGCCCAGGCTGGAGTGCAGTGGCGTGATCTCAGCTCACCACAACCTCCACCTCCTGGGTTCAAGCGATTCTCCTTCCTCAGCCTCCTGAGTAGCTGGGATTACAGACATGCACCACCACGCCCGGCTAATTATGTATTTTTAGTAGAGACAGGGTTTCTCCATGTTGGTCAGGCTGGTCTTGAACTCCTGACCTCAGGTGATCCACCCGCCTCGGCCTCCCAAAGTGCTGGGATTACAGGCGTGAGCCACCGCGCCTGGCCTGGACTTTTAAAATTTAGCAATTCATGTGGCTCCTGGCTTTACTTCCTCCTTCCATGTTGGCCCCCAAATTTAATAGTAAAATCTGAAATACTGACAAGTGAAAAGGAGAAAATCAAAATTATTCACAATGCCACCATCCAACTATTGACATATTCATGTATTTCTTTTCAATCTTTTTATATGCATATATATATATATATATATATATATATATATATATATATATACATTTACGTATTTTTTACAAAATTGGACCATAGTATAAATACTGGTTAAGTAAATGCACTTCTTTGAGTGAGTCCATTTCCTCCTGTGTAAAGTGAGGACTATTATAGTAACTACCTCACAGGGTTGTTATGAGGATTACTCGAGATAAAAATATAGAAAAACACTTATCACAGTGACACATAGCAAGTTGAATTAACGTTAGCTGTTACGATCTTCCCACGTCAACAAATATAGCTCTACATGAGAATGTAATGAGTTCTGTCACTGCAGTGTCTAATAGGAGTGACTAAAGCACTGCAGTGACTCACCAACACACATTCATTTGGCACAAGAGCAAGTATATCTGTGGGATAAACTCCTAAAAGCAGAATTTCTGGGCCAAAGGCTATGTGCATTTGTAATTTTGATAGATGTAGTCAAATTGCCTCCATCAAGTGCAAGTTACTATGATTTCTTTAACTTACAAAGAAGTAATGAGGCTGTTTCACATTTTTAACTGATACAAACCCAGACCATGAAGAACATTCTTATAACTGGATCTTTGCATAGATCCACGATTATTTATCCAGAGGAGAGGAAAGAGTATGAGTAAGGGCACAGAGGTGGAGGCTCAAATGATGTGCATGGGAAACTGCTAGTATTGATGACTAACAGAGGTGAGAATGGCAAGAGTTGAGGAAAATATAGTGGGACCAAATCATGAAGGACCGTGAATGTCACTGTCATTTATTCAGTCAGTCACCAAATCTTTATTGACCACCTACTACAGACCAGGTACTGTTTTAGATACTTTGTTCACTTACTGAACAAAAACAGAAGATTCCTACCCTGGGGGAGCTTACGTTCTGGCAGAGAGTGGCAAACAATATATGGAATGTTAGAAGGTGATAAGTTCTACAGAGAAAAGGAAAAGTACAGCAGGCCAAAGGGGATCAGGAGTGCTGAGAGTTGCGATATGAAGTACAGTGGCTACCCCATTGTGGACTTTGAACATACTCTACGATGAAGAAGTAGGCGTCACTTATACTTATCACCAACTTGCCACAATCCACATACCTGATAATCTAATTATTCTCCTTAAATCAGCTTACCTCCCCTACTTAGATTTATTTCAAAGGAAACTTCACAAGACTAGCATAAATGGAAACCCAGGATTGCTGTCACAAATGTCTAGAAAGGGAAGACCTTTCTAGAGGGGGCCGAGGCAAGAGGATCACTTGAGCCCAGAAATTCAAGACCAGCCTGGGCAACATAGGGAGACCCCATCTCTACACACACAATTTTTCTTTTTAATTAGGCAGGCATGGTGGCATGAACCTGTGGTCCCAGCTACTTGGGAGGCTGAGGTGAGAGGGTTACTTGAGCCCAGGAAGTCAAGGCTGCAGTGAGCTGTGATTGTGCCACTGCACTCCAGCCTGGGCAGCAGAGTGAGACCGGGTGCGGTGGCTCACACACGTAATCCCAGCACTTTGGGAGGCTGAGGCAGGTGGATCACTTGAGGTCAGGACTTCAAGACCAGCCTGGCCAACATAGCGAAAACTCATCTCTACTTAAAAAAATACAAAAATTAGCCGGGCGTGATGGCATGCTCCTATAATTCCAGCTACTCGCGAGGATGAGGCAGGAGAATTGCTTGAACCCAGGAGGCAGAGGTTACAGTGAGCCGAAATCATGCCACTGCACTCCAGCCTGGGTGACAGAGCAAGACTCCATCTCAAAAAATAAAAAAATAAAAAATAAATCAATACATAGAAAGGGAAACTGGAGAGTACCTAGCGCTGGCTTCTTCCCTTCCTTTTGTAGGTCAGTTATTAAATAACAGCAAAAACAAGCACTTACCAAATTATGTACTTATTTTCCAGGTAGCTTAGGGTTTTACATGCAGCAGATAATTTCATCTTCACAATGACCCTATGAGGTAGGTACCTTTATTGTCCCCGCTGGTTTAGGAAGAAACTTCGGTAAAGTGACTAACCTTCCCAAACCTCAGTTTCCTCCTAAATAAATGGAGACAATAATGGGAATACAGGAGAGAAGAGCCTATTAGCTTCTCCCCACTCCATGTCATGCTTAGGGGAGACTTGGAGAGGGGACAGGAAGGGGACAGAGGCTCCCTGCTGCAGCATTCCCTGACTGCCTTCCCAATGCCAACAATTGAGATTAGAACTAAATTACTGCTTTAAAACACCTCTCCCCAGAGTTAAATTTATTAGTCACTTTAATTTTCCTATGAAGAACTTTAATCAGAATGTCCAAATTGATTTCAGCCTTGCTAGGATGGGAGGTTTTGATTAGAAGAGGGGAAGATGATGTGCCTTGGGAGCATAGGCCCTTTTTTGGAAGAGGTCAGAGCAGGGTAGATTCTGAGCTGTTGGGGGTCGGGAGCTGGAGGGAAAGAAGCAGCAGAAAGCAAGGTGGAAAGAAACTAAAGACGAACCCTATCAGCTTCAGCTGTCTCTAATTCAAGTCCTTTTATGGAGGAAGCAGAATCTAACTGACAATAAATAATACATCATTAGAGAGACAGCACCTTGGTCCTGTTAACCTGCTTAGTCTCTCAAAGTATACTACTGCTATTCGACTTCCTGAGAAGTCATCTTTGTATCTTAAAAAAAAAAGTCATTTTCATCCATAGGAAATAATATTGGATTCCGAACTACTCGGTCAAAGACTTTGAGCCAGGCCAGGTGCAGTGGCTCACACTGGTTAATCCTACCACTTTGGGAGGCCGAGGGATCACTTGAGCTCAGGAGTTCAAGACCAGCCTGGGCAACATGGTGAAACCCCATCTCTACAAAAAATAACAAATTAGCCATGAGTGGTGGCATGCACCTGTAGTCCCAGCTACTTTGGGGGCTGAGGTGGGAGGATCACTTGAACCTAGGAGGTTGAGGCAGCAGTGAGCCAAGATCACACCACTGTATTCCAGCCTGGGTGACAAAGTGAGATCCTGTCTAAAAGAAAAAAAAAGAAAAAAAGACTGTGAACCAGAGATATGTCTTTCTCTGGTTTTAGTTCTCATTGAATAATGAGAATTCCACGAAGTCACACAGACGAACCCACGTTCCCTGAAAGGCTTACTTACAATCAAGAAAAAGTCAATATAATGTAGTAACCCTGGAATGTGAGCATTGGAGTAGATGAACCCATGTGTAGAATAAATATTTTTAAATCGCTTAGAGGAAATTGGAGGGTAAGGAAAAGCTTCTTATGGAAACTAAAAAGCTAAGAGTAGAAGGGGTTAGATCGATGGTGCAGGGCTGGCATTGCCTAATGACCCCTCATAGCCCACAGATGTGATGGGTTATGTAGGCTCTGTGACACAAAGGAACACAATGTTGGATCTGTTCAGTGTGGACCATCTAGGAGAGGACAGAAATCCCCAAAGGCAAGCACATTATCCCTGATTTCACAGTTAAGGAACGGAAACATCAGATTCCTTTCGCTGACACCCTGTTGAATGGGGGACTTCATTATCTACTACACAAATGCCTTCCCTCTCCTGCCCACATTTGGGGAGCCACAGACAAGATTCAGACAACCCTGGCCCTTATGCTGGAGTTTCAGTTTGGTAAAGTGTGATTAGCAAAAAGCTTGTTGCTTGGTAACAATGTGCTCTTATAAACCCTTAGATCTTGGTATGATGAAATAGACCAAGTACATCTATTGTTTTATTTTGCTTTGCTTTTTTATTCATTTCTTGTCACCAAGATCCAAAGGATGATACCATGCTTTGTGGCTTTCCAGATATCCGCCACCCCTAACCAATAGGACATTGGCAAGTATCTATGAAATCAGATTCTCTTCCTGTCAGTAAGTGGGGGAGTTCAGGAGGCCACTTAGATATATAGTATGTCACTGATCACTGGAACTTCAGCAAGTCACAGCCTTTCTTTAATTGAATATGCTTTTTCACAAGTTTCTAAGTTAAATAAAAGAAGTAGAATGTCATATGAAGCTATTCCTAAGAATTTTAGGAGACTCTAGAGAAAGGTCAGTTTATTCTCTAGATCACATTAGATTTTCTTTTGAAGGAAGTATGCCATTTAGCTGATCATTTTAAATAGTAATGAATAATTGTGTCTGGTTAAATACCAAGGCCCAAGATCTATAAATTAAATTCTTTAAAAACAAAAATAATCTGATTGGTCAGAAGCAGTGGCTCACGCCTGTAATCCCAGCACTTTGGGAGGTCGAGGCGGGTGGATCACCTGAGGTCAGGAGTTTGAGACCAGCCTGGCCAACATGGTGAAACCCCATCTGTACTAAAAATACAAAAATCAGCCAGGTGTGGTGGCATGCACCTGTAATCCCAGCTACTTGGGAGGCTGAGGCAGGAGAATCGCTTGAAACCGGGAAGCGGAAGTTGCAGTGAGCCAAGATTGTGCCACTGCACTCCAGCCTGGGCGACAGAACAAGACTCCGTCGCAAAAAAAAAAAAAAAAAAAAAAAAAAAAAAATTAGATCAACATTTTAAATAAAATAGACATATTTAAACATATTCCCTCACGCTCATTGATGTCTTTCTTTTGTCAAGCAACGTTTAACACAGCAAATTATTTTGAAAATCAGGATCTCAAAATCAAAACATTGTTTAAAAGAGCTACATATATGAACTACATAAATGAACATGCACTGCCGGTAGGGATATAAAATGGTAAAATCACTTGGGAAAACAGGCTTCTAATTTCTTATAAAGCTAAGCATGCATTCACTATATAATAAAGCAATTCTAGTAGGTATTTACTCAAGATAAGTTAAAATATATGTTCACACAAAGGCTTAAACACAAATGTTGATAGCAGCTTTATTAGTAACAACTCTCAACTGGAAATAACCCAAATGTCCATCAACACATGAATGGATAAACAAATTGTACCATATATACAGTGAAATATGATTTGGCAATAAAAAGTAATGAACTACTGATGGAGGAAGCAACACAGATGGATCTCAAAGACATTATTCCAGGCAAAAATAACCAGACACAAAAGAGTACATATTGTGTGATTACATATATATGAAGTTCTATAAAAAGAAAATCTAATCTACAGTGATGAAAAGTAGATCAGTGTAGCCTGGAGCCAGCAGTGAGTGTGGAGGAGGATTAACTGCAAAGGGGCAGTGGACATTTTCTGTGGCAAAGGAAATGGTCTGTATCTTAGTTGTAAGCTTAAAATGGCTGCAATTTGTACTACGTAAATTATACCTCAATAAAATTGATTTTAAAAGCTGCATAAGGCCGGGTACAATGGCTCACTCCTGTAATCCCAGCACTTTGGGAGGGTAAGGCAGGAGGATCACTTGAGCTCAGGAGTTCAAGACCAGCCTGGCCAACATGTGAAACCCTGTCTCTATTAAAAAATACAAAAATTAATCCCAGCTACTTGGGAAGCTGAGGCAGGAGAATCACTTGAACTGAGGAGGCAGAGGTTGCAGTGAGCCGAGATCATGACAATGCACTCGAGCCTGGGCAACAAAGTGAGTGAGACTGTCTCAAAAATAAAAAATAAAAATAAAAATAAAATAAAAGCTGCATAAATATAAAACTTCAAAATTGAAGATTTAAAGTTATTTCTGCTTAGCAAGCATGAAATATAAAGCATCCTGTGTACGAAGATGCAGTACCTACAATTAAGCAAGTACTCTTTTGAAAAACTAAGCACACAGGCCCATATGCATGGTGGAAGTCGTTGGGCTCAGTATTATTTGGAGCTGGTGCATATATTTATCACACTTTAATAACAAGTGCCTACTATGTAGGAGGAATGGCAAAAAGAATAAAAAGCAAAGGACTCATTAGGCTGGTAAGAAGATCAGGGTGTACACTGGGTTTAGCAGGAGAGCTGAGAACATGCCAAGGACAAGAAATGATATTCTACACATCACCATGAACCCCGGCCTTTCACTATCATCTTGTGGGGTGCCTCTCAGTTGAGAGGCCAATCAATCTGCATGCAGCTTGACCTTGTCTAACTCAGCTCTAATGTTGATCAAAAGCCAGAAAAACTGGTACCAACGACTGGGACAAAGAGTAGAAAATGGTATAGGACAAGAGATTCTTCAAATTCCTTGTCCAAGCTACAGAGAATCCTTTGCCTTCCCCATCAGTAGAGAAGCTCTCTCATTTTTTTTTCAATGTTTGGTAAAAAGTTCTACTAATGTTTTAATAATTGCAGGAGGCTGGATGAGAAATTGATCTGGAAAGCTTTATCCATCTATATAACCTTAGAAATTAAAAGATGGAGGGATAGATAATTGAGTGTCTCTCATATAATCTTAATTTTTTCATTATTATTTTTCTTTCTTTTTTATTATTTCAGTCCTGCTCCTTCTGCATAATCATAGGATAGGATTCAGAGTACAGTCACACTGAACTGGGAAGTATTCCGAAATTACTTTTTAGTCAGAGAACTCTAACACAACAATTTATAGAAACTGAGAATGAAATGTAGAAAAAGGGTGGAGTGTTGTGGTCATTTCTGAGTGCCACACTTTAAACATATTGATAAACTGGAAAATGTCCAGAAGCCAATGGGATAGTATCAAGGTCTGGAAACTATCTCAAAGAAAAAAAGACTGGAATGGAAAATCTAGAGGAAGAAAGATTTATGGAGACATGATAGCCATTGCCAAATATCTGAAAGTCCATCTATTGGAGAGGAGATGGGTTTTGCTTATTTTGTGGCATTCCCTAGGACAAATTAGGACCAAAGGATGGAAGGTAGATTTTGGTTCCATATCAGAAAGAATGTTTAAATGAGTAGAGCTTTCCAACAGTGAAAGACTCTTAGACTTTAATTCAATAAAAGCTTAAATAGAGGCAAAATTCTGGATCCTCTCACCCCATCTCTTACAAAATTAATAACTGCATATGAGTTTCTAAAATATATTTAACTTCTATTGTTTCTTGATTACACAAGTAATAGACAGTCCATGTGGAAAAATCTGAAAGTACAGACAAGGCAAAGAGAAAAGCAAATAAAAATAAAAACCATCAACTTTCCTACCTCCTAGAAACTGTAAGTTTTTGGCATATAAGCTTACAGAATTTTTTTCTGTTATATATCTACATAACATATATAGACACATACACTTCTTAAAAACAAAAATGAGGCAATGTGTGGTGGCTCACGCCTGTAATCCCAGCACTTTGGGAGGCTGAGGCGGGCAGATCACCTGAAGTCAGGAGTTGGAGACCAGCCTGGCCAACACAGTGAAACCCTGTCTCTACTAAAAATACAAAAATTAGCCGGGTTTGGTGGCGGGTGCTTGTAGTCCAGCTACTCGGGAGGCTGAGGTAGGAGAATCGCTTGAACCCAGGAGGCAGAGGTTGCAGTGAGCTGAGATCATGCCATTGCACTACAGCCTGGGTGACAAGGGTGAAACTCTGTCTCAAAAAAAAAAAAAAAAAAAAAAAAACAGCCAATAAAACAAAAAAACAAAAACGAGATCCCATTAATCACACTGCTTTTTAACTTTACAATCTAGTGTAAACATCTTTCCATGTCAAGTGATATATGACTATGCCATCATTCTTCATTGTTGCCAAGATTTCCATGGAATGAATGTACTGCAATCTATTTTAACCCAATGTTTCCCAAAGGGTATTCTATATAACATCAATCCCACAAGCTGTCCCTTAACAAGAGAATGTGGGTTAAACAGTTTGAAAATGCTTCATACCACATCCTCTTTCTTGGGCTTTCAGAATGTTAAACAAACAAGTCAACTGAATTTTCCAAACTTACTTGACCATGGACTTCCCCTGGACTTCCTCTTCAATTCTTCAGGATATGTGTACTTATTCGCATTTTATTAGGTTGGTGCAAAAGTAATTGCGGTTTTTGCCTTTAAAAGCAAACCTTTACTTTTTTTTTTTTTTTTTTTTGAGGCGGAGTCTCGCTGTGTTGCCCAGGCTGGAGGGCAATGGCGCTATCTCGGCTCACTGCAAGCTCCGCCTCCTGGGTTCACCCCATTCTCCTGCCTCAGCCTCCCTAGTAGCTGGGACTACAGGCACCTGCCACTGCGCCCGGCTAATTATTTTTGTATTTTTAGTAGAGAGCAAACCTTTACTTTTAAAGGCAAAAACCGCAACTACTTTTGCACCAACCTAATAAAAAGCACCCTGAGAAATGCGAATTTAACTGATCTTAGTGTAACTACACATTAGTTGTTGGTTTTTTAACATAAAACTTACTATTTTAACCATGCTTAGGTATACAATTCAGTAGCCTTAATTACATTCACAATGTTGTGCAGCCATCACTACTATTTCCTTTTTTTTTTTGAAACAGGTTCTCGCTCTGTCTCCCAGGCTGGAGTGCAGTGGCGCCATCTCGGCTCACTGCAACCTTCACCTCCTGGGTTCAAGCGATTCTCCTGCCTCAGCCTCTTGAGTAGCTGGGACTACAGGCACCCACCACCACACCCGGCTAATTTTTGTATTTTTAATAGAGAAAGGGTTTCACCATATTGGCCAGGCTGGTCTCCAACTCCTGACCTTGTGATCCGCCCGCCTCAGCCTCCCAAAGTGCTGGGATTATAGGCGTGAGCCACTGTGCCCAGCCCAAACCTTTTTTTATCACCCCAAACAGAAACTCTGTACCCGTTAATAACTCCCCATTCCTCCCTCCCTCTAGTCCCTGGTAACCTGTAATCTATTTTTTGTCCTTATGAATTTGTCTATTCTAAATATTTCATATAAGTGAAATAATATTTATCCTGTTTGTGTCAGACTTATTTCACTTAGGATAATGTTTCGTGCTTCATGCATGTTGCAACATGTGTCAAGACTTCATTCCTTTTCATGGCCCAATTTCATTATTTTACATGTGACTACTCAGTTGCCCCAGCACCACTTGTTGAAGACAGTAAGTTTTTTTTCATAATTGATTTTTTCACATTTACAAATAACATTACAATAAATATCTTTTTCAACCTATCCCGTATTTTTCCCTAAGAAAAATTCCTATAATTGCTATCCCCAAAGAGATGCACTTTTTGAAGGCTTTTGATACACACTACCAAACTTCCTCATTAAAGGACAATAGGACTCCACCACAGTAAATTCAAACACCACTTTCCCCACTCTCAACAGCCTTGTATATTATTTAAAATTTTAAAAATTTCTGCTAATCAATGTGGCATGGGTGTATTCCAAATCAAGTTGAAGGGTCCAGGTGCGGTGGCTCCCGCCTGTAATTCCAGTACTTTGGGAGGCCAAGGCAGGCAGATCA
Organism: Homo sapiens; assembly: GCF_000001405.40. Lineage (NCBI taxonomy): Eukaryota > Metazoa > Chordata > Mammalia > Primates > Hominidae > Homo > Homo sapiens. Next base: position 134,860,325 of record NC_000023.11, on the reverse strand, counting down.
CTTGAGGCCAGGAGTTTGAAACCAGCCTAGCTAACATGGAGAAACCCTGTCTCTACTAAAAATACAAAAGAATAAATGAGCATGGTGGCATGCGTCTGTAGTCCCACTCAGAAGACTGAAGCACAAGAATCGCTTGAACTGGGAGGTGGAAGCTGCAGTGAACTGAAACCACACCACTGCACTCCAGCCTGGGTGACACAGCTAGACTCTGTTAAAAAAAAAAAAAATTTGAAGTTTTAGCTGAACTTCCTTCTTCCTTCACAGCCCTACCATGCTGGCCTCAGTACCATCCTTTCCAAAGACCCCACTCTTATAGAGTTTAATGTAAGTCGAGTTAAGGAAGCAAACTAAACCCTTCCTCTCAGAAGAGGGAGACTAGAAATGGAAAGTATAATTAGGTTCCTCTGCTGGATAATGTAATTTTAAAGTATTTCCTTTCTCAGAACAAAGTCACAAGCCAGCTACTTGCAACTTTCAAGTTTGTCTGTTTTTGTTGGTGTTCAATGCAGAGTTACCAAGCACAAGAGCCATGCCAAGAAATAAACCAACTTAACGTACCAACTTAACGTCAGAAGGCTTTTCTTATTGCCATATAATAATTATCAAGGAAAAAGAAAAAGCTCTTTTACTGGTAGTCTGCTTTTTAGTGTGAATTGAGCACTTCTGAATTTGTATTGGGATGATGTTTTTATAGTTGATGTAGCTTTTGGCCATGTCTCTCTTGCTTCTCTGAAACAAACATACCAAGCGTATCTTTGTTTTGTCTCAAGTTGTTGTTACAGTACAATGAAAATTTTATGGTGAGTGCTGTGTCAGGGGGAACTTGTTATTAATATGGAAATCCTGAGAGGATCATTTATTCACACAAAACAAGAAACCAGGGGGAAATTAGCTTTCCATATTTCATCATAAATCATTCATAATTCAGAAAAGAGAGGAAACTATTGATGAAGCTAAGTAAAATGAGTTTCTTGTTGCCAGAAAGAATAAAAATATTAGGTATAAAGCTCTCTAATTTCCTAAATATTTTAAATGCCACCATGACTTTTACTGTCATACTAGCAAAGATGAAGGCAGATGTTTTCAGAGAATCCATAAAATTTTTAGAGGCAGAAGGGACCTTATAAATAACTAGTCTGATCTGTTTTACATATTGGATTCCTGAAGCCCAGAGCAGTGAAGTGACCTGCCCAAAGACCCACATAGCTAGTGGCAGAACTGGAGCTACAAGTCAGATCTCCTGACTCCTATACTTACTAATAATGTAGTTTGGTCACTCTCCCAAAAGGCTGACATGAGCATTTATGTTACTGATTTACTTTGCTGTCAGTAAAGCCACAGAAATCTCCAACTGCACATATGTAGCTGTTGGACAACTTATAGGATTTAGTTAATGACTGTATTCATTTAATGCATTTCTTCTGAGAGACCATGGTCATCAAGTCTCCCTTTAGTAAGGGGGTTGAGCAAGTTTCCGGGATTCCTATATGATGTATGATTCTCTCCACCTATACGTTATAGACACTTGTGGAAATCAATCTTGTTTACCCTTGGGTTAAGAACTACATTGTAAGAAATCTGCGAGACATTACGGAATTTCAGGAAAACGAAGTTACGTATTTGCTGGGGTACTTATGGTTCCCTGACCTTTTCTAAATGCACAATTGTAACTATCCAACAGTGAAGTCTACCTATATGATAGATTTTTCAAGCTCGACTTTTAAGATCTAAAATATTTAAAAACACTTCAGGCAAATTGTAATTAGTTTTCCCCACAGATACCTAAGTATCATACATGCATTTTCATCTTGGATATTTATATATAGCTGCTTCTAGGTGAATTTTCAAAATTCATTTAGGAGATGAGATTAAATATATCCTGTAGTGGGAGTACTAATAATTCCAGGAGTAGGGACAAAGATTAATGCAGAATTAGAACCTTAACTCATGTGCTTTTAATAGCTCATTTGATTTGTCTCAATTCTAAAGAGCCAATGAAACAGGCCACCTAAATACAAACTCTACACTCGTCCCCCCTTTTAATGTTAGAGACTTCTAAATATTAGAGCTGTCCAACAATACAATGAACTGTCTTGTGACAGAGTCCATTCATTCTTACAAGATTTCAAACTAAGGCTAAAAAATAACCTGTCTGGAATTCTTAAAAGGATTTCTGCATTGAGAGGTAGATTCAAAGACTTCTAAAATCCCTGAATACTAAGATTACATGATCTCAGTATTATCTTTATATCCTATTTTTACAGTAAAAGTGTCTTTTCTTATGTGTATCTATAGTCATGTTATGATAGACTATCTTGTATCATTATTTTTGTATTTAGTTATCCTACTTGAAGACAGATAAGGTATCTCACTCATCCTCATATATCATAAAAGTTTTAGTACAGTTTCTTGTACACAGAAAGTATTCATTAGATATTTATTGAATATATTTAAAATTATAAATGTTATTGGTTGATTTAGTAATTATAAATTTTAAAAACCATATATATATTTTCCTGATCTGAGGACCCAACTCATTACTACAGTGAGTTTTCATGTTGAATATCAGTGAATCATTAGGGTAAATTTGGAGCACTGCTCTTTTATAAGATTATAAGTAAAATAGGAATACTTGATTGAACACATATCTAAGGTTTAATAATGATGCTTTATAGTCACCTCTTGTTCTCACATTTTTAAGACGAGTTATAGGAGAGACAATTTTAAAAAACTAATTTAGGAAAGATGAAACAAGCAAAATCAAAATTCTAAAATTATACCATTGTGTGTTAAATTGTGTCCTCAAAAAGGTATCTTGAAATTCTAACCCCCAGGACCTGTGAATTTGACCTTATCTGGAAACAGGGTCTTTGCAGATATAATCGAATTAAGATGAGGTCATATTGGATTAGGGTGGGCCTTAAATCCAATGACTGGTTATCTTTATAAGGCCATATGACGACACAGGACACAGAGAGAATCACAGGATTCTCTCTGAGGCAGAGATTGGAGTGATGTATCCGTAAGCCAAGGATTGCCAGCAACCACCAAAAGCAAGGAGAGAGGCAAGGAATGGATTCTCCCTCAGAGCTTCCGGAGGCAACCAACCCAGGTGACTCCTTGATCTTAGGCTGGTAGCCTCCAGAACTGTGAAACAATAAATTTCCATTGTTTAAGCCACCCAGTTTTTGATGCTTTGTTATGGCAGCCCTGGGAAACTAATGCATGTCCTTCACTATAGAAAACTGATATGATAATTCTTCAGCATGTTTAGGAAGACAAAATATAGCCTTACCATAATTTTTTTTTTCTTTGAGACGGAGTCTCACTCTGTCGCCCAGGCTAGAGTGCAGTGGCGTGATCTCGGCTCACTGCAACCTCCGCCTGCCGGGTTCCAGCGATTCTCCTGCCTAAGCCTCCTGAGTAGCTGGGATTACAGGTGCCTGCCACCACGCTCAGCTAGTATCTTGTATTTTTAGTAGAGACAGGATTTCGCCATGTTGGCCAGGCTGGTCTCGAACTCTTGACATCAGATGACTCACCCACTTCGGCCTCCCAAAGTGCTGGGATTACAGGTGTGAGCCACTGTGCCCGGCCGCCTTACCATAATTTAAAAAAATCAAACACAGAATAGCAAGTAAAAGTTACAATCATTTTGGTCTTAAAATCAACAATAAATGGAAAATCATTTTAGAAATGGATCCTCCCAATACACAAGCTCAAAAGGTAACAGAATGGAGAACCAACTATGGAATCCCTGAGTCTGAGCATATTACAGTGAGTTGTGGTATCCTAGTGTACAGCTAAATCAACTAACTGAATAAAAACTAACTGAATAGGGCTGGGTGGGGTGGCTCATTGCCTGTGATCCCAGCACTTTGGGAGGCCGAGGTGGGTGGATCACCTGAGGCCAGGAGTTCGAGACCAGCCTGGGCAACATGGCGAAACCCCACCTCCACTAAAAATACAAAAATTAGCCGGGCATGGTGGCATGCGCCTGTAATCCCAGCTACTCGGGAGGTTGAGGCAGGAGAATTGCTTGAACCTGGGAGGCGGAGGTTGCAGTGAGCCGAGATCATGCCACTGCACTCCAGCCTGGCAATAGAGCGAGACTCCGTCTCAAAAAAAAAAAAAAAATAACTGAATAGAGGGAAAGGAATTGTCTGAGTTGAGAAAAGTATATTGAGATAGTCAAGATTACCAAGATTTGCTGATAAAAGTTCCTTATACAACTGAGTGGTAGTCTTATCCCCATTAGTTACTTTCTGCATCCTTAGTCCTTGTGCTTGAACATTCTGCGAAACTCTCTTTGGCTAAGGTGTCAATAGTACATGTGAACCTTTGTCTGTCAATGATCTACAGTTTCAGCAAGAAACATCACTGCAACCACACCTCATTCCATGAGGGGCCCCTCTCACAACTGGTCCACTAAAGGGCTGGCAAGTAAAGAAGCAAGTAACAAAGGCAATATTTATAGTTTCCTTGTTCTTAGCCAATTTATAGAATCCTGTCCCAGTTTCAAGAGACCATCATGATCCTAGTCATTTTATAAATAGTTGGTTTCATCTATTCATAATTGAATAGAATCTTCTCCCACTTATATATCAATTCTGATCAGTTCCATCAGGGTCACTGTCAAAAAATTGTTAGTGGCACAGTCTTTTTCCCATATGGCAGCATACCCACATCAGATTTCTATCATTCTGATTCTTTCCGATGAAAAGAAAAAAAGTCTTTTATACGTATTTGAGATAACTGTTCCTGTCTTATTAGCTGAGGCAATTTAAACCATTCTCAGCTTCATTTCATAAGAGTATGTTTCTATTTTTCAAAATGCTAATACTACCCCCAATTACTTAAAGCACATATTTTAAATTTAATTTTTTTTTTTTGAGACAGAGTCTTGCTCTGTTGCCCAGGCTGGAGTGCAGTGGCATGATCTCGGCTCACTGCAACCTCCACCTCCCGGATTCACGCCATTCTCCTGCCTCAGCCTCTCGAGTAGCTGGGATTACAGGCGCCCACCACCACACCCAGCTAATTTTTTGTGTTTTTAGTAGAGACGGGGTTTCACCATGTTAGCCAGGATGGTCTCGATCTCCTGACCTTGTGATCCACCCGCCTTGGCCTCCCAGAGTGCTGGGATTACAGGCATGAGCCACCACGCCCAGCCTAAATTTAAATTTTTTAACACATAATTTTTCCTATTTAAAAAAAAAAAACCCTTAAGATTTTCGAATAGAAAATCAGGGTTTAAACAAACATTTATAGACCTTAGGGAACAACTGGAAGCACATGATTTTCGCAGAAAAGCCCTGACATATTAAGCCTGTATTTAATCAAATCGGTAGTCATGATGATGAATAAAACGTAAGTGATAAAAATGTAAAAGACTACAACTTATCAACATTTTCCCACACTTAATTAGAATACAAAATTAATCAGGGTTAATCAGGTTGAGTACAAATTGAGTGAAGCCTCAATTACATATTATTTTCTTTCTATTCAATTAACTTTAATTTGTCTTGCTCTTCTCCTACCTACTGCTTCCCAACAAATTGAATATCTAAGGATTCATGTGCAAAATAAGCAATCCTTGGATCAGTATGGTATAACTTAGTCATAAAAATTGCCTTTGATATGTGACTTTTCTTTACCAAGTGGAAGCTAGTAGTTACTGAAAATAGCATTAAAGACTAGCATGGATCATTAAGTACATAATTGTCAAACATCATTTTACTTTGTTAATTGAACAATTATATTTTATCAGAATTATGTTTCATAAGATTATTTTAAAAAGTCAAGGTACAGCATTTTCTAGAAAATAGCAGCCTAACAATTTACGCTTGTATCTTCAACATGGTTCTGATTTGGAAAACATCTTTAACATGTTATTACATTAAATTTAAGGATGTACACAAGAATTATACACGCAAGTTCTGTAGATAAATAGAATTTTAGGAAATTGAGGAAAAAAGATAAATAGGAGATAGTTTAAATTATACAGTACAATTCTCATTGCTCTGACTTGGTTTGCTTGATGTGTGTGTTTCTCCACTGGTGAGAAAGTCTTGGGATGGGTGAATCATTTAGTTGAAAGTTTGTCTACTAGAACAAATGAGAACCAGTATCAGAAGGTGACACAGGAGAGTTTGTGACAGTGCCGATTTCAGCTGACGAATTACCAGAAGATCCAGCATTGCTGTCGTTTCCATCAAAAGTAGCTGGAAGTAGACTAGAAGAAGAAAATGCCACTCATTGATAGCAGAACTCAAGAGATCTCTCTGTATACTCTGCTTTGTCTACACATGAATGCAAAATACATGACTAACAACTGGCACTTGTCACAAGCAAAGTTTTTTAAGAGTCATACAATGAAACCACCAGTAACAATAAATAGAAATCCATGGCCAGGTGTGGTGGCTTATGCCTGTAATCCAAGCACTTTGCAAGGCCAAGGCAGGTGGATCACGAGGTCAGGAGTTCAAGACCGGCCTGACCAATAAGGTGAAACCCCATCTATACTAAAAATACAAAAATTAGCCAGGTGTGGTGGCACACGCCTGTAGTCCCAGCTACTCAGGAGGCTGAGGCAGGAGAATTGTTTGAACCCAGGAGGTAGAGGTTGCAGTAAGCCGAGATGGTGCCACTGCACTCCAGCCTGGGAGACAGAGCGAGACTCCGTCTAAAACAAAACAAAAAAAAAAAAAGAAAGAAATCTATTCCAGTATTTCCTATTTTTATCATTAAGACATGCTTTCTTAGGCATGCTTTTCAATAATACTCTCAACCCAACAAGGTAGACAAAAATCCAAGGAAGATGGGCAGAAGATGACTTTTTCCAAGGATGCATTTTTATGTATTTCTCTAATATCTCTTAATCTAATGCCAAAATCTCACTTCTAAAAATGTATCCACCATATATTAGTGTCACACACATCTCATAAGAAAAACACTCTGCCAGGTGACGTGACTCACGCCTGTAATCCCAGCACTTTAGGAGGCCAAGGCAAGCGGATTGCTTGAGCTCAGGAGTTTGAGACCAGCCTGGGCAACATGGAAAAACCCCATCTCTACAAAAAATACAAAAATTAGCCAGGCGCGGTGGTGCACAGCTACTGTGGTCCCAGCTACTCAGGAGGCTGAGGTGGGAGGACTGCTTGAGCCTGGGAGGTGGAGGTTGCAGTGAGCCAAGATTGTGCCACTGCATTCCCAGCCTGGGTGACAGAGTGAGACCCTGCCTCAGAAAAAGAAAAAAAAGAAAATAAAATAACTCAGGTTTATAGTATCCACTTGGAATATTAGTTTTAAAACTTCTAAGAACAGTTAATAATGTACCATACTTCTGAATACGTACAATAGCCAAAGTAGACTTAACAACGAAGCAAAAATGATCAATGAATGTTTAAAATCTCATGTTAATACTCACTACACATTATTTTCTGACAGTTGGGAAGTATCAGAAGAAAGCATGTTGGTTGTGCCTTGGAAAATCTTTTTTGGTTGATATTGAAATGCCATTTCACCTATGACAATACAGCAGATCAAGGTAGATGTTTTATTTAACATGTTTATTATTATTTTAATTGCAAAAGTAATACTTATTCACTGCAATTAATTTATAAAATACAGAAAAGCACAAAGAAAACAATTTTAAGTAATCATTATCCAGACATAACCATTCTTTAGTAATTTTTGAATATGTTGTATACACAATTGTTTTTTAAATAAAATTGGGTTTGTACCGTATATAATGTTTTTAGATTTACTTTTTGTTTTCAATGATTATAATTTTCTTATATTATTAACTAAATTCTATAAGATGATATTATTATTATTATTATTATTATTTTGTGAAGAAGTCGCTCTGTCACCCAGGCTGGAGTGCAGTGGCATGATCTGGGCTCACTTCAACCTCCACCTCCCAGGTTCCAGCAATTCTCGTGCTTCAGCCTCCAGAGTAGCTGGGATTACAGGTGCAAACCACCATGCCCAGCTATTTTTTATATTTTTAGTAGAGACGGGGTTTCACCATGTTGGCCAGGCTGGTCTCAAATTCCTGGCCTCAGGTGATCCACCCACCTTGGCCTCCCAAAATGCTGGGATTACAGGCGTGAGCCACTGTGCCCGGCCTGCAAGATGATTTGATATAGCTATGTAGTAAGGCTGTTTAATGAGTTTAATGTCATTCCTTATTTTAAAACTTTAGGTTGTTGCTATCTTTATTTTGCTAAATGTACACAATGAACTAAATAGGTAAGTTCTTTTACAGCACACAATGAACAAAATAATTGTATCTTTAGAGATTAAGGTAGAACATCTAATCTCAAAAAAAACAACAACTGCATTTTTGTAATCTTTGCCTTGAAGTAAATGTTAAAATCTGCACAGTGTTTCACATTCATATGATAATCATTTCTGGACCTGAGCAAAACTGACATTCAAGCCCATAACTTCTATTTGAATGATAAAACCCTAAGGTCACCATTAAGATATTGCATAGACCTTCCACAGAAGTGTAATCATGGCTCATAAAGTTTAAAAGAAGTCTGGTGTCCCGTGCCTTGCCAGATTACATTTATGTCACTACAGAAAAACTACTCAGCTCTCTTTTTTGGTTTAACATTGAAAACATGACAAATCAAAACATATTCCTCATAAAAGAAAATTAGATCTTTCTTTGCTAAAACCAGCATTACTTGTCAAACGATATTTATAGCTGCCCAATTTCTGCAGTATTCCGATGTGAAGGCTTATTTGCTCTCGCTTATTCCTTTTTTTTTTTTTTTCCAGACAGAGTCTTACTCTGTTGTCCAGGCTGGAGTGCAGTGGTGTGATCTCGGCTCACTGCAACTTCCGCCTCCTGGATTCAGGCGATTCTCCTGCCTCAGTCTCCTGAGTAGCTGGGATTACAGGCACACACCACCACCCTTGGCTAATTTTTGTATTTTTAGTAGAGACAGGGTTTTGTCATGTTGGCCAGGCTGGTCTTGAATTCCTGACCTCAAGTCATCCGCCCGCCTCGGCCTCCCAAAGTGCTGGGATTACAGGCATGAGCCACTGTGCCCGGCCCATGCTCTTGCTTATTCCTAATGGAAGTCACTGCTGCTTCTCACCATAAAATATGACATCATATGCTTTGGAGACTCTAATCTTGATCTCACTTCACATAATCATCATTCTTTTTAGTTCCCCCCGCCCCCTGCCTCAGGACCTCTCTTTTATTTTTATGGTACCTTTCTCCCACATTTCATTTGTATTAATGGGGTCCAAATAGGACATAGTTTGTTGTTTCCCAAATGAATATGCATATTCCAAAATATATGAATAAATTTCAATTTCTGTTTATCTGTTATTGTATCTGGCCAAAAATGGCCAAATGAATTTTCAGCACATTTGTACAGGGCATGCTTTGGAGGGTGGGGTATGACTGAAAATATGGACTAGGTGGTATATACAGAATTCGCTTTGGAGTTCCCTCAGGGACACCTCAAAGGAATAAGGCAGTCGTCTTTCAGAGCAGCTGAAAACCAAGTGTGAGACAGGTCACATCTCCGAAGACACTGGGCAGAAACTACATCTTTTATGTTAAAATTGATCTATAAAAATAATTTTTCAATCATAAATTCTAAGAAAACTCGAGATACTTTTCATGTGATAACCTATTTATGTATACATGTCTCAAAAGGAGAACTATTTTAATCTGGTAAAACACTCCTCAATTTAAGCGTACTTTATTTTAAATACTCAATTGACCCTTGACTTCTAACAGCTCTTAAACTGCTGATATATTTGAATATTTTTTCAACACTAGCCCGAATTTCACAGCACAGGTAAAAGACCCCTAAGCTTAGTAACCGAAGCATCTTCATAAAACAATGTGCTTACTTTGGAAAAGAGTATTTTCCAGAATTTATCTAGCCCTTAATCTTAGAATACAAAAAGTACATGCTGAGTTAGTTATGTTGTTAGGAAGACTGCCATTAATTAATCGAAAATATACAAAGAACATTAAAGCATATTTCAGTTTCTCTCCTCTTATTCTTCTTACTCCTCTTTCTTACCTTAATAGATTTTTCACAATACACATTTTTAAGTTTAATCTCCTTTCCTATTCACCCATTTCCCCTCCCCATTGTAGTCAAAAATTGTACTAAATATACAGGCTTATGCTTGCAATCTCAGCACTTTGGGAGGCCGAGGTGGGTGGATCACCTGAGGTCAGGAGTTCGAGAACAGCCTGGCCAACATGGTGAAACTCTGTCTCTACTAAAAATACAAAAAAATTAGCTGGGCATGGTGGCAGGCACCTGTAATCCCAGCTACTGGTGAGGCTGAGGCAGGAGAATCGCTTGAACCCGGGAGGAAGAGGTTGCAGTGAGCCAAGATTGTGCCACTGCACTCCAGCCTGGGTGACAGAGCAAGACTCTGTCTCAAGAAAAAAAAAAAAAAAAAAGGAAGAAGAGCATAATTTAGTGAGGTACCATTGAGAAGTGGGATCCAGGATTGCAGGAGTTTTTAAAAAAGACATCTTTCCACTGCCCTTTTATTCTTTCCACTGCCCTTTTATTACTGAGTAGGTGGGTCACTTTCCATATATTTAACCAAAAATAACTCCCATAAAGAAACTAAACACCAAAGAACATACACCTTCATATATATTTTTAGTGTTGTAAGTGGATCTAATTTGTGTCAACTTATTCATATGATAGCAATGTGTGTGTGTGGCAGTGAGGCAGGGGTTGACATTCAGCAAAATACTTGATGACTGACTCACTCTGTTCATTCATTCATTTATTCTCTACATTGTTTTAGAAAGTAATGAAGATAGCTACCTTGGTGAATTATATTGAAAATCCTAATAGCCAACTAAATTGGAATTAAATTTCTCAATTCACATTTATATAGCATTTTAGAGTTTTCAAAATGTCCTTATACATATTTCTAGTTGCATAAAATGAAAGGCCTCTAATAGCTTATTAAATATATTTTAAATAAATAAAGCCTTTAAAAATACATTTTTGTATAACATTTGATTTTAGATATTTTATAAAATAACTTAAAGTTATATTTACTTCTACTGTTAGATAAAAGTACCTTTTCTTTTTAATGGTCCAAGGATACTTGGTCTAATAATGTTGGTAGGATTTTGACTTCTTCTAAAATAAAATCATCATGATCATTATAAGAAATTTTTTTTAACAAAATCAACAATGACTATTTCATTATAACAGATCTAAGGACATACACAAAAACGGGACTCTGTGTAGGATATTACATCATTTTACTGCTTTTCTTTGTTTTTATTTTTACTTTTTTTCTGAGATGCAGTTTGGCTCTTGTCACCGAGGCTGGAGTGCAGTGGCGTGATTTAAGCTCACTGCAGCCTCCGCCTCCTGGGTTCAAGTGATTCTCCTGCCTCAGCCTCCCAAGTAGCTGGGATTACAGGCATGCACCACCACACTCGGCTAATTTTGTATTTTTTTAGTAGACACAGGGTTTCACCATGTTGGCCAGGCTGGTCTCGAACTCCTGACCTTAGGTGATCTGCCTGCCTTGGCCTCCAAAAGTGTTGGGATTACAGGTGTGAGCCACCATGCTCGGCCATTTTACTGCTTTTCTTTACATATGGGTAAAAACTGGAATGCCTTAGGAGCAAACTATCTTCTAATTCTCAAGGATTCAGGATTTTGAATCCTAGAGTCTACAAAAACCTACATTCCTGGCTGGGACTTGCCTTGAATGAAGGTGAGAATCACGGATGAAGTTGTTTAAAGTTCTAGAGATAGCTCTGATCCTTATTAACAAACTTGGTTAGAGAAAGATTATGTATTAGCAGGGTGAAGGAATTACTAAATTCTTCTTATGTTCTTAGTCACCTGACTTTTTCAATATACAAAATGATAAACTGAAACAGTGACTTTTTTTTTTTTTTGAGATGGAGTTTTGCTCTTGTTGCCCAGGCTGGAGGGCAATGGCACGATCTCAGCTCACCACAACCTCCACCTCCTGGGTTCAAACGATTCTCCTGCCTCAGCCTCCTGAGTAGCTGGGATTACAGACATGCACCACCATGCCCGGCTATTTTTGTATTTTTAGTAGAGACGGGGTTTCTCCATGTTGCTCAGGCTGGTCTTGAACTTCCTACCTCAGGTGATCCACCCGCCTCGGCCTCCCAAAGTGCTGGGATTACAGGCAGGAGCCACCGTGCCCAGCCGAAACAATGACATTTTAATTTCCCTAAAAAGAAGTCACTTCTTTGGTTGGCACAAAACTTGGAGCTATAATTTCTTTTAGGTTTCTATAATTCTTATTTTATAAGCAATTTGGTATTTTCATATAACATAAACTTACATGATGTATTGTTGCATAGGACTGGGAATAGGACTTGAAGGCGAACCAGTGCAACTCACACAAGTTTGTAATGATGGAGAGAAACACTGCTAAAATCAAATTGGAACAGAGGTTTTAAAACCGCCACTTTTCTCGGAAAGCAGATCATTGGTTTCCTAGGGAGGGGCAGGGATGGTAGGGAGGGAGACTGGGGTACAAAAGATCATTAGGAAATTGTTTTGAGTGTGGGAACTGTTCAATATCTTGATTATGGTTGTGGCTACAGGATTGTACACAATTACCAAAATTAATCTAACCCTATGCTTTAAAGTTGGTGAATTTTATTACATGTAAGTAATACTTGAAGAAATGAAAAAGAAGGGAAAAATGTTAGTTAGAATCAGATGTACTGTGACAAAATATATCCCCCAAAATATTTGTTTTGGTGACCATTAATGTTCCTAAATATTTCCTAACTATTTCAAGAGACATAGACTTTTAGGTACTCCTTTCTTACCTTCCCAGTCTTCTTGATGGAAGAAGCCATTGAGGATACTGGAGTTAAATCAATGCACTTTAGAGAGGATGATTTCTGTAAGCCATTGTCATTCTGTGTAAGCAGAAAGCAGTGTACAATTGTAGCACCAATTGCTTATTAATCAAATACTTGAGATACCTGTTGCACAGGGAAGTGAGTCCTTACTACTGAGTCACTGGCTGCACCATGGTGAAGAGCTCTCGCCATCCTAAAGCAATCAGGGAACCCAAAATTCACTTCAATAAGCAAAGGCACCCTTTTCCCTTTTGGGGATGAGGGCTATATGGTGATTGAGGGGCTTCCCAGCATGCCAGAAAGTCCTAGAATGTGAGTACTCAACACTATAAACACAAATCCTAAATTTAAGCTCTTCTCTTTGGCTTTGACCTGTGCTTTGTTATTGAAAACTATAATACTACATCCAGGAAAGGACCAAAAAGGTTTTGGCTAGAACTTAGAAGCAAATGAGACAGCAGGAATAACTACATTTATGGAAATTGTCTCTAGATTTTACATAGACAAAATCAGTACTTCATAATTCAGGATTTTAAAATCTGCCCTTTTCTTTCTAAAACAAGCCAAGTGTGTATTACATGTGCCCTTCCTCTTCCTAACACACTTACGATTCTCTTACTCATCCATGCCAATACCTAAAGTAATTAGAATTGGGCCAGTTAAAGGACTCCAGCAGTATCGATCAATTGTATTAGCACCAAAACACAAAAAGTGACAGGCTCCAGAGATGACCTACTCATTCTCCTGGACCTACTCCAAAATCAGGGATAACTGCTCATGTAAGGTACTCAGGGCTCAAAGGAAAATAAAATGCCATTGCTTCTGCTGATGATCCATTTCCATATCAAATAATTCCCAAATCTGAAGATTGACATTAGTTAGAATCTCTCCTATTCAATTTTCAGCTCAGTACTTGTTTTGTCACTATCTGGGATGTCCATAGAAAAGAACACTAAATATCATTCAGCTACCACAACTAGGTAACCACAGTGTGCACACAGACATTTAAAAATGTTAACAAGAGATGAAACTAAATTCTAAGTATGTTTAAATTAAAGGTTTTATATTAAAATGTTAGTGGGAGAATGTGTTACAGGCTGATAATGGTGTGGCTGTGTCCCCACTCAAATCTCATCTTGAACTGTAATCCCCATAATCCCCACGTGTTGTGGAAGGAACCTGGTGGGAGGTAATAGAATCATGGGGGCAAATTCCCCAATGCTGTTCTCGTGGTAGTGAGTGAGTTCTCACGAGATTTGACGGCTTTATAAGCATCTGGAATTTCCCCTGCTGGCACTCATTCTATCTCCTGCCGCCCTGTGAAGAGGTGCCTTCTGCCATAATCGTAAGTTTCCTGAGGCCTCCCCAGCCATGCAGAACTGTGAGTCAATTAAACCTCTTTCCTTTGTAAATTACCCAGTCTTGGGTATTTCCTTATAGCAATGTGAGAACGGACTAACACACAGGCATAAAAATGCAATAATTTTCTAGAGAGTCTATTGTCTGTGGTTTAAGACTCCTAATATATAGTTCATAAATTATGGAGAAGGGAGTGAAATCATTTATTGTTTTGTTATCTAAGCACTTTAACTAGTGCAACTGAACTTTTATTATGCCTACTAGGACAGAGAAGAAACTGGTCCACAATAGCTATGGTTTTGTGTCACAAAACTGTTTACTTTGAACCCCACTTTCAAATAATGATAGCTATTTTTATGAGTAAATCATGAAGTATTTCTGAAGAGCAATCAAGGGCTAGGCGCAATGGCTCAAGCCTGTAATCCTAGCATTTTGGGAGGTTGAGGCAGGACGATCCATTGAGCTCAGGAGTTCAAGACCAGCCTGGACAACATAGTGAGACCTTGTCTCAAAAAAAAAAATTAAAAAGAGCACTCAAAAATTATTTATGCAACAGATACAATTTTTGTTTCAAAATAGAGCTTAGATTTCTAGAAATTACAGCAAAACTAGATATGCCGACACTGTAAGTCAGTAAAAATTTGAAATTTTCTACAAAACTGAAGTTATAATATCATACCAGTTTCAAGCCTTCTTCCCAAGAGTGACTTATCTGTATCTCACTTTGTAGCTTCCTACAAAAGAAATCAAAACTGCAGTTTGCCTATCTGAAAGAAAAGATATAATTAAGTATACAAATTATCAGAATAGTAATTCAAAGTACAGTACTCACCATTCAGACATTGTTTCTCTATTTATTAAATCCATGGCTTCTTCCTGTAAAGGTAGGAAAATGAGAATAAACTGAATACCCAGTTCCTATGGTTTTATAAAATTTGATTTCATTTGGATGCACCATTATTTTTATTCACTAGGCTATAGAAGAACTAGAGAATAAATAAATCTCTAAACAAGTATCTGGTTCTCTGCCCTTTATTGCTTCACAAATTATCACACCAAAGATCTATTATTTATGCATTACAGTACATCAGATATGCAGGAACTGATTAGATGAAAAACTTTGTACTTTTCTTTATTCAAAAGCAACAACATTAAGCATTCAAAATTATACAGTTTTCCCTAAACTTTTTAAAGGTCTACTAGGACAGAGAAGAAACTAGTCCACAATAGCTATGGATGGCCATTAATACTATGATATTAATAAAAATTACTCACAGTACACAGACAACAAATTAAATGTCTATCAGGGTAAGTTTGCTTAAGTAAATGATGAGACAAACATAATTTAAATCTAGTCATTGACATCAGAAAACAACTATTACATATTAAATGGGAGACAAATGGATCCTATTTATGTAAAATTGTAAGAGAGGTGCTCAGAAAGATGTTCACCAGAAACTTAACAGTGGTTATCAATGAGTAGTGAGATCTGGAGTAATGTGTTCTTTCTTCCTTTGTACATTGCTATATTATTTGACTTTTTATTAATATACAAGTATCATTTTCACATAGGTAGTTTTTTTTTTTTAATAACCCACCTACAGAAAGACATTCATGTTCATGGATTGGGACAATGTTTAGATGACAATTCCACCCAAAGTGATCAACAGATGCAATGCGCCCCTTACCAAAGTCCCAATCACATTTTTTACAGAAACAGAAAAACCCATCTGAAAATTCATATGGAATATTAAAGGACCCCAAATAGCCAAAGCAGTCTTTGAAAAGATGCACAAAGCTGGAGGATTCATACTTTCTGATTTCAAAACTTCCTACAAAACTACATAGTCAAAACAGTGTAGTTCTGGCATAAGAACAGATGCATACCAGCACTTTGTGAGGCCGAGGCAGGCGAATCACCTGAGGTTGGGAGTTCGAGACCAGTCTGGCCAACATGGTGAAACCTCTTCTCTACCAAAAATACAAAATGTAGCCAAGTGTGGTAGCATACACCTGTAATCCCAGCTACTCAGGAGGCTGAGGCACAAGAATTGCTTGAATCCTGGAGGCAAAGGTTGCAGTGAGCTGAAATTGCACTACTGTACTCCAGCCTGAATGACAGAGAGCAACACTCTGTCTCAAAAAAAAAAAAAAAAAAAAAAGAACATGCATATAGCAATGGAACAGAATAGAGCGCACAGAAATAAGCCTTCAAGCCGGGCGCGGTGGCTCACGCCTGTAATCCCAGCACTTTGGGCGGCCGAGGTGGGCGGATCACGAGGTCAGGAGATTGAGACCATCCTGGCTAACATGGTGAAACCCCGTCTCTACTAAAAGTACAAAAAATTAGTTGGGCGTGGTGGCAGGGGCATGTAGTCCCAGCTACTCGGGAGGCTGAGGCAGGAGAATTGCGTGAACCCGGGAGGCGGAGCTTGCAGTGAGCCGAGATCACGCCACTGCACTTTAGCCTGGGCGACAGAGCGAGACTCCGTCTCAAAAAAAAAAAAAAAAAAAAAAAGAAATAAGCCTTTACATAATACATGATCAAATGGTTTTCAACAGTGATGCCAGGACCATTCAATGGGGAAAGGACAATCTTTTCAACAAATGATGTTTAGAAAACTGGAGCTCTACATGCAAAAGAATGAAGTTGAACCCCCTTTTTTTTTTTTACCCTATGCAGAAATTCACTCGAAATGAATTAAAGACTTTAACTTAAAAGATAAAACTCTAAATCTCTTAGAAGATAACATAAGGTTAAATCTTCATGACACTGGATTTCACAATGATTTCTTGGATATGATACCAAAGGCACAGGCAACAAGAGAAAAAAAACAGATAAACTGGTCTTCATCAAAATTAAAAAACTTTTTTTTTTTTCTGAGATGGCGTGTCACTCTGTTGGCCAGGCTAGAGTGCAATGGTGTGATCTCGGCTCCTGCAACCTCTGCCTCCTGGGTTCAAGCGATTCTCCTGTCTCAGCCTCCTGAGTAGCTTGGATTACAGGCGCATGCCACCAGGCCCGGCTAATTTTTGTATTTTTAGTAGAGATGGGGCTTCACGTGTTGGTCAGGCTGGTCTTGAACTCCTGACCTTGTGATCCGCCCGTCTTGGCCTCCCAAAGTGCTGGGATTACAGGTGTGAGCCATGGCGCCCGGCCAAATTAATGCTTTTTTTTTTTTGAGACGGAGTTTTGCTCCTGTTGCCCAGGCTGGAGTGCAATGGCGCAATCTCAGCTCACTGCAACCTCTGCCTCCCGGATTCAAGCAATTCTCCTGCCTCAGCCTCCTGAGCAGCTGGGATTACAGGCACCCGCCACCACACCCAGCTAATTTTTGTATGTTTAGCAGAGATGGGGTTTCACCGTGTTGGCCAGGCTGGTTTCAAACTCCTGACCTCAGGTGATCCACCTGCCTCAGCCTCCCAAAGTGCTGGGATTACAGGCGTGAGCCACTGTGCCCGGACTTTTTTTTGAGACGGAGTCTCGCTCTGTTGCCTAGGCTGGAATGCAGTGGCGCGATCTCGGCTCACTGCAAGCTCCACCTCCCAGGTTCACACCATTCTCCCGATTCAGCCTCCTGAGTAGCTGGGACTACAGGTGCCCACCACCACGCCCAGCTAATTTTTTGTATTTTTAGTAGAGACGGGGTTTCACCATGTTAGACAGGATGGTCTCGATCTCCTGACCTCGTGATCCACCCACCTCGGCCTCCCAAAGTGCTAGGATTACAGGTGTGAGCCACCGCGCCCAGAGAAATTAAAAAAACTTTTGTGCATCAAATGACACTATCAAGAGAGTGAAAAGACAACTGGATAATTGGAGAAGATATCTGCAAATCATATATCTGAAAAGGAATGAATATCCAAAATATATACAGAACTCCTACCACACAGTGACAACAAAAACCAACCCAATTAAAATATGAGTAAAGAGACTGAATGTTTCTCCAAAGAATACATACAAATGACCAAAAAGCACATGAAAAGATGCTCAACATCATTTGTCATTATGGAAATGCAAACCAAAACCACAATGAGATGCCACTTTACCCCCATTAGGATAGTTTTTTTGTTGTTGCTTTTATATATTTTTTGAGACAGGATCTCACTCTGTCACACAGGCTGGAGTGCAGTGGTGCAATCTCAGCTCACTGAAACCTCTGCCTCCCAGGTTTAAGTGATTCTCATGTCTCAGCTTCCTAAGTAACTGGGATTTTATTTTTTTATTTATTTTTATTTTTATTTTTTTTTGGTGACAGAATCTCACTCTGTTGCCCAGGCTGGAGAGCAGTGACACGATCTCGGCTCAGTACAACCTCTGCCTCCCAGGTTCAAGCGATTCTCCTGCCTCAGACTCCCGAGTAGCTGGAATTACAGGTGCATGCCACCACACCCAGTTAATTTTTGCATTTTTAGTAGAGATGGGGTTTCACCATGTTGGCCAGCTGGTCTCAAACTCTTGACCTCAGATGATCTACCCACCTCTGCTTCCCAAAGTGCTGGGATTACAGGCGTGAGCCACTGCACCCAGCCAAATTTTTAAATTTTCTAAAAACATCGTTTCATCCTTATCTCATCCTTTTTTATATTTCTACTTTATATATATTCTATGATTCACATAATAGCACAGTGGTATATGTCCAAAATGTATAAGTAAATGCAGTGTACCTATGTTGGAGGCATGTACTCAAACATTTTCTCCTGATGTGATGTGTGATCAAAAGAGTTTAAAGATTTTCGTCTATAGTATAAATAATACATGTTTGGGGTAGTCCATAATAGAAGAGTGGTGTGAGTTGTGCGAAAGAATTAAAATTTGGCCACGCACAGTGGCTTATGCCTGTAATCCCAGCACTTTGGGAAGCCAAGGCAGGAGGAATCCTTGAGCTCACGAGTTCGAGATCAGCCTGGGTAACAACAAGACCTCATCTCTACTAAAAGAAAAAAAAAAATTAGCCGGGCACATGTGGTACACATGTCAGTAGACCTAGCTACTCAGGAGGCTGAAGTGGGAGGATCTTTTGAGCCTGGGAGATTGAAGCTGCAGTGAGCCACAATTGTGCCACTGCACTCCAGCCTGGCAACAATATGAGACCCTGTCTCAATAAATAAATAAATACATAAATAAATATTTGACCTAGTCCTTCAAAGATGTATAAAATATGAACAAGCAGTGAGTAGAGGGAAGGGTATTCCAAGCAGAAGAACCCATATGAACAAAAGTTTAGGAGAGGGAAAAAAATACAACAGATTTGGAGATAGTGAGACTACCTTGGCTGAAACTGAGTTTGTGCTACAAAGTAATGAGAGAGAAAACAGGAGAGGTAAGACAGGGCCAGTTTTACAGGTTCTTAAATAATCAAACAGTTTGAATTTAAAGAATTTGGGCAGAATCACGTCATTGTCAGGACCCCGGCTTTGGAGACAAACAGAACTGAGTCAAATCCCAGCTCTATAACCTACTACCTGTGCAAACTTAGGCAGGTGACGTCACCTGAGCGTCAGTTTCTTCATCCATATGAAGATGACGATAAGAATGAGGATGATGAGGTGGCTGTACAGTTCTCATCACACTGCCTGGCAAACAGTTCAGTGCTTAACACATATTAGCTATTTTTATTATTATTCAATAGGTAATGGGAAGCCATTGTGACATTTTGTATGGGGGGAAGAAAGTGAAAATGATGTTTTTTTTGTTTTGTTTTTGTTTTTTGTTTTTTTTTTTATTGATCATTCTTGCGTGTTTCTCGCAGAGGGGGATTTGGCAGGGTCTCAGGACAATAGTGGAGGGAAGGTCAGCAGATAAACAAGTGAACAAAGGTCTCTGGTTTTCCTAGGCAGAGGACCCTGCGGCCTTCCGCAGTGTTTGTGTCCCTGGGTACTTGAGAATAGGGAGTGGTGATGACTCTTAACGAGCACGCTGCCTTCAAGCATCTGTTTAACAAAGCACATCTTGCACCGCCCTTAATCCATTTAACCCTGAGTGGACACAGCACATGTTTCAGAGAGCACAGGGTTGGGGGTAAGGTCACAGATCTACAGGATCCCAAGGCAGAAGAATTCTTAGTACAGAACAAAATGAAAAGTCTCCCATGTCTACTTCTTTCTACACAGACACGGCAACCATCCGATTTCTCAATCTTTTCCCCACCTTTCCCCCCTTTCTATTCCACAAAACCGCCATTGTCATCATGGCCCGTTCTCAATGAGCTGTTGGGTACACCTCCCAGACGGGGCGGCTGGCCGGGCAGAGGGGCTCCTCACTTCCCAGTAGGGGCGGCCGGGCAGAGGCGCCCCTCACCTCCCGGACGAGGCGGCTGGCCGGGCGGGGGGCTGACCCCCCCACCTCCCTCCCGGACGGGGCGGCTGGCCGGGCGGGGGACTGACCCCCCCACCTCCCTCCTGGATGGGGCGGATGGCCGGGCAGAGGGGCTCCTCACTTCCCAGTAGGGGCGGCTGGGCAGAGGCACCCCTCACCTCCCGGATGGGGCGGCTGGCCTGGCGGGGGCTGACCCCCACCTCCCTCCCGGACGGGGTGGCTGCCGGGCAGAGACGCTCCTCACTTCCCAGACGGTGTGGCTGCCGGGCGGAGGGGCTCCTCACTTCTCAGACGGGGCGGCTGCTGGGCGGAGGGGCTCCTCACTTCTCAGACGGGGCGGTTGCCAGGCGGAGGGTCTCCTCACTTCTCAGACGGGGCGGCCGGGCAGAGATGCTCCTCACCTCCCAGACGGGGTCGCGGCCGGGCAGAGGCGCTCCTCACATCCCAGACGGGGCAGCGGGGCAGAGACGCTCCTCACTTCCTAGATGGGATGGCGGCCGGGAAGAGGCGCTCCTCACTTCCTAGATGGGATGGCGGCCGGGCAGAGACGCTCCTCACTTTCCAGACTGGGCAGCCAGGCAGAGGGGCTCCTCACCTCCCAGACGATGGGCGGCCAGGCAGAGATGCTCCTCACTTCCCAGACGGGGTGGCGGCCGGGCAGAGGCTGCAATCTCGGCACTTTGGGAGGCCAAGGCAGGCGGCTGGGAGGTGGAGGTTGTAGCGAGCCGAGATCACGCCACTGCACTCCAGCCTGGGCACCATTGAGCACTGAGTGAACCAGACTCCGTCTGCAATCCCGGCACCTCGGGAGGCCGAGGCTGGCAGATCACTTGCGGTTAGGAGCTGGAGACCAGCCCGGCCAACACAGCGAAACCCCGTCTCCACCAAAAAAATACGAAAACCAGTCAGGTGTGGCTGCGCGCGCCTGCAATCGCAGGCACTCGGCAGGCTGAGGCAGGAGAATCAGGCAGGGAGGTTGCAGTGAGCCGAGATGGCAGCAGTACAGTCCAGCTTCCGCTCGGCATCAGAGGGAGACTGTGGAAAGAGAGGGAGAGGGAGACCGTGGGGAGAGGGAGGGGGAGGGGGGAGGGGGGGAGGGGGGAGGGGGAGGGGGAGAGGGAGAGGGAGGAAAATGATGTTTTTTAAAAAAAAAAAATTTGGCCAGGCACAGTGGCTTGTGCCTGTAATCCCAGCACTTTGGGAGGCCGAGGTGGTTGGATCACGAGGTCAGGAGATCGAGACCATCCTGGCTAACACGGTGAAACCCCGTCTCTACTAAAATTAGCTGGGCGTGGTGGCAGGTGCCTGTAGTCCCAGCTACACGGGAGGCTGAGGCAGGAGAATGGCGTGAACCCAGAAGGCAGAGGTTGCAGTGAGCCGAGATTGCGCCACTGCACTCCAGCCTGGGCGACAGAGCGAGACTCTGTTCCAAAAAAAAAAAACATTTATCTTGGTCTTCATTGTGGAAGTTGGATAAACTGGGAGAAACAGAAAATCTACTGGGATATTATTTCAGTAATCTAGACCCATGGGACAGAAGAAGGAAGCAGCAGTGACAACAAAGAGGATATTGTCAAGGAAGAATTAGTAGGATTAGAAGCCTAATTGGATACAGTAGAAAAATAAGGAAGAACTGAAGAAAAATCAAGAGCTTTGAGTCTTAAACCTGTGACTATTTTGATACCATACAATGAGGTATCAAATCGAGAGCTTTGAGTCTTAAAACTGTGACTATTTTGATACCACACAATGAGGTACAGAAAATGAGGGAATTGGAAAAGGTAATTTAAGAAGATAATTAGTCTTTTAAAAGCAATGGAATAACAGTAAATTCAGCAAAATGTAATTGTTAGTATAGTTCTTCAATTTAATATTATATAGATAGTCTCCTCTAGTGTGAAACTCAAAGTATTTTGTAGTTCATTCGGTCAACAAGTACAGAGCAGGTAGTTTTGTGAAACTGAGATAGAATTCTGCTTAATATTCCTCCCACTGAAAGTTGGAGCATTAGCTAAAATCAGCTATTGAAGGTTGTTAGGAGAAGAGTGTTGACTCTTTTTCATTTATGTCTTGCCTATTTCCAAAATGGATTTGAGATGGTTTATAATAAAATAAGATTATTAAAATAAGTATAAAAGGTCAACAGCCATGCATTATAACTGTAAGAAGCAGAGTACAGTATACTAGAAACCTAGTTTAAGGAGAATTGTTATACTTGGATGTTAAAGTTAGCTTTCCATTTTTCAGGATACATGGTAAAAATGGGAACTGTAAGTTACCAACTTTTGCTCTCCGAGGAGACTACATCTGAAAGATTTTAGTTACTGAGTGCCTGCACAGTACCCAATAAAGGCTTGTTGAAAGAATGAAACAATCTGTAAACTAAAATCAAATTTAAATTTTTTTTTTTTGGAGAAGGAGTCTTACTTTGTCACACCAGCTGGAGTGAGTGCAGTGGTACAATCTCAGCTCACTGCAACCTCTGGTTCCCGGGTTCAAGCGATTCTCCTGCCTCAGCCTCCCGAGTAGCTGGGATTACAGGCATGCCTCACCAGGTCTGGCTAATTTTTATATTTTTAGTAGAGATGGGGTTTCTTCACGTTGGTCAGGCTGGTCTCGAACTCCTGACCTCAGGTGATCCACCCGCCTCGGCCTTCCAAAGTGCTGGGATTACAGGCGTGAGCCACCGTGCCCGGCCAGCAAATTAAAAAAAAAATTTTTTTAAAGACGGAGTCTTCTTATGTTGCCCAGGCTGGTCTTGAACTCCTGGCCTCAAGTGATCCTCCTGCTTTGGCCTCTCAAGTCACTGGAATTACAGGCACGAACCACCACGCCCAGCTCAATTTCTTCTTATTGATTTTTACTTAAGACACTACAGAGAAAGTTAAGTTGTTACTGGGTGCCAATGACTCATATCCTGTTTAACAAATCAGGAATTAAATATAAAGCTATATAACAAAAAACTGTGAGCAGACTGTTATGGGTTGAATTGTGTCCCCTCAAATTCCTGTGTTGAAGTCCTAATCCCCAGTGCCTCAGGATGTGACCTTATTTAGAGACAGAATATATTCAGAAGCAAGCAGATTAGGATGAGGTCATTAGGGTGGGCCCTAATCCAATATGACCGCTGTCCTTCATGAAAAGGAGAAACTTAGAAACAAACACATGTACACGGAGAACACTATGTGAACATGAAGATAGCCATCAACAAGCCAAGGGCAGAGGCCTGGAGCAGATCCTCCCTCACAGTTCTCAGAAGGAATCAACCCTACTGACACCTTTATCTCAGACTTCTAGCCCTAAGAAATGTGAAACAATATATTTCTGTTGTTTAAGCCGCCCAGTTTGTGATACTTTGCAATGGCAGCCTGAGCAAATATACAAACTGTTTCTGCATGGCACTAATTTATGTTTAGAGCTTTGGGAAACAGGGAACTACAGACTGAATGCATTCGGATCTTTTGGAATACAAGCTCAATTTTTATTAGGGGCCACACGTGGTGGCTCATGCCTGTAATGCCAGTACTTTGGGAGCCTGAGGCAGGAGTACCACTTGAGGCCAGGATTTCAGGACCAGCCTGGGCATCACAGGGAGACGTCATCTCTCCAAAAATTTAAAAAAATGGCCAGGCGTAGTGGCTCATGCCTGTAATCCCAGCACTTTGGGATGCCGAGGCGGGTGGATCACCTGAGGTCAGGAGTTCTAGACCAGTCGGACCAATATGGTGAAACCCCGTCTCTACTAAAAATACAAAAGTTAGCCAGGTGTGGTGGTGGGTGCCTGTAGTCCCAGCTACTCGGGAGGCTGAGACAGGAGAATTGCTTGAACTCGGGAGGCGAAGGTTGCAGTGAGCCGAGATCATGCCACTGCACTCCAGCCTAGGCAACAGAGCGAGACTCCGTCTCAGAAATAAATAAATTAATTAAATAAAATAAAAAAATTATCCAGGCATAGTGGTGTGCACCTGTAGTCCTAGCTAGTTGGGAGGCTGAGGCAAGAGGATCACTTTAGCCCAGAAGGTTGAGGCTGCAGTGAGCTATGATCATGCCACTACACTCCAGCCTGGGCAACACAGCAAGAACCTGTCTGAAAAATAAATAAATAAAATAAAATTTTTATTAGAAAGGAAAATTACACAAAATAATTCCTATGTAGGAATAATAACTGTGTTTAGAAAATTAACTTCTAGCTTGATGTCTCAGTCTCTTTAATACTTAGAAAACAGCTAACAACAACAGTTGAGAAGAAATTGTCCATTACCTGCTTAATAGGAAAGGTGTAACATAAACCAAATATTGGCCCAGAACCTAACATTGACTTGGAGCTGTGTGTTCATTTAAAATTAAAAGCAAATTTCATCATACTATTTTACAGGAGGCCAGGCGCGGTAGCTCATGCCTGTAATCCCAGCACTTCGAGAGGCCAAGATGGGCGGATCACCTGAGGTCAGGAGTTTGAGACCAACATGGTGAAACCCCCTCTCTACCATGGCCAACATGATGAAACCCCCTCTCTACTTAAAAAAAAAAAAATTTAGCTGGGTGGGGTGGTGGGCGCCTGTAATCCCAGCTACTCGGGAGGCTGAGGTTACAGAATCGCTTGAACCAGGGAGGCAGACGTTGCAGTGAGCCGAGATCGTGCCACTGCACTCCAGCCTGGGCGACAGAGTAAGACTCCGTCTAAATAAATAAATAAATAAAAATTAAAAAAACTATTTAACAGGAAATAGAGGATAAAACAACATAGTAACACCACATGGAAGCAAAATCAGAATGTGGGACATTTTACAGGACAAATGGACTCCCTGGTTTCTTCAATAAATAAGAGGCATGGAACAAAAAACAGGCAGAAAATGCTGTTTTACAGCATGGTGCTGGTACCAAAACAGAGATATAGACCAATGGAACAGAACAGAGACCTCAGAAATAACACCACACATATACAACCATCTGCTCTTCAACAAACCTGACAAAAATAAGCAATGGGGAAAGGATTTCCTATTCAATAAATGGTGCTGGGAAAACTGGCTAGCCATATGCAGAAAACTGAAACTGGACCCCTTCCTTATACTTTATACAAAAATTAACTCAAGATGGATTAAAGATTTAAATGTAAAACCCAAAACCATAAAAACCCTAGAAGAAAACCTAGGCAATACCATTCAGGACATAGGCATGGGCAAAGACTTCATGATGAAAATGCCAAAAGCAATTCTAACAAAAGCAAAAATTGACAAATAGGATCTAATTAAACTAAAGAACTTCTGCACAGCAAAAGAAATTATCATCAGCGTGAACAGGCAACCTACAGCATAGGAGATAAGTTTTGCAATCTACCCATCTGACAAAGGTCTAATATCCAGAATCTACAAGGAACTGAAACAAGAAAAAACAAACAACCCCATCAAAAAGTGGGCAAAAGATATGAACAGACACTTCTCAAAAGAAGACATTTATGTGGCCAACAAACATACGAAAAAAAGCTCAACATCACTGATCATTAGAGAAATGCAAATCAAAACCACAGTGACATACCATCTCATGCCAGTCAGAATGGCGATGACTAAAAACTCAAGAAACAATAGATGCTGGCAAGGCTGTGGAGAAATAGGAACGCTTTTACATTGTTGGTGGGAATGTAAATTAGTTCAACCACTGTGGAAGACGGTGTGGCGATTCCTCAAGGATCTAGAACCAGAAATATCATTTGACCCAGAAATCCCATTACTGAGTATATACCCAAAGGAATATAATTCATTTTACCATAAAGACACATGCACACGCATGTTTACTGCAGTACTATTTACAATAGCAAAGACATGGAACCAACCTGAATGCCCATCAATGATAGACAGGATAAAGAAAATCTGGTACATATACACCATGGAATACTATGCAGTCATAAAAAGGAATGAGATCATGTCCTTTGCAGGGACATGAATGAAGCTGGAAGCCATCATCCTCAGCAAACTAACACAGGAACGGAAAACCAAACAATGCATGTCCTCACTCCTAAGTGGGAGTTGAACAATGAGAACACATGGACACAGGGAGGGGAACAACACACATCAGGGCCTGTTGCGGGGTGGGTGGTGAGGGGAGGGAACCTAGATGACAGATCAATAGGTGCAGCAAACCACCATGGAACACGTATACCTATGTGACAAACCTGCACATTCTGCCCATGTATCCTGGAACATAAATAAAATAAAATAAAAATGCTGTTTTAAATAAAAGAGATCTAAGAGATATATATCAACTAAATGTCATATTTGGATTGTGTTTGGATCAGTTAAAAAATGCATTTTTAAGAATTAGGAAAAATATAACATGGATTTAGATGACATTAAGGAATAAGGTAATTTGTTATGCATAATGATGGCATTGTGATTATGGAGAAAAAAAGTCCTTCTCATACCCATAAACTTGGGTAAAAAGATATGTCAGAAATTTAAAGCACTCTCTCCCACCCCTAAAAGAGAAGCAGATCGATGAAAAAGGATGTACAAAATGTGGATAATTGTTAAAGCTGGGTGTTAGGTACATGAAGATTCTATATTCCATGTTTTAAATTTTCCATTTAAAAAGATTTTTTTTAATGCAGTACTCTTGGCATTATGCATAATTACTTACAGTCATCCCTTGGTATATGTGGGGAATTGGTTCCAGCACCCCCCCACTGCAATACCAAAATCCACACATCCTCAAGTCCACAGTGGGCCTTCTGGAACCCGAGGATACAAAAAGTCACCCATACGTATAGGAGGGTTTCACATCACACGCCATTCAAATCCATGTTGTTCAAGTTTGGAGGTTCCTCAAAAAATGAAAAATAGAGTTACCATATGATCCAGCAATCTCACTCCAAGGTATATCACCCACCAAAAAGGAAATCAGCATATAGAAGAGATATCTACATTCCCATGTTTATTGCAGCACTGTTTACAATACCTAAGATTTGGAAGCAGCCTAAGTGTTCATCAACAGATGAATGGATAAAGAAAATGTGATACATATAAACAGTGGAGTACTATTCAGCCATAAAAAGAATGAGATCCAGGCTGGGCACGGTGGCTCACGCCTGTAATCCCAGAATTTTGGGAGGCTGAGGCAGGCAGGATCACCTGAGGTCAGGAGTTCGAGACCAGCCTGGGCAACATGGCGAAACCCTGTCTCTACAAAAAATACAAAAATTAGCCTGTCGTGGTGGCGTGGGCCTATAAACCTAGCTACTCAGCAGGCTGAGGCAGGAAAATCACTTGAACCTGGGAGGCAGAGGTTGCAGTGAGCTGAGATGGCGCCACTGTACTCCAGCCTGGGTGATAGAGCAAGACTGTCTCAAAAAAAAAAAAAAAAAAAAAAAAAAAGGGATCCAGTCGTTTGTAGCAACATGGATGAAACTGGAGGTCATTATGTTAAGTGAAATAAGCCAGGCACAGAAAGACAAACATCGCATGTTCTAACTTATCTTCTTTTTTCTTTTTTTTGAGACGGAGTCTCTCTCTGTCACCCAGGCTGGAGTGCAGTGGCGCGATCTCGGCTCACTGCAACCTCCGCCTCCCAGGTTCAAGTGATTCTTTAGCCTCAGCCTCCTGAGTAGCTGAGATTACAGGCACCCACCACGCACGGCTAATTTTTGTATTTTTGGTAGAGACGGGGTTTCACCATGTTGGCCAGACTGGTCTCGAACTCCTGACCTCAAGTGATCTGCCCACCTCAGCCTCCCAAAGTGCCGGGAATACAGGCGTGAGCCACTGCGCCCAGCCTCATGTTCTTGCTTATTTGTGGGAGGTAAAAATTAAAACACTTGAACTCATGGAGATAGAGATTAGAAGGATGGTTACCAGAGGCTGGGAAGGGTAAATGAGGGGTGGCGAGGAAGTGGGATGGTTAATGGGTACAAAAATATAGTTAGAAAGAACAAATAAGACTCAGTATTTGCTAGCACAACAGGGTGACTATAGTCAATAATAATTTAATTATACATTTAAAAATAACTAAAAGGATAATTGAATTGTTTGTAACACAAAGGATAAATGCTTGAAGGGATGGATACTCCATTTACCCTGATGTGATTATTACATGTTGCATACCTATATCAAAGTATCTCATGTACCCCATGGCACCTGTAAAAATTAAATTAATTACTTTTTAAAAACCCAGGTTGTTGAAGGGTCAGTTGTAATTCTTTTCATCCTCAAAACGATTCTATGAGATAGCCAATATTATTCCCCCCATTTTGAAAAATCAATGCCCTTATTAATGTTGTTAAAGTGAAAGTTCAGAAGGTAATGGGGAGAGAACCAGACATTTCTGTTTTGCACTTAAAAGGTTAAGTTTAATAGGGACAAAGAAGTCAGTCAAAGAATGCATGTAAAGAAATATGCAACTTATGCCAGGCACAGTGGCTCACCCCTGTAATCCCAGCACTTTGGGAGGCTGAGGTGAGCAGATCACTTGAGGTCAGGAGTTCGAAACCAGCCTGACCAACATGGTGAAACCCTATCTCTACTAAAAATACAAAAAAATTAGCCGGGTGTGGTGGCACGCACCTGTGATCTCAGCTACTTGGGAGGCTGAGGCAGGAGAATCCCTTGAACCCAGGAGGTGGAGGTTGTAGTGAGCTGAGACAGCACCACTGCACTCCCGCCTGGGTGACAGAGTGAGACTCCATCTCAAAAACAAAGAAAAAAAAAAAAGAAATATGCAACTTAAGATATCTATCAGACCATTAAACTGCTGAAAATAAGTCTTAATTTTCCATTCAATCAGTATCCAGATTGAAAATTAATGTTTTTCTCTTTTCCCATCTCATTCATTTTCTACTTATATTTCATTTTTAAATATTTATAATACATATTATGTTACTATGGAAATAAACTGCATTAAACTTATATTCCTAACCAGTGTAAATTAGGATTTATATCAAGCTTCACCAGCAAATAGCAACACATAACCCATTTTCAAATATTTGGTTTAATTTAGGAGAAGCAAAGAAACATATTGCACAGATAAACACGAGGTCACTTTACTCCTTTGAACTTGTTTCATTCCTTAAGAATTTCTAAAATAGCTACATACAAAGACAGGAGTAAAAGCAAGTTTTACCCACTAAAAAGTAAAAAAAACAGCCTGGCACGGTGGCTCACGCCTGTAATCCCTGCAATTTGGGAGGCCGAGGTAGGCAGATCACCTGAGGTCAGGAGTTCAAGACCAGCCTGGACAACATGATGAAACCCCGTCTCTACTAAAAATACAAAAATTAGCCGGGCGTGGTGGCAGGCGTCTGTAATCCCAGCTACTTGGGAGGCTTAGGCAGGAGAATCGCTTGAACCTGGGAGGTGGAGGTTGCAGTGAACCAAGATGGAGCCACTGCACTCCAGTCTGGGCAACAGAGCGAAACTCTGTCTCAAAAAAAAAAAAAAAAAAAAAAAAAGGAAAAAAACCATTTTTACCATACTTTCTTGCTAGTGGATAAGCTGACCTTAGGGAAGCCATGCCACAGGGGTGAAAGGGAGAGAGGGAAAAGAAGCAAGAGTTGGAGGACTAATAACTAGGATTACAAGATGGTATTATGGGCTTTGTGCACTGAAACAGGGAAAGGGGAGCTGGAAAATAATCCAGTAATCTGGGGCCAAATCTTGGCTCTGACATTCACCAACTCTGGAGATTGGGTAAATTGCTAAATTTCTCCCCTTTTTAGTTTCTGACCTTATAAAGTTGTTGTAAGATAAAATGAGACCACAAATGTAAAGTACCTGTTAGTACTAAGTGAATAATAAGTTAAGCCTCTCTTGGGGGAAAAAATGTCTGCTTGTAGCTGGGTCAAAGAAAAAAATACCACCTGTGGGGTAGTGGTGATTTGATCTTTTGAGTTCTGTGGCTAATCCTTGGATAATTAAAAGGTTGAATTCTGTATTATGCTTGTGCTATTAAGCATGCATGTGCACATGAGTGCACACCCACCCACCCACATACACCCTCCCAACCACATACACAAACACAAACACACAAACACAGAGACGTGCATGCGTGCACATGGGCACAAAATATAAACCAGTGAGGTACAATGTGTCCCTGAACTCAGATCACTAAGAACAAAACAATAGCATGAAGGCCATTTTATCTGTCAAAAAAACTCATCTGAGGGTTAAAAAAATAATAACTACAGTTATTATGAAGCTGAAAATTAATTTTTATGTGTAGCATTCCACTTTCAGATCCCTGGAAGAAAGAAGCTAGACTCAAGGTATAAGAGTATGCAGTATTTCTAGAAATTATTAATTAATTAAAATAGCTAATAAGCCAAAAAAAGTGCTTCTTAGTTTTGTTTTTTTTTTGAAGAAATCATTCCTAGAAATAAAAACTTAATATTACACGTGACCTCACTTAGAATTACTGAAACATAGGTATTTTCACAAAGAAAAATAAAATTTACTTTTTTAAATGAACAGCTGTCAGTTTGGAAAGTCTTCTTACCTGTTTGATTTGATGAAGGCGGCTGATGGAACCATGAAAGGGAGGAGGTGGCAACAACTGAAATTTAAAATATAGAAGTCAAGCTTGCTTTAATGTTTGTGATTAATTACATCTCAACATTAAGTCAATGTTGAATTACCTAAAATATTTATTTAGTGTCTTATGCATGCCAGCAACAGTATCAGTTAGGTTCAAAGTTAAAAAAAGATCCAACTGGATCTTGACTGAAAATTATACTAATCAAAAATCAACACTTTCCAAAACAGAACAAAATAACTGTTATCATAATAAATACAGAGCAGAACATCAATAGAGGATTTTGTTTGTCTCTACCTTTTCTTTCCTAAGGCACTAGATCTTAAAATTGCCTCATTTTTCTTGCCAGTTTTAGCCCATCATTAAAGCTTAGGTAGAGGTATTACCCAGAACAAAAAGCTGAAACAGTCATTGAATCAGTAGCTAGCTTGCCAAGCATACTGCCCAAAAATCATAAACAGAATAACTACATCAAATATCCTGGAATCTAGCTGGGAAACCAAACTTTCATAATATGAAATGACTCTAAGGTAATCACTTTCAAGTCATTTAGCACATTTTACTCTTGGTTGCTAAGATACTTCTTGTCTAGGTCCTTTCTCTTTTTCGGGGCTACTTTTTCCTTTTCAGTCTTTTCTCAAAGCTTATGAGGACCCACACAAGAGGGGAATGAAAGAATGGAGGGATTTAAAGCTAAGTGTGAAAATGAGGCTTGAAAATTACCTTCAGAATTCATCTGTAAACTCTTTCTGTACCGTGGTTATTTCTTAAAATGCCAGATAATGTGTTTACCATATCTTAGTTTCAAATTCTATCTTAAGAGCACATTGAGTTGTACATTCAAAATATTGAATGAGGCCGGGCGCGGTAGCTCATGCCTGTATTCCCAGCACTTTGGGAGGCCAAGGCAGGCAGATCACTTGAGGCCAGGAGTTCAAGACCAGCCTGGCCAACATGGTGAAACCCCATCTCTACTAAAAATACAAAAATTAGCCATGCGTGGTGGCATGTGCCTCTGATCCCAGCTACTTGGGATTTTTAAGAAAAATAAAAGACCTGGAGGCCAGGCACGGGAGGCTCATGCCTATTATTCCGGCACTTTGAGAGGATCACTTGAGGCCAGGAGTTCAAGACCAGCCTAAGCAAGATGGCAAACACCCACCTTTACAAATATACATATATATATATATATATATATAGAGAGAGAGAGAGAGAGAGAGAGAGAGAGAGAGAGAGCACTGAGCTAGACTCTGAAGATCGAAAGATAAATAAGACATTTTCCTGTCCTTGAGCAAGTCAAAGTCTAAGTCTAGTTAGCAGAAACTAGGTCACAGCCAAATGGCAGAACAGAGTTACGATTTGGGTTCAAAGGACAGAGTTCAAAGGACAGAGAACTCTGTGTGGGTCTTGAGGAAGTCTTCATAGAGGAGTAGCAACTCATTAGATAGAGAAGAGGAGGGAGGACATTTCAAGGAGTGAGAGGAAACACTCAGGCAGAGAGGAATGTTCAGGGAACAGAAAGGTTCAGGGTGGCTGAAACTTAGTACCTGCGAGGGTACAACAGGAAACAAATTTAGGGAAATTAGGCTAAAACCAGATTGTAGTTTTTGGACTTTAGCCTTTGAGCACAATAGGAAACCCAGAGCATAGATTCCTCTGAGTTCTTAAACCTCAAAGCTGTTTAAACAAGATCATATCTGCTTTAAAAAGGTAACCCTAGCAACATCATGCAGAACACATTGATGGTGGATGGAAGAGGGACTAGACGCAGGGTCACAGGCCAGGTCACAGATGGTGAGGGTCTAAATGAAAAAGGGAGAGTGAAGAGAAGGAGGTAGATTGGAGAAATGACCAGAAGGTTGAAAAAGAGGTTGCTAAGGTTCCCAGTAGAAACCAATAGATGGAGTGTGGCCATGAAAGGCAGTAAGAGGAGTGAGTTAGTGAGTGGAGGGAAGATGAGTGTTCAAAAAGTATGTGTTGGGCCATGTGTGGTGGCTCATGCCTGTAATCCCAGCACTTCGGGAGGGGGAGGCGGAGGCGGGTGGATCACTTGAGGTCAGGAGTTTGAGACCAGCCTGGCCAACATAGTGAAACCCTGTCTCTCCTAAAAATACAAAAATTAGCCAGGCATGGTGGCGGGTGCCTGTAACCCCAGCTACTCAGGAGGCTGAGGCAGAAGAATCACTTGAACCTGGGAGGCAGAGCTTACAGTGAGCTGAGATCGTGCCACTGCACTCCAGCCTGGGGAACAGAGCAAGACACCATCTCCAAATAAATAAATAAATAAATACATACATAAAATAAAGTATGTGTTGGATAAATAAATGTTTCTATGAAGCAGATAGTCTGAATTTTTGTTGGGTTTTAAAATGTATCATATTGCTGCTTAAGGAATATATCACCTCACTAATTATATGTTGCTTAAAGTATTAAAATCAGTTTGTTTTTTTTCAAATCATTTGCTAGAAAGTAGAAGAAACAGCCAAGGTTGTAAAAATAACAATAGAAAATTGGTATGTGGGTAACTGAAAATTTACTACATATAAATTTTATTTGACAATTAGCAACAACTACTTCACCACAATAATTCGCTATTGTCAAAATATGGCTAGCTGTTAAGTATTTCACTATTTTTTGAATACTTGCTATGTTTAATGAGCTATTTTTCTGCTCAGAGGGG
Source organism: Homo sapiens (assembly GCF_000001405.40). Taxonomy (NCBI): domain Eukaryota; kingdom Metazoa; phylum Chordata; class Mammalia; order Primates; family Hominidae; genus Homo; species Homo sapiens. The sequence continues at coordinate 134,826,566 of NC_000023.11, read as the reverse complement.
AATGAGAGAATTTTTTTCTTAAAAAAAAAAGACAGCTAATAAGCTGTTGTTATTACCCTCAGTTATTACTCAGAGACCTTACAATCCACTGAAGAAACCAGTCTTGGAAGCAGATTTTATATAAGAGACAAGGAAGTGCATGTCAAATGAAAGCAAAGTGGGGTGGGAATAAAAAGCAAAGATGAAGTGGGTGTGTGTAGGGGCTGGGAGGTGGAAGACAAATAAGAAAGGCATAAGGTGGTATTTCAGTTGGACCTTCAGAACAAGGAGTTTGCCAGCATAAGCAACAGAAAAGTGAAAGTGCTTGGCATGTTTTAAGACAGGATACTGGCCCTGTGTGAGTGGCACACCAAGTTCGTGGAGGGAGAAAGGACTCTGAGGCCAAAAGCGTGAAGATATTAGAAAGCTTTAAATGTCATGCTCAAAGAGTTTGAACTGTGGGAAAATGATCTACTCTGTTATACATAGGAGAAGAGCAGGTTACACCTAATAGCACCATCTATTTAACTTTGGAATAGATATACTCAGATACATATCATCAGCCCTGAGCCTGGTTCTATTGCTATCCAGAGAATGGGTATAAACATGTCACTCTGGATGCGGTGGCTCACACCTGTAATCCTAGCACTTTGACAGGCCAAGGCAGGCAGATCACTTGAGGTCAGGAGTTCAAGACCAGCCTGGCCAACATGGTGAAACCCCATCTCTACTAAAGACAAAAAAAAAAAAAAAAAAAAAGATCCGGGCGTGGTAGCAGGCGCCTATAATCTCAGCTACTCTGGAGGCTGCCACAGGAGAATCACTTGAACCTGGGAGGCGGAGGTTGCAGTGAACCAAGATCAACTGCATTCCAGCCTGGATGACAGAGCAAGACTGACTCAAAAAATAATAATAATAAAAAAAATCTGACAGTTGTGGACTCTTGACTGGCGCATAACTCAGACTGGCCTGTACTAATCATGTTCCAGGGTTGATATCTTAAGGAAATTTGTAATTCAAATCAATAATGCTACTAGCTGACCCTTCTAACAAAAGTCAGAAATCTTTTCTGGATAAAACTTATATTAAAGGGATACATTGGATATATAATTTGTTGCTATAGGCAATAGTGTTATGAACAACATGCTAGAGTTGCTGTTTTAAGCATCTATTTAATGTGATAATGGTGATAATACATGTAATGTGTTTAGCACAGCACCTGGCACAGAGTTTGTGCTAAATAAATGGTAACTATTACTACTACCACCATTATTACTACCATCATCAAACACTCTAGAATACATCCTTTAATGATACATAAACAATTTGAATTATATGCTAAGTATTTATAAAACTAGGCTATCTGTCCCCTGTTACCCAGCAGTTTCCAGTCTTTTCCTATTTGAACTTTCATTTATTTATTTTTAATATATTTTATTTTTTAGAGCACTCTTCAGTTCACAGCGAAATTGAACAGAAATTATAAAGAGTTCCCACATACCCCCCTCCGGCTCTCACACAAGTGCAGCCTCTCCCACTACCAACATCCCTCACCAGAATGGTGCATTTTTTACAACCAATGAACCTGCATTGGCACATCATTACCACCCAAAGTTCATAGTTTACATTTAGGTTCACTCCTGGTGTTGGACATGCTAAGGGTTTTGTATGACATGCATCCATCATTATAGTATGGTACAGAATAGTTTCACTGTCCTAAAATTCCCCTATGCTCTGCCTGTTTGTCCTGATCTTTTATTTTTTTTCTTTTTTCTTTTTTTGAGAAGGAATCTCAGTCTGTCACCCAGGCTAAAGTGCAGTGGCCAGTGGCCCAATTTTGGCTCAATGCAACCTCCACCTCCTGGGTTAAAGCATTTCTCCTGCCTCAGCCTCCCGAGTAGCTGGGATTACAGGCGTGCGCCACCACGCCCGGCTAATTTTTATATTTTTAGTAGAGACAGGGTTTCTCCATGTTGGCCAGACTGGTCTCGAACTCCTGGCTTCAAGTGATCCACCCGCCTTGGCCTCCCAAAGTGCTGGGATTACAGGCATGAGCCACCGGGCCTGGCCCTGATCTTTTTGTTTTTAACAGAAATAGGCTCACATTTTTTCTCATTATAAAGCATATATACTCAATATATATAATTTAATACATTCTGAGTCTTTCCATGTTAAAATTCATCTGCAACACCATTTTAAGTGCTGAATATTATACTGTAAGGACGTACCATAATAATAAGCAGCACTTTTATTATGTGCCACACGTTTTATCTCACTCAATTCTCACAGCAACCCCATGAGGTAGGCATTATTATCACCTTCATTTTGCCTCAGAAAAACTGAGGGCTACAGTGATTAAGCAACTTGTCCAAGGGGTTATGCAGTCATTGCTAGAACTGGAATTCAAATACACGTAACGAAGGCTCTTTCGATTGACCTATTCCCTATTGTTAGACATTCAGGCTGTTGCCATATTTTTTGCTAGCTCTTATAAATAATGTTGTAATAATATCTTTTAAGCTAATGTTTGTGCACATCCTTAATTAATTCTTTAGGATCAATTCATAGAGCTGGAGTTTCTGGGTTGCAAGGTTGTTGATACATATCACCAAGCTGCCCTCCAGAAAACTTATACAAATTTACTTCCCAGTAGTGTATTAGAATACCTATTTCCTCATACCCTCTCAACATTAGATACTGTGACTTTTTTTTCTTTTTTACTTTGAACCCCAAATATTGCTAATTTAAAAAATATTTACGTGCCCATTCTTAAGGCATACTATAAAAATAATCAAACTTTCAAAGCAAGCAGAAAACATTGTGATTTATACAGTGTTGGAGATTCTTCCTCAGTGTTTCCCTTTAATAACACTAATTGAGAAGTTGTGCAGTGGCATGAACAGAATCTGAAAAATTTAGGTTTTCCTGAAAAACTCTCATATACACATGGATATATATGTGTACATGTATACATTTTGCATGTATATGCATATATATGTATACGTGTATGTATATATGTATATATGTACATAGAATACACGTATACAAATATACATATATATACACATATATACAGATACACACACACACCTTTGAAGAGGCAGAATTTTAATACGTTTAATTCATGCTACTAAGGTTCACATCTGCATCAATCAAATGCCCAGAAAATTCACAATATATAACATGAAACACTATGGTTTATAAAGTTTATAATCTAATGAAAAAGATATATAACCTGAACTTAAATGTATACATATACTTTCTATAGAAATTATGACACTTTGGCTGTATTATAATGACATGTCATAAATAAGACAATTACTTTCTATTTTTTAATTTTTTATTTATTTAACTTTTATTTTAGGTTTGGGGGTACATGTGAAGGTTTGTTACATAGGTAAACATGTGTCACCAGGATTTGTTATACATATTTTTTCTTTTTTTTTTTGAGACGGAGTCTCGCTCTGTCACCCAGGCTGGAGTGCAGTGGTGCAATCTCAGCTCAGTGCAACCTCCATCTCCCAGGTTCAAGCAATTCTCCTGTCTCAGCCTCCTGAGTAGTTGGGACTACAGGCACGTACCATCATGCCCAGCTAATTTTTTTGTATTTTTAGTAGAGATGGGGTTTCACCATGTTGACCAGGCTGATCTCAAACTCCTGACCTCAGGTGATCTGCCCACCTTGGCCTTCCAAAGTGCTGGGATTACAGGTGTGAGCCACCGCGCCTGGCCTGTTGTACATACTATTTCATCACCCAGGTAGTAAGCCCAGTACCTAATAGTTATCTTTTCTGCTTCCCTCCTCACATCCTCCCCGCTCAAGTAGACCCTAGTGTCTGTTGTTTCCTTGTGTTCATAAGTTCTTATCATTTAGCTCCGACTTATAAGTGAGAAAACATGGTATGGCAAATTTCCTTCATAAAATAATGATGAAAGACTTCCCTAGAAGAGATTATTTTTAATTTATACCTAAGGGATGGGAAGGAACCAATTTAGGTTCAGGCAAAGGCTTAGGATTTCCCACTGAAAAACTTCATCCAGGAAATCATGAGAAGATAGACTGAAATTGATGACACCAGCAGGGAGATAGTGTGAAATGTCTGAGGTAGGTAGGATTTGAACTTGAGCTACAGAATCATAAGCTACAAGAATTTTTTAATTGGACAAAATGTGGATCAAATCTTGTATTGGCTGATTCTTTTAGTAATAATGTGAGAAATTAATTGCAGAAAACAAGGCTTCTGGAAGAGAATTCTCCCCAAATTAAGTACTACAAGTGGCGTTTGCAAAGGAATTACCTTAGATAATTTTTCCACATGAAACAAAGTATTAAAATAGAAATAATGACTTCACTGAGATGTAATAAACATCACTGGTATCTTTTGTGTAAATTTCCCACTGTGCCTTTTTCTCACACTCCAGGAAGAAAGAAAAGTCCTTGGAAGGAACCAAGAGTATCAGCACCAAGGAATGATGTCATGGTGTGAAGGTGGCTGGGAGTAGAAGTAGCGGGAGGTTAGGGAGGGTGCTGGGTGAAGCTAATTACTAAGAATTATCTCCAGTGAAAGGATTAAGATAGGAGGAAAAACCAAGCTTAGTTCCATTTAAGAGAGATCACAGAAAATTCATATTGTAAAGACATTAAGATTTTTAAAAATTATTTTTCATTTTCCTAGGTTTGCTGTTTTTAAGCCATTTCCTACTATAGTAACTAGAGATAAAATGCTCAGAAAATCCTAAACAAAGGGTTGTACACTGTGTTTATAAATGTCTCTGCCTAGTTTCAGAAATGATTTAAGATGGTTTATAATGCTACTTAACATGAACTGAACATGGGCTAGATGTGCAGGGCATAAAGCAGGATCAGGAATGTATTACATGCTTGCAACTTTGTGGGCCATACACTAGATTTGGGGTTTGTGGTTGCCAATAGGAAAAGCAAAACCTAATGAGACAGATGTCAGTAGGCCTAAAATTAGAACAGATGAATTGCTCAAGAAAAGCACAACCTTTTCTCTTAGGAAGATGAGACATTTCCCCTGCTTCCTTTGGAAGAGGAGGGGGTGGGGATGGAGAAGTGACGCAGTGACATCCGGCTTGAGCAGAAGTGCCAGAATTCCTGGTGGGAGAGAAAGGAACAGGCATGGCAACTTCAGAGTTCTTAGGAGATAAAGCAAAGGGGCGATTTGGGAGAAGGCATAGTCTCAAGGTCAGAAGAGGTCTTTGGGCTTCTGTTCAACAGAAGTGGGTGAAGTAATTTCCTGAGAGAAGTGAAGAAAATATTTGCACTTAATTAAACAAAATAATTGTGAGGGAACAGTTTTTTTTTTTTTTTTTTTTTTTACAATGCTTGGAAAATACGCATCTTTATTTTTGTGTTCATTCAACACAAAAACCCATGGCTCTTCAATGCCCTCTGTCACAGTGATTTGTTTCTAAAACACGGTTTTACCTATATACGTATGTATACACACACACACCCATATATATATATATATACACACACACACACATATAATATAAAATATATATATATACATATATATGTGTATATATATATTTTTTTCATATGGAGTCTGTCTCTGTCGCCCAGGCTGGAGTGCAGTGGCGGGATCTCAGCTCACTGCAAGCTTCACTCCCCGGGTTCAAGAGATTCTCCTGCCTCAGCCTCCCAAGTAACTGGGATTACAGGCGCGTGCCACCAGACCTGGCTAATTTTTCGTATTTTTAGTAGAGACGGGGTTTCACTATGTTGACCAGGCTAATCTCAAACTCCTGAACTCAAGTAATCCGCCTGCCTCGGCCTCTGAAAGTGCTGGGATTACAGGCGTGAGCTACTGTGCCCAGCCTGTTTTACCCATATTTAAATACATGAAAAGCAGCACCAATTTTTAAAATTGTGGTAAAATACACTAACGTGAAACTTACCATCTTAACCATTTTGAAGTATACAGTTCAGCAGTGTTAGGTACATTCCCACTGTTGTGCAGCCAATCTCCAAAACTCTTTTCATCGTGCAAAACTGAAACCCTTTAAAATTGTACCCTTGCAAAACTGTACCCTTTAAACAACAACTCCCCATTCCCTCCTCCTCCCAGCCCCTAGCAACCACCATTCTACCTTCTGTGTCTATGAATTTGGCTACTTTAGATGCCTGTGGCACCAATTTTAAGGATAGACCAGTATAGGACATAACCATTAAACTTATAGTTTATGATATCATTCAATAATATTTGTATTTTTTCAAGAATAATGTTTCTATTTTGTAATATAATATCTACTAGAAATGAAAACACCTGTATTGCTCATGCTTTGTGAAAAACATCCAACTAGTATAGAAATGCATAAAGTAAAAATAAAATTCTGCCTATAATGTCATGCTCCAGAGATATCTACTAAAGATAGGTTGATAGATATCCTTCTCGACATCTTTAAATATATATAAGAGCTTGCTATCCATTGATTTTGAACCCTGGGTCTAATTACTAGTTACATAATTAACTGTGGCTGCTGAAGATGGTAGGGTGGAAAGATAGAAGGAACCTGGGTCTCTGATGATGTCATTGGCCCACTGAACTAACCCGGCCTAGAACCTCCTTTTCTTGGGGCTTCTTATTATTTGAGATAATAATGCTCCTTATTGCTCCTTATTGTTTAAGTCTCTCTGTTTTTTGTTTGTTTGTTTGCTTTTGTTTTTGTTTTTGAGACAGAGTCTTACTCTGTCACCCAGGTTGGAGTGCAGTGGCGTGATCTCGGCTCACTGCAAACTTCACTTCCCGGGTTCAAGCGATTTTCCTGTCTCAGCCTCCTGAGTAGCTGGGATTACAGGCGCATGCCACCATGCCCGGCTAATTTTTGTATTTTTAGGAGAGACATGGTTTCACCATGTTGGCCAGGTTGGTCTTGAACTCCCGACCTCAGGTGATCCGCCCACCTTGGCCTCCCAAAGTGCTGGGATTACAGGCCTGAGTCACCTCGCCCAGGCTGTTTAAGTCTCTTCTAATTGGATTTTACTGCTTTTGCCAAAAGCATTCTAATTCATCATGTCATTCTCCTAGAAAATTCAGCAGTTCTATACTAAAGGTAAGTATATACTTACTTATGTCTTATAATAATAATGAAGTGATACTTAGACACAATAAAAGCATATGCATAGTATTGCTATAGCAAGCTAAACCAACAAGCCTTGAAATCCCCATCATCCAATAAGTTAAAATGACTTCAATTCTGCCAAACACAATCTGTTATATAAGATGGTTTATTTTAAATATACATTATATTAAACTGAACGTTATGCAAATTAGGAGCCTAGAATTCCTAAGGAATGTTATGCATTTTTAAAATGCCAAGAATCGCCGGGCACAGTGGCTTATGCCTGTAATCCCAGTACTTTGGGAGGCCGAGGCAGGCGGATCACGAGGTCAGGAGTTTGAGACCAGCCTGGCCAATATGGTGAAACCCCATCTCTACTAAAAATACGAACATTAGCCAGGTGTGGTGGCGCGTGCCTGTAGTCCCAGCTACTCAGGAGGCTGAGGCAGAAGAATCGCTTGAACCCAGGAGGCGAAGGTTGCAGTGAGCCGAGATCACGTCACTGCACTCCAGCCTGGGCAAGAGATCTGTCTCAAATAAAAAAAAAAAAAAAAAAAAAAAGAAAGAAAAAATATCCTTTAAGTATTTGGTACTAGAAAAAAAGATTTTAAAATTATAATTTTTAAAAAGCCAGGTGCACCGGTTGCTGACTATATGTACTATTACTGATTTAAAAAAACCCACATATTTATTGAGCATTTAGTATGTGCCAGTGCTGTGCTGAGTGCTTCATACTGACCAAGGTAATCCACAACAAACCTACAAAGCAGTTACTTTTACATTCCCATTTTACAGATGAGGGATTTGCCTCCCAAATAACTGAGCCTGGATGTACAGTGCCATTTATAGGTCCTTGGCTCTCAGTTATTCTTCAAAATCAAATCTGGCTTAATCTCACCCCACTCCTCCTTCTACTGAAAGTGCTTTCAAATATAAGAATTCATGAGTAATATCTGTTTTGGTAATTCAAAGGACACTTTTCAGTCTGTTTGACGGCTTGACAGCATATGACTTACTACTTTTCCTTGTTTTTTCATGGTACTACTCTCTTCTGAAGCCTCCTCCTGCCTCTCTACTTAGTCCATCACTCTTCTTCTGACTGATTTTTAAGTGTTGGTGATTTTTAAAGTTTTGTCCTGCAACTTCTTCTCTGCTCTTTCTATACTCTCTTTGTAGGTCATATCATTAATTCCCACAGTTTTAAATAACAATCTACCAATGATTCCCAAATGGTTATCTCTAGTCCAGCTCTCACTCCTGAGCTTCAAACTAGTACATCGAACATCACTAGTTTACAGGTCCAAGAGAACCTCCAATGTAACATGTACAAAGCTAAACTCATCCTCCTTTGTAAATCTACTCTTCTTGCAATGGTCCCTTCTTATTCTGTGTCACTACCATCCCATCAGCTGCCCAAGCTAGAGACCTAGGAGTCAGGTTTGCCTCCACTGTTTCCCACCGTCCATTGATTCCATCTTTGAAATTTCTCCTGAATCTGGAACTTTTCTCTATTTCCACTACCATCACACTAGTCCAAGCTACCATCAGCTCTTTGCCAGGGTGATTGCAGTAGCCTATCTGATCTTCTTGCATATACGTTTGCCCTCTTCCAATCCACTTTCCACTCTGCAGCCAGGGCAATCTTTTAACAAATCTGATCATGTCAATCATTGGCTCAAAACTCTTCAATGGCTTCTCACTGACCCTAGGATAAAGTGCAAAATACTTAACATGACTTGAAGGCCCTACAAGATATTGCACTAGTCTACTTCTTCAACCACATCTCTCACCACTGTATCTTTGCTTTCACTGTAGCTAAAATGCACTTCTTTCAAATTTTATACACACTCTTTTATCTATACACCACACTTCCTTTTCCAGGACTTCAAGCATGCTGTTTTCTACCAGGAATATTGTCTACCCCTGCCACCAATATCCCAAACTAGCTAACCCTCTCACATCAGTAAGATCTCAACTAAGATGTTATCTCCTCCCCAAACTCAGTTAGATCAACCCTGGCAACTAGATCAGGGCCTAATACATAGTGGGTCCTAAACCACTATGTTGGCTTCGTTGAGTAGAAGACTGGATAGGTATGGAAGGCTTTGAGAGGCAAGCAGGTGCTCAACAAATATCGTTGAATGGATGAGTAAATGAGTAGAAAGAAGAAATATTTATTTAATGAACAGTTATAATTTCTCCCACTATAAAATTAATGCATTTGTGGGAACAATATTGAATATCATTCTATGAAGAAGAAAATGTCCAGTTTTAAGATTAGCAAGCAATATTTTTTTTTGTTTTTGTTTGTTTGTTTGTTTGTTTTGAGAGAAAGTCTCACTCTGTCACCAGGCTGGAGTGCAGTGGCGCGATCTTGGCTCACAACCTCCAACTCCCGGGTTGAAGCGATTCTCCTGCCTCAGCCTCCCCAGTAGCTGGGATTACAGGCATGCACCACCACATCCAACTAATTTTGTATTTTTGGTAGAGATGGGGTTTCACCATGTTGGCCAGGCTGGTCTTGAACTCCTGACCTCAGGTGATCCTCCCGCCTTGGCCTCCCAAAGTGTTGGGATTACAGGTGTAAGCCACCACGCCTGGCCACGAGCAATATTTTTAAATTGGTATCAAGCTATAACATTTCACTAAAATGTATTCTAGAGATTCTATCACATTACAAATCATATTATAAGAGAAATCTATAATACATAACACATAACACATAAATTACCAAACTGATTCAAGAAATAGAAAATCTCAACAAACCTATAACAAGAGATAGAGTCTGTAATCAAAAACTTCCCAACAAAGAAATGTCCAGGACCAGATGGTTTCAATGCTGAACTCTACTAAACATTTAAAGAATCAACACCAGGCCAGGCACAGTGGCTCACACCTGTAATCCCTGCACTTTGGGAGGCCAAGGCGGGTGGATCACCTGAGGTCAGGAGTTTGAGACTAGCCTGGCCAACATGATGAAACCCCGTCTCTACTAAAAGTACAAAAAATTAGCTGGGCGTGGTGGCGGGTGCCTGTAATCCCAGCTACTCAGGAGGCTGAGGCAGGAGAATCGCCTGAACCCGGGAGGCAGAGATTGCAGTGAGCCAAGATCGTGCCACTGCACTCCAGCTGGGCAAAAAGAGCAAAACTCCATCTCAAAAAGACAAAAACAAAAACAAACAAACAAAAAACAAGAATCAACATAAAATCCTACTCAAGCTCTTACAAAAGTAGAAGACAAAGGAGTACCTCCTAATACATTCTATGACGCCAGCATTACTCTGATACCAAAGCTAGCAAAAGATACCACAAGAAAACAACAGGTCAATATCTCTTATGAATACAGATACAAAAAGATTTATCCCAGGAATGCAAGGGTAATTCAACATGGAAAAAAATCAATGTAATATACCATATTAATTGAACAAGGTGGGGAAACACATGATCATCCCAAGAGATGCAGAAAAAGCACTTGAAATAATTCAACACACTTTCATGATAAAAATACTCAGCAAGGCTGGATTCAATGGCTCACACCTGTAATCCCAGCACTTTGGGATGCCGAGGTGGGCAGATCACTTGAGGTCAAGAGTTCGAGACCAGCCTGGCCAACATGGTGAAATCCTGTCTCTACTAAAAATACAAAAAAATTAGCTGGGCATGGTGGTGCACGCCTGTAGTCCCAGCTACTTGGGAGGCTGACCAGAAGAATAGCTTGAACCCAGGAGGTAGAGGTTGCAGTGAGCCGAGATCATGTCACTGCACTCCAGCCTGGGTGACAAAGTGAGACTCTGTCTCAAAAAAAAGAAAAAAAAAAAGAAAAGAAAAAGAAAAATACTCAGCAAGTAGGAGTAGAAGGACATTTCCTTAACATGATAAAGGACATTTACCAAAAACTCACAGCTAAAATCATATTCAATGATGAGGAACAAGACAAGGATATGTATGCACTTTAGAAACTAGAGAGAGGTACTGGTTGAACAACATTGTGAATACACTAAATGCCATTGAATTGTATATTTTAAAACAGTTAATTGAATGTTATGTGAATTTCACCTCAATAAAATCATATAATGAATCATGTATTCACCTTGGCTTACTGATCTACAAGTATATTCCCTATGTTTACAGGATAATTAGTAGAAAAGAGTTATAATTTAGAGATTGCATGATAATACCATGAAAAGCAAATCTTATTTACAATTCAAGATAAATGTGAGATAAAAGTCTAAAAGCCTGAAAATTACTTTTAGGAGAGTCTGCAAATTTTCCTCTCAAAGTTAGAATTTTCTTTAAAAAAAAAAAAGGGAAACCAGATGGTCTTATACATAAAATCTCGATGTTAAATCCATATGGGATTTAAAAATTAATTCTGTTGCAGCTGCAGCAATCATAACTGTAGTCAATGTGTTTATTTTTCCTTCAGTAATGTTTAGAGCAGTGTTTCTCAAAGTGGGAACTTGTTAGAAATGCAAATTCTCATGCTCCACCCCCATCTACTTAATCAGAAACCCTGGGGGTGAGACTCCCGCTGGCCATCTGTGTTTTAATAAGCCCTCCCTGTGAATGCTCAAGTTTGAAGACCATTGGTTGAGACCAATAAGCACAAGTCTTAGACAGGGAGGCCACTATAAGCATTTCCTTACCAGAGAGCGTCGATTCCTAAATGTTGTTCTGTTTGTCCTAATTCTTAACATGTCAGCTTGCAACACCTGTGAATTAAAACTAAAAAGAAAAACAAAAACATGTGTTATATAAAATCCATTACAAAATTCTTTTTTTTTTTTTTTTTGAGACGGAGTCTCGCTCTGTTCTGTTGCCCAGGCTGGAGTGCAGTGGCACGATCTCAGCTCACTGCAACCTCTGCCTCCCAGGTTCAAGCAATCCTCCTACCTCAGCCTCCCCTAGTAGCTGGGATTACAGGCACGCACCACCATGCCCAGCTAATTTTTGTATTTTTAGTAGAGACGAGGTTTCACCATGTTGGCCAGGCTGGTCTTGAACTCCTGACCTCAGGTGATCCACCCGCCTTGGCCCACCAAAGTGCTGGGATTACAGGCGTGATCCACCATGCCCGGCCACAAAATTCTTTTAAAGATTTCAAATACCTAAACAGCAAGGGTAAAGGCAAGCTGTGCAAAGGTAGAAATTAAAACACACACACACATACAGCCTTGGTTGGCTGGGCCTAAACAAGTCTCCATATAAGGTAAGGAATTCTCAAGCACACTACTTTACTCCTAATCATGCTACGGAGAATGAATATAATTTATTGTGAACTTGGAAATACATCATTTTCAGTGTAAACCTGTAAATGATTTAAATTTATGGTCAGAGATACAACGTGCAAATACCAATTCCCTCTCAACTCCCAAAGTTTCACATGAATACGAGGAATAACCAATAGCAGGGGTTGATGGAACTCAGATTTTTCACAGATGTGTTTGGTTTGGCCTACAGTGTTAAAAATGTTTTTGAATTTGTTTTGCACACTGAAAGATTTCACATTAAAAAAAAAAAAAACACCCAGATTCCAACGTTCTGGCTTCTATTGAAAAGTTGCAAGATTTTGCAACACTGGGCCACATTCCCATGATAACAATGGACTGAAGTTGTGCAGCTGATGCCCACTGAAGACAGGTCAGTGTCCTCAGCTTTGATGGTTGCCCACTCAAGTGAACTTGGTCCTATTTGACCTTGTAATCCTGAAGAAATCATCATTTCATTGTTTTTTCAGAGATGTCGTCCCGCTGTATATTGCCTAGGCTGCCCTCAAACTCCTAGGCTCAACGATGCTCCTGCCTCAGCCTCTCAAGTAGCTAGGACTACAGATCCCAGCGGTGCCCGGCATCTTTTCCTTTTTATTATAACTTTTTATTTTGAAACGGTTTAAGACTCACAAGAAGTTGCAAAAAGAATACAGATGGTTCACATGTACCCTTCATCCAGGTTCCTCCAATGTGAGAAATCATCTGTAATACTTTTGTTTTAGCTGCCTATATCCAATCAACTGCCAGTATTTTAGATTTTACCTCTATACTCGCTCTCTGATAACCACCTGATTCTTGTCAGGCTCCTTGCCAAAAACCAATTCAAGGTCTTTTTCCTTTTCCACAGACTGCATAGTCTAATTGGGCTCCTCGCCTCTCTTCTTTCCCTTCTCTAGGCTAACAGACTACCAGGGGCATCTTCCTAAAGAACAGTTTGCTCACAACTTTCAGTGACTCTCTTCAGTGCCTGTCAAATTCAGTTACGTTCTTTACTATGACATTCAAAGCCATCCACGGTTTGGCTCCAGACTCTTCAATTTCAAGGACTAGTACAATTTCAAAACAAAATCTAGGCAGAAACATACAGTTGCCACCTTTTTCTTTTGCCAAGTCATTTTTTTTTAAATCCCACCATTGACCAATACCATCATTTCATTTGTAAAATGACCCTTTGGTATTAAGAAAATAAGAGAATAACAATCTCAGAGTACAGTACAGTCCTGCCCAGGAAAGATAATTAACAACTACATAATGACATCTTTAATTATGCTGTACTTAACTCTTTTAAAAGCACGGATTGGTAAAAACTTCACCTGAGATCAGCACTGATCAGCAGATGAACATCTGGGAGTCAGGGGTTCAGGCAAAGTGGACCATTCAGTTCTCTGGAACACATCTATGCTTTTCTGCCTTCAAGTCTGTTCTACATATAATACTTAAAATACTATCCCAACCATTGTTCCCCCTCTTTTCCAGGGTGTATCCTATCAATCCATGAAGGCCCATCTCAAATGCCAACTTCTTCATAAACTTTTCCTTCTCCCTCACCAGTCCCGCTGTAATTTCTCCCTTCCTTCTTTGAATTCCCCTAGCACTTTATTTAGCTCCCTACGCACTTATCTTAAGCTCCCTACGCACTTATCTTACTCTACCATATATTTAAGTCCTTCTAGTATTTATATTCCCTATTAAAGCTTATTGAGCCCTGAGATACATCTTTGCAACATCATAATTTGCATATAACAGGCAGTAACTTAATATTTTGTGAATGGAAGGTATATGGATGTATCTAATTCTACTTACTTTCCCAGTCATTTTCTTTGTGAGAATAGGAATATGTTCTGGCAGTCACTCATAAGAAAATTGGAGGGACACTAATGGGCTATTTCTTTCCATTCTTTTTTGTGTACATGTGTAGGGGGCTTAATACTTAGGGCTGACAATGATATAGTCTACCCTAAATTTGTTTGCCAATTTTAGTAAGACTATAACTGAAAGAAAGAATTCAGGCAATATATACTTCAACTGGTATGCATCATTCAACATGAATTTATAAAACCCTAGCTGATATCTGAACTAAGTGCTACTTTTAACTCGGAAAAAGCAGAAGTAGTATAACTGGATGGATGTTCAATGTTCCACATCAAATGATCAATAAACAGCTCTGTCTAAACTATAATAGATTTATGTCACTTATATTCCCAAAGCAATCATTTCTCATGGCTGCTATTCTTCCACGTTCGTAAAAGTTCAATAAACCAGAAGATGGGCAAACTTTTTCTGCGAAGGGCCAGAGAGTAAATATTTTAGGATTTGTGGGCCATACAGTATCTGTTGCAACTCCTCAGTTCTGCCACTGCAGTGGGAAAGTAGCCATAGATAACAACTAAACAAATGGGGATGGTTCCATTCCAATAAAATTTTATTTGCAAATCCAGGTGGTGGGCTGCATTTGGCTCTGGGGCAGTAATTTGCCTTTCAAATAGAATTGAGGGTCAGGAGTGGTGGCTCACGCCTGTAATCCCAGCACTTTGGGAGGCCAAGGTGGGTGGATCACAAGGTCAAGGGTTCAAGACTAGCCTGGCCAACATAGTGAAACCCATCTCTACTAAAAATACAAAAATTAGCCTGGCCAACATAGTGAAACCCGTCTCTACTAAAAATACAAAAATTAGCCTGGCGTGGTGGTGCATGCCTGTAGTCCCAGCTACTCGGAGGCTGAGGCAGGAGAATCGCTTGAGCCCAGGAGGCAGAGGTTGCAGTGAGCCGAGATTGAACCACTGCACTCCAGCCTCAAGACTCCATCTCAGGAAAAAAAAAAAAAAGAATTGAGGCAGTAACAGTTTAAATGCAGGGTCAAGGTAGAGGTTTTTAAGGTAGGGAGGCACTGGCAGGAATACAAGAACCTAATCTCTGAGTCTTTGAATAAGGGTCAGAGAAAGAGAAGAAAAAACTCCTAGCTTTAAGTATAGTTATTGACACCAGTAATAAAGTCAGCCAATTACAGAGATAAAGAGTATAAAGAACCAAGAGGTTCAAAACTTTTGACGTTGGAATTTTTATTAGTTCAAGATATACATAAAACAGTGCAGATACTTCTTTAAAACAGTAATACTGTATTAAAGAGTTGATATGAAAGAAACAAACCTAAGGAATTTAATTCTGCAAATGCTGGTGCAAGAGGGTCTTTATATAGAAGAAACATCAAGCAAAGTTCGAAAATTACTTGAAAGAGGTGCAACAATGTTTAGCAAGCTAAATATTTTCTACAACAGCACAAAACATCCCCTCAGATCATTTGGGCAAGTTCCCTGACCTCAGGCATGTCACACATCATTCCTATGTTACTTCTTTCTGAGGGACTGGAGTCTCTGAACTCTGTCCACTTTGTGGTTTCTATATCTTTAATTCCTACTAAAGAAATATGCTAGTGACTTTCACCTTTCTGAAAAGAATGCTTTACTGGCCAGGTATAGTTTAGAAAGAGGAAGTACTCAAGTATTAGAGGGCCAAGGAAGGAAAAAAAAAGGGAGAAAAGTGAGCAGTATACATATGCAAATGAGAACTGAGGTGAAAATGAATTCAACTAAGGCTCAGTGTAATCCTACTCTAAATTTTTCTTGCTTCAGAATAACTTCTCTGACTATGCCCTACATTTTCTACAACAGCACAAAATATGCCCTCAGATCATCTGGGCAAGTCCCCTAATCTCAGGGATGTCACACATCATTCCTATGTTACTTCTTTCTGACAGACTAGAGTCCCTGGACTCCGTCCACTTTGTGGTTTCTGTATCTTTAAACTCCTACTACAGAAATATGCTAGTGACCCTTATCTTTCTGTACAAATTTTACTTCATGCATCAGGATCTTAAGCTATGGAATGTAACACTGTAGCTATGCTCTAATATAAGCAAAAAACAAACAAACAAAACAAAAAAATCCTTTGCAGAACAAAGCAAGGTATGAAGGGATAACTGAGATCTCTCTGTTTCCAGGGCTTTAAGGATTAGGGAAGGGTCCACTCCTTCTCTGGTGTATTTAATACATTAAAGAGGATCCACAGGTTCCTTCCAGTACACATCTTCCATCGTCTATTTGCAACCTATTTCTTCTTTTTATATTGTCTTCAATAAATCCAACATTCTCCCTACTGCTCTCTTCTACTAGTAGAGTGGGTCCCATAATTCCTTTTTCCCACAACAGAATTAGAGCAAAATCCTGAGTGAATAAAATGTTCTTGTTCTCAGCACAACATGCAGAGTCCCCCTTCTATGTTTTTCTACCTGCCTATTTTAAAAAGGTAATGTATTTTTTTTTGGTCAATCTTAGTTTGCTTTTCATTTTGTGAACAATATATTCTCTCCTACCTCAAATGACCCAAAAGCTGCATTCATTTAGAGTTAATCAGCTTAGGTATTGGTTAGTAGTGGCCAGAACAGTAGTTTAGGAGTCAGGAAACAGAGCTTCCTAGTACTGGCTCTGCCACTAAACGTCATTTTGGAGATTTATGGGCCTCAGTTTCCTCATATGTTAAACAAGGAGGGTAAAGCTGGTCTCTGAATCCCTTCCTGATAGTCTATGGTACTGTGAATTACAACTATCAATTAGTATGATGCAACAAAAGGTGAAGAGCAAAGTTAGTAACATATGTAGTGAATGCATTTTTCAGACATTTTTACGGTATCTAGAAAACCTTATAATACTGAAATGTGAAATCCAACATCTCATTTTAAAAGTCTAGTTTAAGAAGTAAGATTTAGGCCAGGCGCAGTGGCTCACGCCTGTAATCCCAACACTTTGGGAGGCCAAGGTGGGCGGATCACAAGGTCAGGAGATCAAGACCATCCTGGCTAACACGGTGAAACCCCGTCTCTACTAAAAATACAAAAAATTAGGTGGGCGTGGTGGCGGGTGCCTGAAGTCCCAGCTACTCGGGAGTCTGAGGCAGGAGAATCGCTTGAACCCGGGAGGCAGAGGTTGCAGTGAGCCGAGATCATGCCACTGCACTCCAGCCTGGGCGACACAGTGAGACTCCGTCTTAAAAAAAAAAAAAAAAGGAAACAAGATTTAGTAATCCCAGATCTTCAGAAATACAGTTAACCATCATTTAGTGTAGTGTTTCTAAATCCTTTTTTCATTATTGACCCTCTAAAAAGCCTTTTTAGACATTTTTCCCCTAATTGCTCCCCCTTCGTGAAATTTTAATAACACATATATAGTATATATCTGTGTACATACTGTATGTATATCTGCGCTTTATACATAAAAAGAGTAAAAATTTTTCACACTCCCCCAAGAACTATTTTCTCTTCCCCTTGGGGGAAGTATCACCCAGTGAGAATGTGTAATTTAGGAGATCAAGCTTCTGTGGTACCAAAACTTTCTGCTCCAATAAAAAATAGGTGTAGGCCAGGAGCAGTGGCTCACGTCTGTAATACCAGCACTTTGGGAGGCTGAGGCAGGCGGATCCCCTGAGGCCAGGAGTTCGAGACCAGCCTGGCCAACATGGTGAAACCCTGTCTCTACTAAAAATACAAAAAATTAGGCCGGGCACGGTGGCTTACGCCTGTAATCCCAGCACTTTGGGAGGCCGAGGCGGGCGGATCACGAGGTCAGGAGATCAAGACCATCCTGACTAACACGGTGAAACCCTGTCTCTACTAAAAATACAAAAAATTAGCCGGGAGTGTTGGTGGGCGCCTGTAGTCCCAGCTACTTGGGAGGCTGAGTCAGGAGAATGGCGTGAACCCGGGAGGTGGAGCTTGCAGTGAGCCGAGATCACGCCACTGCACTCCAGCCTGGGCGACAGAGTGAGACTCCGTCTCAAAAATAAATAAACAAATAAATAAAAAATAAAAATACAAAAAATTACCAGGTGTGGTGGTGGGCGCCTGTAATCCTAGCTACTAGGGAGGCTGAGGCATGAGAATTGCTTGAAGCCAGGAGGCGGAGGTTACAGTAAGCTGAGATCGTGCCAATGCACTCCAGCCTGGGCGACAGAGCAAGACTCCGTCTCAAAAAAAGACAAAAAAAAAAATGTAAAAAAGTCCAAAGCTTATTTGCTTGACAACCATTTCCATTCAAGCGGCTGGAGGTGAAGGTCAGAGGTGACAAAGCAGCTGAAATGACAAATATTACAGTCATGGCAGAAGATCTGGAGGTGAGTGGGGGAGGATACTAAGTTTCTTCAAAGGAGTGGGTAAGAAATGGGTTGAAGTTAGAAAAAAGCCGTGCTCCACACCAACTGGCTGCTACTTTCGGGTCCGAGTGGACTATCAGGGGAGGATGTTCAGATTCAGATGTTTGTCAACCTCAGGGTGGGTGCGCGCTCCCCCTCAGGTCAGCCCGTCCCACTACCCCCACCCAAGGTTGAGGGTGGGATCTCCGGACACCAGGAACAAGGGAGTTACCTGCAGAACCTCAACAAATAAAGGGACGGGAATTCTATAGGAAATCACTTTCCCGAACACCTCCTCCCCACCGCTTGCCTCCTCCAGTATCTCAACCCGGCTCACCCAAGTCCATTGATCAAAGGGGCACTGTTGACTCTTCTCAGAATGTTGCCGTCTGCGGTAGTGGAACTCGGCAGCGACTTGAAACCTAGTTTCATTTTCTCCTGTGCCATGTCCGGGTCGAGGAATAAGTTCTCAAGGCTTTCCGGCTCCCGTCCACACAAGGACAAGTCTACTTAGTGGGCAGGTGATGTAAGGAGAGAGGCAAAGGGGAAAAAGAGAAGAGAGGAGAAAGCTCTTAGGCGAGTAGGGGTGCCCACCTTTGCAGCCCTAGCAGCCCTAACATCAGTGAACACAAAGTTAGGCAGAACTGGCTCCGAACCGCCTATCTCCCATGATCGGGGCCTCTAACGATGAGAAGATCCCCCACCTCCAAGTCTATAATGTAACTGGGGAATTTAATCTGTCACCGCCGCGAATCCTTCTCCATCTCTCTCAGCCCTGGCAACTCATGGTAAGCCTTTCCGGCCAAAACAAAAACTACAATCTGCCGCCTTTGACAATCAGTTGGGTCCCGCCCCTCAGAGCCTGCGATAAGCTATCAGCCGGACGACGCCTGTTGTGATGCAGGCAATGACGTCACTTCAGGCGCCTTAGTCAGCTTTGCCAGGGGCGCACGCGCAGTTAAGAAACCGCTTTATCCCCATGTCCTGCCCTCCTTCCTCTTTCCCCAATGCCCACTTACCGTGGTTGTGCCTCTACTCTTTTACTAACCCTGGCATGGTTTCCTTAAGCATTATTTAGAAATGAAAGCGTTGGGAGGAGTGAGGTCCTTCCTGCCCTATGCCTAATTCTCATTTTTCTTATCCCTTTATGACTGAGGCCAACAAGCTTCTAACCTCCTATGATGCATTTTTCCATCCTGTAACAGCAGACACACTACACCTTTGTAATTTTAGAAAAGCAAAAGTCTGAAAAAAAAAAAAAAAAAAAGATACTGCTACCTAAGTGCTTAGAGGCCACTTGGTCCCAAAGGGTCTTGCTAAGGTGCTAACCTAACTGAGCTCATTTGGCAAACGAATTACTGTTTTCAGTGTGGTTTCTTTCTTTCTTTTTTAAACCATAATCGTACAGTTTTTTGTTTTTTTTTTTTTGAGATGGAATTTCGCTCTTGTTGCTCAGGCTGGAGTGCAGTGGCCGCGATCTCGGCTCACTGCAACCTCCACCTCCCAGGTTCAAGCGATTCTCCTGCCTCAGCCTCCCGAGTAGCTGGGATTACAGGTGCTCGCCACCACGCCTGGTTAATTTTTGTATTTTAGTAGAGACGGGGTTTCACCATGTTGGCCAGGCTGGTCTCGAACTCCTGGACCTCAGGTGATCCGCCCGCCTCGTCCTCCCAAAGTGCTGGGATTACAGGCGTGAGCCACCGCGCCTGCCTCAGTGTGTATTTTTACATTATATATAATCTGGCTCCTCACAGCTATTCATATAAAAAATAAAGACCTCAGCTAATTTACAAAGATTTGAGTTAAAGCAGTGAGGCTTTTTTAAAAACAAATATCTCAGAATTTAGTATCAATGCAAATCAGTGTTTTCATTTCAGGTAGTATTAGAAGCTACATACATTCTAAGAATGCTGCCATGGCTCATATCGTTTTAAGAACTACTCTTTTAGAAATTTTCACCATCACTTAATGAGCCACACTGAGTACTGAAATCTTAACTCCATGCTAATAATTTTGTAAAACCACACATTTTAGTAACCATATAGAGAACTGGCAGACAAGGCAAATAAACCTAGTGAAATGGGAGTTATTAATTAAAATAGTCATAACACTGGTATAGCACTTTACGGATAACATTTTTTTTTTTTTGAGACGGAGTTTCGCTCTTGTTGCCCAGGCTGGAGTGCAATGGCGCAATCTTGGCTCACCACAACCTCCACCTCCCTGGTTCAAGCGATTCTCCTGACTCAGCCTCCAGAGTAGCTGGGATTACAGGCATGTGCCACCACTCCCAGCTAATTTTGTATTTTTAGTAGAGATGGGGTTTCTCCATGTTGGTCAGGCTGGTCTCGAACTCCCGACCTCAGGTGATCCACCCGCCTCGGCCTCCCAAAGTGCTGGGATTACAGGTATGAGCCTCCACGCCTGGCCTACAAAATGTTTTCACATACTTATCTGGATTGGTTCAATCATCAACCCTGCTCAGCTACCCAGTGGTGAACTTAAAATAATGGGACAGTCTTGAGATAGTTCGTGACAAGTTATGACATGTAAGGTAATAAATATGTATTCTTTGTTCATTCTGGGAATAGAATAAGACAAACTTGAGTATATTAGGCAGAATTAGATTACTTAAATCCCAGACATGAGGATGATGTGGAGTCTCCATTCCTTATATAAGACAGATTAGTAATAGCTACCGTTTGTTGGGCACTTACTATGTGCCAGGTACTGTCCTAATCACTTTAAATAGGTGATTGCATTTAAAGTTTACAATAATTCTTTGAGGTAGGCACCATCACAATGCCCATTTTTCACAGGAGGAAACCAAAGCCCAGAGGGGTTTACTCAAGTTGCAACTACTAAGTGGCAAAGCCAAGATTCCTCTGCCCTTCTGTTTAAGTAAAAAAAAAAATGAGATGCCTCAGAATATCTCCTTGAATTTCTGTACTCATAAGCACTTGATAAATACTTCTGAAATTATTTTATGAATAAATGCAGGTTTAAATAGCCTATCTTTCATAGTTATCTTGTAAAGTAGGTAAATCATTTCTATTTTACAGTTGGATAAAATTCCAAAGAGATTAATGGCACATAATTAGATAGCAGGAGAATTCAGGCTAGTATCAAGATGTCCTAAAAGCCACTGTTAAAATTCCCAGGGTACCTGAACGTTTATAAAAGATGGTGGTTAAAGCTGAGTAAATTCAGGATGAATGCAGAAGGCAGTGATTAAAGACAGAACAGAGTCAAAAAACAAATTGTCTGAATAACAGAAAAATATGAAGCAGGCCAGTGAACAAGGGAATCTTACCTCCATTGTGTTCATTTTAATTTTCAACTTTTGCTAGTATTCTTGGCAGGTAGTAAGGTTTCATACGTATATTTTGAATAAATAGACAAAATTTCATCCTGCCTAAGCATTACAAGTATCTAATTTTTAAATAAGTACAACAACACTAAGAAAATAGGTATAATAAAATGACAAGGGAAGAGTGACTAAGGGACTATGTTTCTAAGAAAAGGAGTAATATGAAATAACTAAATATATGAGATGGTAATAAGTTTACAGCTATTATCAAAGAGAAGGAGCTCTCTTTTACAAAAGAACAGCTACATGTCAGGAACCCCAAACCTGTAAAGATATAAATAGGACTCATAGTACATACACAAATTGGAATATCAAAAGGAACAAGTAATACAAAAACAGCAAGAATTCTATATGCTACAATGGCAAACACAACATTAAAGAAATTGTTTTTACTTCTCCCCATTTCTACGCACACATTATTATACCAACCTAGCTGTGTTTCTTGATCAGTCCTTCCAGTTCCAGGGAAATATGCCATGATCTTGGGACACTGCTTTTGTTAGATCTAGACTTGACAATTAGGCTACTCCTCTCTTTGCATATCCCAGTCTGCTGCGTCTGTCCCAGGCCCTCACCTATAAAAGGGAACCAACAAACATGTGATAATCAGCTCTTTATTTTACCAGTTGTCATGACAACCTTGAAGCTACGTTGTAACCTTTAGTTACCACAAGAGCAAGTCAAATACAAGTCAAACCCAAATCTACAAACCACAAACACCCCAAACCTTCCCAAAAGATTTACATGAAAGGTTAAAAAAAAAAAAAAAACTAGCAGGCAAGAATGATGTTAATAAAACCTAGAAATGATGGCCAAAGTAGCATTATTCTCCTCGCGTTCTCCTAAATTGTTAAGCTCCTGAGGTCAGTGCATGCATGTGGTCAACAAATGATTGTTTAGTAGCTATTGTGAACAAAAGAATGTATTATAATTTCTTTTGAGCAGGGAGTAGGAGGTGGGGCTGGCCTTAAGGGTTGCTGAGACCTTGAGATAAAAAGAGATACCTAAGTTGCTCAAAAACAGAGGTTGTTGTTTCTAATCTAGCTGGGAGAAAAATACAGGCAATTTAAAGGAAACTATCTAAAAGTACTTACAAATCCCTCATACTGCAGGCAGAAAGCATAAACAGTGAGGAATAAAATGATAATTGGCCTTGGCAAGTTTAGTATGGGATAATTGAAAAGAGGCAGGCAAAATTATTATTTCTGGCTGAATTTTGAAAGCAATTTCAGAACTATTACATTTCAATGCAATGGCCTTCTCTTCCCCAGGGCCATTCAAGTGGTGAGGATTAAAAGAGTTTGTGGAGTCCTGATAAGATAAGTAAGAAACAATGAGAAAGGGGCCCCAGGTGGGGAAGAACAATGAAAAATTGTTCTGAGAGACCTAGGGCACAAAGACCTCCTTCCACATGTGGCCCCAGCAGCATGACTTGTTTCCACATGCAGCCCCCTCCAGCTCCCTCCAGCCCCTGCCTCTTTGCAGACAGCTCCTCCTCTGCAGTGCTGCCCTTTGCCTCCTTGCAACATACTTCCATACCTTCTCTAGTAAATCTGCCTTTCTTTACCTACAACTGTCTTGGTCAATTCCTTTACCACCTGCGCCACTGGCCAGCTGCACCTGCAACATTTTGGTAGTTCGTATGGGCCTCTCCCCTACTTTCTCCCTTTCCTCCAATTCCAACCTCTCGTTGGACAGTGTCAAAACCCTGAGATAATTTTAAGTCCCTGGCCGGGGCTGCTCCCCAGGGAACCAGAAGGTCCTGGTGGAAAGACACCAGACTGCTGTCCCACGATTCTGTGAGACTTCAGAATTTGCTTTACTTTTCAGTCTTCCAGAGGACAAATTCTAGTATCCCTCTGGCAATTGATGGCAACTGGTCAGGGCCATTTCCTGGTGTGGCCTCAAGGCCAGCGGGTGTGAACAGGTTTGGCTGCCTTGCCTAGAAGGGAAGAAGGCCCTCTCCTATCTCTTCTGGCGAAAAGGTCTGCAATCCCTATGTAGTGCAATTGGCACATATGTTTTGGGGAGCTCAGAGCCCCTCTTTCTTACTCTAAATAGTCCTGCAAAAACAGCCAGACCTCCTGCTCTGGACGTTCCCAAATTAGGTGATAGCAAGCAGCCTCAGAGCAGTGAGTCTCCCCATTCTGGTCCTCTCTCCTGGGATGGGACCAGGCTGAGTTCTTCCTTTACCCTTTTTCCTTGTACCGGGGCTAACCATCCAGCGTAAGGCCCCAGCGCTGAGATGTCCTTTCTAATAGGTGGGATGCCCCTTTAGAGAGTGCACTTGAGGCCGGGCACGGTGGCTCATGCCTGTAATCCCAGCACTTTGGGAGGCCGAGGTGGGTGGATCACCTGAGGTCAGGAGTTCAAGACCAGCCTGGCCAACATGGCGAAACCCCATCTCTACTAAAAATACAAAAAATTAGCTGGACGTAGTGGTGCATGCCTGTAATCCCAGCTACCTGGGAGGCTGACACAGGAGAATCGCTTGAACCTGGGAGGCGGAGGTTGCAGTGAGCCGAGATCCCACCACTGCACTCCAGCCTGGGCGACAAAGCGAGATTCCATCTCAAAAGAAAAGAAAAGAAAGTGCACTGGAATCCCTCAGCAGATGTGAGTTGAGCCCTCTTCCTGGTGGGGCAGGGGGGTGGGGGCGGCGAGAGAGTGTGGTTCGTGTCTGCAGCAGACGTTAGTCCCCGGCAGCTCATCGTTTTCCAGTCCCACCATGGGACAAACCTCCTCTATTCCGTCAGACTCACCTATGAGTTGCATCCCAAAACGCTGAGACAAATGTAACCCTCAGATTAAAAAAAAAAAAAAAGTCGAATTTTCTTTTGTAATACAGCATGGCCCCTATGCAGAAAACCTCAAATCAGTCTCCTCAGTCTTTTATAACCAAGAGCAGGATAAGGACAGGGCTAAGGAGAAAGAAAAATGCAGGGACAAGAAGCAGGCTCAACTGTTGGCTGCTTTGCAAGCCCCCAGCCTCCATTCCAGGCTGCCCTAAGGATACTCCTCCAGATAACTGCCATCAGTGCAGAAGCCCAGGCCACTGGAAGGCAAACTGGCCCTATGGCATGAATGACGAAAAACCCCCGCATGGCTTGCCCCCTCTGCCACAAGCTCGGCCACTGGAAATGGGACTGCCCTGGAGGGCCAAAGGGTCCCTGGGACATAATCCCAACCCCTGATGATCATCAGGCCTTAAGCTGAATGGGGGCTTTCTGCTTTGGCTAGCTTCCAGATCAAACATGAGTCATCAACAAAACAAAACCAAGGGCAACTCTGGAGGTGGCAAGTATTATAAACTTCCCTTTTGAGTTAAAATGCTGCCTATCATGGAGATGCCCCCTCTACCCCTTTCTGGAAATACCTTTTGCTTATGTGGTAAAAACCTGGAAAATTACTATCTGGACTTTTATTTAGATTGAGTCACTATTGGAATTGAGTGCACCATGAAAAGAAAATGGTTAAATTAAAAGAAGGATGCATAATAGTAACATGGCTAGTCTTAGAAAATTCTCTTGAGCAGTTAAAACCTTTTGCAAACTTGAAAATGCTCTAAACTCATGGTAAAACAACAGTAGTCACCTTGTGCTGTAGGTCAGTTGCTAAGGCTTTGCCCTATCACAATGGCGCCTGGGTTCAATTCCTGGCTTTGAAAGTCAGTCCTTTGTGGTTTAATACTTGTGGTACTTTTGCCATGTATTGATTATTTTTCCCTCCATGGACAGCTTCTTATTTCCTGTCTTGAAATTTTCTTTTCTCTGAGTTACCTTTCGGGCAGTTCTAGATCTTATAAATTGCTTGCCATCTCTTTGGAGACACCTCATGTGTCCATGTTTAAATCATCCCCTCAGTTAAGGCTTCCTTTTTATTTTTTTGAGGCAGAGTCTCGCTCTGTCGCAAGGCTGGAGTACAGTGGTGTGATCTTGGCTCACTACAACCTCCACCTCCCAGGTTCAAGCGATTCTCCTGCCTCAGCCTCCTGAGTAGCTGGGACTACAGACGAGCACCACCACGCCCTGCTAAGTTTTGTATTTTTAGTAGAGACGGGGTTTCACCATGTTGGTCAGGATGGTCTCGATCTCTTGACCTTGTGATCCGCCCACCTCGGCCTCCCAAAGTGCTGGGATTACAGGCGTGAGCCACCACGCCTGGCCAAGGCTTCTTAATTTCACATAGGAGGTTACCTTTAGTAGAAGGTTCCAAAGCCAGAAATATTGGTTCTGTTGCCCGGGCTGAGTGCAGTGGCGTGATCTCTCACTGCAATCTCTGCCTCCCAGGTTCAAGCAATTCTCCCACCTCAGCCACCAGAGTAGCTGGGATTTACAGGCGCATGCCACCATGCCCGGCTATTTTTTTTTTTTTTGAGATGGAGTCTTGCTCTGTTGCCCAGGCTGGAGTGCCGTGGTGTGATCTCAACTCACTGCAACCTCCACCTCCCGGGTTCAAGCGATTCTCCTGCCTCAGCCCCCCGAGTAGCTGGGACTACAAGCACCTGCCACCATGCCCAGCTAATTCTTTTGTGTTTTTAGTATAGACAGGGTTTCACCATGTTGGCCAGGCTGGTCTCGAACTCCTGACCTCGTGATCCACCGATCCACCCACCTCGGCCTCCCAAAGTGCTGGAATTACAGGTGTGAGCCACTGCATCCGGCCGGTAAGGAAGGTTTTAAATAAAAATTTTATATGAGAAAGGATTTTTTTTTTTGACACCAAGTCTGCCTAGGCTGGAGTGCAGTGGTGTGATCTCAGCTCACTGCAACCTCCGCCTCCCAGGTTCAAGTGATTCTCCTGCCTCAGCCTCCGGAGTAGCTGGGATTACAGGTGCCAACCACCACACCCAGCTAATTTTTGTATTTTTAGTAGAGACAGGGTTTCACCATGTTATGTTGGCCAGGCTGGTCTTGAACTCCTGACCTCAAGTCATCCGCCTGCCTCGGCCTCCCAAATTGCTGGGATTACAGGCATGAGCCACCACGCCCAGCCAAGAAAGGATCTTGTATGACAAATTTTTGTCCTAAAGTAAAATGACCTGTTGTTTAAGAAAGGGGTGTTTAGGACAAGTCAGAAAGCCCTGATGTCCAAGTCAGAAAGTCCATGTCATAAATGGTCTGTGCAAGTAGTGAGAAGGTTCGCAAAGGAGAAGTTATGAAAGGAATTTTCTATGTGTTTAAGTTGGTTATAACTGAAAGGGAATTATTTAGGATAGTCTAACATTGGTCCCCTATGTTAAAAACAAGATTTTCTTAAGATATTAATCTGGTCTTAATAAAACTGTAAGAAGTTAAAGCTTCACAGAATAATATCTCAGTTCAACTTTTGCTGTGCCCTGCTGCTTTCAGCTTTTTCTTCCCGGAGAATGCCAAAGATAATAACTCTCTCCTTCATTTTTTGTCAGCTCCTGTAACTTTTTCCTCCAATTCTGTTATTATGGCCTAATGCTAAAATATTTCATCTTGAAAATCAAAAAAATTAAGCAATGTTTTCCTCTAATATAACTTAATTCTGTACGCTTGGCTTTTAAAAAATATGTCTAAATTCTCAATGTAAAAAAAAAAACTTTTCACGCTTTTCCTAAGAGTTATGTATTCACCTGCTATACTCATAACCCTGAATACACTCTTCTTGTGTCTAATTACATTTAAACACTTTTTCATTGAGTTTAACTTCCAGGCTAACTAAATGGGCTTCCAATAAGGAAAAACAGTCACACTGCAAATGGTTGTGGGGTTTGTTTGTTTGTTTGTTTGCCTTTTCAGTAACTGGCTTAAGAAACAAACTTTTATCTTCTAGAATTCAGCAGTTTCACTTTCAAGTAATGCGTAAATGGGATATCAGTCTCTCCCCAGTGATGCCTGCTACCTTTATGAGTCTCCCCTGGATTCGGCTGGTCACCAGTTTTGCCTTGACATACTCCCACTCTGTGATGAGTCCCTTCCTCCAGCAAGATTCAATATCCTAAGTCCCACAATCTGGGACAATGACCCACAGGGTCTCTTGACAGACCAACAACCATAGGTGGGGTCAACTCCACACCCCTAATCAGCAGGAAGCAGTTGGAAGATGAGACCTCAGCCCCAGTGTCAAAGATTTGTCATTGGTGTTCTGAGGGGTGTTACGGTGGTGGGATGTGGAGTCCTGAGAATAAGCAACAATGAGAAAGGGGCCAGGTGGGCCCCAGGTGGGGAAGAACAATGAACACAAACAACCAGAGGGCACACCTTCCACACAGTGGCCCCAGCAGCATGACCTCTTTCTGCACCTACCCGCCTCCAGCATGACCCTATAAAACTTCCCTCCAGCCCCTGCCTCTTTGCAGACAGCTCCTCTGCAGTGCTGCCCATTGCATCCTTGCAACATATTTTCATATATTCTCTAATAAATCTGCCTTTCGTTACCTGTGACTGTCTCCGTAAATTTCTTTAGCACCTGCACCACTGGCCAGTCACACCCACGACAGAGTTAATATTTCTATAACTCTTAGAATAGTGCCTAGCACATAACAAGTGTTATGTAGGTGTTTGTTAAATAAAAAATCCAAATCTTGACCGGGCGCGGTGGCTCGTGCCTGTAATCCCAGCACTTTGGGAGGCCGAGGCGGGTGGATCACCTGAGGTCAGGAGTTCGAGACCAGCCTAGCCAACATGGCGAAACCCCGTCTCTACTAAAAATACAAAAAATTAACCAGGCGTGGTGGCAGGCGCCTGTAATCCCAGCTACTTGGGAGGCTGAGGCAAGAGAATCGCTTGAACCCAGGCGGGGTGGGGCAGAGGTTGCAGTGAGACAAGATCGTGCACTGCCCTCCAGCCTGGGCGAAAGAGCGAGACTCTGTTTAAAAAAAAAAAAAAAAAAAAAATCCAGATCTCACCCACGCTGAGGCATGATTGTTAGGGACTCTGTAATTCCTAGTAAGAAAAAACATTTGGTTCTGCTTGCTACCCGTTCTTCAGGACTTTTCCTAGTTTTGTTGAATCTAAAGGTGCTTGCAAAAGGGAGCTGAGTTTCTCATTAGCTATACGAACTGTCATGATATTCGCTTTATTTTTACCCATTGCGTTTGTTTTCCCACTTCTCTTTTGTCTAGTGCATCCGAATGGATGATCTGAAAAAGAAATCAGCCCCTGCAGACAAAGACCAACAAAATCGAGGGATTTAAGGCATGAGTGGGGATCACAGAGGTCGGAGCGTACAAATTAGGAGTGAAATAACATGGAAACCCCATGTTTTTCTCTATTTCCCATGAATATTGGCCCAAACTCCTCCTGAAAGCTGATGCTCCAGCATTTTCAAACTATTGGTTCTTTTCAAAATTGGGCGCCAGGGTCCCCAGGCCAATGCCATCGAGGAAGGCGCCGGGCCCCCTGGAAACGCTCCTCCCCTTTGGAGGCGGATTTCGAGGCGGGGCTCCCACGCACGCTCCGTGCCCGCGGGCCCATTGGAGTGGCCGCTGGACGCGTGCGCAGGACCCGATGGGTGCCCGGACGCGGAAGAACTGGCCCAGCGGAGGTTCCCGCTTCTGAAGCGTGGGAGGCGGAAGAGACTGCAGGTTGTAGATTTTGGTCTTGGCCCCAACGGGTTCCCCCAGACCATTAGAACCCGAGAGAGGAAGAGGAGGCACCGCGGCGGCGGCTGAGAGGCCGAACCCCCAACCTGTCCTCGAGGCGGGAGGGGGGCAGGGAGGGGAGAAGCACCGATCCCAGGGCTGAGGAGCCTCCGGGACCGGGTCCGGGAGCATGGGGGGCTGGACCGGGTCCCCGAGCATGGGGAGCTGGAGCCGCCAAGGCCGCCCGGCCGGGTCCTACCCGACTGTCAGGTCCTCGGTGCTAGCGCTGCCCGGGCAGCCGCAGCATCTGTAGCCCGGCCCCGCTTGTGGTCCTCAGCCGGAAAGATAGCAGCATGAGTTCCGCCGCTGCCTAGTTTCCTCCCCCTCCTCTTCTCCCTCCTCTCTCCTCTTCCCAGACCACCTCCTTCTTTCCCGCCCCTGCGCTTCTTTTCCCTTACCCTCTGTCCTCCTCCCTCCCCTCTGCCCTCTCCCTTCCCCTCCCTCCTCCGCCCCCTTCCTCTCCCTTTCCCCCCTCTGCCCTCCTCTTATCCTCTCTGTCCTCCTGCTTTTCCACCTATCCTTTTCCCTCCCTCTTCCCTCCTCCCTCCATCCTTGTTTTCCCTCCATCCTTCTTTCCTTCATCCTTTTCCTTCATTCTGTCACCTTCCACCACTACCTCTTCGTCCTCCTCTCCTGCCTCACCATCATCCTCCCTTCCTCATCATCATCCTCCTTCCCTCCTCCTCTCCTACTTTTCTCCGCCCCCAGCCCCCGCCCCCGTCCCCAAGCCTCCGCCCCTTAGCCCCCGCCCCCAGCTGCCAGTCCCCAGCAGCTCAGTCCTGCAGTGAGAGTCTTGGGAGTCCATAGCTAAGCACCAGGAGCTGAGCACTGCCCGCTGTGCCTGCCTGCAAGTCTGACATGGCTCAGGAGAAAATGGAGCTGGACCTTGAGCCTGACACATCTTATGGGGGAACCCTGAGGAGATCCAGCAGCGCTCCCCTAATCCATGGGCTCAGGTGAGCAGGGTTGGGGAGGATGGAGTACAGGATTCAGGGGCTCCTTGCCCCCATGCAAGCAATCTTCCTTCCTTAAAGTGCACGTTTGAGCTCATTTGGGCTCTTCAACCTGAGGGGGTGGCGACTTGTTTGCTTGACAGTGACTTGGGTCCCAAGGTGGAGTGAAAGTTTAATCTCCAACTTTGGGCAGTGTGGAGGAAACGGTCCCCCTCTACCTGGGGCCATGTTGTCCCTCTGTAAAAGGAACTGCAGAAAGCTTCTGGCTCTTCTGACAGGTTGCTTGCCCCGACTAACTTACACCAGGGAATGTCAGATCGAAGCCCCTGGAACTAGATGTGCAACTTGACACCTGTCTCTCAGAGCTGCTATTTCTAAGCTTAGTTTAGGAATCCTGGCATTAACAGATGTTTACTTTAATAAATCACAATTTATCTAATAACTTGTAATTAAGTGGTATGTTCACATCGTAGTACGTGATTTGGATTTGCCCTAATGTTTTCAGGTTCTAAAACTGCCTGAAATGCATTGCAGTGAATAAAAAAGAAGGGTGGTCTGTAGCTTAGGGTCAGTGAAAAGGCAGGTTTTAGAAAACGGTGGAGAGAATCGACTCTTCAATTTCAGTGGTAGGGTCTTGTGTTTTCATGTCAATAAGTCATCGAGGGTCTGTTTTAAGGTAGCATCTTGTAATAGTGAAGGTTAGGTTGGCTCACCTCCTGAGCCTATTGTATTTCACTTTTATAAGGAGACAATTCATCTTAGGTAGAGAGCCAATTTGCGAGACCCTGTAGAAATGGCATTAGTCCAAAAAAGGAGATGAGAGTACAATTAGCCAAAAACATATTAATCAAGCACAGTGAAGGCAAAGAAAGAGATAATCCTTGCTGTTGAACTGATTATAACATCCATATTTTGGGGAAAAAACAGGTTGACTTTTTCATTTATTAAGTATAATTTTGAAACTGAGGGAATGTAGGAGTGACTTTTTGCTTTCCTGTTGCTGTCCTTGGCCCTGCATTTATTTTGGTTACTATAACAATAAACTGGTCTTTTTCTGATTGTCTTTTGAAATCTCATAAGCAAGCAATTGCTAGGGACTTCAGCAATTCTATTGACCTGTATTTAGACTATTGTAGCAAAAACATACTGTTTTTTGAATCATGATTTAAATAATCACTGAAAACACAGCATGATGTGACACAAGAAGGGGCAAGGAGACCAGGCCTGGTCCCAGTTTTCACTAACTAGCTATGATCACGAATGAGTCATTTAACCTTTCTGAGGCTGTTCTCTCTTTGAAAATTAAGAGAGCTGAATTAGGTGATCTCAGTGGGCCCTGAAAGCCCAGTGCAGTTCAGTTCTGAAAATCCTTCTGGAATTCTCATCCTTATTGTGGGCATCGCCCTCTGCTAGGCACTGCAGGGATATTATACAAAGATTAACAAAACACCTCTCTACCAATGGGTTTAAGACACATCCACATTTCTCTTTAATTAAGAGACAAAGTAGGTGTCTCAAGAAGCATCTCATCTCCCAGTGTACTCTTTGGGTTCAAAGGAGAGAGTGATTGCATTCCGTTTGTGGATTGAAGAGAGGTTTGTGCCATGCCTTCACTGAAGGGTATGGCATTCAAGATGGATGTGGAAGGACAGGAAGGATTTTAATAGATGTTGGCAGGAGGGAGAGCATTTGAGGCAGAAGGGGCAACAATCTCAGCTATGTTTATTCCATCAAACAGCAGTGTTCAAAGGTAGGACACATGTTTAGGGTGAGAGGGGAGATGTCTTGATCCAGCTCATATTGTAGAACAATGCTCCTCACCCCTTTTCGCATCATGGCAAACACAGAAAACAGTACTCATTGGTTCTCTGGGGTAAACAGATGAGGCTGCTCAGGTCTGGTGGTAACCGGTTTGGGGGCGTAGCTCTGACCAGAAGCAGCTAGAGTCAACCAGTCTGGAGCTCCGCCTGCATCACCTCTCCCAGCTGCCCCCCGACCACTGAGATCAGTATCTCTGCAAACCCATAATCCACAGCATACCACTTGGGAAGCTCTGCAGAGAGGACGGTGAGGAGTTCATTCTCTGTATGAAATGAGGAGCCATGGAAGATTTCGTTGTTAACTAGATAACTGATGCTAATGTATTTGAAAGAGATCTTCCATTAGAAAACATTACTAATTTTGTTTTTTTTGTTTGTTTGTTTTTGTTTTTTTCAGTGACCTTTCACAGGTTTTCCAACCTTACACACTTAGAACTCGGAGGAATAGTACAACAATTATGAGCCGTCACAGCCTGGTAAGTATAGAAGTAAGTATCTGAAGTGATTTAGATTGGGGAAAATACTTTGAAATGGAGTTCTTTCTTAAAATGATGTGCTATGCACAATTGTTTAAGAAAGAAAAGATTGATTTTACCTATGTTGTTTACTGCTTATGCTGTGGCCATTCAGCTTTTGGTACCAAAAGGATACATGGTTAAAAATTTTTCTTTGCTGTGTGACTTTGTATTTTTTAAAATTGTTCATTATTATTTGTCACTACTTGCATCAGGCTTGTGAGGTAAGTCAGGATTAACTCCTAATTATAGCTGAGAACAGTGGTCTTCATTTGTCGTAGGATGCACAAATCACTTAAAGGTAGCAGAGTGTTTGTTTCTGACACTTACCTGTTAAACAATGCTGGTTTTCCAAAATGAAGACTCCTTTAAAATGCTTGTATTTATATTCTCTGAAGAGTTACTGATTGTGACTGATCTCTATAGCCAGAGCTGTCAGGGATTGCTTTATTAGTTGGTCGCATTGGGAGAAATTATGATGAGGTTTTTTATATAGTAGCAGTTCACATGTGGAACTCACTTATCAAGCAGCTTCAATTCTCTGGAAGACATCCGAGGTGAAAGAAGATAGATCCCTAAATGGCAGAACTAGATTTCCATAGTCTGTGCACAGAGGTTCATCGGTTTATTTATAGGAGAGCCTCTGACCTCTGAATCATCTAAAATGTATGCACAATTATAATAAGCTTCCAATCCAATAGTGTGTGAGAAGCAGCAAATTAGAAGAGATGCATTTTGGTTAAAAGTATACTAATAGCTGCTAGCAAGGGAGGAGAGGGAAAAACTGAAAAACAGATGTTTTTAAAAAATTAGTTTGTGGCTAATTAGTATAAGGGCTAAGAGCCTGTTAGTACACCCCAAGCGTGTCACTGGTGTAGAATCATATAATAATTTACGTTCTTAAGGATACCTGGGTCATTAACTTATTCATAAATTCTAGTAATACCTACACTTGCATAGTATTTTACGTATTACAAAGTACTTTCACACATTTAATTGTCATAACAGCCCCTATGAAATAGGGAGGGCAAAGATATTTTTCCCAATTAAAAGAAGCAGCAGCTAAAACTCAAGACGTTAGAAGTCACTTGCTCAGAATCGCACAATTAGTAAGTGGTAGAACTGGGATTAGAATAGAGATCTCCCAGTGCAATTCTGTTTGGTATAATTTGTTTAAGAAAGGGAAAAATAGAACACATTGTAGAAAGATTTCCAACTGAAATGGCTGAAAATACTTACAGGGGGAAATGTTAGCTATCTGGAGGTTTCATTCATTTCACCTCCTTCTCTGAGGACACTGGAAAATATTACTTATTTTTGCTGGATATATGAAAAAATGTTTATACATGTTATACAGCCATGCTCCTGATAACAGTAGCATAGCAAAGAAGGGAAAGTGAATTTGCCTCTCTACACTTCACTTACCTCTTTTGTAAGATGAGAAGATTCTTATCAACCATGGTCTAGGTTCATCTCTCACTGAAATACCTAGTTTTCTGAAAGGGCCATGGTGACTCACTGCTCTTTGTTGATCCTTATCATCTTTTCATTCCTACCCCTCTCCTTTCTAGCTTTTTGGTCTTCCAAAACTCAGTTTAATCCTTATATCTCCTTTGGGCAGGCTTCCACAACTATCATAATATTAATTACACTATATACACTCTATCACAGGATGTGCTATAAATCTTAGTACGTTTATCTGTGTCCCATGGTAACCTGTGATGAGTAAGGTGTTTACAAATGAAATGGACTGGATATGCAGATGTAGGATCTTCATGGCTCACCAGCTGATTAGATATAAGGACTAAGAGAAGGAAGACTCCAAGTGATGGAAATTTTGTATTTTGGTGACCGGGGGTTGGCGCTGCCTTTAGTAGGAGTAGAGATTGGTAGTTTGAAGGGGAAAAAGATGAATTCTTTGGGACATAATTGGATTTAAGGTGCCTCTGGCCCCATGATATTCTTCAAAGCAGTATTCTCACTTTTTTAAAAGATTCTGTCCGCTTCCAGTGTAACCACTTTTTACTTTGAGCAGATGACCCTTCTTACTTTACAAAGAAGACAGACACCTATCTTGTGTAAATGTCAGCTTTCTTTGCCTTGAAATGCCTTTAGCTTCACATATGGCATTTCTCCCCAATGGTTCATATGCTTTTGACTCTCCTGTTGCTTTGCTCGGTCTATCATCTCCTCTCTATCTTGTATCTTTTCCCTATTCCTCACGGGCTCTCTTCTTTCCACCTTCTCCAGACTCACTCATCTGATGGGGGAAAACAAACTGTTTTCTTTTTCGTAGGTCTCTCCTTCCCTTTTCCTTCCCCTCTCCAAGTTCTTTCAAAGCATAATCTACACTCCACTGCCTCTAATTCCTTGTCTCCTCATTTCTGGCCAGTTTGTAATCATGCTGCTTCTACCACAACTCCATTAAAAAACTGTTCTTGCAAAAGTCACCAGTACCCACTTAACTGCCAATGTCAGGGGCCTCGTTGCTTATCCCCCTTGACCTCTTTGCTTTATTTAACCCCATTAGCCAGCACCTCCTTGGAGTTCTGGCTTTTTCTTTTCTTTTTTTTTTTAAGCCGACACATTGCCCTGTTGTTTCTGGTACTACACACAGCTTTGCTCTGTTCTTCTTTCTGGTCTTCTTTCCAGTTTTGTCTAAAATTGTCAAGTTGTATATTATGTAAATGTAGCATGTAAATTTCTGACTTTCTCCCCAGTTAGTTTTTGGCCATCCTCATGTCAGCTTTCCTGATCATTTCACTGCTTCTTCAGTTTCTTGGGTTTCCCTAAGTGACACGTCTGCGCTCTCTTCCACAGTCTCCTGTTGGAGAGTCTTCCTGCTGTATTTGCTTGCCTTGTAGCTTGGTGTTTTCTAAATGATCTTATTAAGAGTTCACCAGTGGCTGGGCGCAGTGGCTCACGCCTGTAATCCCAGCACTTTGGAGGGCCAAGGCAGGAGGATCACGAGGTCAGGAGATCGAGATCATCCTAGCCAACATGATGAAACCCCGTCTCTACTAAAATACATTTATCTTATACTCCAGTCTCCCTTAATGGTTGTAAAAATTCGCTGGGCATGGTGGTGTGTGCCTGTAGTCCCAGCTACTCAGGAGGCTGAGGCAGGGGAATCACTTGAACCTGGGAGGCGGAAGTTGCAGTGAGCAGAGATCATGCCATTGCATTCCAGCCTGGGCAACAAGAGCGAAACTCTGTCTCAAAAAAAAATAAAAAGAAACTTAGAGCATTTTATCACTATTTTATACTGCTCACTACATTAGTATTCAAATAAGTTTTAATAGTGTAGGGCCTCTTAAACAGGATAATTGTTATTTGGTTTTATAGTATTACAAGTTCACTTGCATTTCGTTATAGAATAAATAGTAGTCGTTTATATTATGACCACTAGAACTCTCTAAGACCTGTTGATATGAATTGTGTCTTACAGTTTGTGACCAGCTTGTAATTATTGTGAAGGAACATAATTTGGCCTCCAAATCATTTCTGCTTTGTGTTATTAAAAAATGATGATCTAAGGGAAAGCATCAGTTATTTTAAAGATACACCTTGTCTTTCCAAATTGTTTTTTGTTAACTAGTAAGATTTGTAGTGATAGCATATGATGAGATTTTAGAATGGATTTGGATCGTGAAAGCAAAACCTCCTTATTGCAGTTTTAAAGTGTTTTTGAAAATCATCAATCATAGACAAAATATTATATACTAGACTTATTAGCCTGTCTTCCCCCATTGCTGCATTGATAATAAAAATTAATAACATTGGTGTTTTTTTTTCTTTCCCTTCTCATATTGTTCTTTATTTTAGATAAGTGGGATAATGGATATTTCTAAGGCCCATAGTCTTTATTTCTCTAAATTTACGTAGCTTCACATTCATTTGGGAAAAGTGCTGAAGTCAGTGTCTGTCTAGCAACAGATGGCGCTTTGAGGTTGGACACCTGGTGTACTTTTTGAAGACTAAATGTACTGCCTTTAGTGCATTAACGTTCAGTGATCTAAAGAGCTAAATTTTGAAGAAGAATATGAAAACTT
Organism: Homo sapiens; assembly: GCF_000001405.40. NCBI lineage: Eukaryota > Metazoa > Chordata > Mammalia > Primates > Hominidae > Homo > Homo sapiens. The sequence continues at coordinate 134,789,723 of NC_000023.11, read as the reverse complement.
ACCTAGGAAGAGGTTGTACGCCAGTACTGACAGCAGACTGCTGCTTTGTGATTCAGAAAATAGTAAATGTTTACTTTTTCTTTCCAGTTGCTGTCATCCTCACCTAATCGTATTCCTAGTAGCAGACTGCATCAGATCAAAAGGGTAAATTTTACTTACTAGCTCAGATTGGAAATTTTTTGGATTTTACATTTTTATTTTAAAGACGTAGATATTAAAATGAATTAGGATGCAACTCTGGTTAGTTGGAGACAGATTATAATTCTTCTGGAGCGTGTAGATAAAATATACAAGCGGCATGAATGTTCCACTCTACTGTGATTATGTCAATGAGGTAGAAAAAGTCTTTTTATTTTATTTGAAGCAGAGAACTATGTGGATAAAAATTGCAGTGTGTGGAAGAGTTAATATTTTGTCAGTGATCCTGCCTTTTTAGCATATATGTTTGTCTTTGCAGGAAGAAGGCCTGGATATGGTGAACAGAGAAACTGCACATGAAAGGTTAGTGCTTTGCAAGAGCAGGGCCTAGCCTAATAAGTGTCTTGTTTGTAAACACTGACGGCCCTTCCCTTTGTTTATTTTAGGGAAATGCAAACGGCAATGCAGATAAGCCAATCATGGGATGAGAGCTTGAGCCTGGTAAAGTTTGCTCATGTCTGTTTGGTTTTCATTTTCTAGAAACTTTTATGTTGTTCACTAGGTTCATTAATTTTTTCGCACACTTCTTTCCCCTTCTACTTCCAAATTGATACTTGTTTTTTGATCTCTGCTTTTCCAGCAGAATATTAGAGTCTATACCTTTCTCCTTGGAAAATCTGGGTGTGTTATAGTAGTAAGTAAGAGCTGTGATGTGCTGAATTTATTATGAGGAGATGACACTTTATGTTTACAGAGTGACAGTGATTTTGACAAGCCGGAGAAATTATATTCTCCTAAGAGAATTGACTTCACTCCAGTTTCTCCAGCACCTTCACCCACCAGGGGATTCGGAAAGGTAGGATAACTGACAAGATATTAAGTGTATTTCACAAACTGAGCTGTTTACTCTAAAACACACACAAATCACCCCACTTTTAAAGTATCCAATGCCTTGAAGGAAAATCAATGAAAATCTACAGCAGTAATTTGGAAAATATACATATATATATGTATATTCTTGGTCTTCTTAAAATATATATATATATAACATATATATTACATATATATAACATATTACATATATAACGTATATATTACATATATAACGTATATATAACACATATATAACATATATAACACATATATAACGTGTATATATTACACATATATAACGTGTATATATTACACATATATAACGTGTATATATTACACATATATAACGTGTATATATTACACATATATAACGTGTATATATTACACATATATAACGTGTATATATTACACATATATAACGTGTATATATTACACATATATAACGTGTATATATTACACATATATAACGTGTATATATTACACATATATAACGTGTATATATTACACATATATAACGTGTATATATTACACATATATAACGTGTATATATTACACATATATAACGTATATATTACACATATATAACGTGTATATATTACACATATATAACGTGTATATATTACACATATAACGTGTATATTACATATATATAACGTGTATATTACATATATATTACATATATATATATGTAATTTAGTTATGAGACACACAGACAGCCAAGCAATTCTAAAGATATTGTTTCTGTCATTTTGAAAAGAACCTTTTGAAAATGATTGTGGGCCTGGTATGGTGGCTTATACCTGTAATCATTCCAACTCTTTGGGAGGCCAAGGTGGGAGGATCACTTGAGCTCAGGAGGTCGAGAGCAGCCTGGGCAACATGGCGAGACCCCATCTCTACATTAAAAAAAAAAAAATAGATACAAAAAAATTAGTCGGGCATGGTGGCGCACACCTGTAGTCCTAGCTCATCAAGAAGGTGGGGCAGGAAGATGGCTTGAGCCCAAGAGTTCGAGGCTGCAGTAAGCTATGATCGCATCACTGCACTCCAGCTTGAGCAAAAGAGAGACCCTGTCTCTAAAAAAAAAAAAAAAAAAAAAAAAGAAAGAAAACTGGAGTGCTAGAACTATTTTAATATTGAATATGTTTTTTCTAGTAATGTTTTTCACCCTTCTTACAGATGTTCGTGAGCAGCAGTGGATTGCCACCAAGTCCAGTTCCCAGTCCAAGACGATTTTCAAGGTAAGCAAACTTGAATTTTAAATGTGGTTGAAGTACCATTCATTACATTTATCTCTCAGATTAGCTTTTTGTGGCTGGGCGCAGTGGCTCACACCTGTAATCCTAGCACTTTGGAAGGCCGAGGCTGGTGGATTACCTGAGGTCAAGAGTTCAAGACCAGCTTGGCCAACATGGTGAAACCTCGTCTCTACTAAAAATAGAAAAATTAGCTGGGCCTGGTGGCAGGCGCCTGTAATCCCAGTTACTCGGGAGGCTGAGGCAGGAGAATCGCTTGAACCAAGCAGGCGGAGGTTGCAGTGAGCTGAGATCGCACCATTATACTCCAGCCTGGGCAACAGAGCAAAAACTCTGTCTCAAAAAAAAAAAAAAAAAGAAGATTAACTCTTTTTCCCAATATTTCACTGTGAAATTTTCAGACATCAAAAGTGAAAGAATTTCACAGTGAACAACCATATACCCACTGCCTATAATCTACCATTAACATTTTAACCAGAGTTTTTTCTTTTCTTTTTTTTTGTATTTGAGGTGGAATCTCACTCTGTCGCCAGGCTAGAGTGCAGTAGTGTGATCTCAGCTCACTGAAACCTCTGCCTCCTGGGTTCAAGCATTTCTCTTCCCTCAGCCTCCCAAGTAGCTGGGATTACAGGCATGCGCCACCACCCTCGGCTAATTTTTGTATTTTTAGTAGAGATAGGGTTTCACCATGTTGGCCAGGATGGTCTCAATCTCTTGACCTCGTGCCCTCCTCGGCCTCCCAAAGTACTGGGATTACAGGCGTGAGCCACAGCGCCCAGCCCCAGAGTTTTTTAGGGGGAATTTAATGCTGATTTATATTTAGTGGGGAAAGACACACATACATACCCCCCACAATAATACATCCTTTTTAAGAATAAGGAAAAAATGTTAAAGTTCATAGATCAATCAAATCCAAATTACTTTATTTATTTATTTTTGCGACGGAGTTTTGCTCCTGTTGCCCAGGCTGGAGTGCAATGGTGCGATCTCAGCTCACTGCAACCTCTGCCTCCCGGGTTCAAGTGATTCTCCTGTCTCAGCCTCCTGGGTAGCTGGGATTACAGGCATGCACCACCACGCCTGGCTAATTTTTTGTGTTTTTAGTAGAGATAGAGTTTCACCATGTTGGTCAGGCTGGTCTCGAACTCCTGACCTCAGATGATCTGCTTACCTTGACCTCTCAAAATGCTGGGATCACAGGCGTGAGTCACTGCGGCCCAGCCCCAAAATACTTTTTAAATAGGGTATCTTTTTTTCTTTAAACTGTTGGGGGTATTTTGTCATATAGAATATTTTTTAAAGGACTTAAAATGCTGTATTATTCCAGGTTGCCATATGCTGGTTCAAATCATGTATTGGATTTCAGTTACTCAATTACAGAAGAATTTTCCATTTCAGTCATTGATAAGATTGTCCATTTTATTTATGTATTTGTTGGGCTGGACTGCTGTTTTATCTTGCATCGTGGATGTTCTTCACATTATCCTGTTTGTTTTTTCATCAAAGCAGGAGAAGTCAGAGTCCAGTCAAGTGCATTAGACCCAGTGTTCTTGGTCCTCTTAAAAGAAAAGGTATGTAGCAGCGTGGTGACTATAGCTAATGCTACTGTGTCACATACTTGAAATTTGCTAAGAAAGTAGATCTTAAGTGTTCTTACCACACACATACGAAAGGTAACTAGGTGAAGCAAAAGATGTGTTAAAAACTTGACCGTGGGCTGGGCATGGTGGCTCACGCCTGTAATCCCAATACTTTCGGAGGCCGAGGCAGGTGGATCGCCTCGGGTCAGGAGTTTGAGACCAGCCTGGCCAATATGACAAAATCCCATCTCTACTAAAAATACAAAAATTAGCTGGGCGTGGTGGCAGGTACCTGTAATCCCAGCTACTTGGGAGGCTGAGGCAGGAGAATCGCTTGAACTTGGGAGGCGGAGGTTGTGGTGAGCTGAGATCGTACCACTGCACTCCAGCCTGGGCAACAGAGTGACACTCCATCTCAAAAAAAAAAAAATTGACTGTGATCATCATTTCACAGTATGTACATACATCAGATCATCACATTGTATACCTTAAATATATATAAATTTATTTGTCATTTATACTTCAGTAAAGCTGGGGGGAAAAAGAAAAAGATAAGCATCACGCTTCTGGTCTTATACCTAGCCAAGCTTGAATTAAAAACTAGAACTCCTGTCTGAAATGAGCTAACAGCATTGCTCTCTTGTGTTCTAGGGAAACTCAAAAGTATTCTTCCAAATGTTTGCTGTGCTGATTCTCAATTTTGTAAATGAGTTATTTGATACATCTATATTTTCTTATACTTCATAACAGTTTTATTCATATATTCATATTATCATTATATATTCAAAAAATTGCCTCTCTGTTATCTAAATATGAAAGAGATGCATAGTTTATAAACTGCAGAAATATATGCTAATGCCGTAGCAAACATATCCATAAATGTGCTGTATACTCAAATATAAGGTAAGGTTTACCCCCTCATCAAATTATGCCTCATCAAAGCAAGAATTGCCTTATATTCAATTCTATGGAGTTTTTTATATAACAGGGTGCTCTCAGTTACCTTATTTTGAACCACAAAGCAGTAGGCTAAAATAGTTTAGTTTAGTATCAGTCAACACTAGTGTTAGATGCTTATAAAGGGCACCTGATGGCATCTCTTTAAAAAGGCAATACAGGTCTGTAATACCAGCACTTTGGGAGGCCGAGACAGGAGAATTGCTTTGAGCTCAGGAGTTTGAGACCAGCCTAGGCAACATGGCAAAACCACGTCTCTACAAAAAATACAAAAATTAAGCAGGCGTTGGTGGCTTGTGCTGTTGTCACAGCTACTTGGGAGGGTGAGGCTGGAGAATTCCTTGAGCCCAGGAAGCAGAGGTTGCAGTGAGCCGAGATGGCAGCCTGGGCCACAGAGTGAGACCCTGTCTCAAAAAAAAAAAAAAGCAACACAGGTTTTTGTTTGTTTTTTTTGAGACCGAATTTCGTTCTTGTTGCCCAGACTCTGGAGTGTAGTGGCGTGATCTTGGCTCACTGCAACCTCCACCTCCTGGGCTCAGCGATTCTCTTGCCTCAGTCTCCCGAGTAGCTGGGATTAGAAGCACCCACCACCACCACGCCTGGCGAATTTTCTGTATTTTTAATAAAGGCAGAGTTTCACCATATTGGTCTTGAACTCCTGACCTCAGATGATCCACCTGCCTCGGCCTCCCAAAGTGCTGGGATTACAGGTATGAGCCACCACGCCCAGCCGGCAACACAGGTTTATTCATTATTCCTGGGGATATGACTACATGATTGCAAGTGTCAACGTGTCATTTTAAACGAGTCTTAACAATAACTTTTTTTTTTTTTTTTTTGAGGCAAGGTCTTGCTCTGTCACCCATGCTGGAGTGCAGTGGTGCAATCTCAGCTCACTGCAACCTCTGCCTCCTGGGCTCCTGGGTTCAAGCGATTCTCCTGCCTCAGCCTCCCAAGTACCTGGGATTACAGGAGTACACCACCATGGCCAGCTAATTTTTGTATTTTTAGTAGAGACAGGGTTTCGCCATGTTGGCAACACTGTCCTCAAACTCCTGGCCTCAAGTGATCCACCTGCCTTGGCCTCCCAAATTGCAGGGATTACACAGGTATGAGCCACCATGCCCAGCCATTAACAATAACTTTTTTTTTTTAATTGAGACCAGTCATTAACAATAACTTTTTTTTTTTAATTGAGACGGAGTCTTGCTCTGTCACCCAGGCTGGAGTGCAGTGGTATGATCTTGGCTCACTGCAACCTCCGCCTCCTGGGTTCAAGTTATTCTTCTGCCTCAGCCTCCCAAATAGCTGGGATTACAGGTGCACACCACCACGCCCAGAGAATTTTGTATTTTTAGTAGAGATGGGGTTTTGTCATGTTGGCCAGGCTGGTCTCAAACTCCTGACTTCAGGTGATTGCCTGCCTCGGCCTCCCAAAATGCTGGGATTACAGGCGTGAGCCACCGTGCCTGGCCAACCGTACTTTTAAAAGCAATTCAGCAAGTGGTTTCTTTGTGCGGATCACCTTCAGGGCCAATAAACAGACCAACTTTTCTAACGTTAGGGGAACAGGTATTTGTGGCTTTGAAAACTTTCCAATCATAGGATCATACACAGATTCCAAAAGTGCTGTATTTCAAACAACTTAAAATTAAAGATGGTGTGCTCTGGAAAATAGTTCCTGATATGGTGACAATATTTGTATTTAGTTTATAAGTTTTATTTTATAAACAGTCTTTCCTTAATCTTATAGGGAGTTATTTGTAGTCCTAGGAATGTTCTCAGTAGCCAGTAAGTGAAAATAACAGTTGGAAATAAAGCTATTATTGTTGTTATTATTACTAACTTAAAATTTGTTGCAGGAAGTTGAAGGAATTAGTATGGTTGTTTAGTTTTACAGCTATTCCGAAATACACCAGCAGATGGAGGAATTCTTTGCTCAAAAGAGCTAAAGTCTTTTGCTAGTGAGGCGAACTCAAAAGCCCAGCAGCAACTTTTAAAAGCTGCATATTAAAGCATGGAAAAAAACAACTTTTGAGGATTTTCAGCAATTTTCAGAATAGTCCCAGAGGAAAGATAATATGAATTAGTTGATAACATGGACAAAATGAATGTTGCGTTTGTTCTTGCTTGATCTTTTTTCATTCTAATTGTACAGTTTTAAGTTCAAAGTTACTAATTTTCTACTGGAGTATAGACAGGCTCATGAATTAAATTGTCTTGAACATTCCGTTTTCAAGCTCAGATGAAGAGCTTCAGAACCAAGGAATGTGTATGTTTTAAATAAAATCAGAGCCTGATTTTAAAGGAGATTATTCTAACTTAGGGTTTTACTCTTTGTACTCCTGGTAGCAAAATGTTAAGCATTATCCCTGTTGGTGCAAAGTTTTTCTATTAGCAATTCTGAGAAGATCTGTATGATTGAGGTGGTCAGTACAATACCAGTTTTGTGAATTGAGTAAGATTTGCTTTTGATTACAGGTGTGTTTTCAAACTTATCTTTTTAATCTTCATTTTCATTAAATAGTGTGAAAGCAACTTTTTACTTATACACTACTTATCAGACTACACATTTTTAAACCAGTTTGACACCATCTCAGGAAATGTTCAGGTATCAAAATATATAAAACCAATAGGCCTTGCTAACCATGTAGCATACAATATTGACTGTGAGTTTCAGTTATTTGGGAATTCCTTATCTCTACTGTGGTCAGCCTTGCTTCATTTTGCCTGATGCAGTCAGTGTTCTACTTTCCTATTAATGTGAATATGTCCATAGCACGCTGTGGATAATGAGTGAGAAGTTTTTTAGGGCTGCCAACTTTTTGATTGAGTTTATGTGGAAGCATATTTCTTCCATGTTAAAGCACATGGGAAAATAGTTTTAAGAAGTGGTTTGAAGAAGTATTCTGAGCTTTGGTTAAACAAAGGTCATCATATGTTAGCACCACGCCTGTATTTGTAAAATTGTTTTATAGTAGCATCATCTCTTTCTGTTTTAGGTGAAATGGAGACAGAAAGTCAGCCCAAGAGACTCTTCCAAGGCACTACCAATATGTTATCTCCAGATGCCGCGCAACTGTCTGATCTCAGTTCATGGTAAAAAAATGAAATAAAATGAAAAGTATATTAGAGTATAATCCATTTTAAAAGAGCCACATTGAAAGTATATTGGGATAATTTAAAATATTTTTTTTTGAATTTTGTTAATATTTATTTTTTATATCATTATTTTGGGGATGTGACAATATTATAAAACAGATACCTGACAAAACTCAAAACACCATTGCAAAGAGATTAGAAAGAGTTGATACAGGTGCTTCGTTAATAGCAAATGAATCTGAATAGCAGTTGACTTAGATTTTTATCAAGTCATAGTAAATGGCATTCTCTAGGAATCCAGAAATGTGGTCCTAAAACATGGTGACTTGGTAACTAACAGATTTTTAAAAATTATTACAGTGAATGAAGAAGCTTCTCTTCTTTTAAGTTTTAAAATTTTTTCATCACCTCAAGTCTGAAGAAGCTTCACTTGAGGTGTTTAGCTCAATAAAATTATGCTTTCTGCCCCCCAGCTCCTTACCATCAAAATTGTCCAAAGATTCTAATTTAAAATATTTTCAACTTCTTATCCATGCCCCCATGAAGGGGAAATCTCTATGGAGGATAATGTGAAAAAACAGATTATTTCAAAGTCAACAGTATTTCATTTGGAAATATATATGTCTTTCTGACACCTTCGCTTTCGTTCCCAGCTCCTGTTAGGTCAGCCTGTCATTAGTTGCCAATGGTGTGGCAGTGCCAACTGCTGGCTGGTGTGAGAAAGAGTCTCTGGGTGGCTGTGGGTAATGTGTATTGATTGTAGCTGCTCTGCCTGCATTTTGTATCCAGTCCTTTTGACTTAGCAGAGGATACCAGGATTCTCTTAAGCATAGTATTCTCTGATTAGCATTATCTATTGTTATCTTTTAGAAAATTATGAAATATTTCAGAACAATGCTAAGGTTTCATTTTTATAATAACATTTCCTGATTCTTACGGTCTAGTCACACACATGTTTTTTAAATCTTACTCATCCTAGTTTAGGTCTTTAAGGGCCTTCAGTGTTTTCATGAGAACGTTAACTTCTTTTCCTATACCTGAAGTTGAGCACTTGAGTGCTCATGTGCACATTGGAAGGAAGGGGAAGGGATAAGTAGCAGTGACCAGGTAATATTTTGAAATATTTCAGTATGTTCTGATCAACTCACTGAATACTTGTGTAATCAATTGTGTACTGTTTTTCAGAATTTTTTTTGTTCCCTGAGTTTTACAGCTGAGGATTTTTTTTGTTTTGTTTTTTTGAGATAGGCTCGCTCTGTTGCCCAGTCTGGAGTGCAGTGGTGTGATCTTGGCTCACTGCAGCCTCTGCCTCCCGGGTTCAAGAGATTCTCCTGCCTCAGCCTCCCGAGTAGCTGGGACTACAGGCATGGGCCACCACGCCTAGCTATTTTTTTTTGTATTTGTAGTGGAGATGGGGTTTTGCCATGTTGGCCAGGCTGGTCTCGAACTCCTGACCTCAGGTGATCCGCCCACCTCGGCCTCCCAAAGTGCTGGGATTACAGGCGTGAGCCACTGTGCCCGGCCTGAAGATCTTTTTAAAAAGCCCATGAGGGCACTCACTTTAAAAATAGCAAGATCATACCCCTTAAATGGAAGGAGTGTATAAGCCACTTATAAGCTATAAGAATGGATGATCCCTTCTTCCCAAATCACTTGTTCATTGTTTCGTGTGAAATAACCTGTACTTCTAGTTGACCAAGAAGTCACAGATTATTCTAGTTTGTTAGTCTTGTTGATCAGTACTATTCTAACCTTGGAACAGATAGATGCCTTTTAGATTGTTCTAGCTATTTTCAGCTCCATGGTCTCTTTTCCTCTCATCTCTGTCTGTCCTTGCTAGTTCAGTATGCTGATTTTGGTACAGAGTGCCTTTCCAGGTATGTAGATGATGGCAAAGAGAAAACTTCTGAAGCTTGTCAAGAGGACTATTGGATGAAACTCTATCCTTAGTGGAAAGTGCATCTCACTTTTATGGTAAAGTGTGTTTTAATAGGCACATGGCTATAAATAGGTTTGCTTACCTAGTTACTAACCAAGTGACCAAGTTAAGTAAAAGATATGACAGCATTTTACCAAGCTAAAAACATACAGGGTGAGGTGACTTATTTTTTTATTGTCTTTGGCTGACAGTGCAGGATGCTGTAAAACAGGTTCATGCAAATAAGTAAGAAAGGAAAGAGAAGGTGCAGTATTTACGAAGGGTCTTATCTCATTGTCCAGACATTTATTCCTCCGAGCAGCACAACCTAAACCATCTCTAGCAGTGGCTATTGTGAGGCTTCTATTTCCTTGTCACTACTCCCCTACCCTGTAGACCCGTGAATGTCTAGGAGAGCCCTGGGAACGTCAACATTGGTGATGAAGGAAACTTTTTATTTTATTTTATTTTTTTGAGACAGAGTCTCGCTCTGTCGCCCAGGCTGGAGTGCAGCAGTGCAATCTCGACTCACTGCAACCTCCGCCTCCTGGGTTCAAGCTATTCTGTCTCAGCCTCCTGAGTAGCTTGGATTACAAGCACGTGCCACCATACCCGGCTAATTTTTGTATTTTTAGTAGATATGGAGTTTTGCCATGTTCTCCAGGTTGGTCTTGAATTCCTGACCTCAGGTGATCCACCTACCTTGGCCTCCCAAAGTGTTGGGATTATAGGCATGAGCCACTGCGCCTGGCCAACTTTTGATTCTTAAACGTAAAAAGCTGTTGTGGCTGGGCACAGTGGCTCACGCCTGTAATCCCAGCACTTTGGGAGGCTGAGGCAGGTGGATCACGAGGTCAGGAGATCGAGATCATCTTGGCTAACACGGTGAAACCTCGTCTCTACTAAAAATACAAAAAAATTAGCCTGGCATGGTGGCGGGCGCCTGTAGTCCCAGCTACTCGGGAGGCTGAGGCAGGAAGAATGGCGTGAACCCGGGAGGCAGAGCTTGCAGCGAGCTGAGATCGCACCACTGCACTCCAGCCTGGGCGACAGAGCGAGACTCTGTCTCAAAAAAAAAAAAGTTGTTGCGTCACACAAGAGACATTTGCTTTATTCACAGCCACTCATAGAGTGTCAACAAGCCAAGTGTGGTTCAAATAATCTGAAAAAGAAATCTGTTACTCAAAATTCACAAAACTAAGTGTCAAAGATAGTTAAGTCATTAATTAAACTTCCAGTTGATGTTTTTAGTCAGTTTGCAGCAACTGTACTCCTGAGGTTATTAAAGCTTACAATTGTGCTAAGACTTTGGGGACACCTTATATACTAATGATGCTGATATTTTTGCCTATAATTAAGAGATTTTTAAATATGATTTTTTTTTTTTTTTTTTTTGAGACGGAGTTTCGCTCTGGTTGCCCAGACTGGAGTGCAATGGCGCAATCTCGGCTCACAGCAACTTCCGCCTCCCTGGTTCAAGCAATTCTCCCACCTCAGCCTCTCGAGTAGCTGGGATTACAGGCATGCACCACCACGCCCGGCTAATTTTGTATTTTTTTTAGTAGAGACAGGGTTTCTCCATGTTGAGGCTGGTATCGAACTCCTGACCTCAGGTGATCCGCCCGCCTCGGCCTCTCAAAGTGCTGGGATTACAGGCGTGAGCCACCACGCCCGGCCCGATTTTTTTTATATAAAAACTGGATCCTGGCCAAGCACGGTGGCTCACGCCTGTAATCCCAACACTTTGGGAGGCCGAGGTGGGCGGATCACTTGAGGTCGGGAGTTTCAAGACCAGCCTGGACAACATGGTGAAACCCCGTCTCTACTAAAAGTACAAAAACTAGCTGGGCATGGTGCGCATGCCTGTAATCCCAGCTACTTGGGAGGCTGAGGCAGGAGAATTGCTTGAACCTGGGTGGCAGAGGTAGCAGTGAGCCAGGATCACACCACTTCACTCCATCCAGCCTGGGCAACAGAGCCAGACTCTGTCTCAAAAAAAAAAAAAAAAAAAAAACCAACCAAACAAACAAAAACTGGATCCTGCTTTTGCAGAAACTTTATTTGAGACGGAGTCTCGCTTTTGTTGCCCAGGCTGGAGTGCAATGGTGCAATCTCGGCTCACTGCAACCTCCGCTTCCTGGGTTCAAATGATTCTCCTGCCTCAGCCTCGAGAGCAGCTGGGATTACAGGCATGTGCCACCACGCCCGGCTAATTTTGTATTTTTAGTAGAGATGGGGTTTCTTCATGTTGGTCAGGCTGGTCTCGAACTCCCAACGTCAGGTGATCCACCCGCCTCGGCCTCCCAAAGTGCTGGGATTACAGGATTACAGGCGTGAGCCACCTCACCTGGCCTTTTTTTTTTTTTTTTTTTTTTGATACAAGATCTGGTCTATTGCCCAGACTAGAGTACAGTAGTGTGATCATGGCTCACTGCAACCTCTGCTTCCCGGGCTCAAGCCATCCACCCACCTCGGCCTCCCGAATAGCTGGGACTACAGGTGTGCACCATCACGCCCAGCTGATTTTTCTGTTTTTGTAGAGACCGGGTTTCGCCATGTTGCCCAGGCCGGTCTTGAACTCCTGCGCTCAAGTGATCTGCGTGCCTTGGCCTCCCAAAGTGTTGGGATTACAGGCATGAGCCACCGCACCCAGGCTCTTTTATCTCTTTAATGTAGTTTCATTAATCAGAATCAGATGTTCATATTCTTAGAAATGGGGATAGAGATAGGAATCAGCTGTGTTCTGGTTTCTGCTACCAAGGTTGGCAACCTACTTGATAACAAAACTAAGGAATCTGTGCTAGGCTTGATAGGGCTGCGGCTAATTTTTTGTTTATTTACCTACCTGCTGTTAATCTGATAGAACCCAGCTTATTGACTGAACAAGACACAAAGTGGTTCAGCCAGATGGGGTGATAACATGAATCAAACCGGATATCTTAGTTTTGTGATTACTTTTATCATTGGATGGTTTTAATGATTTCCTATTTTAATGAAACTACAGAAACAACTGCCCTCTATCTTTTAGAGAGCAGAAAAAGGATCAGATCATTAGATGTTATCTTGTCATTTAAATATTTATAGTCTATTCCCTGCCCCACCCAACAAAAGGAGAGATGGCTTTTACAGCCTTTAGATTAAAGTTTATGTACTAGATAACAATCTTTAAAATCTGACATCTTTTGAAGCATAAATTAAGTTTGAAATTTGAGTGTGGACCCATTTGGAGTTTGTGTCCAGTTAGGCATACTTTTTTTTTCTTTTCTTTTCTTTTCTTTTCTTTTACTAAACGAAAATTCCCAAGTCTTTGCCAACCAAATCTGGAGGACATTATCAACCACAAGGCAGGAATTATGTCATTCTGTATTTAGTCCTTATGGACATCAAAATTTGAGCATAACTCAGAAGTCTACCTTTGATTCTTTCTGCACACTGGGAGCTCTTAATCTGCTCTTCATTCTTTTGGGGGTGAGACTGTGTGTGTCTGCAGCATACTATATAAAATAAAGGAGTTTTCAGGGCTGCTGGCCATACGGTGATGATTAAATGATAGTCTTTCTTTTTTATGAACGGAAAACTTACAAATTTCCTTACCCCGTGCTTCAGTGTTAATGTGATAGTTTTAACACATTTTTTGTTAAATTTGTCTTAGTGGTTCTAACACTATTTTTAATGTTATATGTGTCATGTCAAAATTTCATCATGAATATGTGACAAGTACAAAACATAAGTTTTAATCATTAATTAACAGGAATGTGTATGTCTGTACACATCTCTAAAGTACATGTGTATACACACACACACACACACACACTTTAGAGATGTTTATGTGAGCAACTTAGACATCTGTGCTGATAGTTTAAAACTCCTGTCTACCTTCACCATAAAAATGAGCAAGTTAAAACAGAAAAAACAACAAAAACACTCCTGTCCTCAGCATGACTGCAGACTGATATTTAAATATGTGATCTTAAAAACTTAGAGGTTATTCAGAAGGATAATACTGGGACCCTTAAGATAAGATAGTAGAGACCAGAGAACATGCCATATATATCAGTTTAACCCAGAGCAAGGGGTGTGGGGATGCCCTATAGTCATACCTTATACCAAAATTTGTGCTAGGCTTGATAGGGCTGTGACTAATTTCTAGTGCATTTACCTGCCCGTCATTAATCTGATAGGACCCGGCTTATTGACTAGACAAGGCACAAAGTGGCTCAGCCAGATGGGGTGATAGCATGAATCACACTGGACATCCTACCTTTGTTATTACTTTATCATTGGACTGTTTTAATGAGTTGCTCATACTTCATCCTTAGTTTTTCTAGACAGAGGGCATTACTTTAAGTCATAAGTACTTTTTTTTTTTTTTTTTTTTTTTGAGACGGAGTCTTGCTCTGTCACCCAGGCTGGAGTGCAGTGGTGCAATCTCAGCTCACTGCAAGCTCCGCCTCCCGGGTTCACGCCATTCTCCTGCCTCAGCCTCTCCAAGTAGCTGGGACTACAGGCGCCCGCCACCACGCCTGGCTAATTTTTTATATTTTTAGTAGAGACGGGGTTTCGCCGTGGTCTCGATCTCCTGACTTCGTGATCCGCCCACCTCGGCCTCCCAAAGTGCTGGGATTACAAGCATGAGCCACCGCGCCCAGCCAAGTCATAAGTACTTTTGGTTGTGTGATTCAAATATTGCCTCAATATGTATATTCAGTGGCTGGAATTAATTTGTTCAGTTTTGATTCAAGGATTCCTATGTCCAATTTGAATTGTCCAGATCCTTTTTTACTGTTGTCTGGCTTTCGGCCATTAGTCTAAGTAAGGCTCATTAGCACTTCCATCAGAGCTTAAGCTAGGAAAGAAAGAAGAGATAAACTCAAATTAGACCAGAACTTGTTGCTTTTAGAAGCTCTAGTAGAAGATTTAATAGTAGACTGTGAAAATTACTTTTGTGCAGTGATGTTGCTGTGGGTTAAAAAATCATGTAAGTCTTACTTGACATGGATAGAATAACAATGAGTGATTTGTGACGTGAAGTCTCTGCTTCCATGACCATGAGTAGTTGTACCAGATTAATTCAAACAGAAACTAGATTTTAGTTAAGTGAAAATGTCTGGTTAAAGATTTACCAAGTTCTGAATCTAAATTGCAGTGGAAACTAAATGTAAGTGTGCTATTTTCTGTTAATGAACAAAATTATATATATTTATATTTTAATAATAGGGAAGACATTCTGAAATAAAATGTTCAGGGCTTTTTTTTTCTGCTCCTCAATTAGCTTATTTCTCTTAAGGTAATCAGCAGTGTTAGAAGTCAAATTTCACTGCATGAGTCATGTTTTGTGTTTTTGAATGAATACAGGATTCACCCAAGCAAGCAGGCCTTATTACAAATGGAATCTTTTAACCCAGGGCTCACCGTAAGTCTGGTGGTTAGAATAAAGAATTCTTTATTTATATTCAGATTATCTGCTTGGTGGCCAAGTTTTAATCTAAGCCCATTTCTTCCTGCCAAGTAGCAAAGAGCGTGTCCTTCGTTTGCCCGGCCAATATGTGCTTTAGGAAAGTAAATTCATTTTAATATTAGTCTAGGCAAAAAGCTGCAGGAGGAAAAATCACATATGTTCCAAAGGCAAATAGAAAGGTCTTTTGATTTTCCAATGTCTTGGATTATCTGTGCAACTTTCTTTCAGTAGTTTGAATAATTCATATTTTAGATCCATTTTGCCATTTGGTTGAAAAAATATCGGAGCCAGCTAAAATTTCCAAACTTCTTACTTAACAGTGGTATTATTAATGATGCATTTGACAGCAGTGAGCGTAGAGTAGGAGTAGTGTGGAATATACTGTTTCCATTTTTACTTTTACTTTTCTGAAGCCTATTTGTAGTCTGTCTCCATCTAAAAACAATCCACAAGCAATGGAATGAAATGACATTTTAAAGAAAAGCAGAAGAGTAGAGAAGCAAGGGTGGGGGTGATATATTTCACTGAGGGTAGTACAGGGCCCAGAAACTTTCTAATGTACCATAGGTTACTTTTAACACTAGAAGTACATTAACTTGGACATTCAGATAAATGATAATATTAAAGACTCCTAACATTTCGACTCAGAGCATGTTAGACTGGAATGGGCTTTTTCAAAGGAGCTAGTGACCAAACTTAAACTAGAACCCATGTTTCCTGATTCATAATTCCTTCTCCAATTCGATGCTTTTTTCCTTTTCAAAAATAAAAAGTGTCTGTGTAAATTCTAAAACTGCCCAATTACCTCTCCTGATTTGTCTGTCACTGATTCCTGGAACTACCCTTGCTTCCTCCCAAATCTTAACTAGTTAATACCTGCTCATCCTTCAGATTATAGCAAATATCATCTCTGGGGAACCTTTTCTCATTCCTCCGAATTAGGTTAGGTTACCCATGTTATATATTCTCATAGCCCCTTGTATCTTTCCTTTATCACTTTTACTGCAAATTATAATTATATATTTATTAGCATGATTATTTAAATGTCTGTCTCCTGCACAATACTGTAAATTCAATGAGGGCTGGGACCACGTCTGTTTTAAACACCATTGTATTTCTAATATCTAGTGTGCTTCCTGCACTTGGCAGGCACTCAGTAAATATTAGAATAAGTGAATGATTGAATTCAGGGCAAATATAAAGCATAGAGCTTATTACTGGATTGATGGAAACCAAAGCCAGAAAGGCAGCTTGATGCCAGACTGTAAAGGCTCTCAGTTCCTTGCTGAAGTATGGAGCCAGATTCATGAGTCAGGCCAGGTTGATGGTTGGGGAACAGTGAGCCCCCAGGCTGGATAGGGAAGGAATCCCTGGGCTGGGTATAGAGGTTCTTGATGTCCAGATCTGGAGTTTTACTGGAAGGATAGGAACAGGAGCCAGTTGTCAGGATAAAGAGGCAATAGACAACGGGTATTGAGACCACAAGTGTAGATTATTCATTGTAGAAGCTTAACTGGAGAATAACTGAAGGGATCAAAGAAAGGGACTCTTCTAGAAATAGACCTTTGGGTTTTGAAAGCAAGAAGAAAGGAAATAGTGTAAGGAATTATAAATGGCATAGAATTGGAGGGGGAAATCATTTAAAAAATGTGTTTGAATTGAAGGCCCTTTGGGAATGGGGAAGTGATAACTCTAGGGGAGTTGAAAGACTTTGTTTTAGAGTAGAGGAACTATGAGGCAGTGTACTTGATCGAACACCTCTGATAGTCCGAGTATGGTTACCTCAATAAGTAACCATTCCTCTTGCTCCAAGCCTGATGGGAAGGTAAACATAAGAATAGAAATTTCTTGAGCTGAAGTGAAGTGAAGGAACTCCCTCCCGAAAACCATGGCATGTCACGAGGAACGTTTATTGTAGGTTAGGCGGTCTGGTGCCTCTAGGGGGGACAATCAAATGATACAGGACCTCGAAGAGTCTTACTTTGGATTTCTGTGGCTTTATAATGTAGTATATTATGTAGTTCATTGCTGTGGCTTTATGCTTTTTTATTATTTACAAGTGATTTACTGATTTGTGAGCTCTTGAAACTGTGTCATTGCATGTTATGTTTACCCTGATAGTTGCATTTGCTTATAATTCTTTTTGCTTTGTCTTCAGTTCAGATATTTTGGATGGCAGTAGTAGCAGCAGTGGCTTATCCTCAGACCCGCTGGCTAAAGGCAGCGCTACCGCAGAGTCTCCAGTAGCATGCTCCAATTCATGCTCTTCGTTCATCTTGATGGATGATCTCTCACCCAAGTGACTTAACCATTTCTGATTCAACGTTTTAACTGCTGTTTCCTACATAAAATGTTTAGTGGGGAACGCAGAGAACTTTGATCCATAATGAGGATTAAAGTTTTACAGATTTCACACATTCTGATGCTATTATTACTCTTTGGCATCTCTCTTCTCCAAAGTTCAATTTTGTGAGCCTAGTGACCTTACTAGTATCTGGTTTTGCTGATCTCATTTTGGATTTAGTGATTAAATCTCAAATGCTGATTTTTGATTGCTTAGAGGAATCTTTTTTCTTAGTGCCTCAAAAAACACCTATTTTGAGTCTATACATTTAAGAAAGGCACTGATGTGTATTGCCTTTAATGGTCCTTTTCCGCAGCAGTGATATGACAGATTTGATCAGAAATTCTCTTGCTTGAGAGATTTTTTTTTGTCCTCTGTTGACTACATAGTTTCAAATCTCTCTTTATTTCATGATGATATATAAATTGCTTTTAATTATATTAAATTTTTATTTTTCTGCATCAGCTTCAAGTACATTATTTTGTTTCCCTTTCCTGTTTGAGCCGCTTATGCCATTTCTCACAGAGGGGAAGAAATACGTAGTTGCTTTCATTACTCTTATTGCTTCTTTGCTGTTGGGGTGTGTGAAGTGAGCATTGATTTTAGTGCTGAGAATGTAAACGGACTTACAGGATGCTTGGATTAGTCATCACAGGTTCTTATGACTTTGCTACCACAGTTGATATATTTCTCCTCAAACCTGTTGCCCTAAGGAATATATAAAATATTGTTGATATTTCTAGGTGGTGTTATCAAGGAGAAGAAATTCCTGCCTTGACCAGATGTGTGGAGCATCTACAAATGAATGAATAGTTATTTACACACAAACCACTGTGTACAAAAGCGTCCATGGAGCTGTCAGTGTCTCGAGTGGTATTATGAGGCCTCAGGTGCCTTGGGGTACATTGTCATGCTATAAGGGATGTATATCATAAGGTATGGTGGAAGAGGGGCCTTATGTGAATGATTGCCACATACTGTTTCTGTTGCTGCTTTTTTTCCGATTCCTTTTTGTCATTGGATTTGTTTGTTTTGTCATGTGGTGAATGGTGTTTTAGTTATTGTGTTGCTGCCAGAATCAGAATCCAGTTCTTGTTCTTACTGCCTTATAGTTATTGTGTTGCCACCAGAATCAGAATCCAGTTCTTGTTCATACTGCCTTGTAGTGAGGGCAGTTTAATATCTACAAAGAAGCTTTTAGAAGCTGAAAAAGTCAATGTGATTGTGCATTCTGCTTTTAAGAAGCTGTTTCAGCTATGAACTGTGTATGTGCTATAAGTGTGAGGTACCATAAGTTATTTAATTTTTAAAAGAGGAAACTCCTGAGTGAGCTGTTTAAGAAATCTGAGTGTGATCTATTGTTACGTTATTTATAACTAGGTAAAATGTCTGTCGTGATAGATTTCTTTTAACGTTCAGATACTGTGGTTGGGTTGTCTATATTTAATATGCAGATTTGCCTGCTGGAATCATAATCCATTTTTAAGTGAATGTAAGAAATGAAAACTACTGCATTTGTGTCTTTTGAAGGCAAGGATCCTTGGATTTTAAAGGAAGAGTATGTGCTTTGAAGGCACTCAGAGACTAGTAATAGCATATGGTTT
Source organism: Homo sapiens (assembly GCF_000001405.40). Lineage (NCBI taxonomy): Eukaryota > Metazoa > Chordata > Mammalia > Primates > Hominidae > Homo > Homo sapiens. Next base: position 134,770,493 of record NC_000023.11, on the reverse strand, counting down.
GAAGGGAAACCCATTCTCTTTCAATTACAAGAGAGCATCACTTAGCGTGCAGTACTTCTGTTACAGCATCCGATGTGTCCTTTATTTTAAATTGTAACCATAACAGCCATTAATGGCTTTATTTCTTGTATTGCTCTCATCTGGGAAAAGTCTCTACTTCTTCAAACGTAACATAAATCTATTATGAAGCTTGTCCCCTAGTATGCCATTATAAAGAAAAAATTCTTCGATGGTATGCAGTGTATCTATTCTGTTTGTAAAAGATCATGTCAAAATGTTCTGCCTCTATAATGATAATAGATGGTTTTGTCTTTCAGGATATTTATCCACCTACTGTCTTCTTTGCCTTAAAGGGACACTTGGCCATCATTTTTAGGCTCGAACTTAACACTGTTAAGAAATAACTGAAATATGATGGTATTTACATTAATTTTTGAAATTCAATGGTGGGATAGAATTAGGTCAGGAAATGGAAGTTGTTCCAATGGTGTGAGAACTAGGAGACAAGATGATTCACTTTATTATTTAAACCAAGCTTCATTTTTAGTTTTTGTTGTTTAAATGGACTGGAAAGTTAAGTTTTTGCAGGGATTGTTTTGAAATAAAGAGATATGCTAACTCACAGATGAACTTTGTTAAGACCCCTTTATTTTTATATAAAGTCTAATATTTGAAAAGCGATTGTTATAAAGTAAAATTCTCTCTTCCTATTCTAATATATATCATATATTTCAGGCTTCTATTTGAAAACAGGTATAAGAGATGATATGATACAACCCTATAGATAATGTTTTTTGCTTGATTGACTTATATAATCACTGTTTCATGATTACTGCTTTTGGAATAATAGGAAGTTTTGTGAAATGCTGGCCTTGTGTATATCTTAGAATGCAAATTTAATAAAGTGTGTATACATGCATAAAATTTACTAGTGTTTTAAAAGTCTGTCCTTTGTTCTTAATAATAATTATTTTCTGCCCCTATATCCCAGTAGTTTATTCTCTGTGTCTAATTGCAGGTCAAGTTTGAATAAAAGGATATCAGAAACACAAAAGAACGAATAGCTATGTTGAAGTTGGGGCTGTTTGCCAAAACGAAGTGAAACCTCTCCACATAATCAAATTTTCAAGAGTATTTTGTAGAATTTGACAACTTAGAAGGTTCTTGCCAGGGTCATACATCTTTCTTCCTCGTTTTCAATTTGGTTTATCTTGTTAAAATTTTTACATATTGATAAGCCTCTATAAATTATTTTTAGAAAAAGATGAGGGTAGATAAACAGGCAAAAGGGTCCGGGCACAGTGGCTCACGCCTGTAATCCTAGCACTTTGGGAGGCTGAGGCAGGCAGATCACGAAGTCAAGAGATCAAGACCATCCTGGCCAACATGGTGAAACCTCGTCTCTACTAAAAATACAAAAATTAGCTGGACATGGTGGTGCACACCTGTAGTCCTAGCTACTCGGGAGGCTGAGGCAGGAGACTCGCTTGAATCCGGGAGGCGGAGGTTGCTATGAGCCGAGATTGTGCCACTACACTCCAGCCTGGTGACAGAACAAGACTCCATCTTAAAAAAACAAAAAACAGGCAAAAAGCCTTTTATGTGTGATTCAGATTATTAAGTTTATCTTCAGTTTCTTTTTTTTTTTTTTTTTTTTGAGGCAAAGTTTTGCTCTTGTTGACCAGGCTGGAGTGCAGTGGCACAATCTCTGCCCACTGCAACCTCTGCCTCCTGGATTCAAGCATTTCTTCCTGCCTCAACCTCCTGAGTAGCTGGGACTACAGGCGCCCGCCACCATGCTTGGCTAATTTTTGTATTTTTTAGTAGAGATGGAGTTTCATCATGTTGGCCAGGCTGGTCTCAAACTTCTGACCTCAGGTGATCTACCTGCCTCAGCCTCCCAAAGTGCTGGGATTACAGGCGTGAGCTACCTCGCCTGGCCCTATCTTCAGTTTTTAAGAAATAACATGAGCTGCTTTATTTTAAAATACATTTTGGGCTGGGCATGGTGGCTCACGCCTGTAATCCCAGCACTTTGGGAGGCCAAGGCGGGTGGATTGCTTGAAGCCAGGAGTTTGAGACCGGCCTGGGCAACATGGCAAAACCCTGTTTCTACTAAAATTACAAAAATTAACTGGATGTGGTGGCGTGCGCCTGTAATCCCAGCTACTTGGGAGGCTGACGCTTGAACCTGGGAGGCAGAGGTTGCAGTGAGCTGAGATTGCACCACTGCACTCTAGCCTGGGTGACAGAGCGAGACTGTTTAAAAAAAAAAAAACAAAAAAAAACCTTTACATTTTGAAATTTGAAATAATTTCAAACTTACAAAAAAGTTGTAAGAGTAGCTCAAATAACTCCTATATATCCTTCACCCAGGTTCCTTAATTGTTAACATTTAACCACATTTGCTTTGTCTATCTGTCTCTCCTATATATGCACTATCATTCTGTCTCTCCCTGTGTCTCTCTGTGTGGGGGGGATGTATATACATATATATATATATGCACGTATACATTTTTTTCCTGAATCATATGATGCCCCATTGCCCTTACATGCTTCAGCGTAAATTTCTTAAAGATATTCTACATAACCACATTACAACTATCAAAATCAGAAAATTAACTGACACAAAACTGCCATCTATTAGCTGAGCATAGTGGCTCCCAGCATTTTGGGAGGCTGAGGCGAGAGGATCACTTAAGTCCAGGAGTTTGAGACCAGCCTGGGCAACATAGCAAGACCCTGGTATCTATATTTTTTTTAAATAAAAAGATTTTTTTAAACTGCCTCTGATCTACAGACCCATTCAGTTTTTGCCTATAGTTGTGATAATGCCGTTTTTGGCAAAAGGGAAAAAATCTTTTTTTTTTCTTCTGGAGGAGGAGACTTTCTTATCTTAGTAACTGACACCCTCACCCACCCAGCTACTCAAACCAAGAACCCAGGAGTTAACCTTGACTTGTTGCTTACTTTCATTCCTTGCATATAATTTTTCAGCATGACTTTTCATACTGTTTCTGAGATATATCTTCTTGCCCTTGTCAAAGAGGAACAATACCAGACATAGTTAGCAACACAGATTTTATTCAGACTACTTCAATAGGGGAGAGACCCCTATTTCTTCTAGAGGAGGCACATGGTGTTACTTTGTCCTGTTACTAGTGATGATAACTTTGATCCCTTGGATAAGGTGGTGTCTACTGTCTTTTTCCCATTGAAATTAAAGTATTTTGTGTGGAGGTACTTTGAGACTATAAATATCCTGTTTACTCATTAAACTTTGACCCCCTAGTTTTAGCATTCATTGATCTTTCTTGTCTGATGGTATTATGATGGCTGCCTGATAGTATCATGATGGCTACCTAATGCTGGCTCTAATTCCATCATTAATTTATTAGTTGACATTCTACTGTAAAGGAGAACACACTCTCCTCCACCACTTTGCATCAGTGTGGACTCATGGACTCCTGTTTTAGTTAGTTTTACTTCATTACCATGATTGTTTTGATATTCAAGTTGCCTCAGATTTGGAAAATGAGGGCCCCTCCAACTTGTCCCTGTGTCCTTTGGACAAATCCCTATCAGTTTCTGAGCAGTTTTTTACTTTTCTGGCTCAAGATGTCCCAGATTCATACTCTGCTTGCCCCAGCCCCTGGGATCAGCCATTTCTCTGAGGAGCCCCTTGATTCCTTTTAATAGAGAACAATGTTTAAAAACCAAGGTGGGGAACTAGGTATATCATCGCTATTGGGGCATCATTGTTTAAAGGCCTCAGATCACAGAGAAAAACACATGTATGTGTATATATACACCATGTAAATGTATATACACATCTATATTTGTTTATTAAATATAATGAGTTCAAACTATACCTCTGATTCCAATTCAGTACCACAGGGTTCATTCCAGTGTTTATCTCAGTGTAATTACTCCTTTCTCCTATGTGTAACCAATTTCCTACCCTGCCAGCTGGCTACCCGGCCTGCCTCCTCAGCCCCATCCATCTCCTTGGCTCTGACCCTGATGGCCTGCCAGTCCTGGCTGCCTGGATGGAAGGAAGGAAAGAGGATCTAAGTCCTCAAGTTTTAAATATCCCTGGTTCACACCCACCCCAACCACCACAAGCTCCTTATCTTCTGTGCTTGACTGTTCACAGCTTGGGAATTTCTTACATTCATCAATTTAACAAATATTTATTGAGCCCTGTGCTGTGAACTGTAAATGCAGATTAATTTCATGCCTTTGGCCGGGCACGGTGTCTCATGCCTATAATCCCAGCACTTTGGGAGACCAAGGTAGGTGGATCACCTGAGGTCAGGAGTTTGAGACCAGCCTGGCCAACATGGTGAAACCTGTCGCTACTAAAAATACAAAAATTAGCTGGGTGTGGTGGCATGCCCCTGTAATCCCAGCTACTAAGGAGGCTGAGGCAGGAGAATTGCTTGAACCTGGGAGGCTGAGGTTGCAGTGAGCCAAGATCGTGCCACTGCACTCCAGCCTGGGCAACAGAGTGAGACTCCATCTCAAAAAAAAAAAAGCATGGCTTCAAGGAGAGCAGTAGAACAGAATAGTCAGGCACACTGATTACTGGAAGCGCACTGATAGAGTGTGTTGGAGAGCATCAAGGGAGAACACCCCCCTCCCCCCCATGCTTCCCAGAAGAGGGAACACTAAGGCTGAATCTTGAAGAACAAACTTGGCATGAGTCAAGGAGTTAGGTAGAGGGAAATAAGATACAGGTGAGAAGAGACTAAAGCACCGTTACAGAAATGCTAGTAATTTGCTAATATAGGAGATGCAGCTGGAGAGGAAAACAGACCTCATCTGTTCTTTGGGGATTTGGGAGTCTTTAGCTTATGTAGGTGGAAGCTATAGCTGTAGATGTAAACAGGAAGATCATCCAGACAAGAAGGTTAGGGACAAAATCCTGATAAGCATCATCATTTAAGAGGCTGACAGATCACGAGGTCAAGAGATCGAGACCATCCTGGCCAACATGGTGAAACCCTGTCTCTACTAAAAATACAAAAATTAGCCAAGCGTGGTGGTGTGCACCTGTAGTCCCAGCTACTCAGGAGGCTGAGGCAGGAGAATTGCTTGAACCCGGGAGGCAGAGCTTGCAGTGAGCCGAGATTGCGCCACTGCACTCCAGCCTGGCGACAGAGCAAGACTCCGTCTCAATTAAAAAAAAAAAAAAAAAGAGGCCGACTGAAGATAAGAAGGGATGGCCTAGTGAACCATAAGGAGAGAGTGGTGGTCTACAGGGTCAATTGAAATGAGGACTGAAATTTTCCCATTGGATCTTAAAATTAGAAGGTCCTCTGGAGGCTCTCATTAGTGTACTGTTAGAGGTTGAAGGAGCCAAAGTTGAATTGCAGTGGTTTAAACAAGCCTTCTGTTTGTGGCATATGACACTGATGTTCCATTTATCATAGTGATAGGAAGCTTTTTATTACAGTAAACTTGGCAAGTTGTATAGTAAAGGAAAGGTGACTTAATTTAAATACATCTTGAGTAAATGATAGTATGAATGATCCATAGCCAGATATGGCCCAAATCTTAGGAGACAGAGATAAGGAGTGTATGTTATAGTCTACGTCCACTTGCCGACTTCCTTTTTTCCCTTCTTTTCTTTCCCAACCCTTGCTCAATCATAATACAAACTCTCCCATTTTCTCCTTCTGTATCCTCAGCAGCTAGCATCCTATCTGAAATAGAATAGTCACTCAATAAAATTCTGTTGAACTAAGTAACCCCTCACTATCCTATCAGAAATAGAACAGTCACTTAATAAAATATTGTTGAACTAAGTAACCCCACACTATCCTATCTGAAATAGAACACTCAATAAAATTTTGTTGAACTAAGTAACCCCACGCTATCCTATCTGAAATAGAACAGTCACTCAATAAAATTTTGTTAAACTAAGTAACCCCACGTTATCCTATCTGAAATAGAATAGTCACTCAATAAAATTTTGTTGAACAAGGTAACCCCACGCTCTAACCTATAGAGGGAGTAAAAGAAAGTCACTCTCACCTATAGAGGGAGCTGAAAGAAAACCACAGGGAGTGCTAACCTATAGGAGAAGCTGAAAGAAAATCACTAGGGAATGAACCTATAGGAGAAGCTGAAAGTAAATCTCCGGGGAAGTGTTAACCACACACTCTCACCTCTAGGAGGAGGGTGAAGCTTCTTGTCTTCCAGACATTCCCGAGGAAAACTTACACGAGGAGTCTGTCAAGGAGTGCCACCCTTTGGTAATCTTTATTAATATATACCTAATATGTACCTTATGTTTGTGGCATGTGATACTGATGTTCCATTTATCATAGTGATAGGAAGCTTTTTATTACAGTAAACTTGGCAGGTCGTATAGTAAAGGAAAAGTGACTTAATTTAAATACGTCTTGAGTAAATGATAGTATGAACGATCCATAGCCAGATATGGCCCAAATCTTAAAATATACATAATTACTTCGATCCAGGAAAGTATTGGGTCACAGTGGTGTGTGGAACAGTCTGTATGAAGAAGTTAGAAGCTGTGGAATCTGTGTGGAATGCTCTTGCCGGGTTCTTTTTAGATTTCCTCTTTTTTGGGATTCTGCGCTTTTCCTTTCCCTTTTCTTTTCTCTTTCTTTCTTTCTTTCTTTCTTTCTTTCTTTCTTTTTTTTTTCGGAGTTTCTTTCTTGTTGCCCAGGCTGGAGTGCAGTGGCGCCGTCTCGGCTCAATGCAACCTCCGCCTCCCGGGTTCAAGCAATTCTCCTGCCTCAGCCTCCTGAGTAGGTGGGATTACAATCACCCGCCACCACGCCCGACTAATTTTTGTATTTTTAGTAGAGATGGGGTTTCACCGTGTTAGCCAGGCTGGTCTCGAACTTCTGACCTCAGGTGATCCGCCTGCCTCGGCCTCCCAAAGTGCTGGGATTATAGGCGTGAGCTATCGTGCCCAGCCTATTCTGCACTTTTCTTCTCCTGTGAGGTGTGGTAAGACAGGTCAGGAACCTCTCTCCTTTAGCTTCTGGGGGGAACATGAGGGGCTGAGGTAAAGTGGGGCTAAAGAGCACTTAAGGCCTGGTTTGCTTACCTATCTCTTCTGACTAAAAAAGTGATTAGAACTCCAGAGCTAATGTCAGCATGCAGCCCTCAGAGAAAGGAGCTTCTAGTCTGGATCACTGAGGCCTGCCTTCTTTGGGCAAGAGGAATTTTTAGTCTAGTTCCCCTCATGACTACTGAAGTAGTCTGGGGTGAAAGCCCTAGCTGGTGAAGTGTTTCTTTGAATCTTCCCTGTAAGCATCCATCTCCCTCGGAGACCTGTGGGATGCGGGGAGGAAGAGGGGAAGAGAGGCTGTGGCTGTTGTAGGTGAGGGGTTAATAATTCTAGGATTTGTAATCCTGACCATGTATATTTCTACCTCAGAGACAAAATTAACATCTCATAGCAGTGGTTTAATTTCTGTTATTGTTTTTCATCTTTATTCATTTTTATTTATTTTTGAATTATGGAGGAGAAAAGCTTGTTACAAAAAGTGGAAACCTCATAGAAGTATGCAAAGTAAAAAAATACTCCCCCTTCAGCGTTTTCATCTATAATGTAATAGTTTGATTTGTGTACCAAATTATCTTTTTCTTTTCTTTTCTTTTCTTTTTTTTTTTTTTTTTTTTTTTTTTTGAGATAGAGCCTCATTCTGTCACCCAGGCTGGAGTGCAGTGGCATGATCTCGGCTCACCGCAACCTCTGCTGCCCGGGTTCAAGTGATTCTCCTGCTTCCCGAGTAGCTGGGATTATAGGCGCCCGCCACTGCGCCTGGCTAATTTTTGTATTTTTAGTAGAGACGGGGTTTCACCATGTTGGCCAGGCTGCTCTTGAACTCCTGACCTCGTGATCCACCCGCCTCGGCCTCCCAAAGTCCAAAGTGCTGGGATTACAGGTGTGAGCCACCGTGCCCGGCCCTAGTTATCTTTTTCTATACATAGGCGAACATATTTGTAATAGATGCACATGCATATTTTAAAATTTTTATGGAAATGTAATGTATATACAAAAAGTATACAGGTTGATGAATTATCACAAACTGGATCTTCTGGGGGAATGTTCTCTGTGACCTGGGTGATGGTTACATGGGTTTATTCATTTGTGATAATTCCTGGAGAGTAAATGGCAGAAAGTGAGCCAGTAGGGAACAACTCAAGAGTTCTGGAATGTTCTCTATGGACCTGGGCGATGGTTACTTGGGTTGATTCAGTCTGTGATCATTCATAGAGTGAATGACTGGAAGTGGTCATTGGGGGGGGGGTGCCTCAACAGTTCTGGAATGTTCTATGTGACCTGACTGATGTTTGCTTAGGTTCCCTTTGTCAGCATTCAAAGAGTGAATGACTGGAAGTAGGTATTGTGGGGCACCTCAAGAGTTCTGGAATGTTCTCTGTGGACCTGGGTGATGGTTACTTGGGTTGATTGCGTTTGTGATCATTCATAGAGTGAATGACTGGAAGTGGGCATTAGAGGGCGCTTCAAAAGTTCTCGAATGCTCTGCACTGAGATAGGTGACTGTTTATGGGTTCATTTTTAGCAATTGTGTGAACATTCCATAATTTAACCCTCAAATGATGATCATTGAGGTTCTTTATAATTTTTTAGTATACACAAGTAAATGTTGTTATTTATTTAAATTTGTCCGCTTCTGTATGTATTTCTTCAGGAGAGATTCTTAGAAGTGATAAATTGCTGGGTCAGAGGACATGTGCATTTTATTATTTTCTTTTTGGAAAGGTAAGACAAGTTCAGTGTAAAAAAATCAAATAGCAAATAAAAAGGACATATAGGGAAAAGTCAGTTTTCCTCTTACCCTTGACCTCCAGTCCCATCAGATCCTTTCTCAGAAGCAACCAGTGTTACCAGCTTCTGGCAGGTTCTAACAGAGATACTGTGTACATTGCATATATATTTACATATCCTTATAAGGCATTGCTTAAAGCCATACCACCACCCCATCAAGATTGTACCAATTTATAATCTCGTCAATAGCGTTTAAGAGTTCCCTTCCCCCCGATCCCGAACCCTGGCCAGGGATGATTTGGGGGTTCTGAAAATATTTGAGTAAAAAGGAACAGGTTTTATTCATTCATCCATTGGCAATACATTAATGTGCTTCAGAATTCAAAAGGTGCAAAACGTCTGCCTCCCACTTTCATCCCCTAGCTGTCATAGCTCCTTTCCCCCAGAGCAATTGTGTTTTCAGTTTCTAATGCATTCTTACGGAGAAAGTTTGCATATGTAAACAAATCCATCTATATATTTTTTTTTTCCTGAAATTTTACACAAATGGCAGCATATTTGTATGAGCGATTACTACATGACCTCCCTCTCCTTTTCCCCTCAAAAACCTAAGTGACTTAAAACAATTATTCATTTTTTCTCATGAGCCTATGGGTAAGCTGGGAGTATCTGCTATTCAGGGCCAGGCTCAGATCATCTTGGCTGGTCAGTTGATGGGTCAGTTGGGGATTGGTTGGTCTAGAATGGCTTCAGCTGGGATTGTTCAGCTCTACTCCATGAGGTCTCTTACCCACAAGCAGTCTAGTCTGGGCTTGTTCCCATCGTAGTGTGAGGACTCCACAAGAACAGAAGCACAGAAGGCCTCTGGAGGCCTAGACTTGGCTCTGGCACAACGTAACTGTCTTATTCTGTCGACCAAAGCAAGCCACAGGCTAGCTAGCCCGGATTCAAGGAATGTGAGGAGCTGCAAAGTCACGTTGCAGGGTGTATGGGCTTAGGGAGGGGAAGAGCTGGGGCCATTTATTCTATCAAATACAATACTATAGGTATTGTTATGTACCTTAACCTTTTTTTTTTAACCTAACACTGTATCTTGGAAATGACTTCATATTAGTCCACAAAGAGCTTCTTTGTTTTTTATTCTATTTCATTTTGCCAGCCCCCTATTGAAGGAAACATATTGCTTCCAGTCTTTTGCTATTATCTAACAATGCTGCAATGAATAACATTGAACATATGTCAGATAAATTCCTAGGGGTGGAATTACTGGGTCAAAAGGTATATATATTTATTATGTTTGATAGTGACTTCCAAATTAAACTGAAAATTTTGTAATTTTTTTTCCACTCTAAAGAAATAGAAGTTCAGTTTTGTGCAGTGGCAGCATCATAGCCAGTGAGGTTTATCTGAGGAGTGATTATTGCTAATTGAAAACTTTTCCCAGTACCCCGCCATGATGGCTTGAAATATAGTTGGCGTTGGCATTTTTTGACAGTCTGTATGGAGACTAAACTAAAAATAGAAATGAAGAAAAAAGAAATGGAAGTTCATAATTTAAAATTTTTATTTTTTTGTACAAATTGATGGGGTATAAGTGAAATTTTGTTACATGTATATAATGCATTGTAATGAAGTCAGAGTATTTAGGGTGTCCATAACCCAAGTACAATATATTTTTGTTAAGTATAGTCAACCTAATGTGCTGTCAAACACTGAATTTATTCCTTCTGTCTTACTGTATATTTGTAAGTACCCCTTAACCCACTTTTTTTCATCCTCCTCCCTACCCCCGATTCACCCTTCCCAGTCTCTGTTATCTGTCTGTCCACTCTCTATCTACATATGATCAAGTTTTTTAGCTCCCACATATAAGTAAGAACATTCAATATTTGTCTTTTTGTGCCTAGCTTATTTCACTTAAGATATGACTTCTAGTTCCATTGATGTTGCTGAAAATGACATGATTTCATTCTTTTTTATAACTATATAGTATTCCATTGTGTATATGTACCACATTTTCTTTATCCATTCATCTGTTGATGGACATTTAGGTTGATTCTGTATCTTTGCTATTTTGAAGAGTGCTGCAGTAAACATAGGAGTGCAGGTATCCCTTTGATATATTGATTTCTTTTCCTTTGGGTAGATACATGGGATTGTTAGATCAAATGGCAATTCTATGTTTAGTTTTTTGAGAAATCTCCATACTGTTTTCCATAGTGGCTATACTAGTCTACATTCCCACCACCAATGTATAAGAGTTCCTGGCCGGGCTTGGTGGCTCATGCCTGTACTCCTAGCACTTTGGGAGGCCGAGGCGGGTGGATCAAGAGGTCAGGAGTTTGAGACCAGCCCGGACAATATGCTGAAACCCTCTCTCTACTAAAAATACAAAAATTAGCCAGGCATGGTGGCGCACACCTGTAGTCCCAGCTACTCAGGAGGCTGAGGTAGGAGAATCACTTGAACCCAGGAGGTGGAGGTTGCAGCGAGCTGAGATTGCACCACTGCACTCCAGCCTAGGCGACAGAGTGAGACTCTGTCTCAAAAAAAAAAAAGAGTTCCTTTTCTCTGCATCCTCACCAACATCTCTTATTTTTTGTCTTTTCAGTAGTAGCCATTCTGACTGGGGTAAGATGATATCTCATTGTGGTTTTGATCTGCATTTATCTGATGATTAGCGATGTAGAGTATTTTTTCATATACCTGTTGGCTGTTTGTATGTTTTCTTTTAAGAAATGTCTATTCATGTCCTTTTCCCATTTTTTAGTGGGAATATTTGTTGTTTTCCTATTATTTGAGTTCTTGGTATATTCTGGATATTAAGTCCCCATTAGATGAATAGTTTACAAATATTTTCTCATATTCAACAGGTTGTTTCTTAACTCTATTGATTGTTTCCTTTACTGTGCAGAAGATTTTTAGCTTGATTTGCCTATTTTTGTTTTTGTTGCCTGTGCTTTTGAGGTCTTAGTCATAAATTCTTTGTCTAGATCAATGTCCAGGAGAGTTTTCCATAGGTTTTCTTGTAGTGTTTTTATAGTTTCAAGTCTTATGTTTAATCCATTTTGAGTCGATTTTTGTATATGGTAAGAGATAGGGGTCCAATTTCATTCTGCATGTGGCTATTCATTTTTCCCAGCACTATTTGTTGAAGAAAGTGTCCTTTCCCCAGGGAAAGTTCTTGCTGGCTTTGTCAAAAATCAGTTGGCTGTGTATGTGGCTTTATTTCTGAGTTCTCTATGCTGTTCCATTGGTATATGTGTCTGTTTTTATACCATTACCATGCTGTTTTGGTTACTATAGCCTTGCAATATATTTTGAAGTCAGGTAATGTGATGCTTCCAGCTTTCTTTTTGCTCAGGATTGTTTTGGTTACTTGGACTCTTTTTTTGTTCTGTATGAATTTTAGGATTGTTTTTTCTAATTTTGTGAAGAATTATGTTGGTATTTTGATAAGGATTGCATCGAATCTATAGATAGCTTTGGGCAATGTGGTCATTTTAACTAGATTAATTTTTCCAACCCATGAGCATGGGTTTTTTTTTTCCATTTGTCTATGTCATCTTCAATTTCTTTTATCAGTGTTTGTAGTTTTCCTTATAGAGATCTTTCACCTCCTTGTTTGAAGTTATTCCTACATATTTTATTTTTGTAACTATTGTAAATGGGATTGCCTTCTTTTCTTTCATGTCTAGATCATTATTGGCCATCATATAGAAATGCTAATGATTTTTGTACATTGATTTTGTATGCTGCAACTTTTTATTTTAAAAGAAGTCAAGCCTACAGAAAAGTTGAAAGAATAGTACAATAAAAACCCATATACCCTTCATGAAGATTAAACACTTGTTTACATTTTGCCACATTTGTTCTCTCTCTGTGTGTATACATATATATAACACTACATAGAACATACATATATATATATACATATTTTATGAACCATTTGACATTAAGTTGGAGATATCAAGACACTTTTTCAGCCTGTATTGCCTAAAAACAAGGGTGTTTACCTACATAATCACAATTTTGTTAGCACACCCAAGAAATTTAAGATTGACAGAATATTATTTTATTCATAGCCCATATTCAAATTTCCCGATTGCCCCAATAATGTCATTTAGAGCTTTTTTTTGTTTGTTTCAATCAAGGATCCCAAATTCAGGATCAAAGGTCATACAAATTCATGTACTTGTCATATCTCTAGTAGTCTTTCATATAAAAGTTTCCCACTTTTTTCATCTTTCATGAAATATTCATTTTGAAGACTCTAGGCCAGTTATCTTGTATCATGGCCTAAAATTTGGATTTGTCACATTGTTCCCTCATGAATATATTCAGGTTAAACACTTTTGGCAAAGATACCACATAGGTGGTTTCCATTGCCTCACGTCAGGAGGTGTATACAATGTCAATTTGTCCTATTGCCAAGTTGGATCACTTGACCAAAGTAGTGTAATCCAGATTTCTCCATGTAAAGGCACATTCTCCTCCTTTGTAATTAATATTCAATTAATATCTTTAAAGTATGACCATGTAAATATTCTGTTCCCCAATAATTTTCATCTGATAGTTTTAGCATTCATTATAATCCCTATCTGAATCAGTTTTTAACACAGTGGCTGCAAAGGTACGTTTTCCCAATTCTGTTGTTCCTTCCACATTTATTAGCTATCCATTCGTCTGTAAAGGAAGCTGACCCCTTTTGTTTTTCATGTCACTTCAAATTCTTTTTTAAAATTAATCTGTATAACCTGTTACCATTATTGGACTCGTGCCTGAATAGACAGATCAACAAAACAAAGCAGAAAGTCCAGAAATAGACCCAAGTATATATGAAAATGTAATCTTTTTTTTTTTTTTGAGACGGAGTCTTGCTCTTTCCCCCAGGCTGGAGTGCAGTGGCGTAATCTCGGCTCAATGCAACCTCCGCCTCCCGGGTTCACGCCATTCTCCTGCCTCAGCCTCCTGAGTAGCTGGGACTACAGGCACCCGCCACCACGCCTGGCCAATTTTTTGTATTTTTAGTAGAGACGGGGTTTCACTGTGTTAGCCAGGATGGTCTCGATACCCTGACCTCGTGATCCGCCTGTCTCGGCCTCCCAAAGTGCTGGGATTACAGGCGTGAGCCACCGCGCCCGGCCGAAAATGTAATATTTAATAAACAGTTTATTACTGGGGCAAAGATGGACTTTTTAAATAAATTCTATTGGCACAACTGGATAGCCATTTGGACAAAAAGGTAATTTGGTCCCATACTTCACATTGTACCCTAGAATAAGCTCCAAATGGAGCTTATTATATAAAATATTTAAAAAATAAAAAATAAAACCATATAGGTACCAGGTGGTCCAAATATTAAAAAAAAAAACATATAGGCACTAGAAGAAAACGTCGATTAATTTCTTTATAATCTGGGTGTGGGGAAAGCCTTTTAAAATATGACTCCAAATCCAAATGCCATAAAATGATGAGTATTTTCAAGTACATAAAAATCAAAGTAAAAACCTTTTTTTGCATGGCAAAAATCAGATAGGCAAAGTCAAAAGAAAGATGATGAAGGCCGGGCGTGGTGGCTCATGCCTGTAATCCCAACACTTTGGGAGGCCAAGGCGGGCGGATCTCGAGGACAGGAGATAGAGACCATCCTGGCTAACACGGTGAAACCCCGTCTCTACTAAAAATACAAAAAATTAGCCGGGCGTGGTGGTGGGCACCTGTAGTCCCAGCTACTTGGGAGGCTGAGATAGAAGAATCACTTGAACCCGGGAGCCAGAGGTTGCAGTGAGCCAAGAGCACTCCAGCCTGGTGACAGAGCAAGAATCCATCTCAAAAAAAAAAAAAAAAAAAAAAAAGAAAGAAAAGGAAAAAGAAAAGAAAGATGATGAAACTGAGAAAATACTTATAATGTATACATAAATAAAGGTCCAATATCCCAAACATATAAAGAACTTTTTAAATCTAAAGAAAAAAGGCTAAAAAGTCTCAGGAGGAAAATGGGCAAAAACATGAATACACAGTTCACAGAAGAAAGTATACAAATGATCCTTAAATATATGAAAAGATACTCAACTTCACACATAGTAAGAGATGCAAATATATTTAAAATACACAGTCAACTTGACCATCTGGATCATTTGGAGAGGAGGAGCAATGCCAGGTTAGGTTAAGTTCTCCCATTTAGGCACTCCTTGATATCCCTGGGCTTCACCTTTTATGGCACTTATCTGACTTGTAATTACAGTGATTGTTTAATGTCTGTCTTCCATACTAGTTACCAAATGTATAAGAATAGTGACCAAGACTATCTTATTCACACTGGTATCCCCAGCTCCACGCACAAAGTAAATGCTCAATTAACATTTGTCAAATCAATGAACAAACAAACTACAGAGTACTTATACTCACCAATAAGAGCTACCACTTAATAGTTGGATGAATGAATGAGTAACGTGGAGGCAAGGAATTGAATCTAAATCTATGTTTTCTGTAGTTCTCTCTCCCCGCTTCTCTTTCAGTTCTTGCCCACTTTCCATGGCAAACTCTCTCTCCTATTTTTTCTCCCTAATTTCCATCTAATTTCCACATGCTAGCTAAAGTAAAACCTTCAGCATGGCCTATGCTCATAAAATGTGTGCCTAGATCAAAAATAAGAAAAGTTGCAAATTTACATGATAAATTGGATGTTAGCATCTGAAGTGCTTTAAAATGGCCTGCTTTCTTATGTTTCTATAATTATTTTCTTATGCACCAAAATAAGAAAACTGAAAAATAATTTATTGTTAAAGTCATTCCAACATTTATCTTATTGCTAAAACTGCTTCCTACCGTTTCATTGCAAACCTACAGTATTTTAGCTTTACTTTTGTGAATCAAATTGGAACTCTAACCAGCGTAATCTTGTCTCTTCAAGAAAATGCATTGTAGGCACCAAAAAAAAAAAAAAAAAAAAAGAACAATAAATGTTCGAAATGTAGCACATTTGTAAATTGGAAGACAGCTTGTTTATGAGTGCCTGTTGATTAAATTTGTTAATGAGCCCTTAAGAAATTGCCCCTTTTTCTCCTACCACTAGAAATCCTTGATGGATTTTTCTATTACATCTAATTTTCAACACATAGAATAAAGCCTTCCATCTATGTTGACTTTTACCTCAGAAGTTGAGCGAGTTACTTGATTTTTACAAGCCCAGAAAAATAGGCTTCCCCCTAGACAGTCATTGTAAAAGGAGTCTCTTGGTAGCAGATTCCATTTTTTTCTAATACTATAATTATAGATCGATCCAATAAATGTTACTTTAAAATTTTGCTCAGTGGAAAGGCACTATAGAAAAATCTCATGTATTAGCCTAAAGCAGCTTGAATCTACTCCCTATCTTGTGAATGTTTAGGAGTTTTGATAGCCTATATAAATAAGTGTGCTGCATAGCAGCAGTTATTACAATAAAACAATATTCTGCTGGATTTTGTTGAAGCTTTGATTAATGTGAATATAAATTGATAGGGACAACAGAAAGTTTGAGGTTAAAATTTAGGTAGCAACCTTGCCATAACGTATTGTAAAAGTACCATATGCTCATTGGATAATATATGAAAAGTAATGAAAAATAGAAAAAAGTTTAAAGTGAAAATAAAAATCACCATAATTACGCCAGGCAGAGACAGCTGTGTGTTTGTGGGGTTTTCTATGTGATGGAACTCAGATGCTATATGCAATATTTTAGTCTATGGAAGCACTTAAACATTGATAGTATTTTTTAAAGAAATATTTTGTGTCATCCGGGGTATTTAAGTTTTATGGTTTAGCACACTACTCTGGAGAATGGTTTGAGACTCCCGAGTCGAGAAATCAATTCACAGAAGTCCTGTTTCAATTACCTGCAGATGTCAGTGTGGATCTGAGTGTGATTCAACACTTTGTTCCAGGATGTGGTGGGACAGTTGAAGTCCAGTTGTGAACCAGTTGCTTATTAAACAAATAACAGTTTAGTTTGGATGAGAAATGTGAGCTGTAAGGACCTCAAGTCTCCGAAATTTCTTTTTATAAAATCTAAATAAGCATGGATATATTCTCCAGTTACATCCAGTTCACAGAAGATTATACCATCTCGTTCCCGCCCCTGATTGTTTAAACAGCCTAAGATTAGTTATAGTGCTGGAGAAGTAGAGTTGATGTCGTTGGGCTTATTAAATTTGACTCCAGCCCAGATGGCAGGTCTGAGCGATACATTAGGAGCTGTGTTGGTTTACTTTTTGCTGTTATCGTATATTTAAACTCAAAGTTTAAAACTGATGATTCCAGCTCTAAAAGGGCATCATCTTTGCCATTGCTTCTGATGCTTATCTGCTTTTCTACATGATCCCGCTCTTTCATGCAACTTCGTGACATGAAAAGTCAATGTCGATTAGGCTAGGAAAATGTCAGGGAGACTTGCAGTGGCTCATTTTACCAAAACACAATTGTTTCTCGGGCCACGACACAAATCTGCCATCTGTTTCATAAGCTTGCAGGCTTCCTCTGAAGTATAATTTGCTATATATATTGGTACAGAAATTGTTGGTAGCTTATGTTTACCTAGCAACATAATCTGTTTGGTAGAAGGCTGTGGGAAAGGAGGCTTTGTGGAGGAGGATTTTCTTTTTCTTTCTTTTTTTAAAGAGAGCAGTTTCTTCATCTACAAATTATCTTTAAGTGCAAGAAAGGCGGATGTGCTGGCCCAAACAATCTGCCTTTTATACCATTTTAACCTAAATTGCCTAGTAAATGCTCACTTTGGGAGTTATTTTTGCTATGTCAATTATCTCATATATACATGAATGCCCTCTTTTCAATTTATTTTTCTTTTCATACAAATCACTGTGAAATAACTGCCTTGACCTTCTAGCTGTAAAAGATCACCGAGCTTTGGGACTGCCTGCATCTGTCCAGTGTGTATTTCTCCTGTTTCCCAGTGCTCTTAGTGTGACTTGTGGGTTTTGAATGTTGAATTTACATTTCAAGGATGTTTGTCAGGGCCTGGTAGTCTTTAAGTTAAATGTAACAAAATCAAGCAGCCTGCACTGTGTTGTCTGCATTACATTAATTTTCATTTAATTGAATGAGCTGTATATTTCTACCTACCCACTTTCTTAGCTTTCTTATCAGCAGAGCAATGTGTCTGTTGAAAGAAAAAAAAAGCCAAGGGGAGAAAAAAAAGTTTTGACTTTCCTTCATGTTAGTTATAGACATCATATGCTGGTAAAGGTTAGAGTGTACTTTCTACATTCATTTTGAGAAGGGGAAGAAAGTGTTGTCCTGTCAACTTCCTTCATGTAACACCAAGGTATAATTTGCTGCAGGCTTATTGCATGATATTGCCCTTCTGAAAGTGACGGGTTTTTCATTTTAATCTATAGCTATTATGTAGTTCTCAATGAAGAGGCAATGTGGAGGTTACTAACCCACTTCCCTCTCTAAAAAAAAACAAACAAAGAAGAAATGAAAAGAAAAACGAACTTCTATATCATCCTGAGACTTTGAAACTAGTCCTGAGAAAAGACTGTAGCAGAATTGTTATATGGACAAAGTTCCTTTAGCCAGAGCCATCCCATGTCTTTCATCTTGCAGCCTTTGTTTCTGCCCCCTTGAGTCCCTAACTCTTCACAAGCCCAGAAATCTCCTCACAATGTAGCCTCACAGGAAAGCACTGATAACTTCTACAGAGTTGGCCCTGACAGTTTTGCAAGGGACATAGGAATTAACTGGGTTGGAAAGCAGGTTTCCTTGCATCACTGGGAGCAGCCATTAATAATACAAACATTTATTCTTGGTGTTCTCCAGTAATGCTAGTCATGGAAGTGAGAAATTGACAGCTTGAGTTGTGAAACTGAGACCCATTTTTATACAGAGCAGATAGTTAAAGGCAAGTGAGAGAAGATGAGCTAATGAGAGAAGGGTTGACAAAAGAAGAGCAGAGGACCGGGCTTTTGCAACAGAAGGGAGATGTAGGATGAAAGATCCTGGAGGAGTGAATGATCAAGGAGGGAAGCTTATTGTCTTATTTAACCAACACTTCTTCAGCATTGGTAGTGTGCCAGAGACAAGAGATGGGAGGAACAGGATAGAGAGGAGACATTTTTAGGAGGGTGATGAATGAAAACAAAATGGTAGAAGATGCCCCAAAAGTCTTTAGTGGCTTTATTTCTGTCGAGAAGGTCGGAAGTCAGATTGCAGAGGAGCAAGAAAGGAATGCAGCATTCATTCTAAAAGTTTGGCAGCATTCTAGAGACTGGTAGCTGGAAGGGTAGGAGGGTCACTTGTAGAGCAGTTGTTGATGTTGTTGTTGTTGTTGATGGTGATGCAGTTGTCTGCATGAGATTGAAGAGCCAATGGGATAGGAAATAAATCAGAGGTCCCTGGTGAGCAGTGCTGTCCACTAGAACTTTCCACGATGATGGGAATTACATACATTTGCACCGTCCCATTCAGGAGCCGCCAGCACCACGTGGCTGTTGAGTACTTGAAATGTGGCTAGCACAATCAAGAAACTTCATTTTTAGCTTTATTTCATTATAATTCATTTACATTTTTCTTTTCCTTTTTTTTTTTTTTTGACAGAGCCTTGCTGTGTTGCCCAGGCTGCAGTGCGGTGGCATGATCTTGGCTCACTGTAACCTCTGCCTCCTGGGTTCAAGCGATTCTCCTGCCTCAACCTCCTGAGTAGCTGGGACTACAGGTGGCGCCCCCACACCAGGCTATATATATATATAAATATATATATATATATTTATAAATATATATATATAAAAATATATATATATAAATATATATATAAATATATATATATATATTTATAAATATATATATATAAAAATATATATATATAAATATATATATAAATATATATATATATATATATATTTTTTTTTTTGTATTTTTATTAGAGACAGGGTTTCACCATGTTAACCAGGCTGGTCTTGAACTGCTGACCTCAGGTGATCCACCTGCCTCGGCCTCCCAAAGTGCTGGGATTACAGGCTTGAGCCACTGCGTCCGGTCATAATTCATTTACATTTAAATAGCTACACGTGGCAAGAGGTTACTATCTAGGACAGCAGAGGTCTATAAGGAGAAAATAAATGTGGGAGTAAGAAAATGGGAAGAGATGAATTCTAGAGCAGAGTAGGAGGCAGTAACTTAGTATTTAGGAAAAATCTTCATCTGATGAGAGATGCTCTCACATCTCCAATAGCTAGGGGAGTTCAGACCCATAGCGTAAATGTTTTCAGCAACCGAATTGTCAAGCTCATCTACTAAAAATGGGAGAGTTGAGAGGAAGAAGATTTGGGGACCCGAGGAGAAAGATTGGGATATTCACAGCATACGGTATATCAGGAACAACTGGGCAGTGATGGGAACCAAACTGTGGTTGACAGCATGAGTTTGTGGTGGGCCAAGTCTAAGAGGCTCAACATGGGCCAAATTTGTACTGAGCCAAATGCGTGCAATTCCATATAAGGTTCTTTCTGGAATAAGAAACAAACTAAAAGGATCTGGAAAAAGGATATTATGCAATTTAGGCTTAGAAAGTTATGTTTGAGTATATCCCAGCAGCTCTGTTACTCTCTCTTAAACATCTTCTGATAAATTCCATTGGTTTTTTTTTCTGATGAATTTAAGCCTTGATAGTATAAAATGTATTTAGAGGAATCTCACTAGGCAGGTTAGGGCCCTTCTGCCTGGGTGGTGTTTGGTTAGGGTTATCTGCAAGATTCCATTGCTTGTTCTCCAAGCAAAAGAGCTTTCGGGTAGCTCACCCACGCCTCTCTGGTGATAGGAGTGGAGATGGTGGGGGCTTCCTTATAGCTAGAAAAATTATAGCACTGTGTAAGCCCATTGCTATTTAACTAACACTCTTTCCAGATGTTCTTGGAATGGAGGCCAGGGGCAAGATATGCTTATTGCAATACAGCTTCTATTTGTGGGAAAGGAGAAAAATTAAAGGAATGAGCAGATAGAAATGGAAACTGATCAGCTAGTATTTTTCTATATGTTAATAACACGAAAAGAATTAATTATGAACTGAACAGAGTTTTCTTTAAAATCCAGGTATTAGGCAGCAATTTAAAATCTTGATTTTTTGATAGAAATATCTCAACAAGCTCAAATTTTTGACTTCAGAAACAAGTGCACTCTTTGGCTACCTCGTCAGTCCTGTGGATATTTCTGTGTAGGCATTTGGTTCTTGTTTTCTTCTGTCACCCAGGTTGGAGTACGGTGGCCTGAACATGTCTCACTGCAGCCTCAACCTCCCAGGTTCAAGGGATCCTCCCACTTTAGCCTCCCGAGTAGCTGGGACTACAGGCAAACGTCACCGTGCCTGTTTGTTGTTGTTGTTTGTTTGTTTTGTTTTGTTTTGAGTCAGAGTCTCACACTGTTGCCCAGGCTGGAGTGCAGTGGCACGATCTTGGCTCACTGCAACCTCTATCTTCCATGCTCAACAATCCTCATGCTTCAGCCTCCCAAGTAGCTAGGACTACAGGCAGGCACCACCAAGCCCGCCTAATTGTTGTATTTTTTGTAGAGACAGGGTTTCATCATGTTGCCTAGGCTGGTCTCGAACTCCTGGGCTCAAGTGAGCCTCCTGCCTTGGCCTCCCAAAGCACTGGGATTACAGGTGTGAGCCACCATGCCCAGCCTGATTCTTGTTTTCATTGCAGCCTAACACTCTTAGAAAAGGCTGATTCGTGTCAAAAACCCATGACAGTGAGTAACCCTGATTAGAACTCTTCTTCTAACATTAAAATTTAAAGTAAGCAAAATGTGTCTTGTTCAATATGTTCCAGTGGCCAGTAAGGGACAATACGACTTCTCCAGTCTCTATAGTTCCAGCTAGGGATTTAAAGAGAAATAAAACAGATGTTAGAGCCTCAACCTGCCAATATCAGACCTAGGTAATTGTCTTGCCAGTCATTTCATCCATCTGCTGTAAAATATCAAGACGTTCCCCCCATTTAAACCCTGATACCAGAGTAATTCAAGCTGCCTGAGTAACACCAGTAGCTACGACCAAATTAAGTTTTCAAAGATGAGAATAAAACTGCTGAAAGTAGAATTTGGCATGCCTCTAAGAGATAAGGAGTCACTCAGAAATTTTAGAATTTCAATTTGTTCATCCAGGCATTTGTTAAATATCTTCCAAGATCCCTTACCATTGGTGATGTGGGGAGAAGACAGGCGATTCAGTAGCGGTATCAGATATGAATCTGGCCCTCAAAGATTTGTACTCTAGTTGGGTTTACAGATCTGAAGCTTCTAAAGCAATTCGAGAACAATTAGATGTAAACTTACATGGTAAGGCCCAGAAGGTGACTAGAACCAGTACTTTTTTTTTTTTTTTTTTGAGATGGAGTCTCTCTCTTGTCGCCCAGGCTGGAGTACAGTGGCGTGATCTTGGCCCACTGCAACCTCCGCCTCCCGGGTTCAAGTGATTCTCCTGTCTCAGCCTCCTGAGTAGCCGAGATTACAGGCGCCTGCCACCATGCCCGGCTAATTTTTGTGTTTTTAGTAGAGACAGGGTTTCACCATGTTGGCCGGGCTGGTCTCCAACTCCTGACCTCAAGTGATCCGCCCACCTCGGCCTCCCAAAATGCTGGGATTACAGGCGTGAGCCACTGCATGCAGCTGAACCTGTATCTTTAAAAACAAAAGAGACATGTGATAGCACAGAGAGAACCTGGCATTAGCGTATCTAAGGCCAATTTTGTCACTAACTGACCGGATCACCTTGGCCTTAAACTCTAAATCCTGTTTGTTTTTCTATAAAATGGAGATTGTGCTACTTGCTAAACTGGCTTTCTCACAGGGCTTCTTGTCTAGGGTGGGAAGCCATACTGGATAATTTTGAAGTCCTTTCCTGGCTCTTAATATTCTATGATTTTATGGTAGTGAATGCAAAAGTGCTTTGAAAAGTGTTAAGTGGTGTACATTGTAATATTTGTGGCATTATCATCATTATGAATGCCTCTTTGGGGTTCCCAGAGGCTGATGTTCTCCGTGCATCTGCTCACAGGACCACCACACAGCAAGTTTCCTGACTCTCAGGCCAGGATTCTCTTTCTGATCCCATAATGTCTCTTTTAAAAATTAATAAGCTGAGTGACTAGCAGATAATTTCCCAAGGAGGTCCCTACAATTTCCCCACTCCCACACACATTTATTTTCTCTTCCTTGGCAGAGTGCAAACTTCACTACAGGCCACCGAACAAAATAATGTCTTCTTTTAAAATCATTAAGCTGAGTGACCAGGCAACTCGAAATATAGCAGGGTGTTTCCCAGGGAGGTCAGGTCACCACTTTCCCCACCCCCTCCTCATTTATCTTCTCTTCTCCATCAGAATGCAAGCTGCCACACAAACTTTTGGGCATATGCTCTTTTGGCCTCCTGGATAGGCAGGTGTTAGCCACAGGAAACAAGCAACTAAACAGGCTGCTCTTGGTGCCGATTGGCCATGGGTTAATGAGAGGTTTCATTTAACTCTAGGTGGTCGGTGGTGTTCCACCCCACCTCTCCCAGAGTATGTCATTGTCCTGAATGAGAAGGCCTGAGGGCAATGCTTAGAAATGAGTTTAAGCTGTTACACATCAACTAAGGTTAAAGTCCTCTGTGCTTCTGTCCCCCTTATTGCCTACTCTATACCATTCCTCTTAGCATATACTGCCTTGGGCTGTTTTTATTTTTTCTGAAGCATGTGGCCTGTATCCCTTAGTGAAACCCTGTAGCCCCTTGAACATTGAGCACAATGTTCTGTAAACAATATTCACATGATTTGAAAAACAAAATCCAAGCAATGTAGAAAATACGATCTTCTGAAGTATTTACAGTCCAAAAGAAATTATACTGATACTAATCCAAGAGACTTGGAAGTCTATTCACTTCCACCCTTTCACCTCAAATTGTGCAGATTGGTTTAACAGCCCACCATGTCTCACTAATGTTAATGTATGGTTACCTCTGGCAGTCTCGACGCTGAGATCTGTGACTGGAGCCTGGGCATCAGTTAACTTTGCCAATGACTGTGATATATCATCTATAATATATGATACGTGATATGGCCAGTGGAGCCAAACAAGTCATTGGAGAGTGAGTTATGGGCTTTCTGGACAGAAGAGGTATTGGGTCAAGTCCAAAAACAGCATTCAATTTTCCTACTCTGTAAGCAGCAAGAAAAATGAGGGCCAAGGTGACCACAATCCTATCTAGCCTCTACATCTGCCTTTACCAAGATGTTTCTAAAGTCCTTGATGTTAACTCCAGAAAGGCAGTAAAAATGGACCAACAGCAGAGAGATGTAAAGGGTGCCTTCCTGTCTCTTGGGACAATGAGGCAGCCAGCCAGCCTGGCCAGCTGAAGGAGAACAAGGCAACCTGCCCAGCGAGACAAAGCAGAGGTCAGACAAGGAAGTGGAACTATTCTGCAAGAGGGGTGGGAGTTTTGAAAAATTAAAAACAGGTCAAGGAGGAAGCTGATGATGGGAACTGAACCTCAGGCCACAGGCCTTTGATTGTATACCCTCCAGAACAGAGTGTCACACTGAGCACTGCAAGTAATCTGGCTTTGCCTATGTCAATGTGTGTTATCCTCAACCTTGGCTTGGGTGAGTCTTCAATTCTCAAGCTGATTCATTTTAAATTCAACAAAAACAAGGGAGAGGTGGGGAGGGGAACAGATTTTAGGGGTTACTTACCTCCCTCTGAAACTAACGCTGGTGTTTTCTAACCCAGCACCTTGCAACAAAGGGAGAGCATGTTAGCTTCCTTCTGGGAAAGGAAGGAACTGGACTCACTGTGGTTTGGGTAGTGCTTGCTACTGAGGCATTAATCAGGGTCCTGACATAGCTGGAAAGGGCTGGTTTCCTTTTCATGTATAGAATCATAAAGGGGGCACAATATTCAAACAAAAGGCCAAGGAAACCTCTCCCAAAGATCCTATCAACTGCAGTTCTGGACCAAGGAGTCTGGCCAGAAGGGAAAGCCCATTTTAGAAAAGGACCCTGTTTTTCCAGGCAGTGACATTCCTGTTACTGCGGATATGACTATAGTTCCAAAGAGGTCACTGAGATAGACCTTAACTTCAACTGGCTTTCAGGGACTGGCCAATTATTTATGGTAGGGTTATTTTTCATTATCTGTAACATTAAGAAGTACAGATCTCCTACGCTTAAGATGGTAGCCATTGTGGTTTGACATCCCACCATCCATTTTACCTCTTACATTGTTTAACGTAAGTATAGTTTTGGGGATTGCTTCCAGCTCCAGTGGGTGGAGCCTGATTAGTCTGAGCCAATCTTGGTGATGCCATGTCTCTGGATTTTTCAGCTATACCTCGCTACAAGGATTGGCTTGGGAATGGGCATATGACTAAATTCATATCAATGACAGATGAAGGAAAGTTTGCAGTGGGTTTCTGAGGAAAGCTTCCTCATTGTTAAGAAAGAGATCTCTCTCACTCCATATGTTGTCATACATGGGTGTGAGGTCTTCAACTGCTGCAGACATCTCACTCAAGCTTGAGGGTAAAGTCAACTGGGGGAGGAGGCCAGGACAAAAAGAAGAGTGGGGAAAAGGAACCAGGGCTACAGAATTATGTTGGCCCTGAAGCCATGTGCCTCTGGATTTCTAGTTTTATGAGCCAAAAGCTTTCTCATTTTGGAAGGTAGATGGTGACAAGAGAGTCTGGCTTGTCCTTGAGACAGGGACTCCCAGATCACCCAGTGGAGACTCTGGGAGACTGATACACACACACTGGACTCAGAAGAGACTGTAATCTGGAACACCAATTTATTCAATGACAAGGAGTATGTGTCTTTCCAGGACCTGAAATGCTTGTGTCCTCTAACTTCCAATCCCAGTATCAAGGTACCTAGGAACCCAGGCTGGTAGTACAAAAATAGCAAACTGCAAAAATAATAATAACCAATAGCCTGGTTTGCCCAAAGTCACGTAGCTTGTAAATAGCAGAGCACAGAGAGTCAACAGGTAGACTCTGATCTGAGTCCAAAGCCAAAACTCATAAGTAGTTTATCTAGCCTTTAGTGACAATCAGGACGTTATTCCGATGGACAAAAACAATATACTGAGCCCTTGCTATGTGGCTGGCCCTGTGCTAAACACTCAACATTTATTACTTAATTGACTCCTCACTATAACCCAGCGGGGACAGGTATTATGATAATTCCCATTTTACAGCAGTGGCAACAGAGGCTTGGAGAAATGAAGTCAGTCCCCAAGGCTATGTGGGTAATAAGTGGCGGGGTCACCTGATATAATTCTAGGGTATCCACTATTCTTTAAGGAATCATAACGAAGGGAGCGGGGAGAAGAGTAGCATCTAGGTTGTTTCCTCTGGTCCCATCCAAAATATACCTTTCTTTTTCTTTTTTTTTTTTTTTTGAGATGGAGTCTCTCTATGTTGCTCAGGCTGGAGTGCAGTGGCATGATCTCAGTTCACTGAAACCTCTGCCCCCTTGGTTCAAGCAATTCTTCTGCCTCAGCCTCCTTAGTAGCTGGGATTACAGGCATGTGCCACACCCAGCTAATTTTTGTATTTTTAGTAGAGATGGGGCTTTCGCCATGTTGGCCAGGATGGTCTCGAACTCCTATCCTTAGGTGATCCACCCGCCTCGGCCTCCCAAAGTGCTGGGATTACAGGCGTGAGCCACCGCGCCCGGCCCAAAATGTATCTTTCTGATGGCCTAAAGAACTTACGTCCTCTTCCTTAAACAATGCCACACACTTGCTGAGAACGTCTTACAATCCAGATGTCCTTATTCAGTATTCACGTTCGGTTACCAAAAACTTTCGTCACAACCAGATCAAGATAACTTATTTTGTATTGGTTAGCCCTTTAAATTGATCCCTTGTGGTTGAGATTTTAGAAACCACTCTCAGTCTCTTGCTGATTTTGAGATAGTACCCTAGTCTTAATAGCATCGATGGCTAGAGTTTTTCTTGTTTCGGAGAGTGACATTGGCTGGCCTTGTCCCTACATCCCAGGAGGCTACCTTATTTGTATCCTGCAGACCTCTTCTTACTGTTTTCAGAATTTTTATGGTGTTTAATTATTCATTCTTGCCTGAACCATACATCTTTGCTGTAACTTATGTTTCTTTTGGTTTTTTACTACGTCTTTATTTTCTAATTAAATTATTTTAATTGTTTTATGTTTGGAAGTCTTCTCTCCCCCACCCCCCAATAAAATGACAAGCTTCTTTCAGGCATTGACTGTATTTTCTGCTTTCTACACATTCCCCACAGCACCAAACAGAAAGTGGAGCACATAGTAAGCATTCAGTGAATGCTGATGGAATTGAATTATGAACTATTGTCTCATGTTCAGTCTTTCCCCAAGGGCTTTTGGTTAGAACATTTGGCCGGAATGTCATACAGACAAAACTGAATTAGGAAAAAACATGCAATATATGTTAGAGTCAAGGTTTCAGGCTTAGAATTTTGCATTACCTAATGTTTTGACTTCTTTTCAAGTCAGTTAGTTATTATCTGGCCTCACAAACATTGCCTTTCTTGTTACATCTTCTAGGTGGGACTTTTCTTTCTCTTTGTCCTGTAATTTCACATTTATCCCTCTCAAACAAATCCTTGAGCATGGTTTTTCTTCTTGCTGAAGAAGTCACTGTTGTGGCCATCCTAGAGTGGCCTGCTGTGAAACATGTGCTATTTCACTTCTGTCTTCATTTTTATTTTCTTGTCTTTCTGTTTCTGTTTTCTTTCCTTTCTCTCTCTCTTTCTTTCCTTCTTCTTTCTTTTTACATTAACAACTGCCTGTAGATGACAACAGCTAGAAGGTGACAACAGAAACAGGAGGACCAGCCCTTGCTGTAGCTTACACCCTAAAAGGGGAAAGACAGGACATCCAAATGGAACAAAACACACACATTTGAGGATTCCAATGCAGGAGGGGACAGAGGAGTCATCAATTTGAACCTAATTTAGCCCCTTAAGGAAGTCAGCACCGAGACCATTGCCAAAACTTTATTGATTCCTACTTTGGACTTAAAAAAACCCTCTCAGAGTTGAAAGAAGACCACTGTTGTCTTTTTTTCTTTTCTTTCTTTCTTTTTTTTTTTGAAACAGAGTCTCGCTCTGTCGCCCAGGCTGGAGTGCAGTGGCGTGATCTCTGCTCACTGCAACCTCCGCCTCCTGGGTTCAAGTGATTCGCCTGCCTCAGTTTCCCAAGTAGCTGGGACTACAGGCATGCGCCACCATGCCCAGCTCATTTTTGTATTTCTAGTAGAGATGGGGTTTCACCATATTGGCCAGGCTGGTCTCGAACACCTGACCTCAGGTGATCCGCCCACCTCAGCCTCCCAAAGTGCTGGGATTACAGGCTTGAGCCACTGCGCCCGGCCCACTGTTGTCTTCCTTACTTCGTACTCCATGCTCCAGGCTGTGCAGCCACAGTCCTGTGCTCTCAGTGCCTGGGCAGGGATAATCAGGAAGTGTCAACTCTGTTATGGAGGGAACAGTAAGCCTGTCTGCCCATCTTCAGTGATGAGGTCTCTTTGAACTTACATATTCAATACCTGGATTTAGACAGCAGTGGCCTGCTTTAGACAGCCATACATGAGAACTGACTGCATGAGGGTGGAAAAAGGCTCTTCCCCACTGCCCATCCCCCACCCAGCCCCTGCACCTGTGACTGTTTGAAATCCCCACTCTGCCAGCTTTGTTCCTCAGTAATTCCTGCTGAGGGAATTTAGGCCTGCTCTCCACAGCCACTTCCATCTGCACTTGGCTTTCTTCTTGAGTCCACAGTTCTGGCAAGGGCTGACTTCTTCCAAGTCAGTGAGAGGAGAGTGCACGTTCAAAATCATCTGCCTGGGATTGGAGAGAGTGGAAAATGGGAAACATGCTCGGTTTGGAGGCATCTCATTCTTTTGGAAAAATCTGAAACCTCCACTGGTTTACTGTTTATAGGCTGCCAAGTGTGTTCTTTTTTTTTTTTTTTTTTTCCAAGACAGAGGACACCATCTCTGCATCTCATTCTAAATAACAGACAAACTATATACAGTGCTTCTCCCACCCATTACAAAATTGCCAAATAAGGTGGGGTTAGGATTTGGCTTATTATCGTGGTTGTTTACCACAAAGGGGTCACAGTTGAACTGCTTTTAGCAAAAATAGGGTGTTGTTACTCTCTCCCTCCTCGGTGATTGGGTATGTCTATTCCTTATCCAAAATTTCCAGACAGTTCCTGTCTCAGAGACTTGTTACCCCTAAACTACCTTGCTACTTAATTTAACAAAAAGGAAAGTATGAAAATTAGATGTTTGCTCATTGCTTCTGACATTTTTTCTTCCAAAGTTCTCCTCACCGTACTACAGTGGAGGGAAAGACTATGAACATACATTCGTTACGGGTATACTTTTTTGATTTGGTAAAAAGGCTCTGCTATTGTGAAGCATGTCTTAAACATAAACAATAAAACCTCATAAAGCTAGCTTCTGTTTACCCAAAGTGGTGGGTAATTGGAAACCGGATTATAGAATCATAGATTTTTTAAAATAAAATTGTTATCGAAGCATAATATCCATGTCAAAAAGTACACAAATCATTAGTGTACAACTTGATGGATTTTTACAAAATGAACATACCCGTGTAACCAATACCCAGATCAAGAAACAGAACACTTTCCTTATATTAGTTTCTGTGGTTGCCATAACACATTACTACAAATTTCATGGCTTAAAACAACAGAAATGTATTCCTTCGCAGTTCTAGAGGCCAGAAGTCTGAAAGCAAGATGTCAGCAGGGCTGTGCTTCCTCCAGGGGCTGTAGGGGAGAATCCTTCCTTACCTCTTCCTTCCTGGAGCTAGTGGCTCCAGGCATTCCTTGGCTTGTGGCTGCATCACTTCAGAATTCTCTGCCTCTGTCTTCACATGGCCTTCTGCTTCTCCCTCTTCTGTGCCTTCTCCTTTGCCATCTCTTATAATGATACTTGTCATTGGCTTTAGGGCCCACTCAGATAATCCAGGATGAACTCATCTTGAGAGCCTTAACTTAGTTATATCTGCAAAGGCCCCTTTCCCAAAGAAGGCCACATTCACAACTTCTAGGACATGGTCATATCTTTTCTGGGGCCGCCATTCAAGCTAATACCCCTCTCAGCGACTTCCATGTCAAAGGTAACCACTGTCCTGACCTCTAAAAGCATAGATTAGCTTTGCATGCAATTCAGTTTTCTATAAATAGAATCATAGAGGCCATACTCTTTTGTGTGTGGCTTCTTTTCGTAACATCATGCTCATGAGATCTCCATGGTTGCTTACAGCTGTTGATCATTCACTCTCATTGCAGTATAGTATTCTATTGAATTAGTTTTTTTTTTTTTTTTTGGAGACGGAATTTCACTGTTGTTGCCCAGGCTGGAGTGCAATGGCGCGATCTTGGCTCACTGCAACCTCCGCCTCCCGGGTTCAAGCGATACACCTGCCTCAGCCTCCCGAGTAGCTGGGATTACAGACATGCACCACCACGCCCGGCTAATTTTGTATTTTTAGTAGAGACGGGGTTTCTCCATGTTGGTCAGGTTGGTCTTGAATTTCCCACCTCAGGTGATCTGCCCGCCTCAGCCTCACAAAGTGCTGGGATTACAGGCATGAGCCACCATGCACAGCCTGAATGACTTTATCACAATGATCCATTCGACTTTTGAAGGGCCTTTGAATTACTTTTAGTGTTACCATTACGATAATGTGGTTATGAATATTCCTGTATTTGTGTCTTGGGGCAAATGTGCATATATTTCCATTGGGTATACCCAGGGGTGGAATTTTTAGGTCCTAGGATATGTGTATGTTCAGCTTCAGTAGACAGTGCCAAAGAATTATAGATTTTTTAAGTTATAATTAATCTTTGAAATCGAGACCAGATTTAAGTAATGCCTCACTTAAATAAAATGCATGTAATAATCCCAAATCCACTAATCCAAAAAACAGTATTTCTCCTGGTGCCCAGACCTTTCGAAAGGGGCAGATCTTATTCTACATTGCCATTCTGGCACGGACACCCCAAAAACATGCTGCATTGTCTTTGTCAGATCACACAAGTAAAAGAGAACTTGGTAGCATTGGCCATGGAGAGAGGCAAGAGGCAAGCCATGTGGCCAAGAGCATTAGCTGGAATTAACCAGCTTCCTCCCTGCACTGAGGCTTCCTGTTTGCTCTAGCAGTCAGCTGGCTTGGGATAGCATTGAAGGCAGGCTCTCTTATCCTCACTAGTGTAGGCATAGGAGCGATGTTGCCTAGGAAAGGGCATTATACATGAAGCTTGCATTTCAAGAAGTGTCTGTTTCAAAAAAAAGTTCCCACTTTTGGACCCTGAGCTATGAAAAGCCAAAGTCACCTCGAAGTCGAATAAAAAAATCAATTTAACAAAACAGTCCCTTTCACACACACTCCCACCCTGCTGTGTTATTTTTTTAAAACCATTTAGTGTCATTAAGCCATTGCCTCATAAAGTTGTTTCACCAGGAACTTCAGTTTCCCCAGGAAGAGATGAAAATAAACTGAACATTTCATGTCACTGTTCCCACGAGTCTTAAAAAATCATGTTTGTCTTTAACAGCACGATATGAAACATCTCTTGTCGATAAGGAGTTATACTTCAGGATAACAAGGCAACAGAATCTACAATGATAAATTTTACCCACATTTTAAGCCAGAATTCCTCATATAGATTACCAGGCATATTTGACTCCAACCATATTTTCCCACATAATTATTTCTTTTAAATCTCCTAATTATTCCATTCTGTTGAATACCATATGTCCTGCTGAGGGACAATTGTGTCTAAACAAATCAACAGGTTTTGCATCATTGTCTAAATATGAGGGAGAAACAACAGCCCCACAACTCTACTCTGGCATTTTGGTGGAAATGAAGAGTTCTAAATCCCACATTGGGAATGCCTCATCTCTGGCTCCCCTGGAAGATAACTTGTGGAGCCCAAAAACAAAGCCAAATGAATTTTGGAAAGGTCAGTGGGAAAGACATTGGGGTGGGACTTTTCCAGAAAATGTTTGAGCCTTTGCTCCATGAGCTGTCTGGTCACCCGGACAGTTTGTACTTCCCAGAGAGGGTGGGGAAGAGAGCAGAAGCAATTCTTCTCTCTGGGTACCTGGGTCCAGGGGGGCTGGAAACCTGGGATTTGCTCAGTTGGCTTGGGTGCAGTTGTCTCACCCTGGGAACGAGCCCGTTTGAACCCTATGAACAGTGTAGTTATGTCAGGAACCTTGGAGATAGAACAGAACATCTGTGGGAATAAAATAGCTGAGGATTGTCTGCCTTGTGTCTTGTTTTCGAGAGAACTGCTGATGTGTTTCAAATAATTGAATACTGTGCGCTGGGAAAGTGCTTCTCCCTGAAGCCAGTTCCAGGCACCCCAGAGCTCCAGTGCTTCTGCTAAGGGCTTGCAGACATCGCTGTTAACACGCCACCTTCCAACAATAATTGACCTTTCTCCTTTTTATTTTCTTTTTTCTCACCCTCTCTGTCTTGCTCTCACTACTCTCCCCCTTTCTCTAGTCTTAGTTTTCTCTTTATATGTTTATGTCTTCCCTCAAAGATGTGGCCAAGAAGCCCCGATGGCTCTCAGAGTCACAAAGAAGGTTAAGTGCACTGGTGTGAGGATAACTGGCAGTTCTGAGAAATCCGCAAGTCCCTGAAGATTCTTTTCCTCCCTCTGTGATTGCATCAGCCTCGCCCTCCCCTACTTGTCTGTGTTGTCCATTCTCCTTTTATCCATGCTCACTTCTAAATCAGTTCATTCAAACACCATAAGCATTTGCCTTCAGCGAATTAACTCTGATTTAGTTCAAAGTTCAATCAAAAGGAACCAGAATAAAGGAATAGAGTGGACTTTCCTTTCGGCGCCCCCACCTGACTTCCCATAAGCCAAACTAGCTTTTTCGTCGACCTCAGCATGGTTAGAGCTTCCAGATCTCCTTTCCAACTGCCCATGCAATGTCAGAAGGAAGGGTAATGGAGCACACCTCTAGAATGTTGGGGATCAGTGGTGCTCCCAATTAGGGGCAGGTGCATTAGCACACACACACTTCCTGGCCTCTTCCCTGGCCCCTGTCCAGAACTCCAGCAAGCTAATCACAAGGAAAATGTGTGTGCCTGAATGTTAGGAGTGAACAGGCAGGTGACTTGCTTCAGAATTAGCTTGCAGCGTCTCTTTTTCTAGCTGCCATCCAGTATTAGATGTGGTAACCACACCAGTTAACACCCCGGATTGGCTTGGGATTATGAATGGAAGGAAGGGAGATCCCCATGCAAGCAAGCAGCTGTCCCTTTGCTTAATTATTGGGATCCACAAGTCCATCCCTATTGCCAGGGCTTCAGTGTCGAGATGATGAAATAGGTGATTAAGGGACTTGGAGGCCAGTCCACATTGCAGCTTTGTCTGAGTGTTCCAACGACAAGTGTTATTAGTCCACTAATCATAACATTGCCTGCAGTGGAATTTCCTTGGGAAGGAATGGGGCAGCGCCTCCATGCCAGAGGGCTGCGCAGCATGAAAATACTAACACATCACAATTGGCTGTTCTGTGGGAAGACGATTCCAACATCCAATTCAGGAAATAGGTCACCGGGCTGCTAGATACACTGCTATTTTGATTTACTTCCTTAGACTCTTGCAGTCTTCATAGACTTCTCTCTGGGTAGAATCAAACTCCTCCAACTTACTGGCTTCTGGAGTGCCACATAGGGAAAGATGCAAGCAAGTTCTGAAAACAGAGGCATGGATTTCTCGTGATCAATCTTGTGGTGTCCTGGTGTCCACTTGCTTCTAGAATCAAACACAATGCCCTTCGGGATACTCCTCACCTTGACCTCTTTCAGGGGAGCTTCCCAGAGGTCTGGGGCCATGGCTTTTAGGAGCCTGCAGCTGTGCCGGCCAGACAACAAATGTTTAGTGAGAGGTTGAAGAGATACAAATGGGTTGAAGGGCGCCAGAGCCTTCTCAGTAATGAGCATAGCAAAGCTTCGATTTCCAAGGATCTTGGGAGGACAAGATGTACTCATTTGGAGTATTGCACTGCCAGGGCTGTTTGTACCAGCTGTCGGGTTCAGAGACCACCCTGTTGGTGGGGTCAGGGGCCCAGCCAACCCTTTCTTTTATTCTATACCTCTGGTCACTTGGGCCTTAAGAAGCAGGAGTCGGGGCGGTGGGGGCGGTTTGGGGCTCTGTCACTAAGCAGCTGCCTCTTTCCTGGATCAGTCTAGACTTCCCTCTGATTTTTCCTAAACCCAAGCAGTTGTCTACTGCCTTGGAGTGTCAGCAAAGGGTATTTGTGGGTCTTTGGTATTTGCAGATTTCATATCAGGCAAAAGCTTACATTCCCCTTTTCTTCTTCTTCTTTTTTTTTTGAAATGGAGTCTCGCTTTGTCACCAGGCTGGAGTGCAGTGGCACAATCATCTCAGCTCACTGCAACCTCTGCCTCCCAGGTTCAAGCGATTCTCCTGCCTCAGCCTGCCGAGTAGCTGGGACTACAGGCGCATGCCACCACACCCAGCTAATTTTTGTATTTTTAGTAGAGACAGGGTTTCACCATGTTGGCCAGGATGGTCTCGATCTCTCAATCTTATGATCCGCCTGCCTCGGCCTCCCAAAGTGCTGGAATTACAGGCGTGAGCCACCGCGCCCAGCCCCTTTACTTCTTCTTCTTCTTTTTTTTTTTTTTTTTTTAAGGTAGACAGATTATATGACATTGGGGGCTCTGAACTTACCCACTGCCCACTTTTTGTTTTTAGCCTTTCAACTACTGGGTAATTCTGGATTTATAACCTCTTTCTTGGTGCCCAGAGACATACTATATTATGTTGGGGCATAAATTTTGGGCTTCAGCTCACCTGTCCAGAGATGCCATCCCAAGGCAGTCTTTTAGGAGATGAGGAGTTGTACCAGTTGAGATACCATGGGAGGGTTTGAAGAGGTGTCTTGCTGAGTAAGACCAAAGGGTGTTTTCTCTCTCTCTCTCTCTCTCTTCCTCTCTCTTTCTTGCTTTCTCTCTCTCTTCCCTGCTAGCCATGACCTATATCAGCAAATAGAAAAGGGGAATATTTGTGATAAACTCCTCCTGGCAAATCCATTTTTTGGGCTCTGGACTTGAGAAGAGCTTTACTGCCTTTTAAAATTCTAAGTAGTCTGTTAAACACTATTTCGACCCTCTAATTCTTTCTCCAGTTCTTTTTTCTTTTCTTTCTTTTTTTTTTTAACAAATCTTTAGAGCAGAGGTTGTCACACAAGTAAGTGGAGTAGAATTTATAGTCACTGCAGAACAACCACATGGTTATTGCATATACTGCAGAGACAAGCAAAAGATATGAGACAAAAATTGCAAGAGCAAGCACCTCCAAGTTATCCAGCAGCCAGTAAGGTTACAGAGATTGCTACTGGTTACAGAGGCTGTGATGTGAGCTGGGCCTGAATTTGATCCCCAGCTGTGCTCCTTATAGCCGTGGCACTAGGCAGGTTCCTGAGCCCCTGCTTCCTACCCTCCAGATGAAAACAAAAGTTCTTAGTGCGAAAGGGTTGGGAAGGTTAAACAAGAAAATATAGGTGATATGCTTTCTCAGCCCAGTCCTGGAAATTAGTAAAATGGTCACAGAATGGTGACTTTTCTCATTATGAAAATCACCTCCTTGGCTTTGTAGTCCCATTTCCTGTTTAATAGCAACTGAAATAGCCACAGGAGCCACCACCCCCCATCTGAGTCTGGCTATTTTCGAGGCTCCATTTGGAAGGGGATGGCCCCAGCAGTCCAGGGGGTGGGAGGTGGTGGGGAGGGAGGCATTATTCTCTGGGTTGCAGCTGTGGCAGTAAGTACAGTATCCCCCACATGCCAGATGAATCAAGCTGAGGGCCAGATCTGGGCTGTGGGCCAGAGGTTCCCCACCCTGATTTATAGCATGGACAGAGATGTGGGTGTTTTGTGAATATATTTTGATGATGATAAAAAAAAGAGAGAGGGGAGGGAACGCCATTCCTTAAAAATGTGCTGAGGGAGGGAGGTTCAGACCTATCTTCAAGATTAGAGCAGCCTGGCTGTTCGCGGTAGCAAGTCATTAGAAAGAGGCCCATGGAAGAGCAGCCTGTGAGAGGCCTTGAAACACAGTGAATTGTGAATAAGGCCCCTGTATGCCAGCCATTGGGGGCAGATTAGGCTTGCTGTCCTCTCTGCAGGTGTGGAGTGGGGGACTAAGCCTGCATTTTAACTCCTGCAGGTCCCAAGAGCAGAGAAAGGGAGCACTGGGTCTGCTGAGCTGTGGGGAGCCCCCCGGCCCCATGCGTTCCCAGTGCTAATAGTTCTCCCGAAACCAGCCAGGCTTTGCCTCTGAGATCAGGCCTAGGTCATTGCCAATGGACTGAGGACAACAGGCTAAGTGTGGAAGTTTGCCCTGGATGGAGTTTGGAGAAAACTCACGTGGAGGATTTATTCTAAACCTTCAACCTAACAACACATTTGAGAGGGCTGGCTGAGCAGCAGATGGGAGTTGTGGCTCCCTCCAGAATGTTCCCCTCCCAAACAAGGCACAGCTAGGCACAGACCTCCTTGTTTTACTTGTGGGATATCAGGCACAGTTGTCCTGGTTTACTGTGTTTCATCCAGGAAAGAACTTCAATCAGGTTTCCTAGGACCCCTACAGATCTTTGAAGACAAGAGATTTATTCCCCAGAGGTGAGGCCACTAAACAGACAGGGTCCTAAAGCTTGCAGTTCATAAAATCACATCGGTCTGCAAACATCTTTTTTTTTCTAAGGGAAGGGCAGTGAACGCTCTCATGCCAACAGCCTGCAGTATCTGACAAGTACAATCTGGTTTTTTTCCCTCTCACCTCTCACTGCTCCCAGCCTTGAGCCTTCTGTTCAAACCAGGCCTCATCCTCATCCCCAGCACCCCTGCCAACCCACCCTGCTCAGATTTGCCTTTAAGCTTTTGCTCCATCTGGAATCCTCTTGCCCTTTGAGGATCCAAAGCCTTTGTCCTTTCACATGACCAGTTCTCTGAGGAAACAGCCCTAGCTATTCCTGAGGCCCCCATTACTGCCTGGTCAAGGGCTTTGGGGCACATACTGCCTGTGCGTCCATCCTCATGAACTCCAAATCTCCCCGCTACTCCACAGGACAAAGAAAACGAGACTGACAACGAAGTCTGAAGGAGAAAGGCAAGTATCTTTCTGCTGGACTGGCCCTCAAGACTTAGCACAAGTGAGTTTTTGGAGTTTTTTCCTGTGATTTCTGTGTGTACATATATACTCACCTCTTTTCTGTGTTCACTTCACTGAAACACAAATCCACCACACCCATAAGGCCAACCCTGGGTTACTTTTTGAGCCTGCAGAGATTTCCCCCAACAGACAAAACTTCTAAGCCCCGGAAGTTCTCTGTTTTATATCTAGGATGTGAACTAAGACTCTGTGAGAGGGGTTCTGGTCTATATCACTTGGGGCTGCCTCCTTCAAGGGATGGTGAGAAGCCCCCTGAAATGAAATAAAATGGTTTCTCAGGCTCTTCCTTTTGAATTTCCCATTTCCTGCCTCAGGGCTCAACAAAGGACTTGTGTATGAGGGGGTGTGTGAGTGTGTGTACCATGGCAGGAGAAGGCACACAGGATCCTTGTTGTTCATTCACTTTTCCTGGGAGGAAACAGCAGTGGGTGTCTATTCCCAGCAGTATTAGGAAGCAGTGGTGTGGGCCCCTCGCCGTCTCTCTTCCCAGCTTGCTGGGAACGTCTTTTACTCCAAGCTGGTTAAGTAACCACAGAGTTGCATCTCTGGCTTCTCTGACTACCTCCCACTCTCCACTTGATGCCCACAAAAACAATGTGTTCAGCTGATGTTTGGGTAACGTTGTACATATTCCTAGCAAGGACATTGGACATATTCCTTGCAGATAAGGAAGGTAGGATCCGTTCCTGACTCAGGAGGCTGATGTTTCATTCTAATAAAGCTCAAGGTTTCTCCTCGCCCACAGTCGTGCTTTTTGATAACCTGGCAACAGCCAAACCTCAGTCATTGCTTTGAATGGCCCTATCTCAGCATTTAAGAGCATTTTTCAGGGGCTGGGCTTCATAAAGATTGGGGTTTTTTTGAGATCCTGTTAAAAAATGGGGTAAGCATCGTGGGCACATGCTCATCACAACCCAGGGAACAAACTGTTGGCGAGGAGTGTAGTAGAGCCCACATACAGACCAAATGCATTAATTATGAATGGTTCTTATCTTGTGATTAAAACAGATCTGGCAGGCCTGGAACTTGGCAGCCCTTGGTTAGCTATTAGTTCTATGCTACTGTACCGGCTGGGCAGTCATAAAACTGTATCTCTTTGAAAAATGGTCCATCATGTAGAACAGCCTCCTCTGCACCCATTAGCTCAAATTGATATGACTTGATGGCCTAATCTTGGGCTTCTCAGATGCTGGATTTAATTTCTGTCTGGAGCTTTAGGAAATCTGGAGGAAGGGACACAAGGGCTGCATGCAGTGAGGTAGGGTCAGAGGATGTACACACCAGCCCCCACCTCCATCTGCACAACTCCCCTTACTGATGGAAGGCATCCCTCTAGTTCATGTTGCCATTGTGTGCCCCCACTCTGTCAAGCCCTGTTAAGGAATTAACTACAAGTTGGGAGTTCATTGGTAAGATCCTGGGGCATGACTTGCAGGTGCAATCACAGCTTACTGCAGCCTCGACCTCCTGGGCTGAAATGATCCTCCCACCTCAGCCCTCCGTGTAGCTGGAACTACAGGTGTTTGCCATCAATCCCGGGTAATTTTTTATACTTGTATATTGACAGGTGTCTCAAGGAGGCAAAAGCTCCCAAGGATGGAGGCCATAGTGCTGGGATAAGAACTCATAGTGTAGATATTTTTGGACTGAGTCTTATCAGAAGACACTTTAGGAATTTCAGGAATCAGAAGGGTGTGATTGGGAAAACAGGGGCAGAGCTTCCCAATGCCCCAGAAATCCCACCAAATAGACCACACTGAGTCTCCAGTCAGATGGTGCCAATCTCTCTGCTCTACCCCGGCAGTAGTAGGCCTACGATATTGCTAGATAGCATTCATGAAGTTCCAGCTAGGCCAAGTACTTTTGCAAGTTCATGAGCAGGCCCCTAGGGTAGTCTAGCTTGTAGTCTAGATGAGAAGGCTGTTGCTAATGCTTGAATGGACTTTTATTTGATTATTTGATTTAAATGTCTCAAAAATGGAGCAAGAACCTAATCTATTGACAAAAACATGAATTTGGGAATCAAATCCAACCATTGCTCATTTATTCACCTTCAAAAGTTGAGCATTTTATATTGAGCATTAAATATGTGCCAGGCACAGTGAAAAGCATTCATGTGACAGGTAGGTACAATTATATCCCCATTTTATAGAGATACAAACTGATGCTCGGGCATATTCATCTCGGTTGCACAGCTCTAAAGTAGTGGTGCTGGAATTAAAAACAATGTAGCACAGAGCATAGGTTGTGAAGTCAGGCTGCAGGAATATTCATATTCTTATAGATAAATGTGTAAAACTAAGGGATGTTTCTTTTCATAAGTGTTCTCTGGAGGAGCTCTCAGCCTCACGTGGGAAAATAGCTCTGTCACTCAGAGGAGAGCTTTAGGAGGATGATACAGGTATGGGCACCATCAACATATAGAAGGCAAGTGAAGCTGAGGGAGATGAGAGGAAGGGCCAGAAAGACTTGCTGTAGGTCACACAGCCATCAAGGACAGAGCCAGGCCCAGGCAACAGCACTTCCCCCATTGCCGTTTCCTTCAGCTGCAACTTCCATACCAAGAGGCGGCTCCATCCTTTCCTCGCCCCCTTTCTCTTACTTTACAGTCAGACAGGAGTTATTTCCCAGGAAGCAATAACAGTATTGACAATCAGAGGAGTTTGGGACAGGCACCGTGGCTTATGCTTATAATCCCAGCACTTTGGGAGGCCGAGGCAGGAGGATTGCCTGAGCCCAGGAATTTGAGACCAGCCTGGGCAACATAATGAGACCCCATCTTTACAAAAAAATTTTTAAAAAATTAGCTGGGCATAGTGGCGCACAACTATAGTCCTAGCTACTTGGGAGGCTGAGGCGGGAGGATCGCTTGAGCCCAGGATTTTGAGGCTGCTGTAAGCTATGATGGCATCACTGTGCTCCAGCCTGGGTGACAGAGCAAGACCCCTATCTCTTAAAAAAAAGAATTCATCTTGAGTAATTATTCATAGCTATTGAGTATGAATGAATTCTGTGGTAAATAGACAACTCTAGGGATTTCAGCACCCACTCCCATTGGGAAACCTTGCTCTAAACTCTCACATAAAACACTTTCCTTCTCAGAAACTCAATGCTGGCTGTGAAGAAGAGCTTCCAGAGCAATGACTTTCTCTTGACAAAGGCTGGCCCTCTCAAAAATGGTAACATTTGTCTGTTGCAGTGTGCAAGCTCACACCTTTCTCTCATATGGAGCCTTCAGGTCCTCATGTGCTTGTGCTTTCACCCCTGGATCAGAGTGCATCTTCATGTGCTGTCCACATGTGTACAACAAAACTGTCTCTCTGGGGCCAGGTGTGATGGCTCACATCTGTAATCCCAGCACTTTGGGAGACTGAGGCAAGTGGATCACTTGAGGTCAGGAGTTCGAGACCAGCCTGGCCAACATGGTGAAACCCCGTCTCTACTAAAAATACAAAGTTAGCCGGGTGTGGTGGTGCACACCTGTAATCCCAGCTACTTGGGAGGCTAAGGCAGGAGAATCACTTGAACCTGGGAGGTGGAGGTTGCAGTGAGCCAAGATCAAGCCATTGCACACCAGCCTGGGGAACAAGAGCGAAACTCCGTCTCGAAAAACAAAACAAAAAAAAAGATAGAAAGAAAGAAAAAGAAACAGAAAACACCTTTCTCTATGGAAAGAATATCATAATGGCTCATATGCTCTTTTCTGGGCCTTTGTTTCAGGGGACAAGAACCCCAACAGTGGAATTTCAGGCATCAGCCAGCAGGTGGGTGGATTAATAAAGAGAGATTGAGAGAAGGCACCTTTCTGCCACTCCTGAAATCATACTCCTGGCTCTGAGTGTCAGTCCCGTTTGGAAACTATAGCTGGAAAAGTCTCAGCTGCCCCTGACACGGTCAAATGGAAAGTGCATGGGCTCTGGAGTCAGACTGTCTGGGGTCGTGTTCTAGCTCTGCTACTTACTAGCTGTGGCACTTTTCATAAGTTACTCAATGCGTGGTGCCTCAGTTTTCTCGTTCTATAAAACAAGA
The DNA here is from genome assembly GCF_000001405.40 of Homo sapiens. Classification (NCBI taxonomy): domain Eukaryota; kingdom Metazoa; phylum Chordata; class Mammalia; order Primates; family Hominidae; genus Homo; species Homo sapiens. The sequence continues at coordinate 134,729,385 of NC_000023.11, read as the reverse complement.
TAAGTATAGTACATAATTCACAGGGTTCTTAGGTGGGTAGATCTAGATAACTTGAATACATATAAACACTTAGCAGAGTGCCTGTGTGCCGGGTACAATGGGAAGCACTTAATGAATGGTATCTAGTCTTATCATTTCCTTGCTAAAGCTACCTCTTCTTTTAAGTCCCTTAACTAAGTAGGTCACTTTAGAGAAACTCAATTCAACTGGAATTATTGAGTGTCTGTTGTGTGCCTAGCATTGTGCTGGGGACACTGTGAGGAATACAGGAGAAATCTATGAAGGAAGAACTGTTCTCAAGGAGCTTTTTAGGCAGGATGTTTTGAGTTTCCTCCAACAGCCCAACTAGCAGCCACGTGGAGAGGCCCACGGCTCTTCCTTACATAGTAGCATAGCAAGGGGTTTAAACTTATGGGCTCTGCAATCAGACAGGCATATCATCTCTGCCTCCTGACTGAGGTGTGATGTTGGGAAAGGTACACTACCTCCCCATTTCTCGGTTTCCTCATCTATAAAAATGTGCATCATAATTACATCTTTATACATTGTGTGCCCATCAACATAGATTTATGATTATTGATTTATGCAATTGTCTTTTCAATCAGATAGGAAAAAAGGGAGTTACAAAATACCTTAAAATCTTTAACATTTACCTTTAAATATTAAATTTACTGGTGTTCTTTTCTTTCTTCCTGTGGATTCAAACTACTATCTGGTGTCCCGTCATTTCAGCCTGAGAGATTCCCTTTATCATTTCTTGTAGTGAAGATATCCTAGCAACAAACTCTCACTTTTTATCTAGCTGGGAATGCCTTCATTTCTCCTTTATTTTAAACAACAGTTTGGTTGGGGATAGAATTTTTGGTTGACAGTTGTTTGCCTTTCAGCACTTTGAATATGTCATCACACTGGCTTCTGGTCTTCATGGTTTCTGATGAGAAATCAACTGTTAATTTTATTGGGGGTCTTTTGTATGTGATGAGTCACTTCCCTCTTGCTGCTTATGAGATTCTCTTTGCCTTTGGCTTGTCACAGTTTGATTACGATGTATCTAGATATGGACATTTTTGAGTTTATCCTACTTGGAGTTGGTGGTGCTTTTTGGATGTGTAGGTTAATGTTTTTCATCAAATTTGGGGAGATTCTGCCTATTATTTCTTCAAACATTCTTTATACTCCTTTCTTCCTCTCCTCTCCTTCTGAAACTCCCATTAAGTGTACGTTGTTATGCTGGATGGTGTCCCACAGGTGTCTGAGGCTCTGACATTTTTCTTCATTCGTTTTTCTTTCTGTTTCTCACGCTGGATAATATAAGTATCTTCAAATTTGCTGATTCTTTCTTCTCCCCATTCAAATCCGCCATTGAACATCTTTAGTGAATTTTTCATTTTAGTTATTATATTTTTAATTCAAAAATTTCTATTTGGTTGTTTTAAAATAATTTCTATTTATATTTTCTGTTTATTGAGATATCACTCTCATATTTTAGTTCTTTAGACATGGTTTCCTTTCACTCTTTGAACCTATTTGAAATAGCTGATTTAAATCTTTGTGTAAAAAGTCCAACATCAGGCCTTCCTCAGGGACAGTTTCTATTGATTGTTTTCTTTTCCTTTGTATGGGCTATTTCTTTGCAGATCCCATACATTTTTTGTTGAAAACTGGGCATTTTGAATATTATAAGGTGGCATCCTGGAAATCAGATTCTCTGTCCTCCTGAGCGTTTGTTGTTGTTGCTGCTTGTTGTAGTAGTTATTTGTTTAGTGACATATTCTGTTTGAACTTCTACCAGAGTTGGCCAGTCCTATCTCATAGCTACAATTTGCAAAGTATAACTCCCCCTACTGTTTGCTTTGGCTGCCCCACAACTCTTTTGATGAAACTTAAAGCCAGGCATTAAGAGAAGCAAGATATAAATATGAAGCTTGTCTTGATGCCTCTTAGATCTTCATGGAGCAACCTTTATTCAAATAACTCATAAATTACAAGGCAAATCAGCATTCATTATCTGCCTTTATGTCAGAATGAGAAAAAAATGAGAGATTTACATGGCATGAGAGAAGAACGCATTCCACTCTTCTAAGAGGCGTTAAAGGCTCCCTTTTTAGTGAAATAAGCCACAATCCAGAAGGAGAATGGAAATCCATGTCACTTGAGAGAGATGCCACTAGCCCTTTCCTTCTATTTGCAAGCCTCCCTACTTTTGAGGGAGGGGGAGCACACCCCTGCTAACCGGAGTTGTCTAGGTCCTGTGGTGTTACCAGAGACAGGGGTGCCTATGTGAGGCTCTCTCTCCGAGCAAAGGAGGAAGCCTTAGGAAATTGGGAGGTAATCAGAGACTGGGCCAGAAGGACTGGTAAGGTAGCCTGAGGAGCATGGGCAGAGTGTCTCCAGCACTGGATGGGGGTAAAGAGGAGGGAGAGAAAGGGGGAAAGGGAGGTAGGTAATGGGATAAAATATGGTCAATAAATTCTGTGACACTGGGGCAGGCTTAGAGCAACGGGTAGTTTGCCCTTCCTGACTCCATATTTTCACCAGGAAGTTTTTTTTTTTTTTTTTTTTTTGAGACAGAGTCTTGCTCTGTCGCAAGGCTGGAATGCAGTGGTGTGATCTCGGCTCACTGTAACCTCCACCTTCTGGGTTCAAGTGATTCCCCTGCCTCAGCCTCCTGAGTAGCTGGGACTACAGGCGCATGCCACCACGCCCAGATAATTTTCTGTATTTTAGTAGAGACAGGGTTTCACCATGTTGGCCAGGATGGTCTCGATCTCCTGACCTCATGATCCGGCCGCCTCGGCCTCCCAAAGTGCTGGGATTACAGGCGTGAGCCACAGCGCCCGGCCAGGAAGTTTTTAATATTGTTATTTTGTTCTTGAAATATTCCTTAAGCATCAACCTTATACATTCATTCAACAATTATGTACCAAGTGTCAGGCATTAGAAATACTGAGATGAATAAAACAGGTCCCGATTATAAGGGAAAGTAATGTATAGAAAATTACAGTAGTGTGAGAGCAGAAGTGTGACTGAGGGAAGGCCAGGGAGCTGGATCTGCAAGGAGACCCCTCACTCCAGCTTCGAGTAGGGGTAGGAAATAGAATTTATAAGGCTTCTAGCAGGAGGTAATGCTTGAGATGAATCTCTAACCTTAAAGCACAATAAATTTGTCAAGCATCATTGGCCAAAGGAGTGTGTGAGGGTGCAAACATCCTAGTGAGAAGGAACAGAAGCCAGAAGGAGCTTCTGGTATATTCTGATACATTCTAAGACGGAAAAATAGCTTTGGAGGATGGACATAGGGTGTATGGAGGGTTCCAAAGGAGATTAGATTAGAAATTTAAATAAAGCCAGATCATGAAATGCCCTGCAAGTTTTTGTTTGCTTGTTTTTTGAGACAGTCTCACTCTGTCACCCAGGCTGGAGTGCAGTGGTATGATTTCAGCTCACTGCAACCTCTGCCTCCTGGGTTCAAGCTATTCTCCTGCCTCAACCTCCCAAGTAGTGGGGATTATAGGCACCCGCCACCACACCTGGTTAATTTTTGTATTTTTAGTAGAGATAGGGTTTCACCATGTTGGCCAGGATGGTCTCGAACTCCTGACCTCAGGTGATCGATCCGCCCACCTGAGCCTCCCAAAGTGTTGGGATTACAGGCGTAAGCCACTGTGCCTGGCATGCCCTGCATGTTTTAAGGAGGCATCTGTGCTTTATCTTGAAGGTTATGAGGGAGTCAACAAAGGATTTCACAGGGGAATGACCTAGATAGTATAGTAAGGCAGTTAAGAGTGCAGAATCTATATATCAGTGATGTTCAAAGTGTAGTTCAGGTACCAGCAGTCTCAGTGTCACGGGGAACTTGTTAAAAATGCAAATTCTTGGGCCCCATTCTAGACCTACTGAATCAGAAACTAGAGATAGGCCCCAGTCAGCTGTGTTTTAACAAGCTCTCCAGGTGACTGCAATGCGTGCTCAAGCTGGAGAACTACTTCCCTACACAGACCACCTAGGTTGGAAGCCTAGCTCTCCCACTATATAACCTGGGGCAAGTTCTAAACTCCAGTGAAGAGAGGGGGTAAGGGGAGGGGACGGGAAGTGAGGGAACAGCCATGACACTAAACTAAGACCCACAGGCCATATAAAAATGGTTGGTCATCCAGAAGGAATCTGGGTGACAGTGACATTCATGATAATAGCTTACATTTATTAAGAGCTTACTGCGGACCAGGTATTATTCTAAGAACTTCACAAATATTAATCTACTTAATCCTCACAACAACTTTATAATCCTATTTTTCAGCTGAGGAAACTGGGGCTCAGAAAGGTAAAAATATGGTGTGATGTGGAGAGATGTTTACAATTAAAGTGGGAATTTTTTTTTTTTTTTGAGACAGGGTCTCGCTCTGTCGCCCAGGCTGGAATGCAGTGGCACGATCACAGCTCACTGCAGCCTCGGCCTTCCAGGCTCCAGCGATCCTCCCACCTGTCTCCCAAGTAGCTGGGACTACAGGTGCACTCCACCATGCCCAGCTAATTTTTGTATTTTTTTGTAGAGATGGGGTTTCGTCATCTTGCCCAGGCTGGTCTCGAATTCCTGGGCTCAAATGATCCCCCCACCTTGGCCTCCCAAAGTGCTGGGATTACAGGCATGAGCCACTGCACCCAGCCGAGTTTTGTTTTTATTAAAAGAAAAAACCCATAAATCATGTATATATGCATGGAAAAAGACTGGGAGGAAATAGCCCAACATACTCATTGTGGTGGTGCAATTGCAGGCATTTTTAATTTCTTTTTTGTAGTTATCTTTGTTTTCCAGAATTTCTCTAAGAAGTTTATATTGCTTTTGTAATCAGGGAAAACACCCTTTTGAAAAAGAAAAGAAATTGAACATGTGCACTTGAGGAAGATGTGAGCATCCTCTCAGTGCACAATGCAGACCCACAGAAAGAAAAATGCACCTGGCTTGTCGCTATTTCATGCAAGAGGATTCTGAGGGCCTTATCATGTTGGCACGCAGTGAGGGAACTGGTGGAGGAGTTTGGAAAAAAAATCAGTGCAGATAGATAGTTCCTAAACACCCTTCATCCAGCTTTCTCTAATGTTAACTGAGTTAACCATAGCACAGTTTCCAGATCAAAACTAGGAAATTAACAATGGCACAATAATATTGACTAAACCATAGTTTATTCACATTTTCCCGGTCTTTCCACTAATGTATTTTTTCTGTTCCAGAAGCCAATCTAGGATCCCACCTGGCATTGCGTTGTCATGTCTCATTAGCCTCCTTCAATTTGACAGTTCTTCAGTCTTTGTCTTTTGTGGCTTTGACACTTTCTAAGATCCTGGTCAGCTACTTTGTAAAATGTCCCTCAATTTAGATTTGTTTTATGTTTTTTTTTTTCATGATTAGATTGAGGTTACACGTTTTTTGAGAGGAATATCAGAGAAGTGATATTATGCCATTCTTAGCACTCCCTGGTCTTTTAATAACTGTGTCCCCTTAAACGCTTTCATCATGCAATTTTAAAATTATAAGCATAAATGGTTGCAAAGATGTTTATTTCCAATCTGTTGTAAATATCAGCATTTGAAATGCAATTACTTCACTCTTTTAAAGGTATTCAATGGAATCTAAATAGCAAAGTCATTTTTACCCACCATTATTTTATTTTAAAATACATGAAGATCTTTTTTAAACATTTAACATTTTACTCCTTGAATCTGTATTTCTAGTCCACTTTCCTCAGATAATTTTATCTTAAGGTAATACATTCTTGGCTGGGAGCTGGGGCTCATGTCTGTAATCTCAGCACTTTGAAAGGCTAAGGCAGGAGGAGTGCTTGAGGCCAGGAGTCAAGACCACTCTGGGCAACATAGAGAGAGCCCCGTATCTACAAAACAAAAATTTTACAAAATCGGCCAGGTGTGGTGGTGCGTGCCTACTGTCCCAGATACTCAGAGGCTGAGTTGGGAGGATCGCTTGAGCTTGAGAGGTTGAGGCTGCGCTGAGCCATGATCCTGCCACTGCACTCCAGCCTGGGTGGCAGAGTGAGACCTTGTCTCAAAAAAAAAAAAAAAAAGTAATACAATTTTATACCTAAAAGGTAAGGCTTAAAATTCTCACCCTATGTGACTTCTCTGTAACAAAAATATGCTTTATAAATTGAAATTGATTTATACTTGATTTTTACCATAAAGCACTATTAGAATTATTATGATTATTATACACAGTGATCAAAACAAGTATATTTAAAGTTTTTTAAAAATAATTATTACTTGTGAAAAGGAAATTTTTATTTAAATATATCTCTTAATGAAATGAATGGGACTTTCTTTTCAGGTATCTAGGATAAATAATACTTATTGCTAGAAAGAGACAGTATTCAGAATCACGTCTTTTTTTTTTTTTGAGACAAAGTCTCATTATGTTGCCCAGGCTGGACTCAAACTCCTGGACTCAAACAGTCCTCCTGCCTTAGCCTCCTGAGTAGCTTGGACTGTATGCTCTCACCTTTCAGCATCAATTCTATTTCTAATTTTTTAATATATTTAAGGGCTGAATAAACTTGTTTACATAAGTAAGAAGAAGAAAATTTAAAAGTTTTATAATAGCACTGTCATGTAATTCCATAAACATCTGGGCTATAAACCAAAAATCAGTTATCTCCCTGCAAAAATAACTTTTTCGTTTTTTATTGAGATATAATTCATATACCATAGAATGCACACCTTTAAACTATATGATTAAGTGGTTTTAGTATATTTAGAAAGTTGTAAAACCATCACTACTATTCAATTCCAGAATATTTTCATCATCCCCAAAGAGAAACTCATTACATGTTAGCAGTCACTCCCCATTTCCTCCTCGCCCCAACTCCTGGCAAACATTAATCTTTCGGCCTCTGGATTTGCCCATTCTGGTCATTTCATGTAAGTGGAATCGTGTAATATGTGGCCTTTTGTGTCTGGCTTATTTCACTTTGCTGAATGTTTTCAAGGTTTATCCACATTGTAGCATGAATCAGTGCTTCATTCCTTTTTATACCTGAATAATATTCCATTGTATGGATATACCAAATTTTCTTTATCCATTTGTCAGCTGATGGACATCTGAGTTGTTTCCATCTTTTGGCTATCTGTGAATAGCAATGCTATAGACATTCATTTATGCCGAGTGCAATGACATGTGCCTGTAGTCCCAGCTACTCAGGAGACTGAGGCAGGAGGGTCACTTGAGCCCAGGAGTTCAAGCCCAGCCTGGGTAACACAGAGAGATCTCATCTCTAAAATAATAAAAAGAACACATTGATTTACAAGGTTTTCGGTGGGCACATGTTTTCGTTTCTCTTACTGGGTCATATGGGAATTTATGTTTATAAATTTTTGAGGAAATGCCAGACATTCTCAAAGTAGCTGCACCACTTTACATTCTCACCAGCAATGTATGAGCGTTCCAATTCTTCCACACCCTTGCCAACACTTCCTGTTATTATCTGCCTTTTTTTATTTTTATTTTTATTTTTTTTGAGACGGAGTCTTGCTGTGTCACCCAGGCTGGAGTGCAGTGGCATGATCTCGGCTCACTGCAACCTCTGCCTCCCAGGTTCAAGCAATTCTCCTGCCTCAGCCTCCCGAGTAGCTGGGATTACAGGCGCATGCCACCATGCCTGGCTAATTTTTGTATTTTTAGTAGAGACGGGGTTTCATCATCTTGGCCAAGCTCATCTTGAACTTCTGACCTTGTGATCCACCCGCCTTGGCCTCCCAAAGTGCTGGGATTACAGGTGTGATCCACCATGCCCGGCCTGTCTTTTTTTTAAGAGACAAGTTCTCACTCTATTTCCAAGGCTGGAGTGCAGTGGCAGCGATCATAGCTCACTGTAGCCTCAAAATCCTAGGCTCAAGCAATCCTCAGCCTCCCGAGTAGCTGGGACTACAAGGTGTGTGCCACCATACTGGCTAATTTTTTAATTTTTTTTTCAGAGGTGGGGTCATTCTATGTTGCCCAAGCTGGCCTCAAACTCCTGGCCTCAAGTGATCCTCCTGCTGTAGCCTCCCAAAGTGCTGGGATTATAGGCGTGAGCCACCATGCCCAGCCTGTCTTTTTGATTATAGCCATCCTAATAGATGTCTTCACTAGGTATCTCTTTGTGGTTTTGATATGCCTTTCCTTAATGGCTAATGATGTTGAGCATCTTTTCGTGTACTTATTGGCCATTTGTATATCTTCTTTGGAGAAATGACTCTTCAGATTCTTTGCCCATTTTTAATTAGGTTATTTGTCTTTTTATCGTTTAGTTGTGAGAATTCTAGATACTCTAGATACAAGTCCATTATCAGATATATGACTTGCAAATATTTTCTCCCATTCTGCATGTTGCCTTTTCACTTTCTGGGTGGTTTAATTTGCAGTACAAAAGTGCTTCATGCTAGGAAGGCACAGTGGCCTATGCCTGTAATCCTAACACTTCGAGATGCTGAGGCAGGAGGATCACTTGAGCCCAGGAGTTTGAGAACAGCTTGGGCAACATAGTGAGAGCCCATCTCTACAAAAAATAAAAAAAATTCAGCTGGGTGTGGTGGCACACTCCTGTGGTCCCAGCTACTAAAGTGGCTGAAGTGGAAGGATGGCTTGAGCCCGGGAGGTCAAGGCTGCATTAAGCTATGATTATGACACTGTGCTCTAGAAATAAAAGTGTTTCATTTTCATATAGTCCAATTTATCTCTCTTTTTTTTCCTTTGTCACTTGCGTGTTTGTTGTCCTATCATCCTAAGAATTTCTTACCTAATCCAAGGTCAGGAAGATTTACACTTATGTTTTCTTCTGAGTTTTAGTTTTAGTTGTTACACTTTTAGCTCTGGGTCTGTTGCATTACTGTGTACATTTTAAGATCAACATGTCAATTTCTGCCAAAAAAAAAAAAAGCCAGCTGAGATTTTATTAGAGATTACACTGAATCCGTAGAACAATTGGGGGAGTACTGCCATCTTAGCAATATTAAGTCTTCTAATCCATGAACAAGAAATGTCATTCCATTTACTAAGGCCTTCTTTATTCTCTGTCAATGGTGTTTTATAGTTTTCAGTGTACAAGTTTTGCACTTCATTTGTTAAATTTATTTCTAATTAGTTTATTATTTTATTGCAAATAGAATTGTTTTCTTAATTTGATTTTCAAGTTGTCCATTGTTAGTGCTTAGTCATAGAATTGATTGTTGTGTTTTCTGGCATCCTGCAACCTTGCTGAACTTGATTATTAGCTCTAATAGTTTTTTGTGGATTCTTTAGGATTTTCTAACTAAGGTTGTGCCACCTGCAAATAGAGATATTTTTTACTTCTTCCTTTCCAATCTGGATGTCTTTAATTTTTTTCTCTTGCCTATTTAGCCCAGCTAGAACTTCCAGTATAATATTGAATAGAAGTGGTAAGAGTGGACATTCTTGTATTGTTTTTGATCTTAGGGGGAAATCTTACAGTTTTATACCATTAAATTTGATGTTAGTTGTGGGTTTTTCATAGATGTTCTTTACCAGATTAAAAGTTACTTTCTAGTTCTTGTTTATTGAGTGTTTTTTGTTTGTTTGTTTGTTTTTCATTGAAACGGAGTCTTGCTCTGTCATGCAGGCTGGAGGGCAGTGGCATGATCTCAGCTCACTGCAACCTCCACCTCCCAGGTTCAAGCAATTCTCCCACCTCAGCCTCCCGAGTAGCTGGGATTACAGGCTCCCATCACCACGCCCAGCTAATTTTTTTATTTTTAGTAGAGATGGGGTTTCGCCATGTTGGCCAGGCTGGTCTCAAACTCCTGACCTCAAGTGATCCACCCGCCTCGGCCTCCCAAAGTGCTGGGATTACAGGCCTCCCAAAGTGCTGGGATTACACCTCGCCTGGCCTACTGAGTGCTTTTATCATGAAGGAATATTGAATTTTGTCAAACACTTGTTCTGCATCTATGGAGATTAACAGGTAGTTTTTGTTCCATTAATGCAGCATACTACATTGACTGATTTTCTTATGTTGAACCAACCTTGCATCCCTAGGAAAAATTTTATTTGGTCATTGTGCGTAATTCATTTTATTTGTTGTTGGATTCAGTTTAGTAGTATTTTGTTGAGGATTTTTGTGTTTGTGTGATAAAATACAGATAACATAAAATTCGCCATTTCAACAATTTCAGAGTGTACAACTCAGTGACATTTGTTATGTTCACAGTGTTGTGCAATACTTACCACTATGTAGTTTCAAGACATTTTCAGCATGACAAAAGGAAACCCCACACACACTAAGCCGTCATTCTCCCCTCCCCCTGGCAACCACTAATCTGCTTCCTGTCTCTATGTATTTGCCTATTCTGAATATTTTTTGCCCAGGTGTGAGGTGAAAAGGGTTTGGGTGAAATTTCCTCTATTTAGAAAATTACTATCACAAATTCTTTATCAGTCAGCAGCCAGTCAGCAGCCTGTCCCACACAATTATTCACAGGCCCCTTTTGAACCTCCTGCATTTGGCAAGAAAGGGAGGTGAGCATGGAAAAGGAAGAGGGCAATCTTTCAACTGTCTCCCCTCCTTCTGCTAGAGAAGGGGGACTATGAGAAGAGGACTGCCCAGGATGGCTCCAGGCAAAATATAAACATTTGTCTCCTTTGCCCTCAAATCTCCCCTTTCTGCTGCTATATCCAGGCCCTGGTGGCCTCAAGTAGCCAGGCCCTAGGATATCTCTAAGATCTCTTCCCTCCAGGCGGGGCTGCAGGCCCTGAGACTACTTTCATAATTGGTTTCCTGTTGGGTGTCCCTTGCCTGCAAGCCTTACTAACTGGCCAGATGGCATCCACTTGCTTGAGCCACGTGTTCTTGTTTGCTAAGGCCTCCCTAAGTTATCCTGTCCAAATTCCCTGAACGTGAGGAATGTCAAGCCCCAAAGCTGTAAAAACGGTGACTCACTGAAGTCCAAGAAGGAGGTACTTCTGGAGAGCAGGGTGATCTTTACGTACTTTTCAAGTAATGCCCATGGGCAAATTTGTTATTTAGTGAAGCAGGATCAGGCAGTGGGAAAAAAAAGGTGACACCCCACCCTCACAGTATGCCTTACAGCCCACTCCACAGCTTTATTAGGAGCTAAGTCTCTGGAGAGATTCTGGGGAATTTTTTTTCTCCAGGGAGGCTTTCTGGCTTACACTTCTCCAGACCCCAAGGACACTCCCAGATGCAAGGTGATGTCATTGGAGTGTTTTCAGATAGAGAATTTAAGACTTGCTCTGACCTCATGTGCTTTGTGTTTCCAGTTTAACTCAAACTTTCCAAGACTTGAGTTCATTTACCTTTAATCAAAATTCCCTTTCTGGGCTCCACTTCTGATTACACATGGGCCTCTAAGTCTTCTTGGCCATCAGGTACCAGTTGATCAAAAGTGTCACACATTTAGGTAGGGCCAGTGTGGCTGACATGCCCTTTGAAGTTCAAATAGGGTTGGAAATGAGTGCAATATTGCTCACATGATGTCAAATCTCACATGTTTGAAATAGAGTGTGTGACATTTGACAAATTCAAGCACATGGTGAGGCAGCTATTCTGCTTACAGAGCAAAGACTCCACTAAGGACTAGGTGAGTGACTGCTCATTGGGGCCTGCCTCTTTGTTGACAACAGACTCAGACTGGGGCCTTTTTGACGAAAAATCAGAATGCTATTTCCAACCCTTAGGCAAGTAATGGGCTAATGAATGGCTCTAGAATTTTAGGAGACAGGCCTCACTCTGGGGGACAGTCCCCACTGAAGGCAAAGTTCTTTCCTCACCCCCACATGTGTGGCTGATAAAAGCTACTTGTCTGGCTGGGTGCGGTGTCTCAAGCCTGTAATCCCAGCACTTTGGGAGGCTGAGGCAGGCGGATCGCTTGAGGTCAGGAGGTTGTAAACCACCCTGGCCAACATGGTGAAAACCTGTCTCTACTGAAAAGACAAAAATTAGCAGGGGTAATTTTTGGCACGCACCTATAATTCCAGCTACTCTGGAAGCAGAGGCAGGAGAATCCCTTGAACCCAGGCAGACATTGCAGTGAGCCGAGATTGCACCACTGCCCTCCAGCCTGGGTGACAGAGCAAGACTCTGTCTCAAGAAAAAAGCTACTTGTCATATGTGCGCAATGTACTTCTCCCTGAAGACTATTTCAAATGGTTTCAGTTTGGCCATCTACCCAGAACGCACACGTACCCAGCACGCACATGTACCCAGCAAATGCCTTCCTATTTCTACCATCTTTACCCATAGAAGGCCTTAGAGTAAGTACTCTTTTTCACTGAGTCAGGTTTAGACCACAGAATCCTCAGATCAGCACTCCCAGCAGCCTGGGCCAGTTGCTTGGAGTTGGTATACAAGATAATGAAAATTGCTATCATTTTACTGAGGATTTATTATGGGTGAGGCACTGGGTAAGTGCATTACATGCATTATCTCTTTTAATTCCCACAATAGTCTTGTTATGTACTATTATTCTCATTTTACAGACAAGGAACCAAGGCCAAGGGAAGGTAAGTAAACTTTCTCAAGGTCAGATTGGCAGAACTGGGCTGGAATTCCCGTCTGTTTGACTCCAGAGACTAACCTCTTAACCGTTACGCTATGCCAGTTCATTCATTCACTCAACAAGTATTTAATCGGCACAAATTCTGTGTTAGCATGGTTCTAGGCCCTGGGGATACAGCAGTCAGAAGATCTTCGCCCAGTGGAACATGACACTGTGTGGGCCTCTGGAAGAAGGCCCTCTGGGAATCAGTGACTTGACACTGGATAATACATCCATTTGCTAGCAGGATGAGGGATCTCAAAAATGTGGGAGCTCCACGCCTAAACACAGGGAGTATATGGAAAACTCAAGCCACAAGGCAAAAGGGCAATGGCAAAGTTTCAGCTCAACCCTGACAGGGCTCTGTATGCTTAGCATAGGCTATAGCCCATGCTCCAGTGCTTGAGAAGGATAACATGCCCTACTGATCTCTGTAACCCTTGAAGGTCAACCACCCCAGGCCCTCCTACCATAAGCCAACATTAAGTTTTTCAAGCATCCCAGGTCTGCCTGTCTTTTTTGCCATTAGCAGCTGAATGTGTGAAGCTCGTGGCTCCCCGCAAGGAACCCTAGGGGTGGGTCACAGGTGGGGCTGAGCTCACTCTTCCTATAGATACATTTCCCCCTTGTAAAGAGCAAAGGAGACAGATCAAAGGCCACCTGGGCCCACTTGCTTGCTAGAGAGACCCGGGGGAGCTGGAAAGGAAAGGGGAGGAGGGGACTGGGGTAGGCTGGAGCTGTGCTGTGATTGATTGGCTTGTTTTGCTCCTGCACTTCTGTTTACCCAGCTGGGCCTGCTGCTGCCCAGAGGACCAGCATGTGCATGGCCACTCTGGCCGGCCTTTGGGGCAGTGTCAGAGTGAGCTGTGCACTCAGCCATCTCCTGGCAAAACTGAGGCAGGGAAGTTTGTGTTTTATGTCTGCAACTTTCCTGCCCCACTGGGCCTTCTCCCACCTCCAGGGACACCCCTCCGTAACACACACACCCCAGTCTCAGCCACAAAGTTCTTCAGGTCTTCTTCCTCTTAGTGGAACCTAGTGTCACTCAGGTATCTAAGACACTAACAGGTAAACATCTGCCAACAGCCTCTAGCTTAATTCTTCTAGCATTTCAAAATGCCGGGCTTCTCTGTAATTAATTAGTCCATTCAAGGCAGACAAGAGCAGAGGGCCCCAGGAGAGGGAAACAAATAGCTTATGAAAGAGCTACAGATCCAAGGACACAAATGAAGTCCCTGGTCTTCTAGGTCAGTCTTTCTGTTAATTGACAAACAAGGTTAAAACAAATCCCAGCATCTCAGTAATGCTCTCTGCTCGGTTTGAATAGCAGTAGCCCAAGGTAGAACGGTTTCAGAACTCAGTGTGTTAGGGGGGTGGGGGGCCGTGGGCAGGATTTGAAGATTTGAAGGACCCTTCCAAGTGCACGTGGCCACTGGTTTGTCAGTGTTTAACGCCAGCTCTACTTTTCTTAAAAACCAACCCAACCCCAAATCAGAAGCAAGTAGAGACTGGTGGCAAAGGGCCCCTGGGCTTTGGGTAGGCACTAGAGTGGTGGTTTAGAGTGGGCTTTGGAGTCAGACAAGCCTGAGTGGGAGTTTCAAATCTCAGCTCTGCTACTTATAACTGTTTGACTTTGGGCAAGTTGCTTAGCTTTTCTGAGTCTCAGTATAACCTTCTGTCAAATGAGGATAACACCTACCTCACTGCATTGTTGTGAGGATTAAATGCCATAAAGTGTGCCAAGTGCTTAGCAACTGATCTGTGTTATCAATATATACAGAGGGGTGTGATGATCAAAGACGAGGATTGTGGAGAGAGGGGGATGGGATACCTCATTCTCTTCCTGAAATGTTCAGCACTTTGGGTGTGCATTCCTAATGTTTACACAGTTCAAAGGCGAGTTCAAAATGTGGAAACAACCCAAATGTCTATCAACGGATGATTGGATAAACAAAACATGGTACACACATGCAATGGAATACTATTCAGCCTTTAAAAGGAAGGAAATTCTGATGCATACTACAATACAGATGAACTTTGAGGACATTATGCTAAGTGAAATAAGCCAGTCACTCAAAGACAAACACTGCAAGATTCCACTTACATGAAGTTTCTAGGATGGTTAAATTCATAGAAACAGACAGTAGAATGGGGGTTGCCAGGGGCTGGGAAAGAGGGGAATGGGGAGCTAATGTTTGATGGGTACAGAGTTTCTATCCGAGAAGATGAAAAAATTCTGGAGATGGAGGGTGGCGCTGGTGGCACAACATTGTGAATGTACTGAATGCCACTGAATCGTACGCTTAAAATGGTTAAAATGGTAAACGTTAAATTTTATGTTGCGTGTGTTTACTGCAATTTTGGATGGATTGGGGGTATATGTGTGAGAAAAGCCATGAAAGGTTAGTGCCCTGGTGAAAGCCAGGGATTCTATTTTCTACTCCGCTATGAGAAGGCAGCCAGTTTCCATACAGGGGAAGGGGAGAGAGAGAGGGAGAGGGATGGGGGGATAGAGAGAGAGAGAAGCAGGAGAGGAGGGAAAGGAGAATGGCCTGGGCTGTCAGTGTAAAACAAAAAATACAAAAGTTGGAGGTTTTTCAGCTCTGAAAATGCAACAAGCAAGGAGAGTAGGCTCCATCCCTAGGTGAGCCCCAAAGCCCACTTGGGCCACAGCTATAGCCTGGCTGGGAGACCACAAAAGGGAAGGAGGAGGTAATTTGGACTGGCCTGAGGTAAAAATTGCAGAGATTTGCAAGTGCAATCAGCTCTTCAACTCCCCACCACTTCCAAGGCAGAGTGGGTGGGACCAGACTCTTCTCTTCCTCCAATCCCACTCCTTCCAGGCTACAAGGGGCCCCTCAAGGCTGCCCTTCTCATTCGGTTCCAGCTGCCTGATTTCCCTGGAGAGGAGGTTGTGGAGGTGGGGCTGCCAGTCCCTACATCCCTAGCAGACCCACCTCTTCACGGGACCATCCGGACCCTGTACACGTGGACCCTGGCCGTGTAGACACACCTGAGTCCAGGAACGACACAAGCCGCAGGGATCCCAGCCTAGGCACGGAGGTAATTAGGCCCGTCTTCTCTGCTCCTGAAGTAATGTTTATTTGTCTTTCAAATTCTGCCAACCAAAATGGCTTAGGCTGTGATTTACCGTCACACCATTATGTCATACTTCCTTACTGCTTTTATGACCAAGAAAGACTCCAGGCACAGTAGCCATATTATGTCCCAGCGAACTCCTGCCCAAATTAAGTCACTGTTTCTGGTCCCTATCGCTGGTCAAATATGACTTCTAAGGGTAATTGCTGTTTTAGGGGCACATTTTAAAGCAAATGCAAAAAATAATGAATGTACCTATTTTGTGACTGAAATTTGCATCTGTCTTTTTACCCTCTCCCGGCAAATATGTTTTATGTTTATTTAAACAGTCTTTAATAAAAATCTACAGCTGCAAAGCATCTTACTACTCAATGCTTTCTGGTTAAGAAAATTGCCCATAATCACAGTGGACTTTACTATTCATAACAGAATATTATTTTTCATCGGTGCATGGCTGCATCCCAATGTATGAGTGTTGCAAATGCAATGTGAGGCTTATCTGAGGTCGGAAGCTCTTCATTCATTCATTTATTCAATCCATCAACAAACTTTTTTGCGGACTTACCATATGGGGTTTGGGACCTTTGGGGAACAGGGGGCAAGCATGGGCAGAGGCATGAGAGAGCAGGTCACTGATAGGACAAAGGTAGCCATTGTCAACCACAGTTGATGTATTGTGATTGGTTGGAAAGTGTGACACAAGTAATTTGTTACTGATAATAATTAATGTACCAGAGTTGCTGAATAATTTACTTTAGTTGTAAGTTAGAGTGGATTCAAGGTTATCTTTACAATAATAGCATCACTCTCACCTGCTTGCATTTCAGTTTGTTTTGATGAGAGTTAGAGAAAAGGGTCCAATTAATAGCTGCGGATTCCCCAAGGACACTCATGGGAGTGTGTCATGCATGTGCACATCATCTGTCAGTTATATCATAGTTGAGGATTATCAGAGTGGCCTACAAGGCGTGTGTTATGTGGGAGAGTGGAGAGAGATGAACCGGGAGAGGCAGGATGGGTAGATACGGCTTTTCAGAGCTTGCATAAACACAGTTTCAGGTGGATTGGCCCCCAAATTTTGCAGATCTAATTGTCAGTAATGTAGAGCTACTGCTTGTTTATCAGGTTCCAGTATTTCCCCAAGTACAGAGATGTGATCTTAGGTAAAGTAGTGACTGTCAACTCATACTTGTGAATTTGACCTGTCTTGGAGAACCTGTAATTATACTTCTCAGAATCAAGTACTTCTAGCACTGGCTGTGTTGCATGTTGAGCTTCTTAGAAATGAGAATGTGACCCAAGAGGTAGCTTCCAGGTTAGGTTTCGTGGGGTGATTGTGCCGGGACCACATTTATCTGTCTTGAAAAACAGATAGAAATTCTCGGTCATGAGTCAAACTAGAAAAAGGAACTTACTAATAATGGATTTGATATGCTATTTCTACTGGGAAGTCAGATGGGGTATGGGGAGCTGTTGGGGTACAGAGAAGGAGTGTCTACTTTTCCTTACCTTTCCAATATAAAATGGATTTCTAGAATATTGGAAATGACACCTTTCATGAAAATAGAATAAATGATGAGCTTGGTGTTCTGATTTGAAGGGTACTAGAACTGTTTCCCTGCTCCTAAAAATACTCTCCCACTGCTGCTTGATTTTCTAATATTAGAAATTGTGGTAGAATCTCTTTTTATATGTTTACAAATTATGCTTTGCTCTGTTCAACTAGTTTTCATTTTCTTTTTCAAATGTATGCTGGAGGAAAAGAGGATAGTTCTTCTAAAAATAAGAAGCACATTCAAGAATGAGCTGGAAGCCTGCTGGAATTGTTAAGGAAACCAATTGTGTGTAGATGCGACCTCAGTAATTAATCAGTGAACATCTAGCAGCCAAATATCTGATGGGAGGGAGGAGGCCCTCTCCTTAGAGAGAGGGAAAATGACTACTCCCTTCTGATTGAAAAAGCACCATCCCAGACCTTCTTGCTGCTGACATGCAGATGTACATCTGGCTGTAATCTCTCACTCCCTGCTAGCCTTTGCCAAACTGTGTGGAACAGAAATCCAGTTTCTCCTCCATGTAAAGCGACAGAGAGAAATTGAATAGTTAGATAGTTAAAATTCTGAGCACTGGCTAGGAAAAGGAACATGCCCAAAGCAATAAAAAGACTCTCACTTAAAAAACTGTGGCTGAAGAAAGATTTGAGCAGTTTAAACAACTAGTGGAGTTGATTGGGGTGAAGGGAGTAGAAGTCTCAAAGCCACAGACAAGCCTTGATACTCTGCAGACAAGCTAAGAAATATTTAAATTGTGTGAAATCTACTCAAGGCTGATGAATAAGATAGAATAAGAGCTTGATAACATTTGAAAGAATTTATTTGCACTTAAGTGTCTGTGTTTCTATAAATCTTGCTCTAAATTTTATTTTATGTGGTGTTGTTTTAAAAACAGAGTTATTTATAAAGAATGAAAGCATAATTGAGTGGGGAAGTGTGCTCTGTTCCCTTTCTCCGAGCTGTCCAACCTAAGGGAAGACTATCATTCTGTCAAAGTGGTGGTAACTTAATCAAATTGCAGGACTAGTACATAGGAGGAAAATGATGCCCTTTGAAGCTTTGCCTTGGAAACCCACACTTCATAAGTGACAACAAATACAACAGTGCCTCAACTTTTGGATTAAATATTGCAGCCTTCTTTAAAAATAAAAAATGCCTCTGGATAGGTTAACATATAGAGTTATTAGTATCTTAGTACAGTGGTTTCCCAAACTGGGTATTTAACACACGTTTCATTTATATTGAGAACTTTTAAAATTCAGAAAAGTGCAGAGAAGAGTATAGCAAACACTTGTGTTCTCACCATGCAGAGGAGAAATACACTACTGTATTTACTGTGTCTTCCATTCTTTTTAAATTAAAAAAAAAGTGCTACATGAAAAGTTGAGGCCCCCTTTATCTCCTGCCTCCAGTCAACTCATTTTTATTAATTTGGTATGTTTTCTTCCAAACTATGATATACTTTTGTATTTTTTTAAACTTAGCATTATGTTCTTGAGATCAGTCCATGTGGGTGCCTATTGGTCTAGTTCATTCTTACTGCTGAACAGTAACCTATAGTACCACCACAGCACATTTAATTTATTCATTCCTCCTTTGGTGGATATTTATTTCCAAATTTTTAGTATTAGAAACAAACAACTTGCAATAAACACTGAGATATCTGTGTCTTTGCACACTGGATTGGAATTTCTCTAGAGTATGTACCTTCTAGAAAGTAAGATTTCTGGGTTAAAGAGTACATACACTTTTAGTTTTTCTGGGCACTGGCAGGTTGCTCTCCAATGTGGCTCTACCGAGTAACAGTCCCATAAGTCGTTTATGAGCTCCCATGACACCATACCATTGATAACTTTTGAGTTTTAATTTTTGCCTGTCTGATGAGTAAAGACAGTATCTTGTTTTGTTGTTGTTTTTATTTCCTTGAGTACTAGTGAGGTTAAGTATCTTTGCATATATTTCTAGACCATTCCAGTGTCTTCTGCCAGTTGTCTGTTGGTATTCTTTGCTCCTTTTTCCATTGTGTTGATTGCCTTTTAAAATTGACTTATAGCATTTATTTTATGTCTTTTTTGACTCTGTTTCTTTTTCAATTACATGTGTGGCAAGTGTCTTCTCCCACTATATGGCTTATCTTTAACTTTATACTGTCATTTTTTCTTATAGACATTATAATGTTTAATGTGGTCACATTTACCAGTCTTTTCTACTAAAATTTGTAAGTTTTGTGTGTGTGATTAATGAATTCTTCTATTCTGAGGTCATAAAGGTATTCTATATTTGCATCAAAGTGTTGTAAAATTTTGCTTTTAACAGTTAGATCTTTAATTCATTTTGAATTGATTTTTATGTAGGGTTTGAATAAGTTATCTAATTGTATCTTTTATCATATGAATAATTTTAATGCCATTTATTAAATAATCTATATCTTATCCTCCACGATTTATAATCAATCTCTGTCCTTTACCTAGTTCTCATAGACTTACCTGAGTTGTTTGTAGGCCCTTTTTATATTCCACTGGTCTATTTGTTTATCCATCTGCCAATACTATATAGTTTTATTTTTTATTTTTTGAGATAGAGTCTCGCTCTGTCTCCCAGGCTGGAGTGCAGTGGCGCGATCCCGGGTTCAAGCGATTCTCCTGCCTCAGGCTCCCAAGTAGCTGGGACTACAGGTGCACGCCACCACACCCACCTAATTTTAATATTTTTAGTAGAAACCAGGTTTCACCATTTTGGCCAGGCTGGTCTCAAACTCTTGACCTCAAGTGATCCGCCCGCCTTGGCCTCCCACAGTTCTCAGATTATAGGCGTGAGCCACTGTGCCTGGCCTACGTTGTTTTAATGCCATGACATTATAATAAGCCTTAACAATGTGCCCTTCACTACTCTTCTTCACAATTGTCTTGTATATTCTTGATGCCTTACTATTCTGTTACAATCTTATTCTCTGTGTAAATCTTCTGTGTAAATTACCTTGTCAAAAATCCAGAAAAATCCTGTTGTGATTTTGGTTGAACTTGCATAGAATTTACAGACCAATTTAAAGAAAATTGCCATATTTGTGTTGAGCCTTCCCATACATGAACATGGCATATATCTCCTTTTTGAGGTTACTTTATTCTAAACTTTTTATTTCAATATAATTATAGATTCACGGGAAGATGCAAATATGGTACAGAGAGGCCCCCTGTACCATTCACTGACTTTCTCCCATGATTATATTTTACATAACTAGAGTACAGTATCAAAACTAAGAATTCGACATTGATACAATATGTGTGTATATAATTCTATGCCATTTTTATCACAGGTGTAGATTTGTGTAAGATACAGAAGGCCAGACGCAGTGGCTCACACCTGTAATCCCAGCACTTTGGGAGGCCGACGTGGGCGGATCACCTGAGTTTGGGAGGTCGAGACCAGCCTGACCAACATGGGGAAACCCTTTCTTTACTAAAAATACAAAATTAGTCAGGCGTGGTGGCACATGCCTGTAATCCCAGCTACTTGGGAGGCTGAGGCAGGAGAATTGCTTGAACCTGGGAGGTGGGGTTGTGGTGAGCCGAGATTGTGCCATATTGCACTCCAGCCTGGGCAACAAGAGCAAAACTCTGTCTCAAAAAAAAAAAAAAAAAAAAGATACAGAATGATTCCATCACCACAAAGATGTCCCTCATGCTACCTTTATGGTTACACCCACCCCACCCTATCTCTAACCCCCAGAAATCACTAATCTAGTCTTCATCTTTACAATTTTGTCATTTCAAGAATGTTATATAAGTGAAATAATACAGTATGTGACTTTTTGAGATTACCTTTCTTCATTCCCTGGAGATTCATGCAAGTTGCTGTGTGTGTCAATAGTTACTCCTTTCTATTGCCGAGTCTGCTAGTGACGAATTCTGTTAGTTTTCCTTCATCTGAGGATGTCTTGATTTCCCCTTCATTTTGAAGAATATTTTTGCTGGGTGTAGAATTCTGTGCTGGCAGTTCTCTTCTTTCCTGGTATGGATGTACCATAGTTGGTCGAACCCGTTCACTTGTTGAGGGACGTTTTGGTTGTTTCTGGTTTGAGTGTTTTCTGTTTGTTACCTCTGTTTTTTATTTCTCTGTTTTCATTTTCTTGCCTTCCTGTGTGTTACTTGAATATTTTTTAGAATTCTATTTTGGTTCACCTACAGGATTTTTAGAGTTATGTCTTTGTGTAGCTTTTTTTGTGGTTGCTCTAGGTCTAACGTGACATACACATAACTTATTACAATCTACTGGTGTCATCATTTTACCAGTTAAAGTATAGCAACTTTATTCCTTTACTTTCTCCAGTTTATAATTATCTTAAGTATTTTGTTTACATACATTGAGAAAACTATCAAACAATGTTTTACTTTTTGCTTTAACCATCAAACATAATTTTAAAAAAAAATCAATAGAAGAGGACAGCCTATTGTATTTATCCATATTTTTTGTTCTTTCTTTGTTCTTTCTCATTCCTGATGCTCAAAGATTCCTTCTATCACTTGTTTCTGTTTGGAGAACTTCCTTCAGCCATTCTTTAAATGTTAGTTTGCTATCATAAGGACAGAAAACCAAACACCCCATGTTCTCACTCATAGGTGGGTATTGAACAATGAGAACACTTCGACACAGGGCGGGGAACATCACACCCCGTGAGCCACTGTGCCTGGCCTATTCTCTTGGCCTGTCAGAGGATGGAGGGCTGGGGGAGCAATAGCATTAGGAGAAATACCTAATGTAAATGACAGGTTGATGGGTGCAGCAAACCAACATGGCACATGTATACCTATGTAACAAATCTGCACGTTGTGCACGTGTACCCTAGAACTTAAAGTATAATTTTAAAAAATGTTAGTTTGCAAGTGATAAATTCTGTTAGTGTTCCTGCATCTAAGGATGTCTTGATTTTCCCTTCATTAAGAAGGATATTTTTGTTGGTTGTAGAATTCTGTGCTGGCAGTTCTTTTCTTTCAGTACTTAAAAAATACCATGTCATTTCCTTGTAACCTCCACAGATTTTGATGAGAAATCTACAGTCACTGGGTTTTGGCCTGGATTTCTTTGGGTTTAATGTATTTGGGATTTACTCAGCTTTTTGAACCTGTAGGTTTGTCTTTTGCCAAATTTGAGTAAATTTCAGCCACTGTTTGTTTGAATACATCTTCAGCCTCACCTTTTATTCCCTCTCCTTCTGTGACTTTGATGACATAAATGCTTTGTTATAGTGCCACGGATCCCTGAGGCTCTGTTCATACATATTTTTCAGTCTACTTTCTCTTTGTTGTTTGTCCTTGGTAATTTCTATTTTTGTATCTTCGAGCTTACTGCTTCTTTTCTCTATCTCCTCCATTTTGCTATTGGGCCCATCCATTGAAGTTTTAAAATTTTGGTTGTTTTCTCATTCTAAAATTTCCATTTGGTTCTTCTTTATATCTCCTATTTTCTTTGTTGAGATTTTTTGCCCTTTGTTTCAAGTGCATTTATAATTACTTGTTCAAAGGTTCTTATGATGGCTGCTTTAAAATCGTTGACAGGTAATTGTAATATCTGTGTCATTTCAGTCTTGGCATCTGTTGAATGTCTTTTCTCATTCAAATTGAGATTTTCCTGGTTTTTGGTATTATAAGTGATTTTTTATTCAACTTTGACATTTTGGGTACTACATTATGAGACTGGTTCTTATTGAAATCTTCTGTTTTAGCAGGCCTCCTCTGACGCTGCTCCAGTGGTGGAAGAGGAGGCACCACCTCATTACTGCCAGCTGGAGATGGACGTACAGCTCCCTATGTGGTCGCTACTGTCACTGTGGAGAAAGGAGATTTATTACAGTCACAGCTTCCCACTTGGCCCTCTCCAACACCACACTGGCTAGGTGATTGGGATACTTCCTTACAGCCTAGGGAGGGGAAAAGTCAGCCTCCCCACTCAGCCTTTGCTGGCATGAATAGGAGTGTTTTTTTCTGTAGATATTTGCCGGGAGTAGAGAGCAGTTATTGTTAAAGGTGTTCTGTTCTACACGGTTGTTCTTTTTCTGATACACTGGCTAGCGAAAGCAGGCTTATGTTGGGGATTTTTTTTGTCTGTGCTTGTTGGTATTACTGGGTTGCTAGCTTCTCTAGTACCCAGTCTGGGATATATGAGGCAAAAAGGGGACAGAAGAAACTCACCAATACGTTGCCTCAGTTCCCAAGGTCCCTAGCCAGTCTGCCCTTTTTTCTCTACCTGTCAGAGTCATCTTATATCTGCCTTATACATAATGTTCAGGGTTTTTAGCCGTACTTGGCAGAAAGAGTAGGGAAAATTACTTTTATTTCATCTTGTCTTGAAACTGAAGTATAAGATCATCTTTTATGACGTTCAAAAATTTTAATAATTTTCTCCATAAAGGTCTTATACAACTGTTGTGTGTGTATATATACTATGTTGTTAACAGTGTTAATTCAGTGAATGGAAATGGTTACCACTCTGTAATGCATGTAATAAAGCACTTACATATACTTGTTTAAAAGCTGTTTCTTGGAATGCTACTCACACACTGCTCACGCTCCTAGCTCTTTGCTAATAATATGTATTTTGGATAATATCACTCCTCTTTAAGAATTACATATTCTAATTTATTGTTTCTGGTATATTTAAATGATACTGATTTTTTTCATATTAATATATCCAGCACTTTTGTTGAATGCTCTTATTAGTTCTAACAGTTTCTAGATACTCTTGCTTTTTTTTTTTTTTTTTTTTGAGACGGAGTCTCACTCTGTCACCAGGCTGGAATCCAGTGATGTGATCTTGGCTCACTGCAACCTCCGCCTCCTGTGTTCAAGCAATTCTCTGCCTCAGCCTCCCGAGTAGCTGGGATTATAGGTGCCTGCCACCACACCCGACTAACTTTTTGTATTTTTAGTAGAGACAGGTTTCACCATCTTGGCCAGGCTGGTCTTGAACTCCTGACCTCATGATCCACCTGCCTCGGCCTCCCAAAGTGCTGGGATTACAGGCGTGAGCCACCGTGCCTGGCCGATTCTCTTGCATTTTCTGTATAGGCAATCATATCATCTGCAATTATGATTTTTTCCTTTTTCTAATATATATATATTATATATTTATATATTTTATATATTAGTGTGTGTGTGTGTATATATATATATATATATATAATTTTTTTGAGTTGGAGTCTCGCTTTGTTGCCCAGGCTGGAGTGCAGTGGCATGATCTCAGCTCACTGCAACCTCTGCCTCCTGGGTTCAAGCAATTCTCCTGCCTCAGCCTCCTGAGTAGCTGGGATTACAGACACACGCCACCACGTCTGGCTAATTTTTGTATTTTTTTGGTAGAGATGGGGTTTCACCATGTTGGTCAGGCTGGTCTCTAACTCCTGACCTCGTGATCTGCCCACCTTGGCCTCCCAAAGTGCTGGGATTACAGGTGTGAGCCACTGCGCCCAGCCATATATATATATTTTAATATGTTTAATACTTTATATTATATTTCATATAATATATAAATATTATATAATATATAAATATATATTAAAGTAGAATACTTTAATATGTTTGTAATTATTGTGATTTCTGTTATGCTTAGATTTATTTTTTCATTTTGTTTTATATTTCTATTACTATGTTTTATTTTTTTTTGTTGTTGTTATTTTGTTTTTTTTTTTTTGAGATGGAGTCTCACTGTGTTGCCCAGGCTGGAGTGCAATGTTGCAATCTCAGCTCACTGTAACCTCTGCCTCCCGGGTTCAAGTGATTCTCCTTCCTCAGCCTCCTGTGTAGCTGGGATTACAGGCATGCAACACCACGCCCAGCTAATTTTTGTATTTTTATAGAGACAGGGTTTCACCATTTTGGCCAGTCTGGTCTCGAATTCCTGACCTCAAGTGATCCGCCGACCTCAGCCTCCTGAAGTGCTGGGATTACAGGTGTAAGCCACCACGCCCAGCCTATATTTCTATTACTATGTTTTACATTGCTTCTTTTTTATTTTTTTCTGCCTTGATTGAGTTGATTAATGTTTTTATTTCCCCTGCCTTCTTCTGAAATTTTGGAAGTTGTATTTCTGTTAATTTAGTGGTCACCTTTAAAATTTTACATACACCCACGGACTGCACACACACAAAAATTCAAGTTAATGTGTATATTAACTTGAATTTTTGTGCAGTCCGTGGGTGTATGTAAAAATTTTAAAGGTATTAACCAGAGAGAGAAAACAGATTGCATAGAGATATATCTCCATTTAGAGATAGAGATAGAGATATATTTCGATTTATCCTTTGAGTAATAAAATAAGCTAAATATGTTTTAACTCTAATCTTCTACTCTCTATCTTAAGTGGGACTGTTGGGCCACATTTTGGTGGCATTTTCCTCTTCAATACCCCCCGGAATTGGTCATTGTAACCTTATTATTATTGGGATTCTTTTTTTAAGAAAAAACAGCTTTATTGAGATATCAATTATCACCATTTTAGAACATCATCATCTCAAAAGAAACCCTATTTTTTACAGTTGAGGTTTATTTAAATTTATCTATATGTTTACCAAGTTTTTTGCTCCATTGTTTCTTGAACTCCAGTCCTTTATTGTAGGTTCAGTTTTCTTCTTGATGTACATCATTTAATATTTTTTTAGTGAAGGCTTATCACTGACAAACTCTCATAGTCTTTGTTTAAAAGATCTCATTTTAATGACCCTCAGTTGTGAATGATAACTTCTGTATGTAAAATTTTAAGTTAATGGGTATTTTCCCTCAACTTTGTAAATATTATTCCATTGTTTTTTGAGTTCTATTGTTGCTGATGGGAAGTGTATTATTTATTATCTATTGTCAGTCTATTTTTTAATGTTAGTTTTTGAATGCCATCTGTCTTTTCTCTCTGGTTAAAAATTTTCTATTTGTTTTCACTATGATTTGTCTAGGTTTGTATTTATTTTTATTCATCTTAAGATCTGGGCTTCTTCAATCTGAGTTCCTATTGTTTTACATTAGACTACATTCATAATACATTGCTTTCAATTTACAGTTTCTGTTTTTAAATAGTGGATCAAGATCTAAAGACACTAACCATAGCAGCCTTCCCATCGTTGTTATTCCCTCAGTCTTTTATGGCCATCTTGCCTATACACAATTTAACACCTTTTTTGGTTGTGTTCTTTTCTATTATGCCTCTCTAAAGTATTCAACTTTCTTAGAAATAACTCTTCATTTTCATACCCATATATCATCTGTTTACAGAATATTTATTTAAATTACATAGCAAAGCTATCATAAACAAGATTAGGAACAAATAAAATTGGCTCTTAGTAAATATCCAACTTAACTGGTGTGAGCAAAAGTGCATGGGATGTACTAGAGAATGGCCTACTAGCTTCGAGCATTCACAATGTTTTCTAAATAATTTCAACTCTTGTTTTAGATTCAGGGGGTACATATGCAGGTCTGTTGCATGGGTATATTGCATGATGCTGAGGTTTGGGATACAAATGATCCCATCACCCAGGTAGTAAGCATAGTACCCAACAATTTTTCAACCCTTGCCCCCCTCTCTCACTCCCCACTCTAGTAGTCTGCAGTGTCCATTGTTGCCATCTTTATGTCCATATGTACTCAATGTTTTAGCTCCTACTTATAAGTGAGAACATGCGGTTTTTGGTTTTCTGTCCCTGCATTCATTCACTTAGGATAATGGCCTCGAGCTGCATCCATGTTGCTGCAAAGGACTTGATTTCTTTACTTTCTTATGGCTGCATAGTATTCCATGGTGTATATGCACCACATTTTCTTTATCCAGTCCACCACTGATGGGCACCTAGGTTGATTGCATGTATTTGCTATTGTGAATAGTGCTGCAATGAACATGCAAGTGTGTGTGTCATTTTGGTAGAACATTTAGTTTTCTTTTGGATATGTACTCATTAATGGGATTGCTGGACAAATAAATGGTAGTTCTGTTTTAAGTTCTCTGAGAAATCTCCAAACTGCTTTCCACAGTGGCTGAACTAATTTGCATTCCCACCAACAGTGTATAAATGTTCCCTTTTCTCCACAGTCTCACCAGCATCTGTTACTTTTTCACTTTTTAATTAATAGCCATTCTGACTGGTGTGAGATGGTATTTCATTGTGTTCGTTTGTTTTTGAGATAGAGTCTCACTCCATCACCCAGGCTGGAGTGCAGTGGCACAATCTTGGCTCAATGCAACCTCTGCCTCCCGGGCTCAAGCAATTCTCGTGACTTAGCCCCCGCAAGTAGCTGGAATTACAGGTGTGTACTACCACGCCCAGCTAATTTTTGTATTTTCAGTAGAGACTGTGTTTCACCATGTTGGCCAGGCTGGTCTCGAACTCCTGACCTCAAGAGATCTGCCTTTCTTGGGCTCCCAAAGTTCTGGGATTACAGGCGTGAGCCACTGCGCCTGGTCTCATTGTGGTTTTGATTTGCATCTCTCCAGTGATTACTGACGTGGAGTATTTTTTCGAATATTTGTTGGCTGCTTGTATGTCTTCTTTTGAGATGTGCCTGCTCATGTTTTTGCCCACTTTTTAATGGCGTTATTTGTTTTTTGCTTGTTGAATTGTTTAAATTCCTTACAGATTTTGGGTATTAGACCTTTGTTGGATGCATAGTGTGTGAATATTTTCTCCCATTCTATATGTTGTCTGTTTACTTTGTTGATAATTTCTTTTGCTGTGTAGAAGCTCTTTTGTTTAATTGGGTCCCACTTGTCAATTTCTGTTTTTGTTGCAATTGCTTTTGAGGACTTAGTCATAAATTCTTTCCCAAGGCAGATGTCCAGAATGATGTTTCCTAGATTTTCTTCTAGAATTTTTATAGTATGTGGTCTTGCATTTAAATTTTTGATCCATCTTGAGTTAATTTTTGTATATGGTAAAAGGTAGGGGTCCAGTTTCATTCTTCTGCATATGGTTAGACAGTTATCCCAGCACCATTTATTGAATAGGGATTCCTTTCCCCATTGCTTATTTTTGTTAACTTTGTCAAAGATTAGATGGCTGTACCTGTGCAACTTTATTTCTAGGTTCTCTATTCTGTTCCATTGATCTATGTGTCTGTTTTTGTACCAGTACCACACTGTTTTGATTACTGTAGCCTTATAGTATAGTTTGAAGTCGTGTAATGTGATGCCTCTGGCTTTATCCTTTTTGTGTAGGATTGCTTTGGCTATTCGGGCTCTTTTTTGGTTCCATGTGAACTTTAGAATTTTTTTCTAATTATGTGAAATATGACATTGTTAATTTCACAGGAATAGTGCTCAATCTGTAGATTCCTTTGGGCAATATGGAAATTTTAAAGATATTGATTCTTCCAATCCTGAGTATTATATGTTTTTCTATTAGTTTGAGTCATCTATAATTTCTTTTAGCAGTGTTTTGTAGTTCTCATTGTAGAGATCTTTCATGTCTTTGGTTAGATGTATTCCTAGGTATTTTATTTTTTGTGGCTATTGTAAATGAAATTGCATTATTGAATTGGCTCTTAGCTTGGACATTATTGGTGTATAGAAATGCTACTGATTTTTGTACACTGATTTTGGATCCTGAAACTTTACTGAAGTCTTTTATCAGTTTCAGGAGACTTTTAGTAGAGTCTTTAGGGTTTTCTAGGTATAGACTCATATTGTCAGTGAAGAGAGATAGTTTGACTTCTTTTCCTATTTGGATGCCATTTATTTCTTTCTCTTGCCTGATTGCTCTGGCCAAGACTTCCTCAAGCATTCATAGTGTCATACAATGTATTTTACAGGAGGAATGGAAAGAGTTGATTAATCAGGAGAGTAATGAGTAAAGAAGTTAGATAAAAGAACTTCTACTGTATTGAGCATCTTCTATGGGCCAATTACTGAAATGGTATATTTAAGTTATAATAGTAAATAAGATAGACAAATCTTTTGCTCTCATGGAGTTAGGGGAGAAGAAACAAGTAAATATATAAATAAACCAGATAGTTAATTTCAGATAATCATAAGTATGATGAAGGCAATCAGACAGAGCTATAAAATAGAGGGTAACTGAGGGGTGGAGGCTAGTCTATATGAGGTAATCACTAAAGACCTTTCTGAGCAGTGATATATGAGGTACAATCTGAAAAATTAGGAGGCAGGAACCTGGAAATTCAGAAGGAGAGTGTTCTGGGCAGAGGAAACATTTCTGGTCTGAGGCAGGAATGAGCTTACTGTGCTGAAGAAATAGAAAGGACTCTGTGACTGGTGTTTCATTAGCAGAAGAGAGTGTACATGAGATGGGGTAGATTAGTTACACCAGGGCTAGAAGAAACAGGGGGTTTGTAGACTTGTAATGATTTTTTATTTGATCTTGAGTGTGATTTGAAATCAAGGGATTTCAGGATGGGGATAACAAGAACTGATTTATACTTTTTAAAAGATAACGTTGGCTAATGTGTAGGGTCAGGACTCTAGAAGGGCAACAGGTGAAGCCAAAAGACCAGTTAAGAAGCTGTCTTAGTCAGTTTGCACTGCTATAACAATGTACTGCAGACTGGGTAATTAACCAACAACAGAAATTTTAAAAAATAAATTTTATTGTGTACATCTGAGGTTTACAGCATGATGTATGGGACACATATAGATAGTAAAATGGTTATTGTGATGAAGCAGATTAACATATCCATCATCTCACGTAGTTACTTTTTAACAATAGGCATTTATTCTCACAGTTCTGGAGACTGGGAAGTCCAAGATCAAGGCACTGGCAGGCTTGGTGTCTGTGAAGGCCTTTTTTCCACTTCCAAGATGGTGCCTTATTGCTGCATCCTCTGGAGGGGAGGAATGCTGTGTCCTCATTAGGCAGAAGGGCAGAGGAGGCAATAAGGGACAAACTCCCTCTATCGAGCCCTTTTTTGAAAGTATTTAATCCCATTCATGAAGGAAGACTCCTCATGACTCAATCACCTCCTAAAGGCCACACCTCTTAATACTGTTGGATTGGGGATTAAGTTCCTGCACGAATTTTGGAGGGGACAAAAACCATTCAAACCATATCAGAGGCCAATGTTGTAGCCTGGATGAGAGATTGAAGTGGCTTGGATTAAGATGACAGTAAGTGAATATCATAGTAAATGTAGACAAAAAGGTAGAGATTTGAAGTATATTTTGGAGGTAGACTTGAAAAGACTTGATAGATTCAATATATGGAGGCTGAGGGTAAGGAAAAGAGGAGAAACCGGGTTGGTGCCTTATTTTGGGCCTAAGTGGGTGGATGGTGATGCCATTTTCTGAATTATGGAAGACCAGCATGGGAATATATTTTAGGGGCAGAATTAAGGGTTCTCTTCTGGTCACATTATATTTGAAATTCTGTAGCAGCTATCCAAGCAGATATTTTAAGAAGACAGTTGGATATGTGAGTCCAGAGCTCAAGGGGAGATGTCAAGATTGTAAATATCAATTTAGTAGTCATCAGCATATAGATAATGACTCAAGTCATAGAATTGTATGAGATCATCTAGGGTGTAATGACACTAGAAAAGAAGGCTAAGGACTTAGCCTTGGAATACTTTAACATGGAGAGATCAAGCACAGAAGGGGAAGATAGCAAAAGAGACTGAGAAGAAACAGCAAGCAAGATAGGATAGAACCAGCAATTTATCCTAATAAGATGACTGGACAAGCATGTAAAGATATAAATGCAGAAGTGTATTCATCACAGTATTTTTTTCTTTTTTGAGACGGAGTTTTTGCTCTTGTTGCCCACGCTGGAGTGCAGTGGCACTATCTCGGCTCACTGCAACCTCCCCCTCCAAGGTTCAAGAGATTCTCCTGCCTCAGCCTCCTGAGTAGCTAGGATTACAGGTGTGCGCCACCACACCCGGCTAATTTTTGGTATTTTTAGTAGAGACAAGGTTTCATCATTTTGGCTAAGCTGGTCTCAAACTCCTGACCTCAGGTGATCCACCCACCTCAGCCTCCCAAAATGCAGGGATTACAGGTGTGAGCCACTGCACCTGGCCCACAGTATTTTTATAATAGTAAAAATTGGAAATAAATGTCTATAGAGAGATAGTTAAATCATGGCATGCATATATATATATTTATAACAGAATATGCTAGGCAAACATTAAAACGATGATACCAATCAATATTTATTGACATATAAATAAGTCCATAATACATTCTTACATGCAAGAGCAGATTACAAAGTAGCCTATATAGTATGAAGACATCAGTGTAAAATTATATGTGTGTATGTGTCAGAGCATGTATGTAAATAGGGTCATGATGGTAGTTTTTGTTTTTTTGTTTTTTCTTTTTTTAGATAGAGTCTCACTCTGTCGCCCAGGCTGGAGTGCAGTGGTGCAATCTCTGCTCACTGCAACCTCTGCTGCCCCGGTTCAAGCAATTCTCCTGTCTCAGCCTCCCAAGTAACTGGGACTACAGGCACGCGCCACTATGCCCAGCTAATTTTTGTATTTTTAGTAGAGATGGGGTTTCACCATGTTGGCCAGGCTGGTCTCGAACTCCTGACCTCAAGTCATCCTCCCTCCTTGGCCTCCTAAACTGCTGGGATTATAGGTGTGAGCCACTGTGCCCAGCTAGTGTTTTGTTTTTCCACTTTGTTTATAGATGTATCCCTTGAGCCTAAAACAGTGTTAAGTATCCAGTAGACACAGATGAATATTTGTTGAAGGAATGAATAAATGAATGAATGAACGAATGAATGAATATAAAACTTTAACCAAAATATTAAGAGTGGTTATCTCTAGGTCCTGTGATAAAAGGTCTTCTATTTTCCTTTCTTTTGTATTGTGTTAGATTTTTTTTTTACAATGACCATACATTCTTTTTATCAGGAAGAACATTCTTTTAATTTTTGAAACCATCCTCACCTTTATCAGTTACCTATGACTTCCAAGTACCCCTATTTGGCTGAATTCAGAGCAAAGCAATTGCTTTGCTACTGAAAATCCATATTTAGGCAGGTATATCAGAATGATAACAGGGAGATATGTTGTCTCTTGGAGAGCTGGAGGCAGAAAAGGTGAACTAGGAGTGAAGGTCAACAGCAACTGTGAGAAAGAAAGACTTGTGCCTTGGAAGAAAGTTGAGCTGAGATTTTCTTTCTTTCTTTCTTTCCTTTTTTTTTTTTTGAGATGGAGTCTCGCTCTGTTGCCCAGGCTGGAGTGCAGTGGCGCGATCTCGGCTCCCTGCAAGCTCCGCCTCCCGGGTTCACGCCATTCTTCCTGTGTCAGCCTCCCGAGTGGTTGGGACTACAGGCGCCCGCCACCCCGCCCGGCTAATTTTTTTTTTCTATTTTTAGTAGAGATGGGTTTTCACAGAGTTAGCCAGGATGGTCTCGATCTCCTGACCTCGTGATCCTCCCGCCTCGGCCTCCCAAAGTGCTGGGATTACAGGCGTGAGCCACCGCGCCCGGCCAAACAGACATTTTCAAAGCAGAACAACATAGAACAAGAAGCTGAGGGCCGCTTGCAAGCCTGACCTTGGGGAGAAGAGCCTGTGGAACACTTAGAGCACAGTAAATTTTGCAATCTAAATTCTTGATTCTCAGTTGTGTATTGATACAGGAGTTAATAAAGGAGCCAAGCTACGACTCCCAGATTGTGCTGTTTGGTATAGAAATGCCTAATTCCCTTTGGTGGTTGCAGTGGAAAATGAAGGCAGTCTTCTGTATGAAGAAGTCCCTGGTTTTCTATTTTTCTCTGAGGCTGTAAGAAAAACAAGTTGGATTATGTTTTTTGAATAATTGATTGGATATTCTTTGGGATTCCACGTATGTGTTTGCCTAATCTCTCTCTATCCTCCCCTCCACTCCCCCTCATTACCCACCCACTCCCCATCAACAGAAAAGACTTAGATTTCTCCAGTATGGGAGGTTAGTCTCCTGCTAGCATTTCTCCTGTACTGTACCATGCAAAATGAGTGCTCATTTCCTTCCTGGCCTTGAGTTACAAAAGTCCCTCTGCTATTGCCCAAGTCTTGGAAAGTGCAGGCTCCAGGAAAAGGGTGGTGGTAGATAGAGTTGCCAGATAAAATACAGGAAAGCCAGTTAAATCTGAATTTTGGATAACCAATGGATTTTTTTTGTATAAGTATATCCCAAATATTGCATGGGACATACTTATACCAAAAAAAGTCATTGTTTATCTGAAATTAAAATTTAACTGGATGTCTTTTTTTTTTCTAAATCTGGCAATCCTAGATGGAGAAAAAAAATCCCTCTTGTGATACAAGGGTTTTCTCAGTGCTTTTCATCTAAAACTTACCAGATGTTTCTTAGATGGCCTTTCAGTTTACAAAAGGGGAAAATAACTAACTGATTAAGTCAAGGTTAGACTGCGAATCAGTGCTAGGGCTGAAAATTTAAGTTTTCAAGTTTTCCAGCACATGATCTAATTCAGCAAACTTTTATCAATAATTTATTGGCTGTAAGGAAACAGGATTAGAATGATCACAAAGGTACATATTCCCATGAAAAGTAAATTTTTAAAAGATTCTAAAGGTGACAAGCATTAAGGTTTTACTTTCCTCCATGGTCATGACTGGGCTTAGCCTCTAAAGAAGTGTTTTTCACAGTGTAGTCTTTATTCTACCTGCATCAGTATCATCTGGAAAGCAGTCTGTAGATACAGACAGAAAGTGAAGGTAATGGGTCCTTTGAAAGTTTGAGTTCCTGGTCTTTGTCTTGTAGGCACCACAATCACTTCCTCCATTTCCACAGCCTTTAGTTCCACTAACAGCTTGTATCTGGAGGGTCTCAATGCTAGAGAGCTTTCTGGTTATTTTAGTTTTTGTTTCTGCCATTACATATTATAAAAGGTAATTTATTAAAAGGCAAAATTGAAGAGGGATTTGATATCCCCCCCAGCACAGCCAAATAAAGGCATCCAAAATAAGCATTAGATGTAAAAGAAAAAATGATTGACCTGGCCTCTATTAAATCACCAAATTTAACTGGATCTTGGAATCTGAAGAATTCTCTATCACCTATATCTCTTGCATTGGGGCCTTGCCATTCCACAAAATTTATTCTCTACTTTTCCTGGGCCTGACTCCAAGAGAACTAATCATATCTTAATAATTTGGTACAGAGTCACAGTGTAATTGCTCCAGGTCAGTATTGTATCCTATCAGACTGGAGTACAGAAATGATTATCAAACATTAAAAAGAATGAGGTCAAGAGGTACAACCTGACTTTCAAAACATCCTTAGGATGTATGTATAGCCAGAATGACTTTTTTAGTTGAGGAATTATGATGATCTCTAATAGGACAAAGCAAATGTATTCAGTCAGTCTGTCATTTCAGATTTATAGCAAACAATCTCACATTTGGTCAATTCCTCAATCGTATGCTAATAAAAATGATATAAATAGTTTGGTAACTCACCCTGTGGTACTAAAATGCAAGTAACCCAAGATGGGTTGGCTATGTTGTTCTCATCTCCCTTTATCACCAGAGACTTGATTCTTCTTAGCTGGCATTATATGCTGCCAGTTGATACTTGCCTAAATATTTCCTTCGTACTCAGAACATTATAGTTACTTTTTCAAGCTTCAAATATTTCCGACTAATTCTAGAAATACGTGAGGTATGCCTGAAACGCTGACAGCTGTAGCTTACACCCAAAATAGTCAGGCCTGCTCAAGGAGATGCATTGAGCAAACAGAACCAGGAGTTTGAAGGTGACAGCTGAACAGGCATCAATAGGAAATTGCCAGGTGCTCAGCTGATCCAGCTAGGGATGGGAACAGACAGATTCCATTTCTAGAAATAGCACAGAGGATGCCAACAGGTCATAGGATATAAGCTATTGCACAAATCTTCCCTTCCATCTTCTAGGGAGCTTGGAGGGTATCTTAGGAACCTTAAACTTGCTGAAAAAAATTAACATGTCTAATGAATAATTTTTGATATTGACTTGTTGAGCCCCTATTAGTTTCAAGTTACTTTCCTAGGCACTGTTAGGGGCAGGGATACAAAGAAGTTTAGACACAGGCTCTACTCACACAGAGTTTTCACACCAGTTGAGGAAACAAGACCCATATGGCAAAGTCCTGTCTTATAAGGGGTTAGATTCTTGATGAGAAAAAAAAATCATTTATAGACAAAACGCACCTCGAAAATTCCTTTGAGAGGTTCAATATTAGAGACAGACATACCATTTTTCAATAAGTCAAACACAGTTGTTTTTTTTCCCCTACAACCTTGTACCAGATCACTTTTTCTTTAATTGAGAACCAAGCCAATTGGCTTGCACTTAGAGGCTGTGTTGAATTTTTTAAAGCGCACATATTTAAGCATGAGAATCTCACCATGAGAAACCCACAGGAACTGACACCATCTGAAGGAACATCAGATTCACGTCTCTCAACTCAATTTAACTCCAGGGCAAAACTTGTTGAGTAGAATAATAGTTAGGATTGCCCACATAATTTTCAATTGCTTACATGATCTTGCTCTCTGTCTCTCTCTCTCTCTCTCTCAATTTCTTCTGTATATCAGCCAACTCATATAAGAATGGTGTACTTGTGATGTGCCTCTCCATACCCACGTAACAAGACAGGAGAAGCTATGCGAAGGCGAGCTTCACCACTTACTGACTGTATGACGTTGGCCCAGTGAACCCTCTGAGCCTTCATTTCCTCACTAATAAAATAAGGATAATAATTGCATCTTCCTTGCAGGATTGTTCTGTGGATTAAATGCAGTGATATTTGCAAAATGCTTAGTCTAATGCCTGGTAGCATAAAAGCCTCAATATTAACTATTACAGCAAGTGGTTTATATGTGATGTGTCAAATGAAAGAGACATGCCTTATGTGTTATAACGTACATAACTGAGTAGTGTATTGGCAGGGAGGGGTTCATGGGTGAGATCACTTTTGAACTTGGTGAGATATGGGTAATACTGGAGAGCTGGAGGCAGGAAGGGAGTGATGGTGGAAGCAGGGAGAAAGCCAAGACATGGATGAGTCAGGATGTCTAGAGACCTGAAATACATGGGGGTGGGCAGTAAAGCCTGTGGAAGGGAATAATAAAATATGCTGTTGGAGGAGGAAGCCAGGGCCATGTGATTGAAGGCCTTGAATGCCAGGATGTGGTGCTGGAAGCAGTGAAGAATTGTTTGAGATTTTTTACTCAAGGGTGATGGGATGATAAAACAGTTAGTATACTTTCAAATTCAGCTCATCTGTCAAATCCAGCTTACAGCCACTTCCCCCTACTGCATCTCACTCTTCCTTTTCCAAACATTGTTGACACCGATTGCTCCCCTTCCCCCTAATAATTTTGCCCTTAATCTACCACCTTATCTCAAGGCTAAATGTTTTCTCTGAGTTGTGCGTGTGGGGGGAGAGAGAGAGAAATATTTTTCTCCAAAGATAGGGTCCTGCCTTTCACTTCCTCTGTCTGCCACACAGAGTTTAGCACATTGTGGACTCTGAAGGAATAATTTATGAGTTAACTCAATGATTGATTATGGGCATGCCTAATTGGAGCACCAAAAGCAACGTGTCCCTTAGACAGGATGAGTACTGGCTCTGTGAGGAATGTAGTAAAACGAAAGGTGGACAGGGTTATAGGTCATAGGCTCATTCCTGAAGCCCCAGAATCAAGTTTTTTGAACATTTTCCTAAATGTCTTTGCCTAAAGACATTTGTTAACCAGGAATCTGCCAAGCCAAACAAAGGCTGGCTGGCTGGCTGGCTGGGCTAACTAGTGTCCTTACCAGGAAATGCAGGAAATGGAGGACTGTCCAGAAGGAGATGCCCCAAATGCAGCCCTGTGGGGAAGACCAGCTTCCTCAGAGCCCAGAGAAGGAAGAGAAACAGCCTCTATCTTTAATCACAGCTATTCAAGAAACAGGCTCTGCTGAGAGCAGCAGTCTCTAGGGGGGAAAAGGACAGTCTTTGCAAAGGAAACTTTTTTTCTAACCTGAGGTCAAGACCAAGTAGTTAAACTTTGAAGGGACTGGGAAGGATAGCCTGGGTATGTAATGAATGGAAAGAGCCTATTACACCCTGGTTCAGAAGAACCACAACTCCATGCCTGTCACCATCCGTCTTCCCAAATGCTCATCAAATGAAATAACCCATCTGTGACAAATCTTCATTTGTCCAATGTGGAAGTGCAAAGCTTTTCTAATATACATCTGCATGTTATCCTGGTTTGCAAAAGCCTCCAAGCACATCAACAAAAGAAGCTGCTTGAAATGGATTCTGGTTAGGACTTGTCCCTTGCTCATGTTCAAAGTGATGTCGTTGCTGACAATTCAGAACTCTCCCACTTGCCACCTTCTCCAGGCTCCCAGGCTGTTTTCTGAATTCCCAGAAGAAACTGTTTCCATGGCTCAAAATGACCCCTTCTTAGGCCTCTACCAATCAGAGTCTCATCCCTCAGTGCCCCCCATCTCATCTAGCTGCTAGAGAGAACGCATTCTTATTTAACTAATGCACACTAAGGTGTAAGTGAGGTCATACACGAACTAGCCAGGTGTGTTTACATTTCCAGAAGGGCCGTCCTAAGGAACAGAATTCTAAACAGTCAAATTTCCAGAGTTATTTCGGCATGTTGTGTGATGAGACAAGCCTTATTGGGCCAACTCAAATATACCACATGGGTAACCGCCTCAGCCACGTCTGATGCCGTTCCTTTCTCTTGGAATATTCTGGCCTCTCCTGCTTCTCTCTCCAAATCTTATTTTTCCTTCAAGGCTCAGCTCAAGTCTTACCCATGAAGCTTGCCCAGAGCACACCTGGCTTGAATTCCTGCCCTGCTCGGAAGTCATTGCTCCTCATTTGTTCCATCTGGGTTGGTTTGGTTTCCTCGAACAGATCCTGAGCTCTGTGAGAGCAGGAATCATGTTTTAAACTTCTTGCCACTCTTCCACAACTCCTGGCATGATGCTGGCCTCAGAGGATATGTACAAGAAATTTTTATAGTAACAGCCATAGCTTCTCCACATGTATCAGATTTGAGTCACAGCAGCCCTGTAAGGTAGGTGGTATTACCCCCATTTTACAGAGGAACTTGTGAAAAAAAAAAAAAGAAAAAAGAAACACTGCTCAAAAGAAAGAAGTTAAAGTCTTGTCTCCTTTCTATTTCTGGAGATTCTCAATATATCAGTCAATATGATATATACATATATATATATATATATATATATATATATATATATATATATATATTTTTTTTTTTTTTTTTTTTTTTTTTTTTTTTTTTGAGACGGAATCTTGCTCTGTCGCCCAGGCTGGAGTGCAGTGGCGCGATTTCGGCTCACTGCAATCTCCGCCTCCCGGATTCAAGCAAGTCTCCTCCCTCAGCCTCCTGAATAGCTGGGACTAAAGGTGTGTGCCACCATTGCCACCATGCCCAGCTAATTTTTTGTATTTTTAGTAGAGACGGGGTTTCACCATGTTAGCCAGGATGGTTTCGGATCTCCTGACCTCGTGATCCACCCGCCTCAGCCTCCCAAAGTGCTGGGATTACAGGTATGAGCCATCAATATGATATTTTTGAGTGTGACCTCTGTGCCCTGCACTATTGGAAATATAAAAAAGGTGTAGACCTGGAGCCCTGTCTTCAAGTCAGCCATGGAACAGTGACTTCCAAACCTGGTTGATCACCAAAAATACCTCAGGAGCTTGTTAACACAGAGACTTCCAGGTCATCCCCAGAGATTCTGACTCAGCAGGTCTGGGATATTGTCTTGGTATTTTCTCAAAGCCACCTGAGGGATTCTAATAATCAGCCATGTTTGAAAACCACTGCCCCAGTGATCCATATCTTCTCATATATGTGAACAAGTCAGGTGTTTCTGGAAGAGTGGGAGGCACAGTACTCTTGGGACTGGGAACACACAAACTTCATATTTTAATTATATGTTTATTTTAGTGTGTATTAGAAAGACCATAACCATTCCACAAAACTATGATTTCCCAGATATGATACTTTTCTTTCATTAAAAGTGTATTTAATTCTGACACATGCTACAACATGGATGAACCTTGAGGACATTATGCTAAGTGAAATATACCAGACACAAAATACTGAAGGATCTCACTCATATGAGATACCTAGAGTAGTCAAATTTATAGAGACAGTAGAGTGGTGGTTGTCAGGGGCTGCAGGGAGGGAGAAATGGGGAGTTAGTGTTTATGAAGACAGAGTTTCAGTTGGGGAAAATAAAAAGAGTTCTGGAGATAGATGGTGGTGATGGTTGCACAACATTGTGATGTACCAAATGCCACTGAATTGTACACTTAAAATGTTTAAAATGGTAAATTTTATGTTATGTATATTTTACCACAATAAAATGTACTTTAAAAAGCAAGATAGAGAAGTTTAAAGTTGGTAAAAGTAGAGACGGACTGCAGATATGGCAATCAGGAAAGTGCTGTGCAAGTGACTGGTGTTTGAGAAATGATTGTAGTTTGACTCCCTCATTTTACTTAGGAGGGCACCAAGGCTCAGAGAAGGGCAGG
Source organism: Homo sapiens (assembly GCF_000001405.40). Taxonomy (NCBI): domain Eukaryota; kingdom Metazoa; phylum Chordata; class Mammalia; order Primates; family Hominidae; genus Homo; species Homo sapiens. Next base: position 134,689,679 of record NC_000023.11, on the reverse strand, counting down.
GACTTGCCCAACATCACACATTGAGTCAGTGGCAGGGCCAGTACTGATATCCAGGTCTCCCAACTCTGTCAGTATTTTCAAATTTATATCATCTGATTCATTGCTCAAATATCACGGTGTCGGCAACAGACACAGGAGACACCCGTGGGTGCTAGAGAAGTTGGGGAGGGCTTGATGGAGGAAGTAGGACTTGATGAAGGCCCTTAAAGATGGAAGGATTTGTAAGTCAGAGGAGATGAAAACGGGCATGAACACAAAACTCTATCAGCAAAAATGAATTTGGTTTCTGGTTTGTATGGAGATAGTGAAAATGGAACCCTAACTGGAGCAGTTATGTTTTGAAGTAATAGAAGCCTCTCGAACAATACATTAATTTGGACTTGATATAGTAAACAATAGGCAGCCCTTGTAGAATTTTGAGCACAGGCGTGACATGGTGAAAGCAGGCTTGTAGAAAGGTTAATCTAGCAGTGACCAACAGGATGCATATAATGAAACCAGACCAGTGAGTGGGCTCTTCTAGGAATCCAGCCATGGTATGACAGGGACCAGAACTGGGATGGTGGGAATAAGAATAAAGAGGCAAAGGTAAATCAGTGACTCATTCAAAGGCAAGTCAAAGGCAGAACAGCCAGAACTTAGTCATTCATGAAAGGACAGATTCAAGATTCTTAAGCCTGGACGATAGAGTCATAGTAGTGCCCTTAACTGAAATGAAAAACAAAGGAAGAAGAAATAATGTGGGGCAAAGGTGAAACATTTGGTTTTGGACATAAAGAGTTGGAGGTGGTAAAGAAACATCCAAGTAAAGGTAGTTTCCAAGCAGCTTGAAATATGAGATTGGCCCTTGGGTTACAGGAAAGAGGCCGTTAAACTCTCATTTTAAATATGGATACTTTACACAAGGATGGTGTTCTAGTGACATATTCATTTTTGTTTAGCATTAATTTGAAAGACATATTGTTTTCATAAAGAAATTGTGGTGTAAGACTTTGAACGCAAGAGAACAAGCATTTAAATGCCTTAAAAGCCAGAAAACATCAAGGAAAGGGTGGGGATTGGCCCAAGTGAGTAATTATAAATTTTCTCTTCTGGAAAGAAAAAAGAGAAAAACCATGGTGTAATTTCCAGTTGTCTTTTCTTGGAGCTTTAATGCATAGAAGGATTTAGTGTCCTTGTCACCCAATACAACCTTTCAAAGAACTGCTGGATGAGTATTTAGTAATGAACCTTTGGGAACACCTTGTATGGAATCCAGCTCTTCTGCAATTAATGCAGGATGGCAGCTGCCTGAATGATTCATATCAGGACATCATGTAATACCACATAATTTGACAAAGTGAGAACGGGAGAGTGGACAATATTTGCTCTGTTGTCTGTTACATACTTGCTCAGTGAATGAAAGGCTATACCTCCTTAAGCATAACTGACAAAACTCTTGGACTTGCTAACCCAAAAAATTCATCTCTGATTTCTATGAGTCAAACTACAATAAACTGTCTGAATTGGCGAAAACAGCAGGTTTCACAGAGGTTCTGGACATTTTTACAGAGAGAAGGACTGTGGGAGCCTTTTCTTTTAATTCTTTCTTGGAGTCTGAGCCGGTCATCAGGAAAACTTGTGAAGTTTCTCTTTTAGCCCTTCCACCATTCTTCCTGTCTTCTCTCTTCTCACAGCACTTTTGATAGTCTACAGGCTCTAAGTTCCCAGAGCTAGCACAGCTCCAGGTCCCCACTGTGAGGCGTCACTAAGACTCATAATAACGATTGTGTATTGAGAATTGACAATGTGTCAGACGTTGTGCTAGGTGCTATATATATATATATATATATATATATATATATATATATATATATATATATATGTTATCTCAGTCCTAAAACAAACTTATGAGGTAAGTACTATTATTCCCTTCATTGTACAGATTAGAAAAGTGACGTTTAAAGAGGTTAAGTAGATTCCACTAAGGCACAAACCCGAGTCTGGCACTCTTTCCACCACATCAACCTTCATCATAAAGTGATAGGAAAGACAGGGGTATAACCTAGCTAGCCAAAAGCACCCAGATCAACCCTAGCAACCAGCAGACTCTCACATCATTTTTTTGAGCAGTGAAGTTCCTAGAGGCCCTTACATCTGCCCCCTAAGGCAGACTCCACTGATGGCCTAAAGCAGGGGTGTCCAATCTTTTGGCTTCCCTGGGCCACATTGAAAGAGGAAAAATTGTCTTGAGCCACATATAAAATACACTAACGCTAATGATAGCTGATGAGCTTAAAAAAAATCACACACACAAAAACTCGTAAGGTTTTAAAAAAGTTTACAAATTGTGTTGGGCCCCATTCAAAGCCATCCTGGGCCACATGTGGCCCACGAACTGTGAGTTGGACAAGCTTGGCCTAAAGGAAACTAGAAAGATGTTTTCTACCCTTAACATGGGCAAGGGGAGAGTTTTGTTTTGGCAGGAAGTTTACAGTTACTCTTTAGATGCTTTTGAATTAAGAAATTGTAACACACATTTTTTTCTTGGGCATTTCCAATGATTTTGAATTTGCACTTTGATTCTATCTAGCCCTGCCATGACTGATCTGTGACAGAGCCATGATGCTAATATCCCTTTCATAATATCTTTCCACTAAAACATTGATCTTAAGAGTGGCACAGGATTTGAGGGGCAATGAGAAGCTTTATGATTTGCATTTACCCCTTGTTAGATTGCAAGTCTCTTGAAAGAGTAGACTATCATCTCTTCTTGCATTACCACCCAATTCTGTGTCGGGATTAATTCATCCCATTGGTTTCCAAGATGAAGGCTAAGAACCATGATTCTTTGTCATATTGGAAGAAGAAACAGGACAAGAGACAAGCAGAAATTGGGGCTCTAGAAGGGAGCAACCAAGAGAAGCCTGGGCTTCTTCCCAAATTTATCAAGCCTCGGCGCTGGCCCTGAACACATGGCAGTCTGTACAGGTGGCCAATGCAGAGACTTAAACTAAGACCCATTGCCTTCTGCTATGATTCACAAGAGGTTGAAGGAGGATCTTTAAAAAGTTACAATAACATAAGTGCTGTCCTGCCTTAACAAAGCTAATCACTGCTGACCTACCCTAAGCAGGACTGGGTTTCAAGGGGTTTTTCCATTGGTGGACAAGACTCAGACTGAGCACGTCACACTCTCTCACCTAGTATTGCCCGTACCAAACAAGATGGCTAGCTGAGATGAAGGAGGGTTTCTAGCCAGGGAAACATATTTTCTTTGTTTATTTACTTTTCATGAAACTATCCCACAGAAGAGTCAAACCAGCAATTCTGCCCTCTTTAGTATACCCTGGGTTTGTCATTATACCCTGCAAGAGATACTCTTGATCACCAACTTTCCCATCTTCAAACCATAGAATGACAGAACTGAAAGAGAATTCCAAACGCATCTCTTCTCACACTTAGTTGCATGGATGGGGAACAGAGAGGCCTAGAGAAGGAGACGGATTTTCTTAAAGTCATGCAGTGACTTAGTTATGGGCTAGAACCCAGATTTCCTGATTCCTGGATGAGTACTCTTCCACCCCACCACAAGGTGACTCCATCAATAGCCGACATCCGATTAAGGACTTCTTGGCTTACGTGTGTGTCAGGTTCTAAAGTATTCCTTCATTGGCTTTTCGGCCTCACTTGATAATCCAAGGCTGTGTGGATAGTGCCTAAGTGTCATCCTAGATTGTTCTCCCCAGATCAGTTGCAATCCAGGCCAGGATGGAACAGTGCCACAAAATCAATCCTCCCTGGCCTCTGCACTGTGAGTAAACGAAAATGAATGTCTCTGTCTTCTGTCTGGGGCTTTCGGATTGCTGAGCAGATGTCTGTCTCAAAATGACTCCTTAGATACTGGACAAGAAAAAATATCAGTTACACAAGCCCCAATAAGGGAACACAAGCTTTTAGGGTGTGAAAAAGCTATTGTTGCCTAGTTCCTGCTCCCCGACAAGAGCAAATGCACAAAATATTGAATTTTCCTTTTTAAAGAAGATGTACATAGAGTCCCCGACTTGAATAGCCTTTTAAGCCTTGCGTTTCTTAGAAAATTGGCTTTTAAACCCAAGCTTGAGCTTCTCTGAGGAGCTCTTAACCTGTTCTTCCATGAGGCATTAGATTCTGGTTACCATTTTTTCCATTCACATGAAGTGAGCACTATTTCCTAAGTACTAACCAAAAAAAAAAAAAAAAAAAAAAAAAGGGACGCCATTTTGTCCAGCCTGCTGTATTCCATATATTTCCATGTTTTACCTCCCCTTATTCAACAGACTGTGACCCAGTGTGGGCACTATTTTTGGAGCTAACCTAAGCAGTAGAACTGTGGCATTGGGATGAGGAATTTGAGAAGGGATTCCTATGTATCTGGTGCTAGGCTCAGCTCTTGTTTCACTGCAAGCCTCAGCCCAGTAAAAGTTATGATCTTGTGTTGCTACCTAATGCTGCAGATGTCTAGTTCCTGTTTGATCCACTTTCAACAACTCAAATATAGCAGGGGACACAAGTTGGAGCATGTTCCTCAGGAAGGGAACATGACACACAGCCACTCACTCAGCAGGGCTAAAGCTACTCCTCTGTAGAGACTGACAGCTGCTCTGCTGAGGCCCTCTGGAGCAGCTAGTCAGTCTCCCAAGACAGGGAAAAGCCATTTATTCTCCTTTACCACCTTTTGCCATGAATAGAGAAAATCGGGATAAGACTGTCTTTCTTCTGCATAGTCCAAGTCAGGGATAACCTTGTGTACACTTTATGGGATTTGAGGGATATGCCTAGGGCCAGCTTTAGGCGTAGCTGAAATAGATGACCATGTCCACATTTTAATGCAAGGGCTGTCCAATAAGGCTCTAATTATCTCCCCCCTCCAGCCATTATGCTGGCAGAAATCCTAGACCAGTCATGTCAATCATGGAGACTACCATTTCTACCATTTCCTTCTAAGGGAAACTGCACAGTCCCTTGCTGAAGAAAATAGCCCTAAATTATTACTTGAGAATGAAGTGGTAACTTCTTAGATTATGGATGAGTACCTGACCCAAGCTGATGGATGACTTTTGTATGAAGTGGCCTAGCAAGAAAAAAAACTGTACTTAGTAGGACAATGGGAAGTAGCTAGGACAGATGACCTGTCTTTCGAGGATGTAAGTATGAAAATACTGAGATTTTCAGTTTGTGGGCAGCAGAAATGTAAATGAAAAGACACTAAATAAAAACCTAGAGTGTTTTTTTTTTTTTTTTTTTTTTAGTGGCAGAGCACTCAGTAACATTCAGGATATTGAGGAGATGGTAAGATTCAATCCCTAGAACTCTCTTCCTTCCTGAATGATGCCAATTCCTGAGTTTCTACTAGGAGTTTTAGAAGGACATTCATTTGCCTTCATATAGTTGGGGGAGAGGCTGAACTATGCAAAAGGTAGTTTTTCTATTGAGGGTTATATGGAGAAATTTTTAGCACCAGGTGGGCTCCCTTCCTTTGGAATTTGATTGAGACTTTGGTAAGCCTACCAATCTCTTTCACATCCTGTAGAAGAGTCCCATTCTCAGTCTCCTTCTCCCATTTCACCCCTCCTCCCAAAATGTAGTCCCAGATTGATCATCACTTGATGTGGCCAGCTTCCCATTAGGACCACAAAAGATCACCCCCTCTCTTTCTGACTGGGCGTTCCAAGCCAGACCAGTCTAGCTAGAGAATGTGCAAGGGACTTCTGATACCTTGCCTGTAGTGGACATGCCAATTTAACTTTTTCTTTCAGACCTAGTCTAACATGATTGCAGATGCCCAGCTCAATTTTCAGGCCTTATGCATGGTACCCACACAGACTGATGTTGGCACAAAGTGAGGTTGGGCACAGAGCCAGTATTGACTTTGTGGCAGCTCCGGAAGCAGACAGCCTTTCATGGAAGTGTACATCATTCCAAGTCTCTTGTCACAATGCTAGTGTGGATGGTTTCACAGTATTTTTCAAGCCACATAGACACTCCATGTTTGGGCTCAGTGTCAGGGACAACACTCTGGAAGAACCACATCCCTGACTTTACCAAAAGCCATCCCCATCATCTGTTTTCAATCTGGGCCGAATTAGCCTGTGATGGGAAGCAGAGAAAGATAAATGGTTCAAGGCCACTGTTTGCAAACCCCTGGCAATCTATGATGGAAAAGATTTGTGACACTCAGATCTTTGTGCCATCACACAGTGAGAGCAGACCAGAGTCTCTTCTAGTCTTCACTGAGTAGGGCCATCTGAACCAGTTTGTGGAATTCACCTCTCTATTTTTGTTGTTTATGTTGGAGATAAGTAGGCCCACAATAACAGAGAAAAGATACCCTAACTGACATCTCTAGGATCTCTGTAGATGGAGGCAGAAATGGCCGTGGAAAGCCTGAGATGATTCCAAGGCCCACTAGATTAAGCCAAATCTCATTTTATTGCTCAACCCACACACCCCAAATCAATCAATTGCAGCTTCAATCACAGGAGAAAATGAAAACTTTAAAGCTATCTACTTCTTGATTTTTCTTTGTGTACTGAGACTTCACAGAAAATTCTGGAGATGGAGGGAAGGATGAAGAAAGTATTGAAATTGAACAAATAAATCACACACAAAATAATATTGCACATATTTCCTGGGCTTGTCTCTACCACTTATAAAGTGAACAGGGATGAAATGACATCTTGGTTTCACAGTTGAAGAGTCCATATGCTCTTTTACTTTATCTCCACTTACTGAGTTTGGCTTTTAAGGGGCACTTCTCCTAGGCCATCTGATTAGCTGACATCCTCTAGTCAAGAGCAGATAGAGGCCGGGCATGGTGGCTCATGCCTGTAATCTCAGCACTTTGGGAGGCCGAGGGGGGCAGATCACCTGAATTCAGGAGTTTGAGACCACCCTGGCCAAAATGGTGAAACCTCATCTCCACTAAAAATACAAAAATTAGCTGGGCGTGGTGGTGGGCACCTGTAATTACATCTACTAAGGAGGCTGAGACAGGAGAATCACTTGAACTCAGGAGGCGGAGGGAGGTTGCAGTGAGCCGAGATCGTGCCACTGCACTCCAGCCAGGGTGACAGAGCGAGACTCCATGTCAAAAAAGAAAAAAAAAAAGCAGATAGAGAGGTACTTGAGACACCCATGGCAAGACCAGGATCCAATAACTGTGAAGAAAAGAGAAGGAGTCATTTGGCCAAAGGACCCTTCCTTTCCCCTTGAGCCCCTCAGAACACACCTAAGCTTGCTTGTCTCCCTGGCTGGAGCAGAAGCCAGGGCTCCTTGCCCCATCCAGCTGCCCTGTGAAGAGCATAATTTGTCAAAGTTCCTATTCTTCAAAGTTCCTGCTACCAGACAAACTAAATCCGGTTTAATTATAGAAGCACAGAACATCTGAGTCAGAAAGGGCCTTAAAAATTACTTTGCCCAGAAGAATGCCAAGGCATAAATACAGAAGGAATCATAGAATTAAAATATCACCATTTCGCAACCATCATCTTAATAATGGATTTAGACAATGATCATCAACGTATGCTGAAACTATAGGGTGCAAGTCTACGTTAGTTTGATTTCTTGGTTATGGTGGTATCGGCTCAATTTTTCCACTATAAAACTATCTTTTTCCCCTTTGAAATTACAACCCTAACAACAATAATAAATAAGCCTACAATGGAGCAAAATTACATAATGTGTCTTCTGATGTGACTCAATATGAGGACACAACATCATTTTAAAACAAAAAGCTGGAGAAAAAGCATCTTGTCACACAAATTGGGAAACTGATACACAACAAGGAGAAGGAACTGAGTCTGAAACTGGGATTAGAATATTTTTCCATGGTGTCTTGGTGCACCATCTAGTTCCAACCATAATGATGTTGGTGATGATGATACCTTCATGTTTTTTCAATCAATTTTTTTTTCAGTTTCTACTATGTGCCAGATAGTGTGCTTGGCACTCAAGAGTCATCAGTGAATTAAGCAAAAGATCTCTGCCTTCATGGGGCTTATATTTATTTTCATGCTTTTTCATCTTTACCTTCTTCATCCTCATCCTCATCATTACCATTTCACCTTTTTTAAAAATTTGTGCTCCTTTGCACAAAGACTCCTAAATAGCTATATCTCTAGGACCTGGCACAGCATAGCTTTTTAATAAATAGTTGTTATCTTCAATTAAGGAATGTGTATGTGCACATGTATGTATCTGTGTGTGTGTGCATGTCGTGACTGTGTATATAATGCCATTTCACTTCTACACTGTAGCTCAGTCTATCCCCCACTGCTTGAAATAGCATCTCCACTTCTCTCACATTATCCTTCAAGGCAGCCTCATTTCCTTAGTGATGACTTCCCAGGAGGACCCCCTCCTCTTAACGACCAAAGTGTTTACCACTCATTTAAATCTCATCATACACAGTATGTGACAGCTTGGGGACTGTAGTTTATTCATTTAACTCTGTTAAGGGCCACTAATTAATATGGGTAGGTAAAATGATTTCCAGTTTCCCAGGGGCCCTGTGAAAACCACGATGCCCTAACAAAAGAGCAGCTATTACAATTTTAGGCCCTGAGAAGACAGATGAGGCCCCTTCTCTGATGAGCACCTTGGTCATGCAGAATCTTCCTGGCCTGGTCACATGAGCCTGATTGCAATTCTGCCCCCAATCTGCCGGTATGATTCTGGTCAAGTCTTAGCCCCTTGAAATTCACTGGACTCACCTGTACAATGAAGCAGTTGTTCTCTGGGCACTTGGGTCCTTTGCAATTTTCTATCTATTAGGCTTCATTCTTCCTGACTTCAGGAAGAGAGGATATGGCCAGGATGCTTGAGAAAGTACAGTGCCTTCTCAAATGGCCCCAGCACTACCATGTCTGCCCTGCTCTAATTAAAAGTGCAGTGCACAGACACTTGAATATTGGCCTTAATTAAGGCACCCAAATGAAAAGCCTAGAATTGCAGCGAATGCACCACATATAGAACTGATTTTCCAAACCCTTAGCTGGGTAATGTTCTCAAGAGGCTACACACAAGTGACGAAGGGATCAGGGAAGGAAGGTGTTTAGTTTAGTTTAGTTTAGTTTAGTTTAGTTTAGTTTAGTTTAGTTTAGTTTAGTTTAGTTCAGTTTAGTTTAGTTCAGTTTAGTTTAGGAATACTTGCTCATACAGAAGCCCTTTCAAAGGCAAAGAAATGGCCAGTATTTCAGGCAGGACCCTCTTCTTTTCCCTCTATTCACTGCTTAACAGCTCCAGGGCACGCTGGCATGTGATGTGACAGCCAGTGTGATAGAGTAGCTATGATGGTGTGCTCTGGCATCAGGGATACCTGGGTCTTAGTCTTAGCTCTGTCATGCGCTGGCTGCATGACTTTAGCCAGGTCACTTAACCTCTGATCCTTAGTTTCCTCATCTGTAAAAGGGAATAATAATGATACTACTTCTTAGGGTCGTTGTGACAATTAAACAAAGGGATGCTTAGAACAGTGCCTGGCTCTTAGTTGGTGCTCTGTGAGTGTTAGGAGAAAAATGTCCAAATTGCAATATTGGGACACAAGAGTACCCATGTCCTTCTGAAGATTCAGGGTGGTAGCATGTTTGAAACTGGAGCTGTCCTACAAAATTCAGTCTCTGCCTAGGAAGCAGTTTGCACTCTGCTCTTTGCCTGAAAACTCTGCTCAGTGGCTTGATCAAGTGGGAATATACCACTCCATGGCGGAAAGAACAGAGACATAAACTCTAAGCTCAGAGAGCAGCTAATTCAATCACCCTCTTGCTCACCTTCACCCGCCAACACCAAACGGACCCAGAAACTCCAAAAAAGGAAGTGAATCTCTGAAGGTCACACAATAAACTAGTGGTGGACAGTTCTACCTCTTGATCTTTTTACTGCTTCTTTTATGAATAAGAGTTGAGAAACAAAATGTGTGCAGTATAGAACAGATTCAAAAACAAACTCCATGAATCTAGGAGACTTAAGCTAGTCTCTGTACACCAGGGTTTCTCAACTTTAGCACTATTGACATTTTGAGCCAGATCATTACAAATTATTACCACACATTGCACTGTAGAATGTGTAGCAGCATCCCTGGCCTGCTTGCTCAGTTGTGTGACAACGAAAAATGTCTTCAGACATTGCCAAATGTCTGCTCTAGGGGTAAGGTGGGGTGGCAGAACTTCATGTTGAGAGCACAGCTGAATAGGAGCAGCACTGTAAATGTAGCTTGCTCCTCAGAGTTCTTTTCAGCACTCTTCTCCACTATATTGTCTCCAATGGTGATATCATCCAACCCCGTGGCTGATGGCTTCCAGATGTGGAGCTCTAGACTTGACCTCTCCAGCCCACTCCTGTCTTATATATCCACGGCCTACTCGACATCCCTCTTGCACATGTTATAGGCATCTCAGACAATACCGAACTCCTGATTCTTGAGCCTACCCTTTCTCCAACTCATTCTTGCCTTCATTCATTCATTCTTGCATTAGACAATATTGCACACCTAGTGTATTCATTTCCTGTGGCTGCTGTTACAAACTACCACAAACTTGGTGTGGTCTAAACTACAGAAAATGTTTTCTTTCATAGTTCTGGAAGCCAGAAGTCCCAAATCAAGGTGTCAGCAAGGCCTTGCCTCCTCCAAAGATTCTAGGGGAGAATCTTTCCTTGCCTCTTCCAACTTCTGCTGGCTCCAGGTACTCCTTGGCTTGTGGCTGCATCACTCTGATCTCTGCATTGGTCATCACATGGTCTTTTCCTCTTCTCTCCCTGTGGTTCTCCTCTGTCTTTTATAAGGACACTCATCATTTGACTTAGAGGCCACCTATATAATCCACAATGACTTCATCTTGAGATCCTTAATTACATCTGCAAAAATCCTTCTTCCAAAAAAGTCATGTTCACAGGTTCCTGCGGTTAGGACACAGATGTATCTTTTTAGGGGCCATCATTCAACCCACCACTCCTACTATGCACCAGGAATGTTATAGATGCTGGGGATACAGTGGGGAACAAAGCAAAGTCCTTGATCTCGTGGAAATTACATTATACTGTTAGAAGATAGATAGACAATAAATGGATAACTATATAATATAGAATGTCAGGTAGTGATAAGTGCTAGAGAGAAAAAGAAAACAGGGTAAGAAGATAGAAAATGATGGGGTATGCTACTTTTGATAGGGCGCTCAGGGAAATCCTCTTGGAAGAGGTGATGTTCAGGTAGAGAACCGAAGCACTGGAACCAGACATGGGAAGGTCAGGGAAAGGTGTTAGAGGCAGAGGGAACAGAAAGTGCAAAGGTCTTTAGAAAGGATTATTCTTGACATGTTTGAGAAAAAGCAAGGAGGCCAGAGTGGGTGTTGCACAGACAGTGACCAGAAGAGTGGCAGGAAATGAGTTTGGAGAGGTTGGTAGGAACCAGAGCACGCAGGGTGTTGTGGGCCATGGAAAGAACTTTGGTTTTATTCCAAGTGTGATAAGAAACCATTAGACCGAGTCTACAGATGAGGGGAGTGACATGACCTGATTTGCATTTTCAAAATATCAGCCTGGCTGTGATGTGGAGAAGGAGGCATAGCAGCAGGGCAAGTGTATAGGCAGTGAGACGAGCTTGTGGAAAGGGAGAGGCACTGTCTCCATCCATCCCCTTGCTCAAGGAGTCATTCCCGATTTCTCTCTTACCCTTATCCCCCACATCTAATCCACTGGAAAAATCCTCTCAGCTTCATATTCAAAATATATCCAGAATTTGACCATTTCTCATCACCTCCATCACTACCCCTCAGTCTTAGCCACTGTTATCTCTTGCCTGGTCCACTATGATAGCCTCCCAACTGGTCTCCCTGCTTCAACCCTTGCCTCCTCAGTCTATTTGTGACACAAGAGCCAAATCGAACTTTTTAAAGCATAAGTCAGAACATGTCACCCCCCGGGCTTAAAACCTGCGATGGTTTTCCAGTGCACTTAAAATAAAATCCAAACACTCTGCCATGGCCGCCATTATGTGACTCTCACCTATCCTGCAGCCCCATTCCCTACCACTCTCCTTACTCACTACGTTCCAGCCACTCTGGCCTTCTTTCCTTAAACCCTTCCAGTTTGTTCCTACCTCAAGGACTTTGCACCAGCTGTTCCTCTAGGTGGTAATATGGTTTTTTCCAGCGGCTGTCACCTCCTCCAGGAGGCCTCCCTGATTACCCTCATGAAAGTAGGATCCTGATTGTCACCCTGTTTTCTTTTATTTTCTTCAGAGCATGTATTACTCTCTGAAATTATATCAGGTATTTGTTTGATTTATTATGTGTTTATATGGTGGCTTATTTACTACTTGTCTTTTCTTACTAGAAGGTAAGCTTCCTGAATCAGGGCTCATGTCTGACTTGTTTGCTGCTATGACCTCAGCAGCTAGTACAGTGCCTGGCACACAGTAGCCCCTCAGTTAATATCTGTTGAGTGAATGAACCTCTCTCCCAGTGCACAACTGGACAGGAGCTTAAGGACTATCCAGCGAGTGGACGTCGGAATCACCCAGAGGGCTTTTAAAACAATCCATATTTCCAGGGCCCCTTCCAAGCCTACTGCATCAAAATCTCCTGGGGCGGGCCCACAAATCTACATTTTGAACAAGTTCAGTTTGTAACAAACACTTATGTAGCACTTACTGCTACTATTCTAAGTATTTTACATATATTAACTCATTTTATCCTTTTAATAGTAATTTTAGTATTACAGTTTTACTGCCAAGGAAACGAAGGCACAGGGACATTTAGTAACTTTGCCCAAGGCCACCCAGGCAGGAAGTAGTAGAGTCAGAATTCAAACCCAGTCAGTATGTCCTCTTAACCACTACTCTGTGCTGACTCTGCACAAGAAGTTCTGTGATCAGTGCTGTTTGGGACCCATACATAAAATTGGCTCCAATAAGGACACTGAGACCCAGACTAGACAATGGACCTGATTAAAGCCACAATCAGAAATGAGATAGGTTTTGCGTCTTTCCATCTGATGAGCATTCCATTCTGTCCAGTCATTCTGTGCTCTGTAAAGGGCAGGGCCGGGGAGTATGCTGCCTACATAAAAGTTAAGTCACAAGAAGTTGTCTAGAAATGTTTTTGCTGTCAGCACTGGTTGTCAGGGAATGCAGGAACACATCCTGGTATTGGGATCTCTTATCATCTCTGGGACAATACAAGCTTAAAGTGGGAGACCCTCTTCCCTCAGGAGACAGTTAGCAAAGCCACGGGCGACGAAGCCTGCTGCTGCTGGCCTAGTTGAGGATGGAGGTGTAAGAGAAGCCCCCATAATGTCAGCGGAGGGAGCAGTATGTGCGGCGGAGCTTATCTGCTCCGGTCACAAAAAGTGCACCAGGCCTCGGCAGGCAGCCTCCACTCCCCTATTCCCGCCAGCCCCCACTGAGAGAACCAGGGGATGGCCCAGCCAGATGACATGCCTCAGTTACTCTCCAATGAGGCCCCGGGCCAAACAGGCTTTTCAATTTCCAGATGCTTTTTAATTAAAATAAAGGCCACTCTGTAACCTAACATTGAATAGACAAAGTTTCCTTAGTAGAATGACTGTACGAGTTCACCCTTTTTCCATTACTTTTCATTGAGCAACTGAACGTTTCTAACCAATAAATTATGACTTGAGTCACATGACAGCAAGGGGCATGGAAGGGTTAAGTGACTTATGGAAGGTCACTCTGCTAAAGAAAGACTCCTTTGTTCTAGCCTCCCCTCTTGCTCCTGCCTCTGCGAGCCCGTATTCTACCTTTTGGGGAGACGGAAAGAGGGCTACTCTAGCCTCGCTCAGAACAGCAGAGGGTTGAGCAATGGTGTTGTGACCTGGTCCATCTGGGAATTCAGACTCTTCATCTCTGCTTCAAAATGGATCTCAAGAGCTCAGATTTTCTGTATTGGTTGCCCACACCATGAGTTCTAACTCTGCCTCCATCCTTTGGGGACATAAATGGCAGGAGGGAAAAAAGGCCACTTTCTTTTTTTTTTTTTTTGAGATGGAGTTTCGCTCTTGTTGCCCGGGCTGGAGTGCAATGGCACAAACTTGGCTCACCACAAACTCTGCCTCCTGGATTCAAGCGATTCTCCTGCCTTAGCCTCCCGAGTAGCTGGGATTACAGGCATGCACCACCAGGCCCGGCTAATTTTGTATTTTTAGCAGAGACGGGATTTCTCCATGTTGGTCAGGCTGGTCTTGAACTCCCGACCTCAGGTGATCCACCCGCCTCGGCCTCCCGAAATGCTGGGATTACAGGCGTGAGCCACCACGCCCGGCCAGGCCACTTTATTTCTATCCAGGTCACGTGGTTAGAGATGTTTGGGGAGGCCTGTGGGGGGACAAAGCAATCTCACCAACTTCTGTCTTGGACTTACCTGGTCTAGAATACTAGCACAGAAAAGGAGCAAGAGGCCTGACGACAGGTTTAGGCTCTGCCCAGGTGTAATAGCTTACTTTTTCTTCTTAATTATGAGCCAACTCAGCCTTTAGCAGAGTTCAGAGACAATGAGGCTGTCTATGGGCTCAGAACAAAGCCCACTGATCCTAGACTCCAGAGTTCGATGCATTAAGTGACGACTGATTGAGCTCCCCTGCCTCACATGGATCACTGTTCTTGTTCACCACATACTATGATTAGGACAACTGAGGTCCCAAAGGTTACATTTGTCCAAAGAGCCTCAGCTAAGAATTGAAGAGAATAAAGAACGAGTGTTTTCTCAATGAGTTTTCTCTTCCCAAACTCCTGTCCTGTGTTCTTTTTGTGAAAGCAGAGCTTAGGCCGAGTTCTTTCTTCCCTGTTCTGCTGAAAGATTGGGTCTGATCTGTATTGCCAGCTGTAAAGACAGGAAGAGGAAGGAGTGAGAAACCAATGAGAACCCATTTCAAGTTTTCCTTGAATACTCCAAAATAGTTTCTTCCACATCCTGGAAGTACCAAAGCAGTTAGTGTGGTCTATCTTGGGCCACATCTACATGAAACCAACATAGCCCATAGGAAAGTGGAGGACCCAGCCAACCACTGTTTGAGAGGCTGTTGATGTTTGTTTTCTACAGTTCTAAATTACCTACGTCTGTGCACCACAGATGCTTGTGGGTCACAGTGCATGTGATTGAGGTTATGTATGGGTTGAATGCTGTAGGAACCAGGTTTATTTTGTCCTGGGTCCTTTCTCACTTTGGCCTTCTTTTATTGCCTGTGTGAACTTTTCTTATTTGGATCTACTGAAGACATAGAAACATCCCTGCCCTTACCCCAACCCTTCCATTTCATTCCTGAGTGACCTTTTGGCTGGAGGCTCTCTTGGCATTGCAAAGATTAAGAGTGTCTCCACAGGTCTGTTTCAGGATTCCCAAGAGAATTTGAGGCATAAGGCTGAGAAAATGAGTTTTAAGATTCAGTGCTTGGAATATTTTTCCTCAACATGTCATCCTGAATCTAGAATTTCTGAAGAAGATCCATGATATCAGCTAATTTGGGCAACCTTGGTATCTTCCTTTACCATTCAACTTGTGAAGTGTCATAAAAGGGCCATATCCTAAATGGCTCCCAAGTGGGCTGTTGGGCCAAGATTTTGGTGTTCAAGTAGGCCATCTTGTGTTTCACTCCGTAGGGAATTGTGATCATACCCAACAGATGTGTAGCTTCAAAAAAGCAAAGGGTGGTAGGCTTTAGAAATATCCATCTGTTGAACATTTTTCCTTTCATCTGCAGGATAGATAAAGACCGTGTGAACGGTCCTACCCAGCCCCACACAAGATTATAGCCACATTTCTTCTCATGAACAGAAGAGTGAAGGCAAGTGAGGGACATTTGAAAAATGGCTGGCAGTACCTAGGTCAGGTTGTTGGAAGCTTTTTGGGCTCTCATTCTGGGATTAAGTTATGTTGGAAAGCAAGGCCAGCCCCTTTCCTCCCTCAACAGATGGAGATCAAAAGACAGTGTCAGCCTAACCATCCACAAATCTCTCCAGTGTTTGACACTCACTATCAACAAATTCCATCTCTCTGTGAGGGAGGCAGCAATCTGAAACAGCCTTATTAGGCCACAGGGCTTGGGGACTGGGGTGGTCTCTGCATCCTATGGCCACTTTTCATTTGGAATCATTTGGTCTACTAAACCTCTCCATTTATTAAAAAAAAAAAAATTGAGACTATGATGAGACTTTCACATGACAGAGTTTCTAGGCTGAAAAGAAATGGCCACAGAATGATGGGCCATTTTCTTCCTCACATCCTGTCACACAAATACACTCAAATTTCCCTTTTCCCTGTCTCCCCTCTCTCTCCCTTCTGTCTCTTCCTTCCTTCCTCCCTCCCTCCTTCCCTTCCCTTCCCCTTCCCTCCTTCCTTCCTTCTCTCCCTCCTTCCTTCCTTCTTCCCTTCCTCCATTCCTCCCTCCCTCCTTCCCTCCCTCTCTCCTTTCCTCCATTCTTTCCTTTCCTTCTCCTCCCTCCCTCTTTCCTCTTCTTCCTTCTCTCCTCCCCTGTCTTCCTTCTTTCCTTTCTCTTTTTCTTTCATTTTAAAAATACTTTAGCCTGCAGAGGCTCACCCAGTTTAATTTCAGCAAGTTCACAAGCCTGAGATGTTTCTCTCTTTCTCACCTTTTCCCCTGTTAGCACTTACTGGATTCTCCAAAATGGCTATTACAGTTTAAGCAGACACAGAGGGGGAAAATCCATATTTTTGTGACTTACATAAGGAGTTTGAGCCTTGACAAAGTACTCAGTAAGTCTTGAGTTTGCCTCTAATAGTATATAGCTGAAGGAGTCTCTGAAATGACAGGATTTATGGAGGTGCCTAGAAGTACATTCAATAAGGAGGAAAAACACCAGATCCATTCTGAAATCTTCTCACCCACCAGCCGGTTGCCTATTACAGGGCATTGTTAGTGCAGCAACTTATGTATAGTAAATAATCAGCCCCTAACTTGTTCAATAGTATATTGTGGATTTTTTTTCAAATGGAGCCCCCTTTTGGGGTAACATTTATGACTTATGAAAGAATCCTTTGCTCTGTTTCATCAGAATCATCAGTTCTTATTGAGGTTCATATTGATCAAGGGTATTTTTCTTCAGAGAGTGGGGATGTACCTCCAAGCAGCTAATTAGATTAGTAGCACCAACATTACCATCAAAGAGGAAGATAACTGAGTATTGCCTGATTTTAGTACAGCTACCACAGGATGCTCCAGAGACACTACTTAACGTCAAAATAGAAGGGAAGAGAGAGCAAGAGAGAGTATACAAGGAAGTACACAAGAGAACTCAGGCTTCATGGACTTCTGAGCACACAGCTAGCTAGGGTATTGGGACCACCCAGAGATACCCCGTCAGCCCCTGCATTCCCCACAAAGGATGTTATGATAAGCCCTTGGAATTTGTCAGGGGACCCTGCGAGGTTATCTAATGATCCTGGAATCCCCTGTACAGTTCCCACACCAAATAGCTATACTTCCTCTCCTTGGACTATTCCAATAGTAGGGTCGTCACCACCAGAGATGGTTTCACACTCTTGAATGGCTCTGAAAAGGATTTTTTTTCATTTATTCAGGCTCTCAGTTTCATTTATTGAGCTTATACTATATGACAGGCAGTGTACTTTGTACTGGGGATACAGCAGTGGATGAAACAAATGGGTTCCCTGCCCTCCTGGGGTTTCCATTCTAGTGAGGAGATAGATAATAAAGGAACAGAACTTTCTCCACCCAGCTCTATCACTCTGTATGCCTTTGCCCATGGGTTTGTGGTGCCCAAAATGTAACCCAATGACTTGGGAGGGTTTTGCTTGATTTATGAGGTCAGGGCAGAACTCCTTTATTCCGAAGACTAGACTCTTATGAATGCAACTTACAACAATTTTTGCTTTTTGTTTCACTGGTGATATGGTTTGGATTTGTGTCTCTGTCCAAATCTCGTGTCAGATTGGAAGAGGGTCCTAGTTGGAGGTGATTGGATCACGAGGTGGATTTCTCCCTTGCTGTTGTCCTGATACTGAGTGAGTTCTCACGAGGTCTGATGGTTTAAAAGTGTGTGGCACTTTCCCTGTTGCTCTCTCTCTCTCTCTCTCTCTCTCCTGTTCTACCATGGTAAGACGTGCTTGCTTCCTCTTCACCTTCCGCCATGACTGTACGTTTCCTGAGGCCTCCCAGTCATGCTTCCTGTTAAGCCTGTGGAACTATGAGTCAATTAAACCCCTTTTCTTCATAAATTACCCAGTCTTAGGTAGTTGTTTATAGCAGTGTGAAAACGGACTAATACAACTGGTCGCATCATACATTGACTTACAGTGACCTGACTGTCAACAGACACTCCTAAGCCTTCCCCCCTGTTCCCCACTTTTAAACATGTTTTACCATTAGGTCAGTTTTCTCCTGTTTTATATTAGTGCAATTGATTTTTTTGGACCAAATTATAACATTTTACATTTATTTCTGTTAAATATTATTTTGCTAAAAATACTCTGTCATGCCAGTCTATTGATCTAGTTTGTGATTTAGGAGGACAGAAAGTCCTTTGCATTTACTCAGGGGTCTGTTTATAAAACTTATAACACTGGGCTATCACAGAGAGAAACTTGGTCTTAGCCAAAAGTTGAAGGCCTGACACCCAAGATGTCATAGGAGTTTCACCTCATGGGGTTAAAAATTTTTTTAACAAATGAAGAAGCAAGGCAATCACATTATGCTTTGGCTCAGTAAAATAATGCAAGGAACTCCCAAGCATGTTACAGATAACAGCCTTCTCAGAAAGATCCCCAACTGCTCACCATATGGTTGAATTGGGGCTGGGAACTTGAAACCTGCAGGGTCTTTGTTAGGTTAGAATGGGGGAAGGGAGTTTGCAGAGACCAAATCCTCAAGGCAATGGGTCATGATTGGCAAAGGTGCCCGTGACTGCTTGCTCTTGGTATGAGTTGCATGAGCTAAGGCATCTCCTTGTCTTATTTGCATGGCAGGGCTGGAGGCTACACTGTGACTTGGCATTCATGGGACAACAAAATGACCAGTCATTCTGTGTTCCATGGAGGCCAGTCAGAGCAGGTTCCTTGGTGGTGTGCTCAGGGACTGGGATCCAGTGGCTTGTGAACTCAGCCAGCTAGGCAGGCTGGCAAGATGGGCAAGCACCCCAAACCTCACCCACTCCCATTCCCACCCCCACCCAGCTCCACATTCTTGAGGTTTTAGTTCACCAGACCTGAATGAGAGACTGACTGCCTGACTGCTAATTATTCCTGGAAATGGCATGATATGAAGTCTGCAAACATTTTCTGCAAACATTGACCCACAAGAGGCAAGCTGTTGAGTTCTGGAAGCTAGGAGGCAGGAGGTGGGAGGGGGCTTGGGAGGCATTCCTCAGGCATGAGGCAGTTGGGTCCCTTTGCCTGCTGGATTTCTGCTGTAAGGTCAGCAGGAAACAGATGCATGGAGGACAGTCCCCAGGGTGGCATGGGACCACCCAGGGGTGTTGGGCTTTTCAGGTGAACATAGAAGGCTGGGCTGGGAGCTCCCAGGTAGCAAGAGCCAGATTGTTGGTGCCTTTCTGTTGTCAAAAAAAAAAGTTTCAGCTGCCACCCAGCCAAACTTTGCTTGCACACATGTTTTCCAGAGACAGAGACAAAAATGTGTTTCTCAGGGTGGGGGTGGGGTGGGGAGACTGGAGTGACAGTTACATTAGCCGTATGCAGAGCCATCCTCATCACCTCGGCATTTCCTGGAGATGGTTGCAGCCTCCTGTGAACCCCAGCCAAGGTTCTTTCGAGATCCAGGGCAAGCCCCATGGCCAAGAGCAGACTGGCCTGACTCAGAGGGAGAAACAGGAGACTTCGGGGAGAGTAGCCGGGCTGTGTACGGCCCCTCCACCGCCAAGCCCACCACCCGCTTCAGCCTTGTCTTCCGCTACTGCGGACCTCCAGCTCCAGAAACACCAAGCTGCCCCAGCATCCCGCTCACACCAGGCAGTTCTCAGCCACTCTACCACTGCTCATGCCCCTTTCCCCATCCCAAGTGCTCTTTCCCCACTGCTTCCCTCTCCTAACTCCTACCCATTCTGCAAGGCTCCCCTCCGGGATCACCTCATTTGGAAAGCCTTCCTGTATTCCGTCTGTCTGAGTTTGGCCTTCTCCTCTGTGCTCCCCCACCAAGTGTTGTGTTTTCTCCAACCACAGCATTTCTCACTCTAGAGAATAAGAGCTCACACCCATCTCCAGCTTACAATGCGCAAGTCACTGTTCTACCTTCTTTACACATATTAACATCAGTATCTTGATTTTATTGATGAGGGCCCTGGGAAATTCAGAGGTTAAGTAACTTGCCCAACATCACACGGCTAGGGAATGATGAAATCAGGATTTGAACCCAAGCTTTCTGGCTCCAAAATATATCCCACTGGAAAGTGAACTCTTTGAGGGCAGGTGAGTCAAATCATCCCTGAATTCTCAGAGTGGGCACTCCAGAGATGTGGGCGGACTTAATTGAACCACATGAAACTAGGAAGACCATAGGGAAGATCCTGGAAAGATGGGATGGGCCAGAAAAAGAGGTAACCCCTAATAACTCACACACCTCTCCCTCCTGCCCTTGTGGATGGGTATTCAGGCCTAACAGATCCTGCTGTGGGTGATTTCCAGGAACCACAAAGGCCAGAACAATGCCGAAGGCCCCACGTTGGGAGGCAGCCTCTGGGAGGCCATTTTCAAAGGCCAGACCCATTTTCGCTGGGCCTGCCTGCTCTGTTGCCACCCAGTGTAGCCACTACTTCTCATTTGGTTTTGGTTAAAGACCACAATGTACTTGCTCACTGGGGGAGGTGGGTAGGGTGGGAGAGGGCTTGGCTCCTCTTTGTGTGGAGTGTTCACACTTAGCCCATCCTGCCCCAATCTCAGGGAAATTTGGGGAGGCCAGAAGGAAGTCTTTCCCGGTCCTAGAATTTTCTGTCTTCAGCCTTGAAACCTTTGTGTGAAAGCTTCACCTGTGTGGAATTCCTATAGACAAGTGTGAGCTGGCCATTATGGCCGGATTTAGACCCATCACTAGTCCTTCCCAGGGCCCTTAGAGGCCCTTTTGAGGAAAAAAGCAGACATCCCTTAAAAAAATAAAACTAGAACATGATGCCCAGGATCCAGAATACTGAATTATAAGTCTGAGCATCCAACTCTAGACAGAGTGACTCTGGGTGTGGGTGCTGGAGTAAGACTGAATGGACTGACATCTTAGCCCTACCATTTCATAGATGTGTGACTTTAGGTTTAGAGTTGTGCAACCATCATCACTAGTTCCAGAATATTGTCATTACTCCAGAAAGAAACTGTACCCATTAAACAGTCCTTCCCATTCTCTCCCCACTCCATCCTCTGGCAGTTCCTAATCTCTTTCTGTCTGTATGGATTTGCCTATTCTGGATATCTCATATAAATGGAATCGTGTATATGTGATCTTTGTGTCTGGCTTCTTTCACTTAGCATCATGTTTTCAAGGTTCATCCATGTTGTAGTATGCATTAGTCCTTCATTCCTGTTTATGGCTGAATAATATGACTATACCACATTTTGTTTATCCATTTGTCTGTTGATGGGCATTTGGGTTGTTTCCACTTTATGGCTATTGAGAATACTGCTGCTATGAACATTCGTGTACAAGTGTTTATGTGGATCTATGTTCAATTCTCCTGGATGTGTATGTACCTAGGAGTGGAATTGCTGGATCATAGGGTAACTCCACAGTTAACTTTTTTTTTTTTTTTGAGACAAGGTCTTGTTCTGTCACTTAGGCTAGAGTGCAGTGGTGGGGCCTTGGCTCACTGCAGCCTCAAACTCCTAGTCTCCAGAGTCCTTCTGCTTCAGCCTCCTGAGTAGCTGGGACTACAGGCATGCACCACCACACCCAGCTATTTAAAAAAATTTTTTTTTTATAGAGATGGGGGTCTCCCTGCATAGCCCAGGCGGATCTCAAACTCCTGCCTTCAAGTAATCTTACTGCCTTGACCTCTCAAAGTGCTGGGATTACAGGTGTGAGCCACTGTGCCTGGTCCATGTTTAACTTTTTGAGGAACTGCCAAACTGTTTTTCAAAGCAGCTGCATATTACAACCCCATCAGCAATGCATAAGGGTTCTGATTTCTCCACATTCTCACCGTCAGTTGTTATTTTGCATTGTATTTTTTATTACAGCCATCCTAATAGGTGTGAGGTAGTACCTCACTGTAGCTTGGAATTGCATTACCCTAATTATTGATGTCGAGCATATTTTTATGTGCTCCATTGGCCATTCATGTATCTTCTTTGGAAGACAGTCTGTTCAGATCCTTTGATCATTTTTAATTGGGTTATTTGTCTTTTTGCTTTATGGAGTCTTAAGTGTTTTGCATGTAATCTAGATACAAGTCTCTTATGAGATATGTAATTTCCAAAATTTTTCTCTCATTCCATGGGTGGTCTCTTCACTTTTTTGGTTGTGTGCTTTGAAGCAGAAAGCCTTTTAATTTTCATGAAGTCTCCATTTCATCAAAGAAAAAATAGATGTACTTTTTCCATGGTTGCTTGTGCTTTTGGTGTCAAATCTAAGATTTACACGTATGTTTATTTCTAAGAGCTTTATAGTTTGGGCTCTTGCATTTTGACCTTTGATATACTTTTATTTAATTTTTGCACATGGTGTAAGATAAAGGTCCAGTTCCATTCTTTTGCATGTGGATATCCAGTTGTCCCAGCACCATTTGTTTAAAAGACTATCCTTTCCCCTATTGAATTGTCTTGATGCCCTTGTTGAAAGTAAATTGACCATAAACGTGAGGGTTTATTTCTGGTCCACAACATTTTTAACTGACAGAAAAGAATGATCAGATATGGAGGGCCTACAATAGTCCCAATATCTCAGCCTAGCACACCCAGAAGCCTCTTATCCCTCCATCCACTCAGTAGAGAAAGGATCATTGCCCAGGGAAATGGTGGTCACCAACATTAGGTCTAATGACTCAACCTGGAAGGAGATCATGTGGAAAAGTTACACGTATTTGCAGAACCAACCTTCCTTTCTCTGGAAAGTTAGGCTTCAGTGTAGACCTCCATTCCTCTTTCTGAGCATGCCGTCATGAGTTTAAGAAAAGTCTTTTCTCCTTTCCCCTTAGCTGGGAAGTTCATCCCATGTTCACCCTCCTAAGACTGCCCACTCTCGGTTTAAGCTATAGTTAGAGCCCAGAATTTCAGAAATCAGAGAGGTTTGGTTTCATTTTTTTTTTCTCGAAGGAAAAATGCTCTTGCTTGCATCTTCTTTGCCGGTCACACAGCTTCACACTTTGGGCAGTCCCCCAGCAAGTTGGCAATGGACTTATTCTGGACACGTCCTTCCTGCTTTTGCTGGGAAGTGAGCACCTCACAGTTGCAGCAGACTGCCCAGGACAGAAAGGGAACATGACCTCCCACTAGCTTTGGCCCTACCTAGCAACTGACGATCCTGACTCGTGCCTTCAGGAGATTCTTGACCTCTTGACTATAAGGTTTCCTGAGTTAGGGAAGGCAGAATGGCAGAGTGCAAAGGAGACGAGCTTTGATACCAGACAGCCTGGGTTTGAGTCCCCGATTCTGCGTTTGCTTGCTATGGCAGACACAGAGATGCACTGCTTAGATCCCCTGTCAAGAAAGAACCCGTTGACCAGCTGAAAGGAGTGTGGTTACTTGACAGTCTCCAGCTGTTAGCTCCTTCAGGGTCTGCCTCAGCTTTTGAGCCAAGGTCATGCTGTTCTTGAGGTGGCCCCTAGCCAATGACTGATGAAGGAGGTGATACAAGGCCCATTTCCACCACCCAGAAGACTCCTCTAAAAGGCAGTATTTGCTCCAGAGCTCCCTGTTGGGCACAGACTTTGACAGGTCTGCATCATGCTCTGGGCTCCTCTTGCCTGGTCCTGCTTTCTCCCCTTTTCTTTCACAGGTATTTCCCGCTAAACCTCTTGCACTCCCACCTGTCAGAGCATCTGCTTCACAGAGAACTCAACCTGTCGTCTCTCAGCTTGTGTCTTCTCCCCTGTGACAGGGGAATAATGGCATCATCCCACAGGGTTGGTAAAAAGATTAGAACTAAGTAAAATACCTGCCACAAAGGAGGCATTCCATCAAAGGGAGCTGTTACTACTAGGGAATCTATCATTTCCATGGCTATATCCTAACTTTTAAATGAAATAGAAGTACCCATTATAATCCAAACCTAGAAATAGTCTCAATGCCCATCAACAGAAGAATGGATAAATACATTGTGCTGGGTCCATACAATGGAATTCTAATCAGCAATAAAATGGGTAAATCTCATCAGCATTAGATTGAGCTAAAGAAACCAGACACACAAAAAATACATGTTGTATGATGCCATTTCTCTGAAGTGCAAGAATAGACAGAACTAATGAGTGATGATAAAGGCCAGTGACTCAGTGGTGACCCTTAGGGGATAATGACCAGGGGCATGAGGGAACCTTCTAAGAAGCTGGAAATGTTCTCTATCTTGATCTAGATTCTGGTTATATCACTCACACACACACAAACACACATACACACAAACACACACACACACAAACACACTCACATACACACACACACACACACACACACTCCAAAATCACAAAGCTTGCAATTAAGGTTAATACACTTTATGCACCTACCTATGTATGTTATGGCTGCATTTTTACAAATGGAAATATAGCGGGGAGTTTTTTATTTTTAATTAGCATATGTACAAGTTAAGTTTTTTAAATTTAGAAAATCCAGAAAAATAGAAAGAAAAAAATCTCCTATGGCCCCATCTCCCAAAGATACCCAGTAGAGACATTTTAGATATTGCATTGCATTCTCTAGCCCTCTTGGCTCTACTTCTCTATGGTCCTGCTCTGGCTCATGGAGAAAGGAAGTTCCACCACCATTTCCACCTTCTTGGAAATAGTGCTTCTCACCTCTCTTTCACTCCTTCCCTCAGATAAAACCTGAAGCTTAATAGTGCCAAAATGTCAACGTCCTCATCTGCACATCACCTTGCACTGCATCTTCTGGGCCTCTGGCTCCCTTTCTGGACAGCCAGGTCAGGAAGCCAGGTTCACTGTGTCTTCTGCTTTTGCAGGAGTTGACATGCTAACTCAGGCCCCAAAGGACTTTCTGATGGGAATGTACCTGATGCTCCCCAAAGCTGAAGTGGTGCAGGCTCAGAGCAGTCAGAGCAGCCAAGCTTTTTGCCTGGCAGTTGTGTGAATTATGAGAGAAAGGCATCTTCCAGCTTGCTTAGATGACCACAAGCTGTCAAAGTGACCCTGTAGGAAATGTCTCAAGGCAGAATATAATCAAAACCAGGCATGTAAAAAACTGGGGCTTTCTTTCTAGACTGCTGGTTCTCAAAGTGTGGCTCCCAGACCAACAGCATCAGCATTAGCATCTCCGGGGAACTGATTAGAAATGCAAATTGGGGCCCCCACCAGGGACCTAGTGAAAGAAACTCTGGGAGTGGGACCCAGTCATCTGTGTTTTAACAGGCCCTCCAGGTGATTCTGAGGCACCCTTAAGTTTGAGAGCCTCTGTTCTAGAGGTTTCTAAATTCCACTGCCAGAGAAAGCAAGGATGCATTCACATGTGCTCTGCTCATGTGCATAACCAGTGTCCTGTGTCCTTGGTATGACTTAGAGGCACACGCCAGGTCCATATAACTTCAAAGTCTCTTGTTCTTTATATCCTGAACCCAAGGAAACACATTTCTTTTCTTTTTTTTTTTCTGTTAGCAGAGCAAAGATGAAATATAGCCCAATGTTCCCTCAACAAAAAGATTTATTAATTTGTACTAATGACTGTTTAGAGAAAAACATAAAAACCAATGTCCTTGTTGAATGCTCCTTGATGGCAAAATGTGGATGTTATCTGTAAAATCAACAAATTTGTCACCAAAGTGAAATGTTATCTTTTCCTGAAGACTTTCCCAGGCAGCTGAAGGCCTCAAGGACTAGACAGCCTCCCCCATCACCATGATCAAATGAAGAGGGTTAGAACTTGCAGCCGTAACTCAAATGCCTTAAGATGGCTCAGATGTGTGTTTGTTTTCAGGTTAGGAACTTTGCTCAGAACCCCTGAAGAAAAGGAACCATGAACCTATTCAAAGACTCAAAGAATCCTCTCAGACCTATGCCCCTTCTTACCAGTGTGTTCTGGTAAATGCTTAACAATCTGCACGTGTGCACACGTGCACGCGCGTGCGCGCACACACACACACACATATCTTTATTTTAAATGTGTGGCACGTGATCCAAAAATAATAAAATATACAATATTCATTCTTGTAAATTTCATACAGCTAATTAACATTCATACTCATGCCTTAGTTGATTTTTACCTAACTCTTGTATCCATATCCAACCTAAGGTGGCAATTAACAAACAAGCATGGTTCTGACATAAGTATTGGTTGATACATTGGTTTACATTTATGAATAAGACAAAAGCAAAACAACAAAATGCATGTCAAAATTTCTCTGATTCACATAGTGACATAAATGACTTCTTTACTAAATCAGATAATCATCTTTAAATACTGGAAGGATATTTCCTCAAATTTTTTGTGCTGTTTACAATGTAACAGCTACTGAGACAACACAATTTTTAAGTTTCAGCTGCACTATTAACATTTCCTCCATCTTTCTTAAGCCTAGATCAGGGGTCGTCAAACATATTTTGTTAAAGAGCCAGATAGTAAATATTTTAGGCTTTTTGTTTGTTTGTTTGAGACAGGATCTCGCTCTGTCACCAAGGCTGGAGTGTAGTGGCATGATCTCGGCTCATTGCAAACTCTGCCTCCCAAGTTCAAGCAATTCTCCTGCCTCAGCCTCCCAAGTAGTTGGGACTACAGTCGTGCACCACTATGCCTGGATACTTTTTATTATTTTGTAGAGATGAGGTTTTATCATGTTGAGCAGGCTAGTCTCGAACTCCTGGGCTCGAGCAATCCACCTGCTTCAGCTTCCCAAAGTGCTGAGATTACAGGCATGAGCCACTGCGCCTGGCTAAGCATTTCAGGCTTTGTAGCCACATAGTCATTTTTTTTACAACCCTTTAAAAATGTAAAAATCATCCTTTGCTTGTGGGCTACACAAAAACAGACTGTGGGGAAAGTTCTCAACTCTTGGTCAAGACAATCAACACAACAATAGATTAAGCACTGCTTTGTAGCATTTGCTAGTTTCCCTGACATAAATAGTCCTACCATGGCCAACTTCAGGCTACACAACTTGATGTCACAGAATGTGGAGTTGGGAAGAGATGTCCAGTGGCAGAACATTATATAGTATTTCCAGTATACTGATATAAAAGATATAAGTAACCTCAAGAGCATGGATAATAGCAAAGTGTAGTCAAATAATTAGAAAGGGATGAGTTTCGCATATGTATTAGCTTTGTGGGTTTTTTTGGTTTTGTTTTTTGAGACAGGGTCTCATTCTGTCACCCAGGCTGGAGTGCAGTGGCATGATCATAGCTCACTGCAGCCTTGACCTCCTGGGCTCAAACGATCCTCCTGCCTCAGCTGGGACCACAGGTGTGTGGCACCACACCCAGCTAATTTTTTAAAAATTATGTTTTGTAGAGATATGGTCTCCCTATGTTGCCCAGGCTGGTCTGGAACTCCTCAGCTTGAGTGATCCTCCCACCTCAGCCTCCTAAAGTGTTGGGATTACAGGCATGAGCCACCACACCTAGCCAAGCTTTGTTTTTCATATAATTTATTTTATTGCAAGGTTATATAATTTAATTTCTAATAATGGCTGAATTTAACAACTCAGCTCTCAAAATTAATTTGTCTCTTGTAAGTTGGTATGAGCACACCATTGTGACCATAACAAATTTCAACCTGTCTTTTTTTGTTGGGGAGTAGGTAAAAAGAGAATCTTCACTCAATTTGGTCCATTATTCCTTGTAACAAAAGAATTTACTACAGGGTTTCTTTGAAGCTGGGAGTTTCCCTGGCTCTTCTAAAATAGGAAATGATTTTAGATGTTATTTTTACGTATTTTCAAAAAGAGGTCTGTCTCTATTCTCAACTGCTTCCTGACCACCTTTTGCTTCCAAATAATGAAAACTATTTAAAGGAAAAAGGAACTACTGTAGTGTGGTTTTAAGAAAAGCACATACTTTGCTCTTTCAGAAGTAGTTACACAATACTTCTGCCCATAAACTGGGGAAGAGTTAAAATAGCTTTCCAAGGCTCCTCCCAGGGCTGTGATTTTCCTCTCATCTGCTCAGGTAATGCCACTCATGGTGCTCATTCATTTATTCAGCTATTTGAGCATCTACCAACTGCCCGCCAGTGTGCTGAGCCCCAGGGACACAGCAGAACGCGAGAGAGACATGGCCCCTGCTGAATAAGTAATTACGCAGATCATTATTTACTTATACTTTACATTAGTACCTTAAAGGAGAGCATATAACATAGCGGCCTGATCTATTCTGGGAGATTCAGGATGTGGCATTTAACCTGACACCTGAAGAATGAGTAGAAAGCCATGCCAAGGAAGAGGCAAAAAGAAGTAGAACACCCTTCCTTCCAGGTGATGGGGACATCCTATAGGATGCTTGCCCAAAGCACAGGTACACATACAATACATACACAGATACACAGCATCTCTTTGGTATTAAAATTTAATGGGGGGAGAAATTAGAAAAAAAAAAGACGTCTAAAAAGGCTCCTGGGATGAAGGGGATGATAATTTTTTTAAAACAACATTGAGAAACATTGGTTTATATAAACAACTTGGTGCTCTTGAGCTATTATCACAGCAGTGGCAGAGCTAAGAGGCTGACTCCTCTCATGAGGACTAGCTACAGACCTGCAGGCTCCAGAGGCTGATACTAAGACAGGAAGTTAGAGGACTCATGGTTTCCCACAACTCCAGAAAATATCCTCTGTTATCTTTCAAATACTGCCTCTTCTCATTCTCTCTCTTCCCTCCTTCTGGAACTCCAACTGGACACTTACTGGAACTTCTCATTCTGTCCTCCATGTAGCTTAGCTTTCCTTTCTTATTTTTCATCTCTTTATTCCTCTGCTCTGCATCTGGATAATTTCCTCAGCTCTATCTTCTGGTTCACTCATTCTCTCATCAACTGTGTTTAGTTTGTTGTTTAATCCCTCTGTTGAGTGTTCTTTTTTCCATTGCAATGCCTATATTTCGGTTCTTTTTTGCATTCACCTGTATTTTTCAAACTATTCTATTCTTGCCTTCTAGTTTCTATTCCTTTTTAAAACCTCTTTCGGCCAGGCATGGTGGCTCACGCCTGTAATCCCAGCACTTTGGGAGGCTGAGGCGGGTGGATCACCCGAGGTCAGGAGTTCAAGACCAGCCTGGCCAACATGATGAAATCCTATCTCTACTAAAAAATACAAAAATTAGCTGGGCATGATGGCAGGCACCTGTAATCCCAGCTACTCAGGAGGCTGAGGCAGAAGAATCGCTTGAACCCAGGAGGCGGAGGTTGCAGTGAGCTGAGATCGCACCATTGCACTCCAGCCTGGGTGATAGAGCAATACTCTGTCTCAAAAAAAAAAAAAAAATCTTTGAACATTTTCAGCATACTTATTTTAAAATCCCTTTTAGATTTTCTTATTAGCTGTGGTTCTTAAGGTATGAATTCTTCCATTGGTTGCACTGGTCTTATGGTGGTTTATTTCCTCACGGACTTAGTAAGTTCTAGCTATGCATTCATCCTGAGTCATAGATACAAACACAGATTCATGTGCTATATACCACCTGGGTTTGAATTCTGGCTCTGCCACTTAGTACCTGTGTGACCTTAGGTAAGTTATTTAATCTCTCTGTTCTTCAGTTTCAGTATCTGGAAATCAGGGCTGTTCTACAAATGAGTTATTAGGTTGGTGGAAAATGATTGCAGTTTTTGCCACTAATTTCAACGGCAAAAACCGCAATTACTTTTGCATCAACCTAAATAATATAAGCCAAGCACTTAGGACAGCATCTGGCACATAATTAAGCACTTGGCTAGTGTAATTACTGTTATTTGGCAGGAATTGTTTTACCTTGGAGTCTTATGTACTTTGGGTTATGTGACTGCCTACTCTCAGCTCAAAGTGGCCAGTACACTTCTGAACTGTGTTTTTTCCCCCATCCCCACTTATGGGCCAGCACTTACCACTACTGACTTTCCATAGGAGCTCAGATTCCACTCCCGTTCCCACCCTGCCATTCAAACCCTTCGCCCAGGATATGTGACCACCTTTGGTTCTTCTGTGGGCTGTGTAGTTGCTGCTGTGGCTTTGAGCTCCCTCTTCATTTCTGGCACTAGAATATGTTTATTTTTGCTTTTGCTCTCTACAACATATTTAAATTTTTGAAAAAACAATGTGTTTTGAGCAGGGGAGGAGCTTCCTGCAACAGCTCAGGCAACCATACTGACCAGTAATCCCTAAAAATTCTTTCTTTTTTTTTTAAATTTTAAGTTCCGGGGTACATGTGCAGGATGTGCAGGTTTGTTATGTAAGTAAACATGTGCCATGGTGGTTTGCTGCATCGATCAACCCATCACCTACATATTAAGCCCAGCATGCATCAGCTATTTTTCCTGATGCTTTCCACCCGCCACAGCCCCCCAAGAGGCCACAGTGTGTGTTTTCCCCTCCCTGGGTCCATGTGTTCTCATTCTCCCTGAGCATTCTTCCTGAAGAGGCTTACCTCTCATTTGGCAGTGGGCTCCTTGAGAGAACTGGGGACAAAGGCTGGATTCCTGGTGGGAAGGGACATATATTATTTGTTTTTGTATTCCCTATGCCTGATATGTGTTTACTGAGTAAAGACACGAAAGACTGCCTTGGCAACAGCAAGCACTACAAGTGGCCAGCTCACTGCTTGATTTCTCTAAGAATTACCACCACCATGTTGTAACCCTCCTCCCCGCCCTTCTTCCTGTGAATGAGTTCTGTCAAGGTGACATGGCTTCTAACACATGACAGTAGGTATCATTCAATCACTGATGATCTCAAGGGTGAGTAGCTTTCTTTTACTCTGTAAACAAAATGCCAAACTGGGAAATGCTGCAGAGGCCACATATTATTCTGACTTTCAGAGTGTTGTTTCGAAAGCACCAGAGTAAAATGTTAAGCAGGTAGCTGATGCAATCTGGCAAAGTCAGTATATAGCTCTATTTATATAAAGACACACACATATATCAGACCATCAGAAGGATTTGTATAAAGAGTGACTCTCCTATGAAGGTAAAGGCCACCCCTCTTCAGTTCCAGTGACTGAGATACATTTTTCCAATCCTGGGGGCAAATACAGACACAGCAAGTTCCTTCTTCCCTTTGGAAATTTGGCAGGTAAGTCAAGTCTGTCTCTGTTGCCACATTCTCTCGAGATTTTATGACTGTGCACATGGCCTGTGTGAAAGCTTCGCTTAGGTCACCTTATGCCTTGGCAGCCAGCATGGTGTATGACGATTCAGGAAGACCCTGGTGTTTCCCAGATGGGGCCAGATCTGGCCATGCAATTATTGCCCTCCAGCTGGGAAATGTGACATGGGGGTGATGAAGTGGCTGCTGAGAAGGAGGCAGTTAGACTCTGAATTTGGTCTGTTCTTTATTTAAATCTAAAGATTGAACACACACACACATAGATCTAAAATCAATATCATACATTCACACACACACACACTCACACATGCACCACTCCCCAACTGCACAGGGTATTTTTTAGGGATTCATGTGGGATTCCCCTACACATATTTCCCAGTCTAACTGCCTATTCTTTCCCCTGTTTACTTGCCATCTCATCATTCTCTCTTCCTTTACTCTCCTACTTATCTTTATCATTGCTTTTAGCTGTGTGTTCCTATTAACCCAGATGATCAGTTTCAGACTCTTTGAGAAAGAGACAGGGACCCTAAATCCATTGTGAGCTGCTTTGTCTCATTCTCTCCCATGACCACAGAGAGGCATGTCTCTGGACCTTGATTCTGAGAGGAAACAGATTCACAGAAACTACACCACCACTGGTAGCACAATGTTACTCTCAGGGTGGACATTCTCATTTATAAAAAGAGTAGTAGAATAAATTGCATTCTAATCCCAGCAGCTCTAATAACTTGTCCTTCTTTCTATCAATATACTGATCACTGTTACTACAGAGGCAGCAGGGAACAAATATGGGCTCTGTATTTAAACAAACTTGGGTTCAAGTTCCAGCTTCAGCAGTTAATAGCTGAGTGACACTGGGCAAGTTGCTTATCCTCTCTGATCTTCTGTTTCTTTATCTGCTTAATTGGCATCAAATAGAATATACAGACAGTCCCCAACTTGCAATGGTTTGGCTTGCAATTTTTTGACATTATGACGGGCTTATTAGGGTACTGAATGCATTTTTGATTTATGATATTTTTGATTTGTGATGGTTTTATCGGGACATAGCCCCATCATAAGTCAAGGAGCATCCGTATGTTCAAGGTGCTGGATACATAATTGGTGCTCTATAAATAGGTGGAATTACTATGATTATTTGGATGATGGTCGCAACCCTTGGTCCTTCCTGTCTCACTGGAGTTAGAGACAATCAGAGTTAAAGGAGGACTCTAAAGATGAACAAAGCATCTTCTCACGGTCAAGTGACAGCTCGGAGCTGCTGGATGCTCAGCATAGCACTAGCTCTCTAACAGGCTCTAGGAGAAACAATGGGTAGATCTACTCCTGCTCTCAAGGGGCCCTGGCCATCCAAATGAGCAGATAAGATGAAAATGTCTACAAATGTTAAAAAAGAAAAAAAAAAGGCTGGGCATGGTGGTTCATTTCTGTAATCCCAACACTTCGGGAAGCTGAGGCAGGAGGATTACTTAAGCCCAGGAGTTCAAGACCAGCCTGAGCAATGTAGGGAGACACCGTCTCTACAAAAACTAAAAATAAAATATCCAGGCTTGGTGGGGCACACCTGTGGTCCTAGCTACTCAGGAGGCTGAGATGGGAGGATCACTTGAGCCCAGGAGATCGAAGCTGCAGTGAGCCATCATCACTCCACTGCACTCCAGCCTGGGGGACAGAGCACAACCGCATCTCAAAAAAGAAAAGAAAAAAAGAGGAAAATGTAAATATGAGTGGGCAATAAGACTAGTATCTGCTAAATTCTTCCCTATAGACCACAAGTGCTATGGAAATTCAGAGAGGGGGTGCTGCTGTGAATAAGAAGTCCTCCTGGAGGAGGCAAGGCTTCAGCTGAGACTTAAAGAAAGGATGAGGCTTGGAGTGACCCCTAGAAAAGGTGGGAGCTCTGTGGGCAAATGCTGGTCAAACTTGAGAGGTAGGCACAACTGTTATTTCCAATTTACAGATAAGAAAATGGAAGGCCAGATAAGCCTAGTGACTTCTCTAAGGCCACTCAGCAAGTAATGGCAGCACTAGGATTTAGGTAGAGATCGGTCTCTGTCTGGTGTTGAAGGCTACATTCAAAGCTGGCTCTGACTGAAGAAAGATGAGAAATAGGAAATAGCCATTGATGGTTTTCCAGATAGGAGTGACGTAGAAAAGGCAGTGTGTTTTCTATATTCACAGTGCAGCAGGTGTTCAGGGGACGATTCTGGCACTAGAGGGGTCAATTAGGAGGCAGTTGCAATACTTTAGGGCTGAGGTATTGAAGGCCTGATCCAGGGTAGGGGCATGGTGGGACTAGAGAAGGCATTAAGCCATTAGGCATGTCAAAGGGCAAATTCACAGACTTGGGAACTGGCTGAATAAGGAGAAAGAAGGACAGCGGGATGATTAAAGAATCTGATATGGGAACCAGAAGACTGGGCAATGCTGCTACTAGGCATATTGGGATAGCATACTCATTTTAAGGTTGCTGTTTATATAAAACAGAGCCTGGTTTCTTTTATTATTATTGCTATTAAATCTTTTTATTTTTTTAAAAACACACATACCATAAGAAAACAGACAAATTCAGAATATGAGATATTCTACAAGACAACTAGCCTGAACTCTTCAAAAATTCAGTGTCACACACAAAAATTAGGAGCATGCACTGTTCTAGATTAAACGACACTAAAGGGACATAAGTAGATGCAATACACAAACCTTGGTTTTGGATTCTGGATTTTACAAAGCTATGAAAGACATTTGGGGAATATTGGGGCAATTTGAATATGGATTGGAAATTAGATTATATTAGGAATTATTGTTTATTTTCTTAGCTGTGATAATATATTGTGGTTAGGAGGGAGAATCTTCTTATTCTTTAAAGAGTCATTCTGAAGAATTTAGTGGGAATGTGTTATGATGCCTGTGACCTTCAAATATATGTGTGTGTGTGTGTGTGTGTGTGTGTGTGTGTAAATAGATTGACTGATAGAAACAGAACTACACAGCAACTATGTTGAAATGTTAATTGTGGAATCTTGGTGGTTATATGTATGTTCATTGTTCTACTTCTTTGATCTATTTGTACGTTTGAATTTTTTCAAAATAAAATTCAGGAAAAAATAATGCATGAACATTGTAAAAAACAACAACAACAACAGTAAAAAAGGGTATGGGGGGAACCTTTCTGCCCCAGACACCCAATACTCCTTCCCAGAAGTAACCACTGGTCACATTTCTTGAAATGTTATCTGCATTTTACAAGCCTATGTATGTGTTTGTAAATTCTGTTAATAAATAGATAGGTTCATGCTATGCATCTTTTTGTTAGCTACAAGTAGACTCTCTTATCTATTCAACTGGGAGAGTAGTTAGTTAATTAAAAATCAGTAAAAGTGGAAGTGCTTGGACCCACTAGGGAGTGGTGACCAAGTGCATCCAGAATACTGTGGGTATCAATCAGTGCATTTTACACAGGAAATGGAGAGCATCCTTTAATTGTGAGAGTTGGCCCCACAGACGTCAGCTAAGCGAGCTTCCACTGTAATGGCAGCAGCCTGCTTTTTTGTTTCACTTCAGGAGCCTTCTTGGAGGTGTTAAGAAGGCCTAGGTCTGCCAACATGGCCTCTGAGCCACTGGTAGAACCTTCAGGAATGAGAGAGGTGAGCCATTGGGCTTGGGGAGAGGTGAAGTCAGCAAGTGCATGAGGGGCCTGGGCTAGGACTCTTCTCATCTGAACCCCACAGGCACACCCTGACTGTTCCATATAACCACGTGTAGATCTGTCTCATTCTTTCAGTACAGTTATGTCTCATTCTTTCAGTACAGTTTTTAGGATGAATTGCTTTTAGGATGAGTATGGTTTTAATCATATTGTGCTTTGGGAGATGGTGGAACATCTGGGTAGAAAAAACATTGCCTAGGCTTCCTGAACTTGCCTGATCGTAAGAATCATTTGGGTATTTGTCTAACAAGCTTTCCAGCTAGGGCAGTGCTGCCATACGCAGTTGGAGAACCAGGTCTAGGGCTCCAGCGACAGGACTGCACTGACAGATGGAAGCTCCACTAATGGTGCTAGTTAAAGGCCTGAGAATAGACAGAGCAGGCAAGATGCCTGAGAAATGCTGAAGTCCAAGGATGGAGCCCACTAATTCCCATACAAGCTTCCTCCCCCAACCCCTCCCCTCCAGAGATGATTGCCTCCTCTTGCAATCGTTGGGGTCACATTTCCAAAGCATGTGCAGCTTTGAATATGAAAACCCTCCCTAACTGGCAGCACCTGGGCAAATTCAAATCACATACTTGGACATAAGACTCCTCCTTGCAAATGGGAAGGATGATTGGAAAAATGTGATTCCAGAAACCAGATCTGGACTGAACTGAAATTGCCTGAAAAATGAAAGCACTGGCACAATTAACAAAAAGGGACTGGATTCCTTTATTTATTTTATTTATTTGCAGCTAAATCCTACACAGCTTGCAGACCTTGGGAGACAGCCATCCTTTTATCATTCCTGATATGGACTTGAATTTCTAAGAAATGACTTTTTTAATGGTCTGTGGAATTGAACTCCTACTAGAAGCGGCCCTAGGACTCCCAGTCACAATGTTTTAAGAACAATCCTGAGACAAGAGCAGGAGCTCTGAGGGGCCTTGTGTGCCCACAGACCCATGAAGCCATATGCTGACCTCATATTGGTCTCTTCAGGTGTCCTAGAAAACCCAGCTCTGCATCTAACTCACCCTCTGCATTGGGACAAGGTAGAGCAAGGCCCAATGTCATTTTAGGGACCCACAATGGCAGAGGACTGCATTGGCTTGTCACACTGCCTGAAATGTTCACATTTCAGTGTGAAGCACTGACGTCCCCTGTCTTCTCTAAATCAAAGTGTCTCAGAGGTAAAGACAGGATCTCTAATTTTTTTAAGACAAGCAGCTTTTCACTTAAGGTTAAAAACCAAATGGAGAAGGGTGGGTAGTGATGTGTCTGGTTTTTGTTGTAAGCCTGGAGGGTGAGCAGGTGGTTAGGAGAGGGAAGGGTGTCAAGAAGACCCAGGCCTGCCAACATGGCCCCTGAGCCACTGGTAGAACCTTCAGGAATGAGAGAGATGAGCCATCAGGCCTGAGGAGAGGGCCTGGGGAGAGTGTATGAGGGGCCTGGGCCAGGACTCTTCTCATATATGGCCCCACAGGCACACCTGGACTGTAATGATTGTGGAATCGGGAAGCCATCACCACAGTTTCCAATTCCTTACCACTATTATTACCATGACTGTGCTGAGTGCATGTGCTTTGAATTTTCAGTGAGCCTGCTAGCCCAGGGACACTTCCACCTGCGCTGTTATGCAGTGACACAGACTGATGGACCACAGTAGCAGAGAGCAGCCGCGGACCTCACATCTGGGGGATCAGGCCTCAAGGATTTTGCATGACAGTTTATTCCAGCTCTGCCATGTCTCTTAAGAAATCCACAGTTTTGATTTTCTGTAACTGCCCCCACCCCCGCCCATGCTTTTAAAAACACATATTATGTGCCAGATGCTAGAGTAAGCATATTGGATATATCATTTATTTAATCCTCACCACAGCACTGTGAGGTAGATGTTATTGTTAACCAATTTTACAGATGTGGAAACTGAGGCACAGAGAGATTAAGTAACTTGGCCAGCACTGCTCTGCTCCAGCAGAATTTCTGGAAGTCAGCTGGCCAGCTAGACTCTTTCAGATTACTTTTCCTCACCCAAGCCCACTTCTGAATTTTCTCTCCCTATTGATTCAACCCCTGTGGTGACAGGTTTATCTTCAAATGAGGTTTCCTAGGATAGCCCTGCTATGGAGTCAACCTGACCAAGGGCCAGCTGCACCACTCACCTGGGAGCAGTTGCCTGTAGAACCAGAGAACAGAAATAACAAACTTCACTAGGGTTGGCCGCAAACCACAAGATCCTCTAGAAGGACCCCAAAATGTCCGTGAAGACCAATAGTCAGATTACTGACCATGCCGCCAGAGAAGAAAAGGGCAGCCTACCAACTATCCATCCTATTTGAGCCACGTGACTTGCCAACGTGGGTGTTTTCTGAGGAAAACCTTCAGTTCACCCAGCAATTCCAGCCTAAGCTCTTTTCCGAGTCTGCCTGAACTAACTAGATATTTGCCTCTGGGTCACTGTAACCCAAAAAGGCTTAATTAAAATCAGGAAATAGGCTCAAGTTCCTCTGCTGCAATACTATAAACTTTAGATAGGCCAAAGTAGGCTGCAAGGACACACAGGGATAAAAGGTACTTTGGATACAGCACAGTCGTCTGGGATACTCATACACACACCCACATGATACCCTCCTCCCCCCGTAGAAATTAAGAAATGAGAAAAGGAAAGTATTTGGCTCTAGGTGAGCTTCCTTTGTAAAGGCTGGAGACAATGCATTTGTCTACTGAACACATTTTGTCTGGGTATGGGGGAAGCAATCTCTCCAGCCTGAGGGTCTCAGGCAGGACTTGGCCTGGTGGGTGACTGGGGCCAAGTGGGGGATGACTGGCAGGCCGAGGGCATGAGGAGGACAGAGGAAGAAAGGGGGGAAAAAGGTGAGGGGGTGAGAGACTAGAAAGTGAAGGGAACAGGCACAGAAGGGAGAGAAGAGGGACGCCAGAGATGTTTGGAGTAGGGACAGTTGGGAGAACCCATGGCGCTGACAGCTCCGCATCTTGATAAAGTCATTTCCTGTTTATCAGACATCATTAGGGCATTAGAGTTCTCATACCAAAGATTTATCCAAGAGTAGACATTTGGCCCCTTTGGGTATCAATCCTTTTGGAACTCAGTTTCATTTTTTTGTTGTTTTTATTTGTTTATTTGTTTGTTTTTACTGTGAATATACCTTATTTAGTCATTTTTGTTTACAAGTGAAACTCTGGGAATTCAAAATTAACTTCGTTACCTATGAGCTTCTTAAAGACACCAGAAAAGTTTCAACCTTGTGTGCCACATTGTTCTGCTGTGCTTTGTCCAAATGAACTTTTGCGAGGCAGCTGCCATCCAGTTTCAAGTGGATTCTCTTGCCCACAATTTCACTTGGAAAGACCAAGTCCTCAAGATCGCATGGTACGCAGCTATCAGAGTACAGCTCCTGTGATGCTTTTGCTTATTTTTTGTATGGCTTTTTCAAGTTGGCTTAGGCAGAATTCTCCTCTGAGCAATAAAGACAACATGCTTCTCACTGAACTTTTTCTCCAATTCACATACTAGCCAGACTTGGATTTTCTGGGAAGATTTCAGTCGAGAAACAGGAACAAAGATTATGATAGCTTTCTGACTACCACCAACTTCAGTTTCCTTGGCTGCTGTGATATTCAGCTCCCTGAGCTGAGCCTTGAGGTCCACGTTCATCTTTGGCTCCAGAAGAGCCTGGGAGATGCCGAACTTGAACTTGTCTGGCTTCTTGCCGTTGGGCTTCGTGATCCTAGTGTTCAAACTGAACGTGGCCTTCTCCTTGCTGAGTGCTGGCTTAGGAAGAAGCCCAAGTCTCACAGTTTGGGATAGATAGCTTTTGAAATGTATTCACACTCCACTGCTTTCTGAAACTAAACATCCTGAGTCTTTTTTCTGGAAACAGTGGTAAAAGAGGCAAGGAGTTTGCTTGTGAATATTGGTTTCATTCTTTAAATAGATATTTGTTTATTCAGGGCCTTCTGTGCACTAAGCACTGTGTTGGGTGCTGTGGACACGACAGACCTGGAGCCTTCTTATGGAACTTGTTCTGCCTATAATTTGGCCCATTTTGAGGGGGTCAGAGAATGAACACTTCCACTTCCTAAACTGTGCTGGGCTGTGATGCAGTGAGGTCTTTGAGGGTCTCGGGAATAAGTCGGGTTGTTTACCCTTGTAATAAAAGGCTCCAGATTGTGGTGCCGAGACTTCCCAGTGTCAGCTGTCTCTCCGTGCTGCTGTCACCGTGTTGTTTCTGTAGGAGCAGAAAGATGTGATCTCTTTCCTAACCCATCATAAGGGTCATGGCCGACACTCCTATAACAAAAGACAGTTAACAAGAGAAAAGCATTTAACAAATTTATTTAATCAAAGTTTTACATGACATGGGAAATTTCAGAAATGAAGACCCAAAGACCCAGGGAAAATTGAGTATTTTTATGCTTAGATTCTATAAAGAATGTTTAGAAATGTGATTGGATAAAGGGTATGATCTAATGGTAATAGACTGAAGGCAGAGGGTACCCAGTAAGGCCTGTCTGTTTAGATTCTTCTTGGCTTTTCTGTGTAGCATTCCTTCCTCCAGGGTATAGGGCAGGAACTCTCTGGCATGAGGGTCTACAAGGAAGAAGTGACCTTTCTAGATTGTATGGGTTGCCTTGGGGGAGAGAGGTTCTAGTTTCTGTGATTCCCCCCGGGGCGGGAGACAGGAGGGTAGGAGAAGGTCAGAGAGAGACTTTGCTTCTGAGGTGGCTTCTGAGACCTTCCAGTCTCCTTTAGTTCAAAGTACTCAGCATGCCAAAGCGCCATCGTTTGGGTTACCATTTTCTGAGGCCCAGCACTTCTTATCTGCCATGTTATTTAACACATGTTTGCCTAGGCTAGGGCCTTACAGTGGCTTTTCTCTCCCACGGAGTATAAAGTGGATGTGTTTTGTGATAATGGTTGGCCATTTGGATGTATTTCCTCTTCATTCCACATGGTTGAGGTTGCTGGAAGTATAGCTTCCAAGGAAGTGGTGACTTACATTATAGTATAGTCAGTGGCGTGCTGGCCTCCCTCAGTTGAGCAGGGAGGGGAATGCTGGTTTATAGTGTTTGCTGATTTCCATGGTGTAAATGCTCCCACCATGGCCAATTTCAAGCTCCCGACATGACATCACTGAACAAGGAGTCCGGAATACATGTGCAACAGCAAGGCATCATAGCGTATTTCCACCATACAGATACAATAGATGTAAATAACCTCAAAAGCATAGGTAACAGTAAGTGTAGTAAAATAATTAGGAAGTGATGAGTTTTGAGTATTCATTAGCTTTGTCTTTTTTTTTTTTTTTTTTGAGATGGAGTCTCCCACTGTCACCTGGGCTGGAGTGCAGTGGCGCTATCTCTGCTCACTGCAACCTCCACCCAGGTTCAAGTGATTCTCCTGCCTCAACCTCCTGAGTAGCTGGGATTACAGGCACCCGCCACCACGCCCTGCTAATTTTTTGTATTTTTAGTAGAGATGGGGCTTCACTATGTTGGCCAGGCTGGTCTCAAACTCCTGACCTCATGATCCACCTACCTTGGCCTCCCAAAGTTCTGGGATTACAGACGTGAGCCACTGCGCCCGGCCTGCTTTGTCTTTAATATAACCTAATTGTAAGTTTAGATCATTTCACTTTTAACAATGGCTATATTTAACAAACTGGCCCACAAAATTCATGTTGAACCATCGATTCTCACTATCTGGGTGAGTGTGGTCCTGCCTCACTTTTCTCTTAGCTTAAGCAGTAGAGAGTCTGAGTAAACTGGGTCCCAAGGCTCTTGCCCCCACTTTAACCAGAGCAGCCCCACTTGTATTCATTTCGTACATAATGGGGTTCTGTGTTTGAGGAGAGGGTTCCAATGTTTTTTATTTTTTAACCTTTTTTTTTTAGATGGAGTCTCGCTCTGTCACCCGGGCTGGAGTGCCATGGCACAATCTCGGCTCACTGCAACCTCTGCCTCCTGGGTTCAAGCGATTCTCATGCCTCAGCCTCCTGAGTAGCTGGGACTACAGACATGTGCCACCATGCTAGGCTGATTTTTGTATTTTTAGTAGAGACGGGGTTTCGCCATGTTGGCCAGGCTGGTCTTGAACTCCTGACCTCAAGTGATCCACCCACCTCGGCCTCCCCAAGTGCTGAGATTACAGGTGTGAGCACCCAGCCTCCACGTTTTTTAAATGTTTTTTTAAAAGGCATTGGTATAGATGGTCTATGAGGTTCCTTCCGTTTATGGTATCTTAAGTTAGCCATGTCTTCCATTTTCCCTTTCATTCCCTTGTCCCCTCTTGTCACTCAGGCATCCTATTCCTGCTATTCCCAGAGATCATTTTGTCCCATCCCAGGCTCTCCATCTTCACTGAAGAGATAGCTGTTATCAGCTGATAGGGTTTTAGGTGATATTCCTCCCAGGCGTATTTTACTCTTCAACACATGACTCCAGAAGACACATAAGGTCTTTCAAATAAAAGGAATGAATTTTTAAAAGCTGAAATTCCAGGCAGGGTGCTGGGGGTGAGGGGTGGGGTGCTATCTGTACTCAGTGCCCTTAAAATCATAACACTGAACAGTCAGACCTGATTCTACTTTGCAGTATCCTTCAAAAATCTCTTGATTTCGATGGGTTGCTAGGTTACCCCCAAAAAACTGCCCAAGGGTGTATCTCTATTTTTCTTTACACAACACAGTTTTCCTGCAGTGAAAACTGAAACCTTATTCTAGCAGATGTTTGGTTCGTCTTCCCCTGAATGCAAAGTTTTCATCCATGGAAATGATAGAGAGGCTGCAAAGGTTATGGATATGACACAATCCTTTCTGAAGGCAAATTCACCCTCTTTAGCATGCCAGAAAAATTATTTTTCCAGGAAAACTAAACACTAAGCACATGCTTGGATGTTCCTTTCAAGCAAGAGAGGAGCCCTTTCTATCCCATTAAGGTCAGGCAATTGCCCAAATGATTTGCTTCACTGCCTATCATAACGGGGAGTGTGGGATGGAACCAGCAGGTGTTTACTCTCATCTCTCTCCATCCAGCAGGCTAGCCAAGCAAAGTTCATAGGCACAGGCACCCTCTGAAGCCTGGAGTCAGAGAGGCTGAGGCTGGGGGACACTCGGGACCCCTCCAACACACACACACACACACACACACACACACACACACACACAGATGCATGCATGCCCACACATAGAAGACCACAACATTCCCTCAGTTCAACACAGCAGCTCATGAGAGTCAGTATTATGGAAGCAAAAGTAGAGCAGAGCAGTGGAATAAGATGCATGGAACCTGGTGGCCCAGAAGGCCACGGGATGGGGCACAATAATGAGCTTCTCGGCCAGCTGCCCAGTCTGCTGGGTGCATACTGTTCAAATGTAGATAGGATAGCCAGTGGCCCAGGAGCTGTGGGGGACAAGAGGGCTGCTATTTCCTGCCTACACGGCTACCTTCGGAGGCCTGGGGTACTTTCCATAGCTTTGCTTCTCAGGTTCTGTCCCCACTTCTGACACCAGCAGCAACCTCCCTTTGGCCCCATTTTGCTGAGGACATGGCTCACTATCTGAAAGCTTCAACTGTAAGGAGGTACGTATGCATGCCCAACACACAAAACAGACCCAAAGCCAAACTCTGTCCAGTTGAGGCCAGCTTAGGCAATAAATCTTGCTCAATTCCCTGGTCAGAATACCTCTGGCTACCTCTGCAAGCCCGGTCTAGTCTTGATCCAGGGCCGTTTGGCCAAGGTCCCTGCACAGTCGGCACTCTTTCCTCTTCCCTGTCCAAGCTGAGCTCACTCTCCCCTGGCTTTCCCCAAAGTCCTTCACTTTCAGAATTGGAATCTTTTGAACCAAAACTTTCTTTCTTACAAAAATATCTTCTCTAACTCTCACCTCTAGCCTTCCATTCTAGATTTCTAGGTTCTCTTGTGTCTTCTAACACTTGAATTCTGAGGGAATTTGGTCTCTCCAGGGGAAGCAGAGAGGCACTCCTTATTTATCCAATAACATTCAGTGGCTAATTATCATTTATAGACCATCGTGGAAGTCATCAATCTCAGAGTGTGCTTTTCCCGTATCACTTGCTCCTGATGTTGGAGAGAGATTCGAAATCTAAATGTAAGTCACCAGCAAAATACTGTCTTTTCAATGCACCAAAAGGAGGGAAAGTTAGCTTATCTTGTAGAATCCTTCAAAGTACTGTGAACTAGCTGAGTAAGGGTAATTAGAAAACGGAAAAGGGAAGTCAAGGACAAACTCCCATGTAGTTGGAGAAGTCTCACAATAAAGTAAAATTTCCCAAGAATTGCCGGAAAGCAAGTCTTACAACCACTGGGAAATGATGAGTCCAAGAATTTCAGAAGAGCCTCCACCCTTCACCTGGCCTTGAAATCACCAAAGAGCTCCTACTGCTCCACTCCAGGCTCAAGAAGCAAGCTGCTTTTCATTGCTACTCTTCAAAATGTGCTCATATCCATTATCTCATTTGATTCTCACCATGACCCTGTGAGGTAGGTAGGACAGATATTAGTTTTCCCCGGCTCACTTCTGGAAGATTCCCAGGAGTCAGATTTTGCACAATTGTAAGTTGACAGGTTTGGCTCTATTTGCACATGCTAACAAAATCTGGCCTGGTCCAACCGTATGTAAAGGGAAGATTTGTCATGCAACATTGACCTAAGCTATGCAGAGAGAAGCCTGATCATCGGGGAAGGGGACTAGGGGAAATTTCTTGGGAAATGTAATAATTCTACTCCTCCTTTCCCTTCCTGGGCCTAAAAACTCACGCTTGAATGGGAAGGCTTGCATTATCCTCAAGCTACTCAAAAAGTTTCTTGAAGACTGGATACCAAGGCCAAATTCCTATATATTTAGCTATATTTGATCAACCTTACCAATTAATCAACTGTACATCGTGGGCCCAGCTCTTGCAGGGAGGAAGAGACAGAGAAGTAGGAGATCAGAGTCAATGGATCCTGACCTCCAAAAGCTTACAGTTTTGCTGGGAGCTAAACTTGTACACACTACACAACAATGCGTAGCAGCCAAACAAAAGGAAGAGAAGGTCAG
This sequence comes from Homo sapiens, assembly GCF_000001405.40. Classification (NCBI taxonomy): domain Eukaryota; kingdom Metazoa; phylum Chordata; class Mammalia; order Primates; family Hominidae; genus Homo; species Homo sapiens. The sequence goes on along the minus strand of NC_000023.11, from coordinate 134,645,514 downwards.
AGAGGGTTGAGGCAGCCAGGGGAGACATCCCAGAAAGTCAGAACAGAGGGGTGGTTAGGAGCATGACCTCTGAGGTTGGGCAGTAAACATGGCTTTGAATTCCAGATCTACCATTATCAGCAATGTGAACCTTGAGCAAATCACTATACGTGATCCATAAAATGGGGTGAAAATGAATAAGTACTTTAAAAGTTGCTGAGAAGATTAAATGAGCACAGTATGGTATCCATTATCTCACTTGAGAAAATAAAATTTGGTGCTGTTTAAGCTAACCATTAAAAATGGGGAAGATTTGGAGACACTCAGGGGGAGAGACAGGACAATACGAGGCGCTGAATTAAACAAAGGTACTGAATTAAAAAGGAAAGGAGGTGGATGAGGATATTGAGAATACTGGTATTGCTAAAGCAGAGAGTACATACATATAAAGGGAGTAGGAGACAATAAACTGTGTTAGATTGGGTGCAGCAAGATGGCAAAAGGCTACCAACTGGAGGAGTTTAGACTGGATATGATAGGAAGGGAGAAGCCACCAGAGATTTTTAAGCAAGAGAGTGACTTGACGATAGTAGTCTTCGAATAGGATTGGCCTATGGAGCACTTGATGACTTGGAGAGGGACTGGAGGATATCCATTGTTTGAGGCATGAGTTGACATGCGCCTGGACTAGAGACATGAGAGTGAGAATAGAAAACATTTGAAAAGTATTTTGTAGGAAAAACTAACCAGATAGAGTAGGTAATTGGATATGGGAGATGAACAAGAAGGAAGAGTCCAAGAGTCTTCCAAAGTTTTTAGTCTAGGTGACTTCAAAAGTGGTGGTGCCATTGTTCTTGCTTATAAGTGGGACCTGAACAATGAAAACACATGGACACACGGAGAGGAACAACGTACACTGGGGCCTGTCTCGGGGGCAGGGGGAGGAGAGCATCAGGATAAACAGCTAATGCATGCAGGGCTTAATACCTAGGTGATAGGTTAATAGGTGCAGCAAACCACCATGGCACACGTTTACCTATGTAACAAACCTGCACATCCTGCACATGTATCCCAGAACTTTAAATTAAATTTTAAAAAAGAAAGTCGTGGTACCATTGACAGAAAAATGGAAGTCAAGAAGAGCAGTAGACATGGAAGGAAGATGATGGACTCAATGTTCAATTTATAGAAATGTCTAGAAAAAAAGTTGATACTGGAATACCCTAGAGAGAAGAATTTCCTTCTTTTACTTCTTTTCTGACAGACACAGACCTCATTTTTTGTTAGATGATTATATTATCTGCAAATATTGACAATTTTGTTTCTTCCTTTCTGATGCTATTAATTCTATTTTTTATTCTATGGCATTGGCTTGGAGCTCTAGTAAAATGTTGAATAGCAGAGTAGCAGTAGAAATAGACATTTCTATCTTGTTCTTGACTTTAAGGGTGAAAACATCTAATATTTCCAAATTTGTTAACAAACACTTGTGTATTGCTTCTGTGTGTGAAACGTTATTATGAACACTTTACAAATATTAGGCTATTTAATCCTCCTACAATGTTATGAAATAGATATTATTATTATTATTATTATTATTATTCCTCTTTTACAGATAAGAAAACTGAGGCATAGAAAAGCTAAGTAACTTGCCCAAGGTCACACAGCCAACAAGTGTTCAAAGCTCCACTGCTTAGCTTTGGAGACTGTGTTCTTAACTACCCTGCTACACTTGCTGCCTCTTTTTAAGTATGAAGTTTTCTGTACCTTTCTGGAAAGTACTTTTTATCAAGTTAAAGTTTCCTTGTATTTCTAATTTTCTTAGAGCTTTCTAAGAGCAAATGAGTACTCAACTCAGTTTTATCAAACATTTTTGCTGCATCTATTGAAATGATCATATTATCTTTTCCTTTATTATGCAAATATAATGAATTACATTGGTATATTTTCTAATGGTGAACCAGCCTTGAATTTCTGAGATAAACCCTACTTGGTTATGGTATAGTCTTCTTTTTCCAAAGTGCGAGATTTGATTTGGTAATAATTTATTTAGGGGTTTTGTATAGAGTTAGTTTTCGGTCCTCATATAATTTGGCATTGGTGTTATGATAGCTTTGGAAAATAAGTTGGAAGTTTCTCATCTTTTTTAATGCTCTGAAATTGTTTGTTTGGTAAAGGGATTATCTGTTCCTTAAAGCTGTTGTACACTTTACCTTTAAAGACTACTTGTGTGTGTTAAGGGGGCTGAGGTGTACACATCTTTGATTCTATTTCCATTTCTTCTCTAGTTTTGTTGATACAGTCAGATTTTCATCTTGCTCTCAAGCCAATTTTGGTAAAGTATCCCAGAAAATTGTCTATTTCATCTACGTTCCAAATTTACTGGTATAAATATTAATACAAAATACCAATTATTTATAATTTTATACCTGTACCAGGACTTACACAATTACTAAGAATAATATTCTCTTATACTTTTTAATATAGTCTTTTTTATTTTTATTTTTTGTTTAGTCCCACCCTTCATATCTGATTTTTAATATATTCTAAATACAGTTCTGTCCTCTCTCTCTCTTTTTCTTCTTCTTCTCCCTCTCCCTATCCTTCTTCCTCTCCCTTTCTCTGCCTCTTTTTACTCTTGAGTGGTTGTTGATGTGTTTTGTTTGTTTGTTTTGTTTCGTTTTTAGCAAACTTGCTAATCTTTGCCTATTTTCATGGTCTTCCCAAAGAGCTGGCTTTTGCTTGTATTGATCAACATTTCATTTTTGATGATTGTGTATTTTGTAAGTTTTTGCTTTAATCTTTCTTAGCAAACCTTACTCCTGCAAAGCTCATCTGTCTAGAATATCCTTTCCCCCTTCCCTTTCACTTGGCTGACTCCTACTCATTCTTCAGTTTATGCATCATGTCTTTCAGGAAGCCTTCCCTGACACTTCAGAGTGATTTAAATGCTCATCCTCTGTCCTCCCCCAACAACTTCCAGACCTCATCATTCCATGTTATAATTAGCTGTCTGCTTTATCTCTCTTCCCTATTAGACTGCAAATTCCTTGAGGGCAGGGACCGTGTCTGGTTCATAATTGTACCCCCAAGCTCCTAACATAGTATTAATATTTGCCATCCCCAATAGGAGTTCAAATGGAAATTTTATTGGAGGTAGCAACCCACCCATAAGCTGGTAGGTAGATCTCACAAAGGAGCTCCTAGTACAGTCTGTTGCCTGAAGTTTGGGGTCTTTTTTTAAAAAGGAAAAAAATACCCTTGGTAGCTTTAGTTTCTTGATTTTTAACATAATCAAATCCCTTCAAATGTGTCATTCCATGGTCTGTCTACCCTTTGGGGACGTGTTCTGCGCATTCTACCTCTGCACTCCAGCATGGATCTAGAGGTTTCAACCCCAAAGGGCACAAGGCCAAGAGTTGGCCCTAAAGGAGCTGAGACTGACTAGAGTTAGAGTCTGCAGGCTGCCCCAGGGCTTCTTTATTTCAAAGCAGCTTCCTGCATGAAAGCCTTTTCCTTCTCTGTAGTTAAGGTTGGGGTACCTCACCCCCACTTCCACTCCTCTTGTTTCCAATCTCATCTGAAACACCTTTCCCTCTATGTTCATCTTTCCTCTCAATTCCCTCCCCTTATTTGCCATTGACTCTGTAGTTTTTTATTACTTGTGTCCAGGAGGTGTTTCGAGAATGTGAACTGAAGTAGTAGTTTATGAAATTGGCAACATCTGTGCTCTGCTGCCCTCAGTTTTCTTCTGGAAACTTATGTGGTTAGCACTCAGGTCCAAGGAAAGCAGAACACAGAACGAACTGAAAGAGAGGCATACCCAAATCATGGAACACCATCAGCATCAGGGCTGGCTCCTGCCCACGTCTCAGCTCCCACCTCCACCCTAAGCTACAGGCTGATAGAAGACTATTTCTAGAGACAAACATCAAGCTGGTGACTGAGGGTTTTCCTGCTCACTGTGAATTTACTTCCTGGGAAAGATGGTCTCACTTCCTCACATCATCTGGGTTCCTCTTTGAGGAAGGCATCATGAAACTGAAATATAAAAACACTTCTGAAAGAAAACTCATTCTGAAATTGTAGGGAGGTCAGAGAATACAGGACCCAAAGGATACCCACTCTGTGCTACCTGCCTAAGACAGAACTAAGGAAAGAGAGATGGCTACAGGGAACCATGCAGGCTCATGGTGGTGCTAGGAAAAGGTAATGGACTGATGCTGCCAGGCAGCCTATCTCAGTCTTTTCTTTCTTCTTTCTTCTTCTTCTTTTTTTTTGTAGAGATGGGATCTCACTATGTTGCCCAGGCTGGAGTACAGTGGTGTGATCATAGCTCACTGGAGCCTCGAACTCCTGAGTTCAGTGATCTTCCCACCTCAACCTTCTGAGTATCTGGGATTACAGGCATGTGCCACCATGTCCAGCTAATTAGGTTTTTATTTTTTTATTTTGGAGAGATGGGGTCTCACTATGTTGCCCAGGCTAGGCAAACTCTTGGCCTCAATCAATCCTCTCGCCTCAGTTTCCAGAGTAGCTAGGACTACAGGCACATGCCACCATCGACAGCTAATTTTGTACTTCTTTGTAGAGACAGGGTCTCACTACGTTGCCCAAGCTGGTCTGAAACTCCTGGGCTCAAGTGATCCTCCCACCTCAGCGTCCCAAACCTTTGGGATTACAAGTGCGAGCCACTGCACCTGGCCCCATTACTCAGACCTTTCTAAGGTTGTTTTGTTGACAGCAAATGTGCTCCAGGCACTGTGCTGGGCTCTAGGGATATAGCAAAGAACAGGACACAGTTACTGCCTTGAGGAGCTTATAGTCTGGTATCTGTGTGGGACACAGTGTCCACATTTGGAACTTTCCTGGCTACTATGCTATCTGGCACCTTGACTTGAATATGTACCATCTCTTCAGCATTTTCAGTGGCCCCAGAGACAGAAACTGCATCTCATTTATCTGTACCCCCAACATCTAGCACACTACTTAAAATATGGTAGGTACCCAATAAACATTTGTTAGATGAATAAAGGAAGGAAAGAAAGGAGAAGGGAAGGACGGAAGGAAAAAGGGCTAGATGAGGTGTCCCAGAAATGTTTCATATTGACTGGAGATGATGTTGAGTAACTTTCATAGGAGCCAATCTCAGGGAAATGCTTGAGTCCCTGATGATCATTGATTGGACCCCCCAGAAACAACCCTCCCAGTCAAGATGTCTCTGAAGCAACTAGAATCCTGAAGCAGTTCCCAAAGTCATGGGACAAAAGCTCAGGCATACCTAGGTCAGCTTCACAGATGCTAGTGACTTTGAATTGGTCACTTTTATTGTAGTGTTTATTCATCCTTGAAGGTATTAAAATAATAGGGTAGAAAAATAGTTTGATGGTTCCTCAAAAAGTTAAACATGGAATTACCATATGACCCCACAATTCCACTTCTAGGTATATACTCCCCAAAAATCGAAAACAGGGACTCAAATGAGTACAAGCACATGTGTGTTCACAACAGCACTACTCACAATAGCCAAAAGGTGAAAACAACCCAAGCATCCATCACATGGTGAATAGATAAACAAAAAAATATTGTATATCTATACAGTGGAATATTATTCGGCTATAAAAAGGAATGAACTTACTGATATGGATTACAATGTGGATGAACCTTGAAAACATTATGCTAAAGGACAGAAGCCAGACACTGAGGCCTCATATTGTATGATTTTATTTACATGAAATATCCAGGATAGGTAAATTTGTAGAGTTGGGGCACTGATGATTTCCAGAGTCTGGGAGAAATGAGAAGAATCTGCTTAATGGGTAAGAGGTTTTACTTTGGAATGATGGAAATGTTTTGGAACTAGATAGAGGTGATGGTTATGCAACATGTGAATATACTAAATGCCACTTAATTATTCAGTTTAAAATGTTTAATTTTATGTGAATTTCACCTCAGTTAATTATTTTACTTTGGAAAAAGTCAAAGTAGAACAGCCTCAATTCTGTGGACAAACTGGGTAGTTGTGGGAAGGGTAGACTAGCTGGGTGTAGAGTGGGAACTATTTCCTTCCCTACCCACCACCCCACCACTCCCCAATGCTTGTTCCTTTCTTCAGCTAAGTCAAGTGTTTATTCCTATCTCCATTCCTGTTCATATCCAAGAATCATCTGGAATTATTCTTAAGAATATTCTACTTCTCTAAGGACTGTTCATCAGAAAAAGGCAGTTGTAATTTATTGGGAGTCCTTCTAAGAAACCCCAAATATCAAAGATTTTAGGAATATGGAAACCATCATGTAGACCTATGTCAGCTTAAGAAGATGGCCTTTTGAGGAGAGTCGTCAGAAAATGTTGATGTAGCCAAGGTGATGGGTGCATACAAAATGCTGGGTACCTGGGGGATGCTAGGAAATGCTTGTTGATTGACTGATTCCTTGATTGAGTAAAAAAAGACATTTGCATTATCCTAAGTGAACTAACACAGGCACAGGAAACCAAATACTGCATGTTCTCACTGATAAGTAGGAGCTAAACTTTGAGTACACATGGACATAAAGAAGGGAACAGCAGACACTGGGGCCTAACTGAGGGTGGAGGGTGGGAGGAGTGTGAGGATCAAAAAAGTACATATTGGGTACTGTGCTTATTACCTGGGTGGTGAAATAATCTGTACACCAAACTCCCGTGACACAAAGTTTACTTATATAACAAACCTACACATGTACTCCTGAACCTAAAATAAAAGGTTTTGTTTGTTTGCTTTTTTTTTTTTTAAAAAAGCCAGCAATGGCAATAGCCAGGAAGGCACACCCAGCAGAGGGAATGGCAAGAGTAAGAGCAGGACCAAAGAATTATACCACCCGGAATTATGCTGCAGATGTTGACACAGCAGAGAGCTTCAGGAGAAATAGAGGATGGGAATCTTTCTTTACCTAACTCTGCTACTGAGATCCTTTGGAAAAGTAGTGATGAAATGAAAAATACAAATATCAAGGCAACAAAATCTGAAAAAAATAGAATTAGTGCTGAAATATAATTAACTGATTTTCTATTTGAATCATCGTATGACATTCATAGAATACTTGCATCATGGAACTATTTATAAGATTTTTCTGCTAATAGTCAACACCTCAACAACTGTCAACTCACTTTTTGCTCATTCACAAAAAAATATCTTAGAAAACTTAAGGAGAACAACTCTTTAGTCTAAATGGCAAGTCTTGTTTTATAAAATAATATCTCAACATAGCTGCATGTGAAAAATGGTCATTTTTAAGCAGTCTTTGTAAAAGTAACAATGAATTTTGAAGTAGAAGCTGATGCTTTGTGTCTTCTGCTATTTGTGTGGTCAATGACACGGCTACTGCTCCCAGAGTAAACGATACGTGCCAGTGAATATTTTGTGCAAGTTAAATGTTCATCATCCTCTTTCTGAGAAATAAAAATGCATTACTTTAAAAACAACCAAAAAAGGACATTTAAACAAAGGATTCCCCTCCAGTAGACTCTCGTTTATGGGCTTCAGACCACATTTTGTGTAAGAGCTTTCAGTCATCCATTTTTTCTTTCATTCCACAAAAATTTATTGAGCACCTGCTGTGTTCCAGGAAATACAGTAATAGGGATGCGCCATCATAGGCATGGATAAAGGAAATTCACATACAATCCCCCCAATTTTTTTTTCTTTTGAGATGGAGTGTCACTCTGTTGCCCAGGCTGGAGTGCGGTGGTATGATCTCAGCTCACTGCAACCTCTGCCTCCCGGGTTCAAGCGATTCTCCTGCCTCAACCTCCCAACTAGCTGGGATTACAGGCATGTGTCACCATGCCCGGCTAATTTTTGTATTTTTAGTAGAAACAGGGTTAGACCATGTTGGCCAGGCTGGTCTTGAACTCATGACTTCAAGTGATCCAGCTGCCTTGGCTTCCCAAAGTGCTGGGATTACAGGTATGAGCCACTGTGCCCAGCCTACAATCCCCCAAATTCTTTGTAAGCATAATTTCAACCCTTTACTATCTCTAAACTTTGAGCTTGAGTAAGCTGATGGGCAAGAACAGGGCAAGTTATGGTGACGATAGTGGTGTGTCCACAAACTGGAATATGTGATCCAATAAGTATGGTTAATGGACAACAGAGAAGAATACTTGCAAATAGGGCTATTGAAGGAAATGGCCCTTTGACAAGGGAGGTGGAACAGTTGGGGGAAAGCCTGGTCAATGTCTTCTTCCTTCTGTCCTGTCCCCTTCCCCATGCCTGGACCACCTGGAAACTATGGATTAAAGCAGTATTCTCTTGCACCCCTATGGCTACACACACCCCTGGGTGCAGCGGCTGCTTTCCCCTATCTCCAGCATAGCTCATGAGGGACTCCATGTGAGCGCTGGGTTGCCTGAAATTGAGGGAAAGCAATCTGGTCAGAACTAAGTAGGGCCTGCTTCTTGTTGCCTATGCTACAGTTAATCCATTGCCATCTGTCTTTATTTTGCTGACTCACTGCTTTCATTTGGGTTGGCAGTTCTTTTGCTGTTGGCTGCAGTCTTTAACTGTTTACGGAGGACTGAGATGGATGGAGAATTAGGGGCTTTGCATTCATTCGCTGAATGAAATCCTACCCAGGTACTGTGGGCCTCTTGTCGAGGGGCTGAGGCCAAGGCCCCTGGATTTTGATGGATGGTGGAGATTAAGTGTAGGGTAACACATCATTTAGTCTGATTGCAAGGCCAGGTTTCTCCCAAGCATTGCCAAATGAGCTGGGAGGTCATGCGAATTGTCTGCCCAAGCACAAGGGAGCGTGATATCTTTTAATTAGAGTAAGGATGAAGGATATTAGGGACCTTGGTCTGTCAGAGAACTTGGAACACCCAAATGCTATACTTCATTCAAGTTTCTCTTTAAGTTTCACCTTATCCATGGAAGCTTTTCTGCATAAACTTCCATCCCCACACTGCATCCCATCCCTCCTCCGAAATGCACTTCCCTGCGCTTTGAATCTCATCAGCATTTGGCTTCAACTGTATACAATCTTGGCTCCCACAGCCATTTTGAAGCTGCCCTTCAGCAGATTTGAGACCCATTCTTTATCCTGTGAGATAGAACCTTATCAAGATGTGAAACTCTGTAGCCTTTATAGCTCATTTTGTTATATGGCAATTGGATCCTGGGAAAAGGTGACTTGGAGGAAGCCATCATTGGCCTTTGAGACCTATAGGAATTCAGTAGAAACACTTTCAGGATGCTTTGTCAAATGACTTGTGTTAAGATGCCAAGGGTTTGTCGTGGGCTCATGTAAGTTTTAACCCTTTTCAAGGCTACTTTCTGTAAGCATTGTATCATTTCTGGGGTAGAGGGAGTTGAGGGTTTTTTGGTATATCTGCCTACTCAGCCTTGGTGTCAACCAGTACTTCCTGGGATTTGGGGTAGGAACAATAGAAGTTAAAAAGGAACTTTGTGTTTTAGGTAGGGGGAACGTAGGTACTGGTTTGCTCAGGATAGTCCTGTGTTACACCTGCTGTCCTAGTGTCATTATCGAAGGCACATTTGTGCCCTTCACCCACAAAAGTGTTCCAGTTTGTACAATAAACTTAGCTTTAGGCAGCACCTTAGCTTTAGGCAGCAAATATGTAATGTACAGGATCACACCCAGAGCTAGAAAGACTACAGAGTTTTGCAGTTGATGAGCTTCTATCTCACTGGGATAAAGAACGGGCTTTCAAATCTGCTGAAGGACAGCTTCAGAATGGCTGTGGGAGCCAGGATTGCACACAGTGGAAACAAAATCCTGATGAGATTCAAAGTGCAGGGAAGTGCATTTCAGAGGAGGGGTGAGGTGCAGTGAGGGGATGGAAGTTTTTGCAGAAAAGCTTCCACGGATAAGGTGAAGTTTGGAGAGAAACTTGGCTGGGTGAGGTGGCTCATGCCTGTAATCCCTACACTTTGGGAGGCCGAGGCAGGGGAATTGCTTGGGTCCAGGAGTTCAAGACCAGCCTGGGCAACATAGTGAGACCCTGTCTGTATGATTTTTTTAAATTAGCTAGCCAGGTGTAGTGGATCACAACTGTGGTCCCAACTACTCGGGCGGCTGAGGTGGGAGGTTTGCTTGACCCCAGGAGACTGAGGCTGCAGTGAGTCATGATCATACCACTACACTCCAGTCTGGGCAACAGAGTGAGACCCTGTCTCCAGAGAGAGAAAGAGAGAGAAATGTGAATGAAATATAGCATTTGGGTGTTCCAAGTTCTCTGACAGACCAAGGTTCTGAATATCCTTCATCCTTATTCTAATTAAAAAACACCACACTCCCTTTTGCTTGGGCAGATAATTCACATGACCTCCCAGCTTGTTTGGCAGCAATATGTTTTATAATTATATATTTTATAAGCAAGTGTAAAAAATACTTGCTTATAAAAGTTGTTCCCTTAACAACTTAAGATTGCATGGTCAGACTATCCCAGGGAAAGGGCTTCTCCAAGCCACCAACCCTAGAAAGTATCCTCTACCAATCGGACAGGATCAAAACGTCACCTCCAGGAATTGGAGCTCTCAGACACTGCTGGCAGGACTGTAAAATGGTGCAGACACTTTGCAAAACTGTTTGGAAATTCTCAAACAATTCAACATAGAGTTACCATATGACTCAGCAGTTCCACTCCTACACATATACCCGAGAGAAGTGAAAACATATGTCTACACAATAGCTTGTACATGAATGTTCATGGCGGTATTATTCATAATAGCCAAGAAGAGGAAACAACTCAAACGTCTATCAACTGATGAATGGATAAACAAAATGTAGTATATCCATATAAGGGAATATTATTTAACCATGAAAAGGAGTAGAGAACTGATATATGCCACAACACGGATGAACTTTGCAAACATAATGCTAAGTGAAAGATGCCATCACAAAAGACTGCATCATATTATTCCATTTCTAGGAAATGTCAAAACAGGCAAATCCATACAAATAGAAATTAGATTACTGGTTCCCTAGGACTGAGCAGGGTGGGGATTCAGGGATGGAAGAGTGACAGCTTAATGGTACAGAGTTTCTTTTGGGGGTGATTAAAATGTTCTAAAATTGATTGTGGTGATGGTTGCAGAACTCCACGAACATACTAAAAACCACTGAATTGTGCCATTTAAATGGGTGAATTGTATGGAATGTAATTTAGATCTCAATAAAGCCATTAAACGTGTGGCCTCCAGGCATAACTCAGACTCAGTACCAGCTACCCAGTTAGGCTTGCACTCCTTTAGCAAGGACATGGGCACTCTCTTCCAGAGAGCTCTTCTCAGGCTTCAAAATGGGCAAGCATGAACTTGGGCAAATGCCTCATAAGTGCAAACCAGTGGGAAGAAGCCTTGTTAATACCCATAAGCCTTTGGGGTTTTTTTCCCCCTTTATAGAAACATCCAACCCAGAGCCACAGAGTCCAATAATAATTGACAGACAAGAACCTTAGAGCTTGCCTACTCCAATCCCTCTGTGTAGATGCTCAGAAAGAGGAAGTGACTTGCTCAAGTCACACAGCTAGTCAGTGGCAGGACATGGACCAGAACCTGATGCTCCTAACTCCCACTCCAGTGCTCTTTCTCCTGTCCTGGCTTCTCCACTACTTCCCTTTCCCCTGCCTTGCCCAAATCAGCCCCTTTGGCCCTTCTTGCTAAAATCTAGGAGTCAAGTCTGAGAATCCAAGCACAAAATCAGGGTGAATTTACAATTTTGGAAATATGGTACAATTTTCCTAAGTAGTAGATCAGAAGATCTGTATTATAGGTCTTCCAACATCAGGATGTGGATGGAGTACAGGATTTGACCCCTGGTACAACTAAATTTGTGGAATAATCACATGCTTCTTTTTATACTGTATTTGGCAGTATTAGAAGAGAAAAATAATATTCATCTTAGGAAAACCTTGGTAACTGCAAATTTGCTGGCAACCTTATTTCCTCTTGCTTTCTTGGAAGAAATCAAACGAAAAAGCAGCTGTACAAATTAGCCCTGACCAACAGGCTCAGGACCAAAACAAAACAAAACAAAAAATAATAAAGCCAAAAACAAATTAAGCTTAATATTTAAATCAGAATGGAAAATATATCCAACTATACGCCTACTGGAACCCTTGAAACTGCTAATCTCTACTTGATTATTCACAACCTGACCTTTGCAGGAGGTCAGGACAAAGCTGGGGACAGTCTGACCGAAATGTATCAGCAATTTTCCAAACTCCTTCATCTGCATTCACAGATTTTCCTGATAACCCTAAGAGCAGCAAAACCATTGATCATGCTTGTTGGAGTCCTATTAGTACCACAGTGAAAAGAAAATGTGCTTAGTAGGCCATCAGTCAACAGACCCTGTGTGCCAGGTACAATGCCAGTGCTAGGGGGAGACAAGACGGGGAAGAAATGATGCCTACCAACAGGAGCCATACACCCCCAAAATAGGGTGAACCAGGCATGGTGTAGGGCAAGAGCATGGGGCAAGAGCAAAGCTGAAGGGCTAGGAGAGTAGATGTATGTTGAATAACATTGAGGGGACTAGTCTTTCTGGAATAGAGATTTCTTTTGAGGGAGTTAATGGGATGTTTGATTGAAAAAGAAGGTTGGAGACAGATTGTGGAGGCAAAATGGAGCATTTTGAAGAGGTGAGTGGCCAGATGAAAACCACATCAGGGGAGCCTTCTCTTCAGCCTCCCCTCAACACTGGTTTTGGTATTCTCTGGGCTCCCACAACCCCCTGGGCCTTATCCTAGCACTTTACACATTTTCCTGTAATTCACTGCTTCCTTGTACTTCTTCCCTCAAACTGATTTCCTTGTGGGAACAGCTTACATCTGGTTGATGCATATATCCCTAATGCCTAACAAAGGGTTTAACACGTGGTCAGCACTCAGGAAATGTGTGTTGATGGGATGGGACAGGACGGGATGGGACTTGATAGAAGGTTAGATCTGTGGAGGAGCCATCTGGAAGAGAAGGCAGGAAGAGGAGATCAGTTAGAAGGATGTTGCCCTGGGAGATGAGGAAATATGGCCCTGACCCAAAGCAGTAGCGATGGTGACAGAGAAGAAGGGAGGATGTCTGATGTATTTTGAAAGAAGAATAGACAGGACTTGGGAACCTTAGTTAACACTGACCTGAGGAAACAATGCAAAAGGACTGTGGAACCAAAGTAGGTTCCCCATGAGGCAGTGTGGTAGGTCCTACAGACCCCAATAGGATTAACCAGCCTCCATTTGCACTTTGTGGACAATTGGTTATGAGCACAGCTGTACTTTTCATGTCTAGAGGTGAAAGGGACTAGACCATTGCTGAGGGGACTTTGCCCAGCTGTCTCTGTGCCGGCTGTGCTAAGTCCCCAGGGAGCTCATGCTGACCAATAAGGCAAAGCTCAGGAGTGATGAACCACCGTTTGGCTGTCTTAATCCTAAGGCCTCAACTCAGCTCTGACCACCTGGAGGTGTCACACAAAGAAGTCCAAAATAAAGAAGAGTGTCAGCCCAAGAAACAAGAGTCTCCTTTTCCTAGCCATGCCTATTTCGTTCCACCTTCAGTCTTTCTGCAGCTCAGGAAGGGAGGGGTGAGAGAAAACCACGGAACTTTTCAAAATCCCATTTTCCAAAAGCTAAATCAGATTCATTCTGTGTCTCCTGCGCAGACTGCATTAGTCTGGGTAATGTAAACACTGTGAGGCCACAGCTGTCTGCCAGCTGCAACGTTAAAGCCCGTTTTGGGGGGCATGAAAAAACCTGTCTGTAACTATCACAGATGAGAAGTGTTAGTTAATGAATGGTCCCTGCTGAGTCCAGAGCCCAGCTGAGTTATTTCAGTCTTGAGCCTTAGCAGAGATTTTTATTGGGTAACAAATTTCAAATGCTCCAGTTACCCCTAGACCCCAGATTGGAGCTCGTTGCTCAATCCAACCCCCACGCCCCAGCCAAAACTAATTCACTCCAGGGACATTCCTGATTGCAGCTCAAGAATCTTGGTGTTTGGAGTGTTGGGTGATTGCTCAAGGAGGATTTGGTAAGGGCTTAATAATAACATCAGCCTCCTTGTGCTCCCTGCAGAAGTGTGGAGAGTGACCTTTTTCAAGAGTAGGGCCATCCGTGGCTTCCACCAGGGCTGGTCAGCTTGGAGCAGCCTAAGGAATGGTGGCTTTGAGTTGGACACCACTGTTTCTGCTGGGCCTTGGCTTAAAGCTCTGGGTTTTGCTGGCACCTTTCCACTCCTACTATTCTTTCTCCTCCTACATGGGCTCAGGTCAGGGGCAAGGCCAAGAGGGCCAACAAACCACCAGCTGCATTGAGACAGGGGCTAGGGCCCAGGCCTTTACGTGCATAATTCAGTGGCATTTCGTACGTTCACAATATTATACCATCATGACCTTTGTTTAGTTCTGGAACATTTTTATCATCGCCAAAGAAGATCCCCATACCTGTTAAGCACTCATTTCCCATCCCCTCCCCTCCCTGTACCGGCTCCCGGAAACCACTAATTTGCTACCTGTCTCTGTGGATTTGCCTATTCTGGACGTTTCATACAAACGGAATCATACAGTATGTGGTCTTTGTTGTCAAGCCAGTATTCTTTGAGTACCCACTGTAATAGACATGAGGATTCCTCCTCAGGTGCAGCAGCTACTGCTTTTTAGAATACTTAGCTTAATCAAGGCACATGCTGGGTGATTGATTTGCACCATTCTGTTTAATCTTCACAACAACTCTCTAAAGTAGATAATAATAATGTTCCCATTTCAAAGATGAGTAGTCCAAGACTAAGAGAAATTGAGTAGCTTGGCCAAGATCGCACTAGTAGTTAAGATTCCAACTCAAGTCCTTCCATTATTTATCATGTATTCAGCCCTACTTAGAGCCAGTCTACTTACTTAGAAGCAACATACTCTCTTCGTGGTATGTGCTGCCTGCCCCATCTTGCCCGCCCTTAAATCCCCACTGTGACAGACCCCATAGGCAAGGGAATAATCTCATGAGCCCCTTGTGAAAATACCCATGTGTTGGCAGGGCTAGTAGCCTGGTATGAGTGCCCCTAGTATTCATATGCCCTTGGGCACACCCAGAGTTTTCTTTAGTTCCCAGAGAGCTGAATATAACCCCACCTCCTTCTCTCCCACTCATGAAAGCATATGGGTATGTTAGTGAGAGTTATTTATAGAGAAATCTTTGAATCTGCTCAAATTTATTTTTAAGTAAATCATATGCAAGCTTTGGTATTTGATTATTAGAAATAAATAATAAGTGAGGCCAGGCGTGGTGGCTCACGCCTGTAATCCCAGCACTTTGGGAGGCCGAGGGGGGCAGATCACCCGAGGTCGGGAGTTTGAGACCAGCCTGACCAACATGGAGAAACCGCGTCTCTACTAAAAATACAAAATTAGCCAGGTATGGTGGCGCATGCCCGTAATCCCAGCTACTCAGGAGTCTGAGGCAGGAGAATGGCTTGAACCTGGGAGGCGGAGGTTGCAGTGAGCTTAGATCGCACCATTGCACTCCAGCCTGGGCAACAAGAGCGAAACTCTGTCTCAAAAAAAAAAAAAAAAAAAAGGGAAGAAGAGGAAGAAAGAAAGAAATAATAACTGATTATCAAACACCAACGTGTCCTGACATCAAAGGTGAGAATTTTTGGTCCAAACACATCTAGAGGCTGCAAAGAGCTACACCTCAGCTCAGTTACCTCCAGTTTGCAGGTGAATTCCCAGATCAGTGAAGTTCTCCCTGAAGACTGAAGATCGGATTGTGTCAAAGGTCTGGGGTGGCCTTCATGAAGCAGCCTCAAAGGCTGTGCACCTCATGTCTGGACTTTTGAGCAGTGACTCTGGCTGCATCTGACAGGGACTCTCATGTCCCAACCACATGTACAAGAAATCACAAGGGCTTGACCCAAGTTCTGCAATAAAACTCAAGAAAAAGGAAAAGGAAAATGTGAGTTGTTCCACTGTTTTAAAGACTTCAGGATATATGTTTTAAAAATTCACAAATGGGAGCGGCACTCAGGAAAGTTCAATGGAACTGAAAGAGACAAATATTGATACTCAACAGTCAGCTTCAATAATAATAATAATAATAATGGGACCGCCTGAATTCAAATAAATGGAACAGATGTTCCTCATGTGTTCTGAGTTGAAAATCATTCCTTCATGTGGGATCAGTTAAAAATCAAGCTTGGGACTTACTGTATGTTTAATATAAAAACTCTCAATAAAAATACTTTGGAGGCAAAATCCAAGTGAGGGCATGCTGCAATCATCAGTGCAAATAATCAACCAGTCAGCATTTGCCTGTAAGAGACCAAGGGATGTACATGTGTGAGGATGAGAATTACTGAGATAGAGGTGGTGATAGAAAGTTATTTGCCATCACATCTAACCGGAGCTCAGCATGCAGGGGTTTTCTCAATGTAAGTGGGACTTGGAAATTGAAGCTGTGGTGAGCCATGGAAAAATGGAAAAATCAATTATTTTGATATTTAGTGGACATTAGAGGAATTTTCAAAAGATGGGCTCTTAGAAATAAATGAAACTGTCCCACAGAATAGCTAATTTCAACTTGAACCAGCCCAGCCCCAGTATGGGGGTGGATATAACGAGAGGACTTTAGTACTTTAGTCTGCCATCAGTACTCCATCCACACCTAACATCAGAGCTGGAAGACATACTAGAAACTATGATCCAACATTCTCACTTCACTGATAAGGAAACAGGCACAGGAGTCTCTTACACATGCCCAGGGTCATAGAGGAAATTCATCTCCAGGCAGAATTCAGGGAACCCACTAAAAGAAAGAGGCAGAATCAAAATGGAATATAGAAAACATTGTTGCCCTTTCACAATACAGGCATAACATTAGGATTCTACAAGAAACACCAAACTGGCATGCCCTTTCATTCCACAGTACCAGCTAACAGCCCTGTTCATTTTAAAGAATTAGTGGAGTAAAACAGTCACCCAATCCAAAAAAGAGAAACACCAAACAGGCAGCCACAAAGAAGGTCTTGACGAAACCAGGAAAGGGTCAAGGGCATTGGGAAGCTGCCTTACAAGGCCAGGCAGGAAAGATTAAAGCAAAATAGTTGGGGAAGATGAAGGCATAGAAGGGATGTCATATAATCAAAGTATATAGAGAAACTCCTGAAGGTCGTGGATCCAGGGGAGTTAGACACATTCATCAGATTCTGGAGTACAAGAGAGATGCACAGCCTTTGCAGTGATTATCAGGAAAAACAGACTGAAAAAAGCAGCTTTACTATACACAGTGGATATGGGATGCCCAGTAAATGTGAAGGAAGTGTGCAAACCTTATTCTGAAGGTGTTGTGAAGTTAAAAAGCATTTTAATGCTTCCAGTAAACCAATTCTTGGTTTAATAATAACATTAATAATAGCTACCATTTATTGAGCACTTACGATGTGCCAGGCACCATGCTGAGCTCTTTACATGGTTTTCTTATTTCCTCCTTTTACCTTTATTTCATCCTTTTTTATTTCATCCTACAGTTGTGATGTAGGCACTACCTCCATTTTTCAGATGAGGAAACCAAGGCTCAGAGAGGTTAACTCATCTTCCCTAAGTCAGACAGCTAGTCAGTGGTGGAACCTCCCCTCAAATCCAGGTCTCCCTTAATTCCAGAGCACAGAAACACTCCCCCATCCTGCCTCTGTAATTGGGACAGCTTGGTTGCTTGAGACTCTCCCTCTGACAAAAGTGGTATTTTAGAATGTTCATTCTGGCTGGTGGAAAAAGTGAACTGGAAAGATAGGCCCCAGGACCAAGGAACCAGTTAGGAGGCAGAACCAATGAAAGGGAATGAAAATAAAGAATTCTGTGAAATAGAACTGGAAGGAGAAACTGACAGACTCCAAAGACGAATAGGATCTTACTGTGCCAGGATCTGCTTTTGCCATTTAGGATATCGTGGAGATCTTCCTATGATAAGACATATAAATCTGCCTTGTACCTTTTGTGACTGCTTAGGCATTCAATCTGTGGGAGTACTACTACGACAAACACTGTTCTAGTGAGCATGCTGGATATACGTATATCTTTGTATACTGGTATGTATATAAGATCAATTCCAATCAGTGGAATTTCTGGCCTGAAAGAAACATATTTTAAATTTTGATAGACTTTTTCGGGAAGATTTTCATAGTTGAGTGATTATTATTTTAAATTAGGGGTGTGGGAGGGAACCTTCCTTGGTAGATATACTATAGCAGAAATAAATTAGTTGGTCATCATTCAAAAGTGTAATCAAAAAGCACAAGGCCTTTCATACCATTCCTACCAAACAACATCAATGTTGTCGAAGCTAATTACAGGAAGAAAGGGAACAGAAGACACAGTAACCCTTTTGGGAACCATTTTCAAATGGAGAACTGGGAACTCATCTCTCTTCATTACTTAATTTTGAGGGAAGGGGAACTATGCTGAAGTGTTGAGCAGCTGGATAGCTGTGGCTGTCATTTTTTTTTTTAAGGGAAAGGGTCTCACTCTGTCACCCAAGCTGGAGTGCAGTGGTGTGATCATATCTCACTGTAGCCTCCAATTCCTGTGCTCAAGTGATCCTCCTGTGTGGCTGTCATTTAATAGACAGCCTATTGAGAGGCTTCTAGGAGGAAGATTGGCAAACTGAATACAGGGCAATTTTCAGATATAATAATAACAACTTGATTTTGTTTGTAGTTGAGAAGGTTGGCTATTGTTTTTAGTTAGGGGATTTAAATAACTTCTTTAAAACAGCTCCCAAAGGGAAGGGAAGGTAAACTCAAGTGTTATTATGAAGTATAATGGTCTGTCCCTCCAAGTGATAAGTTTGATTCACTGCTAGCAGAGCCAGTTCTGCTTGGCACCTCCCCAGTACTAACTGCCTCTGGCCAAAAAGCTACCAGGCCCTGGTGCCAGATCCTGGGTGTCATGAGCCAAGTAAGAAGAAGGGAGTAGATGGGGAGAGAAGATAGCTGAGGCAAGCTGTCTCTCCCAGAGAGATGGGTTACAACAGAATCCAATGCAAGCTTTTATTGGAGAGACCTATGTGTGGAGACAATAGGCCTACTTTTTAAATTTCCACAAAATGAACTAGGTACAGAATACCACTATTTTATTCATTCACTTGACAAATATTTACTGAGCATCTACTATGTGCCAGGTACTTTGATAAACACTGGGAGTAAACTGTTGAACAAAACAGAAGTGTCCCCTGCCCTCAGGGAGCTTACTGTTTCATAGGCAAGGTGAGTGAAAAGCAAGTAAACACACAAATATAGAATTACAGATGGCAAAAGAAAAAATACAGGTGGGGCATGGACTAAGGGTCAGGATGGTGTCGCCATGGTGGCCTGGCATTTAGAGTGAGTTCTGAATAAAGAGAAGGGAGCCACCTTTCAGGCTGAAGGGAACGTGTGTGAAAGCACTTTTGGGATTCAGGCTCTTGAAGTCGCTGGTCAGGCAGGAGGCTCCCTGAAATCTGCTCCACTTTTTGCTCCTCACTGTGCAAACCAAAGTGCTCTAGGCTTTGTGGTTGCTCAGGGCACAGAGGACCAGATGGGTTCCAGAGACCAGCCTGAAAGTTCCCCAGTGAGGATGCATGGTGATAGCCTGCGAGTTTCAGCCAGTTGGATGAGGTGAGCTTCCAAAATATTCTTAAACCCTACAGCCTCCGAGACCCATTTCCCAGTGATTTCCATTCCTGGTCATCACTTTCTTTCTGCAGGGGACACTTGCCTGTGGAAAAGCAGTGCCTCGCCTTGGTTAGGGTTAAAGATTGAGGCAGTGCTGGCCTTCAGGAAAAGTGCAAGCAGCAATGGAGAGAGAGCAAAAACTGAAGCCAAGGAAGCAGCCCCTGCCAACAACTTCCGTTCTTTCCCTTTCCTTCGGCATGGCTGCCCAAGGAGCCCCCAGTGACTGTTCATGGTGATCTGTTTGTTTCACAATTGACAAAGAAGGAGGGAGCCCTTTCTGACATTTTTGCCCAGAGGACCCAGATTTCTCAGTTTGAAACTGCCAAATACGCAACTTTGGGTGGATATTTGGCTGAATCACTTTGAAGGGCTTGTCAGTGCCTAAAATGGAAATTGTTAGAAAGCAGAGGAGGGTGGTTGCCAGCAACCATGAAATGGTAATGACCAAATCATTTATTTTTGCAATGAAATGTCATCCCCTAACACTACAAAGGCAGGTTTTTTCTAGCTTAGAAGTACTGACTACCTATAAAAATCTTCAAAAGTGATTCTGTGTGCCATGCACATGTACACATATACCCCATTTCTCTCACCCTCTGCCTTCCCTCCTAAACCAAGCTTCTTCCATGTTCCTGGAGCCCAGCTGCAACCTGGGATGAATTAAGATATTGGCTGATTATGAAAGGTAATCAGGCTTCAGCTATCATATAAAATGAAGGGGAGTTCATTTGGTTATTTGTAAGATGGTATGTGGCTGACTTTCTATGTGGGAAAGTCAGTAGGCTGTAATAGATCATGCCCCAAAATACGATGTGGATCTTTTAAAGATCTGTTTGAGTCTAGCTGTAGTTGCACCTAGGAGACATGATACTTAATAAGGTTTCTCCTATCTATCTATCTATCTATCTATCTATCTATCTATCTATCTATCATTTATCTGTCATCTATCTATCTGCTTCATTAGCAGGCAAATTAGGCAAGATCTCCCATTGTGTACTTTGTATTTTTAAATGCTGACACCTTTTTTCTGAGTTTAGGAGGAAGATACTGGAAAATACATTGTGGGTTGACACTGGGGAATGCAAGAGGATCTTTCTTTGAAAACAGCCATTAAGATACTATTCCCCTGGGCCAATTCCTGGGCAGTTTTAACCACATACAAAGCCCCAGGTTCTTCTTCTAGCTTTTCTATATTGACTCCTGTGTTAAGATCAGTGAAAATTTATACTATCATATAATTTATTTTAAAGTAATACTTTACAAGCCTTTGGCTTGAAAATATTTCAGTAACATCTGCACATTCAATACTGAAAAGTAAGATGGCTCCATTCTGCTCTCATTATAGTAGGCTTTGAGAGGTATCTTTTCTTTGTATCACAGTCATTAGTCCAGTGGTTGATCAGCTTCTTTTTCAACAGAAGTGGCTTTTTCCAAAGTCCTTTGTGATTGTTGATGTGGGATCTATTCTGAAAGCAGGTTTGCTGTTAAGGAAGGTTATAGGAACATTACCGTTTAGCCATGGACCTTGATCATCTGAATGTGGTAGCTGGGTGTTATCTCAGTGCATTTGAAGCTCATGCTTATGGAATCCCTGTTATGCAAGGGGTTGGGGAAGCCCACTGGAAAAAGTGGCTCCAGTGTGGATGAATCCGTCCTTCAGATTCCTTTGTAGGGTTGGCTTAAAGGGCAATTATAAATTAGTCTGTGTCATTTCTGTCCATTTCCCAACCTTTTAAGAGCTCTCCTGGCCCTCGATCTGCATGTATCTAATACCACTTTCTCAGCCTCAGTTTCCTAATATGTAACACGAAGGACTTGGACTAGACAAGCTACAAGTTCTCCCCAAACTCTGACACTTGATAAATCTAATG
The DNA here is from genome assembly GCF_000001405.40 of Homo sapiens. NCBI lineage: Eukaryota > Metazoa > Chordata > Mammalia > Primates > Hominidae > Homo > Homo sapiens. The sequence goes on along the minus strand of NC_000023.11, from coordinate 134,623,968 downwards.
CACTTATCAGCAGAGAGGAATGTGGCTATTTTCCAACTCTTTCTTTAGTTTGGGGAAACTAATTTTATATAATGTTCTTTCCCTGTGTTTCCCTTTTAAAAGGAAAACATGACCCATTTCCGGTGTTGTAAAGTCAACACTTTGCAGCTCTGCACGAGGAAGCTTCTTTCTATGTAGAAGGGGCACAGAATGCCACGGGAACCAGGGCAGGAACCAACACCTGACAAGAGATGCAGGCACATGCGGCATGTGGGGCGGGCTGTCCCTCACAGGAGCCAGAATCATCAGTACTAGCCTCAGTCCTCCCATGCAGCTGGCCCCACTCAGAAGCATAATGGTGTGGAGCAGAGATCCCTGAGCTAGCATTCCTGGATTAGAGTGCTTACTAGCTGTTTACCTCCAGTGAGTTAATTAACCTTTCTGTGCCTCAGGTTCCTAATCTGTAAAATACGAATAATAATCACACTACTGCAGAGTACAGTTGCAAGGATTAGATAAGATCACGTGGGCATGTAAAGTGCTTAGAACAACGTGTAGCACACACATATTAAGTGCTCGGCAAATGTTAACTATTTGTCCATTGGGCTCAAATGTCCAAGTATGGATCCAGGAGTTGAAAGGTTGGATTCCACAGGGCCATCCTCCCTCTTGTGTCCAAGACTCTTTGTGGTCTAGGACAACTTTTGTGAGAACAACTTGTATCTGCTCTGGAATAGATGACTTTCCCTTTTCTATAGAGCTACTGTCCAACTAGCCCAGCCTTAGTGTCCCTGGGTTCACAAGTCAGTGATAATGACCAAAAATATGAAAAACTATCTGACGAGAGGGAAAGTGTGCTCATTGAGACCCCAGCAATAAGCAATTGTCTGCCATTGCAGAGGATTTAACAGAGCTCAGACGTGAAGGCTCTTGTAGTTGACAAAGGATCTTTAGAAAAGAATGTTCCCTGAGGGTGCTCCATGTCTACAGAGGCCCAAACAAGAGAAAACAGATTGTGGTTAGACCCAGGGAAGACATTTTTACCACACACAGATAAAATGCTGGGCCACATTCCCAAAACAGGTTATGTAGTGTCTTCCCCTGGTAAATTGGGAAAAGAGTGGCTGGCCATCTGTCCTAGATTGTTTCATAGACCACCAGAGCAGGAAGAACCCTTAGAGGTCATCATATCCAAACCTCTATTTTAAGGATTGAGAATGCTAATACACAGAGGGAGGAGATAATTGCCCTATAGTCATATAGCAAATTATTAGCAGGACCAGGATTTAAATCTTAGGCCAACACAGCTTGCCACTGCACCTTAGTTATCTCTTAAGGCACTCAAAGTGCTGTCCCTTCTAGTTCTGGAATGCTCCATGGTATCAATGTACTAAAAAAGTAACTGAGGCCCACCCAGAAGGACTCGAAGGTGTTGAGCAGTATCCAAATTGCAATTCCTCTAGTTTACCCATCCGATTTTGGAGCTCCAGCTGTCAAAGTGTTTCAGCCAAGCCTCCTCATTCAACTAACTGGTCTTAACTTACCATTTGAAAGCAGCTGTGGTTAAAGCAGAGCTTGCTGACTCAGCCCATGTAGTAAGGATGACTAAACACAAGAATTTCCTGTGGAGGGGGGAGGAGGGGGATGGAAAATATCTTTCAAATGCATTTGTTTCAGGGAACCCTTCTGATCAGTCAGGAGGTAGCCCACCGTGGGCCCATGAGGAAAAGCAGCAGGCTGTCCCCGCTCAGCACCAAGGCAGGATTTGCAGATGTTTCCTTTCTTTTTTCTAAACAACATTGTGGCTGTCTCGGCACCATTTTGGTCTGGCCAGCATTTGCACAGAGCTTCATCTGCCAACTGATACAGCCCAAAGCCAAGCGGAGCAGATGCCTTCCCTGACTGGAGGGGCCTTTCACATTCCTCTGCTCAGAGCCCAGGGGTGAATTGGGGCTGATCTGCTTTATCTCAAGACAGTTTCAATTCTGAGCCCACCTTGAACTCAAAAGAGAGGATCACTTATGCTGACCGATCAGAAAATATTGTGGGCTGGCTTCCATCTCCAGGATGCACCTTGGGGAGTTTGCAATCTGGAGTAACGTTATCATTTTCAGGTCTGAGTACCACACGGCCATTGGACAACTTCAGGAAACAAACATTGACCTTCAGTTGGGTTGCTCACCAGCTTAAAGCAGTAATCCAGTGAACCCAAAATTTGGGTAAATATTTTAAGACTGTTGGCTGGAAAAGAGTCTGCCTTGCTCAATTAGAAAGTGGAAGACACCTGGTGCATTTGGGGGTGACAGATTTTATTTACAACTTGCAAAATAGAAAAGGGCAGCAGGGAAAAAGAGAGAGTGAACATACTCAGCCATATTCTGAAAGCCATATACAACTCAAACAGTTCAGTCATTGAGGATTCAAGTCCAAGAGGCCTGCCTCACCCTCATGCTCACAAGGAGAAAACAGGACTAACTGCCTCCGAGGTCTCAAACAAGACCGAGGATTTTCTTTTCTTTTTTTTTTTTTTTTTTTTTTTTTTTTTGAGACAGAGCCTGCTCTGTTGCCCGGGCTGGAGTGCAGTGGCACGATCTCGGCTCGCGGCAACCTCCACCTCCCGGGTTCAAGCGATTCTCCTGCCTCAGCCTCTCAAGTAGCTGGGATCACAGTTGCGCACCACCACACCTGGCTAATTTTTGTAGTTTTAGTAGAGATGGGATTTCACCATGTTGGCCAGGCTGGTCTTGAACTCCAGACCTTAAGTGATCCGCCAGACTCAGCCTCCCAAAGTGCTGGGATTACAGGCATGAGCCACTGCGCCTGGCCAAGGATCTATTTTTCATAAGCAAGTAAAAATTTCTTCATCTAATGGGGGAAATGTTCTGGAACAGGCAATGTGGAGTAATGGAAAACAAACTGGTCTGGCAAGAGGAGAGGGGAGAAGGAAGGAGGGAGTGTCCCAGTTCCCTTGGGTGTGAAGGGTGACCCAAGAAGTGTAAGCTTTGAAGTGTTATCTTACTTTTCTAAGCCTGTTTCTGATTCAGTAAATACTTTAGCTACACATAGTGCCTAGTAATAATGTTTTCTGAATAAGTGAGAGTGAGAGAGAAAAAGAAAGCAATGAATATATGAATGAATATGTCAAGAAAGTGAATTAATATATGACAGAATGGTAAGGATTTGCGTAGTTCATGGAGTTGGTTTGAAGCTTAAATGAAATAATGGTTATGAGTTCTCATTTTCTAACACTACGCTTAATACATTATCTGTATACTCACTATCTTATTTGAATCTTTCGAGGCTCCTGTGAGATAGGCAGGGTAAGGACTGTCACCTGTCTGATAGAGGGAATTGAGTATCGGAGAGGTGGAGAGGCAATAGATGATGGAACTAGGGGCTCCGCATGCAGTGCTCCTTCTAACGTACCACACAACCTCTTACTTTCAGATGAAAAAGGTTTTTAAAGAAGAAAGTTCTATAGGACCACCACATAGGATCTATGACTTACAACTAAGCACCTTTTATATGAGGGCTTAAACACTGGAAGTGGGCTTAGAAGAAGAAATATCAGGCTAGGACTAACAATGCTATTGAAGATTATGGTAAGAACTTGTCAACTCAAAATACAAGAGGCCAGGGGGAAATGGTGTTGGAATGACTTGGGTTTGGATTATCTAATATTTTTGTAAAAGAACAATGGGACCTCTAGTTGGCAAGGAACTAACAGTTGCTATTTGAAATAACATGGGCCACTATAAGAAGGTTGACTGTAGACTCAAGTAAGTCAGCCAGTATCTACTTAGTTTGTCCCATCAGGTGTCTGGCCTTTCATGAAGCCATAAGCTGTTTAGCAGGAACAGACTTGTGGTCTGAGTCTTCTCCAGGTTTACATGGGTCTTAGAACCTTTGACTCATGATACTGAATGGTGCTGTTTAATAAAGTCATATAGTCTAGTCCCCATCCAGTAAAGCTATTCCTATCTGATGAGTCACTGTCCACCCTCCAGTGACAAAACAAATGAACAAACAAACAAACAAAAAACTTACTGCCTACTGTACCTATAGTTTCCAGCTTTCTGTTCTGGACAGTTATGATGGTCGTCTGTGCCATCATCATTTCTAATTGCATGGGGCACTAGGGAAATAGAGATATGTTCATTGTAAGTGTACCTCATGCAGGCAATTAGACATTGAAAACAAAATTTTCATAAAGCAAATCCTTATTTTTGTGCCCTAGATCGGCTTGTTATTTAAAGAAATCATTGATCTCTAGTTTATCATTTTCTAAAACACAGAATTAGGTTTTCTTTTTCTTTTCTTTTTTCTTTTTTTTTTTTTTGAGATGGAGTCTTGCTTTGTCACCCAGGCTCAAGTGCAGTGGCGCAATCTCAGCTCACTGCAACCTCCGCCTCCCAGGTTCAAACGCTTCTCCTGCCTCAGCCTCCCAAGTAGCTGGGATTACAGGCGCATGCCACCATGCCTGGCTAATTTTTGTATTTTCAGTGGAGATGGGGTTTCACCATGTTGGCCAGGCTGGTCTTGAACTCCTGACCTCGTGATCTGCTCACCTCGCCCTCCCAAAGTGCTGGGATTACAGGCATGAGCCACCGCGTCCAGCCAGAATTAGGTTTTCTTAATGCAGGAGTTTTAAACATGGGGTCTGTTGCTCTTGGACTAGCTATGGGAAGCTGGGTGAATTTTTCTGAAACTATGTGCAGAATTGTGTTTTTGCTTTTACATACTTTTCTGAGAGGATCTACAGCTTTCCTCAAATTCTCAAAAGGGTTAACACCCAAAAAGGTGAAGAAAAACTGGGTGAAAAAAATGGTGGAACTATAATTGTGTTTGTGAGTCCTAAAGTATGCAGCTTCAACTGCAATTTTTTAAGAAGGTGGCTTTGTCTCTGTCAATTGCATGGTCTGGTTCTCTTCCTTCTGCTGCCTCTGAAGGATAGGTACCCATGGGACATAGTGCCAAGCTTTGACTTTTTCTCTGTCGTATTTGCAGGGTATTAACCATGCTAATAGGAGTTGAATGGCAATTGTTGTAGACTAAAATAAGGTATTATTTGATAACATTTCTAATTCCTTGTCCTCAGTTGTCAACCCCAGAGTACAGCCTATAAGGCAGACATCTTTGTTGCATGACTTCAGCTTTAGAATCAGAGAGCTCTGTGACCTTGGGAAAGTCACTTAATCTCTCTGAGCCTCAGTTTTCATCTGGCAGATGGGAATAATAACAGGGTTGTTGTGAGGATTATAAGTGAGATGATGAGGCTGGGCATGGTGGCTCACGCCTGTAATCACAGCCCTTTGGGAGGCTGAGGTGGGCAGATCGCTGGAGCCCAGGAATTCAAGACCAGCCTAGGCAACATAACGAAAACACGTCTCTACTAAAATAAAAATAAAAATAAAAGATTAGCCAGGCATGGTGGTGCACACCTGTAGTCCCAGCAACTGAGGAAGCTAAGGTGGGAGGATTGCTTGAGCCTGGGAGGTTGAGGCTACAGTGAGCCATGATCGCACCACTGCACTCCATCCTGGGCAACAGAGTGAGAACCTGTCTCAAAAAAAAAAGTGAGATGATGTATATAATGTGCTGGAAACATAGTAAGTGCTTAATAAATAGCAATGCCAATGGTACCTGTGCTGATAAGCAAGTTCTTAAGAAGATCCAAAGCTCTTTCCTGAGGATATGGATAGCTCTGTCTGGGAGCTACCTTGCTGCCCGGGGCCATGCTCAGTGGTCCATCCATGGGCATGGGAACAAAAACAGTCGGACCTTTGTCACTTTATTCAAAACATAGGGTTTGGCCTGTTCAACACTTGTACTCTGCTAGAAACTGTTGAGGAGCCCTGAAACCATGTTTGACTATTAAACCCAGAAGTTCTATGTAGGGAAAAGGGAGGAACAATTGGTGCAGTCACATCAGCTCAAAAGTTCCAGTCGGTGCTTTGACCCAGCAGCAATAATAGTGTCCAAAGGGCCTTCCCATCCCTGTTCTCATTTTATCCTCAAAACAGCCATATGAGGTAAGCAGAGCAGGTGCTGGAGAAGCCACTTATTGCAGCAATGATACAAGCAGGTCCAGAAGTTTTAAGGACTTTGTGAAAATGCAGTGGTTTGTAAATAAGTAAAATTCGTGTGTTAGCAGGAAATGTTTATTGGGTATTCGTTTTTGAATATTGAGTTTATTGAGTATAACTGAATATAGCACAGAGCTGGGCACATGGAAAGGCTTATATAGTCAGATTGGTGTGGCAAGAATTCCATGACAATGCATCAAAAAGATTATATATCATGACCAAGTGGGATTTATCCCTGGGATGCAAGGTGAGTTTAACATACACACATCAGTCAATGTGATACACCTCATTAACAAAATGAGGCTAAAAACCACCTGATCATCTTAATAGATGCAGACAAAGTATTTGACAAGGTTCAACATCCTTTGTTGATACAAACTCTCAACAAATTAAGTATAGAAGGAACTTACCTCAACACAGTAAAGACCATTTGTGAAAAGCCTGCAGCTAACATCATAATCAATGGGGAAAAACTGGAAGCTTTTCCTCCTCTAAGATCCAGTACTAGGCAAGGATCCCAATCTCGCCACTTCTATTCAACATAGTATTGGAAGTACTAGCCAGAGCAACCACACACCTTTTTTGAAAGGCATCCAAATAAGAAAGGAAGAAGTAGGCCAGGCATGGTGGCTCATGCCTGTAATCCCAGCACTTTGGGAGGCCGAGGCAGGCAGATCACTTGAGTTCAGGAGTTCGAGACCAGCCTGGCCAACATGACGAAACCCTGCCTGTACTAAAAATACAAAAATAAGCTGGGCATGGTGGCTTGTACCTGTAGTCCCAGCTGCTTGGGAGGCTGAGGCACGAGAATCGCTTGAACCCGGGAGGTGGAGGTTGCAGTGAGCCAAGAACGTGCCAGTGCACTCCTGACTGGGCAAAAGAGCCAGACCCAGTCTCCCCACCCCCCCACCAAAAAAAAAAAGAAAGAAAGAAAAGAAAGGAAGAAGTAAAATTATGCCTTTGTAGATGACGTGATGGCGGCTGCCTATAATCCCAGCTACTTGGGAGGCTGAGGCAGGAGAATAGCTTGAACTAAGGAGGCGAAGGCTGCAGTGAGTCGAGATCGCACCACTGCACTCCAGCCTGGGTGACAGAGCGAGACTCTGTCTAAAAAAAAAAAGTGATATTCAGATTTGATGTAATCCCTATCAAAATTCCAGCAGCATTTTTCACAGAAAGAGAAAAACAATTCTAAAATTTGTGTGGAACCACAAAAGACCCCAGATAGCTGAAGCAATTTTTTTTTGTTGTTTTGTTTTTTTTGTTTTGAGACGGAGTCTTGCTCTGTCGCCCAGGCTGGAGTGCAGTGGCGCAATCTCGGCTCACTGCAAGCTCTGCCTCCCGGGTTCACACCATTCTCCTGCCTCAGCCTCCTGAGTAGCTGGGACTACAGGCGCCCGCCACCATGCCCAGCTAATTTTTTGTATTTTTAGTAGAGATGGGGTTTCGCCATGTTAGCCAGGATGGTCTCCATCTCCTGACCTCGTGATCTGCCTGCCTCGGCCTCCCAAAGTGCTGGGATTACAGGCGTGAGCCACTGCGCCCAGCTAAGGTGAAGCAATCTTGAGAGGGAAAAAGAGAGAAAGTTGGGGGCACTTTCTGATTTCAAATTATATTACAGGCAGGTGGTCCAGTGGCTCATGCCTGTAACTCCAGCGCTTTGGGAAGCCAAGGTGGGAGGATAGCTTGAGTCCAGAAGTTTGAAACCAGCCTCAGAAACACAGCAAGATCCTGTCTCTACAAAATAATTTTTTTAATTAGCTGGGCATGGTGGTGCATGCCTGTAGTTCTAGCTACCAGGGAAGCTGAGGTAGGAGGATTACTTGAGCCCAGGAGTTCAAGGTTACACTGTGCTATGATTTTGCCACTGCTCTCTAGCCTGAGTGATGAGCAAGACCCTGTCTCTTAAAAAAAATTATATTAAAAATCTATAGTAATCAAAACAGTATAACTCTGGCATTAAAAAAACACATAGACCAATAGAATAGAATAGAGAGCCCATAAATAAACCCAAGCATACACAGTCAACTAATTTTTAACAAGGGTGCCAAGAAGACACCATGGGGAAAGGGCATCTCTTCAACAAATGGTGTTGGGAAAACTGGATATCCACATTCAAAAGAATGAGATTAGACTTTTATACCATACATACAAATCAACTCAAAATTGGTTAAAGGCCTACATATAAGACCTGAAACCATAAAGCTAGAAGAAAACCTAGCAGAAAAGCGCCTTGACATTAGCTTTGGCAATGATATTTCAGATATCACACCAAAAGCTCAGATTACAAAAGCAAAAATAAAGAAGTGAGACTACATCGAGCTAAAAGCTTCTGTACAGCAAGGAAAATAATCAACAAAATGAAAAGGCAGCCTACAGATTGGGGGAAAATATTTGCAAATAATATATCTAATAAGGGGCTAATATCCAAAATATGTAAGGAACACACACAACTCAATGGCAAAATAAATCAATAAATAACCTGATTTAAAAATGGGCAAAGGATCTGAATAGACATTTATCTAAAGAAAACATACAAATAGCCAACAAGTATATGAAAAGGTGCACAATATCACTAATCATTAAGGAGATGCAAATCAAAATCACAATGAGATATCCCCTACATCTGTTAGGTTGGCTATTGTCAACAAGTCAAAAGATAACAAGTGTTGGCAAAGATGTGGAGAAAAAGGGACCCACCTGTACACTGCTGGTGGGAATGTAAATGAGTAAAGCCATTGTGGAAAACAGGATAGAGGTTCCTGAAAAAATTAAAAGTGGAATTACCATATGGCCTATCAATTCCCCTTCTGGATATATACCCAAAGGAAATGAAATCAACACCTTGTAGAGATATCTGTCCTCCCATGTTCATTGCAGCATTAATCACAATAGCCAAGATTCAGAAACAATTTGTGTCCATGGATGGATGCATGGATAAAGAAATTGTGGTGGCCGGGCACAGTGGTACACGCCTGTAATCCCAATGCTTTGGGAGGCCGAGGCAGGAGGATAGTTTGAAGCCAGGAGTTCGAGACCAGCCTGTGCAATATAGTGACACCCTATCTTTACAAAAGTAAAAAAAAAGAAAAAGAAAAAAAATTAGCTGGGCATGATAATGCACATCTGTAGTGCCAGCTACTCAGGAGGTGGAGGTAGGAGGATAGCTTGAGCCCAAGAGTTTGAAGCTACAATGAGCTATGATGGCACCACTGCACTCCAGCCTGGGCAACAAAGTGAGACTCTATCTCTATATAAAAAATGAAATTGTGGTATGTATGTATATTGTGTGTGTGTGTGTGTGTGTATCATATATACAGAATACTATTCAGCCTAGAAGAGAGGGTGATCCTGCCATTTGTGACAACATGGCTGAACCTGGAAGACATTAGGCTAAGTGAAATAAACCAGGCACAGAAAGAAAATACTGAATGATCTCACTTATATGTAGAATTTTTAAAAAGAGCTGATGATGTACAGCATAAGGACTATAGTTAATGACATTATATGTAATTTCCTAAGAGAGTGGAGTTTAGATGCTCTTACCACACAAAAAAGTACTTATGTGAAGTGATGGATATATTAATTTGCTTGATTGTATTATTTTACTGTATATATATATACACATCATGTTATACACCTCAAATATATATGCAATAAACATTTTAAAAGAATATGTGAAAGTAAAATCATAAGAAAGTATAACTAGACACTGGGTGGTCTGGTACAGCTAAGAGCTGTGAGACTGTAGCAAAGGGAAGATGTAGGTCGGTTGCAGGATCCAGGGAAGGCTTCCTGGAGGAGGTGGGCCCTGGGCTGCTAGGGAGGTGGAGGGAAGCAGTGTGGCAGGCAGATAAGCAGGAGCATAGAGGCTGGGATGAGCAGGCTGGGGGAATGGAGGGGCTCACACAGTGGTCAGCCGGGGGGTCGCTTTGGGAAATAGTGGTAATTTTGATTAAAGAGGTTATGGAAGGCATTGATTGCTCAAACAAGGGAAGGGGACTGGACTTGATTTCGTAGGCGGTGAGGGGCTGTGAGGTATGGCAACAGAGCGGCAAGAAAAGGCAGTGGAGTTGGGAGAGTCCAGCTGGGAGCCAGGAGTAAGAATCTAGCCATCAATGATCAGAGTCTGGGCTAGGACGAAGCCATAGAAACAGAGAAAGGGGAAGGATGAAAGCGCTCACTGGTCTCTAGAGCCTTTGCTTGGAGTAACACAAAGACCTTTCTCTCTGTAAGGAGCAAGTCCATTTTTGGTCTTTATATTTCTACAGCATGAGAAATGCCTCTTTCATCCAGGAGCACGTGCCCTGCTTGAAGAAAACCAGGCAAGACAGCTTGCAAAGGAGAGAGCCTGGGAGATGACTTTTCATGTTGCACAATGGTTCTTCACCAAAGGAGTCACAGAGGGTCTTTTGACATAGACACTGCCCTAACTTATGTGCAAGTTACTGCCCTGCATCCTAGGGAGGCTTTGGGGTGTGGGATGACAAAGTACCTCCACAGTCCCCTTCCTCCGCCTCTGCCCATAGTTCTACTTGATGTAACAGGTCTTGTGAGTCTTTTCAGGTGGGAAAATGCTCTCTCAGCCTTCACAGGTCAGTCATGAACCTGATCCCACATGGACACAATTCTGTTGACATTTTAGCATGAAAGGTACAAAAGGGAAATCTGCAAAGGGGTCTCAGGATTCAGTTCCCTGGATCGTCCTGTGCATTTCTTTCTCAGATTTGAGGTTTTTCCTTTTATTTTGGAGATGGGGCCTCACTATGTTGTTCAGGCTGATCTGGAACTCCCAGGCTCAAGTGATCCTCCCAACTCAGCCTCCCGAGTTGCTGGGGTTACCAGTGTTAGCCACCCAACCCATCTCAGATTTGAGCATTTCTTTCAGAAATATGAGTGAGGTGGTTTCATGTGGAGACCCCTCTGAGGCTCTGAAGCATCATTTCTACCTGCTATGTGTGCCTGAGAAACCCATGCCTGGCCCAATCCCCATATACCCTCAAGTACAAATGGGATAATAGGACCCCCTGGGGGTCCATGCACTTGACCAAGGTTGCTCTTAGAGGCTGGATTCAGCACAGATTCAGCTACTCCGGCTCAGGGGCAGGGCAAAGCAAAGGTACCAATACATTCATCTGGCTGGAAAAGGAGGATTTTGTTTTTACGAACTTTAAAGGAATATAAAAATGACTTTGTTGTGATTGAATTGCCTTGCTGGATGAAGTGCCCTGTGGCTCCAGGGCTTAGAGAGGCTTGTATGGAGACTGTGTATTTCCTTATGTATGTTTCTATATAGATATATTTCCTTATATACAAACATCTGCACAATTGTGTTTGGGAGCCCCAGGCTAAAACTAAGACCCTGACATGTTTGAAACTTTGCTGGATAGAAACTAGGGGTGGAGAAATCCTGTTTAATTGCTGCAAGTAGTTTTTAGCTTATAAGAGATGAAACATTTGATATTCATTTAGGACAAACTCTTCCTGTTTTAATGATAGCATCTCCTATGTATTGAGAGCTTCCTATGTGTCCGGCACTGTGCTAAACGCTTTACATACATAATCTCATTTAATCTTCACAGTGTCCTTAAAAGTGAGGTACTATTGTTGTCCTCCATTTTACAGAGAAGGAAAGTGATGGGAAGAGAGGTTGAGGGACTTGATTAAGGCAAGGTGGCTAATAGGTGGAAAGCTGGGGTTTGAACTGTAGTCTTAATGACTGTGCAAAACATCCTTGTGAGAACTACTTAAGTTTCTTCTCCCTGCAAATTTAAAGCAAATACTTTCTAATGAAATCAGGTGTGGTACAAGAAGCAAAAATGGCTTTGCAAGGAGGAAGATATACAAAGTCATCTACCAGGGAGGCAGAGTAGCATTTCTGCAAACTAGTTTGCTATTGGAGCAATTACATCTCGGCTGAAGAGAGAACAAGTACGGTGAGGTGATGGAGTGGAGTTTGACTTTGAGTCCCTTGAGTGCAAGAAGGCCAAGAGCCAGAGGCTGACAGGCCTGAGAAACCATAGCACCCATGGAGCTGCTTCTAAGCCCAGGGGTTCAAGTGTGACCTAGAGTTGGGCAGAGCAGACAACCAGCTCGTTGCACTAAACCTACACCTGCCTTGTGTCTCGTGCCTTTTTATCATGGTAGTTTTTAACTCGTTATTTCTGGCACACTGGAAAGTTTTCATTTTTGGGTTGTCCACTGTGCATCTAACTACCGCATTGAACTCTTATTCATTCTTTTGCGAAATTTTAATTCAGTTACACCTCTTGGGTTTCTAGATATGCAAGCATATCATTGCAAATATATATGCATATATATATACATATGTATATATGCATATATATACATATGTGTATATGCATATATACATATGTATATGTATGTGTGTGTGTGTATATATATATCTATATATATAATCTATATATCTATATCCACTTTACAGATAAAGAAACTAAGGCACTCAGAGAGGTTTAGAAATTACTCTAGGTCAGACAGCTAATAAGTGATAGTGCACAGATTTAAAAATAGGCCTACCTTCAGATCCTGAGCTGTAAAGTACTATACAATATCTCTCATACATAAATTACATTTTTATAAAAATGAGATGACACTGTATACATTCTTTGTAATGTCCTTTCACTTAATAACTTTCTTATATGCCTAGATGTATTCAATAACATAATTTTAAGGATGTATAAAATACCTTTATCATAAAAGTATAGGCCAAGCGTGGTGGCTGATGCCTGTAATCCCAGCACTTTGGGAGGTCAAGGTGGGCAAATCACTTGAGCCCAGGAGTTCGAGACCACCCTGGGCAACATGGCAAAACCCCATCTCTACAAAAAAACACAAAAATTAGCCAGCCATGGTGGTGCATACCTATAATCCTATAAGCTACTCAGAAGGCTGAGGTAGGAGGATGCACACCTATAAGCCTATAAGCTACTCAGAAGGCTGGGGTAGGAGGAACACTTGAGCCTTGGAGGTGGAGGTTTGCATGAGCCTTGATCATACCACTGCACTCTAGCCGGGGCAACAGAGTGAGACCCTGCCTCAACAAAAGTAAAATAATTAACATTTATTGAGTGCTTAAGATGGATGAGACATCTTAACATGGATTATTTCAAATAAATTTGTTTACATGAGGCAGGATTACTGGTTGTTGTAGTCATATCAGTTCAGAAACTCCAGCTTGTCACTCTCCTACTTGCTGGCACCCCAGCCTGTCACCCTCGACCAGCTTTGGAGCTGTGGGATCTGCATGGATTGTTATGCTATCCAATGCAAAATGCCCTTGTTTTATTCATATGGGTAAGGAGCAAGCAGCAAGTATCTGGACTGAGCACAGGGCATGGCAAAGGCAGCCAGAGTGACCCTCCACGTTGACAAGGATTCCTGGGAGGATTTAACATTACTAGTCTAAATTAGGGACCAAGGAAAACTGTTCTCATCTAGTTTCCTGGAAGCTTTGCAATGATACTGGAACCCTAGGAAAACCATGGCCGAGAAGAGATTTTAGGAGGTACAGGAGCCAAAGGTGAAGAGACACCATTGGTGGGTTGAGGGGGACCAGGTATAGTGAAAGCATCAACACTAACATCTTGCCCACAAATAAGATCCCTTCCAGCCAGGTGCGGTGGCTCACGCCTGTAATCCCAGCACTTTGGGAGGCCAAGGCAGGTAGATCATGAGGTCAGGAGTTCAAGACCAGCCTGGCCAACATGGTGAAACCCCGTCTCTACTAAAAATATAAAAATTATCCGGGTGTGGTGGCGCACGCCTGTAATCCCAGCTACTCAGGAGGCTGAGGCATGAGGATCGCTTGAACCTGGGAGGCAGAGGTTGCAGTGAGCTGAGATTGCGCCATTGCACTCCAGCCTGGGTGACAGAGCGAGACTGTCTCAAAAAAAAAAAAAATTTCTTCCACTGATGCACAATGTCTATTTAATGCTGCTATGCTTATACTATGAACTGAACTTTGTCTCCTCAAAATTCACATACTGAAACTCTAACCCGAAATGTGATGGCATTTGGAGGTGGGGCTTCAGGGAGGTACTTAGATTTAGATGAGGTCATGAAGGTGGGTTCCCCGTGTTGGGATTTGTGCCCTTTATAGAAGAGGAAAAGACCAGAGCTTGGAACTCCCTCACTTTCTCTTCACCCAGATGCACCAAGGAAAGGCCACGTGAGGCAGGAAGAGGGCCTTCACCAGGAACTGAATTGGACAACACCTTGATCTTGGACTTTCCAGCTTCCAAAACTGGGAGAAATCAATGTCTGTTGTATATATTTTTGCTATGGTGGCCTGAGCAGACTAAGACACTGGCCATTTACTTCAACTGATTGCCTACATTTTGAAAGTGTTAGAGAAGAATGGTTTATGCTTCTCAGATGGCTCTCAGAATTACGTTAGAAAATATATTTTATTCATTCTTTAAGAAAAATCCGCAAACAATTACCGAGTACCTGCTATGTGCCAGGCACTCTTCTAAGCAGTGACCAAGGCAGACATGATCCCTGCCTTCGTGTAGCTTACAATCTAATGGAAAAGGCAGATATTGAACAAATAATCTTATAAATAGTGATGTTATTTCCAGTTGTTATGTGGTGCTAATGAAGAAGTGAAGGAGCTATGAACAGATATAAGAGGGGCCCATGACCTGAAGAGGGAGGATGAGATGGCTTCCCTGTATGTGTGCATGCGCTTTCCAGGGCATGGTGGGAGATGACAATGACATTACTAGCAGAAAGAATGGCACCACAGGCCAGGTGTGGTGGCTCATGCCTATAATCCTAACACTTTGAGAGGCTGAGGAAGGAGGATCATTTGAGCCCAGGAGGTCAAGGCTACAGTGAGCCATGATTGCACCACTGCACTCCAGCCTGGGTGGGAGAGTGAGACCACTGTCTCTAAAAAAAGAAAAAGAGGCCGGGCACGGTGGCTCACTCCTGTAATCCCAGCATTTTAAGAGGCCGAGGTGGGTGAATCATGAGGTCAGGAGGTACAGACCATCCTGACCAACATGGTGAAACCCCGTCTCTACTAAAATATAAAAAATTAGCCGGACATGGTGGCGGGTGCCTGTAGTCCCAGCTACTCGGGAGGCTGAGGCAGGGGAATCACTTGAACCTGGGAGGCGGAGATTGCAGTGAGCGGAGATGGCGCCACTGCACTCCAGCCTGGCGACAGAGCAAGACTCCATCTCAAAAAAAAAAAAAAAGAAAAAAGAAAAAAAGAAAAAGAAGAGTGATACAATTTGATGGAATAAAGCACATTTACAGTGTTCTCCAACCACCACCACTATTTCCAGAACATTTTCATCATCCCAAAGGAAATCCTATGCCCCTTTAAGTACTCACTCCCTGTTGTTCCCTCCTCCTTGCCCTACATAACCACTGATCTATTTTCTGTATCTGTGGATGTGAACATTCTGGATATTTCATGTAACTGGGATCATATAGCAGTCTTTTTGTGTCTGGCTGCTTTCACTTAGCATAATGTTCTCAAGGTTTATCCAAATTGTAGCATGTATCAGCACTTCATTCCTTTTTATGGCTGAATAATATTCCATTGTACTGATAGACTACATTTTGCTTGTCCGTTCATCAGCTGATGAACATTTGGATTGTTTCAACCTCTTGGCTATTATCAATAGTGCTGCTAAACATTTGGGATACAAGTTTTTGTTTGAACACCTATTTCCAATTCTATTGGATATGTATCTAGGAATAGACTTGCTGGGTCATATGGTAATTCTGTGTTTAACTTACTGAGGAACAAGAAAATAGCACTACTTTTATTGTTGTAAAGAAAAACTCAACAACCAAAACATAATCATATGGAGATATATATTTGTATTTTTCTTTTGCAGCTTGAAGGAATACACATTTGTTGTCTCCATTTTTATGGTTCAGTCCAGGCACAGCTTAGCTGGGTCCTCTGCTCAGTGTGTCATGAGCCTGCAGTCCAGGTGTTGTCTAGGATGCATTCTCATCTGGAGATCTGGAGCTTGGGGTCCGCATCCAAGGTTGTTCAGGTTGTTGACAGAATTGAGTTCCTTGCTGCTCTAGTGCCGAGGCTCTCACCTCCCGGAGGCTGCCCCTCTCTCCACAACCTTGTTTGCTTCTTCATGTCCAGCAGGAAATGCTGTCTCTCTTCAGGGAGGGCTAATAGCTTTCACTTGATTACATCAGCCCCACCCAAGATAATGTTTTTTATGTTTTGTTACAGTCCAGAGGCCTTTTTTTTTTTTTTACATATATACCTATTATGCCATGAATTCATGCGGAGTAGGTTCCAGCAGCTCCGGCTCCTTCCCACTGGTTCTTGCACAGTGTGCTTCTCTGGGTGGAGCGGGCTGGTGCTTCAGTTGAACCCAGGTACCTTTCTCTTTGGCTTCCTTTTTCTCTGAACAGTTTCCTTCATGCAATTCAGGATGCTATTTTTTGGCTCTTAATAAAGTGCTTAATATGCTCAATATGCACATTAATTCTCTTGGCAAGAATCTTAACCTTGTGTTTTTAAAATAATGCCAACAGCACACTGGGTAACAATGTAGGCTCTTCCAGTTTTGCCATGAAAACATTTGTGGGGTATTCCTTTCTGAACAGTGCCCATTCCCTTGATGTCTACAATATCACCTTTCTTGTAGATTCACAGGTATGTGGCCAAAGGAATGAACCCACGTTCTCTAAAAGGCCTAGAGAACACGTATTGGGTGCCTCTTCTCTTTCCCTTTGTGTTCATTATTTTGGCAAAATACTAGAAGATGGTGGTTCTGGCCAAAAGTGATCATCTGTCTTTTTTATTAACTCAAAATCAGCTGATATGTGACTTTAATTACATCTTGAAGCTATATTTTAAAATATTTTGTACAGATGTAGAGGGTACAAGTGCAGACTTCCTACATGCATATATTGTACCATGGTGGAGTTTGGGCTTTTGATGTACTCATCACTCGAATAGTGAACATTGTACACAATAGGCAATTTTCTGCAAAACACATGATTTCATTCTTTTTTATGGCTGGGTAGTGTTCCATGATGTATAGCTACCATATTTTCTTTATCCAATCCACCACTGATGGACGCTTAGGTTGGTTCCATTATCTTTGCTATTGTGAATAGTGCAGTGATAAACATGAGTGCAAGTATCTTTGTCATATAATGATTTATTTCCCTGTAGGTAGATACCCAGTAGTGGGACTCCTGGATCGAATGATATTTCTAATTTTAGTTCTTTGAGAATGGATCAAATGACATTTCTATTTTTTGTTCTTTCAGAACTATCCCTACTGTTTTCCTTAAGTTGTGCTAATTTACATTCTAACCAACAGTACATAAGCATTCCCTTTTCTCCACATCCTCACCAACATCTATTTTTCTTTTTAATTATAGCCATTCTGACTGGTGTAAGATGGTATCTCATTGTGGTTTTAATTTGTGTTTCTCTGATTAGTGATGTTGAGTGTTTTTTTCACATGTTTATTGGCCACTTGTATGTTTAAAGCTATATTTTTAAGCATTATGATAAGCAATCTAGCCAGATTAGTGACAAAATGAACCCTACTCTCAAGGAGGAGAATCCAAGTGAGTAATTCAGCACACGCACATCACTACAGTTAGAAAAACTACACAAATACAACTTTTTTTTTTTTTTGAGATGGAGTCTCACTCTGTCACCCGGGCTGGAGTGCAGTGGTGCGATTTTGGCTCACTGCAGCCTCCGCCTCCCAGGATCAAGCGATTCTCCTGCCTCAGCCTCCTGAGTAGCTGGGACTACAGGTGCATGCCACCACACCCAGCTAATTTTTTTGTATCTCTAGTAGAGACAGGGTTTCACCATATTGGCCAGGATGGTCTTGATCTCTTGACCTCGTGATCCACCCGCCTCGGCTTCCCAAAGTGCTGGGATTACAAGCGTGAGCCACCATGCCCGGCCACAAATACCACTTTCTATTGGCCAACCCAGGAAGAAACATGAACTTCCTTCCTCAAGTTTGAGGCTGGAGTCTTTGTCTTAGCCTTCAGTCACTAGAGTAAGACTGGTGTTCTCCTCATCCAACCATGAACACATTGAGGACAAGGGCACATCTGAGTCATCTCTGTCATCCCAGTGCATGGCACAGTCAACATTTGTTGGTGGAAGGAAGGCAGGAATGCCACCCATCCCCCCCGGGGAGATGGTCTTGGGCACAGTCTCTCTTTGCATTGCTCCTGCAGGGTACTGAGCCACCTCTACCCTCACAGCAACCTCCTCTCCATCATCCATCACTTCAGGTCACTCAATGATGAGCAAGCCAGCTGATAGCACTTTTTAGCTACACAAATGGATAAATCACAGAAACCAACATTTGTCAGACTCAGCTATCCTGATTCTTCTTGTGAACAAAATGATCATTAATTCCTTTAGACGAGTCCCCCAGTCTCCAGCCATTTGTCTCCTTTCCCCATGGGCAAATAAAAATGGGAATCTTATTAGTGGTCTCTAGTCATCTCATAGCATTGCGGGGAGAGCTGAAGCTGGATGAATGGACATCCCTGAGCTTGTGGAGTTCTCACCAAGTGGGCAGTGACTGGGTATGATCCCCTTTGGAGCCTGTCACTGCTGTTGACATTGAAAATACCGGTGTGGAAACAAATGCTGTCTTTGTCACAGGCTCAACTACAGGGGCCTCTCCTTCCCTAAGCTGGCAGCTGAGACTAAGTACTTGAGATCCCTGGGCCAGCTGTTGTGAAGTAAACGCCAGGCAGTAGGTAAGGCAAGATTCAGAACTGGGCAGAAAGCCAGGCTGGAGAGGGAGCACTGATAGGAGGGGAGCACAAAAGTTGGCAAACAAATGCTTTCCAAGTAGGTTTTAAAAAACACAATCTGGCCTCTAAAGTAGACAAAGCACCAATGGGGGGTGCAGGGGTGGGGGTGCTGCCTGAAAATGCCTGCTCTGACTATCAGCTCAAGAAGATTCTAGAACTGGAAAGGCACTGTGAGCAATGTTTCCCGAGGAGGCTTCCCTTGGAGCACAGAAAGATAGCCACACCCTTTGAAGTTAGCTGGGAGCTTACAAAGGGCAGTGTTGTTTCCACTAAGGAAGAATGATAGCCCTGCATAATGGTGTCCTTATTCTGTAAACCCCAGACCTTGTGCGATGAGGGGCAAGTGAGCCTGCAGGCCCCAGCAAAGGGGGAGGAAATGGTTGGCAAAACACATACTTTTAGCTTGCTTACTGGTCAACATGGAAGGTCTTCCCTAGGAAGATGGTGTGGTCAAAGTCAGGGGTCTGTTTCAACTCTCTTCCAAGGATGATTGCTAAATCATATCAAGATACCTTTTTAATTTGATGATGGCTGATGTAAGTTTCCAAATGCTTGCATCTTCTGTCATGTTTGATGTATTTCAGTGAATCATGCCACAAGCTGAGAGGCCCTAGAGATGAAAGGCTGATGAGAAAAAACGGATGAGCCCATTGTTTTACATCAGAATGTGAATGGTGATATTTCTGAGTAGTGGGATTCCTGTCACACAAAAGGGGAAGTCAGTAGGCTGGCAGTAGCTGCCAAGGGCAGCTTATTGGACAATTATTAGGGAATGGAATCCTAAAATTGGAATTTTAACATAGCCTTGATCAACTTTGGAATGCCTATGGTATTGCATCATACATGCTTATGTCAGGGACCACTTCCAAAATTCTGACTCATCTCCCAGGCCAATGAAACCATTTCAGCATGTGAATTACACCCCTGGTGTTGTCCAAGGGAATTTTTGTCAGCCCTGGTGCCCAGGACTGATTCCATTAGGCCTAGGAGAAGCTGTGTGGTGCAACAGAAAGAGCCATGAGGAGCCCTGAGCTCTAGTCCTAGCTCTGTTGCCAATTAACTGTCATTCCAAGTGAATCTTTTAGTGAATCTGTGTCTTGGTTTCTTCAGCAGTTGAAAAGAGACAGTTGAATTTGATGAGTTAGTCTCTTACGGCTTTAAAAATAAAAATGCATGTTTCATAGCTTGGCATTTAACAAAGAATTGTGGATATGTAAGTAATCTAATTTTATAATTTTCTTTAGGTATGAAAGGGACCTTAAACATCGTATAGTCCAACCCCTTTATCATACAGATGTAGAAACCAAGGTCCAGAAAGGGGAAGGGATTTGATCAATTAGTGCAGAATTAGGGTTAGAGATCAGGTTTCTGGATTCCCAGTCCAGTGCATTTTCCACTACATTTATTTTTAAATCAAGTAATACATGAGCATGGTTTAAAAATATCAAATAGGCAGCTGGGTGCGGTTGCTCACACCTGTAATCCCAGCACTTTGGGAGGCTGAGGCGGGTGGATCACGAGGTCAGGGGATCGAGACCATCCTGGCTAACACGGTGAAACCCCATCTCTACTAAAAATACAAAATACCCAGGCGTGGTGGCGGGCACCTGTAGTCCCAGCTACTCGGGAGGCTGAGGCAGGAGAATGGCGTGAACCTGGGAGGTGGAGCTTGCAGTGAGTGGAGATCATGCCACTGCACTCCAGCCTGGGTGACAGAGCAAGACTCTGTCTCAAAAAAGAAAAAAAAAAAAAAAAAAAAAAAAAAAAAAAAAAATATATATATATATATATATATATATATATATATATATATATATAAAATACAGAGAGCTGATAATAAAAAACAACAGTTCTCTGCCCCACTCCTCCCCATCCCCAGTCCCACTCCTCAGAGGCAACCATTTTTTAACAGATTCTGTTGGCAATTCATCTGATAGTTACTTCTGAATCTCTAAATATTACTCTGTTCCCATTCTTGATTTATCCATTTTGGACATTATCTATTAACTCCTGTTATAAAAATGGAAGATTTAGCTCACTTAACATTACTCCCAACTGCCTCTCTTTCTTCTGCCTCCCCATGGTTGATAGCAATATTTTATGAGATTTTTAAAAATTCACTTTTTAAAATAGCATGCTATTTTAAAAATTTACTTTTTTGGTGTACAGCTCTATGAGTTTAGGCAAATACATAAAGTCATGTAACTGCCACCACAATCATGATATAGAACAGTTCCATTACCCCCCAAATCCCCTCATGCTGCCCTTTGTAATTGGCTTCTCCCTTTACCCCCTACACTGATCTGTTTTGTTGCTACAATTTTGTCTTTTCCAGAATGCCCAGAAATTGAATCATATACTATATAACCCTTTGATACTGACTTCTTTCACTCAGTATAACTATTTTGAGATTCATGTATGTGTTGTTCATTCTTTTGTATTGCTGAATAGTACTCCACTGCATGGATGTACCACAGCTTATCCATTCACCAGTTGCAGACCATTTCAGTTGTTTCCAGTTTGATAGCATTATTTTTAGTTATTCTATTGGTTACTTTTTAACTGAAAATCATATACTGAAACCTCTACTTCTTGCACCATCATCCACTATATAGTAAGTAGGTCTTCTTTTTCAGAATAGTAAATGCTTTGGACTGATTGAAAAACATAATACTTTCATTTCTTTAGTCACAGTTTTAGACGGATTTAATTTGAGGGTGTGATTTTTCATGGGGTTGGGAAGGTTTGCTCAAATGCTGTCCAGCAGCCCTATTCAAGGCTACAGCCATTCTAAATGCCTCCTGTCACATAGGGGGCCTTCTCTAGTACCAGATATGCTTGTTGCTGGGAAGATACGCATGTACTTTCTGTTCTGACCGTTGCTAACTCAGGCAGTAGTTTTTGGGAAAAAGACCTTTCTTCATGTGGATTTCAGCTTTTGTCTGTCATGCTTTTTCTGTTCCAGCTGCCTTCACCAGTGAGCACAAAGCCACATTTCAAAGGAAACTGACAAATTATCCCCAGCTGCCAGAAGAAGGTTAGTTTTCTGTGTGTTCAGTGTCCCCCTTCTCTGATAACCAACAGGTTAACTTTCTAAAGGGAACTGACAAAAGCAGAAATTGTCCTTTTACCCAAATGAGTTGTGATTGTTGATTTTTTTAAAGATGTGGATTTGTAATATTCCTCTCCATTCCTACTCTAATTTATACCAGGAAATAGAGTGTAAGTGATCACAATGGAACCTCTATTGTTTGCAAGATTCATATTAATGCATTCTGGTTTTTTAAGTGCTTACAAGATCTAAATTAATTTTTAAATTAGCTAGCATAGTGTCTTTACTCAATGAGTAGCCATTTAAAGGCTGAATGATGTCAGCCCTGGCCATAGAGATTTATGTGTTGTTATATTTCATTTGCATTTTTAACCATCTTTGTACATGTGTTATGCCTCTAGCACTTATGCTGTATAACAGGAGAGAGTCTAATGCCTAGCACAGTACACTACATATAGTAGGTGCTCACTAAATGCCATTTGAATTGAAATGATCCAAAAGAGTGTCATGTATATATGATGGTAAAATATTCTGTGTTAATGCAGTGAGTCAGGCATTCTCAAACACTAATAGGAATGCAAATTGGTACAACTCTCCCACAGGGCAACTTGGCAAAATGCTCGAAAGCCTTAACAATGTTCTTATCCTTTCACCCAGTAATTCTCCTTCTAAGGATTTATCCTAAAAGGAAATAGAGATGCACAAAAAAATACAAATACATGGAAATTCATTGTGGCAATATTTAAAATAGAGAAAAAGTGGAAAAAACTTAAGTTGTCCATACTATGAAATCCTATGCAGTAACATTTATACTATGAAATGCAATGTAATTATTTAAAATCATGTTTAGAAGAATATTTAATGACATGAGTAAATGCTCATGGTCTAACTTAAGTGGGGGAAAGGAGGATACACAAACATACAGTGAAATCCCAAGTGTGTTTGTGTGTGTGTGTGTGTGTGTGTGTGTGTGTGAAGAAAAAAAATGACTAGAAAGAAATAATAGAAATATTAACAATGATTAGCCAGCCATGGTGGCACATGCCTGTGGTCCTACCTACTCAGCAGGCTGAGATGTGAGGATCCTTTGAAGTTTGAGGCTGCAGTGAGCTGTGATTGCACCACCGTGCTCCAGCCTGGGTGACCATGTCCCTAAACAACAAACCACAAAGCTATAATTATCCCTACGTTGTGGGATTATGAGTCATTTTCATTTTCTTATTTTTGTAATGAGCTTATCTTACTTTAAAATCCAAATTTTTTTAATTTGAAAGAAGTAACTACTACTTATGCTAGAGGGCTGACATTCATAAAATCCTAGTAATGAGATGTAGAACCATTTCTCCAACTAGTGTCAAATCTTCATCCTTAAAAAAAAAAAAAATGAGATCGGGTCTCACTCTGTTGCCCATGCTAGAGTGCGGTGGGCTGATCATAGCTCACTGTAGCCTCAAACTCTTGAACTCAGTGTCAACTCTTCAGATGACATGTGGATGGTTACGGCAGTGGTCAGTTTTTAGAAAAATTAAATAAAGCCCAGAAGCCATTTCAGATTTAAATGCTCTGAGGGGTGGGGTACAGTGGCTCATGCCTGTAATCCCACCACTTTGGGAGGCCAAGGTGGGTGGCTCACTTAAGCCTAGGTGTTCAAGACCAGCCTGGGCAACGTGGCAAAACCTCATTATACAAAAAATTTAAAAAATTAGCCAGGTCTGGTGACATGCACATGTAGTCCCAGCTACTCTGGAGGCTGAGGTGGGAGGATTGCTTGAGGTCAGAAGTTCCAGACCAGCCTGGGCAACATAGGAAGACCCCATTTCAACAAAGAAAAAAATGTGAAAAATAAGTCAGACATGGTGGTATATGCCTGTAGTCCGAGCTACTCAGGAGGCTGAGGCAGGAAGATCGCTTGAGCCCAGGAGTTCAAGGCTGCAGTGAGCTGTGATCATGCCACTGCACTCCAGCCTATTATTATTTCAATAATAATAATAATAATAATGCTCTGAGCCTTAGTTTGATATTGAAAGGAAAATATGTTTATCCTTTTCTCTAGGCCTAGTTAATTTTCATCCTTTTCTCTCCATCCCCACCCCTTTTTAAACTTTCCAGATCTGTGGAACAAATGTTGAGCAAACTGGAAATAAATAAAATCCAATGGCTTTAAGATACCACAAATCCCTCCCTTCCTGTGTACTAATGGCTACCTGCCCATTCTACTCCCCAGAGTGAAGGGCTAGAGTCAGCCAAAATGGAGGCTTTTCTGATTCAAACATGAAAAATGCAAATGCTCAAAAGATAGAAAAACTTAGGAAGTCTGAAAAGATTGAGACATAACATGTACAACTCTCCCTCCCCTAGATTCTTAGCTTCACGTGATATAAACTGTTGGGCTCTGCTGGGGGAAAAACCCAATCATAGAAGGCAGATATATTAGTCTGTTCTCATGCTGCTCTGCAGAAATACCCAAGCCTGGGTAATTTATAAAGGAAAAAGGTTTAATTGACTCACAGTTCCACATGGCTGGGGAGGCCTCAGGAAACTTACACTCATGGCGGAAGGGGAAGCAAACATGTCTTTCTTCATGTGGTGGCAGGAGAGAGAAGTGCTGAGTAAAAGAGAGAAAAGCCTCTTATAAAACCATCAGATCCTGTAAGAACTCACTCACTATCACGAGAACAGCATGAGTGTAGGCACCCCCATGATTCAATTACCTCCCACCAGGTCCCTCCCACGACACTTGGAGATTATGAGAACTACAATTCAACATGAGATTTCGGTGGTGACACAGCCAAACCATATCAGCAGATGTATTAAGGACAGTTCATATTTCAAAGAAATCACACAATCCTAGACCTTTAGATCTGGAAGGAAAATATTCCAGCAAGTATAGGGCTCCTTCCAAATACCAGATACTATGCTAATCCAAATGTTATCTCATAAAAAACCACCTACCATCGCACCTCATTTTATACATGAGGAAACTAAAGCCCAGAGAGGGGTTATTAACTATCTTAGCTCACATCATTTGTTGGCTGCTAAGTTGTGATAGTTCCCATATCTTCTGGAAACTCTCAAGTGAAAAGATGGGTTTTTCTAGTATAATCTTTCCTTCAGCTCCAAATATTCCAAATACTTACTGTGTACTTGTGCTTGGATGTTTTGCTAACAGCTCAAGCTAATCAGGTACAAAGTCAAACTCATGGTGTTTCCCTCATCTCCCTGTCACCCAGGATCTGAACCAAAGTCTGTTTTGCTTTTTACTGAATTTCATCCCCCACAAACAGTCTGTTAACAAGTCCTGTCAATTTTTTCCTTCAAAAACTACCGCCAGGTCCTAACATATTGTCAAGGAAACTCAACCTCTACCTCCTTAAAAAAACAACCCTTCTCGACCACTTCAGCCATACTGCTGCCTCTCTTCTGGCTTCATACAGCACTTTTAATCTGCATCACACAGTTTAGTTTAGCACTTGTCATTCAGGGGCAATTAGCATGTGCTCAGCAGCATTCACTCATGCAACAAGCATGTATTGAGTGTCTACTATATTCTACACCCTGAAATGGAGAATTCACTTTTCTTGTTTTCCCATATAGACATCAAATACCCTGAGAGTCGAGGCCACATCTTTCTTCATAGTTTCTTAAACACCCAGTGCAGTTCTGGGCACATACTGAAGATCTGTTAGTTAAAGAGCAGTACAGACTCAAGGAATCTGTCACCAGTTCAGCAGCTGACGAGCTCAGCTCAGGGGACACTTTAGTCTATAGTTCTGCTTCAACATCTCACAAGCTACACGAGTATGATCCACTCATTCAACAAAGACAACGTATTAAAATGTGAGTTTTTAACACCATACCTTCAGAGATAAGTAATGAGATCTAATAACTAATCAGAGACGTGGGATCCTAAAAGTCAACTTCTGCTTTTAGAAAGATGGAGTAGATGTACTTTTCCCTATTCCTTTCACTAAGTACAACTATAAACCCTAGTTATTATATATACAACAAACATAAGACAACCAAGAAAGGTGGAGAGAAGATAGACTGACTAAGGACCTTGAGACTCAAAGAGTGACATGAGTTCGTGAGTTCCCTGAGCTTTCTTTTTGCCTCAAATATCCCAGACTGGCTGCTAGAGAAGCTAGCAATTCAGAAACACCAGTGGGAACAGATTTTTCTAAAGTCCCAACAAAAGCCTACTCTCTCTAGCCAAAGGACCAGAAAAGGGGCATCCTAGAAAGACAGAAAACTTTTAGACCATTACTGCTCTACTATAGCCAAACACCACAGGAAAAACTGCAACCCTCACCTCCAACTGTCCATGCAAAGGCTGAGTGGTGAGCCTGAACTTCTACCCCAATTTGGCAGTAACAAGGCAACCCTTCCAGTTTTTTCTACTAGAGCAATGTCAGAAAAAAACCACTAAAACCTAAGGTTTAAATAAGATCCAGAGTCTCATGACATAATATCCAAAATGAACAGTATTCAGTTGAAAATCATTCATCATACCAAGAACCAGGAAGATTTCAAACTGAGTGAAAAAGACAGTCAATTCATGCCAATACTAAGATGATGAGATAGAATTATCTGACAAAGATTTTGAAACAGCTATCATAAAAATGCTTCAATGAGCAATTACAAACATGCTTGGAACAAATAAAAACGGAAAGTCTCAGTAAGCAAATAAGAATACATAAAGAACCAAATGTAGACTTTAGAACTGAAAAACACAATAACCAAAATGAAAATCTCAGTGAATAGGGTGAACAACAGAATGGAGGGGACAAAGGAAAAAAATCGGTGAACTTGAGTATATAACAACAGAAATTATGCAGAGAGCAAATAGACTGGAAAAAAATAACAGTCTCAGGGACCTGTAGAATTATTACAAAAGATATAACATTCATGTCATTGGAGTCCTGGGATGAGAGGAGGAGACTAGGACTGAAAAGTATTTCAAGGAATAATGGCTGAAAATTTTCCAAATTTGGCAAAAGACATACAGATTCAAAAAGCTTAGAGAATCTCAAACATGCTAAACCCAAAGAAATCCACACTAAGACATATCATAGTCAAACTTCTGAAAACTAAAGACAAAGAAAACAATCTTGAAAGCAGACAGAGGAAAAACAATGATTTGGCCAAGCAGAGTGGCTCGTGCCTATAATCCCAGCAGTTTTGGGGGCCAAGGCGGGTGGATTGCTTGAGCCCAGGAGTTTGAGACCAGCCTGGACAACATGGTGAAACCCCATCTCTGCAAAAAGTACAAAAATTAGCCAGGTGTGGTGGTGCACACCTGTAGTCCCAGC
The DNA here is from genome assembly GCF_000001405.40 of Homo sapiens. NCBI lineage: Eukaryota > Metazoa > Chordata > Mammalia > Primates > Hominidae > Homo > Homo sapiens. The sequence continues at coordinate 134,596,726 of NC_000023.11, read as the reverse complement.
TACTCGAGAGGCTCAAGTAGGAGGATCACTGAGCCCAGGGAGGTAGAGGCTGCAGTGAGCCATGATCATGCCACACTGAACTTCAGCCTGAGTCACAGAGTGAGGCTCTGTCTCAAAAAAGAAAAGAAAAACAATAATTTGACAGAGAAACTGATAAACAATTATTTAAATGGCAGTTGATTTCTCATCAGAAACCATGTGACCAGAAGGAATTGGCACATTTTTCAAATGCTGAAAGAAAAGAACTAAATCCTATATCCCACAAAAATATCCTTCAGGAATGAAGTGGGAATCAAGACATTCTCAGATGAAGGAAAATTAAGAGAACCTGTCTCCATCAGAGCTACTCTAAAATAATAGCTAAAGGAAGTTATCTAAACAGAACAGCAATGATAAAATAAATCTTGGAACATCAAGAAGCAAGAAATAATACAATAAGCAAAAATATGATGAACACAATAGACTTTCCTTCCTCTTTGAGTCTTCAAAATTTTGTTTGATGGTTGAAGCAAAAATAATAATACTGTCTGATATAGTTCTAATTGCATGTAGAGGAAATATTTAAGTTGGTTATATCATAAACTAGGGAGATAAAGAGACATTAACAGAAGTAAGGTTTTTATACTTCACTCATACTGGCAAAATAACATTACCAGCAGACTGTGATAAGTTATGTATATACAATGTAATACCTAGAGCCACTCAGAATCTATACAAAGATATACACTCAAAACCACTACAGATAAATCAAAATGTTACAATATTCCCCAAAATATTCAAATACTCATAGGAAGGCAGGAAAAAGAAAACAAAATTAAAAATAAAATGGCAGACTTAGATCCTAACATATCACCAATTACATTTAATGTATATAAGGTCTAAATACACCAATTAGAAGACAGAGACTGGCAGAGTGGATAAGAAAAAATGACCCGACAGTATGTACTCTACAAGAAACTCACCTTAAATATAATGATATAAGACAACTGAAAGTAAAAGGAAGGAAACATATTTATCATACAAGCATTAGTCAAAACAAAGCATGAGTGTCTATATTAATATCAGATAGACTTCAGAGAAAGAAATTATCAGATATATATATATATATACACACATTATATATATATTATATATATAAATGGCTCAACCCACCAAAAAGATGTAGCCATCCTAAATGTTCATGCACCAAACAACAGAGCTGTTTGTGAAGCAAAATATGTGAAGCAAAAACTGATAGAACTGAAAGAAGAAAATCCACAAAGCCACAATAGTTGGAAATTTCAACACTCCTCTCTTACAATTGATAGAACAACTAGACAGAAAATTAGCAAAGATATAGAACTCAACAATACCAACAATAACAGGATCTAATCAACATGTATAGAATACTCCATCCAACACAAGCAGAATACACATTCTGTAGAACATAGAACAAGATAGACCATATTCTGAGCCATAAAAGAAACCACAACAAATTTAGAAGAATTGCAATTGTACATAGTGTGTTCTCTGACAATAATGGAATCAAATTAGAAATTAATAACAGACAGATAACAGGAAAACATCCAAACACTTGGAAAATAAACAACATTCTTCTAAATAATCTATAGGTCAAAGAGGAAGTCTCAGGAGAAATGTTTAAAATACATTGAACTGGATTGAAAATAAAACTATAATATTTCAAAATTTGTGGGACACAGTAAAAGCCACGTTGAAAGGGAAATTTGTATCACTAAATTATACATTAGAAAAGAGGAAAGGTCTCAAGTCAGTAATCTAAGCTTCCACCTCAAGAACCTAGAAAAAGAACAAATAAACATAAGGCAAGCAGAAGGAAGGAAATAATAAAGATAAGAGTTGAAATTGAAAAAAAGGAAAACAATAGAGAAAATTAATGAAACAAAAACCTGTTCCTTTGCAAAAAATAAAAAATTTAATGAAATTGACAGACCTCTAGCAAGACTGATCAAAAAAAGAGAGAGAGAGAGAAGAAACAAATTACCAGCATCAGAAACAGAACAGGGGATACTACTACAAACCCTGCAGACATCAAAAGGTTAACAACTTTATACACACAAATATAACAATGAACCAATTCCTTGAAAAACACAAACTACCACAATTCACCCAATATAAATACAGGTAGTAGCTCCATAACTATTAAGGAAATTAAATTCATAATTTAAAAACTCCCCAAACAGAGATCTCTAGGCTCAGATGGTTTCACTGGAGAATAAACATTTAAAGAAAAAGTAATGCCAATTGTACATAATGTCTTCCAGAAAATAGAAGTAGAGGAAATATTTCCCAATTCATTTTATTAAGCTCATATTACCCTGATACTAAAATCAGGCAAAAACAGTAAAAGAAAACTGCAGACCAATATCACTCATGAATGTAAATGCAAAAATTAATAACAAAATATTAGCAAACAGACTTCAGCAATATGAAGGAATTATACACCATGACCAAGAGAGGTTTATTCCGTGTATGCAAGTCTGGTTCAATATTTAAAAATCAATCAGTGTGAACCACCATATTAACAGCTAAAGAAGAAAAATCACATGATTATATCATTTGATGCCAAAAAAATGACAAAATTCAGCATCCATTCATGATAAAATCTCTCAGCAAACAGGGAATAGAGAGGAATTTCCTCAACTTGATAAACAGCATCTGCAAAAAAACCCCTACAACTAACATTTTACTTAATGGTGAAAAACTGATTGTTTTCACCCTTAGATCAGGAAAAAGGCAAGGATGTGCACTTTCACTACTCTTATTCATCATAGTGCTGGACATTCTAGCTAGTACAGAAAGTCCAGAAAAGGAAATAAAAGGCATACAGATTAGAAAGGAAGAAAGAACATTTTCTTATTTTCAGATGACATGATGGTCTGTATAGAGAATAGCAAGAAAACTATTTTTTTTAAACTCCTAAAACAAATAAATGAGTTCAGCAAGGTCAGGAGATACATGCATAAACAAAAGATAAGCATACAATTGTATTTCTATATATTAATAATGAATACATAAACACCAAAGTTAAAAATACAACACCATTTATAATTGCTCAAAAAAGACTTAGGTGTATATCTAACAAAACATGAATAAGACTTGTATGTTGAAAACTACAAAATGCTGAGGAAAGAAATCAAATATCTAACTCAATGGAGAAGCATACCATGTACTTTAAATGCTTTAAATCCATTTTAAAGATTAAGCATAAAGGTGTCAATTATTTCCAAATTGATATACATGTTTGACATAATTCCCATCAAAACAGCAACAAGATTTTTGTACAATTTTATGTCAAATTTATACAGAAAAGTCAAAGGAACACAAATAGCTAAAGCAAGTTTGAAAAAGAAGAATAAAGTGGGAGGAATCAGTTGACCCTATCATATATCTACAGTAATCAAGACTGTGTGGTATTGGTAGAAGGACAGACACATAAATCAACAGAACAGAACAGAACCCAGAAATAGTCCCATATAAATATGGCCAACTGACTTTTTAAAAGATACACACACAATTCAATGGAGGAAAGATAGCCTTTTAAACAAATGATGATGGAGAAATTGCACATCCATGGCAGAGAAAAAAGAACCTTGTAGTAGTCACGGTTCTCCAGAGAAACAGAACCAATAGGATGTGTGTGTGTTGGGGGGCCTGTTTAGAGAGAGAAAAAGAGACACAGCGCTGGGCGCGGTGGCTCACGCCTGTAATCCCAGCATTTTGGGAGGCTGAGGCGGGCGGATCACAAGGTCAGGAGATCGAGACCATCCTGGCTAACACAGTGAAACCCCCGTCTCTACTAAAAAATACAAAAAATTAGCCGGGCGTGGTGGCGGGCACCTGTAGTCCCAGCTACTCTGGAGGCTGAGACAGGAGAATGGCATGAACCTGGGAGGTGTGGAGCTTGCAGTGAGCCGAGATCGCGTCACTGCACTCCAGCCTGGGCGACAGAGCGAGACTCTGTCTCAAAAAAAAAAAAAAAAAAAAAGAGACACAGAGAGAGAGATTGATTGATTGATTGATTGATTAAGGAATTGGCTCATGGAACTGTGGATGTTGGCAAGTCCAAAATTTGCAGGGCAGGCCAGCAGGCTGGAGACTCAGGGAAGAGTTAATGTTGCAACTTGAGTTCAAAGGCAGTCAGCTGACAGAATTCCCTCTTCCTCAGGGGAGGTCAGTCTTTTCCTTAAGGCCTTCAACTGATTGGATAAGGCCCACCCCCATTATGGAAGGTAATCTACTTTACTCAAAGTCTACTGATTTACATGTTAATCTCCTCTAAAAAACAAAATACCCTCACAGCAACATTCAGAGGTGTTTCACCAAATATCTGGGTACTGTGGCCTAGCCAAGTTGACACATAAAATTAACCATCACAAAGCTCAGTCTAAGACTCATACTTTATACAAAAAGTATCTGAAAATGGATGATGGAGTTAAACATAAAAACTATTTTAAAATGTTTAAATAAACAGTAGAAAATGTTTGGGATCTAGAGCTTAGGCAAAAAGGTCTTAGACTTGATCAAAAGCACAATCCATGAAAGGAAAAATCAATAAATTGGACCTGACCAAAATATAAAACATTTGCTCTGTGAAAGAAGATGAAAAGACAAGTTATATAACATAATGGGAGAAAATATTTTCAAACCACACATCTGACAACTGACACATATCTAGAATACGTTAAGAACTTTAAAAAACTCAACAGTAAAACAAAATCCAATTAGAAAATGGGCAAAGGACATAAAGATACATTTAACCAAAGAGGAAACATGGATTGTAAAGACATGACAAGATGTTCACCATCATTAATCATTAGGGAAATGCAAATTAATACTTCAATGAGATGTCACTACATACCTATTAGAACAGCTGAAATAAAAAAACAGTGACAATACCAAATGTTGGTGAGAATGTAGAGAAACTGGATCTCTCAGACATTGCTAGTGGGAATGTGAAATGCTACAGCCACTCTGGAAAACTCTTTGGCAGTTTCATATAAAACTAAACATGCAATTACCATAGGACCCAGCAATCACACTCCTGGGCATTTATCCCAGAGAAATGAAAACTTATGTCCACACAAATTCTCATACATGAATGTTTATAACAGCGTTATTTGTTAACAGCAAAAAACTAGCAACAACCAAAATGTCCTTCAATAAGTGAGTAGTTAAACAAACCGTGCTACAATAAAAAAGAATGGACAATAACTTGGATGGACCTTAAGGGTATTACCTTGAGTGCCAAAATTGTTTGCACAAAGATCTCCACTCCTCACTCCTCTGCCATTGCAAACATGCTAGCTTCGATTCATTGGGATTCAAAAGACAAATTGGCAAAAGAAGCACCCAGGTGATTTCAATTTTGTAGCAGTGTATGAGAAGTGGCAATCTCTGAGGCAATGTTTCTTAAATATTATTATCCCATACCTGCAAGACACACATATTCACACATGTGTATGTGTACACACACACACACACATTTCCAAGATGACAGATTTTCATGCAATGAGATTTTTGCCTGTATTGATTCATTTTCAAAGATGAAAGATAGAGACCTACCTGAGCTGTGCTCGAATGAGGGGAAAGGGTGATGGTTGGTAGTGGCATAAGGAAAATAGCAGGGAAGAAAGGAAGATAACACAGAGTTGCATGAAGAGGATTGTGCTGACCTGGGCTCCAGCTCTGTAGTGCTGGTCTTGGCCATTCTCTCGACATGTGCTGTCTTCCCCATCTGCAGCCCCAACTCTGTATCTGACAACTGATGTTAAAATGTCTCTTCTGGCCAGGTGTGGTGGCTCATGCCTGTAATCCCAGCACTGTGAAAAGCTAAGGGGTGGGGTGGGGGGGGAGGGTGGATCACTTGAGGTCAGGAGTTCGAGACCAGCCTGGCCAACATGGTGAAACCCGGTCTCTACTAAAAATACAAAAAATTAGCTGGGCGTCCTGGCTTGAGCCTGTAGTCCCAGCTACCCAGGAGGCTGGTGGGAAAATCGCTTCAACCTGGGAGGCAGAGGTTGCTGTGAGCCAAGATCACACTCCAGCCTGGGTGACAGAGTGGGACTCTGTCTCAAAAAAACAAAAAAGTCTCTTCTTCAGGGAGGCCTTGCCAGATCCCGAGAATAGGTTAGATCCCTCTGTTATGCATTCTTTATTATAACACTTGCATATAACCCTTGTATCATTTATCGCAAATGTAATTACACATTTTTGAGATCAACTATCTAATACTAAGTAATGATGTGTGAATTTATCTATTTACTTCGTGTCTCCCATTTGGGACTGTAAACTCCATTAATGTAGAAACCCTGTGTTAGTTCCCTTTTTGATATTCCCAGCACCTAACACAATACTGGTCCAAAGAAGGTGCTCAGTACGTATATGTTGGATGAATGAAGCCAGGTAATAAGACCCTGATTGACTTAAACACAGTTACTCAAAATCATGTTAAGGAAAAATAAACTTTCATTTTTAATTTATTTATTTATTATTTATTTATTTATTTATTTTTGAGATGGAGTCTCACTCTGTTGCCCAGGCTGGAGTGCAGTGGCGTGATCTTGGCTCATTGCAACTTCTGCCTCCCAGGTTGAAGCAATTCTCCTGCCTCAGCCTCCCAAGTAGCTGGGACTACAGGCACGTACCACCACGCCCGGCTAATTTTTTGTATTTTTAGTACAGATGGGTTTTCACCATGTTAGCCAGGATGGTCTTGATCTCCTGACCTTGTGATCCGCCCACCTTGGCCTCCCAAAGTGCTGGGATTACAGGCGTGAGCCACCGCGCCCGGCCCATTTGTATTTATTTTCTCTCTTACAAAAGAGGAAAAACATCCCTATCCCACATTGGATAAGACTGAATAGCTACAGGGATGCCCTGGAATAAAAAGTACTGTTTGACTACATGGACTAATGATAGGAAAGCAATGGTTTCCTACCCTTTGAGTCTGGGGGTCCACTGTATTTTTTTTTTTTTTTTTGAGACAGAGTCTTGCTCTGTCACCCAGGCTGGAGTGCAGTGGTGTGATCTCAGCTCACTGAAACCTCTGCCTCCCCGGTTCAAGCAATTCTCCTGCCTCAGCCTCCCAAGTATCTGGGAGTAGAGGCATGCCCCACCACGCCCGGCTAATTTTTGTATTTTTAGTAAAGATGGGGTTTCACCATGTTGGCCAGGCTGGTCTCGAACTCGTGACCTCAAGTGATCCACTCCCAAAGTGCTGGGATTACAGGCATGAGCCACTGCGCCTGGCCCCATTGTATGTTCTTTGAGGTACAGAATCCCAAGCCCTGAATCTTCTGCACATGAAAATGCAGACATCAGTACTCATGTATCCATCACTGGAGGGGTTTCTTTCCACCCACAAAATATCCCTTGAAATCATCCAGTAGAGCCCAGGGGTTGATGGAACCATTTGCTACTCAAGCTAAAAATTACGATTTCCATCCCCCATACTTATTTTCCCCAAGGGAACAAGCGAATTAGGCAAGCACAAAGGATTTGAGAGGAGGCTGCACTTTAGACTTTGACTTTAGGACCCCAATATTCTTCCTCAGGCTTCTCCAGGTTTCCAGTTCCCTGTCACTCACATTGGAGCCCTCCCTGCCAGCCAGTTAGGAAATAGAGATTCCACCAGTGGGAGAAACTGGAGGGGTTGGGGGAACATGCTCAAAGTCGGAACACTTCAGGGACAAGTCCAACCTGTTTAGCCTCTCACACATAAGCTTGCCTTTTCTTCTCAACATACCATGATTTAGTGCCAGGCCACCTAGGTTCCCCGCATCTCCTCCACCCAGTCCCTTCAGGGAAACAGGGTCCTTTCTGGCTGAGTTCCATGTTCAGTATCCAGTGCTCTCCTCATGGCCACCTGACACCGGAGCTGTTGCTCAACCCCTCCCTTGATCGGATGCCCTGTATTGCTTGAACTCATTTTTCTCCCTGGGCCCCTAAATCAGTCAAATTTTTCCCCAGCTGCTCTTCTGCTCTCTGCTACTCTTGATTGAATTCATCCCTTCTCTCAAATGTCTCCTTCTCACTTCCTCCAGCTTGTGTTTTCTCCATCCTTCAGTATTCTCCAGGCTCCTCTCTCTCCTGGCCAATGGTGCTCTGGTGAGATCATTTTCTTCACAGCACCCTCACCCCACATCCATCCTGGGCCTGCTCCCCAGCTGTAGATGCGGTCATTTATTCACCAGCATTTTGCAATCACCAAACAACCACAGGTTCCTGTGGGTTCCCTACACAAGGAGGGTCTAACTCCAGCACACACATAACAGAAAAGAGGGTTCTACGGGAGGCAGAGGTTGCAGTGAGCCAAGATCGTGCCACTGCACTCCAGCCTGGGCAACAGAGCAAGACTCTGTCTCACAATAAATAAATAAATAAATAAATAAATAAATAAATAAATAAATAAATAAAATAAAGAGTTCTAGAAAAAAAGGGTGCAAGATTCAGATATTACTGAGTTTGAAGATGAGAGTATTTTTCAGCAAAACAGCTAGAAAATCGCTAGCTTTCCCCCTAAAGAGGGGGTAAGCTAATCAAATCATAGTTAAAATCTATTCAAGGGTGTTTTTATATCACTTTCCTATATGCATCCTCTTTGTATATAAACCTTCTTCAAAATGCTCTCAGAAAGAATACAACAAGTACCAGAACCTTATAAATTGGGCTTTTCTAGGGTCAATCACATTTTTAAGTGGGGGTAAAACTGTACCAGTTCATAGAAATAAGAAATATCTTGACAGTTGTTTTATTCTGCATGAAACGTGCCCTTTTTCTTACAGTTTGGAGGTTATGAAGGGAGGTAACAGAACAACATCGATTTTAATCCCTGTCCCCTTCCCGCACTGCCTGCCTCATTGAAAGCTAGTGGGTCTTATGAACAACCTTAAGATGCCTGCGAGCCACGGCAGAGGCCACCATGAATAGCACTTGAATGAAGTGAGAGAAAAAGGAAAATTGGGAAGCATCTTACTGGTGCCATCTCCCCTACTTACCATTTTCTGTGATGTACCTGGGCCCTCTCTTCATGAAATTGTTCTGGAGAACTGAGGGATTTAAAGGGCTACGCCTCCCTAGAGCAGTCTGCATCTTAACAGGATCCACAAGTGGAGGCTTTTTTTTTTGAAACAGGGTCTCACTCTGTCACCCAGGCTGGAGTGCAGTGGCACAATCATAGCTCACTGCAGCCTCGAAATCCCAGGCTCAAGCGATCCTCCCAGCTCAGCCTCCCAAGTAGCTGGGATTATAGGTGCCAACAACCATGACCGGCTATTTTTTAAATTTATTTATTTATTTATTTATTTATTTTTGTAAAGACAGGGGTCTCATTTTGTTGCCCAAGCTGGTCTCAAACTCCTGGCCTCTAGTGGTCCATCTTTCTTCCTCGGCTTCACAAAGTGCTGGCATTATAGGCCCCAGCCACCGCACCCAGCCCATAAAGGGAGGCTTAAGGAAATGTCTGACTTCTGTGGGGAGAGAACCAGCTGTGGAGTGAGCTCAGCCTGGCCTTGACTCCTGGTCACTTACTAGGATGTGACCTGCATGAGCAAGTCATCCAAAGTCTCTAGGCCTCAGTTTCCTCCTCTCTCACATGGGAATAATAACAGTCCCTACCTCAGAACACTGTGAAGCCTACATGAAGCAAGGCTCACAAAGCCCTAAGTGCAGTGCCTGGCATGTTGTTAGTACTCCATAAATGTTAATGTGGGCTGGGCGCGGTGTCTCATGCCTGTAATCCCAGCACTTTGGGAGGCTTAAGGCGGGCAGGTCACTTGAGGTCAGGAGTTCGAGGCCAGCCTGGCTAACATGGTGAAACCCCATCTCTACCAAACACACACACACACACACACACACACACACACACAAATTAGCTGGGCGTGGTAGTGCACACCTGTAGTCCCAGCTACTCGGGAGGCTGAGGCAGGAGAATCACCTGAACATGGGAAGCAGAGGCTGCAGTGAGCCAAGATCATGCCATTGCACTCCAGCCTGGGTGACAGAGTGAGGCTCCATCTCAAAAAAAAAAAAAAAAAAGAAAAGAAAAAGAAAAAAAAATGTTAGCGAGGAGAAGGAAGAGGAGGAGAGGGAGAAGGCGGCAAGATGACCTTGGAGTCCCCTGGAAAGAAGGGGCCTAGCTGCCCTCTGCGTCCTTCCCCTACCACTCTTCCTTTCACGGCCTAATCCAAAGGTGGCTTCACGGCCCCTCGGGTTTAACAGCTGAGACTTTGTTTCCAGACTCACAGGTGTGCTGTAGTGAGCACCTGGGTGGAATGTTGCTCTCTGTTTCCTGCAATTACTAAATCGCTTTAAGGGGAATGCTGTACATTTTTTTTTCAAATGAAGTCTGTGCTTGTATTTGCTCACAGGGAATTTTAAAATTGAGGAGATGATGAGCTTGTTTACTAAATAAATATGTGTGTTTGGACCATTTGCCTTCTCCTCCCTCCAGATGCCCTCTCCTCCTCCCCTCGCTGTGGGCTTCAAAAGCAGGGCAGGCGGTGGGGCAGGAAAATGCCAGTTGTTGGTCTTCTTGGACCCAACAATTATTTACAGAGCACAGGATTTACAGTCAGGAAGAATTTTTTTTTTCACAGAAATGGGCAAATCCTAGATGCTCTCTATGTATACAAACTTCCTTTCCAACAGTTATGAAAGGACATTTTACATTTTAAATGAGAGCCCTGTTGGCGGTACATTCTCAAATGCTAAGTTCCATCAAAACAGCATGTTGAGGGGAAGAAGGGCACATGGCAATGGGCACCTTTGGGTCCCAACTTCTCCCCAGCAATGCTGTGACTCAGGAAGTCAGCAGGGGTCCTTCTTTTCACCCCTAGTTCCCTCCCCCAACTCCTTGTACATCTGATGTCAAAGCATAAGCTGGTAACCTATACCGAGAGGGAGAATTCAACCCAGGGGCAGCTCAACTTGAACAGTTCTATCCAGAAGTCCAACTTTAAATTCTACCCCCCATAGAAATAGTCCCATTCCTGCAGCTGCTCTCTACCAGCTGCCTAACCAGCTGCCATTGGGCCAAAATTACCCCCACCTCAGGGTCCCCACCTCAGGACATCATAAACACACTCCCTGGGGCTCATTCATTAACCCATGAGCTGGAGTTGCCCACTTTGGAAGTCAGCTGTGGTCTTCACTATTTTTTTTAACTTAAACAATAAAGAGCAACTCACAGATATCCCTCACTCTCAGCACATGTGGAATGAGATAAAAACAAAAGCTTGCTAAGTCAGACCCCAGAACCAACTCAAGGCAGAGATGATGTGAATGTGGAACTAATCAAGAAGTTACACGTGTTAGAAAGATCTGGCTTAATGGTTCTCTTTTTAAAAAAAAAAAGTTTTTTGAGACAGAGTCTCACTCTGTCACCCAGGCTGGAGTGCAGTGGCACAATCTCAGCTCACTGCAACCTCCACCTCCTGGGGTTCAAGCGATTCTCCTGCCTCAGCCTCCCGAGTAGCTGGGGCTACAGGCGCGTGCCACCATGCCCGGCTTTTTTTTTTTTTTTTTTTTTTTTGTACTTTTAGTGGAGACAGGGTTTCACCATGTTAGCCAGGATGGTCTCGATCTCCTGACCTCGTGATCCGCCCGCTTCAGCCTCCCAAAGTGCTGGGATTACAGGCGTGAGCCACCGCGCCCGGCCTAAAATACTTTTTAAATTTTAAGTGGCATCATGAAAGGTGGAATCCTTGCCCCGTTTTTCTGATTCCTTGTTGTTTTTATTTATTTAGGGAGAAAGACGTTCTGCCTGTGTTTATGTGTCAGTTGCAGAATTTGTGGGTAACAGGAAATCAGGTATGAAATTGAGGCTAGGAGCTCACAGGGAGCAAGAGATAAATAATCCAGGATTCAAGATTAAAATCGCTGTTGCTTCTGTGGTGAGAGCTTGTCACACAGGCAATTCATTGTGGATTAATTTTCCAGTGATGTAGTAACAAAATCAGCACATCAAATAAAATATTTAACACCCAGGAAAAGCCAAATGCATATTCTGCATGTGTGTCCTTAAGTGGTACTTTTATGGAAGGAAATCTTATTTGAAACAAATGTTGGAACAGAAGTTGAGCTTATGAAGGGCACCGAGAAACCCTCACACATAAGGTTTTAAAATGTTGCCCAGAAAAAGCATAATCTTCAGTGTCAGTCCCTTGGATGGTCAGCGTGCACGTTCAATGCTCGTGTTTATCCACCTGTGTGCACAGGTGTCCACTCACTTGCAAATCCTTCACGTCAAAATCTGATAGTCATATTGCTTACCTGTGTTAAATGGAAAATGGAAGTCGACTGGTGGGTCCTGTTGTCTAGCACCCTACTACTTGGTCTCAGGACAAGAAGGGAATCTCAGAATGATGAATGGGGTTATATCTGGATACCCCTTGCTGGGCTGCCTGCGATCAGCATTTCTGCCCACAGCTAAGCAATTCAAGTGCTCTGACCCCAAAGTGGTGAGCCCCCAAGCTTCTATCTGGATCTCTTGAAGGAAGTGTGTAGGGTGTTGCATGTGATCTGTGCAAAAGGAAGGAGCAAATTGGAGTTATTGAGTGAACCGATAGCCAGGGGAGGCCCCTGTATAGACAGATGTCGTGGAGGCATAGTCAGGAAAAGTTTGCCATGACTCGGATTTCTTTCTCTGCCTGCCCAGATGCCTGCCTGCAACCTCTTTTTTTTTTTTTTCATTCACTTGTACATACATTCCTCAAGTATTTACCAAACACCTATTTCAGGCATGGGCCTGGGCTAGCCAGGGCAGTAGTATACAGAAGTCGTTTGTTTTCTCCTCTCCCTCTCAATGGGTCTTCTCTCCTTCTCTCTCTCCCCATAATTCAGTGGTAACAGGGGTGGATGAAGGAATATCCAAAACTCGTCTCTGTAGGAGACATCTGCGCCAGGAATTTCCAGCAACCCCTGAGGAGAGTGGCAGATTGATGGGACTCTAGTTGGGACTAACCAGGGGGTGGAGGGAGGTGGGGGCGGAAAGAGCCCTGCAGCCAGGCTGTCTGCCTGAGCCTATTCTATAGCTCCCATTGATTGGACACTTGCTCTGTGCCAGGCCCTGTACGTGCAGTTTTTCAGACCTCATTCACTCCTCCAATCCCATTGAGGTTGCTATTATAACTGTCCCTATTTTATATGAGGAAACTGAGGCCAGGAGAGGGAAGGGACTTACCCAAGGTCACACAGCTAGGAAGTGACAGAGCCTCAATTCAAACTTAGGTCTGTATATCTCCAATTCTCTGGGCATTTAAAAAAAAAAAAAACAACTCAGATGTGGTTTAGACGTAAGCCAAAAAAAAAAAAAAAAAAGCCAGGCATAGTGGCTCACGCCTGTGATCCTATCCTTTGGGAGGCGGAGGAGAAGCATCGCTTGAGGCCAGGAGTTTGAGTCTAGCATGGGCAACATATCAAGACCCTGTCTCTACAAAAAAATTAAAACAAAACAAAACAAGAAAACCCTCCTTATCATTATATCAAAAGTCCAGACATTTTAAAAAGAGAGAGCTTAGGAGCTTCTAAAAGGTGCTATGAACTCTGTTTCCATGTGTGGTTTAGTCTAATTTCTATATTCAACAATAATAATTTTAATAATAACTAACACTTACTGAGCACTTGCATGACAGGAGCTACACTAAACAGTTTTACACTCATGGTGTCATTTAATAATCATAACGACCCGATGCAGTGTTATCGTTATTATTATTATCCTCATTAACAAATGATGAAAACAATGCTTAGAAAGTAATTCCCAAAGTTAGTTAGCGCCGTCTTATTCCAAGTCTCTCTTGGTACATCAAAGCCACTCAACTACTAGACTATCCTGCCTCAAACCCTCCAGGACCTCATTGCTTCCAAACTTCTTTCCCTAGACTTTCTTCTCACCTTTTTTTCTGTCCTTATAAGTCTGTCCAAATACATTGCACTCATTTCTGTCCTATGAGTGAGCTAAGTCATTGTCTTCTCCATAACCTTGCCTTTTCTCCTCACCCAAATCACTTCTTATCTCCAATATCCAATTAGACAGATCTGGAAGTTCCAAGGATGTGTCCATATAGGGAAATCAGAACAAGAATACTACTAACACCAAGTTTTCAGTCACCCTTCTAGGTTCACAGAATCTTAAGAAGTCAGCAAAACCATAAGCCCTTGTACTTAAAAATAATCAATACTACTTAAAACTTGGTATTTATTTTATTTTATCTTATTTTATTTACAAACACTATGGTGACTTTAAAACTTAGTTTAAAAAAATACTCCCCGAGGTCTGTAATCTCCCACATACAAAATCTCTAAAGGAGAGGCTTAAAAGAGAAGTACTCCTCCCTGAAAATCAGACTATTTTATAAATAATGATAAGGTGGCCCTTTTGAAAGTATTGCTTATTTAGAGGCTGGGGATTTAAACTTAGATCACTAGTGAGGGTGTGTTCCAATTACCATATCCCTAGATAAACATGACCTTCTTTAATCAGCTCTTTGCTCCCTAGTTTCTTAGCAGAACTGCCAATGAGCCAGGGCAGCTGCCATTTTGTGCCAGAGTTTCTTTTTCCATTTTCCAAGGAAGCAAAGAATAAGGAATGCCTCACTTCCCTCCCCATTCCCTGTTTGGAGTCATGCCCTCTGAGAACTTATTCTATTTCAGCTTCTACCTCTATGCAGTCAGAAAAATGATTCCGAACAACCCATAGAATGAGCACCTGCTTCAGTTATTGTCCCAATGTGAAAATGCTAATCCCTGGGTTTAGGCGAGGTTTGCTTTCCACACAAAATGGTCAGGCCCCTCTAATAGGCCAGCACTTCTGGTTTTAATACCCCAGTCTTGATTTCTAACAGGTGGGTGCCACAGTTGTTCAGCTCTTATTATGAGCTGGTTCATAGCTCGAACAATATAGGATTCTTCATAAAGAGTCTGAGAAACTGGGCCGGGCTCGGTGGCTCACGCCTGTAATCCCAGCACTTTGGGAGGCCGAGGCGGGTGGATCACTTGAGGTCAGGAGTTTGAGACCAGCCTGGCCAACATGGTGAAACTCCGTCTTTAGTAAAAATACAAAAATTAGCCAGGCATGGTGGCGGGTGCCTGTAATCCCAGCTACTCGGGGGGCTGAGGCAGGAGAATCACTTGAACCCAGGAGGTGGAGGTTGCAGTGAGCCAAGATCCCACTACTGTACTCCAGCCTGGGTGACAGAGTGAGACTCCAACTCAAAAAAAAAAAAAAAAAAAAGAGTCTGAGAAACCACCAGATGGTATTATTGGGGGGAAATAAACTCAGTTCCTTTCTTCAGCAACCCAAGCTAGTGGTTTTAATCAGGAATGAAGGGCGCTTTCACCCTGCTGCTTTCTTCAAACTCAGTAAGTGCCCCCCACCCTTTTTCCAGTTTTTACAAATTAAAATGTTTGTAAAAACCCAACTTATGCCAGGGAACTAGGGCTGCCTAGCTCTGGTTGTTTCCAACATGGCACTAATGAGACATTGCCCATTGATTCAGTCATTTGACTGTCTGTACTCTTTCCCTCCCTCCCATCCAAGCCCTGACATCCAGGTCTGGAGTGTCACAAACATTCAGGCTTGGCAAGAGAAGCCCATTCTTTTTAAAGATATGATGAAATCAGAAAGACACACAATCCCTGTCCTCAGAGTGGAATCAGGAATATGTGATTCTCCACTTCCATAACAAATGCAAGAGTTGGAGAATGTGTGGTACCCTTTTTCCATTCAGGAAGATTTATTGGGTGAGTCTACAGGCCATTCTTCTTAGTTTGGGGTTGCCGTATCTGGTGGCTTTGTACAGAAGCCATACACATTTCCCTCGTCAAAACAGATTGAGAAGGCCTGAATATACAGTGTGTCTCGAGGTTCATTGTGTTCTGGGTATGCATGCAACCCACGGAATAAATGTGTTACATTGAAATAAGGAATGACTGTGTGCTGACAAGAAGTCCAAAATATAGAGAGTGATAAAATAGAAACAGTGGTCCAGAATTATCTACTCTAAATGCCCTTGAATTTCTGTCTCCCATTTATTGCCTCTATTTTTCTCAATTTCCCCTGCTTGAAAAGCTATTAACTTCCCCACCTCTCCACCACCCTAGACTCTGATACCCATAAACAACCGTTGCCACTCTTTTATGTCCTCTGTTATGAACACCTTCACTGTGTTTACTTTCTTGGCACTGGCATAGACTAGACAGAGAACTATAGAAGCTTCTCGTTCTGGCTTTGCCACTTATGACCTTTGTGTCTTTAATGAATTTCCTAACCTTTCTGATCCTCAATTCTTCTTCCATAAAAGGAAGCTAATAATAATACCACACAGAGTTGCTATGAGGGTTAAGTGAGATACTGCACGTACAGCCCTAAACACAGTAATACAGTGTCTCAATATATATCCATTTCCCTCCTTCCTGTTTTCCTTCCTTTCTTCTTTCTGCGGGAATCTCAGTCGCTACGTTTAAGCAACTGCCTATGATGAAAGGTTTTGTCTAGTGGGTGGACCCAGTTTCTGTCTTTGTTCTCATCACTTAGGTGTAAAAAGAAAGCTTTAAAAAGTAGGATTATTTTTGAGGGCATATAGAAAAGTTGTTGCTCTTTGTATAAGACAAAATATCCAAGTTTCAAAAATCCCAGTGGCCTGCCTACCTTGAACCTCTTTCTGTTCTTCTACTCCCAAGGGTGCTCCAATTGGCGGAAGGTAGCCACGTGGGAAATTAAACGGCCCATCTATATCTATTTATACCCAGCGTAAATGCAGAGCGATCAATTTTAGAACTGGTGGCTTGGCCTGAGAAATAGCTATGTTTGGTGGAAGCAGGGCAGGTTCATAAAGAAGTGCACAGAGCTCTTGGAATACAGGAATTATCTGCTCTTCTTGGATGTGGGTGTCCTCCTAGGGATGAGCATCTGCCCTCACTGTCCTAAGTTCTAGAGGCCTCAGCTTTCCGGGAAAGCACAAACCACCGCTCAGCTGGAGTCTATCTGGGTCTCCCCTCTCCAACTTGTGACACAAGTCTTGTGTGAAAGCCTGAGAACACTCCATTCTTCCTCTTGTTGTTTTCAGGAAAGATTTGTCCCTGTCTCTCACTGCCACATACCATCTTAGAGCTTCTCTCAGCTTCCCCGAGTCATGCATGGGAAATTGCTCCCACAGCCCCTCTATGCTTTGGTTTGCTCAGTTTTAAAGTTGATTCTGTCCCCTCTCCTAAAAACTCAGCCATCAGACACTGAAGCAGAATCACCCAAGTGTTTTAGAGCCATAGTCCGGAAGCCAAGCCACCTCAGGACTTTCCTTTTCTTTCATGGTGATTAAATTTATTGTAATGTCTGGCCATTTTTCTCTGAGTTGTAAGGCAGAGAAGCAAGGTGGGCTGGTGGAAAGGCCTGAGGCCCCGATTGACTTATCTAACCTTGATCTTGGCCAAGGCTCTCTGCCCTTCTGGGACCCCCGTTTCCACAGTTTTAACATGTGATGCCTGTCTTTGGGGCCCTTACAGGAGAGCTGCAAGGATCAAGAGGGATAACAGGAGGGAGTGCATTCTATTGGGGTAGGGCTGGGGAATCTCTAGACAAAAGATATCCAAATTAAAGCAAAAGTGCTGTATTTTGAGATTTGTTGCCATATGTAATCCATACACGTTTAAACAAGCTTTTTAGAACCCCTGGTTTCTGTAATCACTTAAGACATTGCAAAGAAGCATAAATATATATTTTTAAAGTCATCACTACTACTACTTTCTAGGTGAAATAGAAAGTATTTCTACTTTGAACATTTGCCCTATAACTGTGACAGGGCCTCCATAGACTGCAGTTCCAAGGATCAGAGCCCCAACCTTTTAAATTCGGTGCAAGAAATTTGCTTTAATTTGGATATCTTTTGTCTAGAGATTTCCCCAGCCCCACCCCAGTAGATAACTCCCTCCTGTTATCTCTCTTGATCAGCTCTCCTGTAAATTCCCCAAAGACAGGCATCACATGAACCCCCAGTTCAGGCTTTCAGAGACCATGCTGCTTAGAAAGACCATTTCCTCAAAAAAAAAGTAGCCAGGCGATCCCAGCTACTCAGGAGGCTGAGGCAGGAGGATCGCTTGAGCCCAGGAGATGAGGCTGCAGTAAACTGTGATTGCACGACTACACTCCAGCCTGGGCAAAGAGCAAACCCCTATGTCAAAAAAAAAAAAAAAAAAAAAAGAAAGAAAGAAAGACCATTTCCACTGCCCCACCCCCAGGCTTTAGGGCTGGGCAGTAAGCTCCATTCTGAGTTTTTTTTTCTTTTCTTTTTTTTTTTTTTTTTGAGACAGAGTCTTGCTCTGTCACTCAGGCTGGAGTGCAGTGGTGCGATCTCGGCTCACTGCAAGTTCTGCCTCCCGGGTTCACGCCATTCTCCTGCCTCAGCCTCCCAAGTAGCTGGGACTACAGGCGCCCGCCACCACGCCTGGCTAATTTTTTGTATTTTTAGTAGAGACGGGGTTTCACCGTGTTAGCCAGGATGGTCTCCATCTCCTGACCTTGTGATCCGCCCACCTGGGCCTCCCAAAGTGCTGGGATTACAGGCGTGAGCCACTGCGCCCAGCTGGTTTGTTTTCTTAATGACTAATACTTAGAATCATTCTGAGTATTTTCCTCTATATCATGACCTGCCCTCCCTTCTCCCCTGCCACCTTCCCCTTGTAATTGCCACCAATACACAGTCACATCCAGTCACAACAAAAACCTGGCTGAGAGGTCAAGTCCCTGTTAGAAAATGTTATATAATCTTCCGTATCTCAGGATTAGAGGCTTCAGGCATCAATGACATTGTAAGACTTTCAAGAGAAGACCTACATAAATAACCTCTGTATGTGTGCATGATGTATGTATGTGTGTGTGTTCCCATGCATGCATTTGTTCATAATACATGTGCTAATCTATCCCTCCACTACACACACACACACACACACACACACACACACACACGCATGCATGCACACATGAGGCATTCTGTGATAGAACCTTAAACACCATCTTTTTTTTTTCTTTGGTGGAGTCTCTCTCTCTGTTGCCCAGGCTGGAGTGCAGTGGCGCGACCTCAGCTCACTGCAACCTCTGCCCCCCAGTTCAAGCGATTCTCCTGCCTCAGCCTCCAGAGTAGCTGGGACTACAGGCATGCGCCACCACGCCCAGCTAATTTTTGCATTTTTAGTGGAGACGGGGCTTCACCATGTTGGCCAGGCTGGTCTTGAGCTCCTGACCTTAGGTGATACGCCCGCCTTGGCCTCCCAAAGTGCTGAGATTACAGGCGTGAGCCACTGCACCCGGCCAAAGATCATCTACTCTAGCCTCTGACGTAGGACAGGATCTCCCTCTCCAGTGACCCCAACAAGTGGACAGCCAGCCTCTAACTGAATGCCTACAGGGAACAAAGAGATCTTAGTTTCACTCTAGGTTTCTCCATCCATTTTTGGACAACTTTTATAGTTGGGAACGTCTCCCTGATATTACACTGCAATTCTAGTTCAGTTTCTCCTGTAGGCATCAAATATCAGCACCAATACCACTTTTAACTGGCCCCTTTCTTTCTAAGTTTTTGTCTCTATTCCTTGTTGCTTCATCATATTTCTAATTCTAAATGGAATTTAAGATTGTAACAAAACACAGAGTCAGAACATTAATAATTGCAGGCTCCTATCTCAGAAAGGAGGCATGTGTGTCTGTTCCATTTGTTGGGAAGATATAATTGTTAGTTTGCTAGGGCTGCTGTACACAAACTGGGTGGCTTAAAACAACAAAAAATGTATTGTCTTACAGCTCTGGGGGCTGGAAGTTCAAAATCAAGGTGTCAGCAGGGCCATATTGTGTGACGGCTCTAGAGAAGCCTCTTCTAGTTCTGGTATTTGCTGACAATTCTTGACGTTCCTGGGGTTGCAGGCACATCATTGGAGTGATGCACATGGCCGCCTTCTTCCTACATGTCTCACATTGTCTTACCTCTGTGTGTGTCTGTCTCTGTGTCCACATTTTCCCCTTTTGTAAAGACATAAGTCATTGGATTGGAGCCCACCATAATGATTTCATTTTATATTGATTACCTCTGTAAAGAGCATATTTCCAAATAAAGTCACATTCTGAACACTAGGGGTTAAGACTTCAATATATCTTTTTGGGAGGACACAATTTTTTTTTTTTTTTTTTGAGACAGAGTCTCACTCTGTCGCCCAGGCTGGAGTGCAGTGGCACGATCTTGGCTCACTGCAACCTCCGCCTCCTGGGTTCAAGCGATTCTTCTGCCTCAGCCTCTGAGTAGCTGGGACTACAGGCATGTGCCACCATGTCTAGCTAATTTTTGTGTTTTTAGTAGAGACAGGGTTTTACCATATTGGCCAGGCTGGTCTCGAACTCCTGACCTTGTGATCCACCCACCTCAGCTTCCCAAAATGCTGGGATTACAGGCGTGAGCCACCACACCCAGCTGGGAGGACATAATTTTATACATATATATGTATATATAATTATCTAGCTATATAGAATATATAGATATAGAATAGATATAGATATATAATGTATATATAGAATATTAGATACATAGATATAGAATACATAGATAGGTATTCCTAAACATTTGTAGTCCAGTGATGTAAGTTCAAGTCTCAGTCCTGGAGAAAAATTTCAGAAAGAAAGTCCTTCATTCTTTGTTAAGGGAAGATAGATTACCAGTGGGGGGAAACTTCCTTTTTGTTGTTAATAATTATATTAATATCATATATGTATATATTATTAGATATGATAAGACTTTTATATTTATTTTTAACATTATATATGGTGTATTTTAAAATATTATGTATTATAATATGCAAATGATGAACACAAGTTTAACCAATTGCTTTTTTTTAAACAAGTAATTAATTTCAGGAAAAAGGCACCAAACCAACACCCTGTTCTACTTTTTTTTTTTTTTTTTTGAGACGGAGTCTTATTCTGTCGCCCACGCTGGAGTGCAGTGGCGCCATCTCAGCTCACTGCAACCTCTGCCTCCTGGGTTCAAGCAATTCTCCTGCCTCAGCTTCCCAAGTAGCTGGGACTACAGGCACGTGCCACCACGCCTGGCTAATTTTTTGTATTTTTAATAGAGACGGGGTTTCACTGTGTTAGCCAGGATGGTCTCAATCTCCTGACCTCATGATCTACCCGCCTTGGCCTCCTAAAGTGCTGGGATTACAGGCGTGAGCCACTGCGCCCGGCTCAACACCCTGTTCTTGCTCTTTTTTTTTTGTTTGTTTTTTTTTGGAGACAGGGTCTCACTCTGGGCTCAAGCAATCCTCCTGCCAAGTAGCTGGGACAACAGGTGCGCACCACCACATCCAGCTAGTTTTTAAAAAATTGTTATGTTTTTTGATATTGCTAGTATAAGGAGCTATCACACCCAAAGTCAAATCTTCGTTATATAGAAAGTCCAGATCAGAGAAGTGTATAGTGATATTTACCAGTACAATACTCTATCATATGTGGATATGGGGTCAACTGCAAAGCACTTTTGGGAACATTCAGGCTCGGGGACACTCAAACTGACGTGAAGTTAGCCTGGATCTCTCTTTTAGTCCAGAGTTGGCAGAGTGAAAAGCCCAGCCCAGAGGGAGCCAAGGGTCAAGTTGGGGTAGGGGAGAATTCACCCATCTTGCCTCTGATTTCCCAAGAACCTCTAGCATTTTCTGATTTCTGTATCTGTGTATGGAACTGGGAGTGGATGTGTAGGTCTGCTCTCAGGAGGAACAGATATCCAGCCTGTGGTTTAGGTTCCTTTTTCTAGCTAAGGGAATCCTTGGACAACCTCAGGGCTAAGTCCATTTGCCTGGGTAAACTTGGGGACTCTAGCAAGCCCCTTCGAGGCACCCCACCATTCTTCAGTACCTCGTGAACCTGAGGCTTCTGCTTCTGATTATGCTGTCTCTCAATTGCCTGGACTTGGTCTAGATACGGCTTGATAATTTCTTCTTTCCTCCCATGTAAAGGCCAGACTAGGGGAGAGTTCCACTTTGTCTTCTTTCCAGAGGACGACTTATCACAGGGATGGAGGAAAAGGGGTACAAAGAGTGCTGGCTGCACTTGGAGTCACTGACTAAGAGCTAATTGACAGGACATTGGGTACCGTTGGATGGGACAGACATAGAGCCCTTGGCATCAATGATCCTAGAAGATAAGCAGGTGTGCAAGTGGACAGGCCAGGACGCTTGTTAGGACTCTGTACTCTCTAACTATTATAGAAAGGCTCTACTGCTACCCCAGGCCTTCAACTGGTAGACTAGAGAAGGAGTGGGGGAAGGGGTTAGCCAATAACCAGATTCAGGCCCTTAGGGGCTGGACAAGGAGGCACAGGGGCAGGTGGTGATTTCTGGTGGTCATTCATTAATTTCTTCCTTCTTTCATTTAAAAAATATTTACTAAGTACTTACTGTGTACCAGATACTATAGTAGATCAAGACCCCATTTTTAAAGGAATTTATGGTACAATAATTAAGGAATGGGGAGAAATAGTAGGGATCAGGGCAATAGTAAGAAACAGATTTGGGGATTTTCTTCTCCTCAGTATGTGTGTGTGTGTCTGTCTCTCCATCACTGTGTGTGTGTGTGTGTGTGTGTGTGAGAGAGAGAGAGAGAGAGACAGAGAGAGAGAGAGAAAATTTATCTTCCTACAATGTCCTCATCACAAAGCAATGCATCTTTACCTACTCCGATATGCACGCATGCCTCCCAAATTGTAGGCTCGCTAACAATGACCAACAGCCTTCCTATCAAAGGAACCTTTTCTAAAACCTTCTCTACGTCTCAGGAGCCAAATGATGGTGAATGGCCTCAGTCAGGATGTTATACACATGCACCAAGTGACCACATTCTGGGTGGGGCATGCACAAGGTAGCTTTGGGTTTTGGAAAGATGCATTCTGGTCAAGTCAGTGAAAAATCAGCCAAGTAGCCTATAAAGTCAACTGTGGTTTATTTTGGACTTAGGCCACACCTAAGGGGCCATATGCGTGCACCTCACTTTAAGAAAACCTGTACTCAAAAATCCCAATTTTGAAAGGGAGACGGGAATGTGCCTGACCATTTTTGGAAGCCATCTAGAGCCCTCATTTATTGACACAGGTGTATCAAAGAGGTGGTGAAGCCCTTGAAGGAACATCTGATTCAATCCTCTGCCTTCTGATGATTTCAGATCACCTCAGGCAAATGGGCCTTTATCTGGTTTTGGCAGACTCCCAGAGACTACTAATGGGTTAAAAATGTGGCCGTGGCTGCCGTGGAGTTGAGAGGTCTGCACAGACACAAACCTACCTTGTCTTTTAAAATGAGAAGGGACTCTGGGGCTTTGTGGAAAAGGGTGTAGTTTTCTGAAAAAAATCAAACTCAAATAAATTGTTAAGTTAAAACATAAACTGAATTAGGGGCATACATTTGGGATGTCCCTCACACTTCATGGAAATTATGAAATACATCTCTTTGTTCAAGTTTAAAATTCAACCAACTCAGCTTCTCTGCACAAAAGGGGAGGAGTTCCCATGACCTGATCTTTGCAATTTCCTCTAAAGTATGGCTTTCTGTATTTATTTAGGAATATTTATGTTCAGTCAGGGCATGGTTTACCCTTGTTGTGTAGCCTTATTATGGTTTGATTTCACATTGGACTACTCACCTTTTAGTAACCAAATTTGCGACCCAGCGGAAATTTCTCTCTTACAAGGAGCTTGGATTCTTATTTATTTTGCAACCTTTATTTGTGTATGAGATGAACCATGACATTTAAACTATGCTTGATAGCTTAACAGATTATAAGAACAAAACCAGATGGCCCAAACAAAAATAATGCTTTGATTGCTTTAAAATTCAATGTCAAAAATTAAAAACAGCTTTCAAAAAGCCTTGACTTTTTTCCCCCGAGATAATTTTGAATCATATATGTGGACATATACTTTCCCCCCAAATTAGAAATATATAAAAAATTTAACAATGGTTATTTGGGGGTTGAGAAGGGTGTTTCCTTCTTTTTTCTTTTCGACACCACCCAATTTTTCTGCAGTTAGTTTTAGAATCAGAAATAAATTTTTAATGGCTGCTTTTTAGTTTAATTTTAATGAAGCCTTTTTAAGGGTTCGGTCAAGGTGTTTTTCTCTGCTGAGAAAATGGACATTGTTAAGCATTAGCAGTTCATAATTCTTCTTCCACACAAAATGATGAATAATGTGCGGTTACTTTAACACTGTGCTTCATGAGGTTGGAAAACTAAACCGGTCTCAGCGTCTTTAAAATTAATGTAAATTCTACAAAAGCAGTTATTTAATTTTCTAACTCGCTTTAATGTACTTTCAACATCATTAGTATTAATCACAATTGTCACTTTCTTTGAGAGCAGTGAACCAACTAATTCCTTAAAACTGGGCTTTAAAAAGAACCTCCATTTTAAAAGGCTCTCAAACCTTGAGATAGTTTGCAGGTCACAGTCAGAATGTGACTGCTTGAATGTTTAAACTAAAGCACCCACAAAGTGTTAGGATTCCTTTTTTTCCGTTCTTGTCTTGTAAAAGAATCTTTATTCTGACTCAGATTCATTTTTCTTTAAATCAGCTGCAAGAGAGTGAACAAACTTTGCTGCAAATCAAAGCCCTGACAGTTACATTTCCCTGAGATAATTGCATGCTGCTTTGGAGTTTCCTTTTCCCTGCTGTTTCCTTTTGTTTTGACAACAAGTTTCTGGGAAAACAATATACAAATGATAACTATGCTGTCACGAGTATACTGAATTTTAAAAATAAATAACTGTCGACCCAAAAAGCTTCCAGGAGCCTATGGAGTGAATTCTTTTTCCAAACCGTTCCAAAACCAGATGTGGAAATGTTTAGCTAATTCCCCTTCCCATTCTTCATGCAAAGAGTTCATACGTGTCTCTAACGACATCAGAGGAGATGGGGAGGCAAAAAATCCTGTCTGCTTTCAAAGCGATTTCTCTTACACTTCTCAATTCTCTCTCTAACGTCACAAAACTAATTTGGACTTCAGCTTTTGTCTCTTTTTAAAAGGATTTTTTTGGGGTCCTGAGATTAAAAATGCTCTGTGCTTAGACCAATATTCAATCTCTTCATTATAAAACATTAAGAAATAGAGCTCATGGTAAGAACACTTAAAATCTACCCTCTTAGCCATTTTGAAATATACAATATATTATTATTGGCTGAACTCACCATGCTGTGCAATAGATCACTAGAACTTATTCCTCCTGTCTAACTGCAACTTTTTACTTTTTGACCAGTATCTCCCCTTACCCCTTCCACTCCACCCCAATAACCACCATTCTACTCTCTACTTCTTAAAGTAAGGCAATGGTCATGTTAACCAGCTTGATCTAAAATAATCATTCCACAATGTAAACATAGATCATTGTTACATGTATACATAGAACACTGTATCCCATAAATATATACAATTTTTATTTGTCAATTTAAAAACAAAACAACTGCTGAACTTTATAAGCAGCATTTTCAGCATAAAAAATTTAACGATGGGGGAGTTAAGTGGCAGCTCTTCTTCCTCTTTCCTTTTTTTGTTTTGGCCAATCCATTCTCTTCCTGTCTATAAGAAGAAAAGGGCTGTCTTGGTTTCACAAGTACTACGAGATCTCAGTCTGGCTTTGCTAATCAGATTGTATCACTGTCAGTGACTGATATAGATAGCTCTTAAACATAAACACTGGCATTTTTCTGAACTTAATTAAAAGAGCATATGTGTTTATGAGGGAAGAAAGGAAATACAGTTTATATTCCCAAAATGAAATGTTTTATGATTTTTTAATGTAGAAAATTTATTAAGGCTTATTAGGGAGTTCTTGAAAAAAAGGGAAAGAGGAAAACTCTGTTAAAGGAGCTAGTGGGAAATGTATATGCATAAACTCCATTTACAAAAAAACAGAAAGCTACTTGTACTCTGTAGCTTCAAGGAAAGCAAACATTTTGCATCCAGGTGTTATTAGAAGCTCTGGGTTTGCCTGACCTCTCTATAGCTCAGTTCAGGACGCTGTGTACCAACAGCTGAGCCCTACTTGGCTATACAAATGCATCTAGGCTCATTGCTTCGGGCATGTTGCAAGGCTAATTTGCAATCGAGTCAAAATGGGGCTACAGTGATACAGACCCTGAGACTGCTTTTTTTCTCAGCACAGAGGCCTCCCCAAGAAGCTGGACAGTAGTCCCAAAATGAGTGCTCCCTTCTTTGCATTTATTTCTTCCCCAGTCCCCAACTCCACGTCAGCTCTAAAGAGTTCTAAAGACTTTAAATAGAATTCTGCCCACAGCTCCTGGGATACTGTGCATGGCCCGCATGATGGCTAAAAATACCTTCAGCTGGGCACCCCCACACAGCCCTCTCTTCTGGCATCTCCTTCCCATCTCTAACCCCTCAGCCTTCTTTTCCCTCTGCCCCCAATAACTAGAGCCCACTTTCTCCCTCCCTTGTTCGGGATCCCATTCTTCCAGCACATCTCAGCAAGGTGTTAGAAAAGTCAGCTGATGAATTCACACTGTGTTGTGAATGACTTATAACCATCCCCCCTGCCGGACGTGGTGGCTCACGCCTGTAATCCTGTAATCCGAGCACTTTGGGAGGCCAAGGCAGGCGGATCACCTGAGGTCAGGAGTTCGAGAGCAGCCTGGCCAACATGGTGAAACCCTATCTCTACTAAAAATACAAAAATTAGCAGGGCATGGTGGCGGGTGCCTGCCTGTAGTCCCAGCTACTTGGGAGGCTGAGGCAGAAGAATCGCTTGAACCCAGGAGGCGGAGGTTGCAGTGAGCCAAGGTCGTGCCACTGCACTCCAGCCTGGACAACAGAGCAAGACTCCGTCTCAAATAATAACAATAATAATAATAACCGTCCCCCAACACACACACACACACACACAAACACACACACACACACACACACACACACACACACACACACACACACACTACTCTACCCTTCCCTAGGAATTGCAGGTAGCAGGAGAAGGGAGGCTGCCCTGCTTTGAGGATCTGTTCTCAGCAAGAAGGAGTAAGTCTCAAAGTGTGCCAATGAGCTGGGCATTCGCAAGCTCATTAGAAAGTACATTCTGCTTTCCCCCTAATCTCCTTTCTCTCCCCTTAGAGATGAGCAACCTTAAACCTGGGTCTCAGTGACCTCTTCTTTAAGCTTTATCTGAGCTGAAGGGTGTGCTGTCACATGCCTAGTCATCTTCGTTTATTTCTCCTATCACATGGTGAGCTGTTCTTGGCTTTATGAAAGTCAGAGGAAAGAGATTCTGCCGTGTTCAAATTTGGAGAGTTGTACTAAATGAACCCCTAAACTCAATGACATTATTGAGCCCCTTCCTTTGAGACTGACTCAGTGCAACATAATACAAGAAGTGAACGTGTGGGGGTGGGAAGTGAGGTAGTCTAAAATGATTGCTTGAGGGACAACAGTCTCATTTCTCAGAAATTCTAGACATTTTATAATTATATTTGGATTATCTTTGGGGAAGGAGGAGAAGGAGTACAGGAAAGATGCTTGAGGGAGGGGGAGGAAATGGATGGCTTAGCTCTCTGGAAAAGAGTAGCCTTAAACTTGGGTGTTAATTTTGGGGTTTGAACAAAAACAGTTGTTTCCTTGGCCTAGTCCAGAACTACTTAAGGAGGAGGTTTTCATTCAGGGCAATTAGGCCCAGGTTGTGGGATGATGTTAAAGAAAGAAGGAAAGAAGGAGAGAGAGAAAAAGAGAGAGGCAGGAAGGGAAAGAAAACCCACCTAAAGCACATTTAAGACAAGGTGGTCTTCTATAGATCAAGACAATAGTGCAGTAGTGATGGGGTGATTATCTCAGCTTCCAAAAGGCACCTCAGCAAATGTTATGCAGTATTCCAGAGCAGGTGGTTTCTTTACTTAACTGTTGAGTCATCCAGGACCAGCTCACATCAGAATTTACTTATTTGTGTTGTTATTATTGTTTCCTTTTTGTTTGTTTTGGGGATTTTTGGTGCGGGGGAGAGAAAGGGAGTAGGTTTTTGTTTGTTGCTGCTGCTTCTACTTTTGCTTTGTGAAAAAAACCCAAAAAAGTTGTCCCAGAAGAGACATTTCAGAAGGAACAAAGAGGAAGGAGCCTGGCAGACCTGTGGGGCTTCTCTTTTACACCCACAACACCCCTGAGAGAATGAGGAATCATTAACGGCAGAGTGAAAGACAGTGAGACCAATCCGTACCAATCAGAAACAAAACATTTCATCCAGGCCAGTGCGTTTTTCTAGCGGGCTCCTGTGCCATGGTTTCCATTAAACAATGCAGCAAATTCGTCACTATCAAGGGAAGAGAAAGAGCTGTATTTTTGCAACTGGGGAAAAAGAGAAGAGAGAAATGTCTTGGGACGTTTTTTGGCCCATTGCCGTGCACATAGTAGGCATTCAACAAATATTAGTCAAAGAATGAATTTGTGCAGGGGTTACTTATCTCAGCAGGGAACAAAAGTGAATCCCTATATGCATGTACATTTCCTTCCAAACTTTAGGTACTTTACTATGTGATTTATGTCATTTTCACTTGTAAAATGAAAGTTGAGTTGGAAAACATTGGATGATGTTGCTCTTGCTTTCTTCTTTCTTCATCTGTTACCTCCTTCTGATAGCATGTTTTAGATACTTATTCCTAGCACTGCTTTTTCTCCTCACTGGTCTGCCTGTCACTCTTTGAGAGCTAGAAGCAATAGGACTAGGAAGTGGCCACAGAGCTTCCTATGGAAAAAGAAAACAATAAAAAGCTAGAGAAAATAAAAGACGTAATGCAAAGATTTTAGGAGATATCTTGTCAATCAATGTGTAAAGTACAAACTCAATCCTCCCTCTCTCCCTCCCTCCCTCCCTCCCTCCCTCTCTCTCTCTCTTTCTTTCCTTTCTTTTCTTTCTTCCCTTTTTTTTTTTTTGAGACAGAGTCTCTCTCTCTCTGTTGCCCAGGCTGGAGTGCAGTGGCACACTCTTGGCTCACTATAGCCTCAACCTCCAAGGCTCAAGCGATCCTCCCACCTCAGCCTCCCGAGTAGCTCATACTACAGGCGTGCACCACCACACTCAGCTAGTTTTTTGTATTGTTTTATAGAGACAGGCTCTCACTATATTGCCCGGGCTGCTCTTGAACTTCTGGGCTCAAGCAGTCCTTCCACCCTGGCTTCCTAGAATGCTGGGATTATGGGCATAAGCCGCCCCTTTCTTTAATATAAGACTTTTACGGTAGTTTTCATGTGTAATATGCATTGAAAAATGTAAAATTAAAAACCAGCATGTTTTTATGTTTCCACAATTTTAGTATTTTACAAGGTGTCCTAAAGAATTTATCAGGGACTCTATTGGTCATAATGACTTATGATGCTGCTGCCAGAGTTTATGAAGCATTCGTTTGATCATTTTAAGTAAGCCACTCGGCAAAATTTCAATATCTGGTTGTTAAGAATAAACCACAATTCCTTCATAGGTTTTTATTTGATCAAATCTGTTGTAACAACAACAAAAAAGCGATAGGGAAGGGTTCATTAGTATGGCCTATGAGAGGACATGGAGGCCCCTAAAGAGGGAAGTATTGCCATCTTGAATTAAACTCTATCTCCTATCTCTTTATTCAACGTTTGACACAAAAACTGTTCTGTTTTGGGTTCATCTTGAGGTTAAACACAAAAGGATGCCACTCCTGATCAGTGTAAACTGTTGTTCTACATATTAGGGATATGTGTTTTATGCTAGAACAGCATGGGAAAGTCACTTTAAAAAGCCATTGTAATCGTCCATAAACACGTGAGTTCCAACAATGAAATTAAAGTTCAGTTCTCTCTCAAATGAGTGTTTTCCTCTTCTTAATGCTTTAGGAACAGCCCTTTGCTTAAAAAATATATCATGTTTGAACTTTCAATAGAAAATAAGATGACTTGCCTCTTGTGTTTTTTTGTGCTCTAGAAATCCTCACTGGACGGCTTCCTGTTTCCTGTGGTTCATTATCTGATTGGCTGCAGGGATGAAAGTTTTTAAGTTCATAGGACTGATGATCCTCCTCACCTCTGCGTTTTCAGCCGGTTCAGGACAAAGTCCAATGACTGTGCTGTGCTCCATAGACTGGTTCATGGTCACAGTGCACCCCTTCATGCTAAACAACGATGTGTGTGTACACTTTCATGAACTACACTTGGGCCTGGGTTGCCCCCCAAACCATGTTCAGCCACACGCCTACCAGTTCACCTACCGTGTTACTGAATGTGGCATCAGGGCCAAAGCTGTCTCTCAGGACATGGTTATCTACAGCACTGAGATACACTACTCTTCTAAGGGCACGCCATCTAAGTTTGTGATCCCAGTGTCATGTGCTGCCCCCCAAAAGTCCCCATGGCTCACCAAGCCCTGCTCCATGAGAGTAGCCAGCAAGAGCAGGGCCACAGCCCAGAAGGATGAGAAATGCTACGAGGTGTTCAGCTTGTCACAGTCCAGTCAAAGGCCCAACTGCGATTGTCCACCTTGTGTCTTCAGTGAAGAAGAGCATACCCAGGTCCCTTGTCACCAAGCAGGGGCTCAGGAGGCTCAACCTCTGCAGCCATCTCACTTTCTTGATATTTCTGAGGATTGGTCTCTTCACACAGATGATATGATTGGGTCCATGTGATCCTCAGGTTTGGGGTCTCCTGAAGATGCTATTTCTAGAATTAGTATATAGTGTACAAATGTCTGACAAATAAGTGCTCTTGTGACCCTCATGTGAGCACTTTTGAGAAAGAGAAACCTATAGCAACTTCATGAATTAAGCCTTTTTCTATATTTTTATATTCATGTGTAAACAAAAAATAAAATAAAATTCTGATCGCATAAAAATATGTTGGGCATTTTTATTTAATAGACACATACCTCATTTTTAGTATGGGCCAGACATTGTTCTAAGTGGTTTGCAAACATTGGTGCCTGGTCCCTTCTCTCTAGGATGACTTCCCTCTCTGTCAAGTTCCTCTAAGAAAGCCTTCTGCAATTGACCCTCTGTCTATATCCCCATTTCCCTTACACTCTGCACCACTAACTTAGTACTCAGCCACATCGTTTCTTAGTTCAATCTACAACTGTGTCACTTTTTATCCACAAAAAGCATAGGTTGCACTGGTGATTTATAAACCATCAATGGTTCTAAGAAGCACTCACGTCACTACCCACCAGCTAGACAGCAAATTCCTGATGCCGAGAGCCAGAGCTTATGCTTTAGCCACAGACTGATAGTGCTTTGAAAGGAGTTTTTCTCCCCCAACATCTATGATCAGAAAATGTTTGCTAAAGTTTGGCTGTCTATTAGCTTTCTCAAAGGGGTAAGAGAGAAAGTGGAGGAGTAAGAGAGAAAGGGAGGAGTAAGAGTAAGTGAATTGTTCAACAGAAATTTATTATTGAGGCCAGGAGTGGTGGCTCATGCCTGTAATCCTAGCACTTTGGGAGGCCGAGGCAGGTGGATCACCTGAGGTCAGGAGTTCGTGACAAGCCTGGCTAACATGGTGAAACCCTGTCTCTACTAAAAATATGAAAATTAGCTGGGTGTGGTGGTGGTCGCCTGTAATCCCAGCTACTTGGGAGGCTGAGGCAGGAGAATTGCTTGAACCCGGGAGACGGAGGCTGCCGTGAGACAAGATCATGCCATTGCACTCCAGCCTGGGCGACAGAACAAAACTCCGTCTAAAAAAAAAAAAAAAAAGTCCGGGCATGGTGGCTCACGTCTGTAATCCCAGCACTTTGGGAGGCCGAGGTGGACAGATCACCTGAGGTCAGGAGTTCGAGACCAGCCTGGCCAATATGGTAAAACCCCATCTGTACTAAAAATATAAAAATTAGCCGGGCATGGTGGTGGGCACCTATAGCCCCAGCTACTCGGGAGGCTGAGGCAGAAGAATCGCTTGCACCCAGGAGGTGGAGGTTGCAGTGAGCCAAGACCACGCCATTGCACGGCAGCCTGGGTGACAGAGTGAGACTCCATCTCAAGAAAAAAAAAAGGGACTCAGAAAAATTGAGGTCACACAGAAAATAAATAAATATTCAGACTGCAACAAATGCTATGGAGAACTAAAATAAAGTGATATGAGATAAACTGGAGAAGGGACCAGAGTAGGAAAGGCCTCTGAAGACTTGTCATTTCAACTAAGTCTTGAATGTGAAGAAGGAGCCAGTCCTGGGATGATCTGGAGAGAACACATTCCAGATAGTAAAAGCATCTCATTTAATCTTCACTACAACCTGTGAGAGAACTACTCTTCTCATATCTATTTTATAAATAAGGAAACTGAAGCACAGAGTGATTAAGATACTTGCCCAAGGCCACATACCTATTAAGAAGTAGACTATTTCAAAACATCATATTGTACACCATATATACATATATATATAATTTTTATTTGTCATTAAAAATAAATTAATTTGGCCAGGCACAGTGGTTCGCACCTGTAATCTCAACATATTGTGAGACCAAAGCCGGAGGATTGATTGAGCCAAGGAGTTTGAGCCCAGCCTGAGGAACATAGTGAGACCTCATCTCTACAAAAAATTTTTAAAATTAGCCGGGCATGGTGATGTGTGCCTGAAGTCCCAGCTACTCGGGAGGCTGAGGCAGGAGGATCACTTAAGCTTGGGAGGTCAAGGCTGCAGTGAGCCATGATCGTGCCATTGCACTCCAGCCTGGATGACAGAAACCCTGTCTGGAAGATAAATTAATTAAAATTACACAATGTTGACACAATGTTTGCACATTTAATATAGGCAAAGTGCTTCAGTAGGTGAGTAGATTTAGAAATTCAGTCATGGTAGTTGAAGAAACAGAGCGGTTAGATTTAAAAATCCCTTGCCTCTTCTTGAGGAAAACTAAGTAATAATCCCTGAAAACAGTGTATTCATGCAACAAATGTTTATTGGGCCTGTCTTATGTGCCAAGCACTATGTTAGATGCTGGGGATGCAATGGGGAACAAGACTGACACAATCTAATTTGGGTGAGGGAGACAAGTAAAGAGGCCTACAGAGATAGAGGCTATAGAGGCTACTCCAGTCCAGAGAATGTGCCTGTGCATAGACGTGAGGACCTGGGCTGAGGTCATCAGAGAAAGTGCAAGTGGTCTGGTCCAATACAATGGAGGCAGTGTAGCGGGGCAGTGATGGTGGTGAGTGATGGGGCTAGAGCATGAGTGGTATATGAGACTGTGTACAAGAAAGCTAGCACATCCCTCCCCCATCCTCTCTTCTGAAGCTAACAAATTGTTTAATACCAAAACACAGGCAAGCAACTTTGCAAACAACCAATACTAGATCTAGATACATTAGACTTGGGCTACGAGGTGCAAGTTGAGCATTTCACAACTGCAAGGGTGATATTCACAGAGCCTTGCCCTGAAGTTGCATAATGTATCAGCCTTAGAAAAGACTCAAGACCTCCATGGTAATAACAGGAGTTACTATGTTTCAGACACATTATATATGATCTCATTTAATCCTCACAACAGCTCTACAAAATGAAAATTATTTTCTCTGTTTTATAGATGAGGAAACTGAGGCTCAGAGAAGTGGAGATTGTACCATTAGGAAATGACATCACTGGAACTCAAACCCAGGTTTGTCTAGCGCCAAAGTCCACTTTCCCCTCTATGCTCAACACTCACTCCCAGAGAAGAGAGACTTCCATGTGGACTAGAAGATCCAGGAAGGTTTCTTGGTAGAGGTAGGCAATGACCCCACTGTTAGAAGATGAGGAGGACCTGGCTAAGCAGAGAAGAGGATGAAGAGTATTCTTTGTGGGCATAACCCCTGGAACAGGGTGGACAAGGGCACTGTGTTGGAGGGAGGCCGCTTAGGGGGCTATTGCTCTAACCTAGGTGAGAGGAGATAAGGACAGCAGATGGGAGGAGTTGAAGGATAGGAAGAGAAGAAAATGAGACCCATTTCAAGTGAAGAACAACAGGACTTCATTCATTCTAGCCTACAGGAAACAGTTAAATGTCTATATAAGCCTCATTCACGATTAAGAGAGAAATTGAATTTGGAGCGTAGAAAGCTCCTGGCCTTAGAGCAGAGAGACAGATTTCATGGAGGACAAGACTTAAGCTATGCTCTGATTTGTCTGACTGGATATATGTGAAAAAGAAGATGTTGACTCAAAGAAGATGTCACCATCAAGAGCCCTAGAAGCTCAGAAGACATGGTAAGCCCTGGATTTAAGTAAGGAAATTGGGGTGATGGTAGAGGATGGCGGGAAGATGAATCTAGGTTGGACATGTTGAGTTTGAGATGACAGTGACATCCAAGTAGATATATCCAGGAATCAGCTCGAGAAATGTAATTACTGGGAGATAAAGCCTTGGGGGAAATTACATGAGTGCAGGAAAGAGAATTTTTTCATAGTCAATCCTCATGGCATTGTTAGGAAAAGGACAGGAGAAGAACAGTCATCAAAATAGATAGAAGAGAAGTGATCAGAGATACGGAAGAAATATGACTCATGAAATTCTAGGGAGGAAAGTTGGGTAGACTATAGCCTCTAGTACAACAGATAAGCCAAGAGGGAGTAAGCACAGGCTTCACAGAATTGGGAGCCTTTGAATTGGACCTGAAGTGAGAGGTAGAATTGAATCAGGTGAAGATGTAGGAGGAGGGCATCCTAGGCAAAGGAAGCAGTAAGAACAAAGATGCAGGCCAGGCATGGTGGCTCATGCCTGTAATCCCAGCACTTTGGGAGGCCGAGGCGGGAAGATCACTTGAGCTCAGGAGTTCAAGACCAGCCTGTATGTTTACATTTTTGTACCAAAAATACGGGAAAAAAAAAAATCAGCCGAGCGTGGTGGTGCATTGCATGCCTGTAGTCCCAGATACTTGGGAGGCTGAGGTGGGAGGATTTCTTGAGCCCAGGAGGTGGAGGTTGCAGTGAGCCAAGATTGTGCCACTGCACTTCAACCTGGGTGACACAGAGAGACCCCGTCTCAAGAAAAAAAAAAAAAGATGCGAAGAAACATTGTGGTCAAGGATCATATTTTGCATGGGTTAATGTCTCAGGATAATTAGGCATAATTTTTCAAAATTCAATAGTAATCTGCACTTGTTGGCTTGGCATATCATTACTCAGAAAAAAGTGTTCTTCAAACATTTCAGGTGCATGTTTGATCTTCTCAATTCGATTGTGTATGTCTTGAGTGGGGCAGGGTGGGGGCTGTTTCCTGTTTGTTTTGCCTTGCTTTTTTTTTTTTTTTTTTTGTCTGTCACCCAGGCTAGAGTGCAGTGGCACGATCTCGGCTCACTGCAGCCTCCGCCTCGCGGGTTCAAGTGATTCTCCTGCCTTAGCCTCCCGAGTAGCTGGAACTACAAGCGCATGCCACCATGCCCAGCTAATTTTTTGTATTTTTAGTAGAGACGGGGTTTCACTGTGTTAGCCAGGATGGTCTCAATCTCCTGACTTCGTGATCCACCTGCCTTGGCCTCCCAAAGTGCTGGGATTACAGGCGTGAGCCACCACACCCAGCCTGTTTGTTTGCTTTGCCTTGCTTTTCCATTACTTGGTGAAGGTACCCAATAGATGGTCAATCCAGGTGACTGACTGACTGACTGGTAATGAGAAAGGGCGTGGGAGTCCATAAGCTAAAGGAACCATTCTAAAGATGGGAAGATAACACCTTGTGAAAAAACTGCATTTCAAATTGACTAATTCATTTGCCTTTTGAAATGCCACTTCAAAAGAGTGTTTTTCTCCTTTATTGTGGTAATGTTCTTTAATTTTTAAGATGACATGATTTATAAAAATCCATAACAGTGTTAGTCATATTTGTGATAATAAGATGAAATGCTTCATTGCGAACAAAAGAAATGAACATTTTCACCTTTCAATCTCTGGGAAAGCCAAAAATGTCTGAAACCGTTTGTTATGATAATTGCTTGTCAAATATTTAAAACTTAGGGCCATAGCGAGATTTTTGACCCATAAAAGGAAACTCAAAGTAACGTTTAAATTTTTATTCTTGTAGCCTGAAAGTAGCCAACCAGGTTTTTTAGAAAACTGTGTAAACTATATGTAAATGTTAAGGGCAAAAAGTCTTTTCTCACTACTTTGAACCTATAGCCCACTTTGGAGATGCACAGAAAGACACCCGTCCCTCCTTCACCAGTAACGAAGGCTTAGTCAAGCATTAAATTAAGCACACACACACACACACACGTTTATAAGAAATACATTATCAGATCCTGTCATTTGCAACAACATAGAGGGAACTAGAGGTCATTATGTTAAGTGAAATAAGTCAGGCACAGAAAGGCAAACATTACATGTTCTCATTTATTTGTGGGAGCTAAAAATCAAAACAATGGAGCTCATGGAGCTAGAGAGTAGAAGGATGGTTACCAGAGGCCGGGAAGGGTAGTGGGGTGGGTGGTGGGAGGGAACCGGGGATGGGGATGATAAATAGGTACAAAAAAATAGTTAAATGAATGAATAAGACCTAATATTTGATAGCACAACAGGGTGACTATAGCCAATAATAATTTAATTGTACATTTTTAAATAACAAAAAGAGTGTAACTGGATTGTTTGTAACACAAAGGATAAATGCTTGAGGGGATGGATACGCCATCTTCCATGATGTGATTATTACACGTCATGCCTGTATCAAAACATCTCATGTACCACATAAATATATACACCTACTACAACCCACATTTTTTTTTTAATTTTATGAAAAAGAAATACATTATCAAGGGACGAGTGTTTATTTAAAAAAAAAAAGCTGACTTTCACAAAAACGTTCTTTAATTCTAATTAGTGTTAATCCCTATGATGGAGCTCTACAATATCCTGTTTAAATTGTAATTATATTTGAGAATAAAACAATAGGTTTAGAAATTGTAATTATACTTGTTTATTCCCCACAAAAGAAAGAGAGAGAGTGACTTGCAGTCTTGTGATTTTTCTATAACTTTTTCAGGAGAAAACAAATGAGGTCAGATATCCGCTTATAAACTCACGTTGGTTATACAATTACAAGCCTTCTGTATTCGTTATCTATTGCTGAATAACGGATTACCCCCAAAACAACAAACCTTCATTGTGTCACAGGTTTTACGGGTCAGGAAACTGTGTATGACTTAACTGAGTGCCTCTGGCTCAGGGTCTCTCGTAAGTTGCAGTCAAGCTAGTGGCTGCCACTGTGGACATCTCAAGTCTTAACTGGAGTTTGGAGAATCCACTCCCATGCTCACTCAAGTGGCTGATGGCAGGAGACCTCAGTTCCTCTCCTGTAGCTTTCTCCAAGTGTCCTCATAACATGGCAGCTGATAGAGAGAAGGGGAAGGGGATGACAAAAGGCCCAAGTTAGAAGCCACAGAAGTGACATCCCATGGCTTCTGCCATATTCTACTTGTTAGAAGAGTCTCTAGGTCCAGCGCACGTACTAGGAGGGATTACAGAACAGTGGGAACACCAGAAGGCAGGGATCAGTGGGGACCAGCATAGAGGCTGCCTACCACCCCTTCAATCTTACCACACTGGCAAACTCCACAAATGCAACGTTCTTCAGTTTATGTGTGTAAATACAACTGATGTCAAAACACAGACTGGGTGGAAAAGGACATGCTATGCCACTGCTGTTTCCTTGTGTCCATCAGTTATATTTTCCCTCTTCAAGGAAAACAAGTTACAGGACTTGACTGGTGAAAATAATTCCATAGGAAGCTTTTATTTATTTTTATAACAGGAGATTGATGAAGACAGTTAAAGCCAAAGGAAAAAAGCATAAGATGTAAATAAAATAATAGCAATGATGATACTGAGTAGAGGCGCTAACGTTGGTTCTAATTATGTTCCCCACATTAGCAGTAATATGAAATCTTTCAACAATCCTCTAATGTAATGTAATTCTGATGAGGCCAACGATACTCTAAAGTTTTTCAAAGTGGGGTGAGGAGGTGGGGGATCCAGGTAATGTGTGTCTGTGTGTGTGTGCATGCATGTATATATGTACGCATATATATTATGTATATTTATATTTATTATTATCCAGCATCCAAGGACAAGAGGCAGGGGACTTTGCTTATTGACTTGCATATGAGTAAGTCATATAGTACACTAAACTCCCCACCACTTGCTACTTCCATTTTTCTTTGTTCTTATCCAATTCACAACCATCTGGCATGGCCAGTGGTGAGGTTCCTGTGGCTTACCTGAAGGGCAATGCATGAAATCAAAGTAGCTCCCAGCATTATGAAACACCAGTAGCGGAGAGGGGCTCACTTGGCCTGGGCAGGTGGTGGGATTGCAGGAGGGTGCATAAACAGGTTTCTGAAAGGGAAGTGACAGGTTTGCCCTTTGCTATGTAGCTTTGTCAGCATTTATTGCTAGATGTTCTCTGACAGGTAAGGGGGAATTGGTCTGAGTCCGAGAAGTAAACGCTAATACCAGTTTTCAAATATAAGGGAACATGAAAGAATCCTTGCCACCTGGGAACATGAAAAAAATTTCCTGCCAGCAAATGTACCATTCGAAGGCACTTTTATTTTACAGTTACTAGGAAGAATATTTAAATTGCTCAGGTTATTTTCAATGTTGTTTTGGCTTTGTCGTACAC
The DNA here is from genome assembly GCF_000001405.40 of Homo sapiens. Taxonomy (NCBI): domain Eukaryota; kingdom Metazoa; phylum Chordata; class Mammalia; order Primates; family Hominidae; genus Homo; species Homo sapiens. The sequence goes on along the minus strand of NC_000023.11, from coordinate 134,558,093 downwards.
ACCCTATTATGTAAACACTATACGAATGTAAATTATTCACCTTTTAAAGTTACTTTAAAAGTTTTGACTCTTCGCCAAATATATTTCTTTCTATCAAGAGCTCTTTAAAGCTCTGTCTGCGACTTAAATAAGCACACATCTTTAAAATAAAAGCTCGTTTTCCAAGTAATGCCTACAGAATATTTATTCTATTTTTGAAGCTGTATTTACATAACAAAGCACTAAAGGAAGCCCAGTGTAGGGAGAGAATCGAGTCCTAAAGCAACAGTGAGACTGGTTTCTATGGAGTTAGAGAAATTCTAGCTGTCTCCACTGCCAAGGGTGGGTCAGGACAGGAACAAATTGACCCAAAAGTAAGCCTCAATGTCATTCCTACAGCAACTCCCTGTGATAATTTACAGTCTGCAATCAAAATAAAATAATCTCTTCAAAAATCTCGTTCTTTTATGGTTCATTCTACAAATTGATTCTCATTTTCATTTCATATTTCATCGATTTAACTTTCTTTCGCTTCACCCAGGTAAAGAAATCACATGCCTCGAATGATAGATGCACCTAAACTCTAAATATGTTTTGGTATTTGAGTTACAGCAAGTACAGGGAATATCTAAGTTGCCCAAGTTACTTTCAATGTTGTTTTAACTTTGTGAAAATATTTAATGACAATTTTTAAAAACTGCGCATGAAAAAGAACATTCTCCAGTTTGAAGCTCTGCCACTACCAAAAAACAAAAACAAAAACGAAAACCACAGTCTCAATCCAGAAGGTGCGTACTATATTTTCACTCCTCTGTTCCATCAAATCAGCACACAATAGTAAGTTTCTGTCTTTCAGTTAATTTTTAACCCGATATTTACTGGTATTTCATAGCATGCTTTGTATGAGTAATTTAACAAAAAATTGATTACTTTAAAGGTCAATTAAAATCAAGTCCTAGTTGGGATTTCTGGTGTGTGCAAGTGCAAGTGTGTGAGAGAGGGAGGGAGGGAAGGGGGAGAGAGGGAGGGAATACCTGGGGTGGGGGAAGAATCCAGTACATCTCCTGATACATAATAGGTATATGATAAATAGTATTTTTCCACTCTTTATCTTCTCAAATAAGAAAGTTCACTCCAGTGTGGCATGGAGAATGGGATATTCTAATTATTCAAATAGTCCTAGGTTTACCATAGTTTGTAGTTCATAGGGTTATACCATATAAGCCAGGTGAATCTGTTAAAAAACACGGCTTTCATTACATCACGCCCCTGCCCCTTTAAAAGCATCACACCAAAAAAAAAAAAAAAAAAAAAAAGGTTCTATACCATCCTGCAACTAAAGTCACAACTCCTCTGCCTACTTCCAGACCCCCCATAATGTTTTTTGTTTTTTTTTTGAGACAGAGTCTCAGTCTGTCGCCCAGGCTAGAGCGCAGTGATGCAATCTCGGCTCACTGCAACCTCTGCTACCCGGGTTCAAACAGTTCTCCTGTCTCAGCCTCCTGAGTAGCTGGGATTACAGGCGCCTGCCACCATACTCGGCTAATTTTTGTATTTTTAGTACAGACGGGGTTTCATCATCTTGGTCAGGATGGTCTTGAACTCCTGACCTCGTGATCCACCTGCCTTGGCCTCCCAAAGTGCTGGGATTACAGGCGTGAGTCACCATGCCCAGCCTCTTTTTTTTTTTTTTTTTTTTTTTTTTTTTTTTTTTTTTTTTTTTTTTTTTTGAGACAGTCTCAGTCACCCAGGCTGGAGTGCAGTGGCACGATCTCCACTCACTGCAACCTCTGCCCCCTGGGTTTAAGCTACTCTCCATTCTCCTGCCTCAGCCTCCCGAGTAGCTGGGATTACAGGCACACGCCACCATGCCCGGCTAGTTTTTGTATTTTTTAGTAGAGATGGGTTTTCACCATGTTGGCCAGGCTGGTCTTGAACTCTTGGCCTCAAGCAATCCACCCGTCTCGGCCTCCCAAAGTGCTGGGATTACAGGCGTGAGCCACCGCGCCTGCCTCCCCACCCCCCAATAATCTGACATCACCCTACTTGTCCAGCCCAGTCTCTAATTCCCCAGTAGAAAGGCTCTGTCCAACTAGGTCCATCTCCTTTCAGTTCTTCTCTGCCTCCTGGCCTCTGAAAATGCTGTTTTGCCCATTCCATCCAAATTCCACCTTCCCTTCAAGGATCAGCTTGAAGCTTAAAAGTATAAAATGATGGTGATAGATTTTCAGGAGAGAGTTTATAGTACTGAGCAGCTAATTTAAAAGCAAATTAATTCTATATTATTCCAGAGGATGTGTTCCAAGTGTCAGTCCCAGATGGATGTTTGTGAAGCCAACATGTTAGATATGAGCTCAACAACCCTTGGTCAGCACCAAGAACACCAAATGGTGCCTAAGCCAACTCTTGAGGATGTTAGCCATCATCTTTACCGCCAGCACAGCACCTTGTTCTCACTTCTTCCGGTTCCTTTTTTCCCTTCTCAGGTATACGTTCAGTTAACAAATATGTATTGGATTTCTTTCTAACTTGGCTGGGCACAGTGGCTCATGCCTGTAATTCCAGCACTTTGGGAGGCCAAGGCAGGTGAATCACTTGAGGTCAGGAGTTTGAGACCAGCCTGGTCAACATGGTGAAACCCCGTTTCTACTAAAAATACAAAAATTAGCCGAGTGTGATGGTGCGTGCCTGTAATCACAGCTATTTGGGAGGCATGATAATTGCTTGAACCTGGGAGGCGGAGTTTGTAGTGAGCCGAGATGGCACCACTGTACTCCAGGCTGGGCGACAGAGTGAGATTCTATCTCAAAAAACAAACAAAAAAAACAAAACAAAAAAACAAATATGTATTGGACATCAACGGATGCAAATTATTGTGCAAAGCGCTGAGAAGATACCTATAGACAGACATGTCCCTACCCTCTAGGAGCTTACTGTCTGCTAGGAAGAGAATTTCAGAACAACTAAGTTAATTAAAGTGCCGTGACAGGACAGGACAGAGGCAGTTAACTCCAACTCTGAGGCCATCTGAGAAGGCTTCAAGGAAGAGGTGGCATTTGAGCTGGGCCTAAGAAGGATGCGGAAATGGGAGGAACAGGGGTATCCAGCATAAACACATAAAGAAGGTGTGGCTGGAGGGTAGGAGATGCAAGCAGAAGCGCAGATTGGAGCCAGATTGTAGAATGCCCTGAATGCCACATTAAGGAGTTAAGCTTTTTAGTCATCTGCCTTTTGTGCCGAGGATTAATATGACCAGAATTGTGTTTTCCCAGCAGAACTCCGTGGACCACTGGGAGAGGAGCAGAACTCAACTGAGAGATCAGTGGGGGGCCTGAGAAGGTCACCTTGATGACATCATGGTGGCAAGTGGAGACTCTGAACTTGAGGACAGATAGTAGGGACAGAGGAGAAGGACTTGTTTTTTTTTTTCTCTTCTTTCATCTTCTTTCTTTCTGTCTTCTGCCCTGGCCCTTGCTCTCCACCCTACTCTCATTTTCACTCTTCCCTGCCTATGGCGTAGGCATTCCTGGGGACTCTGGACTAAAGAAGCTGTCAAGCCCTGGGTTTAGGAGAAATGCTAAAATTAAAAACAGGATCTGGATTTCTACTTCCTCTTCTACACGGAGGGCTGGGACTTACTCTGGTCATGAACTGCAAAATCCCACCCGATCGTAAGCCCAAGAATAATTTTAAGAAACAGGAAGCAAAAGAAATGACATTATCCATCAGTCCTAGACACTCTATCGCTGTTTTTTTTGTTTGTTTGTTTGTTTGACAGAGTCGTGTCCAAGCTGGAGTGCAGTGGTGCGATCTCGGTTCACTACAACCTCCACCTCCCGGGTTCAAGCAATTCTCCTGCCTCAGCCTCCCGAGTAGCTGGGATTACAGTCATCCACCACCATGCCCGGCGAATTGACACTCTATCTCTTAAGTTTTATTTTTTAAAATGCAAACGGAGCTTCAGGGGAAAGAATGGCAACCACGAGTGAGTTCAGTTCTGGATGATGCCGTGTTACCATCTCTCATGTGAACATTTCAGATATGCACATTCACTTTCTCTCTGCTATTTCAACAATGTATTTCATGCTTTGGAAAACACTCCAGCTGCATCTTGGTTTTGAACAAGGATAGCATCCCTTAGCACTCTTCAATTTGTTGTTCCCTCCTATTCTTTCTACCCAGCAAGATATTATTTGCCCCGAGGAGTGTTTTCTTTTCACATAACAAGATCCCAAAAGCGATGTCATTCAGACATCACAAAGCAGAGCTCTGTGCTTTTTACAGGATATCCTTGGTGCTGATCACTTTTGGTTGGTGTTTTTGTTTGTTTGTTTCAATTTTTTTGATATCAATGAAGTGCCTTCCAAAGGCACTTCAGTTTCCCTCAACAAGATTGCATTTGACAGGTTGACACTGATATATTGGGGTTTTTCTTTTCTCTTTTTCGTAATTAGCTGAAGTTCGAGGAAAGTTCTAGAAGTGTGAGGTGAAACTGATTACCATAATTTTATGGTGAAAGCAAGTGACTAAATCTAGCCTAGTACTATACTTGAACCGCCATTATGGCCACCACACCTACAAGAGATGGGTTTTTGGTCTCCATGCTCCTGTCATTACATTTTGCTCTGTCAGTTCACGCTCTGTGCAAAGGACAGCAAGTCCTGCCCACTTACAGGTTGCACTATAGGGCCAGCACGGTGTAAAGAGACGCTGAGACTGTCCTACACCCCTTCATTCTCGCCCTCCTTAGCAAAAAGTTCCAATCATTGCCGTCATCTGAGACAATTTTTGATTTAATGGGCAAAAATCCAGGAATAATTAAGACAATAATAGTACACACCCAGAAAAAAAAAAAAAAAAGCCTGGTTTAAAGAAGAAATCCAGGCAGCACTGAAGGCAGTGATTCTGCGTCTTTGAGGAGGGAAAAGAGATCTAGAAATCAAAAGCAACAGCTACTAATGACTTACTAAGCTTCTCTTTGGCAGAAAGGAAAAATTTACTAATTCATTCTACTTTTTCCTGATGGGATCACGGGGGTAGGAGAAGTTAAGATTAGAGTTTTTCTCCCAAAGTTCTGAGTTTTGCAAATAACTATTTTTATAACTAATTTCATAAAATAAAAATTACCAAAGGACACTGTCTTTTTTGTTTAATCTGAGAGTAGGACAAGCATTCTTACATTATATATTATAGTATACAGTTACTACTCACTGCTAGCCACTGCTTGAACCATGAAAAAAAGCCTTTACAAAAAAACACAATAGAAGCTTCATAACACAATTCCAGTTGTTTTCTTTCTGTTAAATTTGTAACTCTATCCTGATTTTATCTCTCTAAAGACTTCTGGATATTTACAACATAAGGAAAATCTTGTTTCCCTAACTCAAGGCCTTCATTAAAAACACAATCTTAAACACCATTTCTAGTTAAAATAAAAATGGAAAGTTCTAGAAATCTTCTTTGTAATTTACAAAAAAATAAGTTTTAATGCAACTTGATTCTCCAGTATCTATTTCCCAAGATTCATTCACAGTTGCTTTCCAGAAAACATTTTCCAAAATTTATGCCAAATACCATGTTATGCATAACTTCCTTGCTGAGTATCTCTAGTCTAGAGCTAATTTATTTTTCTCAGCTGTGCCTTCAGAGCCTTCAAAGCTATTGCTCCCTCGGCGGACTATGATTATTCCTTATCAATATAATTTCCGAACGTTTCACGGAACAAAAAGAGAAAGGAAAATATGTGCTATTTTCCTGAAAACAGCTGCCTTGAAACAATATTTCAGAAGGGACCAAAAAAAACAATAGATGGTGTGCAATTTTCATTTCAGGTTCCTAGTTGCCCCGTGAGAAGTTGCCTGACTACCAGTTGGAGGCCCCCCTAACACCCCAGGTGGTGGGCTGTGCCTGTTTCCAATGCTAGGGTAAGTTTCTCACCACTTCTTAGGGCAATTTATATCCTGTGAGTTTTGTCAGGTTGGGAAGGGCCTACCAAATAAGAAGCCATTTGCAGAATCAGGGTTTGCTTCAAAGGTCCTAAGAAAATCCTTGAGACATCATAGTTGAAAAACATTTGAAGGTTGTTCACTTGAGTAAATGCTTAAGCTTGTCCTCCCTTACTTTCTCCGGCCTGTAGCAATATTACTCACCCTCAAAGAATTCATCAATATTCAACTGGCTCTCCAATTTGCTGAGGTAGCAAAAGGAGTTTAATAAAGAAAGCTGTTGCAATTTGTCTTTAGAGAACATGCCATAAACCCAACTTTTATCTTACGTCGTTGGAATCTTCTGCCCTTTTACTAATTTAGGTGGGGAAATGAATGCTTACGTGTAGCAACCCAAGCAAATTTACCCACGAAGGCAAGTCTTAAAAACTCAGCGAAGCCTTTCATCCCAAGGGCACCAGAGCTTTATAAATGATCTATCTGAGGATTTAGAAGCGTGTTCAGTCACGTCTCACAGCCCGGCAAACTTTCAGCCCTGTCCACGAGGGGTTTTGAAAATCTTAACAGGGAAACTTGTAGCTTAGTAATAAGACTTTTTAGCGCCCACCAAAACTGGACGAGTATCAGCCGTTTTAAAAACTTTTCCTGAAAAGAAAATCTTGCTATTTAAAACCTTTTTGGTTAACTTTTCAAAACAGCTTTGCAGACCCTGAAAGACACTACTCTTTTCCCTCCTCGCGCCCCGGAAAAGAGCCGCAGACGCCAGCGAAAGGCTGCGCAACGCTTGCAACGCCTTGGGTCTGCGAGATCGCCCTTGCAAAAACATTTCAGATTTTCCATCAGCTCTACAGAAATATGACAGTAAAATGCATGCGAGAGTTAAGTAGCTCAAACTCGGGCGCCGAGCACGGCAGATTCCGCGGTTTTATTTTTGTAAACTGATTTCGTGTGTGTGTGCGCGCGCGTGCGTTGCTGCTTTCTTTCGGCACCTAATTTTTTTTCCCCCAGCGCCCGCACGCGGTTCTGGGCTACCCTGCGCGCTGTCTGCAGGCCGCGACAACTACGGCCTCCCTCGGGGAATGCGGGGGAAGGCCGCGGGCCGCCGTGGCGACGGCTGCAGGCGCGCGGCTCAGTTCCCGCGGCCCGCCGGTTTCTTTGCTCATCCGTGGTGCAGCCGAGCCCACCGAGTCTGGTCGGACCAGGGGTTGCTGAGAGCCGCCAGGAAGTCCCCACCCCGCACCGCCCCCGGGGCCAACGCGCTCGGCTGCTCCTCCGCATAGTTTTGCGCCCGGCAGCCTATCTGCCCCGAGGCTCCGATGGCCCCTCCTGGCCTGCCCAGGGCTATGGCAGCTGCAGGCCGGCTCTACCCATTGCTCTTCCCGTCCAGACCCCGCTGGCCTTGAGCCCTGCTTGCTCGCAGATTTGTCCCACCCGGGACAGGGAAAGGAAAAGAAGCCGCGTTCATTTTCTTAGCATTCAGGCACTATTTTATAAGGGAACTCTTCCAAAATTTTCATTATGGCATTTTGCAAATATTTAGGCAAGTTGAAAGAACGGTACAACGAACGTCTGTTTACCCCCCACCCCCAACAGGATGCAACAACTGTTAACATATTGCAATACTTGCTTCCTTTCTGTTCTCTCTCTCATAATGTGTGCGTATGTTAGCTGCATCATTTGAAAACTGCAGACATCGTGACATTTCACTTCTGTACACTTCAGCATGCATCTTCAAGGATAAGGACCTCCTTACCTTCAATATCATTCTCACAAATACAAAATAGCATGGTCCTTAATAGCGTCTAACATCCAGGATAAGGGCTCCTTTCCCTCCCGTTTCCCCACTTCAGTCTTAAATATCAGTTTCCCTTCTTGTACTGGGCACATGTGTAAACAATTGCTCCTCCCTCTGTGTTATGCCCACCAAAGGACTATGGGGCTCACCCTGTCCCGGGGCCTCTCTACCTGAGAGCTTGGTGGGGTGGCGAGGGCTGGGGCGTCTCGACAGATCTGCACTCAAACGCATGGGGAGAGCGCTGCACCCAAGCGGTCTGAGACCCCCTGTTTCCTTTCCCAAACCATCTCAGGTACTCCCTGTAAGCACCGAGCAAAAAGCTTCGCTCAGCCACCTTGCGCCGTCCCGGCAGCTCAAAGGACACCGCCAGAGGACCCGTGAGCGTGGGGTGGTGTCCGTCCCAGGAGCCTCTGGGTGCGCGCTGCGCTACCTCGTGCCCTTGGCTTTGCCGTTTGCCATCCTCCGTTTTTTCTCCCCGAGCCCTCGCTATTCGTCTCGGTGTTGGTTACTCTGGGCGCCCAGTGCCCTTCTCGGCCCTCCCCCGCAGCGGGCCAAGGCTGCGGCGTCGAGCGCCTGCACAACCCCCTTCCCTACAGCTCCTCTCCTCCCCTCCCCCCTTCCGCCCCCGGGCCCCGGAGCCGAGCGGGGCCACCGGGGGGCGGGGAGCGCCACAGCGCGTGGCCACGCCCCCCGAGCCGGCTTTTTCTAGGGCGGCTCCGGGAGCCTCTCCGCCGGCTGCGCCGCTCGCCTCCAAGGGAGCGTTCCGTGCTGGCCCCTCGCTCGGCTCCGCTCCGCCTCCGCCACGCCGCTCTCCGAGCTTCGGCAGCAGCCAGCGCCCCCTCCACGCTGCGACCCCGGCTCTCGGCTCTCCGTCCCTGTAGCTCCGTGCCCAGCACCTCGCGCCCCGCAACCTCGCCGTCTCCCAAGTCCCGGGCCCCGCTTCTGTCGCTGTCCGTCGCTGTCCGTGTGTCGCTCGCTCGGTCTGTCTCTCCGCCTCCCCAGCCCTTCCTTCCTCCCTGTCTCCCTCGCTGGCTTGCACGTTCGCTCGCTCTCGGACGCGGCGAAACAGCTTCGCAGGCAAATCCCAGAAACCTTTGCAAAAAGCTTGCAATGAAATTTAAGAAGTTCTTCGATTTCGGCGCCATTTTCGAGTGGAGCCAGAGGTGACATGCGATTTTTTAAAAAGGGACTTGGTGGCTGGCGTCTTTCCCGACTGTAACGTGGGTTACGGCAGGCAGAAAAACATCTGGTGATAATTCTGAAAAAAGTGCTGTGGCGTTTGGGGGGGTTGTAAAGCACGTTTTGCGGGCGGGATGGGGGCAAATCTGACATTTAAAGTGTTTAACAAATGAGTGCGGCCGGGAAATTCTCAGGAAACGGACTGGGAAAAAAAAAACAACAACTAACATGGAGGGGCGGGGAGAGAAAACTGAGTAAGGGGCAGTGACCGACTGTCAGCCTCGCTAGGGTCGGGAGCGACTGGTTTTGACAGAATGTAAATGAACTTTTCCTCTTATTTGCAAGAAGTTAGTTATGTCTTGGAAAGAAATGTGTGATTAATTTCACATTGTCTCTCCCGAATTAAAACTTTAAAGGTTGTTTAGTTTTCCCCGTAGGGACTTGACATTGTGGAAGTTTGGCTAGAATGCGCCGAGAGAAGGTACATCGTGTGTTTGGGGTGTGGGGGACGAAGGCATATGCAAAATTAAAAGACAAAACGTTGTAGAGTATGAACAGAGGAAGAGGCGTATTCTTTGGCTCTTAAATCATTTAGCCAAACACATTGCAGTTCAGAAGGGGGTGGGGCTATGGCAACTCGAAAGTATCGATTCTTTGTCTATTGTATCAGTGAATGACCCTCTCCTGAAGTGACAAGACGCCCCTTTGTAATCTCTTTTCGTAAGTAAATTTCAGTCTAAGGGGAAATATGTAAACTAGGGGATCGAGGTGGCTTTTTAGGGGTGTAACTCGTTGTACTATCACTGGGAGAGATGAAAGGGGTTAGGGTGAAAGGTATAAATGAATTTGATTCCAAGAGCAATCTGGAAGGGACCTTCGCCTTTGACACCGATGCTGTTTCGAATGAACTTTTGTTTTTCTAAGTAGTCAACTAAGGAAATGTTAAATTAGGCATGACTTTAACTTCTGACATGATGGCTCGTATATTTGTGTGGAACAAAATGTTGGGAGAAAGTTGTGGAGTTTTACATGATAATTGTACATTTGCTAAACATGTTTTTTTTTTCTTTTTAAGGGCAGTCAACGACATTTTTCTCCATTAATCCCAAAGTCAGTGTAAAAGTTGTTTGTAAATATCATTGCCAAAACAAGATGGAATGTAGAGATACTTGATTGTCGCAATTTAGGGAATGGGGTTATTGTTACTAATGACTTTTTTTTTTTACCATGACATAGTGTATTTGTTACCACTGGATCTCAGTCTGGATGTTATAAATTCGATACTTAATCTTATTAAATACTCTGCACATTTTATTAACTAATAAATAGGACACTTAACATTCATTGTACTGGTTTTGAAAAACCGACTTAATTTGTAAGTGTAACAAGATACTTACAGTTGGATAATTTAAATGTCTATTACTTGTGCTGAAATGTATTTAACTTTCAAAACCATTACAGTTAGTGCTGATTTTGTTGTTTTAACTTTTAGGTTTGTGATTGAGGATTTCAGAGTGGGTTTTTTTTTTAATGCTTAATTGAATATTGTATTCAAACAAAAAGAGGGCATGCATGTGACTTGTTGCTAATATGTGTCCATTTTAAAAAGGAAAAAGTGGTATCTAATGAGTTAATCATTAAGGAGTATGCGCAGTGCCGGCCATTTCAGGACATGAAAGTTTCTGTGGAGCTGCTTGAAACAGGAAGGAGCGACTTGACATCAAGTATTTAAACTTTTTGATTTATGTTTTGATAGATGACATTGATAGGTATAAATTATAAATAAGTTTGAGTAACCAGTTTAATATGTAAACTGGTATTTCATCTACAGAAAGTTCTCTGTCATTGTTTGGAGCTCTTTAAAATAACTCAGCTGGGGTGTTTAAGAATAAAAACACTAGCAGTGAGTTAGGACATCTAATGCTTTTAAAGATAGATGTATATGTCGCAACGATAGTGTAAGAATCAGCTGAAGCTACCGGTGAGGTTTTGGTTATTTTCTTTCAGTCATCTGAGTCCATTTCCAATAAAGGTTGTTTTTTTGTTTCGTTTTTTGTTTTTTTTTAATGGGGACAATGAATGAGACTTGTAATATGCAGCAGGAAGAAGTTTCACCAAGACTTTGAAACTGGCAAGAATGATCCAGATGTCCAATTGCCTCTACTTAACCTTATTCGTCTACCTTCAGAAGTAATTAGATTCTCTTCCACACTAATTCGTATCCCCCATCGCTCTGCTTTTCACCCACTACGTTGTTCCAAGATTCATCCTCAGGGGAAAAAATTGAGAGCCACACTTTCGGCTCCACCTGCAGCTCCTGGAAATCAAATGGTGAAGTTATAAGAAGTACCTTAACTTGGAGTGAAGTGGCCTAGTCATAAGTTTTGCCCTATTCCTTGCCAGGGGGTGGGGCGGGGCTTCCTTCAGTCATCCAGTCTTTATTCACCCGCAGGTACCCCCAGATCGATCCCCCTTCATTGACTCCGAGGGGATACAGCAGCAATTCATGTTTTGAAGTGTTCTAAATGGTTCAAAACGTGAGGCGCTGCTATACCCCCTCGTGGGGAAGGTAGAAGGTGGGGTCTGCCGGACGCGTGTTCCTGCCACCAGGTGCCCGCTCCCCGCGAGGCCGGCTCAGGAGCAGGTAGGTGGGCGGGGGCTCGCGTCTCTGTTTCCGGCGGGTCCTCGCCCTTGTCCACGCAGCAGGGCTGTAGTCCGGGGAGGGCAGTATTCCTGGCTAGGCTGGGGCGCATAGGCGGTGCGAGTCGAGGAGAGACGCGGTGCCCGCGCTCAGCCGTGCCCTAGCAGCGGGAACAGTTCTGCAGTGAGCGATCGGTGCTCTGGGGTATTGTTTCCGCTGCCAGGGTAAGTCTGGGACTGCCGTTCGGGCCTACCCAGCAGGTAAGTCTTAGGCCATCGCCTGCGGTGTCGGCCCCGGGAGCAGCGAGACCCAAGATTGCATCAAACGTTTGCCCCGTCTCTGCATATGTGACTGGACGTGAATGATGCTTCATTTTGGCACCCCCTTTCCCTGCTCAGGTAGAATGTAAACAATTGAAAAAAATCCCTTCCCAATCAGAATACCACCCACAGGACAACGAAGAAAACCTATCTTCAGTCCCCACCCACGAAATGCTGGGGGGTGGGGAGGACTGGAAAAGGAGTAAGGGGAGAGGAAGGGTGAGCAGCTGCAAGAAGTCTTTACACCTCTCTGCGGTTCCTGGTAAACGCGCTCATGTCCTGGGTATGGAAGGGACTTAAGAATTCAGGAAAGATCAAAATAACGGGCCTCTTCCCCACTCCCTCGCCCTCCCTTCCCCGCTGCTGGGGGGTTAGGGAGGCTCCGTGGAGCTCCAGCACTCTAGAAGGATCGGGTGAGGCGCGAGGCCTTGCGGGCGGGTGAACCCAAGGTGGGGTGGAAGGCTCCAACCCGCCCAATCTGAGCCCGAGGCCTGCTGAGAAGCATGGGGGCCTTGGGATAGTTCCAGAATGAGGATGTGCGTTTCTAGCTGCTTTGCGCCCTCCTCCCCCAAAAATCTGCTACCACAATTCCAACCCGGCGGCACGCCCCCAAGACTCCTTTGTCGCCCCAGGGGCGGGACCTGAGCTGTCGATTTCAGGAGCCCTTCGTGACTTCAAAAGTCCTGGGCACTGTTGCTCATGAGTGCTGCACAACTGTCGCCCTCTAAAGCCACCTCCATCCCTCACTGGGCTGGCCTCCTGAGCCTTCGGTGAGGAAACGGGGTTCCGAGTTGCCCGCCTGAGAGCTTAACAGTCTGACTAGAAAAGGGCTAATTCGCTTTCTGTGCAAATCTCTTGAGCTAATTATTTAATCTGAAACATGGACAGGTAAAGGACCATTGGCGGGCGTGGGGAGGGAGGTGTGGAATCTTTCCCACACTTTTTGTCACCTTAAAGAAAAAAAAAAGACACCCAAACTCCTCTGGTCTGAATGGGCTGCCTGGAACTGGGCTTCCCGGGGCCAGGAGTGGGCCCCTAGAAGTTTCCCAGTTTGGGGTGGGGCCGGGGTTCCGAAGTCTAGAGCTGGGAGTCGGGTTCAGCGGCCCGAGACGCTGGCTCTCCCAGACTCCCTTGCGCCGGGGCAGTGCGCGGGGGCGGCTCGGGTCCCTCCCGGGCCGGCGGGGACCCTCAGGCTCCCGGGGCGCCGCCCACCAGCCCGACCCGGCGGCCTAGAAATCCCCATTCTGCTCCCGCCTCGCCCCGGCCGGCCAGCGCAGGGCCCCTCAGGCCCGCAATCTCCAGGCTCAAACGGCGAACAGGTCCCCGCATCCGCCTGCCTTTGCACTTGGGGGTGGGAGAGCCACCTTGTGACGCCCCTTCTGCCTCTCACCAGCTTCCCCCTTTCTCCCCGTCCTGTACGGTTCCCCCTGGAGCCAGAAGGAAGCCCGGTGCCAGCCAGCCTTCCTGAAAGACCAAGCCCGCGCCATCCGGCTTCCTCCAGTGGACGCCTGCAGGACCCAGGTGAGACACGGAACCGGTTGGGGACGCGAGCCAGGGATCCTGACCGGTTGGGGGCGGCGAGCAAGGGATCCTGACTTGGGGGCGTTGCCTCCCGGAATCCAAGCGGCCTTTTGCCCGGGTCTCCCGAGATGCATCGAAATTGAGCTCGTCCACACAGCCCCCTGACTGCGTGATGCCCTTTTCTGACTTAAAACATTCCTTGTACCTTTATTTACACGATCCAAGTTGCAGTGTGCCTAGATTTTCCTCCAAGGACAAAAATGTGAATAAAGCAATATTTTAGCCAAACATTTCTGTGTCAATTAAGAAGATTGCAATTCGTTCCAGACTATAAATTCTCTTTAACAACTCCCTAAGGTATTCTTTTAAATTGTTTTTCAGCGTTGCTAAATGTGCATCATAATGTGTGGGAGACTTGTATAAAGTGAATCAATTTATACTCAGCTGATTAATTGACCCGATGTTACCACCTCCAAGGAGGCACCTTTCCACTATTTTCTCATTTTTTCCCCAACACATGTTATTTGTTAGTGAGGAAGCTGCGTGCACGTGGCATTGTATAAAGTTTATTAGACAGACGTGGCCCTTAAACTAGGAAGAGCTTAGTCTAACTCTAAATCTAAAATTCGACATTTCGGTAAGTTGTGAGACAAGATACCCAGGTTGTTTGATAAACCAGAATTGAACATAATTTTTTAAAAATTTAAATCACAGGAATGTTTTTCTTGAAGGCATCCAGCATCTCCAGTTAGCAGTACTGATTTTTTTTCCCCCCAACAAAGGAACACTACATCAACACTGTTGGCGGGGACCTGGACACAGAAGACTCCTGTTTCAAGAAAATACAATCATCTCTCAAAGGCTGTAATTTATATGCATTTTAAAACTCTAGGCATTGAAAACCACCCAAGTGTCCCAAATAGAAGGGTAATATATAATCAATCACTCAGTGTAATATTATACATCCTTTAAAAATGTTATTGGGAAATGTTTTATGATCTGTAAGTCCAAGGAATCCTCTCCCACCATTTCTTTCCCCCCGCTGTTCCCCCATACCCACACTTCTTTGTTCCAATTGGCATGTAAATTTGGTTTTCCCGCCAAATGAGTCAGTCATGATGGGAACCTCAACTGATTTGAACAGATGTGTGTCAATGTTACTTGGAAAACTAGATGTCAATAACCAGGGTCACAGAAAAAGGCAGTGGTCACAACTCTGTAAAAATGTATGCATGCACACAGACAAGAACTAAAGTGGAACCCCACACAGGAAAACAGTGGGCTGTACTCCAGTGCTGGGACATTGAATGACTGTATGCTGCTTTTGATTTCCGTTAATATGGGCAACTGTCCAATTAAAAAAAAAACTCCTAAGGACTCTGCAGTGCAAATTGTTTTGCTGATTGTTTTAAAACACCATACCTATCAACTCATCAAGGCAAATGGGGCAGCGGGGGACTGGGTTCGTTCCCTGAATCCTGGACTGCTATAGAGCTCAGGGCAACATTTGCAGAAAACCTGAGCCTATGAGATGGGAGTTATAGGCAGCTTTCCTGAGGCTGTGTAAGATGAAAATAAAACTAGGTTCAAAAAATATGTTTGGGGAAGATCAATGAGTTTATCGATAGAAGTTAAAAGACTTGAGTCTGGCTATATGCAAGTTGGCATATGTTTTTAGAGATCTTTTTTCCCATTGGCCTGCAGTATGACTTAATCTCATAACCCTAGAATTTTATATATGCATTTGTATTTAGAGTTATTACATGACTCTTAAGCAAAAAAGAGTATATATACATCAAGTGTAGCAAACGTGTATCTCCCTGCCCCCCTACATCCCACTCAGGCCCACCCATTAGTTACTCCTCAGTGAATAAACAAGGATCGGCTAGCTCTTTCATAATATTTCACCTATCTGCCACCTTTTCCCTCCTCCCCAGCTCCACAGCTGATCTCTTTGGCAAGTTCAGCCAGGCTTAAAACCCCTGTGGGGATAGTAAATTGAGCCAAGAGGGAGGAGCCCCGAAAGACTTCCACTTCCTGTGGTTGCTTGGGCCTTTGAGCACTCCCCCTTCCACTACTGAGCTCTATAATCTGAGCAGTTGGTGGGTGTTTGGAAACATGGCCTTGGCTCCACTGCTGGAGTCAGGGAGCTCAGAACACTGCAGCAACCTGCCAGTGAGAGTCTGGGTTGCTTTGAAGCCTGAGTCTCCCAAGGCAGCTCCCTCACCTGTTCCCCCATGTCCACCCCCACCTGCCATCCAGACAAGACTATTACCCTAAGACCAGACCTTCTAAAGGCGTGGCCACAGAATCATCAGTATCCCAACATCTTGCCTTTGTATCGTGTGTTTACATACTTTTCCAAATACTTTGTTTTTTCTTTTTTTTCTTTTTTTAATTTGTGACAACCTTGAAAGACAAACAGAGTTAAGGCAGTCCAAAAAATAATTACAGACAAGAAAACTGGGGCCTCTGGAGGTTAAGGATTTGTCTGAGGCTACTCTCTGGGGGCTCTTCCTCCAGGCCTCATACTGTGTTCCTTATGTCATTACCTGTTCATCAGAACCGACTATGCAGTAGTGACCAGAGCAGGAAATGGAGGTGAATGTGTTTGGTTACAAAAATTCCCGGTGAAACTGGCTAGTCTTATGATGAGCTTTGGCCTATACATTGGACACTTCCTGGGTGAGGCCCAAGATTGGCCCCAGGATTACTAAATAGTGACTATAAGTTACCCAGCCGTGTACAAGTCAATCTGCACAAACCAAAAAAGCATGATTTAAATTCATTTTAAACCTCTGTCCCATGTTTGTTATTTTCTGTAGATTCAATCAAATTATCTTAAGGAAACAAATGAAGTGTCAAGCTATAGGGGTTGACTTAATCTAGTCACTCACTCAATGGAACCTTTTTCAGCCATTGCAAATAATAATGATAGAGAATATACAGAAACCTGGAAAATGCTTATGATATCAACTTAAAAAAAATCAGGGCCACAAAATCACATGGACACCATGATTGAAAAATAGGAGCAGAACCTGGAGGAAACCTGCAAAACAGACATACTTGTTACTTAAGGGTGGTGGGATTAGAGCTGAAGTTTCTTCTTTCTCTACTTTTTCATGGTTTTGTGTGTGTGTGTGTGTGTGTGTGTGTGTGTGTGTGTGTGTGTGTGTGAGATGCCACGTTTTCTTGTTATGTTGTCAAAATATAATTCTCTAAAAAGTCTTTAGGGGTCATGGGTGATACAGAAATTTGGGATCGGTCAAGGATGCACAGATCTCAGACATCTCGGGGATCATCATGTCACGAGATACCAGTGTGCACTTGTGACAGATTGATAACTGAAAGGTCTGGGAGCCACTCATCTTCATAGCAAAACATGTGGTAAGTATTACAAGACGAATCAATGAAAAGATCAGGAGGAAAGTGGGCCCTAAGCAAAGAAGAAAGGGGTTGCTATGGGATGGGGTGGGAGGATGAGTTGTGTTTTCATAGGAGTGTAATGGGAATGCCTTTATTTGTGTCTTTATTGCTTTAAATGTTTGTTGAATGAATTGAAACTTACATAAGGTATATGATTTTATACTTGTGCTAGAATGCTAAAATAAAGAATTTATGCTCAAGCAAACAACTGGAAAACACTTTGCTATAAGCATTACAGACACAGGGTCATTTTTAGTATGTTGAGTCCACACAAGTGGTCAAGAAAAACCATAAAAACTACATGAACAGAAAGCCCCAGTTAAAAAAAATGCATAAAGATGCTCATTTCAATATTTTAAGGATGGAAGTTAGGAACATCCTGAATGACCAACAACAAAGGATTAGACAAATAAAATACAGCGTAGCTAGCTAGTACAATAGAATAGGATGCTTTCATGTAAAATAATGTTTCTGAAAGTAATTTTCATGTCATGAGAATGTGCTCCTGATAAAACATTTAGCGATTGAAAAAAGGTGCAAAATATTTTCCCATCTCTGCAATATAGGTATATAGGGAGCATTCTGTATGAATAGTTTTGTATCAACATACAGATAAAAGGCTAGGAGGAAACATATAAAAACTTTATTGTGATTATCTCTGAGTTGTGGTATAAAGGTGACCAAAGAAAGATGCTAAACTATTTTTGCGATGTGTTCCTAATATGTAATATAAATGTATTGGGGACATTTTGCATTCATAGTTTTGTATCAATAATATGGGGAAAAGAGGCTATCAGGAAGTATACCAAAAGTCTAGAGGTGGTTATCGCTGACTTGTGTCACTATAGGCAATCAAAAACGATACTAAACTGTTTTTGCGATGTGTTCCTAATATGCACTATAAATATATTGGGAACATTTTGCATGTATAGTTTTGTATCAATATACAGATGAAAAGATGGAGGGAATAAGCAAAAAATCTAACAGCGGCTATCTGTGGTTTACTTCTGTGATAAATGTAAGATGCAGAATTATTTTTGCAATATGTTCCTGAATATGTAATATAAGTGTATTGGGATCATTTTGCATCCATAGTTTTGTATCAACATATGGAGAAAAGTCTAGGAAGAAATATACCAAAACTTGTAACAGTATTATAGTATAAAATTATAGGTAATGTTTGTTTTTCTCTTTATACTTTTATGTATTTTCCAAGTAATATTTGCATAAACAATAAAATGCATTGCTTTTATAGCAATAATAAAACATTTTATTTTTAAAAAGAGTTTGTATTTTTTTTAAAGCATGAACCCCTGACATAAGGGTGGGGGAAGACTTCCTATTTGGCCAGCAGTGGGCCTAGAATACTTTTTCAAACATATCTGGGAAACCTTTGTACAACTTCAGTTGGATCTGCAGTGCAAATGTGTTTTCATTTGCTCTTGGCAAAGAAAAGAGAAAGTATAACTAAAAAATATAACCACGACAGAGTTATAATAGTAATATTAGTAAACAAACTGCTATCTATGTCTAATCAAAGTAACATTTAAAGAAGTATAGAAAGCTGAAACAGGCTCCTTTTCCTCTAGTAGCAATTCAGGAAGGTGGTACTTGGATGCTCGCCCAGGGCCTCAAGACGCATTGGCCAGTTTGAGATATGCCCAAGTCAGGAAAACACCTTATTTAGGTTATTTCCACTCAGCCAACTTCTTGCAGATGCGGGTAAAGCCCCCCCTGCATTTTCCCGCAAATTCAGCTGAGCTCCATAGTAACTCTGGTGTTGCAGAACACATGTGACACCTCAATTTAGGCGATCCTTGTTCTGGTAAGAGATGGAACCATTTGGTCACGTACCTGGCCCATGGTCTGAAGGGCACCTACCAAGGTTTTAGCGTTCCTCAGTGGCACTGATTTGGACAGAGACACATTACAGGAGGATCTAAGTTCCTTCCTATCTTTTTAGTAGCATTTTGGGAAACTGTTCCCCCACCAAGGACATATTTGGCACTCTAGCAAGTCCATATGACTAGACATTACTTTCTTTTTTTTTTTTTTTTTTTTGAGACGGAGTCTGGCTGGCTCTGTCACCCTGGCTGGAGTGCAATGGTGCGATCTCAGCTCACTGCAAGCTCTGCCTCCCAGGTTCAAGCGATTCTCCTGCCTCAGCCTCCCAAGTAGCTGGGATTACAGGTGCCCGCCACCTTGCCTGGCTAATTTTTTTGTATTTTTAGTAGAGACGGGTTTCACTGTGTTAGCCAGGATGGTCTCGATCTCCTGATCTCGTGATCTGCCCACCTTGGCCTCCCAAAGTGCTGGGATTACAGGCGTGAGCCACCGTGCCCGGCCGACATTACTTTCAAAATAGATCCATCATATTCCTTAAAGGAGAAGCTGAGTTGTGAGGCAAATATATATACACATATCCATTTACAAAGATACAGGAGACCATTCCTCCAATTTTCTGATGCCCTGCCCTTGTTCTGCTTAAGAACATACAATCATACAACCAAACTGGTCCCCATGCTTAAATGTGTGTACTCCTCTTTAAGGAGCATAAGCATTTTTATCTGCCACACTCTGTCAATCAGAGCATATTTACTGGGTGCCTACCTCTGTGCTAGTTACTTGTGGATAGAGGAGCGGGTAGGGGAGAAGCGGAGGTTAAGGTGATACTGAGCCAGAGAGGCCTTGAACACACGAATACTTTGTCTGCCACTGGGTACAGAGCAGGGATCAGCTGAGGCTTTGACCTTCGTCTGAGCCAGGTCAGACCACACAGAGAATCTGCTTTGCTAAGCAACCATCTAAGTGGCCTCCTTTCCCCTAGGGCTCACTCTAGTCCCTGCTGGACAAAATGTATGGAATAGGGGCAGAGTGTGGGAGGGACCCCTTTCTAAATGGGAGGTCTCGCCTCTAGGGCTGAGAAAGAGAGAGAGAGAGAAATCATTCCAAATTGAGCATTGATCTTAAGCCCCTTTCGTTGACCAGTGAAAAAAAAATCTTCAGCCCCTGAATTTCTTTCTATATATGTATATATAGAGAAAGACAGAGAGACAGGGTCTCACTATATCGCCCAGGCTAGTCTTGAACTCCTGGGCTCAAGCGATACTCCCACCTCAGCCTCCCAAAGTATTGGGATTACAGGCGTGAGCCCCTGCGCCCGGCTGAATTTCTGAACCAGTGAAATGTCCTAGAATTTGGCCAGTACAGAGATTGCTTCTCAGAGTTGGAAGTATGCCAAGAGGGGTTGAGGAGGGGCAGGTGCAGAAGGTGCTGAGGGCTTCCCTTTGTTAACAGGGTACAAACCCTCATTTTACACAAGTCCAGCCCCTCATTTTACAGAAGAGAAAACCAAGTTGCAGAGAGAGAAAATAAGTTGCAGAGAGGTCGTGCAGAGAATTGGGCAATGTTACAACTTGAACCTTGAGCTTCAGGGCTTTTTCCATTGTAATATACTGGGTCTAAAGGACACAGGGAGTGACTTGGAAAGACTCTATGAAGGATATGGGACTTGATGAGCACCTGCAAAAGTGGGTGGGGCTGGGCATGGTAGTGTTCACCTGTAGGCCCAGCTACGCCAGAGGCTGAGGGAGGAGGATCACTTGGGCCCAGGAGTTCCAGGCTGCAGTGCGCCATGATTATGCCTATGAATGGCCACTGCACTCCAGCCTAGTCAACAAAGCAAGGCCCTATCTCTTTAAAAAAAAAAAAAAAGATAGGTGGGGCCAGAAGAGGCAGAGAGGACAGGGGTGGACATTCCAGGCAGGGGGTAATGACATAAGCACTGGAGGAATGGATGTGGTGTCACCACAGGGCAATCTGGAGGAAATTAAGGTCAAGTCTTCCTTCTCAACGTGGGCTATGCAAGCCCTTGAGGGTATAAGACAGTGTCCCATGGGTTGCCAAAAGCCACAGAATATAGATGGCACAATTTCCTAGAGCACAGCTTGGTATCCATAATAAATAATTTACAGCATTGTTTTTCTGTAAAAACAAGCACAAATTTAAACAGATAAAACTGAGACCTCACAAAATCATTTCCAGTTTGTTGCAGGCCCCTCCAGGCCGTCCTAGGACTCCCACTCCAGTCTCATTCTGAGGGAGTATTTGTGCACTGGTCTCTAGGCATTTGGCTGTTTGTTTTTCCTGCCAGCACTCCTTGTCTTCTGATAACAGTTCCCTGGCTCTTTCCTTTGCTGAACTGCCCCTCCTCCACTGCAATCATGGGATTCTGGAAGGGCTGCCCATCTCTGTAAACTGCTGAGCCTTTCACCAGGCACGTGACCCAGGTCAGGCAAACCACAGTATCCCATCCTCTCTTCCACAATGATTGTGGTAAAGAAAGTTCACGTGACCCCAGCCTAACCACTCAAAGTACTTGCCTGGGATTTTTTTTTTTTTTTTTTTTTTTTTTTTTTTTTTGAGACAGGGTTTCAGTTTGTCACTCATGCTGGAGTGTGACGGTGTGCATGTGGGTCGCTTCAGCCTTGAACTCCTGGGCTTGAGCAATCCTCCCGCCTAAGCCTCCTGAGTAGCTGGGACAACAGGCGCACCACCACACCTGGCTAAGTTTTTTATTTTTTTTAGAGATGGGATCTCACTATGTTGCCCAGGCTAGTCTTGAACTCCTGGGCTCAAGTGATCCTCCAGCCTCAGCCTCCCAAAGTGTTGGGATTACAGTGGTGAGCCACCATACTCAGCCTTGCCTGTTTTTTTGTTTTTGTTTTTTATGTTCAATGCTGAAATGGAGAGAGCCTCCCTTTCTTCTGTGGCTTCTAAACCTAAAGCTGTATATGGCTATGCCCTCCCCAACCCTGCTCTGCCATGTCTCTCACCCGAGGAATATTAGCAGGAGAGAATGAGAACAGCATGCACATAAAAAAGTAAAACATGCACATAAAAGAGAGAGACGACAGACAGAGAGCAGAGACAGAGAGAGAGCTAATGACATTGCTTGAGTCCTTGAACCCAGGTGGTTCTCGCATCAGCTCCACTCCTGTCCCTCAGTGACCAGAGCACATATTGTCCCTTTTGTTTAAGCTAGTCTCATTTATTCATTCAGCAAAACTTATCAAGTACTTTCTAAATGCTGGGCACTATTCTAGGAATGGAAAAAGAGCGGTGAACAAAAGAGACAAAGACCCTGCTCTTGTGGTGTTTCCCTACCACATTGAGTTGTGCCTCTGTCTCTGTCACTTGCAACTGGAACAGTGCTGCCCACCAGACCATGGGAGGCTTGACATGTTGGCCTAAGGACTATGCTATAAACAAGAGGGAGACTTTGCATGTTAGCCCGAGGACTACTATAAACAAGGGCTGGGGGGTGAGCTTTGAATATTTTCAGGAGAGGAATCACATGATCTTTCACAAATGTCTAGATTTGAGGCTGGGCTAAGTTAGAAGCAGTGACTACAAAAAGGCCAGAGTGGCTGGCACTCTGATTTGTTCAATTTTTGAAATACCCTCATGAAGAAGGTGGCCTACTGAATCAAGGTCTCTGGAAGGAAACCCAATTTGGGAGGAAAATAAAGTGCTTCCAGGAAGTGTTCCAGGCCCAGCTCTTCCTGCCCTCCCATCCTTTCCTGGCTGGGTCCTTTGGTTCAGCCTTCCCGGCTTGCTCCACTCTCTCGCCCTCTGCCCGTGTGCTGCACTGCTGCTTGGCTTTGAGGCCGACCTAGCACTGGATTCCTCTCCCCTCGAACCCACACATGTCTGCACATGGAGTCCACATGCCACTGATAGGAACAATGTGAGCTGCAGAGAAGGCTTCCCTCTCCCTGCCCCAATCCACCTACCTTTTTTTTTTTTTTTTTTTTTTTAGATGGAGTTTCACCCTTGTTGCCCAGGCTGGAGTGAAGTGGCGCGATCTCAGCTCACTGCAACCTCCGCCTCCCAGGTTCAAGTGATTCTCCTGCCTCAGTCCCTCGAGTAGCTGGGATTACAGGTGCCTGCCACCACGCCCAGCTAATTTTTTGTATTTTTAGTAGAGACAGGGTTTCATCATGTTGGCCAGGTTGGTCTCAAACTCCGGACCTCAGGTGATCCACCCACCTCGGCCTCCCAAAGTGCAAGGATGAGCCACCACGCCCGGCCTCCACTTATCTTTCAAGACCCATTCCATGTGCCTCCTTCTTTTGAGGACTGCCTTGACCACCCCACTCATACTGAACCTCGTCTGACCTCCTGCCATACCCAGTGTCCAGACACTGGCTCATGTCCATTTTTACAGGTGTGCCTCCTGCAAATCCGCAGGAAGCACCAAGAACCAGGTCCTTCTTCACCCCCAAATCTGTCATGGAGCCCAGCGCTGTTCCCGGCACAGCAGAGCGGGTGCTCCATCCAGGTTGACTGATGACATTGAGCATATAGATGGCCTGGGGATAAGGCCATCTTAATCCTTTTCCTGGGACAGTCCTGGCTTAGGCCTACTTTATTGTCATAATTATTAGTAGCATCTCATTTCACTCTCAAAAGTGTCCCATGATAAAATATATTGTAACCATATTTGTTTAGAGGATATTAAAGGGGCTGTCGTCACAGCCCAGTTGAAGAGATTCCTGATATAGGACAAAGTATTTATACAATCAAAACCACATTATGGCCCAGAATGATGGCTCATGCTTGTAATCCCAGCACTTTGGGAGGCTGCGATGGGCAGATCACTTGAGGTCAGGAGTTCAAGACCTGCCTGGCCAAAATGGTGGAACCCTGTCTCTACTAAAAATACAAAAATTAGCTTGGCATGGTGGCTCATGCCCACAGTCTCAGCTACTCAGGAGGCTGAGGCAGGAGAATCACCTGAACCCAGGAAGTGGAGGTTGCAGTGAGCCGACATTGTGCCCGTGCGCTCCAGCCTGGGCACAGAGTGAAATTCTGTTTAAAAAAAAAAAAAATCAGCATTGTGGCAGGGTGCGATGGCTCACACTTTATAATTCCAGCACTTTGGGAGGTCACAGTGAGAGGACAACTTGAGGCCAGAAGCTTGAGACCAGTCTGGCCAAAAAGTAAGATCTCATCTGTATTTAAAAAAACAGACAAAACAAACAACAACAACAAAAAACCCATTTTTTAAAAAACCAGTATTATGTTGCAATTCCATGCTCTGTCACTTGGAACTGAACGTATTCCTTAGAGAACTCCGGAAAGTCTTGTCTACTCAACTGCAACAGGCTCCCACACACTCTCTGGCACATGAAGCATTAAAGCCACAGTCCAGCCTGTCACAAGACACAGATATTATCTCCATTTATTTCACACCATGGGTATGCAAAATAGCACCGTTATGCACCTCCAGGACTGGGAAGGCACACGGGCCTGGTCCAGGACCAGAAAGAATTCAAAGACAAACATGAACAAACCTCAGGTCTAGCAGATGAAGCAAAGGGTTGCTTCATGGTTCTTTTCAGAGTGGCTTTAGTTTGTGAAAGTCTACCTCACAGGGGAAACCAAAAGAAAAAACACCCTCATCCTATCACCCTTCCATCTTCCTCTTCTACCTCTGTCTCCCCAGAGTTGTGGCTTCATCCTACTCCTGCTCCTAGTGTAACCACCCAATGGGTTCACCATGCCCGTTGCCTAGACAGAGCCGATTTATCAAGACAGAGGAATTGCAATGAAGAAAAAGCAATTCACGCAGAGCCTGCTGTGCGGGAGACCGGAGTTTTATTATTACCCAAATCAGTCTCCCCAAGCACTCGGGGATCAGAGTTTTTGTTTATTTGTTTGTTTGTTTTTTGAGATGGAGTCTCATTCTGTCACCCAGGCACTGCAACCTCCGCCTCCCGGTTCAAGCAGTTCTCCTGCCTCAACTTCTGAGTAGCTGGGATTACAGGCGCCTGCCACCATGCCCAGCTAATTTTTACATTTTTGGTAGAGATGAGGTTTCACCATATTGACCAGGCTGGTCTCAAACTCCTAACCTCAGGTGATCTGCCTGCCTCAGCTTCCCAAATTGCTGGGATTACAGGCGTGAGCCACCATGCCCAGCCAAGGATCAGAGTTTTTAAAGATAATTCGGCAGGTAGGGTCTTGGGAAGTGGGGAGTGCTGATTGGTCAGGTTGAAGATAGAATCATAGGGGGTCGAGGTGTGTTTTTCTTGCTGTCTTCTGTTCCTGGGTGTGATGGCAGAACTGGTTGAGCCAGATTACTGGTCTGGGTGGTGCCAGCTGATCCATTGAGTGCAGGGTCTGCAAAATAGCTCAAGCACTCATCTTAGGTTTTACAATAGTGACGTTATCCCCAGGACCAATTTGGGGAGGTTCAGACTCTTGGAGCCAGAGGCTGCATGACCCCCAAATGTAATTTCTAATCTTGTAGCTAATTTGTTAGTCTTGCAAAGGCAGACTGGTCTCCAGGCAAGAAGGGGTCTTTTTGGGAAAGGGATATTATCAATTTTGTTTCAGAGTCAAACCATGAACTGAATTCCTTCCCAAAGTTAGTTTGGCCTATGCCTAGGAATGAACAAGGACAGCTTAAAGGTTAGAAGCAAGATGCAGTTGGTTAGGTCTGATTTCTTTCACTGTCATAATTTCCTCAGTTATAATTTTGCAAAGGCAGTTTTACTGGCACTCAACCTGGGCAGCTCTGTTTGCCTGAGATACTCATATTCTTTAGAGTGGAGCACCTGCAAGACAAACAGACCTCCCTCCGGTGGATTAAAGATGGCCACAAATTCTTTGACATTCCTCCCATAGAGACATGGGGTCTGCATCCCCTCCTCTTAAATTTAGGCTGGCTTCAGTGACTCGCTGCCCAATGTGGCCAAAGTGGCCTAGTAGCTTCCACTGGCTTCTTGGAGCCTTGAGCTTCCACGTGGGCATCCACCTACTCAACGGGCATCATGCTGGAGAAACCACATGAAGCAATGGCATGGAGAGGTCCTGAGACTACGATTTGGAGAGAAGGAGCTGCTGGGCAGCCCCTAACTGTTTCAGCCCTCAGCGGTGAAGGTCATTCCAGTTAAGATCCCGGATATCGCAAGTCACCCCTCCCAAACTGCCGATTTGTGAGCAAAAGAAATGATCATTGTTGTTTTAACAAACTAAGTTTGGGTGTGGTTTGTTATGTCACAATTGATAAGCAGAACACTCCCTCTTGCCCGTATTAATTTTTTCAGCTTTATTGAGGTATAATTGATATACAAAATTGCACATATTTAATGTATACATTTTGATGACATTTTGCCAATGTGGATTTATCATTTGTTGTAGCATAAATCTGATGCGATATTAAGCTCTATAACAGATGTTTGTATGCCGGTGTTCATAGCAGCACGATTCCCATTAGCCAAAAAGTGGAAGCAAACCAAATGTCCATTGATGGGTGAATGGATGAACCAAATATCCATACAATGGAATATTATTCAGCCTTGGAAAGGAAGGAAACTGAGACATGCTACAAGGTGGATGAACCTTGAGGACATTATGCTAAGTAAAATAATCCAGAACCAAAAGGACAAATATCGCATGATTCAACTTATAAGAGTTATGTCCCCATATGAGTAGCACAACTCATAGAGACAGAAAGTAGAGTGGTTCTTGCCAGGGGCTGGGGTAGGAGGGAGAATAGAGTTAGTGTTTAATATGTATAGAATTTTAATTTGGGATGATGGGAAGGTTCTGGAGATGGATGGTGGTGCTGGTTGCACAACAATGTTAATGTGCTTAATGTCAGGGAACTGTATACTTAAAAATGGTTAAAATGGTCAATTGTATGCCATATAAATATAACCACAGTAAGAAGAAATGGGGAAAAATAAATATATGTTGGAAGGGTCAATTAATTTAAATAATTAATTTAAGAAATTAAATATTTAAATTAAAATATTAAATATTTTTAAAATACTTATATAAAAATAATAAATGGCTGGACACAGTGGCTCACGCCTGTAATCCCAGCACTTTGAGAGGCCAAGGTGGCAGATTGCTTAGGTCAGGCGTTCAAGACCAGCCTGGGCAACATGGGGAAACCCCATCTCTACTAAAAATAAAAAAAATTAGCTGAGTATGGTGGCAGGCGCCTGTAATCCCAGCTACTCAGGAGGCTGAGGCAAGGGAATTGCTTGAACCTGGGAGGCAGAGGTTGCAGTGAGCTGAGATCGTGCCACTGCACTCCTGCCTGGGCAACAGAGTGAGACTCCATCTAAAAAACAAACAAACAAACAAAACAAAACCAAGAGGAGGGAGTCGAAGTGCATGGGGGTCGGGAGAGTCTGCTCATCACGGGAGTCTGTGCTTGAGTGGGTTGAAGATGATGGCCTTACAGGGGGATGACCTGGAGCAGGGAGTAAGAGCCCAGGAAGGGTGAAGAGATCATCCGTGTGGAGGGGCCACCCAGTGTGGCATACAGAGCCTGAGGAGGGCGTCCACGCATGGGGCTAGCCTGGCACAGGTGTTAGAACCTAGAAGGTCAGCCTGGGCAACATAATGAGACCTCATCTCTGCAAACAAATATAAATAAATTAAACAAAAATAAATAAATAAGCTGGGCATGGTGGCTTGCACCTGTGGTCCCAGCTACTTGGGAGGCTGAGGTAGGAGGATCGTTTGAGCCAGGGAGGTCGTTGCAGTGAGCCTTGATGGCACCACTCCACTCCAGCCTGGGCGACAGAGCGAGATCCTATCTCAAAAAAACAGGACCCTAGAAGGTCAAGAATGGTGTCTGCAAGCAGGGTGTATAGGGCATCCACACAGGATGGTCTACTGGGGACTATCTGAGTCTGAGCAGGGAGGAGAGGGCATCCGTGTGGAGGGGCAGCCTGATGTGAGGTCTAGAACCCAAGCAGAGTGAGGAAGACATCCATGCCGGAGGCAGCCAGGCAGAGGGACTCAGAGTCCAAGTGCAGCCAGTAGGATGTCCACGTGGGGACCAGCTTGTCCTGGAGAGTCAGAGGCGGAGCTAGGGAGTCAGCATCTCCCTGAAGAGGCAGCCTGGCAAGACGGTGTCAGACATGAGCCGGGTCATGAGGGCATCTACACAGGGGCCGCTCGGCATGCAAAGCCAGAGCCCAAGTGGAGTAAGGAGGGTGTTTGCCAGGGGTGTGGGGTGGCCTCCTGCAGGTTTCCAAACCTGAGATAAAAGGAGAAGGCGGCCGGGAGCAATGGCTCATGCCTGTAATCCCAGCACTCCGAGGCAGGTGGATCACCTGATGAGGTCAGGAGTTTGAGACCAGCCTGGCCAACATAGCAAAACCCCGTCTCTACTAAAAATACAAAAATTAGCTGGGCGTTGTGGTGCACGCCTGTAATCCCAGCTACTCTGGAGGCTAAGGCAGGAGAATCGCTTGAATCTGAGAGGTGGAGGTTGCAGTGAGCCAAGATTGCGCCACTGCACTCCAGCCTGGGTGACAAGAGTGAAACTCCGTCTCAAAAAAAAGGGTGTGTGTGTGGGGGAAAGGCACCCACTGGGGGTCGGCATGGTGAGCGAGGTGAGGCCAGCCATGTCAGGGGTGGGGCCCAGTGTGGCTGTCAAAGGCCAAGCCAGCTGAGGACACTACTGCCAATGGGTAGCCTGGCCTGGGGTGTCAGAGCTCAAACCGGGGAAGGAGGGTGGGCTAGTGTTTGATGTCAGATCCTGAGGTGTCAGTAGCTCACCCATGTGGTCGGGGGCAGCCTGGCATAGAGTGTCAGAGTGTGGGTGGGGCATATAGGGTATCCATGCCATGGGGTGGCCTGGAGCATTGTTTCAGAGCCCAAGCAGGGTTCAGAGGGCGGGCGTACATGTGGAGGGCAGCCTGGCATGGCCAAATCTTGGCCCAAGTGGGCTGAGAAGGCCATCAATATGCAGAGTGGGTGGGACTAGTATGAATTCTAGAACACCCGATCCTAGTCACAGTTAACACAGCTGAGGATGGGAATGACGTGTCAAATGAAAACCGGGACAATTAGTAAAAGTCTAAACGCATGACAACCCCACCATCCCCACCCCTGCTGCCCTTCCCCATTGAGCTCCCTGGAAACCACCTTATTGCCCTGAGGAGTAGGCTGGCTTTTACTCTCCGTAGCAGATGTCTCTAGTACCTCTTGTCCCTTCCCCTTGAGCCCCACCGATTTCAGCTGCTGAAGTGCACTGTCTTCTACAAGATCAGCCTGACCTCATGCAGGCAGCACAGCGTTTGCCCTTGAGGGAGCATTAAGTCTCTTTCTGCTTTCAGTTTCAAGGCCTTCTCTTAACTGGCTGACTTTTAACAGCAGACTAAACCATTCTCCCTTCATCCCAGGGAGAAGCCTCCATGATGGGGGTGGGGGCTTTGGTTTAAAGGCTCTGGCTTCCTGTTCTTCAGTGGACAATTCTGAAAGCCTTGTGGATGTTTCCAAGGAAGCCTCCTGTTTCCTACAGGGATGACCTCATTCATAATGCACCTTTTTACTGGCTTTTCCTCTTTCCCCGTCTCACTCTCTTGGCTCCCTCTCCCCAATTTCCCAGGACCAACTCCCAGATAAACCACCTGTTCTCAAATCCTCTTCTCAGCCTCTGCTTTGAAAGGAACCCAAACTAAGATAGTCTACATTTGGAGATGCCATAATTAAATGTCTGTGTTCTGGTCCAATTATTTTATTTTATTTTTATTTTGTTTTATTTTTGAGACAGGGTCCCCTTCTGTCACCCAGGCTAGAGTGCAGTGGTGCAATCTGGGGTCACTGCAGCCTCGAACTCCTGGGCTCAGGCGATCCTCCCCTCTCAGCTTCCTGAGTAGCTGGGACTACAGGCACGCGCCACCATGCAAGGCTAATTTTTGTGTTTTTTGTAGAGATGAGGTCTCATTACGTTGCCCAGGCTGGTATGGAACTCCTGAGCTCAAGCAATCCACTCACCTCGGTCTCCCAAAGTGCTGGGATTACAGGCGTGAGCCACCGCGCCCAGCATGGTCCAATCATTTTAGAGTGAAGCCGGCGGACAGGCCCCATTCATGCCACAGAACTTCCAGTCATCTTATGGATATCTCAACCCTAAGTATGGACAGCCAAGATCAGGGCCCAGGGCTAGGACATCAGTGAGGTAAGCAATGCACTCTGAGTGCAAAACGTAAGGAGGCTTTCACTCTCAATTGCCAACCCTGCACTTGCAGGACCTGAGCCTGAGGGACCCCTGACATTTTGCACCCTGGGCTCTCTGCTTGCCTCACCCTACTCCTGGCTCTGGCCAAGACACTAATAAAAAGCCTGTAAGGTTGAAACAAACAAATAGAAAAAAAGAAACTCAGATGAAAAAGAAACAATGCAAACAACAAAGAGCAATTCTTAGAAATCCACAATATTCTCAGAGGCATAAGATAATTTATTTATTCACCAAGAAGAAAAAAAAAGGGGCATTTAAAGAACAAGAAAGAGCTCTAGGAAATTAAAGGTTCAAGATACCACTCAGAGAGCAGAACAAAAAAGGCAAAGAACAGTAAAACAGACCGGAAAAGGAAAAGGACATTAGAGGATTGTTCCAGATGTGATGTAAGAGTGCCAGAAAGGGGGTAAGAAAAAAGTGAGAGAATATTATCAAAGAAATGATACATTAAAATATCCAAAGCTGAAAGACATAAAGTTCCAGTTTTCAAATAATAAAAACACTGCGTGCCCAACAGAGTGAATGAAGAAAGCCCACATCAAGTCACCTTTTGTGTACATTTCAAAAACAAGAATTTAAATAAGATTCCAAAACCCCGTCTCGACCAAAACTACAAATATTAGCTGGGCGTAGTGGTGTACACCTGTAATTCCAGCTACTCGTGAGGCTAAGGGCAGGAGAATCGCTTGAACCTGGAAGGCGGAGGTTGCAGTGAGCCAAGATTGTGCCACTGCACTCCAGCTTGGGCAACAGAGCAAGACTCCATCTCAAAAAAAAAAAAAAAAAAAAAAAAAAGAAAAAGAAAAAAAAAGAAAGAAAGAAGAAAAGAAAAGAAAAAGAAAATATTCTAAGAGATTCCGGAAGGAAAAATAGGTTATACACAAAGGATCAGGAATCAGAATAGCTTTGGATTTTTCCAGAGAAATACTGTGTTGGCAGACAGAAGATAAGGAAGCAATGCCTTCAATATTCTGAAGGAAAATTAACATCTAACAGAGAATTCTATACCTGGCCAAACCAACAATTAAGTGTGAAGCTTGAATATAAACACTTTCAAACATGCACAGTCTCAGAAATTCCTTTTATTGTACTCTTTCTCAGGAAGCTACTGGAGGGTGAATGCAAAATGAGGGAGAGACACCAGCTTTTGTAAATCGCAGGCTAGGTAATTTGGACTAACACTACTGCTAAAAATATCAGAGAAGGTGGACAAAATCATTTACAAATATCCTCAAAAGTATAAAATACTTAACAAGACAGTGAGAAGGTAGTGCATCGAGCTCCAAAGAGGGCAAGAACCCAGAGAGATGAATCCAAATCTTGGGCATCACTTTTGCTCAGAGATAGGGAACAAAAGCCAGGGTCCAGGGTCAGTCAAAAATGGAGACTCTGGCTGAGTGCGGTGGCTCATGCCCATAGTCCAGATATTTGGGGAGGCCGAGGCAGGAGGATTGCTTGAGCTCAGGAGTTCGAAACCAGCCTGGGCAATATATGGAGACCCCCGTCTCTCAATAAATAAATAAATAATGGAGACTCTGGGAAACCATCCCTACTTTGGGGTGGTATCCTGAAACACTCTACCCTAGGAGTAAAGATGACTTGGAAGTAAACTAGCTCTCACATGCATTGTAGCCTGCATTCCATTCATCCGAGTAACCCAGAAAAATCTCATACCCTGAAATTAAATTCAGTTGATTTCAGATAGCTAGTAGCCCCAGACACCTGAGGATAAAAGTACAAGTATTCTTTGGAGGAATACAACAATATCCTGGGCTTCAAACTATTTATTTAAAATAAAATCTAATGTCTACGTCATGCAATGCATGTTTGTGCAAAACCTGGCGCTAAAGCATTTGTAGATGACCTGCTTCTGTGTGAGGGTTTCATCCACAGCGGGGCAGTTCTCTCACTGTGATCTATGGAGAGTCAGCCTTTGACACAAGGGTTTGTAAGAAAAAAAAAATTATTAAAAGAAAAATAAGAAACAATAAGAAACAAGAATATTTATTTATTTATTTATTTATGTATTTATTTGAGACAGAGGCTCACTCTGTCACCCAGGCTGGAGTGCAGTGAAGCGATCTCAGCTCACTGCAACCTCTGCCTCCCAGGTTCAAGCAATTCTCCTGCCTCAGCCTCCCGAGTAGCTGGGACTACAGGTGCCCACTACCACGCCCAGCTAATTTTTATATTTTTAGTAGCACACTTGGTTAATTTTTGTATTTTTAGTAGAGACGGGGTTTCACCATGTTGGCCAGGCTGGTCTCAAACTCCTGACCTCAGGTGATCCACCCACCTCGGCCTCCCAAAGTGCTGGGGCGTGAGCCACTGCGCCCTGCTGGAAACAAGAAATTTTTAAAAATAAGAAAATTTTAAAGAAAAAATTTAATATCCAACACATAATCAAAGATAATAAAATACCTCACATCATGAATGTTGTTTTTTGTTGTTGTTGTTGTTGTTGTTGTTGTTGTTTTGAGACACGGTCTGTCGCCCAGGCTGGAGTGCAGTGGCACAATCTCGGTTCACTGTAACCTCTGCCTCCAGGTAGCTGGGACTACAGGCGCCTGCCACCACACCCAGCTAATTTTTGTGGTTTTGGTAGAAACGGGGTTTCACTGTGTTGGTCAGGCTGGTCTTGAACTCCTGACCTCAAATGATCCTCCGTCTCAGCTTCCGAAAGTGCTGGGATTACAGGCATGAGCCACCGCGCCCGGCCTCAAACACATAAAGATTTAAGACACCGTGTCAGTGGTTTGGGGCTGGTATAATAGAATGCCGTAGACATAATGGCTTAAACAACTTATTTTTCACAGTTCTGGATGCTAGAGGGCCAAGATCAGAGCAAAGCATAGTTCGTGGTGAAGGCCCTCTTCATGATTATATCCTTACATTGCCTTCATTGGTATTTGGAAAGAGAGTGAGACAGAGAGGGAAGCGGTGGGCGGAGACAAGAAAAGCAAAACAATGTACAACAGAGGATATGTTATCATAGTACAGTACCTCACTCAGCAGAGAACAATGTTTATTTAGTCATTTTAATGAAAACACCAAATGTAAATTAAGCAAAACTTGCTAAAACTTTGTTGGGAGGATGGAAAGAGGATAAATGTGTGTGTGCCTATATGACAGTTAAATCCTCATCTTCAATATTTGCCAGTCAATTGGTAATATTTAAAATGTAACATCAGGCCAGGTGTGGTGGCTCACACTTGTAATCCCAGCACTTTGGGAGGCCAAGGCAGGCAGATCACCTGAGGTCAGGAGTTTGAGACCAGCCTGGCCAACATGGTGAAACCCTGTCTCTACTAAAAATACAAAGATGAGCCAGGCATGGTGATGCCCACCTGTAATCCCAGCCACTTAGGAGGCTGAGGTAGGAGAATTGCTTGAACCCAGGAGACAGAGGTTCCACTGAGGCAAGATCATGCCACTGTACTCCAGCCTAGGTGACAGAGTGAGACCCTGTCTCAAAAAAAAAAATTAAAAATTAAAAATAAATAAAAAAATAAAATGTAAAATCAGGAAATAGCAACATAAGTACAGCATTTTATTTATTTGTAAATCTAATTTATCATTTAATTTCTCCTTTGATCCATGAGTTGCATGGAAGTATTAGTTGACTTACTACAATGTGGGAATTTTTTTCTATTTTGTTGATTTATGATTTAATTTCACCGTGATCAGAGAGCATACTTTAGATTTCAAAGCCATTATCCTCAGCAAACTAATGCAGGAACAAAAAACCAAACATGGCATGTTTTCACTTATGAGTGGGAGTTGAACAATGAGAACACATTGACCCAGGGAGGGGAACAACACACACTGGGGCCTGTCGGGGGGGCTGGGAAGGGCGCGCATCAGGAAGAACAGCTAATGCGGGGCTTAATACCTAGGTGATGGGAAGATCTGTGCAGCAAATCACCATGGCACATGTTGACCTCTGTAACCAGCCTGCACATCCTGCATATGTACCCTGGAACTTAAAATAAAAGTTGATGAAAAAAATTTTTAAGACTTACCGTATCTCCCTGAATATGCTCTATCTTGGTGACCATTCTATGTGCCCTTGAAAGGAATGTGTCTATTCTGCTGTTGTTAGGTATACTGCTCTGTAATTAGATGCAGTTGGTTGACAGTAAATTTCAGATCTCCATTATATCCTTATAGATTTATTTATTTATTTATTTATTTTGAGATAGAGTCTCACTCTGTCGCCTGGGCTGGAGTGCAGTGGGTTGATCTTGGCTCACTGCAACCTCCACCTCCCGGGTTCAAGCGATTCTCCTGCCTCAGCCTCCTGAGTAGGTGGGATTACAGGCGCCGGCCACTACGCCCAGCTAATTTTTTTGTATTTTTAGTACAGGCAGGGTTTCACCATGTTGGCCAGGCTGGTCTTGAATTCCTGACCTCATGATTCGCCCGCCTTGGTCTCCCAAAGTGCTGGGATTACAGGCGTGAGCCAGCCGATATTTTTTGTCTATTTGTTCTATCAGTTGCTGAGAGACTGGTGTTAAAATATCTGACTACGATTGTGGATATGTCTATTTCTCTATATAATGCTGTCAGTTTTTACTCATGAACTGTTTTGCTCTGTTGTTAGGTGCATACATATTTAGGATTGTCATGTCCCTAGTGAATCGTTTATTTTATATTATCTAATGGCCGTCTTTCTTTGGGTAATTCTCTTTGTCTTGAAGTTACTTTGTCTTATATTAATATAACCATGAAGCTTTCTTACACTTGTTGCACATTTTTTCCATCCTTTTACTTTCTTTTTTTCACGAAGCATAAATTTCTCCACAAAGGGAATTTTAATGATGGCTCTAGCTTATTCCCTCCCCAAAGGCCAACTGTAGGCTGGGCATGGTGGCTCAAATTTGTAATCCTTGCACTTTGGGAGGCCGAGGGCGGATCACTTGAGGCCAGGAGTTTGAGACCATTCTGGGCAACATGGAGAAACCCCATCTCTACAAAAAATACAAAAATTAGCTAGGTGTGGTAGCACATGCCTGTAATCCCAGCTACTCAGGAGGCTGAGGCAGGAGAATCACTTGAACCCAGGAGGTGGAGGTTGCAGTGAACCAAGATTGCACCCCTGCACTCCAGCCTGGGCGACAGAGTGAGACTCTGTATATATATATATATATGTTTTTTAAATGGCAGCTGTAACCAAATGAAGTGAACATAACCTCAAGATTGTATTTTCTTCACAATAAAAAAGATCACGCTAGAACTGGATCACTTTGCCCTTTCTCTTCTTATCTCCTTCCAGTTCAAAATGTTTGCATTCTCTGAGAAAAGCAATTGGGCTCAATGCTCTCATGTCTCGGTATAATCTTAGTACTTTCAGCCTTTTTCCGGAAAATCAACTTAGTCTGCCCACCATAGCCACTCTACTTCCTGTCATAACGCCACTTTCCCCAGGCATAAAGAGAATGCTTGCCCTTCTTGTACTGTGTCACTTTGTGGTATTGGTGATTCCTAAACTTCTTACAGAAAGTCTGGTGACTTTTAGGAATGTTCACCAGGTTTGCGAGAGTGCTATCAGCATAAAAAGCTCATCCTTTTAATCTTTCTGCGTCTTTATATTTAAAATTAGTCTCTTGTAGATGGAAGAAATAGGCCAGTCAATTACTGGCTAATGACCTTTATACTTGTGTAGGCTTGATTACAACCG
The DNA here is from genome assembly GCF_000001405.40 of Homo sapiens. NCBI lineage: Eukaryota > Metazoa > Chordata > Mammalia > Primates > Hominidae > Homo > Homo sapiens. Next base: position 134,522,550 of record NC_000023.11, on the reverse strand, counting down.
TGTTGGGCAAGATGGTAAAACAGCAATTTATCTGTATCTCTGCCCTGCCCATTTCCTTTCTAATTAAAACATTGCTGAATAGCACTTCACTGCCTGCTCTCCTTGTTACAGAAGTAGAAATTTCGGCCAAGCCTGGTGGCTCATGAGTGTAGTCCCAGCTGCAAGGGAGACTGAGGCTAGGGGATCACTTGAGCCCAGGAGTTGGAGGCTACAGTGAATTGTGATTGTGCCACTGCACTCCAGCCTGGGTGACAGAGTGAGACCCTGTCTCTAAAAATGAAAATAAAAAAATAAAAACCAGCTGGGTGTGGTAGTTCATGCCTGTAATTTCAGCTCTTTGGGAGGCCAAGGCAGGAGGATCACTTGAGCCTAGGAGTTGAAGACCAGCCTGGGCAGTATAGCAAAACCCCGTCTCTACAAAAGAATACAAAAAGAAAAAAAGTAGCCAGGCACGATGGTGCCTGCCTGTGGTCCCAGCCACTCAGGAGGCTGAGATGGGAGGATTGCTTGAGTCTGGGAGGTCAAGGCTGCAGTGAGCTGTGATTGTCCCACTGCACTCCAGCCTAGGCAACAGTGAGAAAAAAAATCTACCACAACACCCAACCTCCAAAGTAGGCTCTTAGGAAATACCTTTAGTTCAACCTGTGTTCTTCCACATCTCATTGCCCCTGCCTCTACCACCTGCACCTACCTCCCCCAAGAAACACTATCCTGGCTTTTGTGTTTATTATTCCTTTGCTTACAAAACATAGTTTGTCACATATTATAAACCTATGTTCTGGCCACCTATTGCTGCCTTAAAAACTACCTCAAAACCAGCCTGGCGCAGTGGCTCATGCCTATAATCCCAGCACTTTGGGAGGCTGAGGCGGGTGGATCATGAGGTCAGGAGTTCGAGACCAGCCTGGCCAACATGGTGAAACCCTGTCTGTACTAAAAATACAAAAATTAGCTGGGCGTGGTGGCGCACACCTGTAATCCCAGCTACTCAGGAGGCTGAGGTAGGAGAATTGCTTGAACCTAGGAGGTGGAGGTTGCAGTGAGCCCAGATCACGCCACTGCACTCCAGCATGGGTGACAAGATCGAGACTCTGAAAAACAAAACAAAACAAAACAAAAAATCTACCTCAAAACCTAGTAGCTTAGAGCATCCACCATTGAATTGTATCTCCTGATGTTATGGGTTAGGAATTCAGGCAGGGTTCAGCTGGGTGACTGTTCTTTTCACACAGCGGATGGGCCAGTCTGGGAAGTGCTAGTGAAGTCCTCTCATCCCAAGTCTGGAGGCTTGGTGGGGTTGAGTTGAAGACTGAGTCAGCTGGGACTGTTTACTGGAGAATGGACTCCAGAATGACTGACTTGGGGTAAGCCGACTTCTCATATGGTAGCCCAGGACATCCAGAGATATTCCAAGAGAGCCAAACAGAAGCTAGAAGGCTTCTTATGACTTAGCCTCAGAAGCCCTGGAACTTCACTTCTGCTGCCATCTATTGGTCAAGCCAGTCTCTAAGGCCAGGCCAAATTCAAAGGGAGGGGAATTAGCTTTAGGTAAGGGGAGAATTAGAAAAGCATTTGTGGCAGAGGCTAGTCACAGTGGTGGGCACCTGTAGTTACAGCTACTCAGAAGGCTGAGGCAGGATCACTTGAGCCCAGTAGTTCAAGGCCAGTCTGGGCAACATAGCGAGACCCTGTCTCTAAAACTAAATACATAAATAAATTAATTAATAAAAATGCATAAATTTTAAAATAAATGGTATGGGAGAATTGGGTTAAAAAAAGAATTTGTGGCCGTCTTTAATCTCTCACAGCCCCTACACAAGATTTATTTTTTAGTATTTTTAAAGCCAGATGGTGACAGGGGCCCTGTACATGCTGAACGATCCACAGCAAATGTCACCTTCTTATTTAGGCTTATCCTGATACCGTATTTTTTCTTTCTTTCTTTCTTTCTTTCTTTCTTTCTTTCTTTCTTTCTTTCTTTCTTTTTCTTTTTCTTTCTTTCTTTCTTTCTTTTCTTTTTCTTTCTTTCTTTCTTTTCTTTCTTTCCTTCTTTCCTTTCTTTCTTTTTTCTAAAAAAAAATTTTATTATGGAAAGATTGAAACACATAAAAATATAGTATCATGAACTCCCACATGTACCCATCACCCAGCTTCAACAATTATCAGCCCATGAACCATCTTGTCACAGCCATATCTGCACCCACATCCCCCAACTCCCATATTATTTTGAAACAAATCCCCAACATCAAGTCATTTTTATCTGCAAATTTAGTATATGTTTCTAAAAGATAAGGACTCTCTAAAAAAAACCATAGCCTTAGTATTATTCCGCATTTTCAAAAATAATTCCTTAATATCAATGGATATTCAAGTCAGTGTTCAAATCTCCAATTGTCTCATAAGTGTCATAAATGGGTGTGTATTTTAAAGTTTGTTTGAATTGGGATCCAAATGAGGTCCAAACATAGCTACTGGTTCATCTTTAAGTCTCTTTTAGTCTAGGTTCCTCCATCATGTCTTTATTCCCTGCAATTTATTTGTTGAAGATACCAGGTAGTTTGTCCTGTAGAGTTTCCCATAGTCTGGAGTTGGCTAATTGCATCCCTGTGATGTCATTTAACACGTTACTCAGTCTCCTGTATTTTCTGTAAATTTTTAGTTGACTCTAGAGGCTTGAATAGATTCAGGTTGATTTTTTCTTTTTGTCAAGAATACTTCAGAATACTATGCAGCCATAAAAAAGAAGAAGAAGATCATGTCCTTTGCAGGGACATGGATGGAGCTGGAAGCTGTTATCCTCAGCAAACAAATGCAGGAACAGAAAACCAAACACTGCATGTTCTCACTTATAGGTGGGAGCTGAACAATGAGAACACATGGACACAGGGAGGGGAACAACACACACTGGGGCCTGTCGGGGGCGGGGCGGGTGGTGGGAGAGCATCAGAAAAAAATAGCTAATGGATGCTGGGCTTAATACCTAGGTGATGGGTTGATCTGTGCAGCAAACCACCATGGCACGTTTACTTATGTAACAAACTGCACGTCCTAAACATGTACCCCAGAACTTAAAATAAAAGCTGAGGAGAAAAATAAAAAGAATACTTCATAGGTGGTATACTGGGTTAAATAGTGTTACCCAAATTTCATGTCTACCTGGAATCTGTGAATGTGACCTTATTTGGAAATAGGGCCTTTGTAGATGTAATCAAGTTAAGATGAGGTCATACTGGATTAGGGGAAGCCTAATCCAATATGACTGGTGTCCATAAGAGGGAAATTTGGACACAGACACCCATAGAGGGAAGATGGCCACATGAATATGGAGGTAGAGGTTGTAATTATGCAGTCATAAGCCAAAGAATATCAAAGCTTGCCAGAAACCACCAGAATCTAGGAGGAAGCAAGGAAGGATCCTCCCCTAAAGCCTTTGGAGGGAGCACAGCTCTATTGACACCTTGATTTCAGAGTTTTAGCCTCCAGAACTTTGAGAGAATAAACGTGAGTGTTTTGTTGTTGTTGTTGTTTGTTTGTTTTTGAGATGGAGTCTCGCTCTGTTGCCAAGGCTGGAGTGCAATGGCGAGATCTCACCTCACTGCAACCTCAGCCTCCCAGGTTCAAGCGATTCTCCTGCCTCAGCCTCCTGAGTAGCTGGGATTACAGGTGCCCGCCACCATGTCTGGCTAATTTTTGTATTTTTAGTAGACACGGGGTTTCACCTTGTTGGCCAGGCTGGTCTCAAACTCCTAACCTCAAGTGATCTGCCCGCCTCGGCCTCCCAAAGTGCTGGGATTATAGGCATGAGCCACTGTGCCCGGCCATGTGTTGTTTTAAGACACTCATTTTATGGTACTTTGTTATGGAAGCCCTAGGAGATGAATCCAGGTGGTGGGCTGTTTCTCCAAAAGAGACATATAAGAGACCAGCCCCCCAAATATAAAAAAATTGTAAAACACATAAGATCTAGTTGTATCTCTTTTTGTGGTGCTGGCAGCCACTGGTGATTAATTCTATTCTTCTTATTAGCCAGAATACTTCCATAAAAAGAAATATCCCCTCATGTATTATTTGAGTAGTCAGTGGTAGTCTGTGTCGAAAACAGTATAAATGCTTGTTTATTAAAAAGTTTCCTTATAATTATCTGTCTTTTAAAAATCACTAAAGAACTGGCTTGCTAGCATCTTCCAACAGTAACTAATTAACCGAGTTTTGTTTTGTTCTGTTTTATCTTTTTGGTGCAACAAAATGTTCCAGGCTCTTCCTGTACACTTCTTGACCCAGACCTTGAATTAGCCATCTCTCCAAGGAGACCTGTTCATTTCTGTGGGAAATCCGTGTTTCAGTGTTCCAATCTGAACCTTGCCTACAACCTTGCCTTTCAAATTACAAACTGGCCCATCCTTCTGCCTCTCAGTCTCCTTTATCCTCCTCTATTTTTCCATAGTAATGTTCTCCTCCTAACATACTATATATCACTTATTCATTATTATTTGTTGTATATTAAGTGCCACAAAATTAGAGACATTTTTCCTTTGTTGTTGTTGTTGTTGTTGTTGTTCACTTATGTATCCCCGGTAGCCAGAAGAGTGCCTGGCCCATACGTAGTATTCAATAGATATTTGCTGAATGACTGAATGAATTGCACAGGCTTAGAGGCTGGACTGGACCATACATTTTATCTCATGTATGCCAAAGATGCTGACCACAGTAGAGGAAGGAGGTCTTTTGTGAGGACAGACTTTCAAATGACAATTCAATCTCTTTAATGATTATTGCATTTTTTTCAGATTTTCCATTTTTTCCTTAGTTTGATTCTAGTAATTTACTCTATTTAGGTTCTCAAATGTATTTCTATAAAGTCTTCACAATATTCTCTTATTATAGAACATTTCAAAAATATTATAGAACATTTCAAAAGTATAAAAATACATAAAAGAGTGCAGTTTTGTTTTTTTTTTTGAGACAGGGTCTCACTCTGTCATCCAGGATGGAGTGCAGTCACACGATCTCGGTTCACTGAAACCTCTACCTCCTGGGCTCAAGTAATCCTCCCACCTCAGCCTCCCAAGTAGCTAGGACTATAGGTGTGCACCACCAAGTCCAGCTAATTTTTGTATATTTTGTAGAGATGGGGTTTTGCCATGTTGCTGAAGCTGATCTCTACCTCCTAGGCTTAAGTGATCCTCCCAACTCAGCCTCCCAAGTAGCTGGAACTACAGGCATGTGCTACCGCCGCACCTAGCTACTTTTTGTATTTTTAATAGAGACAGGGTTTCCCCATGTTGCCCAGGCTGATCTTGAACTCCTGAGCTGAAGTGATCCTCCGGCCTTGGCCTCCCAAAGTGCTGGGATTACAGGTGTGAGCCACCATACCTGGCGCCCTGGATTATCTTCAAGGAAATCCCAGATATCCCACCATTTTATGATAAGTATCTCAGTATATACATCTAAAAGATAAAGGGCTTGGCGCGGTGTCTTACGCCTGTAATCCCAGCACTTTGGGAGGCCAAGGCAGGTGGATCACCTGAAGTCAGGAGTTCAAGATAAGCCTGGCCAACATGGTGAAACCCCATCTCTACTAAAAATACAAAAATTAGTTGGGCGTGGTGGCGCTTTTCTGTAATCCCAGCTACTTGGGAGGCTGAGGCAGGAGAATAGCTTGAGCCTGGGAGGCGGAGGTTGTAGTGAGCAGAGATCGCGCCGTTGCACTCCATCCTGGGCTACAGAATGAGACTCCATCTCAAAAAATAATAATAATAAATAAAATAAAATAAAATAAAACATAAAGACTTATTTCTAGTATTTTCTTCATGATCGTTAAAATCTCTACTACGTCTATAGTAATGTTCTGTTTTATTTTTAATATTGTTTATGCCTTCTCTCTCCTTTTTTTTTTTTTTTTGAGATGGAGTCTCGCTCTGTCGCCCAGGCTGGAGTGCAGTGACACGATCTCGGCTCACCGCAAGCTCCGCCTCCCGGGTTCACACCATTCTCCTGCCTCAGCCTCCCGAGTAGCTGAGACTACAGGCGCCCGCCACCACGCCCGGCTAATTTTTTGTATTTTTAGTACAGACGGGGTTTCACCGTGTTAGCCAGGATGGTCTCGATCTCCTGACCTCGTGATCCGCCCGCCTCGGCCTCCCAAAGTGCTGGCATTACAGGCGTGAGCCACTGAGTCCGGCCTCTCTTTCTTTTTAAACTTTAAATTTCAAACTTACAGAAATGTTGCAACAATAGTACAAAGAATTCCTGAATATCCTTTACCCAGATTCACCAGTTTAAAAAAACTTGCCCCACTTGCTTTATCACTTGCCTTCTCTCTGTATGTGTGTGTGTATATATATATTTTTTCAGAAGCATTTGTAAATTGGAGCTATTGTTCTCCTTCACCTGTGGATATTTCAGTGTGTATTTTCTAACAAAGACATTCTTTTACACACGACAGTACAATAAGAAAATTTAGCCTTGATTTGTTACTACTATACTCCAATCTTGACAACTGTTTCAATACCATCCTTTATAGTTACTTTTTTCACAGTCCAGGATCACACATTACATTTAATTGTCTCCTGAACTGGGGAGAGTTCCCCAGACTTTGTGACATTGGCATTTTTGATGCATATAGGCCAGTTGTTTTGTACAATGTCCCTCAATTTGGGTTTATCTGATGCCTCCCCACGAACAGACTCAGGTTATGCATTTTTGGAGGACTACCACAGAAATTATGCTTGTTCTCAGAGCAGCATAGCAGGAGGTAAATTGCATCATTTTTTTCCCATTATTGTTGATGTTCTTTCATTATCCGTTTACAGTGGTGTCTTGCCATTGTAAAATTACTACTTTCCCCTTTGTTATTAATAATTTGTGGCTTTGTTTGGGGGTATATAAGTATCCTATTCCTCATCAAGCTTTCACCCATTGATGACTCTTGCCCAAATCAGTTATTACTACTATGGTTACTAAATGGTGAGTTAGTTTCTTTCTTTTCTTTCTTTCTTTTTCTTTCTTTCTTTTCTTTCTTTCCTCCCTTTTTCTCTTTCTTTTTCTTTTTTGTTTCCCTCCCTCCCTCCTTCCTTCTTTCCTTCCTTCCTTCCTTCCCTCCTTCCCTCCCTCCCTCCTTCCTTCCTTCCTTCCTTCCTTCCTTCCTTCTCTCTCTCTTTCTTTTCTTTCTTTCTTTGTCCGAGTTTCACTCTTGTTGCCCAGGCTGGAGTGCAGTGGCGTGATCTTGGCTCACTGCAACCTCCACCTCCCAGCTTCAAGCGATTCTCATGCCTCAGCCTCCTGAGTAGCTGGGATTACAGGCGCCCACCACCACGCCCGGCTAATTTTTTGTATTTTTAGTAGAGACGGGGTTCTGCCATGTTGCCCAGGCTGGTCTTGAACTCCTGACTTCATCCATCTTTCTCGGCCTCCCAAAGTGCTGGGATTACAGGCGTGAGCCACCATGCCTGGCCATCAGTTCATAGTACTTTCAAATATCCCTTTTGATTTCTTCTTGATGCATAAATTTTTTAGAAGGCATATTAATTTCCAAATATTTGTGTATTTTCCAGAGATACATTATTGGTTTCTAATTCAATTCCATCATGGTCATGGAGCATACTTTATATGATCTGAATCCTTTCAATGTGTTGAGACTTGCGGTGACCCAAAATATTGTCTATCTTGGTAAATGTTCCATGTGCACTTGAAAAGAGTATGTTTTCTGACGTTCTTAGTTGGAACATTCCACAAATGTAAATGAGGTCAATTTGGTTGATAATGTTGTTCAAGTCATATATCTTTACCAATTTTCTGTGTACTTGTACTACCCTGATTTTCATAGAGGGATACTGAAATCTTCAACTACAGTCATTAATTTGTCTACTTTCTCCCACGGTTCTTTCATTTATGCTTCATGTATTTTGATGCTCTGTTAAGTACATAAGTGTTTAGGATTATTATGTCTTCCTGATGAGTTGACCTCTTTGATCAATGTAAAATGACCCTTTTTTCCTAGCAGTAATCATTGCTCTGAAATCTACATCATCAGTTCTTATAATGTCACTCTAGTTTTCTTTTGATTTTTGTTAGCGTACATCTTTTTCACTCTTTTAATATTCTTAGCTAAAAAAAGGAAGAAGCAGAGCAGTTGTATAGTATGCTACTATTTGTGTTACAAGGCAGAAATATGTATGTACATATCTACTTGCATATACATAAAATAGCTCAGGGAGTGAGGAAACTAAAATTATCTGTTGGCTGTTGGGAAGTGCACTGGTTAAATGGAAAAAAGGGATGAGAGGAAAATTTCACTGTATACGCTATCATAGTTTTTAAATTTAAGGTTATACAAATATATTTCAATTATTCAAATATAATTTTTCAATTATGCAAATTATACTAATTTTTTAAATTCAAACATTAAAAAATAAAAACAAACAGATAACTCTCTAATAAAAAGCATTATATCAGAAACAGAAAAATAATCATCAAGCAAATAGCATATGAAAAAGTTACCATATCCAGGCACAGTGGCTCACGCCTGTAAATCCAACACTTTGGGAGGCCAAGGAGGGCAGATTGCTTGAGCTCAGGGGTTTGAGACCAGCCTAGGCAACACGGTGAACCCCGTCTCTACAAAAAAAAAAAAAAAATACAAAAATTAGCTGGGCGTGGTGGTGCATGCCTGTAGTCCCAGCTACTTGAGAAGCTGAGGTGGGAGGATGGCTTGAGCCTGGAAGGCAGGGGCTGCAGTGAGCTGTGATCGCTCCACTGCACTCTGGCCTTGGAGACAAAGTGAGACTCTGTCTCAAAAAATAAAAGAAACAGCTACCTGCCTCATTCAGTGAGTGTATTAGTTTTCTAGGGATGCCTTAACAAGTACCACGTGCTAGGTTCTGGCTTAAACATGAGATTTGTTTTCTCACAGTTCTGGCGACTAGAAGTCCAAGATCAAGGTGCAGGCAGGGTTGGTTTCTTCTGAGGTCTGTCTCCTCGGCTTGTAGATGACTGGCTGTCTTCTCCCTCTGATTGTGTGTCTGTGTGCTAATTTCCTTTTCTTATAAGGATACCAGTCATATCGGATTAGAGTCCACCCTAATGACCTTATTAATTAATTTACAATGACCTCTTTAAAGACCTATCTTCAAATACAGTCACTTTCTGAGGTACCATGGGTCAGGACTCCAACATAGGAATTTTGAGAGGACACAATCATCCCATCACAGTGAATCACCAGAAAGATTTACACAACTCAAGATCAGTTTATACTAATAGCTAAGAGGTAGTAATAGCAAATGATACAGAAAAGAAGGGAGCTGGAAAAATATATACATCAGGCATGGTGACTCATGCCTGTAATCCCAGCACTTTGGGAGGCCAAAGCGGGAGGATTTCTTGAGGCTAGCAGTTCAAGACCAGCCTGGCCAACAGAGTGAGACCCTGGTCTCTCTTTAATATACATACATATACATCGGGGGGTCCAGAGAAGCCCAGCACAGGCTTCCAATGTCCTTCTTCATTTAAGAAGAAGCCACACAGGATGTGATCTATCCCTCTCGAGCAGCAAGCCACAGAGCATGGACAGAATGTCTCTGCCCAGGGAAGCCTGTTTGGAGTTTCAGGGTCTGAGAGACTCACATAGGGGCTGGTCACACACATACAACCTGCTAGCAACTGGCCATGGCACCTGAAACTCAGGACCCCAAGCATGGATCCGGGTTCACACACGTCATCGATCTTTGCACAAAGCAACCCTGACAAGCTGGTATGGTATGTTCCATCACTCCAGGTGTACATAACAAAATCACGAATCAGTAAAAGAACACTCTGAGGGCCACATTCCCGGGGGATAGCTAAGGGTGAGTCATGGTTCCCTTGGAGACGTGAAAGAAATAACAGAGCTGCTATGTTACCTCTTTGCTCAGAAAACCCAACCGGGAGATTTCTCTATTCCTAACTCCCATCACTTACGAACGGGAGTTGAGGTACAGGTTTTAGGGATAGGGAAGTGAGGGGGTGAGGGAGGTAGGGATTGGGCACCATTTGGCCTACAAATTACATATATCCAGGAATCGTGTTTTAATTGAAATTATCATCTTTACCATGAAAAATGGATACCTCTGCTTTTCTGGGCTTTTTTCCTAATTATGTCAACCTTCCCAGCTCTTGGAACAGAATGCAAAGTCCTTTGCATGATACACAGAGCCCCATCTGATCTCCCCACTCCGGGATCTCCCTGCCCTCATCTCCATGGCCTTCTTGCTTCATGTCTCTGCTCCAGCCATGATGGCAATCCTGAGGTTCCTCACACACACCAGGCCCCTACCCACTTCAGGGCCTTGGCTGTCGCTGTTCTGTCTGCCTGGAGTGTTCTTAGAAATCCTCTTCACTGTCCCCTCATCTCCTGCATGTCTCTCCTCAAAGGTCACCTCATCGGAGGCCTCCTGGCCACTGTATCTAAAACAGCAGCCCTTGCCACTCTCTGCGCCCTTTCCTCAATCCTCAAACCTGACAATATATCGTTAACCTGAATATTTAATTATTTTTTACCTGTTCCTCCTCCAACTCCCAAGCAGAATGCCTGCACCATGGGGGTAGGGACAGTTTCTGGTTCACAGCGAGGTCCTGAGGCCTAGCACCATGCCTGGCTGAGTGAGTGCCTACTGAGTGAATGAATGAATTCGATCCAGACAGACACTGGGTGGAGGAAGGAAAAGATTTAGGACAGAATAAGATTCCCTATTTTTAGCTCCAGACTACAGAGGAAATAACTCAACTAAACTGTTAACTTTTCTCTCAGGATTCACATATGCTAATATTATATTTAACATAAACTTTCTTTTAGAAAGGTGATTCTTGCTCCCCTTTAAGGGGCTAACACTCTAACAGTTTATTTATTTCTTTATTTTTTCTGATGACAAGTAACATATTTGTAAAAGAAAATTAAACAATGCAGAAAGGAGTAAAGTAGAAAGTGCAAGTCCTTTGGACTGGAGGTTGGGGGAGAGGAAGAGCTGGGGCTAACGCATTTTGAAGGGGACAGCTGTCACATTGTTGGCATCATGGCAGCTGTGTCCATAGGGCTCACCAAAATGTCCCCCTGGATAAAATGGCCACATCAAGCTGTCTTCTTGCTTTGCTGTTTATGTCCTTTGCCTGTGTTTTTAGGAAAATGTCCTCGAATGTGTATTTTTTTAATTTTTAAAGTTTTTGTTATATTAAAAAAGTCTTTTGTCTGTCCAACAAATTACTAATTCTTTTCTCCAAATTATTGCTTGACCTCTAACTTTGTGGTGCTTTCCACCATTCAGAAGTGATTTTATTTTAATTGTTATTTTTTTTGAGACAGAGTCTCACTTTGTCACCCAGGTTGGAGTGCAGTGGCATGATCTTGGCTCACTGCAACCTCTACCTCCCAGGTTCAAGTGATTCTCATGCCTCAGCTTCCTGAGTAGCTGGGACTACAGGCATGCCACCATGCCTAGCTAATTTTTTGTATTTTTAGTAGAGACAGGAGGTTTGCCATGTTGGCCAGGCTGGTCTTGAACTCCTGGCCTCAAGCAATCCGCCCACCTCGGCTTCCCAGTGCTGGGATTACAGGTGTGAGCCACCGCGCCCGGCCACAGAAGTGATTTTTATCGGATAGTGAATTCTGTCAATTCTTTGCCTTTATTGTCTCTGCCTTTGGTATCATGCTTAGAAAGGTCTTCTCCCAGCCGGGCACGGTGGCTCATGCTGGTAATCCCAGCACTTTGGAAGGCCAACGCGGATGGGATCACGAGGTCAAGAAATTGAGACCATCCTGGCTAACAGGGTGTAAACCCCATCTCTACTAAAAATACAAAAATTAGCTGGCCGTGGTGGTGTGCACCTGTATAGTCCCAGCTACTCGGGAGGCTGAGGCAGGAGAATCACTTGAATCCAGGAGGCAGAGGTTGCAGTGAGCTGAGATCACGCCTCTGCACTCCAGCTTGGGGACAGAGCAAGACTCCATCTCAAAAAGAAAAAAAAAAGGTCTTCTCCCTGCCTCCCCCCAGCCCCCGCCCACCCCCGGATTAGAAAAGTGTTCACCTAAATTTGCTTCTAGTATTGTCATGGTTTGATTTTGTTTTTCATTTAAATTTTCAAGGCACCTGGAATTATTTGGTGATAATAGACATTTATAGAGTGCTTATGATGTGTCAGGTTCTGTTCCAAGTGCCTTATATTGATCATCTTATTTGAAAGCTGGTAGAAACCGTGTTTTCACAGGTGAGGAAACTTAGGGACAGGAGGTTGGGTACTTATCCAAGACCATACAGTTGGTGAAACCTGGTCCATCTAATGCTAAAGCCTACACAGCGTTCTTGTAAGGATTAGAATTGGTGTATGTAAAGTTTCTGGAATATAGGAGGCAGTCAACAGATGATAGAGTTTAATATTATTGCATAGTTCCCATAAATATAATTTTTGATGGCTGTATATTATTTTTCAAAATGGTATCTTTTAAAGTTCAGTTTATTTCTAAACTATTATTCCTTCACAAGTATGAAAAGCCTTTAGAATTCCATGGGAATAAATGAAATCTTTATGTCAAGAAAGTGTTCTCATAAACAGGGAGGGGAACAACACACACCGGGGCCTGCTGGGGAGCCAGCAGGGAGAGAGAGCATCAGGATCAATAGCTAATGCATGTGGGGCTTAATACGTAGGTGATGGGTTGACAGGTGCAGCAAACCACCAAGGCACACGTTTACCTATGTAACAAACCTGCACATCCTTCACATGTACCCCGGACCTTAAAATAAAATAAAAATAATTAAAAATAAAAAGCATGTTGTCATAAAAAGAAATTTTGGAAGGATGTACATCAACATGTTTAGAGTTTCATTGGGTAATGGAATAACTGGGTTTTCTTAAAAAAAAAAAAAAAAATCTTGCCTCGGCAGGGTGCAGTGGCTCACACCTGTAATCCCAGCACTTTGGAAGGCCGAGATGGGCAGATCACAAGGTCAGGAGTTCGAGACCAGCCTGACCAACATGGCGAAACCCCATTTCCACTAAAAATACAAAAATTAGCCGGGTGTGGTGGCAGGCACCTATAATCCCAGCTACTCAGGAGGCTGAGGCAAGAGAATATCTTGAACCCAGGAGGCAGAGGTTACAGTAAGCTGTAATTTCGTTACTGCACTCCAGCCTGGGCGACAGAACGAAACTCCGTCTGAAAAAAAAAAAAAGCTTGCCTCTATATTCCAGTTTTCTAGAAAGAGTGTTTTTTTATTTTGTGAACAGAAAAATAACCACAATAACTGCTATATATATGTTTTAAAGGCTATGAATGAAAGGAGGTGCGGCGTATGTAGAGAGTGACAGGCTTATAAGATTTTCTTTTTGTTAACATGGTAAGAACCTGAAGCTGATAGGAAGGATAAATGGAGAGAGGGTGGCTCTCCAGGAGCAGAAGGGCAGTGAAGGAGGGAGGGAGGTCTTTGAGGAGGCAGCAGGCAAGAGGAGGTTTATGCAGCATTTATACAATTATATAAAGACAGAAAGAATGAAAGAAAAGATGTAAAAACGGATACCCTGGTATCGGGGTAGTGGGATGATGGTTGCATTTTACTTTTATTCTGTATTTGTATCTTCTTGTGTATGTTTACTTCTTTTATACATTCCATTTCCCTCCATCCAGATCCATAACTTTTTAAAATTTTTATTATTTTATTATTATTAAGATGGAGTCTCACTCTGTCACCCAGGCTGGAGTGCAGTGGTGCAATCTCGGCTCACTGCAACCTCTGCCTCCCGAGTTCAAGCGATTCTCCTGCCTCAGCCTCCTGAGTAGCTGGGAATGCAGGCATGCGCCACCACACCCGGCTCATTTTTGTATTTTTAGTAGAGACGGAGTTTCACCATTTTGGCAAGGCTGTTCTTGAGTTCCTGACCTCAATTGATCGCCCGCCTTGGCCTCCCAAAGTGTTGGGATTACAGGCTTGAGCCACCGCGCCCAGCCTATTACTATTATTTTTGAGACAGGGTCTTACTCTGTCACCCAGGCTGGAGTAAAATGGCACAATCACAGCTCACTGCAGGCCTGATCTCCTGGGCTCAGGTAATCCTCCCACCTCAGTCTCCTGAGTAGCTAGGGCTACTGGCATGTACCACCACACTTGGCTAATTTTTTTTTTTTTTTTTTTTTTGGTAGACACGGGTTTTCACCATGTTGCCCAGTCTGGTCTGGAACTCCTGACCTTAAGTGATCTGCCTGCCTTGACCTCCCAAAGTGCTAGGATTACAGGCATGAGCCACCATGCCCAGCCAAATCCATAACTTTTAAAATCAGGGGGAAATGTTATTTATCATGAAACCAAAAGTAGAAAATCTGTTTCCCAGTGCAGGAGGACCATAAATTAGAGGTAGCTGGGGCACCTGACTCTGGCACAGAAGCCACCCTGGAAGAAACTTTTTTTTTTTTTGAGACAGTCTCACTCTGTCACCCAGGCTCAAGTGCAGTGGCACGATTTTTCCTCGCTGCAACCTCTGCCTCCTGGGTTCAAGCGATTCTCCTGCCTCAGCTTCCCAAGTAGCTGGGATTACAGGCGCATGCAACCACACCCGGCTAATTTTTTATATTTTTGGCAGAGACAGGGTGAAACAGGAGTTGGCCAGGCTGGTCTCCAACTCCTGACTTCAAATGATCTGCCCGCCTCGGCCTCCCAAAGTTCTGGGATTACAGGAATGAGCCACCGTGCCCAGCCCACCCTGGAAGAAACTGCTAGGGCTTCCCACCCTCCAGTGTCCTATCTTTCTAGTGGCCTGTTGCGTCTGTTTTCTCTCTCAGGCCCTTGGTCCATTTCCCCACTTCTTCCCCTTTCTGATTAACTATAATTATAGAATTATCCATTTCTTCTAAGAGACTTCCATTTTAATATCTCAGACATTGTGTTGCCCCCCACCTCCCGGCTCTTATAATCAGTAGCATGTTGTAATAGACAATGTGTCATGCCACCTAGGTTCCCCTTCCTGGACAGGTCATCTTTGAGTAGTGGCTGAGAATGCTGCCAGCAGACAGCCCTCAGTGAGTGGGTGACTCTTTGGAATCACCTCTTTTGAAGAAAGCTACCTCTGCTGAAGAGATGCCCATTCCTAAGGGAGCCCACATCCAATGACCAGTCAACATGGGGATATGAAGACCCAATTCACTCACCACAAGGCAGGGCAACACTGAAGGGCCATCTCAGCTTCTCGAGCTCCCCGTGGGGTTGGCTGAGGCCTTTGTTGTGACTGCATGGCATCCCAACTTCTCCCTGTGCCCCACCAACCCTGCTTGGTTCTCCTCCTCCAGTATTAATCCCAAGGGTGTTCTCCCATAAATGTCCTGCATTCTCACCTCCTTTTCAGCCTGCTTCCCAGAGAACCCAACCTGCAATACATCCTAACTTCACTGGCAGCATTTTTTCTTCCTTGGTGGTACATAAAATAATGGTATATCTTATAATTGATAGCCTCTTAGATTTGATGAAACACTGGAATATTTTTTGGTCTATGAAACTTAAAATATTTTCCATGATCCCCATTTTTACCCTAACAAGCACAAAACACCACTTTCTTGGCACTTGAGGCAACAGAGGTTATTTTTGGTTGCCTACCCAACACCAAACCAATTCTCCGCTTCTTCCTTCTTCATCGAATTCTGATTCTGTTCAATGTGTCCCAAGGGAAATGGAGTTTAATCTTAGCTCCAGAAATGGACCTGATTGGGCAAACGGCAATCCCACCCCCAGTTGCCAGTGACTGGTTAAGAAATGGGTGCATGGGCCCATTCTGGCCAGTGGGACTTAAGGAGAGATTTTTCACCCCTTTTAAGAGAGTTGACACAGAAAGATTTTCTCAAAGAAACTTGCACCCAGATTACTATTGGCAGCCCTTGTCTGACCACAAGGACTGGCCTTAGGATGAAGTTGGCTCTATGGACAGCAGAATAATGAGGTGGAAATCGCATGGGTCTTTGACATCATAATGGAGCAGTGGATCAAACTGATCTGGCCTGAGCTACCTCTGCACTTCCCAATTACATAGCCAATAAACCCCCTCATTGTTTAAGCCAGTTTGAGCTGGGCAACCTGGCTGGAAGTCTAGAACATCCTAACTGGCACAAAGGCCCTCCTATCCGGCTTTCTCTCTTATCACTTCCTTCTACATCCTCTCTGCCACAACCAAATTAGAATACTCACCATTCCCCACACTGCCCTGTGATTTTCTTTTTTTTTTTTTTAGATGTTTCACTCTTGTTGCCCAGGCTGGAGTGCAGTGGCGCAATCTCGGCTCACTGAAACCTCTGCCTCCTGGGTTCAAGTGATTCTCCTGCCTCAGCCTTCCAAGTAGCTGGGATTACAGGCACCCACCACCACGCCCAGCTAATTTTTGTATTTTTAGTAGAGACGGGGTTTCACCATGTTGGCCAGGCTGGTCTCGAACTCCTGACCTCAGGCGATTGCCCGCCTTGTCCTCCCAAAGTGGATTTTCTTTTTTTACCCAGGCATTTGCCCAAGCAGACTTTCTGGCTAAAACCTTTCCTCTAGCCTTGCATCCTCTATATCCACCTGTCCAAATTTCCCTCACTCTCAAAAGTCTCATTTTAAATGTTGCTTTTCCCTGAAGCTTCTCCTGGAATGATCCATCCCTCCCTTCTCATTCTGATCACTTCCTCTTTGAATTCCCATAGCATTAGATATGCAGCACTGAATCCAGCCTTGCCTCACATTAGAGTCACTTGTACACCTGACCTTAAGCCCCCTGAGGGCAGGGATAGTTTGTATTTATCCCAAAGTCCTGAAACAACTAGTACAGAACCTGAGACACAGAAAGGCCCCAGAATTGTCTACTGAATAGAACAATGATAGTGCCGAATTTGGTTACTCCTTTTAACCTGTATGACCCCAGACGTTTGTTTTCTATGAAGGCTCAAAACATGGTTATGTTTCCTAATTCACAAATAACTCATGTAAACCCATGTTTTGAAAATGGGAGTGGGGAGGATCAACTGAAGGCAGCCTCTTCACCCAAGTTCCAAAGGCCAGGTGGCCCATTGTGAACCTTGTTTAACCACACAGAACACATGAATAGCTAGAACAAGGGATTTAACAGTTACCAGAATGTTTTCAGAGAGGTGACTTCAGAAGTGCCAAGCTTCAGGAAGACCCAGACAGAGAAGGGATAGGACAACTTTAGGAAAGTAGGTGCCAAGCAGCCCCTTTACAGTTTACACACAGGCCTTGGTGTCAGAAAAATAGGTTTGAGTACTGGTTATGCATCAGAGATGTCACTCTGGACAAGCTTCTTATGCTCTCTGGGATTCAGCTTTCTCATCTAAAAAATGGGGATAATAGCCGGGTGCAGTGGTTCGTGCCTGTAATCCCAGCACTTTGGGAGGTCGAGGCGGGCAGATCACCTGAGGTCAGGAGTTCGAGACCACCCTGGCCAACATGGCAAAACCTCATCCCTACTAAAAATACAAAAATTAGCCGGGCGTGGTGGCTTGTGCCTGTACTCGCAGCTACTCAGGAGGCTGAGGCAGGAGAATCACTTGAACCTGGGAGGCAGAGGTTGCAGTGAGCCGAGATTGCGCCACTGCACTCCTGCCTGGGCAACAGAGTAAGACTGTCAAAAAAAAAAAAAAAAAAAAGAAAGAAAGAAAGAAAAAAGAAAAAGGGGGGATAATAATAGTGCTTACCTCAAGAGGTTGCTGTGAACACCAAAAGAAGCAATACACACCAAGTGCCTACAGATAGTAAGCACTTGGTAAAAATGTAACTGCCATTAAAAATAAATATGATGCTTACAGGGTCAGTGGAAAGTAGGAGTAGTGGGAACAGAATAGGAGGGAACAAAGCACCTCTGAGTAGACCTTTCTGTATAGCTCTGACTCTTATTATGTTTCACCGTAATAATTCATTAAAACTAGGATATGAAGGCTGAGGGTGTATTTGTAATAAAAACACTAATGAACCAAACTGCATTATAAATAACGGCCACACTGAAAGGGATGAAAAAGAAAAGAAGTAATTTTGGAAAACATTATTTTGACTGGATACTGTAAGGCAAGCTTGTCCAACCTGCGACCCGGGATGGCTTTAAACGTGGCCCAACACAAATTAGTAAACTTTCTTAAAACATCATGAAATTTTTTTGATTTTTTTTTTTTAGCTTATCAGCTATCGTTAGTGTTAGTGTATTTTACGTGTGGCCCAAGACAATTCTTCTTTTTCTAGTGTGGCCCAGGGAAGCCAAAAGATTGGACACCCCTGCGGTAACGCTTCGGACAAAAAGATCTTTCCGCAAATAATGGACTCTAGTTAGTCGATCTGTTACAGGCATACGGAACTACTTTATGATACTAGGGTCAAACAAATAAGTGAATAAAGTGTACATAACAAGAGCCACATTTCCCACTGTTGAAAAAGCTAAAAAGAAGAAGAGTGGCAGGCTAGGATGAAGGCTGTGGATTACAGCAGAAACATTAGTTATCAACCCATGTTTATTTTAATATGTATACAGACAGATACAGAAATAGACGTAGATGTGTGTGTATGCATGGTTAGTATGCATGTTTTATTTCCTAATCCTATCCACTGGGAGGACCTACAAACAATTTACAAATTGTTTGTATGACACTCCAATAGAAATGAGCATGCCTAGCACCAGATCCTGGTTTCTAATAGTATTCTCCAATAATGGAACCAGGGCTCCTTGAAGTAATGGCTGATTCTGGGTCAGGGTAGGGAAAACACAAGATGAGCCTGTTATGTCTTGTAGTGCCAGAAAATAGACACACTCAAAAAAGGGTAGGGGCATGACAAGAGGACACAGGGGGCAACGGGAAGATGCGGGGCAGAAAGTTCCAAGCAGAGGAAGCCACATGAAAAATAATCAAACCTTTGACTTATGTTCAGAGCTCTCAGATATTGCCATAATTAAAGGAACAGAAAAAATGTTGGGAAAGGAAGTTCTACTGAAAAGCTACCAAGTTTGAATGTCACTTCACTCATTAATCATGATGAGGAAGTCCATTATGAAGTACATCCATATTGTGTAAAGAGAAAACTTGAAACTTAATTTGGCAGTGTTTAATGCTTGAAGTTGCAAATAATAATGAAAATCATTAAAACATCATCACTCTTTCAAGTGGTTTAAAGTGTCTATAAAATTCACATTTGAAAATGGCAGAACAAGCTGAGCATGGTGGCTGATGCCTGTAATCCCAGCACTGTGGGAGGCCATGGCGGGGGACTGTCTGAGCCCAGGAGTTCTGAGACCAGCCTGGGAAACAGAGTGGGACCGTATCTCTAAAAAAATAAATTAAAAATTAGCTGAGAGTGGTAGCATACACCTGGCCTGAGCCCAGGGAGGCAGAGGTTGCAGTGAGCCGAGATCATGCCATTGCACTCAGCCTGGGCAGCAGCAGAGCAAGGCACTGTCTCAAAAACAAAACAAAACAAAACAAAAAACCCAAAAAACAACAAAAAAAAAAGCAGAGTAAACACAATCCTTCATACCAGAAAGTTATTTTGTCTGAAGCTGTCCACAGAATCATAAAATAAGCCAGCAGAAAAATCTGAAGAGAATGTTGGAGAAACTCTCTTAACAGTCTTTGAAAATGCTTTTTAGTGCCAGAGGAAATCAGTTTACATTCTTAGAGATCAGCTGTGACCTCAAAAAGCTGTGTTTAATGTACAAGTCATCTGGACTTATTACATTCAATGAGCTTAATGTTTTCCTCTATGTTATCAGTGTATTAATTTCTACACAAGAGCTGGGCATTATAGGTTAAGTGGCAATGAACTAAGAGGGCAGATGGTGGAATACAACTGCCTGGGTTCAAATTCCTCATCTGCTACTTACTAGCTGTGTGATCCTGGGCAAATTATGTGACCTCTCTGGACCTGCACTTCTTCATCTGTAAAGTTGGGACAATTAAAAAAACCCAAACAACCTACCTTATAGGGTTATCATAAGGATTCAAAGGCGCTAAGTATCATTCCATTGCATATAGAATTCAATACATGTTAGCTATCCTTAATAAGTTTTTTTTTTTTTTTTGCTTAACATGAAAAATGTTTTGCTTCTTTTCAAGTATTTTAATTGCTTTTTAACTTCCTATCATTCTATCATTTATCCAACAAATATTTATTGAGCACTACAATTTTCCAGGCACTCTTGTAGGTGCTGGGGATATAGCAGTGACCAGGACTGGCAAGGTCCTGCACTCACGGAGCTGACAGCCTACTAAGGGAGACAGACAGTAAGTAAGAAAGGAAAAGATCAATTTAGTAGATGCTTCTAAGGGAACAGCTCTGCCATGAATGTCTTCACATACGCCACACAGACAAGGCCAACAGCAGTCTGACCCATCTTGGAGGAATGCCATGTGATCCTCCCAGGAACACTGTAACATAACCAGTCTTGGGAAGAAGCTGTCCCAAGGCCATTTGTCACCCACCTCCCTATGTTGTGGGAGCTGCCATAAGGCAGTTTCTCATCTGCCTCCCTGGTTCTGATAAGACATGGGACTTTCAACATTGCCTCCTCACTTAGGGGAGAGCTGCAAGGTTATACAATCATTTAGCTAGAGTCTGAAGCTGACTCCTCCAGGACATAGCAACCCACCACTTGTGGGTAAATTATATAACATGTTATTGGGTTATACGACGCCAAACTGCCTATCACCGGCCATTTTTTACCTGCAAAAATGGTAATTTCATATGGTTCAACTTACTAGAAGGTGGTAAGTGCAACTGAAAAAAAAAGAGTAAAGAGGTTCAGCAGTGGGAAGCTGGATGCAGTATTCAAGAGGGTAGCCAAGTGGACCTCAGCGGGCTGACATTTTAGGGGAAGAAGGGGATTCAGGAGTTCTGGATATTGCACTCACATGTGGTAACATCTACCTCAACCTTACATGGGTATGAAGATCAAATGAGATAACAGAAGTAAAAATGTTTTGTAAACTAAGAAGTTCTAGGACTATAGAAAATTATTTAGTTTGAGTCTCCTACTTTGTTGCTGGGAATTACAGCAAACTCTTTTTTTTGAGACAGGGTCTCACTCTGTCATCCAGGCTGGAGTGTAGTGGCACTGTCAAGGCTCACTGCAGCCTTCACCTCCCAAGCTCAAGCAATCCTCCCACCTCAGCCTCCCAAGTAGCTGGGACTACAGTTGTGCGCCACCACACCCAGCGTTTTTTTTTTTTTTTGTATTTTTGTAGAGATGGCGTTTTGCCATGTTGCCCAGGCTGGTCTTGAACTCCTGAGCTCAAGTGATCCCCCACCCTGGGCTCCCAAAAGTGCTGGGACTACAGGTACGAGCCACTGTGCCCGGCCTACAGCAAACTTTTTAAGGAACACGTGTAAGCTAGATGGCTCCTAAGTTTGATAGTTCATACCTCACGTGGAGCAGATAAGCAATTAAGAGTTTTGGCTTAAAACTTTTCTCCTATTCCCAGAAAACAAAAGGTGTTGTTGTCATTGTTCTTAGTCAATAAAGCACTATCTACACAAAGAAGGTAATAGGACATATCTGAGAACAATCTGTTGAGATGTAGCTGAGATTACAATCTGAAAAACTGAACAGAATTCCAAAAGAAAGCCGTGTTATTTTAGCATAGTAAAATGTAATATAAAGTGTACCATGTGTCTGAAATTTAATGTCTCTGAAGTAGCTAGGAATTTTTGTAGCTCCGCCAACCCATTCTACCACATAATCATTGAGATTACAATTAAACTAGCTACTAAAACTTAACAAACAAGGAAAATGGAACCAACAGAAAACTAAACTAGGTTAATTTGTAGAGAAATGATAACTATGCATAGGTTTTTTTAAAGAGACAGGACTTATTTTAAGGATTTTTAAATTGAATTCATAAAGCAGTTAAATTTTTGGGAATTTATTGATTTGCATTTAAAAGGGAACTGCTGACAAAGATTCACTGGTAATAATTTGAACAAGTTGGAAAATACAGTCAACATTACTGAAACACTACTAAAATAATTCCAGGACAGAACAAAACTTCTTAGATGCTGTCTTTGATGTGAAAATTGACTGCTTCTTACTTTTCTAACACACGGTGGTATAATTAACAATATTCAATCACTTCTATTCTTTCCTGCATATATAAAAATTAAAATACCAATTAAAAAACTAATATATCTTCTCTTTATTTCTTACAGATATGAGTTCAATGTTTCACTCAATAGTGCTGTGGTTTAAGAGAATTTTTTCATTTACAAGTTAAACAACAATCCGCCCAAAGGGAACTGATAGTCTATAGGCTCATAGTGCAAATAAACAGTTTAGGAATGCAGCAACTGACATTTCTAAAGT
Source organism: Homo sapiens (assembly GCF_000001405.40). Classification (NCBI taxonomy): domain Eukaryota; kingdom Metazoa; phylum Chordata; class Mammalia; order Primates; family Hominidae; genus Homo; species Homo sapiens. The sequence goes on along the minus strand of NC_000023.11, from coordinate 134,500,215 downwards.
ACAAAACAGATAAAATTCTTAGAAGATACATGCAAAAAGCTCTACTAAGCAGATGGCCACAGAACTAGAACATTGATAATTTTACTGGCGATGTCAATAGGACTCCAGATGTTTCCAAACTCAACTTGAACTCTCATCTTAGGCTTTGTATTTTGCTTTTCCAGTTTCACTAATGACACAAACATGCTATAAAAAAAAATCCAGAAATTCACATTTAAAAAGTATATTCTGAAATGAAAGGCAAGAATAGCATTTTACATATAAGAACACTATTAGTTGTCAGGGTTCTTACTAAACAGAGATAGTACTACTGTATTTTAGATCAGTAACTTTTGGGGAGTGTATCTTTTGAAAACAAAGCAGTAGTCTATCACATTAGTTTAATTTGTTTCTTGTTTTTGTTTTTTTTTTTGAGACGGAGTCTTGCTCTGTCACCCAGACTGGAGTGCAGTGGCACGATCTCTGCTCACTGCAAGCTCTGCCTCCCGGGTTCACGCCATTCTCCTGCCTCAGCCTCCCGAGTAGCTGAGACTATAGGCGCCCGCCACCACCCCAGCTAATTTTTTCTATTTTTTAGTAGAGACGGGGTTTCACCGTGTTAGCCAGGATGGTCTCGATCTCCTGACCTTGTGATCCGCCCGCCTCAGCCTCCCAAAGTGCTGGGATTACAGGCGTGAGCCACCGCGCCCAGTCTGTTTCTTGTCTTAATACGTAGTTTTTTGTTTTTTGTTTTGTTTTGAGACAGAGTCTTGCTCTGTCACCCAGGCTGGAGTGCAGTGGCGTGATGTTGGCTCACTGTAGCCTCTGCCTCCCGGGTTCCAGTGATTCTCCTGCCTCAGCCTCCCAGGTAGCTGGGTTACAGGCACACACCACTACGCCTGGCTAATTTTTGTATTTTTAGTAAAGGTGGGGTTTCATCATGTTTGCCAGGCTGGTCTCGAACTCCTGACCTCAAGTGATCTGTCCGGCTTGGCCTCCCAAAGTGCTAGGATTACAGGTGTGAGCCACCGCAACCAGCCTCAATATGTAGTTTTGAAAGACAAATCAAGGAGATAATTTCAAGCATATCAAAGTGGGAGGCCAGTGTACGTGGCAAAAAAAGATGGAGTAAAAAACCTGCTTTAGGTAGTGTACTGTTGCAGTCTTCCTAAATCTTCCTCAACCATGTTCATAAACACATCCATGGGACTTCTGCCTCCAGAGTAAGAGGCAGGTATTCAAAGGACAGTGAATTAAAAGACTAAACTCGATCATTTATTTCTTACTTATGACCACATTTATCATCTGAAATAATAATGCAACAATTATTGTATATTAAAGCTGTTCAACTATTTCAGCCAACAAGAAGTGTCACCCTAGCCTGGCCAGGTTCCAGTTCTAAGGACGTCTGTACTAGACTACAGCTTTATGTGACTAATGGGAACCATCAGTCTGTTCAAATTATGAGGTGCTGGAAGGAGAAAACAATTCTCTTTCCTAAATTTTTATGCGTGTTTTGAAAAATGAGTGAGAAAAAGAAGCAATTACTTACATTCAAATCCCTGAAGTATTCATTATAGTCAAGGGCATATCCTACAACAAACTTGTCTGGAATTTCAAATCCAACAACTAAAAAGAATCATAATTCATCATTTAGATAAAGAAAACATCACTTTTAAATCTAATACTGGCAAATGTGCCTCTCTACAAATATTCTCTAAGCAATTATAAGCCATTTCACATAAAACTCTTTTAGGTTAAAGATGGTTAAATGATTGACAAAAAAAGTAATTCACTTACAGTCTGGCTTATATCCAACACTTCGTGGGGTCCTTTTCACCAGCAAGCTGTTAATTACAAAATGTGACATATAACATACAGAGAGACTACAGGGCATTACAAAAGAGAAGACTGACGTTTCTAAACACTGTTTCATTTCATCCGTGCTGAGTGTACCATGGTCACTTTTAACACACCCAAGGAAAGACTATGAAATGGAGAGCTAAATTATGGGGATTACTAGGAAGGGGCAGCAATGAGTTGACACTACAGACAAGGCACTTGGTTGATCACCTGGAACCTGAAGGACAGTTCTGAGACCTGCACCCTGACTACCCATGTGTCCATTGAAGGGGAGCTAATAAGGAGGATTAATGGGTACAGAGTGTCAATGAGCAAAGATGAAAAGGGCTCTCAGTCTAGAAACCTTGGAAATACAATCCCTAAACTATAAAAGGGTGTGGGAGAGGTGAGCATCACCTTTTATCACAACATTCTTTTTTTTTTTTTTTAGACGGAATCTCGCTCTGTTGCCCAGGCTGGAGTGCAGTGGCGCGATCTCCGCTCACTGCAAGCTCTGCCTCCTGGGTTCACGCCATTCTCCCGCCTCAGCCTCCTGAGTAGCTGGGACTACAGGCACCCGCCAGCACTCCCGGCTAATTTTTTTTTGTATTTAGTAGAGATGGGGTTTTACTGTGTTAGCCAGGATGGTCTTGATCTCCTGACCTCGTGATCCGCCCACCTCGGTCTCCCAAAGTGCTGAAATTACAGGCGTAAGCCACCGCGCCTGGCCACAACATTCTTTTCTTTTCTTTTCTTTTTTTTGAGATGGAGTTTTGCTCTTGTTGCCCAGGCTGGAGTGCAATGGCTCGCCCAACTCACCACAACCTCTGCCTCCCAGGTTCAAGCGATTCTCCTGCCTCAGCCTGCCGAGTAGCTGGGACTACAGGCATGTGCCACCACGCCCGGCTAATTTTGTATTTTTTTTAGTAGAGACAGGGTTTCTCCATGTTGGTCAGGCTGGTCTCGAACTCCCAACCTCAGGTGATCCGTCCACCTCGGCCTCCCAAAGTGCTGGGATCACAGGCGTGAGCCACTGCGCCCGGCCTCACAACATTCTTTTTTTTAAAGAGATGAGTCTCGCTCTGTGGCCCAGGCTGCAGTGCAGTGGTGTAATCACAGTTCACTGCAGCCTTGACTTCTTGGGCTCTAGCGATCCTCCCCCCTCAGCCTTCCGAGTAGCTGGGACTACAGATGTGTACCACTTCGCCCTGGCTGCATCACAACTTTTAATAACTGGCTTACAAAGAGGAACTTTAGGGTAAAACAACTAGTGTGCCAAAAGAACCAGTATTTATTTTTGGAACAAAAGCTGGAGGTGGTATAAGTCAACTCTACCAAAAGCTAATTTTATAACCCAAATGCTGCCTGTTGAAAAATATTCAGCCATTTAAAAAAAACTACAGAAGCTGCTTTGAAAGCCTTTACAGATGTTAAAGGCAGTCTCAAGAAAACTTATGCTTTCATACCTTCCTAGATAAATATATATGTTTAAAGAGCTGGAAAGGGCCCAAAGTGATCTCAACCTGGATTGCACATCAGAATCACCTGGGAGCTTTAAAAAACCAGAACTCACCTACTCGGGCCACAGCCCTGACCAATTACATCAGAATTGCTGGAGATGAGACACAGGCAGAGGTTATCCTGGTTTTTTAACTCTCAGGTGATTCCAATGTGCAGCCTAAGTAGATAACCACTGACCTAAGCCGGAGACTCCAAGGGATCATCTAATTATGTCCCTCATGACTCTTCCAATAAATGGAGAGAGGAGACACTTCAATTCTATTTCCATTTAGAAAGAACATAACAAGCCAATCACAGCAAAAACCCTTCTCCCTACCTGAACTCAGGAATGCTCCAGAAAAGGTATCACTAAACTCAGTGCAATCTGTATTAGGAGTTCAAGAGAACTCAGCACTTCATATGCCTAGAGATCTGAATGTTTAATAAAGCTCCATCTCTAAGGCATGACTAGAGTTGCATCTGAAGCATTTTCCATACTGTAAATGGGTAACCGTTCTTAAGAAGATATATGTAAATGGCCAATAAGCAGATGAAAACATGTTCAACATCATCAGCATCAGAGAAACACAAATCAAAACCACAATGAGATACCACATCATAGCCACTAGGATGGCTACAATAAAAAGGACAGTAACAAGTGTTGTCAAGGATGTGGAGATATTGGAACCCTCATATGTTACTGGTGTAAAACAGTACATATACCTTGTTAAATAGTCGGGCAATTCCTCAAAATGTTAAACACAGAGTTACTATATGACCTAGCAACTATATACTCAAGAGACCTGAAAACAGGTATTCATACTTGTACACAAACATTCAAATCAACATTATTCATAAAAGCCAACAGGTAGAAACTCAAATGTTCACCAACAGATGGATAAGCAAAATGTGATATATTTGTACAATGAAATATTATTCAGCCAAAACAAGGGATGAAGTACTGATACATGCCCCAACCTAGATGAACCTTGAAAACACTATGCTAAGTGAAAGAAGACAGGATATTGCATGAGTCCATTTATATGGAATGTCCATAATACACAAATCTGTACGGACTTTCTGTAGAAAGTAGATTAGTAGTTGCCAGGGGCTGGGAGAAGGGAGAATGACTGCTAATGGGTACAAGGTTTCTTTGGGTTCCAAAATGAAATAGTGGTAGCAGATGCACAACTCTGAATATATCAAAAACCACTGGATTGTACAACTTTAAAAGAGTGAATTTTATGGTACGTGACTCAGATCTCCATAAAAAAGGAGTATGTTTACAGTTCCAGAACCAGCTACATATATAATGTGAAAAATATTACTATCTTCCCTACATTCTAAAACGCAATTAAGCAGCTGCTCACTACAATGAGATCAATCACATTATAACCAACAGTGAAACAGCGCTTTGCAGTTAAAAAGATTTTCAAATATATTATCTCCTTGACTCATATAGTTTCCCTGAGAAAAAGATGTTAATAATCATTCCCCTTTAAAGATGAGTAAATACATTCAGAGAGATTAAATATGGAATAGTCGCTCAGATTAAGTGGCAGTGAAATGCGAGACTAAACTCCCAAGTCCATGTGTTTCTCACTTTACTGCTCTGCCTAGAACATGAAAACTGGAACTGGGTGGGAAAAACCTTAGAAGTCATCTAGGCCATGCATTCTTTTTTTTTTTTTTTTTTTCTGAGACAGGGTCTCACTCTGTCACCCAGGCTGGAGTGCAGTGGTGTGATCACAGTAGGCCACTTATACTCAACAGAGGCGATATCACCTCCAAGGAAGCCAAAACTAATTCTCAGCAGGGAGAGTGGAAATATTAGACATTACAAGATTTGTGACCCTCCAAAACTCAATCCTACCTGAAAATCTTATTCCTTAGTGTTTAATTTCTGAGTATCATATAAGCAGCACTGACGTGGGGTTCAAAGAAGATACATGAAATGTATGCAAGATCGGTGCTACAAAACTATGGTGAATAGATGACTTGGGTCAAGAAATGACCCAAGTATTGTTTGAGCATGTCCTACCTGTGGCAACACAAAATCTCTCGCTCACGAACCAGTCTATCTCAATTCCACAGCATATACCAGGAAAGAACAACAAAAGAATACCCAGAGGATTAAAGTCTATGCCACAGTAGGTTGACATTTAAAACCCTAAAGAGCATGTAGAAAAATAAGCAAGTGCACTGATTAGTTTCTATTTGGTTGGTGCAAAAGTGATTGCAGTTTTTGCCATTTCATAGGATACTAGTTAGTGTCCTATAACGTATCACTTATATACTCTCATAGTACCTGTCCCAAATCTATTTAAAAGAAAAACTCACTGATAAACACTTGAACTGGATATTAGAAAAGCCCATACAGTCAAACTGCTGACATATGACTCACTAGAAGGCTTACTCTGATTCAAAGATGCTCGACAGATACCGTGATTTTTTCAAAAGGGCTTATAAAAACCTGTTAATCACTTAGGAAAAAGCAGAAGTTAGAACATTACCTGACCCCTACATAAAAACTGCAGACTGATCAGAGACTTAATGTTTTTAATGAAATTATAAAAGGAAAAGAAAAACATATTCTTAAATGTTTGTTTGATGTCACTCTATTAAAAACTTAAGGTAGCAAAAGCATAAACTGTGAGCCAGGTTCCCTGGGTTCAAATCTCATCTCTATAGCGGACTAGCTCTGTACCTTTGGACAATTCCCTATGCCTCAGTAACCTTATCTGAAAAGTGGGAATAATAATGCCACCCCAGAGTTGTTGAGAGATGAAACGAAAATGAGAAATAAACACAGGTAGAACTATAAAAGCAAAAGTAAAACAGCATAGGTAAGGTGAGGAGGTGAGGCCGACTTAATAAAAAAGGAAGCAGGCATTATAAAATTTCACTACAGACACAAAGAAGATGCAGCATTCATCACTCAATTCCAGGAGGTCCAGATCTTCAGGGCCCACCCCTTCCTATCACTTCCTCACCCGCTTTGGAATCCTTATTCTTAATTTTGCAAGGGGGCCCAAAATCCTCTGCCATGCTATTCAGGACAAACTGATATAATTAGCATGCTGAAAAACCAAATGTTAATATTAGGCAAGGAAGTGACTGTAATTATGAGCTTTATTAACACATGACAAAATTATTTAAAAGGATTATATCTTAAGTCTTATATGAGATTACATTACTTTTCGAAGATAAAATGACAGTTGAAAACATTTATCCTTAAAAAGAAGCAATCACTTAATCCCCCTTCAAATGAGGAAAATATTCTGTGTCAAAATGTCATACATACCTTGCGACCTTGACCATCTTTGGATTATACTGCCTGACCAAGGAAAGCAAAGTCTGCATTGTTTTGCCAGTGTCAATTATATCCTTTCAAAAAAGAAGACATTGCATAGCTTTAAATTCAGAGTCACAATATAAAGTACCAAAACCCCCATGTATAACTGCAATACTGTCATTCTTTTCAGCACAGTAATTCTCACCAAAATCTACATGGAGATATTCTGGAATCTATATCATCTGGCCCTCAGCAAGCAGTAAGAATGCCAGCCCCCAGGACTGGATTTTGTAGGTGCAGGATCAATGACAGCAAATTTGAATATATACATGCACATTTTATTAGGGAGTTATGATGTTGTCCTTCATTATAAAAAGTATTTTAGAATTTTTCCCATAAATTCAAGATAGAGACTCTCTCCTCCCAACTCTCCAATATAGGTGGCTAACAGACTACACTCGAGAAACATGCTTTATACTATTTTTAAAGGCACCCAAATTAATAACGCTATAAAATGACTTTACATAAAAGTGAATCTCAGCTATTTAGTCAAAAGTAGGACTCTAAACAAACCCATCTTTGTTAGGGAAAATATTTTTTAAACCATAACCCTAATGCTTTTCAATAAAAATACTCTTTAAAAATGGAATAAAGCAGTGTGAGCCATCAGAAACATCATGGCTGGAGACTTGTGAAAAATGCAGATTTCTGGGCTGTGGTAGGCAGAATTCTGATGGCTCTCAAAATTCCTGCCTCCTTTAGGGATAAAAGACTTTAAGACTTTTTAACAAAAAAGAAAAAGAAAAAAAAAATTCCTGCCTCCTGGTGTACACACACAGAAGGGTTCCCTCCCCTTGAATGTGACCAGGATCTGTGAAAATAACGGGATAGCCGCTCCTGTGATTAGGTTATGTGGTAGACTAGAGCAAGATTCTCCTGCTGGTTTTGAAGAAGTCAGCTGCCATGTTGTGAGACTGTCATGGGCTAGGGCATGAGCCTTTAAATATCTGGGAGCAACCCCTGGCCAGCAGCCAGTGAGAAAACGGGCCCTCAGTCCTACAATCACAAGGAACTAAATTCTGCCAACAACCTGAAGGAACTTTGAAGAGGATCATGAGTCCCTTGATTCAGCTTGATGAGCCCCTGAGCAGAGGATACAGCTAACTTGTACTAGGGAAGTATAAAAAACATGCATGGGAATGATATATATCAACTTTAAGGATAATTGTCATACTTCTGGGAATGAAGGGAAAGAAATGGGGCTTTAGTTGTATTATGATCTTTAATTTCTCAAAAAAAATAAGATCAGAAGCAAATATGGCAAAATGTTAATACTTTTGTGGGTACGTAGGTATTCAGCATACCCTTTTTTCTGAGTTCAAAATATTTTATAATTAAAATGAAATGCAGGCCAGGCACAGTGGCTCATGCCTATAATACCAGCACTTTGCGAGGCCGAGGTGGGAGGATGGCTTGAGGCCAGACCAGCCTGGCCAACATGGCAAAACCCCATCTCTACTTAAAAAAAAAAAAAACTATATATATATATATGTGTGTGTGTGTGTATATATATATATGTATATATATTTATATATGTGTGTATATATATATATGTATATATATTTATATATGTGTGTGTATATATATATATACACACACACACATATATACATACATACATACACACACACACACACACAATTAGCCAGGCATGGTGGCGCACACCTGTAGTCCCAGCTACTTGGGAGGCTGAGACATGAGAATTGCTTGAACCTGGGAGGCAGAGTAGTTAGTGAGCTGAGATCATACCACTGCACTCCAGCCTGGTGACAGAGTGAGACTCTGTCTTAAAAAAAATAAAAATTAAAATTAAATGCAAAAGGTCCAAGTGAATTGAAGAGGAAAGGGGTATCAAGGAAGGTTTTGTGGAGGTGACGTTTGAGCTGGGTCTTAAATGACTTAAACATGGGATAAGAAGGGAGGGAATAAGGACATTTCAGGTACGAGAAATAAGGAGCAAACAGTGGAAACAACCTAACGTCTGTCAACCAGTGAATGGATAACAAAAATGTAATTCAGATGGTATCCAACTTACGATGGTTCAACATGAGATTTTTCTGACTTTAGGATAGATTTATCAAAGTAGTAAATCCATTTTCAACTTATGATATTTTCAACTTCAGATGGGTTTATCAGGACACAGTTGAGGAACACCTGTCTATCCATACAATTTGGCAATAAAAAGGAAATGAGTGCAGATATACTCCACAACATGAATGAACCTTGAAAACATTAAGTGAGAGAAGCCAGATACAAAAGGCCACATATTGTATGATTCTATTTATACAAAATGTCCAGAATAGGCAAATCTTATAGACAGCAAGTAGGTAGATGATCAGTTTGCTAGGTGCTGGGGGAAGGGGAAATGGGGAGTGATGGCTAAGGGGATTGGGTTTCTTTGTGGGGCAATGAAAATGTTTTAAAATTGAGCGTGATAATGATTGCACAATGCTGCATATATATATAATCTATAGATTATATATATATAAAGAGAGGCTGTTAGACAGTGATAAGTGATATATATATATATATACATAGAGAGAGAGAGAGAGAGAGAGAGAGGCTGTTAGTGATAAGTGATCAGGAAAATAAAAGTATTGAGGAGGAATACGAAGTTGACGGTGTGAAAACATGAGATTTTATATAGGATGGCCAGGGAAGGCCTTAATGAGAAAGTGACTTATGAGTAAAAACAAGGGATCCTAAACCTTAGCATGCATCAGAATCACTCGGAAACTTGTTAAAGCATAGCTTGCTGGGCCTCATCACAGATATTTTGATTCGGTAGGTTCTTGTCTGATATTAATACTTTTGGTCTAGGGAACCACATTTTGAGAACCACTGAGCTAAAGGAAGTAAAGGTTTCCCTTAGTTTACTAGCTGGTAACCCTAGGAAACTGCTTAGCCTCTCGGTGCTAAGATACAAAATACTTTAGCACATAATAACACATGGAAAATAGTCTATAAATTATAAATATTATTTTTTATGTACCAAATATTACATAAGACAAAATCTAAGCAAGATATATATATATATACATAAAATATAAGATATATATGTATATATTATATATAGATAAATAGAGAGAGAGAGTTATGTTTAGAAAGAAAATACTTCAAACTAAAAAAAGAGAGGTAGGAAGTATACCATTCCATTATTGGTAAAAACAAATTACTAAGTAGTCTTTACAAAAAACCAATCTCACTCCTTTAGAACACAAGCCCACCATTAAAACTGATGCAGAGGAATTTCTCTCCCTGGCTTACCTTTAGGATGGTGCATACTAAGTTAGAAAAGTCATAAATGTTATATTAAAAGTAAATGTGAACTTACTTCCACAATCAAGACATTCTAGAAGAAAAAGAGAAATGAAAATCAGTACAATGAATAAAACGGTATTTCCAATTATAAGTCAAATCACATCATAACAACCCTAAGGAATTATCCAAACTCTTGTTTTTAGATGCTTTATTATATCAAACTCTCCTTTAAACAAGTGGCCCATCTGCTGGGATTTGGAAGCCTGTAATACTGAAATTTTCATCATAATGGAAATTTTAAAAACAGAATTTGACCCACCTGTTTTTAAAACACTTTCATTACTTAACAAGAGGTCTAATCTTGGGCAAGTCTTGAAATTTCTCTGGCCTTAGTTTCCCATGTGTTAAATGAAACTTGAAGCAGTTGGTCTCTTATAGTCTCCTGACTCTAACATTCTAAGAATTATATTTGTACAATAACTCAAAAATCACATAATTTAATTTACCATATGGACTCCAAAATATATTTTCTCATTAGGCTAAACTTGATCTGCATTTTCTGGATGTGTCCATATTCTTGGACTACACTAAAACATGATACCAATGCTTCCTCTCACCATAAACCCTCACTTCGCTTTCTACATTTAAGAATTTTATAGCTGGAAGAGTCCTTAACAGAAAATACCATCTAATAATTACCCCTCAAAATCGAGAAAGTCCTATCTGTTCTTATGCTAGTTATAAGAATGAGGCAGCATTTCACATAATGGTTATAAACACTGCCACAAGAAGATTCATGATGTGTTGTTTATCTGTAGCTCTCATCATACTCTGTCATATAACTATAGCATTAAGATTTTAATGTTCTATATATTCTTCTAAGACAGTGTTTACCAGAGTAAGGCACAAAAGATCCACTGGTTTGCAAGAAAGATTAGAACTTTTAAATTTTTTACCTCACCTTGTTTAATCTATATTTTTGTATGTATTTTGTAACATATATATTATTATTACCATAAATCATATATAATTTAAAATGCATATATTAGGGGTAAATGCTCAGGAAACTTTTTATAAATTGGGCATGCAAATACAAGTTTGAAGACTCACTGTTCTAGGTATTAAAAGTAAAGTTATAACCAAGTAAAGCTTCCACCTTTTCATGTCTCAAAGCAGTTTATTGTTGGAGGTAAGATCTCTTAGAAGCCTAAACAGGTCCAAGTACAGAATGAAGTAAGGCTAGCCCATAACTTGTGGCAAGCAATTCATACTATTTCTCTCATGCTGAGCTCTCCTCAGTGAAGCAGCTACTATAGACAACTGCAGCCTATTGGTAGCCTATTTTACAGGCAGGAAAAAAATTACTTTTTATTCAAAGTGGAACTCAGGACATGGGGAGAAAATGAATACAAAAAATAGGGTCAATCCAAAGGCACACAGCAAATGAGTAACACAGTTATGTTTTTTTCCCATTTGTATGAGGTCCCAGTAAATTCTAAGTAAACTGCAAATTTAATAATACACTAAAAAAGCCATGCAATTGTTCAAATGAATCCCAGCATGGTACAACGAGTACAGACACTAGAGTCTAAAAAACAAAAGAATGCCATTATTGAGTTTTTGAATTATATCAAGTAGTTACATCTCTACTTAATAAATGAGAAAAACGAGGATAAGAGGCCATTTGATAAAATGAAAATAGCCAAGAAGTGGTATTAGAGACTTGAATACAGGTATTCGGGTCCAAAGTTCATCTGCTCAAATACTAACTGGGGAAAAGAGGGAAAAATATTTATATACATATATATCTGCACACAAAAATACCCCCAAAAGACAAAATGAGGCCAGGCAGGGTGGCTCACACCCGTAATCCCGGTACTTTGGGAGGCTGAGGCAGGTGGATACCTGAGATCAGGAGTTGGAGATCAGCCTGGTCAACATGGTGAAACCCTGTCTCTACTAAAGATAAAAAAATTAGCCAGGCATGGTGGCGTGCGCCTGTAATCCCAGCTACTTGGGAGTCTGAGGCAGGAGAATCACTTGAACTGGGAAGGGGAGGTTGCAGTGAGCCAAGATCGTACTACTGCACTCCAGCCTGGGCAGCAGAGTGAGACTCCATCACAAAAATAAATAAATAAATAAAATACAATGAAACAGAAAGTTCAAATAATCCCATAATCTTACCACCAAGAAATAACTTTCACTCGTTATACTTATTGATTTTTCCATAATAAATGTACTTTACTGTGACTATCATGAAAAGAAAGTTATTTTAGAAACAGAGAACTGTTTCAGATCAAATCTATGTAGTAGAACAGAGCCATTAGGTGGGAAAGACGAGATCAAACTAAATCTCAGAAGGCCTAAAAGGCTAGGTCCATTCCAGCACTAAAAACTGACCAGACAAGTAATGGCTTCAACAGCTTCTAAATATGGACAAAGCATGCTGAAAGGGAAGGACAGGTCTAACAGTGGTATATGAAATGAACAGGAGGGGCAAAGCTCATTTCTCCTCTGAAGTTTTCCAAAGATGCTGAGGAGGACATTAGTTTGACATGACCCTGATATGGGACAAGATAATTTCACAGAAGTTTTACATGTTAAAGTTTTCTTATAGATACTCATTCAAGTAAGCAATGAACACTAAAATCTAAAGAAAGAAAAGAGCTTTAGAGTCAGGTCTGTATTCAAATTCAAGCTCTACCACTTACTGGTTCTGTGACTTTGGGCAAGTCTTTTAACCTTATTAAGTCTTAATTTCCTGATTTGTAAAATGGGGATATCGTCTCCCTCACAGGATTGTTGTGAAACTTTTATGAGATTAATGCCTTTATATTTGGCATAGTGTAAGTAAACAATAACTGGCAGCTTCAAAAAAAAAAAGCAGTAGCATTCCATCATTTATTATTGGTTACTCTCAAAAAGTTTTTCAATGTACTAGAAGATAAATATTCAAATACCTTAATATCTCCATTATTTTCAGGTAAACAGCATGCTCCTGAACAACCAATGGGTCAACAAATAAATTAAAAGGGAAATCTAAAAACATCTTGATATTAAACTACATGGAAGCACAATATACCAAAACCAATGGTTCACACTAGGAGAATTTTAAGGTACAAGAAAACTCTTTGAGATTTCTTAAAATAATAGTATGTCTGAATTTATTGAGTGATTTACCAGAAACTGTTGTAAGAGCTCTACTTGCATTATAGCACTTAATCCTCTTAACTCTATGGCTGCTATTATCAACCTCACCCTAATCACATATGGGACACAGAGAGGTTAAGTAACTTGCCCAAGGTCAGAGTTAGGAAGTACTAAGCCATGCTTTGAATCAGTTGTCAGGCTCCGGAACTCACACTTTCAGCCACTACATAATACTGCTTTGCTATCTTTTAGGAAACTATGTGAGTCTACCTCACATAGACTCACATAGGTTTGTTTTTTTTTTTTTTTTAAAGGCTATCTTTTCCCCCATCAATGTTTTTTGAAGGATCCCAAATTAGAGTCCCACAGAGGCAGACAGCAGTACTTGACAATATGGACATTTAAGGTTAATGTTGGATTCTACTGTCTTTTTACTACATGACCTAGGGAACGATAATTAACCTAGACTGCTTCCAAGGGTTAAATAACCCATTTAGTTATACTATGTAAATTATCTCTTAGTGATTGATTGAAAGCACACTGTTACTAATTGACTCGGTATGAAGTGCTTTTTTTTCTTCCCTTTCAAGATACATACCTTTCCAGTTAAAGTTGAGAGATCATCTCCACCAATTACTTTTATGTCCCCTGTTGACTGGTCATTCTAGTTAAAAAAAAAAAAAACTATATATATATATATCTACACACACATATGTATATGTATATCCTTATGTACACACACAAACTTCAAATTAAATGAGAACTAGAAGATTTGAGAAGTTAGCTAGCTAATATCCATAGCATTATGATATTCTAAATGATATGAATTATAAGAATTAGGTTTCCTGAAATGAATGACTAGAAAACTTTCAAGTAGAGATTAGTAAAAATTAAAAAGTCCTAATCGGCCATTACTGATTTGATGTTTTTAAGAGTCCTAAAAAATGGGTTACATCCATTTTTAAGTGGGTAGTATTATAACAGCCACCCATCTTCAATCACAGTGATTTCTGAATTGTGAGGGAAGTTATTAGCATGACAGGTGTCTGGTTCTGGCCCTGTACGATTCCCATGAGTCAAGCAAATTGTAAGGGCTGGTCTATATCACACCCAACCCCAAGGATATGTCCCTCAAAAGTCTAGCCCAGGCCCCGTCATCTTCAGCATCATCTGGGAAACCAGGTCTGATTAGTAGTCCTTTAAGGAATACCTCTTAGGCTCCCATTTTACTGCTATCACAGAATCCAATAAAACCCTTACAGGAGATTCAATGGGAAATGCTCAACACCCACTGTAGTTGGTGGTGACAATGACCATAATTTGGCTGTGCTGGATTCAGGACAGAAAATTTGGGTGAAAGAGCAGGTGAACAAAAGAGCTTCGACTTGCCCTAGCAGAGAGCAAGCCATACCATACCACAAAGCCACAGCAATTACAACGGTGCAGTACCAGCACAGTAAATGAACAAAGTAGAGCCCAGAAACAGACCCAGAACTATATGAGGATTTAGTATACAATAAAGATGGTATTTCGAGTCAGTAGGGAAAAGATGAATTATTCAATAAATGATGTTTGGCCAACTAGTAACCCATTTGGGAAAAAATAAAAGTATGGTCCCTACCTCACAGCATACACAAAAATAAATTCCAGACGGATTAAAATCTAAATGTAAAAAATAAAGCCATAAGTGGACTGGAAGAAAATAGAGAATTTTTTTTAACATCCGTAGAAAGGGTAAAAACCCAGGCATGACATGAACCAAAACTGAAGAGGTTCTGTAACAAATACCCCCTTTTATATATTGGGCTCCAACAATAAGAACCCATAGGAAAATGGAGAATGAACACAAATAGACAATTTATAGAAGAGAAGGTTATAAGGTGTAAAATTATATCTATCTGAGAAACAAACACTAAAACAATGTGATTCTACTGTTCTCCCACCCATACTGGCAAAACTTAAGCCTGATAATATGCTGAGGGGAAATAAGCACTCTTGTTGGTGAGAGTATTAATTGGCATAGCTTCTTTTGAAAATGACATAGCAATACCTGTTAAAATTGCAAACATGCATGTCACTTAATCCAGTAATCCCACTTCTGGGAATCAATGCTACAAAAACACTGACAAGTATACAAAGATACATTCAAGAGTGTTCACTGGGCCGGGTGCGGTGGCTTCATGCCTGTAATCCCAGGGAGGCAGAGGCAAGACGATCGCTTGACCCCAGGAGTTCAAGGCCAGCCCGAGAAACACAGCAAGACCCTGTCTCTCTTTTTTTTATTTAAAAAATAAATGTTCACTGTATCAGTTGTTCACAAAAACAAACCAACATGTCCATTAACAGGGAACCATTTAAATTAATCAAGTTCATCTACACAATGTAATACCATGCAACTATTAAAAAGCACCTGATAATCCAAAGCACACTGAGACAGAATAATGCTATTAAAAACACCAAGTAGTGGAACACTGTGTTGCCTATGACACCATTTTTATTCAACATTTAAACAAATTTGTAACAGCAATTACATGAGTAGTGACAATGGCGTTTATGAGACTTTTCACTTTTATGTGCTTCTATTTTTGTTATGCTTCTATATATACATCCATTTATTATGGAGTGTTACTTTCAAAAATCACAAATGGGCCAGTATTATTTGGTGTTGCAAGGTGAGCATATGACTTCTGATATCAACCTTTGCATATTACTTCTCAATTTAGGGAAATTACAGACATCCCTTATTCTAACTAACTTAAAACCCAGCATTTCAAACATACAGAATTGATGGGGAAAAAAAAGAAAGAAGAAAGAAAGAAAAGGCAACAAGCTTCAGATGACAGTGACTCACATCAAATTATTTATAAAATCTGTTAAATAGTGCCATCTTCTGGAGATACCTGGTATTACAGTCCAACTCCAGTTGATGTCTTTACAGAGACAAGAGGAATAAAGGAAAAAATATTCAAGAACTGAAAAGTATGGAGTCATGGAAAAATTGCTGTGATCCAAAGGCTACGGTGATAGGACAAGAAACAAGAGAACTCCAAGCAGTAAGACACTGCTGTTCTATTAGCATCCAAACCTCCATACTCCTGTTTGCCCCAAGGCTTTTTTAAAAAATAGAGACAGGATCTCACTATTTTGCTCAGGCTGGTCTTGAACTCCTGGACTCAAGCGATCCTCCTGCCTCGGCCTCCTAAAGTGCCGAGATTACAGGCTTGAGTCACCATACCTGGCTATTTATTTTTTCTTAACTCTCTTGCCTGGCCTATAGCCACCATGGAAGCTAATAAAGAATATTAATTTAAGAGTAATGGTATAGTTCACTACATTGGAATACAGGTATAAGTGCCTACATTGTACATGAATGGCATACATGGATCAATTACCCCACCTGGGTGGCCAAAGGAACTGCGCGAACCTCCCTCCTTGGCTGTCTGGAACAAGCTTCCCACTAGATCCCTTTACTGAGTGCCTCCCTCATCTTTAATTATGGTTAAGTCTAGGATAACAGGACTGGCAAAGGTGAGGGGAAAGCTTCCTCCAGAGTTGCTCTACCCTCTCCTCTACCGTCCTATCTCCTCACTCCTCTCAGCCAAGGAGTCCAATCTGTCCTGAACTCAGAGCGTCACTGTCAACTACATAAAATTGCCAGAGAAGCTCTTTGGGACTACAAACACATACCCTTAATGTCTTTATTTCTATTTTGTCTACCTCTTCAGTCTAGGTGAAAAAATAGGAAGGATAATAGGGAAGAACTTTGTTTATGCCTACTTATCCGCCCCTAGGAATTTTGAAAACCTCTAGGTAGCAATAAGAACTGCAGCATGGTATAGAAAAAGAGGAGGAAAGCTGTATAGAAATGCATAATAAATGGGCAGGAAAAGAACTGCTTGGAACAAACAGGGAGGTTGAACTATAAGGAGAGAAAGCAGAGAGGCTAATCAACAAGGCTGGGTTCCCAAGAGGGCATGATGAGACTATTACTAAGGTAGGAATTACTAAGGGCTCCATGTCCCCTTAGTGGCTTAGTACTATGTAGCTTGCTTTCTGCAGTGAACTTCAGACCCTTCTTTTAGGATCCTAGAATGGACTTTTTTTTTTTATCGGAAAACAGTCATTCTCTCAACATTCAAGCAGGCCCCAAGTCTACCACACTCAATCACATTTTCTCTTCATATCATAATCTCTCAACCATTCTCTGTCCTTTTAACTGTTTTTCTATACCCTGATCAAATGCCAACAAAAGTGAGAATGTTAGAATCATGTATTTTTAGAGGTAGACTGTATCTCAGATAAAAAAAAAGGGCAGATATTCCATTTTCCAAAATATGTATGCAGAAAAAATAAGTATGAAAGGACATATGCTCAGGTAACAAGTTAATTTGTTTACTTGTATTTTATGAATTCTTTTAAATAAACACATTACTAAAAAAAAAACTAAAGGTTTTTGTCAGTTAAAAAACGACACTGATGAAGCACAGCCCTTACAGATCATCTAGTACTACACTGTCCCATACGGTAGCCACATGTGGCAATATAAATTACTTAAAAATTCAGTTCCTGTGTTGCACAAGATGTGTCAAGCGCTCAAAAGCCACATGTCACTAGTGGCTCTGTACCACATAGCAGAAACATAAAAGATTTCCATCCTCAAAGAAAGTTCTATTGAACAGCATTGCTCTAATTAAATAAAAAATACCATTTAGCACAACATAGTAATAGAAAAGATTGAAGAGTAAGTGCTGATACTTAAAAACCTGGTATTTTCTGCCAGGCATGGTGGCTCATGCCTGTAATCCTAGCACTTTGGGAGGCTGAGGTGGGAGGATCGCTTAAGCCCAGGAGTTCTAGACCAGCCTGGGCAACAGGGTGAAACCCCGTCTCTACAAAAAATACAAAAAATTAGCTGGGCGTGGTGGCATGTGCCTGTAGTCCCAGCTACTTGGGAGGCTGAGGTGGGAGATAACCTGAGCCTGGGAGGTCAAGACTGCAATGAGATGAGATTGCACCACTACACTCCAGCCTGGGTGACAGAGTGAGACCCTGTCTCAAAAAAAGAAAAAAACAAAAAACAAACAAAAACCACCTGGTATTTTTAAGTACACTATTTTCAAACATTCAAACATTCAGAAGTTATTTCATCCTATCTTCATGGTTTCCATTTTATGCCTGGTTTGGGATTAGGATCTGATAAAATAAACGTGTGCAACAGAACCACTTCTCATGGCTGTATAACAGATGATCAATATGTATTTGCTGAGGAAATTATTCAATTTTCTTAATTTTTTTTCACAAAATTTGTGGTTTCAAGGGACCAACCTTGACTACTACACCTTCATGTTCTAAGAATCAGGGGACTTATATAAAACCTCAGTTACCTGATAAGGACTACATCAAAGTGAAAAGCCATGGGAAAGAACTAGAAAGTATACTTTTGAACCTAGTTCTGTAAAGTTTCCTTATGCCACAGATAATACACATCCCCATTCCTGCCAAATTCTTTCTCTCACCCCTGTCTATGGTCTCGATTCAATAAATAGGAGAAGGGCATGAATTTGCTTTAGATAGATAGATAGATAGATAGATAGATAGATAGATAGATAGATAGATAGATAGAGATAGACAGATAGAGATAGAGACAAAGATGGAGACAGAGATGGAAATAGAGACAGATTTACAGAAGATAAGTTCTAGGTAAACTAGTGTCAACATCAAAGTGGTATACCTACATCTAACTATTCTGGAGAGAAAAGTATACCTCAAAGAAATCGACTACATACAGAGAAAAAGTTTAAGCTGAAAGCTACTGCCCTCTTACATGAGACACTTTAAGAAACTACTTGGGGGGCAAGTGAGAAAATGGGGAGATGTAGCTCAGAGGATACAAAGTAGCAGATATGTAGGATGAACAAGTCTAGAAATATAATGTACAACATGAAGTATATAGGTAATAAAATTGTGCTGTATTTGGGATTCACACTAAATGAGATTTTAAGCTCCTCTTGCCACCAAAACAAAAAAAAAATGGGTAACTATGTGAGTTGAGGGATACGTTAATTTGCTTCACTGCAGTAATCTTTTAACCACCTATATGTATCCCATAACATCATGTTGTATACCTTAAATATACAGAATACAATTTATTTAAAATAAAATACTCCAATATTTTCTGCATTTTTAATATGTTCAAAGAAAGTATTAATTTGCATCTTTGATGTTAAACAGAGCCTAATCAAGTCACTATCAAGATCAACACTAAAGTTATAGCTATTCTCTTTTGATACCTTTTGAGACACACACACACACACACACACACAAATACACATATGTGTTTGTGTGTGTGTGTGTGTGTGTGTATTTTAAGTTATCGTTTTGGCCAGGTGCAACGGCTGACACCTGTAATCTCAGCACTTTGGGAGACCAAGGCAGAAGGATTGCTTGAGACCAGGAGTTTGAGACCAGCCTGGGCAACACAGCAAGACCCTATCTCTACAATTTTTTTTTTTTTTAAAATAGCCATGGGTGATGGCACGCACTTGTAGTCTCAGATACTTGGGAGGCTGAGGCAGAGGATCCCTTGAGCCCAGGAGTTCAAAGCTGCAATGGGCCACTATGCCACTGCATTCCAGTCTGGGCAACAGAGCAAGACCTTGTCTCAAAAAAAAAAACATTTCTAATTAAAGATAAAGAGTTATAGTTTTATGAACCTTGACTGCAACTGAGGGAAAATCCCGTAATTGGCAAAATGAATTCTGTCTGCTTGCAAAACTTCTGACTAATAGAGAATGAATAATAGGAAGCCCATATTAGAGGATCCACATCAGTTAAAAAGTTTTTCCAAATAAGAGTGACTCTGAGTTCTGCAGAGTTAAAAGATTGGGTTCAAATCAAAGACTTGTATGATCTTGAGTAAGTTACTTAATCCCTCTGTGACTCACTGTTCTCAAATGTAAATGAAGATAATTTGTAACTCAAAAAAATAAAAATGAAAAAGTTTTCTCTAAGATTGCAAATCCTAAGAATAATTTCATTTTAATATCAGTCATTTAGTCTGGATACACCATAATGCAGACTAATTTTCCCTCTGCTTAAGGTCCACACAAAAACATTTCCAATAAAATTTACTTGTGTATCAACTTTTCCTCCTGAGGCTTTGTTGTTTTTTTGGTAAAAAAATAAAATAAAATAAAATAAAAATAAAAATAAAAAAATCACTAGACTGGGTACAGTGGCCCATGCCTGTAATTTCACTTAGGGAAGCCAAGGCAGTTGGATTGTTTGAGCTCAGGAGTTTCAGACCAACCTGGGCAACATGGCAAAACCCTGTTTCTACAAAAAAAAATGCAAAAATTAGTCAGGTGTGGTGGCACACACCTGTGGTCCCCGCTACTCTGGAAAGGGAGGTGGGAGGATTGCTTGAGCCCACGCAGAGGTTGCAGTGAACCAAGATGGCACCACTGCACTCCAGCCTGGGTGACAGAGCAAGATCCTGTCTCAAAACAAAAACAAAAACAAAAACAAAACAACAACAACAACAACAACAAAAAACCACTGGCCAGGCACGGTGGCTCACGCCTGTAATCCCAGCATTTTGGGAGTCCGAGGCGGGTGGATCACCAGAGGTCAAGAGTTCTAGACCAGCCTGGCCAACATGGTGAAACCCCATCTCAACTAAAAATACAAAAATTAGCCAGGCATGGTAGCAGGCGCCTGTAATCCCAGCTACTCGGGGGGCCAAGGCAGGAGTATAGCTTGAACCTGGGAGGCAGAGGTTGCAGTGAGCTGAGATCACGCCATCGCACTCCAGCCTGGGGGACAAGAGTGAGACTTCGTCTCAAAAAAAAAAAATCACTATAAAATTGAAATAAATTCACAACAAAGGAAATACATTTGTATACTTAACCTTCTTTTTATTTACTTATTTACTTATTTTTAATATTTTGAGATGGCGTCTCGCTACATTGCCTAGGCTGGTCTTGAACTCCTGGGTTCAAGCCAGCCTCCCGTCTTGACTTCCCAAAGTACTGGGATTACAGGTGTGAGCCACCATGCTCAGCCCATATTTAACTTTCACTTTCTGAATATCACAGGGCAGAAAAGGTCATCAAATATATAGTACTATATTTCATTGCTCTAAGATGCACATTCACATTTTATTAATAATAGCTCTAAAATTGATGTATTACAATTGATGGCAATTTACATTTATAACTGGTAGTGTTTTCTTTCTTGGCAGTATGAAAAATAGTGTTAAGTCTTAAAATCAGTGACATCTTTAATTTAATGAAATAGGTATTTGGAATCCCCAGGCAATTTCCCATCTAGGCACTAGGTAAATAAAATCCTACCAAGCTACTTGGATTAAGAGTACGCATATGTGTGTGTGTACACAGAGAGAGAATTCTTTAGAATATTCTAAATAAAAAGTGGCAGTGATATTTGGAATGACTTAAATCCTTTATAATTTTCTGCAGTTGTGTTTTCTTTCTTATTTTTTTAAGACAGGGTCTCCCTCTGTCACTCAGGCTGGAATGCAGTTCCACTGCATTCCACTCAGTCTCGAACTCCTGCAGTCTCAAACTCCTAGGCTCAAGGGATGCTCCTGCCTCTGCCTCCCAAGTAGCTGGGACTACAGGTGCACGCCACCATGCACAACTAATTCTTTTTGTGTAGAGAGGGGGTCTCATTATGTTGTCTAGGCTGGTCTCAAACTCCTGGCCTCAAGTGATTCTCCCACCTCGATCTCCCAAAGCACTGGAATTACATGTGTGCCACTGCACCCAGCCGTATGTTTTCTAATAAGCATGTTTTCTTTAATAAGAAAAATGGAGTTTTTATTTCCAAAAAAAAATAGATGGGTGTGTTGACATCATAATGTTTCTTTATATATTCTGGAAACATTTAATAGTTCATAGAATATTTCTTTAGGATTAGTACGGATCAGCCAGATTTTAACTCACTGTTTCAAATTGGTCAAGATCAGCATGTAAAAATCATACTGACATCAATGTTATTGATGCTGCAAACAATTTAAAATTTCCATTTTACAGTTTTACCAAATTAAGCTGCCTAATGTTTTATATGCATATATGAATATCTTACATGACAAGCTGCTGAATTATTAAACAGGGTAGAAATGCTACTTCAGGCTGGGCATGGTGACTCAAGCCTGTAATCCCAGCAATTTTAGAGGCTGAGGCAGGAAGACTGCTTGAGCCCAGGAGTTCGGGATCAGCCTGGGCAACACAGTAAGACCCAATCTCTACAAACATAAAAAAAAATTAGCCAGCCATGGTGGTGCACACCTGTTAGTCCCAGCTACTCGGGAGGCCGAAGTGGGAGAATCACTTGAGCCCAGAAGGTCAAGGCCACAGTGAGCTGTGATCTTGCTACTGCATTCCAGCCTGGGTGACAGAATGAGACCTTGTCTTTAAAAAAAAACTTTACTTCAAATCAACAGATATTTTTATTATTTGTAAAGATAGGGTATTGCTGTGTTGCCCAGGCTGGTCTCGAACCCCTGGCCTCAAGTGATTCTGCTGTCTTGGCCTTCCAAAGCACTGAGATTACAGGCATGAGCCATCATCAAATCAAGAGATATTATCAGAAGAGCTTTCTCAATTTCTACTGTTTAACAGTATATCTTCCTTGCATAGCCCTATAAATATACTAAAAAGCTTGGAATTGTATAGTTAAAACATGTGATTATTATATTATATAAAATATACCCCAGTAAAGCCTTTTTTAAAAAATTAACATGTCGGCCGGGCACGGTGGCTCATGCCTATAATCCCAGCACTTTGGGAGGCTGAGGTGGGTGGATCACCTGAGGTCAGGGGTTCGAGACCAGCCTGACCAACAAGGTGAAACCCCATCTCTACTAAAAACACAAAAATTAGCCGGGCATAGTGGCAGGCACCTGTAGTCCCAGCTACTCGGGAGGCTGAGACAGAAGAATTGCTTGAACCCGGGAGGTGGAGGTTGCAGTGAGCTACGATCATGCCACTGCACTCCAGCCTGGGCAACAGAGTGAGACTCTGTCTCAAAAAAAAAAATAAATAAATAAAATAAAATAAAATAAAATAAAATAAAATAAAATAAAATAAACATATCAATAAATACCAAAAAAATAGTATATCTACATAGAATTTCACATAAAATAAACTGTTTTCTATGTGAAAATTAACCTAAAAATATGCTTTGCTTATGTTTAAGATGTCATGCTTTTTATCAGTTGAGGAGTTCAGCTTAATAATCCTCTAAGATCTTAAACAAATAGGAAAAAAACTAAAAGTAGAAAATGGAAATAAAATGTCAAAGCATTTCTACCACTCAGAATTGATCTTATAACATGAAATGCTTTTTAAAAGAAAATATTAAAGTTAAACTCCCCTATTTTGCTCGTTTTTGCTTATCTAAAATAACATTCTGCACAAATCCCCAAAGATTAGTCATAACGTAACAAGACTGATTAAGACTGATGGGGATGGGGAAGGAGGCTATAGAAGACCAAAAAGATAAATCATACCAACTCTAAGTACATGCTTTGACTCTAAGCAGCAATGTATTAAAGGCTGGCCAGTTATACTGCCAGCAGCTATAATGACTAGAATGAAGTCCTACTGTAAACCATCAATCAATCAATCAATCAATCAATCACTTTTGTTGAGTAAAAGTCTAAATTTTGTGTTTAAACAAGTCTTTAATTCAAGCAAGACTTTAACAAGTTAAAAGGAGCTTATGGGTAGGAAGTAGTGTTATGATGTATGGGCATAAAGGGTTTTAATGGGATAGTGAAAATGTCTATAATAATACTTAAATGGCTGCCCAATCACCTACAGGATTGATGTAAACATGGAAAAGGTCAAAAACTTGGGTCACTAAAATAGATGATTAATGGAGAGGATGAGGTTGATAGTTAAATGTAGATAAGTGGTCTTATTCTCAATAAAAATGTGAACATAAGGCGAGTTTCTACAAAGATGGACAGGACTCATTCATGAAACAGCAAAAACTGGACATTTGTTCTAATCTTTGAAGAGTATGAAAAATTCCTATTTTAAAGGAAAACAGTAACTCACAGGAAATACCAACCCAACATAAAATCAGAAACAATAGTCTAAAGTAATAAAAATCAAACGTTTGCACGATCAAATTATGAATGAAATTCACTACTAAAATTCACACTGATTTTGTTTCATCCACAGTGTCAATGTTGTGATGCATTTCAATTGTGTGACACAGGCAGACTGTGGATCAAAAGTGGTTTCTGGTGCGACTTACTCTCTTGAGTATACCTGCAGTCCCCTTTCTTAAGTGTGTTAAAAAAAAAGGGGGATTTCTTCAATTCGCCAATACTCTAGCTCTCCATGTGCTTTCTAGGAAACAAGTGTTAACCCACCTTATTTGTCAAACCTAGCTCCAAAGGACTTTTGACTCCCCACAAACCGATGTAGCTCAAGAGAGGGTATCTGTCACCAGTATGTATAGTGAAAAAAGTATCCCAAGTCCCAACAGCAATTCCTAAAAGGAGTTTATTTAAAAAACCACACACACCTGTAAAATAAGTATATATCCTCCAAGGTGACTAGTTTTAAAAAAACAGTATTGGCTTTGATGTAAAGTACTAGTGAATATGTTAGAAAAATCTCACTGTAACCAAGTGAAATGAAAGCAAGTATGGTTTGCAGAGATTCAAAGAAAATATAAGAAAACCTACTGTTGCCACTAAAAAGAATCATATATTAAATATACTCACACAATAGCTCTTCAGTCTGATAAAATCTACAGTCATAGGAATGGATCTATCACTATTTCTATTCAGTGCTTTGATGTAATCCAGCAGGTCAGCAAAGAATTTATAGCCCCCCTTGAGCACACAGAGGGCTACAATGTGATGGCCTCCCATCTCCTTCATCACATCTCGAGCAAGACGTTCAGTCCTACAGAAATAAAATCAGGAATTTAATAGAAAGTTTCATACATTAAACTTTATAACAAACACCTCTTAGTCATTAAACTTCCACACCAACCTGGGCAATATAGTGAGACCCCATGCCTGCAAAAAAAAAAAAATTAGCCAGGCATGGTAGCATGTACCTGTAGTCCCAGCTACTTGAGAGGTGAGGTGGGAAAATCACTTTAGTGCAGGATGTTGAGGCTGGAGTGAACTGTGATTGTGCCACTGCACTCCAGCCTGGACAATAGAGCAAGACCTTGTCTCAAAAAAATGCATTAAAAATTTTTTTTAAATCTTCCACGTAACACATCCTTTGCCCTCATGTTTCATAAGGTAAAAAATTTGATACCTTCAAAAAAACCAAGCATACCACTATCATAATTTTTTTTAAATGCAAATAAAAACAAGATACCATTTTCACCTATCAGACTGGCAGGTTCTGATTAAATGAAATTTCTTGGATAATATACAATATTAAGAGAGACTGTAGAAACTGGGCCAGTGGCTCATGCCTGTAATCCCAGCACTTTGGGAGGCTGGGTAACATGGCGAACCCTGTTTCTACAAAATAAAAATATTAGCTGGGAGTGGTGGCGCACACCTATAGTCCCAGCTACTCAGGAGGCTGAGGTGGAAGGATCGCTTGAACCCAGGAGGTTGAGACTGCAGTGAACTGTGATCATTCTGCTGCACTGCACCCCAGCCTGGGCAACAGAGACCTTGTCTCAAAAAAAAAAAAAAAAGAGACAAATTGTGAAGAGAAAGGTACTCTCATATAACATCAGGAGTATAAAATGATTCAACTTCTTAGAGGAAAATTTGGCAATACCAAAATATTCAATAAACTCTTTCCCCTTGACCCAGAAATTCCACTTGAATAAAGCTGAACAAGTACCAAACATGTAAAAGAATGTTTCTTCTAGTACAGTCGGTAAGAACAAAATAGTGTCTATCAATAGTGGACTGGTTAAATCAGTTATGGTATCTCCATAAGACAGAATGCTATGCAACCTTTAAAATATATTAGATAGCTCTAGACACACTAATATTAAAAGTGTCCAATAACATTTAAAACTATACTCATACGTTAAAATATAAATGTATATATGTACTTTTGCATATAGTATACATGCATAGCCAGTGCTTGAGAAGAAATGTGTACAGAAGGCTGAAAGGAGAGAACTTTAGTCTTCTTGTTTATGGCCTCCATAGTTAGAATATTTTATAACACAAATATTTTGATATTATAATTTTAAAATAAAAACACAGAATAGCCAGACATACAATGCAAGCATTCAATACCAGGTAAGGTTTTTCACTGTAATTGACTTAACAGAAAATTTTCAAGCTAGATGTGCATAATAATAAAAATCTGACCTTGCCTTCATGTGATTCAGCCCCAGTCCATTACCCTGTTTAGGACTGAGAAATGCAAGACTCTGGCTAGAGTTCCTTCTTCCATCTCCCTTCAATGTTTACTTTGTTCTGGTCCCTACAGAGTCCCACTATACCACAACTGATACTAAGTAATTAGTAAGGCCCTCCTCTTTTATTTTTAATAAAGAAGATTTTAGAAAGCATCAGTTATTTAATAAGTTGGCCTAGTTTATGTTCAAATAGCAAGTACTCAGAACAGCTGCTGATGTTTGAAATTAACACAAGAAAAA
Source organism: Homo sapiens (assembly GCF_000001405.40). NCBI lineage: Eukaryota > Metazoa > Chordata > Mammalia > Primates > Hominidae > Homo > Homo sapiens. Next base: position 134,473,496 of record NC_000023.11, on the reverse strand, counting down.
GTAAAAAACCTCATTTTAAGATCTTACTTACCTGTCCATAATTAGTCCATGAGGAATAAACACCCTTTCCAAATCCTCAGCATAATGATTAGGTATGCAAAATAAATCAAGGTCATAACCTGGTTCATCATCACTAATCTGAAAAAGAAATATAGCTGTTTCAATGAGAGCATTACAGGATACAAACATTTGATTGGATTAAGATGTTAAAAAATAACCTTAGTCTATCAGAGAAATTTAGGTGTAAGATGATATTAGTAACTGTTAACTTTGTAGGTATGATAATGAATTATGTAAGAAAACAACAGGCCGGGCGGGTTGGTTCACACGTGTAATCCCAGCACTTTGGGAGGCTGAGGCAGGCAGACTGCCTGAGCTCAGGAGTTCGAGACCAGCCTGGGCAACACGGTGAAATCCCGTCTCTACTAAAAATACAAAAAAATTAGCCGGGTGTGGTGACACATGCCTGTAGTCCCAGCTACTTGGGAGGCTGAGGCAGGAGAATCACTTGAACCTGGGAGGTGAAGGTTGCAGTGAGCCAAGAATGCGCCACTTCACTCCAGCCTGGGAAACAGAGCAAGACTCTGTCTCAAAAAAAACAAAACAAACAAACAAAAAAACAGGCTGGGCGCGGTGGCTCACGCCTGTAATCCCAGCACTTTGGGAGGCCGAGGCGGGTGGATCACCTGAGGTCAGGAGTTCCAGACCAGCCTTGTCAACATGGTGAAACCTCCCCCCGCCGTCTCTACTAAAAATACAAAAATTAGCCAGGCGTGGTGGCAGGAGCCTGTAATCCCAGCTACTTGGGAGGCTGAGGCAGGAGAATCGCTTGTACCCAGAAGGCAGAGGTTGCACTGAGCTGAGATGGCACCATTGCACTCCAGCCTGGGGGACAAGAGCGAGATTTCGTCTTTAAAAAACAAAAAACAAAACAAAAAACCATGTAACTATATGTCTTAGTCATCTTAGTCAAGAATGTAGAAGTAAAGTGATAAGATATGGAATTTCCTTTAGGTCACAAAGAGAAAAAGAAAAATTTTAAAGAGCTAAGACAAACGCAGCAAAATCTTTATATTTAATAATATTCTAAACATGGGTGATGAACATACGGGTATTCATTATACTATTCTCTCCACTTTTGAGTATGTTTGAAAATTTAGTAAAACAAGTTTTAACACACTGTAGTCTAACAAGATAAAATATCACACTGAACAGGAAAAACTGGCATGGTGTGGTGGCTCACACTTGTAATCCCAGTGCTTTGGGAGGCTGAGACAGGAGAGTTGCTTGAGGCCAGGAGTTCAAGACCGACATGGGGAATGTAGCAAGACCCCGTCCCTACAAAAAACTTTGTAAAAATTTGCCAGGTATGGTGGTGCATACCTGTAGTCCCAGCTACTCGGGAGGCGGAGGCAGAAGGAATCACTTGAGCCCAGGAGTTTGAGGCTGCAGTGAGCTACGATCATACCACAGCACTCCAGCGTGGACAACAGAGTAAGACCCTATCTCAAAAACAAAACAAAACAAAACAAACAAAAAAAACCACAAGAAAAACTGCTGGCTGATGCAGCGGCTCATGCCTGTAATCCCAGTATTTTGGGAGGCCCAGGTGGGCGTATCACCTGAGGTCAGGAGTTAGAGACCAGCCTGGCCAACATGGTGAAACCCCATCTCTACTAAAAATACAAAATTAGCCAGGCATGTGGCACGCGCCTGTAGTCCCAGTTACTGGGGAGGCTGAAGCAGGAGGATCACCTGAGCCCGGGAGGTGGAGGTTGCAGTGAGCCGAGATCACACCACTGCACTCCAGCCTGGGTGACACAGCAATACCCTACCTCAAAATAAAAAAGAAAAAGAAAAGAAAAGTTGCTGTCCCCGCTACCCCAATCCCAAATCCAAACAGCCTCTCTCATCTCACAGTAAGGGGGAAAAATCACCCAAAAAAGCTAAGTGATCTTTTGAAAACCCAAACTCTTAGAAGTCTAAGATTATTATAGTCAACTCATGAAGTGTCATCATAAAAGATACTCTAATATTATTTAAGTAGAACCACATATTGGTTGTCTTGGTATGTCTAGCCCCTGGCATACAAAATATTTAATAACACTGATATGGTACCTGTGATGTGAAAATGTACTATGAGTACAGCTTTATAAATACTATATATGTACCTATATACAGAAAAAAATACAACAAAATCATAAAAGCACTTATCTTTGAAAGAGGAGTTACAGCAATTTTATTTAGTTCTTTATTGCTTTGCTATATATTCTAAATTTTTTTCAATGAATATATATCACTTTTAAAAAAATTCAATGGTCTTTCTTATAAATTATCTTTGGCAGCATGCGTTTTTATATATACATATAAAATGTATGGGAAATTTTTAAAGGATACATTAAATTAAAGCAAAATATACAAACAAAAAATCAGAATACAAAAAGATAAAAAGATTGGGAAGGGAGGGAGGGAGTAAGGAGGAAGGGTGGGTGGGTATAGAGAAATATACCAAATAATGGTAAGAAGTGGGGTCTTGACACTTTCTACACTTTTTTTAAATAAAAAAAATTTTTTTCTCTCTCTTTTTTTTTTTTAGAGACGAAGTCTCGCTATGTTGCCCAGGCTGGTCTTGAACTCCTGGGATCAAGAGATCCTCCTGCCTCAGCCTCCCAAGGTGCTTGGATTACAGGTGTGAGCCACCACGCCTGGTCACTTTCTACACTTTAATATATATATTTTTTCATTTTCAATGTCATTTTTATTAGTTAATTTATAATACCCATTCACCATTATATTCAAAGTCTATTTGAAGAAATAAACCAGAAAGAATGAAATACTCTAGCTCACATGCTATTCAATACTAAATTACCTTTCAAATCACATTCAAGAAGCTGATGATTTAAGCTTTGGCGGTTTCCAATAAATATTGGTCAAACCATAATTAAATCTCAATATATCAGTTAGTACCTATTGAGCATCTCCTTTTACAACCTAAGCATTGTATTAGGTGCTTAAATACAAGCAGCTTGACTTTTAATACATTTAAAAATACATATTTAAGACTTAAAATCTTATTTATGGAATTCAGTTATATTTTGAGGTTTCCAGTGCTGAGAAATTTGAGGTTTGTGCTGTCTTTCAGTCCCCAAAGCTCAGTTCTGAGTTCTCAGACTTTGGTGGAACTTCATGTATTGTCAGGTTGGCCCGTAATACCTGTGGGACAACTTCAGCCCCTGTGCACATGGCCAGGAGGCTGGTTGCAAACATTTTCAGGTAGGTGGACCAGGACATGCCCCTGGTCATGGCCAGGTGGAGGCATAGTGCTATACAGCAGGCAGAAGTCAATATTGATTTGTTTTTAAAGAAACATGTACTACTTTCATAAGCAGAAAAAATTTCTATTCTTGGGGGAAAAGATTATGCCAGATCCTCTAGGATTAAATGCTGATGCATCTGCTAAACCTTCACATATCAGAACATATTTACTATAGAAAGAATGAAAATGGGACATTTGTGTGTCACCTATGTGAACATTCCAAAAATATTTTACAACAACTAAGTATTTTATAAATTTTATGAACTGAAATTTAGTTCAAGTTCTAGGAAAATACAAACCTTGCTAGATATTATAAAAATGATACAATATATATTCATTTCAGGCTCATCAGAATATATCTGTTATCACTTGACAAGAATGAAAATGCACCATTTTGTAGTGCTTTAAAATCAGGAAGATCCAGAGTACTAAAAATGACTTCTTCCTTGAAGCTTACTCACCAACTTCCTCCCAGTTACTCACTGCTTCTGCCACAAGCATAAACTAGGACCCAGCCAGAACTCCTTGAAATATACACTTGCAACGATTACTGCATCTATCAAAATGGTTCAGTGCCTGGCTACAGGTTCTGCAGATCGACTAAGAATTTGAAAAGTCTTGTTTATTTCAAAGGAAGCCCATGTGAATTCTGCCCAGAGTTCATCCCAGATATGCAGTCTAAGAATACAGACAGATCAGCAGAGATGTATTCTAAAACAGGAATTCTGGCAATATAACAAATTGATTTCCAATCAAAACAGATTTACATACCATACTTATGTCAAGAAGTTGTTTTGTTTTATTGCATCCTAGATTTTATTTTTTTGATTTATGGTTTACTTTAAGCATAAAAAATTTGTCAATACAACTCTTCCCAAAAGGCATAAACAAAAATTCATAAAACTTGCATCACTTGAGATACTTCAGGTATGAATTCACAACTTTGTTACAACTTACTATATATATGCACACATATATATATATTTGGGTATATTGGGGGGGTTCTAATTTAAGAAATGCATAATTGGCTATAGACAGACAGTTGTCAGAACTTGGCAATGGGTACGTGCAGGTTCATTATACCAAGTCTACTTGTAGTTGTTCAAAATGTATCATAATACAAGGCCGGGCGAGGTGGCTCACGCCTGTAATCCCAGCATTTTGGGAGGCTAAGGCAGGAGGATTGCTTGAGGTCAGGAGTTTGTGACCAGCCTGGGCAACAGAGCAAGACCCTGTCTCCAAAAAGAAAAAAAATAATTTTTTACAAAATAAAAACAAAATGTATCATCAGACGAAATTAAATAAGAGGCAATTCATTTAAATGACAACTTTTCCCAGCTTGACATTTAACAAAAAGTCTAAGTCCTCTTAATTCATATTTAATGATCAAATATCAAATACTAATTTTTTTTTTTTTTTTTTTTTTGAGACGGAGTCTCGCTCTGTCGCCCAGGCTGGAGTGCAGTGGCGCGATCCTGGCTCACTGCAAGCTCCGCCTCCCGGGTTCACGCCATTCTCCTGCCTCAGCCTCCCGAGTAGCTGGGATTACAGACATGCGCCACCACGCCCGGCTAATTTTGTATTTTTAGTAGAGATGGGGTTTCTCCATGTTGGTCAGGCTGGTCTTGAATTTCCCACCTCAGGTGATCTGCCTGCCTCAGCCTCACAAAGCAGTAGCTGGGACTACAGGCACCCACCACCACACTTGGTTAATTCTTTTGTATTTTTTTTGTAAAGACGGGATTTCACCATGTTAGCCAGGATGGTCTCGATCTCCTGATCTCATGATCCGCCCGCCTCAGCCTCCCAAAGTGCTGGGATTACAGGCGTGAGCCACCCCGCCCGGCCATCAAATACTAATTCTTAAATGGTAAGGACCCACTATTCAGAACCTGTATCCTTATCACTAATATGCAAATATTTATTGAATACTTACTATGTCATGCATACTAGAGAGAGTTAGATAAATTTGATACAGCTACCCTCACAGAACTTACAGTGTAATAGATGGCATGACATGTACATGAGTAACTGTGAACAGTGTTAAATTGCTATTTAAAAAAAAAGACGGCTGGGCGCTGTGGCTCATGCCTGTAATCCCAGCACTTTGGGAGGCCAAGGCAAGTTGATCGCTCGAGGTCAAGAGTTCGAGACCAGCCTGGCCAACGTGGTAAAACCCCGTCTCTACTAAAAATACAAAAAAAAAATTAGCCAGGCATGGTGGCACAGGCCTGTAATCCCAGCTACTAGGGAGGCTGAGACATGGAGAACTGCTTGAATCCAGGAGGCAGAGGTTACAGTGAGCCGAGATCATACCACTACACTCCAGCCTGAGTGACAGAGCGAGACTCCGTCTAAAAAAAAAAAAAAAAAAAAAGATACAGGTTAAGTGTTATGGTAGTTGAAGAGAGAACTCAAACTCTGTCTCAGAAGCCTCACTTGCATGTGGACCACTGATATGAAATAATATAAATAGGTATAATTCAATAAATAGGAACTTCAGTTTTAATCATCCCAAACACCAAAACTTCCTATCAAACAGGTCCAATAAACTCAATCTCTATAAGAGCTAGACAGAAATCTACTTGGTGGCCTATAATCTTATTAGCCCTTACTTGTCCCATCTGATATTAATTAACCCCATCTAATATGGATTAGTTAACAATCCAGTGGCTGCTTTGACAGGAACAGTTGGAGAGAGTTGGGGATTGCAACATATTCAATTATACAAAAATGCATTCAGCATCTACCTTGATTAAGGCAGTGTGCAACAGAATTTGCAGGAGAGTAAAAGAATGATTATAAATTTACAACCCTTAAAGAGCTTATAGCTGGGCGTGGTGGCTCATGCCTGTAAATCCCAGCACTTTGGGAGGCTGAGGCGGGTGGATCACCTGAGGCCAGAAGTTCAAGACCAGCCTAGCCAACATGGCGAAACCCTGTCTCTACAAAAAATACAAAAATTAGCCGGGTGTGGTGGCACGTGCCTGTAGTCCCAGTTACTTGGGAGGCCGAGGCAGGAGAATCGCTTGAACCTAGGAGGTGGAGGCTGCAGTGAGCCGAGATTGTGCCACTGCACTCCACTTCAGCCTGGGCGACAAGAGCAAGACTCCGTCACAAAAAAAAAAAAAAAAAAAAAGCTTAAAATCTAGTGGGAAAGGCATATATACATACAACTAACTGTATAGCATAATAAAGCTCATAATCTGTAACAAAATCTAATTCGACAAGCCCAGAAACTTGTGATTTACCAAAAACAGTTATATATACACAAAAAGTAAACCTAGAACCCAAAGTTACCCAGCACCAATGATTCTCTCCCTAAGCAGTATCAAGTTTAAAGCAGTGATTACATTCTACTGCCTAGATTGTAAACTGAGTAAAGGAGACCAGCACCTTTCTGCTACTGAACTAGCACAGCCGTGTAAACCAACAAGGCAATGGCAGTGCCCAACTTTCTGTATGAATATAAGTTACATCTGTTTTATTATTTGTGACTTGGTGTTGCATGTGGTTATTATCAACACCTTCTGAAAGAACAACTACCTGCTCAGGCTGCCATAACAAAATACCACAGACTGAGTGACTTAACAGAAACTTATTTCTCACAGTTTTGGAGGCTGGGAAGTCCAAAATTAAGGTACCTGCAAGGTAGGTTTCAATCTCAGGCCTCTTCTTTGGCTTGAAGGTCTTCTAACTGTGTGCTCACATGACCTCTTCTAACAAGCTCTCTGGTGTCTCTTTTTTTTTTTTTTTCTTTTTTGAGACAGAGTCTCACTCTGTCACCCAGGCTGGAGTACAGTGGCACAATCTGGGCTCACTGCAACCTCCAACTCCCGGGTTCAAGTGATTCTCATGCCTCACCCTCCCGAGTAGCTTGGATGACAGGAGCCCGCTACCACACCCAGCTAATTTTTGTATTTTTAGTAGAGATGGTGTTTCACTACATTGGCCAGGCTGGTCTCAAACTCCTGACCTCGTGATCCACCCACCTTGGCCTCCCAAAGTGCTGGGATTACAGGTGTGAGCCACTGCGCCCGTCCTGGTGTCTTTTCATATAAGGGCACTAATCCAATCAGACCTGGGCCCAACCCTCCCGACTTCTTCTAACTGTAATTACCTTCCAAAGGCCCTGTCTCCAAATACCATCACACTGGGGGTTAGGACTTCAAAAAAGGTATGGGGGGGGTGTGGGAGGACATAAATGCTCAGTCCATAACAAGCACCCAACATAAAAATGGCTAGAACAGATCACAAAAAAAAGGTCCTGTATGGCTTTGGGGAAGGGCTCAACCCCAAAATATCTGAGAGCTCTGGAGGGGCCTAGAAGTGGTAAATGAATGAAAACGTGGTTACTCTCCAGATCTGCCTTTCCCAAATATGGCCATTCTTGGCTGAATCAGAAATCAAAGGACAGGTTATTAATTACTAGCTCTAAGTTACTTACCATTTGCTGAGACAGTTCAGAAATCTGACTGCATCTCCTCAGAGATCTAGAACACAGTTCTCAAATTCTAACTTACTTGTGATATACTTGTGAATGATAAAAATCGCTACAGGTACTTTTATTAATCTGAAAGAGTATTGAGAAATTACCTTTCATTCTGACTTTTGTCTGGAATGAAAATCAATACTTTTGCTATAATCGATTACTGAAATAATTTTACTTTCCAGTAAAACTGGCATTATAATTTTTTTTAATTTTTAAAACTTCATAATTTTTTGCCAGACTGACCCATGTAAACATACAAATTACTAATAATTATGCACGTCACATCTGTAATAATGGCCTTCATGTAAACATTTTTGTGGTTTACACATAAAATCTCTAATTACAAAGCTATATTATCTAAAATTACAGTAAGCAAGAAAATTAATCCAAGCTAAGACAATACTTGCAACATCAATTCATCATCTGTGACAAGGACTGCTTAAGTCTCTTTGTGGTTAAAAAGGAAAAAAAAAAAAAAGACATGTTGGCCAGATGCGGTGGCTCACACCTGTAATCCCAGCACTTTGGGAGGCTGAGGTGGGCGGATCACCCCTGGCCTGCCCAACATGGTGAAACCCCGTCTCTACTAAAAACACAAAAATTAGCTGGGCGTGGTGGCGGGCGCCTGTAATTCCAGCTACTCGGGAGGCTGAGGCAGGAGAATTGCTAGAACCCAGGAGGCAGAGATTGCAGTGAGCTGAGATTGCACCATTGCACTACAGTCTGGGCAACAAAAGTGAAACTCCATCTTAAAAAAAAAAAGACAATGTTCGTGGGTCCAAACAAGACTTAATGGAAGTGAGTCTAAAAATGAGCTATGTGGGCCAGGCGTAGTGGCTCCCACCTGTAATCCCAGCACTTTGGGAGGCCGAAGCAGGCAGATCATGAGGTCAGGAGATGGAGACCATCCTGGCCAACACGGTGAAATCCTGTCTCTACAAAAATTAGCTGGGCGTGGTGGTGCCTGCCTGTAATCCCAGCTACTCAGAAGGCTCAGGCAGGAGAATCGCTTGAACCAGGGAGTCGGTGGCTAGAGTGAGCCGAGATTGCATCACTGCACTCCTGCCTGGTGACAGAGCAAGACTCCATCTCAAAAAAAACAAACAAAAATAAAAGATAAAAATGAGCTATGTGAATTAAAAGAGGTATAACAATAGATAAACCATATTTTATTTAATTCCTAGTAATGAGTAATATTTCCAAACTTCTGGAATGGGCAGAAATTGCTAGTTGGCATATTTTTACCTTTTATATTCAGATACATTAAAATTCTCAAAAAAAAACACCTCAAAGCAGATGATCCGCCATCTCCTTGGATAATTTGTGTTAACTCAGGATAACAGAAAACCAAAATTATGAGTTACTGATGCAATATTCCTAAATGTAAAAATAATTAAAGCTAATAGTAGATTCATCTTCCAATTTCATATCAGTCTTACAAATAAACTACATATATAACTTGCTTGCCTTCCCTTCTGAGGGATAAAGCTGTTAGAAGAATTAAAATCAGCATTCTTGACTATTCAACCAAGGGAGGGATAAATTATTACTCATTCTAGGGACATGGGCTCATAACTACTACATGTGTAAGGACATGAATTTACCCAATATTACAATTTTTCCTTTTATTAGTGTGTACAGTGGAAGAATAGACATGTTCACTCTGGACAAAAAAAAAATTATACTTATCAGTTATCAGAAGCACAATGCTGAAGACAGTAGTTCCATAACAATTTGAAGTATGTGATCGAACTAGTAGATTATCTTAGTAGTAGTGAATTATTGTAAATGTTAGTAATTTGGCAGCCACTGGGCAGAAAAATAAGAATTGAGGCTCAATATTGATATTAATGGTGGTGATTGACACATAAATTTTATCAAGTCTACACAATATAAAATTACAGAAAGGTAGAAGAGTATACCAGTACAACTTCAACATATCTTCACTACAAGGGAGTAAAATGACATGGCCTAGTTACTATCTAATGAACTGCAGAAAACTAAAAGAAAACTCCAAGGCAACTCTTCTCTGCTGATCTGGTTGGTCCTTTTCCTACCTTTTGCAATACCCAGATACAAACAATGGATAGAAAACAAAGTAGACTTGTAGTATGCAGGTCACAGTGCTAAATTCACAGAAAGAAACCCCTGAACTGAACTGCTCTATTTCCTGGTGGTCACAAAGAGTAATTCTGGTTTACACCTACAGATTGATGTCAATCTACACCCTGTTGATAACAGTGTGGCCAAGGACAAAAAAAAGGTGCTCCGTTTTACCAATTCTGTAAAAAATTATTGGCAGGGTAAGCTCGGCTAGGGCAGGATTACATTTCTAGGACTACCATCCCCGAAATTTAGAAGATATTATATCCACATAAAGCATATCTTTCACATTAATTTGCAAAAATCTAAAAGCTTTTTCTTAGCTCAAGTGTGTCCAAGTTTACCCTGGCAGTTTAAAACGATAGTTACAAGCAGCATGGGTTGTATCAGACACATTTGAGGGCCAATTTCATGTAAGTGATATTGGGCAAGTTACTTCAACTATCTGTGCCTCCAAGGTCATACTAGTGTTTATTTACCTAAAGGGTACCTGTTATGTAACTTTAGGGTGTTTACATTAGATAATGCCTGCAAAATATTTACTTCAACGCCTAAAACATAGTTAAGTATTCAATAAATACCTACTATTGTCACTACTAACTTAAAAGTTTAGAGATTAAGAGCAGAATCTGGGGTGAGACAAACTTAGGTTCAAATCCTAGTATTGTTGGGTAATCTTGGGCAAGTTACTTAACCTCTCTGATTTGTGTAATTTAAAAAATTAGTTAATATACATAACAGGGCTTAGAAGAGTATCTAGCACATAGCACCATTTAAGCATTTGTTATTGCTAACATGCAAACAATTTAAGGGAAAGAAATTTTTTAAAAAGGAAGAGGGATTTGCAAACTAAAAACAATGAGTATCTTATGTTCAAAGAAAACTAACAAACAGCCAGCTCTAGCAATAATTAAATTCACTATATACTGGGGCAGGCATCACACCCCAAAGCTAAAAGCGTCTACCTAGGCCAGGCACGGTGGCTCATGCCTGTAATCCCAGCACTTTGGGAAGCAGAGGCGGGCAGATCGCTTGAGCTCAGGAGTTCAAGACCAGCCTGGACAACATGGCAAAACACCATCTCTACAAAAAATACAAATATTAGGCCGGGCGCAGTGGCTCACGCCTGTAATCCCAGCACTTTGGGAGGCCAAGGCGGGTGGATCACCTGAGATCAGGAGTTCGAGAGTAGCCTGGCCAACATGGTGAAACCTCGTCTCTATTAAAAATACAAAAAATTAGCCAGGCATGGTGGCAGGCGCCTGTAATCCCAGCTACTCAGGGGGATGAGGTAGGAGAATCGCTTGAACCCGGGAGGCAGAGGTTGCACTGAGCCGAGATCATGCCACTGTACTCCAGCCCGGGCAACAAGAGCGAAACTCCATCTCAAAAAATAAATAAATAAATAAATAAAATAAAGTACAAATATTAGCCAGGGATGGTGGTGCGCACCTGTAGTCCCAGCTACTTGGGAGGCTGAAGTGGGAGAATCCCCTGAGCCTGGGGAGAATCACCCGAGCCCGGGAAGTCGAGGCTGCAGTGAGCAGTGATTGTGCCACTGCACTCCATCCTAGGTGACAGAGTGAGACCCTGTCTCAAAAAAAAGAAATTGGCAGAATTAAGTAAGTTGATGTTTAGAGATGAAAAATCAACATTTTTTCCTCAGCAACTGAATAAAAACAACAGCCACTACCATTTTTTTGAGTACCTATTTGTAGCCTATTTTTTAACTGGTATTACTCGAGAGAGAGAGAGCTAGGTTCGAGACAGAGCTCCTTCTCTTAATAACTGTATGACCTAGGGTATGTCTGTTAGCCTCTCTGAGGCTTCAAAGGTTCCTCATCTGTAAAATGGTAATAATCATACCATTGCTACAGGGCTGTTTTGAAGACTAATTAGGACTATGTAAGTAAACATGATGATGGCTATTATTACTGTTCCCCGCCAGGGGCCATGCAAGGGTTGCTGATTCACATAGACTGTCTTATAATCCTCTCAATAACTCCAAGAGGTAGCCAGCACCTCAGATATACATAAAATGACTTAAGCCCAGAGAGGTGAAGTAAGTTGCCCACAGCCACACAACTAGTAAATAGCCCAAACAAGCTGGATTCCCAGTTAGACTCCGTTAATAGCACTGCTCTTTACCTTAAGTCATTACAATGCCTAATATGAAATAGAATCGCTTCTTTCTTAGGGTTCAAGTGGTTAATTATTTAATGTATTCATTCAACAAACCATCATCGAGGACCTCTTACAAGCCAAGTACTGTGCTAAGTGCTAGAGTTACGGCGGTGATTCCTGCCCTTAAAAAGTTTTAGTGGGAGAAACAACAGGTAACCAGGTCATTGCCAAAACAACAAAAATAATCATAATAAAGCAGGCTAAAGCATATTTAACTGGCCGGGGTTTTGACTATTTTAGCAAGCATGATCAGAACGGTTGAGGAGGGAGGCCAGCAGCTTGGCCGGTTCAACAAACAAGAAAAAACCAGTGAGGGTGGAGCTAAGATACCAGAGGCTGATTACGGTTAAGAATGTTCTTGAAGGTAAGGACCAGATTCTCATTTTCTATATCCTGGGGCATCGGTCAGCATGGAATCTGGATTCTAGCACATGTGAATTTCGGCTTGAAATGACCTAATGCCTTTTCCCTAGTTCCTTCGTGTGTCAAATACGCATGGTTACCGCTACCAGAGCTGTAGTGGGGCTTCAATGAGGCCATGAGCATCTCCATAAAGATGAACTACAGTGTGTGCAAAACTAAAGGCAAAACCTGGTCCCCACACGCCCTCCCAGGTGGTCGCTTTCCGTGCCGAGGCCCCTCCAGAGGTGCCCCGAGAACCTCACCATCGCACCCCAAACTTCCAGGGAAGGGCCTCTCCCGAGAAAGCCCCCACGCCCCCACCCCGCGCCATCATTCCCGAATCTGCCCTCGGCCCCTCCCCGCAGCACGCTCGCAGGCGGCACATGTCAACCAAAACGCCATTTCCACCTTCTCTTCCCACACGCAGTCCTCTTTTCCCAGGGCTCCCCCGAGGAGGGACCCACCCCAAACCCCGCCATTCCGTCCTCCCTGCCGCCCTCGCGTGACGTAAAGCCGAACCCGGGAAACTGGCCGCCCCCGCCTGCGGGGTTCCCTGGGCCCGGCCGCCCGAGCCCGCACTGCGGATCCCGCGCCTCAGGGCCCGGCCGCCACCTGCCGCGTGGGCCTGAACCGGCCAGGGCCGGCAGGCCGAGCTGCTCACCACGACGCCAGGGCTGCGGGTCGCCATAACGGAGCCGGCCGGCGCGCGGGCTGACTGCTCAGGAGGAGGAAGCCGGTGGCGGAGCAGAGGAGGAGGCGGAGGCGCAGCAAGAGGCGGCGCCGCGCGGGAAAGCCGAGAGGTTCGCCTGAGGGCTCGTCGCAGCCGCCTGAAGCTGAGGAGAAGCAGGCCCCGCCCTCTGCCCGCCCCGCCACGCCCCGCAGGCCCCGCCCCCGGCCCCGCCCGCGCGCCTACGCCGGCGCCTACCAGTTTGCAGGCTCACTAGGTAGCCGTGGGAATTTTCTCCCAGAAGAAGCCGAGGCTCCCCCAGCGAAGCCCCTTTCCCTCCCAACTCAGTCTCCTATTCAGAGGGCTCCCTGATTCCCAAACCTACCGGCGCGCGTTGCTTCATGGCGGCCGTAAACCGGGCCCCGGCTCTTCGGGTTCCAGTCATCGCGTGAATCCTTGGACCAGACGTCCCATTCCCAAGACCTTGCACTACCTGTGGCTTCCATTTTCCTGACTCTTGGCCCAGTGCTTCCCCAAACCCTTAACTGGTTGTAACAGTTGAGACCTAGAGTCCTAGAGTCACCCAGATCAGGGTACACATCTGAGAGGACACTTAACTGCTCTGTAGTTTTGTACAAATCAGACTCTGAGCCTCTATTTTTGCCTCACTAAAATGAGCATATTAGCCCGGCGCGGTGGCTCATGCCTGTAATCCCAGCACTTTGGGAGGCCGAGGCAGGTGGATCACTCAAGGTCAGGAGTACGAGACCAGCCTGGCCAACATGGCGAAACCCCATCTCTACTAAAAATACAAAAATTAGCTGGGCGTGGAGGCGGGCGCCTGTAATCCCAGCTAGTCCGGAGGCTGAGGCAGGAGAATCACTTGAACCCGGGAGGCGGAGGTCGCACTGAGCTGAGATCGCACCACTGCACTTCAGCCTCCGCGACAGAATGAGACTCCGTCTCAAAAATAAATAAAAATAAAAATAAATAAAAATTTAAAAATAAAATGAGCATATTAACAATACATAAACAGGATCATTTTGAGTATTAGAGGAGTATAGGTATGCGTGTGTGTATGTATATATATATGCACTTAGGACAGTACAGTCAGCAAATGGGAACTACTGTTATTACTACTGATCTTTATTTTTGCCCACACAAGTTCTTATATTGAATCTGAAAACAAAAATATGTTCCCCTGCTAATTAATTCTCAGATAGGTCAGGTAAGCAAGCAACAGTTGCTCCAGCAACACCATTTCTTATATACTCAACCCTATAGCTCCAGCATCCACCACAGTGCCCAGCACATAGTTGGTGGCCTCCCTCTTATTAAGGACGCTGAGGGGTATGTGATGGCAGGAGATTTGTAAAACTAGGCAAGTCATTGAGCTTCTCTGGACCTCAGTCTCTTCATCTAAAAAATGAGAATAATAAACCTGGGTAACATGGTGAGACTCAGTCTCTACAAAAATGAAAAATTATCTGGGCCTGGTGGCCATGTGCCTGTAGCCCCAGCTACTTGGGAGGCTGAGGTGGGAGGATGGCTTGAGCCCAGGAGGTCCAGGCTGCAGTGAGCCAAGACTGTGCCACTGCACTCCAGCCTGGGCAACAGAGAAATATCCTGTCTCAAGAAAAAAGAAAAAGAGAGAGAGAGAGAATAATAACTACTGCCATGAAGAGTTTTACGAGAATTCTAAAAATCATTTATGTAAAGTACCTCATATAGTATTTGCCACATAATAGGTGCTCAAGAAACAGTAGCTGTTATAATTTTAGCATGTATGAATTTGTGAAGTCCATACTTCCCTACTTTCCCTGTCTTCCCTCTTTATCCTGGAGAGGCAGCAGGCTGTAATGGAAAAGGGATGTATGGGCTTTGGACTGAGTTCAAATCCTGGGTTCCCCACTATTATAGCATTTTGACTTTGGGCAAGATCCTTGGTCCCTGCGTGCTTGGTTTCTTATACGTCAAATGAGGTTAATATCTCTGTCACAGAGTGTGGTGAAGATTAAACAAAATAATATATGCAAAAGTGCCTAGCATAGAGCTTGGCTCAATACATGATGATACCAATGTTACGTGTTCCATAATAATTTTGCCTTAAACAGTTCACTTTCTTCTAGCCTCTAAGACTTTTTTTTTTTTTTTTGAGACAGAGTCTCGCTCTGCTGCTCTGCTGGAGTGCAGTTGAATGATCTCAGCTCACTGCAACCTCTGCCTCCCGGGTTCAAGCAATTCTCCTGCCTCAGCTTCCCGAGTAGCTGGGACTACAGGCGTGTGACACCAGACCTGGCTAATGTTTGTATTTTTAGTAGAAAATGGGGTTTCACCATGTTGGCCAGGCTGGTCTTGAACTCCTGACCCCAGGTGATCCGCCCATTTTGGCTTCCCAAAGTGGTGAGATTACAGATGTGAGCCACCACGCCCAGCCTGCCTCTAAGACTTCTTATCCATTCCCCTGTTGATGGACATTTGGGCAGTTTCCAGGTTTGGGCTATTAGAAATAATGCTACTATGAACATTTTGTACATATCTTTTGGTGAATATATGAATGCATTTCTATTTGGCATAGAACTTGAAATTCATATTAGAACATTTTCATTACTTATCCTTTTAACAAACATTGTGTTCTATCAGGAAGTTAATTCAGAGAACTTCCGGTTATATATTCGTCCCCTGACACATGTGGTCTCAGCTACTCAAATTTGTTTCTAAATTAGGTACCCAACAATTCAGAATCCTTCCAGCTTGCCTCTGGCTTGCAGTTCCTTTCTCCAAATCCTGCAGTACCAGATACTCCTGTATTTTAATAGTGGATTTGAAACAAATAATGATAGCCAGATGATTGTAAAAACAAAGAAACAGTACTGTTCTTTCAATCTTGTCATTCTGTGTGACAATTTGGACTTTTTATTTGTATTTAAAATGGAAAACAGCAAACACTGCAATCTGCAAGATGTAAGACTTTTTCTTGGTAAGTGAAAATCTGGTTCACATATGAAATGGTTTACTGAATTTCCACATTATATTTAAAGTGGAAATGTATTCTTCTAAAATATTGTTTTCCCACTACAGACAAAAGCAAGAAAATAATTATTCCTAATTATTATATGATTATTATTGAAAATGATTTTGTCATAGAGGTGAAAAATGTTAAAAAATTATCTACTCTGGACGTCCTATATGCTAGGTATGTCACTGTTCTTTACTGGAATATCTGCATGCAGGAAGAAATAAGGAAAGCATGAGTGTAACCTAAGATTCCTCTTCCCGATGCCTTTCCAGAAACAATTTTTTTTTTTTTGAGATGGAGTCTTGCTCTGTCACCCAGGCTGGAGTCCAGCGGTGTGATCTCAGCTCACTGCAACCTCTGCCTTCCAGGTTCAAGCAATTCTCCTTTCTCAGCCTCCCGAATAGCTGGGACTACAGTTGCACGCCACCACACCCGGCTAATTTTTGTATCTTTAATAGAGACAGGGTTTCACCATATTGATCAGGCTGGTCTCGAACTCCTGACCTCAGGTGATCCGCCTGCCTCGGCCTCCCAAAGTGGTGGGATTACAGGCATGAACCACTGCACCCAGCCAGAAACAATTTTGTAATCGACTTGTTTGAACACAATTATGAATTATTTGTGCGCCACAACCAAGTCCAACTGTATTTCTTCTCTAGAAATTTCTTTATTAAGAAGTCTGTTTTTAACCATGGTGCTGTGCTCCGCCAAAATTTGTATTTCTATGAAAAACAATCATCACAAAAATATTTATACTAAATGTTTACTTTTTCAATGAGTTGATAATGGTTTTCTCAATAATGCCAGATGTTTCACTTTCATCAGAATAACTTTCCATAAGCTTTACTTTTTTTTTTTTTTTTTTTTTGATACGGAGTCTCGCTCTGTCACCCAGGCTGGAGTGCAGTGGCGCGATCTCGGCTCACTGCAAGCTCTGCCTCCCGGGTTCACGCCATTCTCCTACCTCAGCCTCCCGAGTAGCTGGGACTACAGGCACCTGCCACCACGCCTGGCTAATTTTTTTTGTATTTTTTAGTAGAGACGGGGTTTCACCGTGTTAGCCAGAATGGTCTCGATCTCCTGACCTTAGGTGATCTGCCCGCCTCGGCCTCCCAAAATGCTGGGATTACAGACATGAGCCACCGTGCCCGGCCTCCATAAACTTTACTTTTATTCCATAAATGGGGTGTAAAATTGAACCATAATTGGAATTAACTAACATGATGGTTAATTTCTTTCTTTTTCTTTTTTTTTGAGACAAAGTCTTGCCCTGTGACCCAGGCTGGAGTGCAATGGCGCGATCTGGGCTCACTGCAACCTCCACCTCCCGGGTTCAAGCAATTCTCCTGCCTTAGCCTCCTGAGTAGCTGGAATTACAGGTGTGTGCCACCACGTCGGGCTAATTTTTGTATTTTTAGTAGAGATGGGGTTTCACCATGTTGGCCAGGCCGGTCTGAAACTCCTGACCTCGTGATCTGCCTGCCTCAGTCTCCCAAAGCGCTGGGATTACAGGCGTGAGCCACCGTGCCTGGCCATGATGGTTAGTTTTATGTGTCAACTTGGCCCATATATTTGGTCAAACATTCTTCTGGATGTTTCTGTGAAGGTGTTTTTTGTATGAGATTAATATTTAAATCGGTGGGTTTTGAGAAAGCATATTACCCTCCATAATGTGAGTGGGCCTCATCAGCTAAAGGCCTTAATAGAACAAACACTGACCTCCCCTGATCAAGAAGGCATTCTCCAGCACATTGCCTTTGGATTGGAACTGCAACTCCTCCCTGAGTCTTCAGACCGCAGGCCTACACCTTCAGATTTTGGACTCAACAAGCCTCCACAATTGCGTGAGCCAATTCCTTAAAATAAATGAATCTCTCCCAACCTCGCATATAGACATATAGATAGATCGAGATAGATCCAGGTACATCCTGTTGCTTCTGTTTTTGTGGAGAACCCCGACTAATACAACTGATTTTCTATTGGAACCATCTAAAGATATCAACATTAAACTGGCATCATTTAACTGTGAAGTTCTGCTAATAGAGCTACGCATTACAAGTAGTGCTTCACTTTTCATCATGTACAAGGCAACATAAAATGGAAAATGAGCCAATGAATTTTGATCTAAATAAGTCATTTGATCTAAACAAAAGTCCTTCACAGAGCAGTATGTAAATACCTCTCTGCAGCTGTACCTCTTTGGCCACAGTCTTAAAATAACTACAAACCGGCCTGGCGCGGTGGCTCACGCCTGAAATCCCAGCACTTTGGGAGGCCAAGGCAGGTGAATCACGAGGTCAGGAGTTCGAAACCAGCCTGGCCAACATGGCGAAACCCTGACTCTAACTAAAAATACAAAAAATTAGCTGGGCGTGGTGGCGGGCGCCTGTAATCCCAGGTACTTGGGAAGCTGGGGCAGGAGAATTGCTTGAACCCGGGAGGCAGAGGTTGCAGTGAGCCGGGATTGCGCCACTGCACTCCAGCCTGGGCGACAGTGCGAGACTCTGTCTCAAAAAACAAAACAAACAAAAAAAACCGACAAACTTTTGAGGTAGATACTGATGCTTTCTCTGCAGATTTATGTCTTCTGATTTTCATGTGGTCAGTGACATCATTGTGCCCTGTGAGTGGCTGATAAATGCGGACAAATGATTTATGCATGTTATACATTTATCATCAACTTTCTTGAGAAAGAGATTCAGTATTTACTTTTTCATTAATTATGCACTTTAGTTTTTGAACTTATATGCTGGAAAAGTTGTTTCCAAAATTTAAAAAAGCATTATCAAACAATAAAATAGGCCAGGCACAGTGGCTCACACCTGTAATCCCAGTGTTGGGAGGCCAAGGCAGTAGGATCGCTTGAGGCCAAGAGTTCAAGACCAGCCTGGGCAACAATGTGATACTCTGTTTCTAGAAAAAAAAATTATTATAAACGTGAGTTGGGCCAGGTGTGGTGGCTCACTCCTATAATCCCAGCACTTTGGGAGGCCGAGGTGGGTGGATCATCTGAGGTCAGGAGTTTGAGACCAGCCTGGCCAACATGGTGAAACCCCATCTCTACTAAAAATATGAAAATTAACTGGGCGTGGTGGCGGGCACCTGTAATCTCAGCTACTCAGGAGGCTGAGACAGGAGAATAACTTGAACCCAGGAGGCAGAGGTTGCAGTGAGTCGAGATGATACCATTGCACTCCAGCCTGGGTGGAGAGTGAAACCCCATCTCAGAAAAAAAAATAAAAATAAAAAAATAAAAACATGAGTTGTAGATACACATTGTATAATGAATAACTGTTATACCAAAAGTATTCAGACTACTCGATATATGTTCTATGGCAGGACTCCTCTGCCTTTATTTCCGGAATATATTTTACATACATGTAAATGTATAATTTCCTGCATCCACTGACTTACCAACTGGTGGCCTGGCAGCTTCCTGTATCTTGCAGGCTTTGGCATGGGGACAGCTGGCTGGTACACCACATATTCAGCAAGGCGCACAATGGTGAATACTCCTCTCACTTCCCACCTGGGAATAAAATGAGTTCGTTGTCCCTAACCCCTAGTGCCTGATTGCACTTGCTTTGTTATCAGTGAACGCCCTACATGCTATCCTTGAGCGGGAGGTGTTAGTTATATTGTATTTGGAAAAGATTAGAGAAAGGGAGAAGGGTTATCACTGGTTGTCTTTTAGGTTTAACCCTGTGTTAAAGTGAGAACTTGGTTCTCTGTATATGCATCTCACAAACTAGTAGATGAGACCAAGGCAGAAGTTGGAATTAAAAAGTTGTGGTCCTAGGCTGGGCAAGGTGGCTCACCCCTGTAATCCCAACACTTTGGGAGGCTGTGGTGAGAGGATCGTTTGAGGCCAGGAATTCCAGACCAGAGTGGGCAACATGGCGAGACCTTGTCTCTACAAAAAAATAAAAAAAATAGCCATGCATGGTGGTGCGTGCCTGTAGTCTTAGCTGCTTGGGAGGTTGAGGTGGGAGGATCGCTTGAGCCCAGGAATTCTAGGTTACAGTGATTGCACCACTGCACTCTAGCTTGGGTGATAGAGCGAGACGCTGTCTCTAAAAATAAAAATATGGTGGCCCAACAGACTCATCCTGGCTTATTTAAATGCAACTATTAATACTTAAACTTTGTTAGAAAATGAAGTTTGGGACAAATGCTAAATTAGACAAAATGTTAGAATAACATGTAAACTGGGACTGTCTCAGGGAAACTAGAATGTATAGCCTCCTACAGTGGTATAAGGTATGGGGACGCTTTCCAGTGCTGCTCATGGCAGCCCTTAAACTGTAGTATCCTAATCTCTGACTGCGATTTGCTTCCTCTCCGGTTCTCTCTAGCCACCCTAATTGTGCTTCAGATTCATGGAGATCTCCAATTCTACGGTCTCCCACCCTGTTCCTGACTTCCTTTACTTACCAGTTCTGTTTGGATCCCACCTGAATCACTCTCCCTGACTCCTGGAAGCCCTTTGTACCCTATGATTCAGCTCTGCCAAGATGGCTAAGCCACACCCTGGCTCAAAACACACCCCATTTTCTCTGTCCATATACTAGGCTGCTGAGTACTGCTGGAGAAAACCCCACAACCATGGAGACTGGTACAGATTCATGGGCTCAGATCTCAACTTGGCTCTAAACACCCCTCCACGGTCCTGTATAAATCCTCGGTCAGCTCCCTTTGTTATTCCCACCAGTAACGTTCTGAATAGTCTAAGGCCATACCTCCCTGAAGGAAAAAAAAAAGGTTAAAAAAGGCAAAAATGTTTTGAGACAGGGTCTTGCTCTGTTACCTAGGCTGGAGTCCAGTGGGCATAATGATAGCTCACTTCACTGCAGCCTTGACATCCTGGGCTCAAGTGATCCTGCTTAGCCTGGCTAATTTTTTTTTTTAGAGACAGGGTCTTGCTATGTTGCCCAGGCTGGTCTTGTACTCCTGGCCTCAATGGATCCTCCCACCTTGGCCTCCCAGTGTGTTGGGATTACCAGGTGTGAATCACCATGCCTGGACCAAACCATGACCTTCCCTCCCTCCCTCCCTTCTTGCCTTCCTTCCTTCCTTCTTTCCTCCCTCCCTCCCTCTTTCCTTTCTTCCCTCTCTCCCTCCCTTTTTCCTCTTCCTCCCTCCCTCCCCCTCTTCTCTCTCTCTCTCTCTCTCTCTCTCTCTCTCTCTCTCTCTCTCTCTCCCCTTTTTCTTTCAAGACATGGTCTTGCTCTGTCGCCCAGGCTGGAGTACAGTGGCACAATCATAGCTCACTGCAGCCTCGACTTCCTGGGCTCAGGTGCCTCCCACCTCAGCCTCCTGAGTGGCTGAAACTATAGGCGTGTGCCACCATGCCTGGCTAATTTTTTAAAAAAATTTTATAGAGGGCCAGGTGCAGTGGCTCATGCCTGTAATCCCAGCACTTTGGGAGGCCAAGCATGGAGAAACCCTGTCTCTACTAAAAATACAAAATTAGCCGGGCGTGATGGCACATGCCTGTAATCCCAGCTACTCGGGAGGCTGAGGCAGGAGAATTGCTTGAACCCGGGAGGCGGAGGTTGCAGTGAGCCGAGATTGCACCATTGCACTCCAGCCTGGGCAACAAGAGGGAAATTCCGTCTCAAAAAAAAAAATTATAGAGACGGAATCTCACTGTGTTGCCCAAGCTGGTCTTGAACTCCTGGGCTCAAGTGATCCTCCTGCCTCAGCCTCCCAAAGTGCTGGCATTACAGATGTGAAGACTTTTTAAAAAGTAATGTAAACATGCATCCCCATTCAACCTCCACCATCCTCACTGTAGAAAAATAGACTCAACCCATTAGTTTATGAAGAGATTGAAGGATTCAAGTGTGAACCACATCCATTTCTTTCCATCCACATCTACACTGCTTCTTCCCCGCTTTCCTCCAGGCCTAGGGGTGAGGTGTCCCTTCTCTGGCCAGCAGATCCATCTGTGCCCTGCATTCCATCACCTTTGGTACTTGCCTCTATCAAATGCTGATTTTATTCTCCCATAGCTTTTGTTTATCCTTCCTTCTAGTTTTTCCCCTTAGGTTTGTAAACACTCAAGTTTTTCCTATCCTAAAAATAAGGTAAGTAAACAAATAATTGAATGAATGAACATGTTTAAAGCCCTCTCTTGACGATGCATCTTCCTCTGGTTACAGCTGGCTTTTTGAGTTGTCCTTACTTGCTCTATCCAATTCCTCATTTTCCATTTTCTCCTCAAACTCTTTGTGATCTGTCTTCTGCACCCACCATTGTACAAAACTGTTGGCAAAAGACATCATTGACTGCGTGACTGCTTTCTTGCCAAATCCAGTGGACACTTTTTTGGCCTTATATAACTGTCCTTTCTATTGCATTTGATAAAATTTACCACTTTGATTTTGAATCTGTTTCTTTGGCTTCTGGAATGCCACCTTCCTGATCCTCCTTCTGTACTTCCCTATTTCTTCCTGCTCATGAGTTCGCACGCTCACTCGCTCTCAGACTTTTCAGTTTATCCTTCTTCAGTGTTGTTAACATCCAGTGTAAACGGGCCGGGTGCGGTGGCTCACACCTGTAATCCCAGCACTTTGGGAGGCCGAGGCAGGAAGATAATCTGAGGTCAGGAGTTCGAGACCAGCCTGGCCAACATGGTAAAGCCCCATCTCTACTGAAAATACAAAAAATTAGCCAGGCATGGTGGCACATGTCTGTAATCCCAGCTACTCGGGAGGCTGAGGCAGGAGAATTGCTTGAACCCAGGAGACAGAGGCTGCAGTGAGCCAAGATTGTGCGACTGCACTCCAGCCTGGGCGACAGAGAGATACTCCATCTAAAAAACAAAACAAAACAAATAAAACAACAAAATTTCATGTGTTCCATTTTGGGCCAGAAATACAACAGTAGTAATAGTGTGCCTGTCCTTCACAGTGCTTCATATTAGGAGGCCCGAGATGTCAATTTGTTTCATTAATGATGATGTTAATCTGGATTACTTTGTCAAGACAGCCTCTGCCAGATCTCCAGTATAAACATACTATTTTTCCCTTTGTAATTAATACGAGGAATGATAGTTTGAGACTGTGTAAATATTCTGTTCCTCATCAAACTTTGACCCACTAATTTTAGCATCCATTGATGATTCTTCTTGTGTGTGTACTTTTCAATTTAAGAAGTGAATTATAGGCCGGGCACAGTGGCTCATTCCTGTAATCCTAGCACTTTGGGAGGCCAAGGCAGGCAGATCATCTGAGGTCAGGAGTTCGAGACCAGCCTGGCCAACATGATAAGGCCCCGTCTCTACTAAAAATAAAAAAAATTAGCCAGACATTGTGGCACATGTCTGTAATCCCAGCTACTCGGGAGGCTGAGGCAGGAGAATCGCTTGAACCCGGGAGGCAGAGGTTGCAGTGAGCTGATCTTGCGCCACTGCACCACTGCACTCCAGCCTGGGCAACAGAGTGAGACTCTGTCTAAAAAAAAAAGAAGAAGAAGTGAATTATAAGCAAGTTGAATTCTGAAGCTGTGGTCATGCATTTGAGAGGAGAAATTGAGAAACAATGGAATGGACCTTTTTTGTTTTTGTTGTTTTGTTTTTTTGGAATGCACCCTTAATCATTACATTTAGAATCCTTTGGGATCACACACCTGTAATCCCAATTACATGTAGAATCCTTTCTGCATTTAGAACTCTACTGTGTACCAGGTAGTTTACTAGAAAGTATTTTAAATATTTTATTTTTACTTTTATTTTTTATTTTCCCATAAGTCTTTTGCACTTGTATTTTTAATATTTGAAGCCAGAAGTTATCCCCTAATCTTTATATCTATGCTCACTGTTATTTTCCATGAAAATTCATTTTTTTCAATTTTATTTTGACAAATAATTGTATATATATTTATGGGGTGCAATGTGATGTTTTGGTATATGTTGTGGAATGATTAAACCAGTCTAACAAATCCATCAACTCACATACTTAACATTTCCATTGATGATTCTTGCCTGAAATAACTATTACCGAAGTGTTGAATGTTGATTTTTCCATTATCATCATTCTTTCTTCATTTATTAGATGTAATGTTACTGCAATGAAGCGAATTCCCTTCTCCCCGTGTATTTATTTATTTATTCATTTTTGAGATGGAGTCTCGTTCTTGTTGTCCAGGGTCGAGTGCAGTGGTGCAATCTCGGCTCACTGCAATCTCTGCCTCCTGGGTTCAAGCAATTCTTCTGCCTCAGCCTCCCGAGTAGCTGCGATTACAGGCACGCACCACCATGCCTGGCTAATTTTTATATTTTTAGCAGAGATAGGGTCTCACCATGTTGGCCAGGCTGGTCTCGAACTCCTGACCTCGTGATCTGCCCTGCCTCGGCCTCCCAAAGTGCTGGTATTACAGGCCTTTTTTTTTTTTTTTTTTTTTTTTTTAGTTTTAGTAGAGACAGGGTTTCACCATGTTAGACAGGATGGTCTCGATCTCCTTACCTCGTGATCCACCCGCCTCGGCCTCCCAAAGTGCTGGGATTACACGCGTGAGCCACCGCGCCCGGCCAACAGGCCTCATTTTTTTAAATGAAATTATTTACATCATCATGAACTCAGGGATTCTGATTTTATCCTATAGGGAATGATCCATTAGTAGTACTTAATACTTTGTTGCCCAGGTTGTCCAAGATTTGGCTACTGGGCGTCCCTCCATGTTGGCTCCTGTGTCCTTTCAATATGTCCTCATCACTCTTTGAGCACTTACTTAATTTCTGGCACCACAAGATATTCCAGTCTCATCTTTTACTTTTCCTGCCTTAGCCTTGGAGTCAGCCATTTTTACAAAGAGCTCTGTTTTTTTTTTCTGTTTTTGTTGTTGTTGTTGTTGTTTAAATTATAAACCCTGATGCTATTATAAAAAATGGTGGCACGGCACTTTTTATTTTCTTTAATCAGAAAAATAAGCCCTGAGCTTCTGGGATGGAGGCCCCAGGTGAGCTCCGGAGGAAGGGGCCTGGGTGGGTGGGGAGCGAGGGGACCAGGGGCCAGAGCAGATGCTGCACCAGGAGCTCTGGTTTCTTATATTGGAAAATGGTATTATTAGAAACCAAGCTCTGGGCAGTAGTTATAACATTTAAATTATGATGTAAAAAAAATTTTTTTTTTGAGATGGAGTCTTGCTCAGTCGCCCAGTCTGGAGTGCAGTGGCGCGATCTCGGCTCACTGCAAGCTCCGCCTCCCGGGTTCACGCCATTCTCCTGCCTCAGCCTCCTGAGTAGCTGGGACTACAGGCGCCCACCACCACGCCCGGCTAATTGTTTTTTGTATTTTTAGTAGAGACGGGGTTTCACCGTGTTAGCCAGGATGGTCTCCATCTCCTGACCTCGTGATCCACCTGCCTCAGCCTCCCAAAGTGCTGGGATTACAGGCGTGAGCCACCGCGCCCAGCTATGATGTAAAAATTAACAGTGTCTTATAATAAGCTTTTTAAGAGTAACTGTATTTTAAAACTAAGGTTTAAAGCTTAAATAATGCACCCTATCATTATTTAGTATATGTATGTTGAAATTCGTATATTTAAATATGTATATATTGAGGTATATTAAATTCATTTAGAAAAAGAGAAACATATGTACAATAAAGAAAACTAGTAGCTCATCAATAAAAATATTGAGACTGCATTGAAAATACAGTTTTTTCTCAATGTAAGACAATAAAGAATTTACTTTCTAAGGTGGTGGATATACCAATTACACTGATTTGATCTTTACAAATTATATGAATGGGCTGGGCACCGTGGCTCATGCCTGTAATCCCAGCACTTTGGGAGGCTGAGGCGGGTGGATCACCTGAGATCAGGAGTTCGAGACCAGCTTGGCGAACATGGTGAAACCCCGTCTCAAAATACAAAAAATTAGCTGGGCGTGGTGGCGGGCACCTGTAGTCCCAGCTACTCGGGAAGCTGAGGCACGAGAATCGCTTGAACCTGGGAGGCAGAGGTTGCAGAGAGCCGAGATTGCGCCATTGCACTCCAGTCTGGGCAACAAGAGCGAAAACTCCATCAAACAAAACAAAACAAAACAAAACAAACAAACAAAAAACAAAAAAAAAAACACTCCAAAGAAAACAAATTATATGAATATATTAAATTATCACATGAAGGCCAGGCACAGTGGCTCACACCTGTAATCCCAGCACTTTGGAAGGCTGAGGTGGGAGGATTGCTTGAGCCCAGGAGTTTGAGACCAGCCTGGGAAACATAGCAAGACATCATCTCTGCAGAAAATAACAAATTAGCCAGGCGTGGTGGTGGGCACCTGTGGTCCTAGCTGCTTGGGTGGCTCAGGCATAAAGATCACTTGAACTCAAGAGGCTGAGGCTGCAGTGAGCTATGATCCTGCCACTGTACTCCAGCCTGGGCAACAGAGTGAGACCCTATCTCAAAAAGAAAAAAAAAATTATGACATGTATCCTGAAAATGTGTACCTCTATTATGTATCAATTTTAAAAATTCCTGGTCAGGTGCAGTGGCTCGCGCTTGTAATCCTTTTTGGACTTTGGGAGGCTGAGGACAGAAGATTGCTTGAGGCCAGGAGTTCCAGACCAGCCTGGGCAACATAGAGACCCTGTCTTTACAAAACAATTTTTTTTTAAATTAGTGGAGCATGGTGGTGCACGCCTATAGTCCCAGTTACTTGGTAGGCTGAGTCAGGAAAATCGCTTGAGTCCAGGATGTCGAGGCTGCAGTGAGCTATGACTACGCCACTGCACTCCAGCCTCGGTGACAGAGTGGGACTCTGTCAATCAGGCAATCAATTACTGTCTTTTTTTTTTTTTTTTTTTCCTTTGGAGGCAGGGCCTCGCTGTGTTGCCCATGCTGGTCTCAAACTCCTTGGCTCAAGCCATCCTCCCACCTCAGCCTTCTAAGTAGCTTGGACTACAGGGGCACACCACCCACCCCCAACAGAATTCACTTTCCACATAGAAAGCAGAGAGGTTTTACCTCCCCTAACTTAAACGTGTACTCTTTAAAAGGTCTGCATTCTGCTGAGAAGTCTAGGGAAAAAGAAAAATCTAAAACCTTAAAAAATAAAAAATAAAAATAAAAAAATATATATATATCTGCTAGTTTTCATGTTTACGTGCTGCATTTGAATGCTTCTGCTATAGAAAACTATACAAAAATCAGCAAACAAAACAATAGTAAGGGTTCCTAACTTCTAGAGGAGCTAAAATCCTTAAGGTTATGTTACCTTCTCTTGTGGTTTTCAGAAAGCATCGTCACTTTGGTTATTAATATAGATAAGGCTGTGGCTACTTGGAGTTCTCAGGTATCTGTATTCTGACCAGACATCTCTTTAGAATGTTGCTCTTTTTCAGGATCAGGCCCCAAATTCAGAATAAAACTGACAAGGTATCTGTAGTATGATAAATATATTTGGTCTTTGTCCCTGGTTCCTGACAGAGTACCCAAAACCCTTAGGATTTCCTAGTGATAGGAATGACTTTTGTTATTCATGAGCCCCGCCCCCTCCCTGCACCCCTTTTTTGAGACAGTCTCCCTCTGTCACCCAGGCTAGAGTGCAGTGGTGCGATCTTGGCTCACTGCAACCTCCGCTTCCTGGACTCATGCGATTCTCCTGCCTCAGCCTCCCAACTATGGGACTACAGGCGTGCGCCAGCATGCTGGGCTAATTTTTGTATTTCTAGTGGAGACAGGGTTTCATCATGTTGTCCAGGCTGGTCTCGAACTCCTGACCTCAGGTGATCTGCCAGCCTTGGCCTCCCAAAGTGCTGAGATTACAGGCTTGAGCCACTGTGCCTGGCCTCATGAGCCCCTTTTGATCATACCTGAGTTTAGGCTAAAAGATGACTTTGGATAGAGCTCCTAGATAATCTCAGGATGAGGCTGGTCACCTGAAAGACCAAGTGATTAGAGGGTTGGAATTTTCAGCCCCACCCCTGGCAGGTGCAGAGGGGTGGGCTAGAGATCAAGCTCTACAAAAACTGAAAGATTTGATAAGCTTCTGGGTTGCTGAACACGTGGAGGTACTGGAGGATAGCACCAGTTGAAGGCATGGGGCTTCCATGCCCTTCCCTGACACCTTGCCCTGACACTCTTCCATCTGGCTGTTCATTTGTACCCTTTGAAATATCCTGGTAAATGTTAAGTAATGCTTCCCTGAGTTCTGTAAGCTGTCCTAGCAAATTAATTGAATGGGAATCCCCAGTTTACAGCTGGTTGGTCAGAAGTAAAGGTCACAACCTGGGACTTGCAATTGGCGTCTGAAGTGGGGTGGGGGCAGTCTTGTGGGACTGAGCCCTTACCTTGTGGCATCTGATGCTATCTCCAGGTAGTGTTAGAATTGAACTGAACTGAATTATAGGGCATCTAGCTGGTGTTTGCTGGAGAATAGCTTGGTGTGTGGGGAAAACCCCAACACATCTTGTCACAGATGTGTTCTGTGCTGAGTAAGAGAAGAGAGTAGGAAAACAGGTTTTTTTGTTTTTTCCTATTACAGTATCTTACACCCAAACCATCTTTTGCATTCTCCTAGACGGCTGCTTGCTTCCTCATCCTGTGACCCACAATGGCATCACAAGCAAAAATGGGGGTAGGACATGTATTAGAAATAATTAGGGGCCAGGTCAGTGGCTCACGCCTGTAATCCCAGCACTTTGGGAGGGCGAGGTGGGCAGATCACTTGAGGGCAGGAGTTTGAGACCAGCCTGGCCAACACGGTGAAACCCCGTCTCTACTAAAAATACAAAAATTAGCTGGGCATGGTCGCACGCGCCTGTAATCGCAGCTACTTGGCGGACTAAGGCAGAATAATTGCTTGAACCCAGGAGGCGGAGGTTGCAGTGAACTGAGATTGTGCCACTGCACTCCAGCCTGAGTGACAGAGTGAGACTCCATCTCAAAATAAATAAGTAAATAAATAGGTATGATAGGTCTGCATATATATATATATAGATAGATAGAGAGAGAGAGACAGAGAGAGAGAGACAGAGAGAGAGAGACAGGGTCTTGCTCTGTCACCCAGGCTGGGATGCAGTCGCGTGATCATGGCTCACTGCAGCCTCCACCTCCTGAGCTCAGGTGATCCTCCCACCTCAGCCTTCTGAGTAGCTAGGACTAAAGGCATGCCCTACCACACCCAGGTACTTTTAAAAAGATTTTTTTTTTTTTGTAGAGACAGGGTCTTGCTTTGTTGCCCAGGCTGGTCTCAAGCTCCTGGACTCAATCAATCCTCCTGCCTTGGCCTCCCAAATTGTTAGGATTACAGGTGTGAGCCACCTCGCCTGGCTGCTTCATTTTCTTTATGAACTCTATAGTAAACTTTTATATTTCAGGCTCACAATATAGGGAAAGCCATCAAATTAAAAAAAAGGTTCAACTTTCTTTAGGTTAATTTTGTGTAGGTAAAATATTATAATGAAATTATATCTTTTCAAGCAGGGTAGGACAAACTCACGTTCACATGTCAGGGCTAACAAAGTAACTTAACAAATCAACTTGTAAACATGTGATTGCTAAGTTTAAAATACTTCTATTGTTTGCTACTGATCATAGTACACTCTGTACAGGACAGATTCTAACACCCTGAAGATTTCACTAGGCCTTCTCTGTTCCCGTGTTCTTGCCCCCATGGTTATCATAGACTAAATAGTTACAGGTAGGCCCATTCATTGCTTCCATTTGGATACTTTTGGTTACTATAAGCAAGAAGCCAGAACAATCTGGCCTTTCAGTAGGCGGTCTCTGCTTTCCCTTCACAATGGCCTAAATGTCCTTGCTAGAAAATTAGAGCTGTGCTGCCCAATATAGCAGCCACTAGCCACACACATGGCTATTTAAATCTAGGTTTAAATTAATTAAAATTAAAATGTTACATTTGGTTCCTCAATCCTACTGGCCACATTTCAAATGTTCAATAGCCACTTATAGCTAGTGGTTACTGCATCGGACAGTGCAGACATGGAGCATTTTCATCATTGTGGAAAATCCTGTGCAGCAGCCCTGGGCCAGAGAGTCAGTCTTCTGGAAAGAATGACAAAGAATAGTCTCAGAACCTCAGGAGGAAGGACTATACTAGAAACAGGCTTCTCAGTGTAAGCTGATACTGCTACCAGGTGCATAAAACTGACAGACTGCTCCAGTGCACCTAAGACTCAGGATTTCCAGAACTATTTTAGCCTAGAGGCAGATGGCTTCATGAAGGTAGACTGCTACTAAAATTGGAAGACGAAGTAGGGCTGAGTAAATCAGTAACAGAAATCTAGTTGTGGTTGCCTGGGAATTGGTTTTTATGTTCTATTTTCTGACAGGCATAGACAAAGCCCCTTTCTTTCTTGCTCCGCTTCTTTGTTGTTGTTGTTGTTGTTTTGAGAGGGTCTCATTCTGTCACCCAGGCTGGAGTGCAGCTGTACAATCATGGTTCACTGCAGTCTCTACCTCCTGGGCTCAAGCAATCCTCCCACCTCAGCCCCCCAAGTAGCTGGGACTACAGGTGTGCACCACTATGCCCAGCTAATTTTTCTAATTTTTGTAGAGACCGAGTTTCACCACGTTACCCAGGCTGTTCTTTCTCAATTTCTAACGCTCAGTTTTATAGTCTGTAACAATGCCATTGGGACGAACACATTCTCTCAAAAGTTCATTACCAGTAGACCTCCAACCAAAACTTAAACTTCTAAACTAAAAGCACAATTCCTTCCTTGGATGGTATGATATTTCAGTTATCTGATTTTTGGAAGGGGTGCACTTAAAGAAAACTTATGAGGGAGGACGCGAAGTGGGATAGGGAACGGTAGAGAACTGAGAAAGGACATGGTCTTAGATACAGTTTAGCCTTGGCGTCCACAGCGGGAAACATTTGCAGTAGTCCTGCTTGAGGCAGGGGCCAGGGATTTTGTATCCCAGAATCATTCATTGGCTATAAGGGGAGTATAGCTTCCTAGGTTCCCATCAGGCAAGGGCAGATAATCAGAGGTCGCAGAAGTAAGCTGCACTTGAAACAGATGTGGGATGGGGTGCTAGCCGGTGAAGAGAGCCGGGCAGGGCACCAATAGCATCTACTACACCCAGGTCCACAGGCTACATCAAATGGATACTACTGAACATAAGTCACCATGGATATATTTGGAAATACCTTCATAAGAAACCAGTTTAAAGGAATAATATCTGCATGAATATAATGCTAATAAAGACTATGTGTACTGTATAATTAAGACTATGCCTATTTTCCACCATTTGTTAGAAATTTATTTATTTATTTATTTATTTTGAGATGGAGTTTCACTCTTGTCACCCAGGCTGGAGTGCAGTGGTGCAAATTCGGCTTGCTGCAACCTATGCGTCCTGGGTTCAAGTGATTCTCCTGCCTCAGCCTCTCAAGTAGCTGGGATTACAAGTGTGCACCACCATGGCCAGCTAATTTTTGTATTTTTAGTAGAGACGGGGTTTCACCATGTTGGCCAGGCTGGTCTCGAACTCCTGACCTCAGTTGATCTGCCCACCTTGGCCTCCCAAAGTGCTGGGATTACAGGCGTGAGCCACCGCGCCTGGCCCATTTGTTAGAAATTTTAAAAGCCTTGGCTGGGCTCAGTGGCTCATGCCTGTAATCTCAGCACTTTGGAAGGCCGAGGCTGGTGGATCATTTGAGGTCAGGAGTTCGACACCAGCCTGGCCACCATGGTGAAACCCCGTCTCCACTAGAAATACAAAAATTTGCCAGGCATGGTGGTGGGCACCTGTTATCCCAGCTACTTGGGAGGCTGAGGCAGAAGAATCACTTGAATCTGGGAGGCAGAGGTTTCAATGAGCCAAGATCACGCCACTGCACTCTAGCCTGGGCAACAGAGCAAGACTCCATCTAAAAAAAAAAAAGGGAATTTAAAAAGCCTTTTAAAATAGCTTATTTTAATAGGTGAATCTAGATAAAACTATAAAAACTACATGATATAGAAATGTTTCTACTTCCACTTTGTGGGTGGACTTTTAAAGACTTAATACCTGACATCTTTTTCTTTTTCTTTTTTGGAGATGGAGTCTCACTCTGTTGCCCAGGCTGGAGTGCAGTAGCACAACCTCAGCTCACTGCAACCTCCGCCTCCTGGGTTCAAGCGATTCTCCTGCCTCAGCCTCCTGAGTAGCTGGGACTACAGGCATGCGCCACCATGCCTGGCTAATTTTTGTATTTTTAGTAGAGATGGGGTTTCACCATGTTGGCCAGGCTGGTCACGAACTCCTGACCTCAAGTGATCCACCTGCCTTGGCCTCCCAAAGTGCTGGGATTACAGCCATGAGCCACTCCACCCGGCCTCCTGACACCTTTTTCTAATAATTATTTAGCAATTGTCTTTTATCTGTTATTTTGATTGCATCTCCTAATATTCTTAAGTGTCTTTGGGAAGTTTAAATTAGTATAAAACTAGAATAATGAGCATTTGATTTGATACAGTCTACCAGAATTGCCTGTAGTATATGCCTATATTCATACATATCTTTACATATATAAATTGTAATATATATGACAAATAATATGTAGATAGTAAATATAATGTGAATTTTCACCTCGATTTCAAAGAAAACTCCAAGAACATGCATTTGCTCCTCCCACCATCTGCAGAGATTTCCATAACAATGGCAAACACTTAATAACATTCACCATTGGAGAAATTTAAACACCGGATGTTTGAAGACAACCAGAGATGATTGTTAAAAATTGGTGGGGAAGGGGTGTTCAATAATAGTATTGTGATTGCATTTTTTAAAAGTATGCATCTTAGAGACATATAATGATATATATGAGGATGAAATGATGTCTTTGGAATTTGCTTCAAAATAAACCATGGTGTGTGGGGACAGGGAATTGGGAGGAATATATATGAAACCAGATGGGAAATTAGTTCATAATTGTTGAAGCTGGGTAATGTGTTCATGGTAAAAACTTTCTGCAGGGCATTTAGTGATATGAATCAATAGACTTTAAAAAATATGTATAAAACTTTGGTGGCCAGCCGCAGTGGCTCAGGCCTGTAATCCCAGCACTTTGGGAGGCTGAGGCGGGTGGATCATTTGAAGTCAGGAGTTCGAGACCAGGCTGACCAACATGGTGAAACCCCGTCTCTACTAAAAATACAAAAATTAGCCGGGCGTGGTGGTGCATGCCTGTAGTCCCAACTACTCAGGAGGCTGAGGCAGGAGAATCGCTTCGACCCAGGAGGCGGAGGCTGCAGTGAGCCGAGATCATGACACTGCACTCCAGCCTGGGTGACAGAGTGAGACTCCATCTCAAAACAACAACAACAACAAAAACTCTTTGACTTGGGAATTTCTGTTCTAGAAATTTATCTTAAGGGAAAAATCAGAGAAGGGCAGAAAGCTCTATGTACAAGAATGTTCATCTCAGCATTGTTTATTTTTAGATGTTTATTACCCACGTGTCCTATAAGAAAAAAAGAAGTGTTACTTCAGCAAAATGAAAAAGGAATCTAAGATAGATGAGGACAGGAGATACAAACAAAACAAAACAGTCACAAGTTAAGGGTGAAAACAGTGCAGAAGGTCAATTTCCTCTATTTTGAGTGCACTTCAGTGGAAAAGGTTGAGAATCATTCTGAGTACTGGGGAAGAAGAATGTTCTCTCTAGCTCATCTGAACCAAATAGTTTGTACTCTTTCCTTCAGATGGCTCTTTAGTTAAATATCCTGATGACCTCCTCAAGGCTTATTCCTGTTCCTTGAGTTTGCTGACCCTAGTTTTGAACTTCTTCAGACTCCCTTGGAAAGAGCTGCTGTTTCTGCTGGTGTGTTTAACTTTTAAGCAAAATTGAAAAATTATAGAAAAGGTGCTGGGCGTGGTGGCTCATGCCTGTAATCTGAGCACTTCTGGAGGCTGAGGGAGGAGGATTGCTTGAGCTCAGGAGTTTGAGACCAGCCTTGGCAACATGGTAAAACCCCATCTCTACAAATAATACAAAAATTAGCGGGGTGTGGTGGTGCGTGCCTGTGGTTCCAGCTACTCGGGAGGCTGAGGTGGAAGGATGGCTTGAGCCCAGGTAGTTGAGGCTGTAGTGAGCCACAATCATGCCACTGCACTCCAGGCTGGGTGACAGTGCAAGACACTGTCTCAATCAATCAATCAATCAATAAAATAAAATTTTAGAAAGAAAATTATAGAAAAGTTGCAAGAAAAGCACAAATAATTCCTGTATATCCTTCACGAAGGTTCACCAACTTGTGACATTTTGCCCCATTTGCTTTATCTTTTCGTATATACACACACATTTTTTTCCTGAACCAGTTAAATTGTAGACATGACACTTCATTACTCCTAAATACTTCAGTATGCATTTTCTAAGAATAAGGATATTCTCTTATATAACTACAGTACAATGATTAGAATCAGGAAACTAACATTGACACAATATTATGTAATATTCAATTCATATTTACATTTAGCCAATAGTCCCCAAAATGTCCTTCAGAGCAAGGGTTCCCCCGACCCCGAATTGGCATCCAATTCAGGATGAAGCATTACTTTTAGTTGTCATGTGTCTTTAGTCACCTTTAGTCTGGAACAGTTCCTCAGCCTTTCTTTGTTTCTCAGGACATTTTTTTTTTTTTTTTGAGGAGTACAGGCCAGTCGTTCTGTGGAACATCTTTCCATCTGGGAGTCTCGGCTATTTCTTGGTGATTAGATCAGCACTATTTGCAACAACAAAATGGCAACCATAAAACCTGGAAACAACTGTCCAATGATAGGGAAATGGTTAAGTAAACTATGATACATCCACAAAATGGACTATTATGCGGCCAATAAGAATGACAGAGTATACTGACCTGGTAAGATACTTCCAATTTTTAAGTGAAAAAAGTAGATTATAACTTAATAGGTATGAACCTATTTTTTGTAGAAATGTCTGAAAGATTTTACAAAACATACAATTGTGGCCTACGGGTACTAGAATTATGGGATATTTAAAATTTTTATTTTTACTTATCTGTATAATTTATGTGTAATAAACATCAATTCACCTGTTAATAGTAAAAAAAAAATACACTTAAAATGAGGCTAGCTTCTTGATTTTATATGTGAAGGATCACGGTGTGGAAAAGGGAATACAAATTACTTTTCTGTTAAAAAAAAAAGAATAAAAACGACTTACTATTACGAACCAGCTAATTTCACTTACAATCACTTTATCTTCTATATTCCTTAAGACAATGCAGTCGTTTAAGGGATATCACCCCCATTTTGACAGACGGGGTGGTGGCTGAGGCTGAGAGAAGGGGAATGGTACCTTGCTTAGAGTTATCAGTTATGAGTGGCCAATCTAGTTTTCAAACCCAGG
The DNA here is from genome assembly GCF_000001405.40 of Homo sapiens. Classification (NCBI taxonomy): domain Eukaryota; kingdom Metazoa; phylum Chordata; class Mammalia; order Primates; family Hominidae; genus Homo; species Homo sapiens. The sequence continues at coordinate 134,437,983 of NC_000023.11, read as the reverse complement.
TCTTTCAGACTATAAAACCCTTATTTTTCTCCACCTCACATTGCTCCTGTGTAGCCTCCTGAAAGGCAGGGCTAGGAGAATCAACAGGTGGAAGTTACAAGAAGTTGATTTTTTTTTTTGAGACAGGGTCTTGCTCTGTTGTCCAGGCTGGAGTGCAGTGGCGTGATCATGGCTTATTGCAGCCTTGACCTCCTGGGCTTAAGCGATTGTCCCGCCTCAGCCTCCCCAGTAGATGAGACTACAGGCACGTGCTGCCATTCTCGACTAATTTTTTCTTTTTTTGAGATAGGGTCTCACTTTGTTTTCCAGGCTGGAATGCAGTGGCATGGTCTCAGCTTACTGCAGCCTCACTCCTGGGCTTAAACAATCCTCCCACCTCAGCCTCCCGAGTAGCTGGGGCCGCAGGTGCATGCCACCATGCCTTGCTAATTTTTGTATTTCTTGTAGAGACATGGTTTTGCCATGTTGCCCAGGCTAATTTTTTAATTTTTTGTAGAGATGAGGCCTCACTATGTTGCCCATGTTGGTCTCAAATTCCTGGGCTCAAATGATCCTCCTGCCTCAGCCTCCCAAAGTGCTGGGATGACAGGCATAAGGAGGCGATTTTTTGAACAGCAGAATTGAAGAATTGTGAAATGGGCTGAACTCTCTGTACCTAGAAATGTTGCAGTAGAAGGCAGATGTCATTGAGGGATGTGGCAGAAAGGGCTCCTGGAGAAGAATGGCAGCACCATTTTTCAGCTGTCTGCTGCCTGACTCCATCTGGATATGGGGCTTGGAATCTTGACTAAAATTCTCCATATTTTGGTCTCACAACCTTTCATCTGGTGATTTTCACAGTTTCATAAGAAGGTATGTGTTTCAACTGTTCTTTTCTTGACTAGACAAGAATTACATATGTCTACATATGTACACAAATGCATTTTGGTTTCCCAATGCACCTCGAGCTTTGAGTTGTCTCTGCCATGTGGCATTTTTCATAAGCAAATTGGTTAATCACCTCCATTACCCCTGGATATTACTGGCCCCAACCTCCCACTTTTCTCAATTCTCTTCTACCCTTTCACCTCCCTGTATAGTTCACCCCACCCTTCATCTAGACATTTTACCTTTGCCAAGGAAATAGCAGAATTTATGTAGATTCCTATTAAATCTCTGCGAGCAGGGAAGCAGGTGGGTAGATAGTTCAGGGAGGGTCCCAGCCAGTGAACTTTGCAACGTTGGTTTTATTATTAAATGTGTTACTTCTATTCTTGGGTCACCTGCAAGAGCAGATTAGCAGAGGACCAAACGACAGCACTTGGATTGTCAGCGACATCAAGTAGAGTCAAGATGTAAGATAACTGGCTGGGCGCAGTAGCTCATGCCTGTAAACCCAGCACTTTGGGAGGCTGAGGTGAGAGGATTGCTTGAGCTCAAGAGTTTGAGACCAGTCTGGGCAACATACCAGAACCTCATCTCTACAAAAATTAAAAAAAAAAAAAAAAAAAGCAGGCTGGGCGCGGTGGCTCACGCCTGTAATCTCAGCACTTTGGGAGGCTGAGGTGGGAGGATCACAAGGTCAGGGGTTCAAGACTAGCCTGGCCAATATGGTGAAACCTCGCCTCTACTAAAAATACAAAAATTAGCCAGGTGTGGTGGCACGCGCCTGTAATCCCAGCTACTCAGGAGGCTGAGGCAGGAGAATCACTTGAACCCAGGACGTAGAGGTTGCAGTGAGCCAAGATCACACCATTACACTCCAGCCTGGACGACAAGAGCGAGACTCTGTCTCGAAAAAAAAAAGGGCTAGGCGTGGTGATACATGCCTGTAGTCCTAGCTACTTGGGAGGCTGAATCAGGAGGATTGCTTGAGCCCAGGAAGTTAAGACTGCAGTGAGCTGTGATTGTACACTGCACTCCAGCCTGGGTGACAAAGCAAAACCCTGTCTCAAAAAAAAAAAAAAAGAACTGGAAAAACACCTACTGGTTTTCGCAACAGTCATTGGTAAACTTTGCTGGGGCAGTTTTTGTGTAGTTGAGAGAAGTGAAGGTGGGGAGACAGAAGTGAGTGCAGTGGGTTGATGAACAAATAATAAAAATAGAGAAATGGAGATATCAAGTGGTAACTTGACTTTCAAGAAAATTATATGAGGAGAGAAATGGGAATTATATGAGAAGAGGAGAAAAGCTAGACTTGGGAACACAGGTACAAGGGCCAGTGTATTGGGGGATGGGAGAGTCTTGGGTCTATGCTCACTCCGTTAATCCTCACAAGTCTATGAGTGAAATATGATTTCTATCTGCATTTTATTTATTTAGAGTTATTTATTTATTATTTTGAGCTCTGTCGCCCAGGTTGCAGTGTTGCAGCATCCGCCTCCCTGGTTCAAGCAATTCTCCTGCCTCTGCCTCCCGAGTAGCTGGGATAACAGGCACTCACCACCACGTCTGGCTAATTTTTGTATTTTTAGTAGAGACAGGGTTTCACCACGTTGCCCTGGCTAGTCTCAAACTCCTGACCTCAAGTGATCCGCCCACCTCAGCCTCCCAAAGTGCTGGGATTACAGGCGTGAGCCACCGCACCTGGCCCCCTGAATTATTTAAGGAAATCTCAGCTATCCCACCACTTTACAATAAGTATTTCAGTATGTATATCTAAAAGATACACTCTTATTTCTAGTGTTTTCCTCATGATCTTTAAAATCTCTACTACATCTATAGTAATGTTCTGTTTTATTTTTAATATTGTTTATGCCTTATTTCCTTTTTAAACTTTAAATTTTGATGTAAGGTCAAACTTACAGAAATGTTGCAACAATAGTACAAAGAATTCCTGAATACCCTTTGCTCAGATTCACCAGTTTTAAAAAATCTTGTCCCACTTGCTTTATCATTTGCCTTCTCGCTCTGTCTCTCTACCGGTATGTGTCTGTATATATATATTTTCAGAACCGTTTGTAAATTGGAGCTATTGTTCTCCTTGACCTGTGAGTATTTCAGTGTGTATTTTCTAACAAAGACATTCTTTTACACACCAGAGAACAATCAGAAAATTTAGCCTTGATGTTACTACTGTACTCCAATCTTGACAACTGTTTCAATACCATCCTTTATAGTTACTTTTTTCACAGTCCAGGATCACACATTAAATTGTCTCCTGAATCAGGAAGAGTTCCCCAGACTTTGCCTTTCATGACATTGGCATTTTTGACGCATATAGGCCAGTTGTTTTGTAGAATGTCCCTCAATTTGGGTTTGTCTGATGCTTCCCCACGAACAGACTCAGGTTATGCATTTTTGGAGGACTACCACAGAAATTATATTTGTTCTCAGAGCAGCATAGCAGGAGGTAAATAGCATCATTTTTTTCCCATTATTGTTGATGTTCTTTCATTATCCATTTACAGTGGTGTCTTGCCATTGTAAAATTACTACTTTCCACTTTGTAATTAACAACTTGTGGCTTAGTTTGGGGGTAAGTATCCTATTCCTCATCGAGCCTTCACCCACTACTTTTAGCACCCATTGATGACTCTTGCCCAAATCAGTTATTACTACGATTACATGTGTGAGCCACCGTGCCTTGCCTCTATCTGCATTTTAAAGATGAGATCATGGAAGTGGAGAGAGGCTTAATAAATTAAGCAAGCTTCCATGGAATTTGAATCCGGGCCACCAAAATCTAGAGTCTGCACGCTTATGTTTGTAATAGTTTCTAGGTACTATAATGGGAAAGACAAGTAGGTAAAAAGGACAGAAGACTGATGTGGAGAACCTGAGACCAAATGCCAAATGTCTGCGGTGGCATCAGTCTGCATTGTTGTGGTTTTCTTTAGCAGGTCATCTTCCCCAGATATAAGAGTGGGGTGAATTCTAGGCATGGGGAGGTAAAATGAGAGAAGTGGAAAGGTGAGGTCAGTAGTATCAAGAAGTAATTAATGGACGGCTGGGTGCGGTGGCTCACGTCTGTAATCCCAGCACTTTGGGAGGCCGAGGCGGGTGGATCACCTGAGGTCAGGAGTTTGAGACCAGCCTGGCCAACATGGTGAAATCCTGCCTCGACTAAAAATACAAAATTAGCTGGGCGTGGTGGTGCACGCCTGTAATCTCAGCTACTCGGGAGGCTGAGGGAGGAGAATGGTTTGAACCTGGGAGGTGGAGGTTGCAGTGAGCTGAGATGGCACCATTGCACTGCAGCCTCGGCAACAAGAGTGAGACGCCGTCTCAAAAAAAAAAAAAAAAAAAAAAGTAGAAACCACACTAGCTTATCAGCAATAAGAATGGAGAGGATGGATCCAAAAGGCAGAGTGGTAGATTTTGTGGAACTTAGCAAGTGGATGTGGAAATCCAAGTAGACCAATTGTAACCCTACTGACTGATGGTGTCATTAACAAATAGATAAAATTCAGCTCAGGACAACTTAGTTTGGGACTCACATTTGGGTAGCCACCAGATTGGGTAGACATGTCCAGAAGAAGTGTTGAGACTTAGCCTGAAGCTGCAGTGAGTGGAAGATGATCATGTGGAACACACAGGTGGCACCTGTAAGCAGATCGTGGTGATAGGGAAGAATAATCCAAGATGGCAAAGACCAGAACCAGGTGACACTTATGTTAGGGGTAGGGAGAAGAGTCAGAAAAGGAGTGGTCTTGAAGGGGTGGTACAGATACGGGAACTAAGGAAAGAGAGTTTCCCGGAAGGCATCAAAGGAAAAAAAGAATAAAGTTGTGACTGAAGTTTTGCATCAATCTTTCTAGGAAGTGGCCTATAAACTGTAGGGTGCATTTCCAAGTTCCATGCAATGGTGTGTCCCCAGTTATTAAATGCTCCAAAGACCACAGTAAAAGCTGCCTAAAGTTTTTCTCTCCTACCCTGCCTCTTTGCTAAGCAACATACGTTTTCTTTAATGCTTTTTTCCCCCCCTGCATCCCCAGCACACTGGCTAGCTGCCCTAAGCTGTTTGGGCACATGGAATAGGTTGAAGCGCTTAATAACAATTCTTCTAAGGGACGTCCAGAAAGAATGTTGTATTTAAGGATAATGCCAAAATACCAGCTCTTTGATCTGGAACTTTCAGAAACTGCTTATCTTTTGTGCTTGCTCTCTAACCAGGAACATATGAGAACAGGGTCCAAATAATTATTGCTTCCTGGTAATACTAAATCAATACTAAATATAGAGCATAAGCCTATTGGGCTTAAGGATCAGGAACGTTTGAAAATAAGCCTTTGTGTTAAATTGTCTGGCTAGCCTCTGAAATAAAAATAACAGCAGTCTCCATGATTGCTACAGTTCTAAGTTACAAACCTTTTTCAATAAAATTGTTGCTTGGCTAATGTTATAAATACTAATTAGCGACAAATGTGATTTTGAGAATTTTAAAACTAATTTTCATGTAGCATTAATTCATCCTTCACTACATTCAATTTATTCTTTATTTTAAAACTTCCATGCTGACTGACCAGCATAATTCAGTACCCATGTTATTTTTACCAATTTATTTTCAGACATGCAGGTGACTGTTGCTTGAAATTGCTAAATGACAAAAATAATAGCTCATTTTTGGCAAATGAGCTGAAAGTATCTTGACAATTTTTCTGATTAGGCTTAGATTTTATTCATAAAAGGACAAAACAACTACTTGAAGTGAAAACTTCAGATGACTTCATCTTGTTTCATGTAACTGACCATTTGTTAGGCACAGTCATAATTTTGGGAATAAGAACCATCATATGACAGATAAAGGTCATAGGAGTTCTTCAACAAAACAGTACACAGCCCCTTCAGGTGTCCTGAACTGAGCTACATATGACTCTGGACACCGGGCAGGTCCATCTGGAAACAACAGACAGTGATGAGCAATCTATTACTTTTCAGAAAGCAGGAAGGGAAGTGATTCACCAGCTACTGCTGTTAATACATACGAAATAAACCTTTCAATTTAGCCTTTTCACAAATGAAATGTAGTGCCCCATTTCTCAATGATGATTCATATGTCACTTTCAGATACAGTCTATATGGGTTTTACAATACAATCAAACCCCATAGAATTTTCTGGAGTGTGTGTGTTTTTTCTTAAAGGCACCACACTTAAAAGCACTCTTCTGGAATGGAGAAGTGGGCAAGCTTAATCCCTGGAATGGATGGGTAATTTTTTTTTTTTTTTTGAGGTAGAGTCTTGCTCTGTTGCCCAGGCTGGAATGCCGTGGAGCCAACACGGCTCACTGCAACTGTGACTTCCCAGGCTTAAGCGATCCTCCCACCTCAGCCTCCTGAACAGCTGGGACTACAAGCGCATGCCACCACGTGTGGCTATTTTTTCTGGTTTTTTTTTTTTTTTTTTTTGTAGAGATGGGGTTCTCACTATGTTGCCCAGGCTGGTCTTGAACTCCTGGGCAATCCTCCTGCCTCAGCCTCCCAAAGTGCTGGGATTACAGATGTGAGCCAAAAATGGACGGCTGGCAATTTTTATCAAAACTTTAAATGTACATACCCTTGACTTAGCAGTTCTACTTCTGGAAGTTTATCCTAAGAAATTACTTGCATAAAGGATATATGTAAGGCTGGAGAGAACAATTTCAGTTCATCCATATACTGAAATACCATGGAGCTATTTAAAAAAAAAAATTGAGAAATCTAGAGGTACTGACACCTTGTAATGTTGTTCAAGTAAAAAAGACGAGGTGCAGAACTGTATGTATGATTCTATTTATGGTAAAAATATTCTATTTTTTATGCATGATTCTATTTATGTTATGCATGATTCTGTTTATGTAAAAAAAGTGTTTATGTTATATATGTACAGAAGCATTTAGAAGAATATGTATCAAATACTTCTAGGGAGTAGACTTGTACAGAAGGGGGGGTTTTCACATTTTGCTTTATATACCTTTGTATTTTAATTTTGTAAAATGGCTACATAGCACTTTAAAAATTGAGATAAAATTAATATAAAATCCACTCTTGCCGGATGTGGTGGCTCACGACTGTAATCCCAGCACTTTGGGAGGCCGAGGCAGGTGGATCACCTGAGGTCGGGAGTTCGAGACCAGCCTGACCAACATGGAGAAACCCCCGTCTCTACTAAAAAAAATAGAAAATTCGCCGGGCACGTAATCCCAGCTGCCTGTAATCCCAGCTACCTGGGAGGCTGAGGTAGGAGAATCGCTTGAACCCGGGAGGCAGAGGTTGTGGTGAGCGGAGAGATCGGGCCATTGCACTCCAGCCTGGGCAACAAGAGCGAAACTCCATCTCAAAAATAAATAAATAAATAAATAAATAAATCCACTCTTTTAAAGGGTATAATTTATGATTTTTAGTATATTCACAAAGTCGTGCAACCATCAACCAGTACCTAATTCCAGACATTTCACCACCCCCAAAAAGAAACAGTATAACCAATAAAAGTCATTTCTCATTCCCCCATGTTTGCAGTCCCTGGGAGCCATTAATCTGTATTCCATCTCTATGGATTTGCCTCTCTGAACAATTCGTATAAATGGAATCATACAATATGTGACCTCTGTGCCTGGCTTCTTAGCATAATGTTTTCAAGGCTCATACACACTGGCATATGTATCAGTAATTCATTCCTTTTTATGACCATATATTACTTTAATACAAAATCTGTAAACAGGTCTGATTTTTAAAACACTCAGAAACAACTTACCCTTCTGTACCAATTACTTTATAGAAACTCAACAACAACTCTAAATCCAGTCTCATATAAAAGCATAGTTTCTGTCTCCCAATTCCTAATACTGTCTTCAATATCTAGTTTCTCAGGTTCCATTTAAAAGGCTACCCTCTCAAACAGTACTCTTGTTTTCATTGGAATATTATCGTTCACACAGTAGAGCTAGCTAGCTCTTTGCCCAGCTACATTTTATTTTCCCTATCTCCTCACCACTGCCCCACAACCAGCATAAAAACCCACTTACAGCCACTGAGAGGTATAGGCAAAGGTATAATTTGGATGTTTACGGATCTGCTGTCTTTTGACGAGGATGCAGGTCTGGTTGACTGACTTCAGTACACTGACCGTATGTAGAGCATGTCTGCTATCGTGTAACACTTTCCAAATGCCACCATTAACTTGTACAGTAATTGGTTATTTTATAGTTTTCATCTTCTGAATAAAAATCACAAATACATTTTTGCTTTACATCATTAATATTCAGTTACCTCACTATCTGAACAAGGCAGTATTATGTAACATTGGTTGATGTATAAAGTACCATTTTGCCTACACAACTGAGGACTTAGTCTAATATGTAAATGTAAAAGGGATTGGGTTTTTCTCTTAAAAAGATAAACTAGCCATCTGCTGGCCATAGAATTTTCCTAAGAAATTCTACCAGGTCCATCCTTTGGAGTAACCTTAGCAATTGCTGGTGACTGCAGCTGGAAAAAAAAACAAAAACAAAAACCAGCTTAAATAGTTTCAATTAGCTAAAGAATAGCACATAACTCCCCATCTCCATATTTTTATGGCAATTAAAATGAGACTTTAAAAATTGGTGGCAATTAAAATGAGACTTAATAATGGATTTTAAACACACACAGGCACATATGTGCCAGGCACTACTAGGTAACATTTGCAGTGAAGTACACTATCCTATGTTCCGGAGTTAATTAGAACATGTTACTTGATTTTTTACCCCACTCTGCAGGTTAGGAATTGTGTGTATGGAATGAGCATATCCTACTAATTACAACTTGATTTCTGCCCTGGATGTGACAAACCTCAATATATGAGCACTGTACTAGAAGCACACTGTCCATGGTAATGGGAGTACATTTAAAGATATAAGGTAAAATCCCTTTATGACAAGGATATTAATCCTGCACCCATATTGCCAATCTGATAAATAGTACTAGGAGTTTTGGTTTATTTTCAAAATAACCTTCTAACTAGGTTTCAGAGGATCTGATTTAAACGATGGGCATCTGAACCATGTAATAAAAAAACCAAGATGTAATGCAGTTCGATTGTACTTACAAGATTGCAGTTTCTCTCCATGATAAAACTTTTATATTGTGAAACTTTGAACTGAATTCAAATTCACACTTTTTTTCCTCCCATACTTGTTTAATGAAAAGTTATTAAGGCATTTTACTCTGAAATAAAGCAAGACTAAAAGGAACACAATACTATTGCTGTTATCAAATAAGCTTCAGTATACACTTTCACAAAAAAGACAAACAAATATGAAAGTCATAAGTCATTTATTGAATGAATAGTATATGCAAGAATACCAATAAAAGGAAACTAATACTACAAACTACAATTTTGAAAATAAAGCCAATATAACAGGAACAAAATATACATAACATGAGAGGAATGTTTGATTTTTGACCCATAATGCATTCCTTATCTTTACAATTAACCTAAATGTCTGTTAGAACAAAACTGTATACCTTGGTCTAACTTCAGCGCTTTTTTTAAAAAAGCAACAACACTCTAGAACACTTTTTCTTTTGCTTTGAGATATTTGAGATTCACACATTTGTTCAAGTACACAGATTCTGATTCAATAGCAGATCTACAGATCTTGTTATCTCTTAATATCTTGAGTAGCATGTACTTCTGAGCAAGTACTATCTGAAATTCTAAAACTGCTGATTCTTGAAATAAAATTTACTTCAGTTGTGGGTTTTTAATAACTTGAGATGAAAGTAAAATTCACCCCCTGCCCCCCTCCCCCAGGAACAAAGAGCTCTTCTTAAAAGTATAGAAACTCAAGTCTATCTTTCTACTCTAAAGAACATTTCCTACTAACATTTCTGGTAAGGCAATAAATGCTCCAGAATAATCTTCAATATACGCTTGCAAAGATTACACTGTTTAATATCAATAACAAAAAACAAAACAAAAAAAGAAAAAAGAAAGAAAAAAGACGCTTCAAAATTTCAGGCTAAAATATGCATAAAAGACAGTAACGGCAGTATTTTTTGAAATGATGTAAATGTTATATACTTATCAAATAATGTCATGCTTATTAAAACTACAGTTAAGGACTTAAGAGATGTACAGTAAATACACTGCTGAGGTCCATTTTTCTAAATATTAATACCACAATGTAATTACTACCCAGAAGATGATGATGCTACTTGGGAACATAAGTACTGTACAATTTTTACATTGTAAGGCACTTTTACTCAGCATGTGACGAAAACATGATTAGAGAATCAAAACATTGGAGGTTTACAACCAAACATGATTTTTCATGTGAATTCAATTTACATTTGAATTTTTAATGCGAGATTGTTTAGCCAATCACACCACAGTGAGAAAAACAGGTAGTCAGCCACTTATCTAGCCAACCAAAAGGTAAAGTGCTATTCTGGTTGCTAGTGGCAGAAAAAGGGCTGAAGAAACCCATACAAAGTCATACATTTTACTACATAACAAATTCATCAACTGACAGCTATAGTATTTGAACTCCTTTATATAATTATTGACTGGCCATGATTACCCCCGGCACCTTCCATTTTTCCTAAAAAAAAAATGATTACAGTAGTTGTCCAAAAATGAAGGAGCTCTGTTGTCCCATGGGTAAGTCTATGGCACACAATGTAAAAAATGATCTAGACACAGTGATTTAAGGATTTTAAAATAATGATTTTCAAGCTGTTGTAAGGAAAGAAAGTACAGATCCTTTGGGAGAAGTCACATAGCTTGGTAAACAAACATCTAGATCTGTCCTTGCACTTCAAGTCATGAATTTTGAAAATCACATACACACAAAAACCCAATGGCATATTAAGAGCAAAAAGAGAAAACATACAGGGCAACCCACTACTAAAGCTAGTTTCCTTCTAAAAATAGTAAAAGATGGTTAAAATAAAAGCAAGCATTGAGTCCCTTGATTTAAGTAAATGTGTGAATACACACTTGACAAACGTGATCTTAAGGGACTCGCAGTTTAAAAAAAAATCAGTCATTAAGCACAGTGTAATTTTCCACCTGTTACATTTTTAAAATGCTGCTCTATCAGCTGCAGAATATCTCAATGTACAGTCAAGTTAACATTATTATTTCTTATTTAAAAATCTGCTTTATTGTGGTGGCTTAATAATTCAACTAGTCAAAATCCCTCCCCTTGGTACTGAGGTGCTATGGTAGTATCAGGCAGACCACAACTAAAGTTATTTGGTTTTGCCATAAAGAAATGCATAAATGTGCTTCAGCAGGTAAGTGGAAGAAAATATCACTACCTAGAAATGCCAGTGTGAAAATCCTTTCTAAAAAGCTGGGTTCTTAGGCTTTCAAAAACAATTCTGACAATCGATAAAACACCACCAAGCCCTACAAGAAGAAAAGTAGGGCACAAAAGCCTATTTTATAGATAACCAAAGCAATGACTGAAAACATTAAAATATTAAATAAAGTTTCTAAAATAGTGGTCACAAAAGTAAAAATAAATACTGTTTTATGCAAAGACTTTTTTACTCCTACAGCACATGAGACCTCCTTACGTACTGTGCGCCAATATGTGAAGTGTTCCACACAACAGGGCACTTGAGAGGAACAGGTTTCGGACATGGTGTCTGAAGTCCTTAGCAAGCGGTAACCCTTTCTTTACATCTTAAAAACGTTTAATTTGCTGTTGCCAAATGTTAGTTTAAACTTGAAGGACTCAATCATTTTGCCAGAAGTCCTTTGTATAACATGGAAAGAGAGGAGGTGTGCTGTCAAGAGAATTTTGGCAAAAGCACTGGAGCTCATAGCTTATCATTACCAGTTGCCTGAGTCCATGCTGGTCAGTGAGAACAACTTTAACAGGAACCAAATGAAAAGCTTTAGCATACTTCTTGGAAGAGATTTTTAGCATGTGCTGTCAAAGTCAAGAGAAAAAGAAGGTTCTCTTCATTTCTAGCCTCCATTACTTGAGTATGAAAAAAAAATCCACAAATTACCATGTGCTGCCACCAGTGGCATGTTTGCATTGTAAAGGAAAATTTGCTTATGCTTTCCTTTGAGTATGGATCCACTAAACAAACTTAAATGCTCTAAACAGCAGAGCTTTGTTCAGTCCAGAAATATAGCTTACTTCGTTTCGTCTGCTTTAACTGTTGACACTATACACAGGGTTAATAGTGTTTCAATTGCTTCCCAGAAACTGCAAACTATAGCTACGTAATATCAACATGTCAAACTCAGCCTTCTAGTGAGGGCTCATAAAACAAACAAGACATTTTTAGGCAGTTCAATGAAGGATCTAAGAGTTGGGCAGTAAAAAGTTACAAACCCTTTTTGATTTTAGAAAACAGTGAAAAAAGAATAGTAGTTATGGATGTCTTATTCATTCCCAGTTTTCTAACTCTGTCCCATGAACCTGTTTAAAAGATGATAAAAAAATGTAAAATATGATGCTTGAGGGGAACACAATCAATATAATGTTATTGAGGAGTGTGAATATCTTATTGATTTGACATTACAACTACACTTATTGATAAAGCAGATAGCTTGTTTTTATGGTTACAAAATCAGCTAGTTAAAAAACAACTACTATGCAAGCCTACAAAATCCTCAGCATTTTAGTAACATGCTCTTAACTAAACATAATAGGATTAAAAAAAATCTTACTGCATACCATTACTTCAACATGTATATATCAGTGTGTATTGTATCCTGACAACAGATCCCATATAATTAACTTTCATACCTAGTTTCCATTAAGTTGCTGCTGAGTTAGTTGTTGCTGATCAATTTCTACTTTTCCTCGGCTTTTACTCTCTCGTTCCTCATCTTCTTCATCTCTCTCATCATTTCCACTATGATTTTTACAGTATAGTCTACAATGATGAAAGACAAAAATCTCAAAATGCTTTGTCACTGCTGATGAACATTCCTGCCAACATTAGTGGATGAGGCTAGTGCCCATTTAAAACATGGGTTTCCTCATCCACACTTTAAAAAATACTCCCCAATTAGTTACAGACCCATTTTTATCTAACAGATAGGAAAACACACTATTATTGAGATAATAAAAGTTCATCTGAAACAAAATCTCTGGTTTAGGATGACAGTTATCATAAGGCAATTCCTCATTTTGCCCAATGAGATTAAAAGCAAAGTTTTGGCCAACTTAAAAATACCAACCTTCAGGTATATTGATGAAATAATCAAATTCTATAAATTTGTTTCATATATTTAATTTAAAATCACATTTCAGGAAATATATATTCTATCTATACTGCTGCCTTCTGCTCACATTTGATGAAACAATTTTACTCAAACTCTTCAAATGGTTTTTCATTATTAGCATCCTAGCCTTCACTGGAATACCTACATGAGCCATCCAACAGTTTTCCGGCACTGCATTTGGCTATGTCTCTTTTAATCTAGACTGGTCCTTCCAACTTCTTGTTTTTACACAACACTGACTTTTTAGGATGAGATTAGACCAGACAGTCTGTCAACTGTAGCAAATTCTGGACTTGTCTAATTGTGGTACTGTTTTATTTGGTTCTCTCTCGCCCTGTATTTCCTATACACTGGGAATAAGGTCTAAAGGCTTGGTTAGCTTCAGGTTCAGCTTTTCTTTTTCAGTCAAGACACTCTGTAGGTAATCCTGCATATTTCAGGAGGCATCTAATTTCAAAATGTCCTGCTACTGGGTGACACTATGTTTGATCATTTGGTTAAAGTAGTGGTGATGACCAGCTATCTCCATTGTAAAGGTAGGTTTTCCCCTTTAAATCTGGAAAGTTATCTCTGGAGTGCTAATTTGATATCATGCTTGGTTCTAACCTTTTATTTGGGTATACAGATTGTATATTTAAAATTCATTAGGTTTTAAATAAAAATCGTAATATAGGTGATTTGGACAATCAAACAAGGGCAGGCTGATTTGAGCTCAGTTTTTTTTTTCTTTTTTTTTTATTATACTTTTAAGTTCTAGGGTACATGTGCACAACGTGCAGGTTTGTTACATATGTATACATGTGCCATGTTGGTGTGCTGCACCCGTTAACTCATCATTTATATCAGGTATATCTCCTAATGCTATCCCTCCCCCGTCCCCCCATCCCACGACCGGCCCTGGTATGTGATGTTCCCCACCCTGTGTCCAAGTGTTCTCATTGTTCAATTCCCACCTATGAGTGTAAGGCGATTCCTCAGTTTTATGTCTATTATACATAAGACGACAATGGAAGAATGCTTAGAACATGTTCACTGGATGCCCTCTTGTGGTCAGCAATAGATGAAAAAAATCATCTAGGAATTCACATGTTACAAATAGATTATCTAAACTAGGTCTAATATTTGAGTAGAATAAAAGGCAGGGGTGGGGTTCAGGACACAGTGGACAACAATAACAACTGACTTTAATCTAGTTTTGTTCATTATTTCTCTTTTTAGTCTTAAAACATTTTCAATAACTTTCAAAAAGCTAGGGAGAATCTGTACACTTCAAATACTACACATTGGGAACTACCTCTTTTTAAATTTTTAAATCATGAGTTTAAATATCAAGAGTGAGATTCCTACACAATGGCACCTACGAAGAATCTTCCCATAAAATATAACCTGAATCTAATTAAACTTCTGAACCAACCTCTAGTTTACAAGAAATGGGAGAGAGGGATAGAGACACAAGTTAAATGGCATCATGAAATGGCAAAGAGACAAATCTAGAATGTGGGACTTAGGACAATTTATCGAGGCTCTTCAATAAGTAAGGGGACAAGTATGTCCGTATTTAGACTTAAGAGACATATCAAATGCAATGGATGGACCTTGCATGTATCCAGATTTCAACAAATTAAGTCTAAAATGAGATTTTTTTTATACAACTGGGCAAATGTGAAAATGGATTGGGTATAAGATGATGCTAAGAAATAATTGTTAATTTTACAAAGTGTGATAATGGAATAATAATTATATAATGACAAGACATCTGGGATTTTGCTTTAATATATATACTTCAGGAAAATAAACAATATACTTCAGGAAAATAAACAATAGATAAAGCAAGTGTGGCAATAACTTGCTAACTGCTGATATGAGGACTTGTTATACTATTCTGTTTTTGCTTACATTTGAAAATCGTCTTTTTAATAGGAAGTTCCCTCTAACAGGACAAGTGCTTTGTTGTTGGAGCAACTTTTAATTATTTTATGGGATTATTTTTTACTTGCAGAATATTTCCCATAGGCCCTTATATGGCCTTCACTAGTCTAGGTGCTAAGGTTACAGGTGTCAACTGGTCAAACAAGGTCCCTGCTGTCACAGAACTCCATTTTTTATGGTGGGAGGCTGACATTTTAAAAAAATCCATATTGAAATAGTTAAAAATACAATAAAGACAATAAAACAGGATAAATATAAATAAAAATTATTATCTATCCCTCCCTAGTCTTTCGAATAGGAATACAGTCAGGACCCAGAAAGGGCTGGTAAGGAAGAAAAGCCATAGTTAGGAGACAGGGAAGCCACTTCATTCAGAAATATTCCTCCCTGCATTTCCTCTTATTTGTCCCTTCTTCTCTCCCCAAACTACCCACCTATGGGCTCTCATTTGAACTCAGTTGTGTCTATCTGGAATCCACATTACAAATGGATTGCAGAAACACATCTCAATGGGAGAAAAGAAAAAGAGCAATTCAAATCATTATGGATCCAAGTACATATATTTTTGTTTTGTCACTGAAATATGGTTGTCTAATAGCTAAAAAGCAAAAACAACCTAGATGTCTGAAAAAGGAACCAATAGAATAAACTGATATACCTATATGATGGAATATTATGCAATCATTAAAATGGATGTAGGCTGGGCACAATGGCTCATGCTGTAATCCCAGCATTTTGGGAGGCTGGGGCGGGTGGATCGCTTGAGCCCAGGAATTTGAGACCAGACTGGGCAACATGGTGAAATCTCGTCTGCACAAAAAAAATTAGCCGGGTATAATGGGGTGCCCCTGAGGTCCCAGCTACTTGGGAGGCTGAGGTGAGAGGATCACATGAGCCTGGGAGGTTGAGGCTGCAATGGGTTGTGATCGCACCATTGCACTCCAGCCTAGGCAACAGAGTGAGACTGTCTCAAAAACAAACAAACAAACAAACAAACAAAAAACAAGATGTAAAATTGTTTAATGTCACACAAAAATGTCTCTGATCTAGTAAGTGGAAAAGAGATTATAAAACAGCATAGATAAGAAAATCTTTTTTTTTTTTTTAAAGAAAGCAAACGAATAAAAGAATGGCTACCCCATAGGCAGAGCAGCAGAAAATCTTGTTTTTATAAATACACACACATAATCACATAAACGTCTAAGAGAAAACATTCCAAAAGATTTAAAATTATTACCTCTGCATGGCAGAGTTAAAGTTGACATTAAGTATTTTTTCTCATCTATATTTCCATTTTTCTTCCAAAATGAAAATGGAAATATTTAAATATTTTCCATTTAAAACTATTATAATAAAATCATCTAAAAGTTACACTTTTAAATACAATAATTCTCCATACAATCTGATTTTGGATATTTAAAATCAGCCTGTTATTTTAAAATGTTAAGGGCTACTTTAATAATAATATACTTCTCATGAAGATATTCAAACACCACAGAATCCTATCATGGAGAATATAAACTTGCCTCTTCTCCTCCATCCTTATGCAACTAATGAGAAGTAATATAACCATTAAGCTTGTTGAATATGTTTCTAGAGATTTTTCTGCATACACAAAAACATACACACACATATGTGGAAGGAGACCTACACACACATATGTGGAAGGAGACCTTAAGGAGGGGTGAGCAGAAGGATGGTGATGTGGGTCTTTGATGACACTGAAAAATTGCCTACCACATCTGTATTGCTTTCCTCTGCATGTCTTTTAGGTGAGAAAGCAACCCTCTATCCTGTTAAGCTGCTATTTTTTTTTTCTGTTATATAAGGTAAACACAACCATTAAAAGTGAAAATTATATCACATTTAGCCTTCTAAATAAAACTGCCAAAAAATTTGGATTTGATCAAAATTGTACTAAATTTATACATTTGGTGAGAATAGGTGTCTTTTGATGCTGAGTTTTCTATCAAGGAACATAATATATTTCACCACTCATTTCAGTCCTTTGTAAAATGTAATTTTTGGCCAGGCATGGTGGCTCACAGCTGTAATCCCAGCACTTTGGGAGGCTCAGGTGGGTGGATCACTTGTGTCCAGGAGTTTGAGACCAGCCTGGACAACAAGGTGAAATCTTGTCTCTACAAAAAATAGCAAAAATTAGCCAGGCATGGTCACGTGTGCCTGTAGTCCCAGCTACTTGGGAAGCTGAAGTGGGAAGATCACCTGAGCCCAGGAGGTCAAGGCTGCAGTGAGCCGTGATCATGCCACTGCACTCCAGCCTGGGTGACAGAGTGAGACCCTGTCTCCCCAACCACACCCCAAAACAAAGCTTTGTGTGTTTTTTTTTTAAATGGAAAAAATTCATCTTTAGTGTATGTGTGTTTGGCGGGGTATGGCAGGCGGTTTTCCTTTACATTTTCTAACTAGTTATTACTGGAATTGTTTTTTAAAAGTCATCTCATATTCAGCAATCTTACTGAGCTCTTACTAATTTTAATAAATTCAAAGTTGATTCCTTTGAATTTTCTTGGTAGACAATGATATGAATAACAAATATTGATCATTTTATTATACACTTTTATTTATTTATTTCTTTTTTTTTTTTTTTTGAGACAGAGTTTCGCTCTGTCGCCCAGGCTGGAGTGCAGTGGGGCGATCTCGAAGCTGGTCTCAAACTCCTGACCTCGTGATCTGCCAGCCTCGGCCTCCCAAAGTGTTGAGATTACAGGCGTGAGCCACTGCGCCCGGCCTTCTTTTATTTTTTAAATTGAGACAGGGTCTCACTATGTTGCCCAGGCTGGTCTCTACCTCCAGGGCTCAGGCAATCCTCCAGTCTGGGCCTCCTGTATAGCTGGGGCTACAGGCGTGTGCCACTTTGCCTGGCTAATTTTTAAATGTTGTGTAGAGATGGGGTCTCACTATGTTGCCCAGGTTGGTCTCGAATTCCTGGCCTCAAGCAATCCTCTCGCTTTGGCCTCCCAAGTGTGGGATTATAGACGTGAGTCAATGCACTGGGCCTCTTTCTTTTTGTCTTGCATCAGCTTAACCCTCTAGAAGAATGTTAAAAGTCATGCTAGTAGTTGGCATCCTTGTCTTCTTCCTAATCTGAATTAAAGTATAGTCTAATGGTTCTCAATTAGAGGGGAACATAAGAATCACCTGGGGAGTCAGAAAAGTGCATGGTTTGGGCACCAACCCAGACCTACTAAATTTAAATCTCTACAGGTAGGGCTTAGACATGAACATTTTAAAAGAGGGCCTTATCCACCCCACAGTGATTCTGAGGCTCACTCCTGGTTAAGAACCATTGCTCCTTCACTTTAATAATAAATAAGTTATTTGCTGTTGTTTTTCTCATAAACACCTATTAAGATTCCTAGCTTACCAAGAGCACTCGTTACTTTAAAATTCAGAAATTGATGTTGAATGTTATCAAATGTCTTTTCACCATCTATAAGGAAGGTGATAAGATTATTTACTCTACTAATTCTAATAAATTATATTAATATATTTCCTAATTTTGAACAGTCTTTTTTCTTTCTATTTTTAAAATTATATAGAGATGAGAGTCTCGCTTTGTTGCCCACACTGATCTGGAACTCCTGGCCTCAAGCAATCCTCCCACCTAAGCCTCCCAAAGTGTTGAGATTATAAGTGTGAGCCACTGTGCCCAGCCTGAACAGTCTTTCAATTCTTAGAATACAGAGCTGGATTTGATTTACTAATATTTTATTTAGAATTTTTGTATATTTATAAAAGTGAGATTGTGGCTGGGCATGGCTCATGCCTGTAATCCTAGCACTTTAGAAGACTGAGGCAGGGAGAACGCTTGAGCCCAGGAGTTTGAGACCAGTCTGGGCAACAAAACAAAACCCTTCCTCCTCCTCAAAAAACAAAACAAAAAAAATTAGCTGGGCATGATGGCATGCGCCTATAGTCCCAGCTACTCGGGAGGCTGAGTTGGGAGGATCACGTGAGGGCAGAAGGTCAAGGCTGCAGTGAGTCATGATCACACTACTGCACTCCAGCCTGGACAACAGAGTCAGATCCTGTCTCAAAGTAAAAAAAAAAAAAAAAGGGGAGATTGGTCTACAGTTTGTTTGTTTTTCTTTTAACGTATCTTTGTTAGGTTTGGTACCACAGTTATGTAAGCTTTACAGAATGAATCAATAAGTTTTCCATCTCTTGCTATGTGCTGGACCTCTTAAATAACATTGGGATTATTTGTTCCTTAAAGGCTTTATAGAACTCACTTGAAAACATTTGTGCCTTTATTATTAAACAGAATTTGGCAAATTTTATTATACAGCATAGCGCCTTATGTAGGCACCCAAATGACTTGGTGACTGCTTGTGTACATTGTCTTTTACACAGAATACTAGACCCGGAAGTCATTGGTTTATTGCATTCTAGGCATGTGAGAGTAAGGAAGTGCTTTACAACTCTGGATGGCAAATCAAAACTTCAAGAGTCCCTACCAACTTATACTCCAGTCGATTAAACAAATGGAACCATTACAGATATACATTAACACCACCTAGCACAAGGCAGCACAGGTAAGTGGAAGACCCATAAAAAAGAGGGTGACCCCCAATCCCAAATCTTCATACTTTACTTTTTCACCATCTTCTCAAGAGAATCTTTTGCCTTCTGTCTACCATATCCTATTCTAAGCTACCAATAATTCTCACCTGGACCACCAGCACTAGCCTCCTAACACATCTCCCCATTTCCACCTCTGCTTCTGTCTCACCCGGGGCTCTTGCATATGCTCTTCTCTCTGCCCAGAATACCTCCCCCAACCAAGGCTCACCTTTGTCCTTAATATCTCAGCTTAAAGCTGAGCACTATTTCCTTCAGAACATTTTAAATACTCCCCACTACAGACTAGGTTAGCTCTTCCTTCTTATACGCTCTCATAACACTTTGTAACTTCTTTAGAACACTTACGCTGCTATGTTGTAATTGCATATTTGGCCACTTAAATAATAGGTCTCTCCCAATAGACTGTAAGCTTCATGAGGAGAGTATATGTAGTGTTTTTTTTTTGTTTGTTTGAGATGGAATTTCACTCTTGTTGCTCAGGCTGGAGTGCAATGGCGCAATCTTGGCTCACTGCAACCTCTGCCTCCTGGGTTCAAGCGATTCTCCTGCCTCAGCCTCCCGAGTAGCTGGGATTACAGGTGCCTGCCACCACACCTGGGTAATTTTTGTATTTTAGTAGAGACGGGGTTTCACCATGTTGGTCAGGCTGGTCTCGAACTTCTGACCTCAGGTGATTCACCCGCCTCGGCCTCCCAAAGTGCTGGGATTACAGATGTGAGCCACCGCACCCGGCCCAGTGTATGTAGTTTTGATCACTGGCATATGCCCAGCTTCAAGCACAATGGCTGGCACATAGGAAGCCTAACTAATATTGGATGGATGAATGCTAATCCAGGGATATGTAGTCAGAGGAAAATGCCAATTGTAGTACTCATTCCTTACATAATGTGCTCAGTATTCTATACTTAACTAAACACCATTTAAGAACAGAGACTGAGTAAACTAATGTCATCTATTTAAGGACGGTTACTAACATGTTTAGGGAAATAGACAACTGTTGTTTTCTTACTTGTAAATTCCTCGTGACATATTTTCAATGTATTTAGCTTTGTCTTGTACTCCACAGTGGTAATGGTAAGTCTTAACACAGGCTTTTATTTCACATCCAATAGTAGCACCAGGCTGACTGCAAAGTGTACATTTCTGTATAAGGAAAGAGAAATAATCGTAAGCCGTATTTCAAGAAAACAGCAGCTATTTTCTATTGAAAAAGAGTACACTGAAATTATCACATAGCATATAACTGAAATAATGCTGCAACTTAAACCATACTTTGATAAGCCCTCTAATATTGTCATCCCCTGATGTTTCCCTTATTTAACATTTATAAACTGCTGGCTTATTAGAAAAACTACTGACCATCCCAGGTCTGACATCTAAATGTAGATAAGATTCTCCTCAATGCTGCCAAATACACAAAAAGAATGATGTTGTATATCTTAGTGGTTGGCTTCTTTTCTTCCCTAAGATCAGATCCTTTCCTATTATGATTAGGGGAAAGAATAAGAAACCAGAAAAGCAATCCTCCCACAGAGGAATTGCTACCAGTAGACAAAAGTACAGAGGGAGACTAAAGGGGCTGAAATCTTTTCAAAACTTCTCAGTTTGGCCTAGATAAACCTTGCCTGAAGAATGTTCGGAGATTAAAAGGTACCTGTTGAAAAGGGGGTTTCAAGTCAAATAAGTTTGAGAAAGGATAGGTTAAGCAGATCACTTTATTGCAGGACTTCTCACAGCCTTTTCTCCAAGGGAGGGGGCACAGAGTAAACAGTTTTCAAGTTTATTGAAATCTAGATGCCCTTTTATCTCTGGAGGGGTGGGGGAACATCTTGATGGACTAACTTCCTTTGGAGCACACTTGGGGGAAATGCTAGGTTAGTGTTTACCCCAATCCTCAATGGTACAGAGGTAAACAATAAGTTGGCAAGATAATTGAATTGTTATCTTAGTCACCTGTTTGGACTTTAGCTGTATTATACAACACTGCTCTGAATAATATGATGAAGTGGTTTTTCCTTTTTTCAGTACTACAGGCTCTGTTACGAAAGTTTCATTTTTAGCCGGGTGCTCACGCCTGTAATCCCAGCACTTTGGGAAGCCGAGGTGGGTGGATCACATGAGGTCAGGAGTTCATGACAAGCCTGGCCAACATAATGAAACCCTGTCTCTACTAAAAATACAAAAATTATCCAGGCGTGTTGGTGCATGTCTGTAATCCCAGCTACTTTGGAAACTGAGGCACGGGAATCACTTGAACCCGGGAGGCAGAGGTTACAGTGAGCCGAGATCGCACCACTGCACCCCAGCCTGGGCGACAGAGTGAGACTCTGTCTCAAAAAAATAAAAAAATAAAAAATAAACAAAAAAATTGTAAGGTATAATGACATTGTGGTTAGGTAAGAAAATGTCCAATTATTAAGAGATACATACTCAACTACATGGAGGTATAGTGATACGAAGTCTGAGGTCTGCTTTAAAATACTTCAAGCAACAAGAATAAAAGGCCTATATGAAACAAGCGCCACAAATTTAGGTAACTGATGAAGCAAGATGATGGATAGATACATGTTACTAGGCTTTCCAATTGCGGTATGTTTGAAAATTTTCCCAACAAAAAAATTTAAAAATTAATTTCTAGAAATAACCGACATAGCATTCATAAGTGTTAAAGGAGTAAGCGATCAATAAAGATGCCAACATTTCTTAGAGCTACTTGTTGGTAATTCAGTATGTTTAACAACATGAGACTAAGGCGTATTTTATATTATTTTATTTAAAAAACCTTAAAGCTATGACAAACATTTTAAGAGGCAGCCCTGTGTATGTGTTCTTTAAACAGAAAGCCCTGAAAAAAATTTCCTTTAAGCAAGCTTACACAATGTAACATTTTAAACTTAATGAAGTTTGTCACATTCATATCTTCATTTATTTTATTAAACGGCTTGCAAATGCCTTGAAATGTATATAAATCTTCTCAGTATAATTCTCTTAAAGTAATGAAGTTACATAGAGAAATAAGTTTCAGTAACATCAGCATCCTTTATTATATTACAAATAAGTCAAATATATACTTTGCTTTAACATACGAACTACTTTAAATTTTCTGATGACTGGATAAATTTGGGATGTACTCTAAATTTAAAGCAGCAAATCAAGTGTAATGTTGCATAACAAATATAAAAACTACAGACCATTCTTTTTCCTCGTTTAATCTCCTGAAGTACAGTTTTAATATCAAAGTCTCCAAATTCTGCTCTTGATGTTGTTGTGAGCTGGACTGTGCCAGAAGAAAACAACTAGAGAAGAAAAATGCAGGAAAATTAACATTCAGAATCCTTATGAGAGAAACATTAAATGTGATAACAAGTGTGTTATATTTAATTTCCGAAGAAAGATAATCTTTCCTTAATAATCAAGTATCTGCTCAAATATTTTTAATATATTTACATGTCTGATTAAAATATAACCAAAATTATGGACATTGAAATAAAATGAGGACTGCCAGTGTGGAGCCAAGATTAAATAGCCTGCTTTAAGCAATGAAAATTTCAACAATGTCACTCTATTCTCAACTATTTTACATTTCCACAAAGTTTTAAAAAATAGTTTAAATTGGCAAATTTCAACCATAGATGCAGATTAGAATCACTCGCGTATTTTTTTTTTTCAAACTAGACATATACGAGATCTATTCCACAGGGTGCCTAGATGCACATATTTCGGAAAAAGCTCACCAGGTAAATCTGACATGCACTCTGGTTAAGAATCTCTGACATAAATAATGTAATTTTAAAAACCTTATCAATGGGATGAGTCATTCAATACAATCTAAGTCAAAGATATTTATGTGTACTGTAAGTCAGGCATGGACCTAAGGATGTCAAGATAAAAACTTATTCTTATCTTCAAGGAATTTAAGAGTCTGTTAGGGAAGATAAGTTCATAAATGAATAATTGTAATATAGAGTGTTAAGTACAACAGAGATAATTATTAGGTTATAGTGAAAGTCTAAAATATATTTCATGACATGCTTATAAAGACAAAATTTTTATAGTTATGAAATAATTAATTACAGATTATCCTAACTACAGTAACTATAATTAGAATTACTTCAAATCCTACTAAAACATAAAGGCTATAATTTAACAAAATCTAAACTTAAGATTTGGGATTATAAGATATACTGTTTATAACTCTAAAATACTAATGCTGGTGGGGGGAAATTTTTTGGTTACTAGCTAAATGATTTTTAAAAAAAAAATCATTTGGGCTTTAGATCACAGGGGAAACAAAGAAAAACAAACAACAAAAAAACAAAATTGGGCTTAAAAGAACCATGCTTACCATGCACTTATAATGGGCAGCTGCCTTCTTGGCATTAAATATATGCAGTTTTCCTCGTGCTTCATTTTCTTCCTCCCCTACATGGCAAAATCCACATTTAGGCCTGGTGTCACTAGGGCTGCTTCTGTGTGGAGACCTATCTCTCTGCAAATGTAAAAGAAAAAACGAACTTAAAAAAAATCATGAAAATATGCTATCGGTATTTCAAGCTTACTTAACATTTCAAATGATGAACTTTACCTATAGATAGTTTAAATGAAATATTCATGGTGCAACAAAAGTAAGAATCCAACAGTTTTTTTTACTTACATAGGAACTACTTTCCATTTCATCTGTTCCATGGGAGGATGTGGACCTGGTATCTTCTGACAGCCCTTTAAAATTAGTTTTTCTTGGCCTTCCTTTGCGACTTTTCTTTTTACTTTTAGGTGATGAGGGCTCCAGTTCATGTTCATTAAAACTTTCTTCTAAATCAGCTGCTTAAAAATGAACAAAAACTTTTTATGGACCAATCTCAAAATAAGTATTAGTTCATGGGTCTTTAGGACATATGTTTCTCCTTAGAATGAAACTGTCTCCAGAAATGAGGAGAAATGGTCTGTGGTATGTTCAATAAAGCCACCCAATGTTTCAGATAAATGCAATAAAAATCAAATACAAATAGTTTAGTAAATTAATTTTTAGAGTTTGCTTTTGCATTATTATTTTTTTTTACCATAGGTTTCAAAGAGTTTGTAAAATTAGAACACTTACCTAGAAAATACACTTACTGTAACTTGGAAAACTAAATGAAAATAAAGTAGATATATCTGTGCTATTCAATGTAGTAGCCACTAGCAACATGTGGCCTTAAAAAATTTAAGTCAGTTATAATTAAATAAAATTAAAACTTCAGTTTCTTAGTCACACTGACCGCACTGCAAGAGCTTATTGGCTACATGTGGCTAGTTGCAACTGTATTAGACAGCACATATACAGGACTGTTGCCACTGTCACAGGAAAGTTCTACTGGATAACACTGGTCTAGATTACTCTTCAAACGATCATGAAAACTGAATGAACAAATTCAACAAGGAAGTCATTTACAATTGAACTAATGGATCAAGTAATTAAACAAATATTAAGTACAAAAAGAATTTCTAATACAAGCAGTAAAAAAAGTATGTTGCAAGTTAGTTGCATATGCTTTAATGAATTAAGCAAAACTTACGCAGAAATTTGAGAACTGCATTTCTCAGTAATCTGAAAAGAATTTCTACCATAATGAAAGGTGTTTCATCAGTAGTTTACTATAAATATTTTATTTATTGAAGGCCTCTGTATAAGATAATGTATTAATATTTAGTGTTTAAAAGGGTAATAAAAACCAAATGTTCACTTGCCATAGGCTCAAACTATGGAAAGTTTTAGGCACAGCTCTAATATTTTCGCCATTTTTTCCTTTACCATGTTATTGATTATAATTCTAGAGACTAATTTCTCAATGAGAAAGCATATCAACTCCTATGCTCAGACGTTAATATCTTTCCTACTACTTTGAAGGTTGTTTATTAGAAATGAAAGCACATTTATTATAAGAAAAGGGCAATTCAGTTGGTATACTTGAATATATATATAAATTAAGGGAACTACAAGTATTAGGTTGTTTGCAAAACAGTTAATAACAATTTACATGAGTGCAACTTCACATAGCTCTGGTGGGACTTGAGGGAGTTAAGGGGAAAAGGTAAAAGTTATTGCATAGTGTTTTATAGGCAACAAAATAAATTCACGTGAATAACTTCCTGTGAAGACACAGAAGTCAATTAAAGATGTTTTCTCTCCTTAACACGATAGCAAACTTCATGTCAGAATACACTACTTAATTTAAATATTCAAACTGACAATTTTTAAGACATGGAATTTCACTAAAAGCTGTTAGAATTACTTGCACTTGGCTGGGCGTGGTGGCTCACGCCTGTAATCCCAGCACTTTGGGAGGCCGAGGTGAACAGATCACGAGGTCAGGAGTTCGAGACCAGTCTGGCCAATATGGTGAAACCCCGTCTCTACTAAAAATACAAAAAATTAGCCGGGTGTGGTGGCGCACACCTGTAGTCCCAGCTAATCGGGAGGCTGAGGCAGAAGAATTGCTTGAACCCGGGAGGCGGAGGTTGCAGAGAGCCGAGATTGTGCCACTGCACTCCAGCCTGGGTGACAGAGCAAGATTCCATCTCAAAAAAGAATTACTTGCACTTGCCAAATATTAAAAATTCTCAAAATGAAAAATCATAACTGTTTCAATCATTCTAAGACATCTATGTGTATGTATATATAAAACATTGTTTTATACATATGTATACACATAATATATTCAGTTATCTATTATGAAAATAAGCATCACTAACACCATACATAACACTATTAAATAACATTTAATAGTTGTTTAATAAATAACAATAAACAAATAAGATGTTTAATAAATAACATTATTAAACATCTATAACATTTAATAATGTTATTTATTAAACATCTATAAAAATTACTTAAGAACTGATTCCATTATCAAGCCAACATGATTAGTTTCCCACATGTCATATTTGTTCTAAATATGAAATCATTCCACAAAAATTTTTAACAACTTTAACATCAATAGTAAAAGTCACGAAAGATTCATATATTTAACTATATTAGACTTTCAAACTGAAAAGTATAAATTAAAAAGTGGTAAATTTGGGCTGGGTGTGGTGGCTCACACCTGTAATCCCAGTACTTTGGGAGGCCAACATGGGCAGATCACCTGAGGTCGGGAATTCGAGACCAACCTGACTAACATGGAAAAACCCCATCTCCACTAAAAATACAAAACTAGCTGGGCGTGGTGGTGCATGCCTGTAATCCCAGCTACTCGGGAGGCTGAGGCAGGAGAATGGTGTGAACCCAGGAGGCGGAGCTTGCAGTAAGCCCAGATCGCGCCACTGCACTCCAGCCTGGGTGACAGAGCAAGACTCCATCTCAAAAAAAAAAAAAAAGTGGTAAGTTAAAAGGCAAACAATAAACTGGAAAAAGGCCGGGCGCAGTGGCTGAGGCAGTTGGATCACTTGAGGTCACGAGTTCGAGACCAGCCTGGCCAACAAGGTGAAAACCTGTCTCTACTAAAACTTCAAAAAAAATTAGCTGGGTATGGTGTCGCGTGCCTGTTAACCCAGCTACTAGGGAGGCTGAGGCAGGAGAATCACTTGAACTCGGGAGGCAGAGGTTGCAGTAAGCCGAGATCATGCCACTGTACTCCAGCCTGGGTGACAGAGCAAGACTCTGTCTCAAAAATAAAATAAAATAAAATAAAATAAAATAAAATAAAATAAACTGGAAAAATATCTGCTTCTGCTGTACCTCTGACAAGGAATTAGTATCATTATGATATGATAAGCTCATGCAAGATTAAGACCCAAATGGAAAAACAGATCAAGGATATAATCAGATAATTCTCAGAATATAAGTAGTTAATAAGTATAGTTTAAAAATATTTAACTTCTCCAGCATCAAAGTGCAAATTAAGTGATATATCATTTTCACCTATCAAAACAGCAGACTTTAAATAGTTATTAAAAGCTAAAATAAAAACCACAATGAGATACCATCTCACATCAGTCAGAATGGCTATTATTAAAGAGTCAAAAAACAATAGATGCTAGTGAGGCTGTGGAGAAAAGGGAATGTTTATACACTGTTGGTGGGAATGTAAATTAGCTCAGCCACTGTGGAAAGCAGTTTGGAAATTTCTCAAACAACATAAAACGGAACTACTATTTGACCCAGCAATACCATTACTGGGTATATATTCAAAAGGAAACAAATCGTTCCACCAAAAAGACACATGCACTGTTATGTTCACCGCAGCACTATTCATTATAGCAAAGACAAGGAATCACCCTAGGTGTGCGTCAACGGTGGACTGGATAAAGAAAATGTGGTTTGGTGTGGAATACCCTGCTACATGGAATATCCTGTAGCCATAAAAAAGAATGAAATCATGTCCTTTGTGGCAATAAGGATATGGCAGGAACAGAAAACCAAATGCAACATGCTCTCACTTATAAGTGGGAGCTAAACACTGGGTTCTCATGAACATGGAGATGGCAGTAATAGAAACTGGGGACTACTAGAGGGAGGAGAGAGGGAGAAGGGCAAGGGTTGAAAAACTAACTATTGGGTATTATGCCCAGTACCTGGGTAATGGCATCATTCATACTCCAACCTCAGTATCATATCGTATACTCAGGTAACAAACCTGCACGTGCACCCCCCTGAATCTGAAGTTAAAAAAAAAAAAGGTACAATAAACCCAACAAAATACGTGTTAGAAAGAAAATATAAAACAAGTGCCCCTAAATGGAGAGATAGACTATGTTTCTGAATGAACATGATACACAGAAAATCAGCTCTCACTAATCTGACTTAATGAAATGAAACTTAAAGTTGATTCTGTGGTTTTCTGGAAAATGGATGAGAATACACAAGATGAAAAAAAGAATACACAAGAGTATCCTTTTGAAAAGAAGATATCAAAATATACTATAAAGCAATAGCAGTTAAACCACTGGCACAAGAATAGACATATATCAGTGGAAGAGAATCTCCAAGTTTGAAAACAGACCCACGTGCACATGAAAATTGAAAATATGATAATGGTGGCATTTCAGATGAGTGGAAAAGACATAATGGCACAACTGGATATCCATTTTTTAAAAATGGATACCTCATACTATATGAAAAAGTTAGGAGATGTATTAAAAATCTAATTGTAAAGTAAACTATGAATATAATAGGAGAAAATAGCGGAGAATTTTAAAAAATAATCTTGGATCAGGACATATAAGAAGCCCTAAAGGAAAAGACTGGGATATTTGACTAAAAATTAGTAACTTTTGTACAGCTAAAGGCACCATAAACTAAGTTAAAAGAAATAAATTGGGGCCGGTGCGGTAGCTCAGGCCTGTAATCCCAGCACTTTGGGAGGCTGAGGTGGGCAGATCACCTGAAGTCAGGAGTTCGAGGCCAGCCTGGCCAACATGGCAAAACCCCGTCTCTACCAAAAATACAAAAATTAGCCGGGCATGGTGGCAGGGCACCTGTAATCCCAGTTACTAGGGAGGCTGAGGCAGGAAAATCGCTTGAACTTGGGAGGTGGAGGTTGCAGTGAGCCAAGATCGCACCTCTGCACTCCAACCTGGTGACAAGAGTGAAACTCTGTTTCAAATAAATAAATAAATTGGAAGATCATTTGCATATAGTGGCAGAATATCTATATTATAGAGAACACCTGTATATCAATTTTAAAAAGACAAACCCCAAGAGAAAAATGCACAAAGCATAGGAAAAGGCAATTCACAAAAGAAACATAAATGACAAAAAAACATGAACAGAGGCCCAACCTCACCAGTGATAATGGAAATTAAAATTAAATGAAATAATCAGACAAAAATTAAAGACATAATACCTAGCACAGGTATGGGAATTAGACACTGTTAGTGGGAACATAAACTGGGTAAACAGTTTCAGAAGCCACGTGACAGTACTCATTCCCTGTGTTAAATGCATAGACCCTTTGACTTGGCAACCCCATTTCTAAGACTTTTATCTTACAGAGTCACTCGTATAAGTACATAAGTATATTATGTACAAGGGAAATTGTTGCAGTATTATTTGTAATGATGAAGAAGCAGATATAACCAATTTTATTAATAGATAAATCCTTAGGCCTGGACGCAGTGGCTCACGCCTGTAATCCCAGCACTTTGGGAGGCCAAGGCGGGTGGATTGTTTGAGGTCAGGAGTTCAAGACCAGCCTGACCAACATGGTGAAACCCCGTCTCTACTAAAAATACAAAAATTAGCCGGGTGTGGTGGTACATGCCTGCAATCCCAGCTACTTGGGAGGGTGAGGCAGGAGAATCACTTGAACCCGGGAGGCGGAGGTTACAGTGAGCCGAGATCACGCCACAGCACTCCAGCCTGGGAGACAGAGCGAGTCTCAAAATAAAAATGTAAAAAAAGTGAAAATCTTCCTTTCACCTTCTACTTCCACCTGCTCTGTGCTCCTGGTTGGCTCCTCAGTCTCCCTAACCTGCCTCCCTCCCTGACCTCCTGACCTCCCACCCAGAAAAGCACTGTTAACTGCTTCTTTTCTCAACCTCAGTGTATAAGAGCCTCAGTTTGAATCTTGGATCTTCCACATACTGTGTATCTTTGGACCTGAAACCTACGTCAGGGGGTTCTTAAATGAATTACATGAATTAGTGCATGTAAAATACTTAAAACAGTGCCTGGCACATAAGATGCTTTCAATAAATGCTATTATTTTCTCTGCATATGCACGTTTTTTAAAATGATATACACACAAATGGCATTCTAAGCACACTATTCTGCATCTTGCTTTTTCCACTTAATATAGCTTGACAACTTTCCATGTCAGTATATAGGAATTTACCTCCTTCCATATAAGAGCTAATAGTAATCCATCGTATTTAACCAGCCCCCTATGGTTATGACTTGTAAGTTTTCAGTGGTTTTGCTGTTACAAATGTGATGAACACTTTCTCCATTTATCTTTGCTCACTTGTACAGTATCTTAACAGCTTTCATTTGTAAATATGTGTGTATAAGTTGGAAATAGAATAGTAAGAGCTAACATTTGAGCTTTTAAGTTTTCACTATACCAGATATGCTATGTGGTTTATATGCATTATCTCATTTGAGCCTCACAATCATTCCACAAAGTTGTAACGGTCATCTTCCCAACACCCCCTCCACCCACCACCACCCTGTTTTACAGATAAGGAAGTTTAGAAAGGTTAAGTAATTTTGCCCAAGGTCACAAAGCTAGAGAATGGCAGAGCTGGGACAAATATATATGTCAGTGAATAACTACAAGTATGCTCTTAAAATAGTAATATTCATTGTCATGGAAATACACATTTCCATATGCTCCTGGATGTTAGAAAAAGAACAGTTATGCTTATGTATGCACATAATTGGTCTGGAAGGATACACAAGAAACTCACAGATAGTAGTGTTTGCTTTTAGCAAAAGAATTCAGAAACAGATACAAGGGCACGGGTGACAGGAAAGCCTGATTTTTGTACAATGTTCATGTATCTATTCAAAATAAATACGATAAAAAGTAAAACTTTACACTTATATTCACAGCTGCAATTTCTAAAAATCCAGGCTGATAAGGCAGGCGACAAAATAGGGTTGTCCTCCTTCCCGAGCCACCAAACATTCCCAGCCTCTTATCAGCACAGCTTGCAGATGTCTGTGTCACGTTAGAATGGCCAGGCCCCTCTCTATTACCCTTCTGTTCTCCTCTGGTATGGCCTCTATAGGGAGGGGAATGCCCAACGTACCAGGACACCAACTCTCTTCCTAGTATTGTAAAGCCCTGTCTGTCCCTTTCCTGATTCTCTTCTCTTAGTAACCAATGTTTTCCTCATCTTACAACTTCCTGGTTTATGCTCCACCTTCCTCCTCCTAAGTTCTCACATCAGTTAACAGTGTGAAGTAGAAAGGATATCTGGACAGAACATCTGAAATTGCCACTTACTAGGTCTTAACTTGGTTAAGTTACTTACCATTCACAAGTGTCTTCATGTGTCAAATGGGACTAATGTTAATACCTTTCTTACAAGGCTGCTTTAAGAAATTACTTGTGAAAAATGCTTTGTAAACTATAAAATTCTATTTAATTGTTAGTTAATACTCTTGGCATATCTTGTGTAGACTCTAAGCTCTTTGTCCACATGGGGACTTTAATTCTCCAAGGTGCTCACACCTTGTAGGTACTCAATAAATGTTTGTCAGAGTAAAAAAAAAAAGAAAGAAAGAAAGAAAGAAAGAAAGAAAGAAAGAAAGAAAGAAAGAAAAAGAAAAAGGACAGGCATTAAGATTGAGGCAAGCATCACCACCTCTGCTTTGAATCTTCATGGTTGCTGCAAAAGGAAAACTGGAGGACATTCGCCCTGCCTTTTCCAGTGTAAATGTGATGTGCATTTACTCTGTATGTGCGGAGTCATTTGTGAACTCAGCTTCCTGCTTTTTCAGGAAAGGTATGATTTATATATATATAAATCATTTATATATATAAATCATTTACTTGATATACTTGATATTATATATATATACATACACATGCACAAACATGCATATATACATACACATGAATATACAAATTTGTAACATACACCCAAAATATATTATTACTAAAGTGTGCTAAAATGAAATCTGATGTCTGGGATTACTTCGAAATAATCCAAATGAAGAAAGTGAGTGGGGGGTAAAGATGAAACGTTATGCTGTTATTTCTACTTTTGCCTAAGTTTGAAATTTCCTATAATGAAAGCTTGTACAGTGTGCTAAATCACAGATGAGCATACACAATGCCTAACACAGTACTCTGCACATGGGTGAATCAGAAAGAATATGGAGTCGGCCGGGCGCGGTGGCTCACGCCTGTAATCCCAGTACTTTGAGAGGCTGAGGTGGGTAGATCACCTGAGGTCAGGAGTTTGAGACCAGCCTGGCCAACGTGGCAAAACCCTGTCTCTACTAAAAATACAAAAATTATCTGGGCGTGGTGGCAGGCACCTGTAATCCCAGCTACTTGGCTGAGGTGGGAGGATCGCTTGAACCCGGGAGGTGGAGGCTGCAGTGAGCCGAGATCGCACCACTGCACTCCAGTCTGGGCGACAGAATGAGACAAACAAACAAAAAAAGAATATGGAGTCAGTTTTACATGGTGCGAAGACCACAATATGAATACACTACTAAAATTTTCCAGGTTAAAGTACAAAGAATTTAAATTCCATTGTCATCTAAGGAAGAGCACATGAAAAGATGGTGATAAAAGCAGGTGGAAGTTTAAAGGAATAATAATGATATAGAACACAGTATTTACAGACATCTTCAAGATATCGTGGGTTTGGTTCCGGACTACCACAGTAAAGCAAGTTATCGCAATAAAGCAAATCACATGAATCTTTTCATTTCCCAGTGCATTTAAAAGTTATGTTTACACTATATTGTAGTCTACTAAGTGTATAATAGCATTATGTATAAAAAAAGGGTATGTACCTTCATTAAAAATACTTTATTGCTAAAAAATGCTAACAATCATCTGGGCTTTCCAGTAAGCTGTAATCTTTTCGCTGGTGAAGGGTCTTGCCTTGATGCTGTTGGCTGCTAACTGATCAAGGTGGTGGATGGCTGAAGGATGGGGTGGCATGACAATTTCTTAAATTAAGACAACACTGAAGTTTGCCGCATTGATGGACTCTTTCTTTTGTGAAAGATTTCTCTATAGAATGAGATGCCGTTTGATAGCATTTTACCCACAGGAAAACTTCTTTCAAAATTAGAATGAATCCTCTCAAACCCTGCCACTGCTTTATCAACCATGTTTACGGAATATTCTAAATCCTTTGTTGTCGTTTCAACAATGTTCACAGCATCTTCACCAGAAGTACACTCTATCTCAAGAAACTACTTTCTTTGTTCATCCATAAGAAGCAACTCCTCATCTGTTAAAGTTTGATCATGAGATTGCAGCAATCTAGTCCCATCTTCAGGCTCCACTTCTAATTCTAGTTCTCTTGCTATTTCTACCACATCTGCAGTGACTTCCTCCACCGAAGTCTTGAACCTCTCAAAGTAATCCGTGAGGGTTGGAATAAACTTCTTCCAAATTCCCGTTAACATCGATATGTTGACCTCTGCCCTTGAATCACAGATGTTCTCAATGGCATCCAGAATTATGAATCCGTTCCAGAAGGTTTTTAATTACCTTGCCCAGATTCATCACAGAAATCACTATGTATGGCAGCTACAGCCTCATGAAATGTATTTCTTAAATAATAAGACTTGAAAGTCCAAAGTACTCCTTGATCCACGGGCTCTAAGAACTGCGGAATGAATGCTGTACTAGCATGCATGAAGACAACATTCATCTCCTTGTAGATCTCCATCAGAGCTCTTGGGTGACCAGATGCATTGTCAATAAGCAGTAATATTTTGAAAGGAATCTTTTTCTCTGAGCAGTAGGTGTCAAGAGTGGGCTTAAAATATTCAGTAAACCATGCTATAAACAGATGTGCTATCATTCATTTATAGAGTATAAACAGAGTAGATTTATTGTAATTCTTAAGGGCCCTAGGATTTTTAAAATGGTAAATGAGGATTGGTTTTAAAATCACCAGCTGCATTAGCCCCTAACAAGACTCAGACTGTCTTTTGAAGCTTTGAGGCCAGGCATTGACATCTCTCTAGCTATGAATGTCCTAAATGGCATCTCCTTCCAATACAAGGCTGTTTCATTAATATTAAAAATCTGTTGTTTTGTGTAGGCAACTTCATCAATGATCTTAGCTAGATCCTCTGTATAACTCAGTATAGTTTCTACATCAGCACTTGCTGCTTTCACCTTGCACCTTTATTGTTATGGAGACTTCTTTCCTTAAATCTAATGAACCAACCTCTGCTAGCTTCAAACTTTTCTTCTGTAGATTCCTCACCTCTCTCAGCCTTCATAGAATTGAAGAATTAGAGGCTTGCTCTGGATTAGGCTTTGGCTTAAGGGAATGTTGTGGCTGGTTTGATCTTCTATCCAGACTACTAAAACTTTCCCCATATCAGCAATAGGGCTGTTTCACTTTCTTATCATTTGTGTGTTCCCTGGAATAGCACTTTTAACTTCCTCCAAGAACTTTTCTTTTGCATTCACAACTTGGCTGTTTGGTACAAGAGGCCTAGCTTTTGGCCTGTCTCAGCTTTCGACATGCCTTCCTCACTAAGCTTAATAATTTCAGCTTTGGATTTAAAGTGAGAAAGGTACAACTCTTCCTTTTACTTAAACACTTAAGAGGCCATTAGAGGGTTATTAATTGGTCTAATTTCAATACTGTTATGTCTTAGACAATAGGGAAGCCCAAAAAGAGGGAGAGAGATGGAGAATGGCTGGTTGGGGAAGCAGCCAGAACACACACCACATTTATCAATTAAGTTCACTGTCTTACATGGGCACGGTTCATGATGTCCCTAAACAATTTGCAATAGTAATATCAAAGATCATTGATCACAGATCACCATAACGGATAAAAAAATGAAAAGGTTTGAAATATTGTGAGATTGCCAAAATGTGACAGAAACAAAGTGAGCATATCCTGTCGGAAAAAATGATGCTGAAAGACTTGCTCAATGCAAGGTTGCCACAAACCTTCAATTTGTAAAAAATGCAGTTATCTGTGAAGCACAATAAACTGAAGTGCAATAAAATAAGGTATGCCTGTACTGAGCCATTGTTTAGAGTTGTACACGCATTATTTTTCATTTAATCCTTAGAATAATCCTATGAGGTAGGTTTTTAAAAAAATCCCCCAAATTTTACAGATGCAATATCTAAGGCTCTCCTCTGAGAGCGATCAAATAATTTGTCCCAGATCATGTGCCTAGGATGTGGCAGAGCTAAGATTCAAATACAGACCTTATTTCAAAGCCCATACTCTTAACCAGTGTATAATACTGCCTTCCCAGTACTTCATAAGTCTATTCAATGCTACTCAACTTAAAGGTTTTTAAAGAGCTTAATACCAACATCAGAATCTCCCTATATTTCCATTTAATAAAAGTAATGCAAACTGTGGCCAGGTGCGGTGGCTCACGCCTGTAATCCCAGCACTTTGGGAGGCCAAGGTGGGCGGATCACGAGGTCAGGAGATGGAGACCATCTTGGCCAACATGGTGAAATGTTGTCTCTACTAAAAACACAAAAATTAGCTGGGCGTGGTGGCGCTTGCCTGTAATCCCAGCTACTCGGGAGGCTGAGGCAGGAAAATCACTTGAACCAGGGAGGCAGAGGTTGCAGTGAGCTGAGATCGTGCCACTGCACTCCAGCCCGGGCAACAGAATGAGACTCTGTCTCAACCAAAAAAACAAACAAACAAACAAACAAACAAACAAAAAACAACCAATAAGTGAATATTAAAGCAGGTAAAGGCTTCAAATCTACATAAATTATAACATTTTTAAGATACTTTTAATATAACTATGGTGACCCTATTTCCTGAAACATAAACTGAGTTATATCATTTGACAAGCAATTTCTAATATAAAGTTTCAGAACTGTTCATTAGGGAATCCACCAGGTCCTTGAATAAAATACAGACTATAGCCTCCAAGGTTAGGCACAAAAGATTCCTTTACACCATCTCAGAAAGCATGGGATTTTGTGGTCACTGTAATTCTAACACTTATCACCACTTTATCTTTTTAAGTAATTTCAGACTTATAAAAAAAGTTGTCATAAAAATTCCTGTATACCCTTCACCCAGATTCTAAAAATAATATTTTACCACACTTGCTTTATCATTCATTCTCTCTCAATATCCATACACATTTTTTCCTGAAAGGTTTAAGAGTAAGATGCAGCCATGATGTCACCACTGTATTTTAATGTTTGTCACATATCTGTCACTTAATTATGTCCTCCCCCACTCCCCCTAAACAAAAATTATATATTTATTAGTCTCATTTGATACATGAGGACACTTTGCCTTGTGAATAAGTTAACCAAGTTAAGACCTAGTGGGTGGCAGTTTCAGACTTTCTGTCCAGATACCCTTTCTACTTCACACTGTTAAATGATGTGAGAACTTAGGAGGAGGAAGATGGAGCATAAACTAGGAAGATGTAAGATGAGGAAAACAGTGGTTAAGAAGAGAAGACAATCAGAAAAGGGACAGACAGGGCTTTAGAATACTAGGAGGAGCGTTGGTGTACTGGTAAGTTGGGCATTACTCTCTCCAATTTACCACACTCAAAAACCTTATAATCACATAAAATGGTTCTATTTCTGACATCCCTATGTCACACTCTGGGACCACAAATGCTTGTTTTCCTAAGTACTTTCATTCTCATTGTTCTTCAACCCTATTAGGACCTCCAGTCCACTGATGCTTTCTTGTTTCTTGTTCTCCTGCTGTCACTTCCCTCCCTATCTTGCTCAAACTGCTCTCTTGCAAATATCCTAAACTCCCATATCCCTTTACTTCGTTAAACTCACTTGGCAAGATCCCAATTTTTATTTACCCAACTAGCCACTTTCTCTATGCACATACAGGATCCTGAATTACTGGTGGAAAAGTCACATCACTTGACTGTTGGGAACCACTACATAAACTCATGGGTACTAACCTCAACAGGGCCCTCAACCTATTCTGGAAACCTTACATTTCTCCAGGCAAACTTCCTCTCCCAGTCTTCAGAGCTATTCTTTCAAACGGTTCTCTTTCCTTCAGCTTCCAACCCTCACACCTTTTGCTACATTCTCCTTCACAGAGAAGGCAGACCAGAAAGGAGCCACTTATCCTCTTCGTTCCCTCTTATTACAGTGGAAATGCCCTTCTATCACAGGCCAATTGTTTTGCTTGGGTGCTGAATCCTTTTTCCTTTACCTTCAATCTCTTCCTGCCCATAGCATCCCTTCTCTTAAGGGGTCTATGTATCAATTAATTCTCCTCCTAAAAAAAAAAAAAAAAAAAAAAAAGGCAAAGGCTGGGAGGGTGGCTCAACGCTTGTAATCCCAGTACTTTGAGAGGCTGAGGTGGAGGACTACTTGAACCCAGGAGTTCGAGACCAGCCTGGCCAATGTGGCAAGACCCCGTTTCTACAAATAAAAAATGTAAAAAAAATTAGCCGGGTGTGGTGGCACATGCCTGTGGTTCTAGCTACTCAGGAGGCTGAAGTGGGAGGATCACTTGAGCCTGGGAGGTTGAGGCTGCAGTAAGCCGTGATTGAGCCACTGGATTCCAGCCTGCGTGATAGAGTGAGACCCTGTCTCAAAATAATAAATAAAAATAAAAGGCAATTAAGTGAAAGAGACCAATCTGAAAAAAGCTATATACTGTATGATTCCAACTACGACATTCTGGAAAAGGCAAAGCTATGGAGACAGTAAAAGTATCAGTGGTATCAGTATCAGTGGTTGCCAGAGGTTTGGGAGGGAAAAGGTGGAGCACAGGGGATTTTCAGGGCAGTGAAATGATTCTGTATGATACTGTAATGGTAGGTACGTGTCATTATACACATGTCAAAACCCATAGCATGTACCACACCAAGAGTGCACTAATTTAAACTATGGACTTTGGGTGATAATGATGTGCCAATATTGCTTCATCCATTGTAATAAGCGTACCACTCTGGTGTGGGATGTTAATAGTGGATAGGCTGTGTGTGTGTGTGTGTGTGTGTCTGTGTGTGTGTGTGTCTGTGTGTGTGTGTGTGTATGTTAGGGGTTGGGGAACAGGAGATATACAGGAACTCTGTACTTTGTGCTCAATTTTGCTATAAACCTAAAACTGTTCTAAAAATAAAGTCTATTAATTAAGGGAAAAAAGCCACCCTTTAACTTCCTTCTAACTATTCCCTGCCCCTTTACAAGCAAACATATTAGGAGGCTTACCCGTGTTACTATTAACATCCTACACCAGAGTGGTACATTTGTTACAATGGATGAACAAATATAGGCATATTATTATCACCTGAAGTCCACAGTTTACATTAGGGTACTCTTAGTGTGGTACATTCTATGGATTTTGACATGTATGTAACATGCCATGCCACAAATCTCCAATTTCTCACTTCCCATTTATCGAGGTGCATATCAATACGGCTTTTACCCCTATTACTCTACCCAATCTATTTTCTAAGGTCACCCATGGCTCCGTTGTCACTGAATCCAATGGATACTTTTTCAACAGCCCACGAAGTTGACCATTTGGTTCCTTCAGGAACTACTCTCTTCCTTCCTTTGGTTTCCAGGATGTAACACTAATCTGACTTTCCTCCTACCTCTCTAGCCATTCTTTTTCTCTCCCTTTGCAGGCCCATCCTTCTATACCAAGCCTTTAATTGTTAAAGTTCCTCAAGGCTCAGTCCTAGGCCCTTTCCTCTTCTGAACGCTCTCCTTAGGGGATTTTTCCTCCACTCACAAGGATGCAATTATCTATACTCACACTTGGCAAATTTCTATCTCTAGCCAAGATCTCTATTCTGAGAACAAGAACCATATAATCAATCCATCTGCTTCTCTGATATCCCCACTTAGCTAGCTCATAGGTACCTCAAACTTGATCTTTCAAACTTAACTCATCAACTTTCCCCATAAGCTTACTTTACCTCTCCTGTTATCTAAGCAAGTGGCACCCTCCGTCACCCATTTGGATACGCCAGAAACCTTGGAGTCATCTCCAATATCTCTTTTCCCTTATCCCTATATTGGATGCACCTACTAAGTCCCATCAATTCTATCTTCAAACACTCTCTCAAATTTGTCTACTTCTGCTCATCTCCGTAGTTACAACTCTAGTCCAAGCCTTCTATCACTACTAACCAGGATTCCTGCAACAAGCCATTCTCTTTGCTTAAAACCCTCAATTACCTCTTGCTGTTCTTAGGATAATATTCAAAATCCCTACCATTGTGGCCCATGTATTCTTCTCCCAACCTCATATGCCACTCTACCTATCATTTTTGTTTGTTTGAATAAGAGACAGGGTCTCACTCTGTTGCCTAGGCTGGAGTGCAGTGGCATGATTGTAGCTCCCTGCAGCCTTGAAATTCTGGGCTCAAGTAATCCTCCTGCCTCAGCCTCCCGAGTAGCTGGGACTACAGGTGCACACCATACTCAGCTAATTTTTAAAATTTTTGTAGAGAGAGGGTCTCGCTATGTTGTCCAGGCTGGTCTTAAACTCCTGGCCTCAAGCCATCTCCTCACTGGAGCCTCCCAAAATGCTGGGATTACAGGCATGAACCACCATGCCTGCCTCTATCTATCTTTTACTTACATAGCTTTCTATCAATTCCTTGGAAGCATCAAGTTCCTTCCTGTCTAAGTCTTCAAAGATCCTGTTCCTTCTGCATAGAATGTGCCTCCAATCCTCTTTAGTCTTTTAAGACTTAATTTAAATGAAATTTCCTCATAGGTCCCCCCAAACATTTGCTCATGGCACTCTAATTTCTCATTCATGGCATTTATTACAATTGTAACCTATTAATTGTGCAACTATTTATTTAATGTACATCTCTCATATTAGACTTCAAGCTCTTTGGGGCAGAGACCCATCTAATTTATCCCTATATCTCCAATTACCTAACAGGCCTGGAAAATAGTAGCTGAAATATATTTACTAGCTTGTATATAATTCCGGAAGGACTCTGTCCTCAGTTAACTGTCACCATTGATAGGGGAGATATTTTTTTTATCAGAAATGCTTTCTTTTTATTTTGGAGACCAAGTCTTGCTCTGTCACCCAGGCTGGAGTGCAAATGGCGTAATCTCAGTTCACTGCAACCTCCGCCTCCTGGGTTCAAGCAATTCTCCCGCTTCAGCCTCCTGAGTAGCTGGGATTACAGATGTGTGCCACCATACCCAGCTAATTTTTGTATTTTTAGTAGAGACGGGGTTTCACCATGTTGGCCAGGCTGGTCTCCAACTCCTGACCTCAGGTGATCCACCAGCCTTGGCCTCCCAAAGTGCTGGGATTACAGGAGTGAGCCACCGTGCCAGCCCAGAAATGCTTTCTTATATGTTTCGAATCATTTTATAGGCAACTTATCTAAGCCCATCACCACTAACAGGTAAATACATACAGTTCCTGGGACGGGCATTCTAATAACCTAGTGACATAATGATAGTTATAAACTCCATATAGATTTTTAAAATTGCTTTTCAAATTCACAGTCCATTTTTTCCTGAAGCAAAACTGATGACATAGGTTTTAGGTATTTAATATTCAATAATATTTTATTTGTGATGGGAAAATTGAATTGCTATATTATGCAATTATTCTCAAATTTAATATTTCAAAACAGCTCATTTTATATAAAGCTAACATGGCAGAATGAATTATATATTAATAGCATTTATCATATTAAGTATTAGCAAAGTAAGTATTGAGCCACAGATGGCAAATGACCAAGACATTACCATAGATATTAATTCATCTTTGTTCTGGAGACTAGTGCAGTACAATTCTTTTTTTTTTTTTTTTAGTGCAGTACAATTCTTAAAAGACAGTCCCTGAAATACAATCCTATAACCTCCCATCATAAACCATGATCGTAAAGGAGAACATATGTTTCCCATTAGAACAATGGAATAATTGGAAGTTCTGTTTCTGACAAAGCACTCAAAATCAACTAAATTTGAGCTAGATCAATGTGATAAAAGCCAGAAATCAATAAATATAAAGCTTTAATACTTTAAATTATAAAATTATTCTTTCAAGGTCCACAATGAGTATAAACACACTATATATAAAAATGATACAAGCCCCCCGCCCATTGTTCTATAGACGTACACATCGAATCCCAAATTCAAATTAATTGTAGCACAAATCTGAAGTTATAATAATGCTGCCAGTTACAGTAAAAGAAAAGTTGTCTTGAAAAGTATGAATTTAGATCTCTATTAAGTGTCACAGTGCTAAAACATGGCCAAAATTATTCTACTTTATATAGTTTGCAGTGACTTCTCCCTACCACTAGATGGTACTGTCAGCTTCAGAAATCCAGGGAATAAAATGGGAGCTATCTACATAATCAGTATATATTAATCATCCTTCTTAATTATCTCAAATATCCTGTCTCAGTGTGCTCATACTTGTATTCATCAGATCATGAGTCTCAATTCTCAGCTTAACATACAGCATAACATAGTCTCAATCCTCAGCTTAACTTGGATTGTTTGAAATAGGGATGGATACCCCATTCTCCATGATGTACTTATTTCACATTGTGTGCCTGTATCAAAATATCTCATGTACCCCATAAATACACACCTACTCTGTACTCACAAAAATTAAAAATAGATTAAGAAAAAAACCATATAGGGCCACTACAGTCTTAAAGAGAATGAAATAAATGCACTGTTAAAATCTGAAATAATGGAAGGTGGAAAAGCGTACTCAATCTTTCACAAAGGATTTTCCAATTCAATTCTAGAATTCAGTGAGGAGAAAACAGAAGAAAAGCACTACTAAGGTTTTTTCCGTCATATTTTATCACCTCAAAAAAATTATTATTTATCCAGCATGTTTACCTTAAAGACTAGATTTTGCTAACGACTGTATTTTTAACCAACACTTTAAAGTATCTGGACTAATCTCGAGTCCAGAAGTGGAAACTATATTGTTTTGTATTATAAAAGCCAAGATCTAGAGATCAAAAAGGGCCACCAATTTTAACATGCGAATACCAATAATTAGGTAAATCTTCATAAAAGAAACAGCTTCCTAAAACAACAGTGCTCAAACCATTATAATTCTAAGCAACATATTCTCAAAAGCGAACAAAAATTTTAAAGATCTCTAATCTAAATGAAGGGATAGAACAATCGCAGATTACATCTAAGCCATTTTATATTGCTAGTAAAAGTATCAAAACCATCTGTTTGAAAAGGTTTGAAACAAGTCAGAACTCAGTATCAGAGTTTTCGCATACTTTTTACAGACCAAGTTCAACTTGGCTAACTATATATAAACATGACTAACCTGGTTTTATATAAATTTAAGTAGAAACAAACTATTAAATAATTTTTAAAGTTTGTATTTTAAATTTGGTTACTTATTAACACATTGGCATTTTTTAAAGTACTACAGATGTGAATAAAAATATAACAGAAAGCCTGGTGATCACAAAATGTACTACTATTACCAAGCTCACATCATTTATAATATGACAGTATCAAGGATCCCATTTATCATCCTTAAAGAAACACGCAGCTGGCCGAGCACAGTGGCTCACGCCTGTAATCCCAGCACTTTGGGAGGCCGAGGTGAGTGGATCACCTGAGGTCAGGAGTTCCAGACCAGCCTGGCCAACATGGTGAAATCCCGTCTCTACTAAACATACAAAAATTAGCCAAGCGTAGTGGCGGGTGCTTGTAATCCCAGCTACTCAGGAGGCCGAGGCAGGAGAATCGCTTGAACCCAGGAGGCAGAGGTTGCAGTGAGCCGAGATTGTGCCACTGCACTCTGGGCAACAGAGCGAGATTCCGTCTCAAAAAAAAAAAAGAAAAAGAAAACAGAAAAGAAACGAGGCCGGGCGCAGTGGCTCACGCCTGTAATCCCAGCACTTTGGGAGGCCAAGGCAGGCGGATCACGAGGTCAAGAGATCAAGACCATCCTGGCTAACACGGTGAAACCCCATCTCTACTAAAAATACAAAAAATTAGCCAGGCGTGGTGGCGGGCACCTGTAGTCCCAGCTACTCGGGAGGCTGAGGCAGAGAATGATGTGAACCCGGGAGGCGGAGCTTGCAGTGAGCCAAGATCACGCCACTGCACTCCAGCCTGGGCAACACAGCGAGACTCTGTCTCACAAAAAAAAAAAAACACAAAGAAATGAAACACGCAGCCACCAGCATAATTTCTTACTAAAGATAGATTTTCAGCATATACTTTACAAGGACTTTGGGGTAAAAGTTTTCTTAAAAGTTCAGATCTTGGTCGGGCACGATGGCTCACGCCTGTAA
Organism: Homo sapiens; assembly: GCF_000001405.40. Lineage (NCBI taxonomy): Eukaryota > Metazoa > Chordata > Mammalia > Primates > Hominidae > Homo > Homo sapiens. The sequence goes on along the minus strand of NC_000023.11, from coordinate 134,394,403 downwards.
TCCCAGCACTTTGGGAGGCTGAGGCAGGTGGATCACGAGGTCAAGAGTTCAAGACCAGCCTGGCCAACACAGTGAAACCCCATCTCTATTAAAAATACAAAAATTAGCTGGGCATTGCAGTGCACGTCTGTAATCCCAGCTACTCAGGAGGCTGAGGCAGGAAAATTGCTCGAACCTGAAAGGTAGAGGTTGCAGTAAGCTGTGATCACACCACTGTACTCCAGCCTGGGCGACAGAGCAAGACTTCGTTTCAGGAAAAAAAAAAAAAAAGAAGTTCAGATCTTTTTCACTATGCACATTAGTTTATCCTAACACTTTTCTCAATTCTTCTAAATGTACTGAATGTTGAGATATGTCTTATGGTTAAAATTAATATAGTATAATTCACTAATCTGTACTCAAATTTCTTCTTGAAACTGAAAAGTGGCTGAAACGTGGCTAAATGATGTACCTTCGGAGTTATGTGCAGTTTTCTTGTGTTTTCGGCAATAGACCCTATAAAAAATGAAGAAATCAAAAATTAGTAAGCAAACTAAATTAAACTCACTTTTCAAATTAAGAAAACGAGCAGTACACTTCACCCAATTCACTAGCTGGATTCAAAATATATTATTAAACTTCCTGTACTATTTCTCTAAGTATTAAATTTCTTATCAAAAACACCCTTTATGATGATGATGAAATGCTTTGAAATGGGAAAAATTTTTACAAAAGCCCAAAGAAAGTATTATTGTTAAAAAAAAAACTTAAAGAGAAGTTAAATAATTACATGTAAATTCCTTGTGAAGGTTTCTCTCGTATTTGAGCTTTATCATGCAATGCACAGTGGTAGTGGTATGTCCTGTGACATGTTTTCACATCACAACCAATTGTTGCTCCAGGACAATGGCACAAAGAACACATCTACAGCAAAACGACAAAATAATATTATTAGTATGTGACTTTCTAAGGCTGTATATCAGATTAGAGGCATATCAATTTCTGTCAAGGAAAACAAATTGGTTATTGAAAAGTTTTGTAATTAATGCTACTTTTCTTGTTTTCTCTCCTTAGAATAACCGGAATAAAATTCTTCTGGGGTATTTTTTCCCATGTTAAACACTGACAAAATTAACAGAATGTTATTAATGTCTATTGTTTCATTATGGTCAAGAGAAAATTTGAAATACTGTAATTCAGGAATGTGAGCTGTATATAACATTATAAAAGAGACTTTTTATGTAATCCAGATCTTCCTAGGTACAAGTAACTGGAGAAAATGTCTCATACCAGAAAAAAAAAGTTTTCCTTAAAATTTCCACTTAATTGCTAAGTGCGGTGGCTCATGCCTGTAATCCCAGCACTTTGGGAGGCAGAGGCAGGCAGATCACAAGGTCAGGAGTTTGAGACCAGCCTGGCCAATATGGTGAAACCCCATCTCTACTAAAAATACAAAAAAATTAGCTGGGGTGTGGTGGCGCATGCCTCTAATCCCAGCTACTTGGGAGGCTGAAGCATAACTGCTTGAACCCAGGAGGTGGGGGCTGCAGTGAGCCAAGATCGTGCCACTGCACTCCAGCCTGGGCAACAGAGCGAGACTCCGTCTAAAAAAAAAAAAAAAAATCCACTTAATTAATGAGACTCTGTGGGAAAAATATCTCACATAACTTACTATTTGAGAACCTAGTAAAATCCATTTAAAGCGAGGGAAGGAGACAAGGTGAAAGAATTAGGTAGTTTTTTTAATACCTTGAGCTCTGAGACTATTTTGTGATGTCAAGTTGATTATATTATGAAAATATGCACAGTATTTCAATTTAATCTATGTCACTTACCTCTTGCACTATGAATTCAGGCAAACAGATAAAAGAACAGATTCTTTCAATGTATTTTATTATACCTTACCTTTTGAATTTAATGGATAATTCATATTGATTAACTAGCTCATGCTCTACATTTAGGAAAAAAGTTATCTTTAAAAAGTTACATAACAATGACTTTCAGTGGTTTTGATTAACATATCATAATGTACTGTACCAAGTGAACTTTTATAATGAGGCCATTTAACTGTACATGACATGCCAAAATAGATTCACAACAAGCTAAATCTAAAAAACTGTTCATTTGCTTCTTGGTTGCTGGACACCTTGTTCTAAAGTGTTCTCATCCCTCTTTTTATTAATTTGAACATAAAGAACACTTAGCATTCCTAACTTTTGGATTACTCGGCCTCTAAGCAATATTGGTGTACCAAGAGGCTAATATAAATTCCAATAAAATTTCTTACATTTCTCTAAGCAAGTCAAACACTAAAACTCTCATTCAGGCTATCATTTAAAAAATATTCATATGTCAGAAACAGAAACAGTCTCACTACAGCTGTTTCCCAGAAAACATGAGGGCCAGTGCCCATTATTGATACAAGAAATACCCCTTTCTTCCTTAAATAAATACAGAAACTTCAAAGTATTACTGTAAAAAGAAATACTATGCCAAATTATCAAGAAGGCAAAGCTTTTGGATGGCTTATAAATTCTTAAGGAGGTACAGCATTTGAACTGTAGCTTAATTACAAAGTTCTATTATATTAAAGAAATTCTGGAAAACAAAAAAGCACAAAGAAAAATTTTAAATCACTCATACTCACCAAGCAGAGATGCCTCACAGTGTTACAATGCTTAGTGAAACGTAATTCTACACATACTATTTTGCAATCTATTTTTTTAACGCATCAAACATTATCCCACTTCACTAAGAACTTTAGGGAAAGTAGTTTATCTTGAAACTTACATCCAAAACAGGTTTAGATGGGTACATTTTGAAAAAAATATATTAAATTCAATTAGCGAGCAAAACTGAAAAGAGAGGTGCCATTTAAAATACTATATTGAGCTCAACATTGACAAGATACAGTTAAGATGGGCACTGTTGTATACAGCTGGAAATTGGTACATACTCTCTAGAATGCAATTTGCCTTATTCAACAAGGTTTTTAAAAAATTTGTATTCTCTAAGCCAGTAATTTTACTCTATAAACCTAGTCTAAAAAATAATCACACTCAAGCAATTAATGCACAAGCACATTCATTGTAGAATTATTTAGAACAGTCTAAAATGTAAAACCACCTATCAACAATTGAAAAATATTTAGGTCCGGGTACAGCAGCTCACGCCTGTAATCCCAGCACTTTGGGAGGCTGAGACGGGCGCATCACCTGAGGTCAGGAGTTCAAGACCAGCCTGACCAACATGGAGAAACACCATCTCAACTAAAAATACAAAACTAGCCAGGTGTGGTGGCACATGCCTGTAATCCCAGCTACTCGGGAGGCTGAGGCAGGAGAATCACTTGAACCTGGGAGGTAAAGGTTGCGGTGAGCTGAGATTGTACCATTGCACTCCAGCCTGGGCAAAAAGAGTGAAACTCCATCACAAAAAAAAAAAAAAGAAAAAAAAAAGAAAAAAAGAAAAAGAAAAATGTTTAAATAAATTATAGTATACACATATGAGAGAATGTTCTACAGCCACTCTTTTCAAAGAAATTGGAATGGCTCAGGAAGATCTATGTGTAATGTTAAGTTAAAAAAAATGAGGCAGGATACAAAACTATGTGAATTATGAACCCAACTATGTTTATAACATAGATTCTTTAAAACAGGTGCAAGTAAAAACAGCAAAATGCTAAGTGGCTATCTCTGGGTGGCTGGTTTTCTTCATAATGCCCTGTATTTTGATTTTTCTACAATGGGCAAAAGTACTTTTATATGCAAAAATATTATTTAAAAAACAAATTAGGAAAACTCTAGTAAATGCTTTCAATACCCGTCTCTCAGTCTGGTGAGAATAAGATGGGAACCAAAAACCCAAAATATACCAAAATAGTTTTTGGCTGGTTATAAATTTAAATCTGCCCAAAGTAACTGGTTTTAAGCTGCTATGGTGAAATACATGCATTTTGCAAATAACCAGTTAACTACAGCAACTCAGGACAGATAATTTTTTTAAAGCTTACTTTATTTTTATAGTCAGTTTCACTCAAGAAAGACAAGAAAGAGGAAGACATACCAATAAAAAATATTTTCGGAGTGGAAACTTCTTTACAAGGTTAGGAGTTGGAATTTTGCTAAATTAGAATTCCCAGGACCTATTTTATGCAGCATTCACATACAAGCAGTCAAATTTCTGGCAAGGTACTAACAAAATAGCAAAAATTATCCATAATAAAGCCAAAATACAATGTTTACATTTGCTTGCTTACCTATGAATACAAAAAGGGAAAATTATCTTAGTCTACCATGCTATATTCCAACCTCTAAAATAATCCTTTTTCTCTAAACTCCTATGGGACTCAAGATATATACTGTTCATTTTGGCTCTTATCATTTTACTCCATTATATGGCTGATTATAAATACATAAATTTTATCAATCAATTCATTCTAGACAGAATTTTTTTTTGAAGAGTAACACTGTGCCTTACAAAGTACTGTTCAGTAAGTATGTCATTGCAAACATACTCTATTATTGAAGATCTTAATCTTATGGCATATTTTTTCTCATTCATGTTTCTAATACCTGCAGATTTAACATAATTATCTTCAGCTACTTCTAAAAATATTTAAACATTCTGATCTAGGACTGGGAATGGTGAAATTGGGGAGATCAATCCAGTTGGAGGAGCACAGAATGAACGTGGCAAGAATGTTTCAGGGAAAAGATTAGCCCCGCTAGAAACAAGGTTGAAAACTAAGATGAGATAAAAAGAAAAATTAAAGAAGCTGAGAAACCAGATAGGTGGCTAGTCCAGCTTAAAAAATGTTATAGGAAATAAAAATAAAACAAAGAGGCCTTCCCTAGAAAAAGGTGAAATAACTGGAAAATGGGGACCCCTCTACCACAAGGCACCTGGTTGGTTATACCCTAATAATGGCTCCAGTATCTCCCTTTACACAAAACATTTGCTCTCCAATTTACCACAGTCCCTACTGGGCCTTCAGCAGAATGACTGTCAGCTGCCATGTACCATCATGCTTGCACAGTATCCATGGCTCCCTCAAACGTGGGAAAATGAAAGTTAACCTGACAGAAACATGTTTTTCAAAAACAATGGAAGACCTCTCCCCAACTCCCCGCAAAAAAGGCCTGCCCCATGTATCAGATATTCTGTTGAGGGCTAATTTCCTGCCTCCAACATAGGCATACATGTTAATTCTCAGCTTATCCTGCTTGTATCCTGATTTCAAGTTCTTGATTTAGATAGAGGTGAAAACTTCTTCATTAATAATAATTTTTCTCTCACTCCCCTATTCAGTTTGCTACCTAGTCGACCTAGTAAACCTTAATAATTAATTAACAGCTTCAAATTAGGGATACTGGAAAAAGAGGTCCTGTCTTATTACAGATATTTGCATGGCGTCTCTATCGTATTGTTAGAAGCTACACTAACTTAAGGTTAAATTGTGCAACATAAGCAGAGTCTCAAGGAGCTGACCCACTGATGAAAGAGGAACTAAGTCATGCATGAGAGGAGACACAAGGAACTAAATGGACTGAGACTTAGCTAATGTCGGGTAGGAGCCAGAGGCTGGGGCATACCTGCTCCTCAGTCAACTTAACTAGGACAGGACTGAAATTCAGTTTGCAAAAAGAAGTCTTAAAGAGCAAAAGGAAAAATATTGCTTTCTCAGTAACTATAGGGGAGTAAAATGAAAATGAGATTGCCAACTTCTACGACAAGGCTCTTGGGGAAAAGCTGGAACCTAATGGTCAGATAGAGCCATAGGGAACTGATGGAGGAAAGGCTGTCTGCAACTTAGCTTTGTCCAGCTTCATTGTCCTATATCTAATATGTCTGTCAGTAACTGACTATCAGTGTATAGATACACATTCTCACAGCCAAGCAGTTAACTGTTCTAAAGAAACCTGCTCCCAGAAAACTGCTACAAATGCACAGACAAGGCAAAGAAGGGTACAAAAAGAGGTCACGTTCTTGAGCCTGTAGGCAAAGAAAAAAAAATGCCAAAAGCTCTTGGAGTAGGGAACGCTGTACTGAGGATATTTGCACAGGAGATACGAGCCAAAAACAAAGTGAAAGCAGCTTACTTTACGCAGGTGCTTGGCTTTTTGTTTTAATAACAGGTAATACTACCTCCAATAAAAACTAGAAAGTGACAGTACAGTTAGGGGCAAGTTTTCAGAGATGCCCCAAAAATGCTCCTTAACTCCAGCTTCATTGCTTTATTTATAGTAATACCTCACATATCCAAATAACTAGACAACAGAGTGGCTCTGAATTATCTGGTTAACTGCTGTTTTAGTTTTTATTTGTTAAATTTATGTGTTAAAAATTCCTTAAAAAGTGCCACTTCATGGGAGGGTGGAATACGAACTCATAACTGTTTCTGTTTGATCCTTTAGTTACTATTTTTTAAAAATACAGCATTTTGAAGGAGGTCTCATAAGAACACAAACTAAACACTACTTTTAAGGTTTAAATGGAAAGCCAGAAAACAGTGAAATCTGAAAGCTGTCAGTCACTGAAAAGTGACAAGTTGCTTGAAAAACAGATTAGGACCTTAAATTCCAGGTGCTTCTAAAAAATAGGGCCACTGAAAAGTACTCATTAAATTTTTACTAGATTTAACAGACTAAATCTAAGTAGTTACTGAATAGATTATTTCAGATGTCTTGGAAATTGGAGGGAAATGAACTAAGCCTTAACCTCATCTCCTGACCTTGCTCAGAATATCACATACTCCAACTCTATCTGACTTTCTGCATCATGATTGATGAGGAATATAAATTATCTTATTGGAGTTTCTGAAGTTTCTTTTTGTGTATCTGAAAGATTCAGACAGACATTTTCTGAGCTCAGATTTTTATGTCCAAGCTTTTCTCGTGTATGGGTTTTTCCAGCTGAGGGTACTCTAAACTGCTATGCCGCTTGCTATATTTAGTCTGTGAAGAACACCTCATCCACACCTATGCTCAAATAAGTACCAAGACAGCCCCCAACACCAAGAATACATTTTGTTTATATTATTGGTTTTGGATCTCCTCCATTAGCAAAAATAAATGAGGATTTTATAATGAAATTAATTGACAGTATTCCCAGTTACCAAAAAGTATTAAATGGAGGCAAATAAAAAAATTATGCATTAAAAAAATGTATTCAGTAATAGCCAAAGACCCAATTTCCTCCATCATTACACTTCCAAGTTTCTCTTTGACCTTACATTCATTCTCCTTTATCACCTCAAAAGTAAAGTTCATTTTAATATAAATGACTGGTAAAATATCTGCATACATTAAAATTAATCTGCATGCCATAACTGGAGCTTTTAAAAAAAATCACATTTATATGAATACATTCACAATGCATGTACGCTTAGCTACACAGATGACAATGAGGCCACTGAATAAATCTTCAGGAAGAAAAGTTACCTCTTTTCCTCCCTACAGAAGGCATCCTGTGGGCCTAATCCACGGGATTTACAAACTTTGTTTTATTTACAAAAAAACTTTTTGTAAATAAAAAGTTTAATTAAAACACAGCCATGCTCATTTCTTTGTGTATTGTCTGTGATTTCAACTGAGACCACATAGCTTACAAAACCTTAAATATTGTCTGGTCCTTTACAGAAAGTTTGCCAACCCCTGACACAAGGCAATGGTCCATAACCAGGGTTGTTCATCAAAAATCACCTGGGAGGCCAGGCACGGTGGCTCACGCCTGTAATCCCAGCACTTTGGGAGGCCGAGGCGGGTGGATCACAAGGTCAGGAGATCGAGACCATCCTGGCCAACATGGTGAAACTCCCAACCCCGTCTGTACTAAAAATACAAAAATTAGCTGGGCGTGGTGGCGTGTGCCTGTAATCCCAGCTACTCGGGAGGCTGAGGCAGGAGAATCGCTTGAACCAGGGAGACGGAGGTTGCAGTGAGCCAAGATCACACAACTGCACTCCAGCCTGGCGACAGAGTGAGACTCAGTCTAAAAAAAAAAAAAAAATCATCTGGGAACCTTTTTCAAAAGATTGTGCCTGCAACCCAACCCTCACCCCTGCCCCTTTTCTGATTTAGTAGAGTTGGTTAGGTACCTCTGCTCTAACGATTTAGTAGCACCAATAGTCATCCAGAATCTTCAGCTTCTGTGATTGCAGAAAGCAAAGTGGCAGCATTCTATACAATGTGGGTATTCCATTTTGCCCCTACTGAACGCTAAGTAAGTCACACAATCTACTATAAATAGCACTGGCATTTAATACTTATTTAATATTTTTTGACCACTTCTTCCTCCTTGAAATTGTTTGTCTTTGACTTCCATAGCATCACTCTCCTGGTGGAACACATTTCAACTCTCGTTTTCTATGGAGCCTTCTGACTTCTCATAATTAATTGTGATCCTCTTTCCCAGCTCTCCTGTGCCATTCTTTAAATACTTCTAAGGTTAAACCATATTTATTCATGTTTACATTCAAAGTACCTAGCATTGTGCTGGTAGAAAGTGGGCACTAAAGTATTTGATAAACAGTTGAATTCTAAACTCTATACTATATGGGGCCTTGACAAATATAATACCTAAGGAAACAACAAACACAAAACCATACTGAGGGAGTGAAGGCTGAAGAAACATGAAAACTCTCATGTTTGAGGCATACACAGCTCTCTACTCTCTGGAAAAAAAATAACCAACGTCATTTTTCCCTCTAAATTACTCTCCTCCCTTTTCAAACTGCTCAAGTTGTAAACAACACTAAAATACTAATTAACCAAAAGAGAGGAATTTTGTGCTACGCCATGACTTCCCTGTTCAATTTATACCTAGCCTGTTATTAAGGCTTCACACTATTATCCAGCTGAAGCCCTTTCCATCTTCAAAGTCCACCAACAATGAGCACCCACTTATTTATTAGAACACTATTGAGTACAAAGAAGACATCAAGCACCATATTAAGAGTTTTCTATGCATTATCCCCACATCATGCTAGGCTGGGCAAAGAGAATACAGTCTTACTCTCCCAGAGTCAACAATACAGTGGAGAAAAAAGGCTTGCACATGTGTATCAAATACAACGCATATTGTGTTATGCTATATGACAGAAATGAAGTGTGAAGTTTGAGCTGGATCTCAAAAACAGACAGAACTTTTGAGAGGCAGCTAGGAGGAAAAAAGAGCCGCAAGCAGAGGTGAACATCAGTACAGGCACCGCAGCGGGGACAGAGACAGGATGCTTGGAAAACCTAGAGGAGAGAGAATGAGATAAGGATGGAAAAAGTGGGTTAAGACAAGACTTCTGAATGGCAGGCTGAGGCCTCTGGACATTATATTGTATGCAGTAAGAAATCATGAAAGGTTTCCAGTTAGGGAGTGGCATTAGCTTTTAAAAGCAGAGATCAAGTAACTACCAGTAGTATGTTGGAAGGGTGGGAGGAGCAAGACTGGACATAGGGTAGCATTAAGAAAGAAAAGGCAGGCTGGGCGCAGTGGCTCACGCCTGTAATCCCAGCACTTTGGGAGGCCAAGGCGGGCGGATCATGAGGTCAGGAGATCAAGACCATCCTGGCTAACACGGTGAAACCGCGTCTCTACTAAAAATACAAAAAATTAGCCAGGAGCGGTGGTGGGCGCCTGTAGTCCCAGCTACTCGGGAGGCTGAGGCAGGAGAATGGTGTGAACCCAGGAGGCAGAGCTTGAAGTGAGCCGAGATCGTGCCACTGTACTCCAGCCTGGGCGACAGAGCAAGACTCCGTCTCAAAAAAAAAAGAAAAAGAAAGAAAGAAAGAAAGAAGAAAAGGCAGAGATATCCCACAAATAGAATTGACGTGACTGATATGGAAGAAGGAAGAGTTGATGGTAAAGGATTCAGAAGAAGAATCAGGTTTCAGGGAGTGGGCGTGGTGGGCGGGGTGGTAATGAATACTGGTTTAAGACAGGTTGAGTTTAAGATGCCTGCAGGACATCTATGTAGAGTAGACAAATATGCTGCCATTATTATACTTCATTCTCCACAGTGACTATTGTATATCACCTGTCTCCTGAAAAATCCTGCTTTTACCCTTCCCCATCCCTTCCTATCTGAGTTGAAATTCTTCTCTAATGTTGGAAGACCCTGCAATCATCCCACCTTACTCAACTGGAATGGGTCTCAAAGACCTATTCTGGTATGGCTAACCTATTAATATTTCCTAGACTCATTCCATTTTTTTAACCTTACCAGCTCTAGGAAGCAGTCTGAACTATCTCAATAGGTAAGACTCCTCCCAGACAGAAGACACCCTGTTTCTTTAAAATGCTAAGTACTCCAGTGGTACTGAGTAAATAACAAAGTGAAGACTATGTGGAAATGGTCTTTTTATTTTCAGAGGCTAAAAAGTATCTGGAGGGTAATAATCACAATATTCTTACATAGGATGTGTATAGGGTTTTTGTCCTAAAAATTAACAAGATATTACTATTTAACAGAACATATTAATAGGAGTCTGATTATGTCCTAAATTCAGTACTATTTCCATCTTTATTAGAAAACTGCTAAGCTGTAATCCTTATGTTTCTTTAAAAGTGATTTTGGAGTGGGTAGCTTAAAAGATAGTCTAGCGTAACCTGGTGATTAGGAGTTCTGGCTTGGGAGTCAACTGACCCTGGATTCAAATCCCAGCTCTGCCACTTACTAGCTACAGTCAGGTTACTTAACTCATCTGAGCCTCAATTTCCTCACATGTAAGATGAGAATACTTCTCTATCTCACAACATGATTATCAGCATTAAAAAGGATCATATAATTAAAAAACTTAGCATAGTCCCTAGCACATGTTAAGTGTCTAACAAATGTTAGCTATTTCTATTTCTACTACTAGAAAAAGCAGGAAAACTGTTCAGAGGATTTCATAAGACATGAGTAAAATTTAGTGTGAAAAAAGGGAACGTTTAGGAGTGACCTGAGGACAGTCATCAAGTATATGAAGGGTTTTTTAATAATAAAAAAAAACTCAAATATTTATTTAATGGAAGGAGACAGATCTAAAATGGCTTTAAATTAAGAGAAATACTTAATTTATACAGAAGGATGAATTTCTCAACTCTGAAGAGTGTTATATATTACTGGTCTTGTTTCAGGTTACTTGGGTAGAATTACAATTTCTTGATATATTTAAAAACAGGGCAAAAAAAAATTTTTTTTTTTGAGACAGGACCTCACTTTATCACCCAGGCTAGATGGATACAGTGGCACAATCATAGCTCACCACAGCCTCGAACTCCTGAGCTTACACAATCCTCCCACCTCAGCCTCTTGAGTAGCTAGGTCTACAGGAACATGCCACATTTCAAAATTTTTAAATTTTTTTGTAGAGATAGGGGTCTCACTTTGTTGTCCAGGCTGGTCTTCAACTCCTGGCCTCAAGCAATCCTCCCAGTCGGCCTCCCAAAGCACTAGGATTACACGTGTCAGCCAATCCTTAGGCCAAAAATCTTATCTTGAGTGGCTTGTAGGAAATCTTGCATAGGGGTAAGACAGGTGAACTAAATGGCCTTCTGAACTCTTTCTCTTCTTGTAATCTGTGATATAATCTGACACCGGTACCAATTAGAATAATAGCTATCTGCAGAGGCAGGCGGATCACCTGAGGTCAGGAGTTTGAGACCTGCCTGGCCAACGTGGTAAACCCTGTCTCTACTAAAAATACAAAAAATTAGCTGGGCGTGGTGGTGGGCGCCTATAATTGCAGCCAATGGGGAGGCTGAGGCAGGGGAATTGCTTGAACCTGGGAGGCGGAGTTGCAGTGAGCCGAGATCATGTCACTGCAATCCAGCCTAGGCAACAAGAGGGAAACTCCATCTTAAAAAAAAAAAAAAAAAAAGAAGAATAGCTATCCAATGTAGATAGTAGATACCCTTAGTAATCTCACCAGCTAGCTTCATCCAGAAACGGTAAATTCTTCAAATATCCTTCTTTCAAGTATCTCCTTAAATTCAAAAAAGCAGTGCTAACTCATAATTTTACTTGGAAATTTGCATTTCTTGGCTAGATGACTGGAGTTAAGTAAGAATAGATGGTACAGATGTGGTATCTCCATATGGCTTCAGTAGAAACTGGAAATCATACTGGAAAAATATATATCTGTCTAAACTGCAAAAACAGGGCATCAAATCATAAAAGCCTTAGTACTCTGGCAAATTTTTCCTGGTCCATCTTGGTGCTATATAATTAAAGACCGTGTAAAGGAGATGAAAATGTTCATGCAGAATGGCTTTCCTCCTTTGATCCTTGTGGCTGACATGAACCTTGGAAAATTGCCTGTGGCAGCAAGAACATAAAAACCAAACACTCACACCTCCTGCTCTACTGAGCCCTCTCATCCTCAACTCTGACCCACCTGGCTGTTGATACGTACACTTTAACCTCAAGCCCTAGCCTCCTTATCTCTCTGTTCTTTTCTTTGGGGCAAGCGAGCAACTTTGGAGTCAACACCAGGTACAGATTGAAATTTGTCTTGAAAGCACTCAGGGTTCAGTACTCCAGTTTTCGATGATTTTGAATGAGTGTTCATGACCTACTTTTCACCTAGAAATCCAGATGAACAGGAGCCAAAGCAAACAGGCTCACGGGATAAAATGCCTTAAAAAGTCAATTAGGGGCCAGGCATGGTGGTGCACGCCTGTAATCCCAGCACTTTGGGAGGCCGAGGCTGGTAGATCACCTGAGGTCAGGAGTTCGCGACCAGCCTAACATGGTGAAACCCCGTCTCTACTAAATACAAAAAAATTAGCTGGGCATGGTGGCACATGCCTGTAATCTGACCTACTTGGGAGGCTGAGACAGGAAAATCGCTTGTACCTAGGAGGCGGAGGTTGCAGTGAGCCGAGATCGCGCCATTGCACTCCAGCCTGGGCAACAAGAGCGAAACTCCATCTCAAAAAAAAAAAAAAAATGTCAATTAGGGAAGCTGATTACCTAGTTTATATGCAGTTTATCTAGTTACATTAAGCTCTTCACTCTTTTTCCCCCCTCCTATTTGATTCATAGCCCTTTTATTGCTTAGACAAATTGACACAGGGAATAGTAGAGAATCAAACTTAAATCTAGAATTTTGGTTACCTGATAGCACATCATGTAAAAATGATATAATGAAAGAAGCAAAACTGAAGGCTAAAAGGAGTTTCAAAAATTATTTCAAACCTAAACGTATGTTACATTCCTATCCCCTATATAAGTTGTTTAAACTGACATTCTAAGGGAAGGAAACGGAGCAAAAGTTCTTCCCTTCTGCCACTATTCCTCAGTGCTCACACCTGGAATCCCCGCACTTTGGGAGGCCGAGGCGGACAGACGGTCTCAAGTGAGGAATTCAAGACCAGCCTGGCCAATGTGGCAAAACCCTGTCTCTACTAAAAATAAAAAAAAAATTAAAAATTAGCCAGGCATGGTGGCACACACCTGTAGTCCCAGCTACTCGGGAGGCTGAGGCAGGAGAATTGCTTGAACCCAGTGGAGGCTGCAGTGAGCCGAGATCGCACCACTGCACTCCAGCCTGGGCAACAGAGCAAGACTCCATCTCAAAAACAAAAACAAACAAAAACAATAAGTGGTGGCTACTATTTATCAAGTCCTAACCATGTGCCCAGCACCACCTTAAATCCTATATACTTCCTCTTTTAATTCTGGCAATAATTCTGGGAGGCAAGTACTGTCATTATCTAACCCCTTTTGCAGGTGAGGAAAACATGGCCTGGAGAAGTAAATAACTTAATCAGGATCACCTAGCTAGTAAATGACAGAGCTGGGATTCAAACTCAAGTCTGTCACTAAAGCTTGTGTTCTCAATTCCCAGTATTGTTCCATTCCCTAGATCAAGGAACAAATTTCGTTATTTGTAACACACTACATTTGGGGAAAAAATTATCTCCCTACACTATAACACTAAAAATTAATCAAAACAATTTATAATAGTAAAACTCATACAAAGTTCTGATGCTTTAACGAATAGGTCCAAGGCCGGGCGCGGTGGCTCACACCTGTAATCCCAGAACTTTGGGAGGCCGAGGCAGGTAGGTCACGAGGTCAGGAGATTGAGACCAAGGTGAAACCCCGTCTCTACTAAAAATACAAAAAATTAGCCAGGCACAGTGATGGGCGCCTGTAGTCCCAGCTACTTGGGAGGCTGAGGCAGGAGAATGGTGTGAACCTGGGAGGTGGAGCTTGCAGTGAGCCGAGATCACGCCACTGCACTCCAGCCTGGGCGACAGAGCGAGACTCTGTCAAAAAAAAAAAAAAAAAGGTCCAAATAAATTAAATCTCCACTGAACTTCGCAATATTGACAGATGTATGCTGTTGCTTCATGTAGTGTAACACTAGGCATTGCATTTGTTAATAATGTTTCAACATTAGGGACCAAAACTGCTTTTGTTCTGACTATACAAGCTGTGTCAAGTGACAAAATGCTAACAAGTCAGGATACAGAAATATTTTCCAGGGATAGTCATAATGTCAAGCAATAAATAAAGGGGTAATAAGGTTTACAGCACAATCACTTTCAAGTAAGTATCATTCTTTTTTATATCTGCATTTATTTTAAGGACTAGGAAATAAAAACATAGTGCTATGGTTCTCAGAAATCAGCACAGTAACGTGAAGAAACCTAAAACCACCAAATAAAATCCACATTTGAAAAACAGGGCTTTCTAGGCTGGGCGTGGTGGCTCACACCTGTAATCCCAGCACTTTGGGAGGCCAAACTGGGCAAATCACCTGAGGTCTGGAGTTCAAGACCAGCCTGACCAACATGGTGAAACACCGTGTCTACTAAAAATACAAAATTCGCCAGACATGGTGGCGCATGCCTGTAATCCCAGCTACTTGGGAGGCTGAGGCAGGAGAATCACTTGAACCCAGTAGAGAGAGGTTACCGTGAGCTGAGACTGCGCCACTGCACTCCAGCCTGGGCAACGAGAGTGAAACTCTGTCTCAAAAAAAAAAAAAAAAAAAAAAAAAAAGAAAAGAAAAGAAAAGAAAAAGGAAAAAAAAACCCCAGAGCTTTCTATTAATATCTACAGTTTTGGGGATGGGGAAGATAAACATTTTCACAGTTAAGGTCTCACTACAACAGAAATGGTTTGACCTCTGAATTCTCATTTGTACTAATACTGATACTAGGATTTGAGACTATCCTAAAGCAAATCCCAAATGTCATTTTTGAGCCCATATTTCTTCATATTGCTTTTTATGTAAAACGATTAATAGAAGACTACTTTTCAAAACATATTATTCCTGATCATCAAAATGATAGCCCCCCTCTTCCTATTACCATTTCATCCAAAAACTACCATCTCAGAGTCTTTGTGAAATAAGAGGTTATTTAGTAACTACAAACGCAGTTATATGTTTGGCAAAACGCATCTTTTAAAAAATGAAACTGGATAGCAAAGCTATTAAAGGTGCATTTATGGATGTAATTTTAATAAAGTGTTCAAATGAGAAAAATAAAAATAAATCTTCCCATTAATTGTTTCAAAGTAGCCGGGCACAGTGGCTCACGCCTGTAATCCCAGCTCTCAGGGAGGCAGAGGCGGGAAGACAGCTTGAGCCCAGGAGTTCGAGACCTACCTGGGCAATATAACGAGATCCCGTTCTCCACAAAAAGGAAGGAAACAAAAAAGACAAAAAATAATCGTTTCAAAGTAAACCATAATGTGTCATAAGTACCAACTGAGATGACATTACTATTCCAACAGAGCAATGTAATATCTTACTAATATGGTTATTGGTAGTGAAGACAACTACGGGAACATTACTCTAACGCAGCTTCAGAAAAGCTCCTGTGAAATTCACTGAAAGTTATCCAAAGTCATAAATGTTGTGTTATACAGCTGAACTACAGTAAAATACTTTGTTCAGCAAGTGCTAATATTTTCCTTTTGAGAGGCTACTGTCATGTTCATTTGTAATGACCATAACTTTATGATGGAGATGAAAACATATCAGAATTATGAAAAATAAACTTGAATGAAGACTTTAACACAATATATACTCAAATTAACCAAACTGTTTGTTTTCTAAGTAAACAGCCTCCAAAAAGATTTTAATTCTCTTTGAAAAGCAAAAAAAATTGAATAGTATAAATATTGACTCATTCCTTTTTGTTGAGTGGTAAATAAGATAAACCCGGCCTTGGATTTTGCTGGCTCAGAGAAAAAAAAAAAGAAAAGCCTGCAATTTAAAATTATACTCAGTTAATAATGCAATACACTCTAAAATAAGCAATTTCCTCTTTAATGAGTTTAAATAATTTTTATTCTCAAGAGGCAGAAATACCAACTTACCAGCTTCGTGCCTCTTTTAATTTCCTTTTGGACATCTTCAATAGAAAATCCACCAAGACTTTCATTATCAGAGTGTGATGATACCAAAGCAGATGAAAAGAGCTATAAATTACATTTAAAAAAAATTAAGGTTCATATATAAATTAATCACAGTAAAACAGTAAATAAGATGTCAAATTTAAATGGTAATTTTCTAGTAAAAATGGCATAGCATTAGTGATAAACCATTTCTTAAAATTTAACTGAGTTTTTTTTGGTTTTTGTTTTTTTTTTTAGTATTCAGGAACATTCATGTGTTATTAAGAGTCTCATGAATCGTTTCAAGGTCTCTGTTGCTGCCGGTATACTTACCATGCACTTATGGTGCGCTGCCACCTTCTGGTTTTCAGATATTAGTAACTGTCCACATTCCTTGTCTCTATTTGACTTACAAAAGCCACATTTGCGCTGTCTTGTAGGCCCTTTTTTCTGTTCAACTGAGCTTGACATGATTTTTAAATTGCCTTTAGAATGCCACTTTAAGTCTCAAGAAATGCTACAGAGAATAAGAAGGGCGACAATGTTAATTTTATTTTAAAATCAGTTTATACATATTCATGAAAGTTGTTAAAAATTTGACCTAGGTTTTAATATACACATTTTTAAATGTTTATTTAGTATAGACAAATTAAGCCACTCTAAGCCCCAAGAAATGCTACAGAGAATAAGAAGGGTAACAAAGTTCATTTTGTTTTAAAATCAGTTTATACATACTCATGTAAGTTGTTTGTTTGACATAGGTTTTAATATATACATTTTTAAATGGTTATTTAGTATACATAAATTAACATTAAAACCTAAGATGCCTCCGTAATAAATACAGATAGATAGATAACAGACAGCTAAATGAAGTTTAGAGTAATTGAGAAAAATCAAACTGCTTCCAAATTGGAGGATATGTGAAATAACTGACACTAGTTCTGTGTGGAGAGAAATGTACAATGTATAATATTAAATTATCCCCTGCTGGCATAATTAATGTAAAATATTTTCATGTGTAACTAGGTGCCCTTTCAAGGCGATAAAGAATTATACCTCTTAAGAACACGGTAAAAGCTACTAAGGAAACTTCAGAATACTCCGTGGGAACAGAATTCTGTAATTGAACAATTTCTTAAAGTTCACATATTGATAAAACAATAAAAGTAAAACGAATTTACCTAACTATGACTTTGGTGCACTTTAAAAATTATTTCTGAGTTTAAAAAAATCAGGAATATGTCTTTAATAAATTAATTTTTGCTATTCTATTCCATTTTCAAGTAAATAAAAAGTTAGGCTTCTGACAGTCTATTTAAAAATGCAGACTTTAAGACCCAATTATTTATAAAACAACCATATTATATGACTAAGATTTACTCCAAGCCTGCTTATCAATTAAAGTCACAAACTGATAGTGGTCTTCTAAATGTAGTAACTTCCGTACTTAAATTAGTAATATTGTGTAAAGGAAGAAATTTTTTTCTGAATGAGCCTTAAATTTGGTCACATTTTAATTATAGGTAGTACAGTGTAGTCAAAAAAAGGGAAGGAAAGCTCTAACATGAAAGGTTTCAGATTTAGATCATCAATCTTAATATGGATTCTTCAGAAGAAATTTAAAACCAGTTACTTGATTTGTACAGTTTTCCCAAATCAACAGGACTAAGCAGTTCAAGATCCAGGTTGCCACAACACACGTCACAATCAAGAAAAATCTCAAACTTTTGTCTTAAAATTAATTTACTAAATTGTTTCAATTTGTCTATACATTTGAACAGTTTCATAATACTATGTTGAAAAAAAATTGTCTAACACTACATTGCAGCTGAGAA
Source organism: Homo sapiens (assembly GCF_000001405.40). Taxonomy (NCBI): domain Eukaryota; kingdom Metazoa; phylum Chordata; class Mammalia; order Primates; family Hominidae; genus Homo; species Homo sapiens. The sequence goes on along the minus strand of NC_000023.11, from coordinate 134,376,253 downwards.
GCATTCGTTCACCAACAAGAACAGTAGCAGCTGTATGCTAGGAAGGTAATATCTACAAACTATTCAGTGCTTTTCAATATAAAATTCAGATACTTAATCAAAATTTCACCTGAAGCCACAAAGAAAACATGTCTTCTCATCCATTTATGTCTAGAATTTTCTTTTTAACACAACTTCAAAGGCCCTGACAGTCTCTGCTTTGATAGGTTTAACAAACTCTTAATGCTATCTATAATTTTAAATATCTCAGTCGTCCAAATGACAACGGATACTTTACCATAGTACTGTATTCATAGCACTGGCTATAAACCGTGAAACTGATTGAAAACAGGCAGCAAATACTTTTAGGATTAAAGAAAAAAAAAGGACATAACAGAGAAACAAAAGAAACAAAAGGGAAGTGTGTTTGCATTTGCTCAGGCAAGTATCTGTGTTCGGTTGCTTTATCAAGAGTATACCTGCCCAAATTTTTAGAATTAACTATGCAAAATACCAAAATTCATAAATAGCATCAGAATTTGCTATTATATTTTGAGTTCTAAATTAGTTTCTTTACTACTATGCAATGAATAGTACGCACTCTGAAATCACCATAATAATGTATTCAGCATTACTCCCGGTCATCCTGGCCAGTTGAAAGGATGGCACAGTATAAATCAAATCCCGTACAGACATCTTTAATGTGTAATTTCCATACAATCCTAGCACTGGCTATAAAGCTGGCTTAAGATAAAGAAAATTTCTAGAATGGAAAAAATCACTTCGTATTCTTAAAATTAATTCCGAAATGGCATCCCCAAAATTCTGTCTATATTTAATTCTGCCTCTTCCAATTTATAAACAGGCTAATTTCTCATCCTAATTTTGAGAACCTGCTTTTCTAGATATCAAAGACCCCAAAAATCTAAAAGAGAAAAAAGGTACACTTTATTTTGCATTAAAAAATATTCTAGTGTATTTTTTCTGTAATCAGCTTAAATTTAATTTGTAAAGTAAGAAGAGCCACAAAAAAAGTGCACCAAACCAATTAAAAACTTTCCCCAATGTGCAATGACTAAATGGATTTTTCCACTAAAATTCAAATAATACATCTGCGCATATCTTGGTAATTTTTTTAGTCTCCTTGTAAAACATGAAGTGGAGAACATCATGGAAACAATGACTCCTAGCAAAAATGTCTTTATCATAAAAGTACAGATTTTTATCTAATGTTGTCACATTTGTGGTCTCTACTTAAGCAGAATAAGGGCATTCCAAGGACCAATACTAAGGGGTTCATAATGATCCACAGCTATATGGCATTTTAATTTTAGTCTAAAAGGTTTTTCAGGCCATGCGGAGATCAAAGTTTGATGCTTTCACGCAACAATGAAGGCTTTTCTTTAAAAGAAACATCGCATTATGGAAAATACTACAAAGCAGAAATAAAGAGGCAACAATAACAGCGTGAAATACATAATTTAAATGCCTGGAAAAAAAATAAAAGCTAGATTAGTTAAGCTGAAGCAATCAATGCATTTCTGATTTTCCAAGATGCTGCGAAGCACCAAGGTAGAAATAACCTGAAACATCAGAGAGAGCATTCAAGAACCAACTCCAGAGCTCATCAATGCCTGGTATCTGAAAAAGCATTTTCACAGAAAAACAAACAAAACAACAAAAACTGCAGTTCCGGAAGATTAAAACATTCCACGCGAAAGCAAGCTGAAATATACAAATCAAAACAGATAACAAACGTGATTCCCCAAAGAAGCAGTATTTCTAACAGGAAAGTTACAGTGGACAGAAATAAACGAATAAGATGTACCGGAAGGGCACCTGAATTTGGTTGCACGATATTATTACATGCTTCGCACTGCTTTTTGCGGTTATTCAAAAGGAAACTAAAGGAATTTTCCAGTTGTTTCAAACCCAAGGGTAGAGAAAGAATTTGAACAGTATAAATAAGACCTGACATTAGGTAGTAAGGCGATGAAAATAAAAGATTTTCTAAAAACAAAAGATTTTTTAACTTCCACGCAGAATATCAAAACGAATGGAAATTGGAAAAGAATACCGTGGTGTTCATCCATATAATGAAAGACGGTACACATAAAGTACCGGATCCTCTCCGTTATTTATTCCCCCAATACACACTAGACTCCCAAGATCTCCCTCTAATCAAGCGCTAAAGTCACAAAACTATCTTCCCCTAAAACACTTCAGCAGGTTCCTTTCCGTCGTAAAGTCAGGGTCCCCTAATCGTCCTTTTCCAATCCTCCCGAATCTAGGAAAATATCATCCTACCACTTTCTTTATGCCCCCTCCCCCAAGAGTTAGCCCTCTCACAGTCTTCGTTGTAAGCTTCCCCTTATACCTCAGTTTCACCCCTAATTCCCCCCACCCCGGAGTTTTTCCTCATTCCGTAAGGCTCTCTCTCTTGCCATCCTAACAATTCTTCCTCTTACTCTTCCCAAACTGGGAGTCTCCCTCTTTCCCAAATATGTTCTAAGCAATGGCAAAAACTAAAAATTCCCAGTTTTTTCCCTCCTCAAATGTTGCGCCCCCTCCCCCGAAGTCTAGGCGTAAGCCTAACCTCTCCTTCTGCACCTCCAAAGCACTTTCTCAGCAGCCTCTCCGCCAAGCGCCTACAATGAGCGGCGCTTCTGGGGTCCCTGACAATAAAGCGAGACCACCAAGAGTCCCCTTTAACAACGGGCAGGGGCGGCGGCCTGGCCACCGCCATCCTCCTTGTCTTCTCCCGCCGGGGAGAGAATGGGGGGCCCCAGGGTTCCGTGGGGACTCACCGGCAGGGCCCAGAGGCGGACTGCAGGAGAGAAGCGCCAATGAGGGTAAAGAGAAAGAAGTCGGTCTCGGTTCTCCAGCAGTGCCTGAGAGCGGGGCTCTGTCGCCGGAGGTTGTTTCCTTTCATTCGAGGAGAGACGGGCTCGCGGAGCGCCCTTACGTCGCCCCCCTCGCACGCACACGACCCACAGAGCGTTGATACGTCCCGAGCGCGCCGCGGGCCCTGATTGGCCGCAGAGAGGGGGCAGCTGAAGCCGCACAGCCACAGCGCATGTGCAGAAACCACCCCCTGTACGACTGAAGGCGGCAGGCCCCGCCTCCTGTTCGCGCGCGGACCTTCTATTCTCCGCTCCGCCGCTCCGCCGAGTGTTTGGGGGCAGGATCAGAGGAGATAGAGAAAGAGATTCAAAGATATCGCTGTGGGCTGGGCGGAGAAGGGGCAGGATTGGGACGGAAACCGTTGGACAGGGGCCCTGGGTAACCAGTTCACAACAGTGATTCACGTAGACAGGCCTTATCCCTTGCACTTGTTCGCCGAGGCCTTTTCACATCCATTATTTCATTGTACTCTCATGGCATCTCTTTGAGGTCCTCCGTTCGTTTTATTGCCAGGAATGACTGAGAAGCTTGTAGTGGAGTCACCCTGCCTGCATTTCAATCCTTGGGCGAATCGTTTTAACCTCTATACCTTTTTTTTTTTGGTCTTTAAAATGGGGATAAAAATAGTACCTCACGGGTTTGTGGTAAGGAAGAAATGAAATAATGCAACTAAAGCGTGTTATTAGCATCCCTGGCATATAACAGACTCTCCATAAATGCTGGGATTATCACAATCAGAAAAGATAGGGTGATTTTCTTTATAATCTATACATGTAAACCAGACACCTAGACGAGTGCTTTCCTCTTTGGTGTATTGGAGCCATGCTTGGGTTTGAACTCCAGCTCTGCCACTTCTAGCTCTATGACCTTGATCGCTTTCTATTACCTCTCAGTCCCTCAGTTTCATCCTGTCCAAAATGGAGATCATAATAGTATTCGTCTCAAAAGGTAGTTGTGAGAAATGAGATAGTATATGTAAATCACACAGAATAATGCCTAGGCACATAGTATGCCCTATGTAAGGGTTAGCTTTTGTTATTTTCTATGGGCTTCACAGACTTTAACAACAAAAAAAAGCCTTAAACCAGTGAAAATTTAAAGATGCTCTTCAAGAGCCATTTTTCCTGTAGTGGCGGTGGATTTCCACGGTCTTGATCCAATGCTGTTTCTATACTGTTTCGTCAATCTTTTTACTTTTCTCTGCAATGTCAACTTTAAAGTGTAAGTTCCCAAGCAAACAGTGACCATGGTGGTGTGACGTTGAACTCTTCAAATAGATACCTAATAAGGGTGGACAAATCAGCCATTTAGCTGCAAGGAACCCTTAGCCCTTTAACCCAAGGCCCTATGCTGTGAAAGGGAGTGGCTAAAGATTTGCATAAGAAGATCCAGAATGTGTATTCCAAACATTTATGGTGTATATGAAGACAGGTTCCCCAGCATCATTTTCTACCAGCTTTACACACTTACTGATGCCAGGATGAGACAGATGATTGTGTAACTGACAAAATGCAATGCCTATGCAGTATGCCATCTTTTTAAGTTTCCCCCCAAATCCCCACATTTTGCTATCTTTTATTCATTATTTCATCCATGCATTCATTTCAACAAACTTTGATTCAATAAACACTTGCAAAACTATTAAGTTCCAAACACAATGGAGACCTAGATCAATACAACTCAATCCCTGCCCTTGAGCTCATGGTCAAAAAGAAGAGACGGCAAGCAAACATACACAGTATGATGTGATAAATGCTGTATTACAGACTATGGCTGGTACAGACATCTTCTGCCTATTATGTACAAAGCACTATGCTGAGGTATGACACAACAGTAACTAAGACACAGCCCTTGCCTTCAATTGTTTACAGTCTACCAAGAAAAAGATAGTTACAATAGGAGATAAAGTGCACTGAGTGCCTTAAAAGGTGGAAAGGAAGTGCAGAGAGAGTTCAGGAGAGGGAGATATCAGTGGCTCCAGTTACTTCCAGGCCCCAAGTCTGGTAGCCAGTCCCAATTAGCATGGCTGATAGATGCAGCCTGTTATTTCAAGGCCTACAGAAAGGAATTGGATTGTGATAACATGCCCTTAATGCCTGGGGATATAGCATGAGATCTAGTCATCTCTTACTGATTCACCAATACACTCTCACCAACACTCTTCCAGTTTTTTTCTTCAGGCTCCAGATCTCACTTTTTCCACCTCATTCTCAGCAAAGGCATTAACTTTATGACTTAATTTAGCAAAGGGCCATCTGAGCTAAGCTACTCTATCTTATACACCTACCCTCTCATGCTGCCTTCAATACTCAGAGAAAGAGCTGTCCCTCTTGCTTTCTAAAGCTTTTCAAAGCTGTGCTTTTAATTACATCTTTTCCATGCTCTGGAGGATCTGATTCCCTGCTTATTACCTGCTCCAGCAGCATCTACTGCCCTGCTCTCATTTGCCTTCAAACTATGGGATTCATCTTCTTTCACTGCCAGACTGCAGTTGCTCCTTTGCCTCCAATTGCTCTCCAATCATTCATTCAGCAGGCATTTACAGACATCTTCTGTATGCCAGGTATTATGCCAGACCCTGGAGATTTGAAAAGGAACAAGATATGGCTTCTTATCAAAACACCAAATTGTATACATTAAATATGTACAATTCTTATTTGTCCATTAGATCTCAATAAAGCTGGTTGGGGATGGAGAAAGAGATGAAAAAAAAAAGGCACAGCTTCTGCCTTCAATAAATTCTCAGTCTAATCAGGAAGAAAAACAGGTGAGCAGAATTTTAGTATAATAGGTGAACTGCTATAATAGAATTATCTACCACAGGGATTGGTGGACTCAGTCCAAGAAATACATCACTGGGAGGCAATGTTTTTAGTTGAGTCTTGAAGGACAGGTCAGGGCCCAGAAAAATCTGTATTTTATCATCACAACTTTACAAAAAATATACTCCAAGGCCACAGTTGATCTTTTTGCCAAATTCAACAGCTTTTCTCTATCTTCATTTTTTTTTTAATTGAGACAAAGTCTTGCTCTGTAGGTTGGAATGCAGTGGCATAATCACAGCTCACTGAAGCTTCGACCTCCTGGGCTCAGGTGATCCTCCCACCTCAGCCTCCTGAATAGCTGGGACTAAGGGGCACAACATCACGCCCAGCTAAGTTTTGTACTTTGTTTTTGGTAGAGACTGGGTTTCACCATGTTGCCTAGGCTGGTCTGTCTTCATTCTTGACATCTCTGTTACATTTGACATTTTTGGCCATCTACTTGTTCTTAAACTTTCACCCCCCTTGACTCATAACAACAATGCCCTGACTCTGGCTCTCTGGCTGCTCTTTTTTTCTTTCATAGGTTTCTCTTCTTCTTACTTTATAATATTAATATAAGTCTGACCCTTCCCCAGATACAGTCTTAGACCTTCCAGGCCCAGTAGTTCTTAAACTTTGGAAGTGAGAATTACCTACAGAGCTTGTTATACGTGCAGAATTTTTGTCACTGCCCCCGCCTTTTTTTTTTTTTTTTTTAGATTCAGACAGCCTCTTGACTTTCACTACCCTGTAAACCAATGCTTAGCAACTGCATCTGCTCTGCTTAGATCAGCCCTGCTCTTGACTTCAAATCACCAACTCCAGTACATGCAAATCATTCTCTTCAGCAACTAGGAAGTGACTCCTTTGCCCATTTTCAGTGTTTCCGTATAAGATACCACTAGCATTTCTGCTCCTGCTTAAACCAACAACTAAATTCACCTACATGTGGCCTCCTGGCTATAATCAACACCAATAGATCACTCATGTATTCATTAAATACATGTTGATCACCTACTATGTGTTAGATAAAAATTGATATGATTCATTTTGGTGTAGTAGAGGAGATGGGCCTAAATCATGTAATCACATATACAAATGTAAACTTGCAAACATGACAAATACAAAAAGAAAATGAAGTATTATGTATTTGCATTTTGTATATGGAATACATTTTGTATTTTTTATTCTTTATTTTTCAAGTGGATGGACTAAGCATTTTAAATGTTTCTGTGGGGGAAAAAAAGCTATTTATTTGTATGAAATGCTGTATAAGATTCAGATGTCCTGAGTATTAATCACTGGCCTGCCACTAACTAGCAGAGGTTACTTGGGTGATTCATTTGCTGCACTTAGCTTTAATTTACACATCAATTAAATGAGAATTGCAAGGTTGTTATGAGACACAAGAGAGATAATGATGATTGTGAATGTTCTTGTCCCAACAAATACGAAGGATGGTTTTTTGAAATATATCCCTTAACTGTCATATCATCTGATTGATCTACCTACTAGTGTGTTGGTTCCCAGCGTCTACTTAGTTTTTGTTGTTTATTTTTTAATTTTCACTTACTGTATTGGTGAGGCTTTATAACATTCTTTTTTTTTTTTTTTCTTTTTTGAGACGGAGTTTCACTCTTGTTGCCCAGACTGGAGTGCAATGGCACGATCTCGGCTCACTGCAACTTCTGCTTCCCAGGTTCAAGCCATTCTCCTGTCTCAGCCTCCTAAGTAGCTGAGATTACAGGTGCCCACCACCATGCCTAGCTAATTTTTTTATTTTTAGTAGAGACGGGGTTTTACCACGTTGGCCAGGGTGGTCTCGAACTCCTGACCTCAGATGATCCATCCACCTCGGGCTCCCAAAGTGCTGGTATTACAGGCATGAGCCACTGTGCCCTGTCAACATTCTTAATTCTATCCAGCCTATGGAACTACTCAGCTACCTAATTGAGGAGCTGGGGACTCTGATGTACTTTGTTGTTGATATCTCTTCCTTGTTTAGCAATTTGAGGCTGGGTATGGTATAGACACAGCTCAGGAAACTAGCAACTGTGGCAGGGGAAATGCTTTAGAGACACAGCAACATCTCTAGAACATTGTTTATTGAGTGCCGAATAAACACAGAAGCTGAACTTAATTTAATACGTTGATGGCAATATTGCAGAAGTAACTAAACTTCACAGTACTCGTGCAATCATGAGTCATTTCAAAAGGAGTTAACCCTGACTGCAGACAATGTATCAGGCACTGCACTCAGTACTTTATGTATATGATCTTATTAGATCCTTACAATAGCACTGAGAAGCAGGGAATATTATTAGTCCCATTTCACAGAGGAAGAAAGTGTTGAGCAATTAAGTAACTTGCTCAAAGTCAACCAGGAAGAGGAAGGACCATGTTTCAGGGCTACATTTGTTTTAGCTCCAGAGCACAAGCTCTTAATCATTGTGCTGTACTGCCTTTTATTTACTTGTTCGTGTGTTTATTATCTGTCTCTCGACTAGAATGAAGCTCTATTGGAGCAGGAGCTTTGTTTTGTCGTGTCCACTGCTCTATCCTCAGCCCATAGAACTCTGTGCCTGGTTCATAGTAGGCTCTTCGTAAATATCTACTGAAGTGAGGCCCTGGAGAGAGAAGGAGAATCTAATGAAGAATGGGGAGAAGTGGAACTGAAATGGAATGAAATCATTTCACGAATTTGTTTGTAATTTAGCAGCCCAATTCCTACCCCAGCAACTCTGGCATATGTGTGAAATGGGGCCCAGAAACTATATATTTAAAACAAGCTCCCCAGGTGAGATCATGATATACACAAATATATGAGAACCGCTGACCTACAGCCATCAAAGTGAAAACAGAAAAAAAAATAACATGGCTGTCTCATCAGTTACATTGGAATGTCCAAGAGACTTCATTCTGATTAATATCATTTTTAGGCATATATTTTAGTGAGGACACACAGGAATAACTAGCTTTGCCACTGGGTCTCCAGTGACCTTGAGAACCTTTGTTCCTTTAACCAACAGCCCTATTTTGGTTGTTGGTTAAATAACATGATCAGACAGATCTACACTACTCTCAAATATTATAATAATAAGTCTAAAAGGTAGAGTAATTCCATATGGATAAGATTTGTGGGAAGCTAATATTCACAATAGGACATAATCCTGACAGGGAGGCAAAGAACCAAATGGCCTGGACACAAATCCTGGTTTCGGGTTAATTTCTCAGTGTCTTCATTGTCTCATCTGTAAACTAAGGATGCTAGGAGTACCTTTCTCAAGGATTTCTATGAGGATTGTGTGAAAAACTTAGCACAATTTCTGGCTCATAGAGTTTAATAAAAGTTAGCTACAAGAGCTAGTTTATAATCAGTGATACTGAGTGGTTTTTATCTTATTTCACTTAGGAATAGCTAAGTTAATTGTCTCCAGTTTTCCTGATAAGGGGAATAGGAGACAAAAGGTCTTTGTTTCTTTTCGGGGGTTTTTGTTGTTGTTGTTGTTGTTGTTGTTTGTTTGTTTGTTTTGAGATGGAGTCTCGCCCTGATGTCCAGGCTGGAGTGCAATGGCTCAATCTCGGCTCACTGCAACCTCCGCCTCCCAGGTTCAAGTGATTCTCCTGCCTCAGCCTCCCGAGTAGCTGGGATTACAGGTGCCTGCCACCATGCCCAGATAATTTTTGTATTTTTTAGTAAAGACAGGGTTTCACCATGTTGATCAGGCTGGTCTCGAACTCCTGACCTTGTAATCCACCCACCTCAGCCTCCCAAAGTTCTGGGATTACAGGCTTGAGCCTCTGCGCCCGGCCTAGGTCTTTGTTTTTTATTCATACTGTTCTTGCTTCCTAGAACTCCTCTTGGCAACTTTCTTGGATTAGCTGAGACCTAGTGGTCTTGAAGATTCAGTTCACATGTCAGTGTCCAAAAAGCCTTGACCTTATCCTTTGATTAGGTGAAGCTGCCCTCCTCTTTGCTTCTATAGCTCTCTGGCCAGACTTCTATTTCATCATTTACTGTATTATATTTAAATTAAAAGTATTTCGTCTGTCTCTCCCACTAGATCTTTGGGAGAAGGGACCATGTCTTATTCTTTGTATATCCCTAGGCACCTAGCACAGTGCCTGCCCAATAAATATTTGCTGAGCTTTCTCAGATGAACATGTGAGAGATCCGATGGTTACTACTGTTGGAAGATTTTGTCCTAAGATAGCTGTCCATACTCTGGGCCTTGGCTCCTGTTCCTCCCTGTTGCACTTACAGTCATGCCATGCAATTTAGCACTTAATTATATATCGTATAACATATATTATTCTCTAATTGCTTCATATGTTAATCCACCACTTATTTCCTCTTCCTTCAGGCACTAAGAAGTGATTATAAATTGAAAGTGGATGATCCAGCTGTAAGCCACACCCAGCTGTCACTCAACTCTGCTTACTGAATGCCCCAGCACTATGAATACAACTATTAGTCACCAGAGGTGAATGCAGATGAAAAAGTAGCATGATTTAAAACTACTGCCTGCAGCAGTATGTTCACACAGTAGGCACTCAAGAAATATTTGTTGAATGAATAAATGATTTCATAAAAAGAGCAGTGCACTTGGTTGGGCTAGAGATCGGGAGCCCTGACTTCTAATCAGATTTCTATCACTTCATTTTGAACTTGGAAAGTCACTTCTTGTTTCTGGGACATGCTTTTATATTCTGTAAAGTATGAAGGAAGACCAGAAGATCTTTAAAGTCTCTTTCAAGTTTATTTTCTATTTGTATTTGTATTTTATTTTATTTTTTGAGACAGAGTTTCACTCTTGTTGCCCAGGCTAGAGTGCAATGGTGCGATCTCATCTCACTGCAACCTCTGCCTCCCAGGTTCAAGCCATTCTCCTGCCTCAGCCTCCCAAGTAGCTGGGATTACAGGCACCTGCCACCACACCCGGCTAATTTTTTGTATTTTTAGTAGAGATGGGGTTTCACCATGTTGGCCAGGCTGGTCTTGAACTCCTGACCTTAGGTGATTCCCCAGCCTTGGCCTCCCAAAGTGCTGGGATTCCAGGCGTGAGCCACCGTGCCCGGCCCTCTTTCAAGTTTAATATACAATTCTTCCTCCAAATAGTTTGAAAATTCCTCGAGTAAGCACAAATATATGTCTTATGTATATCTTCATAGCACCTAGCACGGTGCTGCGCACACAAGAGGATTTGATAAATACCTAAAAAGTTAGAACCATCACGCTCAATAGCCACCTATAACCAACATAAAAATGAAACAAAATAACCAATGGACACTAAACTCTACTGTGAAACATACCTTATCTCTAAAAATGAGCCCTAAGAGAAAAATAGGAGAAAACCTGAAAATCTCTTCTAATTGTTGCATTTCAAAATCTTTAAGATATTTGTGATTTAAAATCCTAACTTAGGTTCCAGTTTACAATCAAATTATTTCATTAATCCAAGTAAAAATTGAGTGCATACAGAGTAACAATTGCAGCTTAATCTTAGGCCCTCTCTTCTCTCTTCTTGGTAATCATTCACACCCATCACATTATTTACCATGTTCATTATCACTGGGACTGATGACACACTTGTTTATCTCTCCAGCCAATATCTCTCTAGCCAACATTTCTCCCCTAAATGCTAGGATCATATTTCCAACTGCTTATTTGAAATTGCTTAGTTATCTCAAAGGCATCTCAAACTCAATATGTCTAAAAGAGAACTCATGATCTTCTCCCTGGTATTGGCCCACTGTTTCCTAACTCAGTGACTACACCTCTATCCACCCAGTTCTGCAGGCCAAAGACCAGGGAGTTATTCTTGACACTGCCCTCTACTTCACTCCCCACATTCATCTCCACTTCATCATTAATCATGGCAATTTTTCTTTTTCTTTTTTTTTTTTTTTTTTTTTTTGAGACGGAGTTTCGCTCTTGTCACCCAGGCTGGAGTGCAATGGTGCTATCTCGGCTTACTGCAGCCTCTGCCTCCCGAGTTCAAGTGATTCTCCCGCCTCAGCCTCCCGAGTAGTTGGAGTTACAGGCACCTGCCACCACGCCTAGCTAATTTTTTTGTGTGTGTATTTTTAGTAGAGGGGTTTCGTCATGCTGGCCAGGTTGGTCTTGAACTCCCGGCCTCAGGTAATCTGCCCTCTTTGGCCTCCCAAAGTGCTGGGATTACAGGCTGAGCCACCGCACCCAGCTTGCAATTTTGCTTCTTAAGTAAATCTTGAGTCAGTGTATTTTTCATTATCTCCAGCATCTCTACCATCTCTAATCTGGACCATTCTACTAGCTTACTAACTAGTTTATCCTAGTTTGATTATTCTCTCCTCCAGTCTATTCTCTACATTCCTTCAAATGTCATTAATTGATTTAGTCATCAAAAAATATTTATTTAGTGCCTACTATGTATCAAGTACATGGAATACAGCAGTGAACAGAACAGACAAAAATCTCTATTTTCATCAGGTTTACATTTTAATGAGTCAGAGACACACTAAAAATAATATGTAAAATATGTAATAGTGTCAGAGATTCACTTCCAGCATGATGAATTAAGGAAGTTAACAGAGCTCCAAAAGCAACTACTATAAAGCTGGACAAAAATGTCAAAAACAATTCTTTCGGTGCTCTGGAAAGCTGCCAAAGGCATAGTAGGGTGACCAATCATCCTAATTTCCTTGTTACTATCCCAGTTTTAGTGCTAAAAACCCTGTATTCCAGGAAAGCCCTCCCCAGGATGCAAAAAAGTCTCATTTTTCAGCAATGGTTGCTCAAGTTTTAGGGCAAAGGTACCAAACCCATACCCTGTCTCCCAAAATAAGGGTTGAAAGCAACACTGTTTTTAGTGTCAAGTGGATATGGCATAGATACCCGTAGTCACTGTCACTGTCACTGTTTTTGTTTTTTGTTGTTTTCAGATGGAGTCTCACTCTGTTGCCCAGGCTGGAGTGCAGTGGTGCGATCTCGGCTCACTGCAACCTCTGGCGCCCCGCTTCAAGCGATTCTCCTGCCTCAGCCTCCTGAGTAGCTGAGATGACAGGTGTGCACCACCATGCCTGGCTAATTTTTGTATTTTTACTAGAGATGGGGTTTCACCATGTTGACCAGGCTGGTCTCGACCTCCTGACCTCAGATGATCCGCCTGCCTCAGCCTCCCAAAGTGCTGGGGTTACAGGCATAAGCCACTGCGCCAGGCCCTGTTACTGTTTTTAACCCTGACCACTCATGATGGCAACCATGATTTGCAGTTCACAATAATGGATTATCCATTGTTGCATTGCTCCAAGGGATGCAACTTAAGTGTGCAATTTCTGGACATTGCAGTCGTGAACAGTTAACATTGTATCTTTGACTTTGCCTGTGGATTACCTGGTGTGATTTGTATGGAGATAGGGCTACTTTGATTTTTAACATTATAAATATGCTAACCATGTGTTCTAAGTGTTCAGATAAAAAGAGAATTATTACAATACTAACCCCAGCTTGACCTAGAAATTACCAAAAAATAAGGCTAAGTGACCATGTTGTTTTAATAATAGATAGAAGGACACATACAACTTGCATTAGGGAGGTAAACAACCAAAACAGAGCATACTGGGCAATAAGCAGAAAACAAGTTGGGACTAGGCATGACAGAGACAGGGATATGAAAGCACATACAGAAACTGAATCTCACAGTCCAGGGTGAGACAGATAAGTACTATAAACCAATAAAAAGCTTTTGATCTTCCCCAAAGACACTAATGTTAACTCGAAATTGATGGCCGCTGATTTAGCCTAAATATGCCACATGCGGAAACATGTATCATTGTATCATTCATACATGAAACTGAATAAAGTTACATTTCCTGTTTAAGAGGTTGCAACTTAAATGTCCTGTGGGTGAACAAAAGGGTAAATTTGGGTACGATATGTGTTTGCCTCATACAGTGTAGCTCTGATTTTGTCAGATTTTACCAGATATCATGCTTTGTACAGTAGTATATCAAGCGACTTGTCAAATCACTGTTTCTCCTACCTTTTATGTACTTTGATTTGAAAAATAGAATTTCAAATCACCTTCTTGATTTCTATGATGATCAAAATGAAACTGCAGAAAATATAAAACAAAAAAGATTGTTGATATCTTGTCTAAAAACAAACTAAACTTTGCTCATCTATTTGCATATTCAGCAGACAGTACAAATGTAAATTTTGGAAATCAGACAGCTTTAGAACGCCAAATAAAATGTCACCAGAAAAGGACAGTCAAATTAAATAGAACTTTCTCAGTTTCCTTACTAAACCACTAACTTATTTGGAATTCAATTTTGATTTCACAATTACAAGTTATTTCTGTACTTTAAAGCCGTTTTCTCTAAGAAAGAGAGGATTAACTTATGATGGCATCCAATGTGGTTTGCAGTGTTTAAAAATGACGGACATTCCAGACACAAATGAATCTACATGATTAATTTATAGATGCTGAGAACCTGATTGACAAACAGCTGGTCTACCAAAAGCAGCCTGACACTATAAAGCGAATGAATATTTTTCAAGAGCTGGGAACTAATTCCTAAAAGTCTAAAAACCTGATGTTTTTGCTTAATAAAATATATATATTCCATGCTCAAACACTTTTGAGAGGATATTTTAGCTTTTACATTTAAGCCTTTGATAAATTTGTGTTAATTTTTGTATATACTGGGAGGTAGGGATTCAATTTTATTCTTTTGCATGTGGATATCTAGTTGTCCTTGCACCATTTGTTGAAAACACCATTCTTTCCCCTGCTGAATTGTCTTGGCACCCTTGTTGAAATCAGTTGACCATAAATGTGAGAGTTTATTTCTGGACTCTCAGTACTATTCTATTGATTGATATCTTTAGCCTCATGCCAGTACCACACTATCTTCATTACTATAGTTGTGTAGTTAGTTTTGAAATAAGCAAGTGTGAATCCTCCAACTTTGTTCTTTTTCAAGATTGTTTTGGCTATTCTGGGTCCTTTGAATTTACAGATAAATTTTAGGATCAGCATATCAAAATCTGCAACAAAGCAAGCTGGGATTTTTATAATAGATGGCATTGAATCTGTAGATCAATTTGGGGAGTATTGCCATCTTAACAATAATAAGTCTTCTGATCCATGATGGTATGCTTTTTCACTTTTTAGGTCTTTAATTTCTTTTTTGTTTTTTTTTTTTTGGAATGTAGTAAAAGAGATATGTGCCACTACACTCAGCTAATTATTATTTTTTTTATTTTTGAGACAGTGTTGCTCTGTCACCCAGGCTAGAGTGCAGTGGTATGATCTTGGCTCACAGCAACCTCCACCTCTGGGGTCCAAGAGATTCTCATGCCTCAGCCTCCTGAGTAGCTGGGATTACAGGCATGTGCCACCACGTCCAGCTAATTTTTGTATTTTTAGTAGAGACAGGATTTCACCATGTTGGCCAGGCTGATCTCAAACTCCTGACCTCAAGTGGTCCACCCATTTCGGCCTCCCAAAGGATTACAGGCGTGAGCCACCACGCCCGGATTAAAATTTTTTATAAAGACGAGGTCTCACTATGTTGCCCAGGCTGGTCTCAAACTTCTGAGCTCAAGTGATCCTCCCACTTGGACCTTTCAAAGTGCTAGGATTACAGGTGTGAACCAATGCATCTGGCCTTAATTTCTTTCGGTACTTTTTTGTAGTTTTCAGTGTACAAGTCTGCTCTTCTTTTGTTAAATTTACTCCTATGTATTTTATTCTTCTTGATGCTATTGTAAATTGAATAATTTTAAAATTTTTATTTTCAATTTGTTCATGACTAGTATATAGAAATCCTATTGAGTTTTGTATGTTGGTCTTGTATCCCCAACCTCACTGAACTCACTTAAAAGTTCTAGCATTTGTAGTGTATTCCTCAAGATTTTCTATATACTAGATTATGTTATCTGCAAATAGAGACAGGTTTACTTCTTCATTTCCAATCCGGATGCCTTTTTCTCCTTTGCCAAAGCTCTCATTAAAACCTCTAATATAATGTTGAATAAAAGTGTTGAGATGAGACAAGCATGTTTTGTTCCTCATCTTAGGTGGAAAGTTTTCAATCTTTCACCATTAAGAGTCATATTACAATAGCTATGGGTTTTTCACAGTTGTCCTTTATGAGGTTGAGAAAGTTTCTTTAATTCTTAGTTTGTTTAGTTCTTTTATCATTGAGGTGGTGAATTTTGTCAAATACTTTGTCTACATCTATTGAGATGATCATGTGGTTTTTGTCCTTTATTCTATTGATATGGTGCATTACATTAATTGATTTTGGGTATTAAAACAGTCTTGTAATCCTGGGATGAATCCCACTTGGTCATGGTGTATAATCCTTTTTAAATGTTGCTGGATTACTTCCCTAGTATTTTGTTGAGGATTTTTGTTCCTATTTTCATAAGGAATTTTTGGTCTTTACTTTCCTTTACTTGCTATGACTTTGTCT
This sequence comes from Homo sapiens, assembly GCF_000001405.40. Classification (NCBI taxonomy): domain Eukaryota; kingdom Metazoa; phylum Chordata; class Mammalia; order Primates; family Hominidae; genus Homo; species Homo sapiens. The sequence goes on along the minus strand of NC_000023.11, from coordinate 134,360,099 downwards.
GGTTTTGGTGTCAGAGTAATATTGCCTTATAAAATCAGTTAGGAAGTATTCCCTCCTCTTTTATTTTTTGGAAGTATTTGTGAAGGACTGCTGTTCATTCTTTAAGTATTTGGTAGAATTTACCAGTGCAGCCTTTTTTTTTTTTTTTTTTTGAGACAAGTTTCGCTCTTGTTGCCCAGGCTGGAGTGCAATGGCACAATCTCGGCTCACTGCAACTCCTCCTCCCAGGTTCAGGCGATTCTCCTGCCTCAGCCTCCCGAGTAGCTGGAATTACAGGCGTGCATCACCATGCCTGGCTAATTTTGTATTTTTAGTAGAGATGGGGTTTCTCCATGTTGGTCAGGCTGGTCTCAAACTCCCGACCTCAGGTGATCTGCCTGCCTCGGCCTCCCAAAGTGCTGGGATTACAGGCGTGAGTCACTGCACCTGGTCCAGTGCAGCCTTTTTTTTTGTGAATAATTTTAAAATTGCTAATTTAATCTGTTTACTAATTATAGGTCTATTCAGATTTTCTCTTACATCAGTTAGTTTGTGTCTTCTTAGTAATTTGTCCATTTCATCTAAGTTATCTAATTTGTTGGCATACAGTTGTTCATAGTACTCCCTTATAATCCTTTTTAGATTGGAAAGTTGGTAGTAATGTCCTCTCTTTCATCCTTGTTTTTAGTGAATTGACTTTTCTCTCTTTTTTTTCCCCCTTGGACAGTCTAGCTAAATGTTTTCAATATTCTTACTATTTTCAAATAACTGATTTTTTTGCTTCATTGACTTTCTCTATTCTTTTTCTATTCTCCATTTCATTCATTTCCATCCTAATCTTTATTATTTTCTTCTACTTGCTTTGAGTTTAGTTTACTCTTCTTTTCTAGTTTCTTACAGTGGAAGATTAGGCTATTGATCTGAATCTTCTTTTTTAATGTAGGTGGTTATAGCTACAAATAATATGTTAGCTGCATTCCATAAATTTCAATATGTTGTATCTACATTTTCATTTACCTCAAAGTATTTTGTAATTTTCTTTGTGATTTCTTCTTTGGCTCATTATTTAGGAATGTGTGGTTTAATTCCCACAAATTTGTGAACTTCCCAATTTCTTTATGTTGTTAAAGTCTACTAATTTTACTCCATATTGATCAGAAAACATACTTTTTGTGGTTTTAATATTTTAAAATGTATTAAGGCTTGTTTTATTGCCTAACATATAGTCTATCCTGGAAAATGTTCCATGTGCGCTTGAAAAAAATGCGTGTGCTTTTGTTGTTTGGTGTGTTCTCTCCATATACATCTGTTAGTTCTAGTTGGTTTATAGCATTTTCCAAGACTTTTATTTTCTTTTGATCTTTTGCCTAATTTTTCTATCCATTATTATCATTATTATTTTTTGAGATGGAGTCTTGCTCTGTCACCCAGGCTGGAGTGCAGTGGCACGATTTCAGCTCACTGCAACCTCCGCCTCCCGCGTTCAGGTGATTCTCATGCCTCAACCTCCTGAGTATCTGGGACTACCGGTGTGTGCCACAACACCCGGCTACTTTTTGTATTTTTAATAGAGACAGATTTTCACCACGTTGGCGAGGCTGGTCTCGAAATCCTGATCTCAAGTGATCCGCCCACTTCGGCCTTCCAAAATGCTGGGATTACCAGCAGTGAGCCACCTCGCCAGGCCGACTATCTATTATTGAAAGTGGGGGTACCGAAGTCTCCAGTTATTATTGTTGATTTATTTAACTTCTCCCTTTACTTCTTGTTTTTGCTTCTTGTATTATTTTGGGGCTCTGTTGTAAGTGCATATAAGTTTACACTTGGTGTATGTTTTTGGTGGGTCAACTCTTTTATTTATATAAATATCCTTCTTTGTCAATAGTAATGATTTTCGTCTGACATTAGTATACCCCCTCCAGCTTTCTTACGGTTGCTGTTTGCATGATATATCTCTGTTCATCCTTTGACTTTTAACCTATTTGTATCTTTGAATCTAAAGTGTGTCTCCTCCAGTAGACAGCAGATAGTTGGATCTTGTTTTATTTTGTCCAGTCTGACATTCTCTGCCTTTAGATTAGATTGTTTAGTCCATCTATTTTAAATTTTATTATTGATATAGTTGAATTTACATTGCAATTTCACATTTTGTTTTCTATATATCCCATGTCCTTTACATCCCTGTATTCCTTCTTTACTGCTTTCTTTTGCACAACATGAATATTTTCTAGCTTAACAATTTCATTCCTTTGATGATCTTTTTCACCGTATTTTTTGAGTTTTTTATTTTTATTTATTTATTTTTTTAGTGGTTGCTCTAGGGCTTCTTGTGTACATCTCAACTTAATCAGAATTTACTTCACATTTATACTGGCTTAATTCCAGTGACATATATAATAAGCATTACTCCTATGTAGCTCTATTCTCTCTTCCCCCTTTTTGCTGCTGTTATACATATTACATGTATGTGTGTTCCAAACCCAAACATACACTGTTATAGTTGTTAGAATATGTAATTTTGGCCAAGAGTGGTGGCTCACGCCTGTAATCCCAGCACTTTGGGAGGCCGAGGTGGGTGGATCACCTGAGGTCAGGAGTTTGAGACCAGCCTGGCCAACATGGCGAAACCCTGTTTTTACTAAAAATACAAAAATTAGCTGGGTGTGGTGGCAGGGCGCCTGTAATCCCAGTTACTCAGGAGGATGAGGTAGGAGAATCGCTTGAACCCAGGAGATGGAGGTTGTAGTGAGTCAAGATCGTGCCACTGCATTCCAGCCTGGGAGACAGAGTGAGACTCCATCTCAATATATATATATATATATATATATATATATATATATATATATATATATATACACACACACACAATTTTATGTCTACTAATGAAGCTGAGAAAAGAAAACAGGTATATATTTATGGAGTTTACTTTCTTATTTACCATTTCTGGTTCTCTCCACTGGATTCTGTGGATTTGAGTTACCACTTAGCATCATTTTTTTACTCCAATACAACTTGCTCCCACCCATCTGTGTTGTGCCCTTATTGTCAAATATATGCCGTTTTTTTGTTATAGGTACAACAATATAATTATACACATATTGTTTAATAAAATGATTTTTAAATTAATTAAGAGAAGAAATGAGATGAAATATACATTGATACTGTCTCTTATAATTACATATTTATAAAATTACCTTTATTGGCGCTCTTTGTTTTTTCAAGTAGATTCAAATTACCATCTGGGGTCACTTACATTCAGCCTGAAGAACTTCCTTTAGTATTTGTTGTAAAGTAAGCCTGCTAGACCATATCTTGGGTCAAAAAACAAAACACATTTGGTAGAATTGAGATTTTCGTTGACTGTAATAAAGAACTAAAGTAGAAATCAATTCCAGAAAGATACAAACAAACCCAAAAGACTCTCCAAGCTCTTAAAAATTCAGCAGCAGATTTCTATACAATCGATGAATCAAAGTGGAAATTTGAAAGTAAATTTGAAATTATTTTGAATGAATTAAAATAAAAAGACAACATATCAAACTCTGTGGGATGTAGCTAAAGCAGTGCTAAAAGGGAAATGCCTGTTTAGGTTGTTTGCCCATTTTTCTACATGATTGCCCTATTCTTAATTATCTGCAGGAATTCTTTTTTTAAAATTTTATTTATTTATATATATATATTTATTTATTTATTTTAGAGACAGGGTCTTACTCTGTCACCAAGGCTGGAGTGCAGTGGTGTGATCATAATTCACTGCAGCCTCAAACTGGGCTCAGGGGATCCTACTGCCTTTCAAGTAGCTGGGACTATAGGTGCACGCCACCATGCCAAGTTAATTTTTCAAATTTTTTTGTAGAGATAGGATCTCAGTATGTTGCCCAGGCTGGTCTCGAACTTCTGGCCTCAAACAATCTTCCTGCCCCAGGCTGCCAAAGTGCTGGAATTACAGGCATGAGCCACCGCGCCCAGCCAATTTACAGAAATTCCATATATATTTTGAACAGAAGTAAGCCCTTTGTCAGCTAATTTACAAATATGGTTTCCCACTCTGTGCCTTACTTTTCATTATCTGAATAGTATCCCGTAATAAAAATAATGTATTAAATTTAATTTAGTCCAGTTTATCAGCTCTTCTTTTATGGTTAGTGCCTTGTTTTGGTTTGGTTTTTTTTTTTTTTTTTTTTTTTTTTTGAGACGGAATCTCCCTCTGTCACCCAGGCTGGAGTGCAGTGGTACAATCTCGGCTCACTGCAACCTCCGCTTCCCGGGTTCAAGCAATTCTCCTGCCTCAGCCTTGCGAGTAGCCGGGATTACAGGCGTCCACCACTACGCCCAGCTAAGTTTTGTATTTTTAGTAGAGACACGGTTTCACCATGTTGGCCACGCTGGTCTCCAACTACTGACCTTGGATATCCTATTAGATTTTTTCCCCTAATTATTTGATTTTTTGATACTATTGTAAATGATATCTTACAAATTTCGGCTGGGTGTGGTGGCTCACGCCTGTAATCCCAGCACTTTGGGAGGCTGAGGTGGGTGGATCACCTGAGGTCAGGAGTTCAAGACCAGCCTGGCCAACACGGCGAAACCCCGTCTCTACTAAAAATACAAAAATTAGCTGGGCATGGTGGCAGGTGCCTGTAATCTCAGCTACTTGGGAGGCTGAGGCAGGGAGAATTGCTTGAACCCAGGAGGCAGAGGTTGCAGTGGGCCAAGATTGTGCCACTGTACTCCAGCCTGGGTGACAGAGTGAGACTCCATCTCAAAAAAAATTTTTTTTCATTTTATATTTATTTAATGCTGACATATAGAAGTATACTTGATCTTTTTAAAAAAGATAAACCTATCTAGCAGCCTTGCTAAATTTGCTCATTAATTTTAATAGATTTTCTGTAGATTATTCTGGATTTTCTTTGTGTACAATCATGTTGTCTACAAATACTAGTTTTATTTCTTTCCTATCATGTACTCTTTATTTATTGCTTTTTCCTGTCTTATTGCACTGGTTAGGACACCAAGTTTAATGTTGAGCAGAAGTGGTAATAACAGTTTCTCATTCCAGATCTCAGGAAACAATGTTTGAATAATTCATCATTAAAGAAAATGCAGTACATCCAAACCATGGAATACTATGCAGCCATAAAAAAGAATGAGATCATGTATTTTGCAGGAACATGGATGGAGCTGGAGGCCATTATCCTTAGCAAACTAATACAGAAACAGAAAATCAAATACTGCATGTTCTTACTTAAGGTGGGAGCTAAATGATAAGAACTTATGAACACAAAGAAGGAAACAACAGACACTGGGGTCTACTTGAGGAGGGAGGGCGGGAGGAGGGAGATGAACAGTAAAGATAACTATTGGGTACTGGGCTTAATACCTGGGTGATTAAATAATATGTACAATAAACCTCCATGACACACATTTACCTGTGTAATAAACCTTCACATGTACCCCCAAACCTAAAATATAAATTAAGAAAATTTAAAAATAAATAAAAATTCATCCTTAAGTGATGTTTAATGTTGATTTTTTGTAGATATACTTTATAAGATTAAAAGCATTCCTTTCTATTACTAATTTGCTATGAGTATTTTTTCTAATCATGAATGAATGTTGTATTTAAAATTTGTTTGGCATCTATCAAGATGGTCATAAGATTTGTTCCTTTTTCTGTTTATATTGTAAATATATTTGTTCATTTTAAAATGTTAACTTTTACCTTCCCAGAATAAATTCATCTTGTTTCTGATGTATTATTCTTTGTATGTAGCGCTTGGTTTCTTTGATAATATTGTATTTAGGAATTTTGAATCTATGCTCATAATTTTCTGTAATTTCCTTTTCTTATAATCCTTGTCAGGTTTTGAGGAAAATGTCATTTTGGACTCACAAAAATAATTTAGATGTGTTCATTTTTTCTATTTTCTGAAAGTGTTTGTGAAGCTTAACTTTCTTTTTTTTCCTTAGATTTCTAGAAGCATTCATTTGTACAGCCATCCAGGTTCTGGGGTTTTCTTTGGAAAGGTGCTTAATAAGGTGGTTCAATTTATGTAATGGATAACTAGATTTCCTATTTTTTCTTGTGTCAATATCTTAGTTCATTCCTGCTGCTATAACAAAATACCTTAGACTGGATAATTTATAAACAACAGAAACTTATTTTTCACAGTTCTGGAAGATGGGAAGTCCAAGATCGAGGCACCAGCAGATTTTTTTATTCTTTTTTGTTTTTTCATTTTTCATTTTTATATATTTATTTTCACAGACATCACCCGTTAGAGCAGATTTGACGTCTGGTGAAGGCTTGCTCTCTGTTTCCTAGATGGCAAGATCTTGTTGCTGTGTCCTCACATGATGGAAGAGATGAAAGGGCTAGACAGCTCTCTGAAGCCTCTTTTATATAATCATTAATCTCATTAATGTGCGCTCTGCCCTCATGTGTTAATCATATCCTAAAGGCCCCATCTCTTAATACTATCACATTGGCAATTGTTTCAACATATGAATTTTGGGGGACACATTCAGATTACAGCAGTCACTTGTGGTAAGTTGTGTCACTTTTTATTTTTTATATGAGGTCTTGCTATCTTGCCCAGGTTGGACTTAAACTCTTGTACTCAGCAATCCTCCTTCCTCAACCTCCTGAGTAGCTGGGACTACAGGTGTGCACCACCGTGCCCAGCTTTGTGTTTCTTGAGCAATTCATTATTTCATACAAATTGTCAAGTTTATTGGCCTTAAATTTTGTTCGTTATATTCTGATATTATTTTTTCATATTTATAGGACCTATAGTGATGCAAGCTTTTTTATTCTCATATTGGTGATTGGTGTTTTTTCTCTCTTTTTCTTTGATTAATCTTTTTTTTTTGAGGCGGAGTCTTGCTCTGTCACCCAGTCTGGAGTGCAGTGGTTCAATCTCGGCTCACTGCAAGCTCCGCCTCCCGGGTTCACGCCATTCTCCTACCTCAGCCTCCCAAGTAGCTGGGACTACAGGCGCCCGCCACCACGCCTGGCTAATTTTTTGTATTTTTAGTACAGATGGGGTTTCACCGTGTTAGCCAGGATGGTCTCGATCTCCTGACCTTGTGATCCGCCCACCTCGGCCTCCCAAAGTGCTGGGATTACAAGCGTGAGCCACCATACCCGGTCCTTTGATTAATCTTTCTAGAGGGATATAAAATTTATTATCGTTTTCAGAAAACCAATTTTGTGTTTATTGTTTTTTTTCGATTGCATGTTCATTTTTTAGTGAATTATTTTTCTTATTTTTATCATTTCATTCTTTCTTCTTTTTTGGTATCTATTTGCCATTCTTTTTCTAGCTTCTTGAGATGGAAGACTAGATTACTGGTTTTCAGCTTTTCTTCTTTTCTAATGTATGCTTTTGAGGCTATAAATATCCTTTTAAGCATTGCTTGATTCTGGAAGTTTTGAAATGTTGTATGCTCATAATCATTCAGTTAAAATGGTCTCAAATTTCCATTGTGATTTACTGTCTGACCCATTCATTATTTAGAAATATGTTGCTTACTTTCCACATAGTTGAGAATCTTCCTTCCTTCCTTCTCTCCTACCTTCCTTCCTGCCTTCCTTCCTTTCTTTTCTTTTTTTTTTTTTTTTTTTTGAGACAGGATCTCACACTGTCCCTCAGGCTGGAGTGCAGTGGCGTGATTTCTGCTCACTGCAACCTCTCCCTCCTGGGCTCAAGTGACCCTCCCACCTCAGCCTCCCGAGTAGCTGGCACTACAGATGTGCACCACCACATCTAGCTGATTTTTGTATTTTGGGTAGAGGTGGGGTTTTGCCATGTTGCCCAGGCTGGTCTCGAACTCCTGAGCTCAAGCGATCTGCCTGCCTTGCCCTCCCAAAGTGCTGGGATTACAGGCGTGAGCCAATGTGCCCGGTCAATAATTTCCTAGTCACCTTTGTGTTATGGATTTCTGGCTTACTTTTATTGTGGTGAGAGAACATACTCTGAATAATTTGAATGCTTTGAAATGTGTTGATACTCGCTTTAGGACCTAGTATACAGTCAATTTTGGTAAACGTTACATTTGCATTTGAAAATAATGCATATTCTGTTGTTGGGTAGAGTGTTTACGTGTGCGTGCGTGTGTGTGTGTGTGTGTGTGTTGTGTGTGTGTGTAACAAAATTAACAAACCTCCCTCTCTGTCTTTCATTCCATATACAGTCATGTGCTATTAGGTGATTTTGTCATTGTGTGAAAATTATAGAGTATACTTACACAAACCTAGATGGTATAGCCTACTGTATACCTAGGCTATAGGATATAAACTATTGCTCCTAGGCTACAAATCTGTACAGCATTTTACTGTACTGAATACTGTAGGCAATTGTAACACAATGGTGAGTATCTGTATATCTAAACATAGAAAAGGTACAGGAAAAAAAAAACAGTTTAGGCCAGGCGCAGAGGCTCACGCCTGTAATCCCAGCACTCCGGGAGGCCAAGGTGGGCAGATCACCTGAGGTCGGCAGTTCGAGACCAGCCTGACCAACATGGAGAAACCCCGTCTCTACTAAAAATACAAAATTAGCTGGGCATGGTGGCGCATGCCTATAATCCCAGCTACTCGGGAGGCTGAGGCAGGAGAATCGCTTAAACCCAGGAGGCGGAGGTCGCGGTGAGCCAAGATTGCACCATTGCACTCCAGCCTGGGTGACAAGAGCAAAACTCCATCTCAGAAAAAAAAAAAGTTTAAAAGATAAAAAACGATACAACATCCATGGCACTTAGCATGGATGGAGTTTGCAGGATTGCAAGTTGCTCTGGGTGATTCAGTGAGTGAGTGGTGGGTAAACGTGAAGGTCAAGGACATTGCTGTACACTACTGTAGGCTTTATAAACACTATACATTGAGGCTACACTAAATTTATTTTATTTTATTTTATTTTATTTATTTATTGAGATGGAGTTTGCCCAGGCTTGAGTGCAATGTCGCGATCTCAGCTAACTGCAACCTCCGGCTCCTGGGTTCAAGTGTTTCTCCAGCCTCAGCCTCCCAGGTAGCTGGGATTATAGGCATGTGCTACCACGTCCGGCTAATCTTGTATTTTTAGTAGAGATGGGGTTTAATCATATTGGTCAGGCTGGTCTCGAACTCCTGACCTCAGGTGATCCGCCCACCTCAGCCTTCCAAAGTGTTGGGATTACAGGCATGAGCCACCATGCCTGGCCTCACTAAATTTATTTTTAAAAAGTAATTGTGCTGTGATGTTATGATGGCTATGCTGTCACTAGACAACAGGAATTTTTCAGCTAGGTCCGTTATAACCTCATGGGATCACTGTCATATATGTGGTTCATTGTTGATCAAAATGTTGTCATGTGGCACATGGCTGTCTCTATATATACTTATAATATATATAAAATGAGGGAGAAAGAGAGAGAAGATGGTTAATTTTGTTATTTAAATATCTTTTTTTTTTTTTTTGAGATGGAGTCTCGCTCTGTCGCCCAGCCTGGAGTGCAGTGGCACAATCTCGGCTCACTGCAAGCTCCGCCTCCTGGGTTCACGCCATTCTCCTGCCTCAGCCTCCCGAGTAGCTGGGACTACACGCGCCCACCACCACGCCTGGCTAATTTTTGGTATTTTTGGTAGAGACGGGGTTTCACCGTGTTAGCCAGGATGGTCTCGATCTCCTGACCTTGTGATCTGCCCACCTCGGCCTCCCAAAGTGCTGGGATTACAGGCGTGAGCCACCGCGCCCGGCCTTATCTTCTTAATAATTTTTTGTTTCCTTGTTCTATCATCTACTAGAAAGCATCTGTTTAAACTTTCTATGATGGTTGTGGATTTGTCTATTTCTCCTTTTAGTTCCATTAATTTTTGCTTTATGTCTGTTATGGGTGCATGTAGCTTTAAAATGTGTTGTATTACCCTGGTGGATTGATTCTTTTATCATCATAAAATATTATTCTTTATCTCTAGTCATGTTTTGTTTGATATTATAAATAGTACAGCAGTGTCAGCTTTCTTGTGGTTAGTACTTGCAGGATATATCTTTCTCCATTCTTTTACTTTCAACCTTATATTTAAGGTGTATCTTCTGTAAGCTGTATGTAGTTGGGTTTTATCTTTATTCAGTCTAATAATTTTGATTGTTTGGTATATTTAATCCATTCACTTAAAATTAGTTTTATTTTTTATTTTTATTGTTTTTTTGAGACAGATTCTCTTTCTGTCATCCATGTTGGGTGACACAGTGGTGCGAACACAGCTCACTGCAGCCTCGACCTCCTATGCTCAAGCAATCCTCTCACTTCAGCCTTCTGAGTAGCTGAGACCACAGGCACATGTCACTATGCCTGGTTACATTTTTTTTTTTTTTGTAGAGATATGGTCTCACTGTGTTGCCCAGGCTGTTCTTGAACTGCTAGGATTAAGTGATCCTCCCGCTTCGGCCTCCCAAAGTGCTGAGATTACAGGCATAAGCCTCCATATCTGGCCTTTTGTTTTTCATTTTTTAGAAACGGTCTTACTCTGCTGCCCACGCTGGAGTGCAATGGTGCCATCACTGGTCACTGTAACCTCGAACTCCTAGGATCAAGTGATACTCTTGCCTCAGTCTCCCGAGTAGCTGGGACTACAGGTGTGCACCACCACCCCTGGCTAATTTTTTAGTTGTTGTTGTTGTGTGTGTGTGTGTGTGTGTGTGTGTGTGTGTGTGTAGAAACAGGGTCTCACTATGTTGCCCAGGCTGGTCTTGAACTCCTGACTTCAAGTGATCCTCCCACCTCAACCTCCCAAAGCCCTGGGTTTATAGGTGTGAGCCACCACACCTGGCCCTCATTAACTTTTAAAACAGCTTTATTGAGATACAATTCATATGCCACTCAACTCACCCATTTAAAGTGTATAATTCAATGGCTTTTAGTATAGTCACCGAGTTATGCAAGCATCACCACAATCAATTTTAGAACGTTTTCATCACCAGTCCATTTACTTTTAATTAGCAATATATCTGGGGTTTTTAACTCCCACATATTTTTCTTTTTTTCTTTTTCTTTTTTTTTTTTTTTTTTGAGACGGAGTCTCGCTCTGTCACCCAGGCTGGAGTGCAGTGGCGTGATCTCGGCTCACTGCAACCTCTGCCTCCCAAGTTCACACCATTCTCCAGCCTCGGCCTCCTGAGTAGCTGGGACTACAGGCAGCCGCCACCACGCCTGGCTAATTTTTTTGTATTCTTAGTAGAGACAGGGTTTCACCATGTTAGCCAGGATGGTCTCGATCCCCTGACCTCATGATCCACCTGCCTCAGCCTCCCAAAGTGCTGGGATTACAGGCGTGAGTAACTGCGCCTAGCCAACTCTCACATATTTTTCTGTTTGATCATACTGTTTTATGTTTCCTTCACTTTTCTTTTTCATTTTCTTTTAGATTAATCTTTTATTGTTGTTATTCAAGTTTTCTCTTCTATTAGCTTGATTGGTTGTACATTTTTTTTTTACTTTTTAGTGCTTACCTTAGAGATTACACATGCATCTTTGACTTCTTGGGGCCTAATACAAATTATTTTTTCCCACTTTCCCAATAATGTCATATTTTCCCACTTTCCCAATAACGTTATAATCCAAAAGCTCTTTAACTTCATTTATACTCTCATTTTCCATTATTGTGTTCACTGTTAAAAAAGAAAGAAAGAAGTTGACACATACATACAAATTTCAGAGGTAGGACTAGGTTCAGATATGGCTGGATCAAGGAGCTTAAATCCAATATCAATCTCTCTCCAGCTGTCATCTCTGCTTCCTTCTGTTCTGGATTCATTTCAGATAAGCCATCTCACTGTTACATTAAGATGGCCCTTGGAATCTCAAGGCTTACATCCTGCTGTTTAGCAACCCCAATGAAAAAAGAACGCTTACATCACGATACTTTTGATTAGTTTTAGGGCTGGTACTTGCTGGTTCTTATGGCTTCATCTTTGGTCATATACCCCTCACTTAACCAGTCATCATGGTATTTTATTGGCCAGGTCAGTATTGTATGCCCAACTCTGAAATGAGGGATTGGGATGAACCCGGTCCAAACTCCATGGTGTTGTCATGCATTTTAATTCTATGAAAGTTTACTATTATTGCTTTCTACAATCAAACTGATTTCTTTTTACCCACATATTTATCTGTCCATTGCTCCTCATTCCTTCCTGCATTTTTTATTGTCTACCTGGGATTAGTTCCCTTTTGCTTGAAGAACTCCATTCAGTTCAGGCCAGCTAACTATAAATTCGTTCAGATTTTGTTTGCCTGAAATGTCTTTATGGTACTTTTATTTTTTAAGAGTATTTTCTCTGGTTATGGATTTGTGATTTTGCAGTCATTTTTTCACACTATAACAATGCCATTACTTTGTGTTTCCTCTACCATTGTTTCTGTTGAGAAATCATGTTTTAAAACTAATGTTTTGGCCAGGCGCGGTGGGTCATGCCTGTAATCCCAGCACTTTGGGAGGCTGAGGTGGGCGAATCACCTGAGATCAGGAGTTCGAGACCAGCCTGGCCAACATGGTGAAACCCTGACTCTACTAGAAATACAAAAATTAGCTGGGCGTGGAGGCAGGCACCTGTAATCCCAGCTACTCAGGAGGCTGAGGCAGGAGAATTGCTTGAACCTGGGAGGCAGAGGTTGCAGTGAGCCGAGATCGCACCATTGCACTCTAGCCTGGGCAACGAGAGTGAAACTCTGTCTCAAAAACAATAAAATAAATAAATAAATAAAAATAAAAAGTTTTATTTGCAAAACGCGTGATTAAAATGGCATGGTGCTTACACTTTTTTATGTACCACCACTTTAGAACTGACACTTTTCACTCCAAATGTGTTATTAGTTACAAATGCACTCAACATTTAATATCCATATTTTTAAAAAAGTCTTACATAGTACATTGCTTTGGCATTCTGTGGCAATACGCTTCCATTTATAGAAATTTGAATTTACAAATCCACTTTTTCAAGTTCTTCAAAGTGAAACTCTTTAAGTATATATCTCTGTGTGCACTATTGTATGTGTGTGTGTGTGTGTGCATTACTGAGGCTTTTTAGAGACATCTTCTTTTGACCTCAGTCTTAACTTACCCAAAAGCAACATTATCTAGCATTTTGTTCTCAACCTTCTACATCATAACTGTTCCAATCATCCAGGATTAAAACTTTGAAATTATTTTGGAATCCTTCTTTTTCTCCATCTATTTATTTTGATTTTGAATTTGATTTTGATTTTGATTTTTTTGAGACAGGGCCTTGCTCTGTCACCCAGGTTGAAGTACAGTGGCGCAATCTCAGCTCACTGCAACCTCCATTTCCCGAGCTCAAGTAATTCTCCCGCCTCAGCCTCCCAAGTGACTGGGAATACAGGCATGCACCACCACACTTGGCTAATTTTTAAAAAATATAGTGAGACCGCCAGTTAGAATGGCGATCATTAAAAAGTCAGGAAACAACAGATGCTGGAGAGGATGTGGAGAAATAGGAATGCTTTTACACTGTTGGTGAGAGTGTAAATTAGTTCAACCATTGTGGAAGACAGAGTGGCAATTCCTCAAGGATCTAGAACCAGAAATACCATTTGACCCAGCAACCCCATTACTGGGTATATACCCAAAGGATTATAAATCATTCTACTATAAAGACACATGCACATGTATGTTTATTGTGGCACTGTTCACAATAGCAAAGATTTGGAACCAACCCAAATGCCCATCAGTGATAGACTGGATAAAGAAAATGTGGCATATATACACCATGGAATACTATGCAGCCATGAAAAGGATGAGCTCATGTCCTTTGCAGGGACATCGATGAGGCTGGAAACCATCATTCTCAGCAAACTAACACAAGAACAGAAAACCAAACACCACATGTTCTCACTCATAAGTGGGAGTTGAACAATGAGAACACATGGACACAGGGAGGGGAAGATCACACACCGGGGCCTGTTGGAAGGTAGGGGAGTAGGGGAGGGATAGCATTGGGAGAGATGCCTAATGTAGATGACGGGCTGATCGGTGCAGCAAACTACCATGGCCCATGTATACCTATGCAACAAACCTGCACGTTCTGCACATGTACCCCAGAACTTAAAGTATAATAATAATAAAAAATATATAGTGAGACAAAGTCTCACTATATTGCCCAGTCTGGTGTCAAACTCCTGGGCTCAAGCAATTCTCCCACCTCAGCCTGCCAAAGGGCTGGGATTATAGGGGTGAATCATCATGCCTGGCCCCTCTATCTCTTTATATTGTATCAAAGAATAAAGGGAACAGACAACAGAATTGGATGAGGAGAGATGCTTATGTTTTAACTATTTATATTGAAGTGTATAGAATAAGACTGCATAGTAAAGCAAACTAGACATAAAATGTGAATGTAAATCCATATTTCTAATAGTCTTCTTGATAATTAGACTTTTGCGCCAGGCACGGTGGCTCACGCCTGTAATCCCAGGACTTTGGGAGGCTGAGGCAGGAGGATTGCTTGAGGCCAGGAGTTCGAGACCAGCCTGGCCAACATGGTGAAACCTCGTCTCTACTAAAAATAAAAAAAAATTAGCCAGGCATGGTGGCGCCCGCCTGTAATCCCAGCTACTTAAGAGGCTGAGGCAGGAGAATTACTTGAACCTGGGAGGTGGAGGTTGCAGTGAGCCTATATTGTGCCACTGTACTCCAGCCTGGGGAACAGAGCGAGACTCTTGTCTCAAAAAAAAAACAAAAACAAAAACAAAAACAAAAAAACTTTTAACTGACTTTTTCATATCTAAGTACAGTGTTTCAGTCTTCACCAGGACATAGAGATGAAGAAGCGCTTATACTGGGAGAATGAGAAACATTTGCTTTGCCATTTTCTCGTTTGTTTGTGCTTACATTATTGGCATTCATTTCAATTCATGGGCTCTTTGTTTTGAGATGGAGTCTCATTCTGTTGCCCAGGCTGGAGTGCAGTGGTGCGATCTCAGCTCACTGCAACTTCTGCCTCCTGGGTTCAAGTGATTCTCCTGCCCCAGCCTCCAGAGTAGCTGGGACTACAGGCCCACACCATCATGCCTGGCTTATTTTTGTATTTTTAGTAGAGAAAGGGTTTCGCCATGTTGGCCAGGCTGGTCTCGAACTCCTGACCTCAAGTGATCAGCCCAACTTGGCCTCCCAAAGTGCTGGGATTACAGGCATGAGCCACTGCACCCACCTTCCATGGGTTCTTTTTAAAGGTCTGTTCAAATCATTTTTACATTATATTAGGATTGGTTTAGCTAAAATTAGATAATATGCATGAATACATTTAACCCTTGTCTTTGTCTTTTCACAGTTCTTGAGTCTGGGACTCCTAGATCAACGTATGGGCAGGTTCAGTGTCTGTTGAAGAACTGATCTGCATTTCCAACGTGGTGCCTTGTTGTTGCATCCTCTGGAGGTGAAGAACTCTGTGTCCTCATGGTGGAAGGTGGAAGGGCAAAAGAATGCTCCCTTCAACGTCAAGCCCTTTCATAAGGGTGCTAATCTCATTCATAAGGGCAGAGCCTCATGACTTAATCACTTCCCAAAGGCCACACCTCTTACTATTGTTGCATTGAGAATTAAGTTTCAACATGAATTTTGGAGGGGAAGCCATCATTCAAACCATAGCAATCCTCCACAGGTAAATTGCAAAAACCAAGGCGTGTGGTAGAGTACTATTGGCAAGCCGTTTGCTTTGTGGAACTCTCCCTCTTACTCAAGAATCCTCTAGGCCTTGTGTGTGATCATCTGATATGTGGATTTGGGGAAGTTTCTGATGTCAATATGCACATTAAACGTTAGTAAAGCTGACTTTTATAATTTTATTTGAATTAGAAGAATTATAGGTAGAAGTTCTAATATTTTCTTACAGCACAAACGGAACATCTTGTATCTCCTCTGGGCGTTTTATACATTTTGAGGATCATTACTATCCACTCTGCTGTAAGGATGACCCATAAATAGGGGAGTGGAATCTCACCACAGATGGTCAGACAAAATGACAGTCTGCTTTCCGCTCACTTTTTCCTATCCCAACTCTAAAGTCCTTGGTGCAGAGAAGAGGGCGGAGAAAGCAAGAGAGAAGGAAACTCCCTACTCTGGTCTAGACCCCTGTTGGAAACTCTTTCCTACCCTACGAAAAGAGTGCTTTCAATGGAATCAAAGAGTGAAGCTTAGAAATCGGCATGATTGAATCTTAGTTACTAAACTGAAACAATGCTACTTACTAAAGGAGACTGAAAACTTGTGGGAAAGGACTGAGATGCCATTGAGACAAGTGCAAGGTGGAGAAGAAAGGAAAGTTCAAAATACAGTGGAATGGTAACTACATTAAAAGACAAAATCACAGGGAAATATCATAGTATGGGACTCCAGAAGCATTCATATGCAAGTACAAAGATCAGAGTGAAGAAACCATGGAGTAAACTGAGTCAGGCTAATGGAAGGAGGCATGGAAGTGGTGCCACTGTGGGGTATAACACAGATCTTTCATGTGGACTGTGTGAACAGACTTGCCAAGGGCAATGGCCAGCCTGGCATAGGCAAGCAGTGGGGGTCATCTAACAATCTAAGCACAAACTTCAAGGTCAGGTACCTATTGGATTGGATCTTGGCTCTGCCACTCTAAGCATGTCACTTAACTTCTTTAAGCCTCAGTTTCCCCAGTTGTAGAGTGGAAATGATAATAGTTCTTGTTTTATAGGGCTGCTGTTCAGGGTAAATAAAGGTAAATTGGCACATAGTGACTGCTCTAATAAATGGTAGTTAGAGTCATCATGATCACCATCATACTCTTCATCATCAGATGGTGGAAGTTGCTTCTCTTTCTGTAGAAAGTGAAGCATCTGGTAAACTGTTTACTTACTCTGCTGAAAATTTTACATCTTAAAATAAGATATTGGGAGGCGGTGCATGTGTGGGGGCAGGGGATATATGGGAAATCTCTCTACCTTCCCCTCAGTTTTGCTGTGAATCTAAAACTGCTCTTAAAAAATAGTCTGGCTGGGTGGAGTGGCTCACGCCTGCAATCCCAGCACTTTGGGAGGCCGAGGCGGGTGGATCACCTTAGGTCAGGAGTTCAAGACCAGCCTGGCCAACATGGTGAAATCCTGTCTCTACTAAAACTAGAAAAAAAAAATCAGCCGGGCGTGGTGGCTCATGCCTGTAATCCCAGCTACTCGGGAGGCTGAGGCAGGAGAATTGCTTGAACCCTGGAGGTGGAGGTTGCAGTGAGCTGAGACTGCACCATTGCACTCCAGCCTGGGCAACAAGAACCAAACTCCGTCTCAAAAAAAAAAAAGTCTTTAAAAAAGAACAAAAAAGAAGATATTGGCTACCTTCATAGACCTTTTATATCATAATGGCTACTGTGCTCAAAGTATTTCTTACATAATTGCTACGCTAACACTAACAGGTGGATTCTGTCTACATTTTACAGATGACAAGCATCACCGAGGTTTAGAGAAGATAACCAACTTGCTCAAGGTCACACAGCTCACTAGAGGCAGAACCATGCTGTTTCTGTCATACTGCAATGCCTCCCACTGAGTAGGCGCCTCACTCTGAAGAACCTGTTGATAATATGGAAGTGTTGATAGCATTGAAAGAAAGTGACTGTGTTGACAGTAAGCTGAAGTTGTAATGAGAAGAACTAAAGGCATAATCATAAATGTATCCCTGATTTTAAGTGAGTTGATTTTAAAATGCTCAAAGGTGGAATGGAGAAGTCAGTTTTAAAACTTATTTTGCTTTATTGAAGGTAATTTGTTCTTTTTCTTTTGGCCTCTTTTAAGATTTTGTCTTTGCTCTTCAACAGTTTTATGATGACCTGCCTATATGTATCTTTTTGTATGTGTGTATTTGTTCTGTATGTGGTTCACAGAATTTCTTGGGCATCTTTACTCAGTTTAGAAAAATGTTCATTTTCTCTTCGAAATTACTTCTGCCCCATTTGTTCTCTTTCCTCTCCTTCTGGGCCTTAAATTACATGTATATTAGACATTTACAATGTGTCCCATATGTTTGTTCTTTTCTAAATATTTTATTCTTTTTTCTCTCTGTGCTTTGCTTTGACTTGGGCGCTATGCATTTAACTGTCTTCCAGGTTACCAATTCTGTCTTCTCCCAGGTGTATGTTGTTGTTAAATGCCTATATTTAGTTCCTAATTTCAAATACTGGCTTTCAGTTCTAAAATTTTATTTTATTTTATTTTATTTTATTATTATTTTTGAGACTGAGTTTCACTCTTGTTGCCCAGGCTGGAGTGCAATGGCATGATCTTGGCTCACTGCAACCTCTGCCTCCCAGGTTCAAGCGATTCTCCTGCCTCAGCCTCCCGAGTAGCTGGGATTACAGGCATGCACCACCATGCCTCGCTAATTTTTTTCATATTTTTAGTAGAGACGGGGTTTCTCCATGTTGGTCAGGCTGGTCTTGAACTCCTGACCTCAGGTGATCTGCCCACCTCGGCCTCCCAAAGTGCTGGGATTACAGGCATGAGCCACCGTGCCTGGCTATTTGATTATTTTTTAATAGATTCCAATTCTGTGGTGAAATTCTCCATCTTACTATCTATTTTATCAATTTTCTCTGTTTTCTTCAATACATCAATCATCTTTATTTTAAAGTTTTTGTTAACTCAATTTTCTGGATTCCCTATGGGTCCATTTCTATAGTTTTATTTCTTGTGACATACCTAGTAATTTTTAATTAAATGCTGGACGTTGTATCTAAACATTGTAGAGACTCTGACTCTTGATCGTGTTCTTTTCCTTCAGAAAGTGTTCATCCTTTTCTTAGGGCTTTTCTCTGCTAGCCAGATAGAATGAGTGATCAATCATCTTATCCCAGTCTGATTGAAGAATTGTGGAGAAGAGAAATGTCTTGCAGGAGTGGAAGAAGGCAAAGGAGCCTGGAGGAATATATTAGGTTGGTGCAAAAGTAACTGCGGTTTTTGCCATTTTAAAAATAATGACAAAAACTGCAATAACTTTTTTCACCAATCTAATATAAAGTCATTGGAAGTAGACAACATTGTGATGAATCCTTGCTCTGGTTGTCAATCATCTTATCCTAGTCAGGGGCTTAGCTAGTTAAGGTTGGTTGCAGTTTGGTAATGCTTGGGCTGGCTTGCTTCTCACTTGTTCCCAGAGCAGACCCCTCCAGGGCCTGCAATACTTACCAGGGCTCTCCCCTTGGAGAGTCCCTAATGTTGCTCTTTGCCTCCTCAGCAACAGGAGACTAGAAAACCCTGCTTTGATTTTCAGAGATTTTTCTCTTAAGTTTTTAGCCTCCTACCCCATATAGCATCTTCTTCGCTGGTCTTGACACTTCCATTCTTCATACCCCCACCCAATTCATTCTCCACCCTGCTTTCAGATTGACTAGAAAATAAGACATTCATCTCATGCTACTTCCCTGCTTCAAATCAATCAAACACTTCCTATAACTTTCAGGATAAAGTCCAATCACCCTAGCATAGTTTGTGTATAGTTTACGAGGTTTTGCATGATTGTGATCTACATTACTTTTTCCATCTCCAACAAATGTACTCCTCTGCTTTCATCCTGTATTTCAGCCACACCACATTATTCATATTCCCTGAAGTCATCCAACTCTCTTTTACTTCTGGGCCTTTGAACATTTTGGCCCTTCTAGTGTGAATCACTTTCCCTGACCTCTCCTCCAAGCCTAATAATAATCCTTTAAAATTCACTTCACATGTCGTTTCCTGGAAGATTTCCATGGTCCTGCCTTACCTCCCTTCACTTATCCTACCGTGTACCTTTAATAGGGTTAAGATTCGGTTTCCCTCCTCTAAGCTTTCACAGAACTCAGTGGTTTACCCTTATCATAGCACTTTTTCCATTGTAACACAATTGTAAAACAGTTGTCTTCTCAACTGTTTTTCTCACTAGATATAAACTCCATGAGGACAGGAACGGTGTTCATCATGCTAAACACCATACTCTCAGTGCCTAACCCATATGGTACTCAGTTAACATTTGCTGACTGAAAAAAAATGACGGAATGAAAACGAAAAGGGAAGGACATATAAGCAAAAACAAATACATAAAGGGTGGCATAACTAATTTTGAATAGTGACAAGGAGCTCTAAAAGATCTGAAACTTGCAATAAATGCTGCAAACTTAAAAAGACTCTTAGGAAATTTATATTCAGAGCAGCAGGAGGAGGAATATTAGGAAAGATATATACCTAGTGCTTTGAGCTGATGATGCAGTTTGATAGATGACATAGAGAAGGACCTAACTCTTCAACTCTTATTGTGTTCCTTTCTTCTCTGATTGAAGAATTGTGGAGAAAAGAAATACAGGAGTGGAAGTAGGCAAAAGAGCTTTGAGGAATATATAAAGTCATTGGAAGTAGACAACAATGTGATTAATCCTGGCTCTGACTCTTACTACTATGTGACTTTGGTTAAGTCACATAAATAATTCTCTGAGACTCAGTTTTTCCCACGTGTAAAAAGAGGATATACCTAACATGCAAGATAATGATTTGAATGATGAATGCTAGGTGCTTGATACTTAATAACACTACAGAGTATTTTCGCCCAAAGACATGTTTGATGTTGACACAAATAAGATTCTAGCAAGCATTATTTAAAATGTTTTTGAGTACTTGGATAGAGAAGGGACCAATTTGAATTTTATGTATATATATATAATTTCATTTCTTTCTTTGGCAGGGTAATTTAGGCAGATTTGACTGGATTACCAAACTGCTTGATCATGTAATATAGGTATAGTGCTCTGGACTTCAGCAAGGCATTTGACAAGGGCTGTTTGACAAGTGAACAAATATGGGTTGACTGGCTTTTAAAAAATGTTAAAATCCACGAAACATGAAATTTACCATTTTAACACATACAATTCAGTGGCATTAAGTACAGCCACAATTTTGTGAAACCATCACCAGTCTCCATTTCCAGAACTTTTTCATCAATCCAAACAGAAAATCTGTACCCATTAAACAATAACTTATTATTTCCTCCTTCCCCTGGCTCCTGGTAACCTCTATGCTACATTCTGTCTCTATGAATTTGACTAACCTAGGTATGTCATATAAGTGGAATCATACAATATTTGTCTTTTTGTGATTGGCTTATTTCACGTGGCACGTTTTCAAGGTTCATTCATATTATAGCACGTATCAGAATTTCATATATTTTCTAAGACCGAATTTTTTGTATGCATATATCACATTTTGCTTATCCATTCATCTGTTGATGGATACTTGGGTTGCTTCTACTTTTCAGCTATTGTGAATAATGCTGCTATGAATGGGCTGACTGTTTAACCAATCTTGTGAATTGGCAACTGGCTGAATGATTGTGCTCAAAGGGTGCTGATGAAAGTGAAAGTGAAATGATGGCACCCTTGAAGGAAGTTTCCAGTGGTTTGCCACAGGGGTCTTCCTGTAGACTTTTTCTGCCCATCAATTTTCTCAAGAAGATATAGAAAGTATGATTAGCTAATTTGTTTTGCAGTCAACACAAACATGGAGGAATGATAACTGTATTAGTTAGCAAGATTCAAACTCAAAGAGATTGATGAGTTAGAGAGACTGACTAAATATCAAGAAACAAGAATTTCACAGGGGAAAAATACAAGTTCATATACTTGAGTTCAAAAAACCAATGGCCTGATTATAGTTTGAGAATGCTGCCCCTTTAAAAGAGTAAGCTGAATGTGTGCCAATAGTGTTTAAGTGTCCTTTCAAACATTAAACTGATCTTAGGTTATGTTAGTGGAAATGCAATATCGAAAATGGAGGTGCTGGTCATACTTTACTGTGTTCCACACTTGAGGTGTTGGTGTTCATTTTCGAGTTACACCTTTAAAAACAGAGAATAGTGTAATATGAGCTTTATTGTCATTACACTGCCATACGTCAAAGTCCAGTTTCATTATCTTTTTTTTTTTTTGAGACGGAATCTTGCTCTGTCCCCCAGGCTAGAGTGCAGTGGCGCGATCTTGGCTCACTGCAACCTCCACCCCCCGGGTTCAAGCAATTCTCCTGCCTCAGCCTCCCGAGTAGCTGGGATTATAGGTGCCTGCCACCGTGCCCGGCTAATTTGTGTATTTTTAGTAGAGACGGGGTTTCACCATCTTGGCCAGGCTGGTCTCAAACTCCTGACCTCGTGATCCACCTGCCTCGGACTCTCTCTCAAAGTGCTGAGATTACAGGTGTGAGCCACCACACCCGACCCAGTTTCATTATTTCTAAATCTATGACTTTAGGCATGTGACTTAACCTCTTGATATCTCAGTTTCCTCACTTGTAAAATAAAGATAATAATAGGGTTGCTGTGAAGATTAAATGAAGTAACACGTAGTAAGTACTTCATAAATATTAGTTTTTGAAATTACATAGACAAGCTGAAATATATTCAAAGAAGAGTAACCACTTATTTATTCATTCTGCAAATATTTATTAAGCACCACCACTGTCATAGGAGGAACACGTGAAGAAGCTAAGGGTGTTCAGCCTAGTGATGCCATGTTGTGGAGGATATGAAAGCTGTTTTCAAATATTTAAGGAAGAGGCATTAATCTCTTTCTGAATGAGTTCATAAAATAGAACTAGAATTAATTGGTGGAAGCCACAAGATTTGAATCAATGTCAGAAAACTGGAATTGGCTTTATTAACGGTTGTTGCAGGTGTCTAAGCAGAGGCTAGACAAATAGTTTGTGATGGTGTTATAAAGGATACTTTAGCACCAGATGGGTGATTTGAGTAGATAATCTTTAAGTTTCCTTAATTATTCCAGACTTGAAAAGTCTATAATGATATGAAAATGCCTTCCCTCTTTCCTACCCTAGAGACTGTATAAGGTCTATTCACCTTCTACTTTCCAATTTCTTCACCAAACCTCATTTGGACCTAAACAAATGCAGGTTGACCTAGGAAACTTTAATTTCTTTTTCAGCTATTTAGTTTACAAGTGACTCTTTTGTAATCACATCAGAGACCCCAGCCTCTACTCTAATTCCTTTATATCATTACAGAGAAAAATAGTGGGCCGGATTTCCTGGATACAGAAGGCTGAGGAAAGTCTGATGAATAATACAACAAAATTTTGAAATGTTCCTAAGTGCTTCTTAAAGCAAATATCATTTCAGGGAGAAAAGTAAACTCAAAATTTAATCTTAGATTCAGGAGTGACATCTGAGAACAAAATGTAAAGTTTGGTTGAATTTTTAATGGAGTTCACAATGAATAATAAAGCTTTGTACTTTCATAGACTTTTATTGACTAGTGCTTAGGAATTCACAGACTGTAACTGCTATAATGAGAAAGCTTGAGTCAGGGAAGTTTGACTCAGTAAATGTCCTAAACATCCTCATTTTTTTGATCATTTTAAATAAAATGTGAAACAGAATGAACCAGAAAAGAAAGTTTCATAGAAAAATGTATCATACTTTATTTTTTATTACTTCCTTAAAAATTAAGGCTACCTGCTATTGTTTAAATATGGCTTGTTCCCACCAAAATTCATATTAAGGCTTGGTCCCAGTGTGGCAATGTTGGCAAGTGGGACCTTTAAGAGGTGGGGTCTAATGGGAGGTATTTAGCTCATGGGGACTCCACCCTTATAGGTGAATTGGTGCCCTTCTAGTGAATGAGTTCTCATTCTCACGGGACAGAATCAGTTCTTGTGGGACTGGGTTAGTTCTTGTGAGAGTAGATTGTTATAAAGCAGGTCAGCTTCTTTTGTTCCCTCTCCCTTTTGCATGCCCTCTTCTCCTTCAGCTTCTCTGACATGTTATAATACAGAACAAGGCTCTCACAGAAGCCACCAGATACAGCCTCCCAATCTTGGACTTTCTAGCCTGCAGAACCACGAGCTAAATAAACCTTTTTTCTTTATAAATTACCCAGGCTCAGATATTCTGTTATAGCAACAGAAAATAGACCAAGACAATGCTCTAGATAACAAAGGCACTATGCAAACTACTATGTAAATGAATAAATTGTGACTTGACTACATCCTTTAAAGGGGGCAGCTAGGCTACAGTCATATACTGTATAATAACATTTTGGTCAATGATGGACCACATATACAATGGTGGTCCCATAAGATTATAACGAAGCTAACAATTTCCTATCACTTAGTGATGTTGTAGTTGTCATAACTTCATAGCTCATTACATTATTTACGTGTTTGTGGTGATGCTAGCGTAAATAAACCTACTGCACTGCCAGTTGTATAAAAGCCCAGCACATAACAATTATGTACAGTACATAATACTTGATCATGATAATAAATGACTATTTACTGGTTTATGTATTTACTATACTATACTTTTATGGCTAATCAATTAATCTATGTTCTTTTATTGGAGCAAGATTCCTGGTCGGTATACAGTGATATAGTTGCTAAACAGAGACATGTGCAGAAATTACATACTATCCATCTAGACAGGTTTTTGTTACACTTTGCCTATTGATGGAATAGTTCCATTTATCAAGTTTTATTCATCAAAAGCTTTGAATTTGACCAGACTGTCCATTAATTCACCTCTGAAAAAGTAGCACTTAATTTCAGCAATTATATTTTATAGCAATAAAAAGCTTATACATTAGGGTGCTTCTCTGCACAATGGCATTGAGCAGATAGAACTGAGTTCATCATCCCATCCAGATTCACACAGTCACATTTGAGGAGCCTTATACCAGAGTTCTGGGGCAAAGTTAATCCTAACCAACATGGACTTCTTACTCTGAGAACCTATCTTTGTAGCCACATTTTATAGTGCCAATGAAGACATGCCAGCAAGTTTCTCATGTACAACTGGCATTATAGCACCAGGTCAATTTGATGGTGGTGGCAGGCACTATTGTTTTATATCCAGGTAAAAGGCCAGTTAGAAAAACTGCCACTGGGGATAAAAATCAAAGACACAACATATCAGAACTGAGTTTTGAGCAACCTGGTATTCCAAAATATGTGAATATTTTCAGAAACCAATGTTAAATTGTTCCCATGTTTCCTAGCTATGGAGATATTTAATATTCAAATCCCACTACTCAATCCACATAGTGCTGAGGCCATCCTGCAAAGTGCATATCAAAAAATATGAAGTTAGGGTGATATAGATGAGTACAGATGACAACGATGTTACGCAAGTCAAACTTGGAAGGTCATAGTAAGCATATCTATTCTGAGATAACTTATTGTTATTTTAGAGTGTATTCATTCTACTTATAGAAAAAGTTAACTGTAAAACAGCCTCAGGCAAGCCCTTCTGGAGATATTCCAGAAGAAGGCACTGTTATCCTAGGAGATGACAGCTTCTTGCACGTTATTGCCCCTGAAGACCTCCCAGTGAGACAAAATATGGAGGTAGAAGACCGTGATATTGATACTGACTCTGTATAGGCCTAGGCTGATATATGTGTTTGTGTCTTAGTTTTTAACGAACAGTTTAAAAAGTGAAAAAAAAAATTTTTAATGTGAAAAAGCTTACAGAGCAAGAATATAAAGAAAGAAAATATTTTGTACACTTGTACAATGAGCTTGTGTTTTAAGCTGTGTTAATACAAAAGAGTTCAAAAGTTAAAAAATTTAAAGTTTATAAAGTAAGCTTTATAAACATTCACAGTAAGCTAAGGTTAATTTATTATAAAAGCAAGAACATTTAAAAAATAACTATTGCAGTCTAAGTGTACAGTGTTTATAAAGTCTACAGTAGTGTACAGTAATGTTCTAGGCCTTCACATTCACTCATCACTTACTGACTCACTCAGAACAACTTCTAGTCCTATAAGCTTCATTTATGGTAAGTGCTCTATATAGATGCACCATTTTTTTGTTTTTTATACCATATATAAATATATTTTGAGACAGGGTCTCATTCTGTTG
The DNA here is from genome assembly GCF_000001405.40 of Homo sapiens. Taxonomy (NCBI): domain Eukaryota; kingdom Metazoa; phylum Chordata; class Mammalia; order Primates; family Hominidae; genus Homo; species Homo sapiens. Next base: position 134,334,207 of record NC_000023.11, on the reverse strand, counting down.
CCCAGGTTGGAGTGCAGTGGCATGATCTTGGCTCACTGCAATCTCGACCTCCTGGGCTCAAGCTATCCTCCCACCTCAGCCTCCTGAGTAGCTGGGACTACAGGTGCATGACACCATGCCTGGCTAATTTCTGTATTTTTTTTGTAGAGAGAGGTTTCCATCATGTTGCCCAGGCTGGTCTTGAACTCCTGAACTCTAGTGATCCGCCCACCTCAGCCTTCCAAAGTGCTGCGATTACAAGTGTGCACCACCTGCCCCCAGCCATATTCTTACTGTTTAGAAATGTTTTTCTATGTTTAGATATGCTTAGATATATACATACTTACCATTGTGTTACAATTTTCTATAGTACTCAGTACAGTAACATGCTGTACAGGTTTCTAGCCTAGGAGCAATAGGCTATACCATACAGCCTAGATGTGTAGTGGGCTATACTATTTAGGCTTGTGTAAGTATACTATGATGTTCTCACAATGACAAAATTGCCTAATGACACACTTTTCAGAATGTATCCCATTGTTAAGTAATGCATGATTGTATAGGCACAAAATATATAAATAACTAGGTTATTTAAATGAATCTATGACATAGATTAATCTTACACACATGAAAAAGAGGTTGAGTGGTAATGAACTTGCTTAGCTTTTGTTTGGGAGAGTATTTATCTCTTCATTTTTGAAGGACAGTTTTTCTTAATTCTTCCAAAAAATTGAAGAGGAGAGAGCAGTTTCGAACTCAATTTATAAGGCCAGCCTTACCCTGATATCAAAGCCAGAAAAAGATACTGCAAGAATGGAAAATTGCATGCCAATATCTCAGATGAACATAAATGTAAAAATCCTCAACAAAATGCTAGCAAATTGGGAGGCCAAGGTGGGCAGATTGCTTGAGCTCAGGATTTCGAGACCAGCCTGGGTAACACAGCGAAACCCTGTCTTTGCAAAAAATACAAAAAATTAGCCCGGCATGGTGGCATGCACCTGTAGTTCCAGCTACTTGGGGGGCTGAGGTGGGAGGATTGCTTGAGTCAGGAGGTCGAAGCTGCAGTGAGGGGAGATCTCATTGCTGCACTCCAGCCTAGGTGACAAAGTGACTCTGTCTCAAAAAACAAACAAACAAAACACAAAAAACCCTAGCTAATTGAATTAAACAGCACATTAAAGGATTATACACCATGGCTAGGTGAGATTTATCCCTGGAAAGCAAGGCTAGATCAACATATGAAAATCAATAAATAAATGTGATATCACATTAACAGAATGAAAGACAAAAACCATATGATCATCTCAATAGATGCAGAAAAAGCATTTGACAAAATTCAACATCCTTTCGTAATAAAAATTCTCAACAAATTAGATATAGAAAGAATGTACCTGAACACAATAAAGGTCACATATGATAAACCCACCAGTAACACTACATTCAATGTTAAAAAACTGGAAGTTTTTCCTCTAAAATCAGGAGCAAGACAAGGATGTCTCCTTTTACTACTCTATTCTCTCTCTCTCTCTCTTTTTTTTTTTTTTTAAGATGGAGTTTCACTCTTGTTGCCCAGGCTGGATTGCAATGGCGCAATCTCGGCTCACTGCAACCTCCGCCTCGCAGGTTCAAGCGATTCTCTGGCCTCAGCCTCCCGAGTAGCTGGGATTACAGGCATGCGTCACCACACCCGGCTAACTTTTTTGTATTTTTAGTGGAGACGGGGTTTCTCCATGTTGGTCAGGCTGGTCTTGAACTCCCGACCTCAGGTGATCTGCCCTCCTTAGCCTCCCAAAGTGCTGGGATTACAGGCGTGAACCACCACGCCCGGCTTACTACTCTATTCTCTATAGTACTGGAAGTCCTAGCAAGAGCAATTAGGCCAGAAAAAAACACATCTGAATTGGAAAGAAAGAGATTAAATTGTTTCTGCTTATAGACAACAGAGTGATATACACAGAAAACCATAAAGACTCTACCAAAAAAAATTTGAACTAATAAACAAATTCAGTAAAGTTGCAGCATACAAAATCAGCATACAATCAGTATGATTTTGTATGATTTTGAGTAATGAGGAACTATCCGTAAAAATCAAGAAAACAATCCCATTTGCAATAGCTACCAAAAAATAAAATACTTAGGAATAAATTTAATTATACAGATGAAAGACCTGTATTCTGAATACTATGAAACATTGATGAAAATGTTGAAGAAGATCCAAAAAACAATATGAAAAGGTGTTTGTGGATTGGAAGAATTAATATTGTTAAAATGTTCATTCTAGCCAACATGATCTATAGATTCAATGCAATTCCTATCAAAATTCCAATGACATTTTTCACAGAAATAGAAAAACAATCCTAAAATTCATATGAAACCACAAAAAACTCAGAGTGGCCAAAGCAATCTTGAGCAAAAGACTAAAACTGGTGACATCACATTACCTGACTTCAAAATACGCTACAAAGTGATAGTAATCAAAACAGCATGGTACTGACATAAAACAGACACATTGACCCGTGGAACAGAATAGAGAGCCCAAAAATAAACCCACACATTTACAGTCAATTGATTTTTTTTTATTACACTTTAAGTTCTAGGGTACATGTGCACAATGTGCAGGTTTGTTACATATGTATACATGTGCCATGTTGGTGTGCTGCACCCATTAACTTGTCATTTAGGTATATCTCCTAATGCTATCCCTCCCCCCTCCCCCCACCCCACAACACAGATCTCGTACGTGTTTTGTTGGAATTATACCTAAGTATTTTATTTTATTTGATGATTGCAAATGGTATTGTATTTTCAATTCTGATTCCACTTGTTCATTGCTAGAATACAAAAATTCAATTGATATTTATGTGTTTACCATGTATCTAGTGATCTTGTACATGTGAAGTGCTTTGCATGTAAGATCTCAGTGTTTTCTGGTAAATTCATTAGGGTTTTATATTTAGACAATAAAACATTTGCAAATAAGGGAAAATTTCCTTTTTTTTTTTTTTTTTTTTTTGACAGAGTCTCACTCTGTCGCCCAGGCTGGAATGCAGTGGCGTGATCTCGGCTCAGTGCAACCTCCACCTCCCGGGTTCAAGCAATTCTCCTGCCTCAGCCTCCCAAGTAGCTGGGACTACAGGTGCGTGCCACCATGCCAGGCTAATTTTTTGTATTTTTAGTAGAGGCGGGATTTCACCATCTTAGCCAGGATGGTGTTGATCTCCTGACTCCGTGATCTGCCTGCCTCAGCCTCTCAAAGTGCTGGGATTACAAGCGTGAGCCACCGCGCCCGGCCTATTTCCTCTTTTCTAATTTGTATGTATTTTATTTCTTTTTCGTGCCTTCTGTCTAGGACTTCTGGTATATGATGAATAAGTGGTGAGAGTGGACATCCTTGCTGTGTTCTTGTTCTAGGGGAATAGCATTCAGCATTTCACCATTAAGTAAGATGTTAGCTGTAGGTTTTCTATAAATGTTTTTTATCAAATTGAGGATATATTCTCCTCTATTCTTAGTTAGGCGAGAGTTTTTATCAGGAATGAGTACTGAATTTTGTCAAATGCTTTTTCTGAATGAGTTAATATAATCATGTGTTTTTTTTTTCTCTAGCCTGTTAATATGGTAGATCACACTGATTTTTGAATATTGAACAAGTATTGCATTTCCATTTCTGGAATGAACCCCACTTGGTTGTAGTATATAATTCTTTTTTTTTTTAATTTTAATTTTTTTTATTATACTTTAAGTTTTAGGGTACATGTGCACATTGTGCAGGTTAGTTACGTATGTATACATGTGCCATGCTGGTGTGCTGCACCCATTAACTCGTCATTTAGCATTAGGTATATCTCCTAATGCTATCCCTCCCCCCTCCCCCCACCCCACAACAGTCCCCAGAGTGTGATGTTCCCCTTCCTGTGTCCATGTGTTCTCATTGTTCAATTCCCACCTATGAGTGAGAATATGCAGTGTTTGGTTTTTTGTTCTTGCGATAGTTTACTGAGAATGATGATTTCCAATTTCATCCATGTCCCTACAAAGGACATGAACTCATCCTTTTTTATGGCTGCATAGTATTCCATGGTGTGTATGTGCCACATTTTCTTAATCCAGTCTATCATTGTTGGACATTTGGGTTGGTTCCAAGTCTTTGCTATTGTGAATAGAGCCGCAATAAACATACGTGTGCATGTGTCTTTATAGCAGCATGATTTATAATCCTTTGGGTATATACCCAGTAATCGGATGGCTGGGTCAAATGGTATTTCTAGTTCTAGATCCCTGAGGAATCGCCACACTGTCTTCCACAACGGTTGAACTAGTTTACAGTCCCACCAACAGTGTAAAAGTGTTCCTATTTCTCCACATCCTCTCCAGCACCTGTTGTTTCCTGACTTTTTAATGATTGCCATTCTAACTGGTGTGAGATGGTATCTCATTGTGGTTTTGATTTGCATTTCTCTGATGGCCAGTGATGGTGAGCATTTTTTCATGTGTTTTTTGGCTGCATAAATGTCTTCTTTTGAGAAGTGTCTGTTCATGTCCTTTGCCCACTTTTTGATGGGGTTGTTTGTTTTTTTTCTTGTAAATTTGTTTGAGTTCTTTCTAGATTCTGGATATTAGTCCTTTGTCAGATGAGTAGGTTGCGAAACTTTTCTCCCATTTTGTAGGTTGCCTGTTCACTCTGATGGTAGTTTCTTTTGCTGTGCAGAAGCTCTTTAGTTTAATTAGATCCCATTTGTCAATTTTGGCTTTTGTTGCCATTGCTTTTGGTGTTTTAGACATGAAGTCCTTGCCCATGCCTATGTCCTGAATGGTAATGCCTAGGTTTTCTTCTAGGGTTTTTATGGTTTTAGGTCTAACGTTTAAGTCTTTAATTAATCTTGAATTAATTTTTGTATAAGGTGTAAGGAAGGGATCCAGTTTCAGGTTTCTACATATGACTAGCCAGTTTTCCCAGCACCATTTATTAAATACGGAATCCTTTCCCCATTGCTTGTTTTTCTCAGGTTTGTCAAAGATCAGATAGTTGTAGATATGCGGTGTTATTTCTGAGGGCTCTGTTCTGTTGCATTGATCTATATTTCTGTTTTGGTACCAGTACCATGCTGTTTTGGTTACTGTAGCCTTGTAGTATAGTTTGAAGTCAGGTAGCGTGATGCCTCCAGCTTTGTTCTTTTGGCTTAGGATTGACTTGGCAATGCGGGCTCTTTTTTGGTTCCATATGAACTTTAAAGTAGTTTTTTCCAATTCTGTGAAGAAAGTCCTTGGTAGCTTGATGGGGATGGCATTGAATCTATAAATTACCTTGGGCAGTATGGCCATTTTCACGATATTGATTCTTCCTACCCATGAGCATGGAATGTTCTTCCGTTTCTTTGTATTCTCTTTTATTTCACTGAGCAGTGGTTTGTAGTTCTCCTTGAAGAGGTCCTTCACATCCCTTGTAAGTTGGATTCCTAGGTATTTTATTCTCTTTGAAGCAATTGTGAATGGGAGTTCACTCATGATTTGGCTCTCTGTTTGTCTGTTATTGGTATATAAGAATGCTTGTGATTTTTGTACATTGATTCTAGGATCATGTCGTCTGCAAAGAGGGATAGTTTGACTTCCTCTCTTCCTATTTGGATGCCGTTTATTTATTTCTCTTGCCTGATTGCCCTGGCCAGGACATCCAATACTACATTGAATAGGAGTGGTGAGAGAGAGCATCCTTGTCTTGTGCCTGTTTTCAAGGGGAATACTTCCAGCTTTTGCCGAGGATGAATGCATTTTTTAAATGATCCAATTATGTGCTGTCTACAAGAAATGCACTTTACCTGTAAATACATATATATAGATGGAAAGTAAAGGGATGGGAAAAGATATTCCATGGAAACAGAAACCAAAAGCAATCAGGAGTAGCTATGCTTATATCAGATAAAACAGACTTTAAGTAAAAAACAGTAAAACAAAAGATACAAAGAAGGTCATTATATAATAATAAAGTGATCAATCCAGCAAGAGAATATAACAATTCTAAAATATATTCACCCAACACTGAGCACCTAGATTCCTAAGGCAAATATTACTGGATCTAAAGAAAGGAATAAACTTCAACACAAGAATGGTGGGGGACTTCAACACCCCACTCTCAGCATTAGACAGATGATCTAGACAGAAAATCAAAAGAGAAACATTGGATTTAAACTGGACTTTAGACCAAATGGACATAACAGACATTTATAGAGCATTTTATCAAACAGCTATAGAATACATATTCTTCTCATCAGCATATGGAACGTTCTCCAGGATTGACCATGTGATCACAAAAGAAGTCTCAACAAATTTTTAAAAAGTTGAAATCATATCAAGTGTCTTTTCAGACCACAGGGGAATAAAACTAGAAATCAATACCAAGAGGAACCTTGAAACTATACAAATGCATGGAAGTTAAACAACAAGCTTCTGAGCAATTATTCAGTCAATAAAGAAATTAAGAGATAAATCAGAAAATTTCTTAAAACAAATGAAAATGGCAATACAACATACCCAAATTTATAGAACACAGGGAAAGCAGTGCTAAAAGGGAAGTTTATAGCAATACATGCCTACATTAAAAAAAAGATTTGAAATAAACAATCTAACAAAGCACCTCAAGGAATTAGAAAAGAATAAACCAAGCCCAAAGGTAGCAAAAGAAGAGAAATAATAAAAGATAAGAGCAGAACTAAATGAAATAGAGAATTAAAGAAAAACAATACAAAGCTTCGATGAAACGAAAGTTGGTTCTTCAAAAAGATAAAATTGATGAACTATTAGCTAAATTAACCAGGAAAAGAAAAGACCCAAATAAACAAAATCAGAAATAAAAAAGGGGATATTACAATTGATACCATAAAAAACACAGAAGATCATCAGAGACTATTGTAAACAACTATACGCTAATAAACTGGAAAATCTAGAGGAAATGGATAAATTCCTGGAAACATACAACCTACCAAGCTTGAGTCAGGAAGAAATAGAAAACCTGAACAGACCAATAATGAGTAGTGAGATTGAATCCATAATAAAAAGTCTCCTAACAATAAAAAGCCAAGGAACACATGGATTCACTGCTGAACTTGTATAAAGAACTAATACCAATCCTTCTCAAACTATTCAAACAAACTGAAGAGAAGGGAATTCTCCCTAACTAATTCTATGAGGCCAGCATAACCCTTATAACAAAACCAGACAAGAGTACAACATAAAACTACAGACAATATCCCTGATGAACATAGATGCAAAATCCTCAACAAAATACTAACAAACCAAATCCAACAGCATATGAAAAAGATAATACACCTCAATCAAGTAAGTTTTTTTTTAAATTATACTTTAAATTTTGAGATACATGTGCAGAACGTGCAGGTTTGTTACATAGGTATACACGTGCCATGGTGGTTTGCTGCACCCATCAACCCATCATCTACATTAGGTATTTCTCCTAATGCTATCCCTCCCCTTCCCCCTACCCCTTGACAGGCCCCGGTGTGTGATGTTCCCCTCCCTGTGTCCATGTGTTCTCAGTGTTCAACTCCCACTTATGAGTGAGAGAATGCAGTGTTTGGTTTTCTGTTCCTGTGTTAGTTTGCTGAGAATGATGGTTTCCAGCTTCATCCATGTCCCATTAAAGGCCATGAACTCATCCTTTTTTATGGCTGCATAGTATTCCATGGTGTATATGTGCCACATTTTCTTTATTCAGTCTATCATTGATGGGCATTTGGGTTGGTTCCAAGTCTTTGCTATTGTGATAGAACTGCAATAAACACACGTGTGCATGTGTCTTTATAGTGGAATGATTTATAATCCTTTGGGTATATACCCAGCAATGGGATTGATCAAGTAAGATTTTTACCAGGGATGCAAGGATGCTTCAATATATACAAATCAAAAAACATGATACATCATATCAACAGAATGAAGGAAAAAACCATACGATAATCTCAATAAACATACAAAAAGCATTTGACAAAATTCAACACCCCTTCATGATGAAAAAACTGTGGACAAACTAGGCATACAAATATTATACCTCAAAATAATTAAGGTCATATATGACATATCTATAGCTAATATCATCATACTGATTGGAGAAAAGGTGAAAACCTTTTCTCTAAGAACTGGAACAAGACGAGGGTGCCCACTTTCACCACTCCTATTCAACATTGTAGTGGAAGTCCTAGCCAGAGCAATCAGGCAAGAAAAAGGCATCCAAATTGGGAAAGAGGAAGTCAGATTGCTCCACTTTGCAGATGACCTGATCTTATATCTAGAAAACCAAAAGACTCCACCAAAGAACTCTTAGAACTGATCAACAAATTCCGTAAAACTGCAGGATACAAAATCAACATACAATAATCAGTAGTATTTCTATACACTAGTAATGAAATAGACAACAAAGAAATAAAGAAGGCAATCCCATTTACAATAGCTACAAAAAATAAAATACCTAGGAAAAAATTTAACCAAAGAGATAAAAGATCCCCACAAGGAAATCTACAAGACACTGATGAAAGAAATTGAAGATGACATAAACTAATGGGAAGATATCCGATGCTCATGGATCAGAAGAATTAGTTTTGTTAAAATGACCATACTGCCCAAAGCAGTGACAGATTCAGTGTAATTCTTACCAACATACCAATGTCATTTTTCATGAAAATAGAAAAAATAATCCTAAAATTCATATGGAATCAAGAAAGAGCCCAAATAGCCAAAGCAATCCTAAGCAAAAGCAAAACAAACAAACAAACAAACAAACAAACAAAACCCCCAAACCCAAAAAACCCACAAAAAACAAAGCTGGATGCATCACACTACCTGACTTCAAAATATATTACAAGACTATGGTAATCAAGACAACATGGTATTAGTATAAAAATAGACACATAGACCAATGGAACAGAAAAGAGAACCCATAAGTAAATCCACATATTTACAGCCAACTGATTTTTGACAGGGGCGTCAAGAACATACACTGGGGAAAGGACACCCTCTTCAATAAGTGATGCTGGGAAAATTGGATATCCATATGCAGAAGAATGAAAGTGGACCCCTCTCTCTCACCATATACAAAAATCAAATCAAGATGGATTAAAGACTTAACCATAAGACCCCAAACTATGAAACCACTAGGAGAAAATGTATGGAAAATACTTCAGGATATTGGTCTAGGCAAAGATTTTATGGCTAGGGCCTTAAAAGCACAGACAATTTTAAAAAATGGACAAATGGGAGTATATTAAACTGATAACTTCTGCATAGCAAAAGAAACAATCAATAGAGTGAAGAGATAACCTGTTGAGTGGGTGAAAATATTTGCAAACTATTCATCTGACAAGGGAATAATATCCAGAACAAGGAAATCAAACAAGTGAGCAATAAAAAAAAAATCCTATTGAAAAGTGGGCAAAGAACATGAATGGATAATTCTATAAAGGAGACATACAGGCCAGGCAGAGTGGCTCACACCTGTAATCCCAACACTTTGGGAGGTAGAGGATTGTTTGAGGCCTGGAGTTTGAGGCTGCAGCGAGCTATGATCACACAACTGCACTCCAGCCTTGGTGACATAGCAAGACCCTGTCAAAAAAGAAGAAGAAGAAGAAGAAAGATGAAGACGAAGAAAAAGAGGAAGAGGAAGAGGAAGAAGAAGGAAGACATACAACTGGCCAACAGGCATATTAAAAAATGTTCATCACTAATCACCAGGGAAATGCAAATCAAAAACCACAATGAACTATCATCTTCCTCCAGTTAGAATGGCTATTATTATAAAGACAAAAAATAACAGATGCTGGCAAGGATGTGGAGAAAAGGGAACTCTTGTACACTGTTGGTGGGAATGTAAATTAGTTCAATCACTATGGAAAACAGTATGGAGATTTCTCAAAAAAACTAAAAAAGGAACTACCATACGATCTGGCAATCCCACTACTGGTGTCCATCCAAAAGAACAGAAATGAGTATAGCAAAGAGATACCTGCACTCAATTGTTTATTGCAGTATTATTCACAATAACAAAGGTATGGAACCAACCTAAGTGTCCATCAATGGATGAATGGATAAAGAAAATGTGTTATATACACACAATGGAATACTATTATATTCAGCCATAAAAAGAATGAAATTGTGTCATTTGCAACAACATGGTTGGAACTGGAGGACATTATGTTGAGTGAAATAAGCCAGGCACAGAAAGACAAATATTTCACATTCTCATGCACATGTGGGAGCTATAAAAATTGATCTAATTGAGATAGAGAATAGAATGATAGTTACTGGAGGCTGGGAAGAGTGTGTGGGTGGGAGACAAGAAAGAGAAGTTGATTAATGGTTACAAACATACAGGCAGATATACACTATTCTGTGTGTATTGGATTAAATGAGTTAATATTGTTGAGAACTAGGCTTCTCATTTTAAGAAGGGTGACAAAATCATAAAATGGGTGAAGGCAGGAAGTATCTTGTAGGGTTGTAATGGAATTGAAAGTACCACTATGCACTTACAATTTCTCTGAAATTATGGAAAAAAATGAATGTGAACTAGAAAGTATTAAATATATATGTGTGTAGATACATATGTCTCTATATAGATGCATAGAGAGGGATAGATTCTATTATACTAGAAAGTATACATATAGAGAGAGACGAGGGGGAGGGAGAGAGAGAATTCTGTAAAATTACTGATTAAGAAATGATCCCTTAAAGGTTGTTTTAAAAATAACCCATAATTTGACTAAGTGCTCCTGCTTTTATTATTTATTTATTTATTCATTCATTTTTTAAATTAAAAAATCCTTTCATTTTTGAAACCATACATGGTTTCATACTCTTGTGTTAGAAGCGTATCGGTTAACAGAATTTATTTTGGAGTCAGTCTCCGTGTAAATCCCAGCTTTCCCACTTATTAGCTATATGGTCTCAATCTAATTATTACATCTCTCTGGCCACTGGTTACCTCATCTGTAAAATGAGAGAAATAGTTATATTACTCACAAGAATATATATGTATCTATTTATAGATACATATATATACGCACACATACTTCACAGATGATTCTGTGAGGAAATGTACATAGAGTGCCCAACAGAATATGGCTTATTATAGATGCTCAGTATCTGTATCTAATAATACAGGTATTATTATTATTCTTGCATGTAATTATTATTATGGGGTGACACAAGTCATATATTTATTATACATTGTTTCTTCTGCAAATAAGAAAATACACAGGGCTTAGTGCTCAATTCAGTTACCCAGATCAGACAATGACATAGCTTATCTGTCCTCGTGACACATATTGATACATATTCTGGGAAATCATAACTAAAATGTCAAAAAATTTTAAAATTGTAGCACTTACTATAACTCTTTCCATTGGAGCAGAGTTCAGCATAAGAAACATCTATTTTGGACTTTTAATCAGGATGGTTTAGTTACTGATGGAGCAATAGGTTGTTGCTATGAGGCCTAATATATCCTTCACAAGGTAAAGCATGGCAGCTCTGGGGCAGTAAAGGGATCAGAATCAGCAGACTTGTGTTTGAATCCTGGAACTGCCTTTTCTCATTGTGAGGCAAATGGGCAAATCACTTAAGTTCTTTAAATATTAGTTTCCTCATCTGTAAGTTCTGGATAATTTTGTCTATTCACAGGATTGTTGTGAGGATCAGATGAGATGTGAACACTTTTCTAATCAGTGAGATGCTACACAAGTGCATTATCAGATGGTATTATATATTTTATGGCACAAACCTCAAAGATGAGAGAAGAAAATGATCTGGCGTGCTTTGACTTGGTTTTATCAGCTATGATTTTGTTACTCACTGACTGACAATAATATTCTCTGTAGCTATCCAAAAATAGACTTATAGAAGACAACAATTTAGTTCATAAACTGTAGAGTAATTTTGCCATGTACTATATATGTGTCCATTGTTTAACCTCTTCCTGGGCAGCATGTTGAAGACAAATTTTTTTTGGTAAGGAGACAATTAATGTTAGATAAAAAGCCCCACAAACTAAATCTAAGTTTTTTGTGAATTGGTTGGAAAGCAATTTACTTATAAACAAAAATGAATTTAGCCAAATCAGTATACATTTTTTCAGGCTCTAGAATTATTGACACCATCTGTTAGCATCTAATCCAGAAATGTTACTACAGTCTATATTGTTGGCTTACATTTCAAGTATTTTTTCTGTATCTTTTAAGACTATCTCACAGTGCCAAGACATCTAGTTGTAAAATCTAAAACTGTACTTATCAACCTTGAAAAAGATTTTTCAGTGTGGTAAAATAGAGTGACTATAGTTAACAATAATATATTGTGTATTTAAACATAACCAACAGGGTGGAATTGGAATGTTCCTACTAAAAAGAAATGATAAATGCTTAAGGTGATGGATACACCAATTACCCTGATTTGATCATTACACATTGCGTGCTTGTATCAAAACATCATATGTACTCCATAAATATATACAACTATTATGTACCCATAATAATTTTTTAAAAGCATATTGGGAGCATACTGTCTAAATGAGAATGAGGACCATTGAGGATACAGTAATATAAATTTAAGATATAAAATTGTTATGCAATTTTACAGACTCAACTCTTTGAAACATGGATTAGAACTTCTATTAAAATTCTGTAATGCTTAATTAAATCATATGATTGTGGTATCAAAAATATACCTCACATATGATTTAACTGCCTAAATTTTTTACATTGATAACAAAAATGAACATCATTTAATAAAAAAAGTAACATAAAAAATTTCTTGGCTGTGCTAAGAACTTCTAGGTTGACAATTTTTTAGTTCTTACAACAACCCTGTGATAACCTCTTAAACTTTTAAGTATATAATACAGTTTTGTTAACTATAGGCACAATGTTATATAGCAGATCTCTAGAAATTATCATCACACATAACTGGAATTTTATACCCATTGAACACCAACTCCCTATTTCCCACTCTCTCAGCCTCTGGCAACAACCATTCTACTCTCTGCTTCTATGTGTTTGACTATTTTAGATACCTCATACAAGTGGAGTCATGCATAAAAATTGTATATAAAAACCATATATGTTTATTGTATACAATATGATGTTTTGAAATATGCATATATTGTGGAATAGCTACATTGAGCTAATTAACATATGCATTATATACATACCATTTTTTATAGTAAGAACACTTAAAATCTACTCTCTTAGTGATTTTCATGAATTCAATATATTGTTATTAATTATAGTCACCATGTTGTACCATAGATCTCTTGTTTCTCCAATCTAAAATCAATTTTGTACTTTTGACCAGCAACCTCCCACCCCCAGCACCTGATATCCACCATTCTATTTTCTGCTTCTACGAGTTCAACAATTTTAGATTCCACATGTAAGTGAGGAGTATTTGTCTCATGCAGTATTTGTCTTTCTGTGCTTGGCTGATTTCACTTAAAATAATGTCCTCCAGCCAGCACTTTGGGAGGCCGAGGCAGGTGAAATACGAGGTCAGGAGTTCGAGACCAGCCTGGTCAACATGGTGAAACCCTGTCTGTACTAAAAATACAAAAAAATTAGCTGGGTGTGGTGCCGGGTGCCTGTAATCCCAGCTACTCGGGAGGCTGAAGCAGGAGAATCTCTTGAACCCAGGAGGCGGAGGTTGCAGTGAGCCTATATCGTGCCATTCCACTCCAGCCCAGGTGACAGTGAGAGACTCCGTCTCAATAATAATAATAATAATAATAATAATAATAATAATAGTAATAATAATAATGTCCTCCAGGTTCATCCATGTTGTTGCAAATTATGGGATTTCCTTCTTTTTTAAGGCTGAAGAGTATTCTATTGTGCGTATATATGTGCCACATTTTCTTTATCCATTCATCCACTGATGGGCACTTAGGTTGATTCCATTAAGCATGTGAGTGCAGATATCTAGTCAACATACTGATTTCATTTCCTTGGGCTATATACCCAGTAGAGAGATTGCTGAATTGTTTGGTAGTTCTATTTTTAATTTTCTGAAAAACCTCCATACTGTTTTCCATAATGGGTGTACTAACTTACATTCCCAACAACAGTGTGCAAGGGTTCCCTTTTCCCCATATCCTCACCAACACTTATCTTCTGTCTTTTTGATGATAGGTATTTTAACAAGTGTGAAGTGATACCTCATTGTGACTTTAATTTGCATTTTCCTTGCATGATGGGTGAAGTTGAACATTTTTTCATATACCTGTTGGCCATTTGTATGCCTTCTTTTGAGAAATGTCTATTTAGGCCCTTTGCCCATTTTTAAATTTGGTTATTTGCTTTATTGCTATTGAGTTGTTTGAATTCCTTATATATTTTGGATATTAATCCCTTATTAGTTATATGGCTTGCAAATATTTTCTCCCATTCTATAGGTTGTCTCTTCACTCTGTTAATTATTTTCTTTGTGTTACTGAAGCTTTTTAGTTTGATGCAATTCTATTTCTCTACTTTTGCTTTTGTTGCATATGCTTTTGGGATCATAGCCAAAAATCATTGTGTAGACCAATGTGGAGTTTTCCACCTATGTTTTCTTCAAACGACTTTTACAGCTTCAGAGCTTACATTTAAGTCTTTAATCCATTTTGAGTTTGTTTTTGTATATGATGTAAGTGTCCAAGTTCTTTCTTCTGCATGTGTATATCCAGTTTTCCTAACATCATTTATTAAAGAGAATTGTTTTTTTCTTCATTGTGTGTTATTGGCATATTTGTCAAAAATCAAATGACTGTAAATGTATGGGTTTATTTCTGGGCTCTCCATTCTGTTCCACTGGTCGATATGTCTGTTTTTATACCAGTACTATGCGGTTTTAATTAATATAGCTTTGTAATGTATTTTGAAGTCAGGTAGTAAGATGTCACCAGTTTTGTTCTTTTTGCTCAAGATTGCTTTGGTTATTCTGGGTCTTTTGTGGTTTCATACAAACTTTAGAATTTTTTTCTGTTTCTGTGTAAAATGTCATTGGAATTTTGATAGTGATTGCATTGAATCTGTAGATTATGTTGGGTAGTATGGACATTTTAACAAAATCAATTCTTCCACTCCATGAACACAGGATACCTTTCCATTTTTTTTAAATCTTCTTCAGTGTTTTCATTATTGTTTCATAGTTTTCAGCATGCAGGTCTAAGATCTCTATAAATAAATTTATTCCTAAGTATTTTATTTTTGTAGCTATTGTAAATGGGATTGTTTTCTTGATTTCTTTTTTGGATACTTGTTCATTAGTATATAGAAATGCTACTTATTTTTGTATGTTGATTTTGTGTCTTAAAACTTTATTGTATTTATCAGTTTGAACTTTTTTTGGTAGAGTCCTTGGGATTTTCTATATATATGATCATGTCGTCAAGAACAAAGACAATTTAACATCTTTCTTTCCAATTCGGATGCCTTTTATTCTGGTCTAATTGCTCTGGCTAGTACTTCCAGTATTATAGAGAATAGAGTGGTAAAGGGGGGCATTCTTGTCTTGTTCCTGACCTTAGAAGAAAAGCTCTCAACTTTTTATCTTTGTGTATGATGTTAGCTGTGGGTTTGTTATATATGGCCTTATTGTGTTGAAGTACATCTCTTTTATACCTAATTTGTTAAGAGTTGTTTTAAATCATAAAAACATGTTGAATTTTGTCAAATGTTTTTTTCTGCATCTACTTAGATAATCATGTTTTTAATCCTCTATTCTATTAATGTGGTGTATCACATTTCTAAATTTGCATATGAGGAACCATCCTTGCATCCTAGGGATAAATCCCACTTGATCATGGTGAATGATCCTTTTAACGTGCTTTGAATTTCATTTGCTACTATGTTGTTGAGAATTTTTGCATCCTTATTCCTCAGTGATATTAACCTGTAATTTTCTTTGTTGTAGTGTCCTTGTCTGTCATTGGTTATCAGTGTAATGCTGGCCTCTTAAAATGAGTTTGTAAGTGCTCCCTCCTCTTCAGTTTTTTTTTTTTTTTTGAAAGAGTTTGAGAATGGTACTAATCAGGCATGAAGCCATCCGGCCCTGGGCTTTCTTTAATCAGCAACTTATCATTACTGATTCCATTTCCTATTCATATTGGTCTGGTCAGATTTTCTATTTCTTCATGATTCAGTCTTGTTAAATTGTATGTGTCTAGGAATTTATTAATTTCTTCTAGGTTATCCAATTTGTTGGGGTATAATTGTTCACAAGAATTTCTTATTATTCTTTTATTTCTAGAATGTCAATTGTAATGTCTCCTCTTTTATTTCTGATTTTATTTGAATCTTCTCTCAATTTATATACCACCATTACAGTATTAGAGTATTGGGAGTATGACTATGTATTACTTATACAATTAAATTTTGTACTTTTATGTTTTCATGTTACTTATTAGTGTCTGTCTTTCTGCTTGAAAAATTCCCTTTCTCATTTCTTGTAAGACAGGTCTGGTGGTGATGAGCTCCTCAGCTTTTGTTTTTCTGGCGAATGCTTTATCTCTCCTTTATTTCTGAAGGACAGCTTTGCCAGGTAGAGTAGTTTTGGCTGGCAGGTTTTTTTTCTTTCTGCACTTTCAGTATATTATCCCACTCTTTCCTGGTTTTTGCTGATAAATCAGCTGATAGATGTATTGTGGCTCCCTTATATGTAATATGTTTCTTACTTCTTGACACTTTCCTAATTTGTTGTTTGATTATTGATAGTTTAATTATGATGTGCCTTGGTGAACTTCTCTTTGTGTTGAATTTTATTGGAAGCCTCTATGCTTCCTGTACTTGTATGTTGGCATCTTTCCCCAAATTTGGGAAATTTTCTACCACCTTTTTTAAAAATAGGCTTTTTGATTATTTTCTCTCTCTTCTTGTGAAATTTCTATTAGGAAAAGGTAGTTCTCTTGATGGTGTTCCATAATTCCCACAGGCTTTTTTTTTTTATTTTTTGGTCCTCTGTTTGGATAATTTCAAATGTCCTGTCTTCAAGCTCACTGATTCTTTTGCTTAATCAAGCCTGCTGTTGAAGATTTCTATTAAAATTTTCAATTCAGCTAATCCTTCATCTCTAGGATTTCTATTTGGATTTTTTAAATTAGATATTTTGGGGGTCAAACTTCTCTTTTTGTTAGTGTATTGTATTCTACATTTTATTGAATTTTCTGTACCTATTTTCTTACAGTTCAGTGATCTTTAAGAGGATTTTCTTAATTCTTTGTCAGTCACTTTATAGCTCTCTATTTCTTTAGGGTTTGTTATTGAAGCTTTAGTTTCCTTTGGTGGTATCATAATGCCCAGATTCTTTGTAATCCTTGTGTTATTATGTGGGTGTCTGCACATTTGAGAAAATGGCCACCTGTTCCTGCCTTTATACAGGTGTTCTTTGGCAGGCATAGGCCTTCACTATTTAGTCTAGTCTGGAATTTCTTTCTTTCTTTTTTTTAGCTTGGGGTTCTTTTTTTTAATTTTTTTTTTTTTTTTTTTTTTTTTTTTTGAAACAGAGTCTCGCTGCGTCACCAGGCTGGAGTGCAGTGGCGCAATCTTGGCTCACTGAAACCTCCGCCTCCCAGGTTTAAATGATTCTCCTGTCTCAGCCTCCCGAGTAGCTGGGATTACAGGCTCATACCACCACGCCCAGCTAATTTTTGTATTTTTAGTAGAGACGGCATTTCACCATGTTGGCCAGAATGGTCTCAATCTCTTGACCTTGTGATCTGCCTGCCTTGGCCTCCCAAAGTGCTGGCATGACAGGCGTGAACCATCACACCCAGCCTTAACGTGGGATTCTTAATGGGCCAGCTGGTAATGACCATGGGCAGGCATAGCTTTCTGGTGGGTTCTCTAGTTAGGTAGGGTCACTTCGTGTGCTCTGAGATCAGGTGGTGCACTTGGCTGGACTCTGCTGTATGAAGGGACCACTGGCTAGTCTCTGAGGTCAGGTAGAGCTGGTGCCAGGGCACTGTAGTTGCCTTTGATCAGGCAGGATTGCAGTCAGTATTCCCTTACTTGACAGTACTGCTGTTTGTATCCTGAAGTTGGGCGGGGCTGCACACTGGGCTCCAAGTTGGGTGTTGTCACTGCTTGGCTTCTCAGGATGGGTGTGACCAAAGATTATGCTCTGCAGAAATGCATGTTTCAGGCTTGTCTCTCTGCCTGGGTGTATCCTTTTGCTGAACTCTGAGGCTGGGCCAAGTTACTGTTCAGATTTCTGGGTTGGGCGGGACCAGTGACTACGGTTCACAGGCACATCAGTTGTTGCTTGCCTTGCTGCTCTGGGGCACTCTAGCTGTGCTCTGATGCTGGACCACATCTCTATTTAGAGTCCAGGGTCAAGCAAGGCCAGGGGCCATGCCCTGCAGAAGTGGTGGTGGTTCTCTCCCTGCCTGGGCAGAGCCTTGGGGTGAGCTTAGAGGCTGGGCTGAGTCTCTCTTTGGACTCCTGACCTGGGCAGGGCCAATGGCTATGCTCTGCAGTAGTGCATGATGGCAGGTGTCTCCTTGCCTAGGTGGAGCCTCAAGGTGAACTTAGAGGCTAGGCCAAGTCTCTATTCAGACTTCTGGGTCATGCAGGGCCAGTGGCTATACTCTGCAGAAGTGTATGGTGGTGGGTGTTGCCCTGACCATGTGGAGCTTAGACACTGGTCAGTCTTTATTTAGACATGACCAGATGTATTAGATGTATTTAGATGTATTAGATGTGGCCAGTGGCTATGCTTCACAGAAGTGCACTCTGGTGGTCTACAGTCCACCTGGGTGGAGCCTTGGGATGGGATCTGAGGCTGGGCAGGGTGGCTGGCTAGGAATTCAAGCCTAATAGAACTGCTGATCATCTTTTTGGGAGTGACTAGATTGGCTTTGTGTGTCAGTATTGGTTATTGGTTGGTATCACCCTTACAAGGTGAGTTTTTTTGCTTTTCTTGGTTCTATGGTCCACAAGGAGGTGTCAGTGTCATTCACAAGTTTTGAGATTTTCACAAAGGTGTTCTTATCTGAAGATAGCTGTTAGTTGGAATTTCTGTGGAGGTGGGGGA
This sequence comes from Homo sapiens, assembly GCF_000001405.40. Classification (NCBI taxonomy): domain Eukaryota; kingdom Metazoa; phylum Chordata; class Mammalia; order Primates; family Hominidae; genus Homo; species Homo sapiens. Next base: position 134,315,163 of record NC_000023.11, on the reverse strand, counting down.
ATACTGAAACCAGTTACCTCCTATTCTGCCAACTTGCTGACAACTTCATTACTTTTTTTTTTTTTAAGAGACAAGGTGTCACTCCATTGCCTAGGCTGGAGGTGCAGTGGTGTGATCACAGCTCACTGCAGCCTTGAACTCTTGGGCTCTAGCAATCCTCCTACCTTAGCTTCCTGAGTAGCTAGGACTACAGGCAGGTGCCACCATGCCTGGCTAAATTTTTTTATTTTTATTTTTTGTAGAGACAAGATCTTGCTATGTTGCCCAGGCTGGTCTCAAACTCCTGCCTCAAGCAATCCTCCCACTCAGCCTCCCAAAACATTAGGATTACAGGCATGAACCATTGCACCCACCTCACTTCATTCCTTTTTATAGCTCAATAATATTCCATTCTAATGATGTATCATATTTTGTTAACTCATTCATTATTTTATGAATTTGAATTGTTTCTTGCTTTGGATTTTATTGTGAATAGTGCTACTATGAACATTTTTTAGAAGCATTAATTTTAGTACCATTTTCAGTTCCTTTGGGTATATCCCCAGAAGTGGAATTACTGTATCACATGGCAATTGTATGTTTAACATTTTGAAAAACTTACAGACCGTTTTGTAGCATGGTTGCCCCATCTACATACCCACTGGCAATGTTTGAAGGTTCCAATTTCTCCACTTCCCCATTGACACTTGTTATTATTTCAGTTTTATTATTGTCATTTTTGTGAGCATGAAGTGGGTATGAACCACATTCTATTACAGATTTGATTTGCATTTCTTAGATGAATAATTTTGTTAGGAATCTTTTCCTGTGCTTATTGGTCATTCATACATCTTCTGAGGAGAAATGACTATTCAGATGGTTTGACCATTTAAAAATTGTTTTTTTTGTCTTTATTATTGAGTTGGGAGAGTTCTTCATAAACTCTGGATATAAGACTCATATCACATATATGATCCGCACTTTTTATTTTGTATTTTTATTTTTGAGACAAGATCTCACTCTGTCACCCAGGCTGGAGTGCAGTGGCATGATCGCAGCTTCTGGGCTCAGGCAATCCTCCCACCTCAGCCTCCTGAGTAGCTGGGACTACAGGTGCATGCCAACATGTCGGCTAATTTTTGTATTTTTTGTAGAGATAGGGTTTTGCCATGTTGCCCAAGCTGGTCTCAAACTCCTGGGCTCAAGTGATCCTCCCACCTTGGCCTCCTAAAGTGCTGGAATTACAAGTATGAGCCACTGTGACTGGCCATGATCTGTACTTTAAATCCTACTTTCTTTTGGCCTCCTTGGATTCAGAGAGGAATCAGCTGTTAAAATCATAGAAGATCCCCTATATGTGATGAGTAGCTTATTTCTTGCTACTTTCAAGATTTCCTCTCTGTTTTTGCTTTCAGCAATATGACTACAATGTATTTAGGTGTGAATCTTTTAAATTTGTTGAACTTCCTGGATATGTAAATTCATGTCTTTCATCAAATTTGGGAAGATTTTGCCACTATTTCTAACACATTCTTTCTGTCCTTTCTCTTCTCTCCCAGTAGAACTCCTATTATATGTATGCTAGTATGCTTGATGGTGTCACACAGGTTTTAGGCTCTGTTCATTTTCTTTTTCATTCTTTTCTCATCCTGCTTTTCAGATTGGATGCTCTCAATTGGCCTGTCTTCATGTTCACTGATTCATTTTTTTTTTTGGCCATTTAACATCTGCTGTTGGAATCCACGTAGTGATTTTTTATTTCCATTACCATATTTTTCAGCTCCAGAATTTCCATTTGATTTCTTTCTGTAATTTCTACTTCTTTACTGACATTCCCTATTTTTTGAGACACCAATTTCCTGGTTTTCTTTTGTTCTTTGTTTTCTTTAGCTCTTTGATCATATTTTCATTTAAAGTCTTTGTCTAGTAAGTCCAATGCCTGGGCTTCCTCATAGACAGTTTCTATTAATTTGTCTTTTTTTCCTGTGAATCAACCATATTTTCTTGTTTTCCTGCATGCCTCATAATTTTTTGTTGAATACTAGACATTTGGAGCACTGTAATGTGGCAACTGTGGACATAAGATTCTCCTCCTTCTCCATGGTTTGTTGTTGCTGTTTTTTATAAGTTGTTGTTGTTGGCTTATTTCATGACTTTTCTAAACTATCTGTAAAATCTGCATTTTTTTCTTATATGTTGCCACTGACATCTGTGTCTTATTACCATAGTGGTTAGCTAGTGTTTGACAGAGTTATCTTAAATGTCTGAGGAAAAAAAAAAAAAGAAGGAAAGAAAGGAATGAAGGAAGCAAGAAAAGAAGAGAAGATAAAAGAAATATTTAAAAAGAAAACCATGGGCGAGGCATGGTGACTCATGCTTGTAATCCCAGCACTTCGGGAGGCTGAGGCAGGAGGATCACTTGAACTCAGGAGTTCCAGACCAGCCTGGGCAACACAGTGAGACTGTGTCTCTACAAATAATAAAAAAAAATAACCAGGCATGGTGGTGCATGCCTGTGGTCCCAGCTACTCAAGAGGCTGAGGCAGGAGGATTACCTAAGCACAGGTCAAGGATGCAGTAAGTCGTGATCTCTCTACTGCACTCCAGCTGGGTGACAGAGTGAGACCCTCTCTCAAAAAAAAAAATAAATAAATAAAAAGAAAGAAAGAAAAAGAAAATGCCTGGGCGCAGTAGCTCACATCTGTTATCCCAGCACTTTGGAAGGCCAAGGTGAGCAGATTGAGTGAGCCCAGGAGTTCAAGAGCAGCTTGGCAATGTAATGAAATCCCATCTCTACAAAATATACAAAAATTAGCTGGGTGTGGTGATGTGTGCCTGTGGTCCCAGCTACTTGGGAGGCTGAGGAGGGAGGACTGCTTGAGCTTAGGAGGTTGAGGCTGCAATATGCTGTGATTGTGCCACTGCACTCCAGCCTGGGTGACAGAGTGAGGCCCTGTCTCAAATAAATAAATAAATAAATAAATAAATAAATAAATAAATAAATAAATAAATAAAAATAAAGAAAAAAATGAAAAAGGAAAAAAGTACTATTCTAGTCTTTGCAAATTGTAGCCAGATTGTTTAAAATTCTGTCTTATCTTTCACTTCCTGTTCATGTGGAGACTGAAAGCCAGTCATAGCTGAAATATTAGGGTCTTCTCAGGTCTTTCCTGAGCACATGTCCAGCCTTGGGTATACCTGTGACTTTCTCAATTCCACGTTATATGAATCATCTTTCAAAAGCCCTTATTTCTGCCTGTATCTCCTTTTTCAATCTCCACTTTCTTTAGCTTTTTGGTCTGTCTGTTCACTGTTGTCCCTTGACCCAGACTATGGAAGACAATATCTGTGCTTTAAATGATTTCAGCAAAAGCCACATGAGAAGCCGTTCCAGCCCTGGGAAAGCTCTGAGTGAGGCAAAACAAAGGCAAACTTTTGTGCTAGTCCTTAAGGAAGCTGCCAGACAGGTTGAGACTCACAACTACAATTCTTTGAGGATAAGGTCTATATTGCTTCCTCTGGCACTGGGAACTTGCACTAAGAGTACAGGCTGCCATTCTCACAGCTGCCACCATCTGGGGTGTGGGGGATGGTAAGCAAGCATTTTTTTTTTTCATTATTGAATTATTTTATTCATTTCTTTTTTAAAATACTTTAAGTTCTAGGGTACATGTGCACAACGTGCAGCTTTGTTACATATGTATACATGTGCCATGTTGATTTGCTGCACCCATTAACTCATCATTTACATTAGGTATTTCTCCTAATGCTATCCCTCTGCCATCCCCCCACCCCACGACAGGCCCTGGTGTGTGATGTTCCCCGCCCTGTGTCCAAGTGTTCTCATTGTTCAATTCCCACCTATGAGTAAGAACATGCAGAGTTTGGTTTTCTGTCCTTGTGATAGTTTGCTCAGAATGATGGTTTCCAGCTTCATCCACGTCCCTACAAAGGACATGAACTCATCCTTTTTTATGGCTGCATAGTATTCCATGGTGTATATGTGCTACAGTTTCTTAATCCAGTCTATCATTGATGGACATTTGGGTTGGTTCAAGTCTTTGCTATTGTGAATAGTGCCACAATAAACATACGTGTGCATGTGTCTTTATAGCAGCATGATTTATAATCCTTTGGGTACATATCTAGTAATGGGATGGCTGGGTCAAATGGTATTTCTAGTTCTAGATCCTTGAGGAATTGCCACACTGTCTTCCACAATGGTTGAACTAGTTTACAGTCCCACCAACAGTGTAAAAGTGTTCCTATTTCTCCACACCCAGTCCAGCACCTGTTGTTTCCTGACTTTTTAATGATTGCCATTCTAACTGGTGTGAGATGGTATCCCACTGTGGTTTTGATTTGCATTTCTCTGATGACCAGTGATGATGAGCATTTTTTCATGTGCCTGTTGGCTGCATAAATGTCTTCTTTTGAAAAGCGTCTCTTCATATCCTTTGCCCACTTTTTGATGGGGTTGATTTTTTCTTGTAAATTTGTTTAAGTTCTTTGTAGATTCTGGATATTAGCCCTTTGTCAGATGGGTAGATTGCAAAAATTTTCTCCCATTCTGTAGGTTGCCTGTTCACTCTGATGGCAGTTTCTTTTGCTGTGCAGAGGCTCTTTAGTTTAATTAGATCCCATTTGTCAATTTTGGCTTTTGTTGCCATTGCTTTTGGTGTTTTAGTCATGAAGTCCTTGCCCATGCCTATGGCCTGAATGGTATTGCCTAGGTTTTCTTCTAGGGTTTTTATGGTTTTAGGTCTAACATTTAAGCCTTTAATCCCTCTTAAATTAATTTTTGTATAAGGTGTAAGGAAGGGATCCAGTTTCAGCTTTCTACATACGGCTAGCCAGTTTTCCCAGCACCATTACTAAGTAGGGAATCTTTTCCCCATTTCTTGTTTTTGTCAGGTTTGTCAAAGATCAGATGGTTGTAGATGTGTGGTATTATTTCTGAGGCCTCTATTCTGTTCCATTGGTCTGTATCTCTGTTTTGGTACCAGTACCATGCTGTTTTGGTTACTGTAGCCTTGTAGTATAGTTTGAAGTCAGGTAGCATGATGCCTTCAGCTTTGTTCTTTTTGCTTAGGATTGTCTTGGAAATGTGGGCTCCCTTTTTGGTTCCATATGAACTTTAAAGTAGTTTTTTCCAATTCTGTGAAGAAAGTCATTGGTAGCTTGATGGGGATGGCATTGAATCTATAAATTACCTTGGGCAGTATGGCCATTTTCACCATACTGATTCTTCCTATCCATGAGCATGGAATGTTCTTCCATTTGTTTGTGTCCTCTTTTATTTTGTTGAGCAGTGGTTTGTAGTTCTCCTTGAAGAGGTCCTTCACATCCTTTGTAAGTTGGATTACTAGGTATTTTATTCTCTTTAAAGCAATTGTGCCGGAGGCTGTGTTCAGTCCAGAAGCCTTTGAATAACATCAGGGTGTGTCCTGGCCAGAAATTCTCAGCTGCTCCAGGACATCCCCCAGCCTCATGTGATGGTGAGGTTCTCCATGAAAGGAAACTAGTTTGAAGAGAACCTTGAAATTAAAGGACAGATTTGAGGTTTGCTCTATACTCACCATTCTGATGTTTCTATCTTCTGTTCTGATCACAATCCCGGATGAGAACTCCCAAATAAAATGACTCTGTTTTCTGGGAAAAAAAAAATAATAAAGCAATTGTGAATGGGAGTTCACTCATTATTTGGCTCTCTGTTTGGCTGTTATTGGTGTGTAAGAATGCTTGTGATTTTTGCACATTGATTTTGTATCCTGAGACTTTGCTGAAGTTGCTTATCAGCTTAAGGAGATTTTGAGCTGAGACGATGGGGTTTTCTAAATATACAATCATGTCATCTGCAAACAGGGACAATTTGACTCCCTCTTTTCCTAATTGAATTCCCTTTATTTCTTTCTCCTGCCTGATTGTCCTGGCCAGAACTTCCAACACTATGTTGAATAGGAGTGGTGAGAGAGGGCATCCCTGTCTTGTGCCAGTTTTCAAAGGGAATGCTTCCAGTTTTTGCCCATTCAGTATGATATTGGCTGTTGGTTTGTCATAAATAGCTCTTATTATTTTGAGATACGTCCCATCAATACCGAGTTTATTGAGAGTTTTTAGCATGAAGGGCTGTTGAATTTTGTCAGAGGCCTTTTCTGCATCTATTGAGATAATCACGTGGTTTTTGTCTTTGGTTCTGTTTATGTGATGGTTTATATTTATTGATTTGCGTATGTTGAAGCAGCCTTGCATCCCAGGGATGAAGCCCACTTGATCTTGGTGGATAAGCTTTTTGATGTGCTGTAAGCAAGCAATTTTAAATACCACAACACTCTTACTACAGAGAAGCAGGGGTTTTAAAAAATTAATCATTTTCCTAGTCATAGTAATTTTTTAGTATATTCTGGAGTTCTGTAAAAGTTCATTCTGACAGTTTTTGCCAATTCATTAGTTACTTTTGGCGTATGGTAGAACCCTGGTTTCCTCTATGCTGCCATTTTTCATGTCATCTTGCTTGTTTTCTTTTTTGTTCCTCTGTTTTCTTCTCCATACATTCCTGCAACATATCTGAACACTTTTTACAAGTAAATATTTATTTATCTACAGTGTTTTTGAGCATATATCATTGTATAGTTTTTTAAGTGGTTATTCTAGGCATACAATATACATACCTAACACCTTTTTAAAAATGCTGTTTTTACCTGACACATAATAATTGTATATATTTATGGGGTACAATGTGATGTTTCAATACACATATACATTGTGTAACAAATAATTGAATTGGGGTAATTAGCATATCTATCACCTCAAACATTTATCATTTCTTGGTGGTGGGAGCATAGAAAATCCCCCTTTAGCTATTTTGAGATAGGATTTTCTTCCTTTTTAAAGCTGAATAATATTCCATTGAGTGCATATACCACATTTTCTTTATCCATTCATCTGTCAATAGACATGTGGGTTATTTCTTTATATTAGCTATTATGAATACTGCTGCAGTGAACATGAGAATGCAGACCTCTTTAAGATCTTTATTTCTCCACCCAGCCTGGGTTTGTAAAAAAATGAAACATAAAAAATAAATTTTTAAAGATCTTTATTTCAATTCCTTTGTATATATACACAGAAGTGAGATAGCTGGATCATATGTTAGCTCTAATTTTAATATTTTGAGGACTATCCATATTGCTTTCCATAGCTGTTGCACCATTGTATACTCCCAACCGACAGTGTACAGAGTCCCAATTTCTCCATTTTGCCGGCACATTTTATCTTATTTTTTATATAGTATAATAGCTATGAAAGCAGGTATAAGGTGAGATCTCATTCTAGTTTTGATTTGCACTTCCCTGATAACGATGTTGAACATCTATTTACATGCCTGTTGGTCATTTATATGCCTTCTTTGGAGAAATATATGTTCAAGTCCTTTGACTATTTATTTATTTATTTATGTTTTGCTTTAGAGTTGAAGGAGTTCCTTATATATTTTGGCAAATAATCTCTTACCAGATATATGGTTTGCAAATATTTCTCCCCTTTTGTAGATTGCCTTTTTACTCTGTTGATTTTGGCCATTCTTGGTCTTTTGTGGATCTATGTGAATTTTATTATTGCTTTTCCTATTTTAGCATTAATTTCGTAGACTGCTTTTGTTAGTGTGCACACTTTCACAATATTAAGTATTCTAATCCATGGACACAGGATACCTTTTCATTTGTTAGTGTCTTTAATTTCTTTCAACAATGTTTTGTGGTTTTCAGTGTACAAGTCTTTCACCTCCTTGGTTAAGTTTATTCTTAAGTATTTTATTCTTTTCAATGCTATTTTAAATTACATTATTTACTTAATTGCTTTTTTTTTTGTTTTTTTTTTCGAGATGGAGTTTCGCTCTTGTTGCCCAGGCTGGAGTGCAATGGTGCAATCTCAGCTCACTGCAACCTCCGCCTCCCGGGTTCAAGTGATTCTCCTGCCTCAGCCTCCTGAGTAGCTGGGATTACAGGCACCCACCACCATGCCTGGATAATTTTTGTATTTTTAGTAGAGATGGGGTTTTGTCATGTTGGCCAGGCTGCTCTCAAACTCCTGACTTCAGGTGATCTGTCCGCCTTGGCCTCCCAAAGTGCTGGGATTAAAGGTGTGAGCCACCACCCCCGGCCCCTTAATTGCTTTTTGGATGGTTTGTTGTTAGTGTGTAGAAACACAACTACTTTATTGAGCTCATTTATTAGTTCAAACAGATTTTTTGCAGAATTTTTAAGGTTTTGTATATATAGAATAATATCATCTGCAAACAGAGACAATTTTACGTCTTCCTTTCCCATTTGGATTATTTTTATTTCTTTTTAAATATTTAATTGCTCTGGATAGGACTTCCAGCAGTATGTTGAATCGAGGTGGCAAGAGTGGGCATACCTGTCTTATTGCTGATCTTAGAGGAAACACTTTCAATTTTTCTCCATTTAGTATAATGTCAGGTGTGGGCTTGTCATATATGGCCTTTATTACGTTGAAATACAGTTCTTCCATACCGTTGTTAAGAATTTTTATAATAAACGGTGTTGAATTTAGTCAAATGCTTTTTCTGCATCTATTGAGATAATCAGGTGATTTTTATTTTTCATTCTATTCATGTGGTGCATGCATAATTGATTTGCATATGTTGGGCCAACCTTGCATACCAAGGATAAATCCCATCCGGTCATGATGTATAATCTTTTTCTTATTTTTAAAAATATTTTTGTTTATTTTTTTATTTTTGTGGGTACATAAAAGGTGTATATATTTATGGGATACATGAGGTGTTTTGATACAGGCATGCAATGTAAAATAAGCACATCATGGAGAATGGGGTACCCATCCCCTGAAACATTTATCCTTTGAGTTACAAACAATCCAATTACACTCTAAGTTTTTTAAAAATGTACAATTATTATTGACTATAGTCACCCTATTGTGCTATCAAATAGTAGGTTTTATTCATTCTTCTTATTTTTTTGCACCCATTAACCATCCCCATCTCCTTGCCAGTCCCCTATTACCCTTCCCAGCCTCTGGTAACCCTCCTTCTACTTTCTGTCTCCATGAGTTCAATTGTCTTGATTTTTCAATCCCACAAATAAGTGAGAAAATATGATGTTTGTCTTTCTGTGCCTGGCTTATTTCACTTAACATAATGATCTCTAGTTCCATTCATGTTGCTGCAAATGACTGGATCTCATTCTTTTCATGGCTGAACAGTACTTCATTGTGTGTACATACCACATTTTCTTTATCCATTCATCTGTTGATGGACACTTAGGTTGATTCCTAACCTTAGCTATTGTAAACAGTGCTGCAACAAACATAGGTGTGCAGATATCTCTGTGATATGTTGTTTTCCTTTCTTTCAGGTATACACCCAACAGTGGGATTGCTGGATCATATGGTAGCTCAATTTTTATTTTTTTGAGGAACTTCCAAACTGTTATCCATAGTGACTGTACTAATTTACATTTCCACCAACAGTGTTCCAGAGTTCTCTTTTCTATGCATCCTCACCAGCAGTTGCTATTGCCTGTCTTTCGGATAAAAGCCATTTTAACTGGGGTGAGATGGTATCTCATTGTAGTGTCGATATGCATTTCTCTGATGATTAATGATGTTGAACACCTTTTCAAATGCCTGTTTGCCATTTGTATGTCTTCTTTTGAGAAATATCTATTCAATACTTTTACTCATTTTTTCATAGGATTATTATATATTTTTTTCCTATAGAATTGCTTGAGCTCCTTAGATATTCTGGTTAATTAATCTTTTGTCAGATGGGTAGTTCACAAATATTTTCTCCCATTCTTTGGGTTGCCTATTCACTTTGTTGATTGTATCCTGTGCTGTGCCGAAGCTTTTTTTAAATGGATGTGATACCATTTGTGCAGAAGCTTTTTAACTTGATGTGATACCATTTTTGCTTGGGTTGCCTGTGCTTGTGGGATATTCTCAATAAATCTTTGCCCAGACCAATGTCCTGGAGCATTTTCCCAACGTTTTCTTGTAGTAGTTTCATAGTTTGTGGTCTTAGATTCAAGTCTTTAATCAATTTTGCTTTGATTTTTGTATATGGTGAGAGATAGGGGTCTAGTTTCATTCTTCTGCATATGAATATCCAGTTTTCCAGCACCATGTATTGAAGAGACTGTCTTTTCCCCAGTGTATACCTTGGCACCTCTGTCAAAAATGAGTTCACTGTAGGTGTGTGGATTTGTTTCTGGGTTCTCTGTTTTGTTCCATTGGTCTACGTGTCTGTTTTTATGCCAGTACCATGCTGTTTTGGTTACTATAGCTCCGTACTATAATTTGAAGTCAGGTAATGTGATTCCTCCAGTTTTGTTCTTTTTGCTTGGGATAGCTTTGGCTATTCTGGGTCTTTTGTGGTTCCTGTGAATTTTAGGATAGACTTTTCTATTCCTGTGAAGAATGTCCTTGGTATTTTGACAGGGATTGCATTGAATCTGTAGATTGCTTTGGGTAGTATGGAAATTTTAACAATATTGATTCTTCCAATCAATGAACATGTAATATTTTTCCATTTTTTTGGTGTGCTTTTAATTTCTTTCATGAGTGTCTTATAGTGTTTTTTTTTTTTTGTTTTTGTTTTTGACAAACTCTCACTCTGTCACCCAGGCTGGAGTGCAGTGGTGCGATCTTGGCTCACTGCAACCTCCATCTCCTGGGTTCAAATGATTCTCCTGCCTCAGCCTCCCGAGTAGCTGGAATTACAGGTGCCCGCCACCATGCCCAGCTAATTTTTGTATTTTTAGTAGAGACGGGGTTTCTCCATGTTGGGCAGGCTGGTCTCGAACTCCTAACCTCAAGTGATCTGCCCACGTTGACCTCCCAAAGTGCTGGGATTACAGGTGTGAGCCATCATGCCCAGCCTATAGTTTTTGTTATAGAAATATTTCACATGTTTTGTTAATTCCTAGGTATTTAATTTTATGTATGGCTATTGTAAATGGGATTACTTTTTAAATTTCTTTTGCACATTGTTCACTGTTGGCAAATAGAAATGCTACTGACTTTCGTATGTTGATTTTGTATCCTGTAACTTTACTGAATTTATCAGTTCTGATAGTTTTCTTGTGGAGTCTTTAGGTTTTTCCAAATATAAGATCATATCATTGGCAAAGAATGATAATTTGACTTTCCAATTTGGATATACTTTATATATTTCTCTTGTCTGATTGCTATAGCCAGGACTTCCTGTACTATGTTGAATAACAGTGGTGACAGTGGGCCAGATCTTAGAGGAAAGACTTTCAGTTTTTCTCCATTTGGTATGATACTAGCTGTGGATCTGTCATATATGGCTTTTACTATGTTGAGGTATGTTCTTTCTATCCCCAGTTTTTTTTAGGTTTTCATCATGAAGGGATGCTGAATTTTATCAAATGCTTGTTAAGCATCAATTGAAATGATCATATGGTTTTTATCCTTCATTCTGTTGATAAGATGTATCACATTGATTGATTTGCATATGTTGAACCATCCTTGCATCCCAGGGATAAATCCCACTTGGTCATGATGAATGATCTTTCTAGTGTTTTGTTGAATTCAGTTTGCTAGTATTTTATTGAGGATTTTTGCATGAGTATTCATCAGGAATATTGGCCTGTAGTTTTCTTTCTTTGATGTGTCTTTATCTTGTTTTGGTATAGGGTAATACTGGCCTAACTGAATGAGTTTGGAAGTATTTCCTCCTCTATTTTTTTGGAATAGTTTGAGTAGTATTTGTATTAATTCTTCTTTAAATGTTTGATAGAATTCAGCAGTGATGCTGCCATTGGGTCTTGGGCTTTTTCTTTATTATGGCTTCAATCTTGTTACTTGTTATTATTGTTCAGGTTTTGGATTTCTTCCTCATTCAGTTTTGGTATGTTGTATGTGTCTAGGAATTTGTCCATTTCCTCTAGATTTTCCAATTTACTGGCATATAGTTGCTTATAGTAGCCACTAATGATCCTCTGAATTTCTGCAGTATCAGTCATAATGTCTTCTTTTTCATCTCTGATTTTATTGATTTGTATCTTCTCTCTTTTTTTCTTAGTCTGGTTATAGGTTTGTCATTTTTAAAAATCTTTTCAAAAAACCAACTTTTTGTTTCATTGATCTTTTGTACTGTTTTATTCATTTCAATTTCATTGATTTATGCTCTGATTTTTATTATTTCTTTTCTTCTTCTAATTTTTGGTTTGGTTTATTTTTGCTTTTCTAGTTCTTTAAGCTGCATCATTAGATTGTTTATTTGAAGTTTTTCCTCTTTTTTGATGTAGGCATTTGTAGCTATAAACGTCCCTCTTAGTACTGCTTTTGCTGTATCCCATAGGTTTTGGTATGTTGTATTCCCATTATTATTTGTTTCAAGAAATTTTTCAATTTCCTTCTTAATTTCTTCATTGATCCACTGGTCATTCAGGAACATATTGTTTAATTTCCATGTATTTGTATCTTCCCCAACATTCCTCTTGTTGTTAATTTCTAGTTTTACTCCATTGTGGTCAGAAAAGTTGCTTGATATTATTTCAATTTTTTTTGAATATTTGAAGACTGCTTTTGTGACCTAGCATATGGTTTATCCTTGGGAATGATCCATGTGCTGAGGAGAAGAGTTGTATTCTGCAGCTCTTGAATAAAATATTTTGCAAATATCTATTAGCTCCATTTGGTCTACAGCACAAATTAAGCCTGATGTTTCTTTATTGATTTTTTGTCTGAAGATCTGTCTGATGCTGAGAGTGGGGCGTGGAAGTCTTCAGCTGTAATGAGGGATATCTCTCTCTTTGGCTTTAATAATATTTCCTTTATATATCTGGGTGCTCCAGTGTTGGCTGCATATATATTTAAAATTGTTGTATCCTCTTGCTAAATTGACTCCTTTTTCATTATATTGTGAACTTCTTTGCTTCTTCTTATAGTTTTGGTCTTGAAATCAATTTTGTCTGATATAAGCATAGTGACTTCTGCTCTTTTTTGGTTTTCATTGGCATGGAATATTTTTGCCGTCCCTTTATTTTCAGTCTACGTGTGTCTTTGTAGGCGAAGTATGTTTCTGGTAGGCAAAAGATCAATCGATCTTGTTTTTTCATCTATTCAGCCAGGCTGTGTCTTTTGATTGGGGAGTTTAGTCCATTTACATTAAATGTTATTATTGATAAGTAAGGATTTACTCCTGCCATTTTGTTATTTGTTTTCTGATCTTGTCTTCTTTTTTTCTTTCCTTCCTGTCTTCCTTTAGTGACGGTTATTTTCTCTAGCGATATGATTTAGTTTCTTGCTTTTTATTTTTTGTGTATCCATTGTATGATTTTTTGGTTTGAGGTTACCACGAGGATTGCAAATATTATCTATACCCATTATTTTAGCCTGATAACAACTTAACTCTATTTGCATAAACAAAAAGAAAACTAATAAGAATTCTATGCTTTAACTTCATCCCCCCACATTTTAACGTTTTGTTGTTTCTATTTATAGCTTATTGTACTATGTCTTGAAAAGTTGTTGTAGTTAATATTTTTGATTGGTTCATCATTTAATCTTTCTACTTAGGAGAAGAGTAGTTTACACACCACAGTAACAGTTTTATAATATTCTGTGTTTTTCTGTGTCCTCACTATTACCAGTGAGTTTTGTACCTTCGGATGATTATTTATTGCTCATTAATGTCATTTCCTTTCTGATTGAAGTACTCTCTTTAGGATTTCTTGTAGGACAAGTCAGGTATCGATAAAATCCCTCAGCTTTTGTTTGTCTGGGGAAGCCCTTATTTCTCCCTCATGTTTGAAGGATATTTTCACTAGCTATACTATTCCAGGGTAAAAGTTTTTCTTCTTTGGCACTTTAAATATGCCATGCCACTGTCTCCTGGCCTGTAAGGTTTCCACTGAAAAGTCTGCTGCCAGACATATTGGAGTTCCATTTTATGTTATTTATTTTCTCTTGCTGCTTTTAGAACCCTTTCTTTATCCTTGACCTTTAGAAATTTGACTATTAAATGCCTAAGATAGTCTTCTTTGGGTTAAATCTGCTTTCTGTTCTATAACCTTCTTGTACTTTGATATTAATATCTTTCTCTACATTTGGGAAGTTCTCTGCTATTATTCCTTTGAATAAACTTTCTACCCCTATCTCTTTGTCTGCTCCTTCAAGGCTAATAACTCTTAGATTTGCCCCTTTGAGGCTATTTTCTAGATCCTGTAGGCACACTTCATTGTTTTTTATTCTTTTTTCTTTTTTTATCCTCTGACTACATATTTTCAAATTCAAATATGAATTTCAAGCCTGTCTTCAAGTTCACTGTCTCTTTCTTCTGCTTGATTAATTCTCCTATTAAAGGACCCTGATGTATTCTTCAATATCCCAATTTCATTTTTCAGCTCCAGAATTTCTGCTGGATTCTTGTAAATTATTTTAACCTCTTTGTTAAATTTATCTGACAGAATTCTGAATTCCTTCTCTGTGTTATCTTGAATTTCTTTGAGTTTCATCAGTACAGCTATTTTGAATTATCTGTCTGAAAGGTCACATATCTCTGTTTCTCCAGGATTGGTCCCTGGTGCCTTATTTAGTTTATTTGGTAAGGTCATGTTTTCCAAGATGGTGTTGATGCTAGCAGATGTTGTTTGGTGTCTAAATATTAAAGAGTTAGGTATTTATTGTAGTCTTCACTGTTTGAGCTTATTTGTAGCCATCATTATTGGGAAGGCTTTCCATATATTTTAAAGGACTTGGGTGTTGTGATCTAAGCTCTATCCTCTTTAGGGGACACCCCAGTAACACCATGGTTCTTGCAGACTCTTGAAAGTACTGCCTTGCTGGTCTTGGACAAGATCTGAGAGAATTCTCTGGATTACCAGGCAGAGACTCTTGTTCTTTTCTTGTACTTTCTCCCAAACATACAGTCTCTCTCTCTGTTTTGAGCCACCTAAAGCTGGGAGTCGAGTGACACAAGCACCCCTATGGCCACCACTACTATTACTGCATTGAGTGAGACCTGAAGCCAGCACAACACTGGGTATCACCCAAGGCCTGCTGTAACCACTCCCTGACTACTGCCTATGTTCACTCAAGGCCCTGGGACGACAATGAGCAGGTGAAAAAGCCAGCCAGGCTTGTCCCCTTTCCTTCAGGGCAACAAGGTCACCCAGGACCCATCTGGGTCCATAAGTGTCACCCAGGAGTCGTGGACTAGAGTCAAAAACTTAGAAGTCTACCTGGTGTCCTATTGTATTGCAGCTGAGCTAGCCCTCAAACCACAAGATGCAGTCCTTTTCACTCTTCCCTCCTCTTTTCA
Source organism: Homo sapiens (assembly GCF_000001405.40). Classification (NCBI taxonomy): domain Eukaryota; kingdom Metazoa; phylum Chordata; class Mammalia; order Primates; family Hominidae; genus Homo; species Homo sapiens. The sequence goes on along the minus strand of NC_000023.11, from coordinate 134,299,853 downwards.
AAATCAGAGCCTCGCCTCTTAGCCACCACCACCCTAGGCTGTGAGGAGTACTGCCAGACTACCATAGATGTTCCCTTAAGGCTCAAGGTCTCTTAAGTCAGCTTGTCATGAATGCTGCCTGGCCTGGGACTCACACTTCAGGGCAGTGGACTCCCCTCTGGCCTAGGGCAAGTCCAGAAATGCCATCCAAGAATCAAGTCCTGGAATCAGGGACCCCAAAAGCCCAATCAGTGCTCTACTCCCCTGTGGCTGTGCTGGTACCTGAAGTCAGCAGGTCTCAGAGGCTCATGATGTAGTACTTGGCCCTTGATGTAGTACTTGGGTATCACTGCTGGTTATTCAGGGGCCGAGGGCTCTTCAGTTAGCAGGTGATGAATGCTGACAGGACTGGGTCCTTTCCTTGAAGACAGCAGGTTCCCTTCTGGCCCAGGATTTGTCTAGAGATGTCTTCTGGGAGCTAGGGCCTGGAATGGGGGCCTCACAACTCTGACTGGTGGCTTACTTATCCTGCTGTGGCTGAGCTGGTATCCTAGATGCAAGACAAAGTCCTCCCCATTCTTCCCTCTCCTATCCTCAAGTGGAAGAAAGGGGTCTTTTTTGGAGCCATGAGCTGTGCAGCCTTGGGTTAGGGGAGGCGTGATGCCAGCAGTCCCTTGGCTGCCCCAGGTAGTGTCTCAGTATGTCATGTGCCCTGCCACAGTCCACTGTCGCTGGGCCTAGTTCAGCACTCACTAGGACTTACCCAATATTTGCAGTCCTTATCGCCTGGATTGCCTTTCAAGTTCACTTGGAGATATAGAGTGCTATAGCCCTTGGTGGAGAGGTTTTCAGGCACTCATGTTTGGACCACTGGGATGCGTGATTCCCCTCTGACTAGGGCTGGTTGAAATACTCCTTCCATGAGTGGACACCAGCTGAGTTTTGTCTGGTTTTCCTTTCTTCTCTAACAGGACAGCACTATTAATAAGTTCAATGCCTCACAGTTGGTATATTCTCCCTCCCACAATGCCCAGAGACACTCTCTGCACCATGTTGGCACTGCCAGGGGTGGGGGGATGAGTGGCATCAGCGATTCAGGGCTGTTTTTTTCTATCTCTTCAGTGCCTTTTATAGCAATATGAAGTTAAAACCAGGTACTATAAGTGCTCAGCAGATTTTTGGTTCTTATGAAGATGTCTTTCTGTGTAGATAGCTGTTAAATTGGTGTCCTTGTCGGAGAATGATTGGTGGAGCTTTCTATTTTGCCATCTTGCTCTGCCTCATCTATATATAATCTTTTTAATGTACTTTGAATTCAGTTTGCGAGTATTTGTTGAGGATTTTTACATCTATGTTCATCAGGGATTTTGTACTGTAATTTTCTTTCCTTAAAGTGCCTTTCTCTGGCTTTGGTATCAGGGTAATGTTGGCGTCATAAAATGAATTTGGAAGTGTTCCCTTCTCTTCAATGTTTTGAAGGAGTTTGAGAAGGATTGGTGTTAATTCTTCTTTACATGCTTAGTAGAATTCACTAGTGAAGCTATCTGGTCCTGGACTTTTGTTTCTTGAGAGGTTTCTGATTTCTGATTCAATAACATTATTTATTCTTGGTCTGTTCAGATTCCCTATTTCTTCATGATTTGGTCTTGGTAGATTGTATGTATCCAGGAATTTATCCATTTCTTTTAGGTTATCCAATATGTTGGCATGTAACTGTATATACAGTCTCTTATGATCCTTTTTATTTCTGTGGTATCAGTTTTAATATCTTTTCTTTCCTTTATGATTTTATTTATTTGACTTTTCTCTCTTTTTTCTTTAGTTAGGCTATCTAAATGTTTGCCCATTTTTTATCTTTAAAAAATCAGCTCTTGGATTCAATGATTTTTGTTTCTCCAGTCTCATTTACTTCTGATCTAATCTTTATTATTTCCTTCCTTCTGCTAATTTTGGGCTTAGTTTTTTCTTTTGTTTCTAGTTCATTGAGGTATAACATTAAGTTTTTCATTTGAGGCTTTCTTCTTTTTTAATGTAGGTATTTATTGTTATAAATTTCTCTCTTAATATTGCTTTTACTGCATCCCATAAGCTTTGATATGTTGTGTTTTCATTTACATTTGTCACAAGCTATTTTATAACTTCCATTTTAATTTTTTCTTTTGCTCATTATGTGTTGCTATGTTTCCACATATTTGTGAGTTTTCCAGTTTTCCTCCTCTTGTTGATTTCTAGTTTCATACCATTGTGGTCACAGAAGATACATGGCATTAATCAATTAATAAATTTTTGTAGCTATATTCTTAATGTTTTTATCTTTTAGCTTTTATACTAAAATTAAAAGTGATTTACATACCACTATTAGAGTATTATAGTATCTCTATATTTGTTTATATATTTACCTTTACTATATTTTTCAGTAATTATTTCTGTAAATAAGCTTTCTGGCCCTTTCTTCTGGGATATTCATAATACATATATTGGGTTGCTTGTGCCTCATAAGTCTTGTACGCTTTATTGCTCTTTTTAATTCTTTTTCTGCTCTGACTGGATAATTTCAAATGACCCATTTTATAGTTCACTGATTCTTTTTTTCTGCTTGATCAAATCTTCTGTTGAATCTCTCCACTGAGTTTTTCAATTTGCTTATTGTATTTTTATCTCCAGAATTTCTATTTAATTCTTTTTTAATGGTTTCTATCTCTTTGTTGATATTCTCATTTTTTTTCATGTCTTGTTTTCCTGATTATGTTCAGTTATCTGTGTTCTCTTGTAGCTCACTGACTTTCTTAAATACAATTATTTCAAATTCTTTGTCAGGCAATTATTAGATCTCCATTTCTTTATGGTCAGTTATTGGAGATTTATTTTGTTCTTTAGTTGTATAATATTTCCTTGATTCTTCATATTCCTGGTACCTTTGCCCTGGTATATGCACATTTGAAGAAGCAACCACCTCTTCCAGTCTTTATGAACTTAAAAAAGAAATCAAGTAAAGACCTTCACCAGTCAGCCTGGCTAGAGAGTCTGGAAGCCTCTCAAACATTCTCTATGGGTGTGCACGCTCCACTTTTTCCACTCCATCCTGGGGGAGAAGCCTCAGGGATTTTATTGCCTTCTCCAAATGTTGTCATTCCATGAAGGCTGCTGTAAACCTCCATTCCTGTTCTCTAAGGCAGTGCACTAAAATGCCAGGATGTTGGGTTCAACCTCCACTTCTCTCTCTTCCTCCTGAAGAAGATTCTGGGTTGTGTGCCTTTTACCTATCCTGAAGAATTATGTCTGCTGCTGAGAGCCACCCACCCCTTTTCCCTTGGTGAGTACACTGGAATGCTTTGTATAAATTCCACTTATCTCCCTTCTTCTTGAATAAGAAGATTCTGGATTGTGAGCTTCCTGTCTATCCCACAGAGCTGTGCTGACTGCTGAGGCCCTCCTTCCCCTCTTCCTTAAGACAGCGCCTAAAATGCCAGGTCATTTGGTTTAAGCTCCACTTCTCTCCCTCTCTCCTAAAGAAGTCTCAGGACTGTGCATGTTTTCTCAATCTTGCAATGCTTTGCAGGCTGCTGAGAGCTACCCACCCACCTTTTCCTACAAGGAAACACTGGAATACTTGGAGGCTTGGTGTAAATTCCACTTCTCGCTCTTTCTCCTGAGGGAGAAGTCTCAAGACTGTACACCTTCTCTCAATCTTGCAGAGCCCTTCTAGCCAATGAGACCTCCTTTTCTTTTCTTTTCTCTTTTCTTTTCTTTTTTAGCTTTCTTTAAGCATTCTAGCTATGCTAGTTGCTTCACCATTGTGAGTGAGTTAAGACAAAAGTAGATCTCTTGGCAGTGCCCTGAAAGGCTGAGGATGTTGCACGTCTACTTCACACTTTATTTACCATGGGGAGAAATCATGGGCTGAGCGGCTTTCTTATGACATTGAGCTGTGCAGGCTTGTAGGATGGCATGACACAGATAAGTGAAACTGCTCTTCTTTCAAAACAGTTTTACTTGGTTTTGTGCTCATCTGAGTTGTTGTAACTTCTTAACTTGACTATGGAGTTCTCCTAAAGGTATCTTGGCCTAAATATCATAGCTTTTTGTTATTTCCATGGCAAGACAAAGAATGGGACTTCCTAGTCTACCATCTTGCTAATGTCACCAATCAGACAGACGTAGTTTTGAATCCCTGTTCTGCCACAAGCTAACTCTGTAATCTTCAGCAAGTATTGTACCCTCTCTGAGCTTCATGTCCTCCAATATTAAAGTGGTACTCATATTATCTACCTCATAGGGTTTTGTGTTAAGTGCCAAGCACCTAGTACCTATTCAATAAACGGTGCCCATATTTGTTTTTTACTATTAGGTGTAGAGGCTTCACTAGTTGGAAGTATAGGGATAGCTGTCCTACGGAAACATGTGGAGAAATGAAGTTCAGGATGTGTCTATTATTCCCTAATTTCTTTTTTCTTGAATAATTCCTATGTTGTTAGTTGCATACCAGTCAGCATGGAAATCTCGTGGCTCCAATACTGACAACCCACTTTTGGTACAAATAAGGCACACATAAAAAGACTTGATGGGAAGCAGGCTTAGAAGCAGACTTGGCCTTTAAGATGAGGTAAGTTACATCAGAACTTGGTAGTGCTGGGGTCTGGGACCAGGCCATGTTTTGTAGTAGATCATAAGAATCCACACAATTCTTCAAATTCAGTTAAGAAATTTAGACAGCAGGAAGACTGCAGAAAGATAGGAATTTGAATCTGCTACAAAGACTGTCCAGTAATTTCTGAGTATGCCAGGAACAGACACTGTTACCCAAGTGTGTGGGCTGTTCAGGTTGGAGTTTATAGATGTTTCAACACATTTCTGAAGAAGGAGAGAAAAACAGGGTTGACAAAGTCTATGAAAGAAGACAAGAGAAAGTAGTCAGGGCAAGGGCTCCAGTGGCCCAAGCCCCTACCATCCTTAAGCAAGCTATCTAAACCTAACACTGATTCTGCCCTTGTTTATTGGCTACTACAGATGCTAAGACTCTTCAATCCCTGATTATTTCATCTCCTTTTATGAAGCTGTTTCTTATATTAATTTATCAGGAAATCTATGTCATATTCCCTCTGTCTATCCACAAGGGGCAACAGAGAGCAATAAGTATTTAGCTCAGTCTCAACAAACCCAAGCTTTGTGGCTTTGTTAAAAAACATTACATCCCAGTATAAAGACTTCATTCAGGAATTGGTGTTAAGAGGAGGTCAATTGCTTAAAGGAGAAAATAAAGAAATTGAGCAGAGGAAGACATGTTACTTCTAATGGTCTAATCCTCACTCTTGCCAAGCTTTTTTGGTCTGAACTCCTACATATCATGTCTTTGGCTAGGAATAAATATAAGCCACGTTCATAAAAGGCCTCATCATGCCACTGTCCATCTGCTTTTTGGCATCTGACTTATCACTTTAATGATGATGGATTTAATTTCTTGGTGGCCAGATTGTGATATAAACTATTTATTTATGACCCTGTACGCTCCATGAAAAATAAACAAGAAAAACACATCATTCATTAATTCAGTTCACGTTTGTTCATAATCTATTATAAGTGGGATTCTTTTAGATGGCAATGTGGGGTAATTGTTACTGAATTGGCAGAGAATCTAGTATCATTCATAACAAACAAGTGAAGGAAGAACTTTTCACTGACTGGCAAAATAGTTGGTGAAGTCATTACATAGAAATCTAACTATTTATATTCTCCCATTTCAGTGTAAAAATAAATGCTGTGATTTAAAAACTCTATGGGATTTACATTACAAACTAGAGCATGCCACTTAACTGACATAGCATTAATCCTCTTCTTTCATAGACCAGCAACTTGTGTAAGTGAGATTCAGCTTCCTGTCAAAGGCATGATCAGCTCATTGACATGTCTATAGCCTAGGTGGATAGGAAAACTTCTTTCTGTAACAACCTATGCATTTGATAATCTTTGGATAAAACATGGAACAGAAAATATTGTGATTATAACAGAAATTGTTGGGAAAAGCAGAACATATCGCACAAGTTTCTGAAGAAATTACTAAATTAACTATTACAGGAGTGTTATTAAAACTTTTCCTGCAGAATCCTGGAGCATAGCCATTTTCAATTATATACTGGCTTTATCAGGAGCCTAACCTTCCCTTCATAAATAAAATAATTGGCAAGTCTTTGAGATTTATGGAACAACATCAAGGGAGCTAACATTAGCAATATAGGATTTTTAGAATGAGAAGAGGGGAAGAAATGGGCAGAGAGCTCATTTAAAGAAATAATGGCCCCAAACCTTCAAATCTGGAGAGAGATCTAGACATCCAGTTACATGAAGCTCAAAGGTTTTCAATCAGGTTCAACCCAAAGAAGTCTTCACCAAGACATGTTATAATCAAATTGTCAAAAATCAAAAACAAAGAGAGAATTTTGAAGGCAGCAAGAGAAAATATGTTTCTCAGATACAAGGAAACACCATAAGACTATCAACATGTTTGTCAGCAGAATCTTTGCAGGTCAGGAGAAAGTAGGATGATATATTCAAAGTGCCAAAACAAACAAACAAACAAACAAACAAAAACCTTATAACCAAGAATACCTTACCCAGCAAGGATGTCCTTCAGAGATAAAGGAGTGATAAAGACTTCTCCAGACAAAGAAAAGCTAAGGGTGTTCATCACCACTCGGCCTGCCTTATTATAAATACTAAAGTGACTTCTTCAAGCTGAAATGAAAGGATGCTAATTAGTAACATGAAAGTATATAAAAGTGTAAAATTCGCTAGTAAAAATAAATATATAAACAAATAGAAATACTCTAATATTGTAATAGTGGTATATAAATCACTCATAACTCTAGTATAAAGGTTATTAAAATAAAATGTTAAAATAAAATATTAAATAAAATATTAAAAATAGCTATAGTTATAATAAATTGTTAGTGGATTCACAATATAAAAAGATGTAAATCATGATATCAAAAACATAATTACATACAATTACATCTGTATGTAGTAAAAATGTAGTTTTTTAATGTGACTGAAGTTAAGTTGTTATCAGCTTTAAATAGCTTGTTATCACTATATGATGTTTTATGTAAGGTTTATGGTAATAAAGCAAAAGCCTATTGTAGATACACAAAAGACAAACAGAAAGGAATCAAACCATACTACTAGAGATCATCAACTCACAAAGGAAGACAGCAAGAGAGAAAAAAAGAAACAAAAGTTCTGCAAGACAGTCACAAAAATGATTAACAAAATGGAAATAGCAAGTCCTTCTCTAGCAATAATTACTTTGAATGTAAATGGATTAAATTCTCCAATTAAAAGACATAGAGTGGCTGAATGAATAAAAAAACAAGACCCAAATATATGTTGTCTACAGGAGACTCACTTAAGCTTTAAGGACACACAGACAGAAAGAGAAGGGATGGAAAAACATATTCTATGCAAATGGTAATCAAAAGAGAGCATGGGTGACTATACTTACATCAGACAGAATAGATTTTAAATCAAAAACTATACAAAGAGATTCAAAAGTTCATTATATAATGATAAAGGAGTAAATTCATGAAGAAGATATGATAACTGTAAAATATATTCACCCAACTTTGGAGCAGCTAAATATATAAAGCAAATATTAATAGATCTGAAGGGGAACATAGGCAGTAATAAAATGATAGTAGAGGACTTCAATACTGTACTTTCAGCAATGGATGGGTTATTCAGACAGAAAATTAATAAGGAAACATTGGAATTGAACTACACTTTAGACCAAATGTATCTAACAGACACATATAGCAACATTCCATCTGATGGCAGCAGAATACACATTCTTCAAAAGTGCACGTGGGGCTGGGCGTGGTGGGCTCACAGCTGTAATCCCAGCGCTTTGGGAGGCCAAGACAGGCGGATCACCTGAGGTCAGGAGTTTGAGACCAGCCTGACCAACGTCGTGAAACCCAGTCTCTACAAAAAATACAAAAATTAGCTGGGCATGTTGGTAGGTGCCTGTAATCCCAGCTACTCGGGAAGCTGAAGTGAGAGAATTGCTTGAACCTGGGAGGTGGAGATTGCAGTGAGGTGAGATAACCACCACTGCACTCCAGCCTGGAAGACAGAGCAAGACTCCATCAAAAACAAAAACAAAAACAAAAACAAAAACACAAAGAAAGTGCACATGGAATATTCTCCAGAATAGGTCATAATTTAGGCCACAAAACAAGTCTTAACAAATTCAAGAAGACTAAAATCATATCAAGTATCTTTTCCAACCATAATGATTATAAAACTACAAATCAACAACAGGAGGAAAACTGGAAAATTCATGAATATGTGGAAATTAAATAACAAGTTCCTGAACAAGCAATGGATCAAAAAAAAAAATCAAAGGGGAAGTTAGGAAATATTTTGAGAGAAACAAAAATGAAAAAAAAAAAATAAAACCAAAGCTTATGGGATGCAGCAAAAACAGTACTAAGAGGAAAATATATAGCGATAAGTATCTATATTAAGAACAAAGAAAGATCTCAAAAAACCTAATTTTATACCTCAAGGAAACATTAAAAAGAATGCTGACCAAAGTCAGCAGAAGTTCTCAAAGTCTCCCTTATGTTAACTGTACCCCATCTATGCACGTGCAGGTCAAGGTTATGCCTAGAAGTTCATAAATACTTTACTGGTCTCTTTTTCAAGCACTTTCGACTCCCTGATCTCCCTGACACATTCTGGATTTCTGTGATGACCATTTTGGTCCTCCCAGCCGGAAAATGCCTAGTTTGACAATGGTGCGCAGAAAAATCCATGGTGAAAGAATAGAATTTCTATAAATGTACTTAGACAACTGGATGTTCACATGCAAAAAAAAAAAAAGAAAAAAGAATTTGTTTCCCTACCTAACATGATACGCAAAATATGTCAAATAGATCAAAAAGCTAAATGTAACATCTATAAGTGTAAAAATCTTAGAATATAGGCCAATATCTTTATGACATGGTTTCTTAGATATGATGCCAAGAGCATAAGCAACAAAAATATATCAAAGAACACCTACAATAAAGTGAAGAGACAGCCCACTGAATAGCAGAAAAAATTTCAAACCATATATCTGATATGTGACTTGTATCTAGAATAGACACAGAATTATTACATATTTATAACATAAAGACAAATAACTCAATTTAAAAATTGGATAAGGAACTACCACACAGATGGTCGATAAGGAAATAGAAGACTTGAACAAAACTATAGACCAATTGTACCTAACAGATATGCATAGAACACTCTATCTAACAACTGCAGGTTGCACATTTTTCTCAAGTGCACATGAATATTCTCCAGGATAGAACATATGTTAGGCCACAAAACAAGTCTTAATAAATTTTTAAAAAGTGAAATTATACAAAATGTCTTTTCTGTTCACAATGAAATGAAATTGGACATTATTATGCTAAATTAAAACTATAAACCTCACAAATATAAGAATTTAAACCACACACTCATAAACACCCAATGGATAAAAAATTAATGATAGGGGAAATTGGATAATATTTTGAGACTAGTAGTAGACTATGAAAATAGTGATTAAATAAAAGATAAGTAAAATACAGAATAGAAAAATAATAGAAAACTCAACAAATTATGTTTTTTTGAAAGATCAACAAAATTGAAAAATCTTTAGCTACATTGACTAAGAAGAAGAAGAGAGAGACTCAAATAACTAAAATCAGAAATGAAAAAGTGGACATTACTATTGACTTTATAATAATAAAAACGATTATAAGAATGTACTCAGAGCATTTGTACATTCACAAATTGGATAACCTACATAAAACTGAAAAACTCCTAGAAACACACAGCCCACTGATATGGTTTGGATATTGTCCCCTCCAAATCTCGTGTTGAAATATGATTCACAGTTTTGGAAGTGGGACCTGGTGGGAGAGGTTTGGGCCATGGTGGGTGAATTCTTCACGAATGGCTTGGTGCTCTCCCCATGGTGAAGAGTGAGTTCTCACTCTATCAGTTTACATGAAAGCTGGTTGTTTAAAAAGAGCCTGGAAACTCCCCTCTCTCTCTTTCTCTCTCACCGTGTGATGTTCCTGTTCCTTCTTTGCCTTCTACCATGACTGTAAGCTTTCTGAGGCCCTCGCCAGGAGCCAAGCAGATGTTGGTGCCATGTTTGTACAGCGTGCAGAACCATGAATCAGAAGAAGAAACATCTTTTCTTTATAAATTACCCAGTCTCAGGTATTCCTTTATAGTAACACAAATGGACTAACACAGTCACAAAGACTGAATTATAAATAAATAGAAAATCTTAATTGCCTATAACTAGTAAGGAGATTGAATCAGTAAAAAACCATCCCCCCCCAGCACCACCACAAAAAGGAAAACCCAGGACGAGTTGTCTTTCCTGGTGAATTCTACCAAATATTTAAAGAAGCATTAACACAAATCCTTCTCAAACTCTTCCCCAAAATTGAGGAGGGAACATTTTCAAAGTCATTCTCTAAGGCTAGCATTACCCTAATACCAAAGCCAGAGAATGATACTACAAGAGAAGAAAAACCACAGAAAAATATCCACGATAAATACTGATGCAAGAATCTGCAACAAAATGCTATCAAACATTATTCAACAGCACATTAAAAGGATTATACACCATGACCAAGTGGGATTTATCCCTGGGATGCAAGAGTGGGTCAATATATGCAAGTCAATAAATGCAATACACCACATTACTAGAATGAAAGATAAAAATCACATAATCACCTTGATAGATGCAGAAAAAACATGTAACAATATTTAACACCCTTTCATGATAAAAACCCTCAGCAAACTAGGAAGGAAATTGTCACGGGATCCTTGGGGTGTCACTTTTCCAGCCAGAAGCCTCTGGGGCTGGTGGCACCTTTGCCTGAGTTTTGCTCAGGCCCACTGGGCTCATTCCGCCCACTTGGCCTGGCAGGCTGTGGTCGGCTCATGCTACCAGCCCGGATCCCGTGCTTGCCAAGGGTGAGCCAGGCATGGAGTGGTAAGAGATGTGTGAATGAGCAAGCATGGAATCTGGCTACTGTGCACAGCCAGGCACACCAGCTGCTGTGGTGGGGCAGGCAGCTCCAGGCACTGGCACAGGTGCTGGCTCCCTGCTGCAGTTGGATCAGGTGTACCACAAGCAGCTTCCACTGTGGGCACTAGGAAACATGGTGGCGCCATGAACCACAGAGCCCCAAAGAGGATGTCATAGCCCTGGCTTTGGGAGCTTCTAAGTCTGGGCTCCCTGAAGGGCTGCACCTCTTCTCTCCTTCTCTCTTCTCTCCTTCTCTCTTCTCTCCTTCTCATCACCTGCAATGTGGTGGACGAGGGGCGTGTTTCAGCCCTGTTTGTATTACAGCTTTGTTACTCCCACCATTTGGCAGGTCTTGAGTTCTTGTCCCACATCCAGAAGAATGAGGTACGTGGACAACTGGAGGGTGAGCAAGGTGAAGAGGTGCTTTATTGAGCAACAGTACAGCTCTCAGGAGACTTAAAGTGGGTAGCTCTTTTCTGCAGGCAGGTCCTCCTGATGAGTGCAGCTCTCAGCAGAGAGGGGACCCAGAGTGGGTAGCTCCTATTTGTAGGCAGGTTGTCCCCATTGTCTTCCTGAGTCTGGCTGAGTCTGGAGTTTTCATGGGTTTCAGAGAGGAGGAAGTGTGTGCTGATTGGTACACGAGTGGCCATGGGTGGGCTGAGAAAAAGCATCATAAATTCTCATTCTGGTCTGCAGAACTGGCAGCCCAACCCCCAGGCTTTAGGCCATCCCTGGCCTGAAGGTGGGGTTTCACCAGAGACCTGCCCCTTTCTGCCCAGGAGCCTGTCTACCTCCTGCTGCGGTTCATGGTGCCCAGGCTGTGTGTGCCAAGGGGTGCCTGCAGGCCTGCGCTGAGCCCCCTTCAGCCCCCCTCTGCCTCCCTCCCATGCTTGTTGGCACCCAAAGTCCAGAGGGGGCTGAGGTGGCAGGGGGCTGGTATGTCAGTGCTGCCCCAAGCACATGCACACCTGGCCGGGTTGTGACAATGCCCAGGCTCAGCCACAACTTTGCTCCAAACTTGGAGTGGTTGCTGTGAGTGGGGAGAGGCCAGGCAGTGGGAGCAGGCACTTTTGAGCCTGTGGGGGCAGGGGAGCTTTCTGGGCCCCTGAGAGCACAGGGATGCCCAGGTCTGCAGCTGCAGCTGGGCAGCTGCAGTTGCTCCTGGGAGCACAGGGCTCCCGTCCCATCAACTCAGAAGGGAGCAGAGCTACTACCAGTTCCTGGCTGCCAGCAGCTCCATGGAATGCACAGCCCCCAGCCACGCACCCCCCCACTGCAGCTGGCATCTTTGCAGCAGCTGCTCCAGACAGGACGCTACTGCTATCAAAATTACCTCAACATAATGAAGGCCATAACAAAAAGTCCACAGCTAACATCACGCTCAATGGCAAAAGACTGAAAGCTTTTTCTCTTTCAGGAAGAGGACAAAGATGCTCCATTCATTATTTCTATTCTATATACAGTATATTACATATAGTATTAGAAGTTCTAGCCAGGGCAATAAGGCCATAAGAAAGGCATTCAAATAGGAAAGGTAGAAGTAACATTATCTCTGTTCACAGATGGCATGATCTTCTATGTAGAAATCCCAAAAGATTTCACAAAAAAACTGTTAGAACTAATAAACAATTCAGTAAATTTACAGAAGAAATATATAAAAATCAGTTGCATTTATATACACTAACAATGAACCATCTGGGCAGGAAATTGAGAAAACAATTCCATTTACAGTAGCATCAAAAATAATGAAATTCTGAGGGAAAAAAATTTGACCAACAAGGTGAAAGACTTGTGCACCGAAAACTACAAAACATTGCTGAAGGAAATTAAAGACAGTAATTAATAGAAACATATCCCATGTTTATAGATGACTTAAACATTGTTAAAATGTTAATACTACCCAAAAGGACCTCCTGATTCAGTGTAATCCCTGTAGAAATCCCGATGCTTTTTTTTTTTTTTTTTTTTTTTTTTTTAGAAACAGAAAAATCCATCTTAAATTTTGTATGGAATCTCAAGGGACTTCAAGCGTCCAAAACAACCTTGAAAAGGAAGAACAGCTCTCCCTCTCCCTCCCCCTCCCCCTCTCCCCTCTTTGCACCGTCTCCCTCTGATGCCGAGCGGAGGCTGGACTGTACTGCCGCCATCTCGGCTCACTGCAACCTCCCTGCCTGATTCTCCTGCCTCAGCCTGCCGAGTGCCTGGGATTGCAGGCGCGCGCCGCCACGCCTGACTGGTTTTTGTATTTTTTGGTGGAGACAGGGTTTCGCCGTGTTGGCCGGGCTGGTCTCCAGCTCCTGACCGTGAGTGATCTGCCTGCCTCAGCCTCCCGAGGTGCCGGGATTGCAGACGGAGTCTCGCTCACTCAGTGCTCAATGTTGCCCAGGCTGGAGTGCAGTGGCATGATCTCGGCTGGCTACAACCTCCACCTCCCAGCTGCCTGCCTTGGCCTCCCAAAGTGCCGAGATTGCAGCCTCTGCCTAGCCGCCACCCCGTCTGGGAAGTGAGGAGCGTCTCTGCCTGGCCGCCCATCGTCTGGGATGTGAGGAGCCCCTCTGCCCAGCCGCCCAGTCTGGGAAGTGAGGAGAGCCTCTGCCCGGCCGCGACCCCGTCAGGGAACTGAGGAGTGTCTCTGCCCCACTGCCACCCCGTCTGGGAGGTGAGGAGTGTCTCTGCCCGGCCGCCCCATCTGGGAAGTGAGGAGCCCCTCCGCCCGGCAGCCGCCCCGTCTGGGAAGTGAGGAGCCCCTCCGCCCGGCAGCTGCCCCATCTGGGAAGTGAGGAGCGTCTCCGCCCGGCAGCCGCCCCATCCAGGAGGGAGGTGGGGGGCGCCTCCGCCCGGCCACCGCCCCGTCTGGGAGGTGGGGGGCGCCTCTGCCCGGCCACCCCGTCTGGGAAGTGAGGAGCCCCTCTGCCCGGCCCCCACCCTGTCTGGGAGGTGTACCCAACAGCTCATTGAGAACGGGCCATGATGACGATGGCAGTTTTGTCGAATAGAAAAGGGGGAAATGTGGGGAAAAGAAAGACAGATCAGATTGTTACTGTGTCTGTGTAGAAAGAAGTAGACATGGGAGACTCCATTTTGTTCTGTACTAAGAAAAATTCTTCTGCCTTGGGATGCTGTTAATCTATAACCTTACCCTCAACCCCGTGCTCTCTGAAACATGTGCTGTGTCCACTCAGGGTTAAATGGATTAAGGGCGGTGCAAGATGTGCTTTGTTAAACAGATGCTTGAAGGCAGCATGCTCGTTAAGAGTCATCACCACTCCCTATTCTCAAGTACCCAGGGACACAAACACTGTGGAAGGCCACAGGGTCCTCTGCCTAGGAAAACCAGAGACCCTTGTTCACATGTTTATCTGCTGACCTTCCCTCCACTATTGTCCTATGACCCTGCCAAATCCCCCTCTCCGAGAAACACCCAAGAATGATCAATAACTACAAAAAAAAAAAAGAAAAGGAAGAACAAAGTTGGAGGCCTCACACTTCCTGATTTCAAAACTTACCACAAAACTATAGTAATCAAAACAGTGTGGTACTGGATAAAGATAGACACATAGACCAATGTAATAGAATAGAGGACCCAGAAATAAATCCTTCCTATATGGTTAAATGATTTTTGACAGGGTGCCAAGGATTGCCTTTGCAACAAATTGTGGTAGGGAAAATTGGATATCCACATGCAAAAGAATGAAGTGTGGACTCTCACACACCATTGTATTAGGGCTCTCCAGGGAAACAGAACCAGGGGAATGAATATCTATCTGTCTGTCTGTCTGTCTATCTATCTATCTATCTATCTATCTATCTATCTATCTATCTATCTGTCAGTCTATCTAGTTATGTGTATGTGCATGCATGTATGCATGTGTGTGTGTGTGTGTGTGTTAGCTCATGTGATATGTGATTATGAAGGCTGAGAAGTCCCATGATCTATCATCTGTAAGCTGGAGATTCAGGAAGGCCTGCAGTATAGTTCAAATGCCTGAGAGCCAGGGCACTTATGGTATGGATTCCAGTCCAAGTCTGAAAGCCTCCTGAGGATTGAGAGCACTGAGGGCAGGAGGAGATTTATGATAAAGCTCAAGTAGTCAAGGAGAGAGTGAATTTAATCTTCCTCTACATTTTTGTTACATTGAAACCCTCAACAGATTGAAGGATGCCTAACTACTTTGAAGAGGGCCATCTGCTTTATTCATTTCACCAATTGAAATGCTAATCTCTTCCCGGAAACACCCTGACAGACACCCAGAAATAATGTTTAACCAGATAGATATCTGCACATCCCTTGGCCCATTCAAATTGGAAAATGAAATTAACTATCATAACCATATAAAACATTAACTCTAGAGAAAACATTGGGGGAAATGCTTCAAGACATTGGTCTGGGCAAAGATTTCTTGAGCAATATCTCACAAGCACAGGCAGCCAAAGCAAAAATGGACAAATGGGATCACATCAAGTTAAAAAGCTTCTGCACAGCAAAGGAAACAAACCCACAGAATGGGAGAAAATATTTGCAAACTATCCATCTGACAAGGGATTAATAACCAGAATACATAAGGAGCTCAAGCAACTCTATAGGAAAAAATCTAGTAATCTGATTTAAAACTGTACAAAAGATTTGAATAGATATTTCTCAAAAGAAGACATATAAATGGCAAACAGGTATATGGAAATGTGCTCAATGTCATTTATCATCAGAGAAATGCAAATCAAAACTGCAGTGAGATACCATCTCATCCCACTTAAAATGGCTTTTTTTTCCAAAAGTCAGGAAATAACAAATGCTGGCAAGGATGTGATGGCTCAGGCACATTTGTCACTAATCTGCTAGCTGACTCTGTTGTGAAGGGGAAGCATGTGGGTTGACTGGTCCCTCACCTCTAGCAAGATGTGCTCCTTTAGCTTTTCCAAGTCTTGGGCCAGGTATGTTGCAGCTCCATGGCAAAGAGCACCAAGTTCTTTAGCACGTTACCTACATGAATTAGGTTAGAGGAGGTGAAAGACAGACACAAGCTCTAGTATGGCCTGGGGAGATCCAGATTGTCATCATGGATTTCATTGTGTCCTCACACTCCCCATTGTTTTTTTAAAAAACAAATTTATTGATGTAGAATTTACATCCCATAAAATTCACCCACTTTAAGTGTACAATTAAATGATTTTTAGTAAATCGACTGAGTTGTGCAATCTTTGCTACAATCCAGTTTTAGAACATTTTCATCACCCCAGTAAAATCCCTTGTGATTTTTTAAAGTTCATCTTTGTTCCCATCCTAGTCCCAGACAATCACTAATCTATTTTCTGATGCTAAAGATTTTTTAAAAGCTTGAGAAATAATTGACATACCATACAATTTATTTGTTTAAGTGTACAATTCAGTGGGTTTTAAAACTTGTGGCAAGAACACATAACATGAGATCTACCCTCTTAACAAAATTTCAAGTATACAGTACAGCAGTGGTCCCCAACCTTTTTGGCACCAGGGACTGGTTTTGTGGAAAACAATTTTTCCACAGACTGGTGGGTGAGTGGCGGGTGGTTTCAGGATGATTCAAGTGCATTACATTTGTTGTGCACTTTATTTCTATTATTATCACATTGTAATGTATAATTAAATAATTATACAACTCACCATAATGTAGAATCAGTGGAAGCCCTGAGCTTGTTTTCCTTCAATTAGACTGTCCCATCTGGGGGTGATGGAAGACGGACAGTGACAGATCATCAGACATTAGATTCTCATAAGGAGTTTGCAACCTAGATCCCTCACATGTGCAGTTCACAATAGGGTTTGTGTTCCTATGATAATCTAATACTGCCACTGATCTGACAGGAGGCAGAGCTCAGGCGGTAATGCCAGTGATGGGGAGCAGCTGTAAATACAGATGAAGCTTCACTCGCTTGTCTGCTTCTCACCTCCTGCTCTGCAGCCTGGTTCCTAACAGGCCACAGACCAGTACTGGTCCATGGCCCAGGGGTTGGGGATCCCTGCAGTACAGTATTGTTGAGTGCAACATGCAATGTTTTACATCAGAGCTCTAGAACTTACTCATCTTGCATTATGGAAACTTTCTACCCTTTAGCCATCGTCTCCCCACTTTCCCCTCACCCTGCTCCTGATAACCATCATTCTGCCCTCTGCTTCTATGAGTTTGACTATTTTTGATTCCATGTGTAAATAAGATGATGCAGAATTTGTCTTTTGTGACAGGCTTATTTCACTTAGCATAATGTCCTCCAGGTTCATCCATGTTGTTACAAATGTCAGAATTTCCCTCCTTTTTAATGCTGATTAATATTCCATTGTGTACTACATTTGCTTTATCCATACATCCATAGATAGACATTTAGTTTGTTTCTACATCATGACTGTTGTGAAAAAAAAAATGCTGCAATGAACATGGGAGTGCAAATATCTCTTGGATATCCTGATTTCAATTCTTTTGGATAAATATGCAGAAGTGTGATGGCTGGACCATATGGCATTTCTGTTTTTAATTTTTGAGGAAACTGCATACTGTTTTCCATAGCAGCAGCACCATTTTACATTTCCACATTTTACATTTCTACAATTGGAACTTTCCAACAAAAGTTCCAATTTTTCTACATCTTCACCAATAACTATTTTATTTTTTTAATAATGACCCTCCTAACAGGTGTGGGGCAATATCTCAGTGTGGTTTTGATTTGCATTTCCCTGAAAATTAGTGATAATGAGTGCCTTTCCATGTAGCTCTTGGCTACTTGTCTTTTTTGGGAAAATATTCATTCGAGTCTTTCGTGCATTTCAAATCAGGTTATATATGATTTGTAAACATTTTTCCTCATTCTGAAAGTTGCCTCTTTACCTCTTAACTCTGTTGTTTGATTTGCTGTCTAGAAAATATTTATTCTGATGTAGTCCCACTTGTCTATTTTTACCTTTGTTGTCCGTGCTTTTGGGGTCATATCCAAGAAATCATTGCAAGATCAATGCCATGAAAGTTTTTCCTTGTTTTCCTCAGGAGTTATAATATTTCAGGTCTTACATTTAAGTCTTTAGTCCATTTTTACTTGATTTTTGTGTATGGTCTAAGATAAGGGTCTAATTTTGTTTTTTTGCATAGGGCTATCCAGCTTTCCTAACACCATTTGTTGAAGACATTATCCTTAACCCATTGTCTATTCCTGGCAACTTTGTCAAAGATCAGTTGACAGTATATGCATGGGTTTATTTCTGGCTCTCTATTCTGTTCTGTAGTCCTAGCTTTATGCCAGTACCATACTGTTCAACTACTGTAGCTTTGTAATATATTTTGACATCAGGAAGTGTGATGTGGAGTCTTTAGGGTTTTCTACATATGTGATCATGTAATCTGTGAGTAGAGATAATTTTACTTCTTCCTTTCCAATTTAGATGCTGTATTAGTCCATTCTCATGCTGCTATGAAGAAATACCTGAGACTGGGTAATTTGTAAAGAAAATAGGTTTAATTGACTTACAGCTCTGCATGGCTGGAGAGGCCATAGGAAACTTACAATCATGGTGGAAGGGGAAGCAAACACATCCTTCTTCACAAGGTGGCAGGAGAGAGAAGTGCTGAGCAAAGAGGGAAAAGCCTGTTGTAAAACCAACAGATCTCGTGAGAACTCACTTACTATCATGAGAAGAGCATGGGGGGACCACTCCCATGATCTAGTCACCTCCCACGAGATTCCTCCCCTTACACATGGGGATTACAATTTGGATTACAATTCGGATTACAATCCAAGATGAGATATGGGTGGGGGACACAGATCCAGACCATATCATTCTGCCCCCTGGCCCCCCCAATCCCATCTTTCTCACATTTCAAAACACAATTGTGCCTTACGAAGAGTTCCCCAAAGTTTTAATTTATTTCAGCTTTAACCCACAAGTCCAAGTCCATAGTCTCATCTGAGACAAAGCAAGTCCCTTCTGCCTGTGATCCTATACAATCAAAAGCAAGTTAGTTACTTCCTAGATACAATGGAGGTACAGGCATTGGATAATACACCCATTTCAAATGGGAGAAATTGGCCCAAACAAAGGGGCTACAGGCCCCATGCAAGTCTGAAATCCAACGAGGCAGTAATTAAATCTTAAAACTCTGAAATAATCTCGACTCCATGTCTCACATCCAGCTCATAAGTGGGAGCTGAACAATGAGAACACATGACACAGTGAGGGGAACAACAAACACCGGGACCCGTCTGGGGGGAGAGCATCAGGATAAATAGCTAATGCATGAGGGGCTTTATATCTAAGGGATGGGTTGATAGGTGCAGCAAACCACCATGGCACATGTTTACCTATGTAACAAACATGCATGTCCTGCACATGTATCCTGGAATGTAAAATAAAATAAAATAAATAATAAAAAATTAAATTAAATAAAAAAAAGAAAATATGAATATCCAGCCCTAAGAAAACAAACAAACAAACAAACAAACAAAAAACCAAAAAACCCAAAAAAACAAGTAGGGGATGTTCACTCTCATCACTACTATTCAACATTGCAGTAGAAGTCCCAGCCAGAACAATAAAACAAGAAAAAGAAATAAAAGTCATGCAGATTGAAAGATGGAGAAATAAAATATCCTTATTCACAGGTGACAGATGATTGTCTGCATAGAAAATTCCAAGTAATCTACTCAAAAAGCACCTAGAATTCATAAGTGATTTTAGCAAGGTTGCAGTATAGAAGGTCAACCCACAGAAATCAATTGCATTTCTATACACTAATAGTTAACAAATAGAAGCTGAAAATTTTAGACAATAATATTTCCAATAGCTGCCTCAAAAGTGAAATCTAACAAAATATGCATGGGATCTATATACTGAAAAGTATAAAATCTGATGAAAGAAATAAAAGAAGACCCAAATAAATGGAGAGAAATACTGTGCTCATGTGTTGGAAGACTCATGATTAAATCATGAGTCGTGTGTGTGTGTGTGTGTGTGTGTGTGTGTGTGTGTGTGTGTGTGTATTAGTTTCTCTCTCTCTCTATATATATATATATATATATGGAAATTATGTAAAATCTATAAATTGGGTTGGAAAGAACTGATACTATCTGTTTCTCTCTCTCTCTCTCTCTCTCTCTCTTTCCCAGAGAAATTTGATCAACTGGTCTCTCTCTATATGGAGAGAGAGAGAGAGAGAGAGAGAGAGAGAGATACAATATCAGTTCTCCCCAACCTGATTTATAGATTTTACACAATTTCAATCAAAATCCCACAAGAAATCTTGTAGATATAGGGAAGCCAATTCTAAAAGTTATGTGAAAAATCAAAGAAACTGTAATATTCAAAACAATTTTGAGAAAGAATAATTAAGTGGAAGATCTCACATTGCTTGATTTTTTTTTCCAAGTTGGAGTCTTGCACTGTTGTCCAGGCTGGAATGCAATGGTGCGATCTCAGCTCACTGCAACCTCTGTCTCCCAGGTTCAAGTGATTCTCTTGCCTCAGCCTCCCAAGCATTGCTTGATTTTAAGACTTACCATAAAGCTATAGTGATCAAGACAGGGTAGTATTGGTGAAAAATTAGATGTATAAATCAAAGGAACAAAAAATAAAGTCCAGAAATAGACCCAGAGAAATTTGGCCAATTGATTTTTTGATAAAGGGCAAAGAAAATTCAATTGAGAAATTATAGCATTTCCAACAAATAGTGTTGGAACAATTGCACATTCTTATGCCAAAAACAAAAAACAAAACAAAAAAAGACAGAAAAGAGAAAAAAAGAACCTTGACCTAAACTCCCCTCATTATACAAAAATTAACTCAAAATAGATTATACATCTCAAGGTCAAATGTAAGAGTATTAAACATTTATCGAAAAACATAGGAGAGGCCAGGCGTGGTGGCTTATGCCTGTAATCCCAGCACTTTGGGAGGCTGAGGTGGGCGGGTCACCTGAAGTCAGGAATTCAGTTCCGCTCAGGTGGATCACCTGAGACCAGCCTGGCCAACATGGTGAAACCCCGTCTCGACTAAAAACACAAAAATTAGCTGGAAATGGTGGCGCATGCCTGTAATCCCAGCTACTTGGGAGGCTGGGGCAGGAGAATTGCTTGAACCCCCGCCTGGGCAACAAGAGCGAAACTCAGTCTAACAAAAAAAGAAAGAAAGAAAGAAAGAAAGAGAGAGAGGAAGGAAGGAAAGAAGGAAGGAAGGTACAGAGGGAGGGAATGAGGGAGGGAGGGAGGGAGGGAGAAAATATTTTTGATCACAGTTAGGCAAGGAGTTCTTAGATATGACATCAAAAGCATGATCCACAAAAAAATCAAGAAATTGAACTTTATCAAAATTTAAACTTTTACCCTTAGAAAGGCACTGCTAAGAGAACAAAAAGACAAGGTACAATTTGAGAGAAAATAATTGCAAAGCACATATCTGACAAAGACTTTATCTACAATGTAAAGAACTCTGAGAAATCAACAGCAAGAAAACAAAAACCCAATTTAAAAAATGGTCAAAACACTTGAGCAGACACTTCACCAAAGGAGACATGCAATAGCAAATGAGCGCATGAAAAGACATTCAACATTATTAGCCATTAGGGAAATGAAAATTAAAACCATAAGATTCCACTACACATCCATTAGCTTGTGATAAGTTAGATTCACATTGTAATCCCCAGAACCACTAAAAAACAGTTATAGATAAAAAACTAATAGAAGAAATAAAATGGAATATAAAAATATTTCTTTAATCAAAAGAAGGCATGAAAGGAGCATGAGTAGAACTGAAACCAGATGACACAATTAGAAAAAAGAAAGAAGGTATAATTAAACAAAATAATAATAATTACATCATATGTAAATGAACCAAACACCCCAATTAAAAGCCAGAGATTGTCAGATTGGATAAAAACGTAGGACCCAACTATTTGTTATCTACAAAAGATGTACTTTATTTATTTAAGAGACAAGGTCTCACTCTGTTGCCCAGGCTGGGGTGCAATCACACAATCATAGCCCCCTGCAGCCTCTAACTCCTGGGCTCACATGATCCTCCCACCTCAGTATCCTGAGTAGCTGGGACTACAGGTGTGTGCCACCACACCCCTTGAATTTTTAAATTTTTTGTAGAGACAGGGTCTTGCTATGTTGCCCAACCTGGCCTTGAACTCCCAGCCTCAAGCAAACCTCCCACCTTGTTCTCCCAAAGTGCTGGGACTACAGGTGTGAGCCACTGTGCCTAGCCAGGATATTCTCAAATGCAAAGATATAAATAGTTTCAAAGTAAACTAGTGGAAAAAAAATAAACCTTGGAAACAGTACTCCAAGAAATGCCAGAGTGATGATATTACCAGACAAAATAGACTATAAGACAATGAGTATTATCAGAGAGAAAGAAGAATATTTCACCATAAAAAGGAGGTCAATATATCAGAAAGAAATGTAGTTGTGAACAGACATAACCACATAGCTTCAAAATATATGAAGCAAAATCTGTCAGGTCAAAAGAAATGGGCAAGACCATAGTTGGAGATTTTAACATACCCCACTCAGTAAATAATAGAGGAGATAGAAAAAGATCAGAAAAGATATAGGAAATATGAATGACATTATCAACCACATTGACATAACTACTACTTATGAAATACTACACCCAACAAATGAGACTATACATTTTTTCAAATGCATACAGAATATTCATCAAGATAAACCAAATGCTAGGCCATAAAACAACAATGGATTCCAAAATATTAAAATCTCAGAATATGTTCTATGGCAACAATGGCAGTAAATTCAGAATTAAAAACAATAAGATATCTAGAAAGGCCTTAAGATATTTGAAAATTAAACAATATCCTCTGAGTAACCCATGGATCAAAGAAGAAATCACAATGAAAATTAGAATATATTCCAAACTGATAACATATTAAAATTGGTGGGGTGTACTTAAAGCAAGGCTTAGAGGAAAATTTATAGCTTGAAATGTTTATGTTAGAAAGGAAGTAATAAAACCATGATCTAAGTTCATCTTAAGAAACTAGAAAAAGAAGAGCACATTAACCCTAATGAAAGGAGAAGTAGGGAAAAAATATAGAGCAATAGTCAATGTAGTGGAAAAAAGACAAGCAATAGAGAGAATTAGCAAAGCCAAGAGATGAGTCTTCAACTTGATTAATGCAATCCATAAACACCTAACAAGACTGATCAGGAAAAAAGGAGTTAAAACACAAATAGCCAGTACCAAAAATGATAGAGGGATTATCACTACAGATCCTATGGATATCTCACAGGAAATAGAAGACTGTTATGATAAACTTGATGCCGATAAATTCAACAGTTTAGATGAAAGAACCAAATAATTGGAAAAAAATAGTATTAAAATTGACACAAGATGACATAGTAAGTCTAAATAGCCCTATATCTATTAAAAAATTGAATTTGTTATAGAAAATTTTCCCACAAAGACAGTTCCAAGCCCAGATATCTTCACTGGTTAATTCTATCAAACTTGTAGAGAAGATATATTATCAATCATACACAACCTCTTTCAGAAAATAGAGGAGAAGGAGACACTTCTCAACTCATTTTATATGGCCACCATAATCATGATACCAAAACCAATAAAAGAAAATTATAGGCCAATATCACTCACAAATGCAGACATATAACTCCTTTAAGAATTAGTTGGAAATCAAAACTAACAATACATAAAAAAATGCACCCTGACCAAATGAGTTTATCTAAGGAATTCAGGTACAAAGTTAATTTAACATTCAAAAACAAGTCAATACACTGTAGTCAATTCATACCAAAGTATTTACTTTGAAATAAATTAACAATGTAAGATGCATGAGTAAAGGAATGGATAGAGAAATAGATATATGATAAAGCAAGTATAGTAAAAGATTAATGGTATAATGTAGTTGGTGGGTATATGGTTCACCAAAAAATCCTTTCACTTTGGCCATACATTTGAAAATAACTTTTCATAACAAAATTATGGAAAAAACAAATCAATTTAACCAACCATATTAACAGCATAAAGAAGAAAAAACATGACCACTTCAATAGATACAGAAAAAGCGTTTGAAAAATCCAATATTCATTTATGATTTTTTAAAACTCTCAAGTAGGTATAGAAGGGAACTTCCTTAATCTGATGAAAGACATCTCCCAAAACTTACATCTAGCATCATAGTTAGTAATGAAATAGTGAATTTCACCATTAAATTTTTCTCCACCTTAAGATAGGAAAAAGAGCAAGGATATCTACTCTCATCATTTCTATTCAACATTGTACTGGTGATCCTAGTCATTGCAATAAGTCAAGAAAAGGAAATAAAAGGCATGCCAGTTTGATAAGAAGAAATACAACTGTCATTTACATATGACATTATTTTTACAGAGAATTTACAAAACAACTACTAGAACTAATAAGTGAGTTTATCAACATCTCCAGATGCAAGATCAATACAGAAATCAATTTATTTTTAGATTCTACTAGCAAAATGGAAAAATAAAAATTTCAAAAATCAGTTTATAATAGTGTTATAAGACATAAAATACTTAAGAATAAATCTACCAAAAGACATCTAATACCTGTACACTGGAAATTATGGAAAAATGATAACAGTGTTTAAAGAAAACTTAAAAATTGGAGAGCCAGGTGCAGTGCTATAATCCCAGCACTTTGGGATGCTGAGGTGGAGAGGATCACTTGAGGCCAGGAGTTCAAGACCAGCCTAGGTAACACAGTGAGACCCCTGTTTCTATAAAACATTTTTAAAAATTAGCCAGTTATGGTGGCGCACACCTGTAGTCTCAGCAACTTGGGAGGCTGAGGCAGGAGGATCTCTTGAGCCCAGGAATTCAAGGCTGCAGTGACTTATGATTGTGCAACTGCACTTCAGCCTAGGTGGCAGAGTGACCCTGTCTCAAAAAAAAAAAAAAAAAAAAAGTCATGTTCGTGGATTGGAAGACTCAATATTGTAAAAAAGTAAATTCTTCCCCAAATTGATCTTTAGACTTTATGCAATCCCAAGCTCCTAGCAGACGTTTTTGTAGAAATTCACAAGCCAGCTATAAAATGTATGTGAAAATGTAAGTGACATAGATTAGTCCAGTCTTGAAGAAGAAGAACGAACTTGCAGAACTTAACGCTCCTCACTTTCAAGTTTGTAAATCTTAAAGTAATCAAAATAGTGTGGCATTGGTCTAAGGATAATCAACTAAATAAATGAACTAGAATAAGAGTCCGTAAATTGACCTATACTTACACAGTCAGCTGATTTTCAATAAAAGCAGCAAAGCAAAACAATAGGGAAAAAAAGTCTTTTCAATAAATGTAGTGAAATAATTGGAAAAATAACCTACGAAGAAAAATTTAATCTCAACTCCCACTCTTCACCATATACAAAATTTAATTTGAGATGGATCAGAGTCCTAAACATAGGCACTAAACTGTAAAGCTTTCAGAAGAAAGCACAGGACAATACCTTCAGGATGTGAGGGTAGACAAAGATTCCTCAGATAGGATACAGAAAGCAATAACCATTAAAAAATTTAATTTTTAAAATTAATTTAGTCATTAAGTTTTTGAACTTTTATAATGAAATAATAGCTGACTTAGACAAAAATTTCAATATAGTAGTACAATAAGTTCCTGTATGCCCTTTATCCAGATTCTCCAAATGTTAACATTTTTACTGCATTTGCTTTTTCATTCTCTTAATTGATAGAAATTATTATATTATTTTTAATATTTTGAATGTAAGTGGCATCCATGATGTCTCTTTACTCCTAAACAACATTCTCTTATATAACTGTAGTTGAATTGTCAAAGTCTTATTAATATTAATATAATACTATTATTTAATCTATAGATTGTTAAAATTTCAATAACTTTGCTACTAATGTTCTTTATAGCAAAGAAAAATTTATAAATATATGCAGCAAAGTATCTGAAAGGTATTAATATCCTGGTTACAATATTTCTGGGTTCTAACATGCCTGTTTTTTAGTTTAGTCTTTTTGTTTATGTGTATTTTCTCATTTTTTTTTTCAACTTCTTGGTCAATTTTCATTAAAAACTTATTCCTTAAAACTTTTTACAGTATTTTTTGAATTTTTTTTTTACTGCATATATGGGTCTTCACTTCATTTTTCAGTAAAGACAACTTATTTAGTTATCAGTGTCCCATCATTTGATAAGACCAATGGAGGGTTTGGATAGTAGCCCAGCTGTTTTTGAATTGCTTGAAGAGAATCTTGTAAATTTGTAGTCCAGAGGTAATTCTGCGATTATTTCAATACTTGGAATTACAATAGTGCTGTAAGTACTGATTCTCTTACAAGACTATGCACAAACCAAGGAGTCTTCTGTATTTTCCAGTCCCAACACTGAATCAATAAAAAAAAAAGGAGCCTCATTTTTTAGATGAAGTATTTAGAGGCTTTACCTTTGGTCCCTCATATTTTCCTTTTTCTCTAGAGGCTCTGACTTCTCAGGCCTCTGACTCCTTGCACCTTCATCCCTCTGAGTTCTTCCAGGATAAGAACTGTCTCCCAATTACTATAGTGATGAGCCAGGAAAATATCTGAATGCATGCCGTAATAAACAACCTTGGGTTCAGGTTTGCCATTGATTTTCTTCAGAAGTTCATAGAGGTGGATAGCGTTCCCTTGGGAGCACCAGCCAGGTTTATCCAGAGATGGCAGCGCCTCCTGCTCCTCATCATTCTCTGCATCCAGAAAGGTCTCTGACTTGGTAAGTGGGAGAAGAAACCAGGCTTCAATGCATTTGTAATCACAATGTCAAAAAGGTCTGCAAAATCATTCCCGAGGATATATTCGCAGAGAAGTCTACAGTAATCACTGTGAGAACTGGTAATTAACAGAAGAATTTTCCCAGCATTCTTTAGCTGTCGAAGCCATTTTTTCACAGATTTAGGACAACTGTGTAAATATCTGCCTGGATCTCTTTTTACTTCTGGAATATATATTCCACAGTTTTCCTTAAAAGCTGACATTTTATAATTGTGTTGTATAGCAGCAACTATATCCTTCCAAAAATCAAATGTTTTTTGACCATTGTTTGTTGTTAAATAGTCCACCACCCTGGCACATAGAAGAGCTCCCGGCAGGTCAAAGTAGTTGTAAAAATAATACTTTCATGAGCGGCAAGCCATTCCAGTGTCCGACAAGAAATGCTTCCACCCTTTCTTGCCATATGTCTCTGCCAGCACCTCTGGAGTCATCATCTTGGTGCCATGGCTTGCCCTGAGAACAGTGCCATTATCAGCAAGTTTAAGGAAGTTCCTATCTTCTAGATCCAATGCCAAACCCTTGCAACAGAAATTCCAATCCTCTGGGGTCACATTGAGCAATTCCTTATCATACCCTTTCTCCTTAACTAAGAACTGGGCAAAGCTATTATAAATGAGTGGGGCGCTCTCGGGCAGGTTGTAGTGACACAGGGTGTGGTCCAGGTAGAATCCGACCACATCGCAGGCGTCCAGGGAGAAGTGCTGAGCCATGGCTGCACTGGGAGCACCGGGGAGCGCCTCGGCCCAGGAGGGTGCAAGCTTTTCTCACTTTTTAAAATGAGTATGTATTAATTTTGTAATAAGAAGAAGCTACTATTAATAAATAAAAAATAAAATGAAATATGTGTATGTGAGAAAACACTATTAGGAAATTCACGGAATAGGCAAGCCACAGACAGGGAGAAAACATTTGCAAACTATGTATCTAACAAAGGACTTATGTTCAGGGTGCATAACAAATTCCTACAACTCAACAATAAAAAGACAAATGACCCAATTAGAAAATGGGCAAAAGACGGCCAGGCGCGGTGGCTCATGCCTGTAATCCCAGCACTTTGGGAGGCCGAGGCAGGTGGATCACGAGGTCAGGGGTTCAAGACCAGCCTGACCAACATGGTGAAACCCCGTCTCTACTAAAAATACAAAAATTGGCTGGGTGTGGTGGTGGGCAACTGTAATCCCAGCTACTTGGGAGGCTGAGGCAGGAGAATTGCTTGAACCTGGGAGGTGGAGGTTGCAGTGAGCCGAGATCACCACTGCACTCCAGCCTGGGCGACAGAGCAAGACTCTGTCTCAAAAAAAAAAAAAAAGAAAAGAAAACGGGCAAAAGACTTTGACAGATATTTCACAGAGAAAAGGAATATTAATGGCCAATAAGCAAGGGTAAAAGTGTTCAACATCACTAATTATCAGGAAAATGCAAATTACAGCCACTGCATGCATTAAAATGGTTAAATTTTTAATTAAAACAATTAAGGTTGGGCACAGCGGCTCATGCCTCTAATTCCAACACTTTGAGAGGCCAAGGCAGAAGGATCGCATGAGGCCAGGAGTTTGAGACCAGCCTGGGCAACAGGGCGAGAACCTATCTCTATAAAAAATTAAAATTTAAAAATTAGATAGGTGTGGTGGTATGCACCTATAGTCCCAGATACTCAGGAGGCTGAGGCAGGAGGATTGCTTGAGCCCAAGAGTTCAAGGCCGCAGCAAGCTATGATGGCACTGTGCTCCAGTCTGGGCAACAGAGCAAGACCCTGTCTCAAAACAAAAAAAAAAAAAAAGGAAGAAAATTATTTCCTAACAAGAATCCCAAACTCAGCAAAACTATCACAAGCAAATATAAAAACACACATTTTTAATTTACATCTGCAAATTTCAAAAAAATATTTCCTATGCACTCTTTCTCTAATAGGAGGATTTGCTTTTTGCAATTAAGGAGTAAACAAGAGAGGAAGACATGGAAACCAGGGTAATTTAACACAGAATAGAGACAAAAGGATTTCCATAATGACAGAGGAAAGAAGCCTCAAGACCATAACTATGAGCACTTAGTGAGAGACAAACCCAGAATGGATTATGTCCTCCTCAACTACTCTAATAAAAAGTGCATAGATAACATCTCAAATGGACAAATCGAGAAATAACAATATCCCTATATTTTAGAAACAAGATAAATATATCCAAGAAGAGTTCGAATCTTTTGAAAGTGGCTATCTTTTGAAAAAGAAACACCTGGCCGCTGGCCGGGAGCTGTGGCTCACGCCTGTAATCCCAGCACTTTGGGAAGCTGAGGCTTGAGGTCAGGAGTTTGAGACCAGCCTGGTCAACATGGTGAAAGCCCATCTCTACTAAAAGTACAAAAAACAAACAAACAAACAAAAAAAACAATTAGCTGGGAGTGGTGGCTCACACCTGTAATCCCAGCTACTCCGGAGGCTGAGGCAGATGAACTGTTTGAACCTGGGAGACAGAGGTTGCAGTGAGCCAAGATCACGCCACTGCACTCCAGCCAGGGCCACAGAGCAAGACTCTGTCAGAAAAAAAAAAAAAAAAAGAAAGAGCCACCATAATTACATATTTAATTTAAAAAACTCAACAAACAAAATAATCCTTATCTCAAACAAAATTTATAAACCTTTGCAGATATTCACTATCATACTCCCTCTCCGTGATTCTTCTAAACAAATTCTATGACTCCTCCTGTTTTTGAAATATATTTTTAAGTCTTTTGTTAATCATATATTTTACCTGGTTTCTATTGCTCCTCCTGCTTTCAAAATGCTTTTCAAATATATATTGTCAGTCTTTTAAAGTGTGTTTACTTGTGAGTGCAAGGGCTTGCCTTTCTTATGGATCCTCAAACTACTCCTGAAAAGGCTTATGGGATAAAACTTAGATTGTGCTCAGGTGTGAAAGAGAATCAATTAATTACTTCTACCTGGAAGTTACTTGCTCCCCTTATCTCTTTCTGTAAGCATTTTTTTAAGTAAATGACCAAAGTCATATCTTAAAAATTGCCAGATGTATGATTTTATTTCCAAATCATTCTCTATCTCTTAAAAGACTAAAAACAATCCAAGTGTCCATCAGTCAGGGCCTGGTTAAATAAATTATGATTTATCTACCCAGTGGAATTTTATGTGGAATATTATGCAGCTATTAAAAAATCAGGAAGCTCTCTATGTACTGATGTAAAAATATATCTTGTTAAAGGTTAAAAAGCAACGTGTAGTACAGTGTTTAGAGTGTTCTACTTTTGTGTAACAAAGCAGAAAGAGAGGAGAATATATATTTGCATAAACACTGGAAGAACATGCAAAAAAGCAGGTAAAATTGGATGGAAGGTGAGAGAGAATAAGACCTGTCAATGTACACCTTTTTTTTTTTTTTTTTTTTTTTGAGATGGAGTCTCACTCTGTTGCCAGCCTGGAGTGCAATGGCGTGATCTCAGCTCACTGCAACCTCTGCCTCCCAGGTTCAAGCGATTCTCCTGCCTCAGCCTCCCAAGTAGCTGGGACTATAGGCGCATGCCATCACACCTGGCTACTTTTTGTATTTTTAGTGGAGATGGGGTTTCACAATGTTGGCCGGGATGGTCTTGATTTCTTGACCTTGTGATCTGCCTGCCTCAGCCTCTTAAAGGGCTAGAATTACAAGTGTGAGCCACCATGCCTGGCCCAGTGTACACCTTTGTATGTAGTTCTGAATTTTGAACCACGTGGATGTATTACCTTACTAAACAAGACGGGAGAAAGGACAAGAAAGTGGTTACCTTTGGAGGAGCAGAAATAGAGGGAATGTGTCAGGAGGCTGATGTTTTAGCATTATAAGCATTTTTGGCACAATATGAATTTTCAAATGATGTGCAGATTATCTGGCATTCAGTGGATTACCATCAGAAGAATTAAAAAGAGCAATGGTTAAAAGTGGTTACTTCTAGGAAGTATGTCTGAAAATGGAGAGGAGTGAAGCAGGTGGATATTGCATTTCATTAAAAACCTGTACTATTGCTTATTTTTAATCTTATTCCTGTGTTACTAGGATAAAAATTAAAATAGAACATCCCACTACCCCACCCAGCAAAAAGAAGGTAGAAAGTGGAAGCTTATGTGGATAAAGAGAAATTATCTTCTAGTCACAAAGAGGGACTGTGTTTACTCCGCAAGTTTTCCTAGTCAAAACTGTCTCCTTAGTTCTGGGTTAAGACAATATATTTAACTAAAGCAACCAAGACGCAGCCTCTTCAACAGGAAAAGCAATGTCTGGTTGTGATAAAGATACAATTAATCTTTTAAAAATATGTGTTGGAAACCATTCAATATCAGTTCATATAGACTAACATCATTTTTTAAAGCTGCTGCATAAATTCCATAGTGTAGAGACACTGTAATTAAATTATTTCCCTTTTAGTGGACATTTCTGTTGTTACAAACAATGCCACAGTAAACATCCATGCACTCGTAAATCATTGAGCTTATATGCAAGAAGAGATTCCTAGAAATGGAATTAGTGGATCAAAGAGCAAATTCTATTTTCTAGATTTTACACAATGAGTATGTATAGCTTTTATAATCAGAAAAAAAGTAAACTAAAATAATTAACTGTAAGGTGAAGGTCCTGCTTTCTTAGTATTTTGTAGTCTGTATGATACAAATTTTTAACCTTTCAGAATCAAAGGAAGAGGGCCTGGCTTGAAACAGATCATAGGGACTTGTCATGACTGGTTCATTGTAAACTAGAAAGTGTCACTGCCATCTCAGACACATGAAGACATATGTCTGGGAGGAAGCTGCTTTCTTTTTAATATTAAAACTTTGTTTTAATAGAATTTTGGCCAGGTGCAGTGGCTCAAGTCTGTAATCCAAGCACTTTGGGAAGCTGAAGCGGGAGGATCACTTGTGCCCAGGAGTTCAAGACCAGTCTGGGAAACATAGTAAGATCCCATCTCTGCAAAAAATAAAAAATTAACTGGGCATGGTGGCGTGTGCCTGTGGGCCCAGCTACTCAGAATGCTAAGGTGGGAGGATCTCTTGAACCCAGGAGGTCAAAACTGCAGTGAGCTAGGATTGTGCCACCGCACTCCAGCCTGGGTGATAGAGCAAGACTCTGTCTCAAAAAAAAAAAAAAAGACATTATCTTGAGATATTATTTGTTAAGTTTCACTTTGTTTTAATAGAATTCTCCGAACTATAATTCTAAAATGAAGTAAAATGCAAAGTAGAGCAATTATCTGCTATGTTTGTAAAACTTTGTTTTGCTTAACATCAAGTGGGATTTGGTAAAAGTCTTATTTTATCAGCAGGGTTCTAATTACTAAAAGACTTGAAGGCCCAAATTATAATGCCTCCAGTACGAATCCTAAGGACTATGGTATCATTACAATCCCTTGTATTTGGGTAGTATAGAGAATTAGAAAAAAATGAACACAAAAAGTTCTCATTTTACCCAAGAACTGGGTGTTTTGCTTGAATTACCAGGATAATCGGTGTAGCTCTCACATCTAATTTGTGTTTTGCCTGTGTAGACACAGTTTAAAGAAACGTCTAAGATAAAACTTTAGTGAAATTACAGAACCCCAAAGATTAATTTCTCTCAGCAACAGGAAATGAGTACAACCTAAATAGTCTTACTGAAAGGTTGGAGCTAGGTGCTAGAAAGTTGAGGCAGGAAGATATTCAAGATTCTCTTGTTGTGCCAACCCACCGCAGAATGACTCTTTCATGTATTCCCTGCCACTTCCCCTTGTCCTTTTTCCATGGGTGGTATCATTGTGGGTGAACAGGGGAGTTTAGAACAAGGGTGAGGAAAAGGGTTGGTGTTTGATATGGTTTGGATATTTGTTCCCACCCAAATCTCCAGTTGAAATGTAATTCCCAGTGTTGGAGGTGGGGCCTGGAGGGAGGTGATTGGATGATGTGGGAGGATTTTTCTCATCAACAGTTTAGCACCATCCCCTTGGTGTTGTCTTCCTGATAGTGAGTGAATTCTCACGAGATCTGGTTGTTTAAAAGAGTGCTGGCATCCCCCACTTCTCTCCCCTTCTCCTGCTTTTGCCATGTGATGTACCTGTTCCCCCTTTGCCTTCCACCACAATTGTGAGCTCCCTGAGGCTCAGAAACCAAGTAGATGCCACCACCTTGTTTCTTGTACAGCCTGTAGAACTGTGAGCCAATCAAACCTCTTTTCTTTATAAATTAAACAGTCTTGGGTATTTCTTTCCTTTTGTGTGTGTGTGTGTGTGTGTTTGAGATGGAGTCTTGTTCTGTCGCCCAGGCTGGAGTGCAGTGGCATGATCTTGGCTCACTGCAACCTCCGCCTCCCGGGTTCAAGCGATTCTCCTGCCTCAGCCTCCCGAGTAGCTATGGGATTACAGGTGCCCACCACCACGTCTGGCTATTTTTTTATTTTTTTAATAGAGATGGGGTTTGTCATGTTGGCCAGGCTGGTCTTGAACTCCTCACTTCATGTGATCTGCCCGCCTAATTTATCCAAAATGTATGTATACTTCTTTGTTTAGTTTTGTTATTTTTAGTTGCCTAATTCTATTTATGATAAGGTTAATAATTAAATTTGGTTTTGTTCTTGAAGCAGACACCTGGTGATTATGGCATAGATGAGTAAAAGGAATGCAAGTGTGAGGATAGCAGGTTGCATATGATCATATGTCCCTGGGAGACCTGACAGCTGGGGCTTTCCTAGAGACAACCAGATCTAATGCTGAGCCTGTGAGCACAGCTGGATTAAAAGGCCTCTATTCTCAGACCCTTGGGTTTTTGAAGGATCCACAGGTATAGTTGGCCAAGCATTTGAACAACTCTAGCGGTTTCAGCCTGTCATGGGCATAGGGAAACATCTTGAGCTGGGAGAAGAAGGATGCTCAGTTGACATGTTAATCAGCTGGATCTCCAGCCACCAAAGCCCATGGGTGGATGAACTCACCTATCCAGCAGGGAATACCCGCTAGGAATGAAAGTCCCTGGGTCAAGTAGGGATGGTACCACTTGAGAAAAGGGCAAAACAAAAGGTAAGTGGAAAGCAATCCCTCACCTGAGATGCCCATGAAATAAGAATGGAGATTATCAATAGCTAGGCCTGACTTAACTACACAATTATTCAAAAACTGAAAATATACATGAAAATTTTATTCTACTTTAAAACCTATATTTGTACATGCACTAGTCTGACTTAAGGCTGAAGACTTTTCTTCAAGTGTGAACATGCTGATGAGCATTTCTCCTCGTCCTTCTTATATACACAGCACATGTATGCTTCATCTGATTACCAGTTCCTGTTTATTTAAAGTGGATAAAGAGCTTAGGAAACATGGGCAAAGAAATCTGAGAGCAGACTCCTAGATTTTCATCTTTCCCTCATCCTTACCAATGTTTCAACCATGGCTAAGTTGACAGTGATGTTTTTAGCAACTTGAGTCATTTAATAATAATTTCTATAATATTAAGGTCAATTTTTATAAAACACTTTTTTCATAGCCATATGTAGTCAATTTATGTAATATTTAGTTATATGATAATGTAATTATAATAACTGGAGTTATCAGTTTTGAGGACAAACTCAGCTGACTTATGGAAGACATATAACCTAAATGGAGGTTCAAAGACAGAACAGAAAGCACCTGCTAGTCCACCTGATTGGGTTAATATAGTTTGATCAAGAGGCTTCTTATTGGACCCAGCTCACCTCTCTGCCACACTCAATCTTAGTAGAGCCCTGCTCCTAAGTGACTGCATCTTGCCCTGGAAAGCTGTTTTGAACCTGGATCCTATCAATCAGCTTCAAGCATGCCAAGTGTGATAGGTTGGCTTTTAGATGTCCCCAGTGATCCCAGTCTCCTGGAATTCACACCTTGTGTAATCTCTCCCCCACATGTGGGTAAGACCTGTGACTTGCTTCTAACCAATAGAATGTGACAGGGGTGATGGGATGTCACCTCCATGATTATATTACATAGGATTGCAACTTCCATCTTGCTGGCAGACTTTCTCTCTCTCTCAACTTACATGCTTTGATGAAACAAGCAGCCATTAGGGAGGCCTATGTAACAAGGAAATGAGGTGAGACTGGCTAATAGACCACAAGGAACTGAGTCCTGACAGCAACCATGAGATCTTGGAAGTGGATCCTTCACCATTTGAGTCTCAGATGAGACCCCAGCACCAGCCAACACTTGATTGCAGTCTTCTGAGAGACCCTGAAGAAGAGGATGCAGCTAAGCTATGCCTGGACCCCTGAAGCATGAGATAATAAATACGTGTGTTCTTTTAAGCTGCTTTTTAAAAAATGCAGTGCTAAATACCAATAGTGCCTTGTTCAGAATATTTGATTTTATGTCTTCCTCAAGGGGACTAATATTGTTACACACACCAGTAAACAGTAAGGCATGCTGAATACTTCTTTCAAAGGCTTTTAATAAAGTGAAGTATTGATAGGTGAAATGATATGCTGTCTGGGGTTTTCTCTAAAATCGTTCAGCAGCCAGGCGTGTTGGCTCATGCCTGTAATCCCTGCACTTTGGGAGACCGAGGTGGGCAGATCACCTGAGGTCAGGAGTTCGAGACCAGCCTGGCCAACATGGTGAAACCCCGTCTCTACTACAAATACAAAAATTAGCCAGATGTGGTGGGGAGTGCCTGTAATCCCAGTTAATGGGGAAGGTGAGGCAGGAGAATCACTTGAGCCCGGGAGGTGGAGGTTGCAGTGAGCTGAGATAGCACCACTGCACTCCAGCCTGGTTG
This sequence comes from Homo sapiens, assembly GCF_000001405.40. Classification (NCBI taxonomy): domain Eukaryota; kingdom Metazoa; phylum Chordata; class Mammalia; order Primates; family Hominidae; genus Homo; species Homo sapiens. The sequence continues at coordinate 134,264,244 of NC_000023.11, read as the reverse complement.
ACAGAGTGAGATTCTGTCTCAAAAAAAAAAAAAAAAAATCGTTCAGCAGGAGGTGGACAGGATGGGTTGGGGTTCTGTCTCAAAAAAAAATCGTTTAGCAGGAGGTGGACAGGATGGGATGGGGTTTAGAAGAATTGGGGAAATATCAGTGAAACAAGTTTGAGAAGTTTGAGCAATGTATTGGTGATTTTTTTTTTTGAGACAGAGTCTCCCTCTGTCGCCCAGGCTCACTGCAACATCTGCCTCCAGGATTCAAGCAATTCTTGTGCCTCAGCCTCCCAAGTAGCTGAGACTACAGGCGTGCGCCACCACGCCCAGCTAATTTTTGAATTTTCAGTAGAGACAGGTTTTGCCATGTTCACCAGGCTGGTCTCAAACTCCTGACTTCAAGTGATCCGCTTACCTCGGCCTCCCAAAGTGCTGGGATCACAGGCATGAGCCACCGTGCCCAGCCTGTGTAGGTAATTATTGAAGCTATGTGATGTGTACATAGAGGTTCACCGTCTTATTCTGCCTACTTTTGTTTATGTTTGAAAATTTCCATAATAAAGCAAAACAATTTCTGTAATGTTACACTGTTCTGCAAAAATAACAATAAATAATGAGTGTTACTAAATTCTATGTTAAATACTGTACAGTTTAATGGAAATTATTTTTTCAGACACTGTTTTTACATGCAAGTTAGGGCATTGTTAATTATCCAGTTTTGGAGAGGGAGGGGTCCAAGACTGAAGCTTTTTAAGTGCATTTTGGTTGTTTAAGCACTATGCCATCAATGACTATATTAATTGGCAATGACTTTGTATAGAAAATTTAAGTAGCCAGCTGGGCCAGTGGCTCGCACCTGTAATCCCAGCACTTTGGGAGGCCGAGGCAGGTGGATCACTTGAGCTCAGGAGTTTGAGACCAGCCTAGCCAACATGATGAAACCCCATCTCTACTAAAAATGCAAAAATTCGGCAGGTGTGGTGGCACACGCCTGTAATCCCAGCTACTCGGGAGGCTGAAGCAGGAGAATCACTTGAACCAGGGAGGCAGAGGTTGCAGTGAGCCAAGATCACACCACTGCACTCAAGCCTGGGCGACAGAGCGATATTCTGTCTCAAAAAAATTTTAAAAAGAAAATTTAAATAGAAAAAGTCATAAATATATTGACTATACATAGACACTATATATGTATACACGTATGTATATCTAGCTATATTGTGTACATATACATAATGTATAGGTATATTATGAAAATAAAATATTCTGAATTTATTATTTCGTATAATTTTGCAGATAGTTCTTCACTTCTGATAACACTGTTTTTCTCCTATAAAAGTGGGCACAATCCTTCCTGTTCATTCATTCACTGAAAAAATATTTATTTATTGGGTGCCAAGCTCTGTGTTAGGCAATATTTAATATCTAAATATAAGCCACACGTATATAAGGCTAGTAACATAAATAAAACAGAAGATGGTACTATAACAAAACAAACAGTTCTATGGAAAGTTTCACCAAACTTGGGGAAAGCCTAGAGTGAAAATTAAAGTAACTCAATTCTTCTCAGAACCAGCACATTCAATAGAATGGGGACAAATGAAGCCTTCCATTTAGCAAGAAAAGCCTCTTTTTTATTGCCTTTTAAAAATATTTCATTCAGTTACTAAATCATTCAACAAATATTATTAAATATCTGTACTATGATAATCAAGAAGCTTCTTGTTTGGTAAGAAAGAAGGGGAAATTCCTTAAAGTCCAGCCTTCAGGAAGAAAGTGGCATTTTTGAGCAAGATCCTTAAGCACAGGACTTCTTTACAGAGGCTTGAAATTACCTTTCCAGAAGGAAATGATTGGGCAGGAAATGATATTAATGGAAATGAAAGCATGTGCACAGTCCATTGCAAAGCTTCTTATATATAGGGTCTCATTTGATTCTCATGCAATATCAAGAAATATTGTCTATCCACACAGAAGCTTACTTGAATGAAACTGATAGTAAAGCCACCAGTTAAATCTTGCTAACAAGACATTCCTGTTACAAGGAATCAAATGACTTGTCTCTGGCTTTGTAGGCCCCATATGATGGGGTGCAAAGTTCTGTATTAGTCACTATTAAATATCTAAATATAAGTCACACATAGATCTTCACATGAATGGATATTTACTCCAATAGAGAAAAAATGAATAAACTTTATCCAGCGTATTACTTGTTTTAATTTAGGTGGCTGAAAGAAGTGGAAATGGGCCAGAGAAGAGAAAAGGAAAAAAAAGAAGCTCTATGAATACCAGTAAATGTGCCCTTTTCCTGAAATAAAACTCATGTTTATAACACACCTTAGAGTTTACAAAATGCTGCCGCATGTGCATTGCTTTATTTAATCTTCTCATAACTACCCCATGTGGGAAGTATTTCCATTTTTTTACAGACCAACAATTTATTTTATTTCGTTTTAATTTTTTCCTATTTATTTCTTTCAAAAATTTTTCAAAATTTTTTGTGAGTACATAGTAGGTATATAAGTTTATGGGGTACCTGAGGTGTTTTGATACAGGCATGCAAAAAGAATCATGAAGAATGGGGTATCCATCCCCTGAAGCATTTACCCATTGAGTTGCAAGCAATCCAGTCACACTTTTTATTTTAAAATGTGCAGTTAAGTTGTTATTGGCTATAGTCACCCTGTTGTGCTATCGAATAGCAGGTCTTATTCATTCTTTCTATTTTTTGTACCTATTAACTATACTCACTTCCCCCACCAGCCCCCTACTACCATTGCCAGCCTCTGGTAACCATCCTTCTACTTTCTATGTGCATGAGTTCAATTGTTTTGATTTTTAGATCCCACAAATAAGTGAGAACATGAGATGTTTGTCTTCCTGTGCCTGGCTTATTTCCCTTAACATAATGATCTCCAGTTCCATCCATGGTATTTCCATTTCAAAATATGAAAGCAGAGATTCAACAATGTGGAGCACTTTGCCCAGTGTCACACAGCAAGCAAGTGATAAGAGTCAGGACTCAGACCCTCGACTTCTAACTCTGTCATAGACACTGAGATCTACCACCTGAATCCTTCCTTAAGGAAGGAGATGCTGCCCAGCTATGGGAAGTTTGATTAGCAAACATCCTCCATCTATCTGTCAGCTCCTTCCACAGCTGCAGAGAGTCACCTTACCCCAAGGTCACACTTTTCCTGGGACAGCCTGCATCTGGTGACTGAGAGGGGGAGGGCTACGAAGGCATGGCCATTTTGGCTTTAGATGGGGCTCTTGAACGAGCATTATTTGTTCCAGAGTTTCCTGCTGGGTTGGCCAAGGTTTTGTTGGACCTGCACAGTAGTTCATCTTTTCCCTCTGCCCAACAGTGTTTCTTCCCCCTTCCTTGCACAAATGTTTATCCCTAATAAATATCTTGTACCCCAAACTTCATTTCCATGCCTGCTTCTGCAGAACCCTGTGACAGTTGATACTGGGAGTGTTCTGAGAAAGCAGCCAATAGGATGGACTTTTGGAGTCAGATCACTCACCTCTCAGGTGAAAATGAGAACCCCTCACTCACTAGTGAGGAGTACAGATGGCACCAGGCAGCAGTCTGATTATTTAACCTTTCACCTGAGGTGCACTGGAAATGCATTATGGGTGTGATACAGAAGGCATTTGAAATATCGGGAGGGAATATTAACTACGTGGCTGACAAGATCGGATGACTAAATATTTAATGAACTGCTGAGGGTAATAGGCAATTGAAAGCCAGGTGCAAAAGCTGAGAAGGCCTCTGTGGTTATATACAAAAGAGCTCTTTTGCCTGGTTCAGTGGCTCATGCCTATAATCCTGGCACTTTTGGACACCGAGGTGGGAGGATTGCTTGAGGCCAGGGTTTTGGGACCAGCCTGAGCAACAAAACAAGACCCTGCCTCTACAAAAAAATTTAAAAAATCAGCTGGGTGTGATGGTGCATGCCTGTGGTCCCAGCTACTCAGGAGGTGGTGGCGAGAGGATTGCTTGAGTCAGGAATTTGAAGCTGCAGTGAGCTAAGATCACACCACTGCACTCCAGTATGGGTGACAGACAGACACCCTGTCTCAAAAACAATAAATAAGTAAACAAAAATAAAAATTAAAAAAGCTATTTCATCTCCTATGAGGAGGGCAGAGTACTCTGCGAACTAAACCTAGGACTTAATAGTCAGAGTGGCTGGACTTCTACTAAGGTTAAATACCCAACCAAGGTAAGGCCCTTGGTTGGGAAAATCAGGCACAGCAACACATGGATGGAGTCATCTAGGTGAATGATTACAAAGATTTTGACTCCCCACACTCCCCTAAACCTTCTGAACCAGTAGATATGGCCCACCTAATTCCTATCAAGAGCTAGCACCCTACTAGCACCCACAGTAGAAGACTATGCAGAGGCCTCTTCCCACATGACAACATATGTTCCTTCTTAGGGCTCGCTCCCACTTCCCTTTCAGGGCACTAGCCGCACAGTCAGGGTTCAGTTTAAGCATAGCTGCTGGGGGATATGCTGTGCTGGGGATATGCTGGGCCTTGCAAGCGAGGAAAGGGCTTACACTTCAAAGAAGCTACAAGAAGTAGCTGACGTGTACTAGCAGGAGAAAGGGGAATATACACATGAGGCTGGGTTCTGAGGGGGCTTGATCAAGGCGGTGGGAATGGAGGCAGTGGGATCATACAATTGGAAAAGTTTACTGACTTGGGAGTGCTTTCCTGAGATACCGGATTTAACATCCTGTCAAAGACCCCAGGAAATGGTGCAAATTTTCTACTAAGATGGCTCCTAGATGTAAGAAATACAGCCTGTGCTGAGTGAAGTTGGAATTTCAGAATTGCTTAGGCAAATTGCAGAGGGAAGGATTCGAGGCTCAAGGAAGTGGGCATGCTGGAACTCATGTCACTATGTACAGCCACAAGACCCAGCAGAAGATTGTATTCCATGGAAAGATTCACACTGTTGAACAAGGCCATCAGGAATCCACTGGCAAGACGATCGCCAGCAAGCATCACTCAAAATTTCAGTAGTGGCCTCCTCTGCAGGTCAGAACTGACAACAGGAAAAGCCCTTATAAACTTAGCTCACTGATAGCACTATGGATGATAAGACCCAAGACAGCAGAGGCCAGGTGGTGGTCCTTAATCTCCAGAAGCCAGGAAGTTGCAACTATTATAAGACAAAGTTAGCATGACAGTTCAGGAAGCCTGACCCAGGAGAGTTATGGAGATGGTTAATAGAACAGAGCATCTCCAGGGGCAAAATTTATTGAAAAGAGTATTACTCAGCTTGTAATAGCTGAAAAAATCTGGGAGGCTGACGGCAGTCACTTCAATAAAAAAGCCGTGATCCCTTGTAGAGTTTCCAGATCTGAGCCAGTTTTCAAGCCCAGAACTCACTGACAGAAGAGGTGATTGGGTCCCTAGGAGAAAGGACACTGCCATGATTCTTCTTTTTCCTCCTGCAGAGACCTCTGGGCATGCATTTAGGTAACTGTGCACTAGAGAAAGGGAATACTTAGATGTTTCAAGGAGTGTTGGACCTAGAGTCTGAGTTGACATAGACACTCAGAGACCCAAAGCATCATCATGGCCCACTGTGAGAGTGGGGACATACGGGAACCAGGTAAGAAATTGAGTCTTGGCCAAGCTCCAGCTCACAGGAAGTCCATTGGGTACAAGAACTCAGTGGTCATTACCCCAGTCTCAAAGTGTATGATCGGGTAGTTAGGGCAGCCATTACTTTGTGTCTTTGGCCAGTGAGATAATAACTATTACAATGGGGAAGGCCAAGTAGAAGCCTCTGATACTAAACCACCACCACCACCCCTGGCCAAGATAATAAATTATCACATCCCCTCAGGGTAGTGGTGTATGCAGATTAGTGTCATCCTTAAGGATCTAAAAGATATAGAGGTGGCGATTCTCATCATATCTCCATTTAATTTACCAGTGTTGTGCCTGCAAAAACCAGATAGATCCTTGGAGATGACTGTAGGCTGCTGCAAGCTCAACCAAATAGTAGCTCTGATCATAGTCTCTGTGTCAGACATGGTATCTTTGTGGGAACAGATTGATACAGCCTCAAATATATATTGTGTAGGCGTTGATTTGGAAAATTCATTCTTTTCTATCTCAATCAGAAAAAAGAAACAGAAATATTCAAATAAATAGGAAGAAATATAAATTTATAGTTCTGCCCTGGGCCTATATTAGCTCTTCTACTTTGTCATAATTTAGTCTGAAGAGAGTAAAAACATCTGGATATCCTGCAGAATATCATATTAACCTATTACATTGATGATGTTTTGTTGATCAGACCAGATGAGCAGGAGGTAACTAGTGTGCTACCTCTTGGTAAGACACATACACTGAGGGTGGGAGATAAACCCTATAAAGATTTAGAGGTTTACCCGATCCATAAAATTTTTAGAAGTCCCGTGGTTCAGGGCATACTGGGGCATTCCCTCCAAAGTAAAAGTAAAAGACAAATTCCTGCACATTGCACCTCCTGGCACAAAGAAGCAATCATGACACCTGGTGGGCCTCTTTGGGTTTTAGAGGCAATGTATCCCATATGTAAGGATTCTGCTCCATCCCTCTATAACAGGTGACAAGGAAGGTTACTAGCTATGCCTGGGGACCAGGAGCAGCAAAGGGCTCTGCATCAGGTCCAGGCTGTCATGCAAGTGCCCTGCCTGACACTTGGGCCATACAATCTAGCAGATCGTGTGGTGTTGGAGGTATCAGTGGTGGGAAAAGATTCAGTATGGATTCTGTGGCAAACCCCTGTTGGAGAATCATGATGCAGGGCCCTGGGGTTCTGGAGAAAGGCCATGTCGCCTACAGAAGAGAATCATATGCCTTATGAAAAACAACTTCTGGTATGCTATTGGGCCCTGGTAAAGACGAGGCAACTGGCCAGGAACGGTGGTTCATGCCTGTAATCCCAACACCTTGGAAGGCTGAGGCAGGCAGGTTGCTTGAGCCCAGGAGTTGGAGACCAGCCTGGCCAACATGGTGAAACCCCATCTCTACTAAAAATACAAAAATTAGCCAGGCGTGGTGGTGGGCACTTGTAATCTCAGATACTCGGGAGGTTGAAGAAGGATAACCGTTTGAACCTGGGAGGCGGAGGTTGCAGTGAGCCGAAATCACGCCACTGCACTCCAGCCTGGGTGACAGAGAGAGACCCTGTTTCAAAAAAAATAAATTAATTAAAAAATATGAAACACCTGATCACAGAACACCAAGTGATCATGGACCTAAAACTGTCTATCATGAGCTGTGTCTTATCAGACCCACTAAACCATAAGGTCAGGCGGACCCAGCAACAATTCATCAAAGGACAAAAGGGGGCTCTCCAGGACTGCTTATAAGCAGGACTACAGGGCACAAGTAAAGTGCAAGATCAGGTAGCCTAGACCACCATGGCATGCACCACTGTTATACCAGTGCCCTCCTTTAGCTCATGCCTGCAACTTTATGGGGATTCTATCAGATCAACTGAAGAAAGAAGGAAAAGCTTGGTTTATGAATGGGTTTTGTCAGTATGCGGGTGCAAGCCAAAAATGGACACTGGCTGCATTGTAGCCTCACTTGGGAGATCAGAGGTGCTTGAAAGACAGTGACAGATGAAAATCCTCCCAGTGGGCAGAGCTTTGGGTGATGCACTTTATCACCCACCTTGGGTGGAAAGAGAAGTGGCCTGAGGTTAAAATATTTATGAAGCTGTGGTCACTGGTGAATGACCTGATCAGCTTGTAAGGCGTTTGGAAGGGAAAAGACTGGAAAATTGGAAACAATGATATCTGAGGTAGATGGATGTGGATAGATATGTGCAAGTGGGCACTAAGCATGAAATGTTTGTAGCACATATTGGCGCCAATTAGAGAGCGTCTAGCTCAGAAGAAGCATTGAACAACCAAGCAGACAAAATGACCTGGGCAGTTGACACCAGTCAGTCTCTATCTTTGGCCACTGCAGTATTGGCACAATGGGCATATGAACAGAGTGGCCACCGAGGCAGAGAGGGAGGCTAAGCCTGGGTCCAACAGCACAGACTCCCACTTACGAAGACCAATCTAGCCATTGCCACTAAAGAATGTTCAGCCTGCCAACTACAGAGATCAACACTGAGCCCCTAATATGGCACCATTCCTTGAGGAGACCAACTGGTCACTTGGTGGCAAGTTCACAACATTATGCCCCTTCCATCCTGAAAGGGCCAATGGTTCATTCTCATAGGAATACATGCATATTTCAAGTATGAATTTAACTTTCCAGCCTGCAGGGTCTCAGGCAGCACCTCTATTTCAGGACTTTGGTAGTATTAGATCCAGCAGTGTCGTATTCCACGTAACACTGAGACAGACCAGAAGACCGACAAAGGAGATGCAGGAGTGGGCCCAGGATCATGGGACCCACCAATCATATTACATACCACACCATCCAGAAGCTGCTGGTCTGATAGAGCATTGAAACAGCCAGCTGAACTACATTTCCCAGAATTCCCTCACCTCTATGTTTCCAATTAGAGTGGGTCACAGAGATCTTTTGGAGATTTGTTGGGCCTTAGTCAGTTAGGAGCCATATAGTTTCTACATTGGAAAATCAGTGCGGGGAAACCAGGTGCAGTTGTAGCTCATGCACATTGTCACTTATCTACTGGCTCACCTCAGTGGCGTGCAGCAGCAACTGGGCCAGCAGCTGCTGCTACACCTTCCTCCCAACCATCCTTTAGTGTCTCAGTCTCCTGGATATAGGCCAGGTATGTGTGTAGCTGTGGGCAAAGGGCACCAGCTTCCCCTGCAGGATACCCACATCACCCAAGCTGGAGATAACGAGAGACTGATACAGACCCTAGTTCATCCTCCTGTGTTCCAGCTCATGCTTCTGGGTTCCAGTTTGTCCTTGTTCTCCTCCACTTCCCATTCATTGTCCCCTCCTGACTGCCCTGCAGACTTCACGCTACAGCATTAAATGTGAAGAAATGCAGAGGCTGTTTAACCAGTCTTGCTCCCACAATTAAGGTCAAATCTCTGATGGATAGATAGATAGATGTAGATAGTATAGATATAAAAATAAAATCTCTTGCTGGGTGTGGTGGCTCACTCATATAATCCCAGCACTTTGGGAAGTTGAGGCGGGCATATCGCTTGAGGTCAGGAGTTTAAGACCAGTCTGGCCAACATGGTGAAACTCCGTCTCTATCAAAAAATGCAAAAATTAGCCAGGCATGGTGGTATGCACCTGTAATCCCAACCACTTGGGAGGCTGAGGCTGGAGAATCATTTGAACCCGGGAGGCAGAGGTTGTAGTGAGCTGAGGTAGTGCCACTGCACTCCAGCCTGGGCAACAGAGTGAAATCCTGTCTCAATAATAATAATAATAATAATAACAATAATAATAATAATAATAATAATATCTCTTAATGGCTCCATTTCTCTGATTTAATCCTGACTAATACAGGAACTTTGTGCTCTGTAACTCTTGACAGGGTTCAGGACACACTACCCACAACTATGATAGCTTGGCATTTGAGAAAACAGCAGAAGCAGTTTTTCCTGTTTCTCTGGGTCTTCATTTCTGAAGGTTCTCATGTCACTTAAAGCTTGTATTAAATAAATTTGTCTGCTTTTCTCTTGTTAATTTGTCTTTTGTTATAGGGGTGTCAGGTATGAACCTAGCAATGGGTGAGGAAATAAATATTTTCTCCCTTACATGCTACAGGGCTAGAGGAACTGGTCTCCAAAGGAGACACATCATATCCAGAGTCAATGTCTTACTGAATTATAAGCTATGGCTGCAGCCTGGACACTTTGGGCTCCTTGTGTCCAGAGACCAGCAGGCCAGAAGAGGGGTCACTGACTTGGTAGCAGTAATTCACTCAAATTATCAGGAGGAGGTAGGGCTGCTGTTGCACAATGGGGAGAGGGAGAAATAGGTGAGTCACCTGGGCATATCTTAGTACTTCCTTGCCAAATTGTGACTATAAGTGGACAGATACAGCAGCCCCAGCCTGAGAAGGGGATAATGACCAGGCTGCTCTTCGCCCCTCAGAAATTAGGGTCTTGGTCAGGCCAGCCAGGAAGCCATCACGGCCACCAGAGGGCAGTAGCTATGGGTGAGAGTGACCTAGAATGAGCAGTGGAGGCGGCAGGTGCTGAGTATCAGTTGCAGCCCCAAAACTAACTGCAGCAGTGGGGGCTGTAGTTTGTCCCACTAATACCACTCTTCCAAGGTTCCCTTCTGGGAGAGGCGTGAAGGAATTGAGAAAAAGAGATGCAAGCGATGGACCGTGGTAGACACAAAGATGCACCACCTCAAGAAAGGATTTGCTGTCCAACGGTGGGGAGTGAGGTTGGCAGGCAGTCTCCAGCTGTCAGCTCCTGCAAGGCCTGACTTACCTGCAGAGAGACACTCGGTCCCAGGTTACATCCTTCCAGACAGAGGCGGTTTACATCTGGCGACTCAAAGAGGCAGGAGAATAAAAGCCCAGGGGCTTTTATTTTTAGCACTTTGGGGGGCCAAGGCAGGTGGATCACTTGAGCTCAGAAGTTCGAGACCAGCCTGGGCAACATGGTGAAACCCCATCTCTACAAAATATACAAAAATTAGTCGGGCATGGTGGTGCGTGCCTGTGGTCCCAGCTACTCGGAGGGCTGAGGCGGGAGGATCGCTTGAGCCCAGGAGGTTGAGGCAGCAGTGAGCCGTGATTGCACCACTGCACTGCAGGCTGGGTGACAGCGTGAGTCTCTGCCTCAAAATAAAATAAAACAAAAGTCCAGGTATTTCTACCCAATTCGGGGCACTCTGATGAACAGTACTCCAGAGGTCCCTGCTGGGGTTGCTGAGGTTTTGTCAGGCTTGCATGGCAATTCAACTTCTCTCTGCCCAGTCTTGCTTCCTCCCACTTTTCCTTCACAGGTGTCGATCCGCAATAAACATCTACCACCCCAAATTCCATCTCAGTATCTTCTACCAGAGGAACAAAGTGGGCAAACTCCACATCTCCTGCTTTTTCTAGTGCACCACTCTCCCCTGGCCCAAACATAGAAACCGGAGCCCCTTTGCTCTCAGCAGTTTATTTAAAAACATACCTGAATATATACCCAAAGGAAAAGATTCAAGATAACACATGTTTTATGGGGAAAAAGCCCTTATGCTACATGCAAATATATTTTTGTACTCATTAAAACCACATAAAAGTATATTATGCATTTTAAAAGGTTGATTACCTCAAAACCAGAAATGCCCTCCAGGCTCTCAGCTGACATAACCCACATTTATGAAGTCAAAAGCAGCTTTCCAGATTTTCTTCTCCTTCATTACATGAAGGGGAAATGTTGTTTTGTACAATCTTGAATACATTTGTCAGTTTGAAAGGAAACATTTTGTCTTGTTATTGAAGATATTTTAATAAAAAGGTCCTGAAAATTTTTTTCAAGAATTGTTTCAGTTATGAGTGAGCAGAATATGATTCCTTTACTGTAACTTTAAGAAGCTTACCAGGGAGTCAAGGAAAGAACAAGAGGAAAACATATAAATCATTAAGTATAATTAACACTTTCTAAGCAGCAAGATGCGGGGGTGGGGGTTCACAGCATTTATTTTTCTCAAAAATTAGTTAGCTTTCAATGAAAACACTTTAGGAGGCAAATAATCTAAGGAAAAAATGAGTATTGGGTGAAAGGATCAATCATTTTGAATTATAAAAATCAGACCCCAAAGCTAAAGTGAGTATTCATCAAAGAGTCCTGGATGTTTATTGAATTGGCTCCATCAGTGCTGGAGCTTTCTTCATTTAGAGAGCTGTTAGTTGGGCTTCATATTTCAACTGTTCTTGTTGATGTTACTGTTACCATCCATTCCATAACCATAGGAAGAGGATGCTGTGTCTTCATGTAGACCTACTAACCTGCCATCAGAAGACATGCACACTTCACAGTCTTTCCAGTATTAAGCTGCATCTTCACTGCTCATCTCAGCCATTTGTTAGATGATTGACTCAAGTTGAGTCCAGGTTGCAGTATTAAACGAGTCTGTCTTTGGGAAAGTTAAATAATCTCTACGATGATTAATCTTTGGCTCATTAATTTTAGCACAAAAGGTGGCCTGATACAATGAGACAAGCATCCTAATGGAGTTGGACAGGCTTGGTTTGAATCCCAGATCCACCACTTGCTACCTGTGTGATACTGACTAAGTCATTTCATATCTCTGAGCCTCGGTTTCCTCACCTGTAAAAAATGGTGGCAATCAAGGATTTTTGAGCAGACTACATAAGACAACGCATATGGAAATGTGTGACACATGATAAAGTTTTGTTACTAGGCTCTAACCAATAGCCCAAATACAGGCTAGGGTACTAGTGACATAAGGAGAATCTCTTAGGTATGCCTCCTGTCATGGTCTGAAACATACATGACAACGCCTGTTGTGGAGTCAACAGGCATGGGTTGAAAGGCAAAAGTAATGCTTCGAGGATACCCCAGAACACATCCTCATAGAACCAGGAATAAACCCAGTCTCCTGGGAAATGACAACCTGCACCCAGTGAAACATAGCAATCATCAGAAGGTTGAGTGTGATCAAAGGTGTCATTCATAGAGAGAGGTAGTGGGGTGGAGGGACAGAGAGACTCTGTGAACAGTAGCTCTGACCACTAAACAGGGGAGACATCACCTTGGTACTCAGTATGGAAAGGAGGGTACACCTACAATACATAGATAACTATAGCTTCAGTGTCTCATGAGTACAAAGGACAAGACAATGACTTATTTTTATCTGAGCAGCTGTAGTAGTGGGTCCCCAGCTGCACAGCTCCTTGTGCCAAGGGGAAATAAAAAATGCTATAATAGCTTCTCTTGTCTCCATTCCCTCTTCCTAGATGAGTTTTTTTTCCCTCTGGAGCACTAGAGCAGGGCTTTCTTCCCCCTTCTGGTACTCTGCCTGCTAGAGCCAGGGGCCAATCGAACACAGACCTGATTGGAGGGGGGGTGGGTAGGCTCTAACCCAAGAAATGCCCTCTACAGGATCCTTCCTGAGGCCAGAAGAGCCATCACAATAGATTTGTTACTTTGCCTTAAGGCTTCATATACTAATAAAACCAACATGTCTTCTCTGCAACTTGTTCCACCTTCCCAAATATATACACACATCATTGATACACATATTACGAATTAGTTCATCATATTCTCTCCAGGGAACACAATAGGTATAAAAAGCTTGGTGAGAGTAATAGCTGGGAGGAGACAGATAGATTTGGTCAATTTCCCATTGTCGATTAGCAATAATGATAATAACAAGGGTGACATTTATTGACCGTATGTGATCTCATCTTACCTCTCAAAAACACTAGTTATGTACCCTGTCTTACAAGATGAGGAAACTGAGCTACAGAGAATTACACAAGTTGCCCAAGGTCACACAGCTAGCAAGTGGATAACCAAAGTTTGTGCACTTAACCTCTATGCTCTATGCTTCTTTGGAGAGAGGAGCAACTGTGATGTTTCTCTTTCATACATCTCCTTGAAACCAGCCTACTCACGGCAGACTTGGCTTATGATAAAAATCTCCTAGGTCTTTTGTTTCCAAAACAAAAATGATAGCATCCAAAGGTAGAGTAGCATCAGCAAAATGGTTTTCTGCAGTTTGTTATCTGGAACCTGGTCTTTATGTCATGAGAACATCATTCTCCAGTCTATCTGCAAATGACCAAAAACGTTGGAATTCACAGTAGTTTTCAGGGTAGAACCTCAAACGAGACATTAAAAATCAGCAACATGGCTGGGCGAGGTGGCTCACGCCTGTAATCCCAGCGCTTTGGGAGGCCGAGGCGGGTGGATCACCTGAGGAGGTCGGGAGTTTGAGATCAGCCTGTCCAATGTGGCAAAACCCTGTCTCTACTAAAAATACAAAACTTAGCAGGGTGTGGTGGCAGGCGCCTGTAATCCCAGCTACTTGGGAGGATGAAGCAGGAAATCACTTGAACCTGGGAGGTGGAGGTTGCAGTGAGCCGGTATCGTGCCACTGCACTCAAGCCTGGGCAACAGAGCAAGACTCCGTCTCAACAAACAAACAAAAAAATCAGCAACACATAACATACCAGTGCTCTAATTCATTGCTGCTGAGTCCTCTTTGAAGCCAAATAAACCTTCCATATTCACATTCCAGAAATGTCCCTGCCTCCTACTCCCATGCTTTGTCTGGAAAAATCCTTCATATCCTTCAAGGCCCAGCTCAAATGTCACCTCCTTTACAAAGTGTTTCCCAGTCCCACAGGCAGAATTAATTGATCCTCCTTTATGCTCCCACAGCACTTTATATTAGCATTGGTGGTATAGCTCTTACCACATTGTTTTAATTAATTGCATAAGTAAGCTCCTTGAGGTCAGAGACTTGTCTTATTCATAAACCCTTTGATTTCCATATCCCCAGCCTAGCACATACCTTATTTCATCAAATCTAAAACTCCATCAATTGTAAGATACACCATTATTTCATTAATTACTAAGAAAAACAAAACACTGACAATTATTCTATGACATACCATCAATTTGAAGATGAGTCCCAAATTCAGGAAATGTCAAAAATTTTAAAAATGTGTTTTAGAAGGAATGAACTGTGGCAATAAGTGCTCACCAAATGTTTATAGAACTGAATTATTAAACCAAGGTGGAACAGATATTTCCAGAGAACTGTGACAGCCCATGCTTCTTAATAAGTAAGAGATTAGAAGTTGGTGATGAATGGTGTGTGACTGCATTGCTGATTTCAAATATTTTACCCAACAGATTAGTTAAAGGGATGAGTGGCCTGATGTGCCATCCCTGTTAAAAAAAAAAACACAAAAAAAAAACAAAAAAAACCACATAAACACCTGCAAGGGCCAAGCCTGCTGGCTCATGTGTGTAATCCCACTCCTTCAGAAGGCTAAGGCACAGGATTGCTTGAGGCCAGGAGTTTGAAGCCAGCCTGGACAGCATAGTGAGACCCTGTCTCTAAAAATATAAAAAATTAGCCAGGCATGGAAGCAAGCCCCTGTAGTCTCAATTACTCAGGAGGCTGAGGTGGGAGGATTGCTTGAGTCCAGGAGGTCCAGGCTGCAGTGAGCTATTTGTGCCACTGCACTCCAGCCTGGGCAACAAGGCCAGCCCGGGCAACAAGGCCAGCCCCCACCTCTAAAACAACAACAACAACAAAGACACCTCCAGATCTCCCATTTAATATACTAGAAAGTAAAGTGATGATATATTGATTCTAGTTCCTTAAACAAGTTCAACCCACTGCTGTGCTCATCTGCCCATGAAGAGGAATAATAGCACAGCTTTCTCCCAGTTTATTCCTGCCCTGCTTTTATTTTGATGCAATCCCTTCCTAATTCCAAACTGTTGGGTCTGTGACCTTAGCTCCCCTTTCTCCTTGGCCCTCTGAAGTTAGTGATTGTATATATTACCTCCCTGGTTAGTGTCTGGACCTGTGCTTTCCATAGGATCTTTCCACAGGGCAGGCCTTGCTGGGTTTTAGTATTTCAGGCTGTCTCACCAAGAATCTGTATTCTAGTTCCAACCTAGAAATAGAAACCCCACCCCCTGCCCTAGACCTAGTCTAAGCCATACACTTAATGTCTCTGGCCCTCCTTCCACCACTCTTTCCCTGCCCCCAAGCACACATACACACTCATGCAAGATAAACCAAATTGTCACTGAAAACCTTAAATGTATGGTTGGTTCATAGAAATACTCCTGGAATAAAAGTTCCTCTTTGAAAACAGAATTATAGGCCGGGCATGGTGGCTCATGCCTGTAATCCCAGCACTTTGGGAGGCTGAGGTGAGCGGATCCCTTGAGCTCAGGAGTTTGAGACCAGCCTGGCCAACATGGCAAAATCCCATCTCTAATAAAAATACAAAAAAAATTAGCTGCCTGTAATCCCAGCTACTCAGGAAGCTGAGGCATGAGAATTGCTTGAACCTGGGAGGCAGAGGGTACAGTGAGCTGAGATCGTGCCACTGTACTCCAGCCTTGGCAACAGAGCTAGGCTCCGTCTCAAAAAAAAAAAAAAAAAAAGAAAATGGAATTAAAATGGAATTATACTAGCCAGACATGGTGGCATATGCCAGCAGCCCAAGCTACTGGGGAGGATCACTTGAGCCCAGCAGTTTGAGTCCAGCCTGGGCAACACAGCAAGAACCTGTCCCCCTCTCTCTCTTAAAAAAAAATTATATTGAAAGGATTGAGCCTAGTAGCTTAATTAATACATTGTAAAATTTTTAAACATGTAAGCAGCTCTGCACATTAGCATTCAGGGAATGAGCGTCTTATGAGGCAAGTACAAAGGGGCAATCTTATAAGGGGGTGATGAAGAAGAAAGTAAAATAGGGCAACGAGTTCCTAGTTTGCTTTCGTACCTAGACCCTTGGTGGGAAGCCAGTGACCACTAAAAACCTGAAAGTCATCTCCCCCTTTAAGGCAGGCTGCCAGTGCCTGGGTTAGGTTTATCAGGACTAAGTCACAGAGCTCCAAAGATTAGCATCTTCCAATTTACGCCAGTCCTCCCAGGCAAGGCAAGACTTGTTCAGCCTCCAGGTCAGCTTAGTCAGTATCCATTCAGTGCCTTCCCCAACCTTAATGAATAAAGAGGAAACAAGAGAAAGGTAGAGAAACAACCTCTATTGATTTATTATTCATAGTATTTGGAGATGTTCAAACTATATAAAGGACCCTGCTTATATTTTCTTTCAAAGGGAGTCTGCAAAGTAGGTCCCCCAAAGTATTAGAATTGAATGCATCCAGGCCGGGTGCGGTGGCTCACGCCTGTAACCCCAGTACTTTGGGAGGTAGAGATGGGTGGATCACGAGATCAGGAGTTCGAGACCAGCCTGGCCGAGATGGTGAAACCCTGTCTCTACTAAATAAATAAATAAATAAATAAATACATAAATACAAAAAATAGCCGGGTGTAGTGGCAGGCGCCCGTAATCCCAGCTACTCGGGAGGCTAAGGCAGGAGAATCGCTTGAACCCGGAAGGCGGAGGTTGCAGTGAGCCGAGATCGCGCCACTGCACTCTAGCCTGAGCTACAGAGCAAGACTCTGTCTCAAACAAAACAAAACAAAAAAAGAATTGAATGCATCCAATGCCATAGGAGTTTTACTTCCTTACAGGTAGAGTTACACTTGCAAATAAAATCATTGAGGTGAAATCACAGAACATTAGAACTGAACAGAATCTCGATGATAGATCTGTTGCCTTGTTTTATAGATGAGGACTTTTAGGGGAAGAAAGTTAACTAGTTACTGGCAGAGCAGGTACTAGAAGCCAAATGTCCTGACTCCCAGTCTAGGGATTTTCCCAACAGGGAAGACACCTAAACCCTTAAAACAATTGTATCTCATCCTCATAGTGTGCAATTACATTTGGTTTATTAGGCTTTAAAACACCATGCAAATAGAGCTCCTATTACAGGATATCTTGATGACTGATACAAACAAATGGTAAAGAGTCAACTGGCCCATCACTTCCACCCAAGGATTGAGGCAGTACATTTTTACCATGTATAAGTGTAAAATAAATTGTCATCACCTGGAGCCCTTACAGGGCTGGATTACTGTAAAAATCAAGCCAGCTCACTAAAAGTTTATCCAGATGACATCCAACTTCACCACAGTCCCCGCCAACTTGTGATGTAAGCCGGGGAGGAAGCTTCGAAATTTTCCCCTGGTCGAGTTTTGGAAGAACTGTGTAAACAATGCCCCTTACTGGTCAACATAAGAAAACACAAAAGCCACTGCTGGCAAGAGCAGGGCTCTAGCAAAAGGTCACAGCAATGTCTCTAAGTCGTCTTGTAGTCTATGGGAACCGTGGCCAGGTCAAAGGAGAAAGCCTGGGGAAAACAGCAGGGGGAAGAAAAAAACTACATTTTTTTCCAGAGATGTTTATATGTACCGAATTAAAGTTAGACCCCCAAAGTAAGCAGATACATTTTTGGTATCCCATTGAGTTTGAACAGGCAGTTATAAGACCCACAGGCATATGTTAGGCTTATACACATAAACAAGATTTTTATTGTTAACATCAATGAACACAGATGGAAAAATATTCACGTGCCAAAGACATATTTGCTTACGAGATCACAAAATTGCTGATTTGTATTCATAAATGATTTGGTGAATCATTATGTGTTTTTGAGTGAATATATGTGTGTGTGTACACACACACACACACACACACACACACACTCTGATATGAGATTTCCAAAGCTTCGTTTCCATTTGTATTCCTGCAATAACTTCATCAGAAAGAGAAAGCAGAAGCTTGGAAACATGTATATGTTTTATAGATACTGTGATTTACTGAAAATGAAAATAACATCCTATTACATATATTTTAAGTAATACGCAAAGAAAATACAATAAACACTGATTTGGCTCAATGACTTGCCTACTGGAAGGATTTTTTTAAGTTTTAAAAAAAATCCCCAGTAAAGTGGTCAAGGATACTTGATGATGTTACCATTGAAGAAGCATAGTATTTTCTAAGCAACTCCAAGGCTCTGTTATTTCTTGCTTGTAGGGTCTTCTCAGTTCTCAGTTCATTCTTGATGACACTGAGCTCTCCGCGGATCTTTGCCATTTCTAATTCATAATATGATTTCATTTCTTCTTTTAGGAGCACATTTCCAACCTCGGTTTGATGCTTTAACTTCCTAACAGCTTCTTTTAAATTTCTGTTCTCTAGGTTCAATTTGTGGATGACTTCTTTGGCTTGCTGGAGCTGTTCACTTAAGTTTTTTACATTTGTTGCTTTTTCAGACAGGTCATTTCTTAAAGCTTGAAGTTCATAGTCACTTTTTGAAGCATCCGTCTCTGTTTCTTGAAAATTTAGGGGTTTTGTGAATATTTCTTTTTTGTAGTGCAAAAGTTCTTTTTCAGCATTTTCAAATTCCTCTTCTATTTTTCTGTATTTCATATTAAGTTCTTCCAGTTCTTCATTCAAAAGATTCAGGCAAAGTTTTGGAGACATTCTTTCCATAAATTTCTTTCTTATGTCTTGTCTTAGTAGAGCTGGTAAGTTATCTGTACTGCAGGTAGAGTTATCTTCTGTGCTGTTAAAGCTTTCTTCTGTTGTAACATCCACATTAGATGATTCATAGGATGCAGAATTTGTGTCTGTTTCATTCTTTGAAATGTTTCTCTTGTTCTCTCTTAAATTTTGTTCTTGTTCTATTTCATTTAGTTGGAAAATATATTTTTTCCTCTTAAATTTACTTTCTTCCTGAAACTTTCTACTGGACAAATTATAAATTTCTTCCATTCCCTTGCTGCTATCTGCAGTCGTTTGTTCAGAAGAAGATTCAGGCTCAGAAGTCTCTTCTAGAACATCTTGTGCACTAAAAAAAGGAGTAAACATATTCTCCTTCCAGTGTTTTCTTCTAGCATCCATTTCTCCAGGCACCTCTTCCAATATCTGAAAAACAAAATTTAAAACCAAGGCAGGCACATTATTTACACTAGTAGCTAATATAGTAGAAAGAAATAAAAATGCTGGCTCACGGGTGAAGAATCTAAACATTTGAGGGCTGGCTCTCTCTCTAACTCACTGAATGGCTTGGGCCTCAGTCCCCTCATTTATAAATGGAAAGGGCTGAAAGAGCTAAGTTCTACAGATGCTTCCAGCTTTAAAAGTCTCTCATCCTATGAAATAGAACTAGTAAACTGACACATTTAGCTACTTACTGTACACAGAGAAAGTGATTCTATAAGAAAACAACTGTACACATAAAAACAGACTGCTTTAAAATAAAAAAAAGTGATTTGAAATTAATAGGTTAATGTTGGTAATACCTGTGCTTTCAATGTGTCTGATGCCTTTCTAGTTCTTTTGGATTGGACTATTGTTAATTCATTCTTTAAAGTGACTAAAACATCAGGGCTTAATGAAATGTGAGCTGCTTTTGGTAAAGTATACCATGCAGACTTCCTTATGACTAACTCTGCCAAATGCCCTTCTGTCTTGACCTATAAATTCCTGCTATTCCAGTCTTGGGCTTTGCTTTTAGGCAAGACTGCCAAGTGTACAGAATTCTATCCATTTTGACAGCAATTTCATGAGGAGAATCTAATGTCAACAATTGAAAATATTAATGCCACCAAATGTGTTTTTCTCAAGATACTGACTCTGAGTGTAGTTTTTAGGTGAAAATTCAGCATACTAAATCACAACCAACTTTCCAAGTTTATAAAAATATGAGGATGATTATTTTGTTCCAAAAAGAGTCTTCCCTACCCAAAGCTGTACATCCTTAATGTACAGCTTTCCCACAGCACTGAAATATTTGATAAGTGACTACTTCTGAGGGAAGGGAGAAAGAAGAACCAGAGCAGTATGTGGAGGGCCACTGGCACCTGAAGCCACCAACTGGTAGCTGAAGTTAGCCCTAAAGGGTGAGGAGAAGAAGGAGAGGGTCACTTTATTCATTTTATATATTAATTCACCAAAACATATTTGTAGTATCACCATGTAGAAAAATCAAAGTATGCCTGCATCTCTTTTATCTATGCACTCAAATGTAATTTTCTGCTGGTAATGAGAAATGGCAAATGTTGCATTTATTTCTTAATTAATATTTTCTTTGATTATTATAACAATTTTGGAGAACAGAGAAAAGCACAGAAAACAGAAGGAATCTCCTTCATAATCTCATGGCCCTGAGATAACTACTTTTTGGTGTATTATCTTCTCTTTTCTTTTTACAAACAGTAGTTTATTTTTAAATAACACAGGTTTTCCTTACTATGAGCAATGAAGGAATAAACTTGATACCTACAGGTACTGAACATACCTCTCCTCTCCCCTTTTCCCCACAAAAGATGGAAGGGACTCACCATCCCCAAGAGTACATCCCTACTGGCAACTACTTGGCTTTGAGGAAAGGAGAAGGTACATATATTCTTAAGATGAACTATTTGGAGAGTTCAGTGAAGGTACTAAAATGATTGGTCCAAAAGCCAGAAGCCAAGCTTTCTTGAGGTCAATCAGACCACAATGATAAACTCAGACTTTAAATTCACAATATATATTTGCCATTGGAGCATCATCTTCTTTCTTTTGAAACAGTTCTTTCTGACTTTCATTATTCCACGAGTCACCATCCAGAAGCATCATTGATTGATCTGTTCTTAAAGGGAAATATCATTATCTTGGTTTCCCTCATCTCTAGAAATATGAATGCAAATCAGTAGGAATTATTACAGCAATCATAGAGGAAAGGAACAGAGAGAGGAGAAAAGAGGGTGATGTTAATTGCCAGTCACATTTTTTAGCAGTCAAATTTTTACCCAACAATTATATAGATGATAAAAATGCTTCTAATCAGGTAGCAATGGCAGAGAGATTACTATTCCTCTTACTTAATTCTGGATGAAGGGCATTGGTGGGATTGATTAGGAAGGAGGTGAGCACAGGGGCAAGTAAAGTGTGGACACTTTATATCTGGAGATAGCAAGAATATCTCTATCTGAGATAGAGGTCTGGGTATGGATAAAGGTTAAAATAAAAAACTCTTTTCATTAATAATTTTGCTCCTTGAAAAAGTTACTTCTACATCCAACCATCCCATAAATCTCTGGCAAAACACATACACATATGCACACATGCACACACACACACACACACACACTTTTTAATTTTCACTGTCTCTCTTCCCTGAGCCTCTGTATAATTTCCTGGTGTCTGAAAGGAAATGCCTTTCAGTGAAGCCTATATAGCTACTGAAATGGGAAGAGCCCATTTATGACTAAGGCCCAGAGAAGTTAAGTGACTTGACCAAGGCCACACAGCCCATAGTAGTAAAACTGAGGACCCTGTCTCTCAGGTCAGTGCTTGTTCTAAAATTCTTCTTTATTCATCTGCTAGGTTTCATTCCCCATATTGAAAGAAAACAACTCACTATTTTCAGAGCTTAGGTATCTTTTAAAAGGCCACAAAAGAAGAGAGGAAAAGTGAAGGGGGGAGGGTAAGGAGAACTGCATGTCACATTTCAAAGAACAGAAAGAGAAAGGTTTGAAAAGCCTTTTGGAATTTCCCTCCCATGGCTTACACAGGGCAGGGTCAAGCAGTCTCTGAGCTGCTCTTTTTTTTTTCTTCTCTCTTTCATTGGCAAGATATCCTTTAAGGGCTTGTTCCCAAATCTAGTCACAGAATGTGGCAAATCCCAGACTCGGGGTAAAAGCTGCCAGTCTCATTTTCTCTTCACAAATTGTACTGTTTGTTTTTTTATGCAGAACGAGTATGGCATTAGTATTCTCTGGCAAGAACAAGGAATATGCTTTAAGGCAATGACACTCCTCTACCCTGGCCTGGTAGCCATTTTGTTCTCAATAAACTTGACTAGGTAATTTGTTCCAGCATAAGGCAAACCAAACCAGAAGCCATTATTGAAAGTGTAGGCATGCCTGTTAGTGGGTCAGTTGTGGACATTTATTAATATAAGTGCCTACCCAACACTACACTGGATACTGAAGGTCAGAAGGGTAGGGGAAGGAGGCCCAATGGGGATGAAAAACTGGTTTCTTTAGAAGCAAATAATCTAGAACACAGACAGGAAAACAATACAAAGTCATAGGACAAGTAGTCCTCTAAGATAGCAATCCCCCAGAAGCCCTTAGGACTGCACTGTTAAGGCGTATGTGTCTACAATATGACTACATCTATTCATTTGTGTCTGACATGAATTAATAATGGATTCCTGATGGTTCTAGTTAGTGTCTCACTGAAAACATCATCATTTATCCTCAGGTGACTTTTTTTTTTGCAGTGGCAAAGTAATAGGACATTTTTGTGGAGTGAGAGATCTCTTGTCTCATGAAAGTGGTTTGTATTCACCTAAAGAATTTGAGAACCACTGATAAAATAAATTGAATATGAATTTATATATAACATGATGTAACATAAATGTTGAGAGCTAAGCAAAGAACAGTCATTTACAATGGACCTATAGGTGCACTGTTCCATAAAAATCTTAGAGGAATGCACATCTATTCTCAAATAGCTCCATAAAATAATACACTACTGTTTACTCTGAAAGGAGAAATCCACAAACCATCTCAGTTTCATTTTTCAGCTGGGGCCCCAGAGAGTATAATCATATTAAAGCGGATGTGAAATTTAATTATTTGTTTTCTAAAATATTCATATTTTAAATCACAGGCTTTAGGGAAATTTGATGACATAAATCAATTTTTTTTTTCTGTTGCCTTATCCCATTTACACGGGCACAGTGGCTCACATCTGTAATCCCAGTGCTTTGGGAGGCAGAGGCGGAAGGATAACTTGATGTCAGGAGTTCAAAACCAGCCTGGGCAACATAGTGAGATGCGTGTCTACAAAAATTAAAAACAAAATTAGATAGGTGTGGTGGCATATGCCTGTAGTCCTAACTACTCAGGTGGGAGGATTGCTTGAGCTCAGGGGGTTGAGGCTGAAGTGAGCTATGATCATGCCACTGCACTCCAGCCTGGGAAACAGAGCGACACTCTGTCTCCTAAAAAAAAAAAAAAAAAAAAAAAAAAAAAAAAAAAGAATTTGGTTTCAAATTTTCAGGACCATCTCTCTTCACAAATTTAGATCTGCCTGCAAAATTCCATTATTCTTCCAGGCAGAGTAGGTAGGGACTGGAAAACAGTTCTGGAAGAATGCCAAAGGCTCTTTCCCATCTCACAAGGGTCCTTCCTCTCAAACTTTGTAAACTGGGAATGATGGTTGGAAAAGGTCATCTCCAACCCGTGTTGAGTAACCTGTCATTATCCTCAGTCGCTTAGTAGCTCTCAACAAGGGGCATGGCTTTTAGTCACTGCCTAGGGGCAGTAAGGTGAAGACAAAGGGCTCCTCTTAACATAAAGAACTTTCTCCCCTTATTCTTGGATGGTCTGTTCTCTGGACTCTTAGAAAAACTGCTCCACCAAAATAGGAAAAAAATCTGTTACAAAGGAAATCACTAGGTTTGCTTCCTTCTCAACTGTCCAATTTATTCTCACTTCAGAGCAGTGGTTCTCAACCTTTTTTTTCTCTCTTTTTCCTGCTTCCACTGTTTCCAGACACAAAAACACTCCCATCATTACCCTCTTTCCTTAGAAGATTCTGACCTGCCCCCTATAGGGGAGATTCCCCATTCTCCACCCTTTTTCACTGACTTGCAGAAAACCATTAAATACCAAAAGAAGGACCCAAATGAACTGTCTGAAGTTAAGATGGATCAATATGTTTTACCATGCAACATTGTGGGGAAGAAGGAAAAGGAAGTTCCTGAGAAAGGAACTGAGTGTGGACTATGGTGGAAAAAAGACTGAAGGAGTCAGATATCTTGGCCCCCACATTTTAGAACTGCAAGCCTCAGATTCTTCAGGTGTAAAATAGGGACAATATACCTGTTTCACAGGTGATTAAGAAAAATGAATGAAAATGGAAATGAAAGCAACTTTTAAAGTGTACTGTAAACAATGGGTTTTGTTCATTTTCAGGTTTTCCTTACCCTCCCTTTGAACATAAACCAGCCAGTTAAACAACCTAAACTTTCTCCAGAGATATGTACTCCAAAGTGGCCAGCCGGAAGTCATCAGACCTCAGAAAAAGTTAGTTTGAAAAAAAAAGTAGGCACTATTAAAATAAATATAAGGAAGCCTAAACTCCAATCTCAGATTAATTTAATCTGCATCTTCAGGGAAAAATTATCCCTAACTTCTGTAAGTTAGTTGTTGATGTCCCCAAATTTCTGAAGCTGAATTGATTTTATCTAAGCAAAAAAGTGGTAGTCTTTTCTACACCCTAATATATTGGCAATTTAAAATCACCAATTGCTTTACCAAGAGTTTTCCAAATGTCCCACTGTATTTCAGAGGCACCAATAACTTCTCAGAAATACAGGAGTATTCGTTTGAAGATTAGCAAGGATGATTTTGCACTCTGAATTGTTCCTGTGCTTCTGTGGCATTTCACACAGACCTTTATTATACAAATATGCTATGATGGCCTGGCATTGTTACCTGACACATAGTAGCCCTGAATAAATATTTGTTTAATGAATGATCCTTAATATTCTTCCTGAAATCTCTACAATGCTTTGATTCTAATTTAGTTTAAAAAAAATTTTTTTTGACATAATTTCTCCTCTGGCTTAAAAAGTTTTGGGGGATGGTATTTTAGAGAAAGCACTTTTATTTTTCCCTTGAAGTTTATTTGGCTTAGCTGAAGTCTTCAGGACACTTTTCCTTTGTATTTTTATGAGGCCTTCCTGAGAGCTTACTGACAATGCAGACGATCAATTACAAGGCTGAAGAGTTATGTTGCGTAAGGCTCTGTGCTTCTAAACACCCCAAAAAGATAACAGCTAACACGACTGTACTTACACTTCCTGGGGTCCAAGATCTTCTGTCTACTGGATATCTCTGCCCTCCTTCTCCAGTTTGAACTGGAAAAAAGAAAATTCCGCCTCCCTCCCTGTAATCAGGAAATACATTTAACCAGAATGCCCAAACCCGTGTTTATATCTGAGATGTAGATTAAAATGACAAGTGATGGCCAGGCGCGGTGGCTCACGCCTGTAATCCCAGCACTTTGGGAGGCTGAGGCGGGCGGATCACAAGGTCAGGAGTTTGAGACCAGCCTGACCAACATGGCAAAACCCCGTCTCTACTAAAAATACAAAAATTAGCCGGGCGTGGTGGCACGCGCCTGTAATCCCAGCTACTCAGGCGGCTGAGGCAGGAGAATCGCTTGAACCAGGGAGGGGAAGGTTGCAGTGAGCCGAAATTGCGCCACTGCACTCCAGCCTGGGCAACAGAGCAAGACTCCGCCTCAAAAAAAAAAAAAAAAAAAAAAAGACAAGTGATATATTTAGAATGTCATTTGGTCTATCTGAAATGTGATACCAGACACTAAGAGGTAATTTCTCTTTTTGTCAACCCATTTCCCCAACTATTATGCCACTAAGTCTTCCTTCCCCAAGCCATACAGATATCAAATGGGACAAGAATCATGAGGAAATTTTATTCAACACAGTACCTCCTCACTTTTAGCACCTATTGAGCAAAGGAGCCACCCTGGCTTGTTGTTAATGAGCACGCCAGGAACCGCATTAGCAAAAGGCTGGAGCCCAGGCCTTGCCTCCCTCCCTCAGAGTGTAGTTAATTTGAAACAAACAAACAAAAAAACATCGAAAAGGGAAGTCATCCTGATTTTTGCCTTCATCTGTCAGGGTCCTAATATATGGGCCAAAGTGTCCACTTCCCGGGACAAATTGTCTTCTCTATTGCTTGGCAGCTATTGAGGGGGAAGAAAAGTACCATTGAAAACTGGGCCCCGTGAATGCTTATTACTCCCCAGTTCTTTGTTATTAGTGTGAAGTTATTCCTTCTAGAAGAAAAGATACGGGGAGTCACCTTAATTCCGAAGGCTGAGACTTTATTAGTATGAGAGTCACATTCTTGCTACAAAGCTGTATCTTTGTATGCATAGTTTGGGAGTTTTCTCTGTAAATTGTTAACTGAAACTCCTGCCATCGTTGCCTCCCGAGGAGAGAAGGTGGCTCGGGGTCGGGGCGCTGCTTCGGTCCCCATTGCAGGTGACACTTTCCACCTCCCCAGTCCCGACCTAGTCGCTGGCGGGCGGCGGGAGAGGCCTGACCCCACTCCTCTTTCCGCACTGCCACTCCCACGTCCTGGTCCTTTCCCTCCCAAACGCTCTCCAGCCCCGGCCTGGGGCTCTAAGGACAGAAATAACTTGCAGTGGGGGTTGGGGTGCGGACCTGGGCGCCTGCCCCTGGCTCCCCGCCCCTTCGCCCCCTGTGTCCGGGAAGAAGAGGGGCGAGCCCGGGGGAGCCCGGGCTTTCCCGTCCGCAGACATACCTGGAAGCGTGGATGCCGTCTGGAGAGCCCGAACCTCTCTTCCTCAAAGACAACCACCACCCGCGCGCGGCAGCCCCCCGTTCGGCTCTGGCCACCGCGACCCCGCCGGGCCGGCTCCGGGCTGAGCCACCGCAGTGCAGCGCCAGCGCGGGCCGCGCGGTTGCCTAGCAACGAGCCTGCCCGATTTAAAGGGACCCGGACTCCGGACGCGCGCAGGGGGCCGGACGCTGGCGTCCCGCAGTCAAAGCCTGGCCGGAGGACTGAGCATGCCCGGTGAAGCGGGTACCGCGGCGGCTTCTGCCCGGCAAGAAATAGGAGCTCGTGGAAGGAAAGCTGAGTCAGGGTGGGAAGGGGCCAGAAACTGCAAGGCAGCCCCACCCGCAGTGGGATTATTTCGGAGGGTCTGGGTGACTCACAAAGCCACCTGGACACTATGACTGTATGCGGGTCCAGACGGCGTGGCATAGGGTCAGTTCCTAGGTCTGCTGTTATTAGCATGACATGGTGGAGGGTTTGCTCTGGAAGGTTGCCAGGATTTGGTGCAGGGTTGCTAACTATGCAGGAGTTCCACCCCACCCTCCATCCCCACGCACACCCTCACGCATTAGCACAATGGTCTGACTTCTGACCAAGGTTTTAAGGACGTTAGGTCAGGAGAGCATTGTGCCGTGGCTATGCCCCTACGGAAGACTGGGCTTGTATCTCAGAGAGCCCATGGTTTCCTCATTTGCCACTCAGGAATTTCTCTAAACCACTCTTGCACCCTACTTGAATTTAAAACCCATTGGGGGCAACTAGTTCCACACTACTGACAGTGTGAAATTGTTTCCTTTTATTTGTCCCCAAAGTACTGTCTTCCTACTTCAAAGTTTGCTCACAACTTCCAGGATTTGGTTGGGTGACAAGCCCATGCTTTTCACTGTGTTATAGATTTTAAACATTGTATTTTGTTGAATCAATAAATGATCTTCTTAGACTTAGGCCAGGCGCAGTGGCTCACACCTGTAATCCCAGCACTTTGGGAGGCCGAGGTGGGCGGATTACCTGAGGTCAGGAGTTTGAGACCAGCCTGGCCAACATGCTGAAACCCATTTCTACTAAAAGCACAAAAATTAGCCTGGCGTGGTGGTGCACACCTGTAGTCCCAGCTACTCGGGAGGCTAAGGCAGGTGAATTGCTGGAACCTGGGAGGCGTGAGCTGAGATCATGCCACTGCACTCCAGCCTGGGTGACAGAGCGAGACTCCATCTCAAAAAATAAATAAATAGGCCGGGCGCGGTGGCTCATGCCTGTAATCCCAGCAATTTGGGAGGCCGAGGTGGGTGGATCACCTGAGGTCAGGGGTTCGAGACCAGCCTGGCCAACATGGTGAAACCTCATCTCTACTAAAAATTACCAAAAAATTAGCCTGGTGTGGTGGCACACATCTGTAGTCACAGCTACTCGGGAGGCTGAGGCATGAGAATCACTTGACCCTGGGAGGCGGAGGTTGCAGTGAGCCGAGATTGCACCACTGCTCTCCAGCCTGGGTGACAGAGTGAGACTCCATCTCTAAATAAATAAATAAATAAATATCTTCTCAGATTTTGATTAGCCTGGTTGCCCAGTACTAATTCTTCCATCACCACGATGGACTTGACCCAGGCTGTGGGACCTGAAACCGTGGGTCTGGGGTGTCTGAAATAGTAACAAGAGTGATTCTTAGGAAAGCTAGTATTTTCTAGGAAGCATTAGGGTGAAAGGAAATATTGGCTTTGGGATCTCAAGTGAAAGGAGGTTTAAGAATTTTTTAAACGTGCCAGTCTAATTTATCAAGGACCTAGCAAGGGAGTGACTTAGGAACAATACCAGGATACATTTCAAAGCTTCAAAACTTCTTGGGAACCGGATGTAACAGGTGTTTGAGAGCTGGCAAAGCTTCTTCCAGGTGCCCTGAGGCCTAGTTCTCAATCACCTTTTTCCTCCTTAGAGAACCAAAGTCAACAAGGGTTGGAGGTAGGAAGAGTCCTAATGTCAATGTGTGTTTTATTATTGACTGACTCCTTCAGAATTAATTTGTGGGATTCTGACAGAACTTCTTTCCTTGACGTTGAGTCTCCAAATTGCCGTGCATCTTCCATGTATTTTTTTTTTTTTTGAGACAGAGTCTGGAGTGCAGACCCAGGCTAGAGTGCAGTGGTGCGATCTCAGCTCACTGCAACCTCTGCCTTCCCGGTTCAAGTGATTCTCCTGCCCCAGCCTCCAGAGTAGCTAGGACTACAGGCCCGCACCACCATGCCTGGCTCATTTTTAAATTTTTTAATTTTTAGTAGAGAAAGGGTTTCTCCATGTTGGCCAGGCTGAACTTGAACTCCTGACCTCAAGTGATCCGCCCGCCTTGGCCTCCCAAAGTGCTGGGATTACAGCCATGAGTCACCGCACCTGGCCTATCATTTGTTTTAATTATTTTAAAAGGATCCCATTTATTTCTGCTGGAGGTAAGATCCCTTATAATAAAGGAATCTTTCTTAATTGCTCCGTGCCTCACTTTCCTCATTTGTACAATGGGAATACTAATTGGACTTAACTCATGAGTGTTGTGAGGATCAAGTGAGTTAATGTTTTTAAGACCCTTAGAACGGTACTTGACACAGAATAAATCCTATACAACTGTTTGCTATTCTTATTATTATATTGCCTTATACATTCATCACTTTCCTAAAATATAAATACAAACACACTGATGGTGATAATTCAGGGTGTGTTCTGGAAAATGGAGTCAGAAATCTTGAGACCCAGAATTCCAAACCTTTATTTCAGGTAGAGTTTCAGATTCTCACCAAGCAACTCCACACCACCCCCATATTCGTGAATAAAAGGCACAAAGATTACCTTGGTCTTGCCGTAATTATCTTTTTAAATATGGTGGGTCACTCCTTGTACCATCGGTATCAAATGGCAGAGGATCAACAACGATTAGGACAGAGAGTTTTGTTATTCAAAGCTACTGCAGACTTGGAGATAGGTTTTCAAATATGTAAGTCAGAAAACGTTTACTATCCTCTGGAAGATTTACCAATACTAAGGCAACAAAGCACTTGATATTGTATTAATAGAATTATACAGTCATACAATGGAGCCCAACCTTCTCATTTCACCACGTGGGAGACTGAGACTCAGAGAAGTAATGTGATTTTTTTCTTGGATCATGCAGCAAAATAGGCTACTTTTGATTGCCCTGGAAAATGATCCTAGTTTCAGTAGCCTCAAACCTGGGCTATTTGGGGCAATGAAAACATATACATTTATAAGTATGTGTATATATATATATAATATTATATATATATATAATTATATATATATATATTTTTTTTTTTTTTGCGACGGGGTCTCACTCTGTCGCCAAGGCTGAAGTGCAGTGGCGTGATCTCAACTCACTGCAACTTCTGCCTCCCGGGTTCAAGCGGTTCTCCTGCCTCAGCCTCTCAAGAAGCTGGGATTTAAGCGTGTGCCACCACACCTGTCTAATTTTTTGTATTTTTAGTAGAGACGGGGTTTTACCACGTTGGCCAGGCTGGTCTCAAACTCCTGACCTCAGGTGATCCACCCGCCTCAGCCTCCCAAAGTGCTCAGATTACAGACGTGAGCCACTGCACCTGGCCTATAAGCATATATTATATGTGGATAAACTATTTGTGCAGATAATAATAATAGCTAACATTTATCACACCCCACATCCTATACATCAGCAAATTCTGTTGGCCGTACCTTCCTAATATCTGACAGCTTCTCCAGCCTGGGCAACAGAGCAGAATCTGACAGCTTCTCACCATTTCCGCCTTTACCACCCCTCCTCTGGCCCTCATCATCTTTTGACTGGACCTTGCAATAGCCTCCTGCTTCTACACTTGCCCGCTGTATTCTTTTCCTACAGCTGCCATAATGAAGTATCACAAACTGGGTGGCTTAAAGCAACAGACACTTATTCTTTCACAGTTCTGGAGGCCTAGAAGCCCAAAACTAAGGTGGTTTGAAGTGGGTTCCTTCTAGAGGCTCTGAGTGAGAATCTGTCTCTCCTAGCTTCTGGTGGTTGCCAGCAATCCTCAACCCTGCACGGCTTGCAGATGCATCACTCCAATCTCTGCCTCCGTCTTCCCATGGTCTTCTCCCTATGTGTCTGTGTGTCTTCACATGGCCATCCTCCTTCTGTGTGTGTCTGTGTGCCCAAATTCTCCTCCTCTTATAAGCATGCCAGTTGTTGGCCTAGGGCCCACCCTAATCCAATATGACCTCATCTTAACTTGATTGCATCTGTAAAGACCCCCTTTCTTTCTCTTTCTTTCTTTCTTTCTTTCTTTCTTTCTTTCTTTCTTTCTTTCTTTCTTTCTTTCTTTCTCTCTCTCTCTCTCTCTCTCTCTCTCTCTCTCTCTCTCTCTCTTTCTTTCTTTCTTTTTCTTTCTTTCCTTCTTTCTTTCTTTCTTTTTTGACAGAGTCTCACTCTCTGTTGCCCAGGCTGGAGTGCAGTGGCACGATCTCAGCTCACTGCAACCTCCGCCTCCCAGGTTCAAGTGATTCTCCTGCCGCAGCCTCCTGAGTAGCTGGGATTACAGGCACGCACCACCACGCCGGGCTAATTTTTGAATTTTTAGTAGAGACGGGGTTTCACCATGTTGGTCAGGCTGGTCTCGAACTCCTGACCTCATGATCCACCTGCCTCAGCCTCCTAAAGTGCTGGGATTACAGGCGAGAGCCACCGAGCCCGGCCCTGTAAAGACCCTATTTCTAAATAAGGTCACGTTAATAGGTATTGGGGGTTAGGATTTGAACATATCTTTTGGGGGGACACAATTCAACCCACAACACCTGCCCAGCGTCTATTCTCAGCACAGTATCCAGAGAGACCATTACAAAACACTAAGTCAAATCATGTTACAACTCTGCTCAAAAGCCTACAAAGGCTCTCTATTTGATTTACAGTAAAAGCCAAAGCCTTTGTAATAGGCTCTATGGGATTTGCATCAAGAACCCTCTAACTCCACACCCATACCCACAATACCTCTCTGATCTCTCCTACTCCTTTGACCCTTGCTGGTACCACTCAATAACAGTGGCTGCCTTATTGTTCGGAGAATACACAGGCACCCTCCCACCATTAGGGGCTTTGCTCAACCTGTTCCCTTTGCCTTGAATGCTCTTTCCCAAGACATCCACATATCTTACTTCCTTACCTCCCTCAAATCTTTGTTCAAATCCTAGCTTCTTGGTGACACCTACTGCTAACTTATAGCCTCTCCAGCACTCCCACTATTCTTTACCATGCTCTAATTTTTTTAATATAGCACTTATTTTCTAACATACTCCATTATGTTATCTTCTGTTCTTCCTGCACCCCTTGCCTCCAGTCTGCCCTACACTATAAGCTCCAAGAGGGCAGGGATCTTTGATTCGTTCACTGATATATACTAAGCACCAAGCAGACTGCTCGGCACATGGTAGGCACTGAACAGT
This sequence comes from Homo sapiens, assembly GCF_000001405.40. Taxonomy (NCBI): domain Eukaryota; kingdom Metazoa; phylum Chordata; class Mammalia; order Primates; family Hominidae; genus Homo; species Homo sapiens. The sequence goes on along the minus strand of NC_000023.11, from coordinate 134,231,856 downwards.
TAATGAATGAATGGATGAATGGATTAATGAGTTGAGCTCATACCATGTGCCAGGAGTGTTTCATTTAATCTTCACAACAATCTTATGATGTAGGTACTATTATTACAGCCTCCCTTATATCACTTTCTCTTCATTTCTCTGTTCCTATATTTTACAGATGAGAAAACTGAAGCACACGGAGATTAAGTAACCTGCCTAATGTCACACAATTAGTAAGTGGAGCTGGGGTTTGAACTCAGGAAGGTCTGGCTTTGGAGTCTTTCAATGACTATGCAGCATTGACACATAAGAGAGCATCTGACCACTAGTGTCAGGGAGACCTTATATCCCAGCTATGTCTTGTTCTGACATTCACGTTTTCTAACAGCAGGTGATGAATAGTAATAGTTTTCAAACTATTCATGCCATATTTTGCTAAGATGCAGTTTGATGATGTTTATACATTGCATCACACAAACTCTGGAAACTATCTGGGTACAAATACCAGCTCCACTATTTAACTGATATATGTTCTTGAGCAATCTGCTTAGCTTCTCTGTATCCTAGGTTCTTCCTGAATAAATCGGGAGTAATTATAATACCTACTTCACAGGGTGGCTGTAAGGATAAATTAGTTACTACGTGTAAAGCAATTTGAACAGTGCTTGGTAAATAGAAAGTACTCAACAGGTCTTAACTGTTAGTAATAGTAGTCTTCTGTAAGTAACAAATTTTGATCTAGTCTTGCCTATAATATAGAAGTTGTGATACAAATTTACTCCTGATGGGGGCCGGGTGCGGTGGCTCATGCCTGTAATCCCAGCACTTTGGGAGGCCGAGGTGGGCGGATCACCTGAGGTCAGGAGTTCGAGACCAGCCTCAACATGGAGAAACCCCGTCTGTACTAAAAATACAAAATTAGCCAGGTGTGGTGGTGCATGACTCTAATCCCAGCTACTCGGGAGGGTGAGGCAGGAGAATTGCTTGAACACGGGAGGCAGAGGTTGCGGTGAGCCGAGATCGCGCCATTGCAATCCAGCCTGGGCAACGAGAGTGAAACTCCGTCTCAAAATAAATAAATAAATAAAAATAAAAAAAATTTTACCCCGATGTTAGAAGTCGTAATAAAGGTTATCTTGTGGTGGGGTGGGTAGTAACTGGAAAAGAGTACAAGGCAGGTTTAGGGGTTATGGTAATGTTCTATTTCTTTTGGCTTTTTTTTTTTTTTGAGACAGGGTCTCGCTCTGTCACCCAGGCTGGAGTGCAGTGGCACCATCTCGGCTCACTGCAGCCTCCTCCGCCTCCTGGGTTCAAGCGATTCTCATGCCTCAGCCTCCCGAGTAGCTGGGACTACAGGCGTGCACCACCACGTCCAGCTAAGTTTTGTATTTTTAGTAGAGACGTGGTTTCACCATGTTGGCCAGGCTGGTCTCGAACTCCTGACCTCAAGTGATCCACCCGCCTCTGCCTCCCAAAGTGCTGGGATTACAGGCATGAGCCACCACGGCTGGCCGGTAATGTTCTATTTCTTGATGTGGGCATGGTTATGTGGATTTGTTTACTTTGTGAAAAATCATGGAAATGTACACTTAAGTTTCGGACTTTTTTATTTCTTTGTTTATTTGCATACCTCAATACAAATTCGATTTAAAAACAACTGAAGGCAGCCTCCCCCATATCACTTTCTCTTAATTTCTGTATTCCTTTTAAAAAATTTCTCCAAATTCCTGCTTATTCAAGTAACATTTGCTGAGCACCTCAATGTGCCTGGAATTGGACTGAAAGCTAGAAGTATTTAAATAGGCAAATGTAATAAATGCAGTGATGGGTGTATGCACAAATTAAGGAGGGCTCAGAGGAAGGAGTGGTCCATCAGATGGGAAAGGGGCTTGAGTCAAGGAAATCTCAAGCCCCTTGGAAGTTGAATCATCTGAGCTGGGTCTTGAAAGATGAATAGTAGTTCACATATACAAAGGTGGTAAACGCAGAAGGAATAGCACGTGTAAAGGCACAGAAGTACGAAACAGCAAACAGCATGACAGGTTAGAAATCTTTTTTTTTTTTTTTTTGAGACAGAGTCTCACTCTCTCGCTCTGTCACCCAGGCTGGAGTACAGTAGCGTGATCCCTGCTCACTGCAACCTCCGCCTCCCAGGCTCAAGTGATTCTTGTACCTCAGCCTCCTGAGTAGCTGGGATTACAGGCATGTGCTACCACGTCCAGCTAATTTTTTGTATTTTTAGTAGAGACGAGGTTTCACCGTGTTAGCCAGGATGGTCTCAATCTCCTGACCTCATGATCTGCCCGCCTCGGCCTCCCAAAGTCCAGAGATTACAGGTGTGAGCCACTGCACCTGGCCTTGACGGGTTAGAAGTCTTAAACTATTTCAGATTTACTGGAGCTTAAAGTGGAAGGCAGGAGTTAGGAGGGGATTGAGTGAGAGTAAGAGCCCACAGAAAAAGGTGCTACTCGTAGGTGAAGTTATATTTGTTTAACAGATTAAAATATTTGAAAATCCAAATAGATGCATTTATATAGTTGATTTGCCTTACTAAATCATTTGGTTGGATTCAGAAAATACCTATTCATTTATCTACAACACATCAGGTAGTGTGCTAAGTCTGTGCATTCAAAAATTACTAAAATCAGGCTGGCTTGGTGGCTCACACCTGTAATCCCAGCATTTTGGGAGGCTGAAGTAGGAAGATCACTTGAGATCAGCCTGAGCAATAGAGTAAGACCCTAGCTCTACAAAAATTAAAAATAAAAATAAATTTTCCAGGCGTGGTGGCACACGCCTGTAGTCCCAGCTACTCAGGAGGCTGAGCTGGAAGGATTGCTTGAGCCCAGTAGTTTGAGGTTGGAGTAAGCCATGATTGTGCCACTGCATTCCAACCTGAGTGACGGAGGGAGACTTGTCTCTAAAAAATTAAAAATAAAAAAAATAAGAAGATCAACAAACCCAAGCACAATAAATATGAAGAAAATGACACCAAGGCCCATGATAATCAAATTGCTTAAAATCAGTGATAGAGAAAACCTCAAGGCAGCCAGAGGAAAAAACAACACATTATATACATAGGGCAGACATTTCTCATCAGAAAAAATGCAAGCCAGAAGACAGTGGAGCAATATCTTTTTTCTTTTTTTTTTTTTTTTTTTGAGATGGAGTCTTGCTCTGTCGCCCAGGCTGGAGTGCGGTGGTGCAATCTCAGCTCACTGCAACCTCTGCCTCCTGGGTTCAAGCGATTCTGCTGTCTCAGCCCCCTGAGTAACTGGGATTACAGGTGCGTGCCAGCACGCCCAGCTAATTTTTGTATTTTTGGTAGAGACTGGGTTTCGCCATGTTGGCCAGGCTGGTCTCAAACTCCTGACCTCAGGTGATCTGCCAACCTCGGCCTGCCAAAATGCTGGGATTACAGGCATGAGCCACCGCACCTGGCTGGAACATCTTTTAAGAAGTGAAAGTTAAAAAAAAAAAAACTTTCAGCCTAGACTTCTTCACCCAGCAAAACTAAAGCAAAATAAGGACTTTTTCAGGTATGCAAAAGCTGAAAGAATTAGTCATTAGAAGGCCTGCAGTACAAGAAATGTTAAAGGAAGTCCTTCAGTATTGATACCAGATAAAAAATATGGATCTACACTAAGAAATGCAAAGCACTGAAAATGGTAAATATGTGGGTAGGTATAAGGACTTTATTCTTATTGTTTAAATCTCCAAAGATAGTCAACTGTCTAAAGCAAAAATGATTGATATTTTATGAGATTATAACATATGTCAAAATAAAATATACGAGAAAATAGCACAAATGTTGGGAGGGAAGAAATGGAAGTATAATATTGTAAAGTTCTTGCATAATATAAATCACTTGAAGGTAGAATCTAATAAGCAAAGCATGTTTACAGGTAGTGCTCACTTTGCTTGGTTTCAATATGCACAAATTTCAGTTACACAGTTTGGTTAACACCAGTCCCCCAACAACACAGTTCAAATTTTAGTTGCCATAGTATATTAACTGTAATTACATAAAGTACAGAGTTTGTTGCTAGCTCATCAGTTCACAGATAACTACATAAATAACAGATATGCATCATGATCAGTGGCCAATCACATCACTTCATTCAAAGCTTGCCAGCTATTGGTCATTGTGCAGCTGTTATTCAGTTCATGCACAGACAACAAAGCATGTAGATGTTTTGACTCCATGAATCTCAGTGATAAACACAAGTGACATTTTACAAAGATCAATTAAAAAGAGAGAAAACTGGACAACATAGACGAGGTTGCAACAAAGAAATAGAAAGTAAGAATATTGGAAATGAAATTTGAATACAATATATATGGAGTCACAGAATAAATTGTTGATCATGGGAATGTTGACATCATTTCAAAGACTCTAGATATGCAACCAGATGAACCTAAAGAAGAAAAACTCATCAACATAAATGAGGAAAGTGATTGTGGAGAAAGGAATGAAGATGCTCAAGAAGAAGTAATGCCAGGGGGAAAAATCCCTCCACATTAAAGGAACTTTTGGAGACATTTAGTGATATCGAAAGCACGGAGGATAAAATGTTGAAAGTGGATTCAAACTTAGAAAGGACCATGATGGCTGGGTGTGATGGCTCATGCCTGTAATCCCAACACTTTGGGAGACTGAGGCAGGAGGATTGCTTGAGCCCAAGAGTTCAAGAGCAGCCTGGGTAACATAGACCTTGTCTTTACAAAAAAATTTTCAAAATTAGCCAGGTGTGATGGCATGCACCTGTAGTCCCAGCTAGTCAGGAGGCTGAGGCAGGAGGATCTCTTGAACCCACAAGGTTGAGGCTGCAGAGAACTGTGATTGTGCCACTGCACTCCAGCCTGGGCGACAGAGCAAGACCCTGTCTCTACAAAAATTTTTTTAAAAATTAAAAAAAATATTACCCAGGCATGGTACCGCATGCCTGTAGTCCTAGCTACTTGGAAGGCTGAAGTGGGAGGTTCACTGGAGCCCAGGAGTTCAAGGCTGCAGTGAGCTATGATTGTGCCACTGCACTGTAGCCTGGGCAGCAGAGCAAGACCTTGTCTCAAAATAATAAATAAATAAATAAATGACCATGACAATTCGCCAAGGCGTAGAAAAAATGCTTGCTTCAGATAGTCATACAATGAGAAGTCCTTACTCTTCAAACAATTTTGATGTTTTTCTTAATTAAACTTTTAAATTCTGAGATAACTGCACATTTACATGCAGTTGTAAGAAATAACATAGAGTGATCCTGTGTGTCTTTTTTTTTTTTTTTTTGAGATGGAGTTTCACTCTTGTCACCCAGGCTGGAATGCAATGGTGCGATCTCAGCTCACTGCAACCTCCGCCTTCCAGGTTCAAGTGATTCTCCTGCCTCAGCCTCCTGAGTAGCTGGGATTACAGGCATGGGCCAACACACCCAGCTAATTTCTGTATTTTTAGTAGAGATGGGATTTCATCATGTTGGTCAGGCTGGTCTCAAACTCCTGACCTTAGGTGATCCACCTGCCTTGGCCTCCTAAAGTGCTGGGATTACAGGTGTGAGCCACCTCCTCTGGCCCCATGTACCCTTTACCCAGTTCCCACCAGTTTCCATCACCACAAGAATCCCTCCTGTTGCTTTTTTATAGTTACACTCATTTTCCTCCCACACCCCCTTCACTCCTGATAATCACTAATCTGTTCTCCATTTCTATAATGTTGTCATTTCCAGAAAGTTATGCACATGAAATCATAAAGTATGTAACCTATTGAGATTGGCTTTATTCACTCATCATAATTCTCTGGTAATTCATCCAGGTTGTTGCATGTGTGGATAGTTTGTTTCTTTTTATTGCTGAGTAGTATTCCATGATATATACCACAGTTTGTTTACCCATTTACCTTTTGGAGGACATTTGGGTTGTTTAACATTTGGGGCTACTACAAAGAAAGCTGCTACAAATATTTGTGTAGCGGTTTTTGTATGAATACAAGTTTTCATTTGTCTGGCATAAATGCCCAGTAGTGCAGTTGCTGGGTCATATGGTGATTGCATGATTGCATGTTTAGTGTTTTTAAGAAACTGTCAAACTATTTTTCAGAGTGGCTGTACCATTTTGCATTCTCAACAGCAATGAATGAGTGATCCAGTTTATCTGCATCATTTTCAGCATTTGGTATTGGCACTATTTTTTATTTTAGTCATTTTGCTAGTCATGTAGTGATATCTCCTTTTTTTTTTTTTTTTAAGACGGAGTCTCTCTCTGTAGCCCAGGCTGGAGACCTGTGGCATGATCTTGGCTCACTGCAGCCTCCACCTCCAGAGTTCAAGTGATTCTCGTGCCTCAGCCTCCCGAGGAGCTGGGATTACAGGTGTGTGCCACCACGCCCAGCTAATTTTTGTATTTTTAGTAGAGATGGGGTTTCACCATGTTAGCCAGGCTGGTCTGGAACTCCTGACCTCAGGTGATCCGCCTGCCTCGGGCTGCCAAATTGCTGGGATTACAGGTGTGAGCCACCGTGCCCAGCCTCCTTTTGGTTTTAATTTGCATTTCCCTAGTGGTTGTCCCTAATGTTGAACAGCATTTCATGTGCTTATGGAGGATTAGTATATCTGCTTCAGTGAAATGTCTTTTCCTACTTTTTACCCATTTTCTATGTGAATCATTTTTGGTTTTAATTTTTGCTACTGAGTTTTGAGAGTTCTTTATATATTCTAGGTACTAGTCCTTTGTTGGATGTGTGATTTCTCTCAGTCTGTACCTTGTCTTTTAATTTTCTAAACACAGTTTTTCAGAGTACAAAAAATGTTTAATTTTTATGAAGTCCAATTTATCAATTTTTTCTTTTATGCATCATGCTTTTGTTCTTACACAAGTGTAAGAACAGTGTCTAGCCCTAGATCTCGAAGATTTTCTCCTGCTTTTTTTCCTAAAAGACATGAGCCACCACACCCAGCCCACACTATATATTTAAATCTATGATACATTTTTAGTTAATTTTTTCCCTATCATCATGTTTGGTATTTAGTTAATTTTTTTTTTCTTGAGACAGAGTCTCACTCTGTTGCCCAGGCTGGAGTGAAGTGGCATGATCTTGGCTCACTGCAACTTCTGCCTCCCAGGTTCAAGCAATTCTCCAGCCTCAGCCTCCCAAGTAGCTGGGATTACAGGTGCGTGTCACCACACCCGGCTAATTTTTTACATATATATATTCTTTTAGTAGAGACGGGATTTCGCCATGTTGTTCAGGCTGGTCTCGAACTCCTGACCTCAGGTTGTCTGCCTGCCTCGGCCTCTTAAAGTGCTGGGATTACAGGTGTGAGCCACCGTGCCCAGACTTAGTTACTTTTTTATAAAAGATATAAGACTTACATCAAGGTTCATGTTTTTGAACACATCCATGGTAGAAGAAGAGTCCTTGGTGTTCATCCCCTTACAGAAATGTCAATTTGAACAACTACCCATGCAAAATATACCTTCATAAGAGCTAAGGAATCCAGGTGAGAGATTAGAGCACCTGAGTGTAGCACAGAAAATTTAAAAGGCACATTGAAGAGAGTAGGACAGACAGTTTCACATTATTCATGTCACCTCTCTCCCAAACCCAGACAGTACAGTGTTGAGAGAGATACTCTCCACAAAGGGAAGGAGAATGAAGTGAGCATCTGAGTTTGCTGTGGACCCCAGGACTGGACTGCTCCAGGGAGCCCTGGTGCCAGGTTGGCCCCTGAGAACCTAGGCTCCAGGCCTGCCCCAGTGCCAGGCCAGCCCTTTGCAGCCTCAGCTTATAGGCTATTCCACTTCCTACTATGGCCCCAAGCTCCAGCAGCCCCAGGGTCCAGGCCTGCCTCCATGGATCCAGGCTCCAGACTTGCCTCTGCAGACCAATGAACAGGCCTCTCTGCATGCACCTAGGAACCAGGCCAGCCCCTTTGGGACTCAGGTCCAAACCTATCCCTGTGAGCTCAGGGAGGGGCCAGGACTGCCCCAGGACCAGGCCATCTCCAGAGACTCAGGCTCAAAGCCTTCCCCAGCTTCAGGTCAGCCCCCATGAACCCAGGCTTGAGGCCAGGCCCTGCAGACACAGGATCTAGGCCTGCCCCCAGGGCTTAGATTCCAAGCCCACCCCTGCAGACTCAGGCACCAGGCTAGTCCCTGTGGACTCAGGCACTGGGCCAGCCTGCCTGACGACTCCAGCAAAAGGCCTGCCTTCACAGCCCACAAGACAGCCCACCCAGAATTTATGGATGGGCTGACTAGTGAAGGGCCTTAAAAAAAGAAGGAATCCTGTCATTTACAGCAACATAGATGAACCTGAAGGACATTATGCTAAGTGAAACAAGCCAAGCACAGAAAGACAGTATGCATGGTCTCATTTACATGTAGCATTTTAAAAAGTTGAGCTCATAAAAGCAGAGAATAGAATGGTGGTTACCAAGGGCTCAAGGAAGGGATGGGGAGATATTGGTCAAAGAGTACAAGTTTCGGTTATGCAGGATGAATAAGCTCTGGACAGCTATTGTACAGCATGGTGACTATAGTTAATAATACTGTATTGTATACTTGAAATTTGCTGAGAGTAGTTCTTAAATGTTCTCAACACACACACATGCAACGGTAGTCGAGTAAAGGATGGGTAAATACATTTACTTGATTTTGGTAATTGCATTGCAATGTACACATATATCAAAACATCACGTTGTATACCATAAACAAATACAATTTTTTTTTGAGACAGTCTCACTCTGTCACCCACGCTGGAGTGAAGTGGTGCAATCTCAGCTCACTGCATCCTCTGCCTCCTGGGTTCAAGCGATTCTTGTGCCTCAGCCTCCTGAGTAGCTGGGATTACAGGCACGGGGCACCACACCCAGCTAATTTTTTGTGTTTTTAGTAGAGATGGGGTTTCTCCATGTTTCCCAGACTGGTCTTGAACTCCTGAGCTCAGGCAATCTGCCCATGTCAGCCTCCCAAAGTGCTGGGATTAAAGGCGTGAGCCACCACGCCTGGCTCAATTTTTACTTGTCAATTATATCTCATAAAGCTGGAAAAAAAGGTTTGCTGTTTTGCATATGGACATCTGATTGCTGCAGCAGCATTTCTTGAAAAGGCTTTCTTCCATTGAATTGCTTTTGTTCTTTTGTCAAAAATTGGATGGGTATCTTGTGGGCGTGGTGGCTCATGCCTGTAATCCCAGCACTTTGGGAGGCCGAGGTGGGTGGATCACTTGAGGTCAGGAGTTTGAGACCAGTCTGGCCAATATGGTGAAACTCCATCTCTACTAAACATACAAAAATTAGCCAGACATGTTGGTGCACGCCTGTAATCCCAGCTACTCAGGAGGCTGAGGCAGGAGAATCACTTGAACCTGGGAGGCGGAGGTTGCAGTGAGCCAAAATTATACCATTGCACTCCAGCCTGGGTGACAGAGTGAGACTCTGTCAAAAAAAAAAAAAAAAGAGATGGATATATTTTTTTTTTTGGTGTATTTCTGAGTTTTGCATTCTGTTCCCCTGATGTATTTGTATATCCTTTCTCCCAAACCATACAATCTTGATTACTACAGCCATATAAGCCTTAAAATCAGACAGACTGATTTCTCTGAGTTGATTTTTTTCAACATTGCTTTATTATTCTACTTCCTTTGCCTTTGCATATATTTTAGAATAATCTTATTTATGCCTACAAAATATTTTGCTTACATTCCTGTAGGAATTGCACTCAACCTATATATCAACTTGGGGACAATTCACACCTTTACTATGTTGGTTCATCCAATTCATGAGCTCATTTGCCTATTCTGGACATTATATATACATGCAATTATAAAATATGTGGCCTTTTAGTCTGGTGGCTTTAACTTAATATGTTTTGAAGGTTGATCCAAGTTGTAGCATGTCTCAATACTTCATTCCTTTTTATGGTTGAATAAAATTCCATTGTATGGCTATATCACATTTTCTTTATTCATCCATAAACTGACAAACATTTGGGTTGTTTCCTCTTTTTGGTTATTATGAATAATGCTGCTACAAACATTTGTGTACAAGTTTTTGTGTGAACATATGTTTTCAGTTCTCTTGGGTATATACCCAGGATGGGAATTGCTGGGTTATATGGTAACTCTACGTTTTCCCTTTTAGGAACTGTCAAACTGTTTTCCAAAGGCGCTAAACCATTTTACATTCACACCAACCATGCATGAGGGTTCCAATTTCTCCACATCTACACCAACACTTATTATTTTCTATGGTTTTTTTTGGGGTGGGGACACAGTCTTGCTCTGTTGCCCAGGCTGGAGTGCAGTGGCTCGATCTCAGCTTACTGTAACCTCCACCTCCTGGGTTCAAGCAGTCCTCCCACCTCAGCCTCCTGAGTAGCTGGGACCACGGGTGCATGCCATCACACCCAGCCATTTGTGTGTGTGTGTGTGTGTGTGTGTGTGTGTGTGTAGATGGGGTTTCGCCATGTTGCCCAGGTTGTTCTCGAACTCCTGGACTCAAGCAATCGGTCCATCTCGTCCTCGCAAAGTGCTGGGGTTACAGGCCTGAGCCACCTCGCCCAGACTGTTTTGTTTTGTTTTGTTTTGTTTTTTTAATGATAGCCATTCTAGTGAGTGTGACGTGATATCTCATAGTTTGGATTTACATTTTCCTAATGACTAATAATAATGAACATCTTTTAATGTGCTTTCTGACCATTTGTATATCTTCTTTGGAGCTATGTCTATTCAAATTATTTGCTCATGGCTGCTCCATCGATGGAGTAGCCATTCTTTTCTTCCTTTACTTTCTTAATAAACTTGCTTTCACTTTACCTTATGGATTCGCCTTGAATTCTCTCTTCTACAAGATCCCAGAACCCTTTCTTGGGGTCTGGATCAGGAACCCTTTCTGGTAACATCTTTTTGGTGACCACGGAGGGACAATAGAGAAGAACCCCCACCCACACACCCAAAGGCTAACTTACAGTAAGTGATGGAGTCTGGTAACATCTTTCTGGTGAACCATGGAAGGGACGATACTAAGGAGACCCCCAACCCAAAGAAAAATCATCGGCGCCCACCAATTGTCTGACTTTGGGTAAGTGGGGTGCATATACCCTGGTAAAGGATGGGATTGAGTTTGAGGCCCAACTTAGGGGAGTTAAGAGTCTCTCCTAAGACAGAGAGGGTTAAAGGCCCCTCTTAATAAAAGGCAAGTACGACTGACCTAACTTGGGTTTGAGGCCCAATTTAGAAAGATTAGAGCCCTTCCTATGATTTAGGGGGTTAGAGGCCCCTCTCAGTAAAGTCCCTCTCGGCTAAGAATGGGTTTGGCACTATGGGGTGTTAACTGCTATTCTCTTTGGGTCAATCTGCCTTGCACTCTTTGCTGATGACTATGGGTGACAGAATTAGGCATGTACAGGACCACGGGTCATGGCCGACTTTTTCCTCCACAAAAGGGGAAACTTGAGAGCTGATTGGACTGCTGGAAAAGATCCCTTCGCGACTGACGAGCAGCCGCCTGAACTTTTCAGTGTCGCTGCAATGGGTGGGTTTTTCTCTGGCCTCTGTGAGTTGCTTGCCTTCCCCACCCCGCTGCAGGCAATGCTTTTCTCCCTTTCTCTCCTTTCCCTTTCTTATCTTTTCTATTACTCAGGGCGACATCTTGCCCAGAGACCACATGATGAAACTCCTAGTCAGAAGTTGGATTGACGATGACAGAGCCTAATCAGGGGCAAGTTTGAGCCTTGCCGGTTTGATATTGGGTGCCAAGCAGAGTGGCTAATGTCTATGTTTTTTCAGACGTATTTTGCTCTGGCCAGAACGGAAAAACATAATTTTCCTTTGTGTTTTGGCTTGGCCCCCAGGGCTGTGATGCAGCCAGCTGGGTCACTAGGGCCACTCAGGGAAAGGGAACCCAGAAGCCTGGCATTGCAGCAAAAGGGTAAGAATTTCTTACCAGTCAGACTTCTGGCCTGTCTCTCTCTCAATCTGTGCGAACCAGTGGAATGAATGGTAACAATCACGGTTTATCTCCTCTGTAAAGTTTTGATTAATTTAAAAAAGGATTTGTAAGGCTAGTCTCAAGCTGTAGCGAATCTGTTGTACTTTGTGCTATGAATTTGTCTTTCTGTATCTTTCTGCAAGAAAGAGTGGTACCTTATGATAGAACACAGGCCTAGGACCCCATAAGCCTACTGTTCAAGATGGCCCAGCAAACTGGTCAGTTATAAACTTTTTTTTTCCTGGGGGGAAAAAAACTCGATGAGGTTCTCCTCTCATCTTCTTCGATGTCCTTGGAAGCCTGACCTTGTAACCACGTGGCAGTACTTCCTCTTGGTCTCCACCATCACAATGGCTGCCCAGGTTCAGGGTTCAATCCCTAGCTTAGGGGATGAGCCTTTCTGATTGATATTTGGGTGACCTTTGCCATTTTTTTTATTCTCTTCCCCTCCACAAACTGTCTTGAATTTCTTTTCTCAGAGCACCTGTGAGGTTACTTTTTGTAGAGTTCAAAAGCCAGAAATATTGGCCATTTGGACTGGCTAGTTGGGTAATAAAAGATTTAAAAGGACTTTAAAAAAAAAAGAGTGGTATGGTTAAAAGTCAGCTTAATTAAAAGTGGTTATTCAAGCCGTAACAGCCTGGGACTCCTTGAGAAAAACAGGAGCGCCACAGACTCCATTTTGGAAAAAACCTCTGTTTTCTTCATGAAACCCCAGGAATTAACAGTGGATAAATCCCTGTCAAAATCTGAGGCTCTGTTCTGGTTTGCGTTGCATTATCTGATGTTTTTGACTTTGGGGGGGTATCAGAAATTACTTCACATTATGAGAACTTTGTTGTGTAATAACTAGATAGGAAATATACTTTTGGGGATGGCTAATAGTAGTTATGGGGAGATACTCAGTTCTGCACATTTGGATCAGAGAAGCACACTCTTGGCCACCTAGGAAATATGGAAATGTCCCCCACCCCACACTGAGAGATAAGCCTCCTGTGGGAGATGGATTAATTCTCTCTTTTGGGGATCCAGGATCTGGTATAAAAAAGGGACCCTTATTTTCTGGAGATCTGTTTTGCCTTCCAGCTGTGCCTGCTTATTAGGCCCTATAAACTGCATGCTTTAAAAAGAGAAACTTAAACTCTGGCAAATGAAACATGTTACTACTACTGGATCTTCTTCTGTCTGCCTGTGTATTTACATGTGTTGTGTAAGTGATATGAAATAGCTTTGATTAACTGGTTTAAAAATAATAAGTACTTAAATCAAATATTTTGTGAAAAAAGTAAAAAGTGTAATGCCTTTTAGTTCATGTGAATTAAGTAATCTTTGGGAAATAAAAGTGATACATGTGAGGTGTGTAAAGAAAGTGAAATGTGTTTTTGCTAAAAGATTATAAGAAGTCATGGAAACGTGGATTTTTTTTTTTGCCTAGATTAAAAGGTTAAAGGATTGTTTTAAGTTAAATAGAATAAAGCTGAATGTTTAAGCAAGTTGTGGAAGGTTTGCGAAAAATTAATTGTAAAAGAGATTCTGTGTATGAACGTATTGGCTAAAGTTAAAGGTGTATTATTCAGTTTTTCTGTAAATTGAACATTGGAATAAAGCACAACAGGTTTTCCTTAGAGCACTAATCTGCCCTTTCACAAAAATTTTTGTAAAGGGTTATGAAAGTTTTAGGAAAGTCTTACCTTATGGTCAAACAGTAAAATTGGGTAAATATGTCCATAAGGTTTTGTTAAGAATTCAGTTTAACAGTGATAGTACACTAATGCAAAGGGTGAAATTTGGCTTTCTCTCTTGAACAATATTTTCATGTTATATTAAAAAAAAAGATTTTGGCTGGGTGTGATGGTTCATGCCTGTCATCCTAGTACTTTGGAAGGCTGAGGCAGGTGGATCACCTAAGGTCAGGAGTTCGAGACCAGCCAGGCCAACATGACGAAACCCTGTCTCTACTAAAAATACAAAAATTAGTTGGGGGTGGTGGTGTGTGCCTGTAATCCCAGCTACTCAGGAAGCTGAGGCAGGAGAATCACTTGAATCCAGGGGGCGGAGGTTGCAGTGAGCTGAGACCGTGCCATTCCACTCCAGCCTGGGCAACAAGAGTGAAACTCCATCTCGAAAAGAAAACAAAAAAAAGAAAAAGAAAATATATATAAAATTATAGATAAATAATGCAATGCTTTCCTCCCTCTTTCCTTTCTTTTTTTTTCTGCAGGAACCAATTAAATTAATGTAATGTAATGTAATGGGCCAGGTACTTGTTTTATTTAAAAATGATATATAGAATTGCTTATAAACTTGCATTGTCACTCAACATTAAATCATTCTTACTAATAAAAAATCATACAGGAAGCATTGTCAAATATAAAATGGTGTTTGGCTTTCTTTGGGCTCTATTTTTATAAATATGTTACTTGTATGTGTTCCAAAATTATGGAAAACTCCTATAATTCTTTTTTTTTTTTTCGAGATGGAGTCTCACTCTGTTGCCCAGGCTGGAGTGCAATGGCGCAATCTCAGCTCACTGCAACCTCCACCTCCCAGGTTCAAGTGATTCTCCTGCCTCTTTCCTGAGTAGCTGGGATTACAGGCACCTGCCACCACGCCCAGCTAATTTTTGTAGTTTTAGTAGAGACAGGGTTTCACCATGCTGGCCAGGATGGTCTCAAACTCCCAACCTCAGGTGATCCGCCTGCCTCGGCCTCCCAAAGTGCTGAGATTACAGGTGTGAGCCACCATGCCCAGCTGGAAAACTCCTATAATTCTAATACGACTTATTGTGTGTTATTAATAATTATCATGGTTATGTCAAATTGTTGTATGCTACAGAAGTAACCAAAATTCCTAGTCAATTGTGGCTTTAATAGTGGTTGTCCTAAGACTTTTTGTCATCCACAGACAATTGCTGTCTTGTTTTGATCTCCTTTAAAAGGTGGTTTATAATTAACTACAGAACTCTAATGGTGTTCTTAAATGCAGGTTTCTGATAACTTTGGAAATTGTGATATTAGAATAGAGGAAAAAACTTTCAGGACTCTCATGGAGAGCTGGAATGTTCATGAACACCAAGCAGAACAGGAGTAAACTGCATGGACTAAACTAGTAGAAGTCTGAAGTAAATTTTTTGATTTTGCTTAAAATGTTGCTGATCCTTTGTTTTGTTTTTCAGAGTCAAGAAAACTTTTCTTTTGAGCTATATACAGCTTTTAACAATTGAGTAAAGTATACTCCTGTGAACAAAATTTGGAGCATATTTGTTTCTCTCTACCTGATTTCTCCAGAATTTGGAAACTACTTGTGAGTATTCTTAACTTACGGCAACATAATTATTTGCATAAGTGCAATAAGAATCTGTTTTTGCCAGGTGCGGTGGCTCATGCCTGTAATCCCAGCACTTTGGGAGGCCGAGGCAGGCAGATCACAAGGTCAGGAGTTCGAGACCAACCTGGCCAATATGGCGAAACCCCGTCTGTACTAAAAATACAAAAATTAGCTGGGCGTGGTGGCAGGCACCTGTAGTCCCAGGTACTCGGGAGGCTGAGGCAGGAGAATCGCTTGAACCTGGGAGGTGGAGGGTGCAGTGAGCCAAGCCTGGGTGATAGAGCAAGACTTCGTCTCAAAAAACAAACAAACAAAAAAGAATCTGTTTTCTTTTGCAACAGGACACAATTGGAGAAACTGGTTATTTTACCAAGGCTTTGACTAGAATGGTGTACTTTTCTTTAAGGAATCAAACTTGACTTGTAACACCAATAAAAGCCCCTTGGGAAAACTGGCCTCATACCTTGTCTACACCGTCCCTGTGCACAGTTCCTGACCTGTGGTAAGTAAAGAATGTCACTTTCTGACATGCCCAGGAGACTCAAGGTATCTTGGGACCACAACAGGAGAGAAATTTTCCCAACTCATAGGTACTTGAAGGTACAAATCCATGGCTGGGCCCAGCTTTTTAAAAGTCTTATCTGAAATTCCTTCTATGGAACAGAGTTCCATCAAAGCCAATTTAAAAAGAGCTTATGTAAAAAATAATTATTCTTGCTGCATTTGACACAAATAATCAGGCCAAGTATAATAAAGCAAATTGGTCTTACCATGATTTGTCTTTAGTAAAAATGGGAAACTGCAGAGAGAAATTATTTTTCAAGAACTATGGTACATTTGTTATTAGATTCTAGTCTCATCAGTTGCTTTTGAGGTTTTCCTTGCAATTTACACTAACCCTGCTTATTCTTGTGAACCAACCAGTGATCTCTGGCTGCACCTCAGAAGAAACAGGAGGGTTGGGTAATGCAAAAATCTGGATCAATATTCTAATTCTGGGCACATACTGGAATTGGCTAGGAACTCCATATCTGTTTGGTTCCAACAGTTGCCCAGTTCATGGAAAGCCTTCTTATTTAGCTTACTTGGGATAATTTTACATATCTTGCTTTACTCTTGTGGTATATATTGCTGTTGTACTCTCTGTGTAGGAATGCACAGTAAGCTTACTGAATATTTTCTTAAACTGAACACTTATTAATCTTCCAGATAATACCTTTTGTTAGAACTCGGAGTTATGAATGGCCCTTGCCATACTGGTGCTTTCTGACTGAGCTCCTCTCTACCCTGAATACAAGAGACCCTAATAGTTAGTCAGGAATATCATCACCCCTATTCAGCCTGAAGAAATTACAGTAGATGAATCTTCATCTCTCTACAACTCTTAGGATTAACGGTTCTCTTATAAAAGGAAGGGGAGAAATGTCAGAGGTGTTTGAACCAGAGCAATCCCATCTTGAATAGGGGCTGGGTAAAATGAAGCTGAGACCTACTGGGCTGCATTCCCAGATGGTTAATGTATTCTAAGTAACAGGATGAGATAGGAGGTTGGCACAAGATACAGGTCATAAAGACCTTGCTAATAAAACAGGCTACAGTAAAGAAGCCAGCTAAAATCCACTAGAATCAAGATGGTGATCTCTGGTCATCCTCACTGCTACACTCCCACCAGTGCCATGACAGTTTACAAATGCTATGTCAATGTCAGGGAGTTACCCTATATAATCTAAAAAGGGGAGGCATGAATAATCCACCCCTTGTTCAGCATATAATTAAGAAATAACCATAAAAATGGCAAACAGCAGCCCTCAAAGCTGCTCTGTCTATGGAATATTCTTTTATTTCTTTATTTCTTTACTTTCTTAATAAACTTGCTTTCACTTTAAGAAAATTATTGGTTTGGCCGGGCATGGTGGCTCATGCCTGTAATCCCAGCACTTTGGGAGGCCGAGACAGGCAGATCACCTGAGGTCGGGAGTTCGAGACCAGCCTGACCAACATGGAGAAACCTCGTCTCTACTAAAAATACAAAATTAGCTGGGCATGGTGGCACATGCCTGTAATCCCAGCTACTAGAGAGGGTGAGGCAGGAAAATCACTTGAACCTGGGAGGTGGAGGTTGCGGTGAGCCGAGATCATGCCATTGCACTCCAGCCTGGGCAACAGAGCGAAACTCTGTCTCGAAAAAAAAAAAAAATTATTGGCTCATTTCCTTATTTGAGTTATTGTTGAGTTGTAAGAGTTATTAATATATTCCAGATACTAGACTCTTGTCAGATCTATTATTTGCAAATATTTTCTCCAATTCTGTAAATTGTCTTCTCACTTTTTTGATAGTATTCTTGGGAGCACAAAAGTTTTTAATTTTTATGATGTCCTGCTTATGCTTGTACTTTACGTATTAGATATAAGAAACTGTAGCTTAATCCAAGGTCATAAGATTTACATCTATAATTTCTTCTAAGAGTTTTATAGTTTTACTCTTACATTTGGTCTTTAATCTATTTTAAGTTAATTTTTCATTGTCATTTTTTTAAATTTGGAAGGTAGGCTTTAAAAAATTAACAGCTTTATTGTGATATAATTCATATACAGTATAATTCATGCACTTCAAGTGTAGAAGTCAATGGTGTTTTAGTCCATTTTTTTGTTGCTTATAACACAATATCTGAAACTGGGTAACTAATAAGGAAAGAAATTTATTTCTTACAGTTATGGAGGCTGACAAGACAAAGGTCATGGGGCCACCATCTGCTAACAGCCTTCTTGCTGGTGGGGACTTAGCAGAGTCCCAAGGCAGTGCAGGGAGTCACATAATGAGGGGGCCAAGCATGCTCAAATGCTTGTTCAGATCTCTCTTTCTCTTCTTAAAAAGCCACCAGTTCCATTCCTATTAGAGACTGTTAATACAGTTACCCATTAATCCATGATCCAATCACCTCTTAAAAGCCCCACCTTTCAAAACTGCCACATTGGGGGTTAAGTTTTTAACAAGTGAAATTTGGAGAACCTATTCAAACCATAGCAAATGGTTTTTAATATATTCACAGTTATGCGACCATCACTGCAATCACTTTTAGAATACTTTTATCACCCCAAGAAGAAACCCAGGACCCGTTATTAGTCTCTCCCCATATTTTTCCAACCCCTCCCCCAGCCCTAGGCAATCATTAACCTGCTTTCTATTTCTATAATTTGCTTATTCTGGGCATTACATATAAATGGAATTCTACAATATGTGGTCCTTTGTGACTGGCTTCTTTCACTTATTAGCATATTTCTTTGTTCACTTAGCATGTTTCCAAGGTTCATTCATGTTTTAGCATGTATCAGTAATTCATTTCTTTTTATTGCTGAATAATATTTCGTTGTATCAATATATCACATTTTATCTATCCATTCATCAGTGGATAGATATTTGAATTATTTGCATTTTATAATGCTGCTATAAACACTTATATACAAGTTTTTGTGTGGACATAAGTTTTCCTTTCACCTTGAAGTGGAAATGCTGCCTCATATGGTAATGCTATGTTTAACCTTTTGAGGAACTACTAGACTGTTTTCCAAAGAAGCTAAACCATTTTATATTCCCACTAACAATGTATTAGGGTTTCAGTTTCTCCACATCCTCACTATCGCCTATCTTTATCTGTCTTTTTATTATAGCTATCTTAGTTGGAATGAGGAGGTATCTCATTGTTTTGGATTATATTTCCCTGGTAGCTAATGAGTTGAGCATCTTTTCATGTACTTGTTGATCATATGTATGTTTTCTTTTGAGAAATGTCCATTCAGATCTTTTGGCTATTTTTAAATGGATTTACTTTCTTATTACTATTGTAAGAGTTCCTTAAATATTCAAGATACAAGGCCGGGCGCGGTGGCTCACACCTGTAATCCCAGCACTCTGGGAGGCCCAGGTGGGCGGATCATGAGGTCAGGAGATTGAGACCATCCTGGCTAACACGGTGAAACCCCGTCTCTACTAAAAAATAAAAAATAAAAAAAATTAGCCAGTCATGATGGCAGGCGCCTGTAGTCCCAGCTACTCGGAAGGCTGAGGCAGGAGAATGGCGTGAACCCGGGAGGCGGAGCTTGCAGTGAGATCGCACCACTGCACTTCAGCCTGGGCGACAGAGCGAGACTCCGTCTAAAAAAAAAAAAAAAAAGAGAGATACAAGTCCTTTATTAGTTATATGATCACTGACTTGATTTTTTCTCCCATTCTGCGGGTTGCCTTTTACTTTCATTATGGTATCCTTTGAAGCACAAAAGTTTTAAATTTTGATAATATGAATTTTTTGCCATTGCTTGTTTGGTGTCATCTAAGAAATGATTGATAATCCATGTTCACATAGGCTTACACCTATGTTTTCTTCTAAGAGTTTTATAGTTACAGGCTCTTAAATTTAAATCTAACGTCCATTTTAAGTTAATTTTTGCATGTGATGTGAGGTAGGAGTACAGTCCTTTTGCAGGTATCCACCTGCAGTGTCCCAGCACAATTTGTTGAAAAGGTTTTTCATTTTTGTTTTTGTTTTTTGGCGACAGGGTCTTGCTCTGTCACCCAGACTGGAGTGCAGTGGCACAATCATGGTTCATGGCAGCCTCAACCTTCCAGGCTCAAGCAATCCTCCTACCTTGGCCTCCTGAGTAGCTGGGACCACAGGCACATGCCACAATGTCTGGCTAATTTTTAATTTTTTTTTGTAGAGAGGGTGTCTCCCTACGTTGCCCAGGCTGGTCTCAAACTTCTGGGCTCAAGCAGTCCTCCTGCCTCAGTCTTCCAAAGTGCTAGGATTGAAGGCATGAGCCACTGTGCCTAGCCAAAGCTATTCTTTCCACATTGAATTATCTTGGCACCCTTGTCAAAAATCAATTGACTATAAGTTTGAAGGTTTATTTTTGGATTCTCAATTCTATTCCATTCATCTATATGTCTATCTTTGTGCCAGTACCATATTGTCCTTATTACTATAACTCTGTAGTCAGTTTGGTGTGTAAGTCCTTCAACTTTGTTCTTTTTCAGGATTTTTTTTTACTATTTTGACTCCCTTGAATTTCCATAAGAATCTTAGGATCAGCTTGTGAATTTCTGGAAAAAAACATTTGAGATTTTAATAGGAATTGCCTTGAATCTGTGGATCAAGTTGGGTTGGGTTATATTTTGTGGTATATATTTTTCTATTCTTTTTCTTTCAGTAATTTTGCTTCCTTATGCTTTTTATGTGTCTCAGTAAATAACTGATTGTATTTTTCTTAGGTCCAATCTGAAAACCTTTATTTTAGCTACTTAAATGTTTGGGTTATATCAACCACCTTATTTTTGTGCTATCAGTCCCCCTTTTTTCATGTTTTTCCCCTTCTTTCTTGCCTTTTCTTATTCCACAGTTTTTCTGTCTCCTAATTTCAAGGTTATGCCAGCTAATTCTAATTTTTGATGGTTGTCCTAGAAACTGCAATATGCAAACTTATCAAAATTTAATATTATTTTCCCAGAAAACAGAAGGACCTTTAAATACTAGATTTAATACTAAACTGTCTCTAAGTTTATGTTAATGGTATATTTTAATTCTATATATGTATATACTTTAACCCTGTAATATATAGTTACTCTTTTTATACAGTTAATATTCATTTAGATTTATCCACATATTTTTCTCTTGCTTTCCTCTGCTTCCCTTTCTGCATCCTTGGTATCTGCAATAAATTTTATTCTACCTTTGGAATTTCCTTTAATGAGGCTCTACTGCTGGCAATGTCTCCCATTATATTTCATCACCTTATTTGAAGGATTATTTTAAAAGGCATACAATTAGGTGTTGATAGGTATTTTCACCTTGGCACATTAAAGTGATCATTCAATTGTCTATTGGGTTCCACTGTTGCTGTTGAGAGTCAGCTGTCAGTTGGCTATCTAGTGTCTATCCTTTCTTTGAAAATAATCTGTTCCCACCATCCCATGGCTGCTTTACTCTAGTGTCCCTCCTTAGTTCTGAAAAGCTCTTAGATACTAATTCTTAAAATATTGATTCTGCCCTGTTCTTACTGTCCTTCCTTTCTAGAACTCTGATTACATGTATATTTTGACCTTCTGACTCCATCACTCTAAATTCCAAGTTTTGTTTTTTTTGCTTTTTTTTTTTTTTTTCTGAGACAGAGTTTCGCTCTTGTTGCCCAGGCTGGAGTGCAATGGCATGATCTCTGCTTACTGCAACGTCTGCCTCCCGGGTTCAAGTGATTCTCCTGCCTCAGCCTCCTGAGTAGCTGGGATTACAAGCACGGGCCACCATGCCTGGCTAATATTTTTGTATTTTTAGTAGAGATGGGGTTTCTCCATATTGGTCAAGCTGGTCTCAAACTCCTGACCTTAGGTGATCCACCTGCCTTGGCCTCCTAAAGTGCTGGGATTACAGGTGTGAGCCACCTCGTCTGGCCCCATGTACCCTTTACCCAGTTCCCACCAGTTTCCATCACCACAAGAATCCCTCCTGTTGCTTTTTTATAGTTACACTCATTTTCCTCCCACACCCCCTTCACTCCTGATAATCACTAATCTGTTCTCCATTTCTATAATGTTGTCATTTCCAGAAAGTTATGCACATGAAATCATAAAGTATGTAACCTATTGAGATTGGCTTTATTCACTCATCATAATTCTCTGGTAATTCATCCAGGTTGTTGCATGTGTGGATAGTTTGTTTCTTTTTATTGCTGAGTAGTATTCCATGATATTTATCACAGTTTGTTTACCCATTTACCTTTTGGAGGACATTTGGGTTGTTTAACATTTGGGGCTACTACAAAGAAAGCTACTGTAAATATTTGTGTAGCAGTTTTTGTATGAATACAAGTTTTCATTTGTCTGGCATAAATGCCCAGTAGTGCAGTTGCTGGGTCATGTGGTGATTGCATGATTGCATGTTTAATGTTTTTAAGAAACTGTCAAACTATTTTTCAGAGTGGCTGTACCATTTTGCATTCTCAACAGCAATGAATGAGGGATCCAGTTTATCTGCATCAATTTCAGCATTTGGTATTGGCACTATTTTTTATTTTAGTCATTTTGCTAGTCATGTAGTGATATCTCCTTTTTTTTTTTTAAGACAGAGTCTCTCTCTGTAGCCCAGGCTGGAGACCTGTGGCATGATCTTGGCTCACTGTAGCCTCTGCCTCCAGAGTTCAAGTGATTCTCGTGCCTCAGCCTCCCGAGGAGCTGGGATTACAGGTGTGTGCCACCACGCCCAGCTAATTTTTGTATTTTTAGTAGAAATGGGGTTTCACCATGTTAGCCAGGCTGGTCTGGAACTCCTGACCTCAGGTGATCCACCTGCCTCGGACTGCCAAAGTGCTGGGATTACCGGCATGAGCCACCACACCCGGCGTTTCTTTCTTGTTTGCTTCCTTTCTTTTCTTTCTTTTTTTGTTTTTTGGGTTTTTTTTTCTTTTTTTTAACAGAATATCAGTCTATCACCCAGGCTGGAGTGCAATGGCATGATCTCAGTTCACTGCAACCTCCACCTCCCAGGTTCAAGTGGTTCTCCTGCCTCAGTCTCCCGAGTAGCTGGGATTACAAGCGCCTGCCAAGACCCCTGGCTAATTTTTGTAATTTTAGTAGAGATGGAGTTTTACCATGTTGGTAAGCTTGGTCTCAACCTCCTGACCTCAGGTTATCTGCCTGCCTCGGCCTCCCAAAGTGCTGGGATTACAGGCGTGAGCCACCGTGCCTGGTGTTTGCTTTCTTTTATTCTTTTTTTTTCCATAAACAACTTTATTAACATCTATTAGATACAACTTGAATGGAAACTTACCAAACACTAGCAAAGTTTGTCCAGAAAATAATTTTGTACCCTCTTTCATTTATTGCCTTTGCCTCTCTGTGCTGATTTCTGAATAATTTTTTTCTGAACTGTCTTTCATTCACTAATTAATTAATTGTATCTAAGTTTCTGCTAATTTCTTTAGTTTACTGAGTTATTAATTCCCACCATGGTTTTTATTTTCACTTCCAGAACTTTGATGGAGTAATTTTTCACATGTGATTATTCTTCAGTTTTTTTTTCCTGCATATGTTTTTATTTCTTTAAATTCAGCAAGCAGCCAGGCACAGTGGTTCATCCCAACACTTTGGGAGAGCAAGGGAGGCAGATAGCTTCAGGCCAGGAGTTCGAGACCAGCCTGGGCAACATGACAAAAACCCATCTGTAGAAAAAAATAGAAAAATTAAGCTGGGTGTGATGGCACACACCTGTAGTCCTGGGTACTCAGGAGGCTGAGGTGGGAGAACCACTTGGGCCCAGGAGGTTGAGGTTGCAGTGAGCCGAGATTGCAACACTGCACTCTAGCCTGGGCGGCAGAGTGAGATCCTGTCTCAAAAAATAATCAGAAAGCATAGTTCTTCATATACTATGTTTAATAATTCTAGTATCTAAATTATTTCAGGTTATAGTTCTGCTCCCTATTACTCTTGTTGATTCTCATTTGTGGTAATTTATTTCTTCGTTTGATTAACTTTGTTGTGACCTGCTTAATTTCTTTATAAAATAATTTGAGTAAATTCTTTGAAGTCTAGGACAAAGGTGAATTCCCTCACAGAAGATCTATATTTGCTTTTTGCTTTTGCTAGGTGTCTGGGAAAACTAACAGGCCAGAGTCACTTTAAACTTATAACTAGAGGTTTCTCAACTCACCCAGGGAGTGTGAATTGGAGCAGAATGATTACAACTTCTAGGTTATTTTTTTCCCTCCCTCTCCTGCTCAGCACCACCAAGGAACTATTCTTTGTAGTCTCTTGGGGTTGGGGGAGCGGATAAGAAAGCAACTTAAGTTTTCCTTTTCTGAGGGTGTATCCTCCTGGGTACCAATTTAATAGAAAAAGAACTCTTGTTAGACTCTCCACCTTTAGTTGGACCCCAGGCTTTTGTCTTTTACCCTTAAATTTTGGGTGGCTTTTGCAAAGTTGAAATTCTCAACCTCTTCAAATTCTGCAATTTTCTTCAGGACAAAACTGAAGTACTTCACTTCTCTATGTTCTCACAGTCTCTAGATTTTATCCTGATAATTCCTTATCCATCTTTGAGACTTTTAAGATGTTTTCTTATCCATTAATTAAGTGATAAAGTCATGCATCACTTAGTAACTAAGATATGTTCAGAGAAATGTACTGTTAGGCAATTTCATCACTGTGCAAGCATCGTAGAGTGCACTTACAGAAACCTAGATGTTACAGCCTCTTACACACCTAGGCTAGATGGTACAGCCTATTGCTTCTAGGCTACAAATCTGTACAGCATGTTGCTGTACTGTATACTGTAGGTAATTATAACACAATGGTAAGTATTTGTGTATCTAAACATATGTAAACATAGAAAAGATATGGTAAAAATATAAAAGAGTTTTTAAAATGGTACATCTGTACAGGACACTTACCATGCATGGAACTTGCAGGACTCACTGGGTGAATCAGTGAGTGAGGGGTGAGTAAATATGAAGGCCTAGGAAGTTACTGTACACTCCTGTAGACTTTTCAAACACTGTATACTTAGGCTACACTAAATTTATTTTTAAATAGTTGTTTTATCATCAATAATAAATTAACCTTAGCTTACTGTGACTTTTTAAATTTATAAACTTAATTTTTAAAACCTTTTGGCTCTTTTCTAATAACACAGCATAAAACACACATTATACTACTGTACAAGCTGTATATTTTATATCCTATCCTTTAAGCTATTTTCTATTTTTAAAATTTTTTCTTTTTCTTTTTTACTTTTTAGACTTTTTTTGTTGAAAACTAAGACAGTAACATACACATTAGCCTAGGCCTACACCGGGTCAGGATCACCAAGATGGCACAAGGCAATAGGGATTTTTCGGCTCCATTATAATCTTATGGGACCACTGTTGTATATGCTGTCCATCATTGACCAAAACGTCATTATGTGGTGCATGACTGTACTTTTTGTTGTTTTCAGCAGTGATTACATGCCAGAAACAGAAAGTCTATACTCTCTGTATGGTCCACTTCAACAAAGCTTCTGGAGCCACTAAAATTCCTTTCACAGAGGTCAGAAAAGATAACCAAGCTGCCATATCAATTTGACATACTTTTCATTCCTATCTAATTCAACCTCTCCACGGTTTCTGACACCTGATTATTCCCTTTCTCTCAGAACCAGGTTTTAGCTTTCACAGCGCCTCCTTTTCCTACACAGTGCCTAAACAACTATTCCTCGGGGATCAGATCTAGGTCTTTTCACTTCTACACTTCTTCTGCCACCACTGAACTTTATGCTACCAATATCTATCACTTCATTAGCCTCCTCATTGGATGCTTTCTGCCCACTCTTCTCCTCAATCAATCCCTTCTCCCTCCAGCAACCAAAGTGCTCCTTTAAAAATGAAAATTAGATTGTGCCATTTTGCCTTGGTAAAACCCTTCAAGTTACTGCATTTGAACTTCAAATTTCAAACTACTTAACATTGCCCATAAAACCTTGTATGATCTAACTGCTGCCTTTATACCCCTAATTGTCCTCTTATACTATAGATGAACTGACTTTAGTTTTTGAGATGGAGTCCCCAGGCTGAAGTGCAGTGTTCATAACAATATCATTGATACATGCTATATGGATATGTGACATATTAATATATAATAATGATATTATTGATAACTTTAGCAAGTTCAGATTAAAATTCTTGCCCAAGACACATTATTGTTGTTTGATACCCTCTAGGATGCTTTCTCATGTAAGGCAGAGTACGGATTAGAATAAAAATCTTTTCTGAATCCTGATCATCAATTTTCTAATCTGAATCATTATCAGACCAATCAGTAAATGTGTTTTTCATTCTTCTATATTTCACTTCTTCATCAAATAAAATATCAAGTTCTTCTCATTCTCATTACTTTAGAGGATGTAGTTGACTTCTCTCATCAGATACAGACATTGATTCTTTCCATTTCACTGGAGGTGGTTGATGATTCTTTTTTACTTCTTTTTTTCTTTTTCTTTATTTTTTTTGAGATGGAGTTTTGCTCTTGTTGCCCAGGCGGGAGTGCAATGGTGCGATCTCGGCTCACCGCAACCTCCGCTTCCCAGGTTCAAGCGTTTCGCCTGCCTCAGCCTCCCGAGTAGCTGAGGTTACAGGCATGCGCCACCACGCCCAACTAATTTTGCATTTTTAGTAGAGACAGGGTTTCTCCATGTTGGTCAGGCTGGTCTCGAACTCCTGACCTCAGGTGATCCACCCACCTCGGCCTCCCAAAGTGCTGGGATTACAGGCATGAGCCACTGCGCCCAGCCGATCCTTTTTTACTTCTATCCAACTACTATGGTCTGAATGTTTGTGCCCTTCTCAAACTCATGTGTTAAAATCCTAACTTCTAGGGTGATGATATTAAGAGATGGGGCTTTTTGGAGGTGATTAGGTCATGAGGGTAGAGCTCTCATGAGTGTGATTAGTGTGTTTACAAATGAGTTCCAAGAATGACCCGTTGCCCCTTCCACCATGTGAAGGCAAAATGAGAAGATGCCATCTATGAAGCAGGCCCTCACCAGACATCAAATCTGCAGGTGCCTTGATCTTGGACTTCCCAGCCTCCAAAACTGTGAGAAATAGTTTCTGTTGTTTATAAGCCACCCAGTCTATGGTATTTTATTATAGCAGCCCAAATGGACTAAGACACTAAGGCTCTGAGTCTAAATGGGGCAAATTGGTAGACAAACTTCTAGATTGCTTGAAGACTGCTTGTTTCAGTATTTTCTTTGGACTCAGTGGACTTCCAATTCTTGTAGAATATAGGACAGACTCTCTGTATGTTAGCCAAAGGCTTGGCCTAGTATGAATTCTGAGCAATTGATCATTTGAGAGAAGTCTGTGGCATACTTGATAGAAGACAATCAGGAAAGGGCTATTTATCTTGTTCTTTTTTCTCATGCTCTCGTTCACAATTTCCATTTCTGTGCTATTGCTTAATGTCTCTAAAATAAGATTAAGCTTTATAGTGAGTCTGAATGTGGTGGAAACCAGCTATCAGGGAAATAGGCAAGAAGCCATGTTCATACATCTGTTTTCTAAGATATTTCCACTCCGAATTTTCTTTTACCGAAGTAACATTTTAATTTGGCACTTAATATACTCTTGATGCAATGTTTCTTTTACAGGATATACCTGTATGCCAGTAGTATCATCATAGTAATATATCATCCTGGTATTAAGTTCTGTTTGAAATGGTTGATCAACTTTTTTACCATGTTCTTGATAACTATAAGAATAATGAAATAATCCTCATTTGAGGATTTCCTCTGCCTCATTTTCATTCTCATCTCTGTCTTTGGCCTGGCCTCTTCCCAAGTCTCTAAAGGAACTTGCCACCCTCACTTATACTGGAAACTTTATATTAATCATCTCTCTATTTTTGTCTATCTTGCCTTCAATTTTGTATATCATTTTGCCTATTGTTATGTGTAATTTATTTGCTTCAGGTTTCGGAATCCTGTAAGATGTTTAGGATACTGGTCTTTATTGATTATGTGGTCCTACATCATCTAAGTGGAGTGGTACCCACTTGTGCTTATTAACTTTCTTTCCTTAATTACTTGACTGAGCCTCATCTTCATTGATGTTTTCACCAGGGCCGTCAAGTTTTATTTTATGGTTTGTTCTCACTGTGGTTTCTCTCTTCAACCTTCTCTTCTTTTCTATTTTGTGTCTTCTTTTTTTGACTGATGACCCTCTGACATCTAGTGTTCACCAATTCTCTTGATGTTGCTCAATTTGCTTTATCACTGAAATAAATCACTAGCCTCATTGTATTTCTTAAGTTTCCTTTTATAATTTTTGGGGAACTGAGCTCAGCTCCTGCCTTTGCCAGGCCACCACCCATGGTAGCTGACTGACAAGCCAATTTGTATGCCGCTGGCCTAGGAGCTGGCCCCACACCTGAGTTAATTTTTGTATATGTTGTGAAGTAAGAGTCTAATTTTATTCTTTTGCATGTGAACGTTCAGTTGTCCCAGAACCATTTGTTGTAAAGATTGTTCTTTCCCTTTTGAATTGTCTTGGCACTCTTGTCAAAAATCAACTGGCCATAGAAGTATGGGTTTATTTCTGGACTCTCTATGTTGTTTGGTTGACCCATATGTCTATCCTTATGGCAGTAACACAAAGTCTTGATTACCATAGCTTTATAGAAATTTTTGAAATCAGAAAGTATGAGTTCTCCAACCTGTTTTTGTTGCTTGTTAAATGTATTCCTTAGTATTCTATTCTAAGAATTGTAAATGGGAATGTTTTCTTAATTTCTAGTGTAAATGAGATTGTTAATTTCATTTTTGGGGTGTTCATTGCTAGTGTATAGAAATACAAGTGATTTTTGTATATTGATCTTGTATCCTGCAACCTTGCCGTACTGGTTTATTAGTTCTAAGAGGTTTTTATTTTTCTGCTAGTTATTTAGGATTTTCTGTAAAAATTTGTAATTTAAAAATTTCCCCCCACCAAAGAAACTCCAGGCCCAGATCGTTTCACTGGAGAATTCTACCAAATGATTAGTGATTTAATTCCAATTACACATAATTTCATCCAGAAAACGGAAAAGGAGGGAACCCTTCCCAATTTATTTTATGGAGCTAGTGTTACCTCTGACACCATACTAGCAGGGAAGGGAAGGAGCACCTCACTACTGCTAGAAGTGGCATGTCTAAGCTCTCCATGTGATTGCCGTTGAGATCCTTGGGGGAAAGCTTACTATGGGTCAGCAGAGATGACAGTCCTGGCTCCTGACTTGGCATTCTTTGACACTTCCCTGGTGGGGGTGTTGTAGCACCTCTTTACTGCCTTGCTAGTGTGGAATTCTAAGCTCTTCACTTGGCATTTGTTGATGTGGATGGGGGTGGGACTACAGTTTTTTTCTGTGGTGTTTGGCTGGAGTACAGTAGTTATTACAAAATGTTTTCTTTTTTCTTAGGCTGCCCCTTTCCTGGTGCTTTGGCTAGAGAGCACAAGTTTTTACTGGGGCTCTTTTTTATCTGTTCCTATCGGCATTTTGAGGTTGCCAGTTTCTTCATCTCCATGTTTAGGATATATAAGGCAAAAAGAAAACCCAGGGAACTCAACGCCATGTTATTTGTGTCTCAAGATTCCTAGCCAAAAGATCTGGTCTGTCTTCTCTTCAACTTTCAGAGTCTTCTTATGTTTATTTTATATATAATGTACAGAATTTTTACTTGTACCTAGAGAGAGGAAGAAAGACAAGTGTGTCTATTCCATATTCCTGGAAGAGGATGTCATTTTGATATTTTTTTAAAACAAAGAAACAAAACACTTTAATTCTCAATATTTCTAATATTGTGTTTAAAATTACAGTATACTAAAGTTTTAAGTTATAGTATACTAAATAAATATTCATGTGATTATGGTTTTTTCGTTTCCCTATATATTTATAAATGATAGGAGAGTTTTTAATATTTTGACAAAAAATTTCAGGGTCACTGAAAAATTGTAACTTTTTTCATTAATTATTAATATCTCTTTGCACAGTTCAGCTTGCATGGTCATTTTTACAGTCTAGCATTACCAAGCAAAGAGACTTCCTGTACTATATCCTTTTTTTGTTTTGTTTTTTTTTTTTTTTGAGACGGAGTCTCACTCTATCATCCAGGCTGGAGTGCAGCAACACGATCTCCACTCACTGCAACCTCTGCCTCCTGGGTTCAAGCGATTCTCCTACCTCAGCCTCCCAAGTAGCTGGGATTTACAGGTGTGCACCACCACGCCCAGCTAATTTTTGTATTTTTAGTAGAGATGGGGTTTCGCCATGTTGGCCAGGCTGGTCTTAAACTCCTGAGCTCAAGTGATCCACCTGCCTCAGCCTCCCAAAGTGCTGGGATTACAGGCATTAGCCACCATGCCTGGCCCTATTTCTCCTAAAAAGCAACCACTCAGGCCAGGCGCAGTGTCTCACACCTGTAATCCCAACACTTTGGGAGGCCGAAGCTGGTGAATCACCTGAGGTCATGGGTTCGAGACCAGCCTGGCCAACATGGTGAAACGTCATCTCTACTAAAAATACAAAAATTATCTGGGCATGGTGAAGCGTGCCTGTAATCCCAGCTCTCAGGAGGCTGAGGCAGGAGAATCGCTTGAGCCCAGGAGGCAGAGGGTGCAGTGAGCCAAGATTGCGCCACTGCACTCCAGCCTGGGCGACAGAGCAAGATTCCAAAAAAAAAAAGCAACCACTCAAACAATACTACAGTTATACAGTTATAAATAGTAAGCCGGTCAGGTGCGGTGGCTCACGCCTGTAATCCCAGCACTCTGGGAGGCCGAGGCAGGTGGATCACGAGGTCAGGAGATCGAGACCATCCTGGCTAACATGGTGAAACCCCATCTTTACTAAAAATACAAAAAATTAGCCGGGCGTTGTGGCATGTGCCTGTAGTCCCAGCTACTCGGGAGGCTGAATAGGAAAATGGCTTGAACCCGGGAGGCAGAAGTTGCAGTGAGCCAAGATCGTACCACTGCACTCCAGCCTGGGCGACAGAGCAAGACTCTGTCTCAAAATAAATAAATAAATAAATAGTAAGCCAATAAGGAGATAAAAAGTAATAAATGAAACATAATCCAAAAGAAGGCAGAAAAAGGAAAAAGGAACAAAAAAGAGAGGGGATAAAGAGATACATAGTAAGAAGGCAGACTTAAAGCTAAGCATATCAATACTCACATTAAAAATAAATGGTTAAAACACCCCAGTTAAAAGGTAAGATTCAAGTATATGCTGCATCCAAGAAATACTCTTTAATCTAAAGACACTAATAGGTTAAACCTAAATGTATGGATAAAGATATGCCAACTTGCCACTAATCAAAAGAAAGCTGAAGTGGTTGCATTAGTATCAGACAAAGTAGGTTGCAGAGTAAAAACTATTATCAGGGGTAAGAGCACAATTTCATAATGATAAAGGGGTCAATTATTCAAGAGAATGTAATAAGCCTAAATATTTATGTGACTAATAACAGAGCTTAAAATTACATGAAGCAAAAACTGATCAAACTATAAGAAAAAATAAACAAATCCACAATTGCAGTTGGAGACTTCAACACCCCTCTCTCGATAATTAATAGAACAAATAGGCAGAAAGTCATTAAGGATATAGGAGACCTGAAAAACACTATCAGCTAACTTCACCTAATTGATGTTTACAGACCATTCCACCACCAGGAGCAGAATACATATTTTTTTTTAAGTACACACATTGACCAAGATAAGATATATTCTGAGCCATAAAATAAGTCTTAATAAATTTTAAATGGTTCAAACAAAGTATGTTTTCTGACCACAATGGAATTAAACTAGACATCAGTAACAGAAAGACATTGGGGAAATCCTCAAATATTTGGAAAATAAATAATACACTTTTCAATGACACATAGGTCA
Organism: Homo sapiens; assembly: GCF_000001405.40. Taxonomy (NCBI): domain Eukaryota; kingdom Metazoa; phylum Chordata; class Mammalia; order Primates; family Hominidae; genus Homo; species Homo sapiens. Next base: position 134,200,123 of record NC_000023.11, on the reverse strand, counting down.
AAGAGCTCAAAAGAATTTTAAAAGTCTTTTGAACCAAATGAAAATGAAAACACAAAACATTAAAATTTTTGATATGCAGCTAAAACAGTGTTTAGAAGAAAATTTAGAGTGCTAAATTCCTATGTTAGAAGAGAAGCCAATTCTAAGTTCTCAAATCAATGAATTCAACTTCTACCTTAAAATTCTAGAAAAAGAAAAAATAAAGGCCAAAGTAAGCAGAATGAAGAAAACAATGAAGATTAAAGTAGAAATCAGTAATATAGAAAAGATAAAAACAATAGAGAAAATCAATGAAATTAAAAATTGGCTCTTTGAGAAGATACATAATACTGACAAACTTCCAGCCAAACTGATCAGAAAATAAAGACAGAAGACACTAATTAGTAATATGGAATGAGAGAAATGATATTATTACTGAGATTACAGGTATTAAAAGGACAATAAGGGAATATTATTAACAACTTTATGCCAATAAATTCAACACCTAGATGAAATGAACAAATTATTTCAAAGAAACCTACTGGCCAGGCACAGTGGCTCACACCTGTAATCCATTAGGTGTGGATTACATTAGGAGGCTAAGGAGAGCAGATCACTTGAGCTAAGGAGTTCAAGACCAGCCTGGCCAAAATAGGGAGACTCCATCACTACAAAAATTTTTTTAAGAGATTAGCTGAGCAAGCCAGGCGCGGTGACTCACGCCTGTAATCCCAGCACTTTGGGAGGCAGAAGCAGGCGGATCACGAGGTCATGAGATCAAGACCATCCTGGCTAAAACGGTGAAACCCCGGACTCTACTAAAAAATACAAAAAAATTAGCCAGGCGTGGCAGCGGGCGCCTGTAGTCCCAGATGGTGGCGGGCGCCTGTAGTCTCAGCCTTCGGAGGCTGAGGCAGGAGAATGACGTGAACCGGGAGGCGGAGCTTGCAGTGAGACGAGATCGCGCCACTGCATTCCAGCCTAGGCAACAGAGCAAGACTCTGTCTCAAACAAACAAACAAACAAACAAACAAACAAACAAAGAAATTAGCTGGGCATGGTGGTGCATGCCTATAGTCCCAGCTACTCTGGAGGCTGAGGTGGGAGGGCCTGCTTGAGCACAGTAGGTGGAGGCTGCAGTGAGCTGTGATTGCATCACAGCCTCAACAACAGAGGGACACCTTGTCTCAAACAGAAAAAAAAAAAAAAAGATTTCCAGATTGTGAAGAAAGAAATAAGGCCATTTCTATTGTAGAAAATCCTCTAATGTAATTGACCAAAAAGCTACTAGAACTAGTAAGCGAACTTAGTAAGCTTAGTAAGGTTGTAGGATGCAATATCAATATCCAAAAATTAATTATATTTCTATATATTAGCAATGAACAATGGGAAATTCAAATTAAAGACAATATTTTTGCAATAAGATAAGAAATATGAAATATTTAGAGATGAATCTGGTTAAAAATGTGAAAAATCTGTACACTGTAAACTACAAAATGTTATTGACAGAAATTTAAAAAGATCTAAATAGATGGAGAGATACACTGTGTTCATGGATTAAGACTCAATACTTTTAAATATTAGTTCTCCCTAAATGGATCTAGAGGTTCAAAACAGTCCCAATCCAACTCTCAGCAGAGGTTTCAAATAGAAATTGATAAGCTGATTCTGAAATTCATATAGAAATGTAAAGGACCTAAAATAGTAAAAACAATTAAAAAATGTTAGAGGGCTAAGACTACTTGATTTCAAGATATAAAGCTACAGTAATCAAAAGCGTGTGGCATTGGTGTAAAGACAAATAGATTGATATGACAAAATGTAGACAGAAATAGACCCACATATATAGGGACAATTGATTTTTTACAAAGTGCAAATGCAACTCAATGGAGAAAATATCATCTTTTCAACAAATGGTACTGAAACATTTTAATATCTATACACAAAAAATTTTATCCTTACTTTACTCAATACACAAAAGTTAACTCCAAATGTGTCACAGACCTAGTCTAAACTACAGTCCTAAAACTAAAATTTCTAGAAGAAAACTTTAGAGAAAATCTGTTTTGAACTTGGGTTAGACAAGTATTTCTTAGATATAGTAACAAAAGCACATCTATGAAAGAAGAAATTAATAGATTGGATTTCATCAAAATCTAAAACTTCTGCTCTTCAAAGGATACTGCTTAAGAGAAAGTAACGGCATTGACTAGAAGAAAATAATTGCAAATATTATATTTGATAAAGGACTAGTATAGAGAATATATAGAGAACTCCTACAGCTGAATAATATAAAGACAAGTAACCCAATTAAGAAAAAAGGGATAAGTTTTTGTTTGTTTGTTTGTTTGTTTTTGTAGAGATAAGGTCTCGTTGTTGTGTTGCCCAAACTGCTCTCAAGCTCCCGGCCTCAAGCAATCCTCCCACCTCAGCCTCCCCAAATGCTGGGATTACAGGCATGAGCCATCACACCCGGCCAGGCAAAAGTTTTGGGTTTGCTGTTGTTGTTGTTGTTGTTGTTGTTGTTGTTGTTGTTGTTTTGAAACAGAGTCTCACTCTGTCACCCAGGCTGGAGTACAGCCTGGACTCCCAGGTTCAAGTGATTCTGGTGCCTCAGCCTCCTGAGTAGCTGGGATTTCCATGCTCAGCTAATTTTTTTTTTTAATTTTTAGTAGATGGGCTTTCACCATATTCTCCAGGCTGGTATCGAACTCCTGGCCTCAAGTGATCCACCCACCTCGACCTCCCAAAGTGCTGGGATTACAGGCACGAGTCATCATGCCGGGCCCTAAGGCAAAAGTTTTGAACAGACACTTTACTAAAGAAAATATATAGTTTGCAAATGAATACATGGAAAACATACTCAATGCCATTAGCCGTTAACAAAATGCAAATTAAAACCACAATGAGATGTCACTGCATACCTATTACAGTAACTAAAACTAAAAAGACTGATTATTCCACATGTTGACTAGGATGTGGAAAATCTCTAATTACTGTACACTGCTGATAGGAATGTAAAATGGTACAACCACTTTGAAAAACAATTTGGCAATTTCTTCAAAAGTTTAATGTATACTTGTTAGATGATTCAGCCATTCTACTCCTAGGTATTTATCCAAGAGATGTGAAAACATACATCCATTCAAAGACTTGTACGTGGATAGTCATAACAACTTTATTTGTAACAGCCACAAACTGAAAACAACTCAAATGCCCATTCAGAGGTGAATCGATAAATTCTGGAACAGTCACACAATGAAATACTATTCAGCAAGAAAAAGGAATGAACTTTTGTTACACGCAACAGTATGTATGAATCTCAAAATAATTATGTTCAGTAAAAGAAACCAGACAAGATGACTAAGTACTGCATAATTCCAGTTATATGAACGTTTTAAAGGTGCAAACTAATCTACAATGACATAAAGCAGGTCAGAGGTTTTCTGAGGATGAGTTGGGCAGGAGGGGGGCACTACAAAGGGGCAGGAGGAAAGTTTTAGGGGTGATATGTTCACTATCTTGACAGTGGTGATAGTTTTGTGAGTATATACTTATGGCAATAATTATGAAATGATATACTTTGCTTTCTTCAACTTTTATTTTAAATTCAGGGGTACATGTGAAGGATGTGCAGGTTTGTTACGTAGGTAAACATGTGCCATGGTGGTTTGCTGCACAGATCATCCCATCCCCTAGGTATTAAGCCCCGCATCCATTAGCTATTCTTCCTGATGCTCTCCCTCCCCACACTCCACAGGCCCCAGTGTGTGTTGTTCCCCTTCAAGTGTCTATGTGTTCTCAGAAATGATACACTTTTTAAATTAACAAATAAAATTAGATATATTTATGGTGTACAATATGATGTTTTGAAATATGTATACATTGTTGGATAGTTAAATCAAGCTAATTAACATATGCATTACCTCACATACTTGTCAATTTTTGTGGTGAGAGTGCTTAAAATCTATTTTTTTCAGCAATTTTCAAGAATGAAATACTATATTGTTATTAACTATAGTCACCATGTTGTACAATAGATGTCTTAAATTTATTCCTCCTCTCTAACTGAACTTCTGTATCCTTTGATCAAAAGCTCTCAATCCCTCCACAGCCTGTGGTAATCATCATTCTACTTTCTACTGCTATGAGTTTGACTTTTTTAGACTCCATATATAAATGAGATTATGTGCTATTTGCCTTTATGTGTCTGGCTTATTTTCTGTAACATAATATCCTCTAGGTTCATCCACGTTGTCACAAATGACAGGATTTCCTTCATTTTGAGGCTGAATAGTATTCCATTGAATATGTATACCACATTTTCTTTATCCATTCACCCATGGATGGACACTTAGGTTGATTCCATACCTTGACTATTGTGAATAGTGCTATAATGAACATGAGAATGCAGATATGTCTTTGACATACTGATTTTCAAATGATACAGTTTTAATACATACAATTCATTTTATGTCAATTATACCTCAATAAAGCTGTTTTTAAAGTATTGTCGGCCAGGTGCAGTGGCTCATGCCTATAATCCTAGCACTTTGGGAGGCCGAGGCGGGTGGATTGCCTGAGCTCAGGAGTTCGAGACCAGCCTGGGCAACATGGTGAAACCCCGTCTCTACTAAAATGCAAAAGAAATTAGCTGGGCTTGGTGGCATGTGCCTGTAGTCCAAGCTACTTGGGAGGCTGAGGCAGGAGAATTGCTTGAACCCAGGAGGCAGAGAGGTTGCAGTGAGCCAAGATCGTGCCACTGCACTCCAGCCTGGGCAACAGAGACCCCATCTCTAAAAAATAAAAAATAAAAAAAGGATTGTCAAAAGAGGAATAAGAATATTGAACATTTTAGACAGCCTGATTCTTTTAAAAGAGATTGTAGGATAAGATAGTATTAATCTCTAAGAAACATATGTGTTTTGAAAACGAAACATCGTTTTGTCACAGCGCCATTATTTGTTTGTAGTAACAATATTTCTCTTTCTTTCTTTCTCTTTCTTTCCTTCTTTCTTTCTTTCTCTCTCTCTTTCTCTCCCTTCTTTCCTTCCTTCCTTCCTTCCTTCCTTCCTTCCTTCCTTCCTTTCTTTCTCTTTTTTTCAGAGTCCTGCTCTGTCACCAGGCTGGAATGCAGTGACTGATCTTGGCTCACTGTAACCTCCGCCTTCCCGGGTTCAAACAATTCTCCTGCCTCAGCCTCCCGAGTAGCAGCTGGGATTACAAGCACCGGCCACCATGCCCAGCTATTTTTTTTTTTTTAGTAGAGATATGGTTTCTCCACGTTGGCCAAGCTGGTCTTGAACTCCTGACCTTGTGATCCACCCACCTTGGCCTCCCAAAGTGCTGGGATTACAGGGGTGAGCCACCGCGCCCGGCCAACAATATTTATTTTCAAATTTCAAATAGCACTGAAGGAGGACATGACATTTTTAGATGTATCAAAAGAGCGGCATGGGGTTTTAAAGGTTACAAAATTAAAATTAAAAAGAACTTTTTCAGCATCTCTTTTTCTATTGTTTTAGATACACAGGTTTTTTTTTAAGTTAAGCAATTAAGGAGAAAGAAAAAGAAGAAGGTCTTCCTGTACCCTTTTCCCACTCTAATCTTACCCCTAGAAGTCACTGACATGAATATCGCCCTATTTTCTACAATATATAAGTAGCGAGAGAAATAACTTTTTTATTTTTGTTTTTGTTTAGACTCCATTGGGATCACACTACACATAGGGCCCAATACATATAGATCACCTTTATTCTGCATGATATTCCAATGCCTGATGTACTTTAATATATTTAACTAGTCACTCATTCATAAATATTTAATCTGTTTCCCTCTGTTTGCTATTTCAATATTGCAATGGACATTCTTTTTTTATATATACTTTAAGTTCTAGGGTACATGTGCACAATGTGCAGGTTTGATACATAGGTATACATGTGCCATGTTGGTTTGCTGCACCCATCAACTCATCATTTACATTAGGTATTTCTCCTAATGCTATCCCTCCCCCAGCCCCCCACCTCCTGACAGGCCCCCAGTGTGTGATGTTCCCCGCCCTGTGTCCAAGTGATCTCATTGTTCAGTTCCCACCTATGAGCGAGAACATGCGGTGTTTGGTTTTCTGTCCTTGTGATAGTTTGCTGAGAATGATGGTTTCCAGCTTCATCCATGTCCCTGCAAAGGACATGAACTCATCCTTTTTTATGGCTGCACAGTATTCCATGGTGTATATGTGCCACATTTTCTTAATCCAGTCTATCATTGTTGGACATTTAGGTTGGTTCCAAGTCTTTCCTATTGTGAATAGTGCCGCAATAAACATACGTGTGCATGTGTCTTTATAGCAGCATGATTTATAATCCTTTGGGTATATACCCAGTAATGGGATGGCTGGGTCAAATTGTAATTCTAGTTCTAGATCCTTGAGGAATCGTCACACTGTCTTCCACAATGGTTGAACCAATTTACACACCCACCAACAGTGTAAAAGCATTCCTATTTCTCTACATCCTCTCCAGCATCTATTGCTCCCTGACTTTTTAATGATTGTCATTCTAACTGGCGTGAGACGGTATCTCACTGTGGTTTTGATTTGCGTTTCTCTGATGACCAGTGATGATGAGCATTTTTTCATGTGTCTGTTGGCTGCATAGATGTCTTCTTTTGAGAAGTGTCTGTTCATATCCTTTCCCCACTTTTTGATGGGGTTGTTTGTTTTTTCTTGTAAATTTGTTTGAGTTCTTTGTAGATTCTGGATATTAGCCCTTTGTCAGATGGGTAGATTGCAAAAATTTTCTCCCATTCTGTAGGTTGCCTGTTCACTCTGATGGTAGTTTCTTTTGCCGCGCAGAAGCTCTTTAGTTTATTTAGATCCCATTTGTCAATTTTGGCTTTTGTTGCCATTGCTTTTGGTGTTTTAGTCATGAAGTGCAATGGACATTCTTAAACAATGTTTACTGTATTTGTGGGCATATATTTGTAGAAAGACATTTGAGAAGTGACTTTGGGAAGACTTTGAGAAAGTCACAAAGCCAGGATAGCAGGGCGATATAGAGTGGTTAAGTGCATGGACACTGGCCCCAAAGAGATTCCAGGGATTTGCACTGCTTGTATCACTGTTTGGAAAGTGCCCTTCAGTTTCCCCACAACCTTGCCAAAATGGGAAGGTGAATAATACTGTTTGAACCTACATGTTAACTGTGAGTGAGGATGAACTTTTTTTAATGCTTTTCTGGATATTTGTATTTCTTTAAAGAAGCACTTTCCTCAAGTGAGCCGGAAATTCATAGAAATATGTGCCGCTTTAAGGGAATCCAGCCATTAGAAAAAATATAATATGCTTCCATGTTACTTGCACTTTAAAAAATAAAACCTTCTATTGCTGATATATGTGCTAAATGTATAAAGACAAGAACAATAGAAGTACGGTTTTCTGTCATTTAAGAAATAGACCAATGATCTGTAATGTGCCATGGGCAGTAAAACATATGGTGGGAATTAAGATTTTCAGAGGGATAGAAAGGATGGCTTGTTTCTTTCACTGGCTAAAAGGTTATGACCCATCATGCACCACGTGACCTGTCAAGACCTACTGACCCACCAATTATCCTGTGGAAAATTAAACTCGCTAACTCTTCCTAACTTTCGCCTAAATCTACAGCTCTTGCTGTGTTCCCCCTCTCTGTTAAAGGCATCACATCTACCACGTCGGCCAAGCTAGAAATCGGGGGGTCGTCACCATTTCTTGCTCTGCCCCATGCAGCTGTTCCCCACCCTCACCCCTTTCACTGAGTCTTTTGTGAGGAGGAAACAAGGTAACAAGTCTAGAATTACCCAGCATAACTTTAGAGAGGCAGTGGTCAGGACAAGGGAAATTTCATTCTGTTACTTTTCACAACACACACAAAGAACAGCAGCAACAACACCACATTTTTAAAAAGGCAATGCCTCCTTACCAGTGGTCTACAGCTTTCCACACTGTCTACCTGAGGCTTCTGCCCTACTTGTTCAACTGTATATCTGAAGGAATTGGCGTACAGGACACTCACCATTCACTAGGCAAGAATAATGGAGTTGTCCATGTGGAACATATTAATTGAAAAATACACTAATCTTTTTACTTTATAAATAGATAGGATGCTAATGATTTCTTTTCTTCTTACAGATCAGTATTGTTATTTTAAACTTTGGCTTGGAAGGAAAATTAGATGGAATGCTCTCAGAAAGATTTTGGAGGGGAGGTCATATGAAGGCAAAGGCAGAACGTCTAAACAGCAGTGGGAAGTGAAATAAAAATCTACAGTCACCACCTCCTGACCTAGTTATAGGTTATCAGTATCTCCTCTACCACAAAGCATATTTCTGGCCCATGTGTTCTACCACCTTCTGTTGGTGGGTGCTCAGAGACTACAAATTCACTTTAATATGTCTATTATCCTCAGAAAAACATAATTAAGAACATAAATAGACTGCTTCTAAAAATAATATTGTGCGTTTAAAAACAAAATATTATGAGGTTTGGATTATCTGCTGTTTCAGATTATCTCTGCCACTGCTCCAGAGGGTAGAATTTCCTCTGCAGCTTAGTATCCCTTGAAAACATGTGTTTAGTTATAAACATAAGTCCCTCTGGGGAATCTCCAAATGGAAATGTTTCTCTCATTTGTGAGTGAGAAGTGCATGTCTTTCCTTTGACACAAAGGAGAGCATTAATGCTTGCCAATTTGCAGATAATTTCAAAATGTGTTTTGACCTCCAAACTTTTACTAGTCGGCAGAAATTTTTATAGCATCTATTTGGCAATGAGCATGAGTCAACTCAAGAACCTCAGTTATTAACTATGGGTATGGGCTATATTTTAAAGTGTTAATTAAATGAAACATTTTTTTTATTAGAAAAGTAATTAATGTCTCTTTCTTACCCCATTCTTCTATAACACCCAGCCCCTTCTCCAGGGGCAACCACTCTTAGCAATTTCTTTAAAACATTTTTAGAAATAACCTATACAAATCCATGTATACATGTGTATATTTATCTCCCTTTTTTACATAAATGGAAGCATATTATTCATACTGTTTTACATTATTTTTTGCTTGCTCTATCTTGGAAGCTGTTCCATATCAGGAGATACACTCACATAGCACACACCTCTTCTTAATAATATCATAATATTCCATTGTGTGGGTCTACATTAATTGATTTAGCCAATTCTTATTATAGATAAATAGGCTGTTTTTAGATTTCTATTCTATTACAAGAAATATTGACATCTCCCCTTTCCCCTTTAAAAGGGAAAATGCAAAAGATATGCAGTGGTAAAGCAAATAGCACAACTTTAACAATAACCACCTAACTCACGGGCAAAGTTGTTTCATTTATAACCCTCCACTCGCCCTAATAGATTATTTCGAGGCAAACTTCTTCCATAGATATTTAATTATATATTATAAGAACACTTTTTTTAAAAAAAGTACCATTACCATTACTCAAAAAGTTAAAAATAATTTATTGATATCAATAACATCCTGTGTTCAGATTTGCCATATGAACTATTGTTTAGAGCTGGTATATTAAAATCAGAATGCAAACAAGGTCCACACATTGCATTTGACTAATATGCCTCTTCAGTTTATAAATCCCTTTCTTTTTTTCCTTGCAATATATTTGTTGACAAATCTGTGTGGTTTGTCCTTCAGTTTTCTACATTCTGGGTTTTGCTGACTGCATTGCGTGGTGTTGTTTAACATGTTCTCCTCTCTTCCCTCTATTTCCTGCAAACTAAGTGGTTTGATCAGGGGACTTTATCAGATTCAGGCTTCATGCTTTGGTAAGAATACTTCCTAGATGGTGTTGTGTACTTTTCTCGAGAGACCATAGGCATTCTTGTATATAGGTATGAATGTGATTGTAGGATAAATACCTCCAAGTAAAATTGCTTATTCTATTTTTTATTTTGATAGGTATTAACAAATTACCAAATTGTCCTGCACAGAAATTGTACCAACTTACATTCCCACCTGAAATTAAATGAGAGTTTCTGTTTCCCCATACCGACATTGTTTTATCAAGCTCTTTTTAGTCTCTGCCAATCTGATACATGAAAAATGTTATCTTGTCAAGTGCTAACACAATTTAGATTTGACTAGAACTAGATTTCGTGTTGCTGCAGCCCAGTTTCTTTGTAAATTAGCTCACATGAGTCAATGTTGTAGGTCAACTTGTTTATAACTGTTGTAACACTGCAAATTATCTATATGAGCCAAAATGAATTGGCAAGGGTAACATATTTGTTACAACTTAATATCAAAGCGTGTGTGCAATGCTACCACCTTTGGTTTGTCAGAGCAGATGCAGCTGAAAGAAATCTTGTGTGTATACATATTTAGAAAATTGGTAGAATTTCCTCATTTCAACACCCATGTCTTAAGCATTCGCTCTGTGCCAAGCATGTGGAGGGATCCCATGATAGACTAAGACCAAGGTCTTCGCACCAGTGAGCTTTCAGTCTAGTAAGGGAGGTGAGACACTTAATCATAATGCAGTTATAGTTTAGAGAGGGGAGAGGTCACTTCAGCTGCAGGGATAAGGAGGTGGTATTTCAAATGGGCCTTGAAGGATGGCTAAGTCCCAGAAATGCTTATCAGATGGGGATAACATTCCAGATGTCAGGAAGGGCACACACAAAGGCTGGAGATTAAAAAAAAGTGCAGGACATAGTCAGGGAATCCTGAAAAAGCCATTTAGGTATGGAGTAGGTAAAGGACCCCCGAGAAATTGGAGGGACCACAAGCCGGGAAACAGAAAACTAACCTAATTAGCATAATTATTTATAAGACACAAAGTTTTGAATGAGTAAGAGGAAATAATTGTTACTATAAAAAGTAAAAGGCCCAACAGGTAATTTAAAAAAAAATAGTATCACATGAGGCCGGGCACAGTGGCTCACACCTATAATCCCAGTGCTTTGGGAGGCTGAGGTGGAAGGATGATTTGAGGTCAGGAATTTGAGACCAGCCTGGGCAACATAGTGAGACCCTAGTCTCTATAGAAATTTTAAAAATTAGCTGCTCATGGTGGCACACACCTGTAGTCTCAGCTACTCAGGAGGCTGAGGTGGGAGGATCACTTGAGTCTGGGAGGTCGAGGTTGCAATGAGCCAAGATCACGCCACTGTACTCCAGCCTGAGCAACAGAACAAGACCCTGTCTCAAAAAATATTAAAGAATAAAATTTTAAAATAGTATTATTTATGGATGTTTGAATAGCAGTCACTACAACATGTTACTGTATCTTTTCTTAACAATTTTCAGTGATAATTTTATGTGCATTTAATGAATGCCAACCAAATGCAGTTTCTATAGCATTCTACATAGCCTGCTTAGGAAAAAAAAAATGGAGGAAACCACATTTCTTCCTTGCTTAATCAAAGCTAAATGGCATTGAGACACAGAGGTTTTATTATTGTTATTGTTATTATTATTATTATTATTATTACAATTTAGAGTAACAAACAACTCTTGAAGGAAATTTTCAGAATTCTTAATAATTATACCAAATCCACAGCCTCAGTTAATTTCTCCACATTGTGACTGGGGAAGAGACATCAATCATCTTAGAAAGCTGGGATTCTTTGGACAGCAAGCTATAGCAACAATCAGCGTTTTCTGCGCCGGATAAGATTCATTTCCAAGAATAGGTATCCTTTGAAGCAGTGTTGTCCAATAGAACTTTCTGCAAAGATAGAAACATTGTGTATCTTCACTGTTCAATGTAGAAGCCACTAGCTACATGAGGCTATTGAGCATTTGAAATGTGGCTAATAAAACTGAGAAACTGGATTTTTCATGTTATTTGTCATTAACTCAACTTTAAAATAGCCATATTCGACTAGTGGCTAGAGGTGTAGCATTTAACTAAAAGTGGCTATTAATTTTTCCCTGAAAGATTGAGTTATTGATTAAAATAACATACACAAGTACTGCATAAACTCACAAAGCATTTTAATGTTCATGTTACAACAAAGACAAGATGTAGTCTGGAGCAACAGGACTTTTCACACCCAGAGAATTCCACATAGAGGCAATGGTAATTGACTTCTTTTTGCCAAGTTTACTGGGTTCTATTCTTTTAACAAAGGCAAGCATGCATGCCTATGTTGTACAACACACTTTAAAGCACAGATAAAGCTTAAACTTTTAAGTGGCAATAATAAATGTAGTAATAATGCTGTTAAATTATTTGAGTTTGACTAAGTTGGATTTTCTTTTTCTCCAAGTGTCTTGAAGGCTACCCCTCTGGATGCTTCATGCAGTGGAGATATGCCTTCAGTTATTAATCAAGGGTCTGTTTTGCAGACTTTTTAAAATGGAATTTCAGATTCATTAGAACAAAAGGATGCACTTTTCTCGACCTTGGGAGCTTGTGACTATTTGGAGATGAAAAGAGTAGTGACACTAAGGAAAACTATTGTCCAGAAAAATAAGCCTCTCCAAGGGGGCACCAGGAATCCACAATAAAATCCCTGTTTCCAAGAAAATCCACGCATTTCCATCAAAAAAGCCTGGAAAGATAAATAGAATGTCCTTATAAGCCACAGGTTTTTAATAATACAAAATGTCTAAGTCCAGAGTAAACAAGGAGCTAAGAAAAACTAACATCTACTAACTCAAGTTTCTCAAGACCCAGGTCGTGACCTAGAGCCTGATCACAAGGTATTTTCAAAAGAGCTGCTTTTCCTGCGCCTGAGATGAGTTTATTTTATGGAACTTATTTGGCTACGGAGCTCTACAACTGCACAGAATTTTAGAACCAGGTGAATTACGACAACTCTTTCAATCCACAACAATAAGAAGTGGGATTTGGGGGCTAATTTAAAAAATGATGTCAACGTCCTCCATATAGCAACCAAAACAAACCAGGCTGATTTGCCGAATCTGAAGTTAACACTTATTTTCATCTTATCATTATCCTAATATATTCGTTCCTTTCTCACCTGATTTCCCAAAAGTGATTAGTGAAGCTTTTCAAAATGTGATGAATTTTTCATCTTCAATGCTTTCTGTACGAACTATTCAAGTATTGTTCTTTCCAATTTCAACCCTCTAGGAGGCAGAAGTCAACAGATCTCTCTTCCCTTTGTTGCAGGAGCTATTTAAACTTTCTGCTATACCACATCCTTTCTCTGACCGCGCTGACTTCCAGGAACTAACCTGTGGTTTTGCAAACAGAGTATTTTCCATAGCAGGTTGTACTAGTTATTACTGACATTCGTATATTCTGAAGGTGTGCCCCAGGGGTTTTACAATGGGCTAGTAAAAAAAAATTCAAAGAGCAATAAACAAAAAACAAGAGTCTTGCTCAACCACCTAAATGTTAATTCATTTGTTTTTTTTTACTTAGCATTTTGTTCACTGACTTAGGCTCAGCAAATGTGAAAAGAAAGAACAAAACTGATTCCCCATGGTCCCTAAAGTGTTTTTCTCATGACTTTTATAAATAATTCAAGAATACATAATTTTTCTTCTGAAAGTTCTGTTAACGGCTCCTGAGAATTAAGCTGTCACTACTGAGTCACTTTTCTGCGCTGGGACTGGCTCTGCTGCCTTTCAGTCCTTTATCCAACGTCTGTGAGACCATCTTCTTTCATAGTTGGGGATTTATTTAATGTAAACTATTTTTATTTTTTAATGATTTAGAATAAATTATGTAGGCTAGCAAAAAAATCATTAAAAAGCAGACTCTCGTCATGCTTATTAGAAGACCAGTTTTCTGGGCACTTTTAGAAAGTCAGGTTGAGGTTGTATGTCAGAGTTCAAGTTTCACAGCCATCTCCACTTTGAAACATAATATATAAAAGCTGTGGTTTTTTTTTTCAAGAAATCAAGTGTGTTTTGTGCTTAAGTGGGAAACATTTCAACATTTCAACTGTAGTCAAGCTCTTCACTTTGAAATAGAAGGATCCGAGGAAAGAGTGATGGCTAGTTTGCTGCTGAAAGAAAGAATCTCTGTGAGATGTTACTGCTGTACTTTTGGCTGAAATGGTGACCAGCACTAATCCTAAAGGTCAAGCTGATAACAATACTTTTTCCAGTAGGGCGTTTGAATATCATTAAAAAAACTAAATCTATTAAATGAAAGGGCTAAGCTAAGCCCAACCTCTTCATACTGATAATTATACAATTTCAATTTTGTTATTTACACATAAGGGCTCAGAATTAGGGCAGCAGGGCAGTTCAATTGTATGATCATATCTTAACCCTCAAATAACTTAATATGTCCTTGGCCTTTTGAAGCATTTGAGAAGCAATGTAAATGCTTAACCATAGGCATGAACGAGGTAAGGCTGGAGGAATTCACTTTAACTCCGAGTTCTCCAGTTTTAAATTTCTAAAAAACATCAACAGTTTTTGCAAATGCTGACACCCTAAAGGTGGTATTCTGGTAGGGAAGAGAAACATTTGATAAAGTATATATCAGTGAGAACAGACGCTACATTGTTCCATCTCCCACACTTCAACTAGGAAGTCCTAGGCATAAGAAGTATTTAGTATTAGCTGGGTGTGGTGGCGTGCACCTGTAATCCCAGCTACTCAGGAGGCTGAGGCGGGAGAATTGCTTGAACCAGGGAGGTGGAGGTTGCAGTGAGCCAAGATAACGCCACTGCACTCCAGCCTGGGCGATGACAGAGAGAAACTCCGTCTCAAAAAAAAAAAGTATTTAGTAGATACTAAATTACTTAATTTAGGATGATCTCGGTTCTAGTTCAGCTGTGTAACCTTGCGCAAGTCTCTTGAATGTGCTGCGCTGCACTGTTTTGATGAGATGGTCTTTAAGAGCCCTTCCAGCTCTACAATTCTATGATTTTTATGAACACTCTCTGTAGTAGTTTGATGTTTTTCGTCCATGTGTGTATGTGTGTGTGTGTTTGTGTAGGCACAAACCCACACAGATATACACAAACCCTATATATGTGCTATGTACTAGTTGCTATGGGCAACCAACCACAGAAAAGGAAAGCAGTGGTGGCCAAATTTCTCACAGATTTGGAGGGCCTAAGAGGAGCTGAGTCCAAGCTGTATCTATTCACTGCCTCAAGTGAAATGCTACCTAGCCAGTTCTCTGCAGCCTTGGTTCTAGAGCATGGCAGGGGGTTGGGGTGGGATGTAAGGGTGATTAAGCTACAGAGGTTGGAATCATGGCTCCTCCACTTGATCCTTGTGTGGCTTTGGTCAGTTAAATAACTTTAGTTTCCTCAATTGTAAAATGAGGAAATGGTAAAAAGCTTAGCTTTTAGGGCTGTTGTGAGGATTTTATGACTTTATATAAAGCGAAAACACTCAGAAGCGTGCCTGGCACAAACACATTCAATGTTAGCTGATATCATGAGATGAATATGGAGTGAACCCCTTACTAATAGGGATGGCTCAATGATCTGGAAACACTGGCAAATCAATATTAACAGCTAATAGCCATAGTGTGGATGATTAATAAGAGGGAGGTACTATTAATAGAAGTGGTTGGTGCCAGAAGATAGCAAAAATCCTGTGTTGTTCAATATGGTCTCCACTAGCCACATACAGTATTGAGCACTTAAAATGTGCTTAGTCTGAAATGAAAAGTACTGCAAGTATAAAATGCACATCGGATTTCAAAGACTTAGTATCAAAAAGGTAAAATTTCTGATTAATAGTTTTTAATACTGATTATATGTTCAAATGAATATATTTTTGATATATTGGGTTAAATAACATGTTTTATTGAAATTAGTCTCACCTGTTTCTTTTCATTTTTTAAAAGTGGTTACAAGAAAATGTAAAATTGCATGTGCTATGTGTTACTATCTTTCCATTGGACAGTATAATTCTGAAGTGTTAAAGGAATCAACTGGGGCCGGGCATGGTGGCTCATGCCTGTAATCCCAGCACTTTGGGAAGCTGAGGCTGGCGGATCACCTGAGGTCAGGAGTTTGAGACCAGCCTGGCCAACATGGTGAAACCCTGTCTCTGCTAAAAATACAAAAATTAGCCAGGCATGGTGTCAGGCGCCTGTAGTCCCAGCTACTCGAGAGGCTGAGGCAGGAGAATCACTTGAACCTGGGAGGTGGAGGTTGTAGTGAGCCGAGATCGAGCCATTGCACCCCAGCCTGGGCAACAAGAGTGAAACTCCATCCAAAAAAAAAGAGCCAACTGTTCCTGTGCTTAAAGTCTTTCCCCAGTAGTCTCTTACTGGAGGTGAAACCACCACGTGACCCACGTGACTCTGTCCCAGAAAGTTCCATTTCCCTCCCTCTCTGTCACATGTCTGTGTCATAAGCTTCCCTCGGAAGCTCTGAGGGAAGTCACATTCAATTACTGACACCGGCACTGGGCTATACTCTGACTTACTAATCCAAATGCTTCCACCATGGCTTTACTGTTCTCCTTTGTGATGAGAATAAAGATTCCTGAAACAGTGCTGAGTGACAGGCTGACCTGGCTTCAAGCACAGGCTCCATCATGTGCCTGCCATGCAATATCATTCAAATGACCTAACCTTTCACAGCCTCTGTTCACCATCTAGAACAGAAGGGTAAGATTAATAATTACCTATTTAGTAGGATCATCATGTGAGATATATCTCATATATCTCTCATATATCCTGTGAGATATATGAGACATCTCATGTGTATATATATATATATGTGTATATATATGTGTGTATATATATGTGTATATATATGTGTGTATATATATGTGTGTATATATATGTGTATATATATGTGTATATATATGTGTATATATATGTGTATATATATGTGTATATATATGTGTATATATATATGTGTATATATATGTGTATATATATATATAGAGAGAGAGAGAGAGAGAGAGAATTTACAGCAGTGCCTGGCACATAGTAAACACTCAATCAATGTTACAGATTATTAATCCCATTTTTGCCTGGAGCATTTTGCCGGATGAGGTAGGTTTGGATTGTTAAATCTCCTCTGAGTTTAGGTTAAAAAACAAAAAACAACTACCCAGGTTATTCTGCTGATGAATGATAAAATGATGGAATCGCTAAAGATTTAGGATTTCAGGTACTAGTAGGGCCCTGTTTAAGGAACAGATGAAGTAGAGATAGCAGCTAAACTCATTTTTAGAGGCCCAGTGGAAGTGAGGAGCAGGCTTCTTGAATATGACATAATTGAAGGGGCAGGGTTTATATTGAATTGTGGTGTTCGGGATTGCTGAGAAGTGACAGATTGAACAAGGTAGGTGGAGACCTGAGTTGTTCACTCAACCTCTGTAGGCCTCATTTTCTGCCAGTGTAAAATAGGGATAACCTCAACCATCTACCTCACAGATTTCAGGTGAATGTCAAGCAAAATAATGTGCATGCTGATGTGCTTTGGAAACTGTCAATAACACCTGTAATCCCAGCAGTTTGGGAGGCCAAGGCAGGAGGATTGCTTGAGGTTAGGAGTTTGAGACCAGACTGGGCAACAGAGCAAGACCCTGTCTCTACCAGAAATTTAAAAAATTAGCTGGGCATTGTGGTGTGTGCCTGTAGTCCTAGCTACTTGGGAGGCTGAGGTGGGAGGATTGCTGGAGTCTGGGAGTTCGAGGTTACATTGAGCTATGATTGTGCCACTGCACTCCAGCCTGGGTGACAGAGCAAGATCTCATGTAATAATAATAGTAATACCAGCCAAGCACTGAAACAGAGGCCACAGTTTATTATTCTCTTTCTAAATACCTAAATATGCAATTGAAGCAGCATGGAACTCAAGTGCTATGGTAGTTCAGGGAAGGCAGAAATCTCCATGTGCTGGACCTAAGGAAGGCTTCCCATGGGAGGTAGGACTTGAAGTGGCCCTTAAAGAATGAGAGGAGAGAGAACTAGAGACCATTGATTTGCCCAAATCTCTGTCACGTGTCCATGTCATGAGGTAATTTACTAATCTACTTTGCACACAATCATAGTCAAAGAGGTTCCCAGAATCCTTCTGTTCACTTACATGAAGGCAAACCCAAACCCTTACTGATAGCATAGAAGATGAAGTAAAATGCAACTGGAGCTGCAGACTCTCATGGCACTTTTATGGCTCATTTTTCTATATAGTAGGTCTATGTGGAATAATTTCACATTAATTCTTGATTGACTGCACTCCTGTGACCAAATGTTTTGTGTTAACATGTACACCCACAAAAGAGACACCTTTTTGGCAGATTATTGAATACTTAAATAAGCACCTTAAATTTGTGAGAATTTATAACTTAATAAAGAAAACACAGGGAAATAAAGGAAAAAGTTCATGATACAGATAAAGAGCCACAGTCTAGTCTCCATTAATTATCTGCACACCATCTCAGTTATCTCTCCAGAGGTAACTAATTCATTACTACTATTATTGCCAGTTAAAAGGAAGACCTGAGAAGCACGGGGGTGGGGTTGGGCAAAAGAGGAACAAAGAGGAGGGGTACTGAGATAAAAAGCAAAGATTTATGGAGTGGGAAGAGACCTCAGAGGTAATCTAGTAAGTGATTTGCTAAAAAGTCATTCAGCTAGTTAGTGACACAGCACAGACTCAAGCTGAGATCTCCAGCTTCTCACTCCAGGTCCTTTTCGACACTACTGCATAGTTTTGGGAGAGGGAGGTTAGAACAGTCAGTGGGAAGGGAAAGGCCCAAATTCCCAGCCTCAGTCTTCTTAGATTCTCAACCCCTCCCCCTCTTTGAGATGCAAAAACCTCTCTCTAACTAACACATTGAACTGGCTTCCCTTAATCTTCCCCTACCCCTTTCTACTCCAAATCACCAAAAGGAACTTCTGTATGAGCTGTCTAGGTCTTTACAAAGAAACTCCCCGGAGTTATCTTTATTTACTAGGGGAACATTGCTTGATCTCTCAGTTACATATTTTTAGAGACAGTTAAAGAATTGCTAATGTTATCTGGTACTTTACATATGGTTCCTGGGCGGTAGTAAACACTCAGGGTTGAAAAAGAATTTACAAAGTGGAAGGGAGCTGGCATTTCTGATATCCCTCAATGCAAATATTCAACCTAGTCACTAGGCCAACAATGGATGTGTCAACACACTCTGAAAGGGGTCTCATAAAACTACAAAGTTGAGGTTCTCTACACCATCACAGAATTTACAATCTGGTTGGGTGGATGGACAAAGCTCAATTATTCATAATGACCTCAACAAAGATATGATAATACCTCACCTCATTAGCATATTAGCATATGCTATCAAATATGATAATTGTAAACTCAGATGAACGATTTTTATTCTTTTTCCCTGTAAAAGGCTGGGGTGGGGATCCAATTCATGACATTCCTAAACAACAATGGGGACACTGTTTCCACATTGCTCATTCCGAAAGGCATTTCTGAAAGCTAGAGATAGATGCCTTTTAGAAAGTAGACCACATTTTCTGGCACAATACTTAATTTATTCTCCTTTGATGACACGCCTGGTGGAATGAAGGAAATGGGGGGTGGGCATTCCATAAAACCTGATGAAACAGAATTATAACACAGATGGTATAACAGTTTATACAATATTAACAGCTCTTTTAATGTTAAATTAGTACATATAAAGGCATCAGGGAGTAACGTGTGTTGCTCCTTCTTACAGTTGAAGAAAAATCTAAGAAACAATTGACATGTGAGGAAATTGTCGACTTGCAGGTTATGAACATGAACATAAAGTTACATTTTGATGATCAAATGTTCATTATTTGGTACTGTGATCTGGGATTCCAATCTGGACTGGGGATGTGAGGGGGTGAGAAATCAAGCAAGATTTCCCTGTATGACAGCTAGGTTTCTCAGAACACTTGAGGGGGAAGATGGTCGTTATGTGTCTTTTCAGCTGGTACAATCAGATTGTAGTTAAATAGTGAGAATGACTAAATTGTTAAATTTTCTCCTGAAACCCTCTCTCTGTGCCTTGCTTGCACTGCTGGTGCCCCAAACTTTGGCAGCGAGAAGTCAGGATCTTGGCAAGGAGTCTAAGAAATATGCATATGGCATCAGCAGGAAAGAGAAAAGCAGGAAAAGAACATTTATTGAGCATTCTGAAGTGCCAAGCATTGTGATCATTGTGTGATCTGTAGATTTCACACACGATCTCATTTAATTTTCATAACGGTCCTACCGGAAAATCAAGCTTGAAAATCAGTCAAGGACTATTTAAAATTTCTTTTAAAATTGACCATAATAGTGTCTTTCTTTATCCTGGCTCTGTGACAATGAGTGGAGGCATTTTAGGCAGGTCATTTTTGGGGCTCCAGTTTCCTCATCTGTAAAATGAAGCGATTAGGTTAGATGCCCAGTGAGGACCTTGCCAAACCTAACATATTGGTTCCAACCATCCTTTAAAAGATTCTCTGCTAAGTCATTTCCATGTTTGATGCTGTTATGTATAGTATTTTGCCACAAACTTAGCATTGAAAGAACCTAAGCACTTGACCAGGAGTCAGGCAAAATGAAAGACAAGTTGGAATTTGGGATTCTTTTTGCAAATTGTGCTAATCTGTCTAAGGCTAGATATGTAGCTGCAAATGTGGTAGTGTTAAAAGCCAGCAACATTAATTTTAGAATTAATTTGCTAAGAGCTTTAGGTCTTAAATATTATCAAGACTTTTATATAAACTTGGTAACACCGTTATTGGAGTTTAAAAAACATGCAGTGTGCATGCAGGGATTAATCAAGTGTAGAGATTAGTTTAAGAATGGTGAGTTTGAATTGTAAATGAAATAGTTGAAATTGCAGAAAACCAAGGGACTATACACCAAAACAAGGATTAAAAAGGACACTTTGTTTATGAACCAAAGTATAAAATGAATCCTCTCAACTTTTATATTTAAATTTCTGACACAAAAGTAAAAATTGACTAAATGTAGGACTCTCCCCACCCAGCAGATTTTAAAGATGTTATAAACTACTATTTAAAGAAAACCCTTTTGAAACTTACCGAAGAGGGGTAATTAGTTGAGTGGGACAACAAGGACTCCAACTAACACAGCAAATAAAAATTGGTTCTTGCTTTTGTTAGGTGATTAACCAAACTGATGGGGTCTATTCAATTTCTAGTTTGTTGATTATCCTCAGACACATTTAATTTTAAAAAATGACTTGGGTTGAGGATATCTAGTAAGTAATAAAAGATATAATATTCAGATAACGCTGATAAATAATATGTCAGAAGCAAGATTATATTTTTGACAACTGGAATAAACATGAAAGCACTGCAGAAAAAGCTTGATTAAAACACACAAAGGAAGAAAACACATTTTATTTCAGATCAAATTGAAGAAAGCCCAAAGTAGTATGATTGGGTGTGAAGGCTATTAGTAATTGCAAGGTGTGTATCTTACTCTAAAGAAGTTACATATCACTGTTCATCAAGATCTAGTGGTTTCCATGCTTTTGTTTAAATGGCCTTTAAAGCAAAACTGCAAATGAAATAGCTATGAAAGGATTTACAGATTAGTCAAGTATTACATTCTAAAAATATAATTTAACCCTAGATATTCACTAGAATTATTTGTCTTGCTGTTTCTCCAAAATCAACAAGCAGACTCTATATTTAAAATGGCTTTGTTTATTAGCCTTGATATCCTCCAAGGAAACACTGAACTTTGATCTAGTTAATTAATTATAAAAAACATAAAAGTTTAACATACTATAATACAGTATCTTTTTGTAATACATACCAACATATCATGTTTGCTTCTTTAACCTTAAGTTCTTGAAAACTTAAAACAGATCCTAGAATAATGTTTAGTTAAGCAAGTTTATCAATTTGATATCTAAACATTTTCACAAATATGCAATCCATACTTGATCATAACTTGCACATTTTCTTCTTGCTTTTATCTACTAGCACATAAACCATTTTAATTATTAAAGATGGTTTAATAAGTAGCAGCTATAGAAATGGGATCACTGAAAGCTATAAAGGATCAGTTCGTCTTAGGGATGTTAATCATTTTTTAAATTTAGGGAGTAAAGTTTCAAGTAGTAAAATTCATTAGGATTTAAAAAAGTGAGGGATGAGATGGACAGCTCACTCTTTTCTGAAAGAATAAAAATATGCTCAGAGCTCCAAGTAGGGTCATAAATTATATGATTTTAAATAATAAAACTTCATCTTTCCATCTTTGATTTTTAAATCAGTAGTCTTCCTGTTGACTTAGACATCCTTTCAAAAATTTCAAAAGTAAGCTAGATTACATTTGTTTTGAGAAAATAAAATCTCCCCTTTCATTTTAAAAGTAGATGTCCTCTGTAGGCTGTATCTGTTGAAAGATTCCCTTTTACAGTGAGTGTTAGCCCTGTTATTTAGGTTGTTGCAAGCTTTCATTGCAGTCCTTTCAGGCATCTGGATAATTCAACACATTTCACTGCGCCTTCCTCCTCAGCATAAAAAAGGCCAGACAATAGTTCTACTTCCTTCAGCAATCACAAGTCAGGAGACAGTTAAAGAGAATCTCTAAGCTTAGCAGAGTACTACCAAACTAAGGATAAATGTTATCTTTGAGGAGAAAAAAAGAGAGAGGCTCCAAAAAATACCATTTTGCCCTCTTTGCACATAGGTAGTAGAAGATTATCATGCTTTATTTTAGTTATAGCAGACAGAATATTAAATAACTTAAAGCTTCCTAACTTAAAAGCATATTTGTCATCTAGAGTTTTTACTTCTCAATCATGACATTTTCAATAACAGACTTATTGGTGTAAGATTATTAAATAATGAGATAATTTTTAATACCATGATTTACTTGCTTTGGAAGACAATGTTATGGTGATGACGTTTTAGAGACTGTTTTGAATGTAAAACTATATTTTTTATTGTGTTCCGTACCATGACATATTTTCCACTTAGAAAATTTATAATGGTGCAAAGATGGACAAACTTAATCAGAAAAGTGATTGAAAAAAGTGATGTGTGTAAAACATTTCTGGTTTACAGCTTTTTCTTTGATTATAGTATTACAGTCTGCTAGCAATTTTATGGTTTGTAATACCAGAAGTTCCACTTCTAAGGTCACATAAACAGGAAAATCAAAGTGTTTCAAACAGAGTGTAAAAATACCTTTAACACTATTTAATCTTAATAGTGAATCACTTTAATGTCTACTGAGTCTATTCTCAAGGTGGGAGAATTAATTTGAGAAACAATTTTTCTACTGATGGCAAGCAGGTTATTCTTATATCTTTTCAATATTTGCACACATATTTTGATGTAAAATATTTGACATGTAAAAAATATGGTTGTTAGTGAGAGGAAATTGTGTTTTAACATACTACTGAGAAAAGCAAAGACCCACACAACAAGGTAATTTTAAGGCATCACATAATAGCAAAATTAGCTCCATGTTGTAAGTTCTAGTACCAACATATTTCAGCTGAATTATGTGAGATGTAATTTAATTGTATTTTAATTTGATTACTCTTTTGATTTAAAATAAGATTAAATCATTACTAGAGATAAGAAATGTTTGTAAATAGACACTTATTCTAAAAAATCAAAGTTAGCAAAGACCAGCTTGTAAAAGTAAGGTTTACTTACAAGTAAAATTTAGTAAAATGTGTATTTTAAACGTATTTGTATATCAGAAAAGTTGATCCACCTTCTGGTGCCATTTGGTCTTCATAAAATCCTTTGAGATTGGGATAAGTATATTTTTACTTTCTACATTTTTTAAACTAAGTTATATTAACTGTGCATGTTCAATTAGTGAAATTTTCTGCTTCTTATCAAGTGGCAAATCTTTTGAAATTGATATTTCATTCTCATGGACGCTATTTAGTTGAAGATGTATTTATTTTATTTACATGATTTATGTTGGCATATGCTATTGAAAAGAAATAAGATTCAGAAATTCATTACTGACTCTAATTTTTCTCTTTGTTCTGCTGACATAAATTTTCATAAACAAATTAAGGCCTGGTCCAAAAAATTCAAATTTCATTTTTTCAGGCTGATTTGTGTTAGTATGATTGGCATTCAAAAGAAGATTGATTCATCTAAAAACTATGAAATGTTTGCAAATGAAGGAATACTTCGTTTAAAAAATAAAGTTAGTGAAGACCAGTTTTGATAGACTTCTAATGAAATCACAGTTCCTGCTCTAGGATCAAATAGCAAAATAGCATTTGAAATATTTTGTTTGGGATCTTCCGCCTCCATTCTGTTTAGTGAGTGTTCTGATCTGCTGGCTTTGTTTTAGGCCTCATGGGCATGCACATGAGCACATGAACATAAACACACAAATGTAGCAAAACACATATTTCAGTGGGACACTAAACTTCTCATCCTGGGCAAAACCAGAGTGTAACAGACCTTAATTGCAAGTGTAGTTCAAAAATGTAGAGTAGTAAATACACATAGAACAAAAGCTCTATTCTAGTTGTGTGAGGAACATAATACTCTTAAATTACTTTCTGGTTTCCATGGGGACCTTTTTGTTCTAAGATACCAATCATTAGGTTTAACAAAGCCACTTAATATTATTTCTAAATCAAGTAACATGATTTCTCAACTGGGTAAAATGTCAATTTTATTCTTAAAGGTGTTCAAATCCAAACTACTTGAGATTGCTGCTTTATATGGCATAATTAAATCTAGAGGTCAATACAGAAGAATCCCTTCACCCCTTTTCAAGGCAGAGGAAAGCTCAAAGTGGGTCTATTTTGAGGGGAATATTTTGCTGGGCATTCACCGTTTTTCTTTGAATCCATCATAAACTCAAAATAGTGTCAAGAATTTAAAGTTGTGATGAGAATCCTTAGGCTCACGAAAGATAACAAGTTCTCCCTCCCTTTGGCCAGTTTCCATACCTTTCTTACACATTCTGACAGAACATCTGGGCTTTCGTGTAGGCATGTATTCTATATCATATTTACATACATGCGTATATACGCACACCGGCCAGTCTGTTTGGTCATAAATGATGTGACTGGGGGATAGGAGTTGTGGCTCCTTTATTTTGCAGAATGCCTAAGTATTGTTTGTCTCACAATACTGGGAGCGAGCAGGAGCCCGGTGGGAGCCTGGAGCCTTAAGCCCTGGGCTGTGGTCTGGGGGAGGGGACGGGGTTGCGGGGTCACAAGCTCTTTGCTTTTAGCCTCAGCATGACCACAAGTTTTAAAGCATGAAGGGATCACGTGCTTTTCTTTGAGCTGTTAGTTATTCTGACTTTTGGGGGGGGTGTGTGTGAAATGCTTTGTTCTTTAGATTTTTTTGATTCTCTAGGTATTTTGGCCGATGATTAAATTTTTTTTCCAAAAGAAAGAGACAAAAATAAATCATTTGGTGTATCAAAATGTCCTAGTTTCTCATAACCTATATCTTGTACTTAGTTAGTTTTACCTTGTGCTAGACAGGTACTGAGATGGAATAAATTATTTTCGCCAGTTGGGAACTTGATCCAGACATTCTATATGTTGCAAACCCTTAAAAAAAATTAAGAACAAGAAAATATCCTGGTAAAGCAATCTCAAAATACCTTATTCCGGGTATTGTTCTAGCTTTAAAGGGAAGGAGGACTGGGAGGAGGGGTGGGAGATGGGGGGTGGCGAATAGGAAGACTGGGAGGATGTCTTGTTTAATGAACTGCTAAAACTTTTGGAAAATTTTAAGCTAGTGAAGTCCCTCAACACGGTATTTCCATTTGAAAACCTTTACTTAAATATGTCACTCTTGGGGAGTTACTTCTACTTGTTCCCTTTAATAGGATGATTTCATCTTTTCCAACCTTCTTCTGTCTCTCCAACCAAGACACATAGACTCCGAATACCAAATAAAGACTTTTGAAGATAATGAGATTTATTTGGGAACATTTTCCAAAATCAGGGTAATGGGTTTTTTTGTTCTGATGTTGAAGAGGATGAGGATATGTTTACTCATTGACCCGGGAGCTCTGGCTGCAGCTGTAGGACACAATTAATTATGCTAATAGTTTGTGAGGAGCGGATGTAGCTCCCCCAACCCCCCTTTTTTCGAGGGGAGGGGAGTTTGGCAAAAGGGGAAGGAGACGCCCTGGGGTCGGATCACATGATATTATCTTCGCGCCACTTTCGCAAAAACCCTTTTTTTTACTCCAGGTTTTGCTCCAGCTCAAAGGTACTGTTCTTATCTTGCTTTAATACAACGCTTCTTAAAGTCGGGTCTAAGTTCTCTTCCCTCCCCCTCCTCTTCTTTCCACTGCTAGTCGTTACCATTAAAGGTCGAAAGTTGCATTGCAGTCGGTGCAATCTCACAGGAGGGATCTGGTTGGGTAGTAAACTTCGGGCTGCGTAGTTTCCAGAAAGTATCACGCAGACGTGCCAGGGTAGGCTGCAAGGTCTGTTGCATGAAAAAGGGGAGGAAGCCCACCTGTGCGAGTGACTCGCGTTGGAGAAATGATTGTGGTTTTCGTTGCATCCACCGCTGACTCCTGAGGGGCGCTGGCAGTTCAGGTTGGACTCTTTCGCGGGCCAGGGGCGGGAGAGGCCAGTCTTTTGTAATGTTTGCCTGAGCTACTACTGTGCACCAGTGCACCAGGTTGAGAATCACATGGCGCCCTTGTCCTCTTCTGGGCTTTGGGCTGCCACAATCACCCTGGTAACAATGGTGGAAAGGGAGGGGTCCGGCTTCATTTTGCACCCCTTCCCTCCTTCCTTGCCCCCCGCTTGCCTTCCAGGGCTTTCCTCCTCCGACCCAGCGTGCTCACTGGTCTCTGATTTGTAACCTCGTACCCTGCACACCCCCGCCCACCCCCCCAACCCCCGCACGCTCCCCAAATCCCATCTTGCGCCTGTGTCCGCCAGGGACGCGGAGAAGGTATATAGCCCGGTTGTCTCTCATTTTGCCCGGTGTTCAAAGTCTGGTATGCTTAATTCCATTTTGATTGTGCGTCTTAAACTAAGACATCATTTTATTCTACAGAGCGCTGTCGGGCTTTGGCCTTGAAGCAGCCCGCCCTCAATTGGTTCTCATTAGCGGTGGAATGAGAGGAGAAAGCAAGATAATTGCACCGTATCTTCCGCACATTTGCGCGTGTATTCGGTGGCTGCTACCGTTAACGATACCTGCCAAGAAACCCTGATTTAGTGGGTGAAGAGGGCGCCTGGCAAGGGCGAAAGCCTCCCAACAGTAGCACAAGGTGCTAGGGGTTAAAACTTTCACATGTGCAGAGAGTAAGTCGTGTTTCTATTTCTTCCCTCCTCGGGCCTTAGGAACACTTTCAATCTAGCGGCGAGGTGGCGCGCATGCGCGCGCCGGGTGGGGGACACCCCTGTCCCACGGCTCCGTGGGCCTCGTCGTCTGTCTCCGGTGGGGGGCTGAGGCGAGCGCCGCGGGAGCGAGATGGGACAAGGTGGTAGTGAGTGCGCCATCCTGGCCCGGATGCCGGTGGCACCCGCACCGGCTCCGGCCACGGCCTCTGCCTGGGCCGCTGTCCCAGGCGCGCCTTTAATTAAGGACTCCAGCTTGGGGGAAGAGAGAAGGGAAAATGCCGACTGCGGTCCGCCCGTGGGTAACTGGGGCTCGGTGGGGTTTTCGCTTTGGCGGGGTGGGGGTTCCGTTTCCTAATTCCTGTGCGGGCCGGGTGGGCGGGGGCGGGCTTTTTTCCTTGGGCTATTAAAGGCAGAGGGGCGGGCTTTTCCCAGGGATATAGCTACGGACAGAGGGCCAAGGGGACGGAGCGCTCCTCAAGTGGTGGCAGGGAGGCTCGTGGCCCCGCGTCGCTCTGGACAGGGGCGCTTTGGGGTGAGATGTGCGCTCGCGGCCTTGATCCATTTAGTGGACGCTTTTTCTCACTTCTCTTCCCCTTCTGGCTCCGCGGGAGACTGCGCTCGCACCCGGCCCCGGAGCGCTCGAGCTGCGCGCTGGGACACTGGGTATACGTGTGGAGGGGACACCCGGAGAGGGCGGCCCGTGCGGGATCCCCGCGCTCTCCACCTGCGAGGGGCGGGCCGGAGCTGGGTCCCGCGCGCGGTTTCCCGAGCGGGTGGCTGGGCAAGAAGGGAGCCCTTCGTTGGGGCAGCTGTGATCCGGTAGAGTTGACTGGTTGGGTGGGAGGGGACGGAGCGGGCGGGACTTGAGAAAAGCAAAGTACCAGAGTGCGGTTGAGGGGTAGCGGGCAGCGCGCGGGAAACGACTCCCCTTTTCTTCTCCACCGTTGACCTTTAGGTTCCTGGAAAACTTTGGTGGTGAGGGTGTGAAATGAGGGGGTGCACGTGGAGGGAAAAAAGGGACTCCCCTCCCTCTTGGCTTCTATCCCACCAACCCGGGAATGGAGGGGGAGGGAGGCGTGGGCTTGGCGCGTTTTTGGTGCTTTGAATGGAGAACTCCGTTTCCCATGATGCTTTGTTTCTTTCTCTTTAATTTCGGCGGCGGCTGAGGCTGCACGAGGACTGGAGCGCGTGGTGTGAGCAGCTGGAGCACACCCTGGACGCGCGGGCTGCTCGCGGACTTCAACGGGAGCATTAGGTAAGGGTGTGAGAGACGCGGGAAGAGGCAAAAGGGAGCCACAAAGGCGTACAGGGAAGGACTTCTTTCTTTCTTTTCCTTATTATTATTATTATTATTTGCAATTTAAGGGGATTGGAGAGTGACTGCCCAGCGTGCGCGAGGGATGCCAGATGAACCGCTAATTAGCAAAAGGTAGTAACTAGAAGGGCGCCCTGTCTGATGGCTGTGGGGCTCAGTTTGGCCAGGTTGGGTTGGCAAATACTATGCATTTTGAGTCAAGTTTGGAGTATTTTTTTTTTAATGGAAAAGAAATCTTCACAGGTGTAGAAACCCAATTTAAGGGGAAAAATGTTATTTTTCTCATTTCTATACTAAATCCATTCTTCCCTAATAGAAAATTGATTCCAGATTGATGTATAAGTTTTATAAATCAGTTTAGTTTGTAAAGACTTCTAAAGACTCATTTAGTGGCATAAGATATCGTGACGAAAGTTCAACATTTAAAATTCCCTCACTCGTTTAACGTATTACAGATTCTGTCCCAAACGTTTTTGTTTTTCTTTTAAACAAAAGTTACCCCATCATGGAAGAGATAGGGGACCCTGTGAGCCTTTTTCACATAGAGGCTCACTTCCTTGCTGTATGTTCTTAGGTAAAATAAGCACTTGGAAATGGGAGAAGGTTTTCTTATGGAAGATAATGACATGAAGGGAAGAAGAGCTAATCTGCCTACTTTGGTTTAATGGAGAAAATGGGTCCATAAATGTTTAAACAGAAGTAGAGCCCTTTGAAATAGATCAAAATGTGACATCTCTCAGCCATCTGTGCATTATGTGAAGACTGTAAGGCTGTGTTTCTTAAACCAGCTCTAAAATTTCTCTCATTTTCTATTAATGGGGTGGGGGCTGGGAATATTCATTTAATCTAACAGTCACTTTCCGTATGGAGCCCAAAAGCTCTGAATGATCTGAAGACTCGAATACTCATCCTGGGTTTTACATGCTCCTTTCTCTAGGTCCTCCTCTTATAAAATCAGGGTGGATAGAATGTGCCTGCAAATTACTGAGATGCAGATATCAAATTTTCTTAGATGGAGAGGGGGAGTCCAAAATCTGCTTATACATAAGAATTGGACTTTTTGCAGTTGCCAGTGTTATTCGTGTTCAATTCTGTGTAAATAATTGAGATTATTAATATTTCTCAGGATTTGGTTGAAACCACAAAACCTAGCTTAGACTCTGTAAGCCAAAGGAAAGCCTGTTTCAGGAATATTAACTAGTAGTTTACTTGTTTAGTTTCTAATATGTGTGTGTTTGTTTTGTTGTTTTAACCAGGTGAGTCTGCATGGATCTGTGAGGACGGAAAAGAAGAGCTCCTGGAAGACTTAAAATTTTGCTACAGGAATAGGCCTTGGCCATGTAAAAGTGCTTACAGTGCAGGTAGCTTTTTGAGATCTACTGCAATGTAAGCACTTCTTACATTACCATGGTGATTTAGTCAATGGCTACTGAGAACTGTAGTTTGTGCATAATTAAGTAGTTGATGCTTTTGAGCTGCTTCTTATAATGTGTCTCTTGTGTTAAGGTGCATCTAGTGCAGTTAGTGAAGCAGCTTAGAATCTACTGCCCTAAATGCCCCTTCTGGCACAGGCTGCCTAATATACAGCATTTTAAAAGTATGCCTTGAGTAGTAATTTGAATAGGACACATTTCAGTGGTTTGTTTTTTGCCTTTTTATTGTTTGTTGGGAACAGATGGTGGGGACTGTGCAGTGTACAGTTGTGTACAGAGGATAAGATTGGGTCCTAGTAGTACCAAAGTGCTCATAGTGCAGGTAGTTTTGGCATGACTCTACTGTAGTATGGGCACTTCCAGTACTCTTGGATAACAAATCTCTTGTTGATGGAGAGAATATTCAAAGACATTGCTACTTACAATTAGTTTTGCAGGTTTGCATTTCAGCGTATATATGTATATGTGGCTGTGCAAATCCATGCAAAACTGATTGTGATAATGTGTGCTTCCTACGTCTGTGTGAACACACCTTCATGCGTATCTCCAGCACTCATGCCCATTCATCCCTGGGTGGGGATTTGTTGCATTACTTGTGTTCTATATAAAGTATTGCACTTGTCCCGGCCTGTGGAAGAAAGGAGGATTTTTATCGTCTTCTTATTTTAACTTTTAAAAGCCGTAAGTTCTGATATTTAGTCATTGTAAAATGATCTGTTTTGCTGTTGTCGGGTGGATCACGATGCAATTTTGATGAGTATCATAGGAGAAAAATTGCACGGTATCCATCTGTAAACCGCAGGACCTTTGTTGGCGACATTCCTGATCAGCGCTACAGTAAGCTAGATGGTAAAAAATCCTTTCTCTAGTTGCTGCTATTAAAAAATAATTTGAAATATATTTGGATTTCTAAAAACTATGATAGCTAATTTATAAAGTATGTGTTTTGGAACTTTGGTGAATGATCAGATTGTTACTGAATGTGAATGAACCTCAAAATAAATGAAATTTATAGATCTGAAAAAATGACTCTTTTTTTTTTAAAAAAAATAATTAGCAATGCTAGAGGAGTTTGTAAAATATCTCTTGGGAGGATCCTAAAGGAAAACTTGGACATAGCTGCTTTTCAAGTTTGCATCTACATAAAGCACCAAGATGCCTAATTTTAGGAATTTTATTACCCTGACAATATTTGGATGACATGTACTAATTTTGTTTTAGTACACGTGCTCATTCTTAGGAAGGGAATGAAGAGTTGTAAACCAATGGGACACATACCTTTAAGGAACTGGGCACATTTTGAGGTCTGACAGGAGAGAAGAATGAACTTGTCAATCAAACTCTGTTTTGGGGTTCTCGGAGAAGAGGATTTGGTGGCAGGGCTACTGAGAGGGATGGCTGCTGCCTTGCTTTGGAGTCTAGCAGATGGAAACCTGGATGTGGGCCTACTGTTAATATTTAGGGTTCGGGGGCTCCATAGGGTGACTAACCTAAAGCAGAAATTTCTCATGCGCAGCTAATTAGTGGTTTGAGACTGAACACCAAAAGTTATTTGGATCCTCTAGTGGTTCTTAAAACTTTAGCACTTACTAAGACACAGCCAGCCAACCCCATCTCCAGAGATTCATTCAATAGGTCTGGATGGGGCCTAAGGAATTGCATTTCTTTATTTTTTTCTTTTTGAGACGGAGTTTCGCTCTTGTTGCCCAGACTGGAGTGCAATGGCCCGATCTCTCATTCACCACAACCTCCACCTTCCGGGTTGAAGTGATTCTCCTGCCTCAGCCTCCTGAGTAGCTGGGATTACAGGCGTGCGCCACCACGCTTGGCTAATTCTGTACTTTTAGTAGAGACGGGGTTTCACCATGTTGGTCAGGCTGGTCTCGAACTCCTGACCTCAAGAGATCCACCCACCTTGGCCTCCCAAAGTGCTGGCATTACAGGTAAGGAATTGCATTTCTAACCTTTCCCTAGGAGCTGATGCTGCTGGTCAAGACACCATACTTGCAGAACCACTGCTCGAAAACAGCTAACGACAGCTTCTAGGACAAAGTTAACAAAGGAAGTTGTTTATTTTAAACTTCATAAAATTAAAAGAACTCGAAGCAGGGACTGGCTTGCTTTCCAGTTCTATGTTTCATATTTTAATGTTAATCTTTAACATCATGTATTTGGCAAATGAAGAAACGAGGCTTGTGGTAGTTTTACTGTCTGCCAACATGAACATTTAGTTCTCATCAAAAAGGTGCTGCCAAACTAAAAGATGGTATCAGTATGTGTCATTCTTACTTCCTGGTGCCATGGAATTTTCTAATTTTGAAACCCTTTTGATTTTTCCTCATAACATCAGTCCATTTTAATCAGTAAGAGGAACTCTCTCTGAATTGCATTTTAATCTTGAGCTAGTTGCCTAAGGCTTCAATTTCCTCATTAGGGGAAATACAGTGATAACATTGGTCTACCTCAAGGATATGTGGGTTAAGTAAGTTCTCTGGTGGTGGCGGCTGGGGGGATGGATTTTAATTGTTAGTGATGAAGTGAAATCTTAATGAAAAGAGACTTAGGGTAGTAAATTCTGTCGTCCAGTATTAAGTATGTGTGTGTAATTTTTTAAAAGTGACTAATGCTTGAGGCAATTATACAAACATAAATAACTACAGGTATTTCCTGTGTTGTCTAGTGCTGACTACGTTGTTGGTGCCTAATCATAGTTAAGTTTGATGTGGCAGCAAAGAAAAGGGTCTCCCGCCCTTTAATAAAGTAGCTCAGTAAAAGAGGGGATTAAAGCTTATTTGTTGTAATCCTTAACACCACCAAACCTCCACTTTAATAATACAAATTTATTGTCCTAGTGGTTCACTGGTGCTTTACCTAACGTGGCTAGTATGCAGTCAGTTATTGCAGTTTCCACTTTTAATAGGCTTGTGTGGAGGAGCTGTGTTCCTTAGGGTAGGCCACTCTGCCCACTAGAGTCAATTCCCTCACCTAAAGTTAGGGCCGAACTTGATGATCTGAGGACCCTTTCTAGCTTCAAAAATTCTGATTCTATATTTGCTCAAGTTAGACTAATCCAATAATTCTTTTTTTTTTTTTTTTGAACATTTCATCTTTTACTTTTTAGGACCAACAGACTTGATAACAGCCTGATGCTGATCTGACAATGGGTTGACAGCCTTCCCCCACTGGCCCTTAAGTCTGCTTAATAATAAGTCCTTTGCTTCTGTCATTCTCCTGGGGGATGGCCTACTGCCCTCCTTTCTGTACAATCTGGGCAAACCGACTGGTGATGGCAAGAGTGGTGTCAATGAAGTGGTCTACACAGCTGGAGAGACAATTTTCAGTGCAAGAGTCCAGGCGATTCCCTGGCTTCTCCACACATTTATCCCAACATAACTCCATGAAGTGATGCACCTGTGCAGTAAACTGCGCCTTCTGCTGTTCGGCGGCCACCAGGTGCTGCAACTCCGCTCCATCGGCTTCACCCAGCTCCGCCTTTGTTCACCTCAGACTTATCCAATAATTCTTCAAGTGTTTTGCATTGAAGTCATTTGTCTAGAATACTTGGGAATGGGTTAATTTAAGTCATTAATCATGGGCAAAATTAGTAATATCTACATACGACATATATAGCTTGCTCATTTTTAAATAATTACAGTAAGTTCAGTAGAAGCACTGCCAGGTATAATTTCTATCTTTGGTTCAGATGGTAGTTTAATATCCCATGGCTTTCCAAGGTCATCAGTATGGGCATTCATTCCCCTAGACAGAAGAGTCAATGTGGCACAGGTATGAATGAGCCTAAACATATGTCAACTTGGAAGTTGCTTTTTTGGCAATTGTCAGTCATATTAGTTTTGAAACAAGGGACATATAGCAAAAAGGAGGGGAAGTTATGGTATAAAATTGTAGCTGAAAGAATCCCTACTTACAGATCAGAGTCCAGCTTTATTCTTTATTAGGTGAGGAAACTGAGAACCAGGAAGAAATGACTTGCTCAAGGTTTGAGTAAATAAACAAATTAGGGACCAATATGATCAATGCCTGCTAGAAGTTTGGAGGCCTGGAGGAAGGCAAGTAACCCAGGCCAGGGATGGAGCGTGGCTGGGTCAGGAAGTACTTCCCAGAGGCAGTGTTGGGGCGGTTCCTGAGGGGCATTAAGGCAGGCAAAGAAGGCCAACGAGGGGTGTTTTAGGAAGAGTCGTTTTGCAAAAAGCAAGGGAAGGAAGACATCAGATGGGAGCTCTTCCAAAGAACAGCGTTTAGTTCAGAATGTCTGGTGTGTGTGAGAGGACAGGTGGCCCAGGGCCAGATCACAGAACCTTGTCCCAGATGGAAAGGGTAGTCACTTAACAATTTCAAGCAGTGAACCCCAAATTTACCATTTTAATAAGATCTCTCTGAAGACAATGTGGAGTCTGGCTGGGAGACCACTGTGCTGGAAGCCAGTTAGGAGGCTATTTTACAGATGGGAGATGAGGATTTGCATCAGGACAGAGGCAGAGGGAGAAAGACAAGAGACAGATTTCTCCTACAAATACATGGGCACATTTAATACAATTCCAATCAACATCTCAATGGGATCCTACAAGTACATGGGTACATTTAATACAATTCCAATCAACATCTCAAAGGGACGGTTTCCAAACCACCATAATTCTAAAGTTCATATGTAAGAATAAACAGGGAAGAATAGTCAAGAAAATACTGGGAGGCAGAGCACAGCCGCTCATGCCTGTAATCCTAGTCCTTTGGGAGGCCAAGGCGGGAGGATTGTTTGAGCTCAGAAGACCAGACTGGGCAACCATAGTAAGACGCTGTCTCTGAAAAAAATGTTTTTTAATGAAAAAGAAAACACAGAGAAAAAAATCACAAAGAGGAACTTGTATTAACATGTATTAAAACTTATTATAAAGCAGCATTTAAAAAGTGATGCTAATGCAAAAATAGATGTCTATTGTTGAGATTCCTGTTTTGATTGAAGTATATGTAAGTATTTAGATTATCATTAAGGAGCTATTCAAAATTGGTAAAGAAAAGATGGATTAGTCGATAAAAGTTGTTGGAATATTTGGTTAGCTATCTTTGAAAACAAACAAAACAAACAGCTAGAACTCTCCCACATCCCACACATCAAAATAATTCCAGATGGATAGAGGGTTGAATATAAACAGTGAAACTGCACACTGCACATTACATTATTCTCTCTACTTTTATTTACAATTTTTATAACATTTTAAAAAAGGATTAGACTATGAAAGATTAAGAAGAAAATAAGGTGCATATATGACCATGAGACTGGGAAAAGTGGTTTCAAACATAACATAGGTGACAGAAACCACTGACAAAAATATCAATTTGAACAATAAAACCACATCAAAAACTATCTTAAAATTAAAAAGCAAAAGACAAACTAAAAAATCATGGTGTTTAATGTAGGACACAGAATGGTAAATATCCTTTATTCATTCATCCATTTGGGAGACGTTTATTGAGCATCTATTATGTACCAGGCACCCTCTTTTTTTTTTGTTTTCATTTGAGTCTCACTCTGTCACCCAGGCTGGAGTGCAGTGGTGCAATCTTGGCTTCCTGTAACCTCTGCCTCCAGGGTGTTCAAGCGATTTTCTTGCCTCAGTTTCCCAAGTAGCTGGGACTACAGGTGCATGCCACCACATCCAGCTAATTTTTGTATTTTTAGTAGAGATGGGCTTCGTTGTGTTGGCCAGGCTGGTCTCGAACTCCTGACCTCAGGTGATCCGTCCACCTTGGCCTCCCAAAGTGCTGGGATTACAGGCGTCAGCCACTGCACCCGGCCTCAGGCACCCTCTTAATGCTAAAGAATCAGTATGAACAAAGTCCCTGCTCTCGCAGATCTTATATTCTAATGAGAGAAAACAGATAATAAACAAAATGAATATTTAGCATGTCAGATGATAAGTGCTATGCAGAAAAATTAGGCAAATGTAGTTGTTTTCTAGGACTGCCATAACAAAGTACCAGAAACTGGGTGCCTTAGAACAACAGAAATGTTTTCTCTCACAGTTCTGGAAATGAGAAGTCTGAAATCAAGGTATCAGTAGGGCCATGTTCCCTCTGAAAGCTCTAGAGGATGATCCTTCCTTGCCTCTTCCCCCTTCTGGTGGTTACTGGCAATCATTGGCATTCTCTGGCTTGTAGACCCATCACTCCAGTCTCTGTCTCTGTTGTCACATAGCAGTCTCCCTGTGTGCCTGTATGTGTCATTGGATTCAGGGCCTACCCTTACTGAGTGTGACCTCATCTTAACTGGAACCCATCTGCAAAGATCCTATTTCCAAAGAAGTTCACATTTACGATTACTGGGGGTTAAGATTTGGACATATCTTTTGAAAGGCCGCAACTCAACCCAGTTTCGCAAGGTAGGGGAATACTGCTGGGGTTGGTTGCTGTGTGAAAATTTGATGATCAGGGAAGTTCTTGCTGTTGAGGTGACATTTGAGTAGATGGGAGAAATTAATGAAGAAATGAGATTTGTGAATATCGAACAGTAATTCTTTTTAATCTATAAAGAGCCAAATAATAATAACAGCTAACGTTCACTGAGCACTTTCTATGTTTCAAACACTATAATAATAAATGCTTTACAAGTATTGTCTCATTATTTTCACAATCCAGAAAGATAGCACTATTCTGTAAGATTAATCTGTTATTATTTCCACTTCAAAGATGAAGAAACCGAAGCTCAGAAAGGCTAAGTAATTTGTCCAACTTTGCGCATCTAGCAAGCCAAAAACCAAGTCCATATCCTTCTGTCTCCAGAGCCTCGACCAATAGAAAAATGGAGATAAAAGAAAAAATTTCGTAGGGATACAGTCTTAAAAGTTCATGCTCAGTAATTATCAATTCAAATTAAAACAATGGTGAGTTATTTTTCATTTACCAACTTTACCATGGTTAAAATGATTGAGGTCTCATGCTTGTAATCCCAGCAAATTGGGAGGCTGAGGTGGGAGGATCACTTGAAACTAGGAGTTCAATACCAGCCTGAGCAAAATGGTGAGACCCCCATCTCTACAAAAAATACAAGAATTAGCCAGGCATAGTTGTGTGCACCTGTAGTCCCTCCCATCTACTCAGGAGGCTGAAGGGGGAGCCTCACTTGAGCCCAGGAGTTTGAGGTTACAGTGAGCTGTGATCACGCCACTGCACTCCAGCCTGGGTGACAGAGAGATACCTTGTCTCGATATAATCTTGCTGATAGTTCATTTAATTAGAATGTGGTAGCATCTGGAGTAACTTAACCCTCAAAGCCCACACAATTTATCCTTACTCCTTTCTAGAATGAATACCAAATTTCTGGCAAGCACAGATGAAATAATGCAGGAGAAACAGCAGAAGGTGGTGATAGGTAGAGGGTTGTGGGAAGTGATGTGGGATAGTGAGGTGATGGAGAGAGATGATAGATTCACATTGTACATGCAGGTACAAGAAGTC
This sequence comes from Homo sapiens, assembly GCF_000001405.40. NCBI lineage: Eukaryota > Metazoa > Chordata > Mammalia > Primates > Hominidae > Homo > Homo sapiens. Next base: position 134,162,702 of record NC_000023.11, on the reverse strand, counting down.
TTGGCCTTTCAGGCTTTGGCAGTGAGAAGAGCCGAGAGTGCACAGGACAGAACTTCATTTAAAGAGCTGATGAATAAAGAGTTATTCAGCCAAGCTGAGGGTAGAAGAAAAAGCAGAAGAGAGAGGTGTCATAGGGCTCAATATTTGTTGAGTATCCCAATTTCATGTCATTTTCACTTAGGAATATTTTTTCTTGCATTGGAGGATACTTAGATATTTCTATACCTAAGCAGTTTTATATCACTTATCTTCTATAGGAAAATATGAGAAAATCTCTCCATGAGTTATAGTCACCATAGTCAATGGTGAATATTTTTTAACAAGACAAAGGAAAGTAAGCTAATGTTGGGAACCATAAAATTATTTCTGTTCATAGTGAAGGAGGAGCTCTTCCATATTATTCCAGTAATGCCTCTTGGTTGCCAAAAATTTGTCCAGCCCTAGTTACTTTGATTATGTGCCAGGGCCCTTCTAATGTTTTAGGAGAACCAGGTTGCCAAACTGCATCTGTTTTACAGTGACTCCTGTTCCTTTGTTACTTTAAGTGATTTATGTAGAATTGTGCTTAAAGGGACAATCCTATTTAAACACTATTGTATATTTTAGAGGTCTAGGATGGTTTCTTAACTGACTTGTCAGAAGCAATTATAATTACTATCTATAACATTGGCTTTTAAAGTATATAAAATTTGACTTTAGTACAGTCATTTGACAAAAGCTTAAGCATCTCTAATTTGCTTAAATTGCTTTGGCCACCAAAGCAGGGATCTATTTCTATGAGCTGCTCAAAAGCATTGACTTGGGAAATGGTTGTTACAGCCATTGCTTCTAATTTATTTCAAGCATACCTCATGGTTTTGTGTATTGAATAATTTGAAATGAACTATGGTTCAGCTTAATCCTAAGGATGTTATTTTAATTTTGACAGAGCTCTTAAATTTTGGGGTTAGGACTGACAGTATTGAGTATAAATGGAAATGAGTATGCCTGTTTTAGGGTGAAAACATATTTTCAACAATATTTTCAAAGACAAAAACTTAGGTGGATTTAGGGGCTGATTTATGTTACACCGTGGTTGATTTGGACAAAATTCAAGTTAGAGATTTATAATCTTTCATATGAATAATTGGAAGTAGTACTTGAATAAATAGTAATTCTTTCTTGATCATGAAAAATATCTTAAACAGAAACCAAGAATATTGCTTTTGCTTCATTAAGTTGAGCAGCTTTCACTTCCTTTCTCCCTGCCCGAACAGTGTGATCTCCTCACATTTCAGACCTTAGCTGAAGCATGGCTTAAACTTTTACTTGTAGGTACATTATTAACGATAAAAACTAAAAAAAGAGTTTGACTACCTCAGTACACTCTCTCTCTCTCTCTCTCTCTCTCTCTGTGTGTGTGTGTGTGTGTGTGTGTGTGTAGCATTGTGCTTTTATAATGTAGTCAGATGAGGTTCCACCAAGTGACCTTAGGGACTGGTCTGTCATAATGATAATCTCTATCTTTGCTCTTAGTATAGATTATTTAGAATACTGAATGTCAATCACAAATGATCACATTATTCTTGACAAAATCAGCATCATTAGTTCTATTAATTTGCACTTGCGTGTGCGTGTGTGTGTGTGCGTGTGCATGTCTTGTAATAGGATAACCAGTCAGTAGGGGTTTTAGTTCTGCTGAATTGCATTTTTTAATCATCACCCCAGGCAACCACTGGTCTAAGCAGGAAAATAGTGGCAAAAGAGTCCATAGCCTTGAATTCTGGTCTGAGCTTGCTAGCAACTTTGTTATGTGACCTTGGATGTGAAAATTAAACTCTGCTAGTTCCTCACCTGTAAGTGGAGAGAACCACAGCATCCATTCCCTATCAAAGGTCTGTTTCCTTGTTCCACCCTAAGGAGAAATCAAGGTGCCATTTCCTTGGGCAGTACAAAGATCTAGTAGTGGATATCTCCCATAACGATTTTGCTGAAGGTTGAGTCAGTGATAGGGAAATCTAGCTGATACCAATTTGGAAAATTACAGGACATTAATCTGCTGCTTTGTTAGCTGATTATTTTAAGGGAAGGCTTAGCTAGATTTGATGATGGGCAGGCCCTATAAATTGAAGACAACTAGGTTCAATCCTAAAGTGTGTGTATTTTTTTTGCTAATTTTGAAATGAGTTGATTTGTCCATTAAATTACCAACTTATTGAACTGATTAAGTAGGTAAATAGCTACCAAACCAGATTGTGTGACCTTAAGCAAATTTCAGGCTGGAGAACACCAACTGCTCCAGCTAGAAGGGGAAATGCATTCACATTTATAGATAGCTTACTGTGTGCTGGATGTTTGCACATATCATCTCACTGGAGCATCACAAGGATTCTGGAAGGTAGGAGGTATGCCCATTGAAGCTCACAACAGTCACCTATTATCATTTTTTAAAAATTTACTGTAATTTGGCCAAGGTCACAAACCTAGTTTAAAAAAATTGGCTTAAATGACACTTCTTTAGAAAAACTCTGTCTGATCACCCTGTGGAAAATAGTGCCCCTCAACACACACATACCATTTCTATCATAGTGTTTACTGTGTCACTTATTCCAACTTATAATTACTTGTTTACTTGTCTTTTGCCTGTTTTTCCAACTAGAATGTAAGCTTCATAAGGGCAGGTACTACCCCAATATCAGCTTTGTTCGCCTCTGTGTCCCTAGTGTGTAAGTGACTGGCACATAATAGACACTCCATAAATATTCCTCCCACCCTTTTTTTTTTTGAGACAGAGTCTCACTCCGTCATACAAGCTGGAGTACAGTGACATGATCTCAGCTCATTGCATCCTCTGCCTCCCGGGGTCAAGTGATTCTCATGCCTCAGCCTCTAGAGCAGCTGTGATCATAGGCATGCACCACCACACTCAGCTAATTTTTGTAATCTTGGTAGAGACAGGGTTTCACCATGTTGGCCAGGCTGGTCTTGAACTCCTGGGCTCAAGCGATCCACCTGCCTTGGCCTCCCAAAGTGCTGGGATTACAGGCATGAGCCACTGCTTCAAGCCCATAAATATTCCTTTAGTGAATGAATGAATGAATGAATGAATAAGGAAGTTTTCTGGGCAGGGCACAGTGGCTCATGCCTGTAATCCTAGCATTTTGGGAGGCTGAGGCAGGAGGATCACTTTAGCTCAGGAGTTGGAGATCAGCCTGGGCAACATAGGGAGATCTCATCTCTACAAAAAAATCAAAAAATGAAGGGGGAGGATTGCTTGAGCCTGGGAGGTTGAGGGTGCAATGAGCCATGATCGCACCACTGCATTCTCGCCTGGGTGACAGAGTGATACCCTGCCACACACAGAGAAAAAGAAAGTTTGCCTGACACAAAACACTTTTTTCTTCTGACTAAACAACATTGACTCACATGTTGATAGAAGGAAAAGCTGAGACTCAGAGATGTTAAATGACTTGCCCAGGAGGCCTGATGTAGGTCAGACCACAAAGGCTCATCATGGCCCAAGGACCTGTATTTATGGAGATTCTCGCTGGGCCCAAGTTTCTTGTACTTTGGTTTACTATAGAACCATTACATAAACAGCACAAAGGATCTGAGATCAAGGATACAAATGAAGGAGTGGATTCAGTCTCCAGTGACTCACTAACTCCCTGCAAAGATCTGGTGGACGAGGCAGTCTTCCAGTGGTGAGAAACCTGCCAAGTGGGAAGATCCTTGACTTACTACCTTCTGAAACATTACGCTGGGAGCAGCCACATCCTTCTTCAGTGGGCTACTCACCACAGCAGACAATTCTTTGTTGCACTAGGGTCCCATGCTGAGAGTTTCTATTTTTCATCTGGCTTTCCATATGACACAATTGGTTAATGGCAGAGCAAATTCAGCTCTCCTGGCTAAAACCAGGCTCATTTTACAATGCGTACTGATGCAGTTTGCTATTACTGCCCAGCATAGTAGGATATGATGTGATAATTATCTGGGAAATGCCCATGCAGGAGAAGGGGAGGGTCAAGTTTTGGGTCTACAAGGATAGAGTCAGAATCATGAGGTTATGGTCCAGAAATGGCCTACAGTGGGGGAAAGTGTGCAAGCTTAGGCAATTTACTTAATCTCTCTGTGACTTAGTCTCCTTGTCTGTAAAATGAGAGTAAGAAGTGTGTTAAGGCTGGCTGTGTTGGGTCACACCTGTAATCCCAGCCCTTTGGGAGGCTGAGACAGGAGGATCAGTTGAGGCCAGGAGTTCAAGACCAGCCTAGGCAACATGGTGAAACCCTGTCTCTGCAAAAATTACAAAAATTAGCTAGGAGTGGTGACATGTGCCTGTGGTCCTAGCTACTCAGGAGGCTGAAGTAGGAAAATTACTTGAGCCCAGGAGGTTGAGGCTGCAGCAAGCTGTGATCGCACCACTGCACTCCAGCCTGGGCAACAGAGTGAGACACTGTCCCCCCCGGCTCCCCAAAATAGTGTTTTATGAGGACTAAATCAAGTAATATCTGTAAAGCACTTAGAATAGTGTCTGACATGTAGTAAGTGCCATATTAGGGCTAGCTAAATAAAATACGTACGAATAAAAATAAAGGTGCAGAGAAAGAGTTTTAAATAGGGCAGCTTGAGCCATCTCAATTACTTCATCATTTTAGGTCCCAAATTGGGATTTTTTTTGCCTCAGTAGCAATGTATCTCTGATTTTATCATTTTCTCCATAGGTTTTCAAAATTGACTTTATAGAAACATACTTTATAGCCAGCTTTATTAAAACAAGTGATTTCTCCTGACTCTCACACAAGAAAAGTTCAAAGAAGCTGGGAGAGCCAGCCCAGGAGTTAAATACCAGAACATCTTGAGAGAGAACAGAGGAAAGCAGGAATGATATGTTTCAACAGGTGTTTGATGATGGAAACTCATTTAACTATATGAATGTGTGAAAATAATACCCTGTGCTTGTATGGTACTTTTCACTTTTTCCCACAAAGTCCTTTCATGTCTAGTATTTTATACATTCTCATAATATCTGTATGTGGTAGAGAGAACAGGTATTCTGATTTGACACATATATATAGAATATAGAGATAATGTATATTAATATGTAATTATCTAAATAAAATATATAATTATAATATATATTACATAATATATAATATAATATATTATATATTACATAATATATATAATATAATATATTATATATTACATAATATATAATATAATATATTATATATTACATAATATATATAATATAATATATTATATATTACATAATATATATAATATATATTACATTATATATCATATATAATGTAATATATATTATAAATAATATAATATATAAATATAATATAATATAATAATCTATAATATATAATTATAACATATTTATATATTATTTTATTTATATAAAACATATTTTATATAAATATGTATAAAATAAAAATATTTTATTTATATAAATATATTATATATAAATATATATTTATATAGATACATTTATATAAATATATCTATATTATACTATAATATTGGATTATATTTTATATAAATATTTATATATTTATATTTGATATAAAATAATATATAAATATAATATTTTGTATATAAATATTCTATAGGAATATATCTTATATAATATATATAATATTCTATAGGAATATCTCCAAACTTGATCACATTGCTATGGAAATGAAATGAAATGAAGCTTGTAAAATAGGATCCCAATAAATCAGAAGATCAAGCATGATGTGGGGAAGAAAATGAGTTTGTGTTTGACTTGAAGTGCCTATGGGATATCCAAGTAGAGATATCTAGTATGGAGACAGAGCCCTGGACATATTAATATTTAAAGGATAATTAAAGAAAGAGGGTCCAATAAAGAAGACTGTAAATGAGTGACCACAAAGATAGGAAAAGGACAAGGAGATAGTGGTGTCACGGAAATCACCGCTGAACTTCTTAGCACCACAGCCTCACAGTAAGTTGACTTCAATTCTGTCAATTTCAGCATCTATCTTGCCATATCCCAACTCCCTTGTCCCTTTCTGGATACCAATAGCCCCCTTTTCTCTGCTCCTGCACTTGAACGGCTGCACACTGCCAGAGAACATGACACAACCAAGTGGGAACTGATGTCACTACGGTCTCTGAGGAACCCAAAATGCTGCTTTTTAACTGTCCACATCCTAATTTTGCCAAGTTTCTCATATCTGTGGCTTGGGACAGCAGCTGAATTTTCCTGTAACCTCTAAGAAGGGCACGTAAGTGATCTGAGAGTGGAAGCTGGCAGATCTGAAGAAATCTGCCCCTAATGATTGTATGCATTTAGGGCATGGCTGTAAGGCTGGAAATAAGATGAGCATCTTTTTATCTCAGTGCAGCACTGTGGAGGAGTAACACTGGCTAAGCCCCGATGGAATAATATACTCAGAGTCAGAGGCTGATTTACCTTGAAGCTAATGAAGTTTCAGCTTCAGGGCCCCTCATTTGCACAAATGAATTCCAAGGATTTCTACTTAATTTTGTATTCCTAATTGTGTATTATTTTTCTTTAAAAGGTTCTCTAAGTTGCATAAATTGAGCCCCATCAAACCTGGATCAACCTCTGATCTAAGTGCTACCAGCTCAAATAGCTGCTTCCCACTGCAGCCATGGGGCTGTGTAAGCCTGCTAGAACTGAGATACCACTCTGGGAGGAAGGAAGATGACAGAAAAATCCTGAACTCACTATGTTTGTTTGTTTATTTATTTAAGTGAAATTTCATTTTTAAATAGGTAACATATGTGGATGGTAGATCACCTACAGTTCAATAGGTACCAAAGAGTATACAGTGAAAATCAAGTCTCCATCTCACCACTCCATCCCTTCCCAGGAGACATCTGCCTGTTACCTGTTGTATATCCTTTCAGAGATATAATACATATATGATAATATATAATACATAAATGCATATATATCCATTTATATTAATAAATATAATAGATCTATATATATTAACACAATTAGTATATTTATATATAATATACATTATATATGTATATTATATATTAATATATAATATGCATGTATAATATGTATGCATTTATAATATATAATATATAAGTACATATATTATAAATTCATACATATACATGCTTTATATATTAATATATAAATTAATTATAATATAATATATAACATAAAATTAAAATATATTAATATCTATTAATATATAAATGCATATATATGCAAACATGTAGGTCCTTTGTTTTGCTTCTTCTTTTTTACACAAATTATAACATGCTATACCCGATGTTCACCTTGTGGGTGTTTTTATTCATTTACAAGGTGTTTTGGAGCTCATTCTGTATCAATCCAAAAAGGGCTACCTCATTCTTTTGTTAGCAGTTATAGTGTGTCCCATTGTGAAGATGGGCCATAATTTATTTCATCAACCCCCTATGATAGACATTTAGGTTTTTTCCAATCTATTGCTATCATTAGCACTAACTAATGATTAGTATTAACTCATTAGCACTAACTAACTAATATTGACTTAACTGAAACCTGATTATGACTTCAGAGACTAAACTCTTATTGAAATAATAAAGTCTCATTTTGTGCACAACTGAACACAAATTGTACTTTCTATAATACCTACCTTAAAGTGTTGTGAGGATTAGATTAGGTAGTATTTATAAAAAATTTAGTACATAGAATGTGCTCAATAAATGTCACTTCTTGTCCTTTTCCTTAGAGCTCACAGAATGAGATGGCTCTGTTCCTATCTGAAGCAAATCCCTCTATCAGTGTCCCATGTCTCTATCCCTCCCATGCCCTCATTAACTTTCATCCATCAACTGGGTCCTCTATTTCCCTTTTGTAAAAATAAACATAAATAATTTTTGATTGATACATAATAATTGTACATATTTAAGGGGTCCATGTGATATTTTGACACATGCATACAATGTGTAATGATCAAATGAAGGTATTTAGGATATCCATGACCTCAAACATTTATCATTTATTTGTGTTGTGAACATTCCAAATCTCGCTTTCTACTGACTCCTTCTAGCTATAAATATGACCTTACCTACCCCATCCTAAATAAAACTACCTTTGCATTTCTTAGAACTGGGTTCTGCTATGAGTAACAGAAAAACCTGATTTAACCATGTCTTAAACAAAATAGAAGTGTATTTCTCATGCAGAAGTCCTGAAGTGGGCAATCCCAGGCTTACGCGGCAGTTGTACAGTTATCAGGGACTCAGGCTTCTTCCAGCTTTTTGCTCTGCTATCTCCAGAGTGTGCCCCCCCGCAACCAGGCTCCAAGATGAAGTGCAAACCTTTGTATCCATTTTTCACGCAGCAAAATGCTATGACACAACATTTTTGCTTATACCCCACTGGCCACACAGAGCTGCAAAAGAGAGGAAATGCAGTCCATTCTAACCCAGATGATCATAAGTCAGCTTAAAAAAAAATCAGTCTTCTACAAAGGAGAGAATGAATATTGGGTTAGGCAACTAGAAATTTCTGTTATGCCTTCCCTTAACCTTTTTTTTTTTTTTTTTTGAGAAGGGGTTTCACTCTGTTACCCGGACAGAGTGCAGTGGTATGATCACAGCTCACTGCAGCCTTGACCTCCTGGGCTCAAGCAATCCTCCCACCTTAGCTTTCCAGAGCAGCTGGGACCATAGGTGTGCATCACCATGCCTGGCTAACATTTTAAAAAATGTTTTGTAGAGATGGGGTCTCACTATGTTGCCCAGGCTGGTCTCAAACTCCTGGCCTCAAGCAGTCCTTCCTCCTTGGTCTCCCAAAAATGCTGGGATTATGGGCATGAGCCACCATTCACGGCCTTTCCCTTAACTCTTCTCCCTTTTCTTTCATTTCCTTCATAGCCAAACTTCTCAAAAGTGTAGTCTACACTCATCTTCTTCATTTCCTCCCCTTTTGTGTATTTTTTGTCCCATTGGAAACCAGGCTTTCTCCTAAACTTGCTTTCTCAAGGTCACCATTTGTTTATAAGTTAATTAATTAATAGCTCACTCAATAGACGTTTATTGAATGCATAGTATGCATCAGGCACTGCTATAAATATTGATGATGTAGAGATAAATAAATTGCAGTTGTTCTTGCCCTACAGAAGCTCATGATTTTTTGAGGGAAACAGAAAATAAAATGAATGTTTAAAATACAGAGTAGTAAGTGACATGACAGGGAAGGCATGAGAGCATCTGAAAGCACAGGAGTAGGTAGTAATGTGGAATTGAAGAAAATTTTAGAAAATTATGCTTGAAGGCCCAGGGCGGTGGCTCATGCCTGTAATCCCAGCACTTTGGGAGGCCAAGGCGGGTGGATTGCTTGAGGCCAGGAGTTCGAGACCAGCCTGGCCAACATGGCGAAACCCCATCTCTACTAAAAATACAAAATTAGCCAGGAGTGGGGGTGCGTGCCTGTAATCCCAGCTACTCGGGAGGCTGAGGCAGGAGAATTGCTTGAATCAGGGAAGCAGAGGCTGCAGTGACCCAAGATCATGCCACTGCCCTCCAGCCTGGGCCACAGAGTGAGACTCTGTCTCAAAAAAAAAAAAAAAAAAAAAAAGAAAGAAAGAAAGAAAGAAAGAAAAAATGATGCTTGAGCTTTCTTTCTAAAGATAAGCAATAGTAAGCCAAGTAGGTGAGGAAATAAAGGGCTCCTTGGAAGAGAGAGTATATTCTGGGAATTGCAGGTAGACTGAAATGTTTAGGTTAGTGCAATAGTAATCGTAGTTTTTGCCATTGCCTTTAATGGCCAAACCACAATTACTTTTGCACCAACCTAATAACTAGAGTGAGGATTTTTGTAGGAGTCAGGGTGAAGAAGAGTTAGGCAAGGGAGAGATTTTAAAGGCCTTGACATATATGTAATGCCTGCAAGCTCAGCGGGCTTTGTGCACCTGTCCATGGAGTTTTAACTTTATCGGATGTATAAGGAGCAACATGGAAAGTGTGTAAACAAGAGAAGGACATGGTCAGATTTGTGTTTGGATAGGTTGCTTTCACTGCTGGGTAGAGGATGGAGAGTGAGGCAGAAGGGGAAGCACAGAGATCAGTTAAGACTGTACAGCTATAGTCCAAGTGAGAGATGATCGTGGCCCGGACTAAGATGGAGAGAATTTGATGAGTTTGAAAGACATTTAGGGGTGATAAGGGTAGCACCTGGTTTCCTGTGCAAGTAAAGGAGGGGTCAAGAATGATTTTTTGCTTGGGCAAGTGGGTTCACGCTGGTGCCAACCCTGAGTGGTGGAACACTGTAAGAGGAGCAGTTGGTATGGTGAAACAATTAAGAATTCTACTTTGGTTATGTTAAGTTTGAGATCCCTGTTAGACAAATAAGCAGATGACTCAAGTAGGTAGTCACTTATAGAAGTCTAGGGCTAGCAATATATAAATATATCGTTTATAGATATAAATTTGGGCATCACTAACATCTAGAAATTGAGCCTTGGTCATTCACGAGACCTCCTTTAAAAGAATACAGACTAACAATAGAAGAGGACCTATGATCAAGTCTTCAGGGTCTCCAACATCTAATGGTTTGATAGAAGATGAGGCTGAGGAGGAGCAGCCAGAGAAGTGGGAGAAAACAAGGAAACTGTAGTTTCATGGAGGCCAAGGGGAAGAGGCCAAGGAAAGTGACATTTCAAGAAGGAGAAAATGGTTTTCTGTCTTGAGTGTGTATAAGACGATGACTAAAATCATGTCTATTAGACCTGAGGACATGTAAATCATTTGTGACCCAAATGAGATATATATATATATATATATTTTTTTTTTTTTTTTTGAGATCGAGTCTTGCTCTTGTCGCCCAGGCTGGAGTGCAATGGCATGATCTTGGCTCACTGCATCCTCTACCTCTCAGGTTCAAGCGCTTCTCCCACCTCAGCCTCCTGAGTAGCTGGGATTTCAGGCGCCTGCCACCATGCCTGGCTAATTTTTGTATTTTTAGTAGAGATGGGGTTTCACCATGTTGTCCAGGCTGGTCTCAAACTCCTGACCTCAAGTAATCTGCCTGCCATGGCCTTCCAAACTGCTGGAATTACAGGTATGAGCCACCGTGCCCAGCTGAGAGATGTTTTGGTGGAGTTATGGAAACAAAAGCTCTATTAGAGTGAGTGGAAGGTGAAAAATAAAGACTTTCAGCATAGATAAAACTTTTTAGAAATTTGGCTTACAATCAAAAGGATAGAGCTAGAGTAGCAGTAGGAAGGGAATGGAAGGCACTATGGTTAGGATATGGTTTGTTTGTCCCCACCAAATCTTATGTTGAAATTTGATCCCTGGTATCACTGTGTTGGGAGGTAGGGGCTAGTGGGAGGTGTCTGGGTCATGGGGCAAATCCCTCATGAATTGCTTGATGCCCTTCTCGAGGTAGTGAGTGAGCTCTCACTGTGGCTAGATGGGATTAGTTCTGGAGGGAATGGATTAATTAGTTCCATCGAGAGAGAAAGTTGTGAGAAAGCAAGATTCCTTCTCCTGTTTAGCCCCCTCTTCCCATGTGCCTGCTTCCCCTTTGATCTTCTCCACATGTTTTGACACAGTACAAAAACCCTCACCAGAAGCCAAGCAGCACCGTGCTTCTTCTACAGCCTACAGAACAATGAGCTAAATAAACCTCTTTTAAAAAATAAATTATCCAGCCTTAGGTATTCCATTACAGCAACACTAAACTAAGACAGAAGGATTCAGCTGAAAGATAGCTACTGAATATATTTAGAAAGAAATGGTAGCTGATGGTGTAAGCTTCCTGAGAAAGCAGGAGGGAGGGGTGAGATCAGTGGTTCTCAAGCATGGCCCTTGGACTGGTAGCATCACCATCACCTGGAATTGAGTTAGAAATATAAATTCTTGGGCATCACTTCAGACTGACTGAATCAAAAACTCTGGCAGTGTGGCCTAGAGTATTGTGTTTTAACAAGACTTCCAGGGGATTCAGATGTACACTCAAGTTCAAGAGCCACTGTGCCATGGACAAAAAGAAGGATATCTCCTTACTGTAACAGGAGAGAAAGAGTATAGATATGGAGAGATGTATTCATTTGGTATGGGGAAATTCATCCATCCATCCATCCATTCATTCATTCTACAAATATTTATTAATTACCTAATATGCACCAGGCATTAAGGATACAGACCAATAAATTCCTAACCTTATGGAATTTACATTTTAGTGGGAGGAGATACAATAAACCAACAGATTTTTAAAAATCTATTATAAGGACGTTGGGTTTTATCCTGAGTGAGCAGGGAAGTCACTATGAGAATGTAAGTGCCATGAAAGCAGGAATTTTTATCTGTTTTGTTCACTGCTGTGTCTCCAGAGCCTAGTATAGTGCCTCGATTATGTTTATCAAATGAAAAAAAATTGAGGATTTTGTTTAGCTGACTTGATTTATATTTTAAAAAGGATCACTATGTTGAGAATAGACATTGGGGGTCAACAGTGGAAGCATGACACCAGTTACAGAGACTACTCTAAAATTCCAAGCTAGAGTTGATCATGGTTTGCTACAGGGTTGTAGTGGTTGAGATGGTGAGAAGTGGTCACATTCAGAGTATTTTAAAAGTAGAACCAACAGGATTTGCTGACATACTAGATTTAGGGTAGGAGAGAAAGAGCAGAGTCAAGGATGATCTAAGGGTTTAGGCCTGAGTATCTGGAAGGCTGGAGTTGCCATTGACTGGGAGAGGAAGGACTATGGGCAAGACAGGAGTGTGTATTGTATGGGGAGGGAGTGAGGATCAGGAGCAGAAGTAGATTTAGGTTAAAGCTAACGAAGCTTAGGTTTCGGGGCTTCTCATTTGCTTAGGATCTAACAATATGTTAATGAATTATTTTTGAGTTTCTTTTTTTCCTAAAGAGTGATCCCCAAATTGTATAAGTTTCAGGACCCAAACATTTGGATTTGCCCCTGATTAGAAGTTCCATTTTGGACATGTTAAGTTTGACATGTCTATTGATCATTTGTTATGGACTGAATTATTGTTCCCCTAAACTGTGTATGTTGAAGCTCTAATTCCCAATGTGACTATATTTGGAGATAGGGCCTTTCGGGAGGTGATTAAAGTTAAATGAGGTCATAAGGGTGGGGCCCTAATTTGACTGGATGGATGTTCTTACAGAGTCTCACTCTGTCACCCAGGCTGGAGTGCAGTGGCGTGATCTCGGCTCACTGCAACCTCTGTCTCCTGGGTTCAAGCGATTCTCCTGCCTCAGCCTCCTGAGTAGCTGGCATTACAGGTATGTGCCACAACCCCCAGCTAATTTTAGCATTTTTAGTAGAGATGGGGTTTCACCATGTTGGCCAAGCTGGTCTTGAACTCCTGACCTCAGGTGATCCGCCCACCTTGGCCTCCCAAAGTGCTGGGATTACAGGCATGAGACCGGCACTCGGCCTGGACTGGCATTCTTATAAGAAGAGACACCAGAGAGCTTGCTGTCTCTCCATCTGCACACGGAAGAAAGGCCACGTGAGAACACACTGAGAAGGTGGCCTCACCTGTCACCAATCCTGAAGGTATCTTGATCTTGGGCTTCCAGCCTCCAGAACTGTGAGAAAACAAATGTCTGTTGTTTAAGCCAACCTGTCTGTGGATCTATGCAGTGGGCAGAAAAATATGAGCCTGAAGCTCAGGAGAGAGGTCTGGGCTGAAGATATAAATTTGGGAGTTGTTAGTATATAAACAGTAGTTAAAGCCATGAAACTGAATGCAATAATCAAGGGAGTGAGGGTAGAGATGAGAAGAGGTCCAAGGACAGAGCCATGGGGCACGCCAATATTAAAAGTAGGATTGATGATGAGGAACTGATGCAGGGCAGGTGAGCTCCAATGCAGAGCTTAGCCAGTGAAGATTCTTGGCTTTTCCCAGTAAAGAATTCAAGGGCAAGCAGGAGATAGAAGAAAACAGCTTTATTGAAGACACGGTGTTACAGCTCCAGAGGTATTACAGCTCCGTGACTGCTCCTGCAGAGCAGGACTACTCTGTAGGCAGAGAATAGCAGCTCAGGGCAGTTTTGCAGTCATATTTATACCCACTTTTAATTGCATGCAGATTAATGGGCGGTTTATGCAGAAATTTCTAGGGAAGGGGTAGTAACTTTGGGGTCATTGCCATGGAAAGGGGCGGTAACTCCTGGGTGTTGCCATGGCAATGGTAAATTGACATCACACAGTGGTAGGCGTGTCTGATTGAAAGCTGCTTTCCACTCGGCCCTGTTTTAGCTAGTCCTCAATCTGGTCCGGTGTCCAAGCCCCGCCTCTGGAGTAGAGTCCTGTCTCCTACTTCAGAACCAGCAATGGAGAGTGGAGAGCAGCAGCCACTAACGGAAGAGGGAAACCAAGAGACTATGGCATGGCATCCTAGAAACCACGGGAAGAAAGGACAACAAGGAGAAGGGAGTGACTGTGTCAAATGCTGCTGATAGGTCCAGAAAGATGAGGACAGAACATACTGCCTATTAGGTTTTGCAACATTAAATGACTGTTTTGCATCTGACGGCTTCAGTTTTCTCTGTAAAGTAGGAGGCATGGTCATCTGCTGAGGTATGGGGTGGGGTAGAGACAGTTGGGGAGTTGGCAGGGTGGGAGATTTAGGGAGAATGAAGAAGGTTTGAAAACATCGTTGGGGAAAGTGAAAGTGCAAGTTGATCAGAGAAAAGAATCAGGATTGCTGGGCAGTATGGAAAGCCTATTTGCCATGTAGAAAAGGCAGTTGTATTCACAGCTGCAGCCGAGAGGACTGTTAAGAGTTAATAAAGTGTGTGTGTGTGTGTGTGTGTGTGTGTGTGTGTGTGTGTGTGTGTTTTAATTTAAAAATAAGAACAGCAGATCCTTGTTTAGGGCCTCAAAGACAGTTTCAAGATAAGAAAAAACAGGATGCTGACAGTCCAGGAGAGGCACTTGGACCTCAGGGGAGTGTCATGTAGCAATGTCCAGCTGTAAGAAATCACATAGCCAGAGATTGCTGAACAAGCTTTTATCCCCACACAAAGAGCTGCCCCTGAAGCAGTTTGACACTGGGCTGCACCAGGTGACATTTGTTGTCCTGATGTTGCTTTCCATTTCCTGGCTGACCTCAAGGAGCATGTATACATATGTCTTGCATATTGCAAGGGGGATCTGGAATGAGACCCAGATGGCTGTGTTCTGATGGGCTCACTAATGCATTCCTTGCCTTTTTGAGGATAATAGCGACAATAACATTTAATACTTTATGAGTCCTGCTCTAAGTGCTATACATGTCCACTTACTGAATGTCTAGCACAGCTCTATGTGGTAGACACTATTTTTATTGAGGCTCAGAGAGGTTAAATAACATGCTCTGAGCATACCAGTAGGAAGTGGTGGAGCCAGAATTCAGACCCAGGCAGACTGACCAGCAGGGTATAAAACATAGCAAATGTTCACCATGTATGTGCCAGGCAATGCACTAAGCACTTTACATGGATTATCTCATTTCATCCTCACTACAACCCATTAAGGTTGACACCATTACTAATCCCATTTTACTAATGAGGTTAATTTAACCCAGACCACATAGCTAAGAAGTGGCGGAGGCCATTTTGGAACTCAGCAGAGGGGGCAGGAGCAGGAGAGCTAGTCCCAGACTGCTTGATATATTCCTTGCCCTGTGAGAGGAACGTGAAAATAAATGCATGCTTCTTGTGGGTTTTCTCTTAACAGGTCCTAAAGGGCCCTTCACCTGAGCTGTGATAAGGATAAGGGCTGCATGATTCCAGAGGTCTAGGCTGGAGATAGATATTTGGGGATCACAGCACATAGCTGGGATAGAATGAGATCTCACCAGGAAGGAGTGTAGATAGAGGAACTTAGAGAGCCCAGGGCTAATCTTTCAGAGACTTCAACATAGAAGGGGTGTGCCGCAGCAAAGGAGGCTGCGATGAGGTCTGTTTTCCTCTTGCCTGAGACTTGTGCTGTGAAGCCAGGAGATGACAGAGTGTCAACAAGGAGGGAGTGGTCACCAGTGTCAAACAATGTCAAGTACGATGAGCACTGAGAAGTATTTGATGGCTCTAGCAACACAGAGGTCATGGTGAGGTCACGGAGAGCTGTTTTGGTGGAGCTCTGAGGGCAGAGGGCAGATTGCACTGTGGGGAGATGTCCCTGGGAGGTGAAGAAGTGGAGACAGCGAATGCGGACAACTCTTTGAAGAAGTTGACTGTGAAAGGAATGAGAGATATGACTTAGTGTCAAGAGAATTTTTTTAAATGGGATAGATCTGACCATGTGTAGAAGCTGAGGAGCTGGGGAAGGGGAAACATAAGATATAGGTGAGAGAAGGGATGAATTGAGCAGGGTCTCTGCGAAAAACACTGGAGGAGGGCGTAGCCCGGGAAAAGAAGAGCAGCCTCTCATTCTCTGAGACCAGAGGCAAGTTAGCACAACTGGGTGTGGAGCAGTCCAGTTTGTAGGTAGAGGAAGGCAGGGCTACCACTTCCCTTACACCTGATGCCTTCTCTGTGAGGTAAGGTCATTTGTTTAAAGTAAGGGGGAATGAGTGTTGTGTTAGATGCTAGATGCTAGAGAAGATTAGCAATAAATGGGGCATGTATTGAGGCATGTACCAATGGTCTGCAGCATGCTGGGCCACTTACACACATGCCTCAGTTATTCCTCACAACAACCCTCAGATTAGGTATGATCACCCCATTTATAGATGATGAAGCTGAGGTACTCAGAGGCATACAAAGTTTGGAATACCTGAGGAATGGAAAGAGAGGTAGCTTGTTAAGCTGATTCAGGTGAAAGAACTGAAGGGAAGCTCTCCCAGTAAGCCGAAGTGGGCTCTCTTAACTACGGACTGGCTCTAGTCGCCCAGCAGCTTGCAGCTGTGGTCACCCTACTGGAGAAAGAGTGGACAGGTGGTCAGATTGAAGCAGAGTTGAGGGCCAGGCCTTGCTGATGGATAGAGAGGGTGAGGAGTTTGGGTGCTAGAGCCAAAGTAATTTAAGTGAACACGTTTGCCTGGTGGTGTGTGCCTATAGTCTCAGCTACCTGGGAAGCCAAGGTGGGAGGATCGATTGAGCCCAGGAGGTCAAGGCTGCAGTGTGTCATGATCACGCCACTGTACTCCAGCCTCGGCAACCAGAGTGAGACTCTGTCTCTAAAAAAAAGGGGGTGAGTTGGGGTGGAGGCAGGGAGAGCATTAGGAAAAATAGCTAATTCATGCTGGGCTAAATACTTGGGTGATGGGATGATCTGTGCAGCAAACCACCATGGCACACGTTTACCAATGTAACAAACCTCCACATCCTGCACATGTACCCCAGAACTTAAAAATTAGAATTAAAATCGTGAAAAAAAAGTGATCATACTTGGAGTCCAGGCTGAAGGATGTGAACTCAGATGTGAATGGAGAAGGTGGGCAAACACAGACTGCTCACAGTTCTGGAAGTCTGCTGGAGGTTTAAGGAATAGACTCGGTGGGAGAGTGAGAAAGTAGGAAGAATGGAAAGTTGTAGTCAGGTCAGAGATTGAGATTTTGGAGGAGGTGAACCCAGAGATGGCAAAGCCAAAGTGACGTCCCTGGACATGTGGTGTGAGGTTGAGAGTGAGGCCCTGGAAGTGAGGACATAAAGGAATTATGAGGCCTGGTTTTGGAGGGGTGTCCACATAGGCTCTGAAGTCACTCAGGGTGATGGCAGCGTGTGAGGTCTAGAGCAGAGGCAGATGGCAACCTCATCTCTTCTCATGGTTTGGGAGAATGAACAGCTCTGTTTGTGGAGGTGGACACTACTTGAGAAATGGTGGATTCAGCATGAGAATTAGGGTACCTGCTAAGGTTGATGACTAGGAGAGGCATCCAAACCAGGCTTTCTCCACATCCAATGTCACCATGGTGGCTTTTTAGCTAATAACATTTAAATGTACTTTACAGTTTATAAAGTATGTCTCCACTGAAATGTTCCACTGCATGAATTTTAGGCACAGTATCTTAACGCCTTTTCTGACCACGACAGCTTGGAAATTGAGATGATGCTGGCCTGCACAAAGTTACAAATCTGTTTTGAACCATTTTTTAAAACCTATTTTAACAATACTCTCTTGGCATCTGACACATAGAGCTCATTTTTCTTTTCCTCCCCTGTCCTCCACCCACCCAAACAAACAAAGAAACTCCTAGCATCCCTCCTTTCCAGATCTCTGAACTCTGTGGAGTCTTTTGCCCCAGTGAGCTGAAAGACCAAAATTAAGGCCTCAGGCCTAATACTTTTTTCCTGCCACATGAGGGCAGACTTCTTAACAAAAAAAGGGGAAACAACTGTTTACATTGTACTGTATAGAACTGAAAATAGTGAGAAGTAATGTTAAGGCCAGATTTTGTACGGTTTCAAGGTCTTGACAAATCTACCACTCTCTTTAAGCCTGCAACTTTTCCAATTCATTGTCTACTGGTGGATACACTGGCTTACTCTTTCCCCTCCTTTTTTATTTTCTCCCTTCCTCTGTAATTCCCTGACTCCCATAACTGTTTATTGAGCATTTACTCTAAGTAGAGTTGCCAGATAAAATACAAAAAGCTGAGTTAAACTTGAACTTTAGATAAACAATTTTTTTTTGTATAAGTATGTCCCATGCATATGCTTGGGGCATACTTAAATTTAAAATATTTATAGTTTATCTGGAATTCAAATTTAATTGGATGGCCTGTATTTTTATTTGCTAAATCTGGCTACTTGAACCCTGGGCCAAGAGTGGTGCTGGAAACTGGTGGGCTGGGGCCGATCACAGAGCTCTCAGGCTCCTGGCAGAAGCAAGCTTAAAAGAGTGACAAGTGGCTGGGTGTGGTGGCTCACGCCTGTAATCCCAGCACTTTGGGAGGCTGAGATGGGTGGATCACCTGAGGTCAGGAGTTCGAGACCAGCCTGGCCAACATGGTGAAACTCTGTCTCTTTTAAAAATGCAAAAAAAATTTAGCCGGGCGTGGTGGCAGGCACCTGTAATCCCAGGTACTTGGGAGGCTGAGGCAGGAGAATCACTTGAATCCAGGAGGCACAGGTTGCAGTGAACTGAGATGGTGCCACTGCACTCCACCCTGGGCGACAGAGCAAGACCCTGTCTCAAAAAAAAAAAAAAGTGATCAGTGCAATGCTACAGCCATAGGGACAGAGATGCGGGGCAGCTGGGGCAACCGGCCCAGCATGTGTAATGAAGGAAGACCCCCCAGCAGCCTCATCTTCAGTGCTCCCTCTTAGCACCTGTACTCCACCTTTGCACATTCCATTCTTTCAGCCTGCAGCACGCATTTCAAGTGTCTCCTCCTATGGGAAATCTCTTCTGATTTCAGAGTGAACTGTCACTGTGATACTTTGTATCCACATCTCCAGTAACACCACACTTTCGTTTACATTTCTGTCTCATCCAACAAAACTAGAGGTCAGAGATTTGAGTCTTCTTCATCTCTGTTTCTCCATTGCTGAACATGGTGCCTGGCACATAATGTGCACTCAAAATGTGTACAATTTTTAAAATGAGGGATTTTAGTTCCAGACCTTAGGAAAGTCACTGAATTTTTCTTTGCTTTTGTTTGCCTAACATATATAAAAAGGAGGTCTGATTCAATGACCTCTAATGTCCTTTACAGATCTAGAAAGAGTTCCATGATTCTAAGTTAAGTTGGAGTTTGGCCAGGTATGTGCAGTAATTCCACTTCTAAAGCAGGCAGCAGTCAAACTGCTCTTTAGGGCTTGCTATGATCTGAAGCTTTATGTCTCCCCCAAATTCATGTGTTAAAATCCCAACCCCCAAGGTGATGGTATTAGGAGGTGGGGCCTCCTAATACCTAGCTGATCCCTGGGAAAACTCACACTCCTCTTATTCACAGGTAAAAGTCAAACACTGGTTAATTTTGCTATAATTTCCTGCTAATCTTGGCCAAGCCTCCACTACATGACATACGGCAAGGGCCTGAGTTTTGGAGTCAGGCAGACATGGATTCAAGTTCTGACTCCCCCATTTACCATCTCTGTGACCTTGGACAAGATACTCAACATCATAAATCTTTTCCTTCTTCTGTAAAATAGAAGTAATAATATTACCTGCCCCCAAAATTGTTGTGAAGATGAAAAACAATATAGGCAAAGTTCTCGGCATAGTGCCTGACACCTAATAGGTGCTCAATAATTGGGCTTTATTATCAAACACCTTTTCATTTATCGCAAGGCGAATGAATCCCCAGGGTTTTGTCTACAGGATCCACTCCAAACCTTTTCACTTTCCTCAGCCTTCAGTTCTCACTTTCCTTCCTTGCCTTCTATGTTCTTGCATGGGTTTTACTGGCTCCTTTTTCTATTTCCTAAGTGAAAGTATTCCTTCAAGATCCTGTGCTCTGCTGGCCCTAAGGTAGTGAGTTACCTCAATTGCTTGTTCACCATCAGTTACAGGTCAAACTCCTTGTTCTACTCTTTCCACCCTTCTCACTACTGCACTGGACTAGGAAAAAAAAAGATCCTGTGCTCAAAACTTTTTTTCTTGCATTCTCTCGGCAATTTCATTTCAGGCATATGTGAATAACTTCTTTTTCTTTTGAGACTGTATCTTGCTCTGTAGCCCAGGCTGGAGTGCAGTGGTATGACCTTGGCTCACTGTAGCCTCAACCCTCTGGGCTCAAGTGATCCTTCCACCTCAGCCTCCCAAGTAACTGGGGCTATAGGCATGCACCACCTCACCTGGCTAATTTTTTGTATTTTTTGTCAAGGTGGGGTTTTTGCCATGTTGCCCATGCTAGTCTTGAACTCCCGGGCTCAAGCGATCTGCCTGGCTCTGCCTCCCAAAGTGCTGGGATTACAGGCGTGAGCCACCATGTCCAGCCTATGAATAACTTCTAAATGTGTATCTCTGGTCCCAGCTTTTCACTTGAGCTCCAGACCTGGTTTCCAGACTCCTGATTTGCCATTGTCACCTGGATGTCTTGAGGGCCCTGCACACCTAGTATATGCTAAAGTCATTGTAGGGGAGGAGAAATATGTTTTTCTCATCCATGGCTAGGTTCATGGCTGAGGCACCTATAAGAAAGGCAGATTAACAAGAGAAACACAGACACATTTATTTAAGAAGTTTTACATGATACAGGAGCCTTCCTAAGGAAATGAAGACTCAGAGAAACAGGTAAACCTGTGCATTCTTAATGCTAGATTTCATGAAGAAGTGGATAGTGGTGAAGGATGATTACATACAAAAGTATAATCTAATGGTAATCAACTGGCAGGGGAATTTAACAAGGCCTGTTTATTCAGATTCTTCTTTGTGACGCTGTGTCTTCAGAGAAAATGATGTTCCTTTCTCCCAGGTATAGAGAGGATACCGCTCAAATGAGAGTCTAACGACCTGCTTCAGGGCAGTGTCAGAAAATCCTTTTACCTGTTTTAGAGGAGAAGGGCAAGGGGAAAGTGAGAATGACCTTCCTGCTTCTGTTGTTTACTCAAATGCCAAGCAACGTGCTGTATTTTGGGGTAGCATATCCTGAACCCCATCATCATCATTTCCAACTCTGCTCCCCATCTCCACCCTAAACCTATTCCTTTTGACTGTCTTATATCTATTAATGGCTTCACTATCTTCTCAGATGATGGCCTTAAAAACCTCAACCTCTTAGGGTTCTAAGGAATTACCATGCAATTTCCACAACCCCGTTCTCACTGCCATCAACCAGGTTCATACTTCAGCATCTTGTTCTCCAGTGGAAGCAATCTGTTTCCAGTGAATAGGCTGTTTGGGCCCTCTGGATCTTTGCATATGGTGTTTTACCCAGAGTATTCCCTTTGTCTGATATCAAGATTGCTGAGAAATACAATTCAGAAATCTGCATGGTGAGTGAGGATTTAAAGCATAGGGAGGAAAATGGTCTTGAGGGATATTTTATTTCAGCTGTGATGAAGCCCCAGGAATGGACCCTGATCTGTAGCAAATGGTACCTTTCTAAGGAAAGGATTACATCCCCTAGATTCAACGTTTCTCTCCCCCATATGGAACAAGAAACACATTACCAAACTATGTTCTTGGAATACCTTTTTTTTTTCCAATGCTGAGATTGACTGAGAAACATTATTGAGTGTGTTGACACAATTGGCTAAGCCACAGTAGAGTTGACAGTGCCTGCCTCCAATATGAGTTGATTTAATCAGCTGACATTTCAAAAAAGCAATCTTAATGCTACCAGACAATTCTACTCTTAGGCTGTTATACCCTAGGGAAACTCTTGTACATGCTCTCCAAAGACATGTAAAAGATTATTTACAGTAGCAAACTGTCCCAAACTGGACACAACCCAAATGCCCATCAATAGTAGAAAGGATGAATACATTATGGTATATTTATACAATAGAATACCAACAACAAAAAAGATGATCTAGAGGCACATACAAAACCATGGATAAATCTCAAAAGCAATGCTGAAAAAAGTAAGTCAGAGAACACATGCAGTATACTTCCATTTATGTGGAGTTCAAAGCCAGGCAAAATTAAGTCATACCATATTGGTTGGAGATAAATACGCATGTGATAAAACTATAAAGATAAGCAAGGAACAATAAGCACAAAATTCAGGAGGATGACTAGTCTTGGAGGTGGAGAGCTGAGGATGGTAAGTGCAGGAGGGGCATAGAGAGCTTTGAAGGTGTTGTATTTCTTAAGAAGAGTGGTGGGTACACAGATTTAATTTCATTGTTATTCTTTAAACTGTGTAGTTACATGAAATACACCATTATGTGCCACATACTTCATGATTTTTAAAGTTTTATTTTAAACATCTAATATTATTCCCCAGTTCTTTGAGATGAGAAGATAGGTGTTCCTTTTAGCTAGATTGCTCTTGTCCGTCTTCAAATTTCCCTTCAAACTTCTTTGGGAAGCATTCTCTGACTCCCCATGTTGATTTATTTAATATAGAACATTACAGACATACACAGAAACAGAGAGAATAATATAATGAACTACCCATGTAACTGTCACCCACCTTCAACAATCATCAATATATAGCTATTCATTTTCCTATACCCTGGCACATTTCCCTCCTGTCAGGGATCACTTGAAAGCAAATCCCAGCCATCCTACCTTTTCCTTTTCATAGGAATTAAATACTTTAGTAAAATTAAATACTAAAACACTAAAATAAAATTCATACTGAAGTAAAATTAAATACTTTAGTAGAGCACTTTAATCCTAGTTAAATACTAAAGTATTAATGCTTTAATGCTTAAAGTTGGTGCTAAATGAGTAGGTGCTAAATGAATGTTTTATTGAGTGAGTGAATGATGTCGCTCTCTTGTATTGTTTATGTGCTCTTTCTTCTTTTCCAATTTGTAGGAAGATAAGGAATTTGTGAAACTTTGATTTAAACCCCCTGGGGTAAGGTATTATGCAAAATTCTTTTGATAGTTACTTTTCTTAAAAGGTTTTTACAAATTTCATTGTGGAGAGCACTTTATTTATTGTCTTTTCCTTTGTTGCCCATTTCCTGAGCCGCAGCAGTCTTGATAAGCTTGTTTGAATTTAAACACAAAAATTCCCTGTTCTGTAACTTGATGGGGGGCTCCCAGCAGCCTTGCCCTCAGAGGGAATTGTAGGCTAACGACTTTTGAGTAATACATTACTCACCAGAGCTTCTTAGAAATATCTTCTGATGCAAATTATTACTTTTTGAGATATCTTTGCTCTGTTCTTGAATTCCACCTGTCATTCCCCTCTTGGGGACCCCCTGCCCCCGAATGCATGAAAAACAACATCACTGAGAAAGCTGGGAACCAATTTCCTTCTGTGTACCTACTCTAGTATCTCCTCCTGCTTTTCAGTTGAGGCATATGTACTCTGCAGTGCCCATGGCTAAACATCCCTTCCGTTAGCTCTGTAACAGGTATTTAGACTCTTATTTATTGTCTGTTCTACTATGTCCCATACACAAAAGTTACCAAGGTCACCAAATAAGAAAACTTTTCTATATGTTATTGGATTTGATAATATTGTACTCCGTACCCATTTTATCCTGTGAATACCACTGACATCCTTAGAATAGTTTTAGAAATACTTCCTGTTTTCCTGATTCCAGGAAATGGAACTGACTCATGGGACTTGCAATATTATTTTTGTAAAATTGTTATGAACCAGACTCAATAATTTAAACTTCAACCAAACTTATCTTGCTGTCACTCTAAGTATGTAGGGTTTATGGAATTATCTTGGAAACGGCAATTGATGAAATCCCTCCCTCATTTTTTTAAATGGAGCAGTTAGATAATAGTGAATTAAGATTTCCTGGAGAGCCAACTGTAAGCCTTCAACTGGCAGTGAAAGATGAACAAAGACTGGATGACATATTGAAATTATACCTAGTACG
Source organism: Homo sapiens (assembly GCF_000001405.40). Lineage (NCBI taxonomy): Eukaryota > Metazoa > Chordata > Mammalia > Primates > Hominidae > Homo > Homo sapiens. Next base: position 134,138,339 of record NC_000023.11, on the reverse strand, counting down.
TAAACTCGTATCAAACACTTCTAATCTGGCAAACAATGCAATGAGTGACAGCAAATGCAATAAAACAGAAACCTAGATCAATTATCTTGGAAAGATTGCAGTCAGCAGATAAAAATGGGACCATGGAGTCTTCTGAATTAACTAGCTCTGAGAACATGAATCAGTCTTTCATCTTTTATTATTTCATCCTTTTCCTTTGAAGTAAACTTAAAAATAATCTTTTTGCCAACTCCTCAAAATGAAATATTCACTATATCACTCTTATTCCTTATTAAAAACTGGTATTAGTGTGCTTTTATACTGAAGACATCAAAGAAACTATGGCGTATACTTGTATAAACATAAGGAAGCCTGAAGTATATTGCTTATTTTTCTATGAAATAAATGCAAAATCATGTTACTTCAATGTGCGTTTACTCAATTCTACTTGGATTTTCTGAAAGAAATTTCCTCTTCCTTTTTGATACAATCCTTGTTGAATGGATGAAATATGTGGCAGTTTATTTCTAGCATTTTGCTATCAGCCACACCTTTTATCCGTAATAATGCCCATCAAGAGTATTGTACTATTTTAGTTTTTCCAATTGGTTTGGATTTTAACAGTTTTGTTCCACTGTTAAATAGTATTTAACTTTCCTGTACATAATTGTGCAAGTGTATTTGGATGTCTTCTATTCATTCCACATTTTCAAATATCTGAACATACCCTGTTACATGTCACAGACACCATTGGTTGCTTAGCACCACTCCCTCTTCCATGATAACATAACCCTAATTTGTACTGGTATGAGGCATTATGGGTCTTATGAGAGGCTACACCTCTCTCCAGTTCCAACCCTTAGCCAGGCTAAATGAGCCATGATAATTTTATCACTCCTGTTAATGACTGGCTTAGGCACAGACATGTAATACGATTCTGGTCAATAACACATGTGGAAAAGTTTATTTGAGATTTGCTCAGAAGCCTTTTTCTGAGAAAGGGATACCAGAAAAGGATGTCCTCTCTTCTTGCCTTTGGAAGCTGTTGTTTGAGGACATGGTGACTGGAGCTGTTGTGGCCATTCTGCAACTATGAGTAGAGTAACAGACAAACTGAGAACCTCAGAGCAGAAAAATGGAAAGGACCTGAATCCTTGATAAAATTGTCGAGACAGTGAATTACCAAAACTGCCTTATCTCAGTTCTCCTTGTCATAATTTAATAAACTGACTTTATTGTTGAAGCCAGTTGGGGTTGGGTTTTCTATTACTTGCATTCAGGCATCTTAACTGACATACTCCATAAAGCTGATGGTTCTTATATTGCATTACATGCTGTCATTCTCCCCGTTTCCTAACACTTCACCAAAATGTCTTAGATTCAGTCCTATTGGAGCTGAACATCAACATGAAATAATTAAAACTGAATTATAGATTGAAAACTGAATTTTTCTATTAACACGTTTATTTTATTCATAGAAATGTATAGTTATAAAAGCGATAGTTTATGTCATAGAAAATTAGGGCAAAGCATTTATCTCTCTGTTTTCAACTGTACAATGATTGGAGAAGGTGTACTCATTAAATTTTTGGTTGCCACAAAGGTAGGAGAGCACTGACATGATAGGCAACATACAGAAATATCTTCACGGACTATAATAACGAGCCCAAAACAACAAGGTGAAATGGAATCGAGAGAAATGTAGGCTTTTGCATTTAGGTTAAAGAGATGAAAGCTAATGCTGTTTGGAATGAGGGTTAAAGGCTGTTTATAGGAACAGTGTCTGGGGATTTCAGTTAAATGCTAATTACATAAATGGCAGGATTAGGACAAGCCTACAAATTATGAAAAATGTAAATATATAAATCCTTCCTTCATTCCACAAGAATCTATTAACCTCTTATTCAGCAAATGCATATTGGTAGCTGGTTAAGAGAATGGGCTTTGGGCTTCAACTGATCTTAGTTTGATGTTTGTGACTTTGGGCACATTTTTTCTCTGTGCCTCTGTTTTCTTATTTGTAAAATATGATTAATAATAGTACACAGTGATTAAGGGGATGAAAATAAGATAATATGTATTAGTCCATTCTCCCATTGCTATAAAGAACTATCTGAGACTGGGTAATTTATAAAGAAAAGAGGTTTAATTGGCTTATGGTTCCACAGGCTGTACAGGAAGCATGGCTGGGGAGGCCTCAGGAAACTTACAATCATGGTGGAAGGCAAAGGGGAAGCAGGTACATTTTCACATGGCCAGGAGAGAAAGAGTGAGGGGGGAAGTGCTACACACTTTTAAACAACCAGATCTCCTGAGAATTCACTATCACAAGAACAGCAAAGGGGAAATCCGCCCCATGATCCAATCACCTCCTACCAGGCCCCCTCCCCCAACACTGGGGATTATAATTCAACATGAGATTTGGGTGGGAACACAGAGCCAAACCATATCATAATATATGCAAAGGGCCTGGAACAGTATTTATAGCAATAATAATTTTTAGTGTTTAGGCTAGTATTAGGTCAAAGGTGATAATTTTTCCACAATAATTTGTTTTGTTCAGCTTAAACTGGAGAAACTTAATTTTTGTACCATATTTTGAGGTATACCAATAGACTAGAGAATGACTGGATAAACATGAAAAGAGAATCTGGAAGCAATATCGCATAAGGAATAATTTTCAAGAATTAAGCATTTGACCCGAAGAGAAAAGACTTCATATATTTTAAAGGGAGCCATATGAGTAAGGTAATAAATTTATTTTGTGTTGCTTCAAGGAGAACCCTAGAAACTAGAAAAAGCAGCAGAATTCAGCTCAGTATACTGAAGACTTTTTAATCTGATTGCTCTGCAACAATTGTCTGGCCTAAATGAACAAGCGGTGACCTCTCTATCATTGTAAGTACTTGGGCAGAGGCCAGTGATGGGACAGAGGCCAGATGAGCATCTGTCAGGGTTGACACACGGAATTCAGTGAGTCTTGCAATTCTTACAATTGCTGTATATTTGACTTGAGTCCCTTATGCCAATAAGATTTATATTTAATTTCCATCCACGTTTCCTTGAAAGGTTTTCTTAACCACAAGGAATATTAACACATCAACGGGGAAACTCTATTGTCTTGTATGTTTTGCAGAATCAAAAATTTCAGAGCTGAAATGCCCCTTAGGAATTAAACAGATAGGTCAGGTGTGGTGGCTCATGCCTGTAATCCCAGCACTTTGGGAGGCTGAGGCGGGTGGATCACTTGAGGTCGGGAGTTTGAGACCAGCCTGACCAACATGGAGAAACCCCGTCTCTACCAAAAATACAAAATTAGCTGGGCGTGGTGGCACATACCTATAATCCCAGCTACGTGGGAGGCTGAGGCAGGAGAATCGCTTGAACCCGGGAGGCAGAGGTTGCGGTGAGCCAAGATCACACCATTGCACTCCAGCCTGGGCAACAAGAGTGAAAGAAAGAAATTAAACAGATATATTTCTCAATTAATGGTCCATGAATCAACAAGGGAATTAAGAAACAAATTATTTTTATATTTTGTTAATGTTTCTTTCATTATAAAAATAATATAAGCACATTAAATAAAATGGTAAAAGAGAAAGAAAAAACAGTTCCACCACATCATTTTTATATGGTTTTTCATAGATATTTATATTATATAGAGACTTTTTGGAGGCTATTTTCAGTATGTAATGGTCGTATTGGTCTGCTAGGGCTGCCATAACTAAGTACCACAAATTGGGTGACTTAAACAACAAAAATTCGTTTCACAGTTCTGGAGGCTAGAAGTCCAAAATCAATGTGTTGGCAGGGTTGGTTCCTTCTGAGAGTTGTGAGGAAACATCTGTTCAATGCTTCTTCCATAGCTTCTGGTGGTTTGCTGGCAATCTTTGAAACTCCTTGCCTTGTAGAAGCATCTCCTTATATCTGCCTTTGTTTTCACATAGCATTCTTCCTGTGTGTGTGACTGTCCCTAAATATCCTTTTTTTATAAGGACACCAGTCATATAGGATGAGAGGCCCATCCTATTCCAGTATGACCTCATCCTAATTTAAATAATTACATCTCCAATGACCCTATTTTCACATCAGGTCACATTCTGGTGTACTCGTAGTGAGGACTTCAACATATGCATGTTGGGGAAGACACAATTCAACCCATAACAAGGGTCAAACCAATTTACAGTATCACCTACAATGTATAAGAGTTCCCGTTCTCCTATATTCCCAATAATAATCCTTAATGGTATTATGTTACAAAATTACTTTTTGTTAATTACGTGAAGAATTGCACCCTAGTGTTGTTTTAATATATATTTCTTTATTAGTGAGCGTGAATGGTTTTCTGTGTTTGCTTCCTAGTTGAATTTCTTTTGTGACTGGTCTGTTCCTGTCCACTGCCCATATTTTTTTAAATTATGAAAGTAATATATTATAAAAGGTTTGAAACACAGAGAAACTACAAACCACCCATACTCCAACACAGCTATTATCATTTTTATTGCCTTCTAGGCTATTTTCATATGCATGTTTTTCTCTTTTGTAATTGTAGTGCACATATAGTCTTATCTCCTACTTTTTTCACCTTATAGTGTATTATAATATGGAAATGGGTTAATCCTCAGTGTACCAGAATAGTTCCTTCTTAAATAATTATGAATTCAGAACTAGGCTTCTGGTATTAGACAAAAAAAATAAGCCTTTTTAAGGGTATAATTACTTGGCTATTAAGGGAGTAAAAAATAAGAAGACCCCTGGTTGCAAGAAAGTTAAAATTACGTTTTAATACCATGGTCTATCTTTGGATACATGGCACACAGGTGTCCAGGACATGTTGAATGAATTAATAGTCTAGTTATTCGATATAATTTTTATTCATTTTTCAGGTGATACAACTCAGTTCTGAGAATTTTTGGTTTTCTAGACCACATGCTTGAAATACAACATTAAGACTACCTTAATGTATATGTCATATATTTAAGAACCAGCACCATACTAGGCAAAATTAGTATAAGGTCCATGATTTTAAAAATGTATTTTAGGCTGGGTATGGTGAATCATAGCTATAATCCCAGCACTTTGGGAGGTTGAGGCAGGAGGATTGCTTGAGTTCAGGAGTTTGAGATCAGCCTGGGCAACATAAGGACACCCTATCTCTACAAAAAGTTAAAAAATTAGCCAGGCGTAGTGGCATGTGCCTGTAGTCCCAGCTACTCAGGAGTCTGAGGTGAGAGGATCATTTGAGCCCAGGAGGTTGAGGCTGTGGTGAGCTATGTTAGATACTGCACTCCAGCCTGGGCGACAGAGTCAGACCCTGTCTAAAAAAAATTAAAATAAAATAAAAATTAAAAATATATTTTAAAAGCCATTAAGTGAAAAGTGAAAAAAGTGTTTTACAAAGGGTCTTTCAAAGTAAACTTGTATATATATTAAAAACTAGGGTTTCATAAAAACAAATTTATTGTGAACAAATAGAAACATAAAATCTTTTTCTTCTTTGTAAAGAAAAAAATTCTTGTTAGAATCAAAAGATGTTACAAGTCATCATTTGTCCCTCATCTGAAATAAATTAACTAAAAGATATATCTAATGGTATCTATAATGCTACTGGCAGTATACATAATAATTTATTTTTCTATTTTAAATTCTGCCTCTTATTTCATTGGTAATATTTTGCCAAAATTGTCACTTGTAGTTCAGTCATTCTCATTAAACTGTAAAGATTGTCCTCAAAGAGAAACTTAAAATAAAACTTCACATCTAAAGAAAAAGTGTTATAGTAAGAATTCTTTCTCAAAATATGTAGTGAAGGACTTTTCTACAAACTTCCAATCGTAGTGGACCAATACTTGTATAAAATGCAATAAAAATGAAAATGTTATTTAAAATACTAGAACATTTTTTAAAACACCACTGAAATATAGAAAGTATAAATCCCAAAATGTTTCTACATTATCCTGTCAAATTTCTATGAAAGTTTAAAAAAGTTTAATTTCAATTCCTATACTTACTTAGGCAGGAAGTGGAAAACAGTTCACAGATCACACTTGGAGTAGCATTGTTATGAAAGATAGTCCTTGTCCTTAAGGAACTTAGAATCCTGTTAGAGTGAACACCAGAAGAGTACATGTAACAAAGTACCAAATTGTATGGTAACTCTTGCTTCCCCAGACCACACCAGCCTGGAGTAACTTAAGAGCCATGTTCTTCCAGATAACCGTGGGTATAACATGGATAGGGGAGTACATACCTAAGTTCCCAAGGATGCAAACAAATGTTAACAGCTAAAACAACTAAAAGTATCAAAAGTAAATGAAAACAGCTATTAATATATGAATTATAAAACATAAGTCGGCCGGGCACGGTGGCTCACGCCTGTAATCCCAGCACTTTGGGAGGCCGAGGTGGGCGGATCACCTAAGGTCGGGAGTTGGAGACCAGCCTGACCAACGTGGAGACACCCTGTCTCTACTAAAAATACAAAATTAGCTGGGCGTGGTGGCTCATGCCTGTAATCCCAGCTACTTGGGAGGCTGACGCAGGAGAATCGCTTGAACCTGGGAGGCAGAGGTTGTGGTGAGCCGAGATCGAGCCACTGCACTCCAGCCTGGGCAACAAGAGCGAAACTCCTTCTGAAAAAACAAACAAACAAACAAACAAAAAACATAAGTCATGATTCTTCTAGTTGCATGACTGTAAAATTCACAGATTTCGTGGACAAAACTGCTGTTATGTCTAAGTAATCACAGTGTGGTTAGAATAAGTCACACACATCATTTCTTTGGATTTACTTCCATCCAGCCTTGAAGAATCTCCAGTTCCCTCTATACTGAGCCCCCGCCCTGTTATTTCTTAGAATTCTCAGGAATGAAAAAAAAAAAAAAAGGATTCTCAGGAATGTAACTCATACAATTATCAAGCTGCCTCACTCATTCTCCTCCATTAGCTGGCCATCTACTGCCAAGGCCTTTGATACTGATGAAGTCATTACTGCCAGGGGTTACTGTCTTCAACTTCCAAGTTTCAAGTATGGGAAACAAAAGTTTTGTCAGTGGATCATTAGGTTTACTATTGAGAGGTGCTAGGAACCTTTTCCGCCCTTTGGTTCCCAGATCCATGTATTCTGATGATGAGAAAATGGCTATATATATATATATATATATATATATATATATAGAGAGAGAGAGAGAGAGAGAGAGAGCGAGCACTTTCAGAGTGATTCTACATCCTATAGCACAGCATCTCAACCTTGCAATGTGTTAGCTTCCCAGGTGGTGTCATAACTGAGTCTTCATTAAGCCTTTCCAACAATCTATGAGGTTTTCTGCTTCTGCAATAATGTATATGATAAGATCAGTGAATCTCATGGACTTTAACCCAATTCATCAGCAGCAGCAACAAACTCTGAGTTCCTCGTAGGGTACTATACTTTGAGGTGACAAGCCATAATCTTGTGGCAGGTTGATTGGTTTAAACCCCTTCCATTATAGGTGGGGTAGTAATTTCCCCTCACTAGAATAGAAACTATTTCTGGATTTGCTCTTCCTGACCTTGCTGGTACCATTCCTCTGCAATGGAGACTAGGGCCTTTTGGGAAGCATTCTACTTGAGATATGAAAATTCTCACTCTCTAGGTCCATTCTGAGAAGTTCTTTGCATCTTACAAAGCCTTTGATAGTCTGGCAAAGATTATGGATCCCTTCTCAGAATAGTATTTTATGTGTAACATATAGAATACATAAGGTTATTAAGGAAATCACTATTACATAATATTATATAGTTCTATCTTCAGGCCACTTAGGGTTCTATGAACCCAAAATTAGGAGATCAACCTTGTTACCAATTCTCCTTTTCACTTCTTCCAAATCCATAACCATCTGACCAAACCATTAGCTCCTGCCAATGGATTGGTATAGATCAGAGATTGGCAAACTCCAGTTTGTTGCCTGTTTTTGTAAATAAAGTTTTATTGGAACACAGCTATACCAATATATTTACATACTCTCTGTGGTGGTTTTTGCACTCCAAGGGTAGAATTGAGCAGTTGGAACAGGGATTGTATGTGACAAGCAAAGCAGAAGATACTTACTATCCGGTCCTTCAGAGAAAAAGTTTGTTGATCCCTGGTATAGATCCTGGCCTAAAAGTAAAGCAGGCAATGTGGACCAGAAGTTGCACTCTTTGAACTTCTGTCCGCTGGGAAAATTTTACTTCTCCACTCTCCTTCAGGGGTACCCTTCAGGGCTATAATTCTAGAACAGTTCACTTCTGGGTGCTGCAAGCATATTATGCAGAGCTAGCTATAAACACAACTTGAACGCCCCATGAGGTTGTAGGGTGAGCCATTGGAAGAATGGCTGTGTGGCAGGATTAGGTATGCTGGGGCTTTTACCTTCAAGATCTGCTTAGGTCACATTCCAATTACACAGCTTCCATTGGAGATGAAATGCTTCAGGGCACACCCAAGTTTATAGTTAGGTAGCTCTCAGCACCCAATTTATGATGGACAGTTTGGGTTACATGGTCATTTGAAGTTCTACGTTAGAAATTCAATCTAGACCAGAAACTGCAAGCAAGAGAGGAATTGGTTTTTAAAGGACAGAAGTTATTTCCTTTAAGGGAACATGGGTTTGTTTCAGAGCTCCAGGAGCTTCTTGCTGTGATTCTGCTTTGTGGACTTTACACAAGCTGTCACAATATCCCAATCTGCCACAGATGTTCTGGGTAGCATTGGTTTTATTGGGTGATAAGGGCCACGTGGCAGACTCGTACCCACTATAGCCTGGGGCTGCTGGAGCACCACCTCTTGCTCTGGGTCCTCCTAAAGATAGAAGATTTTAACAGTACCCAGTAAATGGAAAGAAGCAACAATCAAATGTGACATATGTTTTTTCCAACACCCACTGAAGCCCATTAAATGGTAGGGAGTCTAAGATACAACTTTTTGTGCACTTTGGAAGGTATATCCAGTATGTCTCAGATCACTAGACACACATACCCCTTCCACCATTGCACCACTGAGACTACTGCAGTTTCAGCAGGCTCCTCTATATTCTAGAGGATTGTTTTCTAGCATCTGGGAAACCTGCTAATTTTTGCTCTCTGGTTTCAATCAACATGATGTCATCAATGGTAGACTAGCATTATGATGTTTATGATGATAGTGGGATGGTAAGGTGATGAAGATTCCCTGCAAGTGAGTGGCATGTGGCTGATGAGTTGACATACATTGTGGCAAGACAATGAAGGTGTGTTCTGCTTCTGGTGTTCTCTGTTTATTGCTGGTCCTGTTTCTATTTAAAATTTTGCTATTTTGTGTTTCATAATTTTTTTGCATAAATTTTGGTTTTATAAAATATTGCATTAAATATTATTTATCTTGGTGATTGAGTTTTTTGGTACTCCCTTAAATTTTGTGCCTTAGGCAAGTGCTTTACTTGCCTCACCTTGGTTCCTTGGTTGATATATAAAGAAAATGCTTTCATTAGATCAATAGCTACTTGTTTAGTGCCTATAAGATCATAGCTGAAACAGTAGCCACATTTAGAGTTGACATACAATGAACGGCAATCTAAGGTTACTTTGAAACCTACCTGCCTTTTAAAGTAGCCAAATATGAATTAAGTCATCACTCCAACATCCTACAGGTCATTGCTAATGACATTTACTTCTGCAGTTCTACAAGGGAGGCAGTATTGCTCTTTTATTAGGCAGGAGGAAGTCTGGGAGATTTCACTTGGTCCTTTTGCCAACATAGTCTTAAAAGCCCTGTCTGTGGCTCAAGGAGCCCAGGGAGGCATTCTGTCATTTGCTGTATATACATGTCATTTATACCTTCAGTAACTGAAGATGTTTCCACTAGATTGGGTTTGGCAGTTTCATTGGTCTAGTGAGACTGACTAGGGTCAAAACTGAGTTGATATCTTGTCAATCCCTATTCTAAAAGTCTGACTGGTGACCATAGTATTCTGGCAGTCTAGAAATTAGTGTTAATTCAGAGATAGGCTCTACTAATTTCCAAACTTTGGGGGTATTTCTTCTTCCCCAGGGAAAATGGCTATAGGTTCACTGGGGGAAAAGCAGAGAGGAAAATGCAACAGGAATGCACAGAGGAATGATGCAAACACTTGTGGTGTTCTTCCTCAAGGTAACTCATCCTCCCCTTCATTTGCTCAGGTCTGGTAATTGGCTAAAAGGCCATGCCTCTCTGTTGTGGCAAATCAAGTCAGGTCTCTGTCCACTAAACCAGGAGTTTTGTCCGTTGTAAAAGGACCTCAGCAGGCTGCCCAGCTATTTCTGTGCTTGGGTCCCTGTTCAATTACACAATGCCAAAGATCCCTGTGAAACACATTCCTGATTACCATACAGGCCCTGCTGCCTGTTCTAGCACTCACAGCATCCCCATGTCTACGCTGGTTCAGTGTCCTCAGCTGGTCTTTGCTATCCAAGACTCATTATTCCAATTGAAATTGGCAAGCTCATTGTGACGTAGTATGTCACACTAGCATCTCCACCTAGAAAGAACAAGCCAATAAAGTTGTTTTAAAAGATAATAGGGATTGAGTATCATAATTTTCCAACCATCATAGTAAAGATTGGATCATCAACTGATGCTAAGACAAAGGGAAATTTTTGGTGAGGAGCAAAATATTTGCATTGTTCTTAAAGTGTGTCTCCACAGACTGCTTATTAGCTGCTAGAGAAAAAATAGTAACTATAAAGTGAAAAATCAGAAAATAACTTGATTGGGTAATCAAAATTATCATTGCCCATGGCGGGAGGCCGATAGACATCATCCTCTGCCTTCAAATACAATGCCCCAAGAAGGACACAGCATCAATTATGTAGTTTTCTAGCCAAGAATGCATAATATGAATCTCGAAATGAGGAAATAGTGGACAAACTCCAAATGAGGAATACTCTATTGAAACAGAAGGAATGGAGACTGTATTCTTCAAAAATCTCAATGTTCATGAGAAAACATGGACACAGGGAGGGGAACATCACACACCGGGACCTGTCGGGGGTTGGGGGACAAGGGGAGGGAGAGCATTAGGACAAATACCTAATACATGTGGGGCTTGAAACCTAGATGACGGGTTGATAGGTGCAGCAAACCACCATGGCGCATGTATACCTATGTAACAAACCTGCACTTTCAGCACATGTATCCCAGAACTTAAGCTAAAAATTAAAAATTAAAAAAAGACCATTAGAGATGGAAAAAAACCTCAGTGTTCTAAAAGAAAAATTGTGTAAATGTTCTAGACTAAAGGAGACTAAAATGACGTGGTACCTAAACGCAATACCTGGTCCTAGACTGGATCCTGTGCTAAAGCATAAACAAGTACTGTAAAGGACATTATTGGTCAATTGGCAAAATTGGAATATGAATGTTCAATTAGATCAAAGCTTTGTATTCATGTTAAATTTGATGAAGTTAACAGCTATAGTATGGTTATGTAAGAGAATATTCTTATTCTTAGAAAATACACAGTGGGGCCAGGTGCCGTGGCTCAAGCCTGTAATCCCAGCACTTTGGAAGGCCAAGGCAAGCAGATCACAAGGTCAGGAGATCGAGACCATCCTGGCTAACATGGTGAAACCCCATCTCTACTAAAAATACAAAAAAAAAAAAATTAGCCAAGAGTGGTGGTGGGCGCCTGTAGTTCCAGCTACTCAGGAGGCTGAGGCAGGAGAATGGCGTGAACCCGGGAGGTGGAGCTTGCAGTGAGCCAAGATTGCGCCACTGCACTCCAGCCTAGGTGACAGAGCGAGACTCTGCCAAAAAAATAAATAAATAAAAAGAAGAAAGAAAGAAAATACACAGTGAAGGGCTTATGGGATATGCAAAGTACTCTCAAAAAGTTCAGAAAAATTATGTGTGTGTACATGCACACACATAAAAAGAATGTGTGTACAAATGATAAAGCAAATAAGGTGAACTGTTAGCAATAGATACATTTGAGTAAAGGGCATATGAATGTTCTTTGTGCCACTCTTATTCTTGCAATTCTTCTAAAAGTTTTACATTATTTTCAAAGAAAAAAGAAGATATCATAGGTTAACTCACCAATTTGTCTCAAGTCATCTGGTCTTTCAGAGGACATTATTAGGGGATGAACAGGCGAATCACAGGTGATAAATTTACACTAGCATATTTTTTTCTCAAAGTCTGTGAATTCCTTCCTCTGTATCATGCTGGGGGATTTCTAGGATCCCAGCATTTAGTCTAGATGTGAGTTAATCAGATCAGTAAACTAATAGAAGTACACCCTGGGCTGGGCACAGAGTGGCTAACACCTATAATCTCAGCACTTTGGGAGGCCAAGGATCACTTGAGCTCAGGAGTTTAAGACCAGCCTGGGCAACACAGTGAGACCCCGTTTCTGCAAAAAATACAAAAATTAGCCAGGCATGGTGGTGCTTGCCTGTAGTCTCAGCTACTCGGGAGGCTGAGGTGGGAGGATTGCTTGAGCCCAGGAGTTTGAGGCTGCAGTAAGCTATGATTGCACCACTGCAGCACTCCAGCCTGGGCAACAGAATGAGACCCTGTAAGAAAGGAAGGAAAGGAAGGAAAGAAAGAAGGAAAGAAAGAAAGAAAAGAAAAGAAAAAAGAAAAGAAAAGAAAAGGAAACACCCTGATGCTCTAGCTAACAAACATAAGGACAAACTTCATTGCCCTTGGTACAGCATCCTTAATACGCAGGTTTCTGGTACATATAATGTAACAAATTCTTGGAAGTCTTTTGGAATCTTTGACACTGACTCTTCAATTTGCCTGCTCCAGCATACCGCTGAAGCTTAATGCTGGTTACAGGTCTACTGTGAATAAGGGGTGGGACATGAAGATAATTGTTTTCCTCTAGAAAGGGAACGCCCCCAGGAAAGGAGGAACAGATTCATTAGCCCAAGGGGTGGCAGGGAAAGAGCTGCTTCCTCTGTCCAGGGATGAGTTTCTTTCAGCAGGGTCCCTCTTGAGTTTCAGAAAGTCGATACTTTGAGGTGAGAAATTAGGAACTTTTTGAAGCGAGAAATTAGGAACTTTCTGAAGTGACAAATTAGGAACTTTCTGAAGTGACAAACTAGGAACTTCCGTTTGTTTCACTTTTTATTATTATCCAGTGCTGTTAAACTCAGCATCTCTACCTGATAGGTCCCTCCTTTCCTTAATGTTATAGAGCAAAAACTATGCAGTTCCCCAGAGCCTCACCCTCAGTGAGCACTTTGTTCCAGGTGAGCACTGGCCATAGCTTACAATCATTGTTTCTTTACAGATTACCAGGGCCTGCTAGGTTCCTGTCCTGGAATACAAACTGGAACTTCATTGCTTCTTGTCCTATTCCTGCCAGATCACTGGTATATACTCATTATGAGAAATAGTTTTGGAATAAATCTTGCATTTGGTTCTTTTCAAAGAACTTCCACATAAATTATCCTATATCCTTTATCATCATCATCACAACCTTGTGAGATGGTAGGGCAGGTATTATCTGTGTTTTATAGTGGAGAAAATGAGAGACACAGCAGTTAAAGTTCCATGCAACTTGGTTATACAACTAGGACTAGAACTTGGGCTTTGAGTCTTAGTTTTAGTGAAGCATCCCAGGTTAATGAAAATAGTGCTAACTTCTTAAAAATACTTTGGAAATATTACATGTATACAAAGAAGGTAGCAGAGACCCCTTTAACTCATGTGAAATAATCTTTGGGAAACCAAATCACAACATAACGTCTAAACTCAAACTCAAAACTTCTCTCTTTCCTACCAGTCTTCTCACTCATTGTTTGTTTCTGTTGATGATACCATTATTCTTTGCTTACTGTTCTTCCCCTCTGCTCCCACCTCCGGTTGTACACTCCACCCATGCTCTGAAGGCTGGGATCACTTTGCCACATGCATGCCTCTTCAGTGGGGGCCATTCAAGAAGCTTCAAGTGTGGATACATCTTTTGGCATATGGTAAACACTTTGTACTTTTGCCCCACCAAATTTAAAGTGTAGGCTGCTCCCATTGCAACCCTCTCTCTGCTTTGCAGTCATGGGCAACTCCAACCAGTCTTTAAATTATTTTTTTAGGTGTGCCTCAGTCACTACCCCTTGGGCTTTCTTAGCTTCAAAGGGCACGTTTCAAGTGTTGTCCAAATTCCAGAGGACACATAACAAGCTCAGAATAGTTAGTTCTCTTGATGGCTTGAAGATTGGGGGAGTGGGGAGAGAAATGCATAGTATTAAAACAAACTTCAAAGTATTTCTCACTCATCAGTTATCCTTCCTGATCACTCACAGCTTCCCTTGATTACACTGGAGGCTGGTAGTGGGCTAGGACTTACAGAACATTTTTCATAGTGTATTAAACATACCCTCTATTAGATAATCTAATATTTCCATTTAGAATGATGAGTATTTGCCATGTATATTTTTCAGTAACAATTTTGAGACAAAAATTCCCATGTTAACCTGATGCTTCACGGGCAAGAGATACAAACACAAACAGTGAAAACACAAAACAACAGGGATCCTGGCTCACATAGGCTAATCTTCTGAAAATCCCCACAGTTTTACACTGAGTTATAATGCATGTGATAATTTGTGATATTGTTATCTATTCAGTTCCAAAAAAAATAGCACAAGTTGGTCTAACAACATTTGGTGCAAAGGAGGAGATAGTAGTGGACATTAAATCTCAGATCTAGATGACTTCAAGAATGGTGGAGTAAGGAACTAAAAAAAAACACTCCTATAGAAAAACAATAAGAACACTAGCCAAAAAATTTTGAAAACAACTTTTTTAGAACTCTGGAAATTAACCAAAAGATTTGAGTATTTATTTCCCTAGAGAAGATACACAAATGGCCAATAAGCACATGAAAAGATGCTTAATATAATTAATCATTAGGGAAATGGAAATCAAAACCACAATGAGCTATCACTTCATACTCACAATAATGATATGATTACAATGGTTAAGAAATATTATATATCTATATCAATCTATATATGTGGACAACAATAAATGTTGGCATAATTACCCTTTTTTAATTATACTTTAAGTTTTAGGGTACGTGTGCACAAGGTGCAGGTTTGTTACATATGTATACATGTGCCATGTTGGTGTGCTGCACCCATTAACTCGTCATTTAACATTAGGTATATCTCCTAATGCTATCCCTCCCCCCTCCCCCCACCCTACATCAGGCCCCGGTGTGTGATGTTCCCCTTCCTGTGTCCATGTGTTCTCATTGTTCAATTCCCACCTATGAGTGAGAACACGCGGTGTTTGTTTTTCTGTACTTCCGATAGTTTGCTCAGAATGATGGTTTCTAGCTTCATCCATGTACCTGCAAAGGACATAAACTCATCATTTTATATGGCTGCATAGTATTCCATGGTGTATATGTGCTACATTTTCTTAATCCAGTCTATCATTGTTGGACATTTGGGTTGTTTTCCAAGTCTTTCCTATTGTGAATAGTGCTGCAGTAAACATCCCTGTGCATGTGTCTTTATAGCAGCATGTTTTATAATCCTTTGGGTATATGCCCAGTAATGGGATGGCTGGGTCAAATGGTATTTCTAGTTCTAGATCACGGAGGAATTGTCACACTGACTTCCACAATGGTTGAACTAGTTTACAGTCCCACCAACAGTGTAAAAGTGTTCCTATTTCTCCACATCCTCTCCAGCACCTGTTGTTTCCTGACTTTTTAATGATAACCATTCTAACTGGTGTGAGATGGTATCTCATTGCAGTTTTGATTTGCATTTCTCTGATGGCCAGTGATGAAGGGCATTTTTTCATGTGTCTTTTGGCTGCATAAATGTCTTCTTTTGAGGAGTGTTTGTTCATATCCTTTGCCCACTTTTTGATGGGGTTGTTTGTTTTTTTCTTGTAAATTTGTTTGAGTTCATTGTAGATTCTGAATATTAGCCCTTTGTCAGATGAGTAGATTGCAAAATTTTTCTCCTATTCTGTAGGTTGTCTGTTCACTCTGATGGTAGTTTCTTTTGCTGTGCAGAAGGTCTTTACTTTAATTAGATCCCATTTGTCAATTTTGGCTTTTGTTGCCATTGCTTTTGGTGTTTTAGACATGAAGTCCTTGCCCATGCCTATGTCCTGAATGGTATTGCCTAGGTATTCTTCTAGGGTTTTTATGGTTTTAGGTCTAACATTTAAGTCTTTAATCCATCTTGAATTAATTTTTGTATAAGGTGTAAGGAAGGGATCCAGTTTCAGCCTTCTACATATGGCTAGCCAGTTTTCCCAGGACCATTTATTAAATAGGGAATCCTTTCCCCCCATTTCTTGTTTTTGTCAGGTTTTTCAAAGATCAGATAGTTGTAGATATGCGGCATTATTTCTGAGGGCTCTATTCTGTTCCATTGGTCTATATCTCTGTTTTGGTACCAGTACCATGCTGTATTGGTTACTGTAGCCTTGTAGTATAGTTTGAAGTCAGGTAGCATGATGCCTCCAGCTTCGCTTTTTTTGGCTTAGGATTGACTTGGCAATGTGGTCTCTTTTTTGGTTCCATATGAACTTCAAAGTAGTTTTTTCCAATTCTGTGAAGAAAGTCATCGGTAGCTTGATGGGGATGGCATTGAATCTATAAATTACCTTGGGCAGTATGGCCATTTTCACAATATTGATTCTTCCTATCCATGAGCATGGAATGTTCTTCCATTTGTTTGTGTCCTCTTTTATTTCGTTGAGCAGTGGTTTGTAGTTCTCCTTGAAGAGGTCCTTCACATCCCTTGTAAGTTCGATTCCTAGGTATTTTATTCTCTTTGAAGCAATTGTGAATGGGAGTTCACTCATTATTTGGCTCTCTGTTTGTCTGTTATTGATGTATAAGAATGCTTGTCATTTTTGCACATTAATTTTGTATCCTGAGACTTTGCTGAAGTTGCCTATCAGCTTAAGGAGATTTTGGGCTGAGATGATGGGGTTTTCTTGATATACAATCATGTCATCTGCAAACAGGGGCAATTTGACTTCCTCTTTTCCTAATTGAATACCCTTTATTTCCTTCTCCTGCCTGATTGCCCTGGCCAGAACTTCCAACACTATGTTGAATAGGAGTGGTGAGAGAGGGCATCCCTGTCTTGTACCAGTTTTCAAAGGGAATGCTTCCAGTTTTTGCCCATTCAGTATGATATTGGCTGTGGGTTTGTCATAGATAGCTCTTATTATTTTGAGATACGTCCCATCAATACCTAATTTATTGAGAGTTTTTAGCATGAAGCGTTGTTGAATTTTGTCAAACGCCTTTTCTGCATCTATTGAGATAATCATGTGGTTTTTGTCTTTGTTTCTCTTTATATGCTGGATTACATTTATTGATTTGCATATGTTGAACCAGCCTTGCATCCCAGGGATGAAGCCCACTTGATCATGGTGGATAAGCTTTCTGATGTGCTGCTGGATTCAGTTTGCCAGTATTTTATTGAAGATTTTTGCATCAATGTTCATCAGGGATATTGGTCTAAAATTCTCTTTTTTTGTTGTGTCTCTGCCAGGCTTTGGTATCAGGATGGTGCTGGCCTCATAAAATGAGTTAAGGAGGATTCTCTCCTTTTCTATTGATTGGAATAGTTTCAGAAGGAATGGTACCAGCTCCTCCTTGTACCTCTGGTAGAATTCGGCTGTGAATCCATCTGGTCCTGGACTTTTTTTGGTTGGTAAGCTATTAATTATTGCCTCAATTTCATAGCCTGTTATTGGTCTATTGGGAGATTCAACTTCTTATTGGTTTAGTCTTGGGAGGGTGTATGTGTCGAGGAATTTATCCATTTCTTCTAGATTTTCTAGTTTATTTGCATAGAGGTGTTTATAGTATTCTCTGATGGTAGTTTGTATTTCTGTGGGATCGGTGGTGATATCCCCTTTATCATTTTTTATTGCGTCTATTTGATTCTTCTCTCTTTTCTTCTTTTTTAGTCTTGCTAGCAGTCTATCAATTTTGTTGATCTTTTCAAAAAACCAGCTCCTGGATTCATTGATTTTTTGAGGGGTTTTTTGTGTCTCTATTTCCTTCAGTTCTGCTCTGATCTTAGTTATTTCTTGCCTTCTGCTAGCTTTTGAATGTGTTTGCTCTTACATCTCTAGTTCTTTTAATTGTGATGTTAGGGTGTCAATTTTAGCTCTTTCCTGCTTTCTCTTGTGGGCATTTAATGCTATAAATTTCCCTCTACACACTGCTTTGAATGTGTCCCAGAGATTCTGCTATGTTCTGTCTTTGTTCCGGTTGGTTTCAAAGAACATCTTTATTTCTGCCTTCATTTCCTTATGTACCCAGTAGTCATTCAGGAGCAGGATGTTCAGTTTCCTTGTAGTTGAGCAGTTTTGAGTGAGTTTCTTAATCCTGAGTTCTAGTTTGATTGCACTGTGGTCTGAGAGACAGTTTGTTATAATTTGTGTTCTTTTACACTTGCTGAGGAGTGCTTTACTTCCAACTATGTGGTCAATTTTGGAATAGGTGTGGTGTGGTGCTGAAAAGAATGTATATTCTGTTGATTTCGGGTGGAGAGTTCTGTAGATGTCTATTAGGTCTGCTTGGTGCAGAGCTGAGTTCAAGTCCTGGATATCCTTGTTAACTTTCTGTCTCGTTGATCTGTCTAATGTTGACAGTGGGGTGTTAAAGTCTCCCATTATTATTGTGTGGGAGTCTAAATTTCTTTGCAGGTCTCTAAGGACTTGCTTTATGAATCTGGGTGCTCCTGTATTGGGTGCATATATATTTAGGATAGTTAGCTCTTCTTGTTGAATTGATCCCTTTACCATTATTTAATGGCCTTCTTTGTCTCTTTTGATCTTTGTTGGTTTAAAGTCTGTTGTATCAGAGACTAGGATTGCAACCCCTGCCTTTTTTTGTTTTCCATTTGCTTGGTAGATCTTCCTCCATTCCTTTATTTTGAGCCTATGTGTGTCTCTGCATGTGAGATGGGTTTCCTGCATACAGCACACTGATGGGTCTTGACTCTTTATCCAATTTGCTGGTCTGTGTCTTTTAATTGGAGCATTTAGCCCATTTACATTTAAGGTTAATATTGTTATGTGTGAATTTGATCCTGTCATTATGATGTTAGCTGGTTATTTTGCTCGTTAGTTGATGCAGTTTCTTCCTAGCATTGATGGTCTTTACAATTTGGCATGTTTTTGCAGTGGCTGATACCGGTTGTTCCTTTCCGTGTTTAGTGCTTCCTTCAGGAGCTCTTTTAGGGCAGGCCTGGTGGTGACAAAATCTCTCAGCATTTGCTTGTCTGTAAAGTATTTTATTTCTCCTTCACTTATGAAGCTTAGTTTGGCTGGATATGAAATTCTGGGTTGAAAATTCTTTTCTTTAAGAATGTTGAATATTGGCCCCCACTCTCTTCTGGCTTGTAGAGTTTCTGCCAAGAGATCCGCTGTTAGTCTGATGGGCTTCCCTTTGTGGGTAACCAGACCTTTCTCTCTGGCTGCCCTTAACATTTTTTCCTTCATTTCAACTTCGGTGAATCTGACAATTATGTTTCTTGGAGGTGCTATTCTGGAGGAGTATCTTTGTGGCGTTCTCTGTATTTCCTGAATTTGAATATTGGCCTGCCTTGCTAGATTGGGGAAGTTCTCCTAGATAATATCCTGCAGAGTGTTTTCCAACTTGGTTCCATTCTCCCTGTCACTTTCAGGTACACCAATCAGACGTAGATTTGGTCTTTTCACATAGTCCCATATTTCTTGGAGGCTTTGTTCGTTTCTTTTAATTCTTTTTTCTCTAAACTTCTCTTCTCGCTTCATTTCATTCATTTGGTCTTCCATCACTGATACCCTTTCTTCCAGTTGATCAAATCGGCTACTGAGGCTTGTGCATTCATCACGTAGATCTCATGCTGTGGTTTTCAGCTCCATCAGGTCCTTTAAGGACTTCTCTGCATTGGTTATTCTAGTTATCCATTCATCTAATTTTTTCTCAAGGTTTTTAACTTCTTTGCCATGGGTTCGAACTTCCTCCTTTAGCTCGGAGTAGTTTGATTGTCTGAAGCCATCTTCTCTCAACTCGTCAAAGTCATTCTCCATCCAGCTTTGTTCCATTGCTGTTGAGGAGCTGTTTTCCTTTGGAGGAGGAGAGCCGCTCTGATTTTTAGTTTCCAGTTTTTCTGTTCTGTTTTTCGCCATCTTTGTGGTTTTATCTACCTTTGGTCTTTGATGATGGTGACGTACAGATGGGGTTTTGGTGTGGATGTCCTTCCTGTTTGTTAGTTTTCCTTCTAACAGTCAGGACCCTCAGCTGCAGGTCTGTTGGAGTTTGCTGGAGGTCCACTCCAGACCCTGTTTGCCTGGGTATCACCAGCGGAGGCTGCAGAACAGCGGATATTGGTGAACAGCAAATGTTGCTGCCTGATCATTCCTCTGGAAGTTTTGTCTCAGAGTAGTACCTGGCCGTGTGAGGTGTCAGTCTGCCCCTACTGGGGGTGCCTCCCAGTTAGGCTACTCGGGGGTCAGGGACCCACTTGAGGAGGCAGTCTGTCTGTTCTCAGATCTCCAGCTGCGTGCTTGGAGAACCACTACTGTCTTCGAAGCTGTCAGACAGGGACATTTAAGTCTGCAGAGGTTTCTGCTGCCTTTTGTTTGGCTATGCCTTGCCCCCAGAGGTGCAGTCTACAGAGGCAGGCAGGCCTCCTTGAGTGCAGTGGGCTCCACCCAGTTTGAGCTTCCTGGCTGCTTTGTTTACCTACTCAAGCCTGGGCAATGGCAGGCGCCCCTCCCCCAGCCTCACTGCTGCCTTGCAGTTTGATCTCAGACTGCTGTGCTAGCAATGAGTGGGGCTCCGTGGGCATAGGACCCTCAGAGCCAGGTGCAGGATATAATCTCCTGGTGTGCCATTTGCTAAGACCGTTGGAAAAGCGCAGTATTAGGGTGGGAGTGACCCGATTTTCTAGGTGCTGTCTGTCACCCCTTTCTTTGACTAGGAAAGGGAATTCCCCGACTGCTTGTGCTTCCTGGGTGAGGTGATGCCTCGCCCTGCTTTGGCTCACACTCGGTGTGGTGCACCCGCTGTCCTGCACCCACTGTTGGACACTCCCCAGTGAGATGAACCCAGTACCTCAGTTGGAAATGCAGAAATCACCCGTCTTATGCGTCACTTACTCTGGGAGCTGTAGACTGGAGCTGTTCCTATTCGGCCATCTGGGCTCCACCTCCAGCATAATTACCCTTATCCACACTGGTGAAAATATAAAATGTGGCAGCTGCTCTGGAATGCAGTCTGACAATTCCTGAAATGGTTAAACACAGAGTTATAATATGATTTATCAATTCCCCTCATATATATATATATATATATATCCACAAAAAACTTATACACAAATATTCATAGCTGCATTATTCATAATATCCAAAAAGCAGAAACAACTCAAATGTCTGTTGACTGATAAATAGATAGATAGACTGTAGTATATATTCACACAATTGAATATTATTTGGCAATAAAAAGAAATGAAGTACTGACATCTGCTACAACATTGATGTACCTTAAAAACATATAATTCATGGAGAAAGCCAGTCAGAAAGATGAAATATTATATGATCCCTTTTATATATAATGTTCAGAACAGGCAAATCTCTAGAGGCAGAGAGTACATTAGTGGTTGCTGGTGGCTGGTGGGAGGGAGGAATGAGGAGTGACTGGTAATGAGTACGGGGGTTGTTTTGGTGTGATGAAATGTTCTAGAATTAGGTAGTGGTGATGGTTGCACAACCTTGTAAATACATTAAAAACCACTAAATTGCATACTTTAAAATGGTAATGTTTTGGTATGTGAATTATACCTCAAAAAATCTCAGATCTGTAAAACTGCTTACTATTTCATTGCAAACAAATACAAACAGAAGTTCTAATGATCTAATTGTCGAGAGCTCCACTTACCAAGTTAGGGGCTGAGATGTGAATGCAACTCACTTTCTTGGATTTACAGGAAGAGGCAGAAAGACTATGTCCTGATGCCTCTTAAAATTATTCTTTTCCCTGCAAGTGAAATTCAAATGGGATAGTAAATGATGTTTTTTGAGAATATGCTTAAATATTGTTTACATATTTGCCATTCATCTTCTCAAGCAAGAAAACTGTGTCACTCTCTTCAAAATTTTAAAAATAGAAAAGCCTCTCTTTTTTTTCTTTTTTTTGAAATGGAGTTTTGCTCTTGTCACCCAGGCTGGAGTGCAGTAGTGCAGTCTCGGCTTACTGCAACCTCCGCCTCCTGGGTTCAAGCAATTCTCCTGCCTCAGCCTCCCAAGTATCTGGGATTACAGGTTCCCACCACCATGCCTGGCTAATTTTTTTGTATTTTTAGTAGAGACACGGTTTCGCCATGTTGGCCAGGCTGGTCTTGAACTCCTGACCTCGGATGATCCACCTGCCTCAGCCTCCCAAAGTGCTGGGATTACAGGCGTGAGCCACTGCACCTGACCAAAAATGGAAAAGCCTCTTTAAACAGAGCTGCAATTGCTTAAAAATCACCAGTGTCTACATATTTGAGAATTTTCATTGCATGTTAAAGGTTGATTTATTTGAAAGGAAATGGAAGCAGAAGAGTGAATCGTATAGAAAGGAGAGAGAATACGAGCTTTTTACATAGAGTTATAGTTACCCAGGTAACCATATTCTGATTTTACAAAAGCCATTATAGGATCTTAGGCTACTGGGGTGAAAGAAGGGCATTGTAATATATTATTCATCTTTGTTCCTTCGATGTTTGTTCAGTGTAGACAATGAGATAGGTAGAAGGTAAATTGAAGTTATGGAGAAATTCAAACATCCCTTTGGTGAAGTGTACCTTCACCTTTGAAGTATTATGGTACAGTAAGGTAGTAATGAAAGGATTCTGGAAGACCAATCCTCTGGGAGCACCTAAATGATGAGTCATCAAAGAAAAAGCAGAAAACACCTTAATCAAACACCTTAATCCAATTACGTGTTCTTGTGCTAGCCTATTGTTTGAATTAACACTACTACACAGGGTCAGCAGGAATACTTTGAGCACACCCCGACCTGAGACAACCATAGTGAATAAAGGCCAACAATATGGTGAGAAACACAGAGAAGTCTATGGGTAAGAAAACAAAAATATTTTCCTCTTCCTGCACATAACCAAGATATTTCTGTACCTGGAACACTATTGCAAGCTCTGATTTCTTTACCTTGAGAAGGACTGAATGGAGCTAAAGAAAAGCCAGAGAAGGCCGGGTGTGGTGGCTCACGCCTGTAATCCCAGCACTTTGGGAAGCCAAGGTGGGTGGATCTCGAGGTAGAGATCGAGACCATCCTGGCCAACATGGTGAAAGCTCATCTCTACTAAAAATACAAAAATTAGCTGGGCGTGGTGGTGCGTGCCTGTAGTCCCAGCTACTCGGGAGGCTGAGGCAGAAGAATCGCTTGAACCAGGGAGGTGGAGGTTGCAGTGAGCCAAGATCACACCACTGCACTCTAGCCTGGAGACAGAGTGAGACTCCATCTAAAAAAAAAAAAAGAAAAAAGAAAAGAAAAGCCAGAGAAGAAAATTTCAAAAATCAAGCAAATAGAGGCGATGGTTATGTGAGACCATGCTAAATAAATAACATTATATAATTTTCAGGCTAGAAAAATGAAGGCCAAGAAGTGATATTATTGTTTGCTATGAAATCAGCATGGTGACTGTAGGCTTGTCACCTCCTAATATTAGAATTTTTAATTCCTGACCTACTCCAGCCATGTTGTAACATATACTGACGCTTTTGAACTTGAAAGCTCAGTCTTATCCAATATGTAAGGCATT
Organism: Homo sapiens; assembly: GCF_000001405.40. Classification (NCBI taxonomy): domain Eukaryota; kingdom Metazoa; phylum Chordata; class Mammalia; order Primates; family Hominidae; genus Homo; species Homo sapiens. The sequence goes on along the minus strand of NC_000023.11, from coordinate 134,114,570 downwards.
CTGCAAGTAGCCAGGCTATCTAGGAGCTCCCAAAGGCTAGCAGAGTCTGGCTTCCCTAAGCCTGTCATATAGCAAATGAGCTCTAAACACTTCATTTCTTCAGTTCCTCATATTTTTCTGTTTCCTGTACCATCTTTTGCTAGTCTGCATGTCTGGGATTGTACCTTGATTTCCTGGATTTGCCCTCCTGCTTCCTTCACCAGCTCCTTCCCCCATTCTCCATATTCTAAGGTGCTGATTGGAGTTTTGCTCTAAACTGGATGGGCCACTCCAAATCACATTGCTGACTCCAAACCACATTGCTGACTTTCACTGTATTCACAGGCTCATTCATTTCAGTTGGGAGGCTCTTGTTGCCATTCTTCACCTTCTAGACTGACTCCCTTAGATGCTGATGCTAGTATAGATCAAGACCTAGACTATCTTGACCTTTTGGCCAGTAATTTAAATTGTTAGCTAGCACCTTTAGGAGTAAGTCCAGCAGTGGATTTAGTTTTCCCAAACTGAGCCCCATTGTTCACAGCTTCCTCCTTTCCCTGCAGTCTTTCTACTTCACATATATAGATTCACTTAAAGTACAAGCACAATGAGTTGTGTTGCTCATTTCCCACTTTACTTTTGGTCCAGTTTCACAATTTTGAAAAGATTAGACTTAAGAGAAAAAGGAGGTAAATTAGACTACTTTGCAATAGCCAAAAAGTAGAAACATCCCTAATGTCTATCACCTGGTATATAGATAAATAAAACATAGTATAGCTATACAATGGAATATTATTCATCAAGAAAAAGAGTACATGGTTACTAGAAACTGGGAAGGTCAGGGGGAGGGTGAGATGATGAAAAATTGGCTAATGGTACAAAAATACAGTTAGAATAAATAAGTTATAGTGTTTGGTAGTACAGTAGGGTGACTATAGCTAATAATAATTTATTGTATATTACATAATAGCTACAGAGAAGATTTGAAATGTTCTCAACACAAAGAAATCTTTGAGGTGATGGATATCCCAACTGTCCTGCTCTAAACATTACACATTATATACATGTATCCAAATATCACATGTATCCTATAAGTATGTGCAATTATTATGTATTAATAGTAGTAATTATTAATAATAGTAATAATCAGACATACAGTCTGATACATACTACAACATGGATGAAGCTTGAAAAAATGAAACATGAAGTGAAAGAAACCAGTCACAAAAAAACATATTATATGATTTCGTTTCTATCAAATGTCCGGAATAGGCAAATTTACAGAGACATAAAGTAGCTTAATGGTTGCTTATGTCTAGGAAGACAAAGGAATGAATGCAGAATGACTACCAATGGGGTATGAGTATTTATTTTAAGAGGTTTTAAAATGTTCTAAAATTGTGGTAATGGTTGCACAAGCCTGTGAATATATTTTAAAATATTGATTTCTGTTCTTTAAGCAGGTTAATTTTATGGTATATTAATTATATCCCAATAAAGCTGTTAACAGTGAAAAAAGAAAACATTTAATTGTACTCTTTAAAAGGGTGGAGTTTATGGTATGTGAATTATATCTCAATAAAGCTACTTTAAAAAAGAGAAGACACAAACAAGTAAAAAAAAGTCCTGTGTTCATGGATTGGAAGACTTAACATTGTTAAAATGTCAATACTATCCAAAATAATCTACAGAGTTGATGAAATCCTTATTTAAAATCCCAATGATACTTTTTGCAGAAATAGAAAAATGGACACTAAAATTCATATGGAATCTCAAGGGATCATGAATAGTCTTAAGAAAGAAGAACAATCTTAAGAAAGAACAATGCTGGAAGTCCCACAACTCCTGATTTCAACAATTATTACAAAGCTACAGTAGTCAAAACAGTATGGTACTGGCATAAAGACAGACATATAGAAGAGTAAAATAGAAAAGAGAGTCCAGAAATAAACTCTTGCATATATATTCAAACAATTTTCATTAAGGATGCCAAGAGCATCCAAAGAGAAAAAGGCAGTCTCTTCAAAAAATAGTGTTGGGAAAACTGGATATCCGCATGCAAAAGAATGAAGTTGGATCCTTACCTTAAACCATATACAAAAACTAACTCAAAATGGATCAAGGACCTAATCATAAGGCCTAAAATTATAAAACTTTTGGGAGAAAACATAGGGGAAAATCTTCATAACGTTGGGTTTGGCAATGATTTATTGGATATAACACCAAAAACACAGACAACAAAGGAAAAATAGATAAATCAGACCTCATTAAAATTAAAAGCTTTTGTGCACCAAAGGATGCTATCAACAGAATAAAAAGGCGACTCATGGAATGGGAGAAAATATGCGAAAGGCATATGTCTGATAAGGCATTAATATCCAGAATATATAAAGAACACTTTCAGGTCAACAACAACAGAACAAACAACCCAATTAACAAATGGGCAAAGGACTTCAGCAGACATTTCTCCAAAGAAAATATACACATGGCCAATAAGCACATGAAAAGATGTTCAACACCATTGATCGTTAGGGAAATACAAGTCAAAACCACAATGAATACCAGTTGACATTCATTGGGATGACTATTATTTTAAAAAACCCAGAAAACTATAAGTATTGGTGAGGATGTGGAGAAATTAGAACCCTCGTGCACTGCTGGTGGGAATGTAAAATGGTGCAGCTGCTGTGGAAAATGCATGCAGTTCCTCAAAGAATTCAACATAGATGGATAACTATATGCAGAAGAAGGAAGTCATACTCTCATCTCTCATTATATAAAAAATCAAATGAAATGGATTAAATACTTAAGTCTTAAGACCTGAAATTATAAAACTACAGGAAGAAAATATTGGAATATTGGGGAAATGCTTCGGGACCTTGGTCTGGGCAAAGATGTTTGGGTAATACCTCAAAAGCCCAGGCAACAAAAGCAAAAATAGACAAATGTGATTACATCAAGCTAGAAAACAGTCAACAAAGTGTAGAGACAACCTACAGAATGGGAAAAAATATTTGCAAACTATCCATCTGACAAGGGATTAATAATCAGAATATATAAGGAACTCAACAGCAAAAATAATCTGATTTTAAAATGTGCAAAAGCTCTGAATAGACATTTCTCAAGAGAAGATATACAATGGTTAACAGGTATATGAAAAAATGTTCAATATCACTAATCATCAGGAAAATGCAAATGAAAACCACAATGAAATATCATCTCACCCCAGTTAAAATGGATTTTAACAAAAAGAAAAAAAATAACAGAAGCTAGCGAGGATGTGGAGAAAGGGGAACACTCATACACTGTTGGTGGGAATGTAAATTAGCATAGCCACTGTGGAAAACAGTAGGGAGGTTTCTCAAAAAACTAAAAATAGAACTACCATATGATCCAGCAAAATCCCACTGCTGGGTATATACCCAAAAGAAGGGAAATCAGTATATCAAAGAGATATCTGCTCTCCCATGAAGCACTATTCACAAAAGCCAAAATATGGAATCAACCCATGTGTCCATGTACAGATGAATGGAAAAAGAAAATGTGTACATAAATACAATGGAGTACTATTTAGCCACAAAAAGAATGAAATTCTGTCATGTGTAGTAGCATGGATGGAACTGGAGGTCATTATTCTAAGTGAAATAATCCAAGCACAGAGAGACAAATATCATATGTTCTCACTCATATGTGAGAGCTAAAAAAAAAGTGGATGTAATGGCGGTAGAGAGTTGAGTGGTGGTTATCAGAGAATGGGAAGGGTAGAGGATTGTGGAGATGAAGAGAGGTTGGTTAATGGGTACAAAAATACAGTTAGGTAGAAGGAATAAGATCTAGTGTTTGATAGTACAGTAGGGCAACTATAGTTAACAATAATTTTTTCTATATTTCAAAATAGCTGAAGGTGAGGAATTAGAATGTTTCCAACAGTGAAGAAATGAATGTTTGGAGTGATGGATATCCCAATTGCCCTGGTTTGATCATTACACATTGTATGCATGTATCAAAATATCACATGTATCCCCAAAATATGTACAACTATTATTTATCAATAAAAAGTAAACATAGGCTTAATATATGATCCAGAAAATATACTTCTGGGTATATAACCCAAATAATTGAAAGCAGGGAGTCAAACAGATATTTGTACACCTATGTTCATAGCAGCATTATTTACAATAGCCAAAAATGGAAGCAACTCAAATGTTCATCAATGGATAAATAGCTGAGGAAATTGTGGTCTATTCATACAGTGGAATATTATTTGGTCATAAAAAGGAGTGAAGTACTGATACATGCTACAATATGGATCAACCTTCAAAACATTATACTAAGTAAAATAAGCGAGTCACAGAAAGACAAATACCTGCATGATCTTACTTATATGAAGCATCTGAGGTAGTTAAGTTCATAAGGACAGAAAGTAGAATGGTGGCTGCCCAGGGGCTCGGGGGGAGGGGACTATGAGGTGGTGGTAGTTCAATTTTGCGAGATGAAAATGTTCTGGAGATTGCTTGCACAACAATGTGAATATACTTTACATGAATAAACTACACTTAGAAAGAGTGAAGGTGGAAAATTTTATGTTGTGTTTTTTTTCAACCACAATTTAAAATCTTTAAAAGGAAAGAGAAAATAAATGGAGGTTCTACTTTACAGGCAGCAAACTCAAGGACATTATTAGCCACTCAAGAGCTGGTATAGGTTCAAAATGTAAATAAGTTTAAGAAAGGTCTGTCTACAATTATGAGCGATTTTTTAACCAAACTTGGGATGTTTTGGTTGACACCTCAGATCTTTAAAAGGATTACTACAGAGGGGATCATTAGGCTGTCAAACAAACTAGCTTCTGTTACATGGAAAAGAGGGAATATTCTAATAGAATGAGACTATTCTTATCTTCCAATAAAATTAAAAGTCTACAGCATGCCTGTTTCAATATTTTATTGCTTAAATAGCATGACTTTAATGGGGATTTGTTGAAGCAAAGTGATACTGCACAGAGCTGTCAAACAACCAAACCAAAACAGTGCTATATACAATGTATTTAACTAACTGAAAGGACTTTTATTCATTATTTTATAGTTCTGTATTTTTATGGCAGATGTTGACAGTTTACTATTGTTTCAGAATCAAATGTCAAGTTATTCCTGTTCAGAATTTTCCATTTCTATTTTCAAAGAATTCCATCTGCAGCTGTATTTATAGTGAACGCTATGCTTGCAAAAACCCAGCATTTTTAAGCAGGTTTGTCAATAGGTTTGAAGGAGTACATGCAAGCACTGGAGACCTGCCTGGGTTAATTAATTCTCTTTTCAGGCATTAGAACCTACACAAGTAGGCCAGCTGGAGGTGAATGTTTTCTTTGAAAGTGATAATTGTATGCCTTACCAAGTGTTTGCGTTTCCACATCTCTCCCAGTCAAATTTCCCAGAACTCAGAAACCAAGTATCAAGAGAAGTTTTTTCCCCCTCCTGGGAAAATGAACATGTAGATGAGCTAGGATAATAATTGTGAATAATACAGATAGTTTGAAGGTCTGGATGATTCACACAAATATAACAAAGATGGGACTGTGGGCTTCTGCTAAATATAGCATATAGAAATTGCTGTGGCATGGTATGTTATTGTGCTTCAATTCACATTTTCTTTCCTTCTTTTGTTGCTTCTAAAATGCCTGTTTTTTACACTCTCCACTTTCCTTCCAGGACAGTGAGGAGGAGATGAGCTCCCTGCATTCCCTAGCACGTGTAAAAGCCAGGGAGCTGGCCCCTTTCCATCCCCAGTGGGGAGCACTTTGCCTTGGCATCAATGGAGGGGTGAGGGTTAGGAAGATCTATGACTAAGCTGGGAGTTTCTTGCATGACCAGCCTTTATCACTCCAAAGCTAACCTCACCCAAGAGATGGCTTTCCATGCAGCAAAACACCAACGTTTTCTATCTTTCCTCCTGTTTGCATTCAAGTATTTCTGATACACCTTTGGATCAATTGGCCAGGCCTGCTCCTTGAAGTGCTGTGAGGCTAGGGAGGCAGTTCCTTGTTCCACACTATTTACTGGGCCGGCTGCGTGGACTTAGGTGCCAGTCTAAGTCTCATGGCCCTTAGGTAACTAGGGGCCCACCGCAGACCTGAGGTTGGGGTACAAACTTCCCTTGATTAACCTGAAGTTGGTGAACAGAGCTGGAATGAGAAAAAGGCTGCCAAAGTAAGACCCCCCCAACCCGACACCACCGCTTTCCAATTTTCCTTGTCTTTTAGAGTAGGGAAACAAGTTTTCCTACAAGTGCAACGAAATGAACTGTTTCAGAGACTTCTTTCACACACCCCACATGCTTGAGTGCACAAGTTATGCAAATGTTACCTAATCTCAAAGATGATCTCTTGGCAGACCTTGAAAGGTTATATCGTCTCAACAATCATGAATATGGAAGGAGGATAAGTTGGTCAAAGTGGGACAATAGTTTGCCAACATAGCAACTCTAGACACTTCAGACCAGAGGTTGGCAGACTGTGTCCTATGGGACAAATCTGGTCCATGGTCTGCTTTTGTATGGCCTGTGAGCTAACAATAGTTTTTACGTTTTTAAATAGTTGAAAAAAAATCAAAAGAAGAATTTTTTATGATGAGAAAAATTACATAAATTGAAATTTCAGTGTTTATAAATACAATTTTACTGGAACATAGCCATGTTCATTAGTTTATACATTGCCTGTGGCTGCTTTTGTGTTGCAGTGGCAGAATTTAGAAGTTGCAACAAAGACCATATATGGCACTGTCATTGCTTTGCACTCCTGATTTATACACCACAAATTGCAGTGGCATAACTATAACTTGACAGTGTTTTGAGTGCTGCAAGTATTTACTGAAATGTAAGATCTTTTCTCTTACTAGTGTGTACCAATCATGTCAAAACAAGACAAGAAAAGCAGACTTCTGATGTTGAACCTTTAAGGCACAATGGAGTATGGATTATTTTGTTAACAAATTAGATGGCAAAACACTGTGTATACTATGCAACAACATAATAATAATAACATTCACGTGGTCAGAAGATCGAGACCATCTTGGCCAACATGGTGAAATCCCGTCTCTACTAAAAATACAAAAATTAGCTGGGCATGGTGGCACGTGCCTGTAATCCCAGCTACTTGGGAGGCTGAGGCAGGAGAATCGCTTGAACCTGGGAGGTGGAGATTGCAGAGCGAGACTCCATCTCCAACAAAATAATAATACAAATAGAAAATGACCTCTAAGGGCTATAAGTTCCATGTGTTTTTCTCCTGCCATGACTAGTGTATAATTTATACACTGCAAATTGCAGTGGCATAACTATAACTTGACAGTGTTTTGAGTGCTGCAAGTATTTACTGGAATGTAAGATATTTTCTCTTGCTAGTGTGTACCAATCATGTCAAAACAAGACAAGAAAAGCAGACTTCTGATGTTGCACTTTTAAGGCACAATGGAGTATGGATTATTTTGTTAACAAATTAGATGGCAAAGCACTGTGTATATTATACAAGAACATAATAGTTTGCTAAAGAATACAATATACATCACCATTATCAGACTAAGGACTGATAACAATATTCTCAAATCGCATTACAGAAAATTTAGAAAATTTAAAACAGAATATCTAATCACAGCAGAACTTCTTCACAAACATGTTGTCTGCTAGCACCCTGATTGAGACACAAGTTAACAGCTTTCTCCACAGTAAAAGCAGCAGGGACAAAGGAACAGGTAACTTCATAGCCTTGTTCACAGTAGTTGCTGCTCCACAGGTCAGTGCTGCTCTGTGCCTCTGGTTCCTGTGGATTTCCTCTCTCATTTCATCAGCACTGCTGTGTTAGTGCCTCTATAGAGGTAGGGGGCTCATGGTGTCTAATGTCTCCTTCCCTGTCTTGCCTTTCTGGAGAAAGTGTGTCATGGTTCATAAAGGAATAGGCCAAAGACCCCAGGCTTGCTCATTGGGATGGAAGTTAGTCCAAAGTGAGAAAGCGTTGGGCGGGAGATGGGCCCTGATGGGGACCTTGGCGTTGGTGCACAGCGTGGCAGATGAGGAATGAAAGCCAAACTGCCCTGTTCACACCAACTTCTTTCTCATAGACCTCTGGCCCTAGGGACCATATCTTATCACTTGATACCTGGTTTTTCTGTTTTAAAAATATTGTTCTGGTAGCCCCTTTACAGAATTAGAGGCCTAAAGTTCCTGATGACTTCTCTTTCCTTTTTTTCTCTTGTTATATGCAAGGAAAATCTATAGAAAGAGAAATTGAGGATGACTGAATTCTGCCTTAGTTGGTAGAATGAAAGATTTACAGAGGGAGAATTCTTGGGACAGGTATTCAGAGTAATTCTATCTATGTTGGTTTGGAGCAGATGAAAGCTGGGCTGTGCCGTGGTTTGGATATTTGTTCTCTCTAAATCTCATGTTGACATATGACTGTATTAGGCCATTTTTGCATGGCTATAAAGGAATACCTGAGGCTGGGCAATTTATAAGAAAAGAGGTTGAATTGGCTCATGGTTCTGCAGGCTGTACAGGAAGCATAGAGGCATCTGCTTCTAGGGAGGCCTCAGAAAGCTTTTCCTTATGGTGCAAGGCAAAGTGGAAGCAGGCACTTCACATGGTGAAAGCAGGAGCAAGAGAGCAGGGTGGGGGGTGCCACACACTATTAAACAACCACTGTGAGAACTCACTCACTGTCATGAGAACAGCATTGTGGGGATGGTGCTAACCATTCATGAGAAATTCGCCCCATGGTCCAATCACCTCCCACTAGGCACCACCTCCAACATTGAGGATTACAATTCAACATGGGATTTGAGGAGGGACACACATCCAAACTTTATTACTGACCTCCAATATTTGAGGTGAAGCCTAGTGGGAGATGTTTGGGTCATGGGGGTGGATTCCTCATGAATGGCTTGGTGCCATCCTGGTGGTAATGAGCGAGTTCTTGCTCAGTTCCTTTCCTTGAGAGTTGGTGTTAAAAAGAGCCTGGCACCTCTGCCATCTTTCTCTTGCTTTTTCCCTGACCATGTGATCTCTGCATATGCAGGCTCCCTTTCACCTTCTTCTATGAATGGAAGCAGCCTGAAGCCCCCACCAGAAGCAGATGCTGGTGCCATGCTTCTCGTGCAGCCTGCAGAACCATGAGCCAAATAAACCTCTTTTCTATATAAATTATGCAGTCTCCAGTATTCCTTTATAGCAATGCAAACAGATTCAGACAAGCTGTAAAGTTTTCCCTGAAGTTTTCCCAGTTAACACCAGCATCTCCTTCACAGACCTCTACTACCCTGGGCCCATCAGTTTTGAGGACCTTGCCTTTTCTCCTTTTGAGAGACTAAAATAGAGCAGCTGCCTTAGTGTTTTCACAGAAATCAGGGACTGGAAATGCTGTCAGATTTTGCATTTTCCTTGAGTGCCATCTATTTTCAATAGAAACATTTGTGCACTGACTGCAAGGGAGATGGATCAAGAGTGCTGCACCCCTTGCTTCATATGCTGGAAGACAGCCCAAAAGGAGAATTTGGGCTCCCACATACCAGAGCTCTGGTATGTGTCTAGAGAGAGGAAGTAGTGGTAGAGGAAATGTTGCTGCCCTGAGAAATCCAGAATCTTGTTCACAGGCCTCTGCTGCCCTCCTCTCCCAATTTTTGTTAAAATAAACATTTAATTTAAGAATAGTTTTATTTGTGCATTTATTTATTTAATTTATTTTTTTTTTTTGAGATGGAGTCTCGCTCTGTCATCCAGGCTGGAGTGCAGTGGTGTGATCTCGGCTCACTGCAACCTCCACCTCCTGGGTTCAAGTGAGTCTCCTGCCTCAGCCCCCTGAGTAGCTGGGATTACAGGCACCTGCTGCCATGCCTGGCTAATGTTTGTATTTTTAGTAGAGATGAGGTTTTGCCGTGTTCTGGTCAGGCTGGTCTTGAACTCCTGACCTCAGGTGATTCACCTGCCTTGGACTCCCAAAGTGCTGGGATTATAGGCATGAGCCACCACACCTGGCCAAGAATAGTTTTAGATGCACAGAAAAGTTGTGAGGATAGCACAGAGAATTCCTAGATACACTATATTCAGATTTCATTGATTTTTCCCAAAGATTCTCTTTCCATTCCAAGATCCCATCCAAGATGCCACCACCTATGTTAAAAGTTTGTAAAGGCTGCCATAACAAAATACTAGAGACTAGGTGGCCCAAGCAACAGAAATTTAATTTTGCACACTTCTGGAGGCTGGAAATATGAGATCAAGATGTTGGCAGGTTGAGTTTGTCTTTTTTTTTTTAATTTTATTTTACTTTAAATTCTGGGATACATGTGCTGAACGTGCAGGTTTGTTACGTAGGTATACATGTACCATGGTGGTTTGCTGCACCTATCAACCCATCATCTAGGTTTTAAGCACCACATGTATTAGGTATTTGTCCTAATGCTCTCCCCACCCTTTACCCTGACCCCCTGACAGGCCCTAGTGTGTGATGTTCCCCTCCCTGTGTCCATGTGTTCTCATTGTTCAACTCCCACTTATGAGTGAGAACATGCGGTATTTGGTTTTCTGTTCCTGTGTTAGTTTGCTGAGGATGATGATTTCCAGCTTCATCCATGTCCCTGCAAAGGACATGAACTCATCCTTTTTTATCACTGCATAGTATTCCATGGTGTATATGTGTATATGTGCCACATTTTCTTTATTCAGCCTTTCACTGATGGGCATTTGGGTTCATTCCAAGTCTGCTATTGTTCTCTTAAAGCCTTTCTCTTTGATTTACAGATGGCTTTTTTATCCCTGTGTCCTCACATGGCCTTTTCTCTGTGTGCGTACATTCCTGGTGTCTTTTCCTCTTCTAATGAGGATGGATGATAGTTCCATTGAATTGGAGCCCCACCATTATGACCTCATTTAACCTTAATTATCTTTTTTTTTTTTTTTGAGACAGAGTTTCGCTCTGTCGCCCAAGGTGGAGTGCAATGGCATGATCTTGGCTCACTGCAACCTCTGCCTCTTGGGTATAAGTGATTCTCCTGCCTCAGCCTCCCAAGTAACTGGGATTATAGGCACCCACCACCACACTGGGGTAATTTTTGTATTTTTAGTAGAAACAGGGTTTCACAATGTTGGCCAGGCTGATCTTGAACCCTGACCTCAAGTGATCTGCCTGCCTCGGCCTCCCAAAGTGCTGGGATTACAGGCGTGAGCCACTATGCCCAGCCTAACTTTAATTATCTTTTAAAATTATCTTCAGATAAAGTCACATTGACAGCTAAGATTTCAACATATGAATTTTATAAAAAAATCTTTTAGGTTCAGGAGTACATGTGAAGGTTTGTTATATAGGTAAACTCGTGTCATGGGGATTCGATGTATAGATTATTTCATCACCCAGAAACTAAACCTAGTACCCAATAGTTGATTTTTCTGCTCCTCTCCCTCCTCCTACTCTCCAACCTCTGGTAAGCCCCAGTGTGTGTTGTTCCCCTCTATGTGTCCATGAGTTCCCATCATCTAGCTCCTACTTATAAGTGAGAACACGTGGTATTTGGTTTTCTGTCCCTGCATTAGTTTGCTGAGGATAATGGCCTCCAACAAATGGTTTTCCAGCAACAGTGTTCATGTTTTCTCCACAGCATGTTTTCTTGTTTTTTGCAATATAGATGGATTTAATAATTTATTTCAATGTATCTTTTTTCCTCCTGTGTTTTACTATAAACAGTAAGGAGAAACCAGACCATGCCTTCAACACTTTGCTTTGAAATCTCTTCAGCCAGATATCTGAGTTCATCACTTTTAACTTCTAATTTCCACAAACACTAGAATGCAATTCAGCCAAGTTTTAAAAAATCACTATATTTATTTATTTGAGACAGGATCTCATTCTGTTGCCTAGGCTGGAGTGCAGTGGCACAATAATGGCTGACTGCAGCTTCAATCTCTGGGGCTCAAGCCATCTGCCCACATCAGCCTCCCAAATAGCTGGGAACACAGGCTCTTGCCATCAAGCTCGGCCAATTTTAAAAATTTTTGTAAAGAGACAGGGCTTCACTATGTTGCCCAGGCTGGTTTCAACTCCTGGGCTCAAGTGATCCACCCTCCCAGGCCTCCCAAAGCTCTGGGATTATAGGCATGAGCCACCATGCCCGGCTTAAAAATCACTTTTATAACAAGGATCATCTTTCCTCCAGTTTCCAATAACATGTTCTTCATTTCTGTCTGATACCTCATGATAATCACTTTTAACATCCATATTCCTACCAACAGTCTCTTCCAGGCAATTTTCTTAGACCATTGTGGCTGCTATAAAAAATATCAAACTGGGCCAGGCATGGTGGCTCATGCCTGTAATCCCAATACTTTGGGAGGGCAGATCACCTGAGGTCGGGAGTTTGAGACCGGCCTGACCAACATGGAGAAACCCTGTCTCTACTAAAAATACAAAATTAGCTGGGCGTGGTGGCATATTAGCCTGTAATCCCAGCTACTCAGGAGGCTGAGGCAGGAGAATCGCTTGAACCCGCAAGGCAGAGGTTGTGGTGAGCTGAGATTGTGCCATTGTACTCCAGCCTGGGCAACAAGAGTGAAGCTCCATCTCAAAAAAAAAAAAAAAAAAAAAAGAAAGAAAGAAAAAGAAAAAGAAAGAAAAATCAAACTGAGTAGCTTAGAAGCAACCAAAATTTATTTCTCACAGTTCTGAAGGCTGAGAAGTCTGAGATCAAGGCAGATTTGGTGTCTGGTGAGAGCCCATTTCCTGCTTCATAGATGGTACCCTCCCACAGTCCCCTCACATGGTGGAAGGAGTGAACAAACTCCCTTAGGCTTCTTTTATAAGTGCAACAATTTTATTCATTAGGGCTCCACCCTCAATGCCTAATCACTTCCCCAAAGGTCCCACCTCCTAATACCATCACCTTGTGTGTTAGGATTTCAATATATGAATTTTGGGAGAGACACAAACACTGAGAACATAGCAGCAATCTAAACATTTTCTAACATGAACCTCAAAACTCTTCCAGCCTGTATCCATTACCCAGTTCCAAAACCACTACATTTTTAGGCATTTGTTACAGCAGCACCCACTTCTTGGTACCAAAATCTGTATTAGTCTTCTAGGGCTGCTGTAACAAAGTATCACAGACTGGGTCACTTAAACGACAAAAATTTATTTTCTCACACTTCTGGAGGCTGGAAGTCCAAGATCAAGGTGTTAGCAGGTGTGTTTTCTCCTGAGGCCTCTTTCCTTGGCTTCCAGATGCTATTTTCCCTCTGTGTCCTCACATGTCTTTTCTCTGTGTGTATGCACTCCTGTTGCCCCTTCCTTTCCTTATTAGAACACTAGTCTTTTTGGATTAGAGTCCCATCCTGATGATCTCACTTAAACTCAATTTCCTCTATAAAGACGATATCTGCAAACATAGTCATTTTGGGGGTTAGGACTTCAACACATGAATTCAGGGGGAAATCATTCATTCCACAACACAATTTCTCTTCTCTTTTTGATAGGTCAAGACTGAGCATCTATGTTTCCACCTTTACTGACACTGGAGACTGGAAATACCATTAGCTTTTTCATTTTTCCAGAAATTCATTTTCTATATCAAAAGGAAAAAATGGACTGGTAGCCATTTTAAGGTGAACACATCATGATAGATCCTTGCCTTGTTTGGTACTGGAAAGACATTTGCAGGTACCTTTAGAGGATTGAGCCAGATAGGCACCTCTGCTTATCAGGCCACAGTATTTGAGAAACACTGGTAGAAGAGGAACTGTCCTGTGACATTTCTCATTCTTCACTGGCCTTTGCTGCTCTCTGCCTCTGGCCCTGTTAATGCTATCCCTCAGCAACATGCATGGCTCTACCATTTTGAGAACATTGCCAGTAGCCCCTTTATAGAACTAGAGGTCTCAAGTTTACGGTGGCCGTGATGACTTCTGTAGTTCAGTTTATGCCCAAAGAAAAGAATGTGTGAAGAAAAGGCACAAAAGTGACTGTAAGAGAATGATGTCACCAAAAATGGCAGAGCCTCTGCCAGGGATTTCTGAAAGATCTCTCCTCCATAAAAGTCATGAGGAAAATATCAAAAAAGGTAAGAATTGGCTTTTTTCAGAACACTGGAGATTAACCAATAGTTTGCAGAAATCAAAGAGCACTTAATCAAGAAAAATGGCTGACTAGGTAAGAATGATGAGATTAACGTCCTCTTAATTTGCTTTAGTCCCATCCCTCTTTATCCAGCTCCCTAATATCTTTGAAAATTACTTCCTACTTTCTTATCTTAGCAACCAACAGAGGGGGCAGAACAAGTCTAGAGCTCTTTCAAACACTCATTCCAAAAGAATTGTCATTATTTGACCTGTCCAGTTGTTCTCTGGAAGAACCTACTTGCAAAGGTGTCTGACACAGGACTCGCCCAGTGTGGAAAGTGTTTCCCCAGGAGGTATTTGTCAAAAGCAATTTCAGGCAATTGTTAAACATCCTGGCTGTCTGAGAAGGTGATAACAGTTGGAAGAAAGCAACAAGCTAACCAAAATACTTTTTTTTAAGAAAAAAAGCTGGGAAATAAAATGTCCTTAGAGGCTTTGAGAATCTCTGACATATTCCTGGGACTCTACAAGGTCAGGTGCATGCCCATGGTGGTGCATGTGCTTAGGAAAGACTTGAGAAGGTCCTGAACTTTCACCGCTGGCTGACCTTGAGTGTCTGTAAAAGCAGAATGTGAAGGCTAACACAAGAGTTTTAAACTACATGCTGGAGCATTGAAAGAGTGCCCAAATACACACACAGAGCCCCTCAGCAAAGTTTGGTAGACTTATTAATTCCAGGAGTTTAAGGAAACTTCCATCCAATCATTAATGAACCACTAAGCTACCTGAGCAGAGAGTTTAATGGTCACAGAAGAAAAAAAATACAAACTTTTACAGAATTACTTCAGGAAAACCACAGGGAAAATTAGGGTTCTACTAAGAAAAATAATCAATAGGCAATATATAGATATACAGAAAGAGATTTATTATAAGGGGTTGGCACATATGGTTATGAAGGCTGAGATGTCTTATGATCTGCAGTCTGCAAGTTGGAGGCCCAGGAAAGCTGGTGGTGTAGTTCCAGTCCAAGTCTGAAGGCCTGAAAATTGGTGGGGGGTGGGGGCGGAAGGCAGTGGTGTAAGTCCTAATCTGAGTCTCAGGGCCTGATAACCAGAAGTTTTCATGTCCGAGGGCAGGAGAAGACGAATATCCCAATTCAAACAGAGAGAGTGAATTCACCCCTCCTCTGCCTTTTTATTCTATTCAGGCTCTCAATGTGTTGGATGATAACCACCCACATAGGTGAGGACAATCATATTTTTTTTAACTCAGTCTACTGATTCAAATGCTAATCTGTTCTGAAAATGTCCTCACAGACACACCCAGAAATAATGTTTTATCAGCTATCTGGATATCCCTTAGCTTAGTCAAGTTGACATATAGAATTAACCATCATAAGTCCACCCTTGTCAAATTGGCACCCATACACATTCCTTAAACTACATGTAATCACTAAATAAAGACAATAACAAGGTGATAATTCCACCAAACATGATACAACTATCCTGCATACAACCAAAAACGTGTAATTCCTTCCCCAGAAGAGGAGGTAAAGTCTTTAAGTGATGTTGACCCTTCTTTTGATACTCTGTTACTTTAATGCTATGGTATAAAGTTAACAATACTTAAAAATGGATATTAAGTCAATACATCTTATGTTACATGAGAAGGAGATAAGAGAAAAAAATAAAGATATTTGCTTTATATAGATTGATTGACTGATTGATACACACAGATGTATTTATTAAAAAAAGAAGAAATATTTATGACAATTACATTCCTTGTTTCTGTAGCTTGTATTTATAACTACCTTTTCCTACTACCCATTCTGCATTCCCTTTGCCTTCAGCAAGCACCTCAGCTAGTCATAATTCTTAACCTGGCAGGGTGACCCAAACCTTCATTTCTGAAGAGTCTACGCCATTAGTAATCCTCCCTGGATTGGATTGGTGTCGTTTTTCATTGACCTTAATCACAGGACACATACTAAGAGGCATCCTAAGGGATCTCCTGTATACCAGGCATACTCTTTTTTATCTCCATTGTGAAGTAGTAGTCCAATTTCCCCTTGGTAGTACCAATCACCCCACCCAGCATAGTAACTCTCTTCTTTGCCTGTTGACTCAGAGGAGCCCAAAGTGGCCAGGCGGCAGTCTGTTTTGTTTTGTTTTTTCCTACTTTAAGTTCTGGGTTACATGTGCAGAACATGCAGTTTTGTTACATAGGTATACACATGCCATGATGGTTTGCTGCACCCATCAGCCCATCATCTACATTAGATATTTCTCCTAATGTTATCCCTCCTCTAGCCTCCCATCCCCCAACAGGCCCTGGTGTGTTATTTTCCCCTCTCTGTGTCCATGTGTTCTCATTGTTCAACTCCCACTTGTGAGTGAGAACATGCAGTGTTTGATTTTCTGTTCTTGTGATAGTTTGCTGAGAATGATGGTTTTCAGCTTCATCCATGTCCCTGCAAAGGACATGAACTCATCCTTTTTTATGGCTGCATAGTATTCCGTGGTGTATATCTGCCACATTTTCTTAATCTAGTCTATCATTGATGGACATTTGGGTTGGTCCAAGTCTTTGCTATTGTGAATAATGCCAGGCTGCAGTCTTAATTCCAGTGCAATGGAATTATTGTCATGTCTCTTGGTGGAAGTATTTTTCCCTTTGAAGCCAGATCTCTAGGCCAGATCTCTAAGCCAGAAGAGTATAAAATTGCAGGGTGAGGAAACAGAAGTTGGGCTAGTGAGTCACTAGGGATAATAGTGACTAGTGCCAATCCTATTTCTACCCCTTGATTCCTGGACCTGTGAATCCTGGCTATCAGAGAAATGGCAACTTATATTGGATGCCAATTCAGAACATATATAGCCTTCTGGAGAACCTTGCAGGTCTGGGTTCAGCTATTGCCACCTAGCTGGTACTGTAACTGAGTTTTCAAAAGGCCAGTCAAGAGGCCTATCAAGTCAGTTGCTTCAGGATGGTAGGGGACATGGTAAGACCAGTGTATTTCAGGAGCATGAGCACCATTGTTGCACTTCTTTTTCTGTAAAGTGAGTTTCTTGATCAGAAGCAATGCTGTATGGAATATCATAATTGTGGACAACACTTTCCATAAGTCCATAGATGGTAGTTTTGGTAGAAGCATTGTGTGCAGGGAAGGCAAATCTGTATCTAGAGTGTCTATTCCAGAAAAAGCAAAACAATACTTCTTCCATGATGGAAGAAGTCCAATATAATCAACCTGCCTCCAGGTATTCGGCTGATCACTCTGGGGAATGATGCCACATTGTGGGCCCAGTGTTGGTCTTGGCTATGGCAGATTGGGCACTCAGTGGTGGCTATAGCCAGGTTGGCTTTGGTGAATGGAAGTCCATGTTGCTGAGCCCATGCATAACCTCCATCCCTGTCACCATGGCCATTTTGTTTATGAGCCCATGGGCAATGACAAGGGTGGCCAGGGAAGGCAGCTGAGTGGTATTCACAGAAGAAGTCATCCTATCCTTTTGATTATTCAAATCCTCCTCTGCTGAAATCACACTTTGGTGAGCATTCACATGGAACACAAATATCTTCACTTTTTGGCTCATTCACAAAGATATATCCACATACCTCTTCCCCAAATTTCTTTGTCACCAATTTTCCAATCATTTTTCTTCCAAGTTCCTGACCACACAGCCAAACAATTGTTTACAGCCCCTGAATCAGTATATGATCACATGTCTGGCTATTTCTCCTTCCAAGCAAAGTGCACAACCAGGTGCACTGCCCAGTATTCTGCCCATTGGGATGATTTCCCATAACCAGTGTCCTTCAGGGATGTCCCTTTAGTGTGGCAACTTTCCACTTTTGGGCAGTGCCTGTATATGGTGCAGAACCATCTGTAAACCAGGCCTGAGTCTTCTCTTCCTCTGTGAACTTATTGTAGGTAACTCCCTGATGAAGCCATAGGTGCAGGCTGGGAGAGAGAAGTGTAGCAGGAGTGGGGACCATGGGGATTTGGGCCTCTTTCTTATGTAACTTACTTGTGCCTTCAGGTCCTGCTCCAGCCCAATCACATATATACCACTTCCATTTGATGATGGAGCTTTGCCATGCATGTCCAACTTTATGGCTTGGTGGGTCAGATAACTCCTAGTTCATGATGGGCAACTCAGGCTGCATGGTAACTTGGTAGCCCATGGTCAAGTGTTCAGTCTCTATTCAGGTCCAGAAGCATGCCAAGAGCAATTTCTCAAAAGCAGAGTAGTTATCTGTGGAGGATGGCAGGGTCTTGCTAGAAAATCCTAAAGTCCTGTGCTGCTATTTCCTATAGGGGCCTGAAAAGGGCCCCAAACAGCATCCCTATCTGCCATTGAAACTTAAGGCACCACTGGATCTGCTGGATCATATGGCCCAAGTAGCAGAGCAGCTTGCACAGCTGCCTGGACCTATCACCAAGCCTTCTCTTGCTCTGGGCCCCACTCAAAACTAGCAGCTTTTCAGGTCACTCGGTTAAATGGGTCTGAATAACACATGCAAAGGAAAACTATGTTGACTCTAAAATCCAAAGAGGCCGACTAAATGCTGTGGCTCTTTCTTAGTTGTAAGAGGGACTGATGCAACAAGTTATCTTTCACCTTAGAGAGCATATCTCGACATACCCCACATCACTGGATCCCTAGAAATTTCACTGAGGAAGAAGGCCCTGAATTTTAGATTTATTTCCCACCCTCTGACACATAAATATTTTCCAATGAAGTCTAGAGTAGTTGCTACTTCTTGCTTACTAGCTCCAATCAGCATAATGTCATAAATGTAAGGAAGCAGTGTGATATCTTATAGAAGGGAAAGGTGATTAAGATCCCTGTGAACAAAATTATGACACAGGGCTAATAAGTTGATATAGTCCTGAGGTAGGACAGTGAAGGTATATTGCTAGCCTTGCCAGCTGAAAGCAAACTGCTTCTGGTTGCCTTGTGGACAGGAATGGAGAAGAAGGCATTTGACAGATTAATAGCTTGCATACCAGATACCAGAGGATGTGTTAATTTTCTCAAGCAATGAAACCACATTTGGTATAGCAGCTGCAATTTGAGTCATCAACTGGTTAAATTTATGATAACCCACTGTAATTCTCCAAGATCCATCTGTCTTCTGCACAAACCAAAGAGGAGAATTGCATGGGGATGTAGTGGGAATTACCACCCCTGCATCTTTGAAGTTCTTGATGGTGGCATTAATCTCTAAAATCCCTTGAGGAACATGGCATTGCCTTTGGTTTACTATTTTCCTAGGTAGATGCCATTCTGGTGGCTTCCACTTGGCCTTTCCCACCATAATATCCCTCAGTCTACATGTCTGAGGACCAATATTAAAGATTCTGCTAGCTACTGAGTATATCTATTCCAATTATGCATTCTGACAATGGTGAAATAATCACCACATGGGTTCATGCAACCCACTGTGAAATGGACCTCAGTTAAAACTCCATTGATCACCAGACCTCTGAAAGCCCCTACTCTGACTGGTAGGCCACATTATGTTTTGGGTCTCCTGGAAGTAGTGTCAGTTCAGAACCAGTGTCCAGTAGGCCCCCAAATTCTGATTATTTCCTTTTCCCCAGTGTACAGTTACCCAGGTAAAAGGCTGCAGGTCCCTTTAGGGAAGGCTGAGAGCAAGATTAATAGTATAAATTTTTGGTAGTGTACCAGGGTTCTTCCTTGAGGTGATACAACATCCCTTTCATTAAAAAAGTACTGGGTCTATAAACTGGCTCAAGTCTGGAAATTGATTGAGATGCTATGACTTTCTATTTTGGTGATTTGAGTTAGGCTTTTGTTCCCTTGTCCCAGACATTTTCTGCTTATAACAGATCAAGTAGATTTCCTATCTATTTTACTACTAGGAAATGAAGCATCATGACTAACTAGCCAGTGCCATAGGTCTGCATGAGTCAAGACTATCTTGATTGCTGCTTTGACTCTGCTGCCCATTATGATAAATATGCTCACCTTGCCTTTGGTGGTTAGTGCTGCCACTTGGTCTTTTCCACTCCATGATCCAATTACTCCCGTTGCATTTAGGTTTACCAGTTCAGTAACTGCAATTCCCAGTGTGAGGTTTGGTCTACAGAGAAGAGAGAATACAGAGCACTTCAAGGATCCTGGAGTTGCCCTCATACATATATTTTCATGGTATTGGCAATAGGTATGTCTTCTGAACCCTCCCAGTGTGGATGAGTAGATCTTAAATGACAAATCCGCTCTAATGTTCCAATCTCCTTAAGCCTTTGAATCTGTTCCTCTGCATTAAACCAAGGCATATTCTGCATTTCCAATTTGCCCACTGTGGGCCACCTTTTGGCCCAGGCATCAGCCAACAAATAAAACAAACTTTTAGAGCCCTTTATGATTCCCCAAGCTGTAACATTAAATGCAGAATCTCTACTTAGTCAGCCTGTATCAATAAATTCAGCCTGATCCAATGTTATATTCCTTCTGCCATTACCCCAATGCCTTACAATCCATTCCCATACATGCTTCTTGGATTTCTGTCTGTATAAATTAGAAAACTCTAGTAGTTCTTTTGGAATGTAGTGGACCTGCTCATGGGTCACACATTGTAACTCACTTTTAGGGAACTGCTGAGACTTGAGTCTAGTTATAGGTCTAGAAGCAAAGAAGGGTGGTGGGGGTGGGTCCTGGCAGGCTCAGCATGGTCTTTTATGGCAACTGCCTCAGTGGAGGCCTTTACAGTGTATTAAGGCAATGCAGGGTTAATCTTCTCAGAGGAAGGTGGAAAGACCAAGACTACTATGGGTGGAGAGGCTGACAGCCCCAAGGACATGGATGCAGCTGCCACTAGCTGGGGGAGGCCACTTGCACTAAAGTTGGGGAGACCACTTTTGGTTGGGATGGGGTGTTCTCTTCCACAGGCAAAGAAGACTCAGAATTTAGGAGCTCACTGTCCTCAGCTTCATCAGGGTCTTCCTACACATCTCCATTCTAATTTACAAGATCCTATTCTTTCCCAATTGATGTCCTCCCTTTAATAGGAGACACCCTGCAAGGTTGAGAGTTTAACTTGTATTGTAATCCAGCCAATCATAGGATGAGGTTCTGTGTTTGATTTGCAGCAATTTTAGCCCTACCACTAGAGGAGATAAAGGACTCCTTCAGGGCACAAATAGAAGCTCTTAGGTCATTTATGCAGCACTTGAGCTTGGAATTTGAATCCCTGAGCTCATCCTCTTCTTTCATCAATTTGTCGAGCAACATTAGGAGCAACCAACCATTGTCTTTATATTTCCTAGTTTTAAAGAATTTTGAAAAGGATTATATACAGAGTCACTCAGCTCCTTGCTTCTTACAAATGGTTGATTAGAAGTATCCAATGCAGATATTTTGCATATCTCTATGAACAGTTCATGCTATGTTATACTCTGCTATGCTATGCACTATCTGTGCTCTCTTTACTACTGGAAATAGAGTCATTAGTATCTTTAATTTTAACTATATGTTCCATGAAAGGGCCATATATTCAAAGTGACCCTCAAACCCGGAAGGAGCCAAGAAACCAAAGGATGAGGCAGACAAATCCAGTTTGTCAGTACAGGGTGATGTATTAGGGGAATTTATGGACAGAGCATGGTCTTCGGTGGCTGCAAGATAGACAGATCTACCACAACCCTCCAGACCCAGGGCTTATATCTTGGGGGAAAAGTATAAATGCTGTGGAAGAAATGTGTAGGTGGCTACAGGTGTCACAGCCTGTGATATATGCAATTATCCTTCATAAAATAAGAAGACATTAAGACATTCTTGGCCGGGCGCGGTGGCTCACGCCTGTAATCCCAGCACTTTGAGAGGCTGAGGCAGGCGGATCACCTGAGGTCAGGAGTTCAAGACCAGCCTGACCAACATGGAGAAACCCCATCTCTACTAAAAAATACAAAATTAGCAGGGTGTGGTGGTACATGCCTCTAATCCCAGCTACTCAGGAGGCTGAGGCAGGAAAATCGCTTGAACCCGGGAGGCAGAAGTTGTGGTGAGCTGAGATCGTGCTATTGCACTCTGGCCTGGACAACAAGAGCAAAACTCCGTCTAAAAAAAAAACAACAAAAAAAAACACGACATTCTTAGATGAATAAAAACAAATACTTCGTCCCTAGCAGAATTGCCCTCCAAGAAATATTAAAGGGTGTCCTTCAGGCTAAAACAAAAGGACACTAGACACTAGACAGGACACTCGAATCCACATGAAGAAATAAAGAGCACCAGTAAAGGTAGCTACATAGATAAACATAAAGGACAGTATGGATGTATTTTTTGTTTGTAACTTGTTTGTTCTCTTATCTGATTTAAAAGACAACTGCATAAAGCAATAATTATGTCCATGTTCATGGGCATACAATGTATACAGATGTAAGGCATAAAGGAAGGGAGAAGAAATGGAGTTTTATGGGAACTATTTTTGTATACAATTGAAATAAGTTGATATTAATTCAAACTGGATTGTTATAAATTAAGGCGCTAATTATAATCACCGGGGCAACCACTAAGACTACAGCTTCATGTCGTTATGCCAAGCAAACAATGCTGGGTTGTTCTCTTTACCCCGCTGTCCACCTGTGGCATGGTTTGCTCTCTCCCTTACTCAGTTCCTTGTGTTTTCCTCCAGTGCGGCTAAGTTAGAGCCTTTACAGGGCTGGGGGTGTGGAGTGAGGGAGATGTTGTTTAATTTTTCTTACGCACATCTAAGGTAAAGGAATTCATTATGCTCAATCCTGTATTAGTCACAGGCTATCTTCATCAGAAGTGAATTGAAGTAACAAGATAATTCTTTTGTAGAATTATCTTTGATTGGCAAGTCACTTCCAGCTGAAGGAGTCACCTTCCTGGCCCTTCTTCCCACCTTGGTCAGGCTGGCCACACGCAAGACACCTGCAAACTATGAGTCTACCATTTATATACAAAGTTTATAGCACATCTGTTAACATAAGCATTCACTTGAAGGAGCCTGGGGGTTAAAGAGGGATTTTTCAGAAACAGCATCTATGTAAGGTACCCACTGAGTCACAGTACAGCTTAGGAGGACAAAATGTGTTGATGAAAAGATAGAAATCAAGATTTTTCACACCAGCTTCTTCACACACCTTAGTTGATTTGTGCCTATAATGTTTGTTAATTTCTCCCCATTCTATGTTGTTTTTTTCCCCCTTACTCTCCTGTGCCCTCTCCTCAAAATGCTGTGTTAGGCCAGGCACAGTGGCTCAAGCCCGTAATCCCAGCACTTGGGGAGGCCAAGCCAGGCGGATTGCTTGAGCCCAGGAGTTCAAGACTGGCCTGGGCGACATGGTGAAACTTTGTCTCTACAAAAACAAAAATTAGCTGGGCATGGTGGTGCATACCTGCAGTCCCAGCTACTCGGCTTGCTGAGGTAGGAAGATCACTTGAGCCAAGGAGGTCCAGGCTGCAGGGAGCTGTGATCGCACCACTGCACTCCAGCCTGGGCTACAAAGGAAGACCCTGTCTTGAAAAACAAACAAACAACAACAACACACACACACACACACACACACAAACTGGGTTAGTGATTTTGGAGATTTGTTCCTCCTAAAATTAAATGCACTTTCTACCCTAAGCCTGCAGTATTTACATGCTGCCCTACATTTTGAAGAGAAAGGGAAAAAAATTGTGTTCCTTCCCTCTCATCTCTCCCTGTCATCCCTCCCTTCTTTTCAAACTTGTGAGATTGTCTCAGCCACAGGCTGTAGCTCAAATTTAGGTAGGCTGGCACCTTTCCAGGGATATGAGGGTCTGAGGAGCACCAGGAAGAAATCACACTGGGATCAGATAGGGCTGGAGACAACTAGGCGGCAGGTAATACTTGCAAGTGTTTGATGTGAAGACGTCTGCTTTTCTTTACTTCAGATCTGATGCAAAGACCAGAACAGCAGCACAAGTGTAATAATAATTGGCAGTCAGTGTGGGGAAAGGGAAGTTCAGTACGTGTACCCAAAGAAATGGGAGGAAACACCAAATAGGTGGGTAAATGTTGCAATGATGAATCTGGTTAGATATGTGAGAAATCAAGGAAGGCTGACAGTAGGAATCTGTTAACAGGTATCAAAGTCTGGATGTGAATAAGATTTCAATTCCTAGGAGGGGAGCCAGCAAGGCTAGTGTTGTGAGATCAGAATCAGGCACGAGGAAGGCCTGGGCTTTGGGATACAGTGTGTGAAGAGTGATAAAGAACACAGCTTTGCAACCTTTCATTCACCCTGAACTTTCATAATGTGCCTGCAGCAGGCACTGGGCTAGGTGCTGGATATACAATGTGATATAGTTTAGACGTTTTTCCCCTCCAAATCTCATGTTGAAATGTAATTGTCAGTGTTGAAGATGGGGCCTGCTGGGAGGTGTCTGGGCCGTGGGGTGAATCCTTCATGAATGGCTTGATGCTATCCTCACAATAATGAGTGGGTTCTGGCTCTCAGTTCACATGAAATCTAGCTGTTTAAAAGAATGTGGCACCTCCTCCTGCTTTTTGCTCCCTCTCTCACTATGTAACCTGCCTGCTTCTGCTTCACCTTCCACAATGAGTAAAACCTCCCTGAGGCCTCATCAGAAGCCAAGCAGATGCCAACACCATGATTCCTATACAGCCTGCAGAACCAGGAGCCAATTAAACCTCTTTTCTTTATGAATTACCCAGTCTCAGGTAGTTCTTTATAGCAATACAAAAATACACTAATACACAATGAAACTTAACACCAGATGATCCCAGCATTTGCAAAATTTGGGAATAAAATTGGCTGCAGCGCTATTGCTAGCTGTGTGACCTTCGGCAAGTCACTCAACCACCCTGTGACTCCGTTTTCTCAACTGTAAAATTTTTTATTTCTTATTTTATTTTTGATTTGGGGGTACATGTGCAGGTTTGTTACATGGGTTTATAGTGTGATGCTAAAGTTTGAGCTTCTAATGATCCCATCGCCCAAGAAGTGGACAGAGCACTCAATAGGTAGTTTTTCAACCCCTGCCCCCTCCTTCCTTCCTCCCTTTTGGAATCCCCAGTGTTTATTGTTCCCATTTCTGTGTCATTGTGTACTCAATGCTTAGCTTCTACTTATAAGTGAGAACATGTGGTATTTCGTTTGGTTTCTACATTGACTTGCTTAGGATAATGGCCTCCAGCTGCATCCATGTTGCTGCAAAGAATATGGTTTCATTCATTTTTATGGCTGCTTAGTATTTCATGGTGTATATGTACCACATTTTCTTTATCCAATCTTCCATTCATGGGCACCTAGGCTGATTGCATGTATTTGCTATTGTGAATAGTGCTTCAATAAACATATGAGTACAGGTATCTTTTTGGTAGAATGATTTATTTTCCTTTGGATATATATCCAGTAATGGTTCAGATGGTAATTCTATTTTTAGTTTTTTGAGACATCTCCAAACTGCTTTCCACAGGGGCTGAACTAAATCCCATTCCAACCAAGTGTGTATAAGCATTCCCTTTTCTCTACAACCTCACCAACATCTGTTATTTTTTGACTTTTTAATCATAGCCATTCTGACTGGTGTGAGATGGCATCTTATTGGGGATTTCATTTGCATTTCTCTGATGGTTAGTGATATCAAGCATTTTTTCACATGCTTGTTGGCCGCTTGTATGTCTTCTTTTGAGAAGTATCTGTTCATGTCATTTGCCCACTTTTTAATAGGGCTATTTATTTTATGCTGTTGATTTGTTTCAGTTCCTTTGAGATTCCGGATATTAGTCCTTTGGTGGATGCAGTTTGGAAATATTTTCTCCCATTCTGTAGGTTGTATGATTTCCAGGTTGATAGTGTCTTTTGCTGTGCAGGAGCTTCTAGTTTAATTAGGTAAGAATTGTCAATTTTTGTTTTTACGCGTTTGCCTCTGAAGACTTAGTCATAAATTCTTTGCCTAGGCCAATGTCTAGAAGAGTATTTCCTAGATTTTCTTCTAGGATTTTTATAATTTCATTTCTTACCTTTAAGTCTTTAATCCATGTTGAGTTAAATTTTGTATATGGTGAGAGGTAGGGGTCCAGTTTCATTCTTCTGTATATTGTTAGTCAGTTTTCTCAATACCATTTATTGAATAGGGTATTCTTTCCCCATTATTTATTTTTGTAAACTTTGTCAAAAATCAGTTGGTTGTAAATGTGTGGTTTTATTTCAGGAGTCTCCATTCTGTCCCATTGATCTATGTTTCTATTTTTGTACCAATAGCGTGTTATTTTGGTTACTGTAGCCTTGTAGCATACACTGAAGTTGGGTATTGTGATGCCTCCAGCTTTGTTCTTATTGCTTAGGATTGCTTTGGGTATTTGGGCTCTTTTTGGGTTCCATGTGAATTTTAGAATAATTTTTCTAATTCTGTGAAAAATGGCATTGATAATTTGATAGGAATAGTGTTGAATCTGTAGATTGCTTTGGGCAGTATGGACATTTTAATATTGTTTCTTCCAATCCACGAGCATGGAGTGTTTCTCTATTTGTTTGCATCATCTATGATTTCTTTCAGCAGGGCTTTTTAGTTCTCCTTGTAGAGATCTTTGACCTCCTTAGTTAGATGTATTCCTAGGTATTTTATTTTTTGTGGCTATTGTAAATGGGATTTCATTCTCGATTTGGTTCTTAGTTTGAACGTTACTGGTGTATAGAAACACTACTGATTTTTGTACATCAATTTTGTATCCTGAGACTTTGCTGAAGTTGTTTATCAGGTCTAGGAGTCTTTTGTCAGAATATTTAGGGTTTTTTAAGGTATAGAATAAAATAGAATAATTCTATTCTATTTTAGGTGTAGAATTATATCATCATCAAAAGACAGGTAATTTGACTTCCTCTTTTCCTATGTGCATGCCTTTTATTTCTCTCTTGCCTGATTGCTCTGGCTAGGACTTCCAGTACTATGTTGAATAAGAGTGGTGAAAGTGGACATCCTTGTCCTCTTCCAGTTCTTAGTGGAAATGCTTCCAGTTTTTGCTCATTCAGTATGATGTTGGCTGTGGGTTTGTCATAGATGGCTCTTATTATTTTGAGGTATGTTCCTTAACACCTACATTGTTGAGGGGTTTTTTTCATGAAGGGATTTTGGATTTTATCAGATGCTTTTTCTGCATCTATTGAGATGATCATATGGTTTTTGTTTTGAATTCTGTTTATGTGGTGAATCATATTTATTGATTTGTGTATGTTGAACTATCCTTGCATCCCAGGAATAAAGCCCACTTGATTGTGGCGAATTAACTTTTTGATGTGCTGCTGGATTCGGCTTGCTAGTATTTTGTTGAGGATTTTTGCTGAGGATCCAAGCTATTGGCCTGTAGTTTTCTTTTCTTGTTGTGTCTTTGCTAGATTTTGGCATTAGGATGATACTGGTTTTATAAAATGAGTTAGAGAGGAGTCCCTCCTTGAATTTTTTGAGTAGTTTTAGGAGATAGCTAGTAGGATTGATACTAGCTCTTCTTTGTATATCTGGTAGAATT
Organism: Homo sapiens; assembly: GCF_000001405.40. Classification (NCBI taxonomy): domain Eukaryota; kingdom Metazoa; phylum Chordata; class Mammalia; order Primates; family Hominidae; genus Homo; species Homo sapiens. The sequence continues at coordinate 134,086,979 of NC_000023.11, read as the reverse complement.
AGGCTGTGAATCCATCTGGTCAAGGGTTTTGTTGTTGTTGTTTTTTGTCTGGTAGGGTTTTTTTTTAACTGTTGATTCAATTTTACTACTTGTTATTGATCTGTTCAGGGTTTCTTTTTTTTTTTCTTCCTGGTTCAATCTTGGGAGGTTGTGTGTTTCCAGGGATATATCCATTTCCTCTAGATTTTCTAGTTTATGTGCTTAGAGATGTTCATAGTAGTTTCCAAAGATCTTTTGTACTTCTGTGGGATTGGTGGTGACGTTACCTTTGTCATTTCTGATTGTGCTTATTTGAATCTTCCCTCTTTTTCTTTGTTAATCTACTTAGTGGACTGTCAATCTTGTTTATCCTCTCAAATAATCAATTTTTAATTTCTTTTTTTTTTGAAAAATGAAATGTATGGTTTTTTGTGTCTCAATTTCATTTAGTTCTGCTCTTATTTTTGTTATTTTTTTCTTCTGCTAGCTTCTGCTAGCTTTGAGTTTAGTTTGTTCTTGTTTTTCTAGTTCCATTAGGTACAAAGTTAGGTTGTTAGTTTGAGATCTATCTTCTCAATGTAGGCATTTAGCACTATAAAGTTTCCTCTCAACACTGCTTTTGCTATATTCCAGAAGTTTTGTATTTTGTGTTTCAATTTCCATTTGTTTCAAATACTTTTTTAATTTCTGCCTTAATTTTGTTGTGTACCCAAAAGTCATTCTGGAGCAAGTTGTTAGGTTTCCATATATTTCTGTGGTTTTGAGAGTTCCTCTTGGTATTGATTTGTTTTTATTCCACTGTAGTCTGAGAAGATGCTTGGTATGACTTCAGTTTTTAAAATGTATTAGAGACTAGCTTTGTGTTCAAGAATGTGGTCAATCTTACAGTATGTTCTGTGTGCAGATGAGAAGAATGTATATTCTATGGCTGTTGGGTGGAATATTCTGTAGATGTCTGTTAGGTCTAATTGGTCAAGCGTTGAATTTAAGTCCAGAATTTCTTTGTGAGTTTTCTGCCTTGATGATCTGTCTAATGCTATCAGTGGGGTAATGAAGTCCTCTACTATCATTCTGTGGCTGTCAAAGTTTTTCTTAGCTCTAAGAAGTAATCATTTTATGAATCTGGGTGCTCCAATGTTGGATGCATATATATTTAGGATAGCTAAATTTTCTTGTTGAACACTTTATCATTATATAATGCCCTTCTTTGTTCTTTTTTACTGTTGCTGGTTTAAAGACTATTTTATCTGATATTAGAGTAGCGACCCCTGCTCTTTTTTGTTTTCCATTTGCATGATGGATCTTTCTCCATCCCTTTACTTTGAGCTTATGGGCATCATTACATGTGACATAGGTCTCTTCAAGACAGCAGGAGAATGGGTCTGTTTTTACCTTATTTTATTTTATTATTATACTTTAAGTTCTAGGGTACATGTGCAGAACATGCAGGTTTGTTTCATATGTATACATGTGCCATGCTGGTGTGCTGCACCCGTTAACTCATGATTTACATTAGATATATCTCCTAATGCTATCCCTCCTCCCTCCCCCCACCCCACGACAGGCCCCGGTGTGTGATGTTCCCCACTCTGTGTCCAAGTATTCTCATTGTTCAGTTCCCACCTATGAGTGAGAACATGTGGTGTTTGGTTTTCTGTACTTGTGATAGTTTGCTCAGAATGATGGTTTCTAGCTTTATCCATGTACCTACAAAGGACATGAACTCATCCTTTTTTATGGCTGCATAGTATTCCATGGTGTATATGTGCCACATTTTCTTAATCTAGTCTATCACTGATGGACATTTGGGTTGGTTCTAAGTCTTTGCTATTGTGAATAGTGCCACAATAAACATACCTGTGCATGTGACTTTATAGCAGCATGATTTATAATCCTTTGGGTATATGCCCAGTAATGGGATGGCTGGGTCAAATGGTATTTCTAGTTCTAGATTCTTGAGGAATTGCCACACTGTCTTCCACAATGGTTGAATTAGTTTACTGTCCCAACAACAGTGTAAAAGCATTCCTATTTCTCCACATCCTCTCCAACACCTGCTGTTTCCTGACTTTTTAATGATTGCCATTCTAACTGGTGTGAGATGGTATCTCATTGTGGTTTTGATTTGCATTCCTCTGATGGCCAGTGATGATGAGCATGTTTTCATGTGTCTGTTGGTTGCATAAATGTCTTCTTTTGAGAAGTGTCTGTTCATATCCTTTGCCCACTTTTTGATGGGGTTGTTTGATTTTTTCTTGTAAATTTGTTTAAGTTCTTTGTAGATTCTGGATATTAGCCCTTTGTCAGATGGGAAGATTGCAAAAATTTTCTCCCATTCTGTAGGTCGCCTGTTCACTCTGATGGTAGTTTCTTTTGCTGTGCAGAAGCTCTTTAGTTTAATTAGATCCCATTTGTCAATTTTGGCTTTTGTTGCCATTGCTTTTGGTGTTTTAGTCATGAAGTCCTTGCCCATGCCTATGGCCTGAATGGTATTGCCTAGGTTTTCTTCTAGGGTTTTTACGGTTTTAGGTCTAACATTTAAGTCTTTAATCCATCTTGAATTAATTTTTGTATAAGATGTAAGGAAGGGATCCAGCTTCAGCTTTCTACATATGGCTAGCCAGTTTTCCCAGCACCATTTATTAAATAGGGAATCCTTTCTCCATTTCTTGTTTTTGTCAAGTTTGTCAAAGATCACATGGTTGTAGATGTGTGGTATTATTTCCGAGGGCTCTGTTCTGTTCCATTGGTCTATATCTCTGTTTTAGTACCAGTACCATGATGTTTTGGTTACTGTAGCCTTGTAGTATAGTTTGAAGTCAGGTAGTGTGATGCCTCCAGCTTTGTTCTTTTGGCTTAGAATTGTCTTGGCAATGCGGGCTCTTTTTTGGTTCCATATAAACTTTAGAGTAGTTTTTTCCAATTCTGTGAAGAAAGTCATCGGTAGCTTGATGGGGATGGCATCGAATCTATAAATTACCTTGGGCAGTATGGCCATTTTCACAATATTGATTCTTCCAATCCATGAGCATGGAATGTTCTTCCATTTGTTTGTGTCCTCTTTTATATCGTTGAGCCGCGGTTTGTAGTTCTTGAAGACGTCCTTCACATCCCTTGTAAGTTGGATTCCTAGGTATTTTATTCTCTTTGAAGCAGTTGTGAATGGGAGTTCACTCATTATTTGGTTCTCTGTTATTGGTGTATAAGAATGCTTGTCATTTTTGCACATTGATTTTGTCTCCTGACACTTTGCTGAAGTTGCTTATCAGCTTAAGCAGATTTTGGGCTGAGACGATGGTGTTTTCTAAATATACAATCATGTCATCTGCAAACAGGGACAATTCAACTTCCTCTTTTCCTAATTGAATACCCTTTATTTCATTATCTTGCCTGATTGCCCTGGCCACAACTTCCAACAGTATGTTGAATAGGAGTGGTGAGAGAGGGCATCCCTGTCTTGTGCCAGTTTTCAAAGGGAATGCTTCCAGTTTTTGCCCATTCAGTATGATATTGGCTGTGGGTTTGTCATAAATAGCTCTTATATTTTGAGATACGTCCCATCAATACCTAATTATTAAGAGTTTTTAGCATGAAGGGCTGTTCAATTTTGTTGAAGGCCTTTTCTGCATCTATTGAGATAATCATGTGGTTTTTGTCTTTGTTTCTGTTTATATACTGGATTATGTTTGTTGATTTGCATATGTTGAACCAGCCTTGCGTCCCAGGGATGAAGCCAACTTGATTGGTGGATAAGCTTTTTGATATGCTGCTGGATTCAGTTTGCCGGTATTTTATTGAGGATTTTTGCATCGATGTTCATCAGGGATATTGGTCTACAATTCTCTTTTTTTCTTGTGTCTCTGCCAGGCTTTGGTATTAGGATGATGCTGGCCTCATAAAATGAGTTAAGGAGGATTCCCTCTTTTTCTATTGATTGGAATAGTTTCAGAAGGAATGGCACCAGCTCCTCCTTGTACCTCTGGTAGAATTCAGCTGTGAATCAGTCTGGTCCTGGACTCTTTTTGGTTAGTAGGCTATTAATTATTGCCTCGATTTCAGAACCTGTTATTGGCCTATTCAGGGATTCAACTTCTTCCTGTTTAGTCTTGGGAGGGTGTGTGTGTCCAGGAATTTATCCATTTCTTGTAGATTTTCTAGTTTATTTGCATAGAGGTGTTTATAGTATTCTCTGATGGTAGTTTGTATTTCTGTGGGATCAGTGGTGATATCCCCTTTATCATTTTTTATTGTGTCTATTTGATTCTTCTCTCTTTTCTCCTTTATTAGTCTTGCTAGCGGTCTATCAATTTTGTTGATCTTTTCAAAAAACACACTCCTGGATTCATTGATTTTTTAGAAGGGATTTTGTGTCTCTATCTCCTATAGTTCTGCTCTGATCTTAGTTATTTCTTGCCTTCTGCTAGCTTTTAAATTTGTTTGCTCTTGCTTGTCTAGTTCTTTTAGTTGTGATGTTAGGATGTCAATTTTAGATCTTTCCTGCTTTCTCTTGTGGGTATTTAGTGCTATAAATTTCCCTGTACACACTGCTTTAAATGTGTCCCAGAGATTCTGGTATGTTGTGTCTTTGTTCTCATTGGTTTCAAAGAACTTCTTTATTTCTGCCTTCATTTCGTTATGTACCCAGTAGTCATTTGGGAGCAGGTTGTTCAGTTTCCATGTAGTTGAGCAGTTTTGAGTGAGTTTCTTAATCCTGAGTTCTAGTTTGATAGCACTGTGGTCTGAGAGACAGTTTGTTGTGATTTCTGTTCTTTTACATTTGCTGAGGAATGCTTTACTTCCACCTATGTGGTCAATTTTGGAATAAGTGCGATGTGGTGCTGAGAAGAATGTATATTGTGTTGATTTGGGGTGAAGAGTTCTGTAGATGTCTTCTAGGTCCACTTGGTGCAGAGCTGAGTTCAATTCCTGGATATCCTTGTTCACTTTCTGTGTCGTTAATCTGTCTAATGTTGTCAGTGGGGTGTTAAAGTCTCCCATTATTATTGTGTGGGAGTCTAAGTCTCTTTATAGGTCTCTAAGGGCTTGCTTTATGAATTTGGGTGCTCCTGTATTGGGTGCATATATATTTAGGATAGTTAGCTCTTCATGTCGAATTGATCCCTTTACCATTATGTAATGGCCTTCTTTGTCTCTTTTGATCTTTGTTGGTTTAAAGTCTGTTTTATCAGAGACTAGGATTGCAACCCCTGCTTTTTTTTTTTGTTTTCCATTTGCTTGGTAGATCTTCCTCCATCCCTTTATTTTGAGCCTACGTGTGTCTCTGCACGTGAGATGGGTCTCCTGAATACAGCACACTGATGGGTCTTGACTATCCAATTTGCCAGTCTGGGTCTTTTAATTGGAGCATTTAGCCCATTTACATTTAAGGTTATATTGTTATGTGTGAATTTGGTCCTGTCATTATGATGTTAGCTGGCTATTTTGTTCGTTAGTTGATGCCGTTTCTTCGTAGCCTCGATGGTCTTTACAATTTGGCATGTTTTTGCAGTGGCTGATACTGGTTGTTCCTTTCCATGTTTAGTGCTTCCTTCAGGAGCTCTTGTAAGGCTGGCCTGTTGGTGACAAAATCTCTCAGCATTTGCGTGTCTGTAAAGGATTTTATTTCTCCTTCACTTATGAAGCTTAGTTTGGCTGGATATGAAATTCTGGGTTGAAAATTCTTTTCTTTAAGAATGTTGAATATTGGCCCCCACTCTCTTCTGGCTTGTAGAGTTTCTGCCAAGAGATCCGCTGTTAGTCTGATGGGCTTCCCTTTGTGGGTAACCAGACCTTTCTCTCTGGCTACCATTAACATTTTTTCCTTCATTTCAACTTTGGTGAATCTGACAGTTATGTGTCTTGGAGTTGCTGTTCTTGAGGAGTATCTTTGTGGTGTTCTCTGTGTTTCCTGAATTTGAATGTTGGCCTGCCTCGCTAGGTTGGGGAAGTTCTCCTGGATAATATCCTGAAGAGTGTTTTCCAACTTGGTTCCATTCTCCCCATCACTTTCAGGTACACCAATCAGATGCATATTTGGTCTTTTCACATAGTCCCATATTTCTTGGAGGCTTTCTTTGTTTCTTTTTACTCTTTTTTCTCTAAACTTGTCTTCTCCCTTCATTTCATTCCATTGATCTTCCATCACTGATACCCTTTCTTCCACTTGATCAAATCGGCTACTGAAGCTTCTGCATGCATCACATAGTTCTCGTGCCATGGTTTTCAGCTCCATCAGGTCATTTACGGACTTCTCTACACTGTTTATTCTAGTTAGCCATTCGTCTAATCTTTTTTCAAGGTTTTTAGCTTCTTTGCGATGGGTTTGAACATCCTCCTTTGGCTTGGAGAAGCTTGTTATTGCCAATCGTCTGAAGCCTTCTTCTCTCAACTCTTCAAAGTCATTCTCCGTCCAGCTTTGTTCCATTGCTGGCGAAGAGCTGCATTCCTTTGGAGGAGAAGGGGCACTCTGATTTGTAGTATTTTCAGCTTTTCTGCTCTGGTTTCTCCTCATCTTTGTGGTTTTATCTACCTTTGGTCTTTGATAATGGTGATGTACAGATGGGGTTTTGGTGTGGATGTCCTATCTGTTTGTTAGTTTTCCTTCTAACAGTCAGGACCCTCAGCTGCAGGTCTGTTGGAGTTTGCTGGAGGTCCACTCCAGACCCTGTTTGCCTGGGTATCAGCAGCAGAGGCTGCAGAACAGCAAATATTGCAGAAAGGCACATGTTGCTGCCTGATCCTTCCTCTGGAAGCTTTGTCTCAGAGGGGCACCCAGCTGTATGAGGTGTCAGTTGGCCCCTACTGGGAGGTGTCTTCCAGTTTGGCTACTTGGGGGTCAGGGACCCACTTGAGGAGGCAGTCTGTCCGTTCTCAGATCTCAAACTCCATGCTGGGAGAACCACTACTCTCTTCAAAGCTGTCAGACAGGGACGTTTAAGTCTGCAGAAGTTTCTGCTGCCTTTTGTTCAGCTATGCCCTGCCACCAGAGGTGGAGTCTACAGAGGCAGGCAGGCCTCCTTGAGCTGTGGTGGGCTCCACCCAGTTTGAGCTTCCAGGCCACTTTGTTTACCTACTCAAGCCTCAGCAATGGTGAGTGCCCCTCCTCCAGCCTTGCTGCTGCCTTGCAGTTCAGTCTCAGACTGCTGTGCTAGCAGTGAGTGAGGGTCTGTGGGCGTGGGACCCTCTGAGCCAGGCGTGGGATATAATCTCCTGGTGTGCCATTTGCTAAGGCCATTGGAAAAGCGCAGTATTAGGGTGGCAGTGTCCCGATTTTCCAGGTGCCGTCTGTTACGGCTTTCCTTTGCTGGAAAAGGGAATTCCCCGACCCGTTGTGCTTCCCAGGTGAGGCGATGCCCCACTCTGCTCTATGGGTTGCACTCACCATCTGACAAGCCCCAGTGAGATGAACCCAGTACATCAGTTGGAAATGCAGAAATCACCTGTCTTCTGTGTCACTCATGCTGTGAGCTGCAGACTGGAGCTGTTCCTATTCGGCCATCTTGGAACCTCTGGTCTGTTTTTTAAATCCAATTTGCCACTCTGTGTCTTTTAACTGGAGGCCATTTACATTCAAGATTAATACTGATATGTGAGGTTTTGTTCTTGTTGGAGTGTTGTTAGTTAAGTTGCTTTGTAGTCTCTAATATGTAGTTGCTTTATAGGGTCTGTGGGCTACGTGCTTGCATGTGCTTTTGTGATAGCAAGTATCATTCTTTCATTTCCATGTTTAGCGTTTCCTTAAGCATCTCTCATAGGGCCAGTCTGGTGATGAAAAATTCCCTTAGTGACTGCTTGTTTGGGAAAGACTTTATCTCTCCTTCATTTATGCAGCTTAGTTTGGCAGGATATGGAATTCTTGGCTGGCATTTCTGTTCCTTAAGAATGCTAAAAATGGGCCCCCGATCTCTTCTGGCTTGTAAGGTTTCTGCTGAGAAGTTTGCTGTTAGTCTTATGAGTTTCCCTTTATAGGTAAAATGACCCTTTTCTCTAACTGATTTTTGGGTTTTTTTCTTTTACATTGACCTTGGATCTTCTGATGAATAAGTGTCTTGGAGATGGTCATCTTCTATAGTATCTTGCAGGAGTTCTCTAGATTTCTTGTATCTACATGTTGACCTATCTAGCAAGATTTGGGAAATTTTGCTGGACTATATCTCAAATATGTTTTCCAAGTTGCTTACTTTCTCTTCTCTCTTACAAGTGCCAAAAAGTCATAGATTTGTTTGCTTTACATAACCCATGTTTCTCAAAGGCTTTGTTCATTTTCTTTAAAATTCTTTTTTCTTTATTTTTGTCTGACTGGGTTGATTTGAAGGACCAATCTTTGAGCTCTGAAATTCTTTCTTCTACTTGGTCTAGTGTGTTGTTAAGGCTTCTACCTGTATTTTGAAGTTTTAGTAGTGAGTTTTTCAATTCCACAAGTTCTGTTTGGTTGTTTCTTAATATGTCTATGTTGTCCTTCCAACCTTGGATCATTTTTCTGGCTTCTTAGGGTTGGATTTCAACTTTCTCTTGGATCTCATTGAGTTTATTTGTGATTCATATTCTGAATCCTATATCTGCCATTTCAGACATTCCATTCTGGTCAGGATACATTGCTTGGGAGCTAGTGGGATCCTTTGGAGGTGACAACACACTCTGGCATGTTTTATTACTGGAGAAACTCATGCTAGTTTCTTCTCATCTGAGAGAGCTGGCACTTTTTTTTTTTTTTAATTTGCTGTTGTTTGGATAGGGCTTCTTGATTTTTTATTCTTTCTCCCTTGGAGGTATGACTGTGGTGTATATTGTGTATGATCTATTGCCTTCTTTTCTGGGTGCTTTCAGGGTACCAAGGCTCTGTACTAGTTCCTTAGTTACAGATAGGTTCATGCAGTTGTGGCTTTCTCAGATGTTGCTTGTTGTAGTGATGTAATTTTGTTTGGTAGTATAATTTAGGCTGCAACTCAGTAAGTGATATTTAAGAGTAAGAGCTGGCAAGTAGGGGCCGGAATGGAGGCAATGGAGAGGTGTGACAAGCACCCTCCTCCAGTGTGTGTTTGCCTTCACGGGGGTGGAGCTGCTGGAGAAACCCAAGAAGGGGTTTCTTTTAGCCCATGCTCCCCAGGCCCTGATGCGAAGAGCCACTGCTGAGTCTGCAACAGTGCACTGAGGAGGGGAATGAGGGGACAGGAGATGACCCCCTTTCCATGTTTGTTCCCGGGCTTTGGTGGTGCTGCCTTCAGCAGCTGGTGCTGCACTTGTGTTTACTTTGACCCAAGGAGGGGTTTGGCTGGCTGTGCCCACCCTCCCTTGGGTCAGAACATGCCATGGATTAGATCTCCAGGGGAGTGGGGTCCATCTCCCTCATGCTCCTCAGAACTGGTGGGGGACCATCTTCCAACTGACCAAGGGAGCAGGCTGGGCCGCCTAGTAATGACACATATAGATTGGTTCCAGGTCGCAAAGATGTCCCAGGCTGCAAGTCTTACCATCTGGGAGAAACCTCAGCTTCAGCAACTCTCCTCCCACTCCAGTCCTATGATGGGAGAGAGACTAATACCAGTGCCTACTGCTGAGGCGCTGTCCACACTCATCACTCAATTCTGGCTATGAGAGCCCTTCCCTGGCTCCACAGCAAGCTCTCCAATCTCTGGCGCAAGACTAAAATGGCTGTTGTGGTTGCCACTGCCAGGTCACCAAACAATGTCTCTAAACTCTCAAAATGGTCCTAGCTATGGACCATTTTGTGACCAGAGAGGGTGGGGCCCCTCTCAGGTAAGCAACATAGACAAGAAGCTGTCTATATTCTTATCCTATGCCATTTCATCAAATTTAAAAAAAAAATCAATTCTCAGGCTCTAGAGCAGTTATCCCAGGGACAGTTATGTCCCTAGAACCCAATATTTTATGTTACCAAATACTCTAAGTTTCCTGAGTAAAAAGTAGAAAAAGGAAGCCTTCTTTGTTTTAATGTCTCTAAAACACAAGAAGGTCAATGTCAAGTTTCCAGAATCCTCTTAACAATGCATGCTGTGAGCCAAAGCCGTGTAGGGAGAAATCTCCAAGAGAAACTATTATGACTTTGTGTATCTACCACTTCTTGGAGGAATATCCACCTATACATCCATTCTCCTTTCCAAGAGAATATTATTTGAGGCCAGCTGTGGTGGCTCACGCCTGTAAACCGACCAATTTGGGAGGCCGAGATGGGCAGATAACGAGGTCAAGAGATTGAGACTATCCTGGCCAACATGGTGAAACCCTGTCTCTAATAAAAATACAAAAATTAGCTGGACACAGGTCACACATGGGTCACACAGGGGTCAGTCATGGGTCAGTCATGGGTCACACACAGCTCACACACATCAGTCACGTGTCACACACATCAGTCATGTGCCACACACTTGCCAGCCAAGTGTCACCCATGTGTCAGTCGTGTGTCAGTCACTTGTCAGCCACGTGTCACACACGTCAATCATATGTCAGTCACCTGTCATGCACATCAGTCACGTGTAAAACACGTGTCAGTCACATCACATAGGTGTCACTCACATGCCACACACCTGCCACACAAGCTCCACACCCGTGTCACACATGGGCCAGTCACATGTCACACACATGTCACACGTGTCAGTCACATGTCAGTCACAGCCAAACACATCAGTCACCTGGCAGTAATGTGCCACACACACGTGTCAGTCACATGTCACATGTATCACACACGTGGCAGATACATGTCACATGTGTCAGTCACGTGCCAGTCACCTGTCAGTCACACACCACATACATGCCATTCACACGCCACACACGTGCCACACACACCACACATGTGTCAGTCATGTGTCACACGTGTCAGATACCTGTCAATCACGTCAGACACCTGTCAGTCACAGCCAAACACGTGTCAGTCACCTGTCATTCACCTGTCACACGAGTGACGCGTGTGTGACACGTGTCTGACATGTGACTGGCACGTGTGACACGTGACTGACAAGTGACACGTTTGAGGCATGTGTGATACGGGTGTGACACGTGGAGGACATGTGCATGATACATGACTGACATGTGTCTGACATGTGTGGCACATGAGTGACATGACTGACACGTGTGTGACATGTCTGTGACACTTAAGTGACACATGATGACACGTGTGATGTGTCTGACTCATGACTGACATGTTTGTTACACTGACATGTGACTGATGTGTGTGACTCGTGACTGACACCTGTGTGACACGTGTCTCACATGTGTGTGACATGGCTTTTTTTGACAAGCTCTTTTTCTGTCTCTCAGGCTAGAGTGCAATGGAGCTCAAACCTCACTGCAGCCTCAATCTCCCAGGCTAAATCTATCCTCCCACCTCAGCCTCCCTAGTAGGTGGGAGTACAGGCATGTGCTACCACACCTGGCTAAGTTTTTTAAAAATTACTTTTAGTAGAAACAAGGTCTTGCTATTTTGCCCTGGCTGGTCCCCAACTCCTGGGCTCAATTGATTCTCCTGCTTTGGCCTCCCAAAATGCTGGGATGACAGGCGTGAGCCACGGTGCCTGGCCTGAAGCATGCTTTTTAAAATAGTGATGAATATCTCCACAAAACACAGACATGTGAGGAAATAGCAAAAATCAGATAAATTTTAAGGAAAAGCAAGGTATGTTCAGAGATATTTATCTTTTCAAATTTGATTTGAACTATACCTGTAACTACTCTGCCAATAAGAGTCATTTTCTTAGGGTAGTTTGGAGAAAATTTTTGAGAAGCATTGGGTGAACGGGAAGTGCTCAAGAGATAACCTGATAGGAATGTTCTAAAGAGGATTTCTATACTGAGAGGAGAGGGAATGATGAGCTCTGAGCTCCCTTTCGGGTCTAAGGTTTTCTAAATGCCTTTATGGAAGGCAGAGCCTTTATAAAAAAGCAGGGAGGAATCTTAGTTTTCTAGTTTGGAGGTGGTTCTACTTCAAGAGAGGTTATTTGTGTTAACTAGCATTTATTTATATAGCAACCTTCTCTCCTTCTGTACAAGATCAGATCATAAATTGAATGATGTTTTTCAAGGACAAAATACCCCTTCTCCAATTGCTACAAGAAATTCACGATGTTTCCCCACTTGTCCAAGACATAGATCAGCTCTCTAGTTGATGATTATGGAGTTCACACTTTAGAGTTAAATTTAATATTTTTAGCTCAATTTTTGTTTGTTTTCTGGCCATGACCCATCTATTTATATTCCCAGAACACAGAAAAGCAAAAGTGTTTGTGTCAGTGGATTCCCCTGGTCTGCTCCTGGTTCCACGATCCCCTGGAGGGACTCATAGGACTCAATGTATAGTCCCACTCACAGCGATTATTTATTACAGTGAAAGGATTCAGATAAAAATCAGCAAAGGGAACAGGTGCATGTCCAGGGTAAGTTAGGTGCAAATTTCCAGGGGTCCTTTCCTAATGTTGTCGCAAAGGACACTCTTAAATTTCCCAGCAATGAGTTGTGACAACATGTGTGAAATGTTGCCATCAGGAAAGCCCGTTAGGGACTCAGTGCCCAGGTTTTTTACTGGGGCCTGGGGTATGCCCTCTCTACCTGCCTCTGCCTGGCATGTACCCAAATTCCAGACTCCCAGAAGGAAAGTGAGTGTTCAGCATAAACCATATTTGCACAGTTCAGGTACAGTGAGTCATTCTTGCCAGTGAATGGTGAGAGTCTTATGAAATCTAAGTTTCCAGATGTCAGCCCAAAGGCCAACCTTCTAAGCAGGGTTTTCTAAGGATAGCAGTTTTCAAGTCGGCTATGTTAACGCTTTTCTGAACTGTGATCTTTTAGATGTTTTCTGAAAAAGGGATCTAGTCTTGCCAGAAGAAGAAGGGCCTCTGACTCTTCTCTTGTAGATTTTGGAGAGATCCTAACCACTGAACAAACTTCCCTTCCTTTTAACAACAGAAAGGATAGGAAGAATTATAGAGGGAGAATCAGTAGGAGAATTTTTTTTTTAATACTTCAAATGAGACCAAATAAGTAGAGGCTTGTCTGCATGGGCATAACTACTTGGCCCAAGTAAATAGCCATAAAAGAGATCCCTTACCACAACCCAGTGTCTGCCTTAAGTATGTGTTGGAGCAGGAAAATATATATATGCAAGATTCCCAGTAAGCACTTAGAGGCATCCTGCTGGCTTATCAACAGGGGCTAAATGCTGACTTCAGGTTTAGTACACAGTCATCACATTAAACAATATTTACTTGCCAGAATCCTATTGTGTCTGGCTGTTACAGCTCCTTGATGTTTTTCTACTCTCCTTGCCTGGATGTACTATCCAGCACATCATCTGTCAGCCCTTTTAATTGTCTTCTTGATGGCCCTAGGTTCCCTGTGTGTCTCCTAAGCTGCCATCATTGCAGAATCAAGGGAGTTGCCCATCTCCTTCCTTGCTTATTTACTAGTGTCTCTTGGTAAAATATGACTCTCCTGGTTATCCAGTAAAGGAATGGCGGTGGGAGGAAGAAGAGTTAATGGGGCATCATCTCTGAAAAGTTGAGTGGATTGGACTAGACAAAGAATGGCAAATATGTGGCCGATCCCCTTACTCCAGCCTCCTGGGCCTACAGTGCACAGAGAGCATGGTGTTATTTCTTATTGTGTCCAACACAGTATTTATTCTGGGCAGCCATTGTCAATTCCTCAAAATTGGCATAAAAATTGAAGCCTACTGATTCCTGGCATAGATTGCTTTTAAAGTCCTTTTAATTTATAAGTTAAGTGATTACTTTATTCTTGTGAAATGCATATAAATAAAAACAAGCTAGGCATCGTGGCTCAGTACTATGTACTGTGGAATATGTAATATTTTTACTAATTACTGTGGAATATCTGATATTTTTAGGTGAAATACGGACAAACATTTAACAGTTGTAAACTTATTTTAATGTGAATATGGAGAATTAGTGAACACATCAAACTTGTTTGTGAAAATGAAATGAAGTTTAGATTTATTAATATATTTATTTAAAGGAAAAGGAGCCAAATTAAAGGCTATTTAGTAAATAATAGTACAGGTATGGCAAAAACCACGTAAGTAGATTCAAATCCTTGCTTCAAAATGTCCTGACCATGTGAATTTGAGACAGGTACTTAATCTCTATGCACTTCAGCCCTTTCACTGGTTGAAGGAAGAAAGTACTGCCCACTTCCAGTGTTGTAAGGATTAGAAGTAATGATATGGAAAGGGGGAAGGGAAGTGCTGGGAAGGGAAGGTCGTGGTCCCTGGTGAGGGCTCCACCCTCGGCCTGTGCCCACTGACCTAGGTGAGGACAGACACTCCTGCATTCTCGCCCAAATGTTGCATTTCCCAAGACCACCCTGGCCTGCCACGCCCCCATCCTGTGCCTATAAAAACCCCGAGGCCCTAGCAGGCAGGCACACAAGCGGCTGGAAGTTGAGAGAAATACATCGGTGGAAGAAGACATGAATGGCTGGACGTCGAGAGGACATCGAGGGGAGCATACCGGGGGAAGAGCACACGACAGATGCTGGCAGGACAGCAGGCCATCGACAGGTGGAACAAGGCAGCAATTGGAGGAGAGCCTAGGCCGCCAAGCAGCCCAACTCCAGGGGAAAACCATCTATCTTCTGGCTCCCCCATCTGCTGAGAGCTACTTCCACTCAATAAAACCTTGCACTCATTCTCCAAGCCCACATGTTATCCGATTCTTCCAGTACACTAAGGCAAGAACTCTGGGATACAGAAAGCCCTCTGTCCTTGTGATAAGGCAGGGGTCTAATTGAGTTAACACAAGCCGCCTACAGACGGCTAAACTAAAAGAACACCCTGTAACACATGCCCACTGGAGCTTCAGCTGTAAACATTCAACCCTAGACACTGCTGTGGGGTCGGAGCCCCACAGCCTGCCCATCTGCATGCTCCCCCTAGAGGTTTGAGCAGCAGGGCACTGAAGCAACGGGGCACTGAAGAAGCGAGCCACTCCTCCACTGCCCGCCCTATGAGGGGGACAAGGGAACTTTTGCCATTTCAGTAATATATGTCAAGTTTCTAGCATTGTGGCTGACATATAGCAGACACTCAATAATAATCAGAATTAACTAAATGCTTACTATGTGACAAGGTTTTTTCAGAGCTTTATCTATATCAATCTAACCCTCAAAAAACCTTTATGAGATAGGTACTATTATTGGTACCTTTTTTTGCCAGGGAAGAAACTAAGGCATGAAGAGGTTAAGGTGATATTATTTCCCAAGTCACAGTTAGTAAGTGGTAGAAGGGAGATTGAGCTAGGTGGTCTGGCTCTAGACCCGCCAGTTAATTATATTCTAACATCTAACATTTTAAGTACAATCTGCCATCATGTACTAAACATTACCATTTAGAGGCCTTTCTCCAGGACCCTTTAGGTGGTCCCAGACATGTGCTAACAGGGGCACCCAGGGGCACTCAGCCTGGCTGGGAGTGGATGGGACATATGGTGGACTGATGAAGGGACATGCTGGTGACTGTTAATGACAGAACAAGAGTCTTGGATTGTTTTGGATAAGTAATAAGAACCAACTATAGGTATTGATACGTTGATGAAAGTCAGGTACTTTTTAAGGTACTGGACATAAAAAATGACATGATCCAACCCTCAAGGCCTGCTAGTCTAGAGGTGAAGCAGCTGGCTAACAATTCACTGCAGTAAAGAGGAAAAGATGGTATGAGACGAGTCTACATGAAGCACAGGAGAGACACAAGGGGGAGAGGGTCAATTCTGCTCTGAGAAGCAGGGGGCAAGGAAGGCTTCATAAGGAGATGACATAAGCTGGTTTTACAGGGTCCTTGGAAGGTTTTGAGCAGAATGTCATCGCCAGAAACATGCATTCCATCAAATAGCCTATTTCCCATCCACCAACTCAGGAAAAGGAGGGCCTGACCCTGGGTGGCGGCAGTGAGAATGAGGAAAAGGAACACAGAGGCAGGCTTGAGGTGAGATTATCTAGGGATGATGATTACATATGGGGCCCAAGGGGAGTACTGATCTGAAGTCCAGGGACTGGGGTGCCCCTCTTAGGGACAGTTTATGGAAGGAGAGACTGCATTTACTTCCATTTGAAGCACCAATGAGACCTAAAGGTGTAGATAGAAGACTACAGGAAGGGGATGCTAGGTTTTGGGAACAGCTTTCTCTCCAGAAGGACTCTATTAAAAGGCATGCCATTGATAAGGAAAGAAAGGGGTCACTCTTGACTTTTACCCATCATCTCAGGCTAGTTTACTGTCACTGAAGGCCCCAAGAATATAGGAGATAAGATGTGATTTCCAGAGGTGGGGGGTGGGGAGCCACTTGAAACTTCAGCCCTGCATCAGCAGGATATACACCGTCTCTTGTTCACTTGCAAGAGAAGATGTGGGGAGAGTGGGCCACTTGAGTCTCAGTCTCACAGTAGCCCACAGCAGAGCATTGGGTATTGTCCTGGGTATACATAGGAGAGTCTGGATTCCCTGTCCCTCCTTGGCTAGGCAGTGGCTGCAGTTGTGTCAGCCCAAACTCAGGCTGAGGGTAGGATACAGCTCAGCATTAAATTCTCAAAATGACACCTTAGGCCTATGACCAAGGAGGGCAGGGTATTGCCCAGGCAAGCAGCATGGGCAAAGAGCTGTTGGGAGTGTGGTTCACCCACATCTCAGTCTCACAGCAGCCTGTTGCAGAGCTATGGGTATTGTTCTAGATATCCATAGGATAAGCTGTAGCATAAGATATTCACAGGATGTAAAATTAATTTTTTAATTTGGTGAATATGGCCAGTACTGACAAATGTGTGCAGCATATTAAGATGAAACACCAAAGTTGTTTCAGAACAATTCTGGAGTCCCTGAAGGACCCATACTCCTGCCAGTGAGAGGAATCCCAAGCTACAGCATAGGATACTCATAGGATGGCCTAGTCTCCCTATCCCTCCTTGCCCAGGCAGCAGCTACAGCTGCATCAGCCTGAACTCAGGCCTTAACTGTGAAATGTTTTGAGGCAGTGGCAGCTTCTGAATTTCTTGCCTGGTTGGAAGGAGAAGTGTGGTGGCATAAGGAACTTGTCTTGAAGATGCTTTCACATAGCAAATAGTTTGTGTTTTTCTGTAACATTTTATTAGAAAAACTTTCAAATACATAAAAAAGTTGAAAGACGTGTATGGCAAACACCATACACCCATCATCTAGATTCTACAGTGGTTAATATCTTTCTGTATTTGCTTTGTGACATATCTATTCGTCCCTCCATCCATCAATCAAAGTAAGTTGCAGACATCAGTCACGTCACCCCTAAACACTTCAGCCTGCATAGTGTTAAATAGAACTCAATATTTATTTATGGTGCTTTCTGTTTTTGAGATAAAACATACATACAGTGACATGCACAAACTTGTGTTCTATTAGATAAGTTGAGAAAAATGCATACATTCATATAACTCAAACCCCTATCAAGATATAGAATATTTCCTTTACCCCAGAAAGTTCTGTAATGCTCCTTCCCAGCCATCCCTAACCCACCCATCCTGTGTTAGTTTCCTAGGGCTACAGTAACAAATTACCACAAACTGGGGTCTTAACAGAAATTTATTCTCTCATAGTTCTGAAGGCTAGAAGCCCCAAATCAAGGTGTCATCATGGCCATGCTCTCTCTGAAGGCTCCAGGGAAGAATATGTTCCATGCCTTTCTCTTAGCTTCTGGTGTTGCTGGCAATCTCTGGTGCTCCTTGGGTTGTAGACACACCATTCCAAGCTGTCTCTGTCATCAATGGCATTCTTCTCATATGTGCCTTTCTCTGTGTCTCTTCCCTTCTTTTTATTATTATTATTATTATTATACTTTAAGTTTTAGGGTACGTGTGCACAATGTGCAGGTTTGTTACATATGTATACATGTGCCATGCTGGTGTGCTGCACCCATTAACTTGTCATTTAGCATTAGGTATATCTCCTAAAGCTATCCCTCCCACCTCCCCCCACCCCACAACAGTCCCCAGAGTGTGATGTTCCCCTTCCTGTGTCCATGTGTTCTTCAGTCATATTGAATTAGGGCCCACCCTAATGACATCCTCAAAGATCCTATTTGCAAATAGGGTCATGTACAAAGATCCTATTTGCAAATAGGGTCACATTCACAGATACTGAGGGTTAGGGTTTCAACATTTCCTTTGGGGGGACATAATTTAACCCATAACACACCCCTAGATGCAGCTGCTGTTCTGATTTTTACACCACTTATGTTTGCATGTCCTAGAATTTTATATAAATAAAATAATGTCGTTTACTTTTACTTATTTATTTATTTTTAAGGCAGGATCTTACTGTGTTGCCCAGGCTGGAGTGCAGTGGTGCAATCATGGCTCACTGCAGCCTCAAACTCCTGGGCTCAAGTGATCCTCCTGCCTAAGCCTCCCTAGTAGCTAAGACTCCAGGCATGCACCACCACACCTGGCTAATTTGATTTTTATTTTTGTAGAGACAGAGTCTTGCTGTGTTTCCCAGGCTGGTCTTGAACTCCTAGCCTCCAGTGATCCTCCTGCCTTGACCTTCAAATGTGCTGGGATTACAAGCATGAGCCACTGCAACTGGCCTATCATAGAGTCTATACTGTTTCGTGTCTAGCTTCTCTCACTTAGTATGTTTTGAGATTCATTTATGTTGTTGCATGTATCCATTCTTATTTCCTTTTTTAAATTCTTTAAGGCTAGTCAAGTGAAGCAGTTGGAGTGGAAAAGGAACAAAGAGATCGTAACTGGTTGTGATTATTTCCTGTTAATTGCTGACAAGTATTCCATTGTATGATGTACCACAGGTTGTTTATCCAATCTTCTGTTGATTGACACTTGGACTGTTTCTAGTTTTTAGCTATTACAAATAAATCGGCTATGAACATTGATATACAAGTCTTTTTGTGAAGATATTTCTCTTGGGTAAAAACCTGGGAGTTAAATTGCTGGGTGATGGGGAGGAAGAAAAGCAGGGAGAAAGAGAGGGAGGAGTTCCTTTTTAAAAAATGGGCCAAAAGGATAGGACTTGTAGCAAGCTGACGTTGAGTCTTAGAGTGTTGGAGTGGAGCTTCTTAAAATTCTGTTGACAAAGTTGTGTCTGAGACTAGCACTGAGCTTGCGATTGAGATCAAATTGTTGTCTCAGCTGTGGGTAGAGAGGAGACCTACAGAGACTGGAATCAGGCCCTTGTAAATTATTTTAGAGCCAAGTTAAAAATTGGGCTTCATTTGTCTCAGGCTGTACCTATTCTATCAGCCCTCTCCTAATTTTTATGGATACTGCCTGTAGTGACTGGAGTCCATGTGTTTCAGTTTTTAAAAACAAAACAAAACAAAATACTATTACTGTTTCTGTGTCATACTTTTTTTTATTATACTTTAAGTTTTAGGGTACATGTGCACAAAGTGCAGGTTTGTTATATATGTATACATGTGCCATGTTGGTGTGCTGCACCCATTAACTCGTCATTTAGCATTAGGTATATCTCCTAATGCTATCCCTCCCTCTTCCCCCCACCCCACAACAGTCCCCAGAGTGTGATGTTCCCCTTCCTGTGTCCATGTGTTCTCATTGTTCAATTCCCATCTATGAGTGAGAACATGCGGTGTTTGGTTTTTTGTACTTGCGATACTTTGGTGAGAATGATGGTTTCCAGCTTCATCCATGTCCCTACAAAGGACATGAACTCATCCTTTTTTATGGCTGCATAGTATTCCATGGTGTATATGTGCCACATTTTCTTAATCCAGTCTATCATTGGTGGACATTTGGGTTGGTTCCAAGTCTTTGCTATTGTGAATAGT
This sequence comes from Homo sapiens, assembly GCF_000001405.40. Lineage (NCBI taxonomy): Eukaryota > Metazoa > Chordata > Mammalia > Primates > Hominidae > Homo > Homo sapiens. The sequence continues at coordinate 134,067,204 of NC_000023.11, read as the reverse complement.
GCTGTAATAAGCATACATGTGCGTGTGTCTTTATAGCAGCATGATTTATAATCTTTTGGGTATATACCCAGTAATGGGATGGCTGGGTCAAATGGTATTTCTAGTTCTAGATCCCTGAGGAATCGCCACACTGACTTCCACAATAGTTGAACTAGTTTACAGTCCCACCAACAGTGTAAAAGTGTCATACATTTTTTTTTAACCCAAGGTCCTTGGGGCTTAAAATAAGTCATATTCTGATTTCCAGATTTCATATTAGTGGCCCTATTGTGGCCATATTCTTACAGAAGAAAAAAGCACATAAAACTAAGCTGAATTAGACAGCCCAGTTCTCTAGGAATCACTTCTTGGTACCGTCTGGCCACACTGGAGTTGAGTGATCTCTATAGATGATTTGGATGGCTGGCCTATGCAACTGGCTGGGATCCAGTTGTTTGGCTACAGCCAGCCCTTGCTGCAGACCATGTTTATTTAGTTCATCTGTATGTCTGGGTAGCATTCCTCTGACTCTATTCCTGGATTTATTCTGAGTGGGTATCTCTCTTGTTCTTAATGAGTTCCATGAAAAGATATTCCACAGCCTCCTTTGACAGTTTATATTACAGTGCTTTATGATATTTTCAAGAAATGCCTTTCCATTTCTACGACAACTCATTCCCTCTTTCTCTGAATTAGTGAAAATAGAGGCGAGGCTGCCACTGCCTTTTCCCATGGTAGCCCTTATGTCCTATGAAGGTAGTTTAGTGTATTATCTCTCAAACTTCTTTCTAGGAAGGGTAGATAATATATCTTGTCATGCTCCTAATCTGAGGCACCACTAAGGATGAGTGAATCAACTCACTTGAGGGCTGAAATGACTCTTCTGGGTACTTCTCCCAACTGAACTGTTATCACACAAATGACTTTTTTCTTCCCTTTGTTCACATTCAATTAACACTTTTGCACAAAACTGAGGAGGACAGCTAATTTATTTCTCTGATGACTGGTTAAAGCACATTGTTCTGACACTAATCTGTCTGTTCCTGCTTAATGTCCAGTTCTCTGGACCCATGTCTGATCCCTAATTCTGAAACCCTGTCTGCTGTCTACAGTATGGTCACCTCGATGTCTGTGGCTTATACTGCCAATGGCTTTTGCTTTGTCTTTCATTTTTCTGTGAAAGGATCTTTTAGGTTATTAGAGGAGAAGGACCATGATCAGCCTCCAAGGCTAGACTATGACAAGAACTAATATGTTGTTGGCCATGAAGGCAAAACATATTTGGTTTAGAGTACAGCTAGGTCTTTTCAGTTTGGAAAGATAGTTTAGCATAATAGTTAAGAATATTGATTCTAGCATTGCACAGACCTGAATTTGAACCAGTGCTATCACTTATTTGCCCGTGATTTCAAACAAGTAAGTTAACTTTTCCCCATGCTTCACTTTTTTTTATTTGTAAAATGATTGTGACTATAATATTACCTGTCTGAATGGATAAACAAATTGTGATATCAATGGAATACTATACATCAATAAAGAGGAAGGGACTAGAATAGCAAATTTTATGTTATATACATTTTACTGCAATTCAAAAAAATGTAATATATCAAAAACCTTTGAATTGTACATTTTAAATGGGTGAATGGCATGGTATGTGAGTTATCTCTTAATGAAAGTATTTTAAAAATGGACTGTTGATACATGCAACCACTCGGATGAATCCCAAAATAATTATGCGAGTGAAAGAAGCCAGACAAAAAAGAATATGTGGTTGCTTGGAGAGGCAGTGTGGGGAGGGGTAGGATGGGAAGGGTCAGGAAGGAGGGATTGCAAAGAGGGGCAAGGAAACTTTTAGGGATGGTGGATATGTTAATTATCTTGAATGTGGTGAAAACGTGCATACATATGTCAAAGATCATCAAATTTACACTTTAAATATGTCTGGTTTATTATATGTCAATTATATCTTTCAAATGTTGTTTGAAAATAGTATTTTTTTCAAATGGCTGGTAAGAGCTTTTTGAAACGATGAATGAAAAATGCTCTGTTATATGGTAAGTGCTTAATAAGTTGTAACTTAAAAAAACAATTGGCAGGGAAGAGATGCACGGAGTAAAGTTATCTGAAAATCATTCAGGCACTCATCCAGGTTTTTCTGAATAATGATTTATCTGGCATTTGCTTTTCCCATTTCCCAGAGGGAGAACTTCACCTAAGCTCAGTTACCCACCAGATTGATGAAGTTCTTCCCCCATCAGGGAAAACTGCACCTACTCATGGTTCTCAAGGTCGCAGGCTCATGTTAGCTGGCTTTTTCAGACCACTGGCCTAAACTGGTGCCACACCAATTCTAGGCAACCTAGTGCCAAGCAGCCCTTTATGTTCCCCACAGACAAGGCCTATCCTAAAAAAGAAGGAGACATAAATAGGAGGGGGTCTGTCTTAGTCCATTTTGTGCTGCTATTACAGAATACCTGAGACTAGGTACTTTATAAAGAACAGAAATTGATTTCTCACAGTTCTGGAGGCTTTAAAGTCCAAGATCGGCCGGGCATAGTGGCTCACGCCTGTAATCCCTGCACTTTGGGAGGCCGAGGCGGGCGGATCACAAGATCAAGAGATCGAGACCATCCTAACACGATGAAACCCCGTCTCTACTAAAAATACAAAAAAATTAACCAGCCGTGATGGTGGGAGCCTGTAGTCCCCAGCTACTTGCGAGGCTGAGGCAGGAGAATGGCGTGAACCCAGGAGGCGGAGCTTGCAGTGAGCCAAGATCGCGCCACTGTACTCCAGCCTGGGTGACAGAGTGAGACTCTGTCTCAAAAATAAATAAATAAATAAATAAATAAATAAATAAAGTCCAAGATCAAGGTACCAGTGGGTTTGGTGTCTGATGAGGGCTGCTTTCTGCTTCCAAGACAGAGCCTTGTTGCTGTATTCTCCAGAGGTGAGGAAACATTGTTACTCACATGGCAGAAGAGTGGAAGAACCAAGAGAGAGAACTCACTCCTGAAAGCCCCTTTTAAAAGGCACTATCCACACCCATGAAAGCCGAGTTTCCATAGTATAATCACGTCTTAAAAGTCCCAACTTTTAATACTGTTACAACGGTAATTAAATTTCAACATGAGTTTTGGATGGCAAACATTCAAACCATAGCAGGGTTTCACTACAGGAATTCAGCCCTACATTGACCCAATGAAAACCTGAATCCATCATTCTTGTATTTGTTTTCTATGTTGCACAGATTCACAAACTTAATGGCTTAAAACAATACCTGTTTATTATTTCATCATTTACATTTGTCAAAAGACAGCACAGCTTACCTGTATTCTCTGCTCGAGGTCTTACAAAGCTGATGCCAAGGTGCTGACTAGACTGCATTCTCATTTGGAGGCTTGAGAAAGAGAAAGATCACTTCTAAGCTTCCTGGAATTGTTGCAAACATTCATTTCTTTGTGCTTCCACTACTAGGGACTACCCTTTCCATAGGTAATTCACAATATGCTACAATATGCTATTTGCTTCTTTGAGATAGGTAATTAAGTGCTTTTCTTCCTTTTCTATTTTAATTTTTTTTGTGAGACAGTGTCTTTCTATTTTGCCCAGGCTGGTCTCAAACTTCTGGGCTCAAGTGATCCTCTCACCTCGGCCTCCTAAAGGGCTGGGATTACAGATATGAGCCACCATACCCAGCCATTAAGTGCTTTTCACCTCAGGTAGAGTCCATGCCATCTGATTAAGTCAGGCCCACTCTCAAATTCCCTTTTTGATTAACTGAAAAATCAACTGATTTGGGACATTAATTACATCTGAAAATCCCCTCACCTTTTCCCTATAACATAACCTAATCACTGAAGCAACACTGCATTGTAATTACAGCCCTTCACCCATACACAAATGGAGGTTGTAAAAGAAGAGGCAGGCATCTCAGAGGCCATCTTAAAAGTAGGTCTAGTTCAATGCTTTCTGTGGTAGAATGGGCAGATTGGGAGCACTCATGCCTTCTTTCTCTTGCTATCTTTTGACTTACATGTCTCCTTTCTGCAACAAGCCTACTTATTAATCTATTCATTGTGAAATTCAAACAGGATCCTGATGTATGCATGCCAAATAGAGAACCATGTGGGCCCCATATTGTATGGTAAGTTGACACCTTGCCCAACTAGGAGATTCATAGTATCTTCTCACTTTGTTTCAAGAGGGGTATGTACTAACAAAAATAATGTTTACAATATTTTTCTCAACTCCATCTGCCTTATAGATTGGAGAGATTAAAGTACAGCAATATAGATTGTAAGGAAAACTAATTAGATAGGCAAATGGCCAAAGCACATGAAAAGATGCTCAACATTATTAGCTATCAGAGAATGCTAATCAAAATCACAAATGAGATATCACTTCACACCCACTAGGATGGTTATAATGAAAAACAACAGGCAGTTCCAAGATGGCAGAATACGAACAGCTCCAGTCTACAGTTCCCAGTGTAAGCGATGCAGAAGACAGGTGATTTCTGCATTTCCAACTGAGGTACCAGGTTCATCTCACTGGGGCTTGGTGGACAGTGGGTGCAGCCCATGGAGTGTGAGACGAAGCAGGGCAGAGCACTGCCTCACCTGGGAAGTGCAAGGGGTCAGGGAATTCCCTTTCCTAGCCACGGGAAGCAGTGACAGACAGCACCTGGAAAATTGGGTCACTCCCACCCTAATGCTGTGCTTTTCCAATGGTCTTAGCAAACAGCACACCAGGAGATCATATCCCACGCCACGCTCAGAGGGCCCCAAGCCCACGGACCCTCACTCACTGCTAGCACAGCAGTCTGAGATTGAACTGCAAGGTGGCAGCGAGGCTGGGGGAGGGGCACCCACCATTGCTGAGGCTTGAGTAGGTAAACAAAGCAGCCGGGAAGCTCAAACTGGGTGGAGCCCACCACAGCTCAAGGAGGCCGGCCTGCCTCTGTAGACTCAATCTCTGGGGGCAGGGCATAGCAGAACAAAAGGCAGCAGAAACTTCTGCAGACTTAAACGTCCCTGTCTGACAGCTTTGAAGAGAGTAGTGGTTCTTCCAGCATGGAGTTTGAGATCTGAGAACGGACAGACTGCCCCCTCAAGTGCATCTCTGAGCCCCAAGTAGCCTAACGGTGAGGCAACTTCCAGTAGGGGCCAACTGACACCTCATACGTCCAGGTGCCCCTCTGAGATGAAGCTTCCAGAGGAAAAATCAGACAGCAACATTTGCTGTTCTGCAACATTTGCTGTTCTTCAGCCTCTGCTGGTGATACCCAGGCAAACAGGGTCTGGAGTGGACCTCCAGCAAACTCCAACAGACCTGCAGCTGAGGGTCCTGACTGTTAGAGGGAAAACTAACAAACAGAAAGGACATCCACAACAAAACCCCATCTGTACGTCACCATCATCAAAGACCAAAGGTAGATAAAACCACAAAGATGGGGAGAAACCAGAGCAGAAAAGCTGAAAATTCTAAAAATCAGAGTGACTCTTCTCCTCCAAAGGAATGCAGCTCCTCACCAGCAACAGAACAAAGCTGGACGGAGAATAACTTTGATGAGTTGAGAGAAGAAGGCTTCAGACGATCAGTAATAACAAACTTCTCCAAGCTAAAGGAGGATGTTCGAACCCATTGCAAAGAAGCTAAAAACCTTGAAAAAAGATCAGATGAATGGCTAGCTAGAATAAACAGTGTAGAGAAGACCTTAAATGACCTGATAGAGCTGAAAACCATGGCACGAGAACTACGTGATGCAAGCAGAAGCTTCAGTAGCCGATTTGATCAAGTGGAAGAAAGGGTATCAGTGATGGAAGATCAATTGAATGAAATGAAGCGAGAAGAGAAGTTTAGAGAAAAAAGAGTAAAAAAAAAAAAAAAAAAAAAAAAAACAAAGAAGGCCTCCAAGAAATATGGGACTATGTGAAAAGACCAAATCTACGTCCGATTGGTGTACCAGAAAGTGACGGGGAGAATGGAACCAAGTTGGAAAACACTCTTCAGGATATTATCCAGGAGAACTTCCCCAACCTAGTGAGGCAGGCCAACATTCAAATTCAGGAAATACAGAGAACGCCACAAAGATACTCCTCGAGAAGAGCAACTCCAAGACACATAATTGTCAGATTCACCAAAGTTGAAATGAAGGAAAAAATGTTAAGGGCAGCCAGAGAGAAAGGTCGGGTTACCCACAAAGGGAAGCCCATCAGGCTAACAGTGGATCTCTTTGGCAGAAACTCTAAAGCCAGAAGAGAGTGGGGGCCAATATTCAACATTCTTAAAGAAAAGAATTTTCATCCCAGAATTTCATATCCAGCCAAACTAAGTTCCATTAGTGAAGGAGAAATAAAATCTTTACAGACAAGCAAATGCTGAGAGATTTTGTCACCACCAGGCCTGCGCTAAAAGAGCTCCTGAAGGAAGCACTAAACATGGAAAGGAACATCCAGTACCAGCCACTGCAAAAACATGCCAAATTGTAAAGACCATCAATGCTAGGAAGAAACTGCATCAACTAATGAGCAACATAACCAGTTAACATCATAATGACAGGATCAAATTCACACATAACAATATTAACCTTAAATGTAAATGGGCTAAATGCTCCAATTAAAAGACCCAGACTGGCAAATTGGATAGAGTCAAGACCCATCAGTGTGCTGTATTCAGGAGACCCATCTCATATGCAGAGACACACACAGGCTCAAAATAAAGGGATGGAGGAAGATCTACCAAGCAAATGAAAAACAAAAAAAAAAGCAGGGGTTGCAATCCTAGTCTCTGATACAACAGACTTTAAACCAACAAAGATCAGAAGAGACAAAGAAGGCCATTACATAATGGTAAAGGGGTCAATTCAACAAGAAGAGCTAACTATCCTAAATATATATGCACCCAATACAGGAGCACCCAAATTCATAAAGAGTCCTTAGAGACCTACAAAGAGACTTAGACTCCCACACAATAATAAGGGGAGACTTTAACACCCCACTGTCAACATTAGACAGATCAGTGAGACAAAGTTAACAAGGATATCCAGGAACTCAACTCAGCTCTGCACCAAGCCGACCTAATAGACATTTACAGAACTCTCCACGCCAAATCAACAGAATATACATTCTTCTCAGCACCACATCACACTTATTCCAAAACTGACCACATAGTTGGAAGTAAAGCACTCCTCAGCAAATGTAAAAGCACAGAAATTATAACAAACTGTCTCTCAGACCACAGTGCAATCAAACTAGAACTCAGGATTAAGAAACTCACTCAAAACCGCTCAGCTACATGGAAACTGAACAACCTGCTCCTGAATGACTACTGGGTACATAACGAAATGAAGGCAGAAATAAAGGAGTTCTTTGAAACCAATGAGAACAAAGATGCAACATACCAGAATCTGCAACACATTTAAAGCAGTGTGTACAGGGAAATTTATAGCACTAAATGCCCACAAGAGAAAGCAGGAAAGATCTAAAATTGGCACCCTGACATCACAATTAAAAGAACTAGAGAAGGAAGATCAAACAAATTCAAAAGCTAACAGAAGGCAAGAAATAACTAAGATCAGAACAGTATGAGATAGAGACACAAAAAAACCCTTCAAAAAATCAATGTATCCAGGAGCTGGCTTTTTGAAAAGATCAACAAATTGATAGACTGCTAGTAAGACCAATAAAGAAGAAAATAGACAAGAATCAAAGAGACACAATAAAAAATGATAAAGGGGATATCACCACTGATCCCACAGAAATACAAACTACCATCAGAGAATACTATAAACACCTCTATGCAAATAAACTAGAAAATCTAGAAGAAATGGATAAATTCCTGGACACATACACCCTCCCAAGCCTTAACCAGGAAGAAGTTGAATCCCTGAATAGGCCAATAACGGGTTCTGAAATTGAGGCAATAATTAATAGCCTAGCAACAAAAAAACATCCAGGACCAGATGGATACACAGCTGAATTCTACCAGAGGTACAAAGAGGAGCTGGTACCATTCCTTCTGAAACTATTGCAGTTAGTAGAAAAAGAGGGAATCCTCCCTAATTCATTTTATGAGGCCAGCATCATCCTGATACCAAAGCCTGGCAGAGACACAAGAAAAAAAGAGAATTTTAGACCAATATCCCTGATGAACACCCATGCAAAAATCCTCACTAAAATACTGGCAAACCGAATCCAGCAGCGCATCAAAAAGCTTATCCACCATGACCAAGTTGGCTTCATCCCTGGGATGCAAGGCTGGTTCAACATACGCAAATCATTAAACGTAATCCATCATATAAACAGAACCAAAGACAAAAACCACATGATTATCTCAATAGATGCAGAAAAGGCCTTTGACAAAATTCAACAATCCTTCATGCTAAAAACTCTCAATAAATTACGTATTGATGGGACGTATCTCAAAATAATAAGAGCTATCTATGACAAACCCACAGCCAATATCATACTGAATGGGCAAAAACTGGAAGCATTCCCTTTGAAAACTGGCACAAGACAGGGATGCCCTCCCTCACCACTCCCATTCAACATAGGAAGTTCTGGCCAGGGCAATCAGGCAGGAGAAAGAAATAAAGGGTATTCAATTAGGAAAAGAGGAAGTCAAACTGTCCCTGTTTGCAGATGACATGATTGTATATTTAGAAAACACCATCATCTCAGCCCAAAATCTGCTTAAGCTGATAAGCAACTTCAGCAAAGTCTCAGGATACAAAATCAATGTGCAAAAATGACAAGCATTCTTATACACCAATAACAGACAAACAGAGAGCCAAATCATGAGTGAACTCCCATTCACAATTGCTTTAAAGAGAATAAAATACCTAGGAATCCAACTTACAAGGGATGTGAAGGACTTCTTCAAGGAGAACTACAAACCACTGCTCAACGAAATAAAAGAGGACACAAACAAATGGAAGAACATTCCATGCTCATGGATAGGAAGAATCAATATTGTGAAAATGGCCATACTGCCCAAGGTAATTTATAGATTCGATGCCATCCCCATCAAGCTACCGATGACTTTCTTCACAGAATTGGAAAAAACTACTTTGAAGTTTATATGGAACCAAAAAAGAGCCCGCATTGCCAAGACAATCCTAAGCCAAAAGAATAAAGCTGGAGGCATCACACTACCTGACTTCAAACTATACTACAAGGCTACAGTAACCAAAACAGCATGGTACTGGTACCAAAACAGAGATATAGATCAATGGAACAGAACAGAGCTCTCGGAAATAATACCACACATCTACAACCATCTGATCTTTGACAAACCTGACAGAAACAAGCAATGGGGGGAAAAGATTCCCTATTTAATAAGTGGTGCTGGGAAAACTTGCTAGCCATATGTAGAAAGCTGAAACTGAATCCCTTCCTTACACCTTATACAAAAATTAATTCAAGATGGATTAAAGACTTAAATGTTAGACCTAAAACCATAAAAACCCTAGAAGAACACCTAGGCAATACCATTCAGGCCATAGGCACAGAGAAGGACTTCATGTCTAAAGCACCAAAAGCAATGGCAACAAAAGCCAAAATTGACAAATGAGAACTAATTAAACTAAAGAGCTTCTGCACAGCAAAAGAAACTACCATCAGCGTGAATAGGCAACCTACAGAATGGGAGAAAATTTTTGCAATCTACCCATCGGACAAAGGACTAATATCCAGAATCTACAAAGAACTTAAACAAATTTACAAGAAAAAATCAAACAACCCCATCAAAAAGTGGGGAAAGGATATGAACAGACACTTCTCAAAAGAAGACATTTATGCAACCAACAGACACATGAAAACATGCTCATCATCACTGGCCATCAGAGGAATGCAAATCAAAACCACAATGAGATACCATCTCACACCAGTTAGAATGGCAATCATTAAAAAGTCAGGAAACAATAGGTGCTGGAGAGGATGTGGAGAAATAGGAATGCTTTTTCACTGTTGTTGGGACTGTAAACTAGTTCAACCATCGTGGAAGACAGTGTGGCGATTCCTCGAGGATCTAGAACTAGAAATACCATTTGACCCAGCCATCCCATTACTGGGTATATACCCAAGGATTATAAAACATGCTGCTATAAAGTCACATGCACATGTATGTTTATTGCGGCACTATTCACAATAGCAAAGACTTAGAACCAACCCAGGTGTCCCTCAATGATAGACTGGATTAAGAAAATGTGGCACATATACACCATGGAATACTATGCAGCCATAAAAAAGGATGAGTTCATGTCCTTTGTAGGGACGTGGATGAAGCTGGAAACCATCATTCTGAGCAAACTATTGCAAGGACAAAAAACCAAACACCACATGTTCTCACTCATAGGTGGGAATTGAACAATGAGAACACATGTACACAGGAAGGGGAACATCACACACCGGGGCCTGTTGTGGGGTGGGGAGAGGGGGGAGGGATAGCATTAGGAGATATACCTAATGTAAATGATGAGTTAATGGGTGCAGCACACAAACATGGCACATGTATACATATGTAACAAACCTCCACATTGTGCACATGTACCTTAGAACTTAAAGTATAATAATAATTTAAAAAAAGAAAGAAAAACAACAAATAGTAACAAGTGTTGACCAGGATGTTGACAAATTGGAACCTTTGTCCATTGCTGGTGGGAATATAAAATGGTGCAGGCACTGTAGAAAACAAGTGGTTCCTCAAAAAGTTAAACATAGAGTTAACATATGATCCAGCAATTCCACTCCTAGCTATATACTTTAAAGAACTAAAAAATATACATCTATCCAAGAACGTATACAGAAATGTTCATAATAGGATTATTCCTAATGGCCAAATGTAGAAACAACTCAATGTCCATCACCTAATGAATGGATAAACAAATTGTATACATCTATACAATGAAATATAATTGGCCATAAAAAGGAAGGAAGTACTGATACATGCTGCAATATAGGTGAACCTTGAAAGCATTATGTGATGTGAAAGAAGCCAGTCACAAAAGACTACATGTTAAACAGTTATATCCTTAGGGACAGAAAACTGATTGGTGGTTGCTGAGAGCTGGAGGGCTTAGGGGGAAATGGGAAGTGACTAGTAACAAGTATTAGATTTCTTTTTGGAATGATGAATATGTTCTAAAATTAGAGAATGGTGATGGTTGCACAAATTTGAATATACTAAAAACCACTGGATTGTATACTTTAAAAGGGTGAGTTTTATGGTATATTAATTATATTTTAATATATCTGTTATTTTAAGGAATCAGCCAACAAGTATTTATTATCCTCTCTGTGTTTGATATGGGGTTAGTGTTCCCAAAGTCAGTATCTAATATGCAGCAATGTGAATGAAGAATATTTCCACCTAGAAGGAATATTTTTAATTTTTGTTGAAATTGTTGGAATTATGAATGAAAAACTAGAGTCAAAAACATATTTGTTATAAAAATTTCTTGCAGAATAAAGTTTCTTATAGTTTAAAGCCTTGCTACTCAAATTGTGGTCCAGTAGCATTAGCACCACTTGGCATCTTGTTGCAAATGCAGAATCACGGTTCTCATTGAGACTTATTGAATCAGAATGGGCATTTTAATAAGATTCATAGGTGTTTGGCATGCACATTGCAGTCTGAGAAGCACTAGCCTGAAGGTTAGCAGGATGACTTCATGACACTTTAATTTGCCCTTTAATCAGTGTGAGAGTAAGGTGGTGGCAGCATATTTAATATTGTATTATGTTGAATGTTCTCTATATAGACTCATCATAGATGTAATCATAATCCTAAGAAGTAAAAGTCAGTCCATTTTAATATAATTTCTTCCCTTACTTATAATCTATTACTTTCCACAGCTCTTTGTAAAATCCTATGATACATGTTTTTTCAGAGATATTTTAATGTTAATTTGCCATTATTATGAACAGTTTTATATATTTCAAGGAGACAAACCGGCTTAGTGTACTTTTTTAAAAGTATTGAAATTTTAATTAAAAGTATGGGTACAAAGATAACTTGTAATTTTTAAGTTAAATTCAGTAGTAAGGAAAACTATTTAGTGTATTATTTGATTAACGTGCCAAGTAGGTAAGTTATGCTACTTAGTTAAAAGCTGTTTGTTTTCAAAGGATTGTTATGTCCTTGTTAGAATGCTAAATTACATTTTTAATTTTCTGGAACTGCTCTTTCATTTATGTAAAAATTAAGATAACACAACGCACCAATTTCATAAAACAAAACTGTTATGTACATTAATTTCAGCAATATTTAGTAACTGTATATTGCATGTATTTTGGGATTACCATATGATAAACTTTGAAAGCATTTTGTGGAAATAATTACATATATAAATTTAGTAAAACCCAAATAACTCTATTCTTGCCTTGCTAAAGCAATATTATGTCCTTTGAATATCCATTTTGATGATAAAATGGTTTTCTTGATCTTCCTATATAGCTAGGGATTTTATTTTGCAGTTCAATTTCAGACTCTCTCAAGTATGGGCTTCTGGCCATTAATAATCACCAAGTTAGTCAGAACTTGTGTTCATTTTCTTCCTAAGTCATTATGGCAGAAGTAAAATGTAGTTTATTTGTGGTTTATTTAGGCATCCTTCATTGACATGACTTGATAGTATATATGGTTCCATTTCTTCTTCCTGCCTTTGTTCTCTTCTGGCCTATCACTTTTCAAATGAAATAATAAAAAAAATGGACAACTTACTCTTTATAAATTTTTATAAATTACTCATACTCAGGAATAGAGAAAGCAATCTCATTTACTATAGCTACCAAAACCACAAAATACCTAGGAATAAATTTAATCAAGGAGGTGAAAGATCTCTACAGTGAAAATTATAAAATGCAGATGAAGGAAATTGAAGAGAACATTAAAAAATGGAAAGACATTCCATTCTCATGGATCAGAAGATTTAATATTGCTAAAATGACCATAATAACCAAACTGATCTACAGATTCAATATAATCCCTATCAAAATACCAATGACACTCTTCACAAAAATAGAAAAAAAAAATTTGTATGGAACCAAAAAGGGACCGTGAAGAATCAAAGCAATACTGAGCAAAAAGAACAAAGTTGGAGATATCACACTACCTGGCTTCAAAATATACTACAAAGCTATATGGTAACTGAAATAGCATGTTATTGGCATAAAAACAGACATGTAGACCAGTGGGACAGAATAAAGAACCCAGAAATAAGTCCATGTATTTACAGACAACAAGTTTTCAATAAAAGCACCAAGAACATACATTGGAGAAAGAACAGTATCCTCAGTGAATGGTGCTGGGAAAAGTGAATATCCATATGCAGAAAAATGAAGGTAGATTCCCTATCTCTCACTGCATACAAAAATTAACTCATGCAGATAACGTTATTATATATTCAGAAAACCCCATCGTCTCAGTCCAAAAAGTCCTTAAGCTGATAAGCAACTTCAGCAAAGTCTCAGGATTCAAAATCAATGTGCAAAAATCACAAGCATTCCTATACACCAATAATAGACAAGCAGCCAAATCATAAGTTAACTCCCATTCACAATTGCTACAAAGAGAATAAAATACCTAGGAATACAACTTACAAGGGACGTGAAGAACCTCTTCAAAAAGAACTACAAACTACTGCTCAAGGAAATAAGAGAGGACACAAACAAATGGGAAAAAGTTTCATGCTCATGGATAGGAAGAATCAATATCATGAAAATGGCCATACTGCCCAAAGTGATTTATAGATTCAATGCTATTCCCATCAAGCTACCATTGACTTTCTTTGCAGAATTAAAAAAAAAAAACTACTTTAAATTTCATGTGGAACCAAAAAAGAGCCTGCATAGCCAAAACAATCCTAAGCAAAAAGAACAAAGCTGGAGACATCATGCTACCTGATTTCAAACTATACTACAAGGCTACAGTAATCAAAACAGCATGGTACTGGTACCAAAACAGATATATAGACCAATGGAACAGAACAGAGACCTCAGAAATAACATCATACATCTACAACCATCTGATCTTCGACAAACCTGACAAAAACAAGCAATGGGGAAAGGATTCCCTATATAATAAATGGTGCTGGGAAAACTGGCTAGCCATATGCAGAAAACAGAAACTGGACCCCTTCCTTACACCTTATACAAAAATTAACTCAAGATGGATTAAAGACTAAAATGTAAAACCCAAAACCATAAAAACCCTGGAAGAAAACCTAGGCAATACCATTCAGGACATAGGCATAGGCAAAGACTTCATGACTAAAACACCAAAACCAACTGCAACAAAAGCCAAAATTAACAAATGGGATCTAATCAAACTAAAGAGCTTCTGCACAGCAAAAGAAACTATCATCAGAGTGAACAAGCAACCTACAGAATGGGAGAAAATTTTTGCAATCTACCCATCTGACAAAGGGCTAATATCCAGAATCTACAAGGAACTTAAACAAATTTACAAGAAAAAAAAACCATCAAAAAGTGGGTGAAGGATATGAACAAACACTTCTCCAAAGAAGATATTTATGTGGCGAACAAAAATATGAAAAAAAAGCTGATCATCACTGGTCATTAGAGAAATGCAAATCAAAACCACAATGAGATATCATCTCATGCCAGTTAGAATAGCAATCATTAAAAAGTCAGGAAACAACAGATGCTGGCGAGGCTGTGGAGAAATAGGAATGCTTTTACACTGTTGGTGAGAGTGTAAATCAGTTACACCATTGTGAAAGACAGTATAGCAATTCCTCAAGGATCTAGAATCAGAAATATCATTTGACCCAGCAGTCCCATTACTGGGTATATACCTAAAGGAATTTAATCATTCTACTATAAAGGCACATGCACATGTATGTTTATTGTAGCACTATTTACAATAGCAAAGACTTGGAACCAACCCAAATGCCCATCAATGATAGACTGGATAAAGAAAGTGTGGCACATATACGGCGTGGAATACTATGCAGCCATAAAAAGGATGAGTTCATGTCCTTTGCAGGGACATGGATGAAGCTGGAAGCCATAATTCTCAGCAAACTAACACAGGAACAGAAAACCAAACACCACATGTTCTCATTCATAAGTGGGAATTGAACAATGAGAACACATGGACACAGGGAGGGGAACATCACACCAGGGCCTGTCGGGGGTTGGGGACAAGGGAAGGGAGCGCATTAAGGACAAATACCTAATGCATGTGGGGCTTAAAACTTAGATGACAGGTTGATAGGTGCAGCAAACCACCATGGCACATGTATACCTATGTAAAAAACCTGCACGTTCTGCACATATATGCCAGAACCTAAAGTAAAATTAATAATAATAATAATAATAAAAGAACTGCTCAGTTTGGGCCTTAATAAGATCAATTAAACTTTCATGGAAAAGGCAGAACTTAACCTTGTCTTCATCTATGAGTAAAATTTGTAGGCAAAGTATAAAGAAAGGGGAGGTATTTTTTGATATAAGATTGAGGGTAGAAAGAGCAAGTGTGTCGGGATGCATATGAAGGCTTTCTAGCCATAAGAGAAGTTCTATCTTGGAGAGTAGAGGAGAAGACTTTGGATAAATAGGATGAGATTTCTGTGCAAGGGCCTGAATTCTAGGTTTAGAATATAAAATTTATTCATCATGCATAAAAATCTTCAGAGGTTTATGAGAAGGAAGTGCATAGAAAACCATTGGAATTTTTTGTTTTTTGAGATGGAGTCTCGCTCTGTCACCCAGGCTGGAGTGCAGTGGTGTGATCTCAGCTCACTGCAACCTCTGCCTCCTGGGTTCGAGCAATTCTCTGCCTCAGCCTCCTGAGTAGCTGGGATTACAGGCGCCCACCACCATGCCTGGATAATTTTTGTATTTTTAGTGGAGACGGGGTTTTACCATGTTGGCCAGGCTGGTCTTGAACTCCTGACCTCATGATCCACCTGCCTCAGCCTCCCAAACTGCTGGAATTACAGGCATGAGCCACTGTGCCTGGCCAACCATTAGAAATTTTCAAGTAGGAGGTAAACTGAGTTTAAAGAAGATTAGTTGAAATTATCAAAGACTATACTTTCTAAAATAAACTATTTGTAGCATATATTGGGTTGTCTCAGTTTAAATAAAGACCAATTACATTTTCAAACCAATATTTCAAGCAATTTTACAGCACACACACACATATTTAGAATTAAAAGTATTGTGTACAAGAGGGTAAACTCTTTTCTGGTAAGAACTGATACAAATTAGTTTAGTTTTTAACGATCGCTTTTGAACTGAAAAAGACAATTCCAGCAGCTCTTAGTCCATTTTCAGAATGAACCTCTATGATGACTGCTTAGTCACTCAGAAAAAAAAGAAGTATTTTGCGTGCTTATATGCACAGCATACACAAATATAACAATGTTTATACCTGATTCTACATTTTGATGGAACTTATGCCACTGTTGTCAATTATCATGTCTTGTGGAGACTGCATAAACATAATTATATTTTAAAATAAACTCATGAATTATCTGGCTAGAAACACATATAGCAGTTGTGAAATATATTGGTGAAGGTTTGAAGCCAAAAAATACCTGTAGATCAGAAAGCACAAAACAGAATAATTTAATCACTGAGTTTTTAAGTGATATGCATAGGCTTAATTAAGTATCTTCTATTACAATAAATGGGAGCCATGAAGCTAAAGCTAGTTTAGAGAGAAAAAGAGAGGGAGAGAAACAGGGGGTCCTGGGGGGCGGTGGGAGGAAGGGGCTCTCTCTGGTAAGAATTAAACCAAACCAATATTGAAATCTTATGGTGACTTGGGAGGTCAAAAATCATTATAAAGTCACTCTTTCTTGCAACTATTCATTGATTTCCTATTGTTAACATGGAGTGTTATTTGTGTTTGTGATATTTTAAGAATATGGTAAAATTGAGGAGAGAGGAGCCAAGATGGCCGAATATGAACAGCTCCAGTCTACAGCTCCCAGTGTGAGTGACGCAGAAGACAGGTGATTTCTGCATTTCCAACTGAGGTACCGGGTTCATCTCACTGGGGAGTGTCCGACAGTGGGTGCAGGACAGTGGGTGCAGCACACCAAGCGTGAGCCGAAGCAGGGCGAGGAATTGCCTCACCTGGGAAGTGCAAGGGGTCAGGGAATTCCCTTTCCTAGTCAAAGAAAGGGGTGACAGACGGCACCTGGAAAATCGGGTCACTCCCACCCTAATACTGTGCTTTTCCAACGGTCTTAGCAAACGGCACACCAGGAGATTATATACCGCGCATGGCTAGGAGGGTCCTACACCCACAGAGCCTTGCTCATTGCTAGCACAGCAGTCTGAGATCAAACTGGAAGGTGGCAGCGAGGCTGGGTGAGGGGCGCCCACCATTGCCCAGGCTTGAGTAGGTAAACAAAGCAGCTGGGAAGCTCAAACTGGGTGGAGCCCACCGCAGCTCAAGGAGGCCTGCCTGCCTCTGTAGACTGCACCTCTGGGGGCAGGGCATAGCCAAACAAAAGGCAGCAGAAACCTCTGCAGACTTAAATGTCCCTGTCTGACAGCTTTGAAGACAGTAGTGGTTCTCCAAGCACACAGCTGGAGATCTGAGAACAGACAGACTGCCTCCTCAAGTGGGTCCCTGACCCCCGAGTAGCCTAACTGGGAGGCACCCCCCAGTGGGGGCAGACTGACACCTCACACGGCCGGGTACTTCTCTGAGACAAAACTTCCAGAGGAATGATCAGACAGCAACAATTGCTGTTCACCAATATCCGCTGTTCTGCAGCCTCCGCTGGTGATACCCAGGCAAACAGGGTCTGGAGTGGACCTCCAGCAAACTCCAACAGACCTGCAGCTGAGGGTCCTGACTGTTAGAAGGAAAACTAACAAACAGAAAGGACATCCACACCAAAACCCCATCTGTACGTCACCATCATCAAAGACCAAAGGTAGATAAAACCAGAAAGATGGGGAAAAACAGAACAGAAAAACTGGAAACTAAAAATCAGAGCGGCTCTCCTCCTCCAAAGGAAAACAGCTCCTCACCAGCAATGGAACAAAGCTGGACAGAGAATGACTTTGACGAGTTGAGAGAAGAAGGCTTCAGACGATCAAACTACTCCGAGCTAAAGGAGGAAGTTCGAACCCATGGCAAACAAGTTAAAAACCTTGAAAAAAAATTAGACGAAGGATAACTAGAATAACCAATGCAGAGAAGTCCTTAAAGGACCTGATGGAGCTGAAAACGACAGCACAAGAACTATGTGATGAATGCACAAGCCTCAGTAGCCGATTTGATCAACTGGAAAAAAGGGTATCAGTGATGGAAGATCAAATGAATGAAATGAAGCGAGAAGAGGTTTAGAGAAAAAAGAATAAAAAGAAACGAACAAAGCCTCCAAGAAATATGGGACTATGTGAAAAGACCAAATCTACGTCCAATTGGTGTACCAGAAAGTGACGGGGAGAATGGAACCAAGTTGGAAAACACTCTTCAGGATATTATCCAGGAGAACTTCCCCAGTCTAGCAAGCTAGGCCAACATTCAAATTCAGGAAATACAGAGAACGCCACAAAGATACTCCTCGAGAAGAGCAACTCCAAGACACATAATTGTCAGATTCACCAAAGTTGAAATGAAGGAAAAAATGTTAAGGGCAGCCAGAGAGAAAGGTCGGGTTACCCACAAAGGGAAGCCCATCAGACTAACAGCTGATCTCTCAGCAGAAACTCTACAAGCCAGAAGAGAGTGGGGGTCAATATTCAACATTCTTAAAGAAAAGAATTTTCAACCCAGAATTTCAGATCCAGCCAAACTAAGTTTCATAAGTGAAGGAGAAATAAAATCCTTTACAGACAAGCAAATGCTGAGAGATTTTGTCACCACCAGGCCTGCCCTAAAAGAGCTCCTGAAGGAAGCACTAAACACGGAAAGGAACAACCGGTACCAGCCACTGCAAAAACATGCCAAATTGTAAAGACCATCAATGCTAGGAAGAAACTGCATCAACTAACGAGCAAAATAACCAGATAACATCATAATGACAGGATCAAATTCACACATAACAATATTAACCTTAAATGTAAATGGGCTAAATGCTCCAATTAAAAGACACAGACTGGCAAATTGGATAAAGAGTCAAGACCCATGAGTGTGCTGTATTCAGGAAACCCAACTCACATGCAGAGACACACATAGGCTCAAAATAAAGGGATGGAGGAAGATCTACCAAGCAAATGGAAAACAAAAATAGGCAGGGATTGCAATCATAGTCTCTGATACAACAGACTTTAAACCAACAAAGATCAAAAGAGACAAAGAAGGCCATTAAATAATGGTAAAGGGATCAATTCAACAAGAAGAGCTAACTATCCTAAATATATATGCACCCAATACAGGAGCACCCAGATTCATAAAGCAAGTCCTTAGAGACCTACAAAGAGACTTAGACTCCCACACAATAATAATGGGAGACTTTAACACCCCACTGTCAACATTAGACAGATCAACGAGACAGAAAGTTAACAAAGATATCCAGGAACTGAACTCAGCTCTGCACCACGCAGACCTAAAAGACATCTACAGAACTCTTCACCCCAAATCAACAGAATATACATTCTTTTCAGCACCACACCACACCTATTCCAAAATTGACCACATAGTTGGAAGTAAAGCACTGCTCAGCAAGTGTAAAAGAACAGAAATTATAACAAACTGTCTCTCAGACCACAGTGCAATCAAACTAGAACTCAGGATTAAGAAACTCACTCAAAACCACTCAAATACCTGGAAACTGAACAACCTGCTCCTGAATGACTACTGGGTACATAACAAAATGAAGGCAGAAATAAAGATGTTCTTTGAAACCGACGAGAACAAAGACACAACATACCAGAATCTCTGGGACGCATTCAAAGCAGTATGTAGAGGGAAATTTATAGCATTAAATGCCCACAAGAGAAAGCAGGAAAGATCTAAAATTGACATCCTAACATCACAATTTAAAGAACTAGAGAAGCAAGAGCAAACACATTCAAAAGCTAGCAGAAGGCAAGAAATAACTAAGATCAGAGCAGAACTGAAGGAAATAGAGACACAAAAAACCCTTCAAAAAATCAATGAATCCAGGAGCTGGTGTTTTGAAAAAATCAACAAAATTGATAGACTGCTAGCAAGACTAATAAAGAAGAAAAGAGAGAAGAATCAAATAGATAAAATAAAAAATGATAAAAGGGATATCACCACAGATCCCACAGAAATACAAACTACCATCAGATAATACTATAAACGCCTCTACGCAAATAAACTAGAAAATCTAGAAGAAATGGATAAATTCCTCGACACATACACCCTCCCTAGACTAAACCAGGAAGTTGAATCTCTGAGTAGACCAGTAACAGGCTCTGAAATTGAGACAATAATTAATAGCTTACCAACCAAAAAAAAGTCCAGGAGCAGATGGATTCACAGCCAAATTCTACCAGAGGTACAAGGAGGAGCTGATACCATTCCTTCTGAAACTATTCCAATCAATGGAAGAAGAGGGAATCCTCCCTAACTCATTTTATGAGGCCAGTATCATCCTGATACCAAAGCCTGGCAGAGACACAACATAAAAAGAGAATTTCAGAACAATATCCCTGATGAACATCGATGCAAAAATCCTCAATAAAATACTGGCAAACCAAATCCAGCAACACATCAAAAAGCTTATCCACCATGATCAAGTGGGCTTCATCCCTGGGATGCAAGGCTGGTTCAACATACGCAAATCAGTAAACATAATCCAGCATATAAACAGAATCAACGACAAAAACCACATGATTATCTCAATAGATGTGGAAAAGGCCTTTGACAAAATTCAACAATCCTTCATGCTAAAAATTCTCAACAAATTAGGTATTGATGGGACGTATCTCAAAATAATAAGAGCTATCTATGACAAACCCACAGCCAATATCATACTGAATGGGCAAAAACTGGAAGCATTCCCTTTGAAAACTGGTACAAGACAGGGATGCCCTCTCTCACCACTCCTATTCAACATAGTGTTGGAAGTTCTGGCCAGGGCAATCAGGCAGGAGAAGGAAATAAAGGGTATTCAATTAGGAAAAGAGGAAGTCAAATTGCCCCTGTTTGCAGATGACATGATTGTATATCAAGAAAACCCCATCGTCTCAGCCCAAAATCTGCTTAAGCTGATAAGCAACTTCAGCAAAGTCTCAGGATACAAAATCAATGTGCAAAAATCACAAGCATTCTTTTACAGCAATAAAGGCAAACAGAGAGCCAAATCATGAGTGAACACCCATTCACAATTGCTTCAAAGAGAATAAAATACCTAGGAATCCAACTTACAAGGGATGGGAAGGACCTCTTCAAGGAGAACTACAAACCACTGCTCAATGAAATAAAAGAGGATACAAACAAATGGAAGAACATTCCATGCTCATGGATAGGAAGAATCAATATGGTGAAAATGGCCATACTGCCCAAGGTAATTTATAGATTCAATGCCATCCCCGTCAAGCTACCAATGACTTTCTTCACAGAATTGGAAAAAACTACTTTAAAGTTCATATGGAACCAAAAAAGAGCCCGCATTGCCAAGTCAATCCTAAGCCAAAAAAAACAAAGCTGGAGGCATCATGATACCTGACTTCAAACTATACTACAAAGCTACAGTAACCAAAACAGCATGGTACTGGTACTAAAACAGAGATATAGACCAATGGAACAGAACAGAGCCCTCAGAAATAATGCCGCATATTTACAACTATCTGATCTTTGACAAACCTGACAAAAACAAGCAATGGGGGGAAAGGATTCCCTATTTAATAAATGGTGCTGGGAAAACTGGCTAGCCATATGTAGAAAGCTGAAACTGAATCCCTTCCTTACACCTTATACAAAAATTAATTCAAGATGGATTAAAGACTTAAATGTTAGACCTAAAACCATAAAAACCCTAGAAGAAAACCTAGGCAATACCATTCAGGACATAGGCACGGGCAAGGACTTCATGTCTAAAGCACCAAAAGCAATGGCAACAAAAGCCAAAATTGACAAATGGGATCTAATTAAAGTAAAGCGCTTCTGCACAGCAAAAAAAAACTACCATCAGAGTGAACAGGCAACCTACAGAATGGGAGAAAATTTTTGCAATCTACCCATCTGACAAAGGGCTTATATCCAGAATCTACAATGAACTCAAACAAATTTACAAGAAAAAAAAAACAACCCCATCAAAAAGTGGGCAAAGGATATGAACAGACACTTCTCAAAAGAAGACATTTATGCAGCCAAAAGGCACATGAAAAAATGCTCATCATCACTCGCCATCAGAGAAATGCAAATCAAAACCACAATGAGATACCATCTCACACCAGTTAGAATGGCAATCATTAAAAAGTCAGGAAAAAACAGGTGCTGGACTGGGTGTGGAGAAATAGGAACACTTTTACACTGTTGGTGGGACTGTAAACTAGTTCAACCATTGTGGAAGTCAGTGTGGCTATTCCTCAGGGATCTAGAACTAGAAATACCATTTGACCCAGCCATCCCATTACTGGGTATATACCCAAAGGATTATAAAATATACTGGTATAAAGACACATGCACACGGATGTTTATTGCGGGACTATTCACAATAGGAAAGACTTGGAACCAACCCAAATGTCCACCAATGATAGACTGGATTAAGAAAATGTGGCACATATACACCGTGGAATAGTATGCAGCCATAAAAAATGATCAGTTCATGTCCTTTGTAGGGACATGGATGAAGCTGGAAACCATCATTCTCAGCAAACTATCACAAGGACAAAAAACTAAACACCACATGTTCTCACTCATAGATGGGAATTGAACAATGAGAACACATGGACACAGGAAGGGGAATATCACACACTGGGGCCTGTTGTGGGGTGGGGGGAGGGGGGAGGGATAGCATTAGGAGTTATACCTAATGTTAAATGACGAGTTAATGGGTGCAGCACACCAACAATGCACATGTATACGTATGTAACAAACCTGCATGTTGTGCACATGTACCCTAAAACTTACAGTATAATTTTAAAAAAAAGAATATGGTAAAATCTAGCTATAAATAAACTCATTTGTACATACACTGGGGAAATGACAAGCCTAATCACAATTCCTTTAATATAATTTTCTACGACAGAACTTGTTATACAGATATTTATTCTGTCAACAACATAATAAAAGTATTCAAATTTAAAAATAATTAACTCAAATTGGATTAAAGACCTACGTGTAAAACCTAAAACTATAAAACTGCTAGGAAAAAACATAGGGGAAAACAGTCCAGAACACTGGTCAAGAAAAAAATTTTATGGTTAGGACTTCAAAAACACAGGCAACAAAAACAAAAAGAGACAAGTGGGACTATATCAAACTTAAAAGCTCTGCACAGCAAAAGAATTAACATAGTGAAGCGATAACCTGCAGAATGGGAGAAAATATTTGCAAACTCGTCTGACAAGAGACTAATATATTCAGAATATACATGGAACACAACTCAACAGCAAACAAACAAACAAAAAACACAAAAACAAAAACAAAACAAAACACAAATAATTCAATTAAAAGATGGGCAAAGGATCCGAATAGACATTTCTCAAAAGAAGACATACAAATGGCCAAGATGTATATAAAAAAATGTTCAACACCACTAATAATCAGGGAAATGCGAATCAAAATCACAATTAGATATCCTCTCACCCCAGTTAGAATAGCTATTATCAAAAAGACAAAAAATAACAAATGCTGGTGAGGATGCAGAGAAAAAGGAACTCTCATACACTGTCAGTGGAAATGTAAATTAGTGCAGCCATTATGAAAAACAGTATGGAGGTTTCTCAAAAAACTAAAAAATAGAATTAACGTAGGATCTAACAATCCCACTTGTGGCTATCTATCCAAAGAAAAGGAAATTGGTATGTTGAAAAGATATCTGCCTTCCTGGAACCTCTATTCTTTTGTGAACAAACTTCCCTTAATAATGAATGTTTTCCTGGAGTCTTCACTGTCATAATTAAAATCTGGCCTTCTCTTGCAACTCTCAAAATAGAAACCACTTTTTCTCTCGCCTCTAAACTCAGAGCAAGGATTTGGGGTTGACTTCCTTTTTGCTCTTATTTGGCATGCTTTCCACTGTCTCTCATGAGCCCTTCCTCTTTTGAAGTCCACACCATCCACTTATACCATACTCTTCCCATTTTGTAGCTGTTATCTATAATCCCCTGGGATACATTGATTAATGATATTAGCACAGAATCCCAATTTTCTTTTTCACTGCGTACCTTGTCTTTGGGGATTTTAACATTTAACACAGCTAACTCTTACAACAGGATGGGCTCACTGTTACTTGTTCTCCTCTTGATGATCTTTATTTCCTACTCGTTATATTTACTCATACACTATACTTCATGCCCAGTTCTGGCCATCTCTCTAGAGTTTTTCCACCTTGGCCAGGCACAGTGGCTCACGCCTGTAATTCTGGCACTTTGGGAGGCCAAAGCAAGAGGATCACTTGAACCCAGGAGTTTGAGACCAGCCTGGGCAACAAAGTGAGACCCCTGTCTCTATTTTAAAAAATTTTTAAATTAGCCAGGCGTGGTGATGTGCACCTGTGGCCCCAGCTACTCAGGAGGCTGAGGCGAGAGGATTGCTTGAGCCTGGGACGTGAAGGGTGCAGTGAGCCGAGACTGCACCACCACACTCCAGCCTGGGCAACAAAGCAAGACCCTGCCTCAAAAAAAAAGAGCTTTTCTATCTTTAAGATCTCACATTTTTACCAGAACCCCTTACCCTTTAACCTCTCTCATTCCCTTACTTCTGTTCTTCTTCCTTACCATGACTTCTATTATACTTAGGAGGAAATATAATTTTTTCCCTTAAACTGGAATACTTTTGAAGGCGAGAGGCAGGTTATACTAACAATTACACTAAGAAAATAAAAATAAACTGGGACTGTATTAGGAATATCAGGACGTATGTTCACTTTACTTTTAGTCTCTCAACTCTTCCTATTTTGACGGTCAGCACTTTCTGGTCCCACTTGCTTCCCTCCCCAAGCAATTTTTAATAAAATTTTAACCCTGTTATATGATTTTTAATTGTTTTATATACATATAAGATACAAGAGTATGTAGCATGCATATATTCAATTTATGTTGTATTTATACATAATACAACAATACATGTTGTATAAACACAAAAAACAGTAATGTACTATATATTAACATGTGTATATTTAATTTTTAAACTAATAAAAGGAATAATTGTGTACCCACCATTTTGCATGTTCTATGTAGATAATCGTAAAAATTTAAAAAAATTTTGAGACAGGGTCTCGCTCTGTCACCCAGGCTGGAGTGCAATGGCACAATCATGATTCATTGCAGCCTAAACCTCCCTGGGCTCAGGTGATCCTCCCACCCCAGCCTCCTGAGTAGCTGGGACTACAAGCATGCACCACATGCCCGGCTAATATTTTTTGTACTTTTGTAGAGATAGGGTTTTGCCACATTGCCCAGTCTGGTCTCCAATTCCTAGGCTCGAGTGATCCACCCACCTCGGCCTCCCAAAGTGTTATGTTTACAGGCGTAAGCCACTGTGCCTGGCCGATAATCATATCTTTGAATAATGACAATTTTATTTATTTACTTCTAATCTTTATAACTTAAATTTCTGAAATTACTGTGCTAGCTAGGACCTTCAGTACATGCTGAGAAAAAGTGATAACAGTTTTTTTCCCCCTGATGATTTTAAAGGGAATGCTTCTAAAACTTTCCCATTAGGAATATTTGTTGCAGGTGTTTTGTAGTTACCCTTTATTACATTAAGGAAGTTCCATTATTGACATAATCATGTTTTTCTCATCTAATCTGTTAATGTGGTGAATGACATTTATAGATTTTTCTAATATTGAACTAAACTTGCATTTCTGGGATAAACACATTTAGTCATAGCATATTCTTCTACACTGTCGTAGTCCATTTCTGCTGCTATAACAAAATACCTTAAACTGGGTAATTTATAAGCAGAAATTTCTTGCTCACAGTCCTGGAAGCTGAGAAGTCCAGGATCAAGGTATGGGCAGAACTGGTGTCTAGTGAAAGCTGTTCTCTGCTTACAAGATGGTACCTTCTTGCTGCATCCTCACATGCAGAAGGGCAAAAGGGATGAATGCTGAGTCCTGTCATGGCAGAAGAAATGGAAGGTCCAGGCAGCTCTCTAAAACTTCTTTTGATAAGGACATTAATCCCATTCATGAGAGTGGAGCCCTCAAGGCCTAATCACTTCCCAAAGACCCCAGTTCTTAATACCATCATGTTGGGGTTTAAGTTCCAACAACTGGATTTTGGATCATTGCATGTACCTTTACTGATTTTCTTTCTGCTTGTCTTATCAATTGAAACAAGTATGTTAAAATATTCCATTATTTTGTTGAATGTATAAATTCCTTGCCATCGTTTTATAATTTTTGTTGAATTTGTAAACTCCTCCTTTTGGTTCTATAATTTTTGCTTTATATAGCTTGAGGTCACTGTTTTACATGCATGCAAGTTAGGAAAGTTATATCTTCCTGGTGAATTAAACATTTTCTCGTTATATAAAGACTCCGAGGATGCTTTTTGTCTTAAAGTGTATTTTAATATGAATTCACTGCTTCTTAGCTGGTATATACTTTTCTATCCTTTTACTTTCAACTCTTTGGTCTCTTGTAAATAGCATATAGCTAGCTTTTGTTTATAAATCCTCCCTGACAATCTGTCTTTTAGATAGTTTAGTTTATATTTACTGTGATAATATCTTTAGATTTGTCTCTTCTATCTTACCTTTTACTTTCTGCTCATCTCACTTTCTTTTCTTTTTTTTTTTTTTTTGAGACGGAGTCTTGCTCTGTTGCCCAGGCTGGAGTACAGTGGTGAGATCTCGGCTCATTGCAAGCTCCGCCTTCTGGGTTCAGGCCATTCTCCTGCCTCAGTCTCCTGAGTAGCTGGGACTACAGGCGCTTGCAACCATGCCCAGCTAATTTTTGTATTTTTAGTAGAGACGGGGTCTCACCGTGTTAGCCAAGACGGTCTCGATCTCCTGACCTCGTGATCTGCCCGCCTCGGCCTCCCAAAGTGCTGGGATTACGGGTGTGAACCACCACGCCCAGCCTCATCTCACTTTCTCTTTGTGTCTTTTTTATTGTAAACTTTTGGGTTATTGTTCTTTGGTTTTTTTCCTATTTCCTGTTTTTCTCTCTGTGGGTTTAGAATTTATACAGATTACCCTTGAAATTTTACTATGCATATTAGTCTTATGTGAATACGTATAATTTTTTTCTAAACAATACAAGGGCTTTAGAGTGCTTTAAATCCAATCACCTTCTTTTTTCTGACTTGCATGCTATTTTTGCCCCATATTTTATTTCTGTCCTTTTTATAACCCCACAAATTAGACATCATTATTATTTTTATTTTATACAACTAGTATTTATTTAGGTTTACATGTGATTGCCATTTCATATACTCACCACTTCTTGCACCTCAGAAAGACCATCAAAGCACCTATTCTAATAAGTTTTTATTTAGTTATTTATTTTTGTAGAGACAGGCTCTCTCTATGTTGCCCAGGCTGGTGTCGAACTCCTGAGTTTTTTTTTTTTTTAATTTAGTTTTGATTTTAAGAAATTCTATTTTTCCAAAATCTACCTGTTTATTCCTAATAGTACCTTATTGCTTGTTCAGCTTTTTATTATCCTTTGTTCTATAATCTGTATCTAACAATTTCAGTATCTTTTTTCTTAGGTAGCTAGAACTCTTTTGTATTTCCTTGTTCCTAGTTGACCCTCTCTTATAATGTCTTACCTTCTTGTGTAATTTTAATTGTGAGCTCATTGATTGATATTAAACTGTGGGGGTCCCATGGTTCTAAATTTGGGAAAGTTTGGAGTAGATATGATTATCCTTCTGCATGTGGTCATTGGGCACTATTCTCCCAGAACAATTCAGCCCATTGGATCTCAGCTCAGTTAAAGAATTCCAGGCTCAAACTTTTCTACTTGCACTGGCCAAGGCTTAGTATCCTGATCACAGTGCTGCTGTAGCTATCTTCTCTACCGGAAATGCCATAAATCCTGGATGTCCATCACTCAGGCCCAAGTTCCCAGTTCCTTTGAATAATCTATTGGCTAATCTACCAATTATGTTTTAGTTTTGATTCTATTGTGTTTTTCATTTCTATATGCTCTATGTGCTTCTTTTTCAAATCTGTTTATTTCCTTTCAAACTTCTTTTTTTAAAAATAAATAAAACATTTTCAACTGTCCCCCTTTTCCTTTCTTTCCCCAGGCCCCTGACATTTATTATGACAGCTTTTTAACCAGTCTCCTATTTATATGTTCAAGGAATGACTAGTGGAAAATAAGACAGGTAAGATAGGTTGTGGTTAGATTATGGAGGGCTTTAAATGCAGGCTTCAAGAGGTTGGCCTTTACTCTAGGAGCAAAGAGGAGCTATTGACAGTTGTTGAGCTGAAGAGTCATATAACCAGAGCAATGTTTTCAGGGTACTTACTCTGGGTAAGATAATCTGGAGAGGAGTAACTGCTTTCTTTCATACATCATATATAAAGAATTTTAAACTACTTAAACTTCCATATTTCATTGATTCTCAAAATGCATATTTTCCTTACATCTTTGAAATTGGGATGAGTCTTACAATCACTGTCAGCCTTGCTGCATTCATGATGTAGTCGTCATGTGCACATGAGTAAACTTAATCCAAATATCCTCTGGGACATTCTGGTAAGATCAAGAAAGCACTAACATCCAGATTTGCAGAATAAGTCCGAACAGCTTGGAAGATAATCCTAGAGAAAATAGTGAAGCATTCCTTTAGCACCCTCAATGCTCTTGACGGCACAGAGGATGATACCATGTGGAAAATCACAGAACTCAATGGCTATGAGTCAAAAAGACTCAAGAAAGCTGGACTTAATGAAAAGAAGTTTTAGAAATATCATAATAATTTTATTTTGCTTTGTCTATGTCTAAAGTCTAAAATAACTCTTTCAACAAATATAGAATAAAAATTTTGAGTGAATAGAAAGCATTGAGTTATTGTTTAATTGGCAGTCTATATCTTTTCTTAGTGTTACATAAAGTAGCAATGTGTCTTATAATCATGGATGTCTTAGATTTTCTGAAATTTAGTACTTGCTATTCTTATATACACCTCAGTGAATTTTCCATGCAGTTGCCCCTGCCTGGAATCCTGTTTCCCTTTCTATGCATACTAAAACCTTTCCTATCTTTCACGCTCTAGAAGTACTATCACCTTCTTCATGAAGCCTCTCCTAATATCACCAGCTAAAATTAATATTCTGTTTTTGATTTTCTATATCATTTAATCCCATTCATGGTACATATTTTCATCATTTTATTATAGTTGTTTGTGTACATGGCTTACCTTTTTTTAGTCTGTAATTTCTACTCATATTTATATCTCTCACAATGCTTTGAATTTAGTAATTAAATACATTTTTAGATATTAGTAGACAGATGACAGATACTGTCTCTTCTCTTCCGTTTCCAAAATGGCCTCTCCTTTTCCAGCCCTGAGGTTGAACTGGCTCAAAGTATCCATTCAGATCTATTTATTTATTTGGGTTAAAATTTGCCACCCCTGCATGACTTCTCTCTCTAAGTCCTGTTACTAAGGAAGTTCAGTGTAAGTGAATTTCTAAGATCTTTCTCATAACGACTGGAGGTTCTAATATACATGGATATCAGTGGAGGAGATGCTAAAGTGGGAAGAGGAAACCAAAAAGGAAATGGAAGCTTTGGTGATGATGAGAGGCAGGCATGTTGAAGGCCAGCTTTGCCCAGGGCTTTATGGAACTATTGGCTTAGCCTAGAATCTAATTTTTTTTTTTAATAGAGACAAGGTTTTAACATTTTGGCCAGGCTTATCTCGAACTCCTGGACCTCAAGTGATCTTCCCACATCGGCCTCCCAAAGTGCTGGGATTACAGGCGTGAGCCACTGCACCTGGCCCTGAGAATTTGATTTTATTCTTAGAGCACACATACTTCTCAGAAATTTCTCAGTTGTCTTTGGATTGTAACCCTTTGATTTTAAAATTTATTGTAAATACTGTAAAAAATGACCCTTAATTCCCCTACCTAAATATGACAGTTTTCATCTCTTCAAGTTCCATTCCAGGATTAGTATACCAGAATTTTATGTGATTACAGATTATATTATGATTATTTTATATCATAATATAAAATGTAATATGTATCCTCATGTCATTATATATTTCTATAATTATTATTCTTAATAGTTACATCATAATCCATGGAATATTGATTTACATAACATACTTTAAAAATATTTCTCAGTATTTGTGCATTTAAGTTTTTACAGTATTTATTGTTACAGGTAATAAAATTATTCATATAATGCAGAGATAAAGTAAATATTGACGCATGTAGCTTTACTTCATTTGAATCTGTTCCTTAGGATAAATTCTCAGAGTGTAATTACTAGGTTAAAGGCTCTTGATAGGTACATCCAAATTGCTGCAGTGGACATATCTCCCAAGCAGCCTGTATTAGTCCATTCTCACATTGTTAATAAAGATATACCCGAGACTGGGTAATTTATAAAGGAAAGAAGTTTAATGGACTCACAGTTCCACATGGCTGGGGAGGCCTCGCAATCATGGCAGAAGGCAAATGAGAAGCAAAGTCACATCTTACATGGTGGCAGGCAAGAGAGAATGAAAGCCAAGTGAAAGGGGGAAACCCTTTATAAAACTATCAGATCTTGTGAGACTTACTCACTACCACGAGAATATTATGGGAGAAACTGCCCCCATGATTTAATTATCTTCTCCCATCCGGTCCCTCCCAAAACTTGTGGGAATTATGGGAGCTACAATTCAAGATGAGATTTAGGTGGGGACACAGCCAAACCATATCACAGCCATTTGACGGGTGGAATTGATTCCTCCACCACCACCACCTCCAATCATGAGCCCTCATTAGTCTTAGCAAATCTGGGCAATCCATTCCTTTGCCATAGTATTTTGTTGAGGTAACCCAGGCTTAAGCTGTTCAGCATATAGTATTCCCCTGGCCAAAGAAATTGGTTCAGTGGTGGCCCTGTCAGTGTGGAGCCCAGAGCTTCTTTCCTGGTTTTAGAAGGCAGCATAATCTTCTCCCCAGGATGTTCAAAAGGAAGAGAAAAGTTGCTTTAGCAGCCCTTTTGCAACAATGAGGGTGGCAATGTGAGGATGAAGCAAACACAAAGAGGCAGGCAGAGCTGAAGGAGTTACAAAGAAACAGAGCTAGAACCAGGATTAAATTGTGCCTTGAATCCTCCTTACCCTAAGCCCTTAGTTGTATGATTCAATAAATCCCCTTTGTTTGAGTCAATTTAAATTGGGCATCCTGTTACTTCTAAGCAGAAGCATACTGACATATATTTTTTAAAGAGTTCTATGAATTTATATTGCTATTAGTTGAATTGAAACTTCTTCATTAAGTATTTTAAATTGCTAATTTAATAAATACCTTATTATTGCCTTAATCTTGTTTTAGTTGAATACCTGCCCATATGTTTGCTTCCTATTTTTATTTTCTCATATGAATTGACTGTTCATGTCCTTTATCCATTTATATGCTCATTTATTTGTTCATTCATTCATTGAACAAATTTGTCTTGAATGTCTACTATGAGCCTAGTCTTGATGACATTTTAAAAATAAATTCAAATAAACTCTTTATACAGAATAGCCATTAAACCTTTGCCTATCATAGTTGATGCAATTTTTTCCTAAGGTAGAGTTTCCCACTTATTTCAGCCTTTTTGTTCATTCATTAACTCAGCAAATATCTATTGAGCTCATGCCAGGTTCAGTTTCAGGTCCCAGGCATATGGCAATTAAAAAAAAATTTCCTGCCTTTATTGTGCTTAAATTCTAGTAAGGTCAACATATAAAAAATAAATAAACAAGTAAATTTATGGTAGGTTAGATGACGATAGATGCTATAGTTCAAGAAAAATAGTTGTCAAAATGAGGTCAGGGAGTACTGGGTGGAGGTGTTGCTATTGCAAACAGGCTGGTAAGGAACATTTGAGCATGTAGCTACCTGGATGAAGAGCATTTGGGGCAGAGGAAAATAGCAAGTGCAAAGGCCCAGAAGAAGGAGCTTGCATGAGATATTCATGGAACAGCAAGGAGGTCAGCATGGTTGCAGCAGAGTGAGTAGAGAAGGAGACAAGCTCAGAGGAACCAGGAAACCAAATTATACAGATCTTTGTAGGCCATTACAAGGATTTTAGATTTTATTATACAGAGGTTTGCTTATGTCAATAGTGTAATTAAAATAGCTAATCAGCCTAGGTGTGGTGGCTCATGCCTGTGATCCCAGCTACTTGGGGAGGCTAAGGCAGGAAGATTGCTTGAGCCCAGGAGTTAAAGACAAGCCTGGGGAACAGAGTGAGACCCCGTATCTTAAAAAACAGAACAAAACAAAACAAAAGGATAACAGTTAATCATGTCCTTTGAAATTTCTTTTCCTGGGCTGGGTGCAGTGGATCATACCTATAATTCCAGCACTTTGGGAGGCCAAGATGGGAGGATTGCTTGAGCCTAGGATTTTGAGACTAACCTGGGCAACATAGTGACACTCAATCTCTACCAAAAAAAAAAAAGTCACAAAAACTAGCTGGACATGGTGGCATGCACCTGTGGTCTTATCTACTCAGGAGGCTGAGGTGGGAGGATAGCCTGAGCCTAGGAGGTTGAGGCTGCAGTGAACTATGATGGTGCCACTGCACTCCAGCCTGGGGGACAGAGCATGACCCTGTCTCAAATAAATAAATAAATAAGTAAATAAATTTTCCTGAAATACATCACCTTTTCAAAGACATAATGCGTATGGATTCTCTTTGTTTCTGTCTTTTAATTCTCAATTTTTTTCTTGAAACAAAGTTTCACTCTTGTTGATCAGGCTGGAGTGCAATGGCACAATCTTGGCTCACTGCAATCTCCACCTCCTGGGTTCAAGGGATTCTCCTGCCTCAGCCTCCTAAGTAGCTGGGACTATCGGTATGTGCCACCGTGCCTGGCTAATTTTTGTATTTTTAGTAGAGACAGGCTTTCACCATGTTGGCCAGGCTGGTCTCAAACTCATGACCTCAGGTGGTCAGCCCACCTCTGCCTCCCAAAGTGCTGGGATTACAGGCATAAGCCACTGTGCCCAGACCAATTCTCAATTTTTATTTTTATTTTTCATTTTTTTTGAGATGGAGTTTCACTCTTGTTGCCCAGGCTAGAATGCAATGGTGCGATCTCGGCTCACTGAAACCTCCGTCTCCCGGGTTTAAGCAATTCTCTTGCCTCAGCCTCCCAAGTAGCTGGGATTACTGGCGCCTGTCACCACACCTGGCTAATTTTTTTGTATTTTTAGTAAAGACAAGGTTTCAACACGTTGACCAGGATGGTCTTGGACTCCTGACCTCAGGTGATCTGCCCACTTCGGCCTCCCAAAGTGCTGGGATTACAGGTGTGAGCCACCGCGCCCGGCCAGAAAGAATATTTTATTTTAATTTCTGTGGTAGTTAGTGGCAGGGGAAGATACAGCACCCCAGAGTGTAAAATTGAGGAGGCTGTCATTCTTTCACTCAACAAATATTTGTTGAATGCCTCCTATGGGTGCTAGGTCCTAGGAGCACAACAGTGAACAAAACAGACAAAAATCCTTGCTATCTTGAAACTCATAGTCTAATCATCTTCACAGGATGCAGCAGATTTTACTGGAAAATGCTAGAGGATTGCTTGTCCATAATTTAGTGTGCTTTCTGCTTGTTTTATTTGGATCTGATTCTGAAGTTTTGCCAGTGATGGCTGGGAATGACTTGTAATGATATTGGGTAGTATTCAGAATGTAATGTGAACATAGAAGTGTCATTGAAATATGCAGCCCCTGTACCTGTATTGTAGCTGTACCCATGAATCTATTTTGAGAGGAATGGGTTTCTTGTTTGGCCTTAGAAGAGTTTGTGATCTCATGCTCATTGACCTAGGCAATATTGTGAAGGTTGTATTAAGTTTATGGAACTTGTTTAACCTGAACTGCTTGATATATATTTTCCCTAACTGTTTTTGATATTGATTTAGTCCTTTAGTCTGAAAGTCTTTATTGGCTATTTTTAACTGCTTAGAGACTTGGGAGTAGTTGAAAACAAAGGACAAAATCTGAAGGTAAATATTAGAAGTCTTTATGGAAGGGATTTGAAGAACAGATGGCATCCTTATGTAGTGATAGCTGGTATGAGGACATAGGAAGGTTGGGAGAAGACAGCAAAGAAGTACAAAGTAAGATAAATGAAGATTTCCTAAACCCCCAGATCACTGATGAAGTTAGACCTAGTCTAGAAATTAATTAGGGCATATTCAGTGGTCTGAAAGAATTCCTTTTGGCATGAGTCTAGTCTGAACAGTTTGAATTTCTCAAAAACAACAGTTGTGGTAGAACAGCTGTTATTTTACATCTGAAAATCTCTGCAGCACACTCCCTGTGCCCTGGATTTGGCTATTTTTCATTAATAAGGCTGGAGCTCCTGGAAGAGAAAGCAATCTTGGATCTTGGGATGGGGAAAAGCACTGAGACAACACTGGTGCTTTAACAGCAGCTTGTGAAAGGGCATTTTGCAGGGAGGGGAAGTTTAAAGAGGCTATAAGAAGAGTCAAAAAAGAAGGAAAGGAGGGAGGGAATCAGCAGTGAAGCTGCCTATGACAAAAGGACAAGCAATTGAATCAGTGCAGGAAAGCATGAAAGAAGAAGCAACCATAGGGTTTCTGATAGGGGAGGCTGGGTTTGACAAGCAATCATTGTTAACAGTGTATCCACCATCTTATACATATTATCTTATTTAATCTTCACAGCAACTCTATGATATAGTTACTATTATTACCCGATTTTACAAATAAGAAAGCCAAGGTATAGTGAAGTAATTTTTCCAGTTACCCAGTTAGTTAAGTGGCAGAGCCCGGACTCAAGTCCATGCTCTTAACCATTACATTACACAGTCTTTTAGAAGCCATGTAAAAAGAGCTAAAGCAGGATTTTGACATCATCCCAAGGCTAAAATTTTTCTTTTGTTGTAGTTCTTATTATTCCCTGTTTAGTGTATGTGGATTTATTTTGTAATATGAGGTGCTTTAAACTGTTTGGGGTTCCTCCATGAGTGAGGGCTAATTTTGCTTTTTTTTCAAGTTATCCAGTGGAGAATGGTTGAATCTATATATTCCTGAGCCAATTCCAGGACTAAATCCATGATCACTCGGCTAGCCCATGCTTTTAATGCTCTGTATTTTATTTGTGAACCCCCTCCAATCTCGCAGAAGCCCAGTGTGTACGGGGGTAATGACTGTCTTGGGGTGATTTAGTCAGTTTCAGTGACCTCCATCAGCAAAAAATGACAGGCTTATAAAGCAAATAAAAAAGGTAGGAATATTAAAAGTGATTAGAAAAAGGAGAAAATTCATCCTGAGAAGAGAAAGCCTTGAGAAAAGATGGAGAAAGCAGAATCAAAACTTACCAAGGCCTTTGGACTACATTCTTGTCTCTTAAGGAGAAGAGAGCTGAGATATGAGTGACAGGGCCTAACTGAGCCAAGTACAGGGATCTTGCTATATTCTGATGAGCTCTGGCAGGAAGTTATCAGGGGAGAAACTAGAGCTTTGCAACTGTCTATGTTTTGGGCAGAGTTTAGAGAAGACAGCATCCCCACTGTACTTTGAAGTGTCCCTTTTAAGAGTGCCAAGTAAAATAATAATATTAATAATAATAGACTGGATAAAGAAAATGTGGCACATATACACCATGGAATACTATGCAGCCATAAAAAAGGATGACTTCATATCCTTTGCAAGGACATGGATGAAGCTGGAAACCATCACTCTCAGCAAACTATCACAAGAACAGGAAACCAAACACTACATGTTCATACTCATAAGTGGGAGTTAAACAATGAGAACACATGGACATAGGGAGGGGAACATCACACACTGGGATCTGTCAAGGGGTTGGGGGCTAGGGGAGGGATAGCATTAGAAGAAATATGTAATGTAGATGATGGGTTGGTGGGTGCAGCAAACCACCATGGCACATGTATACCTATGTAACAAAACTGCATGTTCTGCACATGTACCCCAGAACTTAAAGTATAATAATAATAATAATTACCTAAGAATTTTCTTTTCATAAGAAACCTAGATTTTCTGCATCTCTGGAGTTATTTTTACCCTGGGAGATGGTGCTGAAAAAATGATAAGTTGACTCAAGGAAAATGGATATCTTTAATATTTAGCATTCCATCTATGAACATGGCATGAATTTTATTTATTGAATGTATCTTTTATATCTCCTGAAAATAAAACTTCTACCTTTGGTAAGTAAATTAAATCTAGAACCCTTAACTCCTGTACCCTAGAATTTTCTCCCCCTGGGGTCTCTTGGAATAGCTAGTGGTTAAGAGCATGGGGTTTGGAGTTGGACAGAGCTGCATTTCTATTCAACTTCTGCCATTTTCCTTGCTGTGTAATGTGGGATAAACCAGTACACCTCTTTTAGCTTCAAGTTTCTCACTTATAAGTGGGGGTGAGAAATAAAATTGCCTACCTCACCAGGTTGTTGAGAGGGTTGAATGAGATAATGTGTGTAAAGCAGTGCTGTACCTGGCTCAGGCACTCAATTATCAATAGTTACTGACAACCCCACTTATGCCTACCAGTGAAGAAAGAGGTCCCACCTTCCATTCAGCACTTTGGCCTAAATGTAGACACAGTAACCTTTCCTGAGTACCTTTTAGTATAGTTGAGGTAAGGCTGAAACATTGGACAATATTGTTCTAGAGACTAGGGAATAACAGTAAATAAATAAACACAGAGAAAAATATGAAACCAGGTAACTGTCCTTTATAACATAAGGCTTGCTTTTCAGAACCCCATCTCATCTAGGTCTCTACCTATTTCCATCAGGTGGATATCATCTTAGCAACCCACCACCACCCAGGAGCATAAGGTGAGAATTTACGAATCCCCCAATGTCTGAATCCAAGATAGCTAGACTTAGAGAAAGACAAGCAATTCATTTCTTGCCAACTTAAGAACCTGTCTTTTTTGCTCAAATGATTGATAATCTGGAATAATTACTGTTTTCCAGGGAGACTCCATCCATGCTTCATCCACATGAGTGTGGCCTTTCCCTACAGTTATAATTTGACAAGGATTTCAGAAAATCACACACTATATCAATAGTTATCAAAACACACATATATGGGTGAGAGTGGAGGCTTTTTGTTAACATCTTCCAACAGTTTTGTAGTTTTCTTTATATGGATAATATACCTCTCTTGAAACATTCATTCTTAAATTTTTTTATATTTTCTATGGCAATTTATTTAATACTTATATCTTATTTCTTTTTCATATCTTATTGAATTGACCAGAAGTTCAAAATGATATTAAAAATGATAGAAGATGTCTATTTTGCTTCCTTTTTTAAAGAAAGAGATGTTTTTCTTTCTTTCTTTCTTTCTTTTTTTTTTTGTTTGAGATGGAGTCTCACTCTGGAGTGCAGTGGTGCAATCTCGGCTCACTGCAACCTCTACTTCCCGGGTTCAAGCGATTCTCCTGCCTCAGTCTCCTGAGTAGCTGGGGTTACAGATGCACACCACCAGGCCCGGCTAATTTTTGTATTTTTAGTAAAGACGGGGTTTCACTATGTTGGTCAGGCTGGTCTTGAACTCCTGACCTCGTGATCTGCCTGCCTCGGCCTCCCAAAGTGCTGGGATTACAGGCATGAGCCACCACACCCGGCCTTTCTTTCTTTCTTTCTCTTTCTCTCTCTTTCTCTTTCTTTCTTTCCTTCCTTTTTTGATACAGGGTCTCACTCTGTTGCCCAAGCTGGAGTGCAATGGTGGGAACATGGCTCACTGCAGCCTTGACCTGGGCTCAGGCGATCCTCCCACCTCAGCCTCCTGAGTAGCTGGGACTTCAAGCATGCACCGCCATGCCCAGCTATTTTTTTTTTTTGAGAGATGAGGTTTCACAATGTTGCCCATGCTGGTCTTGAACTCCTGAGTTCAAGTGATCCTCCTACCTTGGCATCCCAAAATGCTAGGTGTGAGCCACCAAGACTGGTCATTAATATTTCTTTAGTTACATATAATTTTGCCTTGTGTTTTAAATCAATGTTCTTAATCATGTTATCCTTATTATTTTCATGGATATCCTTATCATGCTTATCCTTCCATTCCTAATTTTACAGAATGTGTTTTCAATGTTATCATATGCTCTTTTGGATATCTCTTGGAAATGATTCTTGATACATCGGGCAAACACTTATTAAGCTTCTACAATGCGTCAGATACTGTGTGAGAGTGCTGGAGAGAAGAGGATGAATAGTGTCACAGGCTAGTCAAAATAAGGACAAGATGGCAACCATGACAATACAGCATGGCAGATGCTAAAACAGACAGAATGCAGTTTAACTCAGAGCTTCCTAACTGATGCCAATGACAGATTGAGTCGGAGTTGCAGGCAATGCTGATATTCAGCAGGTACACACCAGGACAGCTAGACCCTTAAAATATTGAAACACTTCCATAGTAAATCACTATTGCCCTGAGCACACTGAGTACCCTCTCACTGACCCAGCTATTCCCTGGGACACACTCCCAGAATCCACCAACTAAAGCGATAACACCTGGCACAGCAAGAGACCATCAGGACCCTGATGTAATGCTGCTGCCCAGCGTCTTTTCTAATTGGTCCATCCCTGTGCTTTGCCACTTGGTAAACACTGTGAATAGCATACCTGGTTATAGATCTGCCAATATATCCATCCCCTCAACTATTAGGGTGGCCAGTGGGCTTGGGACAGCCAGAAACCCTTCTCTCCACCTCCAGCTAAGAACAGCCTCGTTTGCATACCTCAGTGGCCCTTACAAATATTTTTATTTTCTTTCTTTTTTTTTTTTCTCTTGAGGCAGGATCTCAGTCTGTCTCCCAGGCTGGAGTGCAATGGCAGAGTCGAGGCTCACTGCAGCCTCGACGTCCTGGGCTTAAGTGATCCTCCCACCTTAGTCCCCCTGAGTAGCTAGGACTATGGGCACAAGCCGCTACTCCCGGCTAATTTGCGTATTTTTTGCATAGACAGGGTTTCACCATGTCGCCCAGGCAGGTATCAAACACCTGGACTCAAGCCATCTGCCCGTCTCGGCCTCCCAAATTGCTGGGGATTGCAGGCGTGTGCCACCGCACCCAGTCTCATTTTCTATGTATGCCACAAAAATGTTGAGAAGAACTGATTTAACCTATGGTTAACATTATACTAGTAGACTGCTTTAGGCTGAACCACTGTTGCTTTCCGAGGATTAATTCTTTATGATTGTGATGTTTTGCTCCCTTCAAGCTTTGCTGAACTGTTTGCTTGTATTGGGGCTAAAGTTTTTGGACCTATCAACTATAATATAGTTTACATTTGGTCTCCGGTGTTCATGTTTTATTTTATGTTTATCACGTTTTGGGATCAGGACCATATTTGTTTCGTGGGGTGAAAGGCACATGCTTTTTCTGCTTTCTCCTTTGAAGGTTTAAAATTACTTACCATTAGGTTTAGGAACTTTGTGTGACAGTTTCTGAATTTATTCTTCAGTTATTAATTTATTCAGCTTTTCTACTTGTTGTGGTATGAATTTTAGTATTTTATATTTTTGTAGACAAAAAGGATCTATTGCACTATATTTTTAAAATGTATTAGCATACAATTGTGCATAGCATTTTCTTACAATTAAAAAATATTGTTTATACTGGTTGTTATATCCCCTTTCTCATTTCTAATTTTATGTATGTGTTTTTCTTACATAGATTTGCCAGAGTTTTATCTACTTTATTAGCCCTTTCAAGCAGCAAGCTCTTGAATTTATTTATTAATTCAACTGTTTTTACAACCTCTAATTTATTTATTTTTGCTTTTATCTTTATTATTTCCTTCCTCCTATTTTCCTGCGCAACTTTTTACCATTTTTGGAAAAGGTTAAGCTCAATGTTTTTATTTTATTGGCCTCAAATTTTAATAAGGAGAGGTAAAGACCACGTCGTTGTATGTGTGTCAAAAGCCTCTTTCTCTGAGCTTGATAGATGCTGGAGGAATAAGGGAATGAAGACTGCCAGGAGTCCAAAGTCAAAAGAGTATGGCAGTGAATGCTCCTCCACAATAAGTCGCGTTTTCCCAAAGCATTTCTCCACAGTGGGGCAGTAGGGAGTAAGAAGTGTTGCAACTAGCTTTCCGGAGAGTCAAAGGTATTCTGCTGTGCTCCGAAACCTGTGCGTATGTTAAGTTGGGAGTCCTCCACCCAGCCTGTCTGCTGTGGGTGCCGATGCGTGCTTGTAATTCTTGTTCTCTGGTGTTGGCTTTTTCTGAGGCTTGTTTTCCTTTCTGTTCGTCACAGTAGTTAGGTAGCTCAGCTCTTCAGACTGCTGTATTAGCTAAGCCAAAATCGCCTGACTCCCTTCAGGGGTCGGACAGAAGAAGACTTTGAGCTTGAGCTCAAGCTGCGACGACATGGCTGCTGCCACTATCACCACGGCTCCCTCCTCTTATCTGACTCAAAAGTTTTGGCATTAGAGGCTTAAGGCATAGATTGGCTGTCTCATGGTCCCAGGAGGAGTTGATGGGAAATGGCTTGTGAGCTTAAATTGTTTTAGAGATGTGGGGGTCGGGGAGGAAGAAAAGAAAGAAGAGGACGAGAAGGAGGAGGAGGAGGAAGAAGAAGGGTAAAAAAAAAAAATGGGAGTAACCTACAAAGGAAGGGATTCCCAGGGGGAAGAGGAAGCAGGTGCAAGGAAGGCCCATGCTTTTCTTCCCAAAGCTCAGGCATCCTGCTTCTGAGTCTCCCCCTTCAAAAACGTATTTCTCCCACCCTGGCTCTTGTTACGAATCAGTAGGGGGCAGCAGTCCCAGTTTTAGGTGTAAGTATAATAGGTGGTGCCTATGGCCTACAAGGCCCTATAAGATCTGACACCTCTAATAGGCCCCTTCACTTCCTATGCCCCACCCACATTCGCCTTCTTTTTGATCCTTAAGCCTGCCAAACCCTTTCCCACTTTTGTACTTTCTAGTACCTCTGCCTGAAACATGCTTCCTCTGGCTTTCTCATGGTTGGCTGTTTCTCATCGTTTAGGTCTCAGCTCAAATGAATTGTCACCTACTTGCAGAAGCCTTCCCCTGAGCACCTTAGCCTAACAAAGCACTGCCCCCAACCCCAAGCTACTCTTAATCCCATTTTTTTTTGCTTTATTTTCTTCATAGAAATTCTTATTTGTTTTCTTCTCTCTCTTTTTTTAGCGACCAGGTCTTGCTCTGTTACCCAGGCTGGAGTGCAGTGCCACAATCATGGCTCACCACAGTCTTTAACTCCCAGACTCAAGCAATCCTCCTACCTCAGCCTCCCAAGTAGTTGAGACCACAGGTGTGAGCCACCACACCTGGCTAATTTTTGTACTTTTTGTAGAGACAGGGTTTCACCATGTTCCCAAGGCTGATCTGGAACTCCTGACTGCAAGCAATCACCCCATCTCCGCCTCCCGAAGTGTTAGGATTACAGGCACGAGCCACTGCACCCAGCCTTGTCTGTCTCTTTCACCTGGTTGTAAGCTTTACTAGGCCAGGGAATCTTACTGCCTTGTTCACTCCTGTATGCCCAGGTGCTCATAACCAGTGGTTAGCACATGGTATACATTCGATAAATCTGTTTTGAAGGGATGAATGAATCAATGTGCCAAGCATTATGCTAGGTGCTGGTGGCACAAACCCAAAGGGAGTTCATAGAACAGTGGGAGAGAAATAAATATAAGTGAATAATTGTTAAATAATGGGAGGCATGTATACTGTACCAATATAGGCTTCACCTCTGTATTCAGAACAGACTTTTAAATCCTGGCTCTAACATTTACTAGTCACATGACTGTGGGTGATTGCTCAACCTCTCTGTGGCTCACTTTCCTTATTTATAAAATGAAAATAATAATCATAATACCCCATGGAATTGTTAAGAACATTATATGAGATGATATAAAGGGTCAGTACAGTGTTTGATAAATGGGAGTTATTATTACTGAATCTCTAGAGTGGTATATATAGAGTATGTTGCAATTATTTCTTTTTTTTTGCTTCTGCCTATCTTTGGTTCTGGCTGCTCTAATGGAGAGCAGTCCAGATCTAGAAGGAACTGCAGTGATGTTCATTAACAGCAAGCTTGCTCAGAATAGCTTGGGCCTGGCTGATGGAGCTGGAAAGTGCTTTTCTGAGAGGGAGTGGTGCCTTCTACTTTCCATTCCATCTTACAAAGCCAGGCCAGTGTAGGGAAATTAATTCAGGCCTTTAAAAGCTGATAAATGCAGAGGCACCTACTGCTAATATTTCAATCAAGTGTCAAGATAGAACTGATTAAAAGAGGATTCAAAAGCTTCTAGTGGATGGAAGCTGTATTCCTTAACTATTATCATGTAAGACATCATATTTTTTTATTTGACCCCAGTTAGTCCATATTGCTAATACTTTAAGGGGAAAAAAAGTCCTATTTTGTACAGTGTTATTATGCATTAATTTGAGAGAAATGTATTTTAATGCACTTGGCATCCTCTTGGCTCTCCTTCATAATTATGGGACTAATTAAACATATACTTGTAAGCAATCAGTGTTGGGGCTGAAAAGGGATTATAGGGATTATTCAGGTGGACCCTACATTTTTTAGAGGAGAAACAGGCCCAGTATCTAGCTTGAAGACATGTCTTGAAGAAAGCAGTGTTTTAGAAAGTTTAGTCTGGTAGCGCAGCAGAAAACCTCCATTGGCCTGCTACCAATTGAGCCTCCTCTTTTCTGTTCTGGCCCTGCTCCTCCTGTTCCTGTTTCATAATTCAGCAAAGTAATTGAGTGCCTAGTGGTTGCCACATCCTCTGCTAAGTACTGGATATGAGCAGTATACAAACATGGCTGCAGTTGTTGTTCAGCCAGCAGTCGAAGAGAAAGACAGATAAATAAACAAGCAATAGGGGAAGTACAGGATATTGGGGGGAGCACCTAGGAAGCTTACTTAAGCCGTTCTAAGCGGGGTGGGGATGGGAGAGGG
Organism: Homo sapiens; assembly: GCF_000001405.40. Lineage (NCBI taxonomy): Eukaryota > Metazoa > Chordata > Mammalia > Primates > Hominidae > Homo > Homo sapiens. The sequence continues at coordinate 134,024,018 of NC_000023.11, read as the reverse complement.
TGATCATCAAAGGCTTCCAGGAGGAAGTCTTTTGATTCTATCTAAACTACAGGGCTCAAGTTTGAATGAGACTTAATCATGTGAGTGGGGGGTGGAGAAAAGGAATGGATTACTGACAGAAGGATTCCCTGTACAAAGGCTGGGCAATGAAAGAGAACATAGTGCGGCCATAAAAAGGATGAAGCACTGATCCATGCTACAACATGGATAAACCTTGAAAATATTATGCCAAGTGAAGGAAGTCAGACACAAAAGACCACATATTGTATGATTCCATGTATATGAAAAGTCCAGAATAGGCAAATCCTTGGAGACAGAAAGTAGATTAGTGGTTGCCTAAGGCTAAGGGGTGTGAGGCTTCTTTTTGGGGTAATGAAAATGTTCTAAAATTGATTGTGGTGATGAATGTACAATTCTGTAAATATACTAAAAGACATTGAATTTTACAGTTAAATAAGAGAATATGGCATGCTGTAGAAATAAAAAAAATGATGTGGCTAAAAAACGGGGGGACGGAGAGAGAGAGAGGCAAGAGATAAAGTTAAAGAGAGAATACTACTACTAAAAGGTAATATTGGCAGGACGCGGTGGCTCAGACCTGTAATCCCAGCACTTTGGCAGGCCAAGGTGGGTGGACCACTTGAGGTCAGGAGTTCGAGACCAGCCTGGCCAACATGGTGAAACCTGACTCTACTGAAAATACAAAAATTAGCCAGGCATAGTGGTGGGTGCTTGTAATCCCAGCTACGTGGGAGGCTAAGGCAGGAGAATCGCTTGAACCTGGTAGGCAGAGGTTGCAGTGAGCCGAGAGTGAGTCGCTGCACTCCAGCCTGGGTGACAGAGTGAGACGCTGTAAAGAAAAAAACAAACAAAAAAAAAACAATAACCCTGGAAGGTAGGCATTGTAATTACTCCGTTTTATAGCTGAGAAAACTCAAGTACAGGGAGGTTAACTTGCTCAAAGTTACACAGCTACTAAAAGTGTTAAAGCTGAGATTTGAACCCAGCCAGTCTTGCTCAAGTCTAATCATTACACAGCACTGTCAAAGCAAGATCTGATTATGAAGGGCCTTGAAAATCATGTTAAAGAGTTTAATTTTTTTCTTGAAGGTCTTTGAAGTGTTTTAAACAAAGGTGATAAGATCAGATCTGTATGGAAAAAAATCAATGGCATTCTTTTGCAATGTGACCAACTGAACTGGAGATGAGACAGGGTGGCAAGATCAGAGGCAGTGAGTTCAGTAAGTTGGTCTGAACTTGGGGGCCTGAAGTAAGAATGGCAGTTGCAATGAGGATGGAGAGAAGTGAATGGATTTCAAAAATTTTTAGGAGATTTAATTGGCAGGACTTGATGACTGACTGAATGTGAAGTGGGAGAAAGAAGGAATAGAGGTTGACTCCCAGAATTTTCCCTTGGGCAGCTGGGTTGATGGCGGTGCTATCTTCTGAGATCAAAGAAGGAGGATGAGTTCAGCTTCAGGCATGTTTGTACCCATGAGACATTCAAGTCTAGATGTTGAGTTAGGAAGTTGGGTATAGGGATCTGAAAAAGAGAAAAGACCATGCCATAAATACAGATTTGGGGAGTTATCAGTCTATAGATGGCATTAGAAGCTGTGGAAGTAGGTGACAGTGTTCAGGAGGATGTGTCAGGTGAGAAGAGAATGGGGACTAGGACACAGACCCAGTGAACACCCCAGTGAACACCTTAAGGATTGGCAGATATGAGGAGACAGAGCTAGAGGAGCCAGAGAAGTAAGACAAAAAACAGGAGGTACGGTCTTATAGAAGCCCAATGAAGAGAGTGTTTCAAGAATGAGGAAGGGGGCTGAATGCAGTGGCTCACACCTGTAATTTCAGAACTTTGGGAGGCCGAGCCGGGTGGATCGCCTGAGGTCAGGAGTTAAAAACCAGCCTGGCCAACATGGCGAAACCCCGTCTCTGAAAATACAAAAATTAGCGGGGTGTGGTGGTGGGCGCCTGTAATCCCAGCTACTCTGGAGGCTGAGGCAGGAGAATCGCTTGAACCCGGGAGGCAGAGGTTGCAGTGAGCCGAGATCGCACCATTGCACACCAGCCTGGGCAACAAGAGCGAATCTCCGTCTCATAAAAAAAAAAAAAAAGAGGAAGGGAAGAGTGCGTCAGATACATCTGAGAGCTAAGGACTGAAAAAATGCCCATTGGGTTTTGCAATAAGGAGTCCATTGGTGAGTGCAATTTCAGTGGAGTGTGGGAAGAAAAAGACTGATTATAGTCATTGAGAGGAAGATTCATAAGAAGCTTGATTTTTTCCTTTTCTCATAGATCCCACTACCTGATTTTTCTCCTTGAGTTTCTCTCTGCCTGAGCCCATCTCTCAAGCCTTTTACCCAACCCCAATTTTAGTACCTCCTTCAGGGCACTCAAGCTCTTTGCCCTTAAAGCTCTATTTTGTTTTAAAGATTTTGCTGGCAATGACTAAATGGAAGTAGGCAAAAGGAAAGTAATTTCTAAAAAAAAACAAATCTGGGGAAGTGATTTCAAGCTTTTAGAAATCTGATAACTTTCTCATCATGGTTATGTCCTAGACTAGTATTTTCTAAAATATTTACGGCAGGTATTATATGATAAAAGGGTTCCATAATTAAACTAGTTTCTTTACTATCTGACATCCCAGGGCCTTTAATATGCTAATACACACTGCAAATCTTTGTGTGCACTGAGTGTGGAGTTAATCATGCAGTGTTTCTCAAACTTACTTGACCACAGAACCCTTTTGTTGAAAAGCATTTGTAGGATTAGCTTTCCACAGAAAACACTGGGAAAGTCTACTCATGTTTTATCACTTCTAATATACTTTTAAAGATGGTTCTAGACATTTTAAGGCCTCTCACTATTACTCTTCCACTCCTGTGGGTGGAGCTCATGCTCCTTCATCACCTTTTCAAAGTCTATATCCCCTTACTCTTACTACTACCCAGGTAAAGCTTGGTAGGAGGGTGCATACAGGACTGGAGAGACTGGGGAATGGAATCTAAGCAAGGAAGCCGCTATAGATGTTCACCGATGCATTCATTTATTCATCCATCCATTCATTAAGAGATTTATTGAATGCCTACTATGTGTCAGACATGATGAAAAGTACTGGAAATATATTAATGAATTTAACAGCCAAAAAAAAATAAAAAACCAAAACCAAAAAAAATCTGTTCTCATGGAGCTTACATTTTTAATATGGGTGACAGACAATAAACAAGCAGACAAAAATATAGAGACTGATTTTAGCCCTAAAGGGGTGAACTCCTAAGCCAAGTAAAGTAGGGGAAATAAGAATAGAGTAGCTAAACCTCAGAAGTGGGTTTAGGAAATAGAAAGAGAAATTTAAAGTTTTGCAAAGCTGAATGAGAAACCCAGTCCAGAGCTTGGCATCACCAGCTCTTCTTTGCTTATCTTTTTTTTTTTTTTTTGATCTTCATCTGTTGCCTAGGCTGGAGTGCAATGGCGTGATCTCAGCTCACTGCAAACTTCACCTCCTGGGTTCAAGCGATTCTCCTGCCTCAGCCTCCCAAGTAGCTGGGATTGCAGGCGCCCACCACCACATCCAGCTAATTTTTGTATTGTTAGTAGAAACAGGGTTTCACCATGTTGGCCAGGCTGGTCTCGAACTCCTGACCTCAGGTGATCTGCCCACCTCAGCCTCCCAAAGTGCTGGGATTACAGACATGAGCCAATGCACCCGGCCTGCTTATCCTTTTGTTTTGTTTTGTTTTACTCAGAGAAGCTTTGGGCGGCTGTTTCTCTGCCTATGTATGAGACCAGTTGAATTTCTTCACATCTATTGCCTGGGCAAGGGTATCAGGGAGTGCATAGAACACTCTGAAAGGCATCAGAGAGGTAGTTTTAGACTCCTTAAATGACACAAGTTGAATAATAATAACTGGTCAAATGTTTTGTAGTTTTCAAAATGCTTTCCACCCAGGGCATGATTTCTTGCCCCCATTATATAGAACAGAAAATTGAGGTCTAGAGGCTGACTTGCCTAAGATTGCATAGTCCTTCAATGGTGGAGCTGAGATTTGAATTCAAGTCTTTAGCTGGCACAACATCCACACATTGGTCACATTATTGCTTGATTTTCAATTCTCATGCTCATGGGCATGTCTGGATGATTCTTGCATGTGTGTGCTGGTGGGAGGAGAGAGCACAGAGTAGGAGGTTGGAGTAATGATTAACTCTCGTTAGGGAAAAAGTGGTCCCTGTTAATGTTTTTGGATTGAATGAAAGAGTTTTCAGGGCAAGGGCCAAGTAGCGATTAGATCTTTTTCCCTCCAAGTAATCCCCATTCAAGGCTGCATAAATTGGAATCCTGAGGGGAGGAACTGTGAAGCAACAAGCCCTTTAGTCTCTCTCCAAACTAGTCAGCCCCATTCGAATTAGAGAATTTGGATGGCGTTTGTGTGAAGGTTTGGGTTTTCAGCTTAAAGGCAGATGTAGTGAAGTTGAAGAAGGCTCAAAGGAGATGATGAAAGGATAGAATAATATAACTTGCATTAAAAAGGTAGAAGGGGGCCAGGCGCAGTGGCTCACACCTGTAATCCCAGCACTTTGGGAGGCTGAGGCGAGGTAGGTGGATCATCTGAGGTCACAAGTTCAAGACCAGCCTGGCCAACATGGTGAAACCCTGTCTCTACCAAAAATACAAAAATTAGCCAGGTGTAGTGGCAGGCACCTATAATCCCAGCTACTTGGGAGGCTGAGGCAGGAGAATCGCTTGAACCCGGGAGGCAGAGGTTGCAATGAGCCGAGATTACGCCAGTGCACTCCAGCCTGGGTGACAGAGAGAGTTAGACCCTGTCTCAAGTGGTTGGAATTGTTTGGTTTGGGACCTGCCTACCTCTCATATGATCTCTCATCACTTCCTGCTTTGCACTTTGTTCCAGCAATACCAAAATGCTTATAACATTTTACATCCCTTCCAATCTTTCTATGGTATTTCTCACCATCATGCCTATGTATCACAGTATCACTCTATTCATAGCACCTCTTTCTCCACATATCCATCCTTTACTAAGAATCAGGACTTCCTGGGCTCTTACTTGCTATCCAGCACCATGCTAAATATCTTAAATCCAGTAGTTCATTTAATGCTCATAGCAACCTTCTAAGGTGGATGCCGTTACCCTCATTTTACATATGAGTGAACTGAGGCTTAGAGAAGTATGGTAACTTGTTTAAGGCTGCACAGCTAATAAGGGGAACCAGGATTTAAATTCTGGTATTTCTGATTTCAGAGTCTAACCTCTAATGTTAGTCTGGGTCCTCTGAGAAGCAGAAAGCAAAAAGGAATTAAATGTTCAAGGATTTCAGTAAGGGAAATATCAGTATGAGAGCAAATGGTGGGGGGAGCCAGAGAAGGCAGAGACAACCATCAGACTGATGTAAGTCTGACCCCTGGTGAAGGAGGAAGAAAGAAATGGTGGGTGGTGGCATCCTAGCCTGTCATGCAGTCAAAGAAAGGTTTGGTAAGGTTAAGTCCTTGAGCCAAACTCTGCATCTCCCCACAATAGCATTGCCTTAGTGTCCCTGCTGTTCTCAGTCCCTTGGCTAGAAACAGCCCATGGAAAGTGTGGCATTGTGCAAAAACAGTAATGAATTTTAGAGCACAGCAGTTGAGGCTCTTGATCAATGATGAACCTGTAATTTAGTGGTTCTCAACCAGCTGATTTTGTCCCCCCAGGGGACAGTTGGCAACAGCTAGAGACATTTTTGCTTGTCACAAGTAGGGGGAGGATGGCTCCTGGCATCCAATGAGTAGAGGCCAGGGATACTGCTCAGTATCCTATGATGCACAGGCCAGCTCCCCTCATCAAAGAATAATCAAGAATAATCTGGTCCAAAATGTCAATAGTGACAAGGTTGAGAAACCCTGCCATAGTTGGAGGCTTGCATGGTGTGTTCTCAGGGCCACTGTAGTTCTCCACCTCTCTGTCATATTGCCCCTACCAGTAAGCTTTCCCTGCCTTTCTACTTTACACTCATTCCATTTGATGTCCTTCCTCTCTTGCTTTCATAGCACTCTCTACATACATCCACCATAACACTTATCAAACTGCATTATTGCATATTGACTTGTCTGTCTCCCTCTATGGATTGTGAGAACCTTGAAGGCAGGAGCTTTGTCTTACTTTTCTTTGTATCCCTTGCACCCAGCCTAGGCGCTGGCACCTAGTAAATGCTTATTAAATGAATGAAAGCGAGAGAAGGCTCTGAAGCAGTTTAATACCTTTCTACCCTAGTGGCTCCAATGACCCTCTGCTTAATGCCCATCAGTAGAGAAAATTCCCTACTGACATTTTCACTTGAAAGTCTCATAGTAGCTCAAACTCAGCATGTTCCTTACAAAATGTGTGGTTCTCCTCGAATCTGTGGAGACTTGCCATGTTCTCTTTATCTGTGAATGGTCCCATAATTTATGCTATTATTGATACTAGAGGCCAGGCACAGTGGCTCATGTCTGTAATCACAGCACTTTGGGAGGCTGAGGTGGGAGGGTCACTCAAGCTCAGGCATTCAAGACCAGCCTGGCCAACATAGTGAGACCCCCGGTTTTTTTTTAAAAAAAACTTAAATTAGCTGGGGTAGTAGTGCACATTTGTGGTCCTAGCTACTCAGGAGGCTGAGGTAGGAGGATCGCTTGAGCCTAGGAGTTCAAGGCTGCAGGGAGCCATGATTACACTTCTGCACTCCAGCCAGGGTGACAGAGTGACACCCTGTCTCAAAAAAAAAAGAGAGAGAGAGAAAAGAAAAAGAGGCTGGGCATGGTGGCTCATGCCTGTAATCCCAGCAGTTTGGGAGGCCAAGGCGAGTGGATCACCTAAGGTCAGGAGTTCGAAACCAGCCTGGCCAACATGGTGAAACCCTGTCTCTACTAAAAATACAAAAAAAAAAAAAAAAAATTAGCTGGGCATGGTGGTGCATGCCTGTAGTCCCAGCTGCTTGGGAGGCTGAGGCAGGAGAATTGCTTGAACCCAGGAGGTAGAGGTTGCAGTGAGCCAAGATCACGCCACTGCACTCCAGCCTGGGCAACAAGAGTGAAACTCCATCTCAAACAAAAAAAAAAAAAAAAAGAAAAGAAAAGAAAAGAAATTACAAATCTGAGAGTCACACTTACTTTTTTCCTTATTCTCTAACATCCTTAAATCACTAACTCCTAAGCATTTGGCTTTTCCTAATATCTCTTAAACCTTCTTCCTTTGCTCCATTCCCACTGCCATTGCCTTAACACTGCCTCTCATTGCTTCTTTTATAGATGATTTCAAGAGTCTCCTAACTCATCACCCTGTTTCTAGTCTTGCCACACAGCCCCTTCAAACTTATACTCTACACTGCTGCTAGAGTGATATTCCTAACACACATCTGAGTATATTATCCTCTTGCTTGAAATCCTTCAAGGGGTCCTTGTGGTCTTTAGGATAAAGTCCAAACTTCTTATCACAGCACACATGACTCCCATGACCTGGACCCTGACTGGCTTTCCAACCTTGTTTTTCATCACTTTCTCACACATACCTTTGGCTCTATTTCTCAACTGGGGGCAATTTTGTCCCCTAGAGAACATCTCGCAATGCTGGTGATATTTTTGGTTGTCACAACTCAGAGAAGTAAGGTGCTACTGACATTTAGTGAGTAGAATTCAGGGATACTGCTGGTAAACATTCTACAATACACAGCCCCCCACAACAAAGAATTATCCAGCCCCAAATATCAGTAATAACTGTATTAACTACTTTAGAAGCATCATGCTGGTTTTACTTGTGTGCATCCAAAATGTGCTTGGAATGCCTTTCTCCCCCTTTTTCATCAGGCTCACTCCCACTTGCCCTTCAAAACAGCATTAAATTCTCACCTCTTTTGGGAAGCCTTCCCTGACCTCCCAGTGTAAATTAGATGTCCCTCCTTTGTCTCTCATGGTCCTCAGTGCCTGCCCTCTCATAACAATTATTAGATAGCATTGTAATTATTTTATTGTCTGTTCCCTGGAGAGACTGAATTCCTTGAAAGCAGATATCAGTTTATTCACCATTGTATCCCCTGTATGTGGCACATGGTACGTGTTTCAATAAATGTTTTTTAAGTGAATGGCCACAGAACCCATACAAATGACTGTTTAGATCCCAAAGAGTAGAATTTGTTGCTTGTCATCACCTTCACCACTGGTCTTTCTTTAAGATGGTGCCTCAATAGCAAAGACTTGGAATCAACCCAAATGTCCATCAGTGATAGACTGGATTAAGAAAATGTGGCAGATATACACCATGGAATACTATGCAGCCATAATAAAGGATGAGTTCATGTCCTTTGCAGGGACATGGATGAAGCTGGAAACCATCATTCTCAGCAAGCTATCACAAGGACAGAAAACCAAACACCGCATGTTCTCACTCATAGGTGGGAATTGAACAATGAGATCACTTGGACACAGGGCAGGGAACATCACACACCGGGGCCTGTCGGGGGGTGGGGGGCTGGGGGAGGGATAGCATTAGGAGAAATACCTAATGTAAATGATGAGTTGATGGGTGCAGCAAACCAACATGGCACATGTATACCTATGTTTCAAACCTGCACGTTGTGCACATGTACCCTAGAACTTAAAGTATACAAAAAAAAATAAGATGGTGCCTAAAATATTTACTGTGTTGCCAGGTGCGGTGGCTCATGCCACCAGCACTTTGGGAGGCTGAGGCAGGCAGATCGCTTAAGGTCAGGAGCTGGGGCAACAGTGGAATAATGAAAAGCTCACTAGTGCAGAAAAAGTCAATGTTCACAGAAACGGTTAACATTAACTTTGGCACTGTGTGTCAAGGGAGGCCTAGGCCTGTTATCTCCTTCCCAAGAGTCTCTCAAACTCAACTGTAACACTAAGGTATCCAAATGAAAAGAGGTAAATCTCTATATTTTAAAAGTGTTCTTTTTTTTTTTTTTTTGGAGTTTCGCTCTCATTGCCTAGGCTAGAGTGCAATGGCATGATCTCAGCTCACTGCAATCTCTGCCCCCCAGGTTCAAGAGATTCTCCTGCCTCAGCCTCTCAAGTAGCTGGGATTACAGGCACCCACCACCATGCCCAGCTAATTTTTGTACTTTTAGTAGAGATGGGGTTTCACCATATTGACCAGGCTGCTCTCGAACTCCAGTCCTCAGGTGATCCACCTGCCTCGGCCTCCCAAAGTGCTGGGATTATAGGCGTGAGTCACTGCGCCTGGCCAAAAGTGTTCTAATGATATTTATTCTACTTAACTGCATAGCTTTAGTCTGAACCCATGCTAGGAAGAGATTCATTTCAACTACGATTGTAAAAAATGCCATGAGAAAGATAAACTTTTAAACTCCAGTATGAGAGACAATGGGAAGACAGTATCCTCTGGAGGCCCAGAGAAATATCCAATTGAGATAACATCAGGAGGCCAGGCGCAGTGGCTCACGCCTGTAATCCCAGCAATTTGGGAGGCCGAGCGGGTGGATTATCTGAGGTCAGGAGTTCGAAACCAGCCTGGCCAACATGGTGAAACCTTAGCTCTACTAAAAATACAAAAATTAGCCAGGCGTGGTGGCATGTGCCTGTAATCCCAGCTACTCAGGAGGCTGAGGCAGAAGAATCGCTTGAACCTGGGAGGTGGAGGTTGCAGTGAGCCAAGATTGCACCACTGCACTCCAGCTTGGGCAACAGAGTGAGATTCCATATCAAAAAAAAAAAGATAACATCAGGAGTTTTTACAGAGTCTCTGGGCAGCAGAGGAAACCTCCCATTTCATTGATCTATTCATTTAACAAGTATTTATTGAGCACCAACTATACACCAAGCACCTGGGTACCAGAAATGCAGCACTGGGGATGAGAGGAGCAGACAAAAATCTCCAATCTAATGGAGATTACATACTGTTGGGTACGCATTTGGTGAACAAAGGTAAACTGCTCTGCATATGTGTGGGAGTGCGTATTCTGCTTATGTTCAGCTCCCCAAGGAAGGTCTGGCAAGTAGAGATGCTGGGTTCCTTCCAGATTCTGTAACTTTTGTGGGGAGCTGTGCTAGATGGATATATCAAATCACTGATGAAACTGCTTTGACCCTTAGGAGAAGTTTGAGTTTTCCCCCAAACACCTACCTTGCCTTTCAGGACTTAACGGCTATAAATGGAATCATTCTGGTTCTCAGGAACCATAATTAAGCTCCTCTGGTTGCATGTTCAAATCTTGAGAGTGCCCCTTGGGCATTTGGAGAGCATTTAGCACACTCAGCAGCCTCTGCAACAGAAGCCAAAGTGGCAGCGGGAGAGCGTTCCATAAAAGCAGCTCTCTTCCTAGAGCCCATTATTAGAATGTGTTAACTACATCCTCTTTGCATCTGGTACACGGCAATTCAAGGGTGACAGAGGCAGAATGGAAATGGGACCCATAAAAATGTTCTGCTATCTGTAAAGTTAAGAAGTTGGTCTTTATTCTCACTTGTCCCCTGGAAATCAGGTTTTTTCCTGCCTGAGTATTAGACACTTAAGGAAGCCACACTATTCTCAGAGTGAGGCATTATATGCAAAACACTTACTACAGTTTCTGGCAAATCATAAGAATTCAACAGATGACAGCTATCATCATCATCATCATCCTCATACTAGCATTCCACCATCTTACAGATAATAAGGCACTATAGAAGAAAACACTTTGGATTGAGATTTAGAAGTTCAGGTCTGTAATCTGGTTTTGTGAGTAATTAGTCACGGAATCTGTGGGGAGCTCACTTAATTTTAAGACTGGGATGACTCATGTGGCATGATAACAAGCTGAGTCTTTGGCAGTATGAGTTAAGGAGGAGGGAGGAAGTAGAAAGAATCATGAGTGGGGCAGATTGGGGCTAGGAAGTAAATCATCCCATTGCATAGTGTTACTGGATATTCAGAATCACTCTTCAGCCTGCCCTGTGCCACTGCAGGCTGACCTATATGGATTACAATAATGGGCTCCGTTGCTTTCTGACCCCTGATTATGTTTGGCACCAAATGGAGATTGGTAGGTAGGAAGAGAATGAAGTTGGACTGTTTATTCCCCAGGCTCTTTCTTGATGGGCCAAGTATTGGCAGTGGCTGTGTCCCTCTACTGAAGACCACAGCTCTTATAAAGCCACTCTTTTCATACTGTTCCCTCTTCTTGGCCCTTCAGGCCTAGAGGGGTAATGGCTCCCTGCTGTTACTATCTCTAGGGTGCGACCCCATCTCTTGTTCCTATACTCTACCCATACTTTTCTAAATAGCCTCTTTATGAAATGCTCCCCAGATTACTCACTTTGAGTGTGCCATCTGTTTCCTGTCCAGACCTTGATGGATAAACCTCAGTGTTTTTAAACTATATCCCAAGCCCCTAGCACAGTGCTTGGAACATCGTAGGTACCCAGTAAAGATTAGTTAGATCAATATATTAATGAACTTTAATTAGGATAGTGGAGTGGTCCAAAGGACTTAGGTAACTCAGGTATAAGTCTGAGTATCATCAGTTCTAGGAGGACCAGTCTGGTAGATGGAACACCCTAGGGCAATGGGGTAGGATTTTGGGAGAACAGGATCCAGCTTTCAGAAGAAAGCTGGCAAAAACTGAGTAAGGATAGTATTTAAGATCCTAGTCACAGACTAGGGTTCAAGCAGGGCCCAATTATGTGTATTTAAGGCCAGAAAAAGCAGCAACGCAGAGTTCAACTTAACCATTGGGGTTTTGAGGGGGAAAGAGTACCCTGACTGGTCAACTTAATGTCTGGGATCTATGGTGAAGGGATGAAGGAGTCTAATTCACTAGGCTAGCATAGTTTGAGGACTCTAAAATATTCATTCATGTACGATATTTATTGAGCTCTTTGCTCTGATTTTGGCACTCATCAAACAATCTTCAGGATCTCACTCAGTTTCCATCATCTTCCTTCTTGGGGAAAGAATGCACAAAGTAGCCAATAGCTCTGTTTTTCAGTATAAAACAATGAGGGTCTGTGAGTGTAGGTGCTAAGGGCATCGGCGTTAGAATCAGACAGATTTTATATAAGAATCCCAACTTGACCAGCTTGGGCAAGTCATAACCTTTCAGAGCCTCTGTTTATTTAAAAAATGAAGGTGATGAAAGTGTTGCCATGAGTGTGAGATAATTCGTGTAAAGCACTTAGAATGTCTCTTGGCATATAGTAAATATATAGTAAATCAATTTTAGTTTATTTATTTATTTATTTATTTATTTGAGACAAGGTCTTGTTCTGTCGCCCAGGCTAGAGTGCAGTGGTGCGATCACAGCTCACTGCAGCCTCGACCTCCCGTGCTCAAGCGATCTTCCCACCTCAGCCTTTCAGGTAGCTGAATTACAGGTGTGTGCCACCAGGCCTCGCTAATTTTTGTATTTTTGGTAGAGATGGGGTTTCACCATGTTGCTTTGGCTGGTCTCAATCAAACTTTGGGCTCAAGTGATCTGCTTGCCTCCGCCTCCCAAAGTGCTGGGATTACAGGCATGACCCACCGTGCCCAGCCCCTGGTTTATCATTTATATTAATGTGTATCTTTTTGATTTATCATGGGTCAACCCCTTGGAGTCTAATTAGCCCTACAGCAACACATAAAATTAAGTTTCTAAACGTGCAAAACTGAGAAGGAGCCCCACGATCTGTGGCAGCATCTTCATGGTGCTACTGCAGTCTTTCCCTGCCATATTTCTGGGCCAATCACTAGCACTGGCCAATGGAGAACAGTTATCTATCCCCTAGGCTTCCCCCAGCCTTTGTGTCTGTAACAGTGCTTATCACTTTTTACGTGTCTGTTTTCCCTACTGGACAGTGAATTATGTGGAGGCAGGGCTAGGCATAAGAGTAAAGTCTCAGAAATGCTTGAAAATTTTTTAAAATAAAATTTCATTTGCACACATCTTCCTAGGACGTCAGCTTCTTCTGAAGAATAAGCTGGGCACTTCATTCAGGATGTTGGGGCACTTGCTTTTCTCCTCTTATTCCAATCCCTATTTCTTCTATTCCCAGACACCTGCCCCCTGCTCTGACAAGTGCTGGAAAGCAAATATGGCAGAAATAAATACCATTCAAGCAGTGCCTACACTGCAGGGGGCCCATAAAAGGAGAAGGCCCCTCTAAACTGGAGACCTGTTTATTTTGCAATTAGCAAAAGGTCAGTAGGCCTGGTATAGAATCCAAGTGTTACTCTGCTGTGTTAGCAAGAATTGTGGGTTGGGAAGTTATTGCTGGGGATTTGGAATTTTTATTATGAATTCCAGGAAACCAAAGGTTTCTGGGTAATATGCAAATCACAGGAAAGTACTCTGCCATCCTTTGACCAAAAGTTAGCTCCTTTTTGGCGATATAATAAGGTCAATAGGTCATGGGAGCTCTACTGGGTTACCTTAAAATGACCCCTTTTGAGGATGTAACAGATTATTAATCAGGAGCCATATCAAGGAGCTATGGCTAGGGTGGGGCAAGTCTTTAACCTTTGACTTAGGAGCTGGGAATTTACAGTTCTCTTTTGTCTGCAGAGCCCTAAATTGGCTTGACATAACTCTAATAGAAACATTTGTTTAGCTGTTGCTCTTTTTATCATAAGGAATCATGGGATATCATCCATTCCAGAAAGTTTATTGAACACCTACTATGTACCAGGTATTGAGCTAGAGTGCATACACACAAATAAATAAAACCCTGTCCTCAAGGTACTTAAAGTCTAGTGGGGCACACAGACATGAAAACAAAAAGATACAATCAATTGTTACAGGTGACATGATGGAGTATGTTCGGGGCATAGTGAGACCTAAAGATAGGAGTAGCCCACTGTAGCCAGGTAAAGTGTGAGGAAAAGGAAAGGCTTCATAAAGGAGGTGGCCCATTTCAACTATACAAATAAAAAGAACCATTTCAATAAGAAAAGTGCCTCCCTAAGATTCACTCACACTTGTTTTGGCCACAGCATCTTTGATTCTGCATTTATTTGAGCCCTCTTCTACTGACTTAGATCTACTTGTACTTTGAAAATTAGTTTTGAAGTCTTAGTTGTAAGATTGTACATCTCAAATTCATTGAATTTGCCTTTGAAGCTAAAATGCTGATGCTCTTCTATTCCTCAGTTAATGCATATATTTGGTTGCTTGACAACGGAACATTTCTGTACTACCTGTGTCATCTCAGACCAGAAACTTCTTGGAAGAGGAATCCCTTTGTTTTTATAAACTGCCTGATAAGCTTTGAAAGCTTATTTCAAGAGGTGCATGCTGGGAGGTGAGGGATGAGAAAGTATTTGGGCTGCAAAGCCCAGTTCAGAATAACTTCCTCCTAGCACCAAACTGCCTCAGACCCTCAGTCGCATTTCTTACCTACTGCGAGCCAGGGAAGTTCATATTACCACAGCCTTGACATTCCCTTTCTATTGATGAGAATGAAAACCAGAGCAGCATCTCTGTTTCTATTTTTATTCCTGGGTCTCTCAAAATGTTTTCTCAACAGCAAGTCACAATTCCTGTGATGAAGAAAGCAAATGCAACTATCAATCTATCTATCTATCTATGAAGCCAAAGACCTTTTATAGTTTCTGAACCTAGCTTGATATCTTCCTTAGAAACTAACCATTCCACACAAACTGGAACCCTCGGTGTGATGGGCTTCTACAGGCCTTTACAGCTGAAGGGCTCTTTGTCTGATTTGAAAAACTAGATTATCATTTAAATATTCTCTTTCCACATGTCCCTCAAATAGATCATAGCTATATTTTCTTTACCATGTGGCTTATAGCTTGATGATCTTGGAAAGTATTCAAAAGTAGCACATAACAGGTATTGCAACCAAGGGATGTTTCCAAGACAGTGACTGGCCAGAGCATCTTCTAGGATACTTCCTTTTTAAAAAAAGTTTTGGAAAAAAACTTAATTGACAAATAAAAAATGTATGTATTCAAGGTGTACAACATGAGGATTTGATATATATTTACATTGTGTACTGATTACTGAAGTTAAATTAACACATCCATCACCACCTGTAATTGCCATTCTGTGTGGAGAGGTGGGGTGAGGACACTTAAAATCTGCCCTTTTACCAAATTTCAAGTAAACAATCCAGTGTATTATTAACTATAGTTACCACGCTGTACATTAGATCCCCAGAACTTATTCATTTTATAACTGAAGGTTTGTACCCTTTGAACAACATCTCCCCATTTCCCCAACCCCCCAACCTCTGGCAATCATTGTTCTACTCTCTGCTTCCATGAGTTCAACTGTTTTAGATTCCACATACAAATGCCATCATACAGTATTTTTCTTCCTGTGTCTGGCTTATTTCACTTGACATAATGTCCTCCAGGTTCATCCATGCCATGGCAAATGGCAGGATCTCCTTTTTTAAGGCTGAATAATATTTCATTGTGTGTATATATATATATGTGTGTGTGTGTGTGTGTGTGTGTGTGTGTGTGTGTGTGTGAAATTTTCTTTATCCATTTATCCTTCAATGCATGTTTAGGTTGTTTTCACGTTTTCACTGTTGTGTATAATGCTGCATGAACATGGGTGTGCTAATATCTCTTTGAGATACTGATTTCGTTTCTAGGATCCTTCTAAGCCATCCCACTGATGAGTATTTGTGCTTCCTGTACTTGTTGAATGTAAGCTAATTTAATTTTACATTAGCCTAATAATGACTTTCGTGATGACAAAAGAGAGTCAGTGTAAGGAAAACAAAGCCGTTGAGCACCAAGCAAGAAAGTCAGCGTCCATTCTTGTTGTAATCTAACTTTGTAGTGAGAACCAAGGTAAATAATAAATCGAGAGAAATTGTCACCTATTGATCCTAATAGTAAGATGTCAAGTGATGTGTCTCAGAGAGAGAGAGAGAGAAAGAGAGGCAGAGAGAGAAAGAGATCCCCTCTTTGTGTTTACCATTTGCAAACTACTTGAAAATCTGCCTCAGCAAAATCTCATCTATTTGGACTAATGGGGGTGGGGGCAGGCAGAGCAATCTGAATTAGTGACAGGTTGGAATTCTGGAATGTTTTAAAACATGCCCTTTTATTAGTTGAAGTCTATGTGTACCATAACTCAAACTAACTGCTCACAGTGGTTCCCAAGAGAGATCCTCAGAGACTTGCTTTCATGAATAGATAAGACCCATTTGTTATTAGCAGTATTCACTGACTCGTAAACAATGTGCTAAAGTCCTTAGAAACAGTTTGTTCCTTTAAGATGAAAAGGCATTTGTGATGTGATTTAAAGAATCCTGCCCAGCAAACTTTACCCTCATGGAGAATGCAAAGATCTTTCTCTCTACAATCTCACACACACAGTTGGTGGCACCTGAGGGACTGAGGTATGACTGTACTGATGGGGTAAGGTAAAGGGGGTTCACCCTGCTGTCTCTATTAAGAGATGCATAGAATGTAAAGTTGGGAGAAACATCCTATCCCTACCCCAGCCTCTGCAGCGTAATTCTGGCAGCAGGAATGGAGACCATTACCTGTGGAGGCTGGTCAGTACTAATATTTGGAAATGGTTTTCCTTGACTCTCCATTACTTGATGGGCAGACAGCTCCTCTAAGTCTGTGAGTGTGGACTTGCTACATCAATATGTGTTGTCTCCCCAGCCTCGTCTACTTGGGCGTGAAAGGGGGAAGTTGATCTTGGTTGCCCATCCATCTTCTTTCTTCTCCCATTGCTTCCTCTCTCATCTTGGACCCCCATAATATAAAAAAAAAGGGAGGCTAACTGTTAGCTAGAAAACAATCTTGTCCCTTTCTGGGTTCTTTGTCTACTCATAAGGAATTGCGGAAGTTCCTAATCCTTAAAGAGTCAAAAGAAAGAGCTAAAATATCAGAACATATGACAAGCAATGGAGTTGATATATTTTTGAGAAATGGATCACCAATAGTATTTAGTCAAATCACACTGTGTGGACAGCCTGCCCTCCCTCCATCCCAAAATGCACTCACCTTTGCTCTGTTGGGTAATGTAAATATTCAGCTGCCTCTCCATATCTAGGCTGAATGTTTGTCTTCTCTTGTCTGTATGGCCTTGACATGCCTGGCCACATCATGAAGGGTCTGTATTACAATGTAAACTCCAGCAAAGGGTTTGTGTTTGTTAATCTTTGTACAATTCTCAGAAAAAAAGAATGTTTAATAAGTGGCTTTAAAAATTTTCTAATTGTGGCAAAATACACATAACATAAAATTTATCATCACAACCATTTCTAAGTGTACGGTTTAGTAATAAGTATATTCATATTATTGTGCAACCAATCTCCAAAACTGTTTCATTTTGCAAAACTGAAACTCTATACTCATTACACAGTAACTCCCCATTCCTCCCTCCCCACAGTCCCTGGCAACCCCCATTCTACTTTCTGTCTCTATGAATTTGACTACTCTAGATAACTCATATAAGTAGAGTCATATAGAATTTGTCTTTTTGTGACTGGCTTATTTCACTTAGCATAATGTTCTCCACGTTCATCCATGTTGTATCATGTATCAGAATTTCCTTCCTTTTTAAGGCTGGATAATATTTCATTGTATGTATATACCATATTTTGTTTCTCCATTCATCTGTTGATGGACACTTGGGTTGCTTCCACCTCCTGGCTACTGTGGATAATGCTGCTATGAATACTGACATATCTATCTGTTCGAGTTTCTGCTTTCAATTCTTTTGGGAATATACCTATGAGTGAAATGGCTAGATTATATGTTAATTCTATTTTTATTTTTGGTAGAGATGAGGTCTTGCTATGTTGCCCAGGCTGGTCTTGAACTCCTGGGTTCATAATTCTATTTTTTAATTATTTGAGGATAATGATGTTTTTCAGTGAGACTGAGGAGAAACATAAACTATATGCATTATTATATTACAGTGTCTCCCATTTCCCTACGTATCTATTGAGTACCTATCATGTGCTTAGTGCTATTTCTAGTAGGACTTGGGACCCTATGGTTCCTTCTTTTCTGTCACTAGAATCTGACCTCCATGGGGGTAGGGATTTTGTCTATTTATTTCTTCTTTACTGCTGCACGTCCAGGACCTAGGATAGTGCCCAGCATTCATTCATTCTTTTGTTCAGCAAATAATTATTGAGTACCTAGTATGTACCACGTACAAAATGATTATGAAAGGGATTATGAAAGTCAATTAAGAAACCAATGTTTCTTTTTTGCTTGGCTAATGGGCAGAGTTGATGAAAGGAGGCAACAAGGTCTTTTCTGATGACTTTGTGCCCCATCAGCTAAATGTTAACAACCCCTTTACTTGCAAAGGAGGATAGGGGTAAATTTAGGACTGGAAGAGAACAACTCAGCTAGAAGAGAAGATCAATGGAGGCAGAAGCCCTTTCCAACTGATCCTGGATGGACAACTGTTTATTCACCAATACTGAAGCCATTTTTTAATTTGGAGGAGAGCAGAAAGTAGCTCCTGATTATCCACATCAACTGTTTATTTTAACAGGCCACAATCACAATCAACTCTTGCCTGAAAATTTTTTTTTTTTTGCTTTTTCACTTTTGCCTCAAATTTGGGTGCAGAGGTGGGGAACCACTATCGTCTAAGCAGCAACTTCAAATTAGAAGACTGAACAAACTCAACTAAATGTTACCTGGTACCCAGTCAATCCCACTTAGTTCAATAAGGTGGTATTTACAGAATATTCTCAGGGCTCTCTGGAGTTCACAAAATGGTGCATTCAGTTAACAATGTCCATTTAAGTCTCTTCCTTTAAACTGGCATGAGATATGCTATTGGAGAAATTCAGCAGGTTAAGGGGCTGGCAGGAACTATCTAGACTCCTTTCAGTTAAGCCCTCAAAGGCATTTTGCAGTCCTACGCTGGCCCCCAATATGCCAGTGTGGAGCTGCATGCTGTGAACATATGACAAGCCCTTCTGTGAGCCCCAGAGATTGTTTTTCTCTCCCTTCTGTGAGCCCCAGAGATTGTTCATATCTATCTTTCTACTTTAAAACCACTGCCACTTACCATTTCTTAGGGTCCTTTTCATCTCCAGTAGGACGTAATCTTGCCAGCTATCTTCTTCTTGCTGTCCTCCCAAATAACACTGATACCATGGAGATAACAAAGTTACAAATATGGGAAATAGTTATACACACTTGAGACATTTCACAAAACTTCTTGTAATCAATGTCCGTGCTTCTTTTGATTGAAGGTACTCTGAAGCTGGAGTGGTCTGCTCTCTTTTATCTGTGAGAGTGGTGCTCCTTATTGCTTATAGGCTAAGACTACACTAATTAGCCTAGAATTCAAGGCCCTCTACAAGCAGACTATGGTCTACCATTCCATTATTATCTCCTAGTCATCTTCCAGTCCACACAATCTGTCTGCTCCCATCAAATGGTCTACTAATTATTTTCCCCCAAACTATTTTCATTACTATTTCCTGGTCTTTGTTCACATTAATTCCCTCAAGCTCTCTACCCTTTCTTTGGGGCCTGGAGCCCTACCTTTTGTGACCACCCCAGCCCTTGGAGCAGAATTGCTCCCTCCTTGGAATTCCGATAATCCTTCTAGTCTGCACCACTTCTCTAGATTTAACACATGGGAGTATATGTGTGTGCATGTGAGCCTAAAAGCAGGCACATTTTTATATTTCTAGGGCTAACACAGGGCCACACACTGAATAGGGACTCAGTAAACATTTATTTTTTAATGATGATGTCATGTTCTTGAGGCCTGTTCTTTCTTTCCCTAGGTAATGTTTACTAATGTGAATGAAGTGCTGCTGAGACTTGCTCATGTTTTTTAAAAATATGAAGATGGTGATGACTCAGTGGCAAGAACTTTTGGCAGAAAATTCATCTTGAAAATACTTGTACTATCCTAGCAACACACGTGTAACAAGGGGAAACTGCCAGAACAGTCCTAAGATAAAAGCAGGGCAGATTGTAGGATTTTAATAGGCAGGATTCTCTCTCTTTTCTTTTCTTTTTTTAAATTTTATTATTATTATTACACTTTAAGTTTTAGGGTACATGTGCACAATGTGCAGGTTTGTTACATATGTATACATGTGCCATATTGGTGTGCTGCACCCATTAACTCGTCATTTAACATTAGCTATATCTCCTAATGCTATCCCTCCCCCCTCCCCCCCTTTCTTTTCTTTCTCTCTCTGTCTCTTTCTTTCTTTCTTCTTTCTTCCTTTCTTTTTCTCCCTCTCTTTTTTCTTTCTTTCCTCTTTTTCTTTTTCTTTCTTTCCTTCTTTTCCATCCACTCTCCTTCCCTCCCTCCTTTCCTTCCTTTCCTTCCTTCTTCCCTCCCTTCCTCCCTTCCTTCTGTCAAAGTAATTAAACACTGGAATGAGCTACAGAGGGAGATTACTGAGAAAATTTGAACAATTTACTCATTCATTCAAAAGAAAACTGGGAGGCAAAGTAAAGGACGGGGAAAAAGTTTAAGTATGAGGGATTTGGCATTTATCCATAGAAAACAAAGGAAGGCAGATAAAACCTTCCTTCTTTCCTTTCTACCTTCCTTCCTTCCTTCCGTACTTTTTGGTCTCAATTCTGTGTGGCTTCCCCAGCAGGACGAAGAACCTTGTGGTGGGTGGGGCTCTTTCTTCACTGTGTTGTGGAGCCATCAAGCAGGCCAATAAAAATTTAAAAAGGCACAGATGTTTTTCTCTGTGAAGAAGTGGTTGAAACAGTTACAGAATAACTGTTTCTCTTAATGTGGATATACCTTCAGTCCCCAATAGACCCAAACAGGCCAACAAATTTAGCTCTTAAATACTTTACCCAAAGGAATGCTGGGGTGACGGGTGGGAAAAGACCTGCTATTGCCTCAGGAGTTGGAAAAAGACAGACTCACACAAGTGGCAGGACAACAGGTAACAGAACAACCAAAAAAAAAAAAAAGCATAAAAAGTTACTGAAGGGAAAACAAGGAAACAAAAATTGAAATGATAAAGAAACACTAACTACATAGAAATCAAGTGTGGAAATTTGTCTGTGATGACATTCTTGGAGAAAAGCATAGACAATGTGGTATAAAATACTTTAGTCCCAGAAACACCTATTCTAGAGCTATTCATTTATAAAATAATTTTAGGTGTTTAAGACTAGAAATCTGGGCCAGGTATGGTGGCTCACACCTGTAATCCCAGCACTGTTGGGAGCCCGAGGTGGGTGAATCACGAGATTAGGAGTTCGAGACCAGTCTGGCCAACATGGTGAAACCCCATCTCTACTAAAAAAACAAAAATTAGCCTGGCGTGGTGGCAGGTGCCTGTAATCCCAGCTACTTGGGAGGCTGAGGCAGGAGAATCACTTGAACCCAGGAGGTGGAGGTTGCAGTGAGCCGAGACTGTGCCATTGCACTCCAGCCTGGGTGAAAGGGCGAGACTCTGTCTCAACAACAACAAAAAAGACTAGAAATCTGTATTTTTTTTTTTTTTTTGAGACAGAGTCTTGCTCTGTCGCCCAGCCTGGAGTGGCGCGATCTCCACTCACTGCAAGCTCTGCCTCCCGAGTTCACGCCATTCTCCTGCCTCAGCCTCCCAATGTAGCTGGGACTACAGGCATCCGCCACGACGCCCGGCTAATTTTTTGTATTTTTATTTGAGACAGGGTTTCACCATGTTAGCCAGGATGGTCTTGATCTCTTGACCTCGTGATCCGCCCGCCTTGGCCTCCCAAAGTGCTGGGATTACAGGCGTGAGCCACTGTGCCTGGCCAGAAATCTGTATTTTTAAAAAAATAGAGACAGGGTCTCATGTTGTCCAGACTGGTCTCAACTCCTGGCCTTAAGCAATCTTCCCACCTCAGCCTCCCACAGTGCCGGGATTACAGGCGTGAGTCACTGCACCCAACAGAAATTTGTATTTTTAGTAAGTGCTTCTGCTGATTCTTAAGTTCGAGTAAGTTTAGGAAGCACTAGCCTGTAACATAGTAGAAGGAGTTTCATTAAAGTGCAGAAACAGCAGCAAATAATTTGCTTGAAAGACAATTCATGCAACAGGAAGAATAAGAGGGGAGATAAGATTGAACATTTGAAATAGGAGAATAAATAATTATATTCTCTTTTGCACCTCTTGCTCCTGAAATGATTTAGGGCAGCAATGTTATAATATTGATAATGAACATATCTTGAGTGCTTACTGTTGGCTTAGCACTACACTTGTATTTTCTCATTTAACACTCATAACAACCCCATGACTACTATTGTTTTCTCCATTTTACAGATGAGGAAAAGAAAGGTTAACATAGGAAAGGGTAGAGCTGGGAGCCAAGCGTTAAGTATATTAGTCCCCAGAGTCTCTGCTCTTGCCTCACTATATTGCTTCCAAACATCAAAACAAACCAGAAAACCAGAAAGCCCAGAAACAACAGGAAAGCCAAAAAGCACAACTAAGTGAAGAAATGTAGATGAAGGAAAAATAAAGGAAGACAAACAGGTGAAGCTGGGGTGAGGTCCTGTGCATTGATTAGAAGGGAGGGGACACAAATTTGGCTGTGGGCTTTCCAACAACCACAGCAAAAAAGGAAGCGTATCTTGATTCAGGGTATCCGCAAGATAAAAGCAAACCCGCTTTTTAGAAGAAACATAGCAATTTCTGGTAGAATTTTCTGGGAGAAATGACCCTTGTAGTAAGTACTTCAAAAAGAGGAGAAATAATTCTATTGAAAGGATTTGAAAGGATTTTTTTTTCAAAGAACTTTACTGTTCATTAATTTTTTTTAAATTGGGCAAGCAAATGTTTTAAAAAGGAAATCATTTAAATATGGATGATAATATTATTACCTTGTAAATATGTTTTACAGTTCACACGTTTATAATAAAATAACTGCATGTGGAATTTTTGTCCTTGGAGATCTTAAAGAAAAGAGTGACTATTCCTCTGGCTCAAATGCCTGAAGGCAAGGACGGGCTTAAGGGGGCCCCTTCCAACTCCGGGGCTGCGATTCTATACTTCTGTAGCTGTGCAAACACTTCTACCTGGGGCAGCTTAACTAGTCTTAAACCTAAAGACTCAGCCACAGCGATGGCAATGAATGCTTCCATTGTGGAAATCCTTTCTGATAAAATAAATGTTTAAAACACACACACACAGACAATAAAACAAAACCTCCTCAACACTTGGGATTAAGACACACCCAAGTAAGACATTTGCAGAAACAAAAGTTTTACTTAGTAAATGCTTGTCACTGGGGATGGAGAATCAGCACTTAGGCACCACTCATTTAACTCTGAACGCGTTTGCTGAAGTCCTTTGTGTCTTAGATGTCAAAGAAATCTTTTCTAAGGGCGCCATCAGCACCACCTCAGGGGTGATGTTTTAAGCCTAATGTGAAAAAGAGAGCTTCGCTAAAACTTCTTATATGATTAACACGGCTGAATGCCCTTTATGACAAAGCATGAGGAGTGCAAATAAAATTCTCTTCAGGAGGAGACCTTCTCCCCCTCTTTTTTTTTTTTTCTTAAATCATTTCTTAGTAATGTAGCACAAGAAAAGAACGTTCACATTTTAGGGTGGGGGGAGGAAGCCCAGGGAGGTATAACTGTGCAGTTGAAACTGACTGAACTCATTACGAATTGGGTCAAACGGCTCAGAGGAAGCTCCCTTGCTGAATGTCGTCAGACTGCAACCCATAAAAGGTGAGAATCAAGTTAACATCATTGTGTGCATTAGGAAATGTGGTGTGGCAATAGGTAATACAAGCACATTGGTCCTTTATAGAGTCTGTTGGGATCTTTGGCCTTCTGGCTAGCATAGGACATCCAGGAAGAAGGCACACAGGTGGCTTCTCTAAAAAAGAACTGGCTGGGTGTGGTGGCTAACGCCTGTAATCCCAGCACTTTGGGAGGATGAGGTGGGTGGATCACCTGAGGACAGGAGTTCGAGACCAACGTGGCCAACATGGTGAAACCCCATCTCTACTAAAAATACAAAAATCAGTCAGGCATGGTGGAGGGTGCCTGTAATCCCAGCCACTCAGGAGGCTGAGGCAGGAGAATCACTTGAACCTGGGAGGCAGAGGTTGAAGTGAGCCGAGATCCTGCCACTGCACTCCATCCTAGGTAACAGAGCGAGACCCTGTCTAAAAAAAATAAAAATGAAAAAAAATAAAGAACTGAGGTGCCTGCCTCTGCAAAGAGGGCCATGGTTATGTCGCTGTCAAGTGAAAGACTTCATCCTTGCCACAGAAGGCGTCACCCTCTGGAGGGCTTGATGGACTGCTATCCGACCAGGTTTCCCCTTTATAAACAGAGTCCAGCCGCCTTGGCCTTATCTCCTTGATTCTAAAATAGCTCGTCAATTTAATAGCATTCAGGTTGTTTATGCACACACAAGGCCCTTTGAAAATAACCCTTTTCATGTCGCCAAACAGGCATTTTGAAATCAACTAATTGGATGGTTGTCTGAATTCAACTCGTTGTTTTAAAAATAACCAGTTGTTCCACTGAATTACATTTTTTTACCCCCAAGCCAATTGGTGTGTGTAGACAGAGTTTGAGTCAATCCAGATGGCTGGCTGCATTTTTGACTTGAACTGACTGACTGGATGTTTTGTGGTCAGATATATACAGCTCTTGATAGCCACTGGGGAAATAGAGTAGAAGGGAAGGAAGGTGTAGGAAAGTTAGGAGAAATTATATCAACAAAAGTTTCCATCTTGAGTGCTGTGGATCAAGACATTTTCTGCAATCAATCCTCCCTCCCCCTCAAAACACACGCACGCGCGCGCGCACACACACACACACACACGCACACACACACATAGTTAAGAAAACAGAAATAAAGTAATAACATCCCTCCCAGCTGGCTCTGCTCACGGCTGTGGGTCTTTTCTTTCTTTCTTTCTCTCCATGAATTTCTTCACTGCTTGGGTGGCCTGTGGAGGGATTCTGGCAACTCAGCTTCACGGGTTTCGCTCCCACTTAGGCTGACTTTTCCTTCCTGTGGGGAGCTCTCCTTTGAGGGGCTCAGTGTTCCTCTCAGTCTGCTAAAGGCAAGGCAGGAATGAGAGGGCTTCGGTCAGACCTATACCCCGTAATTCCAAGCATAAGGCCTGACACTGACCCATGTAACCACTTTTCCTGAGAGAAGCTGGGAGTTTCCTGTTATGTGTGTAACCAGTTCTCTCTACGCAGACAATTACTGGTACATTTTGAGAAATTCAGAGTTTTGTACCATCTATAGTTCTCATAATTAGCTGTCAAATTCCACTGGCCTGAGGAAGTGCAATTCAGATGCTTTCAAAGGCTACTTCTTTCAGACTTATCATTTCGATTTCTTCATTCACCTTACTGATAACATGATGAAAGCAGAACAGAGACAGACTTTCCTTGAATGACTTATCCTTAGGTTTTTCACTTCTGAGCAAGAAAAGATTCTCTAAACATTTAAAATTGAACTGTAAGGGTGATCTTGAAAATGTCTTCCACTTTTATTTTCACAAATTCTGAATGAACTGTATGACACAAACTCATTTTTCTACTGCCCACATTGTACCTTTTCTATCTGTGCAAAGGTCACTGTTTGCAGTGAAGAGAAGAGCACAAGAAATATTCTGAAGTTTGGCCCGTTTATATTGTTCTCAACTTTTCTCTCTCATCCAGTAAATCCCAAATTGGCATGTTTTTCATAATGTGTCATTTTTCCTGCCTGGCTCTTTAAGGTGAGTATTGATTCCCATGAGCCTTCCATAGACATCTGGATAACATTCAAAGTTTTTGACTATGACATTTACGTTTTAAAGCACTGCCACATGGCTTGTTGGGATTTTTTCTTTTCTTTTAGACTTGGGGTATGGTCCTGTCTTCATTGCTGACCTGCTATGCGACCTTGGGATCATCACTTTATCTCTCTCAATCTCAGAGGCTTTCCCATCAATATTATGGGGGTAATAATACTTGCTTGCCTGGTCTATCTGATAGGGCTGTTGGAAAGAACAATCTGATAAGGTATGAGGAAGTCCTCTGTGAGAAATAGGAAGTTTTAAACAAATACAAGAGGCTCTGAAAGGAGACAATTTAACTGGGATTATTAGGTAGTCCTGGAAATTTGGCTCTTCCTTCTCAGATTAAGAGGTTTGTTATCAGGTCCCCAAATTTTACTATGTGTTACCATTACTGTAATCCCTGTTTGTTGAATTGAAACACCCCAAAAGATCAAATTCTAAGGAAAAAATTGTGTGAGTGGATATACTGTCTAAGATTTGAGAATCAATAATATTAGTACAGGGATAAGGACATTTGGCAGGCTTGATTTTTTTTAGAGTTAGGGATACTATGAATATGTTAAAGTGCATCAGTATTAAGAGTTCCGTTTGCAGCAAAACTAGGGTGAGAAATAGAGATCTCTGGATTTCAGAGTTATGACTGCTTCAGGTGTGAATAGAATACTGCTCATAGGCTGGGCAAGGTGACTCACACCTGTAATCCTAGAACTTTCAGAGTCTGAGGTGGTCGGATCACTTGAGGTCAGAGTTCGAAACCAGCCTGGACAACACGGTGAAACCTAGTCTCTGCTAAAAAAAAAAAAAAATTACTGGGCATGGTCGCGGGCACTTGTAATCCCAGCAATCCCAGCTACTCAAGAGGCTGAGGCAGGAGAATCGCTTGAACCTGGGAAGCAGAGGTTGCAGTGAGCTGAGATCATGCCATTGCACTCTGACCTGGGCAACAAGAGCAAAACTCCATCTCAAAAAACAAACAAACAAACAAACATACAAACACACACAAAGAAACTGAACTGCTCATAGAACGATACTCCGATCTTTTTATCTTAATGAGAACTAAACCATTTTTTTTATGAAAATACACAGAAGAACAGTAGGTGATTCCATCCTTCATTCTTTGATGTTTCTCTTTAACTGGCTCATCCTTGAGTGGTATAGGGCATTTGATAAGCCCCAGATGGTTTAGAAGCACACAGGTAATATATCTGCTTTATATTATCATCTTGTCTAGCTGCTTGCATGTGACTAAATGACCTCTTTGCCATAGGAGCAGTTACACCAAGGAAGATGAACTTTCCCTTCCATATGTGAGATAACTGTTTTCCCTCCACACCAAAGAGTATTAGCTGGGAGACTGACATTGTTTCTATTTACTGGGAAATCATTGGCCTTTTGCCTCTGAAGAAGAGTCACTTCGTTATCTAGTACCAAGCAGAAGAAAATAAAGTAAATATGGCATGATATTTCTGTAAGGTGATAAATTAGCAATGGTATGAATGTATGAATATACAAGTTTGATGGTGAAGTTGAAAACTGGGGTAGATCTGGCTGTAAGCTCAAGTTTGAAAACTTTTTTTCAGAGGTGAATTTGAGCTCCTGTAGTTACGTCCAGGAAATATGAGCCATTACTAAGATCTGGGAATTGAGGGTAAGGCCAAAAGAAAAAAAAAAGATCTGGAAATGTAATTGTAATTGGGGAGGCCAAATGACAGAGGTTAAGCCCTGGGAAATGGAAAGGCAAATCGGTGTCTGAGAATTCCTGGGCCTGTGGCAGGTCTCTTGCTGGACCCAGGCCATCACTGAACACTGCTTAGCTCCTGTCATCTCCACACGGACCTGTTTTAAGGAGAAGCTGGAGGAAGACTAAGCAGGAGCCAAGACTGTGAAGTTAAAGGAGACCCTTTGAGGGGCATATGCCTGCCTTCAAACTTACAAATCTGCAAACCTTTGGTAATCTGGCACTCCCAAAAGCTGGCATTGTGGCAAACCTGGCAATGAACTCATAACTACAACCTCAAGATCTCAGTCATGTCTGATCACTCTGGAGGTTAAAAACAAACCTGGCTAAGGACCATGAGGATGAGAATTTTGCCCTCATCACTATATCACCAGTGCTTAGAACACAGTGACTGCTGAATAAATGTTAGTAATACATGACAAAGAAAGAAACAAGTAAATAAAGTAATGTTTGTTAAAACAAACAAAAACCAAACTTGGCTTTGATGGCCTTTAAAAGAAGTAGCCTTAAGGTTCACACAATAATGTGAATACCTGCAATGTGCCAGACACTTTACCTACATAATCTCTAGTCCCCTCAAAGATTTTGCAAGGTTGCATTTTTCTTAGCATGTGGAGAAGCTGTACAATGCATTGTAATATATGTGTATTATCATATGGATCTATATATCCATCCATTCACTGACCAAGATTAAGTTTAAAAAAATGTGGTAAGAACACTTAACATGAGATCTCCCCTCTTAACAAAATTTTAAGCATATTATACACTATTGTTGACTATGGGTACAATGTTGTACAGCACATTTCTAGAGCCTATTCATCTTGCTTGACTGATACCTTATGTCCTATTCTTCCTTACCTCCAGTCCTTGGTAAACACTATTCTACTCTTTGTATCTATGTATTTGACCATTTTAGATACTTTATATAAGTGGAATTGTGCAGTATTTGTCCTTCTGTGCCTGGCTTTTTTCACTTAGCATAATGTCCTCCAGGTTCATCCATGTTGTCACAAATGGCAAGATTTCTTTCCTTTTGAAGGCCAAATAGTATTCCATTGCATGTGTATGCCTCATTGTCTTTTTTAACAACTTTTATCATAACTTCAGGGTTACATGTGCAGGATGTGCAGGTTTGTTACATAGGTAAACATGTGCCATGGGTGGTTGTTGTACAGATTATTTCATCCTGCAGGTATGAAGCCTGGTATCCATTAGTTATTTTTCCTGATCCTCTCCCTCCTCGCATTTTCCACCCTCCAATAGGCCCCAGTGTGTGTTGTTCCCCTCTGTGTGTCCGTGTGTTCTCATCATTTAGCTCCCACTTATAAGTGAGAACATGAGGTATTTGGTTTTCTGTCACATTGCCTTTATCTATTCATCTGTCCATTGTCATTTAGGTTGTTTTCACATGTTGGCTATTGCGAATAACTGCAGCAATGAACAGGGGGGTGCTAATATCTGTTTAGGATCCTGATTTCAATTCTTTTAATGAATACCCAGAAGTGGGATTGCTGGATCATATGATAGTTCCATTTTTAATTTTTTGAAGAGCCTCCATACTGTTTTCCATAGCAGCTGTACCATTTTATATTACCATCAACAGTATGCAAGGTTTCCAATTTCCACATCCTCACTAATACTTTCGGTCTTTTTGAAGGTTAAGTTTTTAATCCTCATTTTGTAAGTGAAGGCTTAGACTGATAAGGCTGCTTGCCCAAGGTTATCTAGCTAGTAAGTAATAGAGTTGGAATTTGGACCCAGGACTATCTGACTGTGGAACTTATGTCCATTCCACAACACTGTGCTGGCTCTTGTGATCACTCTGTTGCAACATAAGCTAAAGCAAGTCAACTGGAGAGTGAGTTGAAATAGCTGTTATTGAAAATGATTGCTGTTTAACTGAGGTTAAACCAAGGGAATGACCTAGGAAGGGCTACTTTGGCCTTTGATTCCGATTACATTTTTTTAAAAAGCAGACTAATGCAGGACAGCATGCATCTGTATATGCTGAATCATACATTAAAGAGGAAGAGAAAATTCATTTCAGAGGATTTGTTATTTTTAAAAATCAAATTTCATGATGTGTAGTAAGCCCAATACAGACTCAGCTCATTGTCTCACCATTTTTGTATATTTACAACATTGCACAAAAATTGAATATGATAAACCAGAGCATCAAGGATAGGTTATATTAGATTTCATATGCTTTATTTACTAAGGCAGAGAAATGGGCAATACATTTTGGAAGGATTTCCATAGAAGGGATTGACACAGGTTTTCCTAATAGGAAAAAATTAATAATAAATCTTCCTAAAACATTACTATAATCATTTCCAAACAATAAAATAATCCATTAGATTCCCATACAGTGAGATTTAGATAAATATAATCTCTCACCTTTAGTATTTTATAATCTTAAAGAATCAATAACAAAGCCTTGGTTATTTAAAAATGTTAATGAATTAATTTTTTAAATCTCTGACTTAGATTTCTGGAGATAAAGAAAATATGATAGAGGTATGTCTGTTTATATCTCCACTCTTGCAAAATTGCTTACAACAAAATTACTATCTTGCTTATTAGGAGAAAATTTATTTATTTATTTATTTATTTTTGAGATGTCTTGCTCTGTCGCCCAGGCTGGAGTGCAGTGGCACGATCTTGGCTCACTGCAACCTCCTCCTCTTGGGTTCAAGCGATTCTTGGACCTAAGCCTCCCAAGTAGCTGGGATTACAGGCACACGCCACCATGCCCAGATAATTTTTGTATTTTTGTAGAAATGGGGCTTCACCATGTTGGCCAGGTTGGTCTCGAACTCCTGACCTCAAGTAATCCACCCGCCTCAGCCTCCCAAAGTGCTGGGATTACAGGCATGAGCTACCACACCCAACCAGGAGAAAATTTAAATTTTTAATGTTATTATACGGTACTTTAAGATGAGCACTGATCAACGACTAATATTTCTTGAGCATCTCCTATGGAGCCATTACTGGGATCTGTGTCATGAGGAAGACGTTTTGTCATGTCATCAACGATGTGTATTGGGGGCATACTGCATTCTAGGCAAGGTTCTGGAGGCTACATACAGAAATGTAAGATTCCTTCCCTCAAGGAGTTCACTGACATAGAATCACAGACAGTCAGAGGTAGAAGGAATTTTAGAAAGCATATAGTCCACCATTATCAATTTACAGTTAAGGAGGCTGTAGTTCAGAAACATTAAGTTACTGATCCAGAGTCGCAATGCTCCGAGTGGCAAAACAAGAACTAGAAATGAGCTCTTTGACTGCTGGTCTGCCGTTCTTTTCATTATTCCAATCTACTTGGGAAGACGGGATACTCCCACATGAAACAACTGCTAACTTCAAAACAATACCAGACAAAAAACTGCTAACAAAACATATGGTATTAACCATAAGTTTAACAGGAGTTAGGGAAGAACTGGAGACATCCAACAGAGCGTAAATCTTCTGAGTAATGACATGCAATTTATTTACGGCTGGGGAGACTTGCTATGCTTCTGACATGTTGTAAGGATGAATGAGATGAAGGCATTCCAAGGAAGCAGTACTTCCCTCTGGATCTTATCTTGCTCTTAAAAAGATATGTTTTGGTACTCAGGCTAGTATCTCTTTCATTTACAACAGAAAACATGATATAAATTAGGAGGGAAATAATTGATAAAATAAAATACAAAGGCTATGGAGTTCAAACTCTGTTTGTAATTTATACCAAGATCTTCTGAGATGCACAACCTCATGTAAGCCACATTTACTCTCTTCTGTTTCTTGAATAAAAGTGAGCTGAAGAAGAAAAGCATTCTTATGTGATAATTTTTATAGCAGGAATATTTTAGCTAGAAATTTATCTTTAAATAAGCCACTTATTATTGGAAAGCTTTTATATGTTATGATCTTAATAGGAACTCTCCATAAATCAGGATGTGTGGATTTATTTTTGTAAAGAAAAGCATCACAGGGCTTCGTTGAAAAACCTTTACTAAGAGACTACTACAGACCAAAGTACTGTGCATATACTAGGGCGATACTTCTCAAACTATCTGTAGTAAAATCAGCTTATTTTATATTATTTTTAATTTTCTATCTGACATGGACAAATACTTTGGGAAAACATCATAAAAATGATTTACTGGAAAAACTGTAAAAGAAATACAAAATACAAGGCCATTTTAAAACAATTATTTGACTCAACAGTGTGACCAACTCTTCATGTGCTCACAAGTGGCAGCAATATCAAAATGCTATAAAAGTTTCTAGGGGCCAAGTGCAGTAGTTCATGCCTGTAATCTCAGAACATTGGGAGGCTGAGGTGGAAGGATCCCTTGAGTTCAGGAGTTCGAGATCAGCCTGGGCAACATTGTGAGACCCTCATCTCTGCACAAAATAAAAAAAAAAATTTGCCAGGCATGGTGGTGCGTGTCTGTCGTCCCAGCTACTTTGGGAAGAGTGCTGAGGTGGGAGGATAGCTTGAGTTCAGGAGGTCAAGGCTTAACCAAGCCAGGATCACACCACTCCAGTATAGCCTGGGCAAGACCCTGGCTCAAAGAAAAAAAAAGTTTCTAATTGTTTACTTGGTAGCAGTCACAGATTCACAGACTAGTAGGAAACAGGGCACCGACCAGCACAGGTACACGGACTGCACTCTGAGTAGCACTGTACTACAGGGAGTACATAAAAGAAGCATATGAATCCCTACTCATTTAAAGCTCTCAAGTTACAGTGGAGATACATAGGAAAACATACATTTGCTGCACAATGTGGCAAGTGTAGTGGTCACCCCAGTGTTGGTACTGCAAGTCAGGCAGCCCCTGGGCCTGGCTGGTAGGGTATGGAATGGCTTGAACCTGCTGTCTCCCTCTCCTTTAACTGCAGGTCCCAACCATACTGCCTCTCAAGAACACAGTTCTTGCCAGGCGCGGTGGCTCACGCCTGTAATTCCAGCACTTTGGGAGGCCGAAGTGGGCAGATCATAAGGTCAGGAGTTAAAGACCAGCCTGACCAACATGGTGAAACCCCGTCTCTACTAAAAATACAAACATTTGCCGGGCATGGTGGTGCACACCTGTAATCCCAGTTACTCAAGAGGCTGAGGCAGGAGAATCGCTTGAACCCGGGAGGTGGAGGTAGCAGTGAGCCGAGATTGTGCCACTGCACTCCAGCCTGGGCAACAAAGAGAGACTCTGTCTCAAAACAAACCAAACCAAACCAAAACAAAACACAGTTCCTAAGGGATAATCTTTATGGTGACTATAGAGTAACAGGTGGTGCTGGGGATGGCATTTTCTTATGAGATGTTAGGTTTGAAATTCCACAAGACTTAGGAGTGTGGATAGGGTTTGGGAAGGGAAAGAGAGAAGTTATCAAAAATATGAGTTGTTATCTTTGATGGTGGCTGTTGATTTCCCATCATAAGTTGCTAAAAATTCAGGGAGCTCTGGTGATAGGAAAGGACCTTAATGGAAGCAAACACATGAGATGTCAACTGTTGAATGCGTGTTGGCTTACTGGGGACCCACGCTCCAGAGCATAAAGACCCAGAAAAAAACTTAGTGAAATTATTAGAGGTTCTACACATCATACATCAAAACAGATATATTACATTACCTGAAGCACTGTGTTCTTTGGTCCAAAATGATTCAAAGCAAAACAAAATATGTGTGAATTGCCATGTGGCACATAAAGCCATGCCTCAGGCATCACCAGCATTTGGATTTAAAGCTACTGTGCTCTCAATCACCAAACTACAAACCCGTTAAATTTTGAAAGAAAACCAAATATCCTATGCAAGAGACACAAAATGTTAGATTTACATACAGTGCATCTGCCCAATGAAAAAGAAAATCAATGGACTGGTGTATGAAGAAATATGTTAGAAATCTAGGTCAATATCCCTTATACAAGCAAACACAGAATAGAATAATTTTTTATTTGTGGTAATCAACATGATGCTACAAATAAAATTTTCAATAGTTTTTTTCAAGCCTTGGACTCTGACTTACAAGAAGCTCAGTATATTTTGTGGATTTAGTGAGGGCAAAGCATAGTCCCTGGTCTGAGGACAGGCTATCCATCCACAACTCACAATGCAAGCATCTCAGCCGGGTCTATTAATTTTCCATACACACGGAGCCAAATTCTGCCTGGGATTATTATGCAATTTTCAAAATGGCTCTAAGTCTTTCAACTTACAAAGTTACCATTTACATTGCACTGGCCTGCTGGCTGGGATGAATGAATGAACACTCTTTCCCAAAGGACCATAATTCATTCTCTGATCATAGCTTATACATTTGGGAGCATTGGGATCAGTGTGCCTGGCGCCTCCCCTCCCCTCTGCCCCACAAAGGAGTCATACACTGCAAGAGAAGGGGAGACAAAGTGGCTGTGTGCCATAGAGTGCAGAGGTGTGGCCAGGGAGGTGTTGACTGTGAGCAGCACCAGTCTAACATATAAGCAACTGTCTACATGATGTGATTTCAGGTGCACCAAAAAAGGCCTCATTGCCCCTCAGTTTAAACACTCCCTTCCCACTGGCAGATGCCTGGAATTCCACAGTTTTTAGAGCTCTGTTCCTTTGGTTTAAAGCTTTGATCCTGTTAAAATACTCGTACCCCTGGGTGGGCAGCCCCATTATAACCTATCAACCATATACACTGTAAACGGACGAGTTTTAAAGTTTCTTTTCTGAAAGCAGGTTTTGAGAGTGGAGTTCAGGGCAGAAGATACTGTGTACCTGAGGGATATGGGGAGAGGAGAACATCACCTGGAGGGCAAAGGAAACTGGGCCCAAGACAAACAATGTGTGCGTGTGTGGCCATGTGCACGGCTGTGTATGAGCTCCTCCCATGGCGGCAGCTGTTGAACACCCTTTCTTAACCCTCTCCCAGAAAACTTGATTTATGCTGCTTTTGGAGCCATGGAACCAGACTCTCCTCCCAGCTACAGCAAGATAATAGCTGCTGGCTACAGCTGGGAATTCTCGAATTCTTTCAAACTGGAGACTAGGAGTGAAAGGTGAAGAAAAGTTCTTCTGGGCCTGCTGTGCTAGGTAGCCTTCCTCTGGGGTCCAAAGAGAAAGATGGGGCCCAACGGTGTTATCTAAATGCTTCCAACCGGGCCTGAAAGCACAGAATCATGAATTGTCAAAAGTGAACACTAGCTCAATCAGCACATCCTTTTGTGTTTCTAGACTGATTGTTTCTCTTTGTCTCTACTATGAAGAGTAAGGATGAATCACTGGCCTTACTTCTAACACAAGGAAGGGAGCCTTGAAAGTTAAGACAGTTGTTTATGTAAAAGAGGAAAAGAAAACCCAGTCTTAATCCACAGTCGCCCATTTGGGCAGTATACAGTATGTAATGTAACAGATTGTATGCTTTGGTTAAGGAACTGGATTTTCATCAGTAAAATTCCAAGTTACTGGGTAGGCAGGGCGGACAGCTGCTCATAGCTTTCCTGCAAGCTTTCCTCAATGTCAGTTTCAGTGCCTGAAATTCCGCTATTAGAGTCATTGCTTAGGGACTGGAAGGTTAGAAAGTCTTTGAGAGGCACTTATAAAAATGGAACCACTCCTTAAACCTAGCAAGTTTTATTAACTCCTACCTTAGGTTGGCTAAAAGCTCTGAAGTAGCTGCTTGGAGGGACAGCAGAAGCTTTTAGGCCAAAGAAATATTTTCCAAAACCTCAGGGCCAGCTTGCCTATGACAGCCCAAATCCTAGTTATTCACATATCGCCCTACACATTTTGTTATATCTTCATATTCCCATTACTATTAAATATTTTTCTTCAAACCAGTTCACATTTTTATTGAAATAAATGTATCATGGCACCAGCTACTTAGTTTTGTCCTAACAAAATCATGGGTTGGATGTACTAGTTACATATATTTTTTCTAATCCACCATTAAAATAAATATTTATTAAAATGAAAAGCAAAAACTTCATTGGTCCACTTCAGTGAACCCAGGGATTCACACGCTTCCCTTTGGGAAGCACTGACCTAGCTCATACAAAGTATATTAAATATAAAAGCATATATTAAAAATAAGTCACATTTCCCCTTTTCCAGGTACTCAATACCCAGTAGTTGAAAACAACTGTTGCCTTTGTAGTTAGTTGCATGAGCTCTGGAAGATCATGAATTTATGGGAGGTCATGTCTTCCTCTGCAAGGTCATGAAATTCAATCAATGCTTGCCTTCCAATCTGCCCTTTGGTCACAGGGCTCCACAGGTGGAACATATCAAACTCACCAGCCAAATTATGACTCTTAATTGGTGTTTCTTTTAAAGTGGATATGTCATTTGTCAAATGTTCAATGCAGGCGCAGGCCTAGCCCCAGGCAAAATTATGAAGTAGGAGAAGAATGCCAGATACATCGGCGGCACTCAAATGTTTGTTGAAAAAAGAGTGAATGAGCCCTCCGTCCTTGACTCCTTCTCTCCCATCCCCCATATCGACTAGGTCACTATGCCCTTTTAACTCTATATGCTAAATATCTCCAGTAATTATTTCCATTTCCAAATCTTCTCTGCTACAGGACTTTAACATTTCTTGTCTGGATTATTTTCACAGCCTCTTAACTGGTCTCCTTGCTTCCAGTCTTTTTCCTTCTTCAAGCCATTCTCCACAGTGCTGCTGGAGAGATCTTTTAATCAGGCAAATATGATCATGGCACCCCCCTGTGCTGAAAACTTCCTTAAGTGGTTCCCCAGGCTCCTCCATATGGCTTCAAGACTGCATAATCTGGCCCTTGCTTACCTCTGTCACCTTAGCTCTTCCAACTCCGCAACCTGAAATCATTACTTGCACCTCCCACCTTCCAACTGGGCCATGCCAAGCCCTCTCCCCTCAGTGTCTTTGTTTACACTGCTTTCTTTGCCTCAGCACCCTTCTCCCCATCTGCTTGTCTCACCTAAACTCCTACTGGTCTGAGTTTAGGACATCATCTCCTCTGGCATGCTTTCTCCGATCCCCCCCCCCCTTCACCCCTTAGAACTTCATCTTAGCATTCACACAGTGGGTTAACTTGGTTGTTTTCCCCATTAGTTTGCAGTTCTTTGAGGTCAGGTACCACGGGTTGGTTAATCTTTGTATCCTCATTGTCTGTTTGTAATCTACAGTGCCTGGAACACAGTAGGAGTTCAAATATTTGTTACCGAATGAATAAATGGATGAATGAACTTCCCCCGTGACCTTCCTCTCTCTTTGTCTCCCTTCTCAGCCCATGGGTCCTGGAACACAACCTCCTCTCTCCGGACCTTGCACACCCCAGACAATTTCCTGGTGCTGAGGTTCTCCCTCAAAACCTACTTTCACCTAGGTCGGAAACAAAACCATCAGATGACAAACTAATTCATGCTGAGGTGTTAAGTAATTTCATCATACAAATACTTATTGAGTTCTCTACTGGACTAGGGTGTGGAGGATCATGAAAATAATCCACGCTAAAGATCCCTACTTAGCAGCATATAGGTAATGACTAAATGCATTTTTCCTTGGAGAGATATTTCATTCTCAAAGAACTGGATTTCTTTTTTTCTTTTTTCTTTTTTTTTTTTTTTTTGAGACGGAGTCTCACTCTGTCGCCCAAGCTGGAGTGCAGTAGTGCGATCTCAGCTCACTGCAACCTCTGCCCTCTGAGTTCAAGTGATTCTCCTGCCTCAGCCTCCCGAGTAGCTGGGATTACAGGCGCCTGCCACCGCGCCCAGCTAATTTTTTGTATTTTTGGTAGAGACGGGGTTTCACCATCTTGGCCAGGCTGGTCTTGAACTCCTGACCTCATGATCCACCCGCCTCGGCTTCCCAAAGTGCTGGGATTACAGGCGTGAGCCACCGTGCCTGGCCTAAAGAACTGGATTTCTAATGGTGAAATCTAAGCAGGAGAGGTGGGATTTGGGTGTAGGATACCTTTCAAATAGCCTTCTACTCCATCTATGAAATAGGCTAGCTTTGGCTCAGTAAATTTGCTGTGTAATGATTTTCTAATGAGTTAGGCTGGCTTTAAGCCCCTGGTTATTTCGTTGTAACCAGTTAGGCTTTGCCTCTTGAAGGGCCACCTGGGACTGTCGTGCAGTAGATTTTCTTTTAACGCCCCAGAATCAGGTGCTTTCTCTGACTTTGTGTGGCTCTACTGAATCAAATCTAGCAAGCCACAGAGGCTTTCAGACTTTTAAGATACAATATTCAAAGGTGAGGCAGGCTGTGAAAAGCCCAGCGGTCCCTGGCTGTCCCTGAACGCGACTATTTGCAGGTTGGCTTTGAGAACCCGGTCAGAGCTGCGTTAGGAAAACGGTTCCCGGGAAGCTCCTCAGAGAGTAGAATGAGGAGGTGGATTTTGTGTGAAGGAACACCTTGTGTGGCTCTGGTGGCCAGGAAAGAGCTGGCACAAGCTGAAAGAAGGCCTGTGGCGAAGCGGAGGGGGACCTAAGTCAGGGACCCCCACCTGCCCCCAGGAAGGATGAAAAGGAGACAAAAATCCTAAAGGGAAAAGCCCTCCAGGCTGTAGGCCAATGAGCGGCGGGAAGGAGGAGTGAGGCTGGGGAACTTCTCCCAGAGCCAGTCAGAGCGGACGGCTGCTGGGAAGCCAATCAGCGCGCTCGAGCCTGCAGCCCCTCTGCAGTAGTTATGCCAGAGCGCCCTGTGTAGAGCGGCTGCGAGCGGGCAGCTGGGCTCGGCTGCCGGGAGCCACCGCGCGGGCTCCGCACCCTCCTCTCGCACTGCCTTCGCCCGGTCCCCGCGCCGCGGTGCCCCAGTGGCCCCCGCCGCGCTCCACGCCGCGCCCCCGCACCCCGCCGGCTACCGGCCGCACAACCGCCACCGCCCCCTGGCCGCGCGGCTCGCCTCGCCCCGCCCCGTCCCTCCTCGCCCCGCCCCACCCCAGTCAGCCCCGCCCTGCCCCGCGCCGCCAAGCGGTTCCCGCCCTCGCCCAGCGCCCAGGTAGCTGCGAGGAAACTTTTGCAGCGGCTGGGTAGCAGCACGTCTCTTGCTCCTCAGGGCCACTGCCAGGCTTGCCGAGTCCTGGGACTGCTCTCGCTCCGGCTGCCACTCTCCCGCGCTCTCCTAGCTCCCTGCGAAGCAGGATGGCCGGGACCGTGCGCACCGCGTGCTTGGTGGTGGCGATGCTGCTCAGCTTGGACTTCCCGGGACAGGCGCAGCCCCCGCCGCCGCCGCCGGACGCCACCTGTCACCAAGTCCGCTCCTTCTTCCAGAGACTGCAGCCCGGACTCAAGTGGGTGCCAGAAACTCCCGTGCCAGGTGAGGAGGGGTCCCTTGAGCGTGCCTAGCGCCCAGCGGGGAGCAAGGCGCGCGTGGTGGCTGTACCCTGAGCGCGCTAGCCCCGCCGGGCTGTAGTCGTGCGCCCTGCAGCTGGGCACTTGGGAGTGGTCGGTGTGCCTGGGGCCTGGCTGGGTCTACTGAGGGAGGGAGAGAGGGTGTGTGTGGACGGAGCCCACATCCCCCAGTCTCACGCTGCTGTCAGGGAAGGTGTGAGCGGGAGGAACCGTGGGGATCGCCTTCTCGTGAGCGCCCGTTTTTTGGAAGGGCGAGAAGGTGGGAGCTATTTTCCCGGGTCTCTGCGAACTGGCGCCCCACAGCCGAGCTGGTGCCTCATGAATTTGCCATCCTTGCTCGCACATACGTGTCAGAATTTCAGCCTTAGCTGGACCACAGCTCCAGCCATCCCTTCCCCAACGTACCCCCACCCCCCGCCGCCTTTACCCAGCCTGGGTTTCCTAAGCTCACGGGCCCAAGTGCAAGCAAAGTTGAGGACAGATTTCTGAGTCTGCAGTGGCGGGTGAAGACACACTGAGGCAAACTTTTGAGTAAGAGGGTCCCCAAAATGAGGAGACTGAACCTTTTCCTTCAAAACAGCATCCCTTATATAGGTTAGCGAAATCGCTTTAAAACCGGTGCTGCTGGCCCAGGGAGCAGGAGTCCAAAGATATTTAACTCCTCCCCCTCCCAAATTCATCTGCCTTCTTGACAGGCTGGATCCTAAAGGGGAGATGATTTCAGGTGGAGGAAAGTTTCTGAACGCCTGCCTTTTGTTCTGCACAATCAGATCGTGCCGTAACGACGTATTTTAACATCAGCCGAGGGCTGCCGCTGTCAACAGATGAATATTAATGGCCCTGCGTGATTGACTGTCCAGCGGTTGGGCTCCTAACGCCCGCCTTAGAATCCAATTAGACCAAATTGCTACACTGACAATGCGGACAAGAAGAGTCGGTTTCAA
Source organism: Homo sapiens (assembly GCF_000001405.40). Classification (NCBI taxonomy): domain Eukaryota; kingdom Metazoa; phylum Chordata; class Mammalia; order Primates; family Hominidae; genus Homo; species Homo sapiens. The sequence continues at coordinate 133,984,295 of NC_000023.11, read as the reverse complement.
ACAGGTTAATTTGTCAGGGGTGCACTGAGAAGAAACGGCCAGTTGTATTCCGTAACCGTGAGACGTTTGTGGCCTCCAGGGTCTCTTCTCAACTCAGGCATCCAGTGAGGCGCGCGTCCCGCGCTTCCGAGGGATCGGGGAGCAGCCCTAGCCAAAACTTGGCTGGTGGCTCTCAACAAGTCATGGAGGCGGGCCCGATGGTTGGACCAAGTTGTGAATGCGGATGCGCACCCCGTGGGCGCTGCCAGCCAGGGTTCACTGGTAGGAGGTTACCTAGGCAGCCAGCGCGCCCTCAGCCTTTTCTTTAGGTTGATGAAAAGAGCCGAGTGAGCCTGCTGTTTAGTTGCAAAGGTAATTGGTCACCCTTTTTGGTGACTGAAATGCATTTGCGCATATGTTAAATATTGCTTTGCAGGATTTCGCTCTAAGGGAGGGTCGAACTACCTCATCCCCTGTTAAGTGTTAATAATGTACCACGTGGGCATGTGCAGGAGCTGTAAGGGGCAACCTATGAATCAGTTCCACAGAACTGAAACAACTGGCCAATCTCTCTCCCCTGGAAGTGCCATGGTAATTAGATTGTTAAGGCTAGAGAACATGCTTTTGTTGGTAATGTAAAAATTGGTCCTCACAGGCTGAGCACCCACAAGATGAATGGGTCCAGGGTTGGGGTTGGGGCCACATTTGGCTGATTCGAAGCCAGGAGGTAAAGGTGGTGCCCAAAAGAAGAAAAAGGCCAGAAGAAAGCACAGATAGTCATTTAGCAACCCCCCTCTACACACACACTCCTGCAGGCACTCGCCCTCCCTTGCTCTCCCCCAGCTCTCTGGCTGCCTGCCTCTTTGCAGCATCTGTATAAAAGTATTGGGAGGGCCCACACGCTGTGTGTATGAGATTTGGCCTGGGCTCCTTCCCTCCCTTGAGGCCTAGGGATGGCCATACACTTATAGAGAAGAGGGACTTGTAATAAAGATTTTTCATTTTCCTCTACTATTTCACAAACTCTATAGGAGAAATCACTTTTCAAGGGTTTTCATCATATAAACCCAACGTTCCCTGCTTTAGTTCTATTTAACAAACACAAACACTGTTGAGCATCTTCTACATGGCAGGCACTGTCCTGACTTGCACTGGAGCCAAGCCAAACTTCAAATATGGTGATCCCCATACAGCTACCATTATATATCCTGGATTTTCCGGGGGCAGTGCAGGTTTCTAATACTCTGTCCTGGCATGAAACTGCGTGTCCTGAATTTTAGTGGGACAAATATGGTCACTGTAGATATGGAAAACATGAAAATCCTAATGTTCGTGTGTGGAAAGAGCTCATCAGTATTTTAGGGAAGAGACAATAATGGCAGACTAAATACAATGGTAAGTGTATAATTTCAAAGTGAATAAATGTATAATTTGCTGCTGTCGTTCAGTGGTTGGAAATTGAAAGAGAGCTGAAAATTATTTGGTAGTTATGAACCATCATGATGACCGCTTGACTTTCCCCCCTCTGCATCCATATTTTAAGCCATGTTCAGTTTGCCTGCTGCACTATATTAACTGCATTAAAGCTTTCTTTGTCCCAGATCAAATGAGATTCAGTCACAGTAAGGAGAAATCCTCAAGAATGTCCTGTTTCACTTAGGGGGAGCATTTGGGATTGACTGCTAACTTCAGCCATTAGCAGAATTGGGTTAGCCTGAATAAGGTACATTTCTTATGCTAATATGGATGAGACTAAATGGCATTTGAGATCAGCCAGCCTAAAAAATAAATCACTGGTGCTGAAGGACTACACTAGACTTCCACAAAGCTGATCTAAAGCCTTACAATCTCATGTTCCCATTTCTTTTGGAGTGTTCAAGTCACAGGATAGCAGTTCTAAATAGCATGTCCCCAAAATCCATAGATCTCTTCATACCCCACTTATTTTTTTAAGGATTTGTAACTTGGAAAGCACCACAGATGGAAACCAGGCGCACAGAGTTAGCATTTGGCAGAAAAATCCATATAACTGACTTTCAGTACAGCTCTTTTGCCCTTATTTAATTTAGAAAAATTCAGAAAAAAGCCAATGAGCTCATAAGTCTAGATGTTTATTTTGTTTTGCTTAACCTACCCACAGGCGCAATCAAGAATGGATACAATTTTAGGCAAGGAAAGTGAGCTAGTAATCAGACAATGATGTTTCCAATTGTCTCAAGGGAATGTTACAGAAGTCTGGAAAAAAATTCCTCTAAACAAAAATCAAGTGTAATTCACTTTATGAATGCCATACACCACTTTTGTCGGGGGAGGGGGGTAGTGTAAGGGATGGATGGAAATGAGAAAATCAAACAAACCGTGGTAGTGTTGCAACTCCCAAAAGATTGAGGGATCTTGCCTTGGAAGGCCTTGGAAAGTGCGAGAACCAATCCAGAAGGCCAAATGCCTGTATGGGTAAAAGGCAGTCTTGAACAGCCAAAATTGACTTGGAGTTTCTTGAAATAGATGAAACAACATAAAAATAAAAAGCAATGTGCTTGAAACAAAGAGATAGTTTGGTATTTGTTTTTGTTGTTTTTACTGTGAGAACTAGCCTCCGTATCTGGGTTGCCAGCTGCGGTTCCCCAATTAGTTTGAAGCAGTTAGCGGTCCTAATGTCCAGAGAGAGAATAATAAGTGAGGTGTGGAAGGGTTTTTTCTCTTCTGAGATTGCACGAGACATTTGGGTGACCAGGTGATTTGTTAAAACTTTGAAACTTTGAACAATACAAAAAACTCTGTATTGTGTGCTACTTGGAACAGTTAGAGAATTCTTTCAAATGTGGTCTGAATAGTACACGAATCCTGATACTGATACCAAGCTGTGCTTAGAGGGAGCCATCAATCTGATGGAGGACATGGCTGATGATTGGTGGGGCACCTTGGGCTGAAAGGAGTCTAACACTGCCAACTCCTTGGCAGCCTCTGTAATAGGTGCTGGGGTTGCAGAGAGGAGTGAGACACAATCCCTTTTGTCAAGGAGCTCACAGTCTAGTGGGGAAGCATACAAGTAAACAGGCTTCCCAGGAAACTTGTAGGATTAAAAAGGGTGAAAAGGGCTAGAAAATACCTCCAGGAAATTGGCTGAAATGGTCACAATAGCCAGCCTGGGCAAGGGAAAAGAACTGAAGAGATGAAGTGGGAGATAGGGAGAAGTCTCTTAATAGGGCCGCCATCTTAAAAAGAGTTTCTTAATTCTTGGAGCAAATTCCATTTTGGAAGCATTAGGAAATACAGACATAAGAAGAATTTTAATGGTTGCTAAATGACGCAGATGGCGTCAGTTTTGCAATGTGTTTTTTTCTTATGGGCTGGTAGGTTGTATCCAATATTTTGATGCAATATTTTTGAGCATTCTGCTACTTCCATCTTTAGAGTTGCAATGTTTGCTGTTCACTGTAGCCTAGAAAAAGGCGGCTTATTACTGATCTGGGGGAAAAGAGTCCTGGATTTGTCTGGTATGAGACAAGACAGAAAATATGTTTTCTCCCTAAATGACAGCTATCAATGACCACGCCAACTTCAGTGTTTGATGCATATACAAAAGCATGGGTCTTAAGAGTTATCTTATTACTCATTTCTAAGAAAATTGAAGATAATCACTTATAACTTGTGCACACGATACATCATTTGGAAAGAATTTCACTGGGGATCATGTTGCTCAACTGAAAAGTTCTGGCATGCTGAATTTGTACATTTTTTTGTGAATGCTTCCTTTTACTCTGATCTCTAGCTTTTTTTCTGCATATGGTTATTTGTATGTTTTAGATTATAAGCCTCTTAAAGGGAAAACACTGCATTTGAGCAGTGTTGAGCACAAGGCCATACAGCATTTAGTAAATAATTTACAAAAACAGAATTTCTAGATCATTATGTGTTCCCTATGAACTCTCACATACTTTCTTAAGCCATATGTCATCTTACATATTTTAAAAGCCTAAGTCCAAATTGTTACGATACATTATTGGGGCATGTAGACAAACTTTTCAGCCTACATATATTTTGGCTGGAGACAGATGCAGGCTTACCTCAGTTAGCTGGCAACTCTTACCATCAGTAGGGCTTATTAAATTTTGAGTACCCAAATAACAAATTGAAATTAGCAGCATTGTTATGACTGGCTTAGTATCATTAACGATCAACAATTATTACAGCACATAAATTGTAGGACATCTCTTAAATCAAGCCCTCTTTGATTTATTGTCAGCTAGACCTTTCTTGCTAAGGTTGATATTACCATATTTGGGAGTTGAGCTATATAACACATGCATGGACCTGTTGAAGTACCTCACAGGTTTTTGTAACCTGGGATCAGAACTCGTGTACAGACTCAATTCAAGAGCCTATTCCAGGAGCCAATGTCTATTCAGTCCTAGCCAATCTTGTAAATGGGTTAGATGTTTTTGGTAATCTGCGATCTAAGGGACAGTGTGGGCAGAAAAATCTCCCACTCATCTGCCCATATTTAGCAAATTGTCTGGCTTGAAACAGGATCCCTGGCACTCCATTAGGAAATGAGCATCAGAAAATAGAATCCAAGTTACAGGCCCCAGACTGGCTTTAGAGACAGCATAAAGTAATGGGAATTTACCTTCTGAGACATAATGACAGGGAGAATGCTGTTCAAAAATCAAGGTGAAGGTGGGTATATCAGCAGAGAAAATGCGTGTTTTGAAATGCTACGTGTATCAGGGGGTGGTGGTGAGAATGCTCATTGGAACATTGTAGCCTTACTTGAATATCTTGTTGAATATACAAAGTAAAGAAGATTTAGTTCTGTACTTCTAATTAGGGCAATTCAAGATCAATTAGACAAGTGTTAATTATTAGAAATACTTGTTTGCAATTTAAAAAAATGAATCAAGATTGATTACTAAGAGATTCATTTTTCACTTTTCCCTCTTTTTGTGTGTAGCTGGACAAAGCCTAATTTGAGAGTTTGTATTTTTCCTCATGAATAAAAGGAAGTCAATGTTATGACCAAAGTGCATTGCTAGTGTTCCGAACAGTTAATTACTTCTAGTAGCTGAAATTGTATTTATATGCTAGATTAGTAAATCTACTAAGCTCTTTGAAGCGTACTTAATAGGCTTATGTTGATAAATAATTGATAGGAAGGAGATAAAATACAAGTGGAAGTGGCAATAAGAAGGGAAGTCAAAAGCTGTTATAAAAGAAACTTCCACCGTCCAGCCATCTGAAAGCTGAAAAATGTACATGTCTCAGTAGAAGTGATGTTTTTGAAAATATTCTGTATTTTTCAAAATTTCCACAGTGAAGCATATATTTATTCCTTATAAATCCAGGAGAAGGTACAATTTTAGAGTAAAATTTTACATGGCCTTTTTGTCTGCCTTTTGCAACTAAGTTTATTACTGGAAAATTAGAAGTCCCCATTATGGCAACTTTGAAGTTCATGTTTCTAATGATATCTTCCCTACTAGACTGTGATCATCTTGAGGTTAGCGGCTATATTTTATTCATCTTTGTATCCCAGTGTCTAGCACAGTACAGGGTACAAATAATAGGTACTCAATATGTATTTATAGACTGAATGAATGAACGGAGTTAGAAATGTATTACAAACATAAAATTTCCATAAAGTCAATATTTAAGTAGTTGATTTATTTTTACCAATATACTAAGGTTTTTAAAAAAGTAACCAGTTTTTTTTTAGGTCAAAAATCCATTTGTTTTCTATAGGTAAGTGATAAAGGATATTAGTTTAATTCATTTGGCTATACTATAACTCTCTGGAAGAAGTAGACTAGTTAAATCTTATAAGAGGTAAGTATTTTGTGCTTGTTTATAAGGATATTATAAGTAATTTCAAGACAAATTGAAGATATATTATACATGTATGTATAAATGCATATGCTTATCTTCACCTTACAGATCTGTGGTATTTAGGTTTGTGAAAATAATGCAACTTGGTGCCAGTTACGGAAACATACACTGAATGTATGTAAGTTTTTCCTCAGTGTTCGGCATTTCTTACCTAAGGCATCAAGCTTCATAAATGTACATTTAAAAGGACATAATCCAGGCTGGGCATGGTGTCTCACACCTGTAATCCCAACACTTTGGTAGGCCGAGGCAGGGGGATTGCTTGAGGCCAAGAGTTCCAGATCAGCCTGGCCAACATGGGGAAACCCCATCTCTACTAAAAATACAAAAATTAGCTGGACATAGTGGTACATACCTGTAATCCCAGCTACTCAGGAGGCTGAGGCAGGAGAATCGCTTGAACCTGGGAGGCAGAGGTTGCAGTGAGCTGAGATCATACCACTGCACTCCAGCCTGGGCGACAGAGGAAGACTCTGTCTCAAAAATAAATAAATAAAATTTAAAAAAGGACATAATCCAAAGTGAATTTTCCGCCATGGAAATTTCATTTGGGTAGGATAAAGGGCCTCATGAGAGTTCTCTTAATTTCTGTCTGCATTAGGCCAAACTTTCAATTAGTTGCCTAGGTAAACTAATTGAAAGTTGATGGGAAGTTCTTTCAAATATTCAAATAGAGGCCCAAGTAGGAAAAAGGATAAAAAACGAAGGGATGATGTTCATTTGAAAACAAAAATCAGAATTCTATTTGCATACTCTTCTCCTTAATTATGGCTCTGCTCCCTCTCTCCCAAACCCTGCATATCAGTACTTACAGTGTGTATCATGTCACCCTGGGATTCTTCATTGCTCTTTGTCAAACTTTGGTTTGAATGATTGAAGCTGATGGAAACATGGTGAAGGGAGAAAGAGTTAGAGTGACAGATATAGGGAGGAGTTTAAAAGCCTTCACTTGGTATATATTAGAAAGTTAGCTGGCATACGACAGATGGAAAGGATTGGAAAATATTTGAGTATGGAAATTTGCATGTGTGCAGAGAGAATACAGAAGGATGTCCCAATTGCATTTGGTTCAGAGAAATACTTTATCTGTACTTCTCACTTATTATCCATGTTTTTTGAAATATGTAGCTTATTCATGGCCTCTTCCAGACCCTATGCTTATTGAATGCAGGGACCATGTTTGATTCATCATGATATCCTCTAGAGTGGTGAGTAGAGTGCCTTGTACAGAGTTTTTAATGGATTGATTAATTAGTTGGAATGAATGTAAGAATAAACACCTAAAGACATAGTCTAGAGAGCTTGACCACTGTCCAGTGAGATCCTGGGGTGGCATATAACTATAGAACATTGATTCTCTGAATGTATCATTGTCTAAACTAATTTGCAGCAGAGACAGAAGGGGTGGTGAATTTGAAGCATATTTATTTATTCTCATTGGCCCTGGGAGCCTTGTTGCCCCTCATTTATTTATTTATTTATTTATTTATTTATTTATTTATTATCATTTTTTGAGACAGAGTCTTGCACTGTTGCCTGAGCTGGAGTGTGGTGGCACAATCTCGGCTCAGTGCAACCTCTGCTTCCCAGGTTCAAGAGATTCTACTGCCTCAGCTACCCGAGTAGCTGGGATTACAGGTGCCCACCACCACACTTGGCTAATTTTTGTATTTTTAGTAGAGATGGCGTTTCACCACGTTGGCCAGGCTGGTCTCGAACTCCTGACCTCAGGTGATCCGCCTGCCTCAGCCTCCCAAAGTGCTGGGATTTCAGGTGTGAGTCAATTTTGCTCCCTGGCGAGTTGCCCCTCTTTAAAACTTACGATTGAAGAGGAGATGACAAGTAAAGAAATATTTTTTAACTATAGCTTTACCTAAGTGTGGTGTTTGGATATGTTTTATGTATTTATATTCATAGATTTTATGTATGTATAGAACGATTTCTATTATTTAGACAGCAATAATTAATAAATATTTCTGTTATTTAAACTGTTTGAAAGTTAATTGTTACTCTAAGCAGTAGGTGGTATTTCACAGTCATACCTTACATTTGTCTCATGAAAGCCTTGCTTTCATATATCTCATGTACACACAAGGCAACCACTCATAAAGTGTCTGTCACTTCTGACTTCCAGCAACCTGCCTGGTTCCAGCACACATACACACACATATTTGTACACTCATATACACATATATAATATCCCTACATCTTTATGCCTTTAATAATCTAGAGACTAAGCCTAATTTTTCTGGGGGAGAGCTAGTGGGTACAGCTTTCAGAGATTGAGTAAACCATTTTCAGTTGGATTGGCCTGAAATTGTAGCAGAGCTAATCGTCACTGATATCATAGAGCTACCACTCTTAAAATCAAGTTCCATCATTTCCCCAAGTACACAGATGTTATCCTTGTTAAGTAGTGACAGTCACCAATAATGCTAATTTGGCCCACTTTGGAGAACTACTTCTAGCACTGGCAGCTTTGCATGTTGAGTGCCATAGAAATGAGAATGTGACCCAAGAAGCAGTTTCCAGGTTAGGTTTCATGGAGTGATTGCACTGAGGACCACAGTTATCTGTTTTGGAAAACAGATGGAAATTTGCAGAAAAGGAACTCACTAATAATGAACTTTATATGCCATTTCTGCATAAATATTTAAAAGTTTTTAAAATTTATTCTTACTTCAACCAACATTTATTGAGCACTGATACTATGCCAGGTACTGAGCTAGGAGCTGATGAACAAGATAAAATCACTGCCAGCAAGGAGCTCCCTGCCTAGAGAGGGATCCAGGCAAGGAAAAACATAGATGCCAAGGCAGCATGACTGTGGCCTGCTATAGAGCTGGGCACCATGTGGAGGCCTGAGGGCTCTTGAGCTATGGAGGAATTTGCCTAGTTGTCTTAAGAGGGCTGAGTTCAAGGCTGCAGTGAGCTACCATCATACCACCACACTCCAGCCTGGGTGACAGAGAGAGACCCTGTCTCAAAAAAAAAAGAGGGGGCTTTCATGTAAAGCATGTACAAAGGTACAGAATTAAGAGGCAAAATGACACATGACACATTTGTTGGACTGGAATAGTTGGGATTTCTTGGAGCACAGATGTGGAAGTGGAGTGAAGATGAATTAGAAAAATAGGAAATGCTGAGGAGTTTGGGTTATACCCAAGGATGATGAGGAGCCTTGAAAACATTTTAAGAAGGGAAACATTATTCAGTTGGAGGATGACTGGAGAGTGAGCGGTGGCAGGGAGTTTTAGTAACACAGGTGATAGGGCAGGGGACCATAAATAGGAGAATAAAAGCTAAACTTGAGAGAATAGAGGGAGTAGAATAGACATGACTTAGTGACTGGATATGAGGACAGAAGGGAGAATCTAGAACTTTTGGTTTTTCTGGGTGGTGGTGCTGTGGCACATAATAGGTGCTTGGTAAATATTTGTTGAACAAATGAGTGTGCTTGAAATATAGGAGGAACATGTTTTTAAGGGCTGAAATAATCAGTTTGGTTTCAAACAGATTGAGTTTGAAAGGTCCTTTGATGATGGAGGTAGAAAATGTCTGCTAGGTAGTTCAAGTTGCGTTTTGGATTACAAAAGAGGGAGAAATCAGGGATGGAGATATATACTTGGAAATTATCAGCATATAGATGGTAATTGAAGCCCTGGGAACAGATGAGTTCACTGGGAAAGAGTGTATATATTCTTCTGGAGTTAAGGAGAAGCACATAGTTGGGACTCATCAGCATATAGGCTTAAGTTGGAAGTCGTGAGTGTGGATGATATTTTCCAGGCTTTTGCATGTGGCATGTATTAAAATGTATTTTGCCAACATCTGATGATTTAAAAAAAAAACCTGCCAAAGACTTCAAGAACCCTCTTGATTAAGAGAAAGTATGAGTATATGTTGTCATGATCCAAGACTCTGCAAATAAGATAATGTACTACCAAACACACACACGTGCATGTGCACACGTGCATACACACACATCTCTATGTAGAGGAATATATTAGAATCAAAGAATCAGACTTCTATTATTCTTGATAGTAATAATGAATAATTATGCATGTTATTTAAATGGAAAGGCTGGACATGGTGGCTCACACCTGTAATCCCAGCACTTTTGAAGGCTAAGGTGGGAGGACTGATTGAGCCCAAGAGTTCAAGACCAGCCTGGGCAACATAGTGAAACCCTGCCTCTTCAAAAAATAGAAAAATTAGCTGGGCATAGTGGCATGTACCTGCAGTTTCTGTGACTCAGGAGGCTGAGGTTGGAGGATTGCCTGAGCCCAGAGGCAGAGGTTGCAGTGAGCTGAGATCACGGCACTGCACTCCAGCCTGGGTGACAGAGTGAGACTTTGTCTCAAAAACAAAACAAAACAAAACAAAACAAAAAAAACGCTGAAAGTTATTAGCTGTTACTCTTAGCAGTAGGTGATCTTTCACAATCACACATTACATTTGTCTTGTGAAAGCCTTGCCCTCATATAGCTCACGTACACACAGTGCAACCACTCGTAAAGTGTCTGTAGCTTCTGAGTTCCAGCAACTTTAGTGGTTCCAACATGGTGGCTCCTCTGTCCCTCCCCCAGGGCAGTACTTTCCCAATGTAAAGAATGAAAACTGTAACAATATGTAGCTTTTGGAGCTCTGGTCTGTATTCTGCTTCAGACTTGGCCCTGATGGCTGGTCTCTGAAACATGTGGTTCCAAGTAAACGCTAGGAATACTTGTGTAATTGGGCTGATCTTTCATAAGTGTCTATGGAGATGTATTATTTTTTGGTTTAGGGGTTGGGGAGGGTTGTATAATTTTCTGTTTCTCTGGCATAAATGGTTTCTTTCATTTCTCTGTTGTTTAAGAGATTGCCTTCATCAGTGTTTCTTTCAACATAAGCTTGAAACTCCTTGTATTCCAGTTGATTTTTTGACACCACTTTCAGGTTGGTGGAATAGTTTAGAAGGACCACGAGGGAAGATTATGGAAATTAATCTTTACTGAGTGCCTACTATATGTCAATTACTTTATATTTAACCTCTCATTTAATCAACACAGGAAACCTGAAAGGTAGGTGGTGTCAGCTCCATTTTACAGATGAAGAAACTGAGGCTCAGAAAGGTTTACTTACCCAAAGGTTGTGTAAGTGGCGGAGCCGGAATTTTCACCCAGGTTTGTCTTACTCCATAGCTCATGCTGTTTCCAGAATACCTACTGGAGTATGAGAGGAAGGGATATAGTCTGGATATAAAGTATTTGACTTAAATTCCCATACTCTGTCAACTTCTGTGACACTGTGTACTCTGGGTTCCCTTCCTACTCGCTTCAGTCTTTGCTTGTTTGCCCTCTTCCTCCTACACTTTGGATGTAAGTGTCCCAGTAGTGTTTGTCTTTTGCCCTTTCCGTTCTCTCTTTGCTTATTCCCACATCCATTCCCATGACTTCATTATCTTTGCTCTTTGAATGATTCAACCTGACCTCTTCCTTGCTCTTCAGCTCAGTATTTCCCAGTTGTCTGCTGGACATGTCCATCTGGAAGTCCTGCCAGTGCTTCATTTTCAACAGAGCCAAAAATTAGTCCATTATTTTCTTTTCCCATCCACACAAACCTGCCTCTCCTTAACGTTCTATATTTCTGGTGATGGTATCTCTGTCTGGCACCAACTCGAAACCTTGAAATTGTCTTTGATTTCTCCTTTTACCCATCCCACACCCAAATTAAGTGACTAAATCTTGCAAGTCTACCTCTGTCTATTATGTCTCTCACTCTTATGGCCTTGGCGTGCATGCCCTCTATTTAAGTATAACAGACTGAGCCAATGAATGAGAATGTGATATTGAATGGGCTAGGGAGAGCCAGTAGGATCTCTGCTCAGTGGCTAATAATTTGTAACTAGTTGGAAAGTACTGCCTTTGCTGCCTTAGATGGGTAGAACCTCTAGTCTTGGCCTTGGCTTAATTTAATGTGACCAGAGGCAGCTATCTCCTGAGATCATTTGGCTCTTCCCATAGGGAACTAATGGTTTCCCACTTTTTCTTTTGCTGGCATTCTGGGGTATATCTTACTTGGCCATCTCCAGAAGTCAGAGTGGAACTATTGAAGAGTTTCAAAGAGCTGTGGAAGAACTGTGCTCAGTGTTTCAAATAGTCCTTTCTGTTTTCAGAAACAGGTTTTCTGCTTTGTTTTCAAACTTCAAAGTTTATTTCTGAAATAAAGGATTATTTTCCCCATGGTATTCTGAAGGTTTTATACAAGTGTTAATTTCTAAAACCTAAGTCATTTCTTGGCTTTAAAACTTCAGTGCTGTGGGTCAATTTAATAACGTTGCCTGAAGGGTTTTTTGGCCTTCAAAAGCTGTCAGATTGCTTTTTCTTTGTTCTTTGAGAGTGTAAGGTTGCCTCATTTATGAAGCTTGAAGGAGATGTTGGAACCAGCATTTATTCAATCATTCAGAGTCTTTTCCCAACAATATCCAGTTTTAGCTTCAAATTAGATCCTAGTGGTAATGAAATTTACTACCAACTAATAATTCGGGGTAAAATGGGTAAGATTCTTGAAAAGCTCCTCAACATTTCATAGAGTAGTGATAAGAAGTAGCCTAGGTTACTCTAACACCCACAGTTAAGGGGAACAACGGATGTTCTGTGCACTCTCATCACAGCCCTCCTGGGGCTCAATATACCTCTGAAGCTACTGAGGGCCCTCCTTCTGTCTGTTGGACTGTTCTCCGCATCTTCCTTTCTCCCCTTCCTCCTACCCTCACACCCTCTCTCAACTGATTATAATTTAGAACAGAAGGTGCTTTATGGTTTTTTATATTTATTAAATGGTTTTGTTTCTTGTTCTCTCTTAAAAAAAAGATGAGTGGAATGTTTTATATTTTCCTCTGCATTTTAGTTTTAAGCTGTGTTTCCTTTCCCCGTAGCTTCTGATTTCCATCTCTCCTCTCTCTTCCTCCATTTTCCTCTGCCTTCTCCACTTCTGTCTGTCCTCAATGGAGAGAAAACAGGCTTTCAATTTCTGCCCACATATTTTATTTGGGTACCTGGTTTACTTATCTTGAGATATTGTAAAATACTATTCTTTAGTTTGAAAATGAAGAGCCCTAAAATATACACCAATGAATTTACATTCCATTTTCTAAGAACTGAGTATTTAAAAAGCTTTCTATACAGATAGAACAAGGCTAGATGACCTGACTTGTGTACCTCAGATCATTGCTATGTAGTTTACATTCTGTCTCACCTTGTCATAACTCTCAATAAATGAAAATTGCATCTTTGTTCTTAGAAATCTCTTTTCTTACATTGAATGCTTTCCTTTTTTCTGAAGATAAGGGAGCCCCTTTGAAACAGCGCTAGTGTGGGTTAAAACTGACACCTACCTTGTAAGCTAACCAAATTATAACCTGCTTTTCCCTGATGAAGTTATCACACTTCAGGGACATTGTTTTGCTTGTGGGGTTTTATTGTCCCAGTTTCAATTTTGACTGCAGGTTAGAGATTGTATTCCAATTGGACTATTCCTTGGTATTTTTTCTCTTTGTCTTTATACTTATGGGGCTCTGTTGTTTGTCCTGTATCTATTATCTCTTCCAAGCTTGGCCAAGGTTGTTAGGTTATGCACTTATGTATAAATATTTAACAAGATAAGTTAGACAAAATGTGCTTGAAGACATTTAAGCCCTGTTCCCCACCTTCCCACCACCCCACCCCCCAGCTCATTTTTTTGCATAGAGTCGCAGATAGTTGCTTTATCTCAGATGTTTAGATTTGGAGGACATTCCTTTGCACTTTGCTTGATGGACACAATTAAATGGAAGCCTTTTAGTCAATCTTGACTACCAAAATAGTAGCACCAAGTAACAGATAACATTAGGTTCTTCTTCCTATTTTTTTTTTTTTCTAACTGGTTATCCAAACTCCCTTAAGCCAGAGAGTTTTAGGTATGAGATTGTGTGTTTTTTAAGAAAATATTACGGATAAAGACTAATGTTCTCAAGTCAGGAATAACAATTAGTACCATTCATTAATCAGGAGGCATGTTTTGACTCTGGGTCCTGGCTAGGAAATATAAACTGTGAAAGTCACACATATATATGAACCTCAAGCAAATTTATGACTTGTCAGCCTTTTAAGGTTAAATTCTTAACCCCAGATCGGAGCTGGCTTTATATGTGGAGCCCGGCACATTCCTCTGGGCCACTGAGCACGCCCCTCCCCAGCCCTTTGCTTAACAGCAGCTAGTGGCCTAATGAGCAAGAAGGATTTCTGTCTCTTATCAGCTGCCTAAACAGCAACAGGAAGGCTGATATACGGAGTACAGGTCAAAACCTGAGTTCTTGAACCAAAAAGCTACAAGGTCAGTTTAAAACTCTAGATATGTGGTACCGCTATAGTCATCAATACCTGTCAGTAAAGGAGTTAGACACTTGAGTTCAAACAAATAGTAATAGTTGTCAAAAGTATGAATCGTCTAATTAATTTTGCTAATAGTTCTTTCCTTCTTTGTTTAGTTCTTTTAGAAATAGCCTTCATATACTCTTTAATGAGCTTTTAGTTTGTGCCTGGAGGTTGTTATGGTCGTGTAGGAGTGTTTGATTGTCATCTAGTGATGATGATGGAGGCGAGGATATTTATATTTTGGCCCAGATTTTGGAAGGGGCTGCCAAATAAAGGTAAATAGATATCTACTACTATTTTTATTTCTTTTTAAACTGGGGTTTTTTTGCATATGCATTCAACTTGCCATGGAGTCAGAGAAACCTTTGTGCCTCCTCATATTGCACTCAGATGTTTTTTTTTAAAGGAGAAATCCTCATTGCCTGTTTCTTAGATGCACTTGGAATCCAGGCTCAGATTCACGTAGAATAAATATTTTAGGGTATTCAGTGCCCATCATAGTGAAAGCCCCTTGACTTTCATCTTCTGCATTTGCATGTTTTCAGAGACAATAATGAAAACTTTTTTTCAGATTCTGTTGTGTTATTGAAAATCCTATTTACATAAACAGGCATTGTTGTGGCTTAGGGAAGAATGTGGGGTCCCATTCTTTAGCTCCTTGTATATCTTTGCTAAGGCTCGTCTAAATAGAAGTAATGACGCTTTAGTCTAAGCAGCTTTTCTCATTTAGGTAAGCAGGGTGGTTTGAAATTTCAGTTTACTGGATAATTGAGTCTCTTCTTCTTAATTATTTCAGGCATGCAGGTTGCTCTCTTTATAGTAAAGACCCTAAAAATCTAGTAATCTCCTCAGGCATCCATTTGGTAATAAAGTCCTGTGCATTTTCAGGGGTTAATTTTCATGACAATTGTGTGTTGCCGCTCCACCCCCACCCCTGAAGAAATTCTGCTGTTTTAGAGCCTTGGTCTCCTCACAGTTGCAAAAACACACTTAAAAATATATTAGGATGTTGCTGGAATTACTGGATCTAGAGGACATTTAAATGTATTCAGATTCATGCTCATTATACAAATTTAATTTAGGGTTTTTAATAGCCTTGTTATATTTCTTGGAAAATCATGTGCCTGACTTTGCCAGACTTGGTTTTCTGCCCTGAATGAAAAATGGGTATCAGTGCAAAAGTGCAGCCTAAGTATCCCCTATTCTATCCTTTTTCTCTTCTTAAAAAACAAAAACAAACAGAAAAAACATTCACAGAGGTCATCTGGTGCAGTGAGGTGGGAAAAACTAAAAAGGAAAAAAAAAAAAAAAGCCTAGGTTGCCTTCACATCTGCTAGTCATTCCCACTAGTGTGACTTCAATTCAGCAAGTTTTTATTGAGCACCTGTGATGGGGGCGGTGCTAATAATCGTTAACATTTATTGAGCCAGGCACTGTGCTAAGCTCTTTATGGGCAACATCCTACTTAATCCTCACAACAGCACTACCAGGTGGATAGCATTGTTTCCCCCATTTTACAGATGAGGAAACTGAGGCTTAGAGAGGTTTAATGACTTGTTCAAGATCAAATAGCTATGAAATTAATCAAACCCAGTTAGTCTGGTTCCAGAGCCATGTTCCTAATGATTACTCTTGTGATGGGTTCAGCATTTGTAGGAATTACTCCTCAATTCAGTTTTGAGAACCCAGTATGTGTGAGATGCTAGGGATTCAAATTCAAATACTCCCCTCTCCCTGCTCTTGGTAGGAGAAGCAGACATGTAGACAGACGACGGCCATGTATGGAGTGGTCCCCACGTTGATTGAGGGGGAAAGAGGAAGAAATGGGAAGACCAGTGGCTTGAACCTGTGGGAATGCTACGTCACGAAGGCAGCCCAGCAGCCTGGGGTTATAGGTATTTCTTTTCCTGTTTGGTGAAGGTCATCCTTTGAGTTGAACTGCCTCAATGATTGTATCAACCTGTTTCCATCATTGCCTCAACCCAGTGTAGCATCAGCTACCTTGAACCCAGCACTCCTAAGACATGCATGGTCAGCACAGTTTGGGCCAACTGGCCTCATAGTGTCACCATTTCCCTTTCAGTTTTCCCTTAAAAAGTAAAAAGCAGGCTGGACACGGTGGCTCATGCCACCCAGCACTTTGGGAGGCTGAGGTGGGCAGATGACTTGAGCTCAGGATTTCAAGACCAGCCTGGGCAACATGGCAAAACCCCCCATCTCTACAAAAATAAAAAATAAATTAGCTGGGCAGGGTGCTGTGCACCTGTAATCCCAGTTACTTGGGAAGCTGAGGTGGGAGGATCGCTTGAGCTTGAGAGGTGGAGGTTGCAGTGAGCCAAGATTGCACCATTGCACTCCAGCCTGGGCAACGGGAGTAAAATCTTGTCTCAAAAAAACAAAACAAAACAAAACAAACAAACAAAAAAACTAAAAAATAAATGAGGCAGATATTCCTGAACCAAACTGCTGTCCTCTCAAGAGCTGGTGGTTTTCTGAAGACAAGTTATATAAGACTGGCAAGCCACAGGGAGACTCTGGATCCAGGCTTGGTTCATTCCGCTTGATCTAGAGCCCTCCTGGTGCTACCTCTTGGAGCCCACACTGGGATCTGGAGATCTCTGTGTCTGAATCACCCACGATTTGATGGGAGAATGAAGTTACTCTTAACTGTTTTTGAGTTTTTCACTAAAATCATAGGAATGGAAGGGAAATCTCCAAATCACCTGTTTGGATAATTTATTTGTGTTTTTCATAGCTCCTGAAGAAAGCAAGGAGTAAAAAAGTTATTACTGAGCATCATTGAAAAATCTTTTATGTGTTGCATTCATAACCTAATATTTCCCTCAATTTTAGGAAACATTTGGTTCAGAGAAAAGTGAATTCACTAATGTACGTGTGGGTGTTTTGGAAACAATGTCCTCTAGCTTCCAGTGTCAGCTTACCAAGAACTCTTGTGTCTCCAAGTTTCTTATAGTTGCTCTGCAGTGCTTTGCTTGCCAACTCTACTCCTGTGCACTTTCTCCTCCATTAAATCTCTTCCACAGCAAAGGGTTGCCACCAAGTCTAGACTTTAGTAACATGCAGAAGGAGGGTGAATTAGTGAGGATTCTGATTTGCATTACATGAGGGTAGGAGAAGGAGGAAAATCTATCCTTCCCAGTCCTTCAGATACTCAAGTTCTAACACAACACTATGTTGAAGATGTATAAAATTACTGGAGCATTTACACAGCTATTCCCCAAGATGGCATAAATGCCACAGCACTAGAGCACGTTAGTATAGACACTCGGATAAGCTGAAGAATGGGAAAAAGGAAAAGATCAATAACAGCGCTTCTCACTCGGGGATCAAGAGTGAGTGTTTGATTTTCTTTTGGTTGCATTTTGCTCAGGTGCAGTGTGTATGTTGTACTAACAAGGCAACTGATTCCTTTTTCCACAGGTTCCTATCATAGGGAAAGGGGAAAGATATAATAGAGGGCACGGATTATTTACAGTGGCCGAGAATGTAATTACAAGGCGCAATGGCTTGAAACTGAAATTTAAGTTAGCTATTAGAGCTGGGAGAAGCATCTTAACAGTAAGGGCAGTTGGGCATTGGAAAGATTTGCCTGGGAGCTTGTTAAACAACATCTCCAGGAATGCTGAAGACCAGGATGGGGGAATGTGAAGAAAAGCTCATATCAAATTCAGAGTTGTGCTGGAGGCCCAGACTGATCTGCATCTTTCATTATTGCCTAGCTCCCTTTATGATTATTCAATTGCTAATAGCTTGAAACAATTTTTTTCATGTATTCAAAATATGCCTAATTTGGTAAGCATAACAAAAGAAATGCCTTTGAGCAGTGAGAATGAGGCTTTTAGACTGGTCTGAGCATTCTTCTAACAGACTTTCTGGAATATGGGCCAACAACGGAGACAATATTATTAGTATTTTTTGCTTCTGCAAGACTTTTTCCTTCTTATTATATGGGACTATTGCTGTTAAAGTAGTATTCGGCCTCTATTAATATTACTTCTTCAAAGCTGACCTTACAGAAAATTTGGTTTTAGTCCCTGTTTATCTTTTTCTTGATCTTTCCCCCCTTTTTAACACTTCTCCAGTACTATCCAGGTGTTCTGGGTTGCCTCTCTCCCCCCTACTCCTTCTATCCTGTGCTAGAGGAAGATTCCTAGTAAAGTCTTTAGCCCTGAGGTATGAGGGCATTACTCACAGAGTGCTATACATGAAGACAACACGTGATGAAATGGCTTAACCAAAGTAGTAACTCACCAATGATGAAACATTTAGATATTATTAGGCAGAAACATTTAGGTTGGGTAGAGGAGGAAAGAGAGTGTATTAGTTTCCTAGGGCTGCCATATCAAATTACCTCAAATTGGGTGGCTTAAAACAACTGAAATTTATTCTCTCACAGCCCTCATGGTCAGAAGTCCAAAATCAATGGGTCAGCAGGGCTGTGCTCTCTTCATAGATTCTCAGAGAGAATCATTCCTCGCCTCTTCCGGCTTCTGGTGGCTCCAGGCATTTTTCGGTTTGTGGTTGTATCATTCCAATCTCTGCCTCCATCCTCACATGGCCTTTTACTCTTCTTGTGTCTCTCCTCTGTGTGTCTCTTATAAGGGCACTTGTCTTTGGATTTAGGATCCACCTAGATAATCCAGGAGGATTGACACCTCTCCAGTCCAGTCCTATCCAGGTGTTCTGGGTTGCCTCCCTCCCCACTACTCCTTCTGTCCTGTGCTGGAGGAAGATCTCTAGCCTGATCCTTAATTACATCTGCAAAGACCCGTTTTTCCAAATAAGGTCACATTTACAGGTTCCAGGGTTTAGGACATGGACATATATTGGGGGTGGGGGGGGGTGACACCATTCAACCCACCATATAGAGGAGAGCTTTCTGGGGCCTTCTGAATCATACCAGTTTACCAGAACTCTCTACTGTAAGGAGGAACTTGTTTGAAGAAATCTTAAAGTTAGTTGTAAAGTGTCAGAAATGTCAGTGCGCTTCCTGAGAGGGATGTGGGTGGCAACTACTGTTAACTCATTTTTTAAATGGTTAAATTGAGGACCTGGGAAATAAAATGACTTAAAGTTAGTTGTAAAGTGTCAAAAATGTCAGTGTGCTTCCTGAGGGGGATGTGGGTGGCAACTACTGTTAACTCATTTTTCAAATGGTTAAATTAAGGACCTGGGAAATAAAATGACTTACCCAAGTCACTGGATCAGAAGAAGAGTTCTGAACAAGATCAGAAAAAGAGGTCTGAAACAATGAGTCTTACCCAAGTCACTGGATCAGAAGAAGAGGCCTGAAACAAGACAGATCTACTTCTGGCCACCAGAGCTGTGAGAGAATAAATTTCAGTTGTTTTAAGCCACCCAATTTGAGGTAATTTGATATGGAAGCCCTAGGAAACTAATACACTCTTTCCCCCTTTACCTGACCTAAATGTTTCTGCCCAATAATGTCTACATGTGTCATCATTGGTGAGTTACTACTTTGGTTAAGCCATTTCACCATGGGCTTTAGGTCTTACCTCATCATTCTTGTTGAACTTTTTTCCTGAAAAAATATAATATTTTTTCTAAGCATTTTTGCCACGGGAAGGCAATTGTTGCTTATTATGCACCTGAAAAACCTTTTTGCAGGATCTGTAGGATCAAGGCAGTGGTGCACTTGCAATCTACTGCAGCTTTCCACCTGGTCTTTGTGGTTTGCTGAAAGATCAGCTACAGGGAATTTTAGAAGCCAGAACATCTGTGAAGCAAAAGCCTTCCTTTTTAGATTCAGGCATACTGAGTTTTAGGTACAACTTGCGTGCAAAGTGGTAAATATATGGTTTTCACAGATGAGATATTCTCTGAAGAAATGCTGTCACACTTGTTTATGACAAAAAGACCAGTTCTAACATTTATGGCTGTGGGGCATCTCTCCTCTGATGCATTATCAGAGCATACCAGTGACAACTGTGGTGTGTCAAGAGATTAGTGAGTTAGAGTGTGGCCTTCATGGAAACAGAGAGAAAGGAACCCTGGGGGTCACCAGATTCAGCCTCCCTCCTACCTAGTGTAGGAGTCCATTCTGTGGTATATGACATTGCTACCCAAATTATGCCTGAATGCCTCAAGAGACAGGGAGATTACTATGTATAGGAAGTAGGCTGTCATTGTTGACTAATATTTGTTCATTAATTCAGCAACCATTTATTGAGTGTGTACTATGTACTGGACACTAGGCCATGTCAGGGAATACAGAGATGGCCAAAATATAGCTCTTGCCCACAGAAACCTATAACTTAATAGTAGGGATAAGAAAGGTATACCAATGACTACAAAACCTAGATTGCAAAACACATTGTTAGAGAAGTACAAAATGAACAGAAAATTCTGAGAGATAACAGCTCAAAGAGTTCATTTGGAGAGGAGGGGAGAAACATGAAAGACACCTGAGAGAGACCTTATGGATGAGAATATTTTAATAGCTGAAGCTAGGGAAAGAGTGCTTCAGAGACAGGAAAAGCATGAGCGAAACAGGGAAGCAGGAAATGGAGGCATGTGTTTGGAAAACATTAAATAAGAGTTTAATTTAATTCTCACAACGACCTTGAGAGTAGGTGTTATTGTCTCCATTTTATAGGTAAGGAAACTGAGGCTCAGAGATTAAGTAACTTGCCTAAGATCACACAGCTAAGTGGATGGCCAAGTTGAGGTTCACATTCTGGTCTGTCTGATTTCAGAGTTTTTCCCTTTGCCACTGCATGCCATCCATCAGGAGGATATCTGCCATTAGTTGGCTTCTGGAGATACAGGGGCATATATGTAAAAGGACATGTGGTTATTACTTGGGATACAATGCTATAAAGGCCAACTTGTTGGTCTTTGCCTTAGCCCCATATCCGTATTCATGTATCTTCAAGTGATATTGACAAAGCGTTCCTAAAAGGGCGAAAGCAAGTCCTTTGCTTCTTTTGTGTCCTCCCAATGCCCGGTTGAGAATGGGCTCAGTGAATATTGATTACCCTACAATTGGGAAACTTAGATTTGCTAGTCCAATCCCTTTGAGGAAAACAGGCCCAGATTTGGGAACACACTTGATAAAGTCACACAGCTGATTTGGTAGCAGAGCAGATAATAACATTTTAGCTTTGATAGGGAAGAGCTCTTTTCCCTCTGATGTGATTTCATACATGTTGGGGAGGGACCTAGCACTTAGATTGGGCCTAGGGTGTTGAAATTCTCAGCTCTGCCTCAGGTCTGCGTATTTAAAGATTGTATCTGAAAAATAAAAATTAAACATCTTCTGAAAGACAGGGTCTCAGCTACTTATCTGAGTAGAATAACAATTAGTGAAGAAGTGACTAGGGGAGGCAGGAAAATTACCTCAGTTTAGTCCCTCTGGCAGAATTCTAAACTAGAAGATTCTGCATCCCAACTCCAGCATAGCTGGCATTGTTCTCCAACCCAGTTTTCTTTTTATTAGGGTGTTTCCCCTCATCTAAATAATCAATGATGTGCGTGTATGTGTGTGAATACTTTCGCTTTTCTAAAAGTTGCTCTAGTAGCATCAATTAATCTGACCCAGTTCCTTTAAAACTGAACTCTCTTGAAATTCTGACATTACCTCCAAGTGAAAGGGGAGAACATCAAGCCCAAACTACAATGGGCCCCTTGAGACACAAAGATGAATCACTCAAGGGTCCTTCCCTCAAGGAACTTAAATCTAGTGGAAATAAGGCATGCATATATAACTTTGTTGCAATATGGAGAGTGTGAGAAGTGTCTTTATAAAGACTGGAGAGTTCCGTGGGAATTCAATGGATAGAAAGCTTTTGGAGTTCATCTCCTTCTGCTCCCATAAACATTCTTTCCCATGGGAATCCAGTCCAAAGATAACGAGTAGTCATCTTATAGCAGGGTTCACATAGCTCCTTGTCATCTGGCTTCTGCCACTCTCCACCACTTCAATTTTCCCTTTAGCCTTGCCAGGTTCCTTGGCAGTGCCTGAAGATGCCACCCACTTTCACACCCCTGTGCCCTTACTCCATTTTCTTGGAGGTTTTTAAAGAAGTAGAATGACATAATCAGATATGTACTTTAGAAATATTTCTCTGGGACTTGGGTGGAGAAGGGTATAGAGGCAGGAAGGCCAGTTTGGAGGCTGTTGTTAGTTGTCCAAGTGAAAGAAGGTGAGGTGATGAGGGAGCAATGGAAAGGAGGGGAATGATTACATTTAGAAAGCAAAATCAGTAGCATTTGGTGACATTTGGCTATAGCAGATGAGGGTGTGAGTGAAGTATCCAGAATGAGTGAAAGGTTTCTAGTTAATTTGAGAGTCCATTTTCTATACCAATTCATGAACTCTGGTGCAGGGACCATGTCCTGTTCATTATTATATTCCTTGGGCTGGGCATAGTCCTTGGCATAAAGTAGGCATTCAGTAAATGTTGGATGAATGAATTGTTCACCACTTTGGCAAGGTGGATATAATCCGTGAATTTGTATTCTCAGAGCACATGTTGACCACTGGTTGGTAAAGTGGTCCAGGAAGAACCTCTTTATGGGAGAGTGTAGTGATCTGGGGATTCAACCTTTACTGGGCATGAAATGATAGGCAGTTAATTGACAGTTGGCAGTAGAGATAAAGGTAATTCTTTCTTTAATTTTCGGGCTTAGAGAATGGCTTATCTCCACGGTTGCTTTAAACTCCCAGTACTCCAGTGTGGTAGTGACATTTTGGCCTGCCTTTTACAGAGGCAGAGTCCATGGTGGCCCCAGGCACGGTCTTTGATTTAAAGTCTGAGCTCCTGATACCCAGGTGCGCCCTCTGCAAAGTCATGTTCTTTCAGGCTAAATAACAGAAGGGTAACCTTCAGCTGGGTTCCCTAAGATGATTTCTTTCGCCAGCAATCATCACTTTCCCCACCGGTTTTTAATGCAGCCATTTCTTTCATCTGTATTCCTATCTTGATTTGTGAGAAATTAAATGAGCATGTAAGATGTGGTTTAGATAATGATTAATTAGGGGAAAAGGCGTCATTCCAATAGCAAGTCACTATTATATGCTAAGGAAATTAGTTCATATTTTTGGATGGCAAATTGACTTGTCCTGCATTTAAAAAGATACCTTTTAAAAAATGCCTGTTATGGCTTTTTTTGGTTCATTAGTAGAGCAACCTGCACTTAATCCTTTGGATGATTTTAATAGGCATCTATTATTTTCCCTACAAGTCATGAAGCAACCAGTTTGGGATATCATTAATTCTTTTGTTTAATATTAATTTAATGATAATGCATTATTATTTTCAGCACAAAGTACTTTTGTTAGCAAAAAAAAAAATAATCTGCCATTCATAAAGCAGACCTTGGCAATGAAATGTGTCAAATCATCATATATATATATAGAAAAGATTTCAATTTTCATTGTTACTGAGCCCTGATGATTCATTCTCTTCTGTTGCTGTTTGAATATGCTTTATCTGCTCTTAGAAAAGTGTAAGGATCAAGGTCTACATTAATATTTTTTCTGTTCTTTAATGTGATTTTTGACAATTTGTAGTTATTAACTAAAATTGCAGTCTAGTAAAATAACCAACATATAGAACATGATAAAGGTAATTAGAGAATCAGAGACCTGGAAGTGACCTTGAGGGATTATTTAGTCCATTTCCCAATTTCAAGGTGTATGGCTAATCTTCCTAAACAGCACTCTTCATCATATTATGTCTCTGCTTGAGAAGCTCCAGTGGTCCATTACTGCCTAGGAGTCAAGCCCACAGGTCTCTGCCTGCATTCAAGGCCCTTCAAATTTGGGTCTGTCTTACCTGATAAGCTATTACGCCCCAGGGTCTAGCCAGTCTGCAGTTATGTTAGCTTTGCCCCGTTATTCCACTGTTTCCAAACACATTTCACCCATTGGCCTCTCCACATCTTTTCCATTCTGTATGGTCTACCTCAAGCCTCACCTTCTCCTGGAAGTCTTCTTTGACTCCTAGAGCCTCTGGTGAGCATTCCCTTATCCAGCAAATGTTGTCTATATCACATATTTTAAAAGTCAACTTTATTGAGATATAATTTACAAACAATAAGATGCACTCATTTTAAGTGAAGAGTTTGATGAGTTTTGACAAATGTGTACACCCATGTAACCAGTAACCTAATTAGAATGTAGACTATTTCTTCCACCTCAGAAAATACACTGCATATTTTGTCACGTAACCGTATACCAACTTTCACTGTTCTCTAGCTATTATTTTGTGTGAAAGTCTAGTCTCTCAGCATGAATTTATCTTTGGTTTACTTTTAATTAATGCATATTGAATATTTACTTTGTATCAAAAAGACTAAGAGCTTCACATGCATAATCTCACTTAATTTTTGTAATAACTAAGTACTATTGATGATCCCATGTTATAGATAAGGGCAAAAAGTTAGGTAGAGGTTGAATAACCTACCCTTGCTTGTGCAGCTAGCAAGTGATAGGGCTAGGATTAAATTGTAAACAACTTGACCTGAGGAATCATAAGTGTTTTGTTATTTGCTGCCCACTAGTGCCTGTGATGATACTGACCTCGAAGCCATTAATGCTGATTTGGAATAAAAATCCAATAGAACTGACACATTGAAACAGCCCTATACACACTGTTGGCTTTCCTCTTCCAAGTATGGACAGGGATTAGGCCTGGAATGGGGTCTCCAAGTGAATGTGGTAAGCATAGGACTTCATAGCAAAGAGAAGCTGAAGTCCCACTCCTGGGGGAGGTGACTAAAGAAAACCAGGAGCAGTCTAAAAGGTCAGATATTTAAATGGAGCTAACAAAGAGCGAGAAGTGGGCCCAAAGGAAAGAGTCTGTGATGGAGGTCAAGAAGGCCAAGCCACAGGTAGCCAGGCCTGAAAAGATCTCCTGTCACAAGAGTATGCCTCAGAAGAAAGCCTTCTGTGGACCATCTGTGGTTAGCCTCTAGGAGTGGAGTAATCCCCCAGAAGAAAAGCTTCCATAGCTCAAATATCCCCTTTTACTTGTATGACTGGACCCAATGTGCGAGAAGTTGTCTTAAAATAATTAGTAATAAATTACTTCATAGTTCATTCAACTGAAACATCTATTTATTGTATCTTCAAGATGTTTGGAATTTTTTTTTTTTTTTTTTCGAGACGAAGTCTCACTCTGTCTCCCAGGCTGGAGTGCAGTGGCACGATCTCAGCTCACTGCAACCTCCGCCTCCTGGGTTCAAGCGATTCTCGTGCCTCAACCTCCGGAGTAGCTGGGATTACAGGTGTGTGCCATCATTGCCTGGCTGTTTTTTTTTTTTGTTTTTTTTTTTTTTCAGTAGAGATGGGGTTTCGCCATGTTGGCCAGGCGTTGGTAGTTTACTTTTTTGGTATTTTAAAATATTTTTCCAAGATCCAAGTTAAGTGTACAGATGTAACGTTTTCAGGGTCATCTGCCTCCCCTTGATCTTTTTTCTTTTTTATCTTTTTTTTTTTTTTTTGAGACTGGGTCTCACTCTGTTGTCCAGGCTGGAGTGCAGTGGTGCCATCATGGCTCACTATAGCCTCGACCTCTGAGCCCAAGTGATCCTCCCTCCTCAGCCTCCCAAATAGCTGCAACCACAGGCATGCACTACCATGCCTAGTTACATTAAAAAAAAATTTTTTTATAGAGACGGGGTCTCACTATGTTGCCCAGGCTGGTCTCAAACTCCTGGGCTCAAGGGATGCTCCCACCTCAGCCTCCCAAAGTGCTGGGATTACAGGTGTGAGCCACCATGCCCAGACTCCACTTGCTCTTCTTAGATATAGACAGACACAAAGTTCTTTGTTAGTATTCTCAATCTGCAGCCCTCATTAATTCAACACTACGTGTACAGGGCTGAATGGGAGTGAAGGAGTATCCCAAAGGAGATGGGAGTCATTCTCTGCTCTTCAGGAACTTACAGTTTAGGAGAGGAGATTATAGTATGAAGGTACTTTTTAATCCTTCAATATAAATGGGAACTAGCAGCCCTGTAATGACTTCAGTTAATTTTTTTAGCGTCTGGGAATGCAAGTTATTAAGCCCTAAAGAGCTGAACCTTTCTGGCTCATTTGAATAGTCAATTGCTAAGTCTTCTCCTTATCTCCATCCCAGGCTATATTGCTTGTCTCCATTCCTTTTTCCCAGCTGAATTCCATTTTTACAAAAAAAAAATAATAATAATAAAGTGAGAACTCCTCTTTGATAGCTGGGCTTCACGATTACTTGTCCCTTATATCTAATAAAGGGGTTATTTTCTTTTAATTTTCCTTTGTCCCTCATATATTTAAAGAGTGCTTTTGTATTTAGTATGTCTTTTGTAGGTGGCATCTTATTTCTTGAATTTACATTTCTGCTTTTATTCATGCAAGTACGTACCAGTTCTTGGCTTATCTCCTTAGTCATCTGCTTTTGGTTTTAGTTTTTCTTCATTCCATTTGGGATTCAGTTCCCAGGTTAATTCTTTGTTTACTTGATGAGAATTCCCTCTAAATTCTTTTTCTGTTTCTTTCTGTTTTCTGTGTTCTTTCTGTTTTATTTATTTCATGCACATGTCCATACATTGAAATAGTTATATTTCATTATTGTCATTTCATTTAGGCATGCCTAGCTCACCTAGGCTTCTTCCTCATGCTGTCTTGTGATGGGGCTTTTCTTAAAAGCTGGTCTGTGAAATTTACTGAAATTTATATGAAATTTACTTAATACAAAATATCTTTTCCTTTGGCATGTATTTCTCTCCTTCCTGGTTTGGAAATTCTGAATTCTTAATCAGTTTATGGGTGTTTTATTTCCTTAAATCTATAGCTAACTTTTAGCCCATAGATCAATTATACCAGTTCACTCATTAACCAAGCAGTAATAACTGGGAGGGAGGGTAAATATTGCAACATATCCACTTATATTTGGATATCATATATACCTTTCTTCAGGACATCTGACATGTTTTCCCAAAAGTTCTCATTTGAAATTTTATTCTTTTAAAGATTTTTGGCTTACCTGATTCTTCAGGTGGTGGGAGTTTATAAAATGATGAGACTTGGCCAACTCAGGGAAGGGACATACTGTATGCAAGCTCTAAATTACTATATGAATTATCATATCAAAGGCAAATCAAACTGGTGTCATGGTAGTTCAAAGAGTCATTCCCGGACCCATGTAGGTACATCAAGCAACAATTTGTTACCATCTAAGATCTGAACCACTCATAGCACTTCACTGAGAAAAGATCTGAGCCCTTTTATTTGATAACTCCCACTACCTAGAGCTGGTGGGAATAGGACCAGTACTAACAGTCACCCTGCCAAATAAACTCAACCATTCCTGAAAACTGGAAGTGATTGTCAATGCAAATTTAGAAACACAAAGGATTTTATCTATAATGATTAATTTTATGAACTTATT
This sequence comes from Homo sapiens, assembly GCF_000001405.40. Taxonomy (NCBI): domain Eukaryota; kingdom Metazoa; phylum Chordata; class Mammalia; order Primates; family Hominidae; genus Homo; species Homo sapiens. The sequence continues at coordinate 133,956,616 of NC_000023.11, read as the reverse complement.
TAAATATGATATTTTGAACATGTACTACTTAGGCATCAGTTTATCAAGAAAGTAAATAAAGCCTTGCTAGATGAACAGGAACTTTGTATGTGAAAGTACCTGCCACATAGGATTTTTCATGTCTACATATGTGTCCCAACCAGCATTGTTTAAATTTAGATTAGCTACTCTTACCCAAGGAGACTCTTTCCCTTCTTGGTCCAGTAAACTGCATCAGTTCCTATTCCTAGAATAGCATTACATTTTGTAACTTCATGTAGTAAGAACACAGTGAGCTAGAACTAGCTGTTTCTTTACTTTTTCTGAAGATAATCATAAAGCTTTAAGCTTAGACCATATTGAAAATCAGTCTAAGGCTTGTATATGAGATTGAAATTTATAGGAGATAAATCTGAACTCTATGTCTGCAGACCCCAAATGGTATTTTGACATTAAATATCACCTTTCCATCTAGTACTATAAATTACAGTGCTGGGTTCAGTTTGGTGATATGTATTATCTGTGTTCTCCTTTACTGCTTTTGTCAGCAGCTCCCTTGAGAAGGGTGAAGTGGAGAGCTTGGAGTCAATACCCTGGACCCCAGCAGTGATGTCATGTGAGGCAAAACTTGATGAATTTCATTCCTAAATTAAGAAAATCTGGACACATAAGTTAAGGACATGATCAACTGAAATTCCTAGGGAAATAAGATGTTGTAATAAAAATAAATTTTCTGGTGACTTAGGGCTAACTAGTCTCCCCTCATTTTTTAAAAAAATAAAACATCCAATTATTGAAAAACTGTCTAAAATGTCTGAATATGCTTTCTAGTATGACTTCAGTAAGATTTCTTGAAACTTGCTTTTCTGAGGACCTTGTAAAACTTTAGGGGAGTCATCCTTATATCCCATATACACATTTTTTTTTCATTCTACCTTCTTAGTTTGCTTTATTGCACTCATTTACTATGCAGTAGCTATTTATCTCTGCTAGTCCCTTTAGACGGTGAACTTCTTTGGAGAAGGGATTAAATTTCTCTTGTTCAAAGTCGTACCTCCAGCATGTAGCACAGTGCCTGGCATATAGAAGGTATGTTAGACTGGGTTCTCTGAGAAGCAGATGCCAGTTGGATTCATATCTAATCCAATATGGAATAGATGTGCAAGGGATTTATTGGGGGAAAACACTTATGAAGGAAAATGAGGAGGGAGCTGAAGGAGGCCGGAAAAGCCATCAGACCATGGTGCAGGTCTGACCCTTGTGGAAGAGAGAGGAAAGGAAGGAAGGTTGAGTAGGAGGAATCTTAGACTGCAGTGCCGTTTTAAGAAAGTTTGGCAAGGTCAATGGGGAGTCCTCAAGCCAAAGTCCCCTGTGAGCAAAGTCCTGGGTTACAGGACTTAGTATCTTTGCCATGCTCAGTCATTGGCTGGGAGCAGCCCCCAGGGAATGTGGCTTAGGAACAATGTGGTGGTGAATTCAAAGGGCAGCAGCTGGGACCATTAGTCAATTACATTCCCCACAGTAGAAGATCTGAGATGCCCATATTCACAGCCACCACAGAAGGAGATCAACAAATGCTAATTGGAGAAAGAGTCTGGCAGTGGCTCATGCCTGTAATCCCAGCACTTTGGGAGGCCGAGGTGGATGGATCACCTGAGGGCAGGAGTTCGAGACCAGCCTGCCCAACATGGCGAAACCCCATCTCTACTAACAATACAAAAAATTAGCCAGGCGTGGTGGCAGATGCCTGTAATCCCAGCTACTTGGGAGGCTGAGGCAGGAGAATCCCTTGAACCCGGGAGGTGGAGGTTGCTGTGAGCAGAGATAGCACCACTGCACTCCAGCCTGGGCGACAAGAGCGAAACTCCATCTCAAAAAAAAAAAAAAAAAAAAAAAAAAGAGAAAGTTTGAGTAAGACAGAAGTTGAAGAGAGGAAGGAGATTGGTCTTAATATTCACTGAGCCCTAATATTTGTTAGTATTGGTGGAGGATATAAAATCATCAGATTCACACTCACCTTCCTCATCTCTCCTCAAACGTTACCTTATGGAAGATGCCTTCTCTGACTACCATATGCAAAACAGAATAGTCTCCACAATCATCACATTCTGTATCTCCCTTACTTTACTTTTTAAAAATTAAAAACAAGCTGGGAGAATCGCTTGAACCCAGGAGGTGGAGGTTGCAGTGAGCTGAGATCGCGCCACTGCACTCCAGCCTGGGCAATGAGAGTGAGACTCCGTCTCAAGAAAAATAAAAAATAAAAATAAATAAATAAAACAATTGACACCTTTATTGAGGCATAATTGATATATAATAAACTACATATTTTAAGGGTGCAAGTTGATAATTTTGACATGCATATACACCCGTGAAACCATTACCACAATAAAAATAATGAACATATCCATCACTCCCCAGAGTTTCTCCACTACTCTTTATAAACCCTTCCTCCTACCCCTCCTGCCCACCATCTCCCTTAACAACGACTGAACTGCTTTCTGTCACTCTAGATTAGTTTCTGTTTTTTAGACTTTTGTATAAACGGAACCATAGAGTATGTGCTTCTTTTTGATCTGGCTTCTTTCACATAGCATAATGTTTTTGAGTTTTGTCCCTCCAGTAGTATGCATTAATGGTTCATTCCTTTTTATGGCTAAATAGAATTCCATTTTATAGATATACCACAGTTTGTTTTCCTTTCCTTACTTTGTTTTACTTTCTCTATAGTATTTATCACCTTTTGACATTATGTTTATATTTTTGTTTGTTTGTTATCTCCCAGAATGTAAGCTCCATGAGGGCGGGGACTTTGCTTTGTATACTGTTACAACCACAGTGCTTGGCATATAGTAGGCACCTAATAAATATTTGTTGAATGACTTGTATCTTGCTTCAGACCTTTAGTTAAAACAACAACACAGCTTTGATATGATATTGATGTTTTGATCATTTATCCTGAAAAGCAGTATTGGGTTGGCCAGACATACATTTCATTTGGAAATCATAACTGGAATTTTGAAAATTGTTTCTTGGTTGTCTTCTCATTCATACATTATAATCAGGAAAAATAAATTATAGGAGTGAAGATTGATCTTTTAAAAGACAAACTAAATATCGGTGTTCAGTGATGTGTTTTTGGTGCTATAAATTAGTTTATGCAGAATTTATGAGTCAAACCTAGGCAATTAATTCTGATGGTTATTCAAAAAGAGTCAGCCATAAGGACAATTGGGAGAAAGCAGGGATTAGTTAAGATGAAACGTAATTTTGAATAATCAAAATTTTACTGTATCTCAAAAGAAATGCATTGTTTGCCCTGTTTGCCATGTGTGAGTGTGTGTGTAGGGGGTGGGGGTGGTGTGGGTGTGGGTGTGTGAGAGAGAGATCCTGCTTACTGAAACATGAAAACCTTGTTTGTTTCAGGATCAGATTTGCAAGTATGTCTCCCTAAGGGCCCAACATGCTGCTCAAGAAAGATGGAAGAAAAATACCAACTAACAGCACGATTGAACATGGAACAGCTGCTTCAGTCTGCAAGTATGGAGCTCAAGTTCTTAATTATTCAGAATGCTGCGGTTTTCCAAGGTGAGTTCTGGGGATTATTTTAGATGTGCTGCTTAGTGGCATCATTATTTGGGCACTGGGCTTTCAAATACTAAGTATAATTTATAAATTACCATTCCAGCATTAATGCTTGCTATTAAAAACCTCCCAGTGAGAAATTCTGGTTTAAAAAAACACATTTTCAGAGAAGCTTCATTTCAATCTTTGGAAAGGTGAGTATTGTCAAAAAATCATTGTCCAAGGACATTCTATTTACCTGTATATAAAGGTTATAAATCTCTACAGAAAGAATAAATAATATTTTCTCTCAGCTTGATTCAAAAACAAAAAAGTTCCCTTAAATACTGAGCCCAGTTTTCTCCAGGAATGAGTTAGATGCTTGTGGGATACATGTGGACTCCTTCTGACCACTAGGACCATTTCCATTTAAGAGGCAGACACTGGCTTGTTGGCCCAGGATTTTCCCATTGGTGTGAGTGGTGACCTCTCCTCTCTTTGTGACTCTCACTTCTTACCATGCCTGTGAATGATTGCAAGAGAAGCTGTTGTGGCATTGCCAGAACGGGTAGGAAATGACACTTCTCCTTGCTAACTTAGTAGGACTATCATAGCAGGATGGGGAGTACCTCCTTCAATTCTAACACCCAGCTAGGAAGATGATGATGATGATGGAGGTGGTGGTGGTGGTGATGATAGCAGACACTTATATGGCACCATGTGCTAGGTGCTCTTTTAAGTGGTTTACATGTATTAATTCATTTAATCCTCACAATATAATTATGAGTAGATGTTAGTATCCTTATTTTGTCGATGGAAATCTAAGGCACAGAATGATTAAGTAACTTGCTCAAGGCCACAAAATTAATAAATAAATGGTGAAGGCAGGATTTGAACCCAGATGGCATGGCTCTTAGAGTCTATTCTTTTAACTATCCCCATAGGCTGCCTCCTGTAACTGGGAAAATTAATTATGGGTATTCACAATTAATTAGTAATTAATTAATTATCAGTCTTTCTTCTATCCTTCCTCAAGCAGAGGGAATCAGCCACCTTTTTCTTGCCTCACCAAGAGAGGATCGAGGTCAGATAGAAAAATAACACTTCTGACTGCTTGACATTGCAAAGCTTGAGATTTATGGCACTGTTACAAGAATTAACCTCTGAATTGTAAGGTGTGTTGATTATAGCTTATTTTGTGTATTATAATGAAATCTTTAGAATTAGCTAAGAAAATTGTTCAGATTAGTTAATAAAGCCTACATTCACAACAGTTTCTTGGGTCAAAGCCTCAGGGGGTATTAGGTTGATTATATGAAGTATAATATATAAGCTTGAAGTATTTGTTAAACTATTTATGCAGTCAGACTCTTGTGAAGAGTTTGTTGAGACTAACAATTTGGTGATAGAATGAATAATTTAGACAGATTTTAAAAATACATGTAGCATTCATGAACTTCTTAGATTGGTTTTGGAGTTGATCTGTTGGATGAAAGTGGGGTGAGAAGAAATGATGTGACATGAGAATTGGGTTGAAGCAGAGAGCTGAATCTTACTCTTTGGGGCATCAAGGTCCCTTTTTAGAACAGAGTATTAGTGATTTGTTTAATTCCCAGAATATCCAAGCTCACAGATGTTACCTTACAATCCTTGTCTGGTTGGAGGGGAGTGGTAGAGTGATCATACTGGCATTTTAACATTTACAGTAGCTGACATGGCTATGTATCTGAGGGCCCGGGTCGTCAGCATTTACACCTCTGTCCAGTTCTGCACTTTGCCCACTGTGTTTTCTAGATCTGCAAAAATGTGAGACTAGGAGAGAAAAAAAGTTCTGACAAGATTTTGGTTGGATTAGCTTCCAGATAAGCCTGCTATAGCTTGGAGGCTGAATACTAGTCATGTGAACAGAGGGTAGAAAATGGGGGCAGCATCTACTAATTGTATCTCTCTCTCCCTTTCTCTCTGTCTCTCTTTCACTTCACACACACACACACACACACACACACACACACACACACACACACACTTTCTTGAATTGTGGGGATAGACAGAAGGACAACCCTAGCAAAGGAACATGGAGACAATGAAATTATGTCTGAGCTAATTATTGCTAGTGCCCTTTACCTTGTCACCATCGGTACTCATTCTTTATCTTGTTTCACTCCCTCTTCTCATTCTTTTCCTGCCTCACTTTTAGAAAAAATAAACCCAACAAGGAAAAATAAACCATGATCCCAGACCTCAAGGCACTTGTACAATGTTTCAGAAGACATTGCCCCTAAATCCTTTTGTAACAAACATTTGGAGAGACAAGACTTCAAACTGGGGACCACTACAAGATAATGTATTATTAATTGCTAAGAAAAAGAGAGCATCCACTTTTTTTCTTTCTTATGACCGTTTATTATTCCATTGAATTGAAATTAGGAGACACAATTGTTTTTCCCCTAAAATACATCCCCTCCCCAATATTCTGGTAGACCAAATTAGTGAGAAAACCATCCCAGTACTTCACTCATGTGAAATTTGATGTGACGGCTTTTGCTAGCTATTTTCTCCATCACATGAAGTTGAAGAAAGCTCATCTTGATCTTGGCCTAGATCCACAATCTCTTTGGTATTCCTTCACTAGTCCACATTGGGGGTATTTAAGCAGTGAGTGCTTTCTGCAAATATGTGCACAGTTCCACGAGCAATCCTTACTGCCTCGATTTGGATTTTATGTCTTCATTTGCAGGAAGCCTTTGCCCTCATAAATGAGCCTGGGGCCCTTTGCTACAGTGGTTGGAGTGCTCTATTGCTAATGTTGTTTTGATAATGATTGAAGCATTTAAAAAAGTTGTTCTTTATTCTCAGTCTTTGCATTGCCTCGTTTCCTAAATTTAATTTACTTAGATGTGCTTAGTAAAATGGGGCAGCACAATTGCTTTTTGTTTCTGCTTAATTAATTCTTTCTGAAAAACTCCACTAAAAGTAGACTTTCCTTTCTCTTTTTCTTTTTCTTCTCCCCTACCTTATAATAGTTATGATGATAACAATAGTGAAGATTTATTAAGTGCCTACTATATGATGCTGACTTTTACATAATTATCTCATTTAATTTTCCCAACAGCCCTATGAGGTCTGTACTGTAATTATCTCCATTTTACAGATGAGGAAACTCATTGATGCCACAGCTTCTTCTGAGCCATCACGTGACATGGCTTTCCTTGTTCTTAATGTCCTTGAGGTAAAACAAAATTGAGAAGTTGGATTTGTGGTTCTTGTGAAGAAAAATGGAATAGAATTCTGAATTTTTCGTCATCTCACTACCACCTCTATACCTTTAAACCTTGAGTTCTATTTTCTTTGTAGAATTTTATTATGATTTTCAGCCTTGTACTATCAAGAAATATTTGGGGTACATCCAGGTCTTTTCTAGATGTTGGATAATTCTAGATTTCCCCAAGATACCACTGACTTTGAGTGATAATAGACTCTTTTATATGCAGCAATACCTTGTTTTTTCTGGAAGTTGCCTATTCCACAACTTGAACTCTCTTCATCAGAAAGGAAAAATAGTGGTCGAGCAGGAAATCATCTCATCTGAAAGGTTTTTGAGTCCTTGCTTAGAGCCTACTACTGTTCCATGTTTATGCGTAGTCTTGGCACACTTGATTTTCTGGCTTTCTAGGGGGGGATCCAAGAACTCACTAAATGTGGCACTTGGGGACATTTAATAGAGGACTATACTCCTACAGGCCACAGTGGCTCCTGTATTACGTTAGGTCCAAGTGATGTTCACAATGTGGTTACAAGTAAATAAGGAAAGTCCAACTTACATTCACTGTCCTTTTCTTAATATTTCCATTTTAAATGGCTAAAATGAATTTCCTCAGTGCTTAAGATCAGCGAAAGAAACACTGGACTTGGAGTCAGAAAATCCAAGTTCAAATTCTAGATCTGCATTTATGAGCTTTATATTTTGGGGCAGTTATTTAGACTCCAGTAGCCTCAGTTTTCTTATCTGCAAAATGGGCATAAAAATTGCAGTCCTGCTTACTTTTGTAAAGTAGAAATAATGAATGTGAAAGTATCTTGAAAACTGTAAAACACCATATGCATGCATTATCTAGACAGCTCATTTATGTGGACCACTTTACCCCAGGTGGTGCCAAATAAATGATGCATTATCATTACAGACATTAACCTCGACAAGGCTGGAGTTCATGATGTATTTCAACAACTTTTGCCACTTATTGATGATATATATGCAAACAGCTCCAGTGTACAGACAAAAGAGTACTTAGGCAAAAGACTCTTTGGGAAAGGGGTTTATTTTATGCACTCTTGGATGTGAGGCTGTACTGTTTGAAGTGTCAATACTGCCAGGAGCAATCCTTTTTTCAGCTTCCTGAAGCTTCTCTTCTGGCTAGTATCTGGTGTATTTCATATATGAATAAGCAGCTAGATCAGGAGAGGTTTGTCGGTTCAGGCCATATTTTAATTGCATTTTTTGGTCCACACTATTATGGCAGAGAGGAGAAAAAGGTTGGTATAAGTCTAGAGATCTTCAGTTGATCCTCACTCAGTATTGGCAAGCTTGCTTTCTTCTACCTGCTTTCTGTGGAGATGAAAAAGACATCTCTGAATGGGGGGGAGGGCAGCGTTTCTGTGCTTCTTCTGTTGTTTCTCTCCCTTATTTTCTGTTTTCATCAGCTCTTGGCAGTTTTTAGACTCTCTTCTGTCAGATTCCTGTCTCTCCCACTCCCCCTAAATAAAATTGACCTTGGTTAGAATACCCTTTTCTGTCAGCTCACAGCAATTTCTCCAGTCATTTCTGCTTGAAATAACTGTTTAGGGACATTATTCAAGCAAAGCTTTTTTCCTTCACAGTTAATATGTGACTCAATAATTGCTTGAATGTTGATAAACATGTTTTTGAGATTCAATCATTTGCTAATTTAGTTTTTATTATGTAGTGGGGGTTTTAAGTGAGTACTGAGCCATTTTTCTCCATTTCACAATTCTTTCCCCCTGACTAGCCTGACAGTTCTGCCCGCACTCCAGCTCTGTGCAGGCTGAGCCCCATTGCATCCCCAACTCTAACTGTCCGCCAGTCTGTCACAACCCCTTTCTTGGTTAAAAATAATGTATGGGAGAGAATAATTACACTGATGTCTAATCAAAACTTAATTCATTTGCCGAGGCTAAATACAATAGCATTAAACTGAATAGGATAATTTTAGGAACTCAAACCATGGCCATGAGTGAAGTTATATATCCTCAAAAATGTAAATTATTAATCAAACCGCTCATCTGTACAGCAAAGCTCTAGTAATCCCATTATAAAAGGGTGAATTTCTCATTAGAGCCCAGAAGATGCTGGCATTAATTAGTGGACTTTCATGGCACCAACTCAAAGGCATATTTTGGTTACAAAGTTTTTAAAAATGCAATTCTTTAATTATTAGGGCAATTGGAAAACCAACTGGAAACTGAGTGTTTAAAGCCATTTCAGTTTTAAAGTAAAACTTTTGGATTCAATCGGGTCTCAAAATTCTGTGGCTTTAGTAGAGCCAGAGGCTGGGGGAGTTATAAACCTTTCCTGGGCCCTTTATTGATTTAGAAGTCAGTCATTAGGCTGAAAACTGTTTAATGAAAAGAGCTTAGAAAAACGACTCAATATGCAGCCAGAGACCATTCTGGGGCCAACCATGAGGTGAGGAGATTATGCAGATGAACTCTTTTACCCCAGGCCATCGCCCTTGATTGAACAAGGTCCTGAACTCATGCCCTTGATTTAACAGGGCTCTGAACTCACCTCCTCTTGCTGTCATCATCACTGCCCACCTTTCTCACTAGTGGGCTCAACAAAGCACATTAAAGGACATTGTCCCTGCCCTCTAGAAGCTTCCAGGAAAAACACCACTTTTGCCTAGAGTGCTTACTCTCCACCTCCCCACCAGCCCCCAAACTGGAATTTGTTTACTTTCTGAAAACATATGTTCCTCCTCTTCTTTCTGTCTCACTGAGTTGCAGTACCTGATATTGGAGTAATGAAGCATATGTTTGAGAGATTTGAATTCTCTTGTCAGTAGAGTGGAGGTAGAAACAATTTCCCTCTAAGCTGGAAATGGTAACATAGAAATTAAAAGCCCCTTCCCTTCTATTGACTGTGAGATACTTCCAGGGACTGAGGCACCTGTATTGCTCCTTTTCCTTCATTGCACTTTTCAGTCACCAGGTCTCATTTCTTCCTGCATCCTTCTTCACATCATTTTCCTACATTCCAACTGAGACCCCATCGGTCTCAGTTGTCTCATTTATCATATGCAGATGGCTTTTGATTTTAGTTCCTCTCTGATTTCAGTTCCAGGCTCCATCAGCTAACATCTAGACTACCAGCAAATGCACCCCTGGGTTTCATGCCTTTAGCCTCCCTTGCTTCCCAGTTCAGCAATGGAGTGTAATGATTAAGAGTGCAGGCTCTAGGGGGCATTCTGACAGGGTGTGAATGAGTCTGGGTGGGGTAGGCAGGCTGGTATGGAGAGAAGAAAGTTGAGGGCTTGGGTGAGGATTAGAGACCTCCTTTCTGAAAGTGTACTGTATTGGAGAGAGATGAATAAAAAATTTCCTCTTCTCAAGTGTTTTACTTATCTCATTTAAACCTCATAACAACCCTAGGAGGTGGGTACTTTCATTAGCCTCATTTTATCACTGACAAAATGGAGGCTTAAAGAGATTAGGTGACTTGTTTAAAGTAGCACCCAATAGATGGCAGAGACAAGAATTGAACGCAGGAAGTACAGCTCCATAGCCTGTGCCCTTAAAACAGTGCTATATGTGTGATACAGCCTCTGTGTATTTCATCTCATGGTCATAAGCAGTCTCCTCAATTCTAACTTTCCTCCTTGCAAGGGAACTCTATTGTATTTAATTAAAAAAGCATTGGCTGAGCAACTGGATAGCATGTCTAAAGGCAGGTACTGTGGGGGATTCAAAGAGAAAAACTACCTCATGGCTACCTTCAAGTAGATCAAAATTCAGAAACCAGGACATTTGTATACAAATAACTTGGGTGCAAGGCATCCTAAGAAAAATGTAAGAAAAAACCTTTGCAGTTTTCCAAGGGGAGTAGAGGTGGATCCAGGTTTTGTAGTGCTCAAAACTTATATAATTGGGGGACCTTCTTTAAGAAAAAGAAGACAAAATAAAAAATACAAAATGCCTATGGCTCTTCTGTGAGAGGGTGTGCAAGTGCAGGGTCCCTGTAGCTTAAGTTTCATTGTTTAACAGAAAAATAACTTTTCTTTTCTTTTCTTTTCTTTTTTTTTTTTTGAGACGGAGTCTCTCTCTGTCACCCAGGCTGGAGTACAATGGCCTGATCTTGGCTCACTGCAACATCCGCCTCCTGGGTTCAAGCGATTCTCCTGCTTCAGACTCCTGAGTAGCTTGGATTACAGGCGCCTGCCATCATGCCTGGCTAATTTTTGTATTAAAATTCACTTCTTTATGGTAGTGTGGGGTTGGAAGAGATTAACTCCAACCAGAGGGTAGAGGTTCCTGGAGGAGACTGGCTGTATGAAATCTCCAGATAGACATGCTGTTGATCAAAGAGAAGAACACATGAGGGAGTTGGGTAAATCAGTGCACATCTTTTTCTCAATTAAACTCAAACTCAAATTATTATTATTATTATTTGAGACAGATTCTCGCTCTGTTGCCCAGGCTGGAGTGCAGTGGCACTATCTCAGCTCGCTGCAACCTCCGCCTCCCGGGCTCAAGGGATCCTCCCACCTCAGCCTCCTGAATAGCTGGGACTACAGGAATGTGCCACCACACAGGGCTAATTTTTGCATTTTTTGTAGAGATGGAGTTTCGCCATGTTGCCCTGGCTGGTCTCAAACTCCTGGGCTCAAGCTATCTGCCCGCCTCGGCCTCCCAAAGTGTTAAAATTACAGGTGTGAGCCACCATGCCTGGCCAAATTCAAATTATTAATTGCCTATTAGATACTAGCCTTTCTGGACTCCTTGTCTATACCTGTAGTCTCTCACTTAGACTTCCCTCTTGGAAGGGGCAAACACCTAGGAGGCAGCAAAGGGCATAGTGTGATGGCTATGTGGTCTGGCTTCAGGCAGACTGGTGTCTAAGTCCCAATTTTGCCCTTTCCTCTCTTTGTGACCAAGGGCAGGCCACTTCTCTCTGAGCCATTCATTAAACAAAATTAAATCAGATGAGTGCTGTGAAGAACTCAGCTCTATGCTGGCCCATAGGAATAAAATGCATGGTAGCCATTGTTTTTATTATTCCCTCTTGTGCATTTATAAGCATATATATGTATGAAATATAATATCTTTGCTTTGCAGTAATGAATGTCACATATCTGGCACATATACATTTTTAAATAATTTTTTATGTTTTAATATAATTAATGTCAAAATGCACTAAATACCCACTCATAATCCTCTCATTCAGAGATAACCACTTGTAACATTTTTGTGTGTTTTCTTCCTTTCCCTTTCTGTGTGTATGTGTATATTTAAAACCGTACAATATACAGTTTCTAAATGGTCCCGTAGTGGTCTGAATGAGTTAAAGTAGCCTCTAGATCTACTCAGCAAAGGGAGACTGATTCCACTGGATTACATTAAGAAAAGAAGGAGAACAAAAATGTTGAAAGGAAATTGGAATGCTTATGACACTCCTCTCCTTTGGTCAGAGTTCTTTAGCATATAGTTCTGAACCCAATTAACTGAAATGTCATTATTGGATTGCATTTCTTCCCTCTCCTGGGAACCTGTGCTTTTCCTTTCTAGCACTCATCAGGTTGCAGTGGTTACAGGAGTATGTATGGTTATTTGATTAACATGGGTATCCTTTACTAAAGAATGAGCTTTCTGTGGATAGGGCTTGTGTCTATTCTACCATATCCCTCTGTCCCCAGGTGAGACAGTAAACTTTCAGTAAATGTTTGAATGAACACACACACATATATATATATATACATACACTCTCACACAAAATTAGAATAAGTAGTATTGATAGAAATAGATTTCTAACTGTTCCCCTTCCCCTGCAACAGTATGACCAAACAGAAAAGAAAAGATAGATCCTGTTGCCTGCAGCATTTACTTCTAGGTTTTAAAAGCTGCTTAGATATAAGATCTTAAAAGTCTGGATAATGGGGTTTTGCTCGCCCATTGAGATGGAACATCTGTTTCTCTAAGCCTCTGCCTCAGCTTCTGGCCCCATAACTCTGAGGCTGGCTGGTTGTCTTTTCTTCCAGCATGACCTAGGCTCTTCCCAGAACACTGTGAACAAGATTCAGTGCCACAGATTTGCACCTTGTGAACAAGAACCATGAGAATGGTGACACCTGTCAGCTTGTCCAAATACATTCTTGTGTGTCCTACCACCCTTTCACAAGGACCTGAAGGGAAGAGAAGCTCCCTTTTCTTGAAAGCCTTGTAGCAGGCAGACATACTTGTATTTATTTGGACCTTGCCAGCTTCCCTTCAAAAAGGTGGTATTAATCCCATAAGGAGACTAAAACTAGGAGAGTTTGGTAATGTAGGCAAGTTAACCCAATGCTAAATAATTGAGTTGCTAGACCCAAGACTGCTGAATTTAAATTGTGCTATTCTCTTATAATGCTATGTGTTCTCTCTCAATATTGTTGCTAGTGCATCAAATTTGGAGACTATTCACATAACCTTACCTTTCCTTAGAGTTTTATATTTGATATTTTAGTGGAAGGCACAATGTCAGAATAGATAGTCTTTTAAGTCAAATAGTCCTGTATTCAAATACTCTTGTTACTCACTAGTTACGTAACCCCCTTTTACAAAATGAGGGTAATAATTACAACCTTACAGCACTGCTGTGAAAGTGAGCCATAAATTATGTAAAACATGTATACCATATTGCTTGGTATAGAATAGGTGCTTAATAAATGGCAACTATTGATACTCTTCAAAGTTAAAGATTAAGGTTCTCATTCTTTCTTATATCTGTTTATAGTTGTTCTTCCTTTATCAACTCTAATAAATTGGGATTTGACGTGGGTGTAGGAATTTGATCAGACACAGGTGGGACTAAGGTTGACTCAAGTTTAAAAAAGGACTTGTCAAATAAATGAATAGTTTAAACGAATTGTAGAGAGGAATCATTAACTGATTTAAAAGAATAATTTTTAAAATAAAAATTTTAGTGTGCATTAAAAAATCAATAATCATAGGTTCATTAGAAAGAATTGTTATCTATTTGTTAAGGCAGGTTTCTAGAGACCAATGGATTATTTATTTATTCCTGATTATGTGAGACCTTGAAAGTAATACAGCAGTATTTATTTCAGGATAATCTTTTTTTAAAACAAGTTTTTGCTACACAAATAAGTATTTCTTTTTTAATTAGAGAAAATGAAAAAACCACAAAGAAATAAAAAAGTGGAAAATAAAACGACCCTGATTCTACCCACTAGAGGATAGCTACTGTTAACATTTTGACATATCGTCTTGCATACTTTTTATTCATACATAGGTGTATGTATAGTTTTTCAAAAATTGACTATACTGCTTTTTCATATAGCCATCTTTCCATGTCAATAATGTACTTCTGTAACACAATATAAATATAGTATCTAGGGGCTACCCTTTACTTACTACTGTGGATATTTCACATGTTATTAATCCAACCCTCTCTATTGTTGGAAATGAAGGTTGCTTTCAGTAAGCCACAGTGAACTAAATAATGTCCGTGTAATTAAATATTTATGCACATCCTTAATGATTTCCTCAGGATAAATTCCTGGAAGTGGAATTGCTGGGTCAGAGACTATGCAGTTTTTAAGATTTCTCACATTTATTGCCTATTTGATTTCCATAAAGTTTGTATGTGCTTTCACTTTACTTCTTTTTAAATACTTTAACTTTTAATTTTTGTGGGTACATAGTAGGTGTATATATTTATGGGGTATATTAGATGTTTTGATACAGGCATACAATGTGAAATAAGCACACCATGGAGATTAGCAATGTAAGAATGTCCATTTTCCTGTCTGCCCCTTGCCATTTTATCATAATCCCAGCGTGGGTGAAAAAAATAGTACTCTTTGGTTGCCAGTGAGATTTGTTGATCATTTGTACCTTTTATTTTGTGATTTTTCTCACTAATATTCTTTCATCATTTGGAAAAATTTAAGTATAACTTGTCCCTTACTAGTTGTCCTTTTCTTATTGATTTGTAACAAGCAGCTCTTTGTATATTCAGAATGCTAGCCCATTTTGTATAAGTTGCTTTAACTGATTTGTTAATTCAAGTTTTCTTTTTTTGTGGGGGTTTAAACATACTTTCAGTCAAATGTGTCAATATCTTAATTTGGTTTCCAATATATTCTTTGATTCTTTACTAATTGATATTGGCCTTAGCATGAATCAAAGATGTGTTCTATTTCCTGTTCTGACACCAGCTGTGTGGAAATAGGTAGGTAATTCAAAGTCTCTAAGTTTGTTTTCTTATATGCAAGATGGTAACACCTGACCTGCCAACCTGCTGGAGCTCTTGAGGATCAAAAGAGGTAATATATATGAAAATGTTTTGAAAGTTTAAGTGACTAGTGTAGTTGTTATTCACTTGTCCCTTGGCACTTATCAGTCTGTACTATATCAGAATTGCCTTTCTTCCTCTGGATCTGAAACCTTTCTGGCCTTTTAATAGGAAGTAATTTTGGTCTAGAAATGCACTGGAGCCTGTGCCCTGGTAGCTGGAAAGGTGCTCTAGAGAGTGGTGAAATGTAGCCTGCCACCAGGCTCTGCCTGGAGTGTGGATTCTGGACATCCTTCCCAGTTGGGGAAATGGGCCCTGGAACTATTCTTTGATGTAGTATGTGTGTTTACTCCTACATGCCCCAGTCCTTGAAGGGTAGCTTAAGAAACCCAGCCAGTGAGGCCAAAGTGCTTGTTCTACCAACAGAGTAGTAGGTGGGGGAAAACCCCAAAGATTGCTATCCACACTCCTCTTCTTTGGTGCCTGGAAAAACAGTACTCTTTCTAGCAATTAACATTTGAAACAGATATACTGGCCTGTCAGATAAATCAGTGGCTTAGCATTGTTTTGTGGTACAAATTCTGGAAAGAGTTGTTTATTAGGAAAACCTTCTTAAAAAATTGTGAGATGACCATAGTTCTCCCTCTCTAAATGCCAGATTAAAAAAGAAAAAACAGAGAGACAGGAAAAACAAAGTATCTCATGCATCAAAGTAATCATTAGTGGAAAACAAAGTATGTTCTTTCTGGCAATCTCTGCCAGATGGTTGAGATGGCTTACAGTGGAAGAAGAGGCTTAAATGATGCACATATTATTTCAAATATAACCTTGAGGTTTTTTGTTTTTGTTTTGATGGGAGGGGAAGATAGTGTAAACTTGCAAAAAATTAAGCCTTCTTGAAGGTCAGAGACCTCTGGAAGGTTGGTGAGGTTAGACATTTGAACTTACCGGGATTACTTAAGTGAAGGAGAAATAAAGTTAACTAATCTTACTAAAAGTGTACTATGTGCTAGACTTGAGTAATCTTCATAATGGTAATAACACCATTAGGTATTATTATCCCCATTTTACAGATGTGGAAACTGGGATTAAGAGCTATTAACCAATTTGTCCAAGGCCATGTAACCAGCAAGTGGCAGCATTAAGTTGCTAACTTCAAAGTCATTGCCCTTTTCATTGAGCCACACGGTCTCCCTTGGAGCTAGAAGATAAAAATAAGCTTTAAAACTTATTGAAATGATCATAGATGGTTTTGAAAAATAGAAAGTGCTGTTAGGAATCTGTACAGTAATGGAGAAATAAACAAAACACCCCAAGAATGACCCCAAACTTTTATTTGGCAGAAGGCTTCAAATTCCATTGATATGAAACAATTCTCTGTAGGGACATACTAGGGTGAGTTAATTGTACCCTGAGTATTCTATGGCAGGGTGGCAGCCTTTCCTATTGCCTCATAAAGAATCGCACACACACTCTTCAGAGTTCATTTTAGTACTTTTCAGCCTGACATCTAAAGGGGCTGCTACCCTGACAAACACAATCTGGCCAGATGTTATTATTTTGCACTACATTTAATTTCTTCCTGCCAAAGATTTAGGCTTCTTTTCCCTGATAAAGATCAGGGGAAATTGTCTGGTATTTACAAAATCCCATCCAGGCATATCTGTTACAATGTTCACTTAGCAAAGTTTATTAGATTATTAGGGCTTTAAACCCTTGGGCTCTTTCATTATTGAAATTAAAAAAAGAAAAACCCAAACATCTTCAACAAATTTAAGTGGTATAATTAGACCCTGGACTTGTCTTACAGGCATTTTAGAATTATGAAAATGATTTAAATAGTATTTGCTTCCTGAGAAACTTGCTGCATTCGACAGGGATGAAAGGAAAGCAGTTAAGCTCCTTTGGTCTCCTGAGTTAATGGGGAAAGTGATATCTGGAACTGAAATAAATTTGCTATAGTTGTATGGTGAAATTACTCCCATAAGTAGTTAGCCATACCACACAGGGCCTCTCTTTCTTGGCCTAGTTAAAATGTAGCCACTGTAGTGTTAGAGGAACATGTGGGTCTGTCATTTCCTTGCTCATGAAGTCTTCTTAGAGTAAACACTGAACTAGACTCCTGAAGCTCTAATTTTTGCTTATATACACTATACTAGACATGTAAAGAAGACAGTAATAGAAATATTTTCAAGGTATAATCAACTATGATTTATATACACTGCAGTTTTCCTTAAAGGATTTCAATGTGACTTGCATGCAGTAATTGTATTTTCAATCATCTCCAGTTGAAAGTTGGTGGCACGATTGTTATTTTCTCTACTGTCTGAATGTAGACATGGAAGAATTTAGACAGTGTCTTGACTTCATCAACATAAGGAGCCAGTAGCTGGTCTGGAACTTGAGCTAGTAGGATGTACATGAGAGAGGCAATCTAGTAGAAAGCAATGTAATTATGCTTATTTGTTTTGGGGAGTGAGGTGGGGTAGCTACTAATTCAGGCACCCAAATCCTGTAACATTAAACTTTGCTTAAGAAAGAAGGAGAATTATTTAAGAAAATTGAATGGAAGTTTTTGCTACATGTGCCAACTTGAGTATTTTCTTCTATTGTACATTTACTTGGTGCCAGATGAGGTTTTCAACAAATTGTGAAAGCCCAGATCTTTAGAGACTATGTTAGAAATGTCTCACAATTAAGCAGGACCATAGTTGGACTTTTTCTTCTTATTTTGAAGGCGGTCAGAAGTCTTTTATGTGAAAACTGTAACAGTGCAAACATATGTTTGTACATTAACTATACAGGCAATAAATGCTGAAATGGCAGAAGTGAACTCAAGGCAGAAGGTAAATATTTTGTAAAAATTAATGATCTAGAGTGAACTCTCATTAACTTGGGCTCTGTTAATTTGAATATTGTGATAGTTTGACTTGGGCTGAAGTTTACTTTCATCCCATTTATGAAGAAAGAATCTGCTAACAAATTAATAGTGTATATAAGATTGCAGGAAGTCATGTTTAACTTGCTTGAAGGACTTGAGCAAGCCCATTAATTGAGGCTGCTAATTACAATGAGCTTTGCCTATTAAAGCAAACCTGATAGAACCTCTACTTGGAAACACTTTATTAGCAGTGAGTTTAAGTTACTCTAGGTATGGAAAAATAATAAAAGGCAGTGTAGTGTTTAAGAGAACGGATTCTGGAATAAATTGACTTGGGTTTGAATCTTGTTACCTGGGGGAGTCTACCAAACCTCTCTAACTCCCAATTTCTTCATCTCTAAAACAATAATAGGACCTAACCTTACATGGTTTTTGTGAGGAATAAATGATATGATGCATATAAAACTTAATTTAGGGTGGTGCCTAGTATATAGTGAGTGCTCAATGAATGTTAGCTTGTGTTTGTTAATTTTGGAAAGTAGTTATAAATCACACTTCACCATCCTTCCCCTTCATCAATTTGGCTTAGTGAAGATCCAGGAAAACATCCTATTTGTTGAGCTAGTTGTTCCTGAATTTGAATGAGCAGCCATCTGGGGACAGTAACTTCATAAAATGGCCTACCTGTTCTATGGGCCAAATATGCACATGGAAAGAGATGATCATTGGATCTATAAGTCTTTTCAGTTTCCCAGGAGGGAAATTCGAATTGAACATGTTTTATGTTATAAGCTTAGTTGACCATGAGTTGATATTGTGAAGTTATTATGGAGCCTGAAAAATATCAAGAGTTTATATGTCTGAATATTTTATTACAACATTTCTAATATTGTTCCTCTTCTGCTGTCCTGCTGATAAGGACACTTTACTACATAAATAATAGGTGTTCGTTTTAGAAGAGAAGTTACTAAGTTCTGATAAATATAAAATAGAACATAAAAATCACCCAGAATCCTAACATCCAGAGATCACTGTGGTGAGCATAGGCTTTCTCATTTTTTTCCTGCATATTTCACACGTGTAGGTTTTTTTTTTTACAAAAATAAAATTGTACTGTACACATTCAAAGCAATGCTGGTGATAAACCAAAGAGTGTGCATGCTCTCTACAGTTATGTTCAGATGTGGTTTAAAATAGGGGTATTAATTTGTAATCACAAGATGGACTTGAAGTTGAAAAGCTGCATACAATTTTATATCTCAGAGTCTGCCTCAAATCTATTTCTATTGACACCAATAGAAATTTAGCCCAGAGAATATAGCTTCAATTATCTTTGTAGGTTTATTATAATTAAGAATGGATGCGTATGTGTGTGTCTTTGTGTGTGCACATGTGCTGCGTGTGTCAGGTGGAGACTTTTCCCTGTTGTGGAGTCTGGTGACAAGAACATTAGACTAGGAGTAACAGGACATGGATTGTGGCCCCGATGCCATCATGACTCACTGGATGACCTTGGGCAATCAATTTCATTTCTCTGAGCTTTAGTTTTCCCATATATAAGATGTAGGGTTAGACCAGATAATTTCTACTGCCCCTTGCAGCTCAAAGAGTCTGAGTGTTAAAAAAAAAAAATCAAACCTGTCTGTCTGTCTGTCTGCCTGGAAGAACCCGAGGCTCTGTGGATATCTTCCTAAGGAGAGGAGGGGTGATGAATTTAAACAGTTTCTTTGGCGCCAGATAGACCAAAGGCTGTAATTTTTAGCCTATCAGGCGTTTGACTTTTGCAAGTGCTAAATTCTCCATTAGGAATAAATGTGGAAGCTCCAGGTTATTTATTGTTATTTACACTTTCCATTCATAACTGTCAGTGTCAGAGGCTCTGTCAACATAACTGCGTCAATCAGGTTAGCTTTAATCAGTTTAGTGGTGGCTAAGTCACAAATATATCAAATAGCCAATCAAAATGCAGGAGCCCTCTAAAGCCTGACTGAATTATTTATTTTGTTATGATGAAAATGTCTGGGCTTTATTGGGTTTTCTTTGAAGAACTTGATTCAGCTTGAAGTCTAGAAGATAAAAGATCAGTGATTGTCTCTCAGATTTTTATTCTGCCTTCCTTCAAGGCTTTTCATTTTTCACAAGCCGTTGTTAGCACTTCTAAGTCAAGGTGAGAGAGCTGTGATATGTTTTATCCTAGGGGTTTAGGCACGTGTGGAAAACTTTTACCTTTGATTTCTTGTCCTGTTTATGTCATGTGGAAGGTGTGTGACCTTGAGCTAACCACTTAACCTGTCTGAGCCTCATTTTCTTCATCTATATAATGGGGATAATTCTAATCTTACCTAAATCTCAAATTGTTATGAGACTCAGGCCGGGCAAGGTGGCTCACTCCTGTAATCCCAGCATTTTCTTTCTTTTTTTTTTCACTTTATTATTATTATTATTATTATTATTATACTTTAAGTTTAATCCCAGCATTTTCTGAGGCTGAGGTAGGTGGATTGCTTGAGCTCAGAAGTTCGAGAACAGCCTGGGCAATATGGCGAAACACCATCTCTATCAAAATAATGATAATAATAATAATAATAAGCTGAGCACAGTGGCATATTCCTGTAGTCCCAGCTACTTGGGAGACTGAGGTGGGAGGATCGCTTCAGCCTGGGAGGTAGAGGTTGCAGTGAGTCGAGATCACGCCCCTGCACTCCAGCCTGGGTGACAGAGCGAGACCCCGTCTCAAGAAAAGATTGTTATGAAACTCAAATAAGATAATGCCTTAGTTGTCATATAAGCATGAGGTTTTATTATTATCATTAGCACTGTTATTTAGGCCTTATGTAGGTAGGTCTGACATAGTATAACATATATAGTCCTGAAAAGTTAGTTGGAAGTCAGTTTTGTAAATCAAAACTCTTCTGTGCCTTACATGATACTCTCATATATTATCACAGAAAATTATATCCTCTAGACGTCATGAAAAATTAAAGCATTCAACAAACTTTAAAAAATCATATTCAACTGAAAAACGAATGATTTTCAAATATAACGTGAGCACTGCAAATCATTAAATACAATGCTTAAGAAAATAGCTCTAGAGACTCTGAAAAGGGAAATAATTCATCTTGCTTCCAAAATGCTCAGGGCCTTTTGGGGGTAGAATGGATGGGGGAGTGGGCGGCTGGCAGTGGGAGGTCAGAGAGAGAAGAAGACAGAAGAAAAAGACATTTAAAATATAGCTGTCCTGCACAATTCTTTCTGTGTCAGTCCAAGTAGCTGTTTCCAACCCCCGCCACACACTTATTATTCCTTTCCCAGACATCTTTAATACAGACGGTGAAACTGTAGTAGAAATGTGCCTTTGTACTTACAAGAAAGTTGTATGGCCCCTCTAAGAATCACTTTTGTTTTCTTTATTCTGCCGAGCCATTCAGAGGCCCTGATTACCAGCATAGCAGGAAAGAAAAGAGATAAATACCTAGCTCCAAAGCAAAACACAAAGGAAGCAAGATTAGAAAATTAAGTGTGGAGGGGGAACATTTGAGTATAGTAACATGGTCACTAGTAGGAAGGAAGTGTTTCGGATTTACCTACTGAATTATCTCATGTTTAAGTTGAGTCATGGCTAATTAACTTTCATGTGCTAAAGCAAATTTGTATGTACTGAGCATGTTCTGAGAGTGACTTTTATTGAAAATGGAAGAGCTAGACATTTTCTATAATATTCCTGATGTGATTGAAGCTGTGTCTCCAGGAGTGATTTTTCAGCCCCGTCTAGTTGCGAGGCTGTATTAGGTCATTCTTGCATTACTATAAAGAAATACCTGAGACTGGATAATTTATAAAGAAGTCCAGGCATGATGGCTCACGCCTGTAATCCCAGCACTTTGGGAGGCTGAGGAGGAGGACCACTTGAACCCAGGAGTTCGAAGACCAGCCTGAGCAATGAGGCGAAACCCCGTCTCTATAAAAAAAAAAATACAAAAAAAAAAATTAGCTGAGTGTGGTGGCACATGCCTATAGTCCCAGCTACTGGAGAGGCTGAGGTAGGGGATCCCCTGAGCCTGGGAGGTCAAGACTGCAGTGAGCTGTGATCACCCCACTGCACTCTAGCCTGGGCAACAAAGTGAGATCCTGTCTTAAAAAATATATATGTATATATATATAAATAAAGTTTGGCTGGTCTTGGTGGCTCACACCTGTAATCCCAGCACTTTGGGAGGCCAAGACGGGTGGATCATCTGAGGCCAGGAGTTTGAGACCAGCCTGACCAGCATGATGAAACCCCATCTCTACTAAAAATACAAAATTAGCCAGGCGTGGTGGTGCGTGCCTGTAATCCCAGCTACTTGGGAGGCTGAGGCAGGAGAATCGCTTGAACCCAGGAGGTGGAGGTTGCAGTGAGCCAAGATTGCACCATGCACTCCAGCCTTGGCAACAAGAGCGAAACTCCATCTGAAAAAGGAATAAGAATAATAAATAAAAATAAAATTTATAAAGGAGGTTTAGGCTGGGCTCAGTGGCTCACACCTGTAATCTCAGCACTTTGGGAGGCTGAGGTGGGTGGATCAGGAGTTCAAGACCAGCCTGGCCAAGGTGGTGAAACCCCATCTCTACTGAAAAAAAAAAATACAAAAAATTTAGCCGGGCATGGTGGCACACGCCTGTAATCCCAGCTACTCGGGAGGCTGAGGCAGGAGAACTGCTTGAACCCAGGAGGCTGAGGTTGCAGTGAGCTGAGATCGTGTCACTGCACTCCAGCCGGGGCAACAGAGTGAGATTCCATCTCAAAAAAAAAAAAAACAAAAAAAAAAAGAAAAGAGGTTTAATTGGCCCACAGTTATGCAGACTGTACAGGAAGCATAGTACTGACATCAGTTTCTGGGGAGGCCTCAGGAAGCTTTTACTCATGGTGGAAGGTGAAGCAGGAGCTTGCAACATCACGTGCCGAAAGCAGGAGCAGGAGAGAGAGAGTGAGGGGGAGAAGGGCCACACACTTTTAAATGATCAGATCTCCAAAGAACTCGCTATTGTGAAGACAGCACCAAGCCATGAGGGATCTGCCCTCACAATCCAAATGCCTCCCACCAGGCCCCACCTCCAGCATTGGGGATTACAATTCAACATGAGATTTGGTCCGGTACAAATATCCAAACTATAGCAAAGGCCTTTGGGAAGCTCAGCCCATAGGGAAGTCTTAGAATACTTAGATTGCAGTTCCTAGTTGGTCATTTTCAGGCTCTGGATCCTGCAACAAGCTGTCTGAACACCTTAGGGATCCTTTTCTAAACCTGCAGGTGAGGCTAGGTCTCCTTGCAATCCTCCCTAGTCCCCATCCCACCTGCCCCACACCATGTTCCCTTGCTCATTGTTGGCATCTCTAGGTTTCTAGTAACCTAGAAATGATGTGCTCTGGATAGGGTGGAGAATGTCTGTCCCCTTGACAGGACTGAAAGCAACTCAAGGGTCCGTTTTGAGTTCATCTCTGTATCTCTGCCCCCTTACTCAGTGTTGGTAGGTAGATATATATGGTAGATTTTCTAAATGTTTGTTGAGCTTTAATTTCCCAAAACCTTGGATTTCTAACCTATAAAATGGAGCTATTACATGTCTAGTCCATATTCTTATATTAGTTATAAGAATAAGAAGATGTATATGTAAAATTGCATATTAAACCAAATAGCGCTATATGCACACTTATATAAGGGGCTCTTATTAATTAGGGTTATTATGTGTAATTCACATTTTAAATATAAGGCTGTTTTCCAACAGGAAATCAGGCAAATTAATTTTCTTTGTCTGTCCAAAGAGATGAAGAGACTGGCACATTGGTTCTTAACTGGGGTCCATTAATAGGTTACAGTGGTTCCTTGAAGCCCCTGAAATTTTATGTAAAATTTTTTTGTATATGTGACTTTTTTTCTGAAGAGAAAGCACAGAGTTTAAGTCAGATACGTAAAGGGGTCTATGCCTCCCAAACAGTTAAGGACCACAGGGCTAGCTAATCTCTAAAACTCCATTCCACTCTAATTTGGTTTTATGAAAAATCCCAGTCTGAACAAATAGATTCAAATTATTATTATTTAATGGACTCAAATAAGCAGTCTCAGTTATTTTAACAGCAGTAAACTCAGGATTCTTAGATTTAATAATATCCATTTGGGTACTGATTGCTGGCATATTCTGCTACCATTCAGATTTCTACCTGGCTTGAGGGAAGAACTATTATTTTACATGTTGCCTCCCATGTCCTTTCTCAAACATAGTTATTTTGATCTCACCTATGTTGCTTTTAAGAGGGACTAGTTTGGGGCCTGCAGAATTAGAAGCTTTACCCTTATGGTTTTCAACTGAGTATAATAAACATCTTTTAAAGAAACCAAACAACAATAGCAAAGCTATAGCCCAGTGGAGGCATTAAGGGAGTTGCACCATTTAGAAATCCAGCTGTGTTTGTTCTGATTATAATCAGGCTACTGTCTACCATTTAGTTCTCTTGGGAGGTGATACAGTTAAAATCCCAGCATCTGTAGAAATAGCAAGTTTATCCACTCAGTTATATACACTGAGCTTTCTGTTTTAATAAAGAGAGGTGGGGTACAATGATCAGATTAAGGAGTATGGGCAATTTTTACCTTGAGCAGAAGGAAGCAGTCCTCCAGTGTGTTTTAGAATCCTATTCATTGCTGACACTGGGAGAAGACTGCTGACAATATGGGTAAGCTCACCTTGATCTTTTGGAGGGGAGCCTCCTCCAACCATTTAGAACAGTACAGTGGGAGGAAAACAAAACAAAACAAAAAAAACATACCACAGAGTAGGAGGTGGAATATAGAGTTTATATTCATGGCTCTGCTATGAAGCCAATAGTGTAACACCAGGCATGTCTTTTCCTGATGCTGAGCCTTGTGGGCTAGCTGTCATTTAGGGCTTAGTCCTTAGTCCTTCCAGGGCTATTGTAATTGTTGTTAATAATAATCAGGAATAATAGTGAGAGTTTCCATTTATTGTCTACTATGTGCCACTATGCTAGAGGGTTTTAATACATTTATTTAATCCCTGCAGTAATCCTGTTAAATAGGTAGCATTGTCTTCATTTGATGTATGAGGGAAATGGAAGCTCAGAGAGGGTAAGCAACTTGTTCATGTCCTATCTTCTGCCCCCTCCTTCCTGGGTCCTTCTTTCCCCATAGCCAGTGGTCACCAAGTCCTGTTGGTTATCACTGCCCTGGTTTCAGCCCTCAGCTCTATCCTGAGGATTTAATCGCTTTCTAACCAGCCTCCCTGCCTCAAGTTTTATACCTTTCCTTTAACATCTGTCAGGTTTTAAGATGTAACTGAAGTACCACGTTCTCCAGGACACCTTCCCTGACTACCCCCTCCACTGGATTAGGTTACCCTCCTTTGTGTCTCATAATACCTTGTATATCTCTAGTGTGCTTCATTAAAAATAACAATAGCAAATATTTAATGAGTATGTACTATGTACCGAGTATCGTTAGAAGCTCATTATATACATTAACACATTGAATCCTCACAGCAACCCTATAAAGTAGATACTGTTAGTACCATGTTTTACAGATGTTCAGTACCTTGCCATGACTTGAACTCCAGACACTCTTATTTGAGTGCCTGGTCTCTCAGTCTCTGCTCGATACTATCTGTTGCCTCAAGTACTATTTTCACCAGGAAGATGTCTATGGCTCATTTCTAAATTACTTTAAAAAATAATTTGTGGCCGGGCACGGTGGCTCATGCCTGTAATCCCAGCACTTTGGGAGGCTGAGGCGGGTGGATCATGAGGTCAGGAGATTGAGACCATCCTGGCCAACATAGTGAAACCCCGTCTCTACTAAAAATACACAAAAATTAGCCAGGCGTGGTGACACGCGCCTGTAGTCCCAGCTACTCAGGAGGCTGAGGCAGGAGAATCGCTTGAACCCATGAGGCAGAGGTTGCAGTGAGCCAAGATCGCACCACTGCACTCCAGCCTGGTGACAGAGTGAGACTCCGTCTCAAAAAAGAAAAAAAATAAAATTGTATTTGTAAAACTCCACATTAAAGTTTGAAGCTGAAAATGATCAGTTCTCAGGCATTTCTTATAGACTTGAAGTACTAAAAAATAATGGTAAGATCAGATAATCCCACACTTACATTAAACTAAATACTTTAAAACATTTCTGCTTCCATGAGACACATAGTCCCTATTTTCCAAGTAGGAAAACCAAGGATAGAGAGATGAGAAGTGATTTGTCTAAAGCAGGGTTTTTCAATATTGGCATTATGAACATTTGAACATTTGGGACAAGGTAATTCTTTGTCATGGAGGTTGTCCTGTGCATTGTAGAATGTTTAGCAGCATCCCTGGCCTCTACCCACTAGACGCAGGAGTACCTCTCTCCAGTTGTGACAACCAAAAATGTTGTCAAATGTCCCTGGGCCTGGGGCAGTTGGGGGGAGCTCAAATTCATCTTCCATTGAGAACCACTGGCATGAAGTCTTGTGTTGGCAAGTCACAGTTTGAAAACTGGCCTTCTAGCTCTAAATCTAGTTCTCTTTAATTTTTCTGAGTTGGCTCACATTCTCATTCTGATGGGGAAAACTGGTCCATGAGGCATGTTTGTACATGAACCTTTTTTTCATGGAATGCTCTTTGTATAGTGTGGGAATTATTTGGTGACTAACCAAAGAGGAGTTCACAAGTGGTTTACAGGAGTATTTTGTTGATTGAATCTAGTTATTCAATGTTGCCCGATTTTGTTTTCCTAAACAACTTTTGTGTGTGCATGGTATCTGAATGGATTTGATAGAAAAGAACATGTGTGCCAAGGTTTTTATTGTCTTTAGGCTTATGTGAATCAGCACTTTTACTTTACTAAGTTTCTGTTTGCCTCAAATGCCATGTTTTCTCCATCAGAAGTATTTGGCACATAGATTGTATAGTTTTACTAGTGGGCACTGCTGCTGTTTCTTATGAGAAGGCTTTGAAAAGATTGTTGCTTCTCCCAGGGTTTTGAACTTCTGAGAGAATTGCTTGTTAATAAATTATCTCTCCATTTAGGGCAATGTACTACCCTAAGAACTAGTCTCCTTGCAACCTGTGACCACCTGCCACCAAAAAGAAAGAGTAAAAATGTCTTGTATGGAGCAAGGAAAGCAGGGAAGCTAAGCAGGCCTGGCTGGACTACTTCACCTAGTCACTCTGTGGATTCCCAGGAGGCTGGGTGAAAGGGTAGGGGTTTCTTCCTTTTCCATTTTTGATATTTTTTTCAAATTACAAAGGTAATTTTCTAAGATGGAGAAATGCATACAGTATTTAGACATGCTTAATGAAAAAACAAAAAGAAAGAAACAATACAGAACTATATGGAAAACCAGTGGAACAGAATCAAGAACCCAAAAATGAACCCAAACATATGTGGTCAACTAATTTTCCACAAGGGCACCAAAAAGGACACAATGGAGAAAGAATAGTCTTTTCAATAAATGGTGCTGAGAGAACAGGATTTCCACATGCAAAAGAATTAAATTGGACCCTTATCTTATACTGTACATAAAAATCAACTTAAAATGGATGAAGACCTAAAAGTAAGACCTGAAACCATAAACCTTTTAGAAGAAAACATAGGGGAAAAGCTCCTTGGCATTGACCTTGGCAATGATTTTATGGATATCACACCAAAAGCTCAGGCTACAAAAGCAAAAATAAGTAAATGGGACTACATCAAACTAAAAAGCTTCTGCACAGCAAAGGAAACAATCAGCAAAATGAAAAGGCAACCTACAGATTGGGAAAATGGTTGCAAATATTTACAAACCTTATATCTGATAAGGGGTTAATATCCAAGATTTATAAAGAACTCATACAACTCAATAGGAAGAAAACATATAACTTGATTTAAAAATGGGCAAAGGACTTGAATAGATATTTCTCCAAAGATGACATAAAAATAGCCAACAGGTACCTGAAAAAATGCTAAACATCACTAATCATCAGGAATTGCAAATGAAAGCCACCATGAGGTACCACCTCACACCTGTTAAGATAGCTGTTATCAAAAAGACAAGAGATAACAAGTGTTGACAAGGGTGTAGGGAAAAGGGAACCCTTGCACACTGCTGATGGAAATGTAGATTGGTGCAACCATTATGGAAAACAGTATGGAGGTTCCTAAGGAAATTAAAATTAGGACTACCATGTGACCCATATGACCCAGCAATCCCAGCAATTTTTAGCACGTATATACCCCTCAAAATGAAATCAGTCTGTCTAAGAGATATCTGCACTCCCAATGTTCATTGCTGCATTATTCACAATAGCCAAGATATGGAAACAACCTGGTTGTCCAAATGGATGAATTGATAAAGAAACTGTTTCATGAATAGAAACATGAATAGAAAATGTTTCATGCAACATTATTCAGCCTTTAAGAAAAGGAGACCTTCCTTTTGCCACAACATGGATGGACCTGGAGGACATTAAAGGGGAAAAAGGTCAAATATACAGAGATATACAGAGATAGAGAATAAAACAGTGGCTACCAAGATTGGGGCAGGGGAAAGGAAATGGGGAGATGTAGGTCAGATGATACAAAGTAGCAGATATTTAGGATGAACAAGTCGAAAGATCTAATATATAATACATGAGGACTATAGTTGATAATAGCATATTGTATGCAGGATTTTTACTAAATGAGTAGATTACAGCTGTTCTTGCCACAAGGAAAGTGGGGAATGTGTATGTGAGATGATGGAGTTGTTAATTTGTTCCACTATAGTAAATATATATATATAATATATATATATGTATATTTATTACATCACATTGTATACCTTAAATATACACTGTAAAATTTATTTTATAAAAGAAATATAGAGAGTAAAAAGTGAAAGTAGCCAGGCATGGTGGCTCACACCTGTAATTCTGACACTTTGGGAGGCTGTGGCAGATGGATTGCTTGAGGTCAGAAGTTCGAGACCAGCCTGGGCAACATGGCGAGACCCTGTCTCTACAAAAAATACAAAAATTAGCCATGTTTGGTGGTGCACACCTGTAGTCCCAGCTACTTGGGAGGCTGAAGCAGGAGGATTACCTGAGCCCAGGGAGGATGAGGCTGCAGTGAACCATGATTGCATCAAGGCACTCCAGCCTGGGTGACAGAGGGAGACTGTCTAGAAAAGAAAAAAAAAAAGTGAAAGTCCCCCCTTTATCCCTCACTCTATCTTATTTATATTGTCAGCTGCATACACTGTAAAGAGTTTGATGTGTGTATCCTTCTGAACTTTTCCCCATGTATTTCTGTATAAATATGCACACACTCACTACTCATACAGTTTTTTTTCCTACATAAATGGGGTCATACCATATATACTATTTGGTAACATACCTTTTCACTTTATACATCTCTGGCATCGTTCAAAACAAGTACTTAAATACTTTGTACTTTAAAAAAAAAACAGCTGCATAATATTCCCACCCATCTGCTTCCCTATTGGCAAACATTTAGGTATGTTCTTTATTTTTTCTTTTCTCTTACAGTGCCAAAGGGAATATTTTAATTCCTGTGTTTCATGTACTGGAGCGGAACCCCTTAGGGTTTCCAGGGACAACAGGCCAGAATTGCACTCTCTGCTGCCTCCCAATGTGCAGAAAGAGCCAGTCCTTTCCGTAGTTCACTAGGGAAGTGAGTGTAATTGGTGGTTCCAGAGGAGTGACCCTGAGCAGTCTGCCTAGGAAATTGTGTTCTCCCTTTCAGCGTTCCAGAGGTCAAGGAACACCAAGCTCCAGGCCCAGTCTGGTTAAGCTACCTCAAACAAAAGACCTGAATCCTGCTGTCATATTGCAGGCTTGAATTTGCCGATTTGCCGGGGCGGTGGCAGGGGGGCGGAGGGGGGACGGTATTTTTGGTTAGATGCCTCAAACACTTTAATTTTTCTGTTACTGTCAGCCAGCTATTTAGTGAGCACTTACTGTGTGTCAGGCACTGCTGGGTAGTTTCAGACATGCACATGGTAGTCTATTCAGCTAAATTCCTCAAACATTGACGTCAGTCTGTCTATGGACATGATCTCCGTGTTATTTTTATTTCTCAATTAAGGGCTCATGGAAGAAATGCTTTGCTTTAGATTGTGTTTCAATTATATTTCACAAATAATCCACATTTGGAGTGTGGTTTAGTTCATTGTTTTGTTTTTGTCCCTATCCATATAAATCACTCTATAGAAAAACATCAGATTCTGTTTTCACAGAAGTCAGGGAAATAAGTTGTTTACACATCACCATTTGACTCCCTTCACCCCTGTCCTCATTACAAACATCTCAGCCACCCAATGAAGTTTATTTAAACTCCCAAGCCATCCATGCAAATAAGACCCCTACAGCTACGGAGTTTGGAGGAAGAAAGGACTAGGATTGTCTGCCACTTCCTTATTCTCTCTACTGGGTTCAGAACATTTCTTTTCATGAGTTAATTTACTACCCAGAGGCTTGGCTTTAGTTGTGTGTCCTTTTTCAGTTTTGTAAATTAGGGAGGTGGTTCCATAGAATCACAGCATATCAGAGTTGTCAGGGAGCTTTAGAAACACCATCAAATGCAACCCTCATACCTCTGTGTGACTCCTCTGTACAACATATTTTGGGTGAGTGGTCATTTGGTTTTGGAGTGAAAACCTCTTCTGATCAAGAACTCCCTCCCCTAAGAGGCAGCCGTTTAATTTTTGGTTAGCTTTAGTTGCTAGTTCTTATGTTTGTTGGCCCACAATCCATCTCCATGTAACTCTTTTACCATACCAGTTGCTTTCATGTGGCTTCTACTCAAGTAGGTTTCTACTTGGTTGTTATCCTTCTAAATTGTGGTACTCGGAATTGCCCAGTGTGATGCACAGGGTAGCAATTACCTCCTATTATCTACATAGTATTACTTTTATTGAGGCAACCAATTTAACAGCCACTCATGGTTGAGTTAGCAAGTGTTGTATTTATAATCAAGCAAAATTCTCCAAACTTTTATCACTGGCCTTCATTTCACCTTTGGGGATTTGGTCCTGTATTGATATGACATCTTACTAAATTTGAGCCCAGATTTTAGGGTTTCAAAATTAGTTAACGGTTCTTCCAGCTTTAGTAATTTGTAAATATGATCAGTGCATCATTTATGCCATCACACCAGTCATTGATTAAAAATATTGAGCAGAGAAGATACCTTAAAATCCTGATTAGAGACTTCCTTTTCAGTTGACATTAATCTATTAACTAGCACCTTTAGTACTGCCATTAAATCAGTGAGGGAACCAGCCAGTGGTGTTCTTTGCAGTCCAGAGCAGTCTCTCTTGGACATTACTCTTCACTTTGTCCAAGGCCCTCTTGAAATCCAGAATCAGTATATCCACTGGATTTCTCTGGTTTTCAGCCCAGTACCCCTATCATAAAAGGGAATGAGGTTACTCTGCCATGACTTGTTCTTATAAAACTGTGCCAGTTTCTTTTGAATGCCTCTTCCTTTTTGAAATGCTCACACATCTTCTGCTTGATGACATGTTCTAAAATCCTGTTGGGGATTGATGTTAGACTGGTGTGATTATTATTTGTGACAGCCACCTTCTTTTCCTTTGAGACAGGGTCTCACTCTGTCGCCAGGCTGGAGTGCAGTGGTGTGATCTTGGCTCATTGCAACCTCTGCCTCCTAGGCTCAAATGATGACAGGCACATTCTTTTCCTCTTTAAGGAATATGGAAACTAGATGGGCTTTGTTTTCACTCACCTTACCCACCTCTTCTACACCTCTGTTTCCACGAATACTTTTCTCTTTGTCACCTTTCCCAGAAATGGACTGACTCTCTCCTTCCCATTCATTCAGAACACTGCCCTCAGTTTTCCTAGGTGAGAGCTACTTCGTGTGGTAATAGGTCCTAATGGGCTAACATGTTTTTGACAATGAGTTTCTTTTTCCTATTCACTTTTTGAGCAGGGCCTAAGTCCCAATGTGTGATTAGAATGGTGGTAATTTGGGACACCATGGCAGGTTATTAATGTAGTGTGGATGGTGAAAACCTTTCTCTCAAATAGGTGGCTGCCCATTTCGACTTCATATATGGCTTTCTGCCAATTGTGTTGGGGGCGATTTCAAGTCAGATTGATTGGCTAATTGCTTGTGGTCATCTGGCTTTTTAGCTGCTTGTATAGCATCCGTGGAGGTAATTAGCACTTCCAGAATTGGGGGTGAATTGGAGTTATTCATGGTCATGGCTTTTGGAGTGGGAGCAGGGGCTGCACTCGCTTCTAGTTATGAGTGAATCATTTTTACTTTAAAATGATTACTGAGGATTGATGAGTTTCTTTAACAATTAAAAAAATCCATTATGGAGGAGTTTGATATACAATTGCCTTCTAGAGCCATTTAAAGTGGCCAGTTGGGTTCTATATATTGTGCGATAAACTCATTGGTAGGAAATAGCTTCAAAAGTGTTGAGCATTTTCTAAAAGCGACTGGAATTTCAATTGCAGCCCTGTACCAGCACACATAGTGGAATATTTTTCAGCCAAGTGTTAATGTTAAAGAATATATAATACATTTTTCATTTAAAAATTTCTTCATATGTAAATGTCATGTAAAAGCCACTGGTATCTGACAGTGATTCCCAAATTTAGAATCATCAGAATGTCAAGGTGATTTCTCCCTTTTAAAAACAATGTTCCTGGGCGATTTATAGGACGGAGAACAACCAAGCAGAACATCTCAGGACTGCCATTTCCTCACGTACCTGGCATTTGTCAGTGTCAATCAGTACTGAAATTCAACCTGTGGCAGTAAAGCAAAGCCGAGAGTCATCTGCTTATTTTGACTGTTCCTTTTTCATAATTAAATGGGAGCTGATGTTATCATCTTTGGAAGATCCAGCTTGAGGGTGACTTGCTTTTGCAATGCAAATAAACAGTAGGCCTGGGCCACTGCCGAGCCTAGGGCTGAGAAGCCTTGGCCCAACCAGCTGTTGTAATCCAGTTGTTCCCATGCTGTTCAGGGTGGTCCTCCAATCCTTTGACCTGCTGGCTGGGTTGTACAGCCCTCATCTTAGAGGTTCTTCCAGTTTTCCCTCTTTCTGTGTTAGATTCTCAGCCTTGACTAATGGCTGGAATTTATGGAAGGCTAGAAGGGAAAGGCAATAATTTCTCTCCTCTGTCTTCCCAGTGATCAGGAAGACCTACCGTCTATTTCAGGATGGGGGTGGGGTGGGGATTTAGGGAGGACATGTTTTAGATTATTCTCTCTTGAATTCTTGCTTTAGGGCTTCTCATAAAGGAGGGAGCAGTGTCTGAGACCTACCATGTCCTATCTCTCTGATCAGAGCTTCCAGCCTGCCTCCTCCACTTCCTGTGTTTAGCAAGTTTGATTTTTACTTTCACTTGCTTTTCTCTTCTCAGCCTGTCTCCTCTCCCTGACTAAATGGGTCCGATTTTGTTTCCTAAAAGGAGATTAAATTGCTCTTTGCTGGAAAAGAGAAACAAACAGTCGCTTGGGATGCTGTGTGTGTGTGTGTGTGTGTACACGCGTGTATGTGTTGGTAAAGGGTGCTCAGATGGGGAATGTAAGGCTTCTTGTTGGAAGTCTGTTTTCAATCCTAATGGCTCTTTTCATCCTAAAACTGTTTGGGTTCAAATCCTGGCTCTGCCTCTATGTGACCTTGGGCAAGAGCCTTATCCTCTTAGACCTTCATGTTCCCCGTCTTTAAAATGGGGCTAATAGAAGACTCTACCTCACATAGCTGTAGTCAGGATCAAGTAAATAAGCTGGGAAAAGGTGGGATGGAGGTGGTGGCAGTGGTACCTTTATTGTCACCCCTGTCATCCTTACCAGCAGACAGAACTGAGGGAAGTTGTTTTTGTTTTTGTTTTTGTTTTTCCTGAGGATCCAGTATTTGATCCAGAGGAAGTTGCACAACCTATCTAAGCCCAAACTGTTTCTGTCCCTGGAGACCAAGCTAGATCTTCTGGGGGCGGGGGGCAAGGGGGCGGTTGGTGGTGAATCAATCAAAGAGCTGTCTTCAGGAGTGGGAAGTGTCATGAGAATAAACAGCTGCTCCTTCCACCCTGCACCCACTCCTGCTGCTAAATTACTCTAGGGAAGAGGAAACCAGTCATCAAAGGCTTCTGCCACCTGTGCACAGCTGGTAGTTCCTGAGGTCACCCTTATAGTGGCTAGAGGAGTTTAGAAAGTATCCACTGGGTCAAGACACTGATATATCCATTTCCCAAAGGCCCAAGGACTTGCTGCCCCCTCCATCCTCCATTCTCAGAGCTGGAAAGCTCCTTTGTAAGGTGGGACCACAACTAGTACAAACACACTTTGTAAGTTGGACACACAAGGTCTTCCACAGTGCCATTTTGGGAACAGTATCCCTTGAGAGATTCTCAGTGGGAAAGGCGTAGGACCAGTCTTTCTTCCTCCTTTCCCTCTAGCCTTCTCTTAAAAAGGAAGAAGAGAAAGTCATTCTTCTTGAGCTACTTGCTGCCAAGTGTCATTCTCCCAGGGAATCCAGGCTGTTTCAGCCAGACTTCCCTTTTCCTGGCTTTAAGGTTACCAAGCCAAGTGGAAGTATACAAGGCCCAAAGGTAAAGTTCCTGTTCCAGATGGGGCAGAGTAGCCGGCGACTGCTAGAGGGCAGCAGAGGGCCAGGAGCAGGTCTAGAACTGCTTAATGGCCAGATGGCAACCAGACTACTGCCAGAGCAAAAGACGTCAGAGGTCCCTCATTGTTGCGGGGAGAAAGAAGTAGGATGGTCCCTAACCAGGAGAGACAGGCACATCCAGGAAATGTTAACATAACATGGCGGAGACACATCACAGAGCAGGCAACTGGGTTGGTATACAGTGCAACATATCAGGGTAGGCAGGGCCAACGTTTTAGTAAAAGAAGAAAGAAAGCATATTTGCCATAAAGATCAAGTCAGAACCAGTGCTACGGTCAAAGTTCAAGTCAAGGTTGAAAAAATCAAGGCTCAAAAGCTAGAATTGGACTGATTCAGCTCAGTTATTTATTGAGTATCTTTCAAGAAAGGCACAATAATGGAATAGTTAAGATCATAGACTTTGGAATCACATAGGAACTGGGGTTTGAATCACTGCTCTGCCATCTATTAGCTAAATGACTTTTTGTCAAGTTACTCAGCCTGTCTGCACCACTTTGAAATCATATGTACAGATGCTAAAGAAATGTTTGCTGAGCAAATCACTTTTATCCAGAGGTGTTTCTAGAAGGATTGGGGTTACTGATTGTAGCTCCCCACCTCAAAGTTCTATTCCATTTGGTTTAGTACTTGTTTTTGTCCCTTGTTTAAGATGAG
This sequence comes from Homo sapiens, assembly GCF_000001405.40. Lineage (NCBI taxonomy): Eukaryota > Metazoa > Chordata > Mammalia > Primates > Hominidae > Homo > Homo sapiens. Next base: position 133,921,334 of record NC_000023.11, on the reverse strand, counting down.
TGGAGTGGCTACCGGTGCTGCCTTGGTTCCCAGCCAGCAAGGACCTGATTGGTAGTGGGGCATGAATAGAGCTAAGAGGGGCCCGGAGACCAGAGGAGAGAAACAATACCAAAGTTTCTGGGAAGAATTCTGAGATCAGTTAATTCATGTGCAAATCAGGAAGACAGAATATTCTGACTTATTCTAAAATGGTATTTTCTCTATATTTTCATAACCTTGTAATAGAAATAGCTAAGCTAAAAGAAAATCTGATTAAATGAAATGGCATTTTATGAGTCTTGAGTGAGGCAAAAATTTGGATTATCTTGTTAAACTTAAGTGAGCAAGTAAATGCAATGTGGTATTGTGAATTAGAGCCTGGGACAGATAAAGGACATTAGTGGGAAATCTGGGGAAATCCAAATAAAGGTGGTAGTTCAGTTAATCATGTTATACCCATGTTTATTTTTAAATTTTGACAAATAATCCATGGTTATGTAAGGTGTTAATATTAGGGGGAGCTGGATGAAACTAATTTTGCAACTCTTATGTAAATTTAAAATTATTTTAAAATAAAAAGTTTTAAAAATTAAGTAGCCGAATCTCTTACCATCAACAGTGATTAGCTCTGTTTTGGTTTTTATTTAATTGCACTGTGTCTGAAGACGTTTTGAAAATACATAGGATTGGGATAGGGATTAGCATATTTCTACTATATACTCAGTTTTGAACTCTGCCCTTTTTCCTCTTAACAATATACATGTGTATTTTCATATTCCAATAAAAGCTCACCTAAATGTGATTGTTAATATGTATAATGTATTTAACCAGCCCCTTATTGATATACATGTAGGTTGTCCCCAATTTTATGCTAGTGTAAATAATGCCACAGTTATCACCTGTGTACACATATTTTTATGCTCATTTCTAATGTTTCCTTGAGGGTAAAGACCTAAAAGTAAAATAATTGAGGAATATGAACTTTTAAAAAGATCTTGATGCTTAATGTTAAATCATCCTCCAGAAGAATTTGATCAATTTATATACCTATGAGCAGTGTGTGGTGTCTGTGCCACTACCTCCTTTTTCCTAATTGAGTCTATTAGGAAAAAGCATCTTTCTGCTTCATGTACTTGCTTTTAACTTAGCTCCTTTCTAGGAATTTCAGTTTCTTTCTTTTTCTTTTTTTTTTTTGACAGGATCTTACTCTGTTGCCCAGACTGGGGTGTAGTGGTGTGATCAAGCTCACTGCAGCCTCGATCTCCTGAGCTCAAGTGATTCTCCTGCTTCAGTTTCCTAAGTAGCTGGGACTACAGGCATGTGCCACCATGCCTGGCTAATTTTTTTTTTTAATTTTTAGTAGAGATGAGGTCTTGCTGTGTTGCTCAGGCTGGTCTTGAACTCCCGAGCTCAAGCAGTCCTCCTACCTCAGCTTCCAAAAGTGCTGAGATTACAGGTGTGAGCCACTGTACCCGGCAGAATCTCAGTTTCAACTCAGATTTTTTTTTTTTTTTGAGACAGGATCTTGCTCTGTCACATAGGCTGGAGTGCAGTGGCATGAACACACACATCGAGGTCGAGGCTCACTGCAGCCTTGACCTCTTGAGCTCAAGCAGTCCTCCTGCATCAGCCTCCTGAGTAGGTGGGACCACAGGGGCAAGCCACCTATGCTTGGCTAATATTTTTTTTAAATTTTCACAGAGATGGGATCTCCCTGTGTTACCCAGGCTGATCTCGAACTCCTTGGCTCAGGCAATCCTCCCACCTTAACCTCCCAAAGTGCTGGGATTACAGGTGTGAACCACCATGTCTGGCCAACCCAGACTTAGCCCTCTCTTCCTTTACCCTTTTACCATTTTTATATGTAATTCCTTAACGTGGTAGCTATGTGGGATATTATCTTTTTAAAGAATATATCTTACTGACATGTAACAGGAGATTCTCTTTGTCTTTTACATTATTTCTGGTAATATTATGAAATTCACAGACAATGTTTTTATATTTACATATACACACTTTAATGTCACCGAAGGGAAGGGGTTGTGAAAACAAGTGAAAGTTGAAGTTTAGGGAATCACTACCTACTGGAGTTGGAGAGCACCAACTTGGCATGACTTGGATTTACTAAATGTACCATTGCCTAGCACTGTACTCCTCACAGGTAGTAAGTACCTTCTCAATAAACAGGACGAACAGCTGAAATCTGCAGTGGTGCAATGGAGGCAAAAGGGTCTAGAATGTTCTTGGTGGTGGGAATGCCATTTCTGCTCCTAGTTCACTGTGTTGGGTCTCATTTGAATTCAGGGACCTTGCTTAGCACCTGTGCTTCTGGAGGAGAGTATCCTAGCTGGGTTGCTGGCCTCTTCTGCAGCAGGGACTGCTCTGTCAGAAAATGAGCTGCCACTGCAGTGGAGGTGGTTCTTTCCGCTTCTGTCGCCCTTCACAGTCTCAGCTCCTCTCGTATTTATAAGACTGCTTTAATAGTCTTGTCTTGTAATTACATCTGGAGACAGGAGACAGCATCTTTTGATAGTTCAAGTCCTAACGCATTTAAATTGCCCTCCTAATGCTATAAAAGAGTCAAATTATATATTCTGGTTTGTACTAGATAGCAATAAATGTCAAGGTGCCATCCACTCTGGTATTTAACTCCTTGCTGCCATCTGTTTTGGTGCTCTTCACATGGACCATACACTAGTGTTTTCCTATCTCCTGGCACGAAAGGATCAAGTTGGGAGATAAATCTCACTATTCAAAATATATTAAAAGGCAGAGGCAGTTTGTAAACATTGCTTTGGAAAGCTAGGCGTAGCAATAAAGTCAAGGACAGGAACCTGATTTAGTAAAGGAAACATTTCACTAGATTGTCATCCACTTTATTTTTAAAGCTGCAATAAGATGTAACGATAAAAAGGCCAATGATGCATTTCAGCCAAGTGATATGAACTCTTGCTAAACCAATTAAACTGTCAGTATACTATGGTTTCAGTTTCTATAACATACTAGGTCACCTTAGAATACTTAGTCACGTATGACTTTTTACCACTGATGCAAAATCAATTTGGCAATTTATAATCTTACATTTCATTATGAAAGTATATTATTCTACAAGAAAGCTGCTGGAAAAATGAGATATTTCTGAAGCCCATTCACTCCTCTCCTGCTTAAGTAGTCATAAAAGAATAAAACCAATCATGTTATCTGATGTTTTGAGAATTCTAGGTAGTTTTTTATTTATATGATTTTTTTAAAAAGATATACGAAGTATACAGTTTCTAACCCTGGATACAATTTTGAATGTTGGATAAAATTGTGGACATTAAAAAGTAAAAATTTTGATTAAAGAGCTCACTTTTTCACCTACGTTTTTCAATTTTGTAGTGTGTGGACAGAAAGAAAACTTTGCTTAAGTATGCCAGAGGGTGGGCTTTTTTAGTGTCCTATATTTGAGGTTTTGAGCTCCAGCTCTCCTCAAAGGGATAGAGCAGCTGGTTATTCATATTTAATACCATCACATTTTTCAATTTTGGTGTTTGGAAATTCTGAGTTATAGAATGATGAACCAGCAGTATTTGAGAGGTGGTGGGGAAACAGAAAAAGGAAGAGTTGGAGACTTTTATTGTTATTACTGTAATTTTTTAAAAAAATATCTTCCCTTTTTCTCTCTAGGACAAATGTAACACTGCTTTTTGAAAAACCAATGACAGTCATAAAACACACATGACAGATCCTTAGTTTTAGGTGCTCATTAGTACAGTAGGGGACAGATCTGTTCTTATACTCTCATATAGCAAACAAGAACATAATTAACATTGACTGTATAGCCCTTTACTTCTGCTATGAGCTCAGTGAGGATTTTCTTTAACTGCATTAACACTGGACCATTTAAACTTGAGGTTTTCATCTTTTTCAGTTTAAGTCATGGTTACAGAGTTGGCAGGGGTATCTACTATATTAATTTAGATTCAGTTGGGATCAAGTATGTCTAATTTACATATGATACAAGGACTGTGGGCCACTCAGGCATTTGCCTGCCTCCATTGTTTCAGGTAATTCCACTGTCATTGGTGTATCTCCTATTTGTATATTCTTTCTCAGACTCCAGTCTGAACACATGGAACACATTGAACAAAAAGAGAAACACAGAGCAGGAATTGACTAATTGAAATGAGACTCATTTCACACTTTCTTTCTTGCTGAGAAAGGTATTAGAACGACTTTCTGTGTGTTAAGTATGGAGATAGGCATTTGCACCTGCACTGTCTCATTTAAACTCACAACAACTCTTTAGCGTAGGTAATATTATTCTCTACTTTAGAGATGAGGACTGAGGCTCAGGGAGATTAAGGAATTTGCCATGGACATAATGCTAGGAAATGGTAGAGTTTAGTTTCCAATTCAGGACTTTCACTCTAATTTCAGTGTTCTTTTGGCTCCATTGGGGTTATTTATTATTATTATTATCATCATCATCATTGAGACAGGATCTCACTTTGTCACCCAGGTTGGAGTGCAGTGGTGTGACCATGGCTTATTGCAGCTTTGATTTCCTGGGCTCAAGTGATCCTCCTACCTCAGCCTCCTGAGTAGCTGGGACTACAGGCATGTGCCATCACACTTGGCTAAATATTTTATTATTTGTAGAAATTGGGTCTTCCTGTGTTACCCAGGCTGGTCTTGAACTTCTGGGCTCCAGTGATCTCCCTGCTTTTGCCTCCCAAAGTCCTCGGATTACGGATGTGAGCCACCATGCCCAGTCTATTTATTATTGTTGATACAATGAAGTCTTGATAAGCCAGACTACTTAGGGAATGGTAATATACCCTATGGGGGGGTTAGACAGTGGGAAAATTAACAATTTTGGCTGTTTTTAAAAAATTAATAATGTATTGGTATAATACCTGTTAACTTTAGAAAATTGAAAAACACAGATAAGAAAATTATTCACCCATAATACTAAGACCTAGAGATAACTACTCATAACAGCTTAGTTAACAGACTTTTTAATAGAAAAAAGTGTATATATACTTTTTAAAAAGTCTTGTAGTATACATACCATTTTATACCCTGCTTTGTAAACAACCTAACAATATATTGTGAACATTTTTTCCGTATTATTATGTGGATGCCAATGCCATTTTAATGGCTATGCAATATTGTTTGAGTGTACTGTCATATATTTAAACAATCCTTTTTTTTTTTTTTTTTTTTGAGACAGAGTCTCACTTTGCCACCCAGGCTGGGGTGCAGTGGTGTGATCTCGGCTTACTGCAACCTTCGCCTCCCAGGTTCAATCGATTCTCCTGCCTCAGCCTCCCAAGTAGCTGGGATTACAGGTGTGTGCTACCACGCTGGCAATTTTTTTGTATTTTTAGTAGAGACGGGGTTTTACCATGTTGGCTAGGCTGGTCTTGAACTCCTGGCCTCAAGTGATCCACCCACCTCCCAAGGTGCTGGGATTACAGGCTTGAGCCACAATGCCTGGTCAACCAATCCATTGTAACTATCTTAATGAGAATCAGTCTGCTGGTTTGAGAGTATCTGTCTGATGTCACAATGTCTGGTAAAGTAGTGGCTTCTTAAAATGTTCAGAATATGCATTTCATTATTAGGTAGCTATGATTGAATGTACATAATGTTGCAGACTTCTTTTTCAAGATGCTGGTTTCCTAGGACATGGCCCAAAAGCCTAACTTTTGAAACTTTTGCTTAGACATCCACAGGTAACACTAAGCCAGAAACCCCTGATGGGGAGTTAAATGCATGATGACCAAACATAATGTATGTATTAGGGGAAACAGAAACACTTTTTTCTCTTGAATTTTCATTGGAAGTGTCCTCTGGGTTGAAGTACTAAAGATTCAGGTTAAAAGACAATTATGACCAGGCACCGTGGCTCACGCCTGTAATCCCAGCACTTTGGGAGGCTGAGGCAGGTGGATCACCTGAGGTCAGGAGTTCAAGAACAGCCTGGCCAACATAGTGAAACCCTGTCTCTACTAAGAATACAAAAAATTAGCCAGGCGTGGTGGTGGGTGCCTGTAATCCTAGCTGCTTGGGAGGGTGAGGCAGGAGAATTGCTTGAACCCAGGAGGCGGAGGTTGCAGTGAGCTGAGATTGCGCCATTGCTCTCCAGCCTGGGCAACAAGAGCGAACCTCCATCTCAAAAATAAATAAATAAATAAAAAGACAATTATTTTTGTTAAATTGGTGTTGTGACTGTTAATCAATCATGGTACATCCATACAATGGAATATTATGATGCTGTTAACAATTATGCTTTCAAAGAATATTTTATGGTAAGAAAAAATGATCTTTTATGAGCCAGATGATGATACTTGTTAAAATTTTATAAAGAAAAGAATATAAAACTTTATATATATATATATATATATATATATATATATATATTTCCAGTTTGATGAAAAAATACATAAGCATCTATGCTGCATTATCTGGTTGTTTTTTTTTTTGGCATGGTGGGCTAAGAGTTAATTTTTGTTTCTCTTTTTATTTTCTGAATTTTTCAAAAAATTATAGTGATATATATCTTTTGCTACAAAAAAGAAATAATCATATTTGAGTGAGGGAAATATGAAACCATTACTTAATGCTAAAACTTTTAAAAAGTAACATTTTTGATTGTTAACTAAGTGCTAACTATACTGTACTAGCATATTAGTCTTTACAGCACCTCGAGGAAGGTACCATTATTGTCCATTTGAGGAAGTCATTTGCTCAAGACCACACAGATTGGATGGGGCAGAGTCAGGATTTCAACTTGGGTCTGTTTATTTCCAAAGACTGTGTGAGATAAAATATAATGGGGTCAAGAGACAGGAGGCTTATTTTTTCTTAACCAGTTGCAAACCGAGCAGTCTAAGCAGTACTGGGACGAGAAAGTACAAATTGAGAGCCAGGGTATAGGTATAGGGCATTTATGCTGGTGAAACCTGGGAGGTCCTTGGGTGCCAGAGGTTAGCCCAGGGGCTCTGAATCCCTGGGGCTGATAATATCTAGCCTCATAGCTCTATTGTGAGGATTAAATGAGACAATTCATGTAAAGGGCACATGATACAGGCTTGCTCAATAAATAGTAGCTAGTATTATTATTTCTCTTATTTAGGACCTTGCTTGTTATAGGGATTAGAGACTCCCAGAAGCCTGAGGCAAGACATGTTTACCCTAGTGAATCCTGTCACATCTTAATAGTCCTCAAACATTCCTCACCATTGAAATGCCTTTTATTTGAACCTTTCAAATAAACAAGCCTTAATCAGCTTTGTGGGCCCTACCAGCTTTTTTAGAAAACCTCTCTGCTTTTGGGGTGGGGCGGTATTTATTTACTCACTGAAAATAGGGACTTTGTGTAATACAAGGGAAGCAGGAGGTGATTGGTTTGGAGTTAATAGGCAAGCTTTTTTTTTTTTTCTCTTTAACTTGAGGAGGCTTGATTGGGTTATGCTCCCTAAAGACTCTTGGAGAGTCTGGGAATTTTGAGAACAAAAGCTCTGCAGGGAGGCCACCAAAGAGAGCAGGCTCTCCACCAATCTTTGTATGTTCTTAAATTTTTCATTCTATTTCTTTCCTCTCTTCAGTCCCTAGAATAGAGTGGCTTTATCTTGAAGCCATGGAGATTTACGAAACAACCAAGGTTGGCCTCCCTTTGTTGAGCTTATGAAAGCCATATTTAGATTGAGGAGGAATGTGTTTTTCCCTTGGGAGGCCCCTCTATACCTGCAGCCATCAGAAATTCCATATTAAAATCCCACGTTTAAGTCTTTACAGCTAAAGTCTGTTCTTGCATGTCTGGACCAGGTCCAGCTGTCAGACTGAGATATTATTGACTTTTTCTTCTCAAGTGAGTGGTTTACATCTGTTGGCTCCATTTCTTTACCACTAATTCTGAAACACCTTGTAATCTGACTTCTGCCACTGCCTCTCTGCTAAAATTTTGCCCTTGCAGGTTACCAGCAACTGACTTTTTGCTAAATTCATTGGCACTTATTTTTCCTCATCCCTTTCTTCTCCATGGATGTTTCTCTTCCCTTGGTTCCAGACACTACATGAATTTAACTCTCCTCCTACCTTTCTGAGTATTCCTTCTCTCCTTTGTGATGGAAAGTCTTCTTCCTCTGCCTCTCCTATGCAAATGTGATTGTTCCCCAAAGGGGTGCAGTGCTCCCTTGTCTCTCTACTCTTCATTCATTCTCAGAGCTTCAACTGCTTCCTCAATGCAGTTAACTTCTCCAGTTCTGACTTCTTACCCATGCCTAGTCCTATTTTTTTTTTTTTTTTTTTTGAGACGGAGTCTCCCTCTGTTGCCCAGGCTGGAGTGCAGTGGCACGATCTCGGCTCACTGCAACCTCTACCTCCCGGGTTCAAGCAATTCTCCTGCCTCAGACTCCCGAGTAGCTGGGACTACAGGCGTGCACCACCACGCCCGGCCTAGTCCTATATTTCTTACTGCCTAATAGTAATTAAAACTATCTTTTATGAGCCAGACATTGTGATATGTGCTTTATATACATCATCTGTAATCCTCACAACACTCTTCAAAGCAGATAGTCTTAAGCCCATGTTATAGACAAGGCAGCCAGTTCAAATAAGTTATAAAAGTTTTTATTTTTCCATTTCAATCTCTTAACATTAATTGAAACTCAGCAAGTCCAAAAGAGAATTCCTCCCTCTCTGGGTCCTAACTAGCTGTCCTTCTCACTTTAAGGCAGTGTCATTCTCCCACCTTCTGTTATATCACTCACAGGCTGAGAGGATTGAAAATCAGTCAGGCAATTGCTTTGGAATAACACGCACCCCCCTTCCCCCACCAAAAAAAAAAAAAAACCCAATTCCTTCAAAATCTCCCAAGCCCAATTCATTGCAACCCCAAATCTTGAAAATTAAAGTTTAAGCTATCATACAGTGAGCAATCCTCAACCATTATGAGAGCTAAATCTGATAGCTTTCACATACTGCGTGCTCTGGGCTGCCTAGGGTTAAGCATAATTCTCAGGATTTAGCTGTGCTTTCTTCAATCCTTAGGACTTGCTCTTCCCAAACGGGACCTTCCCATAGGCGGGGCTGCCCTAGGTTCTGTGTAGTTCGCCTTGCACAGGCAGTAATCCCACCCCTCCTGTGTAGAAGCTAGAAAGCCTATTGAAATGTGAGTGATTTAGCAATGGTATTTCTATATAAAGGTGTGACTTTCAATTCACTTTTTTTTGTAAAGAAAATTACTTACAAATGATGGTAGTTAGTATTCATAACAGCTGATGCAGAACACTTATTCACAGCTGATCTGGACATACCAATGTGTTGAGACAATGATTTTGAAAACCACTTCCACAGATTATTAGGGAAGGCCCAAATGCCCATCAGTGAGGGTCAGCTTTCATTTCTGTGTGGCATATTTGCCTAATGCTACAAAATTTTAAACTTGATACTACTCAAGAATCAGAGAATTGAGAAACTGAGCATTTTTTGAAGGCTGTGACAGGATCACCAGGTGACAACATCTCATTGAGATGTTGCACATGCCAAACCAAATGCTTTACTTGGGCTGTTTTTACTCCACTAGCATCTCTGTGACTCCTTCATTTTTTAAAGCGGAAATCTACCATAGCTGCCATCATTTTCAATGGGAGGAGTACAGAAGGTCAAAAGTTCAGTTATATACTGTTCTTGTGAAGTCAAGCTACAAGGAAGTATAGCCCCATTGGGAAATTTCGGTTATCTATTTGGTATGTCAGTTTCTTCTATTAGTAAGGTATCTGTGCCCCAAATTGTAGTGACACTACTATTTAATCAGACTTGACTAGGATGGCAGCATAGAGTTGAAAGAGAAACTCAGATTAGCCTTTGGTGACTTGTCTTCTTAATAAGGAAATTAGAACATACCTTTTAAAAAAAATCTGAGCGCCTGGATATTTAATCACTGTCATGAAAGGAAGATAAAAGGCTGATGTGTTTTCCAGGATGTTAACCTGTATCGAGTTGAACAAATGTGTAAATTAGTCCTATATGTACTGCATATAGACGTGATCTGTTCACAACTAGCACAGTACCTAGCATGTATTTGAGGCTCAATGAAAATTTGTAGAATGTTAATTTGTTACTTTAGCAAAACAAAGATTAAAAAGTACTGAATTATTAAGAAATGTCTCCCATAGTAGTTAGCATAAATAAAAGTTTGATCAGAGCAAAATCTAATTTGCAAAGAAGGTCACAGAAATGCTTATGTTTTAAGGAAAGCTTTATGCTAAAATGTAAAATATTAACAGTATCTTACAGGGCACTTTTTTTCTTCCTGAACATAGTACAGAGAGTGTTTTCACATTTAGCACATACCAATTGGATGAAAGACAGTGGGGAGGAGGTGAGGTTGAACACAGGGTCGCTTGGAAGCATCACTCCATCTGGACACAGATCATGGAGGACCTTGCATCAGATTCATTTGGGGACTCAATATTCTCTTGGGCTGTTCCTGAAATTCTTGTCCTTCAAACAAAGAGTTAGGCCTGATGCTAGTTAGAATCTGATCAGCAACTAGGGTTACATGTGATGTTCTATGCTCCTCAGAGAAAAGTAATTGAATAGAAGCCTACTAACAACTAGCTTTCCCCATAAATTGGTAGTCAATGCAATTGACAGATGGTTGTAAGTGCCTTCTTTGTGCTTAGATTGTGTGATGCCTTCTGTGAAAGTTTGAGATGTGGTCCTTGTCGCAGAGATGCTTAAAGGCAAGATACTCACAAATGAAATAGTTAAATAACAGTACAAGGTAGTTTGAGAATCATAGTTTGAGAAGGAACTATGAAGATCATTTAGTCCAAAATTTCCATTTTCAAAAAAGTTAAGCTCAGATTAGGAAGTAGAATTTCCCAGGGTCTGGAAGACAATTGGTAAAAGCTGGAACTAGCACTCAAGTCTGCCTTTTTTTTTCCATTCTGTTATATACATGGTTATATGATGTTTTGACATGCTTATATTGATCTGCCATTTTGATGCTGGGAACTTTCTGATGAGACTGTTTTGATATGGGGGTGCTTCTACAACAGCTGCAAAACAAACCAATAAAACATTCCACTACTTTTTTTTAATTTTTTATTACCAAGTAATGTGCAAAACAGACAGACATGCCCCAGCCCTCAGTTTCACCTCATCCCCCAGCCATGAGGATGGAGATCAGGGATAAGGTGGGAGTAGGGGTCAAAAATGGAATGGGTGTCATGGATGGGGTGAATCTCAGAGAAGAGATGAAGGATGGAGTAGGGGGTCAGGCACCATCTGGCAAGCAAAGCACACATCTCCAGGAGCCATATGTTTCCCACACTTGCTCATCTTTGAAAGGCCATTAATCATTTTGGGCATAGTATCTGCTCATTCTCTGAGAATTCTCTTATTTCTTGAATAGTCTGTGTCTTAAAATTTCTGATTCCAAACCTTCAAGAGACAAGATTCTAGAGTAGAGGAGTATGTTTGCGTCATAGTATGGTCTCATATACTCAGATCCAGGCTTCACTGGGAGTCCTTGAGTCAATGTCTGTCAGTTCTGTCATTAATATTCCCTGTAAAACCCCATGAAAAAATAATATGCATCTGTTATTTTTAAAATCGTAAAACTTCGATATTCTGATGGTTTGAGGGAATAGGTTTATTAGGCTCTTTAGAGGTTTATCTTTTTTTTAATACCAAACAAACTTAAAAATACATCTGTTTCCTGATTATACATATATGAATTTTTCACTTCCTCAAGGCAGTTTTTCATATGAAATTATTCTTTAAAATTTACTTCTGAAATATGGAGAATCTAAAGGCAAAAAGGAATGCGTAATCTAAAACATTCATATTGAAGAAAGTAGAAAGTGAGAGTTCCCTGTAATTTGGATAAGGGTTGAGGAAAAAGTATCAGACAGGTAAATGATAAACAGCTCCTAGTAGTCTGTTTTTATCATGGCTGCATCATGATGGCTGAATCAGAACAACCATGCCAGAATGTCAAATATAAATATGTCTTGATTTTAGCAGAACATTTGAGAGTCTTCTGTAATATCCTTGTGCATAGATTGTGAAATTTGACTGCATAACTAGTAATTAGGCAGATTCACAGCTGGTTGATCAGCGGATTCAATGTCAACCTGGAAGAAAATGTTTTTAGTGAAGGGCCACAGGAACTGTTTTTTGGCTCTGCCCAAATATTCGTTTATTTAACAAATAACAGACACTTACTATATAGAGGGCACCCTACTAAGCACTGTGAGGAATACACAGCTGTCCAGATCAGGGCCCCTGCCCTAAAGAAGCAGATTGTTGATCATAATTGATCACAAAGACAGGCTTTTTGCATTGCAGATATCGCAAAGCTGGGTGGCGTAGTTCAATATATAGGATGACAGACTCCAGATTTAAAATGATCTCAACTTGTAGGAACTCTAGGTCAAAACTTACAAGACGAAAGTTAACAGTGATAGATGTAAAGTCTTGAATTTAGGTTAAGAAAATTGCATATGTACAGGATATGAGAGATGTGACTTGGCAGCAGTTTATGTAAAAAGTTCTTGGGGATTTAGTTGATCACAAGTTTAATATGAGCCAACAATGTGGTGTAGCTTATTTTTTTTTTTAAGCAAAAACAATTTTAGGCTGTATTAGAAGCATGTGTGCTGCTCAGACCACATCTGGAGTATTATGTTCAAGTATAGTCACCACATTTTATGAACATTGACAAAGTTGAATGTATCCAGAAGATAGTGACCAGGATGGGTCTGAAAATCATGTCATATGAGAAATGGTTGAAAGAAAGAACTGGGGATAATTAGCTTTTACTTTAAGCCTCGGTTTAGACCCTTCAAGTCTTGGTTAGGTTCCCTTGCTATGTGCTCCACAGTCCTCTGAACAAGCCTCATGCCTTCCCCACTAGACCAAGGACTTTGTTAGGGCAGGGTAGGGGCTCTGTGAGGACTTTGTTAGGGCAGGGTAGGGGCTCTGTGTTCACTATGATATCCACAAGACCTAGCATGGGACAGGATGTGTCCTCAGCAATGGTCAGAGAATGAGTGAGTGAAATTTCCAATTGTGAGGGCCTTACGTAAAAATGATAAAGAACTGTAGTGCCTGGCATCTATAGTCATTAAATTAAAAAACGAACAAGGAACTTAGAAGAGGTCCTAAAAGTTTTTGAATGGTGCTTTTTGTTTTTTGGCCTCTCTGACTTTCTTTTGACCTTTGATAGTACTTGATACTAGACTTGCATGTCTGGTTTAACAGGAATCTTAAAAAGTCATCTCTCCGAAAGGAGCATTTTTTTAAAATAGGAGAAAGTTCTGGCACTAGTATCAAGGAGATGCAAAAACAATGGGATACCATTTTTTACTCGAAAATTAGCAAAGGAATATATATATATATGTAACATATATAAATATATAAATATCTGCTATCAGTAAGGATTTAGTCAAATGGACACATTTGTACATTTCTGGTACAACCCTTTTGGAACAGCAATTTGGCAATCTGTATTATCAAGGGCCTAAAAATATTCATTGTTTGATCCAAGAATTTTACTTCTGGGAACTTCTCCTAAGAAAAGTCATCCTGAATACAGGGGGGAGAAAAGCTTTATGAACGGAGGTGTTTTAGGAAAACAAAAAATTGGAAACAATCAAAATGTTCCATAGTAGAGGAGTGAATGGTTATATAAACTATGATATGTCCATTTGATAGAATGTTATAAAGCTTTGTAGTTTGTAGTTTCAGAAGCATATAAAGCTGTGTATATAGTATGATATAACTGTGTGAAAACAAACAAACTGAAATCTGTACATAGATAAAATTCTATGAAGTCTTATACCACAATGTGAACAGTAGCTATTTTTCAGTGGTGAGATGATCAATTATTTTTGCTTTTTTTTTCCTATTTTCTAAATTTTTCATTTAAAAGATTTTATATTGAAGACAAATTTTGTAGTGTGCCCTATTGTGTCTAGAAATAAACCTTGTATGGTTTTGAATTTCTAGTTCAGGTCTTCAACATTCCTGTATATTTCCAGTTTATATGAAGGGACTTATGAAATTGTGAGGAAAAAACAAACCCAAACATCTTCAGGGCAAAATTGATTTTAATTCTAAAGTTAATTGAAATTAATTTTAATTCACTTTAATTTAAAACATATATGTAAACGTATGTCATGAACACTTTTAGGTCAGGGGTATGTTAAGGAATCTCACGAATAAAAGACTACAACTTTTTTTTTTTTTTTGAGATGGAGTCTCACTCTGTCGCCCAGGCTGGAGTGCAGTGGTGCGATCTCGGCTCACTGCAAGCTCCGCCTCCCGGGTTCAAGCGATTCTCCTTCCTCGGCCTCCCGAGTAGCTGGGACTACAGGCGCCCGCCACCACGCCCAGCTAATTTTTTTGTATTTTTAGTAGAGATGGGGTTTCACCGTTTGTTAGCCAGGATGGTCTCGTGTTAGCCAGGATGGTCTCGATCTCCTGACCTGGTGATCTGCCCGCCTCGGCCTCCCAAAGTGCTGGGATTACAGGCGTGAGCCACCGTGCCCGGCCAACTTTTAAAAATAAAAAAGTAATCATACCAGATTCTAGAGAGCCAGGCACCTTTTGCAGACGGAAATGAAAACGTGCCTTGCAGGTAGCAGGCACTTAATACAGTTTTGAATGGCTAGCTCCTAGAGGTGAGTAGGGAAGAATGAGAGCTTGACTGTAAATGGATACAACTGAGTGGCTGTATGTATACTGGAAGAATCTGGAAATCAGGTGTTACCTTATTACATCAAATCTGTTTTAATGGATATTTATATATTGCTCAGATATATCAAAGTTCTAGCTGTCAGACCTCTGTTGACTGTGAAAATGCATCTATTACAAGTAATTTGCACTAACCTGTGACTCTGGACATTTAATCGAGTTCAATTTACCTCTTTTATCAAAATTACAAGTTGCCTTTTTAATATCTATATTTTAATTTAATACACAGTTTACCTCCTACATGTAGAAGGCATGTTCACAGGCACATTTGATGCAAACTTAATTTCTTATGTTTTGAAGTCAATTTTGGGCTGCATATTAATGCAGCCTATCCTCCCTTCTTTCCCTAATAATGGCAGAGATATCTTGATTCTTGTCACTTGCATTTTTTTTCTTCTTTACCACTTAGAAAAAGAACACTGCAGACTTTAGGAAATAGAATGGTTTTGAGTTTTGTCCGTGATGTTGTGGGTATCAGCATTCTAGTAGGGGTACAGCCAGAATAGATCTGGTTTCATTAAGAATGTGTGGAGACAATCTAGGTTTGAAGAAAGTAGAGTTTTTATACATGTTCACGTTGCATGTCCCTGGTCTTTGTGAGTTGCAGTTCTGCTTAGCATGTAGATCTATCTCTATGAAATTAATTTTCTCCTCTGTTTTCATGTTTATGACATATTAAGGTTATTGCAGACAGTACTATTAAGAGGATGAATTTAATAAGAACGATTTCTGTTTCTTACCTACTTTTTGCCTTTTTTCTCTCCTTGTCCACCCTCCATTTTGTTTTAAATATATTCATTCATCTTTTCTTGTATCACCTTGTTTCTGTCTCAACAGGAAGCAAACCATTCTTCAGAACTGGTCAAATCCTTTTTTTTTTAACCCCAAATCCCCACTAAATGAAAAGTTTCATACGGTATTAGATTGACATTTCTACAAAGCCAAAGAAAGGAGAATCTCTGGGAACAGATTTGACATCCATTTTCTTTTAAGATGTCTTAGACTAGTGTTCTGCAGATTCAGTTGACTGAGAGATTTTTCCACATGATAACCTGAAGGTGTGATCTCCCGGGGATGGGTATTCTTAAACGGGGGATCTGGACAACTTGAAAGAAAGCTGTGAACTTCAAAGCTCCTTACACCTCCACCACAGTTAACTTTATAGTGTCACTGCTCTGGCAAATGTTAATAGCTTGATCATTTGCCTGCAGATAACTCCATTGGAAACTGTAGAGTATTTCAGTGGGGAATAGCCAGTAGGTCTTTGATCTCCATATAGATAGAGATAGAATAATTCAGAAAGAATTCTTTTGGAGTGATTTATGGCAGAGGCAGCACAATTTTATGAATGTTTCCCTCCAGTATGTCCAAAATATCTTGGCAAATATCAGTACAAGATGTACTCTTTCCATGGTTTCAACTTCTCTTATGAAATGGGGTTCTTGATTATATGGTTTTCCAACCGCTCTTTTTTCTTTAATACAATGGTTTTAAGAATAAGTACTGACAGTTAAACATGTAAACTGTTGGTGCTTGGTGAGGGGAGACTTACTTTGAAAAGAGCAGATGGTACCCCGTGGGGTGGAGACGATGTGGTAAATTTGCTTTCTTTGCTGTGTCCATAAGGTCATGTACAAATGGCCAGAAAGCAAATGAAGGTACCCTTGAAGCCGTTTGCACTTAGATGTCAACTTTCTTTCAGGAAAGACTATTTTTCTTTATTTTTGCTTTTATATAGATCTAGGCCTCAATGTTGTTTGTTGGTTTCTCTTTTTTATTGCTACTTATTTAGTGCTGCCTCATCAATGACTTAGGTTTCTCTTTGAAGTGGCTGAGTACCACCTCTATAGTTCAGTTTCTTAAGGACTCCAGTGATAAACTAGACTTGAACCAGTAACCTAGTCAGCATATTTTTCCTAAATGCCTCCTGCCTTCTCATCAACATTTTAATCTGTGAGAGGACACATGCTAGAATTACTATTGACGGGGATGTATTTTCTCCTAAGTGGCTTTGTTGGTTTTGGGAATCTTTCCTCTCTCTCTGGGTAGCTAAAGACTACCCATCTTCACAGCTAAGTCCTACCTCCTCCTCTCCATTTCAAACTGGCCTCAGTCCCATTTCTGACCTCTCAGAGCACTAACTGCCAGCCTGATAATAGTTTTAGCACTCCATTTCATTATTCCTTGGTTCTTTCTGGTGTTTTCCTTTTTACTTCCCAATTTGTTTGCGGGGCTCTGAGGGAGAGACCTTGTTTCACAGAATTATTCCTTTATTAACATGAGGTATATGGTCCAGTGACCCACTTTGTTGTCACACAGTTTGTGACCAGAGGAAGAAATGATGTAAGAAACACAGGGCTCCCAGATTTCAAAGAAAAAAAATGATGAGAGAGTGAACGGGTTGGCACTAAGCTCTCTCATTACGTATGAACTAAAATCATGTCAGATATATCAGAAAACATCAACTGGATATTGATGAGAATGTTAATGTACACTGAGTTATTTGAAACACTTCAGCTATCCTTCTACACTGTCCTCTAGATTGTATTGAGGATCTGTACCTCGGTACTGGCACGGCTGTTGCTCAGGG
Source organism: Homo sapiens (assembly GCF_000001405.40). Classification (NCBI taxonomy): domain Eukaryota; kingdom Metazoa; phylum Chordata; class Mammalia; order Primates; family Hominidae; genus Homo; species Homo sapiens. Next base: position 133,904,005 of record NC_000023.11, on the reverse strand, counting down.
CTCAGCAACTACCTGGATGAAGCTCTTGTGGCCCCATTGCTACCCTGAGCCAGGGTACCTGTGGGCCAGGTATTTGGCGACTTTCCTGCTCCTCCAATCACAGTCTTGTGTGCCTTTGCCTGTCTCCTCAGCTATTTCTGCTCAGTACATCTCGGTCAGGGTCGATCAGAAACCAGACCCAGATTTAGGTCAGTAAGGGAGAGGAAGACTGAGTGCCATAAAGGCAAGCAAGAAAGGGGAGGAGTGGGAATGATACAAGTCAGCTCCCACTTGGCTCCTAACAGTATTCCCCTTTCCTTCTCTGCCAGTGGCTTGCTGCAAAGGAAATACAAGTCTCTGTTCAGTCAAAGAGATGTACATAAAAATGTATTTATTTATTTATATTTTATTTGTTTGTTTGTTTGTTTGTTTGTTTTCAGACAGAGTTTCGCTCTTGTCGCCCAGGCTGGAGTGCAGTGGCACGGTCTTGGCTGACTGCCACTTCCGCCTCCCGGGTTCAAGCAATTCTCCTACCTCAGCCTCCCAAGTAGCTGGGACTACAGGTGCACGCCACTGCGCCTGGCTAATTTTTGCATTTTTTTTAGTAGAGACGGGGTCTCACCATGTTGGCCAGACTGATCTCGAACTCCTAGCCTCAGGTGATCCAGGCACCTTGGCCTCCCAAATTGCTGGGATTACAGGCATGAGCCACCATGCCCGGCCATAAAAACATATTTATAAGGGGGTTAACTGCAGCATTGTTTATGCAGTAAGAGCAAACAATTGGAAAACAGTCTAAATGTCTGAACATAGGGGAATGGTTATGTAGAGGACACTATGATAAAGCCATTAAAATGGGTGATTTTTTTTTTTTTTGAGACAGAGTCTCACTCTATTGCCCAGGCTGGAGTGCAGTGGCACAATCTCAGCTCACTGCAATCTCTGTCTCCCAGGTTCAAGCGATTCTCCTGCCAGGCTGGTCTTGAACTCCTGACCTCAAGTGATCTGCCCGCCTCGGCCTCCCAAAGTGCTGGGATTGCAGGCATGGGCTACCGCACCCGGCCTAAAATGGTGTTTTTAAAGACTTTTAATGACAGTGGAAAATATTCACAAAATAATACATGGGAAGAAGCAAAACATCAGGCAATATAACTAATCTCAGAACTGACTATAGTATACAGATAGAAAATGCTATAAGGAAATATACTAGAATATTAATGGAGATTGTTTTTGTGTGGTAGAATCATGGATAGTTTCTTTTTTGTTTTACATATCCTAAAATTTCTTTTTTTCTTTTTCTTTTTGAGACAGGATCTTGCTCTGTCACCCAGGTTGGGTTGCAGTGGTGCAATCTTGGCTCACTGTAACCTCTGCCTCCTGGGTTCAAGTGATTCTCGTGCCTTAGCCTCCCAAGTAGCTGGGATTACAGGTGTGCACCACCACGCCTGGCTAGTTTTTGTATTTTTAGTAGAGACGAGGTTTCACCGTGTTGGCCAGGCTAGTGTCAAAATCCTGGCCTCAAGTGATTCCCTCGCCTTGGCCTCCCAAAGTTCTGGAATTATAGGTGCACCTCCTAAAATTTCTGTAATGCAGACTTATGATTTTTATAATCAGAAAAATGAGAAGAAAATGTTCTTTGCCATAATCTTCAACCTCCAACCCAAGACATCTCACATGCCTAGATGTAGATAATTATTTTTTCTGAGAACAAAAGTAATATATTTGAATTATTAAAACTTTTTAAAAACATACAAAAATATGAAGGAAAAATAGCAGTGAATTGTCTTAAAGTGTCCTTCTTTAAATAAAACTGATTTCTTTTTCAGAAAAGCTTATTTGAAGTATCACTGTACTTTCTGTTACCTAATAAAATAGCAAAGGCTCAAATATTTGGTTAATTCAAAATATTTTAAAGCAGATTCTTTTATTTAGATGGCATCTTCATCCATGATTTTTAGAAATGGAAAGGACATTGTATATCATCTGGCCCAACCCCTGGGTAAAGTTCAAGAGTAGGTTTTGACAGTATTCTATGTCAGGCACAGTTCTAACGTCCCTGAGACTCAGCGAGTCTAAGTGACCTGCTTCAGGTCACACAGCCAGCTCTAGAAATTGGGAGATAGTACTTTGCTCCATCAGTTGTAATTCCAACGGGGAAAAACGTTTTTGACATTCTGCAGATGGTAGCATTCTTAAAAACACATACCTCAAACCTCTTTTCTGAAATAAGAAATTACCTTTTCCCCCCTCTTCAGGTGTATAACTTTAACTCAAAAATATCCAGAGATTGCCAGGCGCAGTGGCTCATGCCTGTAATCCCAGCAACTTGGGAGGCCGAGGCGGGCAGATCGCGAGGTCAAGAGATTGAGACCATCCTGGCCAACATGGTGAAACCCCATCTCTACTAAAAATACAAAAATTTACTGGGTGTGGTGGTGCGGGCCTGTAGTCCCAGCTACTCGGGAGGCTAAGGCAGGAGAATCGCTTGAACCCGGGAGGTGGAGGTTGCAGTGAGCCGAGACCGTGCCACTGCACTGCAGCCTGGTGTCAGAGCGAGATTCTGTCTCAAAAATAAAATAAAATAAAAAATGAAATAATAATAATAATAAAATCCAGAGACAAGTTAAAAAGAAATATGTGTATGTGTATATGTATGTGATATGAAATGAGCAAAGTTTTCACTTCCATGAAAAAAGGTACTTGTGTTTGAGAATGTTTTCAAATTAAAGAAAAAGTTTAATATTAAGTAAATATTTGGTATAAAAATTCACCTAGGTTAATGTCTTTTAAGCTTTTTTGGTCTACCCTCTTGCAAAGAAATAGTATTATTTGATTTACAATTAACTTCTGAATCAAATGTTAACATTTCATATGCCATTAAATACATCTATTATAGAAATGGTTCTTTTGATGAATTTTTATAGTGGCATGCTGTCGTATTAACCAGAAATACAACATTATTTTTATTATATCTGCTTCAGAAACAGAAGTGGTTAGTTTGATTCAAACAGAAATTCCTGGAAAACCCATGTGGTTTTCTTTATGAGCAATTTAAGGACACGTTCTTCCAAAGAGAGAGATGGACAATATAAAACATAATCCACTTTTAAAAATAAATTCTACTCTGTGAAAAAGTTCCCCCTGAGTGGTGCTCAGTAAACCCTTTGGTATCAGTAGTTTGTCAGCTCTAGCACAATTGGAGCTTGTGTGGGAAGCCATTTCACTCAGTGGTGGTTGCTCTGCCACCACCAAGAAGCCAGAGAACATGGGCTGTAACTGAGGAGAAGGATAACCATGAGAGAAGTAATAAGCAGACCTTAGAAAATCTTTGAAATGGTCCTAGGTAAGATCTCTTATCCTGGAATCAGATTCCCCTTCCTCCTTATCATTTTGTTGGAGGAACATTTGAGAAAGAAATGGATTTTCAGTTGACTAGGAAAATGTAAATTGATAAAAAAAAAAAGTTAAAGAAGATGAACCCTTGTATTGCTGTGTTGTTTAATCCTCAGATCTTCCACATGGAGTAAGAAATAAGTACCTGGTATTTCCTCAGGGACCATAGCTATTCAGTCTGGATGAGCTCTGACTCTTAAGAAAAAGTGTGTAGAGTTGCTGCTATGTTCTTGCTACCACCACTTGATGGTACTTCTTTATTGAAAACCCATCTGTTTTCTCATGGACTTTTTGCACAAGGCCCTCTATGTGCCAGGCAATCAATAAATATTTGATTGATTGTTATCTTCTAAATGCAAATTCAACATTTAACATTCAAATATTGAAGTTTCCCTGTGCCAAAAAACAAAGGGATCTCTGCTAGGGGGTTGCCTACTTGAATACTTTGGGCCTGCTCCTATAGGCCAGTTGGCCTGTGTTGTGTTCTCCTTCTGCGCTTTAGTTTAAGTTGAATTTAAAAACCATTAGACCGGCCGGGCGCGGTGGCTCATGCCTGTAATCCCAGCACTTTGGGAGGCTGAGGCGGGTGGATCACCTGAGCTCAGAAGTTTGAGACCAACCTGACCAACATGGTGAAACCCTGTCTCTACTAAAAAGACAAAAATTAGCCAGGCGTGGTGGCGGGCGCCTGTAATCCTAGCTACTCAGGAGGCTGACGCAAGAGAATTGCTTGAACCCAGGAGGTGGAGGTTGCAGTGAGCCGAGATCATGCCACTGCACTCTAGCCTGGGTGACAGAGTGAGACTCTTGTCTCAAAAAACAAACAAATTAATTAATTAATTAAATGAAAATAAAAACCATTAGACCATTGGTCAAATCACTTACAACCACCTAGAGATTCAGAATTTTCCAATAGCTGGTGGGAAACTTGGAATCCTGGAATTCAGTTAAACTGTTTATTGAGCATTCCTTGAGCTGTAGACTTCTGGGTTGGGTAGTGGTGGAGTGTGGGAGGCAGAGTTTACATACAATAATGATTCAGACTTAGTCCCTGTTCTCTGGGATCTTACAGTCTAGTAGAATGGGATTCATTGAAGAAGACTGATGATACGCAGTTTGAGGAAGAGACGCTTTGACCACCAGAAGAAATATGTACTGGAATTGGTTGGTAATAGCTGTGAATGTCAGGATCCTGTGGTGCTGGAACAAGGTAGATGTGTGAGTGGAGGGAGTAACAACAAATGATGTAGCAATAAATGAAAGGAGATGTCCGGAGGAAGGTAGATGTGGCCTCAGAGAAGCAGGGCTCTGTTCTGTAGTATGTGCCAATGTTGATCAGGGATATCATGATGTAAATATACACCCAGCTCTGTGTCCTACACCATATGAGACTGATGTTCCTTATAATGAACCAGAGCCATTAAATGGTTTATGTTTCATATACGGTACTTCATTTACAGAGACAAACAAATGTAAGAAATATCCATACGGCAATGTGTAAGTATTTTAAAAGTTACTTTTTATCCAGAAGATCTCAATCTGCAAATACTTAACAAGGTCAGGCATCATGGGAGATATTTAAAAAACATGTGTGTGCCTTTGAGCCGTTTACTAAGTTGAGACCAAACATATACAAATGGGAAGTTGACTCTCAGTACCAGGCAGTACAGGCCAACTGCTTATAGACAGTAACTGCTGTGGACTTCAGGGATGGCCAGCTTCCTAGGATCTTAGGTAGTCCGGAAATCTTTTCAGGTTCTTGAGCTGGCCTAAGCAGGATTTAGGTGGGCTCAACATAATGCCAGATCTGCAGAAACATTGTCTTTTGCCCTTTGGGAAGTTGCAGTGTGTGACCTGCTCTCATAAACTCCTCCCCAAAACAGGCTTATGCACTTAGCAGTAATAGATTGAACCATCAACTCCTTAAAGCACACCTGGTTGATAATTAGCTCAATCACATTGTGTTTCGGTCATTACCCTTGGATTTCCCAAGGATGAGTTTAATTCATCTCCCACATTAAAGTGAGTGCCTGCATGACCAAAACTCAACAGAATAGAATTTCTGTCTCTATTATGTCAATTTAATGCTGTGGTAATTTTATTGCAAAATAGGTATCGGTTTACAATTTGCCACCCAAATATCTGCACAGAAATTGTTACTGTATGCTGTAAAAAGATCTTTGATGGCAAAAGGCTCCCGTTTTTCCTAAACAGTACTTCATCTGAAGGAAGACAGAGGGAATGAGCTGAAACTCTGATTTGAGGAATTTGGGGTTGATAAGATCTAATATTGCTTATTCAGAGATGACTTACTCTGGTTTTATAGCTTATAAACGTATTGATGATAGATACAACCCCTTGATTCCAAGATTTTACAGAGTTTATTTTGTGTTTTAACCACACTCCCTTTGCCTCTGACCTACTGCTGGATGTGAAGGGATAAACTGGTGGTGCATATGCTATATTACCAAAGTGGGAAGGGAGAGAGGCACCTTTATTATATCGGATTACTGCCAGATGCCTAGAATGCTCAAATCTACTCACTGGTTGCTGTTTAAAAGGGAAAAATACAAATCTAACCACTTCTAGGAATGGTGCCAGATGTCTGTACTAAGGCAACCCAACTCCAGAAGGCTATAAAAATAGCCCCCAAGTAGTAGGTTCTGATTTCCCACTGAGCTGACCAATAAATCCAACAACCAGTTAATTAAAAATGCTGGGAGGGAATGTTCATCCTCCATTACCCACCTGTCCTTGTGAATACTCATCGGTTACAAATGGGAGGGTACCACTTAGTGTTTCAATGTCTGGATTAGGAAACTCTGTCCTTCTTTTTCCACAGCAACCCGGAGATATATATGGCCTTGGTGGGTTGCCTGATACCCCTACTTGGGTGTCAAGGTTTATTTGAGGCTAAAGTGATTTGAGGCTTCCAAAGAAGTTATTTTACTTGCCTAGGGGCTTCCTGGCACCATCCACGTGAGCATGTTTGGAGAGACTACCTCATCTCTCCCTTTTTCAGGCTTTGAGTTTTATTAGTCTGCTGAAATCTGATAGAAAAGAAAACACCTTGCTGCCCTGACTGCTGCTATAGGCAGAATAGCACGGTATCCTTATATACAAGGGGGTTGCTTGAAGTTGGATCTTTTATTCCTTTTAACAAGAAATTTCAACTTGATTAAACTAAAAAAAAAAAAATCAGTTTGTGATGCAAGCAAAAACGTGGATAGAATACACCATCAGTATCATCCTCATTGTTAAAATCATTAAAAGGTGCACAAAGAGGCTGGGCTTGGTGGCTCATGCCTATAATTCCAGCACTTTGTGAGGCCAAAGTGGGTGGATGGCTTGTGTCCAGGAGTTCAAGACCAGCCTGGGCAACATAGTGAGACCCTGTCTCTATTTAAAAAAAAAAAAAAAAAAAAAAAGGCCGGGCACGGTAGCTCACGCCTGTAATCCCAGCACTTTAGGAGGCCAAGGTGGGCGGATCATGAGGTCCGGAGATCGAGACCATCCTGGCTAACACGGTGAAACCCTGTCTCTACTAAAAATACAAAAAATTAGCTGGGCGTGGTTGTGGGCGCCTGTAGTCCCAGCTACTTGGGAGGCTGAGGCAGGAGAATGGCGTGAACCCGGGAGGTGGAGCTTGCAGTGAGCTGAGATCACGCCACTGCACTCCAGCCTGGGCGACAGAGCGAGACTCCATCTCAAAAAAAAAAAAAAAAAAGGTCACAGAGTAGTAGAGAGAGTATTGGAGTTGGAGTGAAAAGTTCTGGGTTTGAATCCTGTAGGTACTAGGTGTTCTCTATGAACAGAGCTCCAGCAGCTCATCTGGAAAACAGCTGTAATAGCACCTACCTCAGGGAGTTGTTGTCAAGAACAAATGAGATCATTTGTGTGGAAATGCCTGACATTTAGTAGATATTAAGTAAATATTGAGTCTGATTTAATTTACGGACTTAATATCCTTTGTTGCCTTAGATAGATACAGAAAGCATTCATGTAAAGAGAGCTCAAAGGAGGAAAAAGTGGTGATGGTGGGCAAGGGAGGCCCAAATTCACTGAGTACAAATTTGACTACCAGGAACCTACTTTCCGAAGATACCATTACTAATGAATTATATTTCTCTTGATGCTTTTGCCAACTTTTGAAAAAGAACTTAGAGACATTTTGATGGAGAACAAAGAAAAGAGATGGAACTTGAGTTTTAGTTGGGTCTGCCACCTACAATGGATGTTTCCTTTCTTTTTCTTTCTTTTTTTTTTTTTTTCTGAGACAATCTCTCACTCTGTTGCCTAGGCTGGAGTGCAATGGCACGATCTTGGCTCCCTGCAACCTCCACCTCCCAGGTTCAAGCAATTCTCCTGCTTCAGCCTCCCAAGTAGCTGGGATTACAGGCGTGTGCCGCCATGCCTGGCTAATTTTTTCTATTTTTAGTAGACGGGGTTTCACCATGTTGGCCAGCCTGGTCTCGAACTCCTGATCTCAGGTGATGTACCTGCCTTGGCCTCCCAAAATGCTGGGATTACAGGAGTGAGCCACCACACCCAGCCTTGACATTTTCTTTCTAGGGCTGTTTCCTCTATCCAATAAAAGTTGGACTGGAGAAGCACTGTGATTCTTTGCCAACACCCTAAATTCATGGGGACAGTTGGATTTTGAGTATGTATTAATTGGGAATGAAAGTTTTTATATAGAGTGAAAAGTTTGGGGAGAGGCCGCTGAGTCCAAGGGTGGAGAAGCTTAGCAAGGACAGAAATTTTTCTTGCCTGCGAGGGAACTCTCTTCGGTAATCAGAAGGCCTTCAGTAATCATGATTGATTGGGGTGGATATATAGATTGCTTTTATTCATGCTTTTGAGATGTGTGTGTGCCTGTGTCTATGTGTGTGTGTGCGCTGTTTAAAGACTTTTCTAAAGCTGAAGCTCTTATGTGATTCGCTGTGCATTAGCAGGATATGAATTATTAATTCTGCTTATACTTGATAATGAAGGCCACAAACTGGGACCCTGTTATCTGAGGGCCTAATGCATTCCTTTTTCTTCATCAAAATAGGTTTGTAAATTGTCATCAGGGCCCTGCTACCAGCCCACTAAATAACTCCTCTATCTGCTGCTACCTATGATTTCTTTAATAAGGAATGGCAGGGATACTCAGAATCGCATTCTATGAGGAAACGTTGATGGAACCGAATCTCTTTAACTTGGGACGGGGGGTGGAGATTCAGGGTACCTTGGTGGCTGTTATCAAAAACATGAAGGACTCTCAAGTCAAAGTAACAATAAACTAATTTTGGTGGCTTTAGGGTGGGAGGAGGCAGACTTGGATCAGTAGAGGAGAGATAAAGGAAGACATCTCTTTCTCAATCCAGGCAATAACTTTCCAACAACGTAAGCTGCCCAAAGAGAGAATAGGCTACTCCAAGGAAGTAGTGAAATTCTCATCATCAGTCCCCATTCACAGTTGTAGCTGGAGTGAAAAATTAGTCTATTTGAGTAGAATCTGGACTCACTTTCCTGGAATAGACCTATAGGGATTCAGTGGTCTGGTGATTCCTTCACTATACTATGAACACTTCTAGCAAACTGTATCTTATTTGTATCCTTAACACTTAGCATACAGCTTGATCATAGTAGGATCTCAGAAAATGTTTGTTGATGGACCAATTAGCTAAAAATGCACTTGAAAGTAAACAAATAGATGCTTTTGGTCCCAGGATCAATTGTATTAAATTGGCTTCCATGTAACTACAGTGTCTCACTTTTTCTTCATGTGTTTCTTTTTTCTTATTTTGAGGCAGAGTCTTGCTCTGTGGCCCAGGCTGGAGTGCTGTGGCACGATCTCAGTTCACTGCAACCTCCGCCTCCTGGGTTCAAGCAATTCTCCTGCCTCAGCCTCCCGAGTAGCTGGGATTACAGGCACGCACCGCGATGCCCGGCTAATTTTTGTATTTTTAGTAGAGACGGGGTTTCACCATGTTGGCCAGGCTGGTCTCGAACTCCTGACCTCAAGTGATCTGCCTGCCTTGGCCTCCCAAAGTACTAGGACCACAGGCGTGAGCCACCGTGCCCGGCCTCTTCAGGTGTTTCTGTGCATTTTCAGTCACACCAAACTGCTCATTAACAGCGACCTTGTCATTGTTAGAGAACTTAAACCATTCTGTTACCAAAAGACCCTTCCATATTAATATATAGAGATAAAACATGATTTTAATATTGGATAAGCATTATCAGAGTTATATGCATGTGAAGTAGTACAAAAACAACTACAAAATCTGGAAATAATTTCACACACATTCATACAAAAAAAGTAGAAGAGAGAACAATTTAAAACTTCTCATTTTCTTGAGATACAAGAGGATGCACATTGTGCCTGTCTCACTTATACCTTAGGAGAGATCCCTGAGCAAATTCTAGAAGTATTTGCATTTCCAAGGGTCAGAGGCACATGAACTTGCATTGTAAAATCAAAAGGTCAAGACTTTTAATCAGGCTGGGCACAGTGGCTCACTCCTGTAATCCCAGGACTTTGGTAGGCCGAGGTGGGCACACCACTTGAGTTCAGGAGTTCGAGACCAGCCTGGCCAACATGGTGAAACCCTGTCTCTACTAAAAATACAAAAATAAGCCAGGCTTGATGGCGGGCGCCTGTAATCCCAGCTACTTGGGAGGCTGAAGCACTTGAACCCGGGAGGCAGAGGTCTCAGTGAGCCGAGATCGTACCACTGCACTCCAGTCTGGGTGACAGAGTGAGATCCTGTCTCAAAAAACAAAACAAAGCAAAACAAAACAAAAAACAAACAAAAAACCCACTTTTGATCAGGCATATTATGTTATGGAGACATCCTAAAGAAGGGAGGGTGAGTAGGCAGGGACTTCCCTCCCCATCAAAAATTTCATCATTGCACACTTACATCGTCTGACATGATTAGACGGTGTGTGTCCTTCACAGGATCCTCAAGCTTCCTGAGGGTTAGTTCGTTTGTGCAGTGAAACATCTTCCCTGTAAGAATGCTACTACCTAGGAGCTGGAAACCTGCATATCATCACTTTATTGGTTGACTCTACCATTATTATTTTTTTAAATGAAACACTTTGAATGTGGCCTTATTAAAAACAGAATTAAATATTAGTAAATCATAAATATAATTATGTAAGTTAAATTCTAACGATAATAAAGAATAAATAAAAGACAAAAATTAAAAAATAAAAAATAAAAATAGAGTGAAGATGCTGTCAAAGGATGAAATAGGCTAAATCTAATGGGAAAATTGAATCTCTTTCCCCAAATACCTCACAGCGCAATGGCTTTAGAAACCATTGAGAAATGACAGACACTTCAACAATATAACCTTACTGAGAGCTTTCTCTTTTTTGAAACGGAGTTTTGCTCTTGTTGCCCAGGCTGGAGTGCAATGGTGCGACCTCGGCTCACTGCAACCTCTGCCTCCTGGGTTCAAGTGATTCTCCTGTCTCAGCCTCCTAAGTAGCCAGGATTACAGGTGCCCGCCACTACGTCTGGCTAATATTTGGTATTTTTAGTAGAGACAGGGTTTCACCATGTTGGCCAGGCTGGTCTTGAACTCCTGACCTCAGATGATCCGCCCGCCTTGGCCTCCCAAAGTTCTGGGATTACAGACATGAGCCACTGTGCCCAGCCCGACTGAGAGCTTAAAAAGGTGCGATGACTCTCCGAAAGACTGAGACTCAGAGATATTTGGATATCTAATAAAGTAATTCAAGATGCATATAAATCTCTGGTTTCTTCTAATTAGTGTCTTATGATTGTGGCTTTTACTTAACCTAACCTGCACCCTGATTGCAAAGGTTTTCCTGACTAGCCGGTTGTGTGGACACTGCCTGTTCACCTTCCTTTAGTCCTCTCCAAGGTATGTAAAGTTCCTCACAGGAACTTCCGAAGTATATCTACCCCCCTTCCAGCTTGACCTTCTTTCCCTTTTGGTGTGGAGTGACTTGAGGGTGTCACCATAGGAATACTGTTTTAGAGCCACCCTGATCACTATTTAGTTAAAAAAAAACAAAAAACAAAAAAGTCCAAGCATCCTGTTTGGACAGGTTGTAAGCTGTGACATTAGACCTTCCTGGTATGCAGAATGGCTTTCATCACTCTCCCACCCCATTCAGCAAGGTTAAAGGTCTCAGGAAGGTATTTGACTTGTGGCTGTAACTTGCCCTGACTGCTGAGCAATGATGGGTCTTTTCCTTGAACCACTTAGGAGGTGCCCACGGGAGCAGCATACCAGAAAGGAGTAGTGAAGGAGCAAAACTGAGCTCATTACAGCATTTGAAACGAAGAGGTCACCAAGAGGAAAGTAGAATGTACAATGAAGGGTTTGTCGATAGTTTTGGTTTTTTGAAAGCTCTGCTCCAGAAGTAAAATGGTTTTCATGGTGTTTTATTCAAAGACAGCAGAAGGAAGTTGGAAAAAAATGTAACATGTCTTAGATGAGAAGACCCTCAGAGGCAAGGACTACATCTGATGCAGCTCTTAAGAAGGGCTTTGGGCACAGAGACACTGGGCTAGGAAATACTCTGCATGCATTTGTTTATCTAACACGGAGTTTCTATGTTTCAGGCACTTGTAATTATACAATCTCATTTAATTCTCATAACAACCTGGTGAGGTGGGGGCCCATTTTCCAGATGAAGAATCTAAAGTACCTAATCTTCAAAGTTCTCACACAGATTCGCTACTTAGAGGAAGATCTTTAAAATTAATTTAAAAATTAATTTTAGTTACTTTAAAAATAATTTTTTTACTTCAAAAGCTTAAAATTTTTAGCATGCCTCAGAATTTTTTTTTTTTTTTTTTTGAGACAAGGTCTTAGCTCTGTCGCCCAGGCTGGAGTGTCGTGGCATGATCACAGCTCACTGCAGCCTCCACCTCCTGAACTTAAGCAATCTTTCCCCCTTAGCCTCCCAAGCAGCTAGAACTGCAGGCATGCACGACTGTGCCTATTATTATTATAATAATTATTTATTTATTTATTTATTTATTTTTACTTTTTGTAGAAACAGGGTCTCTCTAAGTTGCCCCGGCTGGTCTTGAACTCCTGGCTCAGGCAGTCCTTCTGCCTTGGCCTTCCAAAGTGTTGGGATTATAGATGTAAGCTCCCATGCCTGGCCCAGAATTTTTAAAATGACAACTTTATTGAGATATAATTCACATACTATAAAATTCACCCTTTTAAAATGTACATACTATTCAGTGTTGTTAGGATAGTCACAAAATTTTGTAGCTATCACCACAGTCAGTTTTGGGATATTTTTATCACCTCAAAAAGAAACTATACACTTTAGCTAATCACCCTCATATCTCCCCATCTCCTTCACCCCTAGCCCTGAGCAACCATTTATCAACTTGCGGTCTCTATATATTTCTGTATTCTAGACATCTCATCTAAATGGAATCATACAATATGGGGGCCTTTTGTGTCTAGCTTCTTTTACTTAGCATAATGTTTTCAAGCTGCCTCCATGTTTTAGCATGTATCAGAACTTCATTCCTTTTTATGGCTATATAATATTCCATTGTATGGATACCTGTATATACATTTTATTTATTTTTCTTTATTTTTTTTTAAGAGACAGTGTCCCTCTATGTCACCCAGCCTGGACTGCAGTGGTGCCATCATGGCTCACTGTAACCTTGAGCTCTTGGGTTCAAGTGATCCTCCCATCTCAGCCTCCCAAGTGGCTGGAATTACACGTACCAGTAACCATACCCAACTAATTTTTTTTTTTTTTTTTTTGAGATGGAGTTTCGCTCTTGTTGTCCAGGCTGGAGTGCAGTGGGATGATCTCGGCTCACTGCCACCTCTGCCTCCTGGGTTCAAGCAGTTCTCCTACCTCAGCCTCCTGAGTAGCTAGGACTATAGGTGTGTGCCACTCCACCCAGTTAATTTTTTTGTATTTTTAGTAGTGACAGGGTGTCACCATTTTGGGCAGTCTGGTCTCGAACTCCTGATCTCAGATGATCCACCCGCGTCGGCCTCTCAAAGTGCTAGGATTACAGGCATGAGCCACCGCACCCGACCTTTTTTTTATTTTTATTTTTGACAGAGACAGAGTCTTTCTATGTTGCCCAGGCTGGTCTTGAGTTCCTAGGCTCAAGGGATCCTCCTGCCTTGGCCTCCCAAAGTGCTGGGATTACAGGTATGAACCACCATGCCTGGCCTATATATTTTATCTATTTATTCATCAATTGATGGACATTTGGGTTGTTTGCATATTTTTGCACACCCAGGAATTTATCCTAAGGAAATAATCAAGATGATATATAAAGAATGGATTATAAGGATCTTTATTGTGCTATCAAGAAAATGAAAAACTAGAAATAACCACAGTCTCCAGCATTAAGAGATTAGTTTCATTATGGGACACCTATATGATAGAATACTGTACAGCTCTTAAAATAGTATTATGAAATAATTCATAATGACATTGAAAAATGCTGACAACTTATTATTAAGTGATAAAACAGTACATAAAGTGTGATTCCATTTTTATAAAAATGTATTTATATACATCAAAAGAAGGCTAGAGGCCAGGTGCAGTGGCTCACGCCTGTAATCCCAGCACTTTGGGAGGCCAAGGCAGGTGGATCACAAGGTCAGGAGATCGAGACCATCCTGGCTAACACGGTGAAACCCCGTCTCTACTAAAAATACAAAAAAAATTAGCGAGGCAGTGGAGTTTGTAGCGAGTTGAGATTGTGCCATTGTACTCCAGCCTGGGCAACAGAGTGAGACTCTGTCTCAAAAAAAAAAAAAAAAAAAAAAGAAGGCTAGAATCGTAGGTAATAGGAAACCGTGGTCTTCTCTAGATGGTGAGATTATGGTCGGGGGGTGGGGGTGGTTATTTTCTTCTTTTTTATCTGTGTTTTCTAATTTCTCTAGAAAGTATTGCATAATTACTTACTGAGCACATAGTATGTGACAGACATTGTTTAGTATATATGTATTGTGTAGTAAAAAAAAAAATAGAAAAAATAATGTTATTGTTAAAACAATCCAAAAAGGGAATGTATGGGATTATGTATTGTATACACACATACACATGCACCAACTTCTGAGGATGTAACAGGATCTTGCAAGCAGCACTGGAGTGTTATGTTTTAACTCGAAATAGATTAAGATTTACAGATGACATATTTATCGGATAAGAAAGACATTGAATAACTTTTTGGGAGTGATTCTGTGCATTTCTCCCTTCTCAATGGAATGTCTAGCTATTCTTTCCCTGCAGGAAGTGATTGGAAGTGGAATGCAGAGTTTATTTCCACTTACATGGTCTGACACTTTGACATTTCCTAAACTGCAGGATGTTTGAGAGCAAACAACTTGGCTTTTACTGAAAAATTAATTATACTGCCACTTTCACATAGTGACAGGCCTTTGTAAGAGGACAAAGCTATTCAAGTGGGGAAAAATGAGATGCTTAACAGGATGACAGTAACATAAAGGTCTTGAGTCCGGAGAAAAGGACCTCATTAAGCATTGATTATCAGCATGGTGTAGACTCTTTCAGAAAGTGTTACTACATTCCATGCCATTATTGTGTGGGGTAAATTTAAATCTGTGTTCCATTTACATCATAAGTGAGATTTGTGTATTCTAATAATAGGCTAGTCTTGCCTTCAGCTACATCAGTACACACAAATTCAGTTCATTGCTTTCACTGGCTTGTCATATCAAGCCATCCAGACAGTCACCAGAAGTCAGTCACAAAGAGTCAAATTAGTTTGTGTGTTGACATACAGCCATTCTGACTGCCTGTTTGGAGATCAAGTCAGCTTGGCCCAACATGAACATGTATAGTTCCTTATGAACATACATGAGTTACTTTTGTGGGCAGGATATAGTGTTGGATTGAAGCTAAGAATTCTGTCTGGAGACATTTATGCAGCCAACAGATGTATAAAAAATGCTCATCATCACTGGTCATTAGAGAAATGCAAATCAAAACCACAATGAGATACCATCTCACACCAATTAGAATGGCAATCATTAAAAAGTCAGGAAACAACAGATGCTGGAGAGGTTGTGGAAAAATAGGAATGCTTTTACACTGTTGGTGGGAGTGTAAATTAGTTCAACCACTGTGGAAGACAGTGTGGCAATTCCTCAAGGATTTTGAACTGGAAATACCATTTGACCAAGCAATCCCGTTACTGGGCATATACCCAAAGGATTATAAATCATTCTACTATAAAGACACATGTACACGTATGTTTATTGTGGCACTATTCACAATAGCAAAGACTTAGAACCAACCCAAATACCCATCAATGATAGACTGGATAAAGAAAATGTGGCACATATACACCATGGAATACTATGCAGCCATAATAAAGGATGAGTTCATGTCCTTTGCAGGGACATGGATGAAGCTGGAAACCATCATTCTCAGCAAACTATCACAAGATCAGAAAACCAAACACCACATGTTCTCACTAATAAGTGGGAGTTGAACAATGAGAACACATGGACACAGGGAGGGGAACATCACACACTGGGGCCTGTCGTGGGGTGTGGGGCTAGGGGAGGGACAACATTAGGAGAAATACCTAATGTAGATGACGGGTTGATGGGTGCAGCAAACCACCAGGGCACGTGTATACCTGTGTAACAAAACTGCATGTTCTGCACATGTAACCCAGAACTTAAAGTATTAAAAAAAAAAAAAAGAATTCTGTCTGGAGAAAAAGTATATGACATTGGTCTGGTCAGTGAGTGTTTGGATTTGACCTCAAAAACTCAGGCAACAAAAACGAAAAGAGACAAATAAAATTAAATCAAACTGAAAAGCTTCTGCAGAAAGAGGAACCAATCAACAAAGTGAAGAAGCAACCTACAGATTGGGAGAAAATATTTGCAAGTCATACCTCTGGTAAGGGGTTAACCTATATATTTGCTGGAGGTTGCAATTTTTTTCTGTGAAAAATCAGGCCCTGGCAATGACTTTGAACAGTAGGATATAAATAACTCCCACAAGCTTAGCATTCCAATAATGGAACACTAGGCATAAATGGGTTTTAATATCCAGAGTATATGAGGAACTCAAACAACTCAATAACAAGAAAGCAGATCACCCAATTAATTCATAAATGGGCAAATAACCTGAATAGATATTTCTCCAAAGAAGACATACAAATGGCCAACAGGTATATGAAAAAAATGCTCAACATCACTAATCATTAGGGAAACACTTAGTAGAATCACAATGAGATAGCACCTCACATCTGTCAGAATGGCTGTTATCAAAAAGATGAAAGATTAGTGTTATTGAGGATGTAGAGAAAATAAAACTTCTATATACTGTTGGTGGGAATGTAAATTAGTACAGCCATTATGGAAAACACTATGGAGGTTCCTCAAAAAACTGAAGATAAGCCTGGGCAACATGGTAAAACCCTGTTCCTACAAAATATACACAAATTAGCCAGGACTGGTGGCAGGCACCTGTAGTCCCATCTGCTCGGGAGGCTGAGGTGGGAGGATCATCTGAGCCTGGGAGGTCGAGGCTACAGTGAGCCATGATCGTGCCACTGCACTCCAGCCTGGGCAACAGAGCTGAGACCCTGTTTCAAAAAGAAACAAAACAAAACTGAAGATAGAATTACCATATGATCCACCAATCCTACTTCCGAGTATATATTCAAAACATTTGATATTAGTATGTTGAAGAGATAGCTGTACCCGCATGTTCACTGCAGCATTATTCACAAAAGCCAGGATATGGAATCGACCTAAATATCCATCAGCAGATTTAATAGATTAAGAAAATGTGGTACATATAGAAAATGAAATAATATGCTGCCACACAGAAGAGGGAAATTATATCATTTGCAACAACATGGATGAAACCGAAGGTCATTACGCTAAGTGAAATGAGCCTGATACAGAAAGACAAAAATACCACATGATCTCACTTATATATGGAATCAGAACTCATAGAAGGAGAGAGCAGAATGCTGGTTACCAGACCCTGCGGGGTGGGACTTGGAATGGGGAGATGATAATCAAAGGGTACAATGTTTCAGTTAGACAGGAGGAATAAATGATAAGTATTTGAGGTGATGGATATATTAATTAGCTTGACTCAATCATTCTACAGTATATACATATAACATCACTTTGTACCCCATAAATATATGCAATTATAATTTGTCAATATCTAATGAATTTTTTTAAAAAGAATTCTACCTCGTGTCAGACCAACCTGAGTTCTTTTCTACTCCCCTACCTTTTTTTTTTTTTTTAAAATAGGGACAGGAGTCTCACTATGTTGCTCAGGCTGGTCTTGAACTCCTGGGCTCAAGCAGCCTTCCCACCTTGGCCTCCCAAAGTGCTGGGATTACAAGTGTGAGCCACTACACCCAGCCCCGAATCTGAGTTCTAATCTCTGATTAGATTGAGACTGTCTGAGCCTCAATTTTCTATCAATAAAATGGGGATGATAATATCTATCTCACAGAGTTGATTGAATGAAGTAATACTTCAATTAGATAATTGAATGAAGATTGAATAAAGTAATCCTTTCCATATGTGTAGCATATTTCATGGTATATTGTAAGAGCTCAATAAAATTTGGTGCTTTTAATGGGAATGCAAGGGAATTTAAAGGGGAAAATGGAGACAATTCCTGTTCTTTTTTCTTCTCTTCAGTACATTTCACATTTCCTTGCCTTGATTTTTTGTCTAAAATGGATTGTTAAAATTGCTAAAACTCGAAATTTTAAGTCTAGACTTTAAGAATATTTTATATTACAATAATGAAATACTGACATAGGAGCTACTGGTGTGTTACAAAACAAAATGCACAAATACAACATTTAAACCCAGCAAATCCTGTAGCAATCATGAACCCATACCTACTTATGGTCATCTGATCTTTCTATTTTTTCTTCCCAGTCTTTGTTTGGACTTTTGTAATGATAAACACATATCTAGATCTTAATAGATTTGGCCTCTTCAAATATAAGGCCTTTGTGGCTTTTTCTGTAATTCTCATCAGAATACTGTAAGTCTATTAATAACACTCCACTCTCCCTCTAACTTGCTGCTTTTAATCTGTTGGGGGCTTGAAAACTAGTTTACAAAACTTATTTGGATTCTATTGGTAATACAAAAGTATTCAGTTATGAATGAGGCCTTGAGTTGGGGAGAGAGAGGTCCCCATTTTTGCTGCCGAGATACCTTTTCCTTTATTATATTCTGATTGTTATCTACATTCTGGACACTTGAGGATCATATATAAGGGAAATCCAAATAATATTTTAAAGATTAAATGTGTGACCCTGATAGCATATGAAAAGAATGTTCTTTTACTCATTAAAAGGAACTAACCAGTAAACTACATGTAGTAATCCTATGACAAGTAACCCAGTGCTGCAGTGAATTGTTACATTGGGTTAAGCATTACGAAAATTACCAGAAAGTAGCTGACCAATAGTGATAGATAGGTGATATGGAGCCAAATGTCTTGGAGAGGGGGATCTTTTGAAATTAGGTTAAATGACATGTGTTTGCAAGAGCAAAATATTTAGTGCCATGGTCATAATGTCATCTTGATAGACAAAGGAGAAATATTTGTATCCAAAATGTCTAGTTAATGTTTGACAATAGGACCAATGTGCAATAGTCAAGAGTGGTGGACTAATGTTTTGAGAGTAAACAAAAAATACCAGAGATTAGTCAATGTAGGTTTGAACAAGGTTTTGACTTTGTGATTAGTCGTGTGACTTTCCTAATTTAACATAATCAATCAATAGTTCATATCTGGTAGACTTTCTGGTGAATTTTCTGGTAGTATGTTTTATGTTGAACATTGATTGGACTGTCAAGTGAATGCCAGATGCTAGCTTTGACGTTTGTATGTTTAAATACAAATAACATCATTTTCATTCAGGAAAATTCTGGTCTGTTAATATTCCTGAAGTTCTCTCTACAGATACACAATTACAACATTGAAACTAGGGCTCTACAGCTTGTGATTTGGGGCAAGTTACTTAATCTCAGTGTCCTAATTTCCTAGTATGTATAGTAGAAGGAGTAATAACTATCTCAAACGGTTGCTATGAGTATTACATAAGATTAGTATGTGCAAAGCTTCTAGTATACTGCTTGTACATCATATTAATTCAATGACAAGTTAATATTACCACCTAAAGCTAGACTTGGCTTTGATGACTGGGTAAGGAGACATCCAATATTTGAGCTAGCTATCTTTTTCTTGCAATTTGATAAATCTCTTGAAGGCCCAGGGGCTTGTTGCAGTCTGGAGGAATGAGACTCTGGAAGTAGAGACGACTTGTTCACAGAAAACTGATAGATAATCATAACGGAGAATTCTTGACTCACCAAAATGAAAATTTCTTAGGGCAATTGGTAAACGCAGTTAAGTGGCTGCACATCTTTTGCTCATGAAACTTTGAAATTTGGTTCTCTTTGTCTCTCTCTCATCCTTTAGATGATCACCCTTAGAAACTTTTCTTGACTCTGGGATCTCAATGAGCTCTGGACTATAGACTTAATAAACTTCATCTATGAATGAGCCATCATAACCATTATAAAAGCTCACTAATTACTGTTGAAAGCCACATGTTAATAATTGCATAAGGATTATATAATATAATTTCAGGAACTAAATAATTAAAGAAATTTCAAAGACCATTCAACATATCTTTGACAACGAGCCAGAAAAAAGAAGACAGCTTTACTTTAATAGTTTAAAGGGATTTAACAATTCATGCAACACATATCTAAAGCAGTTAGTATATTACGGTTGCAGTGTTGAAGAATAACATTTCTTCTGGACAAATGGAATTAAGTAATGAAAGCTAAAACTGAACACAAATAAAAGAAGGGTAGAGTACTGGGGAAAGAATATCAGTAATGAGTACTTTAAAGTAGACTTGATAGTATTCAGAATTTGAGTGTCTAGATTCTAGAACATATCCTGGTCTGCTTTTAATTTCTACCCCAATAGAGTTGCTTAAAGGATTTCTTCAGCTTAATTGCCTTCTTTCTTGCTGTTATCCTTCAACTTAAGTTCCCATATTCTATAAAACTTGACTTTAAATTCCCCTACTTTATTCTGTGTCCTTTAGTCCATATGCATTCAGTATATATTGCAAATAAAATTCTATTTAATGGCAGGATGGCAAAAATGACTATGTTGTATTAAGAATCTTATTTAAATGTCTACTACAAAGCCTACAGAATTTTGGTTTGGCCATGCTAAGCTGGGAACTGTAAATGCTCACAGAAAAGGTATAGAAAAAATTGTACAAAGGGGGCTATTTTGCTGATTCCAGAGCAGTGGTGTTTCTGAGTAAATACCTCTAACCTTCTGCTGTACTTGTATTGGAAAGCAATAGAAGCAGAATCTATAAGTATTGAAAGGCCCAGAATAAAGGCATAGTAAGAATAAAGGTATTTTTAACCTTTTGCAGGTTTTTTAATTTGTTAAAAAGGTGGTTAGGGAAAAGCTCTATATACACATATAAGCATTCACACACACACACACACAAATATATTTCTAAATATAGAGTGGAGGACTGTGAAGGCATTTGGGGCAAAGTTCAGAATCTATCTTTAAGTAAATGATGCTCAGTTTGAAGTATTTTGCCGGGGCTGCAGGGCCTATTTGAGCACAAGATGGATATGACCTTAGGCCATCTGGGGAAGGGAAAGTGGGAGCAGCTGTGGGCCAATTTATTTGGAATTCTCTGACCTACTGAGAGTCAGATTGGAAATAAGATTCTCAAGGGATTGGATAGATCTTCCTCCACCGTGCCTCCTGCCTCTGACCAGGATATCTTTCCATTTTCTCTGCATCGTTCCCTTCCTCTTTGCAGAAGTTGTTCAAAGTCACAGCACAAGTTAATGGCAGAGCCAGATTTTAAATTCCCTGTAGGCATAGAGTTGGTGAGTAACTTTTCTCTCGATTTGGGGCACAGTTGCAAGGGCATGCTTCAAGTTTCCAGTAAACTCTCTGTGACTGGTACCACAAGGGCAATTCCTTGTTAATTCAACTCAAGGTTAAGCCACACACACACACACACACACACAAACTGTAGAAAATATCTGGTGGCCATTTAAATAGAAATCAAGCCAAAATTGTGTGTTTTTCATTTTAGGGGGAAAGAACAATGATACATCTAAACGGTTATTTCTAAAGAGCATATCCATGGTCCAGTGTCTTTCAGGAGCAAAAATAGGCAAATTCAAGCAGGACCTAAGGGCCATTTGCTCAGCAGCACCTAGAAACAATTTTAGTCAGGGTCCAGATTTAAAGAGTTTCTACTCAGGTCAAGCTAGAGATTAGGAAAGGTGGCAGATGAAAATCGACTCAGGGTCTGGCACTGGTTACAAAAGGAAGCAGGTCACTAGGTTGTGTTTATAGAGGAAAGAGAATGGATTGCAAGATTGTTATCGCTGGAATCATTGTGGGGGAGGGGAAGACCCTCATTTGAAGCCTTGGTCCTCCGACTAAAGGAGCCCAGAGTGCTTTAAGGACTCACACATAATTAGCCATACATTCCACAGGAAGAAGTCCTGCCTCTGGCTACATCCCTCTGCCTTGAAGCAACGGAAAAGGAGGGATAAGGGTGGGAGCAGGAGGCACGGCGCGAAGGGCCCTTCTGGCCTTCTGTGAAGACCTTTCTAAAGCATCTCCAGATTTTCTAGCCTGTTTCATCCTTTATATTGAAAACCAGCAGATCTTTAGAAGCCTCAGCTAGCAACTTGGGGAAGAGTTTTTTACTAGTATGTCAGTAAACAGTGGCATGTGAAGTTTGTGCAGTTCTGGTTTGTTGGAGCTCAGTGATCTCCTTGCTCTTTGACAAAAATGTTTTGTGCTGCTTTAGAGTTTACAGCATATTGTCCCTGACCCTAGAGGGAGGGAAAAAAAGGACTTAGTTCTTCACTTCACCCTTTAAGAATTCAGGTAACAGAGTGACAAATAAAAAGCATGTTTTCACCAACCAAAAGTGTGGGGTGTAGTTCACCAAGGTGAAACATACATGATGATCAACATGAAGACAAACTGCTAAGTAGTTTTCATTAGTATCCAATTAGTAGGTGATTTGGTTGATAAATGCGTTTGCTAATTCATTAACAATTAGGTAAATTAAATTTAATGAAAATGATTTAAATTTGAACATAAAACGCCACATGTATTAATTTTTACTTTGTAAATTGAAATCCATTTGCTGCCTCCCCCCACACCCCTTCAAATTGTGTACAGTACTCAGTCAATTAGAGCACGCAGGGTGGATTTTTTTCTCATTTAAAGTATCTCTCCTCTCTGGAAATCGGTCTTCCAGTGGACCATGTCTGTCTGTGTCTCTAGATGAGTGTCAGCGACAAATGGTGCATGTGCACATAATACTGATGAGGATTGTGGGTACGCAGTGAGAGCAGGAAAAGCCCTTTGCAATACCATGAGGGATTCAGGAAGGTATTTTAGAATTTGGAGGGGTTTAAGGCTTCATTCCACTGCTGATATTGAATTGCAGCATGACCAAATGATTAACAAACTTGGCTTTCTGGAAATATCTCAGGGCAGAGAGGTTCTCAAATGATTGCAAATTGGTTAATTACTTTAAAAAGCATGTTACTTGCTGTAAACAAGTAACTTTGCTGGGTTTTTCTAAACAACTGGCTATGTTTAGAAGATAGCAATATAGACCAATTAAAGATATACAGAGCTGGAAAGCTGATATTATTATTATTATTATTTGGTAAATCTTAGAATAGGCTTTGTAGTTTAGGATGATGTTTTGAAGACTACTGCCTCATCTTATTTTAAATAACTTCATTTCAGCATTATGGTCAGTGATTTTAAAAGCTGAAACACATTCCTGTTGTTACAATTTGTGTTATTTTTATTGTCTTTCTGACTTTTTTCCTGATCTTTGGATAAATCTCATTCACAATTTCCTGGAGAAACAACCAGTCTTTTACCGTGGTGGATCACATTATATGATTTTTTTCCTTGTTATCAAATAGAAGATTGAATGAGCAAAGCTAAATAGGTGGGCAAGACAAACATCAATGTGGAATGGTCTTTTTAAAAATCAGTATTCAAATAGGCAAAGTGGTGGTTGTAATCTCTTCAGTGTATGTAGCTGAAAACAATAAGATGCTGCCTCTAGATCTTTGATCTTTACTATGAAACGGTAGGAGAGAATATGTGGCCCATTGTGTTTGGTAACTTGCCAGGGTAGGTTCACATTTCTGAGGCAGTAGCTGCGGTCATATAGCAACATCAGTGTTTCGCTTTCAACTCATATTAATAGGTTGATGAAAGTTCAAGTGAATGTTGTTGAGGTTGAGTGAGTGAAAAATTATTTAATAGCATCTGTTAAGTATAAGAGATCATTCACTGCTGGCTTCCTTCAGGATATCTAATTTCTCCACGAGGACTTGACCTGATTTTTTATCACATGAGGGTTGGATTACCATTTACCTCAAAGTCAGCTACTGTGCTCATAAAAGTTGTGTTTATTTTTTCTCTCTCAGATAGGTAGCCATAAACATTGGGATACAAGAATCACTGGATTTTTGTCTTCCTTTTACAGTGCTGTCTCCTAGTGGACTTCTGTTTTCTGCCTTCCCATTATATTCAGTTTTAGGGGGTTGTATAGAAAAATCCTCTTAAAAGGAAATGGTTGATGATGTCTTTTAAACAGTTTAAACTATGTAAAAAGAAAAAGCCTTTCAGTGAAGCAAGGTAGCAATAGCTGATTCAAAAACTAATAAGGGTTTTAATAAGAATTGCATCTTTTTTTTTTTTTTGAGATGGAGTCTCACTCTGTTGCCCAGGCTGTAGTGCAGTGGCACAATCTCAGCTCACTGCAGCCTCCACCTCCTGGGTTCAAATGATTCTCCTGCCTCAGCCTCCTGAGTAGCTGGGATTACAGGCACCCACCACCATGCCTGGCTAATTTTTGTATTTTTAGTAGAGATGGGGTTTCACCATGTTGGCCAAGGCTGGTCTTGAACTCCTTACCTCAAGTGATCTGCTTGCCTCAGCCTTCTTAAGTGCTGGGATTACAGGTGTGAGCCACCACACCCAGCCAAGGATTGCATTCTTGTTTTTTTGGTATATACTGATTGGATTGTCCCTATCATTTCCATTCATCAACTTTCTTAGTTGAGCATTTGACAGACACACCTCTCAATATCACTAATTTTAGAATTTGCATTTAGATGTTACAGAGTTAGTCACTGGGTTGTTTGAGTTTTGCACATGGAGTATGTTAGGTAACATCAAGCACCCTAACTGCGCTCTGTGGAAACCTGGACTCTATACATGGAATGAAACCTTAAAAGCTTAGGATGGAAATTTGGGTAAATTTTGTTATCTCCCAGGTTACGGAGGTGGTGGGGAGGCAAGGGACTTAACCCTATGTAAATAATTTACTGGTATACCCTGGTTTCCTCAGTTTTAAAAATCTCTCCCTGGATGTACTATGACACTTTCTCTCTGAGGCTGATGTAGTCCAACAAAGCCACAGTAATCCAGCAAACACATTTTAACATTCTGTGTTTTATATCTCGATTCCCTATATTTGTCTTATATGCCACCATGTTCCTGTATTTTCCCAAGCAGACATTCGACTTGTACAGTTTTCCAGCATTACTCTCTTCTTTAGCAGTTTATAAATTCCAAGCTTGTTTGATGAACTGGAAGCCTTGCCAAGGATGAGAGAGATAGATACATGTGCTGCGTCCTCATTTATTATACTTACTAAACAGATGCTTTTTGACTTGACCATGTCTTCCTGGCTTTTCTTTTAGCCCTTATTTGACTCCCAAGACAACTGGACATTTTAGCTGTGTATCTAACTGGGCAGAATAGTGGCACATCCTTTCTCACCTTTTAAAACCAAGATGTGGTGCAGCTGAAACAGCTAAGAAGTTTGCAGCAGGCTCTGACCCCTACTATCAGTTACTGAAGTGTATGTAAAAAAACAAAAAAGACAAAAACAGCAGAAGCACGTTTTGGGTGTGGAAAAGTCAATTAAGGCCAAAAGAATCAAACTAATTCAGCACAGTTCTTTTCAGAAACACATTTTTTGGTCTTTGCTCCACACTTGGATTATTTAATTTTTGTCTAGTGACAGTGAGAATTTGGACCTCTCTAACAAAGATAATATGATTTTTTTTTTTTGAGACAGAGTCTCACTCTTGTCGCCCAGGCTGGAGTGCAATGGCGTGATCTCAGCTCACTACAACCTCCGTTTCCCAGGTTCAAGCAATTCTCCTGCCTCGGCCTCCCAAGTAGTTGGGATTACAGGCATCTGCCACCATGCCTGGCTAATTTTTGTATTTTTGTAGAGACAGAGTTTCACCACGTTGGCCAGGCTGGTCTTGACCTCCTGACCTCAGGTAATCCACCCGCCTCAGCCTCCCAAAGTGCTGGGATTACAGGCGTGAGCCACCGCGCCCGGCCTCAAAGATAGTATGATCTTAACTCTTGTAATATTATCTCAGCGTTTACAAATATACATTTCCAAATATCTCATATAATTTTCAAAATAGAGAAAAAAAGTAAGTTAAAATTCTTTTTTTCTGATTTTAAATTCAATATATGCTTTAAAAGAAAATTTGAAAATGCAGAATATTAAAAAAAAACATAAAAGTCACTCATAATTCTCCCCAAAGATAACAGTGGTTCAATGGTTAATATGTTGGTGTATTTCTCTCCAGTCTTTTTTTCTGTGTGTGTTTGTGTATGTATTATAGTCTGCATTATGTAATATGTACTGCTTTGAAACTCGCTTTTCCCACTATTTACTGTCAACACTATTTATTGTGAACATTCTAGTTCAGTAAATTTTTTATAAAACCTATTTTTTTATGGCTGTATAGCCTTCGTTACATGAATATAGAGTAATTTGTTTTGAGTTAATCATCTTAGATTGTTTCTGACTTTTGCAATTAGAGCTCATGCTATAATTAACATTCTGGTGCATAAATATTTGGGTGCATTTCTGATTCTTTTATTAGAATAAATTCTTAGAATTTCAGCACTACTAGGCCACAGAAACATGTATAAAGTTGTAAAAATTCTTTGATGCATTTCCAAATTGCACTTTGAGAAGTGTTTCTGTTTAGTCCCAATAGCAGGGTGTGAGAAGAGAATGGTTGGCATTATCCTTGTTTTATAGATGCAAGGGTTTAGGTGTAGAGAGATTCAAGACTTGTCTAAGGTCACATGATGATATTACTTATCCTTTGGTTTTCTGAGCCAGTTCTATATTCTTTCCACTTTACCACTGTTGTAGTAAAACTTGGTGACAGATCTATAGTGATTTAACTGTGAGGGAAAACTTAATGCAACCATGGCCTTAAAATAAATTTACCTCTATTATTATTATTACAAACTCTAATGTGTAGAATTTGATATATAGTGAGGACTCACTTCCCAAAGGCATTCTTTTATATCTTCAATATGTTTTCTGACTCACATCTAAAATATCCACTATAGAGGTTATGTTTAACTGAGAAATAATAGCCTAAAGTGATTTTGTTGTAGCTTTTTGGTCACCAAATCTGGTTTACAGTATTATTCCTTATTAAGTAATAGTCTTTCCAGTTCAGCATCAAGACATTGAAAAGATTAGTTCTGTCAGGATTAAATTGCTCTCAAACCATCATAAGTAACCCTTAATGTCTACAAAATGGACTGAAACTTTTGTTGACTCTCATTTTTTGGAAGAAGATGAAGGTAAAAATATAGTTTTAATGTCAAGACTCCAGAATGAGATGGGATATAACAATTAAGGGTGATTTCCTCCAATGAAACATAATCAAACCAAGTGTGGGAAGTAAAACAAACATCTACCCCATGTCCCCAAACAAAAACAAAACAATACTGTCAAAAGGACTAACCACATTAGTAGTTTTCATTTCTTTCACATAGCACTTACTTAATTCTTAGAATAACTGGGCATCTTGGCCTTTTTTGTCTGAGGATAGCCCATTCACAACTTCCAGGTCACCAGGGAGCCCTGTCTGGACTCTGCTAAAGGCCTCTTGCTCTTTGCCTTAGAGAATAAATGTGATAACATTGTTTTGCCCTTGATTCCCAGGTAGATAGGACATAAATTGGAATTAAAACATTCAGATTCTGAAAGCCAAGATAACACTTTATCTTATTTGAGGCTGTGCTTTCTTTAGTATCACCTTACCCTGGGAACCCTCCTAAGTGTTTAATAGGTACCATTACTTCTGGGGTTAGGAGTGCATTGCTGGAAGCCTTCTTATTGTATCCTGATATGCCTTTGGGAAAAAGAAAGCCCTTCAAGTGTTAACAGCGTCCGTATTCTGTTTTAGGCCAATGCCATTGTTATTTCAAATCATATTATCTTAATGAAATAGGAGTCTATGTAATATGAATTTTGTTGTGTTTGACAAAAATTAAAGTTGCATAAGAATTATGATCATGTTACAGTAATTGCCTAAAATGTGGTGTTAAAGTTCCTCACTTCAGTTGTTTTTTGTTGATTGAACAACCTTTGGGTTAGATGGTAAATCTCAATGGCTTTAGTAATAAAGATCTAAATAGTCTAATAATATTTCTAAATGAATCAGTTTTTCAGTGTTTCAGGAAATGACAATTTTTTTTAATCAAGGCACTTATACTGAAATCAAATAGTGATAATAGTGTAAGTTCTTATTGCTTAACTGTTTTCAGACAGCAGGGACTATATTTTGAATGAGTGCATCTGCTGAAATTAGATTCTCAAGAATGTTCATGTTATGGTAGGCATCTTGAAACAGATGATTGATGGGTTCCATCAATCCACAGGTATTTATTGAGCATCTACAGAGTACCATGCACTATGTTAGGTACTGTGGGGCTAATATATAAGATCCAATTTCTACTCACAAGGGAGTGTATAGGCTGAGTGACAAAGAAACCATGAACATACTATCCCTTTTTGAGCTGAGCCTGGATGGTGGGGAGGCTATTGATAAAAGAATATGAGAGACTGGGATATCCATTGTAAGTAGATATAATAGTCTAAGCAAAATCTTAAAGACAGGAAAAATGAGCTTGGTGAATGCCAAAAAACTATTTGAGCTGGAATAAAAAGATTCCTTAAAGGAAATAGTATAGTGGAAGAGAAAGTTGAAAAGGCAGGCGGGGGATACAATACTCTCATTTCCATTTGCCAGCTGTGTTCTAGGGCTGTCTGCCTAGAACTAAATAAATATGAATAAATTTAAAAATGTGTCCAATTTAAAGCAACACCCAAGAAACAAAATCTCAAATTAATTTGTACAACATGTGGCATTGTAAAATAACCCTTCAGGGTGTCCAATTTAAACTGCCTCCTCTTTCGTCTCTGTGTATATCATGTGGGCCACCCAGTGATGCCAGTTGGAAATGAGACACTAAGATTAGAAAATTTTGCCAGAGTGATTCAGATCTTGTTGGATCAAGCTAACCAGCTTTGTGATTTCAAACTCACTACTCTCTAGTTAAATGATGTAGTGTGCATTTCTAGATGTTTGGAAGTAAAAGTCATTGATCAAATGATCTCATGTATGAGCCCTTCATATGAGACACTCCACTAGCCAGTGATAGCCCAGAATCTGTCCTTGACACATTATCTTGTTTTCTCTTTTTCTGTCTTGGCCACCACCTTCATCTGTCATGTTCTTTTAAAAGCAAGACCCTAAAACTTTACCTTCTAAATCAATATTCTAAGGTGAATTTTGTGATGCTTTGAATTAATGGCAGAGAACCAGAAGTATAGGCAATTGCAAATGGAAGATGATGAATAACTCATTTATATGTGAGTTGGAAAGCCTGTTTATATTTACATTTGACTATGGGTGAGTCTGTTTTTTAGAAATTCACTTTCAAACTAAATAATGAAGTCATACATAAAGGTCTGACTTGAGCTGCTGAGAGGCTGGCCCAATTTCCTGCAACCTGCTGCATGCTGGGGAGAGTAAAAACATCGTCTGTTGTCCAACCTATTACTGACATAGCATCATCCTAAGTGCTACTGACATGTGTAACTGAAATATTTTATTCTGTGGCTTACAGCTGTTTCTTCTTAGCTTGTCCTCAATAAATATGGAAGGGATCATCATGGTCAAAGGACTTAAAAAGGAAAAGTAGGATGGTTGTGTACAGGAAACTATAGCAAAAATATATATATGTGCATAAAATGGAAGGATTGGGGATCAGTGACATAGACAAATCTTTAAAGATTACATGAAATAAAGGAGGTGAAGTAAAACCAAGATAACATCACAGTTAATGCTAAAGAAATTATTGGTCAAACCAAACAGAAAAGTTCACACAAAATGAGAAAAATACTTTATCTGAGATAAAGAAATGAGATGGTTTATGCATTTCCAAAATGGAACTGCAAAATGTTTGGGAGACCAGGTGGCTAAAGAACACGGAATGGGAGAATTGTAAAGTTAAAGCAGGTGAGAATAATCTTTTCCCTTAACTGACTTAGACTTACAAGAAGGAAGATAGGATTTGGTGATTTTTTTTGGTGCAAGTTGGATCCCAGATAAACCTTGGGAGCTCTTGGGAACTCTTCGTGGGTACCATAATTAGAACTGTATTGTTTCTGTGATTTCCAGTAATCTACTCCTGAAGAGCAGAATATGGTTTGAAATTGTTCCCATTCAATAAGCCATCATAGATTTAAATCTTATCATCACATTGAACCCTGTTTTGGTGAAACTGTGTATTTTCAACTATTAGCACCTCTTGTTTTGAGTAATATAGAGTTCCATATATTTAAACCAGCTGTTTCCCATACCACTACCCATTTTAATCTGTTTTAAGCTTATCTTTGTTTAGTTTTAAGAAGTCCTTATCTTTACTGTATTAGGATTTGGTGAATAAATTCAGTTCACCCTGCCAATATCCATTCTTATTCGGCAAACTGATTGCATCCCTTTTCAAACTTCCTCTGTTTAACCTGGAGTGTCTGAGCTCTGTAATATGCCCTTATATAGATAGTATTTCCACCCCCAAGAAGATAACAGCTAACTTTCTCAAGCTTTGTTCTGTCTCATCACCCATGGGGCCTAGAATAGTATGTTGTAACCCAGGAGGAAAAGTACCTTGCTTAAACTCCTGGACACCACTTTGTTTATTTCAATAATTTGTGGATTATTTACATCTCAGCAACATTCTTGGGGCTTGGGGGATGTGGAATATATATATTGGGACTGGCATAGTACTCTGCATTTTTCATTGGCTGGCCTGCCTGGAAACCTGCAGAGTTGTCTGTGATAATCGTTCATTGGCAAAAGAATGCCGAAGGATAATGTTTATGCCTGGCACCATTTTTAATTCATTTGCCTTGAGTTTAACTTTTGTAGTAAACTTCTGGGATGGCAGCCTTCTAGGGCCCATTAACCAGAGTTTAGAAGACTGTGTGGTAGAGGTCTTAGCCGTCTGTTACCTGTACAGTTCCTGCCAGTTAGATGACTTTCACTAGGGCTACTTTATGAGGGTATAAAAACTTCTTAGTAAATTCGGCCTTTTATTAGGCACTGCATAGCCCCTATTTCAGGAAAACGGTCTGTACCAGGAAATATAAGGGAAAGGAAAGACTTTTAAGCTTTCTTTGTAGGTGCCTTTTAAACATGTTAGCCATCTTGGCACTTGCCACTAAGTGAGGGAGGCAGCCATCATTCAGAAGAGATGGTTTTAACATCTGTGGTTTGGGGACACAAAATGAGACAGCATAGTAATAAATGTCCTAACCCCAGGTCATTTAGGTCAGACATGTTTCTTCTAGCATTGGTGCTGGTCCTGCCTGAGACTGCAGGAATCAGTGGCATCAGGAGCTTCTTCAGCCCATATAGAAAAATACAACTAAAGGGAAAAAAAGAGGTAGACTTTGAAGCCAGTAGACAAATGTTCAGTCTAAGTAATTGTGAAAACTTTTAGAAACAATATCTGTATGTTCCTTCCTTCCTCCTTTCCTGTCATCTCTGTTTTCCCTCCATCCCCATCCCTCTCAAGGTTCCACCAAAGGCCCAAAGCAATATGGGGGTGAGAAAAAGATGGTTGGGTGGAAGGAAAAATCATTTTATTATTTGAGTTGCTTTCTCCCTTACCCAAGCTCCAGCACTGTTTGTTGCATGAACAGTTTGAGCTCCACAGGACCGTAAGTTACACTTACAAAAACAGGAATGTGTCTTTAAATAATATTAAATGTTTTAGTGACATCAAGATGCTTACAGGGCTAGTCAGGCAGGTAAGCATATAACCAGCTTTCTTCTACAAGAAGTTTTATTTGCATCTTTTAACATCCCCTTGACATTTATATACCAAGGTAGAAAGCCCGAACCTCAGAGAAAAAAAAAATACATGGGGTTTATGAGTACTTGAAATAAAAAATTGAACTTTTTCTTCCTGTCATGTTCCTTAAAATCCTTTGAGGAAAAATGTTGTTATGATGTGCCCAAAGACATTTAACATAAAAGGTAACTGGTGCTGGATGTGGTGGTGCATGCCTATAGTCCTAGCTACTTGGGAGGCTGAGGTGGGAGGATCGCTTGAGCCCAGGAGTTCAAGGCTGCAGTGAGCTATGATTGTGCCACTCTACTCCAGCTTGAGTGACAGAGGGACACCCTATCTCTTAAAAAGGTGGGGAGGGTGGCTGTGGTTACCTGCCATCATCTTTAAGTTTCTTGGGCATTAAGCAAGCTGGAAGCCAGTTTAATAGCTATCCTTATGTCTTATGTCTTACTTTT
Organism: Homo sapiens; assembly: GCF_000001405.40. Taxonomy (NCBI): domain Eukaryota; kingdom Metazoa; phylum Chordata; class Mammalia; order Primates; family Hominidae; genus Homo; species Homo sapiens. The sequence continues at coordinate 133,871,846 of NC_000023.11, read as the reverse complement.
CATCCTTGTGGATCCCTTTGGAAGGAACTAAATGTGTTGGCACCATTTTCACTATCATATAGTTTTCTTTCTGAATGTGAGGCGGTAGGATTCTACTTATCATGTACTGTACAGTTGCACTACTTGAGGATGATGAACTTCCACTATATATCACCTAATCACTTCTTCCATCCTACTTTGTATGTGGTTTAAAGTGTATCATCTCTTGCCTGGTATTTTTAAATAATGGCTTTTACATTTTTAAAGGGAAATTCTTTTGGGGGTACCAGTTTGTGGTGATGGTTGAAAATATCTGTCTAGCATCATTTGTAGGAAAAGGATAGTATAATGAACAAATATTTATTGTGTACCTGCTATGTGAGATACATTATGTAAAGCACTGAGCATGATGTCTCTCACATAGAAGGTAAGGCATGAAGATCTTAACTAGGGCTGTAGCAGTGGAGATAGGGAAAAGCTAGAGGTCGATGTAAGAAACATTGAGGAAAAGAGAACTGATAGAATTTGTGACTATATGGATGGGGATGAGCAAGAGGAAGGAAGGAAATATTTTTTACTTTCAGAGCTGTTAGTAACTGGGAAGGAGCAGAGTGATGTCAGGAGTAGAAATAAGGAAGTTGGTTGAAGCAATAAGGATTGTGGGATGATCACTACAAGAGGCAAAATGAATTGGATTTTGGTCATGTTGAGTTTGTAATACAGGTGACCTGCTTACGGGGAGCTGTCCAAGAGGGAGTCAGAAATACAGGCCTACAGCTCTGGAGAGAGATTGAGACTTATAGAGAAATCCAGGAATTATCCACATAACTCATCATAATGGAAATCATGAAAGCAGGAAAATTTACCAAAGAAGATATTTTAGAAAAAAGACCCAGCAAAGAAATAGAGCATGAGAATGAAAGCCTTGAGGGTATGTTCATGTGGAAGGCAGAGAGATTGAAGAAGAAGCAGTGTAAAATACTCCATAGGGGTGGAAAAGGATGGAGGTTAGACGTGACCATCCCATTTAGCAACTCTAAAAGTCATTGGTGACATTTGAGTACCAAATTTCATTAGAGAGATGGGTATGAAAGTCACATTGATTGGAGTTGAGGAAGAGGATGTTGATTCCTCTTTTAATATATTTGGGGGTAGAGTGGAGAAGAGTGTGGTAATTTGAGACAGGAAGGAAGGAGAGATCAAGTGAAGAGAAAGAGGCAGGACATCATAGGAAATCATGTTTAAGATCCTCATTTTATCAGAGAAATATCATTCGCTAAGAGTGAAAAGGACAGGATTGGGTTTAGGACTTAGGAAATGTGGGACAAATGGAAAGTAGGAAAGGTTTAGATTGGCTGCCCTGGGAAATGACAAGTAGTCAGCAAAGTATAAATAAAAAGGCTTGTTAAACAATAACCAGGGCTCAGCTAAAGTTAAGCTATACTGTAAGTTTATACCATCAAAATGGCAAAATTACGTTACTTTCTCCAGTAACAGTTGGCACTTACTAAAGAAAAAAGTCATGAAATTGGGAATGGGAGCAGAGAAAGTACATGATTTGGTATTTGTCAGCTTGAGAATAAAGACACACAGTGAAGAACTTTAGGAGACTAATGAGAGCATTGAATATTTGGAATAAGAAAAGTGATAATTTAAATCATCAATTTTTTGACCATTCATTCCCTTTGCAGCAAATAAGCTCAATTTCCTTCCAAATATGTCTTGATTAACAACAGCAACAAAAGATTCACTCCACCCCCTATCTTATTGCTGTTAGAGTGATGGTTGGTACATCATCACTAAAAAATCAGAGTTGAATTCTTGTGTGTGAGAATTCATTGAAGCCATATGAAACATAAAGTGGTGATTTCTGTAGTTGCCCGGTACTCTTTTATTTATTTATTTATTTTTTTGAGACGGACTCTCGCTCTATCGCCTAGGCTGGAGTGCAGAGGCGTGATCTCGGCTCACTGCAAGCTCTGCCTCCTGGGTTCATGCCATTCTCCTGCCTCAGCCTCCCAAGTAGCTGGGACTACAGGCGCCCACCACCGCGCCCGGCTAATTTTTTTTGTATTTTTAGTAGAGACGGGGTTTCACCGTGTTAGCCAGGATGGTCTCTGTCTTGATCTCCTGACCTCGTGATGTGCCGGCCTCGGCCTCCCAAAGTGCTGGGATTACAGGTGTAAGCCACCATGCCCGGCCACCCAGTACTCTTAGAAGCAAAATAAAAAAAGTTACCCTCCTTTCCCATCCTTGGAAATTTCATGTTACTATTCTGTGCTCATTGTTAAAGCAGGCTATGCCACTCAAGCTTGAAATATGTTCGTGTTGCCATGGTTTGTGTCAGTAGTCCTTCCTCATCATGCTTATAGTTGCTTGTGCTCACTGAACCCCAACAGGTGTGTGACTTAATGTAGATGCTAAAGAAAGATACAGGAAAGTATCTGTTAGCACTAGATTCTGGGTGCGCTTTCGGTGAAGTTGTACTTGTGATATTTGCTATTACTTACTAGGGTTGATTTTGCAAGTATTATGTCCAAAACCCCTGTGTTCTTCCTAGGCGCCATGTATCTGATCTAAGATGACTCTTTTTGTGAGCAACATAAGAAGATATTAAATGTAGTCTATATTTTCTGAAGTGTAGAGTGCTGTCATGTTTACCTCTAGAGACACCCAGTTTCCTATGGTAACTTTTCCTCTACAAGTTTTAAGTGCATGAAAGAAAAGGATGGGAACAAGGAAAGAAAGAAAAGTAGGTACTGCTGAATACTGGAGGAAGACTTGAGCTCAGGGAAAGAAAAAGGAATATCAGGCCTAATTTCATCTTCATTCCACTGAAAATCTGTGAGAGCTGTTTCTAGAGACTTTTTCAGTTTCTTACCACTTCTCTCTGTGTGTTATTAAACCTTGTCTGTTCCCTTTTAGTTATTAGCCCTAAAACCCCTTACAAAACCTCAAAAGGGTTTCTGGGCTTAAGTAGATACAGATGGGGAGGAGGGGAAACTATATAGCTGTGTTCCACTTGGCAGTGGCCCAAGAGAAAGCAGAGTCAAAGAATAAGTGTTATCAGCAGAGGAAGGGAGGGAGGAGGCCCGCCCATTGAGGAGAAAGTGAGGGTTGACTTGAGGGACTCTGGAAAGGGCCCAGGGGAGGATACCCTTTTCAAATGGCACATTATCATGAGGTCTTATCCTTTTCTTCTGGATGGAAGTCATCCTCCCTTGCTCTAGACTTTACCTGTACCCCTTTAAATGAGCCTATTACTTAGTATTATCTTGTATTTGTTGTTGTTATCTTGTATTTTAGCAGCTAATTGCAAGCATGCCTTATCTCCCCAAGTAGACTGTGAGCTCCTTGAGGGGAGATATCCTCTTTCCTGCAGCTTTTGTTCCAGTGCCTTGCCCATAGTAACAACTTATTTTAACTGAATGAACAAGTGAATGTAGCCTATTGTCTACCATTTTCTGCATTGATTCCACAAGTATTATTTGAGCTCTGCTGATGAAATGGAAGAGTTCCCTGATCCCCCTCACAGGACCTGTGACAGTGGTTTGGCTCACCACTGCTCAAACCCCTGACAGGAGGGGGAGCATGCAGACAGGCAGGAGCAGGAGCTAGGGTGAGTGCTTTGGGCTCTGGCCCCATAGTAGTATCTAGGGGTGGGTGCCTGCAGCCTCAGTGTTACAGTGTTCTTTTAACCTTGCCATCCACAGATGGTTTAAGTGTTAACCAGCTCAGTGGACCTTCCGCGTTTTTGCAAAGACAGAGGGCCAGTGTGACAGCTTTTTGTATCCCAAGCTTTTGCCTAGCATCCCAGAAGAATTGGGTCACACATGGGCTTGAAGGGTGAATATGGGGTTTTATTGAGTGGTAGAGGTGCCTCTCAGTGGGATGGACGGGGAGCTGGAAAGGGGATGGAGTGGGAAGATGATCTTCCCTGGAGTTTGGCTGTCCAGTGGCCAAACTACCCTCCCACTGCCCCTAGCTGAACTCCTCTTGGCGTTTAGATGTTCCTTCCCTTCTCTCTTTCTCTGCGCACCATTCTGCCATTCATCTGCTTGTCTCCTCAGCTCATCTCCTCGTCTGCTTGTCTGCTCCTGGAGCCTGGGGTTCAGGGTTTATATGGGTACAAGACGGGGGTATGCTGGGCCAAAAGGCAACTTTTTGGGCACAAAAACAGGAATGCCTGTCCCCATTCAGGGCCACAGGTCTTCAGGCTTGAAGATGGGGCCTTTGCCAGGGAACCGGCCTCTCCGACCCAGTATTTCCCTGTCTCCTTTTTGTGTCAATATTATGGGGATAGAGAGGATTTTTGAGATAGAAGCCTGCCCTCCAGCAGCTGCATATCTAGGTGGGATGAATAGATGCCAAAGACTGCTCTGCTTGTGATTCCATAGGCCCCATTGGATTCTGCTAGCGGATGACTTGTTCATGTGTCTTTCTCATTTCCCCAGTTGCAATTTTAGGAAATACTCTCTTTGCTCTGAAAATTGTTATCAATTCTTCTTCAGCCATTTATTTTCTGGGACTAGTAACCCAATAATTCAATGTCTAGTTCAGTGAAGAGTCATTGCTAGACCTGATAGTGATGGTAACAAACTTCTTCCTGGGAGCCACTCAGCCATTTCAAGACACAAGGGAATCTTAGAATAAACAATTTTTTTTTTTTTGAGACAGAGTCTGGCTCTGTCACCCAGGCTGGAGTGCAGTGGCATGATCTCGGCTCACTGCAACCTTCGCCACCTGGGTTCAAGTGATTCTCCTGCCTCAGCCTCCCAAGTAGCTGGGATTACAGGCGTGCACCACCATGCCCAGCTAATTTTTGTATTTTTAATAGAGACAGGGTTTCACCATGTTGGCCAGGCTGGTCTCGAACTCCTGACCTCAAATGACCCACCTGCCTCAGCCTCCCAAAGTGCTGGGATTACAGGTGTGAGCCACTGCACTTGGCTGTAAATGATCTTATTCAGGTGCTAAATGGTGGGCTAGGAGCCTGAGAGAGAATAATTGGTTCTTTTCTCTGTACGGTTGGTCCCATAGGGCCACTTCCATCTCTTATTTACCTATGCCTTTTTTCTAGTCTTGATGATTGACTAGAGAAGTTTGGGGGGCATTGCTTGATCTCTTCCAAAAAAAAAGAAAAAAGCCAGAAGTTCTTTGAAAATGACTTTAGTTTTTTCTTAAAGAAGCATAAAATATCAGGTTAGTTGGGATAGTTTTTAAGCAGGGAAGCTGTATTTCCTGTATTTGCTAAGAATATTATGAATGAGTTAACATGTTACTGTAGGTTAAGATAATCTAGAAATGTATCTGGAAAATCTATTTCAATTACCTTCTGGGTGCTTTTAGCAAAAATAATAAATTTCAAAGAATTAAGAGAGTCATAAAAAGAAGTGTTATGAGGGGAGTATACCTCATTTTTCACCTTCAAAATTAAATATTCACTGTGGAATTATGTACTGCCAGGGTCACTGCATTGCTTATAGGCATTAATAGCTGCCATAGGTAACTGCTGAAGGAGGTGAAGGGGACCATTTCCCATAACACAGAGATTAAAGCACGCAATTTACTGAAAATCCCCTAAATAAATAGCAACCTAATGCTCAGTTGTGCACTAAAAGGGATGCTGCTTCACATTTACAATTTGCATATGGATACCCTGTTGAAACTTGCATTTGCATATATAAGGTATTGATTTTGGCTAATGGAACATGAGGTCATTTCTCTTTAGTTTCCCTCAATTTAAGTATCATTTTCTTTCTCTCCTTATTGCTCACATAGAGGAAGGCAGAAAAATAGCTTCAGATGATTGTGTCTGGAAATACCAGATATTGTGGTCTATTTTTATTTCAATTTTTCATATTTAAATTGTCTGTATACCATAGTAATGTCAGTAGCTGGCTACTGCTTAAAACTAGAAATTTACATGACAAGTAATAGTTACTTTAAAGAGCTACTTAAGCTGTTTGAAAATGCCTCCAGACATCGCTGTAGCTTTGTCTACTAAAACCAGTGAGGCCCAGCATTCTTGGTCGACATGAAGTGGCTTGGTTGAACTTGTTGGTATACAATACAGTGAATTGCCTGACCCTCCTAATTGTGCTTCAGACTTAATGCCAAAATGGTGCATTAATTGGATGTGGGCTTCAGGTTTTTGTTAACTATCAGCTTCGTTGCTGACCAATTACCACATGTAGGAAAAGATTAGAAAATATTCTATTTTACTGAGATAACAAAATCAACCGATTTACATATACCCATACATTTTAAAGTAAGCAAACTTTGTATAGATTTTTGTTGCAGCAACCAAAATCCAGATGGATTTCCCCTTCTAACAGTGTATTTTCCTGTGTGAAATGTCTCTTGTCATTATTTTCCTCCCGTTTCATTTAATAAGAACATACGTAGCTCATTATGAAGTAGGTACCCTATGGAGAGGATTGCCTGTGACTTTCCAATATGAAATCACAATATTTTGTTTGCATCTATTTTATAAAAATTGCAAAAGTAATTTATTTGGCAAAATACCACCTGCAATAGTATAACCTTAGTTAAATTGTTTTGTTGCTTATATGTAAAAAAAGGACTCTTGTTGCTTCCCAGTACCAAAATCACACAATGTAATTAGTTATTCCCTTTTAGAAACTATGGTTGCAGTGATAGGCTTGAATTTTTGATGACAGAGGGAGAAAACATAAATATTAAAATATCTTTATTTTTGTGTGGGATACAAATAAAAGAACATCCCACAGATAACTGTAATTGCATTTTATTGAAGGAACAGAACTTGTAAATAGGGCAACAGCTGGACATGCTAAATTAAAAAAAAAGAGAACAATATCACATTTAAAGTACGAGTGTCTAAGAGGAAGTTTATAGTGCATGCCTCACATTTTAAATTCAGCAAGAAAGAACAGGGACATCCTTTTTCTCACTGGCAAGTTTGTAATCTGTGTAAAACACTAGGTATGTTTCCATAAGCTATTTAAATGCAAGTGACATTCAGAAAGAAGATCCAGGATGAACACTTGTCATATGAGTTTCATTTTATTCACACTTTGAGAGTTGTGTTTCACACTCATATTTGAATAAGAAACCTCCTTGCATCATGAATGAAATGTTTTCAACAACAAAAAAGTCACATGTTGGTAAATTGTAACACATTTTTCCATAAATTTTCACCACAACTTTAGAATTGTACTCCCAAGAAAAAATACTGTTAAATTGGGAAATACAGCCAATCTGTCAGTTACACTTGAGTTCAGGACAGACAAGGCTGCTGGGACATGTGAGCATTGGGTATTCATAGAGATTAGGCATGGGGCTGAGCAGTGATGGGGCCAGGTGGAAAGGAGAGGTGATGGGAGTTGCAGCTGTTTGTTTCTACCCACCATCATGATATGCCAACAGCTGGAGAACCAATTTGGTATAAATTCCCAGGACCTTACTGTCAGTTAATGTGAGCCTTCCAGGAACACATACCAAATAATAGCTTACTTTCCTAATTCTATGATGGGAAATTTCTTCAGAGTCAATCCCTGTGAAATGGGATCAGGAACAGTTTTAGTCAAAACCGTGAAGTGCGCACAGTTTGGGTTTCCTGCCCTTTAACCTTCCCTTCATCTGTCATCCCTTCTTCCTCCTCCCAAGGTGCTCAGTATCCTATGCCTTTAAAATATTATCTCAACTGTTCTTATTGCTTCCTGTCCCCTCTCTTCCCCCATGCCACCACCTTACTGCACCCTTTCCAGAAAATACTCTGTGAGCAAGGTTTTGAATCTGTTACTTGACCCTATTCTTCCTCCACGTAAAGATAACCAAGTATTCTTATTTTTCCAGACACCATCTGTGGGAAGGGAAATTTGCCAGTAATCAAAAAGGCGTAGTGTGTTATCTCTCTTAGGAATATTTTTGGCCGGGCGCGGTGGCTCACGCCTGTAATCCCAGCACTTTGGGAGGCCGAGGCGGGTGGATCATGAGGTCAGGAGATCGAGACCATCCTGGCTAACAAGGTGAAACCCCGTCTCTACTAAAAATACAAAAAATTAGCCGGGCGCGGTGGCGGGCGCCTGTAGTCCCAGCTACTCGGGAGGCTGAGGCAGGAGAATGGCGTGAACCCGGGAAGCGGAGCTTGCAGTGAGCCGAGATTGCGCCACTGCAGTCCGCAGTCCGACCTGGGCGACAGAGCGAGACTCCGTCTCAAAAAAAAAAAAAAAAAAGGAATATTTTTATGTTAACTAGGGGTGTGTGTGTGTGTGTGTGTGTTGATGTTGGTGGTGGTTGCACAGTGCCCTTAATACAAAGGAATGAAACATAAATGATAGCATTTATTAGTTCTGTGGCCTTCTCAGCACTCTTCAAATTCTATCACTTGAGTGCCCCTTTCTCTGCCTGCTAAGGCTATCTCTGAATAGGTGATGTTTACATCCATTTATTTACTGCCTACCAAAACCACAATTTAAAAATGTTCCTGTTGCCCAGTGAAGCCAAGAAGAAACTTTCAAGATTATCAAAATGTTCATTCCTAGTTAGAGAGAGAAAGATGGCATCGTTCTTCAAAATGTTTCTGTTACTATGCTTAAAGAAAATATTTTTTTCCTTAGAGCATTAGTTGGAGTATTGAGACTCAGATTTATGGCTATTCTATTGACAAGGGGTTATTGCAAAGATGTTTTATTTGCTGTTTCTAGGGGCTTATCAAAAATAATTGACTAGCTGTCATTTTCTACATGAGACCAATTACTATTGACCCAGCTTTGCTTATTGTTTTCATTAATGTCTAACAAAGAATGAAAATGTTGTTGAATGTTCTTAGAACTGACAAGAGAAAAGCAGTGCTAAGAAGTGAGTATGTATCTCTTGGCCTTCCCAGTGCTGCTAAGCAGAGCCAAAGCTCGATGCCAGGATGTTGTGTGAGCAACGGCTTCTACAGTATGCAAACTCAAAACTACCCTACGTGATGTTTGGGAGAATGGAGGATATGGAGAGGTAGCAGCCTGCTATGTGCAGTTGTACAGGTTGTGCTCTGCACATTCACATTGTGGTTCATGTGAAAGGCATTCTCTAGAGTTGTGCAAGGCACGACCATATGTGGAAGCCTGGGAGGCAGTAGAATAACTTCTGTGTCTTCTGTGATAAGTGTAGTCAGTATTATTATTATTATTATTATTATTATTTTGAGATGGAGTCTTGCTCTGTTGCCCAGGCTGGAGTGCAGTGGTGCGATCTCGGCTCACTGCAACCTCTGCCTCCTAGGTTCAAGCGATTCTCCCACCTCAGCCTGCCGAATAGCTGGGACTACAGGTGCCCATCACCACGCCCAGCTGATTTTTTTTTTTTTTTTGTATTTTTAGTAGAGACGGGGTTTCACCATATTGGCCAGGCTGGTCTCAAACTCCTGACCGTGTGATCTGCCCGCCTTGGCCTCCCAAAGTGCTGGGATTACAGGCGTGAGCCACCACACCCGGCCACTATTTTTTTTTTTTTAAAGGAAGCAATACAGCCATGAGATGGCTATCATTTATGACTTGGCACCTTATAAAGGTAAAGGTGGCCTGTTTTACCTTTGTTATGTGGTCTATTGGCTGAACATTAACCACATATTTACGCATCTTTCTGTTGGCATGTAGGAATGATTGCATTTCTGTAGTGGGAGGAGCCTGGTAAATGATTTTTTTGGCATATGCAGATTAGACAGAAAGACAGGTATGACTTAGTAAATAAGTGTTCCATTCTTCAAGAGTAGAGTAGACAGTAACATTCCTCAATTATTGAGTGGCAAAAAAAAAAAATCCCCTTTTTCTAAAATACCAAGATTGTACTCAATAAAGAGGAAATGGAAATGCAAGCACCATAATCACATGCAAAACTAATTTATGATTTTGGTTTAAGGAGCTTATATTAGGCTGTTCTTGCATTGCTATAAAGAAGTACTCAAGACTGTGTAATTTATTTAAGAAAAGAGGTTTGTTTGGCTCGTATTTCTACAGGCTGTACAGGAAGCATTGTGCTAGCATCTGCTTCTGGGGAGGCCTCAGGAAGTTTACAGTCATGGTGGAAGGTGAAGAGGGAGCAGGCACATCACATGGCCAGAGCAGGAGCAAGAGAGAGGGAGAGGAGGTGCCACACACTTTTAAACAGCCAGATCTCGTGAGAACTCAGTATCAACTAGGACAGCACCAAGCCATTGAGGGATGTGTCCTCAAAACCCAAACGCCTCCCACCAGGGCCTCCAACACTAGGGATTACATTTCAACATGGGATTTGGGTAGGCACAAATATCCAAACTATATCAGAGCTAAAAACTTCCTGTATGAAATTGGGCTTTCCAAACCCTTCAGTTTCTTGAAGCATCTCCAAATATATTTAGTATATTTGGAGTCCCCATTTAAATTAACACAGAAGACGTAACCAAATTTCAGTTGATCAAACTTTAGGATTGTTAATCTTGGGGAAACCATACCCAAAGTTGAAACTTTACATAAAATCTGGCCAGATTCTAGCTCCTAGAATCTAAATTCCAGATACTCCTGAGTCAGTTTCATTCTTGTGACTTAAATTAAGTGGTCCCTGCCATAGCACCTCTTCTTTTGAGAGCCCAGTGGCCCCAAGTTACCATAAATTAAGGGTAACCAAACTAGATGCAGCTAGATCACTTACTAGGATGTGATTATCTATAAGTAAAATTTTAAGTCTATGCAGTTTTATACGTATGCTGATAATGCACCTTCCCAATTGGGTTAAAATGGATATTCAATTCAATCAATTTTTTTTGAGACAGGATCTCACTTTGTCACCCAGGCTGGAGTTCAGTGGCATGACCACTGCAGATTCAACCTCCCAGGCTCAAGCAATCCTTTCACCTCAGCCTCCCAAGTAGCTGGAACTACAGGCACATATCACCATGCCTGGCTAATTTTTCTATTTTTTGTAGAGACAGAGTTTTGCCATGTTGTCCAGGCTGGTCTCGAACTCCTGAGCTCAGGCGATCCACCTGCCTCAGCCTCTGAAAGTGCTAGGATTACAGGCATGAGCCACCGTGCCTGGCCAATCAATTTTTTAAAAGATGACTTACCATATGTGCTAGAATATGATGATGGTTGAGATACTCCTCACCATTGATTCCATAGGACCTTCTACAGTGAACTTTGTAATTAACAACAGATCTACTGTCAAAGAGATTTGAGTTAGAATCATAGCTCCACTCTCTCCTAGCTGATCAGCTCTAGAGTAATCAGTTCATCTGTCTCAGGCTTAGTTTATTCATTTTTAGAATGAGAATAATGATAGAGTCTTCCTCATAGAAATGTTATTAGGATTAAATAATATAATGCATTCAAAGCACTTAGCACAGAGCCTGGACGTAAGCACTCATTAAATGCTAACTGTTAACAAGTTTTTAGTGGTCATAGTTTTTCACTCGGTGTTCCCCGAGTGCTGTTCAGTTTTGTTCTCCCTCAAGAGGGCTGTGAATACTTTGAGGAAAGGATTTTTTTTTCTGCCTGATTCCCCTTTGTATTCTTACCTTAGCCCAGTGAGTGTTTCGAAGTGGGAATACTGAGCCTCAGTTTCAAAATCTGGGGGAAAAAAACGGTACTAATAATGGCACTTAACAGGGTTGTTATGAGGATTTAAAGTATTTGCTATGATAACACATGAACGAAAGCCTCAGTGATTCACATATCCTACGATGCAGCGGTTTGGATATGATTTGTTTGGTCCCTGCCAAGTCTCATGTTGAAATCTGATCCCGTGTTAGAGTTGGGCCTGGTGAGAGGTGTTTGGGCCATGGGGAAGGATCCCTCATGAACAGGCTTGGTGCTGTCCTCAAGATAATGAGTGAGTTTCATTCTGTTAGTTTCCAGAACTGATTGCTAAAAAGAGCGTGGCACCACCCTCCTCCTCTCTCGATTCTGCTCTTGCCATGTGATCTCTCCTCCCCTTCACCTTCCACTGTGGGTGGAAGCAGCCCAAGTCCCCTTGCAGAAGCCGATGCTGATACCATGCTTCTTGTACAGCCTGCAGAACCACTATCCAAATAAACCTCTTTTCTTCACAAATTACTCAGCCTTTATAATAGTACAAACAGACTAACACACATAAGTATTTACTTCCCCTTCTTAACTCACAGAATTGCCAAGGCTCCAATGAGATGATACTGATGATGCTTTGCAAACTCAAAATCCTGACATAGATTTGTGTGATGAATGCGGAGAGTATCTGTAAATGTCTCTCAAAATTTTCTCTTTGTCAGAAACCTGAAACCTGCCCAGACTCGTCCTTGTTTGTGTAAGTCATTCACCACCATCTATAGCAGCTGGAACTTTCGCCTTCATCTCTCCCTACCCACACACAGCTAAAGTGGGCCCTGGGGTCCCTGAAGAGCAGATTTCCTAGGCAACAGTTGTTTTTTCTTCCCAGGTGCAAATATGGGCCTTCTGAGGGAATTCCCAGGGAGACCCCAAGCCTGGGAATTTTAGTCTGGAATTGCTTCACTCCAGGAATCCTTCCCTCAGGTCCTAATAGCTCTGCCTTAGGAAGTCCTCTCCAGGAAGACTGGCTCAGCACCCCTGTATGGTTGGGAAAGTTCCTAGAAATGGAGCCTTGAATAGAGGATGAGGGCTTCTGGGTAGGATTCCATGGTTAACACATTTGGGAACTGGTGGGTCAGACAGAGCCTTAATTCACTACTGTGTGATTTTAATCTCTGAGACAGATAATATATAGGGTTTGCTAAACTTATTAGATCAAAGGACAGTTAGTTTTCTTTTCTTTTTTTTTTTTTTTTGAGACAGAGTCTCACTCTGTCGCCCAGGCTGGAGTGCAGTGGCATGATCTCGGCTCACTGCAAGCTCCGCTTCCCGGGTTCACGCCATTCTCCTGCCTCAGCCTCCCGAATAGCTGGGACTACAGGCGGCTGCCACCATGCCCGGCTAATTTTTTGTATTTTTAGTAGAGACGGGGTTTCACCATGTTAGCCAGGATGGTCTCGATCTCCTGACCTCGTGATCCACCCGCCTCGGCCTCCCAAAGTGCTGGGATTACAGGCGTGAGCCACCGCGCCTGGCCAGACAGTTATTTTTCTAAGAAGTATTCATAGGACAAAATGTTACATGGAACTTTCTTTTGAAAATATGATTCCCCACCCCCCAACCCAAACCAAATGAGACTCATTCTGGTTTCTGTCTTCTAAAATGATATCCTTTTCATTAAGATGAATCTGGTCCCAATCCAAAGTGCAATGATGACTGACAGTAGTGTCTAGTATAATTGGAGCAGTGATGGAGGTGGGGCAGGTAAATGCAAGAGTGGCAGAAATTAATCTGCAGTCAGAAATTAATCTGACCCCAGACTAATGCTGGGGCAGGAGAGAGAGATATATGAGAGTGCCAGAATATGGTAGATATGGTAGATGCCAGGGCAGGGTGAAGGCATCCAGGTGGGAGCTGAAATCCAGCCAGGATACTGCTAGACAAGCTGTTTTTCTTATTACTCCAGCCACAGAAAGTACCTTTGACAATCCCTCCATCTCTTTTCTAGCTGGATGGCCCAGAGTGGGGACCTTTTAGCACCAGCGGGGACGCCTTTTCCTAATTTGCACAATAGTGCCCTATGTTTTAGTAGTGACCTTAAGGGTGGTTATAGGAGAAGGTGGAAAGACAAGAGTGTCTATTTGATGTAAGTGTAGGGAATATTAGTGATAGTTCGGAAATTTCTCCAGATAATGGCAAGACACTCCTTTAGCAGCCCCCCTTTCCTGAGTTTCCCATTGTTCCACTTATTAAACTCTGACATATGTCATGCCCTGTGTACCTGGATATCCATTCATCCTGATCACAACCTGATCTCCCACTTACCACACCATCTCAGAACATTGTCTGGCAGATTAAAATATCTCCCCAGCTCTGCTAACCCACTCTTATAACATGACTAGCTCCTCCTTCCCCCTTTTATCCCTTTATCTATAAGTACTTTTTAAAACAAGGGCTGACAGCTTTATTGTTCAGGAATAATTGTCAAAAGGCTTAGTGGACTGTACTTGCCAGTAAAAGGTTATTTGCTGGCTTGGGGTGTGTGCTCCTCAGCTGTCCTGTGTCATTCCAATTATATTGTCATATGGTGAGATTTGTGCCTGATGTCATTGTAGGCAAGGATATAGTAGAGGCAGCTCATTTGTATGTTGGTGCTTCCCAGTTCTCCATTTGTTGAGATGCTTTTATCATTCAGACCTTTGAGACAATCCAACCTGCTTCCTTCATCTTAAAGGTGAGGAAATGGGCCCAGAAAGGGAATGTGATTTACCCCAAATCATACTATGTGTTGGTGATGGGACCAAGATGAAATCCAGCTCCCCAGGCCTCTGGCAGGGACTCCTGAACTCATAGCTTTGGGCACTGACCTCATGGGGTGAAAGGGAAGATTATATTTCTATTTGAATGTTTTCTAACACATGAAATTTATATAGGTAGTTATACCTAGCAGGAGCCAAAGAACAATAATTTTAAAATAGTTCTATAAACTTCATATCCAAGTTAATTAAACAAACTTTTATTGATTTAAGAGAAACTGGTTAATCAAGTTCATGATTCATTAATAATCAATTTAAGTTGATATGAAAATATTTGTGGTATGAGCAAAAGATGGAGGAAAAAGGATCCAGAGAACAGGAAGAATAGGTCAGAAGAAGGGGGATTTAGAGAGAAGTGTTACTTGTGTGGTGGAGAGGGGTAGATAGAAATTTGGGAGTCGTCTGTAGAGAGATGATAAGAAAAGAAATGAGAATGGGTGAGATTGCTGGGGATAATCTAACAGAAACATTACATGGTAGATAATTAAAATACCCATTACCACTTGCTGTATATCTTTCTTTCCTGAGTTCAAAGCCTTTCACCAATGCTATCACATTTACCATCACAGTATCCATTAGAAGCACGCAGTAATTATTGATTCCCTAAAGCACACACGAGTTAAGTGACCTGACCCAAACCATAAGGAGTGGAGATAGGGCCTAAAAGTATTGCAAAGCTCTGTGGCAGTACAACAGACTCATTTAAATAATATATGCTTGTTCACCTTAGTCTTTGCTACTTCATGTGATAGTCCAGTTTTGCTTAATCAAGTTTTAGTTTGTAGCTATAAAGTTAGTACATGTCACTCTACAAAATTGTAAAAATATGGAAACCATAACATAAAACTCATACCATAATCCTACTATTTGAGGAAAATTGCTATTAACATTTTAGTGTAGATTCCTTTTTCTATGCATTTTAATACCTTTTTATAATTACAAAGATACACACTATTGTAGCAGAGAATGTGGAAAATTCAAAAATATATTAAAAAGAGCAGTAAAATCACCTGTAATTTTGATTACAGGTGATTTTGATTACATCTAGATGCTTAATGTTAGTTCATTCACCTGTGATTTTACTGTTCTTTTAAATGTTTTTATTTTTTTTTAAATTTTGGTCAACAGGTATATGAAAGGTACTCAACATCACTAATCATTAGGGAAATGCAAATAAAAGTCACTGAGATACCACCTCATACCTGGTTAGGGTAACTATGATAAAAAAGACAAGAGATAACAAGTGTTGACAAGGGTATAGAGGAAGAGAAACTCTTGTATACTGTTGGTGGGAATATAAATTAGTACATCCATTATGGAAAACAGTATGGAGATTCCACAAAAAACTGAAGATAGAATTACCATATGACTCAGCAGTCGCTCTTCTGTGTATATGCCCAAAGGAAATGAAATCAGAAGGTTGAAGAGATATCTGCACTCTCATGTTCATTGAAATATTATCACAATAGCCAAGATATGGAAATATTGACAGACAAATGGATAAAGAAAATGTGCTGCTTGTGTGTGTATGATGGAATACTGTTAATATTTAGCCTTAAGAAAGGAAGGGATCCTGCCATTTGCCACAGTATGGATGGACCTGGAGGACATTACACGGAGTGCAATAAGCCAGGCACAGAAAGCCAAATATTTTATGATCGTATTTATATGTGGAATCTAAAATCTAAAGGTCAAATATGTAGAGGTAGAGAATAAAACAGTCGTTACCAGAATTGGAGTAGTGGGGAGAAAATGGGGAGATGTAGGTCAGAGGATACAAAGTAGCAAACCTGTAAGATGAAAAAGTCAAAAGATCCAGTGTAAAACATAAGGACTATAGTTAATAATAGTGTATTGTACTTAGGACTTGTGCTGAATGAGTAGATTATATCTATTCTTGCCTCAGAGAAAGAAGGTAACTATGTGAGACGATAGAGATGTTAATTTGTTCCACTATAGGGACCATTTTACTATATATATATATATATATCTTGTAACAGCATATTGTATAACTTACATGTACACGATAAAATTTATTTTAAAAAAGGAAAATCTGGCTGGGTACAGTAGCTCATGCCTGTAGTCTCAGCACTTTGGGAGGCTGAGGTGGGCGGATCGCTTGAGCTCAGGAGTGCAAGAGCAGCCTGGACAACATGTAAGACCTCATCTCTACAAAAAATAATTTAAAAAATTAGTCGGGTGTAGGAACTCATGCTTGTAGTCCCAGCTATTCAGGAAGCTGAAACAAGAGGATCACTTCAGCCTGGAAAGTTGAGGCTGCAGTGAGCCATGATCGTGCCTCTGCTCTCCAGCCTGGGTGACAAAACAGGACCCTGTCTCAACAAAGAAAAGACAAGAGAAGAGAAGAGAAGAGAAAAAGAACATCTGGAATATCCACCAAAATTAAAAGGAAAAGTAAAACTACCTGTAGCTACTCCATCAAGTAATAATTACTGTTAACATTCTGATATATTTCCTTTTAGTATTTTTTCCTATGCATTCACAAAGAAAAATGTTTTATTAAAATGTGATTATGCTGTATATATATAGTTCTATACTTGCTATTTTCACTTAATATGGCATCATGAGTATTTCACCATATCATTATATATAGTTAAAAACATTATCTTGAATGGTTGCATAGAATTCACTTGTGTGGATATACCATAATTTCTTATGGACGCACCATAGTTTATTTCTTATTT
This sequence comes from Homo sapiens, assembly GCF_000001405.40. Classification (NCBI taxonomy): domain Eukaryota; kingdom Metazoa; phylum Chordata; class Mammalia; order Primates; family Hominidae; genus Homo; species Homo sapiens. Next base: position 133,854,815 of record NC_000023.11, on the reverse strand, counting down.
TCACTAGCAGTGTATAAGAGGACCTGTGTCACTACATTCTCATTGTCATTGCATTTTAACTTCTTCTGTCTCTGCCAATTTGCTAGAAGAATGATGGAATCTCATTGTTTGAACTTTCATTTCTTTGCTAATGAGATTGAACTTTTTTTTGGAACAACTCAGTTTTTGACATGTGGCTTTCAACGCATACTGAATGCACAACTTCTAGTCAAAACCACATATACATGTATAGGACTCATGGCTCCAGTTGTGACAGAACAATGATTGCCTTGCTAATATATTTTATATAGCACTGGGCTCAGTGCCACAGCCGCTAAATAAATCATAAGCTCCTTGACAACCAGGCCCATATCTTAATCATTTCTGCATCCCCCATAACCCCCAGCCTATTGCCTAACACAGTGTAAGCTTTAATAAATATTTGTTAAATGGATATGGAGGTGGAGCTTTTGTGAGGGTCAATGTTAAGTTGCTGAAATAGCTTTTGAAATCTCTTCATGTGAAAAAAGAATCCCTGGAGTCAAAATTTAAAACCATTGCTCAGGCTTCAACCTATCATCTCATATGACCAGGAACAATGAAGAAACAGATCTTTCCATAAAAGGGAACTTCTTTTTGCCAAAGGATCCTTTTTCTAGCCATGGTATCAAATCCACAAACACAGCACCATTATGATAGGGGAGAGTCAAAAGTAAAGCTACTAGAAATGAGCAAATGGCTACAAAGGAAAATGAATGGATGAGAAGAAATATGGGGGAAAAAAGAAAAAAATATGCCATCTAGAGCTATTTTTCCTTCACTTTTCTACTTGGTAAATAGAGCAAGAAAGCTGCAAAGACTAGTGGAAAAATTTTTGGATAAGGAAACTGAGGCTTAAAGAGGTGAACTGACTTGTCTAAGGTTATGTAGCTTCTATAAGAGCATAGCTAGGACTGAGAGGAGTGTCTTTTTCAATGAGATCCTACTCCTATCCCCTACACCTCACAGCAGTGCATCAAAGCAGTTTGGATTTCTCCATTCTCCTTGCCAGCTCTATACTTTAAATATCTATCTCTTCTTGCACTTCTTACACTCTCTTCTTGCACTTCTTATGCTCTACTACAATTATTTGTTTTCATTTTTGCCTCCCTCAATAGATTCTGTTCTTCAAGGGCAGGAACTGAGTCCTGATCTCTATAACTTCAATATCTAGCATAACGCTTGATTCATCTAGATGCTTAATGTTAGTTCATGAAAGATATCATGTTAATTACCAAAGCTGTGTTGTTATGTTTTGGCATTCAAACCTGAGCATCTGGAAATCTTTCTAGTTGAATAAATTTGCCAAGTATATAGTAACTCCCAATAATTTCTGCTAATTGTTAGGGTTTTGCCATAAGTAAGGCTGTACTTGGAGAGGAGAGAAATGACTACTGTAGAGAAATGACAACAGGCTAGGGAAGAGGAATATGAGGGAAACAGAGCAGATTAGGGAAAACTGAGGAGACTAGAGGAGGGAGATACTGGATAGAAGAAGAAGATGTTATGGGAAATTAGCCATTAGTGTTAACCATATGCTTTTGTGGTACGTGTTCTCATATACATACATATCTCACAGTAATTCTTTGTGTAGTATCACACCCACTTTACAGATGGGACAACTGAGACATGTTAACTGATTTGCCCAGAGTCACACAGTTAGGAAGTGGCAGAGATGAAATCTAAATTCATGTCTGTCTAATTTCAAAACCTGTATTTTTCCTTGTGTCTTTCTAATACTCCATGCTGCCTCTCACTGGCATTGAAAGGAATAAAACAGAAGAAAGCTTTTTTTTTTTTTTTTTTTTTTTTGGAATTTAAAAATTGCACGTCAAATTAACCAAATATTAATGATATACCATGTCTTCTTTTGAAACTTTCTCCTAAATTTCCCTGATAGTTCTTTAGCCTACTTTATTTATGTAACATTACCTGTGAAGTACTCTACCAGATAGGGTCAAGTAGAAGTTATAGGTGGTAATGGTACTAATGAAAGAGAACAGCAGTATTTGAAAGCACCAAAGTTATACATACATTATCTTGCCTCATCATTGAGGGGATAAAATGCCAGCGTGTGTGCTGCTGTTGGAAGCCTGGCCACCTTCAGTTCACCTCCTGCACTTTTGCCACTCTCTTGGCTTTACTGAACTTCCCACAAGCTCCATGATTCCCACTTCAGCATGCTGCTTATCTTGTGATTGGCAAAATTCCTATTTTTTAGTTTCCCACAAGCAATTGGCAGCTCATTAGAAGTGATTAGTTGCTTTCCAGGATTTTAAACGTTTAGAATGTATTTAGTTCCCCAAGAATGAGGAAATCTTGACTGGATCTTCAAAGAATCCCATTTTAGCTGCGTGTTTTCAAAAGTAAAGTTAATATCCATAGCAGTTTATTGTACCTAGTTGTCTAAACAATGTTCCAGATCCAATAAAGATTTTCTAATTATTCCCATCCTCCTTTCTGGAGGCAGCCTGGTACCAGCTTTGAGAGGAGGCAGGAAGATGGGTCTGTCTCACCCCTCTACCCCTCAAAGGCCTTATGAAGTTACAAATTCCACCTGTTCTGGAGAGGAACTCAGACTGAATAAAATATTAGGTCATTTGGTAGAATATCTTGACTTGGTTTTGCCTTAATGCATTTTATCATTATTCTACAAGAATCTAAAGCTTTCTTAGAAAAGTTTGCAAAATACAGTTAGGTTGACCATGTAAGATCTAAGACCTGGAAGGGATATATATAAGCCGTTTAATTCGTCCCTCTGCTTAGGTACATCAATACCTAAATCATAAATGAGCGATGGTTTTTATCCATTTGAAAATATTTCTAAATGCAGGTATTTTGTGTCTTCTTAGTCAGTAGTATGTTCTGGTGTTTAAGTCTCTGGCATGGTCAAGAAGTTCTCCCTAATGTTTGAATTCTTTTCTAGCTGTGCTTTTATGCCCAATTGATATGAGCAATTTAGAAATCCTAGGGAGATGCATGACATTGAAATTTCCTGAAAAGTACTCAGAGTTGGATTACAGTAGAAACAATGAAGAATCGCGCCAGCCTGCAGAGATATAAGCAGAATATGAAAATGTATAGCTGATTTCATCATGGATTTGCATGCAAATAAGGATGAAGCAGTCTATGGGAGGGGGAAAACAACAGGTAGAGAAAGTAGAACTTATACTAATGCCATTGGAAATGAATCAGTAGAGGAGAAAATTTTTAGGGCAATAATGGGAAATAATTGGAAGAGATAGGGCCCACTTCAGAGAGATTTGAGGGGATAGATTTTTAAATAGAAAGAACAAGATTGATTGTATAACCCATGCAATCTGCACTATAACAAGTATATTGGGAAGTAGGGAAGGGAAATAGATACAGGAAAATACTGACTGGTTTATCAGGAGGGTAAGATGGTGGTATAGTACCTAGAGAGCTAAGTAATCCACTGATTTTGAAGCACAAGTAAAGAACAACTCTGGTGAAAGTGTAATTGGAATGATGTGCCTTTATAAGGCCTTGGCACAATGAGAAGTTACATTTGAGAAGTATCCATTTTGAGTGGGTATTCATGTAGGCCAGGATAAAGATTTTCCTAGAGAACAGCTGAATATAAATAAGTAAATCTTTGAGGAGTAGATTTTGGAATAGTTCATTTAGACAAATGAAAGTTCATGTTTATTATTATTATTTGTTTGTTTGTTTTGGAGACGGAGTCTTGCTCTGTCACCCAGGCTGAAGTGCAGTGGCACGATCTCAGCTCACTGCACCTCCAACTCCCAGGTTCAAGCAATTCTTCTGCCTCAGCCTCCCGAGTAGCTGGGACAATAGGCGCCCGCCACCACGCCTAGCTAATTTTTTTTTTTTTTGTATTTTTAGTAGAGATGGGGTTTCTCTACCCCGTGGTAACCAGGATGATCTTGATCTCCTGACCTTGTGATCCACCCGCCTTGGCCTCCCAAATTGCTGGGATTACAGGCATGAGCCACCAGAAAGTTTGTGTTTAATCCTGAATATGATCACTGTTTCACTTCTAATTGGAGATTCTGCCTAAGGAAAGAAGTTAGAGTAGGTAAAGACTATTGTCACCCAGAGTACATTCTTGGGACCCTAAGCGGAGAAGTTGCCATTAATGAGGAAGGATGAGCTCACCAAATAGATATGCCTTGTACATACTTAAAATTGCATGATCATTCTGATAGTTATGAAATGGAGCTTGCATGATTCTGAGCCCACTGCCTCAGCTAGCATTCCTTTGTACTGGTGTTGGAAGTTTCTGACCAAGGCTGGCAGCCTTGGTAGCAAGGATTACCACGTAAATACTATTTCTGTGTTTGGTAGTGATATTAGCTATTGATCTTCACCTCCCTCAGAAATTTGGCAGTAATGATCTCTTCTCATTCATCATGATACTTCCCAGGCTTTGGAGATTCTGATAATTGTGTGAAGTTCTGAAACTACTCTTCAAAACATTTTACCAGTGACTGTAGAGAAGCTAATGAGAAACCTGTGAATTTGCTGGGTTTGAACAGTAAAGTTTGAATTTTTCTTTTTCATCTTAAACTGTAAGGAAGAGCTCAGCTAGCTTTATTTACCAAAAAAAAAAAAAAAAAAACAAAACCCAAAAAACAAACAAAAAAAATACCCCACAAAGTCATATCGTAAAGATGAACATATCTAATGAACAGAATTTTAGTATCTTGGGCCTTAAAGTTATAATCTCATGGCTTAAAGTGAAGGTTATTGATTTCATCCATCATAATATTTTGCATAATAATCCAGACTTTAAATGAAAGAAATAGAGAATTAGGTAAGTTCTGATCAGTGAACTACTGATAAGGTAACAGTTTCTTTAAACCCAGAAGATGGCTGTAGTTCAACTCATTAAACATTAGCACTCAGGCAGTTTCCTTGGAGTCAGAGGGATCCAGAGATGAGTCAGCCATGATCTCTGCCCTCAAAGGACTTCTTGTCTGATAGGAAGGAGAAGCCCAATAATAATCTAAAGTTGAATATGTTGAATGTGGTTAAGAGAGGTAAAGACAGCCCTCTGGAATTTAGGCTTGGTAGAGATTACAGTTGAGTTGGGGCAGGGAGATCAGGTGAGGACTGGACCAAAGGATCAGGTGACAGTTAAGTGGGTCCTGTCTGCAGCAAGGATCAGGCAGGCTGGGCACAGGAAATGAGATTTTTCTGTTACTTTATTACCAGGTGGAAAAGATTTGAAAGTGGTCGAAGGGAAGCTTACCAAAAAAACATAAATAAATAAATAAAAGGAGGCTGATGAAATAGAAATGGTTACCTCTTCAGCTGAATACTGATATTATGGTGAATTATGGACACATTATTGTTACACCTTGACAGGTCAGTATGGGTGTACCTCCATAGTCTATAAAATTTGTATTTGAATTTCAGAGTTCTTACTAGAATCGATCAGGAAGTTATTATAGCATTATGGAACTTCAGTGAACTCATTTAATCTGTTGTCCAGCCTAGTTTGTTATAATTAGGTGAGAATACGTTTTATTTTTAAAACATCTTTAGTTCATTAGCCGGGCGTGTTGGCGGGCGCCTGTAGTCCCAGCTACTGGGGAGGCTGAGGCAGGAGAATGGCGTGAACCCGGGAGGCGGAGCTTGCAGTAAGCCGAGGTAGCGCCACTGCACTCCAGCCTGGGGGACAGAGCGAGACTCTGTCTCAAAAAAAAAAAAAAAAAAAAAAAAAAAAGAAACTTTAGTTTTCCTTAGTAATCTGTTCAAGCATTTGCTATTTAACCAAACTCTTGTAAACGGTATTTTATCTTGTTCTGTCATCAGTACAGATGGAGATCAGCCATGTTTATAATATCCTGCAAGACTTATTAAATGTTTCCCCCATTTTATCTAGGCTTACATAGTCCCACTGTCATTGCCTGTACTCACAACCCCCTTACTCTCCATTGCTTTGATGATCTTTCTTTTTCTCTAAACCTCTATATTCTATGCATCTTTCCTTTATTCCCTTCCTCCCAGACATATTTAGAGAGTGGGTCAGCCACTGTGCTAAGTGCTGCAACATATCAGCCCTCCTTCTCCCACAACACTGATTTGTACCTTGCTGGTACTGTGCTTATGTGACTGCATGGCCCTTATAGAGACTATATACCATAAAGGAAGGTTGTGCCTTTGAACTTTATGCTTTTAATGACTTTCATGAAAAAAAAATTAATCAGTGTCACTAGAAATGCTAGATTTGTTGTCTATTTCCAATTGATTTCAGTTTCCTATGGGAATGTGACCAGCATTGATATTCTTGCAGTCTATCAGCATGCATGCTTCAATGCTGCTTTTGTTTGGTATGGCCACTTCAGTTGGTTTATGTGAAGATTGTGTATCTCCTAGTTCATCTTCCAGTCCATTACCCTTCTCTATCTGTGTGCTCTATGGGATGAATTCCACAGAACGTTTTAGGAAGCAGGGCTATGATGGATTTATTTTAAGGTAAAAAATTATTTCTCTGTTTTTTCCTTGAACCACTCCCCCAACTCCAATCTCTTTTCTCAGTCTCACTCTATATTTCTTTACCCCCCAAAACAAGCATAGAGTCAGTAACCATAAAGTGTCATTTGTCTCTGATTTAGGTTTGAGTCTGAACTAATTTTGAATTCTTGGCTGTAATGGATGCTTTCATAATAATTATTGGCAGCACCTCTTTCCACCTTAGTTTTTATTAATACTGACTGATCTTGTGTAAGAAATATGAAAAATATTTCCCTTTCCTCTATCACTTCATGTATTTGAAATGACATCCCTTCTCTCTTCCTTCATTGAAGTGGCAGCATTGATTTTCTTTTGTTAATCTCTGCTTCTGTTTTCAGAAACAACAATCAGACACACATCCCTGCAAATAGCTGTTCTTTTGTCTCTTCTAAATAGTATTTTTAATACAAATTTATTTTCCTATGGTCAGCTTCTCTTGTACATTAATAGAAGCAGGCACCAGTTCTCTTGTACGTTAATAGAAACAGGAACCAGAGAAATAACTCAAAATATTAGTCATGATTCTGACTCCCACCCAACAAGTCAGGCACTCTGCATTGCACTTATTTTCTGTAAGTGGGCAAAACCCTGAGGATTAACTAGTTCTAGTTTGGAAAACAGTTAATTCATATGTTTGAGCATGACTTATGAAAAATTTCCTGTTTGTAGATACGTGTGTGTGCTCACTGTTGTAAAAGATCTTTCTTTCAAATCTGAAAGCCCTGAGCTGGAGAGCTGTCATGGAAAAAAGGCAATGGAAAAGTCTCCTAAAATTGTTCCAATTTAAGTCAACTTGCTCCATTTATAAAACTGTTATATAGGCAGTCGGATGTCTGCTTTCAGCAAGTGCATGCGCAGTGGGACCTGAAATTGAGAGCATGTGAAATCCGCAATTCGTATGATAAGATATTCTTCCTGAATAATGAAAATTGCAGTAGGGAAACAAACCTTCAAGCAGGAATCAGCTTTTTAAGCATTTTTTTTTAAAAAGATATCTGTGCCCATTATGAAGTAAGAGAGCGTAAAATGTACCTTTTGGCGAGAGAAACAAAAATACTCCTTACTACAGATGGCAAACTGTAGACAAATGCCCTGTATGTGGTATCACATGTAATTATATCATTTTGTCTTGAAACATTTTATGAGTTTGCCTTGCTGGATGTCTGTTGTCTTTATCTTGTCTCATATGCATATACTCAGTTATATGTATGTATACATATAATTTGATTGGATAAATCCACCTAAATTAACTACTCTTGGCTTTTTCTTTGCCATGTGGCTGGAGGGGTCACATATTTGAGATTTCAAAATAAAGAACATTTAAGGTATCAGTGGAAAAAACTTAGGAAAAAAATCTGTTATCTGTTCTTATAAGGAGAAGTTCAGGTAATGGAAGATTCAGAGTGAATTCTATGAGCAAAGCTGGTTTAGGTGATGAAGTTTCAATTGATACAACTATATCAAAGCTTGTGGTAGCAAATCTTAGAATTCTTCATCTATAACTAACAGGCACAAAGACAATATAGTATGCATTTATTAGTACTGATTAAACTACAAATATAAGCTATTCTGGTGGCAGTTAGAAAGCACAATGTAAAGAAAATAAAAGGAACTACTTTTTTTTAGGATTTCAGAAGGAAGGCAGTTTTACAGAACTGAGTGAGTTCTGCCTTTTCATGTTGGATATCGTTCTGGTTCTCATCCAGACTAGTTCAAAAGTTCAGTATAATAAATTTATGATGACTGTGAAACCAAACTATTTCTTCAGGTCTTTGGAGAGAAATATGGAAAGAGTAGTGGGGAATACTAATATGTACTTTCATTAGCTATGTCATGTATAAAGGAGGTAAATATTAGAGTATTTGTCATTCACTTCAGAAGGATGCCATTAGAAAATGAAACTGGCAAGAAGTCTTCAGCAGCTCCCAAAAGAAAAGTTATGTTTTCGAGGTCCAGTGTATCATTGGAGTGGGAAGAGGATTATTTCCATATGTGTCAGGGTTAGTTTGTATTTGAGGTTATTTAAAAAGAAAGAAGTTGAACCTCATTAATTCAGTATTCTGTTAATTTGTAAACAAGATTGCCTGAGGGAGCTTTTAAACTGCTTAAAAGAGCAAACTTTTCAAACACTTTAGAGGTAGTGCCTGGTATACTAATTTCAAACAGTTATTTGCATGTGAGGCAAACATCCTTGCTGGGCAACATTTTGTTCATTTCACTCTAGCTATGGTATGCACAGTAATCCTTTCCTAAGTCTGAATTCCCTTAATCAAAATTATAGCCTAGGCAGACTTGCATCTATGTACTTCTTTCCCACCATCATCTCAAGAATTTTGGATAGAGATTTATACAAATCTCCATTCACTCCAAGTTTTGAATTTGGGAGCATTATCAAGGTACCCCAAATCTAACACCTGGATGGAGGATTGGTCAATGAAAAAGTGTCTCTTAATATTTTATTTGTAACATGGAACAGTGAATTTACAAGGATCTCATTAAAACTGTGAGAGAGGAAGACCCTGGAAAGTTTGTAATCAGCGGATTAAGTGAAAGTTAATTGTACAGCATCCTTTAGTGCTCATTTACCAAACACAATTGATATTCTTTTTACTTAATGTGCTGTTTCTGTTGCTTTATTTTGATGAGCATTAACAAATATTTCTAAGAGTTCTCTTAGGGTCACTTGTAACCACAGTCTCCTAAATTCTAGGGAATGTGGCATTGTTCAGCTCAAGAGAAAATTCTGAGGGAGCCCAAGGCCTTAGGTACTTATGTTTAGCTACTGGGACTCACTTTGATCCCAGAACACTGGGACCTTTTTCTGAGTGTCTGAGAAGTAGACTTTCTCTTTCTAGTTGTATTCTATTATTCTTGCTCGAAGGCTAAACTTTTCCTAAACTCCCCTCATCTTTGATGAAAGAAAAGCTTTCACTCAAACCCCCATTTTCTGTCCTCAGCCAGCCACATTGTTACCTCAAGCCTAATTCTCATTATTTTGAGTCAGCAGGACTCAACTAGTTTGCAGCTATGCATTCTCCATACTTTATTTTACACTTTTGTCTGATTCCTCGCAGTTTTCAGCTCCTTTCAGGCCAGACTTCCCCTTTCATTTCATCTGATCTATTTTAAGTGTCATTTGTGCTTCTCCTGACCAACACCTTATCTATTCCAAATTAGCATATATAAGAAAGTTGTTTGTCTAAACTTGGAAGGTAGCTTCCTACTCCCACCAAGGAGGACTGTGAGGGGAGTGCAAAAAGGGAAGTTTGTATTTCTGTTCCTTCTGCTGTTACCTACAACCTCCCCGTCTTCTGAACTGGGACCCTCAGGCTTTGGCCCTGGATTAGGTATTTTTTCTATAGCTCCCACCAGCTGAGGACCACTGAGTTATTTACTCTTTATCTACAGTGAAGATATTTTTGAACTAAACATGGTAGGGGCATGTGGTCTAAAAATGGGACCAAATATTAAAAATCAGAATTTTTCCTTATATGCTGTTATTCTTGTAACTCAACTATATCTTTACTCCACTTTCTATAATCTCCACTGTAGGTAGCAGCGGAGGGTGAGGGGATGTGTTGGGAGTGAGAGTGTTTTGTGAAACAAGTCTTGCCTCCCTTAGAATGTGAAGAATAAGTTCTGGTTTATTCTTTTATTTTATTTTCTTTACCCTTCTTCTTTTTTTCTGGAAAGCAAAATGGATTTACCAAATAAGGTTTCACAAATAACTGTACTCGGTCTCCCATTGATCTAGGGCCCCTATACAAACAGCCCTGGAGTTGTATGGCTGGTGACCTCCTCATGCTTTTTCTTACGAAGAATAAGTACAACCTACCTCACTAGGGAGTGTCCAGTCATGTGTTTCCAGTTTTGTTAAAGTGTGACTGAATGTGTATGTTTAAAGTGTACAGTGTGATCATTTGATATACATTGTGAAATGATGATCACAATCAAGCTAATTAACACAACAATCACCTCACCTAGTTACCGTTTGTGTGTGTGTGGTGGGAACACTTAAGATCTACTCTCTTAGCAAATTTCAAGTATACAGTTTTATTAACTTAGTTTCCATTCTGTACATTAGATTCACAGAACTTATTCATCTTATAACTAAAAGTTTGTACCCTTTGACCAGCTATTCCTCATTCCTCCTGTCTCACACCTCCCTTTCTCCTTTCACCGAGTCATTTTGTGAAGGCTCTACTGGCCATGGTTAACTTGTCCTTCCTCACAGGTTTATTTTGCTAGCCATATTCTCTCTTTCAGAAGACATGTTGATTACTCTTTTCACTTTCTGGTGATGATTGTCTTCTGTGAGATCTATTATGTAAGACTTTATCTCTTGCTAAAAGGATGTATAAGCTAAGGAAAGATTCCTGGCAATAGCTATGTAATAAAGAACAGGGAAAAAGTACAATGAAATGTATTAAAAATGACTTTGTGGAAGAAATTTTTTTGTATCACGAAATGCATAGTTACATAGTTGCCACAGAAACTTTCCAGATTTTTAAATTATTGTCTATATTCATGAGAGGTAACCATTTGTATAGTTATCTATTGCTGCATAACGCATCACCCCAAAACTCATTGCTTAAAACAACAATAATAATTTATTATCTCTCATGGTCTCTGTGGGTTATGAATTTGGGAATGGCTAGGTTGGATGATTCCTGCTGGAGGTCTCTAATGGGGTCATGCATTAGGCCATTCTTGCATTGCTATGAAGAATTATCTAAGACTGGGCAATTTATAAAGAAAAGAGGTTTGATTGGCTCATGATTCTACTGGCTGTACAGGAAGCGTGGTTCTGGGATTTGCTTCTGGTGAGGGCCTCAGGATGCTTCCAATAATGGCAGAAGGTAAAGGGAGAACAATTGCATCACATGGCAAAAGTGGGAACAAAAGAGAGGTAGAGGTGTCAGGCTCTTTTAAACAACCATATCTCACCTGAACTGAGTGGGAACTCACTTGTAACCAAGGAGATGGTGCTAAACCATTCATGAGGGATCTGTCCCCATGATCCAGTCACCTCCCACCAGGCCCCACCTCCAACATTGGGAATAGAATTTCAACATGAGATTTGGGAGAGGACACACTTCCAAACCATATCAGGTTGCAATCTAATGTTGGCTGGGGCTGCAGTCATCTGAAGGCTTGTTTGGGGCTGGAAGACCTGTTTCCTAGTGACTCAATAACATGGCTGCAAGTTGGAACTGACTGTAGGTGATGAGACTCAGTTCCTCTCCTTGTGGGCTTCTACATAGGTCTTCTGTAATATCCTTATAGCCTGGCAACTGATTTTTCCCAAAACAAGCAATCCAGGAGACCAAGATGGAAGCTACAATGTCTTTTTTGGCCTATACTTGGAAGTCACACATCATCACTACTGCTGTGTTCTATTGGTCATGCAGGGCCAAGCCTGATTCATTGTGGGAGGAGACTATCCAAAGTCAAGAATACCAGAAGGTGTGCATCATTGGGGACCATCTTGGAAGCTGGCTATCACACCATCCATATGAATGAGAAATAAACCTTCTGAGTATCTGATAATAATAATAATAACAACAACAATAACAGAAGCTCCTACTTTTCTGTCTTAATAATTTCTATATAGAAACTCCTAGTGTAATTTCTGGGCTGGCACGCACTCCTGGTTCTCTTCTTTCCTCCTTGCCTTTATTTTGTCTATCACTTTCATGGAACTCTTTCTTCAGTCTGCACTTTCAACATGTTTCCTTAGTGGCTTATCTTTAGTTCTTTATTCTCACTGTACATGCTTTACCTGGGTGACATTAAGGGTGCTGTATTAGTCAGGGTTCTCTTAGAGGGACAGAACTAACGGGTATGTAATATATATATTACTGTATACATATATAATGTATTATATATAATGTAATACATTATGTATATAATATAATATAATGTAATATATATAGGGGAGTTTTTAAAAATTTAATTATTATTATTATTTTTTTTTTGAGACAGTCTCACTCCGTGGCCCAGGCTGGAGTGCAATGGCACAATCTCGGCTCACTGCAACCTCTGCTTCCCGGGTTCAAGCGATTCTCCTTGCCTCAGCCTCCCAAGTAGCTGGGACTACAGGTGCCCATCACCACACCCAGCTAATTTTTGTATTTTTAGTAGAAATGGGTTTTCACCATGTTGTCCAGGCTGTTCCTGAGCTCCTGACCTCGGGTGATCTGCCCGCCTCTGTCTCCCAAAGTACTGGGATTACAGGCGTGAGCCACCATGCCCGGCAGGGAGTTTATTAAGTAATAACTTACATGGTCACAAGGTCCCACAATAGGCTGTCTGCAAGCTTGCGGAGCAAGGAGAGCCAGTCCGAGTCTCAAAACTGAAGAACTTGGGGTCTGATGTATGAGGGCAGGAAGCATTCAGCAGGGGAGAAAGATGTAGACTGGGAGGCCAGGCCCATCTCTCTTTTCACATTTCTCTGCCTGCTTTATATTTGCTGGAAGCTGATTAGATTGTGCCTACCAGATTAAAGACGGATCTGCCTTCCCCAGCCCACTGATTCAAATATTAATCTCTTTTGGCAACACCCACACAGACACACCTAAGATTAATACTTTGTATCCCTCAATCCAATCAAGTTGACACTCAGTATTAACCATCACAGGTGCCCACTGCTGAGGTCTCAAATCCGTATTTTCTGCCTAAACTTCTTTTATTTCCAGCATCTATCTCTAAAATATATTGCAAATTGACCATTTTCAAATTCTAACTGATCACTTTTCTCTCTAAGCCTACTCTTCCTGTACCCTCTTTCTGATATCTGACATGAAGTTGACATTGGAGTGTTTACTGAATGAATCTATTTATGCATCGTGACATCTCTAATTGTAGGCATCTTTATGCTTTTCAGTGTGGGCAAATGTCACACTGGCAAAAATAAATTATTAGACAACTTTAGGGCTGGGCACGGTGGCTCACACCTGTAATCCTAGCACTTTGGGAGGCTGAGGCAGGAGAATTGCTTGAGCCAAGGAGTTCGAGACCAAGCCTAGGCAACATAGGGAGACCCCATCTCTACCAAAAAAAAAAAAAAAAAAAAAAATTAAAAGATTAGCCAGGCATGGTGGTGCTATTAGGTCCCAGCTACTCAAGAGGCTGATGTGGGAGGATTGCTTGGGCCTGGGAGGTTGAGCATGCAGTGAGCCACTGCACTCCAGGCTAGGTGACAGAACAAGAACTTTCTCAAAAAAGAAAAAATAAAACTTTGATAGAAGAATTTTTTAAAAATATAGGCAATACATTAGGAATAAATGGGTAAAAGTAAACATACACATAGATATAATACTTATGGTTCATTTCAAACACTTATTTATGAACCAGAAAAGATGCCTGAGAGTCACTGTCAACTATTACTTGAAGTCTCAATGCCCAATACTGCCATAAGGGATTCGTAATCCTAGGTATTATCAGGATGGAAACAAAGCTCTACCTTTTCAAAAATTATTTTATTGGGTATTCTTCAAATGTGGCCTTTTACAATCACCTCTTGTCCCAACCTCAGCATAACTTCAGCTTTCTCCTTTGACCTACTCTGTCTATATAATGCCCTGGTTCTGAGAAGCTTAGACTAAAACTTTTGTCAAAGGATAGGAAAAGAGCATGGTGATGATGGTGATGATGGTGATGATGATGGTGATGAAGATGATGATGATGATGATGATGATGATAGTTAACATATAGTAATTTTCTTCTATGTACCAAATGATGTGCTAAGTGGTCTGTATGCATTATCTCATTTAACCATCACAACAACCTCGCGAGATAGGTACTACTATCTTTAACCCCATTTTAGGGATGAAGCCACTGAGGCTCCCAAGATCACACAGTGAATAAGATATGCATTCAGGTTGAGATTGACACCTGTCTTACTCAAAATCTCTTTGTAATCCCTTCCAAACCCCCTCCCCTAGCCTCAATCACCTTAATAAGTGCTGTATACCTTCTTAAAGGATATAATACTGCCTAAAGTCACTGAGTTAGAGGAAACTCCAAAGGTCATATATATAGCCTATAAACCTACATATGTGAGATATAAGACACTATAGCTTCTGCTGTTACTTTAGTGTCCTCTCTAAGTTGAAACTCTCAACAGCTCAGTGAAGTATCTATAAAGGATATTATCACCACTTAGGGGATATGTGACTTGCCGAAAATCACCCAGTAAGCTTGTGATAGAGCTCGAACTAGAATCTAGGCCTCCTAATACCTAGTTCCTTTTTTTCCTTCTATTTTAGTGTTCAAAGTTATGAGTATGGAACCACATTTCTAATTATCATTAGCCAGAAGATACACATGACTGTTCTGAGATGTCTTTTTTTTTTTTTTTTTTTGAAACGGAGTCTCGCTCTGTTGCCCAGGCTGGAGTGCAGTGGCGTGATCTCGGCTCACTGCAAGCTCCGCCTCCTGGGTTCACGCCATTCTCCTGCCTCAGCCTCCCGAGTAGCTGGGACTACAGGCGCCCACCACCACGCCTAATTTTTCTTGTATTTTTAGTAGAGACAGGGTTTCACCGTGTTAGCAGGGATGGTCTCAATCTCCTGACCTCGTGATCTGCCCGCCTCAGCCTCCCAAAGTGCTGGGATTACAGGTGTAAGCCACCACGCCAGGCCTGTTCTGAGATATCTTAAATGATATAGATTTTTATAACTGGGGAGAACAAAGGACCAATACCAGTCATGTGCTTGAGAACTACCATATCAGTGTTGATGACTCATTTGCTTTCACCCAAACGCCCTCTTGAGTCCTTTAAACTTTTTTCCCTTCAACTTTATTGAGGTATAATTGACCAAAAAAATTGTGTATATTTAAGGTATACAGCATGGTGATTTGATATATGTATACACTGTGAAATGATTACCACAATCAAGCTAATGAACACATCCAACTTGTTTAAAATAAGTCTATTATCCCAGGATTCCCAGACCCCCCTGATAAAAGTCCTGGGTCTTCCTGCAAGGCATGCTTTAATACAGCTTCTTCCCACAAGGGGGAGCCAAAAATGCTTTGGGGGCTAGGAGATGAAAAACACTAAGAGGTTCTGAAAATCCTGCTTCCTTTCTGGTTTCTTTTGCCAGTAAGGCCCTTCCAGCAGTCTCCAGAAAGGAAAAGTAGATGGTGTTGCTGCTGATGGTAGTGTTTTTGTATATGGACATGGGATGGGGGTAGGGGGCTTTTATCTGAAGAAACTTGATCCTGAGAGATAAAGTCCTTCTGAGCAACCAGTCAGCACTGTATTCTCATCACCTATTTCCTTCTCCTGCTGGAACTTTGTCCTGCAAAGCTGCATTCTTTTGCCACCGTGTGGGGGAATTGGATCAGCTGCCTGTTGAAGTCTGCTCCCTTAACACTGGGTCGATAATCTTGCCCCATCAGCCCATTGGAGCTGCTTCTGCCACCTCCCGCTAAGGGTGTTAAAGAGGACCTGGTAAAAAGACTTCTACTGCCTTCTTTGCAGAAAGTGGGTAGATGTTGGGGGAGAAAATCCCATGTGATTATGGCCTTTAGCACTGCTTTAACTTTGGTAGTACCAATATTTCAGTTAAGCCAGGAGCAAGAAGGGTTGCTGTGGCTTTGACAGATAAAGCAAATTACTGAATCCACATTTGAAGAAGAAATTTGGCCCCAAACCAGGAGTATGTATAAAGGATGGAGAAATTCAGGCTTATTCAGAATGTAAAAATTAATTAAACTATTGTTTCCATTGATACCCTGCAGATCTTTTTTTCTGTCAGAAATATTTAAGAAATTTACATGTGATAATAACTTTCAAACACGATATTTCCAAATGTCAAGTTAATGTGTTCAGGGAACAAAAAGACTCAAGTACCCAGTATGAGGTTCACATCACATCTGTTTCCGCAAGTACTTTTGGGACCCTTTGAGGCAAAGACAGTGGGGGACCTTGACTTATTTGTAAGACATGGAAGTGAAGATGGGAACATCCCTTTCATCTCCTTTCATCTTTAAAAAGGGAGATGAGGATTGGTTGGCATAGTCTAGTATTTCAGGAAAAAATAAATTACAAGTGATTTTAATTGCAGAAATAACAATATTCATAAATGAAAAATGGGGTTACTTTTTAGGATAGAGAGAAGTAGGCTATTAAAATGGCATATTTTGAATAATATAACTTCCCAGCAAGATGTAATTGCTGATTTTTTAAAAGAGTAAAGCAATAATCTAGTAATTCTAAAAATCCATTCAGTTTTCTGTAGACATTTAAGAATTACTGTTTGTTTTTTGGAGTGGAAGTAACATCTTTTGCAGTTAGTTTTTGGAACATGGCCACTGCTGAATAAAGAATTCCAGTCGTGCATTATATTCCTTTTGTATAATTGCACTAAGAGAATACGTTGGCATATTGTATGGTTTATAATGAGCTGGAAATAAAAATGAAAAAGGTACCACAAACCCTCAACAATGAATTAGTTATTCTGAATATTTTATTTTTCTAACAGTGATGCTATGTAAATTGAACAAAATGTCAAAAATGCTTCTTGGTATTTGGTCTGAGAGTTAAACGAAAGCAAGGTACAGAACTGATCAGTGACTAGATTTCTTGGTTCTTCTAAGGAGTTCCTTCACAGGGCAGTTTAGCTTCTGTCTAAACCTGCCTTTGAAGACATGTTGGGTTAGGTCTAAATCTGTTCTTTTATCACTATTACTCCAAATCAGGCAATGAGGAGGTTGTGCGACCCTGAGGCCCCAGTTGCAATTAAAGTACTTAATAATAATTGTCAAAAACATATACAGTTATTATACAAGAATGATTATCTTGAGCTACTAGCAATCCTTTAACCTTTAGGCTATAGGTTCCTTACTTTCTTTCTAATTCCTCCCATGTATTTCATATGAGTCCAGTCAGAAACTATAGACTGTTAAAAACTGTGAAGCATCTGGGATTTTTTACCTTACTTGCAAGCCAGCAAGTTAGCTAAGACAGTTTCTTGTTGCTGGCAGGAGACACAAGACTCGTATCAGAGATGAAGAACAGTTTATTACTCACAGCAGTAGCAGTAGCCAAAGTCTCAGCATTTTCTCTGAGCCCCGGTACCCACAAGATGGTGTGAAGAGGGCCACATGATGTCTGCTCACTCACTGGGTTGCATTACAGAAGAGAACCCCAAGCTCAGGGGGCTCAAATCTTTTATAAAAGGCAGTAAGCATGCCAGCCCTTTGCTCCAGAGAGTGACATTATATTTATTATACTGCAATGTAGTTATCTGTATCTTCAAGGGCTGTAAGCAAACCTGCTTTTTTTCCCCGCAGAGTAAGACACTGTCTCTGTCTAAACAGTCTTGAAAAGATTATTCCAGAACGAAGTCACTCAGTGCATCTGCTCACAAGCTGTACAAAAACACAAGAGATCCACTGGGAATTGTCTCCCAACACAGACTAGGGCCAAGATGGCCTCTGAAGAACTGTTGGCCTAGTCCATCCTTGGGAGTTGCTGCTGACAGGACAAAGCACCATAGTCATCACCATCATTACTATTACTCTTGCCTGGAAGAATTTTGTCCTCATCTTCCCGAAACAGAAAGTCCGTACTCTGCACCTGACTCTGGTTTAGCCAGGAGATTTGGGAGGATGTAACTTGGTCACCATAATTTGGCTTGTGACTTGAGATTGGGGGCCAATGGTTACAAAGTTAACATGCTAATTTGGTTTACTCCTATCTCTCACTTAAAAAAAATAACTAACTTGATTGAAGCTTTATGTAGCTCCAGTTCAGCGGTTCAAAGCTTTGAAGGGAAAGACCATTCTGTTGGAAGGAAAGATGTGGAATTTGGAAGCTCAGGCCAACTCCCAGTCCCTGAAGAAAAATGGGTCTCCTGACATAGCCTTCAATAAGCTTCTGGGCAAAGGGGCCATGAAGCCAGCCAAAAGATCTCTGTTTATCTGCCACATTTTCTTCACATAGGTAGAAATATTATCTTTAAATCAGCAAGCTGTACAATCTGAAATTAACAAAAAATATTGAATTATAGAGCTGTGCTGTCATGAAAATCCAAAAATTACTGTCTTCAAAGTTTTGCCTTAAAAATCCTTTTGTTTTCTTGCCGGATTCTAGGAAGTTCAACATGAGAAAAGGCTGTATTGTCAGATTGTATTTCATGGACTCTTAAAGTTGCAAGGAACCTTAGAGCTCTGCAGGCCAGCCTGGCCCCCAGGGCTAAGTCCTTGCTGTAACTTCTTGTCAGAGGATCATTGTTCCTCTCAGAGAGGTAGCTGGACTGGGCAAAGCTCTGGATCTGTACTAGGCTCCGCCACTGATGGGCTGTGAGACTTTGTGGATATCACTACTTCTCTAGCCTAGGTGTACTCAGACCTAAAGAAGAGAGAAGCCAGATGATCTTTTAGTGTTCTGCTAGCTCTGACATGCCTCTGGTGGTCTCTAAATTCTGGAATGTGTGAATATTTGAACATTTTGAAAGGATGATTTTTTTTCCTGATAATAGAAGTAACACGTTTATTTTAGAAAAATAAGAAATTACAGATTTTAAAAGTAATTTCTAATCTTATTACCAATTTCAGTGCATATTTTAGACTATTTTGTGTGTGTAATAAAATTGGAGTCATATTGTTCTGTAATTTGCCCCTTTTACTTATCAAAATAGCATGCGCATCTTACTATAGCAATTGTACTGTATCCTGAAGGAAGTAGAGAGCCAGTGAAGGGTTTTAAGTAATTTTCCCTGTAAGTCATCCCTCTCCAGGTCAGTGGTAGACAAGAGAGAAGATAGTTTTTATGCAATTTTGGGATTAGTTCATTCCATTGTTTATTGCTTTCTGTGCAGAAAAAGGATGGCTCATGGTTCTCTTCATTGAATATGGGGGTTATAGATTATTTTAGAAGTTCAGACATCATGAGATGCTATATTATTGGCACTGTCTGTGTACATTTGTCTGCTGTGAAAACAAATTAGAATGGCACATTTCAAGGCACTACTCATATGGAGACTATTTAATTATACCAAAATCAAAACTATCAGCTATGAATATCAAATCTCACAGCTCCCAACGCAGATACTGACAACCATCAAGCCAATTTTTAGTAGCATGTGGGCCAATTGTTACAAAACAGCTTTTATTTATTTAAGCTCTTTATTTAAGTGACCAAATTTATTTAAGATTCTTTCATTCCTTACACATTCAAAAGGATCAGAGGTACTGTACAAAATTAAACACTGTAAAATATAGGGCCTTTACATTTTAAAAATCAAGGATACCAACTAAGGAACCAAAAAGCGTGGATGCCATGAAGTATCTAGATAAGTCAATCCAAGTCTGTTTCCTAGCAGCAAAAGTAAACAGGAAAATATATTGGCTTGCATGTTTTTATTGTTGCAGCAGAAAAATATGTATTCTTTTCCCCCAGACAAATTTTATCCTGATATTTATTATATGGTCTCTCATGTGAAAGATAATAGGTAGTAGTAGACACCTTCAACTATAGTTTTGCAAAGGAACAATAACCCTGTTAAAATGGAAAATTCCTGTATTGACCTTCTACATAAGGGTTGAGTGTGTAATATTAAATCATAATTCAGTTTAGACATTTCTTTGGAGGCTGAAATAATACAGTCCTGATATGTGGCTTTCTGATTATTTAAAATATGGAAATAGAACTTGGAGAATGTGGTTGATCATCTAGCTATCATGCCCACTTTATTCTTTCTTTCTCAAGGGTCAGATGCCTCAAGGGGACCATTGCCTGACTATAGCTTGCATAGGAATCATGTTGGAAATCTTGGTCAGGTAACTCTAGGACCCAGGGTCTAGGTTTATCCATACACTTTGAGTAGGTGTTCGATAAAATTTTGTTAAATGAATAACTTACCAGGGTCCACAGCCTGGACAGACACTTTCCTCCCTCTTAGTACTCTCTCTCTACTAGGGAGCACCTTACGTGAATCTGCTTTTTTCTCCATGTACTATCTGACTACTCTCTTATTCATTTCTCAGTGATCTCCTCTTCTTCCTTCTCTTTTTTACCATTTCCACCCTTGTGCAGTCTGCATCTGCCATGTTTTGGACAACAGCTGCCACAAATACAATTTGAATGCAAATACAATTACATTTCAAAAATTACTCCTACCATATTGCAAAAAATAGAAAACAACAATCAAGAAAAGACTGGTTAAATTATGAAACAGCAATATGATGGAATACTATGCAGCTGTTGAAAAGATGTTGAGAAGATTTAATGACATGAATAAATATCCATGATATATATTTAAGTGGAAAAAACTGTGTGTGAGTATACATGAATTTCTTTTGATATCTATTTTTTTCTATCCACCTATCATTTATTGAGAGAGTGAGACATAGAGACACAAAGACACACACACCCAGAGACAGACACACAGACAGACATAGACACACACAGAGAGTGTACAGCTTTAGGTGGTAAAATTAAAGGTGATTGCATTTCTTTGCATTTTGCTTCTCTGTACTTTAAAATTTTTCTATAGTAAACATGGATTATTTGTGTTTAAACAAAAAATATAAAACTCCTTGGCATGGCATACAAAGCCTTTTAATAGGCGGTCAGTGCATATTCCTCTAGCTTCTGTTTTAATATTCCCTCATCCTTTGTTATATGCGTTACAAACTCCAGTCACATGGGGCCACTTGAATTTCCCCCAGATGCTCTGGGATCTCCCTCCCATACTAGACTGCAGACTCCTAGTAGCAGTTGGTGGCTGGGTTGTGGCCCTGTCTGTATCTTTTCCACTTAGTGCAGTGCCTGGCGCTTAACAAGTGCTCAGCGTCTGTTTGTTGAATGAATAGGCAATGTATCATATACTCTTCTCTCGATTTTAATCAGACCCTCCCTCCTCCTTCCTTGTCACTGATGCACTTCTGCTGTTCAATTATCAAATTATGGACCTTATATCATATGTTAACATGGGTTTGGAGATAGTCAGTGAACATGTCCAGAGTTGTTTAACCATGAACCTTATATATATGTTCATGCCCTTATACATTCTTTAGCCTCTAATCAAGCTCATTCCCTATCTATTTCATGAAAGCACACCTTCATTTTAGGACTTATTTTGAACACATAAAAAGAGATGATCGTAAGACATCCTAACTATAAAAACCTGCAGTATCCATTTCCCTCCTGAAAAAACATATCTGGCTCTGTTTCTTCTAAAAGTAAAATTAGACCTTGCAGAGATGGTACAATTTAAACGGCACCACCCAATTAATTTTTCTGGCCAATTTTATTTTTGAAACAATAATTAAACATGGTCTTCTGTAACATCTATTCTTTCTTTTCCCCAAGGAGAGATTTTGTATTATTTTCCTTTTGTCTTTGCTCAGCACTTTGGAGTGTGTGAGTTTTCATTAACTATTCTGAATGCAGGCAAAGGCAATGTGGTAGGAACAAACACAAATCAAGGCCGCATAAATTAATAATCTTTTTAGAACCATTGTCCTGTATGCCTTTAGAAATTAATTTTAATACCAGCAAACAAGTTCAAAAATTCCTCCTTCTTTAGCTACTGTAAGAAACTCAAACTTCCTTTGGCAATTTTATGAATGATAAAAGCTCACTTTTGCCTATATTTTTATGGCAAGTATCATACGGATTTATGCAAGGGGAACAAAGAAATGAGTGGAGAGAGACCAGCCACCTGTGTTAATCAGTAGAGTACAGGAAAGTGTGTTATAAATTATGACAGGTAGATCTTTCCCTTTCTCTTTTTGTCTCTTTCTGACTAACTGGGTGTGTGAATTTATCTTCCTGAATTGTAAGGGATTTCTCCATAAAATATCAGTTAATAAGTACCTCAGGTAGGTTCATTCATGGGTAGAGTGTCTCCTAAAGATCTAGTAGCCATAGAATAGAGCACAGTGTAGTTTCATGGTTAACAGCAGAGATTGGTGTTAGACTGAAGCTGACTTTAACCCCAGCCTCACCGGTAGTAAGCTCTGTCATTTTATTTTATTTATTTATTTTTTATTTTTGAGACGGAGGCTCACTCCATCACCCAGGCTGGAGTGCAGTGGTGCGATCTCCACTCACTGCAATGTCTGCCTCCCAGGTTCAAGCAATTCTCCTGCCTCAGCCTCCTGAGTAGCTGGGACTATAGGCACGTACCACTACGCCTGGCTAATTTTTGTATTTTTAGTAGATATGGGGTTTTGCCATGTTGGCCAGGCTGGTCTTGAACTGACCTCAGGTGATCCACCCACCTTGGCCTCCCAAAATGCTGGGATTACAGGTGTGAGCCTCCCTGCCCAGCCAGCTCTGTCATTTTAGATAAATCGCTTAACCTCAGTGTATATCACTTGTGTGTAAAAGGGGGGGAAATGGTGGTATTTACTTCATAAGATTATTCTGAAAATTAAATGAGTTAATAGATGTTTTAATTTGTACTCCCCTAATGGCTAGTGATGTTGAACATCTTCTCAAGGGTGTTGGCCATCTACATACCCTCTTTGGCAAAGTGTCTGTTCAAATCTTTTGCCCATTTTTAAATTGGATTGTTTATTTTTTTACAGTTGAGGTTTTTTTGTTTTGTTTTGTTTTGTTTTGTTTTGAGACAGAGTGCAATGGCACGATCTCAGCTCATCGCAACCTCCGCCTCCTGGGTTTAAGCAATTCTCCTGCCTCAGCCTCCCGAGTAGCTGGGATTAGAGACATGCATCAACATACCCAGTTAATTTTGTATTTTTAGTAGAGACGGGGTTTCTCCATGTTGGTCAGGCTGTTCTTGAACTGCAAACCTCAGGTGATCCGCCTGCCTTGGCCTCCCAAAGTGCTGGGATTACAGGTGTGAGCCACCACACCCAGCCTACAGTTGAGTTTTTAAATATAAGTTTTTATTTTGAAATAGTCTGTGACTCACAAGAAATGCAAAAATAGTGCCGAGAATTCTCAAGTGTCCTTTGCCTAGCTTCCCCCAGTGATAATATCTCACAAAACCATATATATTGTTAAAACCAGGAAATTGACATTGGCACAATACTACTAAGTCAGGTACAGACCTAGATTTTACATACACTTTAAAAATGTATTTTGTTAAATCTTACTAAATGTGTAGATTCAAGTACACATCATGATAATCAGGATATAGAACTGTTTCATCACCACAAATAAACTCCCTCATGTTACCCCTTAACAGTCACACTCTTCCCTCAAACCTAATCCCTAGTAACCACTGGTCTATTCTGTATCACTATAATCTTTTTTAACTTTGAGAACATTGTATAAATGGAATTATACAGTAATCTTTTGAGATTGGCTTTTTTTTTCACTCAGTATGCCTTTGGAGATCCATCACATGATAGTTCTTTATATATTATGGGTATAAGTCCTTTGTGGAATGTATGATTTGCAAATATTTTCTTCCAGTCTGTAGCTTATCTTTTCATTGTCCTATAAATGTCTTTCTCAGAGCAAAAGTTTTTAATTGTGATGAAGTCTTCCAAATTATAAGTGTTGTTATGGATTGTGTTCTTGGTGTCATGTAAAATCACTCTTTGCCTAACCCCAGGTCAAAAAACATCTCCTATGTTTTCTTTCAAAAATTGTATGTTTTTTTTTTTTTTTTTTTTTTTTTTTTGAGATGGAGTCTCGCTTTTGTTGCCCAGGCTGGAGTGCAGTGGCATGGTCTTAGCTAACTGTAACCTCCGTCTCCCAGGTTCAAGCGATTCTCCTGCCTCAGCCTCCTGAGTAGCTGGGATTACAGGCATGTGCCACCATGCCCGACTAATTTTTGTACTTTTGGTAGAGATGGAGTTTTGCATGTTGGCCAGGCTGGTCTCGAACTCCTGACCTCAGGTGGTCTGCCCGCCTCAGCCTCCCAAAGTGCTGGGATTACAGGCGTGAGCCACCATGCCCAGCCCCCAAAATTGTAGTTTTACATTTTATGTTTGAATTAATTTCTGGAAAAGGTTTGATTTTAGGGAGAGATTTATTATTTTTTCACAAGTAATTTTTCAACACTGTTGTTGAATCTTTGCTCCACTGAATTGCCTTCAAGCCTTTATTAAACTCATTTTCCCCTATTTGTGTGGGTATATTTCTGGACTCTCGGTTGTATTCCGGGAATGTATATAT
The DNA here is from genome assembly GCF_000001405.40 of Homo sapiens. Taxonomy (NCBI): domain Eukaryota; kingdom Metazoa; phylum Chordata; class Mammalia; order Primates; family Hominidae; genus Homo; species Homo sapiens. Next base: position 133,830,181 of record NC_000023.11, on the reverse strand, counting down.
CTATCCCTTTAGCAACACCATGCTGTCTAATCTTTACAGTACTGGAGCTTTCCAATAGGACTTAAAATTGTGCAATAGGATTCCCCCAATTTTATTCTTCTTTTTCAAAATTGTTTTGGTTATTCTGGGTATTTTGGATTTCCACAGGAATTTTAGGATCAGTTTGTCTGTATATGCAAATTATCTTGCAGGGATTTTGATAGGAATTGTGTTAATTAGATCAGTTGTGTTAATGTAGATAAATTTGGGAAGATTACATCTTTACTATGTAAAGTCTGTATGAATTTTGAAGCTCTGTCATTAGGTGCATACACATTTAGGATTGTTTTACTTTCTTTGTGGATTGACTCTTTTATCATTATGTAATGTCCTTCTCTATCCCTGATAATTCTTTTTGCTCTGTAGTCTACTTTGTCTGATTTTAATATAGCTAGCCCAGCTTTCTTTTGATTAGTATTTGCATAGTATATTATTTTTTTCTTTTTGCTTTTAATTTCCATGTTTGTGAATTTATTAAATTCCCTTCTGTTATTGATTTCTAATTTCATTCTACCATGGTTAGAAAACATCTCATGTGTCATTTTAATTCTTTAAAATTTATTTAAAATTGTTTTGTGTCCTGACTTTTGGTCTGCCATGGAGAATGCTTGATGTTCACTTGAGAATGTGTGTTCTGCTCTTGTTGGAAGAAATGTTCTATAGATGTTTGCTAGGACTATTTGGTTTATAGTGTTGTGCAAGTCTTCTGTTTCCTTGCTGACCTTTGTCTAGTTATACTATGCATTATTGAAAGTGAAGTGTTGAAGTCTCCAACTATTACTGTTGAATTGTCTATTTCTTTCTTCAATTCTGCCAACTTTTCTTCATGTATTTTGGGGCTCTGTTATCAAATTCATATATGCTTATAATTGTTATATCTTTTTGATGGAATAACCCTTTACCGTTATAAAATTTTTTTGTCTCTAATAACGTTTTGGTCTGATATTAGTATAGCCACTTTAGCTCTCCTTTTGGTTACTGTTTTCATGGTATATCTGTATGTTTTCTTCCAACCTTTTATTTTCAATCTATTTGTGTCTTTGAATCTAAAATGTGTCTCTTGTTGACAGCAGATAGCTGGATCATTTTGGCATTTTAGTTGGACATGGGTTTTTATTGTTGTTGTTTCCCTATCCAATTTAATTCAGTTACTTTATTTATATTTTTAATTGACAAATGTTGTATATATTTATGGAATACAACATAATGTTTCAATATATGTATACATTGTGGAATGACTAAATGAAGCCAGTTAACATATCTATCACCTCATCTACTTATGTACTTTTTTTTTTCTGGTAAGAACATTTAAAATCTATTCTTAAAGCAATTTTGAAAAATACAATACTTAATTATTAACTGTAGACACCATGCTGTGCGATAGATCTCAAAAAGTTCTTTCTCCTATCTAACTGAATCTTTATACACTTTGACAGACATCTCCCTTTTCCCCACTCCCCCACCCCAGGCTCTCATAACTGTCATTTGATTTTGCATCTGTGAGTTCAACCTTTTCAGATTCCACATGTAAGTGAGATTAATTGGAGACTTTAATAAATTCCCATTTAATGTAATTACTGATAAAGTAGGGTTTCCATCTGCCATTTTTAATTTGTTTTCTATATGTTTTATGTTTTTTCTTGTTCCACTATTCCTGCATTGTCCATTTTAAAAAGATCGTTTCAGGCCAGGCACAGTGGCTCACACCTATAATCCCAGCACTTTGGGAGGCTGAGGCAGGTGGATCACCTGAGATCAGGAGTTCAAGATCAGCCTGGTCAACATGGGTGAAACCCCATCTCTACTAAAAATACAAAAATTAGCTGGGTGTGGTGGCGCTCACCTGTAGTCCCAGCTACTCTGGAGGCTGAGGCAGGAGAATGGCTTGAAGCCAGGAGGTGGAGGTTGCAGTGAGCCTAGATTGTGCCACTGTACTCCAGACTGAGCAACAGAGCAAGACTCCAGCTTGAAAAAAAATTAAAAATAAATAAATAAAAATTAAAAATAGTTTCTACTGTGCCATTTTAATTTTCTTGTCATCATTTTTAACTATATATTTTTGTGTTATTTTTTAATGCTTGCTGTCAGCACTACAATTAAGTTCTCAGCTTATGACAATTTAGTTCAGGTTAATACCAAGTAAATTTAAATAAATATAAAAACTTTGGTTGTTCTTTTTTTTTTTTTTTTTTTTTTTTGGGATGGAGTTTTGCTCTTGTTGCCCAGGCTGGAGTGCAATGGCATGATCTCGGTCACTGCAACCTCCGCCTCCCGGGTTCAAGGGATCCTCCCTCTTCAACCTCCCGAGTAGCTGGGGTTACAGGTATGCACCACCATGCCCAGCTAATTTTTTTTTCTTTGAGATGGAGTCTCACTCTGTTGCCTAGGCTGGAGTGCAGTGGCGTGATCTCGGCTCACTGCAACCACTGACTCCCAGGTTCAAGCAATTCTCCTGCCTCAGCCTCCTGAGTAGCTGGGACAACAGGTGTGTGTCACCACGCCCAGCTAATTTTTGTATTTTTGGTAGAGACAAGGTTTCACCAGGTTGGCCAGGCTGTTCTCGAGCTCCTGACCTCAAGTAATCCACCTGCCTTGGCCTCCCAAAGTGCTGGGAATACAGGTGTGAGCCACCATGCCCGGCCTAAAATCTTTGGTTCTATATAGCACGGTTACTCCCTCTCCTTTATGCTGTTGTTGTCACAAATTACATCTGTATATATCGTGTGTCCATAAACACAGATTTATAAGTTTTGCTGTATGTAATTGTTTTTAAATCAGGAGAAAGAAAAAAGGGGTTACACGCAAAAACTACATTTATATTGTCTTTTATATTTACCTATATAATGACTGTTACCTGTGTTCTTTATTTCTTCATGTGAATTAGAGTCACTATCTAATATCCTTATATTTCAGCCTGAAGGACTTCCTTTAATTTTTCTTGTAGCACAAGTCAGCTAGTAACAAATTCTCTCAGTTTTTGTTTATCTGGGAATGTCTTGATTTCCCCTTCATCTTTTTACCTAGGTGAAATTCATATACAATAGAACCCATTTTAAAGTGAACAATTCAGTGACATTTAGTTCATTCACAATGTTGTTCAACCACCACCTCTATCTACTCCCAAAACATTTTCATCACCCCAAAATGGAATCTTGTATCCATAAAGCAGTTACTCTACATTTCCCCTTCATTAGAGGCATAGTTTTGATAGATATAGACTCTTTGTTTGACAGGTATTCTCAGCAATTTGAACATATTAATCCACCATCTTCTGGCCTTCATGGTTTCTGATAAGAAATCAGCTGTTAATTTTATTGAGGATTCCTGGTGCATGGATCAGTTCTTTCTTGCTGCTTTCAAGGTTTTCTGTTTGTCTTTGTTTTTCAAAGGTTTCATTATGATGTGTCTAGGTGTGGATATCTTTGAGTTTTTCCCAAGAATCTGTTGAGTTTCTTGGATGTGTAGATTGATTTTTTCAAAAAATCAAATTTGGGAAGTTTTTGGCCATTATTTCTTCAGATATTCTTTCTGCATGCTTTTCTCTCTCTTCTTCTGGGACAACAATTATGTTTTTGTTGGTATGCTTGATGATATTCTACAGGTCTCTGAAGCTGTTTTTCTTCATGCTTTTTTCTTTCCTTTCCCCAACCAAATGATCTCAATTGATGTATCTTCAAATTCGCTGATTCTTTATTCTGCCTGCTCAAATATGCTCTTGAGCCCCTCTAGAGAATTTTAAAATTCTAGTTATTTCACTTTTAAGCTCCAGAATTTCTATTTAGTTTTTCTTTAAAAAAATTATATTGCTTTATATTTTTGACATGGTGAAACATTATTCTGATACTTACCTTTAGTTCTTTAGATGTGCTTTTCTTTAGCTCTTTGAATATATTTAAAATAGCTGATTCAGAGTCTTTGTCCAGTATGTCTAATGTCTGTGCATACTCAGGAACAGTTTCTATTGATTACTTTTCCCTTCTGTGTATGGGCTATAATTTCTTGTTTCTTTGCGTGTCTTTTGTGGGTTTTTTGGTTAAAAATTGGGCGTTTTAAATAATATAATGTGGTAACTCTGGAAATCAGATTCTTTCCCTTCCCCAGTGTTTGTTGCTGCTGTTACTATTTGTTTTAATTGTATTTATTTAGTGAGTTTTCTGAGTGAACTCTGTAATGTCTGTGTGTGGCCACTGAAGTCTGGTTAGCTTAGTGGTCAGTGAATGATTGGACAGAGATTTTCCTTAAATGCTTGGAATGAACAAATTTTCCAATGTTTGCTGAGGGGCTCTGTGTGTATATTGGGGCATCTTTTCAACAGTTAGGCAGTTGACAACTCTGCCTTAGCCATCATTTCTTACTTGTGCAGGGTCTCAAGGTCAACCATAAGTAAGACCTTTGTGCCTTCTCAGGTCTTTCCCGAGGATGAGCACAGCCCTACATGTGTACATGACCTTCTGTATTTCCATGAATATGTCTAAGATTTCCAAAGCCCCTGTGGATATCTTCTTTTCCAGTTTTTCCTGTTAAGCTTTTGTTTATTCTTTGTCCCAGCTGTATCCACCACCTCAGGCAGTCACAGAGCCTTGTCAGTAATACTCTTTGACTAATTCCCAACCCTCCCTCCTCCCCAAGAAAATGCTTTTTGTAGTGGGTACTTTCCAAATCAGGTCAAATGCAAACAGCCTTGTAAATTGCATCTTCCAGATAACCTCCCAATGGGTCACATAATGACAATTATTTGAGAATGACACTTTGTGAGAGCTCCACTTCCATTCTGCTCCTTAAGGTGGCTGTCAGGCTGCACCAGGAATGCAGACTGTTATTTTTCAAGGCTACTGCAGAACTGGAGAGCAGGAGATGGACCTAGAGCAAGTTAAAATTTCACAAAATTCACTATTCTTACAAAGATTCAGCGATTTTACTTGAATAACTGCTCCCTGAGTTGCTCCAAGCCTTCCATTAATTTCCAGAATTCATAGAAATGTAATTTTCGCCAGGCACAGTGGCTCATGCCTGTAATCCTAACACTTTGGGAGGCTGAGGTGGGCAGATCATGAGGTCAGGAGATCGAGAGCAGCCTGGCTAACACGGTGAAACCCCGTCTCTACTAAAAATATAAAAAAGTAGCTTGGCATGGTGGCACACGCCTGAAGTCCCAGCTACTTGGGAGGCTGACGCAGGAGAATTGCTTTAACCTGGGAGGCAGAGGTTGCAGGTTGCAGTGAGCTGAGATCGCGCCACTGCACTCCAGCCCGGGCGACAGAGCGAGACTCCGTCTCAAAAAAAAGAAAAAGTAATTCTCGCAATTTTTTTGCCAGTATTTCATTGCTTTTATGGAGAGCAATTTTTTTGGTATTAACTTTTTTTTTAATTTTAAATTTTTGTGGACACAGGTATATAGAGCACTTTTTAAATTGATGCATTGTAATTGTACATATTTATGGGGTACAATTTAATATTTCGCTAGAGATATATGTTATGTAATGATCAAATCAGGGTATTTAGCATAGCCATCACCTCATGTATTTACCATTTCTTTGTGGTAAGAACATTCAAAAGCTTCTCTTTTAGCTGTTTTGTAATATACCATATCTTACTGTTAACCATCATCATCCTACTATGCAATAGAACATCAGAATTTATTCCTCCTATGTAATTATAACTTTATACCTGTTGATTAACCTCTCCCCCTTCGTCTCCTCCCTTTTCTCCTCCCCAGTGTCTGGTAACAACTACTCTACTCTCTGCTTCTATGATGTCAATTCTTTACTCTGTCATTTCCACTGATGTCCTTCTATATCTTTGTATTTTAAACGTACCTATATCAGTACATGGGAGATAGATCTCTTATAGACACCCTGTAGTTTGTAATATCTATCTTTTAATTGGATTGTTAGACCATTTACATTTAATGTCATTATTGATATGTTTGGATCTATATCTATCATTTTATGATCTGTTTTCTGTTTTTTCCTTTCTGTTTCTCATTCCTCTTTTTCTCTTTTCCTGTTTTCCTTTGGGTTATTTGAACATTTTTTATTATTCCTTTTTATTTTTTTGGCTATATCTCTTTGTATTTTTTTTTTAGTGTTTTTAGTTTTTAGTGCTCTAGGGGATTGCCATATACACACTTTACTTTTCACAGTCTTCTTACAATTTTTTTTTTTTTTTTGAGATGGAGTCTCGCTCTGTCACCCAGGCTAGAGTGCAGTGGCACGATCTTGGCTCACTACAACCTCTGCCTCCCAGGTTCTCCTGTCAGCCTCCCGAGTAGCTGTGATTACAGGCATGTGCCACCATGCCTGGCTAATTTTTTTTGTAGTTTTTTAGTACATATGGGGTGTCACCATGTTGGCTAGGCTGCTCTTGAGCTCCTGACCTCAAGTGATCTGCCCGCCTCATCCTCCCAAAGCACTGAGGTTACAGGTGTCAGCCACTGTGCCTGGACAGTCTTCTTACAATTTGTATTTAACCTGAATGCAGAAATCTTCTATTATGTAAGTCCCCTTTCCATCCCCCTTTTATATTGTATAATAGTTGTTTTATATGAATATATTGCAAAATCCCATCAGAAATTATTATGTTTGTATTTAATGGTAAAACATTTTAAAGACCTCAAGGCCGTTATAGACTATTTTATTTATTTGGATATTTGTCTTTTCTGTTGCTCTTTCTTTAGTTCTTATTTTCAGATTTTCCTTCTGATATCATTTTCCTACTATATGAAGAACTTCCTTTAGAGCATTTCAGTGGCTATGAATTCTCTTAGTTTTCAATTATATGGAAATGTTTTTCTTTTTAATTTCATCTTCATTTCTGAAAGATATTTCACTGGATACAGAATTCTGGGTTAGTAGTTTTTTTTGTCATCACTTTAATAATGTGCCACTTCTTTCTTGCTTCTGTGGTTTCTTATGAAGAATCCACAGTCATTCAAATTGTTATTCTCCTGTAAGTAATATGACATTTTTCCAGCCAGTTTTTTTTTTTTTTTTTTTTTTTTTTTTTTTTTTTTTTGAGACGGAGTCTTGCTCTGTCACCCAGGCTGGAGGGCAATGGCGTGATCTTGGCTTACTGCAACCTCTGCCTCCTGAGTTCAAGCGAATCTCCTGCCTCAGCCTCCTGAGTAGCTGGGATTACAGGCACCCGCCACCACACCTGGCTAATTTTTGTATTTTTAGTAGAGACCGGGTTTCGCCATATCGGCCAGGCTGGTCTTGAACTCCTGGCCTCAGGTGATCCGCCTGCCTCAGCCTCCCAAAGTGCTGGGATTACAAGCATGAGCCACCATGCCAGGCTGTTTAGTTCCTTTTATGCCAAGTAATTTTATATGTGTTCTGGACATTTTGTACATTATGTTATGAGGCTCTGGGTCTTGTTTCTAGTCTGTGGTAATTAGTTTAATTTCATCTTTTAAACACATATAAATGTTTGGCATATGATATAGTAGTCCCTCCTTATCCATGGACATGCATTCAAGACCCCTAGTGGATGCCTGAAATCTCAAGTCTTAGTTCAGTCAAATAGTACTGAACCCTGTATATGCTATATTTTTCCTATACATGCACATCTATGATCAGTTTTAATTTATACGCAGGGCACAGTGAGAGATTATCAACAATAGCCTAATAATAAAATAGAATACAATGATATACTGTTCAGTTTCACAGATAGATTTGTCCTTACCATAGATCTTAGCAACCTCAGCATATGATTTTTTTCTCTTTCCTTATTAAGAACTTTCACCTTTTCACTTAAAGGAAGCACTTTCTGACTCCTCTTTGGCATATGTGAATTGCCAGCACCACTATTCTTGCACTTTAGAGCCATTGGTAAGTAAAATAAAGGTTACATGAATACAAGGCACTGTGATACTGTGACAGTGGATCTGATAACTGAGAGACTAAGTGATTAACGGGTGAGTAGTATATACAGTGTGGATATGCTGGGCAAAGGAATGATTCGTATCCCAGGTGGGATGCAGCAAGACAGTGTGAGATTTCATCACGCTACTCAGAACAGTATTGCAATTTAAAACTTATGAATTGTTTATTTCTGGAATTTTTTGTTTAATATTTTCAGATTGTGGTTGACTGCAGGAAACAGACCACAGATAGCAAAACTGCACATAAGGGTGAGGGGGACTACTGTATTTATGCATGCCCTTTAGAAAGGTAAAAATGCATAGACTCTGCAGTATACCGTTATCTGTTTTCTGGGTCAAGTGATGCCAATTCAACGATGACTCTTCAATCAAACCAAAGCAATCTATTTCAACACAATGATTTTGACTGTGAGTGACAATTATAGGATTATTAATACTTTATTTGTAATATGTTTTCCTAGCAATGCAAAATTCCAGGGTCAAAAATTCTATATTTTCCTGAAAGTTTTATCACCAAGCAACAAATGTTTCTTTGGCTTCTGCTCGCTATTTGTCTACCATAATTTTCAGGCCCATGATGGATATAAAGATGAATAATGCCTACACTAGGTATTATTACCTTTTGTTATGTGGATGAGGGAGCTGAGGCCCAGTCAGACGTTACTCACCTAGTAAGTGGTAGAACCAGGCCTCCATTTCAAGTGTTCCGAATATATATGTATCTCTATAGCCCCAGCTTACCTCTATCAAGTACATAATCTGAGACAAAAGGAAATAAATATTTCAACAGTTTGAAGAGTTTGAACAGAACTATTCATGTGCCAGTATTCCCAAATTATAGATAAAATTGACTGTGTAAAGATTGTGACACTGTTGCTCCTTACTTTTATGGACCACTTAAGAATGTGCCAGGATTATACAGAAATTGAAAGTATTAATAATTGGCTATAGTATTTACCAAAGTTCTTTTTCCTTCTGATGGCATCAAAAAGCTAATTAGTCAATGGAGTGCATATGTCATTGGCTGGTGACTTTTGTAATAATTAGTGTACATTTATGCTTCCAAAACAAGCTATTTTGAGGTTACCTTTGATCATTAACTTACCTTCATTGTTCATTCACCAGGTGTTGAAAAAAATGATTCTGTTGAAAATGTTGCTATACAGGTGTGTGGCTAGAAAGATCACTTTGTATACACTTGAAGACTTTCATCCTTTGGCTTTTCGGCACAACCCCTTTTGTGGAACTTTAAGAAATGCATGGAGCTCTTGCTATGTGCTGGCCATTGGACTAAGTTTCTGGCATATGTTTCCTCAGTCATACCTTTGAACACAGTCAGTTTGAGATCCTAGTGCTAGATGGCCAAATCACACTCTTGTACTATCTCCCATCTACCAGCTATTTGCTCCTCTGTCTTTTTTGCTTATCACTTTTCAGGCTGCCCAGCACCTTTGAGAGCCCTTGCTAGCCAGACATGATTACTCTTTTGCTGCTAGCTTAGGATAGTTAGTGTATTCTTTCTGTGAAAGAAAGTACGTGAGAGTATCAGGTTCAAGCTAGGTGCCCTGATTCATAATTTTTGTATGGACTTCCTCCCATTTTCTCTACCCAAACTTATGGCCCAACTGGCTGCTCTGATTTGTGGTGTTTGTATATTTCTTTATCTCAGTCTTACCTCTTCGGCTTCCTGAGCTTCTAATTGTGCTAACTCTAACTACTAGGATGGTCTTACCAAACCTCCTAGTTCCAAAATCATCTGGTAACTCAAATTTTACTGCCACTCAAAGTCCCAGCATGACATTTTCTTGAAAACAAAGCATCCCATTTCTGATTGCTCCACACCAGGCTGAACTGCCTGCTTCTGTTGCCCACAGCTAAACTGCATCATCTAATGTTATGATCACTAATATTGCACTAATTTGCAAGAAAAAATGCATTAGCAGCACTAGTAGAAAAATCAAATCAAAATTGACTGTATAAGATATGTATCTCATGCTGCCCTTTGCATTCTTGTTACAACTTTCATTCTTGTCCTTAGGGTTGGAACATTTATTTCTCTTCAGTTACATATATTATCATGGTGACAGTGTTAACAAATGTGGTGTGAAAAAAATGAGGTTTCCATGTTTGGTTTCTAAGCATTTCCTGACCAGGCATCTAAGTTATTATTGGCTTCCTCATTGTCAGTGGGATTATACAGTTCTGTTATGGTTAGCTATGTGGCCCAAACTTTATTTCTTAGTGACCGGAGAGACAATGAAGATAATAGTTCAGGTTTAGGTTAGACTGAAAGGACTGTAGTGTGATTGAAGTAATGGTAAGAATAGATTTTGGAACCATATAGATTATGGTTTGAATCTAGATTCTACCATTAACCATGTATAACCTTGAGCAAGTTTACTTAAACTCACTGAACCTCAGTTTCATTATCTTTAAAATGGAGATAACAAACTCACAGGATTGTTGTGAAGATCAAATGTGATATTGTTTATAGCACACTTGTCACTTAGCCTGCTATTGATTTACAGAGAGGCTAAGTAACTTGCCCAAGGTTATATTGCTGGTAAGTGGCAGAGTTCAGTCTGGAATCCAAGTCTGCTTGATTTCAAAGACCCATGTTTATTCTACTGTGTTTTGTTTTGTTTTCCCATTTATAAGGCATTTGATCTGTTATTACTTAGAAATATAGATGCTTAGTACTGGAAGGAACTCAAATGTCATCTATTATACCACTGATCAGATATTCAAGTTTCCTTCACAGCATATCTCACAAAGCCCTGCCAAGATTCAAGCTATTCTTGAGCACCTTAGTTTGTCTATACTTTGCATAATTTTTGCTGATATTGTACTCTATGTCAAAGATTGCTGTCATTTAAAGTGTCTAACCATGTTTATATTATGTTGGACAGGACACCAGTAGAAGGGAAGGGACTGTCAGGAAGTATGCAAGTAGAATGGGAGTCTAGTTTAATGAGAAGCCCCTGACGCCGTAAGTGTTGGTAGCAGGTTAAAAAAAAATCCGCTTGTTCTCACTCACAGGTGGGAATTGAACAATGAGAACACATGGACACAGGAAGGGGAACATCACACTCTGGGGACTGTTGTGGGGTGGGGGGAGGGGGGAGGGATAGCATTAGGATATATACCTAATGCTAAATGATGAGTTAATGGGTGCAGCACACCAGCATGGCACATGTATACATATGTAACTAACCTGCACATTGCGCACATGTACCCTAAAACTTAAAGTATAATAATAATAAAATTAAAAAAAATCCATCAGTAGAGAAAAATCACCAAAAGGGTCTCCAGTCTAGGATTCTCCTGAACTGATTTCATCCTAACTTTCCATGTTATGATAAACATAACATGGAAACATAACATGGTTTGGGGTCATGGCACAGCAGTTTCAGAAATAACTGCTTTGACCTGCACCCACTTTTATTTTTACTGAAATAGGGAATCTTCTCAGATTCCCACAGGGACTGGGTAGCCGTTCATTGCCATAGTGCAGACAGCTATAACTTTACAACTTGCTCAGAGTTTATATGGCCTACCACTCTATTGGGCTTGTTAAACTGGGTAATTTGCTTTTTAGCTTATTATAACACATATTCTATTCTGGGGGACAACCAATCTATTGCACTTTTCATTACCTGTTGTTCAATAACAACACCTAAGGAATTCAGGGTGTTTGGTGCTGGAGTCCTGCTTTAAATCCTTATCATTTGGATTACACAGCTGATCAGTGCTCTGACTTCTAATAGTTAGACTAACTCTGGAAACACCTAGCTGCTTTTAGACCAATGTGCAAGGGTGGGTGGCTCTCCATTCTCAGCTCATTTCAATTCCTTATCTCAGGGAGAGGGCCATGCAGTCTTTTTGGATGTCGTAATTTTAAACCACTTGGAATAATATTCTCCTTTGCTTTAATGTTATACATCCCTGTGCATGTTCTTCAGTAATTGAAAGGGATATCGGGCAAATTTGATCTGTCTAGCTTTGACTTATGCTGTCCTTATCTTGGCCTTTGTGTCATTAAGAAAAAAATTGGTATTGATCTTGGACCATACCACTACATTGTGCTGCAATTTTTCTTCCTTGCTAGTGGAATATAAATCGATAAAAGGCAGCTGCTTTACACGAAGGCCAGATATGGTGCCGTCATTTATATATTGTAAATCCAATGATAGCTGATCAAATCAGTGCCTCTCCTGTTCCAAACTTGACATGATTGAATTGTCAATAGAAAAGATTTTACAGTAAGAGAAGGAAAGCTGACAGTGTAAATGTCTGAAAACCCAATGAAGCTCAATATAAAATAAAACAATGAGCTAGGATATCATTTTATAATTTCCAATGGGGAAAAAAAGTGTTTAGTGAATCACAGCTGAAATTGGGGGTGATCACAGGGAGGGGGAAGCAGGAATGAAAAGCCAGCTAACTTGCATTATAATTTTTGAGAAATCTGAAATGCAAATTTGCAGATGCAAATTTTAGGAATTATGCATCATAGTCACTGAGTTGTTTATTTACAGAAATGGTTCAAATACTCTCCATCTCTTTCCTCCTCCATACACATAGTTTTTAGTGATAATACCCAGTTGCTGGGGAGAAATAAGCCTATCTTTCCCCAGGAGTCCTGCTGACTTCTAGTAAGTGGCTTGGGAACAAATCTTGTAGAACTTATCCTTGCATTCTTAAAGTCAATCAGTAGAGCACTAGTTTCATTTAAAAGATCCCTAGAAGGAGTCAGGTTTGTTTTTGTTTTTGTTTTTGTTTGAAGCTGCAGAACTTTCTCAGATATATACATCTTGCTTCACATGTGGCCAACCACACTTCCCTTAGGAAAACTAAAAAACTAAAAAAGCTGTACCCCTTAAAACTTGAAGAACTCCTGCCAATTTTTCAGGATACCTGATTTGTCTGGCATCACTGTAATACAAAGAGGGTTAGCAAGCAAGGATGCTGGCTAAGAACAACCTCAAAAGTCTACACGCTAGAAGAAAAGGTCCCAAGAGAAGGTGGTAAAAAAAGTAAGAAGGGAAGAAGAGAGGAGGGATAAATCCTAGAGGCAATGGTCATGTACTAGATATATGGGGGAAAACAGAGGATGGCTTGGAGGAGAATAATGGTATTATACTAGCAAAAAGTGGACAGAGGTGAGATCAGTAACCAGTTTGCAGCGAGGTGATACAAAAATAGATGTTAAATGAAGTTTTAGACATGTCAACTTTCGGGGTACAATGGAAACTGTGCAATGGAAAACTGAAGGCAAGAGCCTGAAGATACACCTTTGTTTTGTTTATGGGTCCCTAATTAAACCTGTGAACTCATGCCCCAGAAAATGTATGCATGTAGATGCATGAAATTTTGCATCACATTTCAGAGGGTCAATGATGCCCCAAACCCACCTACAGCACCTTTAGTACAGTGCATGTGCAATAAGCTGAGGGTGGAGATATATAGATTGGAGAGTGTAGTTCATGGTGGGTGTCACATCAACTTCTTTGACTTCCAGGATCTTGCTCTTCCTTGTTCCCCTCCTTCCTTTCTGATCACTACTTTTCCATTTTTTTTGTTGGCTCCTACTCTTTTCCCTGTCCAGCAAAATTGGGTGTTAACCAATAATCTAGAGTATTCTTGGCCCTGTTTTTCTTCTCTCTGATTTTTATAGAGATTCTGTGAGCATTAAATGAAATAATACATGTAATTTGAACAGCACAATCTTTGGCTTGTAAAAAGCACTTAGTAAAGGGTAGCCATGATAATAAATTGAGAGCAATTGATTGAGCTTTATAAGAACTCCACTGTCAGAACAAGAGATTAATGAAGTTGGTTGAATGAGACGAAGAACAAGCCATCAAGAACAAGTTTTGATAAGCTTCAAAAAAAGAGCAATATTAGGTCAGGTGCAGTTGCTCACACCTGTCACCCTAGCACTTTGGGAGACCAAGGCAGGAGGATCCCTTGAGACCAGGAGTTTGAGACCAGCCTGGGTGACAAAGTGAGACCTGGTCTTTATAAAAATGTTTTTTTTACTAGCCAGGCATGGTGGCACGTTCAGCTGTAGTCCCAGCTACTTGGAAGGCTGAGGTGGGAGGACTGCTTGAGCCTAAGAGGTAAGGGCTGCAGTGAGCTATGATTGTACCAATGCCCTGCAGCCTGGGTGACAGAAGGAGATCCCATCTCAAAAAATAAATAAATACAATAAAAAGTGCAATATTGGAGAAGCTTCCTGGGAGAAGAGCACATCACAGAAGGAGAGAGAGAGGATGGTCAGTGGTGTAATGTGCCACCTCCACAGGGAGGAGAATAATGCTGAATTTCATTTATATTTAAAGATGTCTCCAAAAATATGCTCCAACAACCTCAGAATATAGTTTTCAAGATGAAAACTCAGAAACCAAGCATCTCTCAGAAGCTAATTCTCCCTTAATCAGGTCCCATGCATTTAGAACAACTACTGAGGCAAGAACGTCATGCAAACAAGGCTCTGTCTGCTTTTAAATGAAACAGCATTCTCTTATCAGTTCACAGCCTGGTCTCTCCCTATGGGATGTCATATGCTTCTCAACATACAAATAAGTACCATGCTCTTATATTTGCAAACAGACAAATCAGGTCTCTTGAAAAATTGGCAGGAGTTCAAGTTTTAAGGAGTACAACTTTTTAAGTTTTTTTAGTTTTTTTAGTTTTCCTAAGGGAAGTGTGGTTGGCCACATGTGAAGCAAGATGTATATATCTGAGAAAGTTCTGCAGCTTCAAACAAAAACAAAAACAAAAACAAACCTGACTCCTTCTAGGGATCTTTTAAATGAAACTAGTGCTCTACTGATTGACTTTAAGAATGCAAGGATAAGTTCTACAAGATCTGTTCCCAAGCCACTTACTAGAAGTCAGCAGGACTCCTGGGGAAAGATAGGCTTATTTCTCCCCAGCAACTGGGTATTATCACTAAAAACTATGTGTATGGAGGAGGAAAGAGATGGAGAGTATTTGAACCATTTCTGTAAATAAACAACTCAGTGACTATGATGCATAATTCCTAAAATTTGCATCTGCAAATTTGCATTTCAGATTTCTCAAAAATTATAATGCAAGTTAGCTGGCTTTTCATTCCTGCTTCCCCCTCCCTGTGATCACCCCCAATTTCAGCTGTGATTCACTAAACACTTTTTTTCCCCATTGGAAATTATAAAATGATATCCTAACTCATTGTTCTATTTTATATTGAGCTTCATTGGGTTTTCAGACATTTACACTGTCAGCTTTCCTTCTCTTACTGTAAAATCTTTTCTATTGACAATTCAATCATGTCAAGTTTGGAACAGGAGAGGCACTGATTTGATCAGCTATCATTGGATTTACAATATATAATGCCACAAGAGTGGGTCACGCACAGTGGCTCATGCCTGTAATCCCAGCGCTTTGGGAGGCCGAGGCAGGTGGATCACCTGAGGTCAGGAGTTCAAGACCAGCCTGACCAACATGGTGAAACCCCGTCTCTACTAAAAATACAAAAATTAGCTGGGCGTGGTGGTGTATGCCTGTAAACCCAGCTACTTGGGAGGCTGAGGCAGGAGAATCACTTGGTCCTGGGAGGCGGAGGTTGCAGTGAGCCGAGATCACGCCATTGCACTCCAGCCTGGGCAATAGAGTGAGACTCCATCTCAATAATAATAATAATAATAACAATAAAAATTCAAAAATAGTGAACTCTCTAAGTCCCTTCCAACACTGACATCCTAGGATTTTGATCTCTGATTTTGACAGAATGTAGCATCTCAAACAAGGCTTACAAGGGTTACATGCTGTCCTTAATTGAAACTGTTTGTCTCTCCTAGTGAGCAGACAAGCCTCAGTTTTCGGAAACCACATCAGCAGATTTCATTCCAGGGTGGGGAACTATTTCTGACAAGGAGCCCCGCAAAGTATGTGTGCTTCAGAGAAAAGGGAAAACTGAGTAAACAAATACTCCCTTTGCTGAAGGGGGATGTGGGTTGAAAATCATATTATAGAGGAGGTATCCTGGAGTGTCCTGAGTAACTAGCCAAAAATTTGATCTGGTTTCTCTTAGCATGGGGTAACTCACCATGCCAACTGACATATTTCTCCAGTGACCTCGACATCCGAAAGTGTCCCCTGAAAGCACAGCTGTCTGTTCTCCATGCTTCAAGCCTCACTATTTTCCCTAATAGCCTGCAAGATGCCATTCTGCAGATGTTTCTTCGACATTTCTTAACACAAGGGCATATTAGGCTCCTTTACATTTCTGACGTTTGTACGATTGAAATCCCCTCCTGGAAATCCGGGGTTGCTTTTATATGATGCAGGCCATCCATGCTTGAGAAGCTGGGGCCTTGCAGAGCAGCATCTTAATGCCATTCACCCACCATTTCCACCAACTGCCCAAATCTGGGTCTACATTAAGTTGCAATTTGCTTTCTCAGGATATTCTAGTGAGCAGAGTGGAAAGAAGAAACATTGGCATGTCCTCCAGAATTTTAACTAACCAGAGGGCTGTCTGCTGATGGGTGCTCCGTGCACCACTAGCTCCAAACCTTTACTAATTATGCAAACTCATCAGGAATGTCACCTGATGTTCTTCCATTTAATGAGTGGTTGTGCACCACACTTCATTCATTCTGCATCAGAATTATTGACATGATATTGACATTCAAGGGCAAGCTGGTTTTCTAATGCTTGCCAGAGAATCAAAGTTTTTTTATTTCCTAACTTTACCTATCCTTTCAGAAAACCTGAGAATGTCATTGATACTTAATGCTGCATATAGTGTTTCCACCAATAATACTTCCCCCAGAGGTTAGTCTTCGGAGTACATAGGACAGGGTAATTAGGTCTATTGATCTTTGCTACAGCCAGTGTTATCGGAATGGTGATCAACTTTATAAATAAGACGTGGATATTCATTTTAGCTAAGGGGCTACGACAACTCTTGTTTCTTGGACATTCTTTGCCCTAACAGAAGCATGGCTAAGCAGCTATCAGGACATCCTGAAGAGCTGGAAGCCCTCTTTTGTAGGCCTAGTGTTAGGGGCCAGAATAGGTAGGCACTTGCTGTGCCAAGAAGGGGAAAACCTTAAACTTAAATAGATTTGGCCCATGGGGCAAGATTTGTAAAGTCAAAAACTCTGTCAGGAGCTCCCACCCCTGCCATCTAAATTGCCAAGTGAATTCTCAGAAAGAGAGTTTCTCAGGTAAAATGTTCAGCATAGAACCCTTCTCAGGAGGCTTTTCTTTCACTTCACCAAGGCATAGAGTGGGGCAAGTAATAGCTTAGCTTGCAGCTGGAGAGAAGCCTTAAACAGGTAGCACTGACAATTGTACTGGAACCTAGATCAACATCTACCTAGACCCAGAGAGTCTGGGCACTGGGAAGGATTGTTTTCTGGATTGTCTGGTGTATAATTCCTACAGTCAAAGGATTTGAGCTTTGCTGAGCCAGAGAGAGGCTCACAGGGAGCCAGGACACCTTGTGTTTATCACATTTAGTAGCCACCCTGAGCTCTTTTCTATTTGGGTTCCCAAAGAGAGCTCCTTTTAAGAAAACAGGCACACATATTCAAACGTCGTAGATTTAGTTCTTTGCCTGGCCGGAATAGGGTGGGTGGAGGGGTTGGAGATTAAACTGTCAGGCAGGCATACAGCCAAGGAAGCAAGAGTCCAGTTACAAGAGAAATCTGAGTAAGGCCCTAGGCAGCAAGATCAATTCACAGTGAAGCCAGGAAGATCTGGACTGAGGTCTCCTTATTCCTCCTCACCTGTTCCCCCTCCCAGTTTTCTATAGGGCTTATGGAAATCATGGCTACTGCTTTCAGAACACATCTGTATATCTGTATACATAGCCTGAATCAACTGCAGTGACATCCACACACATTCGAGTTTAAATATTAACAGCAATTTGTTTCTCATGTGGCTTTGAAATTTTAAAAGTAGATCCTTCTGACTAGAATGGTAAATGTTTTTGAGACTAGATCTGTCTGTCAGGCACCTCTTCACCAGAGTATTTAAATATTTTTATATGATGAAGTCCTTTAGACCCATTTATATCAGTCTCCAGCTTGAAAAATAATTAAAATACTTAGGTTTAGATAAAGGTTCAATAAAATTTTGTCCAAATAACATGAATGTTTGTTGAAGTTTGGGACTACTTTATTAGTTTAAATATGTCTTTGGGTCTTCACAATAGTTTGCTGTAGCCCTTTTCAGTCCCAGAAAAAGAGGATATCAATTTTGCACCACTGTTTGCAACAAAATCTCCTTTCCTTATTTGGTTTTTAACTAATACTTTTTGTAGGACTTCTATATTTTAACTAGGTCTAGATACTTGTCTAAGAATTTCTTTTAAGTAGCCCCCAAGTTAAAGAAGTTATTTAAACCTGAGATTTTCAAGACAAGTTTAAACTAGCAGTCTAACTCTGTAATTAGTCTGGTGGGAATTGTCTGTGGAGACCTGAGGGCAGATTTTGACCTACATGAGCAGCTTTGTTGATTATGTGGCTTTAAAATGGCTAGTTTTCAGAATTAGACATTTTTCTCTCAGTTTAATTTATGCAAGTTGACCTACTGTGTGCAAATGATGTTTGATGACAAAAGAGAGTGAGTCACACTTAGGCAGCAACATCAGTGCCCATTAAGCAGAATATAAATAACTGTCTCTAGATATGCAATAGAGATTTAAAATGGTCCCATGGAAGCTGAATTACATAGGAGAGTTTCCTGTGCAATTATTCTGAAACAAACAGAAAACAAGCAAAAAACCCAAAAACCAAAAACCGAAAAACAAAAAACAAAACAAAACAAAAAAACAAAAAACAGCCCCCACCAATTTCAGTTGGGACAGTCCTTATATCTCTTTAGTCAAACAGTTGAATCTCAACTATGTGCTCCCCTACTCAACCTTGTTTCTTATTTCACTGTTTGTATAGCTCCTTCCTCCCACCTTCCCTCCTCCTTTTCTTCCTTCCTTAAGGAATGAAGCTCTGTAATTTTAAGTACGTTAGCTAGAGAGATGTAATTAACTAGAGCTGTATACCAAAGTACAAAACTTACATTTAGAAGTGACTCACAGATAGAGTGACAATATAAATTATTGTCCAAACAAGGATACTTTTGAGAGTGAAAGGAAGTGCTAAAAATAACTAACAGGTTAGTTGCTCTGCAAGGTATAAACCAAGCCTGTAGCAGGCTAATCAGGATGTATGGTCACCCTATTCACACAGACGATTAGGATGCTAAGGTGGAAGAGGCTTCAGAAAGCATCTAGTGTTCCCTCCTTTGAAAGAGGAAACGGAGACTGAACCAGTAATGCCTGGTTCTGATTTAGGTCTTCTATCTTCTAGGCCAGGCCTCTTTCTTTTTTTTTTTTTTTTTTTGAGACGGAGTCTTGCTCTATCACCCGCCTCCCGGGTTCATGCCATTCTCCTGCCTCAGCCACCCGAGTAGCTGGGACTACAGGCGCCCGCCAATATGCCCGGCTAATTTTTTGTATTTTTAGTAGAGACGGGGTTTCGCTCTGTTAGCCAGGATGGTCTCAATCTCCTGACCTCGTGATCCACCCGCCTCGGCCTCCCAAAGTGCTGGGATTACAAGCGTGAGCCACTGCACCCAGGCGCCAGGCCTCTTTCAACTACTTCCCGTGCCTCACTTCTCTACCAAGATGGAAGTACATATAGCGTGGACTCACTTCGTTTTTGTAGTTTTTCCTCACTGTCCAATGAATAACTTTTAGACATGAAACATTTCAGATGTCAGAATCCCAGGCTCCTCTTCCCTCCAAATCAGTGCTTCACAATTAAGCAGCTACACTGATACTTGCAGAACTCCCACTGTTAACTCATTTTTGGTCTTTCCCCCACTTTTCTGTAATTTAGGAAGGATGACGAATTCACAAAACCCAAGCCAATTAGATATTATAGAAAGATTCAGATAATCTGGATTCAAAAATATTTTTCCTTTTAAAATTCAAAACCAGTGAATCCTTAATTGATTTCAAGGCAGACTTTTCAGACTAGCCATACTTAAGTGGTCATCTGCTAACCAACAAGGTTAGACAATGGAGTACAGTTTCTCCTTCGATAATGAACTTGAGCTTGTACTTCTGGGTGAGAGATGAGAATGAGTAAAACTCTCAGCTGTGACTGACTTTTGTTTTGAAACTGAACAGAATGTACCTGAAATAAAATGGGCCGGAAACTGGTATTAAGTTTATAAATATAATGCTCACTGTCTCATATTTTTATTATCCTGTGTGTCTTCTTTCATCTCTGTTCACACACTAGGTTTGCTTGCCCTGGTGATAGACAGGCAGCATGATGATTCCCTCATTAATGAAAAGGATGGGTTCTGAAAACACACTTTGTTGTTAGAAACTTTATTACCAGTAGTAGAGATGACAGAGAAAACATACAGATGAGTTTTAGGACACAGGGAAACAAGGACTCGCAGAATAAAAATACTGTCAGATCCTAATGGAAATATGGATGTGACTGATACAGGGCCCTTAATGTTGAGGTCAATATCTCACTCCCCTTTTATGTATAGCTCAATAATCATTTGTTGACTGAATAGCATTGCTGGATGCCGCCATTGATTCTGCAGGCCAATGTGAGTTCTTCCTTTCATTTGTCTAATGACTCTGAGTAGGAGGATGTTCTGTGGCCAACAGTAACACTGTTGGTGGTTGTTTTACCAGAGACTGGAAATTGGATTACAAGGATCAACTAGGAGTCTGGGAAGCTGCAACAAGGATCAACTAGGAGGCTGGGAAGGATGAGAGGTGGAAGTATCTCTAGCTCTTTCTCACTGTCCTCCCTGCTTTTCTTCTTCCTAGTGGGTCCTTATAGTGAATTGATCACCCTGATACTTTTCCCCTCCTCTCCAAATAAACCTGGATGTCTAGGCAAACTAGACATTTGGCTTAACAAGTTATGAATTTTAACAAATGATTTAAAAGGAATACCAACATAACTAACTTCATTGTAAGTGAACTTCCTAGAAAGGAGGCATACAAAATTGCATAAATATAGCTGTGGATTGGTCAATTATTTTTTTCCCTGAGTCATTTCTTTCTGCACTCCTCATATTCCTCTTGCACACTTCGTATAGTTGATGTTTTACCATTTGGCCCTTATTTTGGTTCACTTCTTCTCCTTATTCACATATGCTTAACAGTTTTTCTCCATTGTCTGTCTCTTTTCCACACCGTTGATCTTATAACAAGGATATGAATAGGAAAAAGAGAATAACTTGAAAGATGGGTTAAAAACAACTTTTCTAATGCATTTGGAACATGCCTATGTCTATATATGTGTCTTGTCCTTGTATTTGAGAATACCTAAAGCCAAAACTGTCTTTTTATTATGTGTGAAATTTCATTTTGTGCATTATGCATTGTTTGTGGGGGAAGATGTACAAGAAACTGTAGGTGGTGGGATTATACATTTTCAAAGTTAGAACAGGTATTTGTTTGTTTTCTGTTTTTTTTTTTAAATACTCATGTCCTGGGCACTTTAAATACATTATCTCATTTAATTCTCACAAAAATCTCATGAAGATGTGGTATCTTGCTCATAGTCTCACAGCTAGTAAGTGGTAGAAGTGGAATTGGAATGCAGATTTGTCTGGCTCCAAAGCTCCAGACTTTTTCCATGACACCATACTGCTTCAAAATGTGAATAATTCTGGGTCTTCTACTTCCTGATATTATAGCATATAAGGACCAGGCATATTTCCCCACTGAGCTCAGTGTTCTTATATTGAATTTCTTTATATCTCAAAGTCTGTTGAATAGTTTTTCTATTTAGAAAGCATTCTAAGCTTTGAGTTGTATTTTGGGATGGGATAACCCCCCATTTTATTTCCCCAAGACATATGGAGTTCTTTGAAAAAATCAAACTGTCATTTGAGACTAAGAAGGAAAGGAAAGTCAGAGTGTGTTAAATTTCCCTTTGTCTCAAGGGCATGGTTTTCATTAAGTTCTTTGCCTTTTTTGTAGGGAACAACCCTGTGGGCCTGGGTGTATGTTTAATGTTTGCTTTTATGTGGACCTGGTCTTCTTCCTATTCTCAGGGTCCTGTCATGATTGCTTCGTAATAGTGTACCCAAGTCATGGTGATGTCACTGTAGTGCCTTAGCCTTTGGCATTTGGCCAGTATTGTTAACAGCGTTGTCTTATGTTTATTCTGATGTTGCTTTGGTCCAGCAGAAATGCATGGGAGGCAGGGAAGCTGGAGATGACACTGCACTGGAACAGTGGTTCTTCAACTTGATCTTCCTTCCAAATCCTCTGGAGGGCTTGGTAAAACACAGATTTCTAGGCCTTACCCCATATTTTCTGATTTGGTAGGTCTAGGCTGAGGCCAAGCAATGTACATTTCTAACAGGCTCCCAGGTGATGCTGATGCTGCTGACCCAGAGACTACTCTTTGGGGATCACGGCAGTAGAGAATGAAGGGAAATTAGCTTTACCACTTGATATTATTTTTTTGCAGATTTGTACATCTCTTGAGCACAGTGCCTGGCCACATAATAAGTGCTCAATGCATGTCAGTGCTGCTTATTTTGGTGTGTATACAGTGATACTTATTCACTGTACTTTTCCCTTTGCCAGCCTTTTCTAGTCTAGAAAGAGTTACCTGTACAAGAGCACTTAACAGCATTTGCCTGGTTTGGCAAACTCACCCTCTAGAGACTCATATTTCTTTCTTTGTCTTATGCCTGTGATTCAGGCAGCTGTGTCAGGTTCATACCATTTTGTTCCCCCTGGTGTCTTAGTCCATTTGTGTTACTATAAAGGAATACCTGAGACTGAGTAATTTATAAAGAAAAGACATTTGTTTGGCTTATAGTTCTGCAGGTTATACAAGAAACATGGTGCCAGCATCTGCTTCTGGTGAGGACCTCAGGAAGCTTCCACTGGTGGAAGGTGAAGGAGAACAGGCATCATATGGTCAGAGGGGAAGGAAGAGAAGAGAGAGGGTGGTGCCAGACTCTTTTCAACAATCAGCTCTCTCAAAAACTAATAGAGTGAGAACTCACTCATTACTGTGAGGATGGGATCAAGCCATTCATGAGAGATCTACCCCCCATGACTCAAACACCTCCCACCAGGCCCCACCTCTAACACTGGGGATCCAATTTCAACATGAGATGTGGAGGGGATAAATATCCAAACTCTATCACCTGGTCTTGATGATCTGAGAACATGCAGTAGGATGCTTTTTTTCACTCGTTTATCCTTTCTTTGCTGTAAGTGAACCCTCAGAATTCCTTTAAAATAGGCGATCTTGGCCGGGTGCGGTGGCTCACGCCTGTAATCCCAGCACTTTGGGAGGCCGAGGTGGATGGATCATGAGGTCAGGAGATCGAGATCATCCTGGCTAACGCGGTGAAACCCCGTCTCTACTAAAAATACAAAAAATTAGCCGGGCGTGGTGGTGGGCGCCTGTAGTCCCAGCTACTCGGGAGGCTGAGGCAGGAGAATGACATGAACCCGGGAGGCGGAACTTGCAGTGAGCCAAGATTGCACCACTGCACTCCAGCCTGGGCGACAGAGAAAGACAGAAAGACTCTGTCTCAAAAAAATAAATAAATAAATAAAATAAAACAAATAAATAAATAAATAAATAAATTAAAATAGGTGATCTCAATTTCAACAAATTGCCTATTATCTTGTTTTTTGAAATCTGCATAATTTACTGAGGTATAAACAAAAGCATAGATCAGGATGCTAAATCAAGACCAGTTTTTTCTTCAGGCTTGTACAGCATACAACTTTCTAACTTAATTTGAAGACTTACTTAGAGTAACACATCAAATGAAGAGTGTTCTGCTTTGGTCACTGTTCTGTTACCTTGACTTTATCTTCACTCCCAAGATAGGCCCAAAGAATTCTAATTTAGAGATAAAATTTTAAGTTTTTTGTGATCTTATCACTTCCAGTTACATCTGACAATAGTCTCTGTGTCTCTTTTCTGTCTGTGTCTTATTGCAAAAGCAGAGAGGGAAATAACATTATTATGGGTCTTGGTTTAACCACAACAGTAACAATGAAAACAAGGTAGAAAACCTTGTACATTCTGCTCTTGTTTCATATAGCATAGAGCACCACAGGTATTTTGCTAAGTTGTACTAAGTGCCAGATAATTGCTCTTCAATGGCATGAAGTAATTTACTTTCCTTAATTCCAGAGGATCAGGTTTTGTATTTTCCACATATAACTGGCTACTAAATATAGTGTACTCTTTCCCTGGGATATACTTCTTAAAATGTTAGGTTGCACCACATAAAATTGTTAATTTTCCTTTTTTCATCAGTGAAAATGGCTATTTGTTATGGTTCGATCAAATACTTTTAAACAATACAGTTTTTAAATGGAAATATAAAGTGATTCTTTAAGGTACTTGACGATGATGATGATAAGGATGATAAGGATAATAGCTAGCATTTATACAGGGCCTGCTATGTGCCATATACTTTATATGTGATTCCTCATTAACTCATCTCAACAACCTTAGGAGGTAGGTACTGTTAATACTATTCATATCCTCTTTATAAAGGAAAACACTGAATCTTAGAAAGGTTAAGGAACTTGGTCAAAGTCATACACGTTAATTAGCAAAGCTGAGATTCTAACCTAAGTCTAGCTGATTCCAAACTTGGGCTTTTTTCAACTGTATCACCATTGTCATGTTGTAATTCAGTATAGGGAATTGTGTATGGTAAGGCATAGGAGGCAGCATTCACTGATGACCACATTCAAAGGTAAGCTCCCTTCCATTCAGCTCTAACTTTGGCATAGAACTTGACCTCATATTCCACTGTCCCCCAGTCCTAGGCTGCCCCTGCTCCCTTTTACTGGTTCAATTCCTTTTCTGAGACATTCTGGAAGAGGGAGTTCCAGGACACAACCTTTGTTTTCTACCTAGTGTGAGATGGAGAGGAGGATAATTAGAGGGGTGGGGAGTGGGCTGGTGTAAATCCCTGTAGATAGTCCAGTTTGTGGCATTGCCATAACTTTCTGTTTGATTTTTGCCCACTTTATATATTTCTTTTTTATTTGCAAGACAAAATAATCAGATAATTAAACAAAGTCTACTACTTCACTTCTGTTCTCATATACTCAACACAACTCAAGGACGAATTTTGACCCAGATATGCCTGCGTCTGTGTAACCTGGTGAATAAGAAGTTTCTCTGAAAAACTGTTGGTGGAATTTTCCTCTGATGGCACCAGTGATACTTTAATCAGGACCTATTTTAAATGGATACCATATAGTATCTAATGGTAATATTCCATCTCTGCACAGATATAATATAGTATACCTATTAGATTTTTGTGAATAGAGCAGATATTTGCTAGGGCTCATTACTTTTATTTATTTTTACTATTTTTTTTAACCTCCATCACCACCACCACCACCTAGGATTCATTACTTATAAAAAAAATATGTAGTGTGAAGAAAAATGGCAAATGCAGAGTGGTAAAGTTTTATAACATATTTTTGGGTCAATTTTTAGAAATTATTTTTAAAAGAAGAGGCATAAGGTAGGGATGTTAGAATTCTAGTTTGTGGAAATGCAAGGGATCTTGACGTGCCTCTTTTTGAAATATTATGTTAAGAAAAACAACTTGAAATTTAGACTTAAAGAAGGAACAGGTTGGAGAGTAAAAGAGATGAATTTAGTGTTTTGGCCTTGGTATATTTGAGATGCTTCTGAGACACCCTATGGGCTTGTCTGGAGCTCAAAAAAAAAAGGTCAGGGCTGGGGAGAGATTGAGGAATCTTCCGAAGAGAGCAGAGATGATACCCTAGGATGGGATGAGTTAGTATAGATGTCTTGAAACGGTTAAAGATACAGATTCCTTGGGTCCTGCCTTTGGAGATTCTGATTCAGCACATCTGGAATGGGGCTCGATCCCCGCCTCTTCCTTAACAAGCTCCCCAGGCCATTCCGATTTGCAGCCAGGTTAGCGCATTGGCTCATCTATCAACTCAGGTCTTGGCTGTTGCTTTGTTGCCTCTAAAGGGGATCATAAAATGTGAAAGATTCTTCTCCTGTTCTTTCAAAAGAGGGTAGTTTCCAAAACAAAGCAAGTTTGAGAGATATATTTTGAGGAAATATTTGTGAAAACACCAGAAATAGTGGAGCCACTTCCATTTCAATCTTCTGGATTTGATTTGTTTGTCCATTAAAAAAGGGGGGGGTAATTATTTGTGTGTCTGTGTGTGTGTGTGTGTGTGTGTGTGTGTGTGTGGATTTATCTCAGACATTGAATGGGTCATTTTTTTCATATTTTCCAAAGTCACATAAATAATAATAATTTTAAAAATTCAGAGTGCTGGGCTAATTTTACTACATAAGTAGAATATACTTAGCAGCTATTAGTGGCTTCTACACTGAAATAGAACCCTGCAGTTATGAAAATCATACCTGAAATTTGAGAAAAGTTGTTTTTGCACAGTAATATAGGGTAAATGATAACTCTGGTAGAAATAGCCTAAATGAAGTTCAATAAATGCTGGACACTATTTGAGGTTGACTTTTGGATTTTGTTGTAAGGGTTATCTCCAGATCTAAGTGTAAACTCAGATCACTCCGGTCTTCCTGAATCAGACCTATTTTTCATTTGAGACAGATGGAACCATCAAGAATTTTTCCCCTTTGACTATGTCTTGGAAGAACAGGGTGCCATTCCTTTCAGGTGCATTTAAACCCAATCCAAGTAGTCAAACTGAAGAATGCAGAGAGCAATGGCTATTACAGGCCTCAAAGAGTCCGAATCCTTTGCAATGGCCATGAACCAGTCTTGCCTTTTCAGATGATCTATAAGCCTGGAATAGGACAGTTTTGGACCATGGTAGGGAACTTGGAAATGTTAGTTGGTCTAAATTCCTGGTTATGGAATTAAAACAAGTTGTATCTACTTTAGTTATTAACTTAATCCAGTATTTTTGTTTTGGCTTAATCCTATTAGTGTCACATTTTACTTTTAGAATATCTTCCACTGTTACCGGGCGCACTGGCTCACGCCTGTAATCCCAGCACTTTGGGAGGCCAGGGTGGGCGGATCACGAGGTCAGGAGTTCAAGACCACCCTGACCAACATGGTGAAACCCCGTCTCTACTAAAAATACAAAAATTAGCTGGGTGTGGTGGCGCATGCCTGTAATCCCAGCTACTCAGGAGGCTGAGGCAGGAGAACTGCTTGAACCAGGACCTGGGAGGAGGAGGTTGCAGTGAGCCGAGATCACACCATTGTTCTCCAGCATGGGCAACAAGAGTGAAACTCTGTCTCAAAAAAAAAAAAAAAAAAAAAAAGAATACCTTCCACTGTAACCTTGCATTTTTTTACACATCTCCAAGTCTTTTACTCATTCTCTCATTCTCTCTGCTGATGTAGACAGATATTTTTATATCTGGAGCTGGACACAGTCCCTATTTTCTGGGCAGGAATTCTCATTAGATGGGAATACTGGGAAGACTTTGGAATGATCAGTCACTAGTGTGTGATGTATAGATTGTTTATATTGATAAAATGTTATTCTAGCATCATTTAGGGGGAAGTTCTCAGAACAGTTTTATATGTGTTATTCACTTCTAACTAGCCCTGTGAGATACGGAGGGTAGGACAAGGGTCGTTGACATTCAGCCTTCCTGTGGAATCAGGAAGAGGAGGAGTGATGGACAAGAGAATATATGTATATGGCTATGAAACAGTTTTGCAAATCTGCAGGCAGGTGATCATCATTATGAGTTTTCCCATGGGGCAAAAATATTAAGCACAGTCTTGAGAACCACACAGTTTATACAAAACAGTTTGCAGGCTGGACTGAGTCACAGAGTTGGCTCTTAATATGTTGTTGTTGTTGTTGTTGTTGTTGTTGTTAATATAATGTCTCCTCCTAAAATGCTATTATTTTTTATGAACTGATGGGGGAGTATATGTGAATGTGCATACAAACTACAGTGCCTTGACTTTTCTCTCATGATAGAGGGCTTTTGCATTTAATACTGTGCTCATTTTATGTACCATGTTTAAGATTAGAGTACATGATCCCATGAAATGATGCTTGTATCCAGACCTTCAAAAAAGTTAATTATTCATCTGCATGTTCTGTTTGTATTGACTCTGATGTTGGGGAAGGAGTTATAAGGCTTGGAATTTATGATTAAGACTGTTAGAGTTTATAATTAAGTGTCTTGGGAATGGCGAACAGAAATGAAGAGGGCAGTAAGGTTTTGTTTTTTTCTTCCCCAGGCCCATTTCTGTTTCTCAGTTGCATTTTCTCACTATCTTTAAACACATACACATGTGCATGTGCACACACACACACCACTAGATGGTTAGTTCATTCATGTGCAATTAAACTTAGAATGCAGACTTCATGGAGACAACACATAAAAAACAAAAGCTTAAGAGACCTATTAGTGAAGTTCATTTGAGTGCCTGAGGTATAAATAATCTTTACAGCCTTGACAAAATGTATCTCTAAGTGTTCTTTGTTTAACTGAGATATGCTGATACATGTCTTGTTGTATTTTAGTGTTCTTGACCTTTTAATTAAAATCCCTTGAAATGAAACCTTCAAGAGATGACATAGATTGCATTGAATTTACCAAAGATTGGCATTTGTTAAGAATAATGGCAGTTTGGTTAACAGTTTTTTAAAAACACACTTGCTATTTCTTTCCATAGAGGAAGGGGAAGAGGTGATTTTTTTCCTGCATGATTTTATAAAATGCGTTCGACTACATAAGGCCTTATTGAATTCATAAGCAGGAAGGTGCATGTATAAACACATGTTAGCAAGCATATCCTAATGAAAAATAGGACTGTGAACCTCCATTTACCAAGATAGGGAAGGAAGTAAGCAACAGCGCCATTGCTTAAAATACTTTCCACTGAACCTGACCAAAAGTAGAAAATGTATTTCAAAGAGCATCTCTGGCTGGGACCACCTGTCTATCTAATTTCTATGGCTGTTTCAGATGGAAAGTTCTTGGTGGTAGAAATTTCTCGTTGAATAAAAAGAAACCCCCTTTGTGAACTCTGTTACCACAATTAATTTTCTTATAAGGTGTTCCTTACCAGAAAGTTTCAGAATTCATTGATCAATCCTGTGTTTCCTACTAACTTTGATTACTAGTGCTTGGATATCCTAATTCATTTACTGGGGGTGGGATTTTTGTTTATTCTGTTAGTTGCTTGTAAAAGAAGATGTCTTACATGAGTAGACTTCAAATCAAAGCAGCAGAGATAGTATCATTGCAGCTTAGAGTATTTGAAATGGACTAGATGTGCTTGAACAAAAGACTTGCCTATCTCATTAAATGGCTGTTTAATACTTTCCCTGGTGAAAGAGGTGGACCTCAATTTGATTTGGTAGTCTTCCTCACACACATTGGTGGTCTTCTTCCATGATGCATTTCAATCTAGTTGAACTCCAAACAGACTACTGGCACTGTTTTTTTCTCAAATTGGACTTTCCTAATGTATGCAGCTCTAATGGCTCTCTCTAAACAGTCTTTCCAGAATGTACTTAAGAACTTTTCTATTTTTGCTTTTTGAATTTGTAGCCCGCCGTATTACTTGCAAAGCCATTCACATGTGCTTTGTTTCTTTCGCTCTTTTAAAAATGACAACAAAAAGCGATTTCAGAAAAAAATGAGCCCAAACAGACTAGATTGACGGTACTCATCAAGTTACTACCCGTCTCCTGACACCATAATAACCATATTTCAGAGTTGTGCATGCTTGATCGTTACAACAGAGTAGATGAAATCAGATTTAGAGTGGGGCTTGGAATTCTCTGCTCAAGTCCACAGAAATCTGAAAGCCCTAGTTTGTAATCTCTAATATCTGGTCTAGTCTGGAATTCACAAAATATTGCTTGTTCTCTGTGTTGAAGAAATGGACATTTCTGTGATACATTTAGTAAAGCCCTTTGGCTCTGGGGAATAAGTGGATGGTGGAGGTCAGGTAAAGCCAAAATAGTCTTCCAATCACATGACAACATAATTATTTTTATCGGACGCAAACGCTGAATTTGGCTATTTGGGCATGTTTTAGTTATTGGTTTTTGCACTGTGTCAGTTTCCCCAAAGGAACCAATCTTTGGGAAGCCAAAGAAAGAATGGATTGAAGATACCACAGATCAAATAAAGTGCAAGGTTAATCGGTCATCTCTGTTCAAAAGGGTGCTGCAATTCTAGGTAACTTTTTATGTCAGTCAGAAAGCAGGGGCTTCCTTCCAAAGTCATTCATGTTCCTTTTTGTTGACATATTGACTCATCAGGACACCTGGAAAGCTGTAGAGCTTATCCTTCTAGACAGGTGGCTAAATGAAGGTCTAGAAGAGGATTCTTTCCATCTGTAGTCTCAGACTTTGACCTTTTAGACTCCAGAGGTTATAGCTATCTGAAGCCCCTCTTAAGTTACCATATGTTCTCAAGCAAGAAGAATGAGAGTCACAATCCTATCAGAGAGAACTATGCTGGGCTTGCATGTGAGTGAAGAAAGAAGTATCAAGGAGAGCTTCTGGGACAAGGAATGCCTAAACTGTAGCTTTAAGGGTCAATAAAAATTTATCATGTAAAAAACAGGCAGGGAGTACAAAAAAGGGAATTTCAGGCACAGAGAATAAACAGCACGTACAAAAGCTATGTAGCACTGTATACTAGATTTAGAAAGATGAATATGATCCAAGCCCTGCCCTTGTAGACCTCACAGTCAATAGGCTACCTATTCTGACTTCCTTTCCCAGTAATTAAGATGGCTTTGTCCTGATGGTGGATTTAACTTCAAGCCTTTGGCCCAGAGGTAGCTTCAGGACTTTTTTTTGAGACAGGGTCTGGCTCTGTCACCCAGGCTGGAGTGCTGTGGTGCAATAATGGCTCACTGCAACCTCTGCCTCCTGGGCTCAGAGGATTCTCCCATCTCAGCCTCCCAAGTAACTGGGACTACAGGCATGCATTACCACTTCCAGCTAATTTTTGTATTTTTTATAGAGACAATGTTTTACCATGTTGCCCAGGCTGGTTTCAAACACGTGGCCTCAAGTGATCCTGCTGCCTTGGCCTCCCAAAGTGCTGAGATTACAGGCGTGAGCCACCGTGCCCAGTCCAACTTCAGGATCGTGCAACTGTGCAGTCACACAAAGCCCTGCACTCAGAAGCGCCCAGTGCTTGGTTTAATGTTCTGCCATTGCCATCTTTTAAAATTCTAAATATTTTTTGAATAAGGGGACCACATTTTTATTTTGCACGGGACCCTACAAGTAATGAAGGTGGTCCTGCTGGTGTCCATGCTACTTTAATGTGCTGACGTGAGGCAAAACACAAATGTCCACTACCCTTTCTAGTACCCTTTTGTCTTCTACATACCACCCCAGCTGTGTCCCAGTGAGGGAAACTTCAGATAGACTTATTCTTACCCAAGTTGATGGGGCTTAATAGCTTTCCCTTCCAAGGACTATTTGCCTTCTAAAAGAAGATAGCAGGCAAAGGGTGCAGTGCTCAAAGGAATGCATTTAAGGGTGGATGTTGAAAAACATAAAGTGTTTATCACAATTATAGCAGCAACAGCAGCAACAACATTTGAACTGAGTGCTTACAAAGCTGCTTCTCACATATTATTCCACTGTCAAAGCACAAGCAGTCTGATGGTTTCTGTGTTGTATTCATAAAAGGTAAATCAACAAGTTAGATGGATGGGGTAACCTCCCTAAAACAAGCATGTTTATCCTGTGACCCACGGGAGACAAGTGCTTGTACTTAGTATCTAGCAGTGTCGGTATCTAGCAGTGTTGGTGGTGGCTGTACCCCATTCCATCTTTCCTTGCTAGCATCAATTAAGGGGAACATTTTGAGTACTAAAGCATAAAAAGAAGGGGAGATTGTATCAGGCTGAGGGGTCCCATTCATCATGTGGGAATTTACTACATGGACCCATCTAAGACAGCTGACATGGACCTGTCTCTCATGAACACCATCATCACACCATCTGCCTGACCAGGTCCTCTTTTAATTATTTACACTCTGATCTTTTGGGGGAAGGAAAACTGGTTTGCTCTCTTATTTTAGATAGATAAGCTTAAAATGAAATATAAAATCTTAATGTGTTACTGAGCCCTAGTTGAATTTAAAATTGACCTTTTTTCACTTGTGTTAAAGAAGCATTGTAAGAAGCGATGTCTTGAAGTTTTTGACAAACTTGCACTGTTGAGAAAAGAGTTATCAACTTGAGACTTTAGGAAACTTATTATAATTTTTCTTCAGAAAGAGAGCATTTTTTTTTCTTAACAGCTTTGGAGGGGGTATTGAAAGAAGGCTGAAGAGAAAGAGAAGAAATTAGATTTAACAATCATTTATGCACTTTATTTTTTATTTTCTAATTTTTTTTTTGAGGCAGAGTCTCACCCTGTCATTCAGTCTGGAGTACAGTGGCATGATCTTGGCTCACTGCAACTTTCGCCTCCTGGGTTCAAGCGATTCTTCTGCCTCAGCCTCCCAAGCAGCTGGGACTACAGGCACATACCACCACACTCAGCTAATTTTTTGTATTTTTAGTAGAGACAGGGTTTCGACATGTTGGCCAGGCTGGTCTCAAACTCCTGGTTTCAAGTGATCCGCCTGCCTTGGCCTCCAAAATTGCTGGTATTACCAGTGGAGCCACCGCACTTGGCCCATTTATGCACTTTAGAAACAAAACCTAATAATACACTTGTCCCCTAGTCTTTAAGGAATCTCAGGGGGGTAGAGCTGGTGATCAGGGAGAATTCCAGAGATGGATAATAGGAAGAAGTTGTAGTTTTGTGGGCACAACACCAGGTTCAAGCAAGCATGGCAGCATGTAATAAATATGGCAGAAGTCTAGTCATCCAATCACCTCTAGTCTTTCTATATACTGGACATTGTGTTCTGTTCTATAGAAAAAAGATGAATAAAATAAGGTCTTTGCTCTTGAGTTCAAAGTCTAGGTGGGGAGATAGACATGTCCCCAGTCAGTACAATCTGATTGCGGCTGAGACCACCGGACTGTGGTTAAGAGCCTGGATTCCTAATCCAAGGTTTGGGGGTAGGACTGTAACAGCAGCAGCAAGGCAGTCCACAGGAGCCAGGGTTCTGGCCAAGAAACCAAGACAGGGACTCAGGCGAGATACAGTATCAAGACAGAGGCAGAACTGCTGGAATTGACTAAAGTATGTAAATCACAAGGAATTCCAAAGGCCCAGTTATTGCAACTGGGTAAAATGTCAGAGCAGGACTAGAAGACTTGATGTTGAGGGGTGACTTGATGCTGAGCACTGTGTATCCTAGGAGCTTCCTTAGGTTAGGAGATTACCATGAGCCTAGGTAGGGCTGGGGTACTATGGGGAGTAATAAGTAGGCCTCATC
Organism: Homo sapiens; assembly: GCF_000001405.40. Lineage (NCBI taxonomy): Eukaryota > Metazoa > Chordata > Mammalia > Primates > Hominidae > Homo > Homo sapiens. The sequence goes on along the minus strand of NC_000023.11, from coordinate 133,796,836 downwards.
TGTAGTCATTCAAGAAAATAGTGGCAGTGAAGTTGAGTTAGTTTAACTGTAAAGGCAAAGCTAAAAAGTTCTATGATTTCTAGGAGACTAAAAAAAGAAAAGGTTATTTCTGACACTTTATAAATTGCACCACTTAAGCTGTTGGTTAGTTTGGACCAATGTGTCCTCTAAAATCCTTATTTGAGTGGTGAGTCCCCAAGTAATTGAGGCAGAGGGTGCTAGAGAAACCTCATCTAAATAAGCACAGAGCTAATCTATGGGAGCAGAGAATGTTCCAGACTTAGAGAAGGCTGCCTTTTAAGTAGTTTCTGTTTTGAGTCTCAGATAAGGTATACCCAATTTCTAATTACTGTGCTTTAACTGAAAGCCATTTGTCTTCTCCCAGTTCCTCCTTTCTTAGTGTTACTGTAGCCAGGGTCTAACTTGTCAGTACATTTCTCTTCAGGCACATTTAGGGATTTGTCATACATGGTAGAAAGTCATATTTTTCAACTGTGGTACTTTTAACTCTATCAGCATAGGGTTGATTTTGTACTTATACTTCAGCATACAGAAATGAAATTTCGTTGATGTGTGTTGAAAATGGCTCTTATGCCAGGCGCGGTGGCTCACGCCTGTAATCCCAGCACTTTGGGAGGCCAAGGCGGGCAGATCACGAGGTGAGGAGATTGAGACCATCCTGGCTAACACGGTGAAACTCCGTCTCTACTAAAAATACAAAAAAATTAGCCGGGCGTGGTGGCGGGGCCTGTAGTCCCAGCTACTCGGCAGGCTGAGGCAGGAGAATGGCGTGAACCCGGGAGGCGGAGCTTGCAGTGAGCCAAGATTGCGCCACTGCACTCCAGCCTGGGGGACAAAGCGAGACTCCATCTCAAAAAAAAAAAAAAAAAAAAGGAAAAAGAAAATGGCTCTTATAGCCTTTTAAATTTAAAAGAGATACATCTAAATTAGTAAAATATTAAACTGTGAAAAATGACTGTAGTCACTGCCCATGAAGACTTTTGCTCCATGGAATATACTATATTGATGATGATTGTTTACTTGGAGACTCTTATGAGAGGGCCAGTCCACCATTTTTCCTATTGTAGCAGTTCAGGGAAATAGAGTAGGATTCTAGTACATAATATGCTTTTCAAAAGCCTCAAGATAATTTATATTACTTGTAACATAACCTTTAAAAAACAGATTTTGAGTCCATAGGTATTTAGATACATACACAAGATAGTAAAGTTGTTTTACTGTTTTTTTTTCTTTTGAAGATTTGAATGAAAAATTACACTTCACTGGGTGGTTTTCATGACAATCTATCTTATCGGACCTAAGCCAGGTTTTTGAGAATAGAAGCTGGAAATTTTCTCTTGTCTCGCCCCACCTTGACCAGGCACTGCAACATGAATTTGGAATTGGGACCATGTGTGACCCTTATCCATTTATTTAATATCTAATCCTAGCAAAGCGTAAGCAGACTCTCTGCCTTTGTAGTTTTTCATGGCTATGACCACTTTATGTGAATTACCACAAGGGGAAGACATGGTCCCTGACAGGCAGATAAAGGATAGTCTTTCCAAAGGACATTGTTCCTGAAAAATAGAATGGCTTTTTAAATGTTCCTTGTTTCTTTCGATTATATCAGTTGTTTCTGGTTAGAATAGCCATATGTGTCTTAGCAATTTAGTTTTCAAAAACATTACATGATCCACACATCAGATACTTTTCAGTTGGCATATCTTAGGCTGAGACCACCATTTTTGTTGATTGTTGATACATAGCGGTTCAGTGAAACAAATGCTTCTAAAGAGCCCCTTCTGTGTCAGGCTCTAAGGTAAATACAGAGACACAAAGATGAGAAAGACACAGTCCTGACCCTCTAGCGGTTCATAGTCCAGTGGGCAAGACAAATGGACAGATATTTTCAACATATTTTGATAGACTCAGATAGAAACATACAAAATGTGCCATTGGAGCCAATACAAAAACATGGTCTGTGACTAATAGAATCTATTTTTCCCCTTGCTACTCACTAAATAGATTTTTTAAAAATTCTCCCTTCAACTAGCATAGGAAGCCACTGACATCTTCAGCCACTTAGTAGCCAACCTGTTACCATAAGGAAGTGCATTTACAGTGGGGATTCTGTTGAGATCATGTGAGGCGGTTGTGAAGGCACGTTTACAACCCCAATTGATGGTAGTTACTTTTGGTCTTTCTCTTCCTCCCCATGGGGAAGAAACAGACAATGAGTAGAGACCAGAGGAGGAAAAAGAAGCACCGCAAAAAAGGAATAGAGAACCTAAAAGGCACAAATAGTGCCCCCCCACCCAAAGCCAAATGTGTGCCTTTGAGGCTAAAAAGGTGACTGACCCTGGTGTTAACGTTGTATATTTTCAATAAGCTATATTCAGCTGTCTACTCCTTGAATTTCTTCTTAGCAACTTAAACACAAACGAGGCCTCCTTTGTGCTCAGGGACATTCTCAAGCACTTACGTTCTTTCCTTGGAATTCACAGGCCCTGCTCTGTTCTGTGTTTTATTGCTCTCAGCTTATTTCCTTTTCTCTTGATTAAAAACTAAAGCCTCTGTAGACATGATAAGTTAAAAATGGAACAGACACCAAGCATTGCTTACTGGTGTCCACACCCTGGACCAGGTGAACTGAATCCAGGGCAATTGGGATAAAAACACTATATGGGATCAGCCTTTTGCACGTCTTGTTCAAAGGAAAAAGAAGTGCTTTAAAGGTCTTGCTTTTTCAAATTCTCTGTGGAATTATTTTGATAAGTTTGGAGCTGTTTATTTTTTCTTTCATTCTGTTGTCTCTTGTGCAGATGGAAGAGAAGCCTCCTATATTAGCTTAGTTTAAGTGATGCTAAAAGGGATACATTTGCCGGCACTATCAGGGGGCCCAACTGAAAATGATCACCTCTGACAGCACAAGATGGACCAGCTCTTTCTTTTCACCTCCTGAGGGTTTAAACACTCTCAACTTTTTTATTAACAGGAACTTGCAGGGACAAGCCTGCTAAGCTTATCTCATTCCAAATGAACACTTTAATTCATCAAAAGCTTACAGTGAGGCTATGCAGGTTTATAGAAGAAATACCATACAAAAGGCTCTCAGAGGTCCAAGGCAGTGATCTGGTTCTGAAGCTAGAGATTGTTGGTTTTACACACAAATATATAGGCTATTAGAATTGTGAGCAGCCGTGCAGTTGTGGCCTGAGGGGTTGTGTGCAAGATTGGAGTTCATAAAAGGATGTCACCCAGGGTGCAGAGTTAGGATATTTCTGGGTTTGGTGACTTAGGAAAAAATATGAGGAAAATCTGTTTCGCTTTAAGGGTTGGAGTACACTTACTAAGAGCATCAGAGCATTTATTTCACAAGGGGGTATTGTCAAACTTAAATGCATACATCACAGTAGCCAAAACCTATGCCATCACAATAAAAATTCATATTAAATGTTTTTGGATATTCATTAAGCCCTTATATTTCTTAATACAAATTATATGCATATGCCCATACACATTAACTGTAATGGGTTTTTCTTTATATATTTTCTTGCACACCTTTAATACTATAGCAAGGTGTTCAATTTTTGGATTTAATTATACTCTTTTGAAAAACTCCCCAACTTATAATGTGTATAGCGTTTTAATTAAAATGCATTTCCACCAAGTCACAATGATAAATTTCTTGGAGCAGCAAATAAGCAACTTGTAATGTCAGCCTACTTTGATGCCAGGAGTTGGCTTTTTTTTTTTATTTCTATTTTTTGGTGTTAATTCAGAATAATCATAAACCAGAAGATTATCATTATCATTTTATTACATTACTCTAGTTAAAGAGAATACATCAAAAGGACGATTTCATTAGGCAGCCCTTTGCATAATGGCCTTTTGTTAGAAGGAAACGTGGCTCCCTCCCCTAGTGTGTATAGAACAACCCAGGACAATTCTGGCAGCTGGCCATGGAGTCCGTCTTGGCTCTGGCAAGAACAGATGGTTTTGGGGTCTGTTGTTCACATTTGATTTCCATGTTACAAATTTTGAATGAAGTCTTTACTGAACCCTTTGTCCTGCAGTCTGCAGCTCCTCACATCAGGGGGCAGTTAGGCGCCGGTCCTGACATGCCAATTTGACACCATTTATCCAGAACTTGGATTCCCCTTTCTTCTGGCCCTCTACTGGATGGAAGCAGTAAGTGTGGGTATACCGCCCTCTGGTGTCCAGCTCGGAGAGGTGCCGAAAGCTGGAGTTCTGAACTCCAGGAGCTTAGGGGGAAACAAATGCCTGAGCCTTCTCTCTGGTACTTGGGAGGTGCCTGTTTGAATGCCAAATCCTTATCAGAAAAGGACCCAAGGTGTGAATGCCATGGTCCATAGTCTTTCAACTCAGGGAAGGATCTTGGGGCTTATCCATTTCACCACCTTCCTTGTCTCATTCTATACCCATTTATTGAGCATCTACTATGTTTGTAATTTTTAATTCAACAGATATTTATTCACACCTACTATGTGCTAGGCACTGTGTCCTGAAGCAAATAATATAACAGTGAAAAAGATGTACAAAAATCCTTGTCTTAGTGGAACTTCCATTCATTTTGGGGTGGGGTTGGTGAAAGGCCAGGCTAACAAGAAAATAAATAAATAAGGCAAATTTAAATTTATGGTAAGTACTATGAAGAAAAAGTAACAGCACTTTGGGAGGCTGGGGTGAGTGAATCCCTTGAGGCCAGGAGTTTGAGACCAGCCTGGCCAACATGACAAAACCCTGTCTACTAAAAATACAAAAATTAACCAGACATGGTGGCACATGTCTGTAGTCCCAGCTACTCAGGAGGCTGAGTTGGGAGAATCACTTGAATGTGGCAGGCAGAGGTTGCAGTGGCCCGAGATTGTGCCACTGCATTCCAGCCTAGGTAACAGAGCCAGGCTATGTCAAAAAAAAAAAAAAGAAAGAAAGAAAAGAAAGAGAGAGAGGGAGGGAGGGAGGAAGGAAGGAAGGAAGGAAGGAAGGAAGGAAGGAAGGAAGGAAGGAAGGAAAAGAAAAAGGAAAAAGGAAAGCAGGGTGGAGTTAGAGAGAGATGCAGGTGGGGTGACATTTTAGATAGGGTGGTGAGGATAAGCTTCTGAGTGAGGTGAGGGAACAGCCATTTAGAATGTGTTTAGGTCAGGAAAACTGAGGTCAGGAAAAGGGGAGAGACATACCTCAAGTCTCATAGCTCTTTGATAGTAGAAGTAGGACTAGAATGCACACTCCCTGATTCCAAAGCCAATGTTCTTACTTCTGAGTTGCATCTAAGTAAGATAACAGAAAAAGATAATTATTGAGCTGCTTCTATGTATCAGGAAACAGCTAGACCCTGGATCAGCAGGGGCCACACAAACATGAATGATGGTGAGTTCCCTGTTTTAAAGGAGCTTAATGTCTAAATGCATGTGCCTGGCAGGTATCTTTTGCGCAGAAAGTCGGCATCTACCTGCACTAATGGCACTCTATTGCTCAAATATGACATTGCAGACCTGTGGTGTCTGGGACTAGCCAGTTGAGTGTTAGGTACCCTGTGTGCTAAGGGATGAGTTTCCGGGGAAGCTGCAGCATTAGGTCACTTGCTATCCCCTCAACCACTGCCCCAGCAGAGTCGCTGCTCCTTATAATCTCCTGGACTCTGTACTGGCCATGGGGAGAGGCTATCTTGGCTTGCTTTGAAAGAAGTCAAGTCAGGAGAACTCTGTGGTGAGAAGGTCTCTTTTATTCACAAAGTGGTGGTGGTGATGCTCAAAGGTAATCAGGTTCAGAGACAGGGTCAAAGCACTAATGAACTGGAACCCTCATCCACATGGTAGACCAGTCACTTAGGACAGACTGAGGAGATGCTGCCTTTGTTGAACCCTGCCACACCCACACCATCTTTCATGCCCTTGGCTCCCCCAGCTTTGAGTAGCCAATTCCCATTCCTTTCATGGAGTGATTTATACTGTGCTCAGGATCTTTCTTCAGAAGAAATAACTGCCTGTCCTCATTTTTTTTTTAACATAATGGTTCAGAGATTGGATGGGAGAATTTCTCTAGTTGACCTTTACAGCCTGATTTTCTTCTTTCTAAAATCTATTATCATATGTAGATATGGTGTTATATCTGACAGCCTAATTGTGGACAGGCCTTTTAACAAACACACCAGTAGGCTGCACAGGGGTAGAGTGGGTAACTGGTTTAGCATTTATTTACCTCTGATTTTTCTACAACTGAAGATAATTTTTTAAGTCAGCATTTTTGGAGTAAGGAACTTTGCAGCAAAAAATGTATTCTTTTGAAAGATATGTATATTTCATCTGCTACAATAAAATACCCTTTTCGGTCTCCCCCCAACACAGCAAATGATGCATGTGACAATCAAAAAATGAGAGTTTGAAATGAAATGTGATGAATATAATCTGAGGTCAACTTTTAGGATGGTCTGTGTGAATGTCATCAATCTCCAGAGGAAATGATCACCTCCTCTTCCCAGAGAGAGAAATGTTCCAAGGGGTGGGTGGGAGGGGAAGAAATTCTTCCTTTACCTCTGGTCCTTGCCAATTGCCAGAATTTCTTTGCTACATATTCGTCTTTCTCTGGGCCTTCAAATTGTTTCTCATTCTCTCTCTCCTTCGTCCTCTCACTCTTTCTCTTTCTCACTCGTAAATCAGCCAGCCTGTCTTTTTTTTTTCTTGTTTGGCTGATATCCATTTCTTCTATGTCATCCAGCCAATTGACTCCTCATTTATCAGTTAACAACTAATTGTGCACTGATTACCCTAGCCTTCTCCCAGCTTTGGCTGGGGAGGAACCTGCAATTCACTGACCTCATTTCATTGCATATCTGGCATCAGCACTGTTTTAGAAATAAGTGATAGCCTTGGGGAGCTAAAGGAAAGAAAAAAACAGTAGTTAAGTAGGAGTTCCCCAAGTTTTCAGCTGACTGAGAATTTTGCCCTTTTGGAAATCCTTCCACTAAGTGCTCTCTGCTCTCGTTTACCACTTTATTTGGCAAAGTTGAAAGATAGCAAAATGATCCATTTGTGAGGAGTTTAAATTGATAATAGATAATAGCTTATATTTGCACAGTACTTTAAAAGCATTTTTGTATGTGTCTCCTTTTTCTCCTGTAACAACCCTGGGAGGGATATGGGATCATCCCTGTTTGATGGTGGGGCAGCAAAATGTAGTTGAAAGCATTGCAGACTCAGAATCAGAAAACCTGGCCTCTTTTAGTCGTCCATAGAGGTGACAGGTGTCCCCTGGAGATCCTGGAAGTAGGTTGTTCCATGACAATTAAACTTAAGCAAGAAGCAATAGATCAACGCAGAGAGCTGTCTCTGGAAGGTATTAATATAAGTTAAAGCAGTGATGTGTCAATGAGAATGGAGACTGGAGAGAGTAATAGAGCTCACATTGAAGGGCCTGTCCAGTTCTGTCTGAAGGCATGGGTGTCTAATAGTTCATTACATTACAAAGACTTGATGCCATTGCACATATAGATGATTTAACTAACTCACTGGGTAATGCTTCCAGGTTTGCCAGCCAACCTTCTGATTATAATTCATCTTTTCATGTAACTTGTCTATTGGAGGGAGAGTGTGGCCAGAGAATGTGTGAATCTAGTCCTCTTAGTAGTAATATTTAATACCTCAAATGAATACTTTGGTAGTCTGGTTGCATATGACCGTCTCTTGAGAACTTACTTAGCATGAGTCAGATGAATACTGGGACACTGTCAAAATCAAATTTCCTGGTGGGCAAAACTGAGGACCAAATTACAGACTATAGAAAATTTATCAAAGGGAAGCCTCCCCTGTGAAGCCTCATAGTGGCTGCCTGGTCTGTCAGCCTTCCTTGGTGATATCCTTCATTATCATCACATATATGTCCTTTTGAACCTCCAAGGATTCCTGCTTTCATAGGCTGTGTAACCTTGGGCAACTCAGTTCTCCTCTCTGAGCCTCAGTGTCTGCATGCTTAGAGTGCTTTGGAAACTATCCAAAACTAAGGTGGTAATATTCTGAAGAAAAGGAAGAAGAAACAAAGAAGAGGAGGAAAAGGAAGGGGGGGAGGAGGAGGAGGGCATAGGAGGAGGAGGGGGGAGGAAGAGGAGGAGGAGGAGAGGGAGGAGGAGGGGGAGATGAGAAGGAGAGTTTTGGCATCAAAAGCAATTTGCCCAACACCATATATATAGCTGATGGTAGCCAAAAGTAGCGTGGCAACCATCACTGTATTCTTTTCTACCAGTGGAGATATGGAGGGCTGAGAAGTGGTGATCTTGTGAGATGGGGATAGAAAGGCAAGAAAGGGGCAACCTCTTGAATAGGTAAGGGGTGTGTGACTGTCATGTCAGAGGTGAAACAGTGAGGCTGAACTCTACCTGGGAAGAAAGGGTTGATCATAGATCATTGGAGAATTCATAATAGTGAGAAAGCATCTAATCCCACAACTGGATCTTTTGGTGCTGTCTTAAGGGATCCCACAAATAGCTCTTTAAGCTCAAGTTTTTATATCTCTCCACCTTCTAGGTCTTTTCCTAGAGCCCAGGAGCAGAGTTTTCACCTGAAATTTTTGTTATATCCTCTGTCTGGTGGCTAGGTCTCTTTACCTAGGAAGCTGGATAAGGGGAGTTTATTATGAAGCTAATGACATTTGCTTTGGACCACTACAGATATTTCTGTATCATATATATACATACATATATATATATATATATATATATATATATATATAAAATAATATGATATCTTTATATTATATATTACGTATATGTATATATCATAAAACATCTTTGAGGGTACACGCATATTCATCTTTAATCCCCAGGGGCTAACACAGTGCCTGGCAATAATGTTAAGGAAAGCCTTAATCACTGACCTATTATTGAATGAAGTTTTCTTTGAGAGTGGTTGTGTCCCATCTTCTTCATTCCAAGTTCTGTTGATGATGAGAGTAGAAGAGAGAGAGTAGCCAAGTGTATTGTAATTGAACTATGGGATGCTCAGAAAAGCAGATCATGTAGGTCTACTTTCACATTTTACAGGTGTGGACGTGGAAGACCAGGGGATTAAAGCCACATCTCAAGGTTGTACAGTTAATGGCAGAGGTGGGGCCAGAAGCTAGATCAGTTGATGAATAATTAGAATAGAACAGAACAGAGCAGAACAGAACAGAATAGAAGGAAGTGAGCAGATAACTGACTTCACCTCTACTTGGTAACAGCCTGGGGCCCCTGGGGGACCTGCCACTCTCTGTTTAGTCCATTCTATTCAAAACTTCTTTCTGTTGGAGGGAAAGGACTAGTTGAATTCCTAGGGGTTCTTCATTACTTGTTCAGTGTTCCTCCTTTCTAGAACCAACACCTGATTGCTAGAAGAAGTAAAGACCTTCTACAACAATGGGGAAAAAAATCCTGAAAGTTAATCATTGCTTCATATAATCATGGGCCTTGGCATAGGCCCACCAGAACCTAACTAGTATCCAGGACTGTTTCCTTTAGATGGCTGTTGCTAATGAGCGAGAGGGAAAAAAATATACCTTCCAATATCAGGTGAATGATAAACAATTGTGTCAGACTCCTCATTCCTTTGCCATTGATAAATGTTAGAGGCTCTAATCTTCTCTTTCTGGATATGATTTCTTGAGGCTTGAATAGTATCATGGACTGGGGATTAGAATGGCCCAAGTTTTTCAAGATTTAGGAAATCCTACAGAAATAGAATTGTGTTGAGAACCTACTGCTTTGTGATTATTTTCTATTACTATAAATAGTATTAAATGTCATGTTATTATCCATCAAACCTGAGAAAGGAGTGAAATACCCACAGAGACCTGTGATAATTTCCTTGTTTTTGTTCACCTACCAGACCAACTATGTGTGCAGTTATAAAATACTTGACTTTGAACTTTTTATTAGGAAAGATAGATGTTTGATTGTGTTACAGAATTTTGCTCCTTAGTTCAGTTAAAAATCTGGGTTCTTGTCACATGACCAGGAAAATTTAGGCACGCAGACACATTGAAGGGTGAGTAGATCAGAATTTTATTGGGCGAAAAGGAAAAAAAGAAAAAAAAACTCAGCAAAATGAGATGGAGTCCTGCTAACAGGCCCCCGACCTCACAGATCAAATCCCAGGCCACCACACAGGAACTGAAGAAGCCAGGCTCTTCCCCTGCATAAGCTACCATTCCCCATGGCTCCACTCACTTCTCCCAGTGCATATGTCAGGCTCCAGTCTGCTGTGGGCATGCCCAGACAAGCCCTGGGCAAGTTCCCTCATCTGCACAAAAGCGTCTAATACACACTTGTGGGGCAGGTCGGAGATTCTCCGGGGACCCCTTTTTATCTGCCTAGGCATTTGGCTGTCTCAGTTGTGTTTAAAAACCCTATCGGGGTTCTTTCTTTCTTCCTTTCTTTTCTTTTCTTTCGGCAGAGTTTCGCTCTTGTCACCCAGGCTGGAGTGCAATGGTGCTATCTCGGCTCACTGCAACCTCCGCCTCCCAGATTCAAGCACTTCTCCTGCCTCGGCCTCCCGAGTAGCTGGGATTACAGGTGCCTGCCACCACGCCCAGCTAATTTTTTTCGTATTTTTAGTAGAGATAGGTTTCGCCATGTTGGCCAGGCTGGTCTCGAACTCCTGACCTCAGGTGATCCACCCACCTCGGCCTCCCAAAGTGTTGGGATTACAGGCGTGAGCCACTGCACCCAGCCTCACTTTATAAAATATATATTCTTTATTTTGACAGGATTATGTTTAAGGTAGCTTTTGATGAGAGACGTTTATCTTTTCTAGATCTTTTGTCCCCGGTGATTAGTTGTAAATTTTTATAAATCAAAGAAAGGTCTTATTGATCTATAGGTTTTATATTATACTGTGCATGAATAGCTATTGCTATATTACTGAAGAGACTGCCATATAGTCAGGGTAAAACATTGATTTTCACGGACTATAGTATTCTTTGCAGAAACAATACGTTGAACTTTAATTTCCTGAGAATGTCAACTTGCCTTGCCCGTCAAGAAATTAATCTGTGGCTAGAGCTTACTGATATAGCAGTCTCACCTACTTGATTAGACATCATGTCATTTTATTACATCGATATCTTTCAGAGGCATTGCCAATACTTGTATTCAGAATCCCATCTTTCCTTTTGATGAGGTACACTTAGCTCCAATAAGTAAACAATGAGTAAGTGCAAAAACCAGTACCTGGCACACAATAGGCATTTAAGTTTAGATATAATTTGTTGAGATCTTACTAATGCCTGGCATAGTACGAAGCTATTTATCTGTATCTATATTTATATTGGTACCTGTCTGTCTAGCTATCTACCTACTTATCGATCTCTCATTTAGTCCTCAAAATAAATCCTGTGAGATAGGTACTATCATTTCCCTTTTACAGGCGAGAAACTGAGGCTGAGAGGTCATATAACTTCCCCATAGTCACACACACCATAACCTGCAAAAAGTAGTAGAGCTATGGCTTGGAACCTAGTTTACCTGACACTCTAGTCTACTCAGGTATACTGCTTTTCACAAACAGGCTGGAACTGGCTTTGAGATACTCAGATCTGCCCTGCTTCTGACAAACAGCAAAGAAGACCCCCCACTTCCCCAACCAAAAGAGAAAGAGAGAATCAGACCTGGGGTAAAAGTCTGTGCTCAAGCAGTGCTATCTGTCAGCAGCTATATACATCCACAAGTAAAGCCCCCTAAGGAAGTTTCTTCCAAGAAAGTTCCCATCCTGGTTTATTCAAAGACCTGAATTTTAAGTGGGACCACCTCAGCATTTCCACTGATCTGTTTCCTGCAGGGGGTAAAAAACACACACACAAATAAATAAAAAACAAAACCCTATGCAAAAAGAAGTGACTGTCCAGAATAGGCAAATCCATAGAGAAAGAAAGTAGAGTAGTGGTTGCCTAGGGCCGGCGGGGAGGAAAGAGAGGAAATGGAGAGTGACTGTTACTGTACACAGGCCTTCTTTTGGAAGTGATGAAAATGTTCTGGAATCAGATGGTGGTGATGGTTGCACATCTTTGTGAATATGTCAAAACCAATGAATTGTACACTTTGAAGGAGTGAATTTTATGATATGCCAATTATATGTCAGTTTTTAAAGAAATGAGGGATCATGCCCCTCTTCTTTTCTAACAATAACAATTTCCTTACATTCTCTGTGTTACAAACAGTCTGCTGTTAAAGGGGAGCGGTCCTAGAAATGGAATGTCTGTTTAAAGCGTCCATGTCCTTGGGGGTTCACAGTGCCATTTAGGGGGATGCCATTAGTGGCCTGTGACCTTTGACTTAAGAACAGTGGTAACTTTGAAATCAGCTCTGCCGAGGAGCTGGTCAGTATGGGCTCCTAGATTCCAGAGGGGATTTTCAATTCCCTGATTACAAATTTCCTAGGAAAGTAGGAGACCCAGTTTGGGTTTCTGCCTCTCTGCATGATACTCAGGTAAAGGCTGGGGTTTTTCCCCTTTAGGAGAAATGTGAATAGTTAAAGTGTAACTTCTGCAAATAACTTGATTTATCTTGAAGTGCAGCAATTTGCTACACGTGCGTTTTTCAGAAAGCACTAATAAATTCCAGGTCAGAATCATTTAAAGCGCCCCACAAATTGATAGTGAGGTCTTAAAAAGGCGCAGCAGCTTTGGAACGTTAAATTTACTTGCTGTAAATTTGGAATAAGAACATAAAGAATCACTTTCCAGCAAGATGATGAAAATTCATCATGTTCATTATGTGTTTCTTTAGAAGCACACTACATTAATTTTCCAGCTCAACTAAGTGGAGGAAGTAAGGTTTCTCGTTACTAAAGAGTTGCTCTGATGTTTAGAGAGGCGGTCCAGTTTCATTAATGAATCCAATCTGGTCTGACTTGAGATACTGCTTAATGTGTCCCCAAAACTCGAATATGGATAAGTGTCATACAAATCAACATCAGGTTTTCTCCTTTTAAAACAATGGCCAGAAGGTATTTATAAAACTTAGTTTTGTTTTCCAAGGATTCAAATGCAATAGCTTGCATTCAGCTCTTGATTTTTTCATGGTAATGAGGGAGAGCAATGGTATGGCTCCTCTGAAAATAGTATCTCTTTGCATTTGACTCTGAAGAATGTGTCAGAATGAAAGAAAGGAAAATAAAGAAGTCCCACTGGTCAGCACCTCCTCCTGGAAGCCCTCTTCAGACATTTGTCCCACTCTAGGGCATGCTGGAGAATGATAACATCACCTCTCAGCCCAAAGGGGCTTTTGCTAGCTAGGGGGAAAGCAAAAAGTGTCTTCCTGTTCAAAAGCCTTCTTGCTCAGCTGCAGGCCAACATGGAGAAGTGAAAGGAGAAGCAAGGCAATCATGTGCGTCAACATCAAGTGTCCTGTCACCTACTTTGTTTAACTTGGCTAATAGGAACATGAAAGCAAGGTCATTTGCCCGAGGATACCTGAGATATACAGGCCCATCTTTCTAGGCCCTGTAAAACACACTTTCCATCTCATCTTAAAGAACCTCAAAAAGCTTTGCAAACTACACAGTGGTCTAGAATTGCTTGACACCTCCTGAAATGCAACCTATGTTGTGACTGGTAGCGGCTGTTAAATAACTCCTAGAAATTCTGCCCGGAAGTTCAGATCAGGGATGGGGAGGTAGTACTTTGGGTTGCTGTGGTTCCAGCACCTCCAGACCTTGGATCCCTAGCTCTCTGTTTGGCCTGATCTGCTTGGGCTCTCCTGACCAAGCTGAGTCCTAGGACACCTGAACCTTGGACATCTTTTTTGGCCTGATATCTGTTGTGATCACACATCCCTCTCTGTCCACCCCCTGCCTACTGACCCCTTGACATCTACCCAACTCTGCTGGCCTAATGAGCTCTCAGAATTGGCCCCTGCTAACCTGTCTTCTTGCTGCCTGAGTCAAAAGCTTTGGCAGTCTGTTTGCATAGATGTAATACCTATTCTTGTGGCAGATCTCTATCTGTAACCATGGGAACTAGGCACAGACATTTATATGATAAGCATCCAGTCTCTCTATGGTCATCTCTTGTTTGTCAATGCTAGTGGAGAGGAGTAGAGACATAGGTAATCTGATAGAATGGGTGATCCAAAATTCATTTGTATTTGAAGTTGAAATGGACATACACACTTCATCAGGCAGCCATATATAAAGAGACTGCTCTGAGTCTGGTTCTGACTTCTGTTTTATAGTAAGGTGCTAGGAACAGAGAAGGAAAGGGACATGGGAAAAATGAAAAGAACAAGAGGAAGGGAAAAAGGACAGAAAGGGGATGGAAATATAGAATAGGAAATGTGAAGAGACACACTGAGAGGTGAGTGCTTCTTTGAGTTAAAACAGGTGGAGTGCTGAGTGCTTCCAGAGGTAACTGACTTGCTCTGTTGGCCTTGTCTTTTCCTTGTGTTCCGTAAATGCTAACCTCAGATTTACATTTCTATCACAGAGTTTCAGGCTTGATTACTCTAAGAAGTGCTTCTCAGATAGTCACCTTTCTATTACGCTTTCTGTAGAGATGAAATTTAGCAACTGGTAATAATTACGGTGAAGGTCTCAGTCCTCAGCAGAGAATGTGAGTTTGCAGGGTAGTCACAAATGATGTTGCTTTGGTGCTGGGCCAGGGGTTTAGGGTTAGCACTCTGTCTCCCACAGAGGAGATGGAAGGGAATGCCTGGGATCTTCAATAAGTAGATTCCCTCTGGTAGCATTCAGAGCTGTTACTTCTCAGAGCAATTGCTAGTTTGGGAATGGGCTCTCTGATGAGTCACTGTGGTCTGCATGATTTGTAGAGGTCTTTGCAAATGGCAGTGCTTCCAATCCAAAAGAAGTTATGAATTTCTGTCCTCAGAAGTGCTGGGAAGATTAAAGCCCCAGGAACCCAAAATAAGCTGTTGAGGGCATAAGAGAGATTGGATTTCACACCAGACAGTAAATTTCTTCAGGAAAGGAATCATGCCCAATTCTCTTTCAGGTTCCTGGCACCCTTAGTACCATGTCTGGCACAGAGCGGGCACTCACTGAACACAGGAGTTGAGGCTAAACAAGGAAGGGTAGGAGTGGAGACTAAAGGGTAGCTTTGGCCATTGCAACTGCAGGCTTTGTGCAGTTCCCTGACTTCCAATTTGCCTCTTCCCCACCTTCCCACTAGGCATGCTTACACCTAGTTTCTGCTTCATCAGCCTTGTTCAAGGCTTTCAGAAAAAGAAGTCTGCTCTAATGTACCCCTTCTGCCAAACTATCTGGAGTTCACCTTTGCAAAGGGAAGTCAATCCATGAAGATAGTGTTGCAAGTTGTTTTCTCAGTTTGTAGAAAAAGTGCTTTATTGGTCTCCTGACAGACTGGCCTTAAAGTCATTCCATAGAGTCCCCAGTTGCTGCATTTTGAGCCCCGACACCTGGCTCAGCTCTAGCCTCTGTTATCCTGGCTGTGTAGCCTGCCAGCTGTGACAGTCACCATATGGCCTGGTCTCTCACTCTTCCTGCCTCAGCATTGACTAATGTGGCAGAAAAACACTCCCATTACATTTTTGTGGATGAGGCAGACAAGTGGATTTACTTTTGAAGTGAAGGAAATGAGACTGAGATTTCCTTCTAGCCTGTGTTGCCAGAGAACTCTTCATCAGTGAGGCAGTTGGGAAAGAAAATATAGAGCTACCTTTGTAGATACAGAGGATCGATTCAGAGAGAAAAATAATGAAAGAAATACAGAATTAAAAAGAAACAAGATGCAAGGGTGTAATGGGGGAGGAAATACAATATCCTACATACTGAGAACATCATTTCTGAAATAATTTTCAATAAGTTAGTGAAAGCAGTGCAGTTCCACAGGGCTTGGGATATGAGAAAAATAAAGTAAATATTTGGAATAAGCCATCATGGAGAAAGGTCTCTGATGAGTTGCTATTCACTCTGACTAGACTATAATGATACTAAACAGAAATCCTTTGGCGCCTCCTATTTGCAAGTTTTTATTGAGGCACTCAAGATCATCGTTCTCTTTCCCTTTGGGATAACAGCATCCCAAGCAGACTGTACAGGGTTTGATGGAGGAGGTGATGTTGCCCATTGATCTCCTTTTACACTACTAGCAATAGAGCCTGCTTCATTCCTAAGCTAGGCACCACATTTCTGAAGGGTGGCTGTCACTGAGACTGCAGGTCCGGCTCTGTGAAAGCAGGTTGATAGGTAATTATATGTTCCCATGAATTACTTTCAGAGCTGGGTAATTATCATGAAACTGACCAGCTGGAACTCACAATTAGCTCAGGTCCAGGCTTCCCAGGCCACCAGTCATTACCTTCGAGTCAGGGTAATCTGGGACACAAATCGTTTCTTTTAAATGTTATAAGACAGGAAAACATTTAAAATGAGGAATGGCTAGGCCCTCTAGAAAACTAAAATCTGTTATTAAAACAAAGTATAAAAGAAAATATTATACCTTTAAAGAAGCCTGTTTGTGAGAGGCACAAGGAAGAAAAGGGATACTCTGAAATAGTTTTGGCAGGGAAAATTTCAAAATTTAATATAACTTAAAAATATTCCTTAAGATTAAAGAGAAACGAGCTGTAATATTGAATGATTAGGAAGCTATAACCATTTTTTCTAGCTTCCAAATAGCTTTCTCTCTAATCCCACGTTTATAAGAACAAAAAAATTTTGTGACTCTTCATAGCTTACAAGATCAAACCTAAACCTCCTAGCATGGCGTCTAGGTCATTTCCCAGCCTCGCCCCAGCCTACTTTCAGCCTCTGCTTCCATATGGACCCCATAACCATTTCATTTCATCCATCCATATGGCATTTATAGAAAGGTGCCATGTGCAAGATACTTCTAGGTGTTTTGTGATCTAACGCCACATTACTCCACCTTGGTGGGGACTTTATTAGTTCACCATGCTCCTATTTGGGCCCCATTTAAAAAAATTATGAGGTGGTGAGTGCCTGGGCAAGGATTGTAGCAATGGCTTGGGGGTGGGGATAGTCAGGACCAGGATGTGGTAGGAGAGGGGAGAAAAACTTTAAATAACAAAAATGATGGATATGACCCACCTTCTGTTTTTTTTTTAATTTCAGTGATTTTCCAAACTCCTATGAATCATCTAAACCCATGCAAGATAAAATTGGCTAAGCAAGGTGTTATATATTAACACAATGGAATGAACATCTCATAGCTACATGAAAATGTGGGTATGAAATAATGCTATTAATAACAATGAACACTGAATGAGCTTATTATATGCCAGACAGTGTTCTAATCATTTTGTATATATTTTATCATGTAACCCTGACAACAGCCCTCTTAGGGCAGGTACAATTATTATCCCGATTTTACAGGTAGAGAACCCAAAGTACAGGAAGGTTAAGTGACTGGCCCAAGGTCACACAACTAGCATGTGGAGGAACCAGGATTGGAAAGGTTGTGTTCTGGTTCCAGAGTTCATGTTCTTAACTACTGTATTATAACTGTCTCTGTACAGGAAAAAGAACATAAAAAGTACATAAGCATAGCTACCCACATATAAATACCTTGTTAAAGACAATTTGCAGTGATGCAAATGATTGGATTTAATGTTAGATTCATTCTTCTGTAAAGAAGCTTAAATTCATAAGAAGAGGAAAAGAGTGAGAATAGTTTAGCGTCATGGGGGTCAAGGGAAAGCAATTTAGGAAGGAAAGTGTCAATGGTGTCAAATGTTAACTGAGCCAGGAATTAACTTAATAACTTCAAGCAAGTCACTTAGCCTCCTTAGTAATTGTTTCCTCATCAGTAAAATTTTCTATTGCTTTACAGCTACCTTTTGAAGATTAATGAGATGATGTTAATAAAGTCCTTGTGATTTCCTTTGATAATACTTTCTCAAAATTGCAGACCATATTTTTAGAGGGTAAAAAAACACTAAAGGCAGAAAATATGTAAATTTTTCAAGTGTTGTGCGATAATCTAAAGTGTTTCATGTCCTTCAACTCTGGTTGGGGTAGCAACATAACCCCAAATGTCTTGGTATTTGAAGGGAAGAATCAGCCACGGGCCCTGTACTGTTATTATATTCAAACCAAGCTCTCAGAGTCATCCAGGCAGTCCCAGGTCAAGAAGACAACCTGATATTCCCAGTTGAGTGTCTCTTGCATGTCTTTGGCTATCATGTTTAACTAAATCTGAAGTGACCTTTTACATTTTTGCCAAGAGGGAGATCATGATAATGCTATAATAGACTTTATGTTCATCTTGGCCAGACATAACAGTACTTGAAAACTATCTCAAATTCTCAGTTGTTTATAATGTCTAATAATCACATTGCTGTTTCAATTCGTATCAGTTGCTCAGTGGGTCCATTACTAATTTTGTTTCCAAAATATTTATCTATAATGGAAAAAATTCTTTGTAAGAATCTATTCTGATGGTTACATGTAAGTAACAACTCAACTATAAACAACCAAAGAAGGGGGCTGTCTGAGGGGCCAGGTTCTTTCTCTTTTATTGCTTCTTTTCCATTCTGCTTTTGAGTTTTTGGTTTGCCTTCTACAGTCTTCATAAAGAAAGGGTAACAAGCAGTTCAGATAGCTCGAGTAACCATCCCAATATAATTCTCTCAAGCTCCAATGCATTGCTGAAATGTTCAAGTCTCTCCTGCTTTTGACCCATGTAATTTTTGGGGGGGAAATAATAAATCTTCAGTAGCTAATGTGTGTCACCACAAGATGACTGTCTTTAGTAGTGTGCAACCCTTTTTAAAGCAGGGGTTTGAGCAAGTTCAACAGATAGGTCATTGTGTTCTTTACAAAACAAGGTTTTATTGCTAATTGACTTTATAACTTGTTCTTATTCAAGGCAGTTCTAACATATTTCTTCCAGGAGGAGAGAAAGTTGGATGATGGAAAGAACAAAAGACCGGGGCTCATGAGGCTTGGGTTTTAGTTCCTGCCTCGTCAGTTTCCTCATCTGTGAATTGACGAGCTTTGATCATCAGAGTGCCCAGACTTGGCTCTGCATCAGATTTGCCTGGGGAGCTTGTTAAAATAAAGATTCTTGTGACCAATGCCTAGAAACTCTGAATTGACAGTTCTATGGTAGGGCCTAAGAATCTGTATATTTAACAAGCACCCCAGGAGATTCTGACATAACAGGTTTGCAGACCAACAATAGTTAGAAGTCATTGACTTAGATTACTTCTAAGGCCTTTCAGATTTCAACATATGTAATTCTAGTATCAAAGATTCCTAATCTAAACAATAGATGAAAATAAACAGAACTGAGATAAGAGGAAATGTATATTAATAGTTTCATGATGGGCTTTTGTATTCTGAAACCAGAATTTGGGGTATCAGGCACTACTAGAAGATGTTGGCAAGGTTGTGGGTCCAGCAAGTGTGCTGGAGTCAGAGGTCAGACTTCTAACTTGAGAAAAGGAGGTGGGCACCATGAAGTCATAATTTCACATCAAGAATTTGGGCTCCAGAGGTCCAGGGAAGATAAGCAGGCATAAATAGGAACAGAAGCCTACCATACAGGAATTGCTTGAGACTTAGAATTAAAGTAAAAAGAGAATAAAGAGAGGGTGGAGACCAAGAGAGGAGTGGAGAAAGAGGGGTTGAAACCAGGAGAATAAGAATAAGATCTCTGTTCTTGGAATACCTGTGGTCCATGCATTAAGAAAGAAACGACGTCTTTGGGAGGTCGAAGCGGACAGATCATGAGGTCAGGATTTTGAGACCAGCCTGGCCAACATAGTGAAACCCCATCTCTACTAAAAATACAAAAAATTAGCTGGGCGTGGTGGTGGGCACCTGTAATCCCAGCTACTTGGGAGGCTGAGGCAGGAGAATCACTTGAACCTGGGAGGTGGAGGTTGCAGTGAGCTGAGATCGCGCCACTGCACTCCAGCGCGGGCGACAGTGTAAGACTCCATCTCAAAAAAAAAAAAAAAAAAAGAAAAGAAAGGACGTGACTACTTCCTTGCTGTACTAATTTTTGAGTATACTCATTGCTGTAAGAGAATGAGAGCAAAGTTCGTGGACTGTGATTGGAACAGAAGTGTCTCTTAGGTCATAAGGTATTGGGGATGCACCTGACCTAGTATTCTTCTGACCTCTGGATTATCACTGTCAGGGCTATGGGAAATGGCTGTGACTGGAAAGGAATAATAGCCAGTGTGAACAAAGACAGGAAGATGGAGGTGGATCTCAAGGAGCCTGAGATGTCCAGCTCAAATGACTCAGAAAATTGATAACAATGAATAATAAACAATAGTGAAGGATCTTGGCATCAGTGGCTGCATTTAATGGAGAGGCTCTTCACTTGATTTTCCACATACAGTCATGACCTGTATAGGTAGGTACATTTTGCCACTCCAGTTGAAAGTGAGTAAAAATATGGGCATCACAGTTTAGCGATCTCGAATACTAGCAGCAGGCCTCACTGTGGATCTATGCGTAGACGAGACAGACCAAGTAGTGCTGGAAAAGGGGTCTGCGAAGGGCTGAGACATGGGGATTGTTTTGTCATTCTTGGGAAGGCCAGGAGGGGGCGCCAGTCATTTGATTGATACCCTATAATCTGTGTAACGAGATTCTTTGAGAATGTGTTTTGATCAGAAATAGCAATGAATTTGGTTAACAATATCTCCTCAGTTTTCTGCTATATATATTATTAGAAAGATATATTTAGAATAGATAAACTATAAAAATAACTCCATAATTACAACCCTAGAAGTTTAATATGTCACAGACTGGAAAAGGCTTCTTTGATTTGATAGAAAGGGTGTGTTTGACCATTGTTCACTGTGCTCACGTGTTGATATTTGCTATGCACACCACAGTTTTTCCTTTCTGGGAGGCTTTTTATTTTCCATTAACTTTGCAGTCTTACCTTTTCCACTGATAACTTTTTAAAATAGTTTTGGGTATGCACCTTTCTTTAAACCCATGCCCCTTTTAATTTTTTATTTTGAAATAAATATAGACTTAATGTTGTAATTATTAGATATCATGAATTATGCTTATGATTCTCAGAGATGGCCAGAGGTGTCTTCTTCATGGGTTACATTTTTGTTCCCAAGGTATCTCTTTTTCAAAGTGATGCTCTCAATTCTGCCAAAGCCCCTCGTGTAGTGAATTGTTTATGTCCAATCCTGTAATTTCCTTGTCAATATACACATCCTTTTGCTGTGTTGGGGAAAGACCATGTAATTACTGACCCCGGCACGATACCAATTTTTACAATCTTATACTGAAATAGATTTTTGTGACAATTAGAGCAGTTAGACAGCCTAGACAGAGTGCATGATCTTGGGCCCTAATGTTAGTAAGATGGCCAGGCTATCTGCCTGTCTGTTCATATCAATCTCAACATATCTTTGAATGTATCGCTGAGACATGGAAGCAACTTACAGGGGCCTCCCCAAGACCCTGAAAATAAGGAAAATGAAATCACTACCTAAAAGTTAAGCTAGAAAATCAACAAGCTATGGATGAGAACAGAACTATGCAAATTCACTTTGAAGAGACTGAATTACAAAAGAACAGTGGAGTCGCATATTTGTTGTCTAATTTTGTGAAGTATAAATGTAGTAAAAAAAAAAAAACACGCTGGCAGCAAATTGCCAAAAGTTAACTCATGTTGATAACAGTTGGTGGGAATATGGGTGATTATTACTTTACTTCTTTGAACTTTATTTTTTTAATTTCAAAAAAAAAGAGAAAAAACAAGACTGAGACAGAGACAGACAGACTTAACGGCTGCTATGAAAAAAGGCCAGACAGTAGCCTGACTGACAGTGTTAACACAGTAGAAGAAAGAATGTGTCAATCAGGGAGTGGGAGCCATGGGCTGTCAGTCATGAAAGCAGATGAAAAGGAGAAAGTCACAGAGAAAGATAGTAACACTGATCAGTGCCCTTCTACCAAGAAAGAAACTGCCTTCTTGGGCTCTGGGCTAGGCACAGAGGCAACACAGCAAAGTGGTTATAAGTGAGATCCCAGATCCAGACTGATTAGAGTTCATATCTCATGCCCACCACTCCCCAGCTTCATGACCCTGGGCAAGTGGTTATACCTTTCTGAGCCTCAGTTTCTGTCTATAACATGGGAATTTTAATAATGGTACTTACCATATAGAGCCATTGTGAGAATAAAAGGAGATAATTTATGTATTCAGTATGGTGCCTGACACACAGTAATCTCTCAATAAATGTTAGCTATTATTATAATATTTTATTTATAATACCCTATTTATAGAGATATATTTTAACATGATGCCATAATTAGATATTCAAAGCTTATACCTTGGGTTGACATTGCTTCCACGGTCACTAAGCGAGCTTTGGATTATATTTTGTCTTCCTATGTTATTTATCAGTAGGGAGATTATATGAGGATCTGTCACCTCATGAATTATATGTATCATTATAAATGGGTTACATATATTATATATGTCATTGTAAATGGGTACACTAGTGTTCAGCTTTATTCTAGCAGTCTTTGGAGGGTTTGATAGTGTGGGTTCAATCAATCTGGAACATTATCAAATTGAGTTTTGAGCCTCCAAATCCTGGGCATTTTAAAATTTTAAACATGGCCCTCTGTGAGCTTGGTTGAAGTGAATCCACCTCTGAGGGCCAGAATCCAGACCTAATGAGGTTTCCTAGCAGCCAGTCTGCCAGCATTCTCCCGCCAATTAACTCCCTCTGTTTCTACACAAAATTGTACGGGATAAAACCAGAAACTCATTTCATATTTTCTGTGTACATTTGCTTGAGTCCTGTGCTTTGTACATGTCCTATATGAGTTTATACAGTGCCTTAGTAAGATACTACATTATATTGTTACTGGAGTTGATGTGTAATATCAG
This sequence comes from Homo sapiens, assembly GCF_000001405.40. Taxonomy (NCBI): domain Eukaryota; kingdom Metazoa; phylum Chordata; class Mammalia; order Primates; family Hominidae; genus Homo; species Homo sapiens. The sequence continues at coordinate 133,773,961 of NC_000023.11, read as the reverse complement.
CCAACTAGTAACTATGGAGAAATAGCACAGAATTATGGAATTACAATGCTTGAAGGGAACTTAACACTCAGGTAGTCCTGTCTCCCTGAAGGCCAGAGAGGAAAAATGACCTATCCAGGATGACAGGTGGTTTATTTGAGACAACACTATACTCATATAAAAGCATAAAAATTTTTCTGAATTACTCATCAAAGCAGAGATAAAGGACTGAAAGAATGTATCAGAAACCCAAAACAGAACCCAAAGATGAAGGGTCCACCTCATTATTATTCTGCCACATGGAAAATATTCCATGGCTGAAGTCCTTCACTCTGCTCTTTTATGTTCACTTTATTGGCTTTTTCCTTCATTCTGATATTTTTCCTGGAGAAATAACTGTCACTAGTGTTCAAGAGCTGACTCTTCATGAACTAGGTCAAATTAAAACATGGTTCTGCTCCTTTTCCAAGACATTTTGTTCATCCTAAAATGCTTTTCTTTCTTCTTTTTCCTTAAAAGGGGACTGCCTTCTACATAGTGCTCCCATTTTATTTGCATTTCCCTCTCAATTTTCAGTTAGTTCAATTACTTATTTATTGAGTCCTTTTCTTTGTCTAGTTTTGTGCTTCTTTGTCAATTGGTACTGTTCTTCACATTTGGTATGCAGGCCGCCTGGGCTCTGCCTTCATGACTAACTCATGCACTCTTTTAATAAAAATAAAAATTTTCATGGTGAAACCCCATCTCTACTAAAAATGCAATAATTAGCTGGGCGTGGTGGCAGGCGCCTGTAATCCCAGTGGGAGGCTGAGGCAGGAGAATCTCAAACTCAGGAGGTGGAGGTTGCAGTGAGCCGAGATTGCACCATTGCACTCCAGCCTGGGCAAGAAGAGCGAAACTCCATCTCAAAATAATAATAATAATAAAAATAAAAATTTTCTACCCCCTTTTTGTTATGTGAAATTTCAGTAACAGTGAATATGCCACTTGAAACTGCCTTCCTCTTTCCTTCTCCAAGGACAAGGTCTAGTCTCCCATATCAGGCATTAGAGAGGAATGCTTCAGAGCTCATTTTGAATTCCAGCTCTGCACCACTTACTTGTTGTGTGGCTTTGAGGAAGTTGTTTCTGCTCCCTGAGCCTCAGTTTTCTCACCTATGAAGTGGAAATAATCATAATAATTAAATAATAATGTAATTAATTAATAAAATGTGAGGGGCACTTGAAATAGTGCCTGGTCCAAACGAATGTGCTATGCTGATATTAGTTCTTGTTACTATTGTCATCATTGTTCTTGTTACTGTTATTTAGTCATCATTATAAAACTGGTCTTCTGACATCACGTTAACCATGATACTCAACCCAGATTGTCAATATCAGCACTGTCTCCAGTAATGCCATGGCATTCTTAGGACAAAATAAACTTTTGTTTTAATTTAATGAATAAGGAGCATATAACATTTTTAGGGGGTGGGGTATGACGATACCATCAACCCAAATGTGCTGATGAAAGAGACGTGATTCCAGGGAGGTTGGGACCTATCATGGTGAATGTATTCACCTGGTTGTTTGTCGGGAGCAGACCTTTCTCCGTGTTGGTGTGTGCTGGCATGATGCACCACACCAGCACCTTTGTTTATGATCAATAGTGACATAGGTCTGCTCAAATAAATTAACATTCTTGTCTGGCCCAACTCATTTTGAGAAAACTGATTTGCAAGCCAGTGTGTAAGCTGACCCATATAACCCCTTAGCTTAAAAAAAAATGTACTGTATACCATTGTAGTTTTACTCTAACAAGCATTGAGCGATGGCAGGCAAACTTTTCTTTAGTTTAGTTTTTTTCTTTTTATGGCTACATCGACTGACTTCTACCTGGCGTTCTTTGAGAGGCATGTGGAAAGGAGACTGAAAACTAAATACAGGAGAAGGAAAGGGACACAGGGAAAAGAGGGATATTGGAATTTGTCAGCGTCTCTGAATACTGGTGTCTTGTTCTATAGTAAAACCTCAGATCTGAGCAATTCTGAAGAGCTTAAACACAGCATAGGAATGGAGCAAGCTAATTATGGGTCTATTACAGGGGCGATTTGAACATCATTTACATTAGTATTCCAATGACACATTGACATGATGGCATGCCAAGACCACACAGCACTAATATTTCCTTCTTCCCTCTCTGCCCAGAGAATTTATAGCCTAAGGAGAATATAATAGAAAACAATTTACTTCTCTAGTTTGGTTTTGGTCATTCCGGGCCAGAGGCATAGACTGTAGTGACTTCCACATGCAGATTTGGGAAAGTGACAAACTTGAATTTTAATTCATCTAATTGTGGTGTGTTTCAAACCTAAACAATACCATTTTGAGGGGTTTGGCCTCATCTTTCTTTCCTTAAACAAATAGAATTTTCAGTGATGTCAACTTCACTATTCTAGACCCCATGAGATGGAATTTAGCGTTTGGGTCAGGCTAGTGAGGTCAGCTGAGGAGACACAGTGCAATTGTGCCATGTCTTCCTTTGCACTGGAATTGGGGATGTCTCCAGGCCCACACAGAGGGGCCCTCAGGCATGTTTAAGGAAAGCGCTAAGCAACAGGATCAGACGACCTCATTAGGGAAAGTGACTGTAACTTGTATTTTAGAGATTTTGTTTAAAATGCCCAATCTCAAATTCAGCCTTTTCCAGGCACATTGCCAAATTACAGCAATGGACCATTTTTCAAATGCCCATTTAAAATAAGCGGTCTTGAATGTAGCAGTGTGACAAAAGATCCTTTTGGCAGAAAGCCACTTTAGACATCAGATTACTCCAAGCATTATTTTAAAATAGTGCCCGGGCCTTTAAGTAATTCAGGTGCTGTTTCCTTTGAACACAGAAAATGTCAGTGTACCGAGAGCAGACATAAATGGGGCAGGCCTGGCCAACAGCTGGATTTCCTTTTCCACAGATGGATTGAGCCCTCATAGTGTATACTGTCCCTTGTCCATCTGTCCGAATGGAGTTATCTTCCTCTGATTCACTCCTTCCCCCCATCCCCTCCCAGATTTAAATGGGGGTGAGAGATGGGGGAGTTACGAGGAAAGAAACTTATTGTGAGATATTGAGGGTGAAACTCCTAGAAGAAAATAGAAGAACAATCCTGCTACGAGGTGGATTCTGTGCTTGCTCTTCCCTTTTTATCTGGAATAGCAATTGGGAGGTAGTGACAAGGGCTGCCAGAGGTTTGCTAAAGAGAGTTCTGAAATAATAGGTTTTGGTCTTGTGCAAATAAAGACCTGTAGTTTGTTAGGAGCTTGGGGACAAATGGTAGCAAATGGACAAATGGCCCCATCTCTGATCCTGCAAGTCACTGAGGTAGCAGTGGGTGGCTTGCTTTCTGTTTCTAGCTCAGAACTTGGGACTTTCTAGGAGATTCTAATATTGCATATGAACCTTGCCAGAGGTGCTCGGACAACACAAAATAGAGAAGCTGAATCAAGCATTTATACTTGTGGGAGTGGTTGCTTGTCTTTCTGACCATACCCTCTCTTCTTCCAGGTTAATTCTAGGATTACTTTCATTGCTGGCTCTCCATTTTTATAACTTCTTATTAAACTGGTTTCCACATTCTGTTAAAATAATCAAGTGTTCAAGAATGTTCAGAAGGTCCAATTTCATTAGGTCATCTGGTCCTTAATCATGAACCTCACATGCGATTTTTTTTTTTGACAGGGTCTTCCTCTGTCACCTAGGCTGAGTGCAATGGTGGGAACATGGCTCACTGCAGCCTCGACCTCCTGGGCTCAAGCAGTCCCCCTGCCTCAGCCTCCTGTGTAGCTGGGACCCCAGGCATGCGCCACCAACCCTGGCTAATTTTTTGATGTTTTGTAGAGACAGAGTCTCACTATGTTGTCCAGAGACTGGTCTCAAACTCCTGGGCTCAAGTGATCCTCCTGCCTTGGCCTCCCAAAGTGCTGGGATTACTGGCCTGCGGCACTGCACCCAACTGTGATTGTTTTATAGTACAATACAGGCAGCTCTTGTGGCTGAGTCACTGCTTTATGCAGAAAGATTTCTTAAGCCAGGCACCCTGCATGTATGCTCTTACATGCAGGGTATCTGGCATTTCGTATACAGAACTGTTATTTGTATGTCCTTTATATATAATGTCCCTTTTAAAAACAAATCCAGTTAAGCTTTGAATAAAAAAGATGTTTCTCTAATTCATTTCTTCGACTTTGCACTAGGCTTTTAGGCTCTTCAGATAGTTGCTGAAGTCCCTAACAACTGCTGTAGACCAGAACTAAGGTGGTAGCTAAGCCTCAGAATTTAGCTGGTTTGGTGCAAATAGGTACCAAGTAATATTTTATTTAGGCCTACATAGATTAGATGACCTGCCTTCTAGATCACACTGGTATTATAGTATATTTTCCAGTTTATTGAGGTGTAGTTGACATACAAAAAGCTGTACATATTTAATGTGTGCAATTTGATGAATTTGGAGATAAGTATATACCCTTGAAGCCTTCATCATAATCAGTGCCATAAACATATCCATCTTCTCCAAGAGTTTCCTCCCATCCTCTTAATTTATTATTTTCTTTGTGATAAGAACACTTGACATAAGATCTATGCTCTTGGCGAAATTTTAAATATATACAGTATCGTTGACTATAGACACTATTCTGTATGGTAAATCTCTAGGACTTCATCTTGTGTAACTGAAACTTTGTACCAATTGAATGATGATACCTCTCTGTTTTGCCCTCACCCAGGCTCTGAAAACCACCATTCCTCTCTCTGCTTTGATGAGTTTGACTATTTAAGATTCTTCAGATAAGTAGTATCATGTAGTATTTGTCCTTCTGTGTCTAGCTTATTTCATTTAGCATAATGTTCTCCAGGTTTATCCATGTTTTTGCAATCAGCAGGATGTTCTTCTTTTAAAAGGCTGAGTAATATTCCATTGTGTGTACATGTGAGTGTGCATGTGCATGTGTGTGTGCATATGTGCGTGTAACATTTTCTTTTCTTTCTTTCTTCTTTCTTTTGTTTTTTTTTGAGACAGTGTCTTGCTCTGTCACCCAGGCTGGAGTGCAGTGGCTCAATCTCGGCTCACTGCAGCCTCTGCCTCCCGGGTTCCAGTGATTCTCCTGCCTCAACCTCCTGGGTAGCTGGGATTACAGGTGCATGCCACCACACCTGGCTAGTTTTTTGTATTTTTAGTAGAGACAGGGTTTCACCATGTTGGTCAGGCTGGTCTCGAACTCCTGACCTCAGGTGATCCACCCACCTTGGCCTCCAAAAGTGTTGGGATTACAGGTGTGAGCCACTGCGCCCAGCTGTAACATTTTCTTTGTCCATTCATCTGTCAAGGGACACTTGGGTTGTTATCTATGTCTTGGCTATTATGAATAATGCTGCAATGAACATGGGAGTGTGGGTATCTCTTTTTCTACTGCCTCCCTCCATTTTAGATGTCAGTAGTACTGGCTCTTTATCCAAAAATTAAGGAGGGGAGAAGGGGGTACAGTGGGGTATGAAGGAGGAGAGTCATCATAGGTAGTGTTCAGGTATGTATATACTCTAGTTTTGGATACATGACAATAATTTTCTTTTTAAGCAAAGGCAATGTCAAAAAGAGGTTGCAAAGACCTGCTGGAAAAAGGAGAAAAGTTTTGCTTCATGAAAAGGTCCATGGAGTCAATCTTTACTTACTCTCGAGCTCTTCCTGGAGAGTGAATTCTTTACTTTAGGCGCTCGATGCTCAGTAAATTGTGAAACTCTTCCCCCTCTGCGTATAGGCATTAGAGACTTTTGGAGATGCATCCAGAATTTATCAAACTCCTCAGCAATCAAATAATGATAAATTACATGGTTGCTTTAGTGCCTCGATGGCCTTGTAAGACAACTGGGGGAAACAGAGACTAACGTGCCCAGCTAGACTAAGAACTTCATTAGAGCAACACGGCTATTTTCCTACCAGCTGACTTATTTTGTCAGGTTATAACCTTAATCCTGGAGATTTACCCCCCCACCCCGCCACCCTATTCTCTCACACAGACTCCCTAACACACACGTACATACAACTCAGTTCTAATGTGGATGCAAAAATCATTTTATAATGTTTATAGAATATAAGAGCAGTTGGCTGAAGGTGAAACATTCCTTCTTTTGGGCAGGCTCAGGGGAAAGCTGCATGGTTGAACTTTGCTTGTGTGCCACCCCTGCCCACCTGCCATTGAATTTGGCTGGAGTCCCTGTGGTGGTGGTTACCTTCCTGTTAAGTCTTCGCCTGCTTCCGGAGCCCATTGAGTACACCTGAGCAGCTCTCTTCCCCTGAGTTAACTATGCCAGCCTTCAACAGTCCCCTGGCCTTCATCCTCCCTGTGTTTCATGTGTTGGAATACCCTGCAGGAAACTGAGTCCTAAGAAACTGTCAAGATCTTGGCCCTTGAGCCTTGTTTCTGCCAGTAGCCCTTTGAACGAACTGCGACTCAAGGGAGAGCCTGGCCTTTTTGCAAAGGCTAGCTTTCCAATTAAATAGCAGAGTTTTATGGTTAGAGTTGAGAGCTCTGAGATTTCATACCTGTATCAGTAATCCCTAGGAAATGCACAATATTGACCTTTTTCACTTATTTTCTTATAATTTCCATTTCATCATGACTCTAAGGCAACACAGGTAATGCATTTCTGGGGAATTATTGTTGTTGGTAAGTAGTTGGAATCATTCATATTTTTGCATAGTTCATCACATCTTACCCAAGTTGTAGAGTTATTTTCCTGAAATATTTAGTAGACCCAGTGTAGCCAAACAGCTGAGGTATTAAGTTTACTTAGAGTCAAACCAAAAGGAAAAGAAAAAAGAAAAATAGACAAACTACCTATATCTGGAAGCATTGTGACATAGTAATTTAGTAGGTAAGCTCTGGATTCAAACTGCTTATATTCAAATCTTGGCTGTTCTACTTACTGTCTGTATAAGTTTTCTAAGTTACTTCTCTGTGCCTCAGTTTTCTTATCTGTAAAATGAAAACAATACTATACTCACCTCACAGGGTGGTTCTGATAATTACATAAATTAATTCACATAAAACGCTTGAAACACTGCCTGGCAGATGGTAAATGCTCCAAGGATGCTAGTTCTTATTATACCTAAAGCTAATCTTGAAGTGCTCTGCAATATTTGCCCTTGAAGAAGATGGACATAATGGAAAAAATATTGGACAAATAGGAGTTCTGTGTTTCATTGCTGCCACCATCTACTACATAGCTATATGATTTGGAGCCAGTCTTAGTTTCGGTTACCTCGTCTGTGAAATTGGGATAATAATGTTTCCCTTAGCGACTGTTCAAACACATGCATGCACGAGTACACATACACACATGCTCACATTCAATGATAGAGAAAGAGAAAATTAAGTTAGAACACAGATTTTTAAAATCTGAAATTACATGAGGCATTTTGCAGATATGGTGATCTGTTGCCATGTATACTATGTATACTTAAGCTATAAAAGAGTCCCAGAACAAAATAGATTAATACTTTTATAACTATATGGTATTTTATGGTTTTCAAATGAGATAGGCCATCTTGTATTTATCACAGCTGGCTATAGCTGGCTATTGCAAGCCTTTAGGACCCAGGGATAAGTTGTTTGCATATTTTATTCACAGTCTAGCAGAGAGTGTACACTCAGTAAATATTAAATGGAAAAAATGTATTTACACAAGTGCAGTCAATCTAATGAGACAGCAAAGATGCCTCAAAAATGGTCTTTAAGTAGTTTTTCAGCAAGTGGTTAATGTTGCTGACTTTACCTAATGTCAGGGGCCTATGATAATTTAGGTCCCAAACAAGTTGAAATTTGTATTGGACACATCTTTAGAGACTGTGGTATGAGTCACCAAGGGAAGCAATAGCCCAAGCCTTTGGGGCTTGGGATTGCTTATCTCAGATCTACCTTATCATTAACAAGAGAGTAGGCAGTGAGTCTTATGGCTCTCTATCTGTAAAGAGTCAAAAGAAAATTGTTACAATGAGTGCTCAGTTAGTACTTGTTAAGTATATGAATGACTAAGGCTTTGGGAGGGGGTATGTGTATAAATGTTAAGCCAATTCAGATATGATACTTCTCATTAATGATGGAAAGGAGGGCTGGAATGCACCTTCCAATAACAACGGGTAAGAGGAGTCTGTTGCTTTTGTAATCACTGAAGATTTGGCTGTAAAGCACTTGCAGAAATAAAAAGTGCTATGGAAATCTTTAATAACAGTTACAGACACAGTGCTCTCAACAACAATGGTTGCATACACTACTGGCAATTGACCTTTCTTAGGATATTAATTTAGTGTCTGAGTGGTTTAAGAGGGAAAGAAGAGCATATAAGAGCAAGGCTATGTAAAATGCACACATTAATTGTCCTAATAATAACACAAAACGTCCCCTAGATGTTTGGCTCTTTCTTTTCAATGACTACAGGATATTGAAAAGAAATACAGGTTTTTTATTAGATAAAGGCACTACCAGAATGTTTGCATTTAAACCTTTAAATGCAGCTATTCCTTTTTTAAGGTGCAGAATCTTTCATTCAATACTTACTCAAAAGCCTATTTTTATTTTCCTAAGCTATGGTTAGTAACAGTAAGTGCTTGAGAGAAGAAACTCCTTAGCCTTGATTTGTGGAATTATGGTGATACGCTATTAAAAAATTCACAAGTTGAGAAAACAATAGCCAGATGTAGAATATATGTTAGTGATTTTTTTTGGTCTAGCTAAGATATAATCCAGTCTTCGCATGGCTGTTTGGAGTAATCCATGTCCTCTCCTCATAAACTCTTTGGAGAATGACCTTTTTTAAAAAAGAAAAGTTTTTAATTAAATAGAATGATTTGGTGAGTCCTGGGAGCCTTTTAACTACTCAGTATGTGGATTATTGGAAGAACTGTAGTAGAACTTTACTTCTTTGGGTACCATCAGGCTTTCTTTTGTAAAGAATGAACTAAAAAATCTAAGAGTGTGATCCTGATACTTCTTCGTAGGTGTCATTTCTTAGCCGTGAGAATGTTGAATAAGTAAGACTATTTTCCAATCAACCAAGAATTAGCTGATCCAAATGAAATCCTGGGAGACAGAGAAGAATGAAAAAAGGCTAAGGATCATGACTTATAACAGAAATAACTCATCGAGATGACAGCACAAAAAATACTGATCCCCAAGATTCTGTTACAAGATCCAGAGTTATTCTTGGTGTGTCCACAGTAAAACGGGTTTCTAAACCCCAGTGGCTTTTACAAGACAAACTGTTCTTAAAGTTTTATCTATTTAAGAAACAAGTTTTCATGTGGGATTCTCCTACGCTGTTCTGTTTAGCTACTTTCCTGCTTTTTCAAGGGTGTCTTTTTCCTGAACCCAGTGTGAAACCAGACACATTCTGAGCGATGATGAAGGTAGCCTTATTAGCAACTCCCTAATTTTAACATTGTTACATTTGACTCACATTTTTAAGATGTGGAAAAAGTAAAAAGTTGGAAGATTTTGGAAGGGTCATATACATAGATTCAACCAAGGGCATTTTTTCTAATTTCAGCTTTTATTTTAGATTCAGGAGATACATGTGCAGGCTTGTTATATAGATATATTGTGTGATGCTGAGGTTTGGGGTATGATTGATCTCATCACCTACGTATGAAGCATGGTATCCAGTAGTTAATTTTTAAACCCCCACCCCTGTAGTTCCCAGTTTCTATTCTTACCATCTTTATTTCCATGAGTACCCCATGTTTAGCTCCCACTTATAATTGAGAACATGTGGTATTTGGTTTTCTGTTCCTGCATTAGTTTGCTTAGGATAATGACCTTCAGTTGCATCCATGTTGCTGCAAAGGAAATGATTTCATTCTTTTCTATGGCTGTGTAGTATTCCATGGTATATATCTACCACATTTTCTTTATCCAGTCCACCATTGATGGGCACCTAGGTTGGTTCCATGTCTTTGCTATTGTGAATAGCGCTGTGATGAACATGTGAGTGTATGTGTCTTTTTGGTAGAATGATTTATTTTCCTTTGGGTATATTCCCAGTAATGAGATTACTAGGTTGAATGGTAGTTCAACTCTTAGTTCTTTGAGAAATCTCCAAACTGCTTTCCACAGTGTCTGAACTAATTTACATTCCCACCAACAGTGCATAGGCATTCCCTTTTCTCTGCATCCTCACCAACATCTGTTGTTTTTTGACTTTTTTTTTTGAAACTGATGTTTATTTTTTGTCAGCCTTATTTCCATGTTGCTTAAGAGCTGATATAAGAACAGCTTAAGACTAACCAGTGGTTGCTCCTACCCATTCAGTGGCCTGAGCAGTGGAAGCGGCAGACCAGTCTTCCGTGGCAGGCTGAGCACTCCAGTCTTCAGTAGGGAACTGCTGAATAGGCACAGAGGGCACCTGCACGCCTTCAGACCAGTCTGTCACCTCAGGCTGAGTAGCAGTGAACTCAGGAGCTGGAGCAGTCCATTCACTTTGAAATTCCTCCTTCATCACAGCCTTTTCAGCAGCAGTCTGCTATTCTTTTTCAGTCTCTTCAGGATCTCTGTAGAAGTAGAGATCAGGCATGACCTCCCACAGGCGTTTGCAGGAAATGGTACCACGCGTGTGCAGAACTTCCTGAGCCAGCATCCACCACATCAAACCCACTGAGTGAGCTCCCTTGTTGTTGCATGGGATGGTAATGTTCACATAGCACAGAGGAGAATCTGTGTGACACAGAGCAATGGTGGGAAGATTAACATAAGATGCCTCTGTGAGAGGCTGGTGGTCAGCCCTGGGGTCAGTAACCACAAGAAGCTGCGGCTCCTGAAAGGCTGCCTGGATCTGGTTAGTGAAGATTCCAGGAGTGAAGCGGCCAGCAATTGGAGTGGCTCCCATGGCAGCAGCAAACTTTAGCACGGCCCTCTGGCCAGTATTCCTGGAGGATATGACACTGACATCAGCAGGGTTTTCAATGGCAACAATGGTACGAGCTGCCAGCAGAAGATTCTCCCAGGTCCTCTTCAGATTTAGGATGTAGATGCCATCACTTTTCCTTTTATAGATGTACTGTTTCATTTGGAAGTCAGGGCTGGTGCCACCTAAGTGGGTTCCTGCTGCAAGGAACTTAAGGACACCCTTCTATTTCATTTGCAGGACATCAAGGGCTCCGGACGTTGTGAAAGTTTTCCTCTGAGTTAGGACAGGAATCCCGAAAAACGCTGTATGGACCCCTCTGTGGGCAGGGCGGAAAGGCTGTTGTTTTTTGACTTTTTAATAATAGTCATTCTGACTGGTGTGAGATGGTATCTCATCGAAGTTTTGATTTGCATTTATCTGATGATTAGTGATGTGGAGCATTTTTTTTCGTATGTTTGTTGGCTACTTTTATGTCTTCTTTTGAGAAGTGTGTGTTCATGTATTTTGCCCATGTTTTAACGGGGTTGTCTTTTGCTTGTTCAAATGTTTAAGGTCCTAATAGATTCTGGATATTAGACCTTTGTCGATGCATAGTTTGCGAATATTTTCTCCTACTCTGTAGGTTGTCTGTTCACTCTGCTGACAGTTTCTTTTGCTTTGCAGAAGCTCTTTAGTTTAATTAGGTCCCACTTGTCAATTTTTGTTTTTGCTGCAATGGCTTTTGAGGACTTACTCATAAATTCTTTCCCAAGGCCAGTGTCCAGAATGTCAACCAAGAGCTTTGACCACTGCTAGGGAAGACAGTGTTGAACTGCTAATGAGTCCCTGACAAGGTGTTTGCCATTTATAAACATAAACATTTCTATAGTTGCTACTCATACTTGTGAGAAAACATTGTTGAAATGGTATTTTTTCTTTAAGTGGTAGGCATAGCTCCTCTCCCTCCTTCTCCTTATTTATTTACCTACCTATTTGTTTTTATCCTACTTTGTCCCCAGAGGAATTTAAAGTGCTCTACAAATATGTGCATAATAAATGTAAGATGCAATGCAACTGAAATACATAGGAACTATCAGGCAAAGGGGAATGTAAGATGGAGCCAGGTGTAAGATTATGACACAAAGTACATAATGAAGTTTATTATGCTTGATAGAAGCAGACCATAAATTTGGCCCTAAGCGTTCTAGTAATAAATGTGAAGAGGGAAAAATGATGAGTTACCCAAATTATGGTGTCCAGAAGGTTAAAATAAACTAGTTGTTCAGGAAAGCTAATGGTGGGTAAACGAGAAGAGCTAGTTGGGCTAATGAGTTGGTCAATTGTTGCAGACTCATACATTTTCTAGTAGTTAGAGCTATTCACTTCTCATTTCTGAGGACCCTTTGACTGAATTATTTTAATTGTTCTCTCTGATCTATAATAGCCTTTAGGGAAATATCTGTATCTATCTATCTCTCCATCTATCTATCAAATGATATATATAATAGCCTGTGAAAAGCATATATTTCTTCTTTCTTTCACTCATTCTTCTGTTCCTCATTGATGTACATTGTATTTAGAAGCCTAGTGTGTGAAATTTAAAAAGCAAGACTGTATATATTTACAGGCTGGTCATGGATCTGCACAAATAAATTGCTTATATTTAATAGCAACTTATTTCTAAGCTTTGTCCATTCTAGTTAAATTAATGTGAAACATAAAATGCCAGAAAAATCTGACAGAAATTGGAGCAACACTTTTAGTGTCTTCTCTATTATTTAGTTTTTAAAATGTGAGGCTTTTCTTAGCTTGCAGTTTCTATGTGGCTGATTTCTAAAAAATCATTTAGTATTTAAAAATAACATTGAAATGTGTTACCTATTTGGCTGTTTGGGTCCATTAACCTTTTCCAGTGGTTTTTTTCAATTAAAATTACATTGATGCCATATGGCATCTATTGTATGTGAAAACTCCCTAAATCATGAAAGAAATGTCAAAGCAGATCGAGGGGGAAAAAGAGGGAGTGATTTAACACTCTTCAGTGGTTCTAGTCACTAATTCCATCAAGGGCTAATTTCCAAGATCTAGTTTTTAAAAAAAAAAATTTAAAAGATTAATAGACCTTATTTGTTTAGAACAGTTTTGGATTTAAAGAAAAATAGAGCAGTTAGTACAGAGTTTCTGTGTACTCCCTCTTCCCTGCACAGGACTTATTCTATTATTAACATTATTAGCATTAGTTTGGTACATTTGTTATGATTAATGAACCAATATTGATACATTATTATTAACCAAAGCCCATATGTTTACATTAAGGTTCATTCTTTGTATTGCATGGTTCTATAATTTTTTACAAATGCATAATGTCTTGTATCTTTCATTACAGTATCATACAGTATAGTTTCACCACCCTAAAATCCCATGCTTCACTTACTTTCCCATGTTCTCTCCCCTCTCAAATCCCTGACAACCATTGATCTTTTTAGTGTCTCTATAGTTTTGCCTTTTCCAGAATGTCATATGGTTGGAATCATATAGTATGTAGCCTTTCAGACTAGCTTCTTTCACTTAGCAATAGACATTTAGAGTTCCTTCATGTCTGTTTGTGTCTTAATCTCTCATTTCTTTTTATTACTGAATAGTATTCCAGTGTATAGATGTACCACAGCTTATTTATCCTATTGAAGGACATCTTGTTTGCTTCCAGTTTTGGTGATTATAAATAAAACTGCTATAAGCACTAGGTTTTGCTGTAGACATGAGTTTTCAAATAAATTGGGTAACCACCAAGGGACACAGCTGCTGGATCACATGGTAAGAGTATGTTTACTTTTGTAAGAAACTGCCAAGCTGCTTTATAAAGTGGCTGTACCATTTGTATTAACATTCCCTCCAGCAATGCATGAGAGTGCCTGTTGCTCTGCCTCTTTGCCATCATTTGTTGTTAGTGTTATGAATTTTAACCATTCTAATGGCTTTGTGATGGTATCTCATTGTTATTTTAATTTGCAGTTCCCTAATAACATATGATATTGAATATCTTTTTCTAGTTTTTTTTCCCCATCTGTATATCTTCTTTGGTGAGATGTCTGTTCAGATCTTCTGCCCATTTTTTAATTGGGTTGTTTTCTTACTGTTGAATTGCAAGTGTTCTTTGAGTGTTTTGGATACAAGGCCTTTATCAGACATGTGTTTTGCAAATATTTTCTCTTAGTCTGTGGCTTGTCTTTTCATTTTCTTGACATATGCTTTACTCTTCATTCTCTTAACATTGCAGAATGGATGTTTTTCTGCTTAGTGCCTGATAAGTCTGACTAATCAATTTTCAACTTCATAGATTGTGCTTTTACTGTTATATCTAAAAACTTACTGCTAAACTTAAGGTCAGTCACCAAGAACTCCCACTTTACATTCTATAAGTTTTATAGTTTTGCATTTTATGTTTATGTCTATGATATATTTGACTTAATTTTATGAAAGGTGAAAAGTCTATATCTAGATTCATTTTTTGCATGTGGATGTCCAATTGTTTCAGCACTATTTGTTGCAAAGATTATTCTTTCTCCATTGAATTGTCTCTGCTCTTTTGTCAAAGATCAGTTGATTATTGTATTTGTGTGGGTCTATTTCTGGGCTCTGTATTTTGTTCCATGGATCTGTTTTTCAATTCTTTCACCAATACCAAGCTGTCTTTATTACTGTACCTTGATGGGAATTCTTGAATTCAGGTCATGCCAGTCCTCCAACTTTGTTCTTTTGCAGTGCTGTTACAGCTATTTTGAGTCTTTTATGTTTCCATATAAACTTTACTATTGATGTCCACAAAATAAGTTGCAGGGATTTTGATTGGGATTCATTGAATTTATAGATCATGTTGGAAAGAATTGAAAACTTAATAATATTGAGTCTTTCTATCCATAAACATGGAGTATCTCTTCATTTATTAAGATATTTTTTATTTCTTTTACCAGAGTTTTGTAGTTTTCCCAATCTGTACACCTTTTATTTCCTTTTATTGTCTCATTGCAGTAGCTAGTACTTTAAGTATAATGTTGAATAGGAGTGCTGAAATAGGGACATTCTTGCCTAGTTCCTGATGTTAAGGGGAAAGCATGCAGTTGCTCACCGTTAAGCATGATGCTAGCTGTAAAATTTTTTGTGGACGTTCTTTATCAAGTGAAGAAAGTTATCCTCTGTTTCTAGTTTGCTGAGAGATTTTATCATGAATGATGTAGGATATTGGCAGGAAAAACAGCAAATGTTTTTCCTGCATTTACTCATATGATCATATGATTTTTCTTATTTAGGCTGTTGATGTGATGGATTACATTAACTGATTTTTTCCCTAGTTTTCTTTATTTTTTAATTTTATTTTAAGTTTCAGGGTACATGTGAAGGATGTGTAGGTTTGTTATATAGGTAAACGTGTGCCATGGTGATTTACTGTGCTTAGCAACCTATCACCTAGGTATTAAGCTCAGCATGCATTAGCTATTTTTCCTAATGTTCTCCCTCCCTCCCTGCCTCAACAAGCCCCAGTGTGTGTTGTTTACCCCCATGTGTCCATGTGTTCTCATTGTTCAATTCCCACTTACAAATGAGAACATGCGGTGTTAGGTTTTCTGTTCCTGCATTAATTTACTGAGGATAACAGCTTCCAGCTCCATTCATGTTCCTGGAAAGGACATGATCTTGTTTATTTTTATGGCTGCATAGTATTCCAAGATGTGTATGTACCACATTTTCTTTATGCATTCTATCACTGATGGCCATTTGGGTTGATTCCATGTCTTTGCTCTTGTGAATAGTGCTGCAGTGAACATACATGTGCATGTATCTTTATAATAGAATGATTTATATTCCTTTGGGTGTATACCAAGTATTAGGATTGCTGGGTCAAATAGTATTTCTGCCCCTAGGTCTTTGAGGAATCACCACACTGTCGTCCACAATGGTTGAACTTATTTACATTCTCACCAACAGTGTAAATGCCTTCCTGTTTCTCCACAGCCTCACCAGCAACTGTTGTTTCTTGACTTTTTAATAATTGCCATTCTGACTGGTGTGAGATGGTATCTCATTGTGGTTTTGATTTGCATTTCTCTAATGATCAGTAATCTTGAGCTATTTTTTCATATGTGTTTTGGCTGCATAAAAGTGTGCAAAGGACATAAACAGAAACTTCATGTGATATGACCAATTTTACCACAGATCCTGGCATGTACCTTGCAGTTACTTCATAAATATTACTTTTCTTCCTTCCGTTAAGGTACCTAAGCTTGAAAACAAGGACCATTTTTTATTCTAACCCATTGTGAGGCATTTATACCAGGAACATAAAAAGTTCTTAAGTATTTGCCATTCTTACAGTGCTGGAAAAATTGCCTTGAAAAAAAATAACCTGCTTCTATAAGGACTGCCTTACCCTAAAGGGCTTGAAAGAGATTCCATGGTTCATTTATTCCTCTCTTCTTCCAAACACAAGTATATTCTCCTTTTTTTAAATACCCAGCTACTACTGAAAAGGCCCATAAAAACACATTTCTTCCTGTCTGAGTCTGAATACAGGAACATCAGTATCAAATACTAAAGACAGTCATTTTGCTACAGTGATAGGTTATATGTCCTGGGGGGTAGTAGAAGTTATTGAACCATTTAAAGAGAGGTAATACCCTGATTGTACACTTCACCATCAAGCCACATCTGGAGAATTGTATCCCTTTTTGAACACCATAATTTAAGGAGGACATTGACAACACTGGAGCATGTCCAAAGGGTGGTGACCAGAATGATAATGGGGCATCTAGATATCTAGAAACCTTGCTATATTAGGACATGTATTAACCCGAATTTATTAAGTCTATTTGCCTGCACCACTTATTTTTCTTTATGTTGTAAAAAATTAGAATATTTTCTATCCAATGCCAAAATGTTCATGATAGCTCTGATTTTACATTGTTTGTTCAAATTTTTCCTGGATATAACCCTTGATTTCTTCCCAGGAAAGAGGCAGAGGGAAACCTCCCCTAGTTGAAGTGTACCTTATTATCTGACCAAAAAAATCAGTGAGCTGAACTTCTTTGCAGTAATTCTAGCCCTTGATTTCATTTCATGAAACCTTAAGTTGCCAAGAAAAGCTGAGCATTGCTTTTCGCCTAGTGTTGGTTTCTATAAGTCTCCCAGGAGCCTTTAGTTGACCAGTTATGGCTTGGTTTGTTGTCCTGTGATACAGAAGTAAGTGGGTTGGGCAAAGCCCAGAGATGTGCTAAGTGGATTCTGAGCTGCGGAAGTTGGAGCAGGGAGCACATATGAGCTTGAGGTTCAAAGTAAACCCCTAGCCCTTTTCCCCTGCAACATGCATTGTGATTATTCTTTCTGCAGAAGAGTTCATGATCTTTTATAATTTTCTTTTTCTATTGATTTAGGAGTGCTAGTAACAGAAACTTTTAAAAATGTTATGACAGTACAGTCAATGGAATCTTGCTGTTGTACATCTTGCACATTGGAGAATGAATGCACTGTACTTGAGATAAAGCTTGCCTTGTATAGAATTCATTTTAGGGATGCTTGGATGATTGAGATCTACAGGAGTGGCATATCCACAGCAGTCTTTTCCCTTCTCTTCATTCTGCACAAAGGCAAAGGTGAAAGGTGTGACTCTGCTTTGTTGGTCTTTGGGTTGCAATTTCTTCTAGTATGTTTCCATTTGAAGATGGGAAGCCAATGGGAAAATAATGAGTTTAAAATAGAACTGTACTTTCTGCAAAGGTTTTTGAGACTATATGTATTGGCTGTAGGTCGAAGGCAGCAAGCGTGTAACTGTTATGGAAGACACTAGTTTGTGCTGATTGCTTCTACTTTCCTGTGTGACCACGGGAAAATGCTTTAACTCTACTGAGCCTCAATTTTGTCGCATATAAAATGGGAGTTGTAATACCAAACTTAAAAGATTGTTGTAAAAAGTAGATGCCATAATATACTTGAGAATATTTTGTAAACTCTAAACCATATAGCTTGTGAATACTTCTGAAACAAGGATGGTTTATCATTTATCTCCATCTACCCAGCATTTATGTGCCTCTAGCACCTAGTACAGAGTCTGATATATAACAAGTGATTGCTAGCTGAAATTAAAATGAATGAATAGTTTCAAATCTCCAAATTTCTGATGATTTTAACGAATTTGTTGACTGGTCCTCTGTATTGGGCTAGATAATCTCTTGGCCTCATCCAGCTTTTAGAAAACAAGGATTGAGACTAAAGTAGCATGTGGAGTTTGGAGAGTTGTTATAAGATAGAGCAACTTTCTAGGAATTGCTTAATGTTCTAAACAAACAAACAAACAAACAAACAAAAAAACCAAGTGAACATTCAACAACTTACAGAAAGGCAGATTTTTTTTCCCCAGGGACACACAGCTGCAAAGTAATCAGTGCAAGCTAGTGTCCCTCAGAGACTGTTACACTCTCACTGCCCTCAGTACACATATACTCAAAAACCTTTTGTAGGAAGTTAAGTTTTGTTTTAAACTCATTATTTTCTCAAGTGAGCTTGGAAACCCAATAGAACTACACTGGCAATTGTTCAACATTGCTGGGCATGTCATAAGCCCAAGGGAAGAATCTAGGGAGCATGTTCTACTCTGGGAGGGATCTGGGGCAGATGGTGGTAGCACAACCTAGAGCTCACTTCTGCCACAGATGACTGAAATGTTGGACTAAGTGATCCCAAGGAACTGTTGGAGTATGGTCTCTCTAGTAGTCTAAAAGTGGTAATAATTCGATTTTTCAAGGCTCATGAACTGGCATCATTTGGAGTACATCTGTCATGGACCTTTGCACTTTGGAAGGAAATGGAAGGAAGGACTAAGTTAATTTTAAGTGTCTCAGGAAACTTGGCTATTTTTGTTTTTAAACTCTGTCTTATTTCTTCAAAAGCCTATTGTGGTTGTTTTTCCTTCCCTCATGTAAATGTAGACTCTGATTATTTGAAATAATTTGGGTCTGGGATGTTTCAGTTTGGAGAAAATGAGATGGTGACATTACTACTTTCTCTTTCAAACCAATGACACTGATTGGGCTTTATGCAAAGGGGTTGGGGCAGCAGATGTAATCATGAATTTGTGGTCTCTGTAGAGCAGATAAGGCTTCCAAGCCATGTGGAAGCTGAACTTAGCAAGGAAGCTTAGTAGTTATCCCTCCGGATGTTCAGCTTGCAAATACCAGAGGTGTTGTTTTCAATACCAAATGATAGATAAGCACATGGATTATTTTTCCACCCAGATACAAATGCATTGGATAGATTCCATTTCCAGGTCTGGCAATCTGTCAGAAAGCTCTCTTTAAAGTTATCAGGAGAAAATCTACCAAAATGATTAAATTCGTGATAGCTTTTATTCTTGGCTAGGAACTTGCCTCCCCTCCAGGGCTAAACAGGCTTAAATTGTTGTGTGAGTTTATACAATGTATGGTTTGTTGTCAAATATTTATCTCTGTCTAAAAATGAAATGTCCTGAAATACAATTTCTTTTTAACTGAATAAATCAGTGTGAGAAAGAGAAATAACTTCTCATTTAGCCAATTTTTAATCAATATTTTCATGAAAGGCCGAAATGTTAACTGAATCTTGGCTTTTGTCATTTGAAATATAATTTGTGTGTTTAAGAATTTATGTGCACATCAGAATCTGGACTTCATGTTCAGAAAGGAAAATTGATTTATAGGAGCAAACAACTGCAAGAGTAGAGGCAATGCCAGAAATGAATGAGAGTCAATTATTTAACGCAAATGGGACCTTAATCACCACAGCAATAGAGAAGTCTCAAATTCATTTTCACACTGGATTTTCATGCTTTAATTTGTACACATTTTTGTGTCTCTTTTTTTTTTTTTTTTACAGAGGCCTTTGAAATTGTTGTTCGCCATGCCAAGAACTACACCAATGCCATGTTCAAGAACAACTACCCAAGCCTGACTCCACAAGCTTTTGAGTTTGTGGGTGAATTTTTCACAGATGTGTCTCTCTACATCTTGGGTTCTGACATCAATGTAGATGACATGGTCAATGAATTGTTTGACAGCCTGTTTCCAGTCATCTATACCCAGCTAATGAACCCAGGCCTGCCTGATTCAGCCTTGGACATCAATGAGTGCCTCCGAGGAGCAAGACGTGACCTGAAAGTATTTGGGAATTTCCCCAAGCTTATTATGACCCAGGTTTCCAAGTCACTGCAAGTCACTAGGATCTTCCTTCAGGCTCTGAATCTTGGAATTGAAGTGATCAACACAACTGATCACCTGAAGTTCAGTAAGGACTGTGGCCGAATGCTCACCAGAATGTGGTACTGCTCTTACTGCCAGGGACTGATGATGGTTAAACCCTGTGGCGGTTACTGCAATGTGGTCATGCAAGGCTGTATGGCAGGTGTGGTGGAGATTGACAAGTACTGGAGAGAATACATTCTGTCCCTTGAAGAACTTGTGAATGGCATGTACAGAATCTATGACATGGAGAACGTACTGCTTGGTCTCTTTTCAACAATCCATGATTCTATCCAGTATGTCCAGAAGAATGCAGGAAAGCTGACCACCACTGTGAGTACCAGTCTACAGTTGTCAGAGGATTTGGGCCTTATTGGGGTGAGGTGGCCAGTAGCAGGTACTGATGGAGAGAAATGAGAACAAAATTGGAAGGTGGGGAAGGGGTGATGATGGACTGAATGACCTCACAGAGTTAGGCAGCATATTAAGACCACAGGCTATGCAATCGTAAAGCCTGGCTCCACCTACTTCCTTACTGTGCGATGTTGGGAAGTCATTTTATCTTTATGAGTTCATTTTTCTGATTCATGAAATAGAAATAAAAAGAATATCGTCTTCATAGGGAATGACATTTGTTAAAGCACTTAGCACGTGTCTGGTATGTGGTAAGTCTTCGATAAATGTTGGCTATTATTAGCATTATTGTCAGTTATCATAATCCTCATTATTGATACACAATAGATGACAAGCCTGTGAAGTGGGAGCTATTATCTTCATTTTATAAATGAGGAAACTGAAGCTTAAGTGAAATTGCAACTTGCCTAAGAGCACCCACGTAAAGTTAGTGGAAGAGCCATGCTTCAGAAATTGACCAGGTCTCCCTTTAATTTGGTTATCACCAATTTTTCTGATTCTAATTTCCTCTTGGTGTTTTCAATCATGTATATCACATTAGCATTTTGAGTAGTGACTTCAAACACAAAAGACCCAGCTAGAGTTCACTAATTAAACCTCACAAGCACATAAGCAAGGCAAACAATCCATGTTCTCCAATGGTTTTGTTTATAGCCTTGATTATATCAGTCTAAGTCTGATGAAATTCGTGATGGAGGAAGGGAAGTTCTGTGAGTGAGGCAGCAGTTTCCTTGGTTTCAGTCAGATATTGTTAGTAACGGAATCTCGGGAGATACCAACTTCCAATATATAGCAGAACATGTAGCCAAGAGTTACCAGTCAGTTTCCCTAAGGTAGTATCTGATTCCTGAATGCTGCCAGCTTTGTAGAAGGAGGTGGCAGAATAGTATATTACACTACCATTGTTGAGCTTCCACTACATCTCAAGTGCTATGCTGGCTAGTTTACATAATATCATTTCATAGTAACCCATGAAATCAGTCTTAATAAACCTAAAAGCTGGGTTTTGTTTTATTTTTCTGTTTTAGAAATATTCTATTTCTGCTTTCTGCTAATTATTTTTCATTGATATACAATATGTGTACGTATTTTCAGGGGACATGTGATAGTTTAATACATTCATACAATTTGTAAAGGTCAAATCAATATAATTGGGGTATCTATCACCTAAATATTTGTCTTTATGCTAGAAACATTCAAATTCTTCTTTTCTAGCTACTTTGAAATATATGTGGCCAGGTGCTGTGGCTTAAGCCTGTAATCCCAACACTTTGGGATGCCTAGGCGGGAGGGTTGTTTGAGGCTGGGAGTTCAAGACCAGTCTGGGCAACGTACAGACCCCATCTCTACCAATAAATAAATAAATAAATACAAAAAATTAGCCAGGCATGGTGGCATGCTACTGGGGGGACTGAAGTGGGAGGATCAACGCTGCAGTGAGCCATGATCACGTGACTGCACCCCAGCCTGGGCGAAAGAGTGAGACCCTGCCTCAAAAACAAAAACAAAAACAAAAACAAAAAAAACAAGAGAGAGAAAGAAATATATGATAGATTACTATACACTGTAGACACTCTACTGATCTATCAAACACTGAGTCTTATTTCTTCCTCAAAGCTAGTTAAGTCAGAGGAGCTGGGATTCAAACCCAGACTTTGTTGGCTTGGTTGATAGACACCCTTAGCATCTATACAGTGCAACTGCTGTGCACTCTGAACTATTGCTTATCCAAAATGTGGAGGGTGGATTAGGCTATTTCAGCTTGTCTTTAAACTCTAGGAGTAATTAGTTTCTTTGGTGAATTAAACTAGGAAAGAGGACAAAAATGATGCAACCCTCAGCATGGCTACTTACGGAGTTGCTGTAATTGCCCCATTCACAATGTTAGTCATTTAAAACACATTTCCTGTGAAAATATTTTATAGTAAAATGAACAAAAATGTCCTATCTAATTACGGTGTTCTTCAGTGGCTAATTATTCCCTTGACTGCTTCACAATTCAAGGCCAGGTTCTGGGGCCTTCTGCAAAAGTAAATTTTACAAAACTAGAAAAAGTAAATGCATTCATATGTTCATTCACCTAATACTGATTGAGAGCCCACTGTGTGTAAGACACAAAGAAAGCATGCCAGGGGCTTGGAAATGCTTTCAGTAAGAGGAAAATAAAGAGACAACATTAAAGACAGGGTGTAGGAGTGTTCAAAGGTTGCCTCTGATATTGGTCATTTCATAGCAACACAATTGATCTGGAAAACAAGTATCCTCCTGTGGTGCTTTTATTTATTTATTTATTTATTTATTTATTTATTTATTTATTTATTTATTTTTGAGACAGAGTCTCGCTCTGTCGCCCAGGCTGGAGTGCAGTGGTGTAATCTCGGCTCACTGCAACCTCCACCTCCTACTTCTAATCAATTCTCCTGCCTCAGCCTCCCGAGAAGCTGGGATTGCAGGCGCATGCCACCATGCCTGGCTAATTCTGTATTTTTAGTAGAGATGGGATTTCACCACATTGGCCAGGCTAGTCTCAAACTCCTGACCTCAGGTGATCCACCCACCTAGGCCGCCCAAAGTGCTGAGACTACAGGCATGAGCCACCACGCCTGGCCATGTGGTGCTTTTAAACACATGAAAAAAGGAGGTGAGGAACTTGTAAAGAATTAAGCGCACTGTTTTGATCAGGCACTAGACATGAAGGTTCATTTAGGAAACATTTATTAAACATCTGCTTTGTGTATGGCACTTTGCTAGGTGCTGGATATTCAAAACTACCCAAGAAATAGTTCTTAAGTCTTGAAAAGGTCACAGTTTAGTTGGTAGACAGACGTGTAACTGAATACATTTCACCATAGTGAACACTTCACCATAATGTGAATGTTGAAAGGGCTGTGAGAGATTAGCTAGTCCAATCCCATTGATTTACAAAGGAAGAAATAAAGTTCAGGGAGGCTTACCCAAAGTTATATAATTAATGGAGGAACCAGAAGTAGAATCCAAGGTCTTCTGCTGCTACAATGTAATACTTTCTCCATAATACCAGTCTGTCCCCGCTTAGACCCCCCTAGACTTTTACTCTAAGAGCTCCATTAGGATTTTGCAAACACGTAGTGAACCTAAATTGGATAGCAATTTCTGGCTGCCAATCCTGCTACATTTTAGGTGCATGCACATGCGTGCAGGGGGAGTGCATTTCATGTCATTATCATTCAGGAAGAAAGGCTTTGGCTGTCAAGAGGTGCTCAGTGATGCAGGCCCTTTCTGTTTTGGCCTTTAAGGGCCTGATTGCTCCCAGCTCCCAGCTGGTTATGAGAGTGTGAATTCTGCCATCCCCGGGGAATGCCTGAACTAAACCAGAAAACATATGTAAACTCTGCCTTGTTCATGTTTTATGATCACCAACTCTAAGTAATACGTACCAAATGGTGGGGGTAGGGGAATCACTGGCCAGATGTGATCCAACCCATACTCAGTACGGGTCAAAAAGGGACTGGGCATTTATGAGGGCGAGGGGGAGTCGGAGCTGCAGAACTCTATTCACATTAACAAACCCACAGAATGCCCCAAAGCAAAAGCTGGTTTAAAACTAAAGCTTTAATGAGATTCTCCAGTAGCACCCTAACCTTCCTGTTGCGATAAAATGTAAAACCCTGCCATTCAGTCCTGCTTGAGGTTCAGTTGTGGTGAGAGACTTCTTTAAAAATATCCTCTTCCTGAGCTCTGCTGGGATATCCTTTCGAGCTGGCTTTAAGCCATGACATGAGGTCTGCCACACAGAGACTTTGCCTAGTTGTTTTTGTGGCTGTCATCTACCCAGATTATGAAGATTGTTTTGGTCTTCTAAGTGAGTGTGGTACTGTTCGTTTTTTTAAGTGTGGCTTGTTGGTGCTTTAGTTTTCTCTAGCATAGTTCTCAATACTTCAGACTACCAAGTGAAGGCAGGCAGACAAATACTGGGGTGTTGTCGCTGGCAGCACCACTGGAGGTGGTAAAGGATCCTGTTCTCAAACTCGGCTCATCATCACAATCACCTGGGTTACTTGTTAGACACATTCCTGGAGTCCACCCCTGCAGAGATTCTAATACCAAAGGTGTGTGAAGAGATCAGATGATTTTGTTTCGTTTTGTTCTCTTTTGTTTTTTGAGACAGGGTCTCACTCTGTCACCCAGGCTGGAGTGCAGTGGCTCGATCTTGGCTCACTGCAACCTCCGCCTCCTGGGCCCATGCGATTCTCATGCCTCGGCCTCCCGAGTAGCTAGGATTACAGGCGCGTGCCATAATACCTGGCTAATTTTTTGTATTTTTTTTGTAGAGACGGGGTTTCACTATGTTGGCCAGGCTGGTCTCGAACTCCTGGCCTCAAGCAATCCACCTGCCTCAGCCTCCCAAAGTGCTAGGATTACAGGTGTGAGCCACCGTGCCCAAATTATTTTTTATTTAAGAAATGTCCCAGTTGATTCTGATGCTCCCTTGGGAGCAAATCCAGCCACCTCGTTTCGAAGATAAAGAAAATAAGCCCCAGAGGTTGGAAGTGAATGGCCTAAGTTCCACAGGCAATTAGTGGCAAAGCTAGGACCTTGAATTCTTCATCTATAAAATGGGGTCAAGATATGGCGATTAAATGCAGTGTTAGGTTCAGGAACATGGCAAGTATTCACTAAGTCCCAGTCCAGTACTCTTTCTTACTACAGTGATCTAAGTGCCAAATGAAAAATGAGTTTTTCTTAAACATATTTTTAGGTGCCAAGATATCTTAATGTTATTTTAGTCTAAACGAAGTAAATAAAAATAGTATGTGTGAGAATGTATGTGTGTGAATACATGTGTTGGGGGGAAGAGAGATGGAGGGAGGGGGAAAGAGAAGATTTGTGCTGAAAAGTCCAAGAAAGTATTAATGATGAGACTATAAATAGATCCGTTTTGCAAACTGAGATAAATATCTATACAAACTAGGATAAATATCTTGGCCCCAAGTGAGAATTGAATAGATCTTTAACAGTATTTGGGTGAAAGTATCACTGTTAAATTTATCAGTGCATTATTGAATTCCACATCTTATACCTTAAAGCAACTGCAAATATGTACCATTTTGCAATACATATATTTTCAGTGTTGTTACACCCAAACTGCTGAGTGCCACAGCTTCTTTTTAAAATATGACTGTTTTTATCCTGAAAACCATTTTGATTGCTGTTACCATATACCTATGTGTGGACTATATGCATAGCCATTGCCCATTTCATGTATAATTCATCCATTTACTAAATGATTAATAATTAGCATGTTGGATGTTTATCCCTCTCCTGGAAACTTTCCCAAAACTTTCTGTAATTTTGTTTACTTCCTTTAATCCCCAAAATAACTACTCACATGTCTTCACATGGTGGTTTGCACTTTTATTTTTCTACTTGTACACACATACATACTTTATTGATTCATCTCAGCATTTCTCAGAGTTAGTGCTTCCTCTCCCACAATTTCATTACCTTGGCTTGTTCTATGCTTCCTTGAATATTGTGTAGAATTGCAACCTTTTCTACCACCATTACTTCTCCCTTTCTTTTTTCGTTGTGATATTCATTTTAGCACTATCTGAAATACGATTCGTTGCAGGAAGCATTTATTGAGCATCTAATAATGGAAGCACTATGATAGCCACTGGGGATCAGAGGGAGTAGCTGGAAAGATGCACATGACTCTGTTGTGTTGCCCTCAGCGGTCACTTGGCTAGTAGGTGGCAGAACTAGTATTTAAAGCTGAACCTGTCTGACTCAAAAGCTCATGCTCTTAACCATTACTCTATATTGCTCTCTCAAGCAGTTCCATTCTCTTCAGCAGAATCTTTTTTCCCCAAACACAGACTAAGTAGGTTTTTATTATATTATTTAATATCCTGTATTACTCCCTACTGTTTTTCCAGCTGCACAATCAGTTTCTGAATTCATTCTCCCTCCTTGGAGACTTTTGCTCTAGTATTTCCCAATGAAGTACTAAAAGGCATGAGATTTACATCTTCCTAACACTTAAAGGAACAGTGTAGTTTCATGGAAAAGAAGGAATGTTTGTGCAGGTGATGGAAGGTCCAGTCACACAGTCAGATGACTTGGCCTAGAATCTATGTGAGCAGTGCCGGTGGTGAGAAAGAGGTTCTCTTCCACTTGCAAAGTTGGAAATCTGCCGATTGGACCAACACATAGTTTTTAATGCATCTGCCTTTGATTCCGGACAGTAGAAGAACATCAGATCTCCAGTACGGAGTGTCCTTGGTATTTAATAATAGTAACATTGCCTACTGAGAACCTAACGTATCCAAATACATCCATTTCCTTTGCTAGGATTTCTGAGGTCAGTATTTATTTTTGTGTGCCAGGAAGCTCTGGGGAAGATTCTCTGTTGATCCTCAATAATAATTAACTCCATCAAACTCTTATATTTTGCTGTCAGTGTGAGTGACTGTAACTCGTCAGAATTTCCAAGATTAGCCTTACCTTCCTCTCCACTGTTGAAGGCTGAGGTTATTTCTCAGGTGTCAGAATGTCAGTGTTTTTCTCCTCATGCTATCACTTTGGACTTTCATTTTTCAGTCTCAGATAGAGATACCTTGTCTGAATTCATACAAGCTGTTTTCAGTACCAAGTGATTTGAAAGTGATAAAAAGAAGTAAATGGCTCACTACCTAATTAGTGTCTGCAGGTCAGCCTCTAGAACAATGGTAAGCAACTTTACTTACACAAGGTTTATTTCTGGAAAGACAAAAACTGTTTACAGGTTGCCATCATTTTTTCATTCACAATCAAAATAGCTTCAGTGATTTCCATGGAGAAAATACGTAGTTTTAAAACACACATTACCTATTTATTGCAAGAATACAAATGAAAAAATTGGCACCATGTTTTAGGCAATAAATGTTAACTTTATGGTAGGTTTCAAAAAGTGGTTACATAAGGGGAGCTTTTTAAAAATGTTTCATCCTGAAATTATACGTATATTACAGGTCATATTAAGAAATTAGATGGGTTCTTCATAAATCTAGAATTGCTTGCCCTTGCCTTGGCATAATCGCCAGTTGCTTATATGTTCTGAATTTTTAGAGAGAAATTTTACATCCTTTCTGTGGTCAGTGGACTGATGTGGCAGGAACACATCCTCAAGAGCTGTGAAAGATCTGAGATTTTTACCCTGATTGCAAGCAAACAAGCTAGCCTACTGCAGTTTCATCGATGTTAGTTAATGGCATAAGACTCCTGAGTCAGAGATGAAGGACAGTTTATTGCTTACAGCAATAGCAGCAGCCAGAGTATTAGCATTTGTGCCAGATCCCTGAGTCCCAATTCCCACAGGGTAAGGCAAAGAGAGCTGAATGACTCCTGTACACATAGTGAGTTGTATTATAGGAGAGAAACTTTGAACTTAGGGAACTCAAATATTTTATAATAGATGGTAAGCCCACCTGCTGTTTACTCTAAAGGGAAACATCATCTCTATCTTCCAAGGCTGTTGGCTATACAAAGATACTTGAAAAGGATAGTCTGAAACAAAGGGTAGTCAGTTCGTCTGTTCCTAAGACATGCCAAAGCACAAGAGATCCATGGAGAATTGTCTTCCAACACATGGTCCCCCACCCTTGGATGGCTCCAAGAACTTTTCAAGTTCTCAATGCTTTTGGAGGATCTGGCAAGGAAATTAGAAGTTAGTAAAAGACAGTTAGCTCAACCCTGACTGATTGGCCAAAAAGCAGGCCCATGTGCCACCTGTTGGAGGGTAGCAGAAGGCATATCTAAATACTGAGAACAGTGGCAGTTTTCTCAGCTCTTCAGAGAATACTTTAAAGAGAAAGTATCAAAGAGGCACCTGTTTGTTGCTTCTCATTAGCAGTAAATTCTGCTACTGTGGGCCTCCAGCTACTCCACTGCTCTCTTTCAGTCTCTAAGCTGTCATTTCCTTTCTTGCTCTGTTCAGGCTATAGGGTTGGGAGTTTTGTGTTGCTAAGTGACTTGGCTGAATTAAGTTTTCTCTTTTATTGAACTTCTAGGGTGAAGCATTGTGATGACCACAGAGTGGTAGGCACATGCTTATCCATGCCTGCTGGCAGTGACACTCAGAGTGTATTCAGAAAGGTCAGAAAGCCAGGGATATTTGCCCAAGTAGGCAGAAGTCCAAGAAGATCTCACCATGGCCTGATATTCTGAGTACCCCTGTGGTCCTGAGACAACAGTGAGGGAGCCAACAATGCCTTTTTTTAAATAAACTTTAAATTCTGGGATACACGTGCAGAACATGCAGGTTTGTTACATAGGTATACGTGTGCCATGGTGGTTTGCTGCACCCATCAACCTGTTATCTACATTAGGTATTTCTCCTAATGCTATCCCTCCCCAACCCCCCACCCACCGACAGGCCCCGGTGTGTGATGTTCCCCTCCCTGTGTCCATGTGTTCTCATTGTTCAACTCCTACTTATGAATGAGAACATATGGTGTTTGGTTTTCTGTTCCTGTGTTAGTTTGCTGAGAATGATGGTTTCCAGCTTCGTCCATGTCCCTGCAAAGGACATGAACTCCTCCTTTTTTATGGCTGCATAGTATTACATGGTGTATATGTACCACATTTTCTTTATCCAGTCTAACATTGATGGGCATTTGGGTTGGTTCCAAGTCTTTGCTATTGTGAACAGTGCAGCAATAAGCATACATGTGCATGTGTCTTTATAGTATAATGATTTATAATTCTTTGGGTATATACCCAGTAATGGGATTGCTAGATCAAATGGTATTTCTGGTTCTAGATCCTTGAGGAATCGCCACACTGTCTTCCACGATGGTTGAACTAATTTACACTCCCACCAACAGTGTAAAAGTGTTCCTATTTCTCCACATCCTCTCCAGCATCTGTTGTTTCCTGACTTTTAAATGATTGCCATTCTAACTGACGTGAGATGGTATCTCATTGTGGTTTTGATTTGCATTTCTCTAATGACTACTGATGATGAGCTTTTTCTCATATGTTTGTTGGCCACATAAATGTCTTCTTTTGAGAAATATCTGTTCATATGCTTTGCCCACTTTTTGATGGGTTATTTGTTTTTTTCTTGTAAATTTGTTTAAGTTCCTTGTAGATTCCGGATATTAGCACTTTGTCAGGTGGACAGATTGCAAAAATTTCTCCCATTCTGTAGGTTGCCTGTTCACTCTGATGATAGTTTCTTTTGCTGTGCAGAAGCTCTTTAGTTTAATTAGATCCCATATGTCAATTTTGGCTTTTGTTGTCATTGCTTTTGGTGTTTTAGTCATTAAGTCTTTGCCCGTGCCTATGTCCTGAATGGTATTGCCTAGGTTTTCTTCTAGGGTTTTTATGGTTTTAGGTTTTACGTTTAAGTCTTTAATCTACCTTGAGTTAATTTTTATATAAGGTGTAAGGAAGGGGTCCAGTTTCAGTTTTCTACATATGGCTAGCCAGTTTTCCGAACACCATTTATTAAATAGGGAATCATTTCCCCATTGCTTGTTGTTGTCAGGTTTGTCAAAGATCAGATGGTTGTAGATGTGTGGCGTTATTTCTGAGGCCTCTGTTCTGTTCCATTGGTCTGTATATCTGTTTTGGCATCACACTGCCTGACTTCAAACTATATACTACAAGGCTACAGTAACCACAATGCCTTTTTAAAAAGATGTCGAGTGGCTAGGGAATCAGAGTACAGTGAAAGTAGCCTCCTACCTTGTGGGGGCAGAAAAGCCCCTGGATACTTGCTCCCTTCATTAGAAAAGCTGAAATGCCACACAAAACAGAGTCATATACACTGTGATTTCCCTGTGATTAAATTTCCCCCACTTGGAGCAAGGTTCCTCTTGGCGAGTGTAGTTCTGCATTATCCACTCACAATGGCACCACAAGTAACCTTGGCTCACTGACCTCTTATGCCCATGCATTTTGCTATCTTGCTCAGGTATCTGGCAGAAAAATGTTTTCTAACTTGACTGTTTCTTAAAAGGACCATTCGTCCTGCCCCTACCTTAAAAATGGAAAACATATTCGAATATCACAGAAGCATTTTTTAATGAAGTTGCACTGTCCTATAGTAATTTCCTCAAGGGAGGTGGCAATTTTAATACTTGCTGTAATAAAGAATTTTACAAAAGTCAAAGATAAGGGAATTCTGAGCAGATGTCTTCCAGCATGTTGCAGCCTTTGGAAGATAAAATACAAATTTCATCATTACCAGCAACCACAATTTTCTGAGTGCTGAGTGCTGAGCACTGTTCTAGGTCTTACAGTTTACCTTTCCCTTCCTTGTCCGGGGGACTGTTAATGGGGTAAAACAAATAGCCTTTGTTTTGGTGAAATTACAGATTTCTTAATGTCCTTTTAAAATGCCCCTTTGGGAAGTACATAATCCAGCAAGGCTGCTTTCTTATTTCATACGGGGGGTGAGGGGAGGGTTGTTGCTGCCTCCTTATTACCCAATTCAAATTCATTCTGAAGAATATTCAGAAAGTGAATTAATTTTTCCCTTTTTCGTTCCACTCAGAATGCCTAAAACAGATAAAGTAGGAAGCAGAGTCATTATATTTGGGTGCTGTCTATTATCATTTACTGAGAATCTATCTAAGCCTTTCTGCTTTTTGCAGATAATTAATTTTGTTCCTAAATGTAGGGAAGAGTGATTGTAATCAGTGTGTTTGTACTTTCAGCCACAAATAGAGCCCATCAAAGATATGCAGTACAAATAAACCTCATAAAATATGCAGCCCAAGTACTGCTCAAAGTTAATGTTCTATCTTTTTTTCCAAAGAAAAAATTTTATACACGTTATATGATTTTTAAAAGTCATTCTTGGTATTTTCATATAGTTAATAGATGGGCCCCTCTTTTTCAAACTCAAACCTATGCTGTGAATTATTTTTTATCATTAAATCTCATGTAGTGGAGCTGAAGGAGACTGATTTGGCTTAGAAATCATCTCAGCAACATATACACATTACTGAGTTCTGGGTGTGGGTTTCTCTTATGCTTCCAGAAAATAATGAATGATCAGATCTAAGTTACAGGCTCAGTTTCATGGATGAAACCCCACACTAAGAGCATGGTGTTTGTGAATGAGTTCCTCTGAACTCTTTTGGAAAGCTTTTGCCCTTCTATCCCAGCTGCCTGTCCCCAACCTCTGGCCAATGCCTACACTAAGCCCATCCCTTTTCCTTCTGCTTCAGATTTGTACCTTGCTCTGTTCTGTTCATTCAAACCCTGTACTTTATTTAGAGTGGTGATGTGTGATTATGGTTTAGTCATCACAGGAAGCCCATTTCTGCTTCTACTAGTTCTCTAATGCATTCCTTCTCTTGAGAAGCAAACTTCATTAGCAAAGTTATCGCTAGAAAACTCTTAAAAAGGATTATTGAAAAAGGTAGATCTCAGTCACTGTGATGCAGTTGTAGGGAGAAATATTTAAGTGTATGTGGGACCTTATGAAATTACCTACTATACATTGTAAGTTATAAAGAACATTCATTCAGAATTTTGATACAGGATCTTTGCCTTGTGCTGCCACAGGCAAGTGGCCTGCGAAAAGCAACTTCTTAGTGTCTGTTCCTTAATCTATACAACGAGGAAGATGATGACAAGAGTGATTATTTAATAAGCACTTGCTATGTGCCTCACACAATTCTAAGCTCTTTACATGGATCAGCTCATTTAAAGTTTACAATACTAATGAGACGGGGATTATCATTACCTTTTTCCTAGTTAAAGAACTGAGACAGAGAGACTTGGAAGCAGGTGCCAGCAACAAGGCAGCTTCAGCTAATTGCTCTCTACTGCAGCAACTTTTGAGGTACATCTCTTGCCCAGAACCAGACCCAGTCTTAGAATATATGGGCATGGCTTGGCCTTGTCTGCAGATGGATATAAGCTGACTCAGTTGTCTGGAATGAGGCAGGATGGGGAGCCAGAAGTTATTAAGGGTCTTTCATTCTTGCCTACTCTTTCAGTTACTATTCATCCTGTTTTCTACGTGTGGCCTTGAGAATTGCATGGAAACTTCCAATGGGCTTAGCTTTTCTTCTCTGCTTTTCTTCATATTTGTATTAATTAATCCTAATTAAAGTTTTCTTTCTTTTTTTTTTTTTTTTGGCTTAAACAACAGAAGTTTATTTTCCCACAAATCCAGGGGTTGAAAGTCCAAGATCAAGGTTCTGGCAGATTCAGTCTCTGGCAAGGGCTTTCTTCTTGGCTTGCAGATGGCTGCCATCTCATTCTGTCTTAACATGGCTTTCCCTTGGTGCATGTGAACCCTGTGGGGAAAGAGGAGGACATAGAGAGAGACAGAGAGAGAGAGCATAACCTCTCTGGTATCACTTCTTATGAAGACACTAATCCTATTAGATCAGGGCCCCACACTTATTCAGAGATGAGGCCTCTAATGAAGTGATTAAGATTAAATGAGCTAACTAAATTTTTCTAAATTTGCTTGGAGTTCAGGCCTCCCCCAGAATCAGGGCCTATTTCATTTACGTTTTTTTAAAACAAACAAACAAACAAACAAACAAAAAACCCACACATTCATTCTTGATGAGCTTTTTGAAAAAATACTTTAAAAAAGTATTTTAAAAAGTATTTAAAAGTATTTAAAAAATACTTTAAAAGATATAGGGCTTCTACATTTTCTCTCTTTCAGATCAGAAATCCTAAGAATTGTGAAATACCAAGCTCTGTGTCTTTCTTATTCTGTTTTAAACCCTGTAATGATCTCTTTCCATACATGGAAGGAGTTCCCTATTAACTAAGTTTCTGATTTACTCAACTGCTTATTCCTCTTAACAAATTATTAATGCAAAATGAATGAGTTTCTTGACTGTAGCAACCTGCTAGCATATTTTTTTAAAAAATTGTGAACCCTTTAAATAATCTTTGAGCAGTTTCTTCACAAGTTCTAGACAAAAAAGCAGGGAACTAAACTAATGTCCTTACTCTGGTTAAAAATAAAGCAATAATTGTGACAAATTGGTATAATCAGACTTGACAGATAGAAGCTATAGAATTCATGTTAGATTTCTATCAGTCTGAAAAGGATGTTAACAATTCCCAGATCACAGAGAGTGAAAGAATACACAGTGGTGGAAACGTTTTCCTCACACATCTGTGTTTATCAAGTTTTAAAGTCTGTTTCCTCCCCTACCATTTCTCCTGAATCTGTAATACATTGATTTAAAAACAATTAATGCATGACTCAAACTGCTCTGCTCTGAAAGGCCCCATTCAGAATTGTCTCGGTTCTGGTTAGCATTGACCGAAAACTCTATGAGATACCAGGAATAATAAATTACAACAAACATTCATTTTTAATGGCACCATAGAGATTTTTAAGAGCAAACCTTTCTAGATGGAAAGCTGAGTCAATACCCTGCACAGGAATGGATCGGCTTGGCATTGCAAGGAGCAGAGGAAGAAAAGGTTGTGTGATGCAGTGAAAAGAACATGGGCTTCAGGAGTTAAAATGTGACTTTCTCTCTCTCTGTTTTTTAATTTATTGAGACAAAGTCTCACTGTGCTGCCCAGGCTGGAGTGCAGTGGCGCCGTCTCGGCTCACTGCAACCTCTTCCACCTGGGCTCAAGTGATCCTCCCACCTCACCCCTTGCCCCATGCCATAAGTGGGACTACAGGTGTGCACCACCATGCCTGGCTAATTTTTGTTTTGTTTTGTTTTGTTTTTGTTTTTGTTTTTTTTTTAGTAGAGACAGGGTCTTGCTATGTTGCCCAGGCTGGTCTCAAACTCCTGGGCTCAAGTGATCCTCCCACCTCAGCCTCCCAAAGTGCTGGGATTACAGGCATGAGCCACTACATCTGGCCAGACTGTGAATTTCTATTCAGCTGTTCTTTTTCTTAGTGACCTGAACATGTAGTATAATCTCTGAGCCTTGGTTGCTTCAACTATAGAATGGGGATAAAAATACCAACCTCGCAGAACTACTATGAAAATTTTGCAACAATGCCTACCACGTGGCAGCACTATAAAATCTGACATGTAACATGATCTATTTAATCTGCTGTGAGGCAAAATAGCCTTTTCTTCCTAGGCCTTCTCTCACATGGAGGCACTCATCTTTGGGGTACTCTCATTAGTAGCACCATCATTGATAAATATTTACCCGACTTCTGTGACAAAGGCCCTATGTCAGGAGCTGCCAACACAAATACACTAATATCCCCATGTCCACAGAGAGATATGTTCCAAGACACCCAGTGGATGCCTGACTCCCAGTGGATGCCTGAAACCACAGATAGTTCCAAACCCTATATATACTGTGGGTTTTTTTTCCCTATACATACCTACCTGTGATAAAGCTTATTATAAATTAGGCACACTAAGACAGTAATGACAATAACTAATGATGATAAATAGAACAACTCCACCCTTTCCTACTGAAGTTCCTGCTAGTCTTTGCATTCAGAAATTGCTGTGTCTCTGAACAAGTTTATTCAGCATGTATGGCTGTAGTCCTCTGCTTCTATTTGCCCAGCCTTTGCCACTAATAACCAGGAGAATCAATCATATCCCCCAGATGTTCGGATAAATTGATTCACAGCCAAGCAGACCAAGTTGAACACACAGGTTTTGTAACTACTCACAGTGGTCTTCACAGAAGACTCATGAATAAAGGGCAGTGTGATATATCTGGATTCCCTATGGGGATTTTTAGCATTCATCTTCTTTTGCTCGGATTTAGTGCTGAAATCCCTGGGAATAGAGGGAAGACTCAAGCTGTGTTTATGGCTCCTTTGTTTTGGAGTGTGAATTGTGCAGTATAATGCTAAATTGCTTTTGCTGGGTACCACTGTTAAATGATGATTAAATTTAGGTTGGGTATAAAAATGAATAGATGTCTATTACAAATCTTTGGGATAATTTAATGATATCTCCTTGTTTTAGATATTTTCCTTTTATTGGGTCCTTAAATTTACTTGTCTGTTCTTATCTATCCTGCCTACTAAGAGTCTTTCCTCTTTTATAATGAATCACAACTACCTTTCTGACTCTTGGGATTACGGGTTATCACTGTTTCTTTGATGGAAGGAAAGGGAGAAAGCAATGACAGTGGGAGTGAAGGGAGTTTAACAGGAGTACAAGGAAGATGAAAGGTGAATCACAGGCCTGGTGCAATGGCTCACGCCTGTAATCCCAGCACTTTGGGAGGCTGAGGCGGGAGGATCCCTTGAGCCCAGGAGTTCGAGACCAGTGGCAACATAGCGAGACCTTGTCTCTACAAATAACAACAACAAAAAGTAGCTGGTGTTCTGGTGCATGCCTGTGGTCTCAGCTACTCGGGAGCCTGAGCGGGGAGGATTGCTTGAGCCTGGGAGGTTGAGACTGCAGTGAATTGTGATCACACCACTGTACTCCAGCCTGGGCAACAGAGTGAGACCCTGTCTGAAAAGAACAAAAAGTGAATCAGATCATTTTGAAAATGATTTTTTTTCCAGACATATGTCTTCTGCAGTATTTACTTAATGTTATCATTGCCCCACTCATGCTGCCACAACACAAATGTCACAAATTCTAGATTTTAAAAATATAGAAAAACATTATGTCTCAACTATGATATATTTGCCATTTTCTTAAATCAAACAGCAGTTTTAGTATGTGAGACTACTATTCTCTCTTCATCCCCTAGTATACCTCATCTTACACGTAATAGGTATTTAATTTTTCTCTTAAATCAAGAAATCAAGCTAAAGGGGTGTGGAGTTCATCCTTGGGAGAGTGAGGAGCCATTGAGACCATATGGAATGTGGATCTCCACCTACAAAATCAGAAGTATAAGAAAGAGTGCTCTTTTATTTATGTTTTTGCCCTTCTTTTTTTGTTTGTTTGCTAATAGACTTTCTTTTTTACAGTGCTTTCAGATTTGTAGCAAAATTGAGCAGAAATTACAGAGCGTTTGTTTATACCTCTTACCTCCTCCACACACACACCCTCCCTCACTAGCAATATCCCTCACCAGAGTGGTACATTTGTTACAATGGATGGACCTACATTGACACATCATTATCACCCAAAGCCTGTCATTTACATTAGGTTTCACTCTTGGTGTGGCACATTCTTTGGGTTTTGACAAATGTATAATGGCATGTATCCACCATTCTAGTATCATGCAAAATTGGTTCACTGTTATAAAAATGTTCTGTGCTTCACCTGTTCATCCCTCCCTCTCCACTAACCTCTGATAACCACCGACCTTTTTACTGTCTCCATGCTTTTGCCTTTTCCAGAATGTCACATAGTTGGAATTATACTATTTTCACATTAGCTTCTTTCACTTAGTAATATGCTTTTAAGTTTACTCCATGTCTTTTCGTGGCTAGATAGTTCATCTCTTTTTAGTGTTGAATAATATTTGTTTGGAGCATCTTTTACTTTTATATTAATTGAATTTCAAGTCCTAATCATTATTCCCATTGCATTAGTGGTAAATTATACCTCATTACTTCTTTTTAAAAACAGCTTTATTGAGATGTAATTCATATAGAATACAATTCATCAATTCAACTATTTCAAATGTGCAATTCATTGGTTTTTAGTATATTCATGGAGCTGTGCAACCATTACCATAATCAATATTAGAAGATTTGCATCACCCCAAAAGGAACTTAGTACCAGTTAGCTATTACTCCCCTATTACTCTCCATCTCCCCTGTCCCCCATACCTGGCAAAAACTAATCTGGCTATCTGTCTCTATAGATTAGTCTGTTCTGAACATTTTACATAAATGGAATCATAAAATATATGGCCTTTTGCATCTGCCTCTTTCAGTTAGCATGTTTTCAAGGTTCAGTCACATTGTAGCATGGATCACCACATTACTTTTTATGGATGAATAATATTCCATTGTATGTATATACCACATTTTGTTTGTCTATTATCAGTTGATGGACATTTGGGTTTCTTCCACTTCTTGGTTATTATGAATAGTGTTGCTATGAACATTTGTGCACAGATCTTTGTGTGGATGTATGTTTCATCTCTCTTGGGAATATACCTAGCAGTAGAATCATGGGTCATATGGTAACTCTATATTTACCTTTTTGAAGAACTGCCAAACTGTTTTCCAGTGAAGCTGAGCAATTTAACTTTCCCACCAACAATGTGAGGGTTCCAATTTCTCCACATCCACACCAACAATTGTTATTATCTACCTTTTTCTATTACAGCCATTGTAGTGGATTTTAAGTGGTATCTCATTGTAGTTTTAATTTGAATTTCCCTTATGATTAATGATGTTGGGTGATTTTCATGTGCTTATTGGCCAGATCTTTTTTGGTAAAACGTCTATTGAAATCTTAAATTTTAAACTGGGCTATTTGTCATTTCATTGTTCAATTGTAAGGATTATTTACATATTCTGGATACTAGACCCTTATCACATACATGATTTACTTTTTTTTTTTTTTTAAACAGGGTCTCACTATGTCATGCAGGCTAGAATGCAGTGGTGTGATCACATCTCACTGCAGCCTCAAACTCCTGGGCTCAAGCAATCCTCCCACCTCAGTCTCCCAAGTAGCTGGGACTACAGGCACACACCACCACACCAGGCTAATTTTTGTATTTTTTGTAGAGATGAGGTTTTACCATGTTGCCCAGGCTGGTCTTGAACTCATGGGCTCAAGCAATCCACCCCCCTCAGCCTCCCAAAGTGTTGGGATTACAGGTGTGAGCCACTGCCCCCAGCCTATAATTATTTTCTCCTATATTCTGGGATGTCTTTTCACTTTCCTGATAATGTCTTTTTAACTCAAAAATTATGATTTTGATGAAGTTCAATTTATATATTTCTTTATGTGTCATATCTAAGAAATCACTGCCTAATCCAAGGGCATAAAGATTTATACCTATGATTTCTTCTAAGAATTTTATAGAATCAGCCCTTAAATATAGGTCTATGATTCATTTGAGCTAATTTTTGTATATGGTATGAGGTAGTGGCACAACTTCATTCTTCTATATGTGGATATCCTTTTGTCCCAAGTTCCATTTGTTGAAAAGACTGTTCTTTCCCCCATGAATTGTCTTGGCACTATCATCAAAATTCAATTGACCATAAATGTATGTAGGGTTTTTTTTGACTCTCAATTCTATTTTATTGATCTCTATGTCTATCATTATGCCAGTGCCATGCTGCTTTGAATACTTTGTAGCAAGTTTTGAAAATGGGAAGTGTGAGTTCTCCAACTTTGCTCTTCTTTTCAAGATTGTTTTGGCTATTTGGGGCCCCCTGCAATTCCATATGAATTTTATGAGCAACTTGTCAATTTATGCAAAGAAGTCAGCTGAGATTTTGATAGCGATTGTGTTAAATCTGTAGATAATTTAGGAGGTATTGCCATCTTGACATTAAGTCTTCTAATATATTAATGTCTTTTCACTTATTTATATCTTTAATTTCTTTCAATGATGTTTTGTAGTTTTCAGTATAAAAGCCTTGCACTTCTTTTGCTAAATTTATTCCTAAATATTATCATCTTCAAGTTATTGTAAATGGAATTGTTTTCTTAATTTCATTTTGGGTTATTTATTGCTAGAGTACATAAATTGATTTTTGCATACTGATCTTGTACCCACTAGCATTACTGAACTTGTTTATTAGTTTTAATTGTGTGTGTGTGTAAGTGAGTGAGAGAGAGAGAGAGAGAGATTGTCAGTCTTTGGTGTTTTCTATACACAAGATAACATTATCTGCAAATACAGATGCATATACAGTTTCATTTCTACCTTTCTGACCTGTATGCATTTTCTTTCTTTTTCTTTCCTTCCCTTCTTCCTTCCTTCCTTCTCTCTTTTTTTTTCTTCTTTCCTTTTCCTTTCCTCATTGCTCTGGCTTGAACCTCCAGTACAATGTCAAATAGAACTAGCAACAATGGATATCCCTGTCTTTTTCCTGATTTTAGGTGAAAAGCCTCAGTCTTTTCCCATTAAGTATAGTATTAGCTGTGACTTTTTTATAAATACTCTTTTTCAAGTTGAGGAAGTTCCTTTGTATTCCCAGTTTTTTGATTGTTTTTATTATCATCAAAGCATGTTGGATTTTATTAAATCCCTCTTTAGAAACTGATGAGATAATCATGGGAATGTATCCTTTATTCTATTGATATGATATATTACATTGATTACCAGATGTTAAACCAACCTTGCATTTCTGGGATAAATCTCGCCTGGTCATGGTATATGATGCTGTTTATATTTTGCTGGATTCAATTTGCTAGGATTTTGTTGAAGATTTTTATATCTGTCCTTATGAGAAATATTGGTCTATAGTTTGCTTGTGATTTTTGTCTGCTTTTGGTATCAGGGTAATACTGGCTTCATAGAATGACTTGGGATGTATTCCTTCCTCTTCTAAAGATCTTCTATTTGGAAGAGTTTCAGAAGGATTGGTATTAACTGTTCTTTAAATGTTTTGTAGAATTTGCCAGTAAGGCCATCTGATCCTATGCTTTTTTTTGTGGAAAGTTTTAAAAGTATTAACTCAAACTCTTTGTTATAGGATTATTCTAATTTTTTATTTCTTCCTGAGTCAGTTTTGATAGTTTTTAGAAATCATTTTGGAATTTGTACATTTCACATCTGCTATCTAATTTGTTGGCATACAGTTTTTTTTAATATTCTCTTATAATTCTTTTTATGTATATAAGGCCAGTAGTAATGTCCCCCCTCTTTCATTCCTGATTATAGTAATTTGAGTATTTTCTCTTTTTTTGTTGGTCAGTCTAGCTAAAGGTTTATCAAACCTGTTGATCTATTCATAGAACCAACTTTTGATTTTGTCAGTGTTTCTCTATTGTTTTTCTATTCTAGATTTCACTGATTTTCACTCTAATTTGTTATTTCCTTCCTACTGCTTGATTTATGTTTAATGTGCTCTTCTTTCTAGTGTCTTCAGGCAACAATTTAGATTTTTTAAAATTTTTATTTCAATAGCTTTTGGGGTACAAGTAGTTTTTTGTTACATGGATGAAATATATAGTGGTGAATTCTGAGATTTTAGTCCATGAATCACCAGAGTAGTGTATATTGTACCTAATGTGTAGTTTTCTTTTTTGTCTCTGGCTTTCCTTTCACCCTCCCCCTTCTGAGTCCCTAAAGTCCATTATATCACTTTGCATGCCTTTGTATATACTCATAGCTTAGCTCCCACTTATAAGTGAGAACATACAGTTTTTGGTTTTCTACTCCTTTGTTACTTCACTTAGAATAATGGCCTCCAGCTCCATCCAAGTTGCTGCAAAAGATCTTATTTCGTTCCTTTCAATGGCTGAGTAGTATACTCAGGTTGAGACCAACCTGGGCAACATGGTCAAACTCTGTCTCTACAAAAATACAAAAATTAGCCAGGTGTGGTGGTGTGCACCTGTGGTCCCAGCTTTACGAGGCTGAGGTGGGAGTATCACTTGAGGCTGGGGGGTCGAGGCTGCAGTGAGCCGATTGTGCCACTGCACTGCAGCCTGGGTGACAGAGTGAGATCCTGTCTCAAAAAAACAAAAGGAAGAAAGAAATGTGAACTCTTGATACCAAGGTTCTGTAGTGGATTGCCTCCAAAGAACTGAATTAGAGGCCCAAGCAAGGGGAAAGCTGCACAGGGAATGGAGGAATCCATTCACTTTAGATGCCAATTTGGGTGATTTAGATCCTCTACAGATCTCTTTCTCCTGAACTGTGTATTTGTTTTTCTTTTTCTTTTTGGCCAGAAATTAGGAGGTGGTAGGATGAGTGAAGCCATCTGTATATCTGCCCTAATCTCTCCATCATTTTGCTTGACTAGACTTATCATAAGGATGATTAAAGGTTTCTCAGCACTTGAGAATTGCTTATTTTTTTACCTCACCTTTGCCTTTTAAAGAAGAGTTAGTTATCATTTACTTTCCCATCCAATTCTTCAGTTTCCTTAGTCAATTAATTCCATGCCTATCCTGTTTGTTTAAGGTTTGGGGCAGCCCAGACGAACTAACCTAGACCTCTGATTTTTCTCAGGTTATAAATGCTCTGTGTTCCCTCATCCATTCTCCCAACTTTGATTTCCACCTATTACTCTGGCTTTGTCAGTAAGTGGCTTAAGATTCAAGTTCCCTTTTTGCTCCTTTCATGAGCCCGCCAGTCAGACTCTGTGTGGATGCTGCTTTCTTTTTTCCCAGATTTTGTGATTGGGTCCCTGATCTCATGTTTCATAGATCCTTATCTGGGTCTCTGAACCTTGCATCCTGATTGTACAGGACATCAGTCTTCCCAGGATCTAAATTACCTACCTGTTTCTCCTTTATTTCCTTCACACACTTCTCTTAATACAGCATTTAGACTTCCCAGCTTAAGTATTAGCCAGAAACCCTATCTCACGTCCACCACAGCCAACTATCCTGGATCCTGGCCTTGGATTTGAAAGTGACAGCAAAAGAGGAAGAACAAAATACTCATTGAATGCAATTTGTAAGGCAATGCATAGTTTTCAAGAAGCAGCAAGTGAAGACATCTATTGGGGGAGCTCTACTCTGCAGAATGAAAGAGGCTATTGGATGAAAAAGGAAACAAACCTATCAGCCCAGCAACTAGGAAGGCTTAACGTAGACAGGGCAGACATTTCCTTGTTTTGTCTTTTCAAGGCAGAATAGGGAGATTTAGTTGGTTGGGTGTAGTAGACAAACCAGCAAAGTAGAAAAGTGAGGGTTAGAAATATGGCAAAGTAATCAAGTGAGATATGGCTGCCTTTTGTGAAGACAAGAAAAACAAATACTAAGTGGGTACTTTTGTAGCATCTACAAGTTCTATGATCAAAGAAAAAATGTAGTAGACAAACCAGCAAAATAGAAAAGTGAGGGTTAGAAATATGGCAAAGTAAGCAAGTGAGATATGGCTGCCTTTTGTGAAGAAAGGAAAAACAAATACTAAATGGGTATTTTTGTAGCATCTACAAGTTCTATGATCAAAGAAAAAAATCTGTAAATACTTCAAGAAGTTTGCTTTTGTACTATATGGCTAATTTAAAAATCAACTTACAGGGGAAAGTGAAATGCTTAAGTCTAGAAATATAGATAAATAGTCCAAAGTCACCCATGCACACATGTCCAAGAAAGGCCATATGACCTGGAAATTTTTTTTGGATTAGCCCCATGGCATTTATATAAACCAGGGTTCTTCTCTGTTAGAGGTGCCATGGGAGGTATCCTCTGAAATTACAAGCTTCCCTTAATGGTCTGTTCTTCAAAACATCCTAGAGAAATACTGTTCTTGGATTAGGACCTTTGTTTCTGTTATCAAAATTTTCTCCTCATCTCTGATCCTGTAAAGTATCCTCACTTATCCTTGTCTCTCCTTCCTCTTACCTAAAGTTTGTGGTTTTTAAAAAATCATTTCTTCTTTACTTTCCATTTAGAAGTAGAGAACGACATCTGGAATGGCCCTCAAATATCTAGTTTTGTTTCTTCATTTTGAAGACTAGAAAACTGAGGCATATGATTTAAGGCAAAGGAATTGCCAAAGATCAACCAGTTAATGTCAAACCAGAACTAAAACATGGCTTCTGGCAATAACACCAGTATTCTTTCTGCCATACCTTCCTTTTTTTTTATATATGACATTGTATGCTTCTAAGGCTTATTTTTAGACTTATTGTATCTTCTGCTACCTAAAAATATTCAAATTAGCATCTAAGATGCTTCTTGATTTTCTCTGCTTTTTGATTGTAGGATTCCTAGAAATCACAATAGATGCAACATTAGTATGTATTTCAATGCACAGACTATTATGAGCATTTTTATGTGAAAAAGAGAAATAAAATAGGCAGAAGATGACATTTCTTGCCAAGATATTTTCGGATCTGTGTTTTTACAGGTTACCTGAGAAATTGTTTATGATGAAGGAATCAAATATAAATACGCAGTTGAGACTAGGAGAACCTCTGAAATACGGCTCACTATAGAAATAGTGAATAAAAACTTTCAGTCTTGTTTCTCTCAGCTTTGACTGTTGCATAAGTCTAAGCAAATCAATATAAAAGTGTTTCTCAAAATGTGCTTCAGTTATAGCCAATTAAAGGTCAACATATATAATTTACATGAAATGGATGGGCAGGAACAAAAGGTATCTGTTGGGCCATGAGGAATGATTCTATTTCATTTGCAGATGAGTACTATAAAGGTCATTGAAAATGTGAGATGCAAATCATTGTTTTTTTAATAAAGCATTTTTTCTAGGTTTGGTCTCTCAGCCTGTTTTATTTTGTTGTTTGCATGCATGCCACAGTCATTAGTACAATTGAATTATAGAATGACCTACACTATTAGACTGTTAGACTGCTTGATTGAAATTGTCTTTATAATGGAAATCAGAGAACACTTTTAACCTTGTTAGAGCATCACTGTATCGTTGATTAATATATAAAGCAATTCATAAATTTCACAGTGAGCTATTTATTTCCAGACAATCTTGTGAAAGCACTTTGGTCTATATTACAGAAACTTTCTTTATACCTTTGTCAGGCTGACATTAATGATTCTGATTATTTCTAGGACTTTCAAAGTATCAGCGTTAATTAAACTAATGCTTAAAAATATGCGTAGAAAAGAACCTTTGAATGTTACATTTAAATGTTTGACAATGTGTATGAAGATTCTTTTGTTACCTGGTTAATTTTAGAGAACTGACTTCATTTGATAAGGTTTCTCCCCAGTAGCAAATGCTTAGCTAAGTAGCAGTAGCCAATACTGCCAAGGTCACAGCTTCGTCTATATACTCAATACATATTTGTTGAGTACTTTTGATATGTTCTTCACTAGATATGTAATACAGATAGAGAGATGAAAAAGCCAGCACCTGCCCTCAAGAGAGTTCATAGTCTAGTGAGAGTCACAGAAACAGAGATCAGCCTATGCCCAGGCATTATGATCGCACAGATTAAGGGAGTATTATTTAACCCAGCCTGGGTAGGACAGGGAACTTGTCCTAGAGGAAT
Organism: Homo sapiens; assembly: GCF_000001405.40. Lineage (NCBI taxonomy): Eukaryota > Metazoa > Chordata > Mammalia > Primates > Hominidae > Homo > Homo sapiens. Next base: position 133,729,414 of record NC_000023.11, on the reverse strand, counting down.
TCCCCCTGAATGAAAACTCTTCTAACCACTGAAGGGGTGAGGGAAGGGTCTGTGAGAAATAGATGACTGCTGGGAAGGAACAAAGGAAACTTAGGGCTTGGGTGGAGACTGAGGAATAATGGAGGGAATAGGGTCCTTTTTACTCCAGTCCGGAACTCATTTGATGGCCCAGATACATGTTCTGAGCAGTACCAAACCACTCAAATCCTGAGACCTAACATTGATCCTGGGAGCAAGGATGCTGTTATACTGCCTTCCCTGAAGCCCCACTAAAGATGGCTCTGGCAGCAAGAGGGTAACATGGTGGCTAGAGAAGTCAGGCCTCCCACACTGGACCAGCCACCTGCATATATGGGAGGTTTGGACACAGGAGCTTATAAGTCTGGGAGGCCCTGGACTAGTTCCAGAAAAGAAAACAAAAGGTTTGGGAGTGAAAAAACTGGTCCTTTTTCTAAAGAAACTGTTTTCTATAAAAGTGTACCTTTGCTTTTAGACTATTAGGGGGATATAGAACTAATTAAGAGACCTGAACATCATCAATATTTTTCTACTTAACTTTTATGAGTAGTTAATTTTATAAAAGCCTCTGTGAAGTCACTGGTGGAAAAGCTAATGCACAGCTTTTCAGCATATTGCCCTTCAAGACTCAGGTTATATTTAATCATAAATTGCATACAAATAGCTAATTGCTAGCTTCTGCAGTAAAATGTATTTGTTGTCTCAAATTGGATTCATAGCCACAAAAGTCAAGCCATAGCCAGTCTTTGTAGAGGACATTGCTAAAGGAGATACTAAGCCAAATGACCTGCATAGATACAGTGCTGAGAGGCCACTAGGCCGGACTGGTGGACTTTAAGTTAGCAGGAATAGAGTTGGATAAACATATTGAGTAGGGGGTGTTCTAAATCAACACTTTGTGACAGCAGAGATTCATATGATGACTTCTGGTTCATATTTGAGAATTACATATCCTAGAAGGTAACTGTGTTTCCTATCTAAATTCTCCTCCTTCATCTTCTCCTTCTTTCCTTCACTCCTTCTTTCCTTCCCTCCTCCTTTCTCCTTCTCCTTCTCATTCTTCTTCAAGAAAAATGCACTGGTAAGAGCAGATTGCAATGTCCTTTTAAGGGAAAACCTGCTACAGGGTGTTTTGTCTCCAGAGGCCAATCTTTAGCTGATCTGAGAAGTGAAGCCAAAAGGGTCTTCATTGACACGTAGGCCACTGGCATGGGTGTGTAGCTGTTTGCATGTGGGGAGAACTGAAGCCAGCCTTGCACCTTTCCCTTGCCTTTAAGATAGGTTGCAGGACTCAAAGTGGAAACTCAGTAAAACTTTCAGAAGCAAATAAATGGAACCTAGAAGGCTTGTTTCCTTGGGCATGGGGAGGCACCATATGTCAGCTTCACGTTTTTAATCAAAAGGCCAAGGCTTCATCTAGATTGTAGTAATAAGTATTTGCTTTCCAGAGATTTTCATTGAAATGACAAATGCCTTTCCTTTAACTATTTCTCATGCTGTTTCCGGTGATCAGAGACAAATTCAGAACAAAAAAATGCCTTTCAGAATTTTGTATAATTTCCTTTATGATGTGCTATCATTATCTAACCTATTTATGAGGAAGTAGTTATAACATTTGATTGCCTAAGAAACATTGGAACCCAGGCTGTGGCCACAGTGGTGCTACTTGCAAGATCCTTAGAGATTATTTAGTCCAATCTCATTCTTTTACCAGTGAAGAAACAGATAACCAGATGGGGAGATGCATGTAGAGGAGAACAGGGATCTGGAAATAACCATGGCAAAGGAGTCAAAAGGAAGAATATGAAGTATGTTAAAAGTTGCCACATATCACTTTTTTTTTTTTGAGACAGTGTTTCGTTCTTTTTGCCCAGGCTGGAGTGCAATGGCGCAATCTCGGCCCACTGCAACCTCTACTTCCCGGGTTCAAGTGATTCTCCTGCCTCAGCCTCATGAGTAGGTGGGATTACAGGCACCTGCCACCATGCCCGGCTAATTTTTTTATATATTTTTAGTAGAGACGGGGTTTCACCATGTTTGCCAGGCTGGTTTCGAACTCCTGACCTCAAGTGATCCACCCACCTCAGCCTCCCGAAGTGCTAGGATTACAGGCGTGAGCCACCGCACACAGCCCACATATCACTTTTTAAAATTTTAGAAGATGGTGTGAGAAGGTTGGCATGTCATAAAGATGGGGGAGAAGGGAACTGCAGCTTATTAAGTGCCTTTCATGTACCAAACTTTGTGCTAGACACTTCATATATATTCATTCATTTAACCCTCACCACAAACACATAAAGTGGAACTTCTTATTTCCCTCATTTTACAGATGAGGAAACTGAGGCTTAGAGGAGTAAAATATTGCCTTTCCCTTATTGCCTTTCCCTTTGAGAAGAAGCAGGAGACCTGGAAACAGAAACTCAAGTCAAGCATCTTGCTTCCTGGCCCATGTTGCTGAGTCTGTAACCTAGGAGCAAATACAAGGAACATACAGGTGTCAGTCATGATGTCAATATGCAGAGAGGAGCAAATCAGAAAGTAGGAAATCCAGGTGCGGAGGGAGTTTCCTGATAGGAAGAGCACATGGGTGCTCCAGCTTTTACAGTGGCCAGTGTGGCCACTCGGTTTGTTTTTTGTTTGTTTGTTTTTGTTTTGTTTTGTTTTGTTTTTTGGAGAAATGAGAGCCAACAGAAAGATTTGTGAACCTGGAAGCAGGTGGGAAGAAGGGGAGAAGGAATATTTGAGCACATGGGATCAAGAGTAGGAAGGTGAGGTAATAAGAGAGTGACTGCCTGCTGAGAGGGACTCCATAAGAAGAGGTTGAGAGAGTTGGCAGATGAGTGATTACGGAAGTGAATAATTAGGGGACAGCAAAAAGACTCCAGGGAATTCCTAACAGGCTGGTTTGCTCCTTAGACATTTGTACAAGCAGTATTTTTAGAGTGATCGAGACAACTGAATGCTAACTTCATGTAGTCATTGCTACTTCCTGTGTCTTTATTATCATTATTTGCTTTTTCAGTGTTTATGATGACTCATTAATCTGGATTCCCTGTCTTACAGTTGATATTTGAGACAATGTCCTAAGGGAGCCCTACCCAGCAGCCTTTTGCAGAGGAGTTGTAACCTGAATGCTAGGTTTTTTTGTTACCCAGCTGCCAATGTTTGGATCAAAACAATCCATTTCTGATTCATGTATGTTATTAGCTCTGGCAGGATGGCAGGACGTGAGGCAGATACTGTTTTGTATATTACAGAAACCTAGATAAGCAAACAGAGAATGAAGAGATTGCCTTTATTAGAAAAGCAATCTTTTGCGATATTTCTTAGCACCAAGCAATGAGTTTTTAATAAAACCTAGGAGATAGAGCGTTTATGTATCTAGTCTCACTCCCCTTCTTTGAATCTAGATATATGTGATTTCATGATGCTAGCAAGAGGCCTGCTGATTTGTCAGTTCATCAAAAGTTGCTAAAGGAAAGCCAACACAAAAGAAGCTAATCATCATCTTGTCTTTTCCCAGTGACTCTATTGGACTTCTAGTGTCTGAGCTGCCTGTTCTCCATGGCAGTGTTACCAACAGTAGTACCTGCGCCCTAGTTGTAAAGGGTGAGAATCTCATTTTGTCTCTCTTCCTCTTGATAATAGGCTGGGGGCCGATTCCTTGGAAGAGCTGGAAGAATTATTAACACAAGTTATGTGTAGCCAAGTGTTGCTTTTCCTCCCTTGTTTGGTCATATTCACAATAACTCATTTTTTATCACACTTGCCCTCCTCTAGACCTATGTCTTTGAGGCTCTTCTCTCACTCCCTGTAAGTCAACTCCAAGATGAAGTAATTTGATTTTCTTCAGGTGGAACAATGTGTTTCAGGTGTCCCTAGTCCAAATGGAATTGTGCAGCTGCCATGCAAACTGTGGAAACAGCATAATTGTGTCTACTAATATTTTGTAATAGGAATCACTGATATTGTTCAGGCAATACCCACATGGGAAGAATCTGATGTTACAACAGGATTTTTTTCTTTTTTTATAATAATAGAGACAGGGTCTCCCTGTGTTGCCCAGACGGGTCTCGAACTCGTGGGCTCAAGCGATCCTCCTATCTTGGCCTCCCCAAAGTGCTGGGATTATAGGCATGAGCCACTGTGCCTGGCCAGAATTTTTGCCAAAAGCACCTTTCCTTCTTAGAATCAACTTGCTTTGAGAATTCTCTTGTGTTATGTGATTTGTCCACATTGAATCAGTAGCAGAACTGAGATTATTTATATTAACAATATTCTGGGCATCATAAAAGGGCATCTGAAATCAATGGAAGACTCTCTGTTGCTTTACTGACCCTCAAATCTGTTCTGGACCCCAACTGCCTGAGGTAATGTGTTGTCCTAACAGACTGCAGCCTTTCTGACCTGATAATACCTATCAGGAGCCCCATGCATGACCTCCAAACAGCTATTTCTTTATTTTTCGTTTATCTTATTACTATGCTCAATTATGAAGACTGTTAAAAGATTGTGGCACAAAGAGCAAAGCTCTTGTCCAAGTATTACCTTTATTATGGCTACTGCAAATTCTTCAGGAACAAAATGGCAGGGTGATAGGAAAAGGAGGCATCCTCTATTTTCAAAGGGAAATTACTTCCCATTCCTTTCACTAGTCCTGCTCTTAGATCAATAGAATTATAAGATTCCAGAGTTGAGAGTGATATTTAATTCAATCCCTTTCATTCTATAATTGGGGGAACTGAGACCCAGAGAAGAGAAGGGACCTTACCAATGGCATGCAATCTCAGTAGCAGGCTAGCACTGTAGACTTTGTTATTCACATCCCAAATTCGGTGTCCCAGAAAGAATGATTAGTGGCTTTTAAATTTCAAACTGGGGCTCCTAAGATACATTTCAAGCAAAGTCTTCATTATTCTTCAGCATAAAGAAAAATAGAGCCTCCTCCTTAGCCCCCATGTCCAACTGGAGATTCTTATAATGTAGGTATCACTTGAGACGATTCATTCTTAAGGTAGGAATAGAGAAAACACTTGGTCAGGTCTGTTTCTCTTTCTGTTAATTATTATTTCCATCTTCCTGAAGACCATAGCTTCTAAGTAATTACCTTCAGCTAGTTGAATCTTTGATCCTCAGTTATTCCCAAAGGGTTTCCTCAAGTAAAGACTGCGAGCAAACGCATTAGGCTTTGAAGTTGTAGATCCTGGTTTCAGGGCCCTGTTTTGTCCATTACTAGTTGTGTGGCCTTGGGCAATCACTTAACCTCTTGGAACCTAAGCTGATAAAAATAGGCATGATATCTTACCTCACAGGGCTGGTTACAAAGCTCCATGTGATAACGTAATGTGGACAAGTGCTTTGTAAAGAATAAAGGACTTTGCCCAACCTAAGTGTTAGTTATGAGAATATCTACTATATGTATTTCACGAAAGTAGTCTGGGATGCCCTCAGTTCCTTCTGCACAGCAATAAAACAGCTATCTCTTGATTATTCACACTAATGATAAGGAAATCTGTTAGGCCATTTGCATTGCTATAAGGGAATACCTGAGTCTGAGTAATTTATAAAGAAAAGAGGTTTAATTGGCTCACGGTTCTGCAGACTGTACAAGAAGCATGGCACCTGCATCTGCTTCTGATGAGGGCCTCAGGAAGCTTCCACTCATGGCAGAAGGCAAAGAGAGAGCAGGAGATTTCACATAGCAAGGGAGGGAGCAAGGGAGAGAGGGAGAAGGTGACACATTCTTTTAAACAACGAGATCTTGCATGAACTCAGAACAAGAACTCACTCATTACCTCGAGGAGGGCACCAAGACATATATGAAAGATCTGCCCTCATGACCCAAACACCTCCTATCTGGCTTCACTTTCAACATGGGAGATCACATTTCAACATGAGATTTGGAGGGGACAAACATCCAAACCATATCAGGCGAGGAGCACAGATAATACAAAACAGAAACATTCTACCATTTGTGTTTGTGTTTAAAATACATTTAGTTTGGGGAAGCCTCTGAACTCTGTTTGCTGAAAGTGAAATTCAACTGAGGAAGAATTCCAGAAGCAGGCCATGTGCAAGTCCCTGCCCTTTTCTGGGCCTCAGTTCCCTACCTGTAGAAGGGAGAATTGCCCTAACTAGTCACACAGTCTCTGCCAGCTCCGATGTCCATGTGTCTGTGAGTCTAGACATATGGAAGGCAACAGGGGAAAGCCAGTTTTAGATGATGCACAAAGTTTTATTGGGCAGCTGAAGTTGTGCAAATACTAGGGGGGAAATCACAAGCTGCCAAAATAGTGTCACCTCATTGATAGAATGGACAAAGAGAGAAGTCAATTCTAAGTGGAAGAAACCATGACTGACATTTTAGGAACTGATCAAAAGAAGCGATCGGAGGAAAGTGAAAATAACATCTGTAGACAGGAAGGCCCGGGACGATAGCAATGTGTAATGCTGCTGTCACAGAGGGAAATGTGCAAGATGAGTCTCTTTGTGCTGTTTTTGTTCAGGGGTCAGACTCTTCTCAATTCACCTGATTTTTTTTTCCTCTCCTTTCAATCATATCCTTTTCAAAATTCATCTCAGAAGTGTTTCTCAGCCATTCTGATTACAACTTTTGCTAAAACCAATCAGCAGAGGTCTGCTTACAGTGCAAGGCAATCAACAGAGACCCAAGGTATTGGTCAGAGATGATATCTTCATTTAGATGGACTGTGGCTAATCGGATTGGCTGAAGTTACAATCAGAGCAATTTTGCAACAGCACTGCTGCCTACCAGGTACAAAGCTTCCTGTACAATTTTAGGAATGATGCCCGGTTAAATATAGTGTTTTATACTATTTGCATGACAAATGAATTATGAAAACGACATATGTTGCACTTTAATATTTTCCTTTATAGCCTGTAATACTCCTTTAGCCTTTAATAATTGAATGACAGTGAGAAAATAAGATCAAAATTTGGCCTCTTCTAACATACCGTGCTATGTGGTGGTATCCTGTACTCTGAACCTTGTAAATTGGAAAGGCAGTGACATTGTTTTATGTGATTTGGGGTTCTGTGATAGGGTGGTATGTAATGTTCCATGATAGTCAATCCTGGTTTTATATGCCATTCCCATGCATTCCCAGAAAAAAACATCTTAAATCAGACTCAAGTCTTAATTGTATATGATAAATAGGAACAGACAGGTGAATAGTAACAAACTTTGAAAAATGAAATACAGGTACATATTAGTCAATATCAGATAAGTTACAGACTATAAAGGGGCTCATCAGACTGTATCCGTATGCATAATAATATTATGATTTTATTGTTGAGGTGTAAGTGTTCCTTTTGTATTTAGAGTACTAGATCCTTATTAGATATATGATTTGAGAACGTTATCTCTCATTCTGTAGGTTGTCTTTTCATTTTCTTAATAGTTTCCTTTGAAGCCCCAAAGTGCTTTAATTTTTATGAAGTCCATTTCATCTATTTTTTGCTTTGGTTATTTGTGCTTTCATTGTCATATCTAAGAGGACATTGTCAAATCCAGGATTACAAAAATGTACAAAATTTTTATTTAAGAGTTTTACAGATTTAGCACTTAATTTTTATTTAATTTTGGTATATGGTGTGAAGTAGGGGTCCAAATTCAGGGGTATGTTACTGGAATAGCCTTGCTAGGATTCTGTTGGGGATTTTTAAGCCTATCTTCATAAATGATGTTGGTCTGTAGTTTTCTTTTCTTAGGATGTCTTTGTCTAATTTTGGTATCAGGGTAATACTGGCCTCAGAGAATGGGTTGGGAAGTGTTCTACCTTTTCTATTTTTGGGAAGAGTTTATGAAGGATTGGTGTTAATTCTTTGAATGTTTGCTAAAACTCACCAGTGAAGCCTCTGGACCTGGGCTTTTTAAATTAATAATTCAGCCTCTTTATTTATGAATCTATTCATTTTCTATTTCTTCTTGAGTCTTTCTAGGAATATGTCCATTTCATCAAAGTTATCTACTTTTTGGCATAAAGTTGTTCATAGTATTCTCTTATGATCATTTTTTTTTTTTATTTCTGTGAAGTTACTAGTAGTGTCCTCGCTCTCATTCCTGATTTTAGTGATTTGGGTCTTTTCTCTTTTTTCTTTATCAATCTACCTAAAGGTTTATCAGTTTTGTTGATCTTTTCAAAGAACCAGCTTTTACTTTTATTCATTTTCTCTAATGTTTTTCTATTATCTATTTCAGTTATTTCCATTTTAGTCTATATTTCTGTCTGCTTGGTTTGGGTGTTTACTTTGCTATTTTTTTTTTTCTAGTTTCTTAAGGTAGAAGCTTAAGTTACTGAGTTGGGATCTCCCTTCTCATTATTTTTTAAAAATTTTTATTTCAATAGTTTTTGGGGAACAGGTGGTTTTTGGTTACATGGAGAAGTTCTTTAATGATGATTTGTGAGATTTTGGTGCATCCATCACCTGAGCAGTGTACACTGTACCCAATGTGTAGTATTTTATTCCTTACCCCCCTCACCCTTCCCCCTGAGTCCCCAAAGTCCATTATATCATTCTTATGCCTTTGCGTCCTCATAGCTTAGCTCCCACTTATAAGTGAGAACATACGCTATTTGGTTTTCCATTCCTGAGTTACTTCACTTAGAATAATGGTCTTTATTTCCATCCAGCTTGCTGCAAATGTCATTATTTTGTTTCTTTATATGGCTGAATAGTATTCCATGGTGTATATATATCATATTTTCTTTATCCACTTGTTAGTTGATGAGCATTGTATTAGTTTGTTTTCATGCTGCTGATAAAGACATACCCAAGACTGGGCAATTTACAAAAGAAAGAGGTTTAATGGATTTACAGTTCCATGTGGCTGGAGAAGCCTCACAATCATAGCAGAAGGAAAGGAGGAGCAAGTCACATCTTACATGGATGGCGGCAGGCAAAAAGAGACAGCTTGTACAGAGGAACTCCTCTTTATAAAACCATCGGATCTCATGAGACTTATTCACTATCAGGAGAACAGCATGGGAAAGACTTGCCCCCATGATTCAATTACCTCCCACCAGGGCCCTCCCACAACATGTGGGAATTCAAGATAAGATTTCGGTGGGGACACAGTGAAACCATATCAGGCATTTAGGTTGGTTCCATATTTTTGCAATTGCAAATTATGCTGCTATAAACGTGTGTACAAGTGTCTTTTTCATATATTGGATAGATACCCAGTAGTGGGATTGCTGGATCAAATGGTAGTTCTGTAAGGACTCTCCATACTGTTTTCCATAGTGGCTGTACTAGTTTACATTCCCACCAGCAGTGTAGAAGTGTTCCCTTTTCACCACATCTACACCAACATCTATTATTTTTTTATTTTTAAATTATGGCCATTCTTGCAGGAGTAAGGTGGTATCTCATCGTGGTTTGAATTTGCATTTCTCTGATATAATGTTGAGCATTTTTTCATATGTTTGTTGGCTATTTGTTTGTCTTCTTTTGAGAATTGTCTATTCATGTTCTTTGCCCACCTTTTGATGGGACTATTTGTTTTTTCTTTCTGATTCGAGTTCCTTGTAGATTCTGGATGTTAGTCCTTTGTTGAATGCAGAGTTTGCAAATATTTTCTCCCACTCTGTGGGTTGTCTATTTATTCTGCTGATTATTTATTTTGCTATACAGAAGCTTTTCAGTTTAATTAGGTCCCATTTATTTATTTTGTTTAAAGTCCTTCTCTTTAATATAGGCATTTACAGCCATAAATTTCCTTTTTTTTATTTTTTATTTTTTTTTATTATACTTTAAGTTTTAGGGTACATGTGCACATTGTGCAGGTTAGTTACATATGTATACATGTGCCATGCTGGTGCACTGCACCCACTAACTCGTCATCTAGTGGGTGAAGGACATGAACAGACACTTCTCAAAAGAAGACATTTATGCAGCCAAAAAACACATGAAAAAATACAGCCATAAATTTCTAAGCACTGCCTTCTCTACATATGATAATTTTTGTTAAGTTGTGTTTTCATTTTCATTTACCTCATAGGGTTTTCTAATTTCCCTTATCATTTCATCTTTGGCCCATTGGTTATTTAGGAGTATGTATGTTTAATTTCCACATATTTGTGAATTTCCCAAATTTTCTTCTGTTATTGTTTTCTAATTTTATTCCATTGTGGTCAGAAAATGTATGATTTCAAACTTTTTAAATTTGAGACTCGTTTTGTGGCCCAACATGTACCCTGTACTGAAGAACGTTCCACGTGTAGTAGAGAATTGTGTTTTACCACTGTTGTATGGAGTGTTCTATAGATGTCTGTTTGATCTAGTTGGCTTATAGTGTTGTTAAAATCTTCCATTTGCTTTATATTCTGCCTAGTTGTTTGAACTATCCATTATTGAAAGTGGGGAATTGGAGACTCCAAATATTGTTTTTGTATGATCTATTTCTCCCTTCAATTCTGGTAGTTTTACTTCATATATTTTGGGCTCATGTACATATATGTTGATAATTATTCTATCTTCCTGATAGATTGACACATTTATCTTTATAAAATGTCTTTCTTTGTCCCTAGTAACAAGTTTTGTCTCAAAGTCTGGTATTTTCCCCAACATTAGTACAGCCACTCTTGATGTCTATTGATTCTAGTTGGTATATCTTTTTCTATCCTTTACTTTCAACGTATTTGTGTCTTTGAATCTAAAGTGTGTCTCTTGTAGACAGCATAGACTTGCATCATGTTGGTTTAAATCTATTTTGCCCATCCCTGCCTTCTGATTGTAGTGTTCAATCCATTTGTATTTAATGTAATAAAACGAGTAATAATGAATAAGTAATGAAATAAGGTAAGATTTATATCTGTCATTTTCTACTTGATTTCTAAATGCTTTATGTCTTGCTTCTCAGTTTGTCCAGTATTGCCTTCTTTTGTGTTAAATAGTTATTTTCTAGGGTAATGGTTTTATTCTCCTATCATTTTTAACCATATTTTTAAAGTTATTTTCTTAGGGGTTGCCCTGGAAATTGCAACTAACATTTTATAACAATCTAATTTGGATTAATACCAACTTGATTTTAATAGCATGTAAATCCCTTTTTTTCTGTAAAGCTTAATTCCCTTCCCCCTTCTTGTGCTGTTACTGTCATACAAATTACATTTTCAAACATTGTATTCCGATCAACACAGATTTATAATTATTGCTTATGCATTGTGTTTTAAATCAGATAGGTGGAAAAAAGAGTTATAACCAAAAATATATTTATACTGTTTTCCATATTAACCTATATAGTAAACTTTGTGGATGTTTCTTCTTTCTTTCTCTTTTTTTCTAGAGACAGGGTCTCACTCTGTTGCCCAGGCTGGAGGGCAGTGGCACAATCATGGCTCACTGCAGCTTCCACCTCCTGGTATCAAGCAATCCTTCCACCTCAGCCTTATTTCTTTGTGTGAATTACATTACAGGATGCATACTGAAGGACTCCTTCTAGTGTTCCTTGTGGTATATATTTGCTAGTGATAAGCTCTCTCAATTTTTCTTTATCTGGGAATGCCTTAATTTCACTTTCATTTTTCATGTATACTTCTGATGATCATAGAGTTCTTGGGTGATGTTTTTTTCCTTTCAGTGCTTTGAATATATCATCCTGTAGCAGGACAAGCCACAGACAAAACCCCTCAGACACCGAGTTAAAGAAGGAAGGGCTTTATTCAGCCAGGAGCTTTGGCAAGACTCACGTCTCCAACAACCAAGCTTCCCGAGTGAGCAATTCCAGTCCCTTTTAAGGGCTCACAACTCTAAGGGGGTCCTCGTGAGAGGGTTGTGATTGATTGAGCAAGCAGGGGGTGCATGACTGGGGGCTTCATGCACTGGTAATTAGAACGGAACAGAACAGGACAGGGATTTTCACAGTGCTTTTCTATATAATGTCTGTAATCTATAGATAACATAACCAATTAGGTCAGAGGTCGATCTTTAACTACCAGGACCAGGGTGTGGTACCGGGCTGTCTGCTTGTGGATTTCATTTCTGCCTTTTAGCTTTTACTTCTTCTTTCTTTGGAGGCAGAAATTGGGCATAAGACAATATGAGGGGTGGTCTCCTCCCTTAATCCCATTGCCTTCTTGTGTTTATACTTTCTGAAGAGAAAGCAACTATAGCCAGGTGCGGTGGCTCATACCTATAATCTCAGCATTTTGGGAGGCTGAGGTGGGCAGATCACTTGATGCCACGAGTTTGAGACCAGCCTGGCCAACATGGTGAAACCCCATCTCTACCAAAAATACAAAAATTAGCCGATCTTGGTGGCATGTGCCTTGTAATTCCAGCTACTCGTGAGGCTGAGGCACAAGAATTGCTTGAACCCTGGAGGAAGAGGTTGCAATGAGTTGAGATCACGCCACTGCCCTCCAGCCTGGGCGACAGAGCAAGATATTGTCTCAAAAAATTAAAAAACAAGAAAAAAAAAGCAACTGTTAATCTTATTGAGGGCCCTTTGAATGCAATGAATTACTTCTCTCTTGCTGCTTTCAAGATTATCTTTGTCTTTTGACATTTTGATTATTATGTGTCTACTTGGAATTCACTGAGTTTCTTGGATGTGTGGATTAATATTTTGCATCAAATTTGGGAAGCTTTTAGCCATTATTTCTTCAAGTACTCTTTCTGCCTTTTTCTTTCTCTCTTCTCTCTCTGAAACTTCCATTATATGTATGTTGGCACACTTACTGGTGTTCCACAGGATTCTGAGGTGCTACTCATTTTCCTTAATTCTTTTTTCTTCATCTTCCTCAGATAGGAAAATTTAAATTGATCTATCTTCAAATGTGATTATTGTTTCTTTTGCATGCTAAAATTTCCTGCTAAGCCCCATTAATGAACTTTTAATTTTAGTTATTACAATTTTCAATTCCAGAATTTCTATTTGGTTCTTCTTAAAAAAAAGTAATTTCTATCTTTTTGCCTATCAAGGCATCATTCTCCTACCATCTTTTAGTTCTTTAGGCATTGTTTCCTTTAAGTGTCTGAACATATTTAAAATGGCTAGTTTAAAGTTTTTTGTCTAATAAAGCCCATATCTGGGCTTCCTGAGAGACAGTGTCTGTTGATTGATTTTTTTCCTGTGGATGGGCCATGCTTTCTTATTTCTTTACATCTCTTGTAATTTTTTTTTGTCAAAAACTAGATATTTAAAGAATATAATGTAGTATCTCTGGAAATCAGATTCTCCCCTATCCTCAGGCATTGTTGTTGGTGTTTGTTATTGTGGTGGTAGTTCTTATTTCTTTGTCACTTTTCTCAACCAATTCTGTAAAGTCTGTATTCTTTGTCATGTGTAGCCGTTGAAGTCTTTGTTCAGTTAGCTTAGTGGTAGTAAGTTAATGATTGAACAGTGTTTTCCTTAACTTTCTGGAACCAGTAAGTCTCTCAGTCTTTGCTGAAGTGCTCTTTGTGTATGCTGGGCACACCTTTAACATTCAGCCTAGCAGTTGAAGACCCTGCCTTAGCCTTCACTTCCTTGCACAGAACCTCAAGGTCAGTCAAAGGTGAGGGAATAGGGCTTTCTCAGATCTTTCTTGATCTGGCATGCACACAGCCTTATGCTTGAGTGTAACCCACTAGATCCCCAGGAATATGTAGCTTTTATAGCACTTATGGACATCTCATTACCTGGATTTTCCTGAAAATTTTTTGGTTAGCCTATTATTTGCTCTAACTATTGTCCCCTTGCTTCAGGCAGCTACAAAGTAAAATAATTACCTCTAATTGAGTTCAGCAGATGTCTCCAGGGAAAAGGCTTTTGCACAGGTGAGCTCAATATCAGTTCAAATAAAAACAGCCTTGCAAATGGGGTATTTTAGGTAACCATCAGACAGGTCAAATAATTACAGTTTACTGAGTGTAGCTTTGAAAGAACTCCAACCTGTCAGAGTTCTCTAGAGAGACAGAACTAATAGGATAGATGCATATATGAAAGGGAGTTTATTAAGGAGTATTGACTCACACAGTCACAAGATGAAGTCCCACAATAGGCCATCTGCAAGCTGAGGAGCAAGGAAGCCAGTCCAAGTCCCAAAACCTCAAAAGTAGAGAAGCTGACAGTGCAGCCTTCAGTCTGTGGCCAAAGGCCCAAGTGCCCCTGGCAAACCACTGGTGTTAAGTCCAAGAGTCCAAAAGCTGAAGAACTTGGAGTCTGATGTTCAAGGGCAGGAAGCATCCAGCACAGGAGAAAGATGAAGACCAGAAGACTCAGCTAGTCTGGTGCCTTCCACATTCTTCTGCCTGCTTTATTCTAGTCACACTGACAGCTGATTAAATGGTGCCCACAGAGATTGAGGTTGTGTCTGCCTCTCCCAGTCCACTGACTGAAACGTTAATCTCCTTTGGCAACACCCTCACAGACACACCCAGGAACAATACTTTGCACCCTTCAATCTAATCAAGTTGACATTCAGTATTAACCATTACAAACCCCATTCTGCTCCCTCCAGTGGCTGCCAGGATGCTAGATTTCACCATGAATGTGGGCTGTTAGTTTTCAAAAGTACTTCAGAACTGGAGAGGAGGAATGAGAATAGGGAAGTTAAAATGCCACAACGCTCACTGTTCCTACTGACATTCAGCCATTTTCTTGAATAAATGCTTCTCGGATTGCTGCAAATACTTTTATTAAATTCCAGAGCTCCAAAGAAGTTGGTTCTGAATGTTTTTGCCAATTTTCTCATTGCTTTTATGGAGGAGCACTTAAAACACTGTCCAGCACATAGTAGGTGATGAATTAATATGTTATTCATTAATGCCATTTTATTTATTTATAAATAATTTAATTTATAATGTACTTATAAATTATTATTTTCAGATTATTTTGGATGTTAGTGTAGAGCAGAGATTATGGTATCAGGACCCTTTACATTCTTAAAAGCTATACAGGACCCCAAAGAGATGTCGATGGAGTTATATCTATTGTTATTTGCTGTATTAGACATTAAAACTAGGAATATTAAAAGTATTTACTTACTAATTCATTTAAAGTTAATAATAAAGGAATCAGACACTCATATGTGTTTTTTCAAGATATGCTTTCCAAAATAAAATACTTTAGTGGAAAGAATACCATTGTTTTACATTTTTGCAAATCTCTTTAATTTTTTCCTTAATGGTAGACAGCTGGATTCTCGTATCTTCTTCTGCACTCAATCTGGTTTGACTGAGGAAAATTTGGTCTCACAAATATATACAGTTGGAAGAAGAACTGTGTCCTAATACCCTTTTTTGACAATTAGGGATATTTTCTCTGATACTGTACAAGAAGTTGGCAAGTGATACTTTCTTAAAGGTTAGTTACAATATGGAAGCTGCAAACGTATCAATTGACTTTTCATTTTCTGTTATGTTAAAATCTATCTTACACTTTGGGTGAATTATTAGTCATTGTGTGATTTTTCCATTATGATGCCTTGGTCATTTGAAAAATTTTGGCTCACTGAGTTATGCCGATTTTCCAAATATTAACACACTTCATTATATAACGTCAAAACTCATATTCATTAGTGTCACCTCTGTTCTCATCAGAAAAGCCTTCAGGTATTGGGAAGCTGTCAAGTTTCATAGTAGAAGATAACAAGTTTTCCCAAATTCTAATTTTCACCTGAAAGTGCAAATTCTATCATTGGCTATGAACACTGTCAGTTGTTTTCCTTGAAGTAACAGGCTTGCTTTGTTCATTTCCAAGAAAATGCCTACAAAATACTTGAGTTTGAATAAGAGTTTGTCTGTCAGTTTTTCTTTCAAGTAAAAATAGTGTTACATTTAAAAAGTGTTCAGTTCATCTCACAAGTCAATCACACTTGTGCTTTTCCTCTAGATGACCATCATACTTTAGTATGTACCAGAAGTACTTTATGCATACTTCCCATTTCATCACACATAATATCAAAAAAGACATGTAGTCAAGGGTGAAGATTTGATGAAATTAACTTTTACTGCCTCTTCAAGTATATTCTTAAGTGAAACTAGCTTTTTTTAAAATGTGTGTGCTTGGCAGTGAAAACTACAATGACTACTATTGCAGTTTGGTGTCACTACCCTGACTTATGATAAAGTGCAAGCAGTTTTACCCACCATAGCTTTTGCATCAGTGCAAATTTCATCACATTTGTTTGAGGGAAAACCATGAATTTTAACACTGCTATTTAACATTTTGAATATTTCAGCACCACTCATGGTTTTTTTTCCCAAAGCTTTCACATAATAGATCTTCTTTAATGATTAGTTAGTGCTTAATACTGGATGAATATAAGCAAAACAGCAATTCCACCCCAAATCTGTAGATTTGTCCATTTATAAGGCAAAAACACATTCTGCAGAAGAGACATTAACTAAAGAGGGCTTTATGTTTGCAAGTAAACCTTTTATTTGATGAGTTTGTTTCTCCATCATTGGAGAGTGGCATGATTTCTTCTATGACTTTTCACCCAGCAGGCATTCAGCAATGTCAAATCTACAGGGGTTTATTTTTTATTTTTTATTTTTTTTGAGAGGGAGTCTCGCTCTTTTCCCCAGGCTGGAGTGCAGTGGTGTGATCTCGGCTCACCGCAACCTCCACCTCCTGGGTTCAAGCAATTCTCCTGCCTCAGCCTCCCAAGTAGCTGGGATTACAGGTGCCTGCCACCAAGCCTGGCTAATTTTTTTTTTGTATTTTTAGTAGAGACAGGGTTTCACCATGTTGGCCAAGCTGGTTTCAAACTCCTGACCTCAAGTGATCCGCCCGCCTCAGCCTCCCAAAGTGCTAGAATTACAAGTGTGAGCCATCATGCAGGCCTCTACAGGGGTTTATTAGTTTTTCCACTATTGTGTGTACTTCTACAGCTAATATAATGCAGTAACTTACCCTACAGTATGTTTCAGTGCGTTTTTCGTTTCTATTTGGAAAAGCCATAACAAACACTTTTGACTTTTAAAGAGCTCATAACATTTACTTTAAATGTTTAATTTCATTTTCTTTAAACTCCAAGTAATTAATTTCAAGATGACTCTACAATTTAACTTACACTCTAATATCCTATTCCAAAATGTTCTTTTGCATCAGAAAAACAAGATAAATTATGCATGTCTATAAGGTCAAGGAAAAGACAGCTTTTGTTGTATATTTGTTTCTTAATTACAGTTGTAATCTACAGAGTAGATCCCTCTCTTCCATGAGCCAGAACTCTGTGATAAGTTGTTTTGACATGTTTTTATCAGTTTTAGACATAGACATTGCTGCTGTGGGTTGGTGAAGTAAGTCTTCTAATCTCCTTTTTCAAAGCCAATCATCCATTCTTAAATATCAGAAAAACATGTTGCAAATAAATTTTATCTTATTGTATAATACGTCCAATAAGTTACAGAAAAAATTTAAAATTTATATTCTTCAAAAAATATTTTAAAGTGTTATTGCAAAACAAGACTACAAAATTTTTTCACTTCATATATTTTCACATAGATACAAAACTTCTAGATTTCCAAATAACAATTTATTAAATGATAAGAAGGTTACAAAGATTATGGTTTGCATAACCTAGATAGCCAGTAAGAGCACTCAGTTCTGGGTATAAGGTAAACTCTGAAAATGCATGTATTTTTACTTGCTCCCTTAGAACATTCTAGAATGCACAAATACATATTTCAGAACAGTGATATCACTTTACATCATGTTGCCTCTTGAAATTTCCCCTGTATACTTGTGAGAGAATAAGAGTAAAAAGGACAAATAAAGTCTTAGTATTATTATGAAAATAGGTTTGCCCTTTAGGACCTCCCGAGAGGTCTCAGAGAACTGGAAGGAATGGATTGGAGGAGGTCAAAACTGGAGCTTTGGAGACCAATTAAGAGGCCGTTGGGATGGTCTGTGTGGCAGTGGTTCTCCAACTTGTATGCATCAGAACCCCCTGAAGGGCTTGTTAAAAGCTGGGCTCCACTCCCAGGATTTCTGATTCAGTAGGTCTAAGTCTGGCCCCAAAATGCATTTCCAACAAGTGCCCAGATGGTATTGATGCTGCTTATTTTAGGACCATGCTTTGAGAACCACTATGCTAGGGCCTTGCTAATCATCTCAGACTTCACCCCAGATCTATTGAAGATGAAACTCTGTGAATAAGATTTTCAGGTGATTTGTATACACATTAAAGTTTGAGAAGCACTGCTCTAAGAGACAGTTGATGGAATCCTAGACCTAAAGGTAGAGAAAAGTTCACAAATTGAATGGTTATTTATAAGAGACAATAAACAAGACTTCGTGTCTGGATGTAGAGAAGTTAGAGGGAGGGAGAAATCACCAGAAATTATTTGGTTTCTTCTGGCTTGAGCAATTGAGTAGGAGGTAATTCCTTTTCACTGGGACAAAGGACACAAGGAGATGAGTATATTTGGGGGAGTGGTATTTGAATTCAGTATTGAGTTGATTTACTACACAAAGTTCTCTTTTAATCTGCACATTAATGGTTTCACATGGTTAAATAATAATGTCATGAACTCCTGGTGCTGCAAAGGGATTGGTAATGCATAAGAAGTGTTAGGCACACATGCAGGATTCTGCTTTCAGCTCAGACTCTGTTTGTGGCAGATATAAATTAGCAAAATATAAGTCTCTTCTACATAAGGAGCATTTAAAACCTGTCTCCCATCCCTACAGCATTCAGCCCCTCAGACAAAAGCATGTGGGTATGAGACACAGGGTAAACAGCCAAAGTCACGTACCACCTATTGGTAATTCGAGATTAGAAGAACAGAAGAGGATATTCCAGATATTCCAGAGCAGACCGGACCCAATTGTGTGACTGCCAGACTTGGGCAAATTCCATGTGGTTCCCTTTCAGGGACATATAGCTACCCATGTTCCTGACCAGCTGAACCAGGATTATGACACACAAAGCAGGCTGCAGAAGGAAGTAGTCCCCACTTAAGAATGAATCAAATTTCTATCTGGTTGGGGGAGACATTACACTTTCAACCATTGTTTCGCTTGATCTTCACATTACAGCCAGGTCCAGCAGGCATTTTAATTATCTTCATTTTGCAGATGAGGAGGCTGAGTTTCAAGGAAAGTAAATGACTTGTCTAGAGTTATTGAAATGGTAAGAGGATGAACTGACACTGGGCCCCAGGTATCCTGACTCCAAATTGTGTGTTCCTTTCACGATAATACCATGCTGTAGTTCAATTTAGCAGCAGGCTGATCTGTAGGACATTTGTTCCTTTTTTGGATTCCAATTTACTTCAAGAACTAACATGTATGAAATGTTCAAATAATAGCACTTGATTTCTTAAAATTGCTTGATTTATAATACATTACAGATTATTAGTGAGCTTTTATCTTAATGGTCAAGCAATTAACAATGAGTCACAGCAAAATGTCTGAAAGGTGAGGAAAGAAAAAAATGCTTACATTGTCACCAGGTCTGTTCATTATCCTCTGTGCTGTATATCAGATCAATCAATAGTTAATTAATAATGATGTTCTTCCTGAAGTACAAGGTTATAAATTAATTTAATGCTCATATGCATATTTTCTGTAGGAAAAGTGAGAGGAAAATGCCTGCCATGCCCATCTCATTGTAAGAAAATGTATGTAATGATTACAAGCATATAATAAGAATGGTTTGCTTAGCCAAATGTTTGTTCATTTCTGTTAATCAGTATTCATTTGAGCTACCTCCATGCAGTTTGTGGAAGCAGTGCAATCAGTTGAGTAGTGTGGCAGATTTAAATCAGTAATAAAAGCCCTGGGGAAATTAACAAGACAAAACATTAACCACAGTCTAAACATTAACATATATTAGCATTTTTATTATACCTGTAGAATTGTTAAATGGGCACGGTTGCTACTATTAAAAAGTTTATGTTGTATATCACATAATTTCAATGTATATATTGTTTTTAAACTTTTAAGATTTAATTAAATGAAATTGTATAGTGGTATGATAGATGATTCAAGAGAATGAACTGAAATTCATCATTTTATTTTAACTGAAAAACTGAAATTCCCACCCAACTCCACCTTCAGCCCCAAGGTACCACAAAGCGAATGCCACAGGTAATACTCATCCAAAGTAGACAACTAGATCAGAGTTGATAATTAAATTGCATAACTCCCAAAGGAAGTTTTAGTTTTAATTCTTTAGGGTCCTGATGAATCCATCAATGATCCAAGACTAAATTTAAATGGTATTTGGCAACATTTCTCAGAAAAGCACTTTTTTTTCTAAGTTGGATGAACTTTTATTAGCTGAATTCGAGACATTATAATAACACTTCAATTAAGAGAATGATATATTTGCATAAGCACAAACATTTAAATAAACAGAATAGAGTTCAGAAATAGATCCACAAACATGGCCAATTAAGTTTAAAGAAATAAAAAATTGAAGTAACTAAATGAGAAATGATCTTAACAAATTGTACTGAAACAATCTGATAAATATTTGGAAAAACATAATCATTATTTCTTGAGTGTTAAATAACTTGGAAAGTTTGACAAGTTAATCAGATAAACAAATGGATAGCATTCATGACAGATAAACAGAGCATACACATTATTTTTAAATACCAGAGAAAAATATTTAAAGGAAAAGCATTAGGCCTAAAAATGTCATTAACTTTGTGAAAGTAGAAATCCAACAGGTCATATGATTTAAGCACTGTGAAATGAAGTAGAAATGTCAGTGAAAGGGAAATCAACAAGTAATATCTAGCCATGTACAAATTTTATTTAAGATAGATTTCTTTTATTTCTTTTTTAAATAGTTTCAGCTTTTATTACAGATTAGAGGGTACACTTGCAGATTTGTTACATGGGTATATTGTACGACGCTGAGGCTTCGGGTCCCAGTGATCCCATCGCCTAGGCCATGAAAACAGCAATCTTTACATCACACAATATACAAAAATTAACACAAAATGGGTTAAATACCTCATCATAAATGTACAAATGATAAAGGTTCTGAAGAAAATATGTCTGTGACATTGCCATATGGAAAGGCTTCTTTGGATGGAAAACAGCATCAATCATAAAGCTGCAAAAATATATAAAATCAGGTGCATCAAAAAATTTTAAAAAGTGTTCTGTGCAAAAGGCATCACTAAGAAAAGTGAAAAACCAGATAATGGGAAGGAGTATTTACAAAACATATATTTGAAAATGAAATGGCAAGATTTGAGTAAACAGTGCAGCTTTATTCACAAAAGCAAAAATGTGGAAACTACCCAAATGTGTAAACATATTTGGTATATTTATTCAGCAATTAAAAGAAAAAAGTACTGGTAAACCACCAACATAGAGTTCCTCAAAGAAAAAATTATCCTGAGCAAAAAAGCAGAAACAAAGACATAAATACCGAATCTATCCATATTTATTTTCTATATTTCTATTCTTTCTTTCTGTTATCAATCTAATCCTAAAAAAGACAGATCTCATCTGTAGTGATTAAAATGTCAGTCACTATAAAATTATGACAATATTTTCTACATTATGAGGTAGTGTTTACACATGTGTATACATTTACAAATCTCATCAAACTACAATTTAGGGATGCATTTTATGTATATTGGGTCTCAAAACATTTAATTAAAAAAAGAGTACAGCAACCAAAAGAGGTAATGTACTGCAGCATAAACTCTGCCCCCCCATTAAAAAATTATCTCGGATAATTAACACACTATTAATTATATTAATTATACTTAATAAGATACATGACATAACCTTTATGTAAAATAACTGCCTATGCTTTCCATCTATTTGCTTACTCTCCATATATTCTACATCTTATGATTCTTATTTTCAGAACTTCTCTGCTGAAGTGACTCATGTCATCATTATCAATCATCTAAATTTACTAAACACAGTACATACTAGGTCCTCATCTTGTTGAATCTCTCATCGTTGTTAAACCCAGAATATTGATCTGGGTTTTCTCCCTTTGGATGTTTTAATTACACTGGTGTTACATAAGGACAGGATTCTCCTACAAAATATTAAATATATGTTTCAGAAACATAAAAACATCACAGTTTCAAATAACTTTTTTTGGGATTCAGGGAGTACATGTGCAGGTTTGTCATATGGGTATATTGTGTGATGCTGAGGTTTGGGGTATGGATGGTCCCATCACCCAGGTAGTGAGCATAGTACCCAATAGATAGTTTTTTAGCCCATGCCCCTTTTCCTCCTTCTGCCCTCTTGTAGTTCCCAGTGTCTGTGATTCCCATCTTTATGTTCATTAGTGTATTCAACATTTAGCTCCCACTAATAAGTGAGAACATGCAGTATTTGATTTTCTGTCCCGGCATTACTTTGCTTAGGAAAATAGCCTCCAGCTGCATCCATGTTGCTGCAAGGGGCAATATTTCATGCTTGTTTATGGCTGAGTAGTATTCCATGGTGTATATGTACAACATTTTCTTTATCCAGTCCACCATTGATGAGCACCTGAGTTGATAGCATGTCTTTGCTATTGTGTATAGTGCTGTGATGAACATATGGGTGCAGGTGTCTTTTTGGTAGAATGATTTGTTTTCCTTTAGCTATATACCCAGTAATGGTATTGTTGAATCAAATGGTAGTTCACCTCTTAGTTCTTTGAGGAATCTCCAAACTCCCCTCTGCAGTGGCTGGACTAATTTACACTCCCACCAGCAGTGTGTAAATGTTCCCCTCTCTCTGCATCCTCACCAGCATCTGTTGTTTTTAGACTATTTAACAAAAGCCATTCTAAATTCTGTGAGATGATATCTCATTGTGATTTTGATTTGCATTTCTCTGATGATTAGTGATGATAAGCATTTTTTCATATCTTTATTGGCCACTTGTATGTCTTCTTTTAAGAAGTGTCTGTTCATGTCCTTTGCCCACTTTTTAATGGGGCTATTTGTTTTTTGCTTGTTGATTTATTTAAGTTCCTTATAGCTTCTGGGTATTAGGCTTTTGTCAGATGCATAGTTTGCAAATATTGTCTCCCATTCTGTAGGTTGTCTGTTTACTCCCTTAATAGTTTCTCTTGCTGTGCAGAAGCTCTTTAGTTTAATTAGGTTCCACTTGTCAATTTTTGTTTTTGTTGCAATTGCTTTTGAGGATTTAGCCATAAATGCTTTGCCAAGGGTGATATCAAGAAGTGTATTTCCTTAGTTTTCTTGTAGGATTTTTATAGTTCGAAGTCTAATATTTAAGTCTTTAATCTATCCATCTTGAGTTAATTTTTGTATATGGTAAAAGATAGGAGTCCAGTTTCAATCTTTTGCATATGGCTAGCCATTTATCCTAGCACCATTTATTGAATAGGGAGTCAACTTTGCCAAAGATCAGATGGTTAGACATCAGAATTTTTTTAAATGTAGGAATTACCGAAGATTTTGTAGCCAACCCAATAATCTGAATTCTGGAGCCAGGGTCAAGGGACATCCTGCAGGCAGCAAGTGGCAAGCTAGACCTACTTGGGAGCCTCCTTTTCCATAGAATTTGACATGCAGTGCTTTCGTATGGTTACTAATTCACTCTTACTTGGCAGACCAAAGAATTTAAATCATCCCACTATTGGCTTACTGCCACTTGAAATACTACCTGAAACTTAGGTTAAAATTGAATGTCAGTTTTCTGTTGAACAACTTTAGCCATTTCTTGGAATATGTTTAGAGAATTTTTCATCATTATTACTGTCCTCCAATTATAGGTAAGGTGTCCACATAACCACAGACCTGGGTCACACCCAATACTGGGAAGCCCCAGAGCCTATGCCTGTGACAGAACTCCATGACACGGGAAAATCGAAAACAAAAACATAGGTTTTAGAATCAGACAGACCAGCATTCAAGCCTCAGCTCTACCATTTACTAACATTGTGACCTTGCTTTTAAGTTCCCCAACTTTTGTGAGCTTCAGTTTCCTTATATCTAAAAATGGGGCTAATAATACCCATTCTGTGTAATCCCAGTGCTTTGGGAGACCAAGGTGGGCAGATCACTTGAGTCCAGGAGTTCAAGACCAGTCTGGGCAACATGCTGAGATCCCGTGTCTAGCTACATTAGCTAGGCATGGTGTTGTGTGCCTGTAGTCCCAGCTGCTCAGGAGGCTTAAGTGGGAGGATTACCTGAGCCTGGGGAGATCAAGGCTGCATTGAGCCGTGACCACACCATGGCACTCCAGCCTGGGCAACAGAGCAAGACCCTGTCTCAATAAATAAATAAATAAATAAGTAATACCTGCTCTGTATACCTCAGAGGGTTGTTGGTAGGACTGAGTGAAGAGAATGGAGAATGGATGTAGAAGTTATCTGTGAAGCACTAGGTTGGAATAGGGTATTGTGTAAGAAACGTGAAGTGTTGGTATTGTTGAGAAGCTTTTGATACAGGCTCTCTTTCTCTGTTCTGGAGTGAAAGATCAAATCTGAATTTTTTTGTCACTTGAGAGTTCCCAGAACCAACAGTGAATAGGGGCCTGAGAATGACAGTTAGATTTTAACCAATAGAGTAGCCGCATTTCTTGACATGTTCATTATAGAGTATAGGAGTGAATTGTATCAGATCAAATTTTTGCATGATTTCAGAATGTTTGGTAATAATGGGATTCAGGACACACCACCCCAAAATATGGCACCTTTGCATTTAAGAAAACTTCAAAAACAAGAAAGTCACTCTCACCTTCCCCTCACCCCTTCTCCCATGAAGCAGGTCATAAAACCTAACTGACCCTCTTCTAAAGTATGTCGTAAGACCGTCATGTGGAGGTGCCCACCCTATACCAAGAAGAAAGAAACATCTTTACCTCCAAAGTTACAGGGACACAGAGAAAAATCTGAAGAAACTGCCCTGGCTAAGTTTCCCCCAGTTTATTTCCATTCAGTTATAACCTCTTTGTCCAATCACACTTCACCACTCTCCATTTCCTTAACAAACTTAGCATAAAAATCCACAGCTTTCCTCATTTCTTTGGGTCTTCCTTTCTAAAGGATCTCGTGTGACGTAAAACTTATATTAAACATATTTGTATGGATTTCTCTTTTTAATCTGTCTTTTATTACAGGTTCCTCAGGCATAGGTCAAGAAAATAAAATTTTCCCTGCCCTACAATAACATACTCCATTCAGAAAGTAATTTTCACCTTTTTTTTTTTTTCAAGGAAACTGAGAAGAAAATATGGCACTTCAAATATCCTATCTTCTTCCTGTGTATAGGGCTAGACTTACAGGTAGAGTGAAGCTATGGGACCAGGTCACAGTGAAGTCCTGCTGTGGGTGAGAGGTGGAAGTGGGGTGGTAGGCCAGGTTTCCTGATGCCCAGCCTACTGGGCTCTGCATGATCTAGACCAAGCTTGTCCAACCTGCAGCTTGCAGGCTGCATGCAGCCCAAGATGGCTTTGAATGTGGCCCAACACAAATTCATAAACTTTCTTAAAACATTATGATATTTTTTGGTGATTTTTCTTCTATCTCATCAGCTATCATTAGTATTTTATGTGTGGCCCAAGACAATTCTTCTTCTTCCAATGTGGCCCAGGGAAGCCAAAAGATTGGACACCCCTGATCTATACCTTGCTGGGTCCCAGCAGTGTATTTTCCTTATGTAGGTACAAGGACGGTGCTTCTGGATCCTGGCAGAAAAGAATGATGCTAAGGTTACTAAAATGTCTTCCTGGCTGGGCGCGGTGGCTCACGCCTGTAATCCCAGCACTTTGGGAGGCCAAGGTGGGTGGATCACGAGGTCAGGAGATCAAGACCATCCTAGCTAACACGGTGAAACACTGTCTCTACTAAAAATACAAAAAATTAGCTGGGCGTGGTAGTGGGCACCTGTAGTCCCAGCTACTCGGGAGGCTGAAGCAGGAGAATGGCGTGAACCCAGGAGGCAGAGCTTGCAGTGAGCCGAGATTGCACCACTGCACTCCAGCCTGGGTGACTGAGTGAGACTCTGTCTTAAAAAAAAAAAAAAAAAACTTCCTGGCCTGGATATGGTCAGAGGCCCTGCCTTCTTCTTATGTTTCAGGACTTGTAACCCTGCAGAGCACTATTGCTTTCCTTGTCAAAAGTCTAGCACATAAATAAAAACACCTTTAGGAATCATGGTCTATGGAAAACAAAAAGGTTTTATATTCCAGTCTTTTGGTAGAGACACTCACCTATCCAATAAATTCCCTCCAACTAACCAAATTTAAAGGTAGCAGCATCCTTGACTAGATACATTAGTCAGCGAAAGGAAATTGGATTCCACTTCTTATTTAAGAGCCTAAAACTCCTGGGCAGGATACTGATTTCTAAAATGCCACTTGGGAGGCTGGCTTCTTCAGTAAGGGCTGCTGAAGAATAAGACTCAAGTCTCCCAGCATAGCCTGATGTTTCCCAAGTGTGAAGCTGAAAGGACTTCTTTAATGTGAATGCTGCATCTCTTTGTAAGTTATGTTTTCTTTTAGTGTCCACTTCTCAAAATAAGCTCATAATATTCACCTATAGCTCACATAGTGTGGAGGTGAAAGATGTAGGGAGAAGGGCCCAAAGGAGGGAATATATTTGACAAATGCTTTGTATATGAGAAGAATTTGCTTCATGGTAGATTTGTGGAGGAAAATGCAGCCTGTCTGATAAGATGTGGCACATTTCAGATGGAGGAGTAGGGTTATTGGCAGGACACCATTGTTTGCGCCTTACCCCACACAGAGCCTTGGAAAGTTGGCTTGATAATACTATATTGGGTGGCTTGGGAAGAAAGATCAGACTGCAGAGTGGCGACATTATCATTTGTTCTTAACCTTCCTACTTTTGCCTCAGCTGCACCCCTTTCCAGTAGGTTGGGGTTGGTGAGGGGGGAGGGGGTTAAAAACTTTAAAGTCTTTCTGTGGACCAATTAGTATTCATTGATACAAAGGGCTGACTTTCAATGGGGAGGGAGATTTCACAGCTGTGGGTTGCAAGTAGACAAGTTACTGTGAAAGATGTGTGAAAGATTTGATTTTGGTGCTGGACTGGGAACAGGTGTAGGTCAAGAGAATGTGTACTATGCTCTTGAATGTGCTAAGAATACTTTGATCCTACTGAAATAAGTTCTCACATGAATGTTTATTCACAGAATAATAGATATTTATGGAACAAACATCAAGGTTTTGTTCCATGAAATTTTACCTGCATTTTCACAAAGTAAACATGTATATGTCTTCAGACAGAAAGTGGTAATACACAGTCTGCCCTCATTTATTTGGCATCTGCATTATATGCTTTGAAAATGATTGGAACTTAACTCCCCAGTCCAGCTAGGCAGCCCCTGACCTAAAGCACCCTACCAGACTGCTACTAGTTAAGGCATATTCATGGAATGCACACGCTTCGTTTGAAGTTAATATTAGCTCAAGTCACATAGCATTACATAAGCACATCTGAAAAATTCAGTATCATGCATTCCAAAGCCAAATTGAATGTCTTTAAGTGTCTTCGGCTTTTGTTTTATTCCCATTAAGATAAACTATTGAGTATAGCTCATCTGAATATCAAACTATAGATGCTATCTTTTATAAATGAAGGTGATGCTACTCTGATTCTAGATTTTTTTTTCTAATTCGAGAATTTATTTATATGAAAAGCCTTCCAAAGCTGTATAAATAGATAACTTAGTAAATGCTGTCAGGGCCATCTTGAGAAATCCAGAAGCTGGGATTACCACACAGAGCCCATGGCTTATAAGTAGAGTGCTGAACTGAGGCTGATAATAGAAGATTCTTTCAATTCACTTCAATTAATTCACCTAACTTAGACGCACAAAATCCATTCTGAATAGCGTGGAAATACAAAAGTGACAAACATACAACCCTTCTCCTTGCCAGATATTTCTAATATTTTTCCTGAAGTTTACAGTCCATATATTCACCTTGGCTACGTTGGATGGCTATGTTTTTGAGGACTGGTAGTTCTTTATATTTTTCTACAATGGAGAATGTAAGCCACTGGAAGGTCAAGCATTATCTGCTAGGGAGGCAATGTTGCATAATCTTTGAAGTCAGATAAATGGGTTCTAAGTCAGACAAGTGAGTCCACTGTTTTTCTGCCTCATGCAAGTCACTTAACTCCCTAAGCCTCAATTTCCTCATCTCTAAAATGGGGATGATAATAGTTGGCATAGTGTCTGGCACAAGGGAGATATATAAGAATGTTAATATTCATATTTCTTTATATGGAGGTTCATTTAGGCTTTTGCTTGAAAGTGAAAAAAGTAGCAAATCTACTAAGAATTAAACCAAAAAAATCAAGTAGAATGGAGCTAAGTAAGAAAGATTATGCCATTTTAAAAAAAGTATTGCTATATGAGTGTAAAAGAGGTCAGCTTTAGCGAGAGATATCCAATAAATATTTTTGAATGAATGAATGAGAAAAGATGGAAGGAAGAAAGGGAGGAAAGAAGGAGACAGGGAGGAAGGAAGAAAGGGAGACTGTTGAGCACCTATGTTTTTAAAATACTTTTAATCCTGGGCTTATTTAATGATATATGATTCATAGGTGATGACACTGGCTTGCTTATTTATTTATTTATTTATTAGAAACAGGATCTCCCTCTATCACTCAGGCTGGAGTGCAGTGGCACAATCATGGCTCACTGCAGCCGTGACCTCCCAGGCTCAAACGATCCTCCCACCTCAGCCTCCTGAGTAGCTGGGACTACAGGTGTACGCCACCATGCCTGGCTAATTTTTTATTTTTTGCAGAGACTGGGTCTTGCTGTGTTGCCCAGGCTGGCTTTGAACTCCTGGCCACAAGTGATCCTCTTGCCTCAGCCTCCCGAAGTGCTGGAATTACAGGTGTGAGCTGCCTGTCACTGGCTACTGATTGGTTGACTTGCCTTCTTCCCTTGGGTATTTTTAGGAAATCCAGATGAGCAATCATACTTTTTATCAGAGTACCTTATCTTGGGTCTTATAAAAAAATACTCATAGAAATTGGGAGCACTCTGTGCTTGGGAGGCTGGTCTTCTATTAACTGACTACACAACCCCCATCTTCTGCACCAGTTCTTCCTAAATTTTGCAATTCCCTTTTGTGAACTTCTTCATACATATTAATACTAAGTGCCATTGAAAGGTATCAATAGCGTGAGGCCTGCGTTGACAGTCCTCTCAAATGTATACTTCACTGTAGAAAAAAAGCCATTTTTTATCTTAGGAAATCTCTGAATAGGCTGTACTTAGAATGGGGCCCCCATTCCCCGTCTCCAGCCTTCTTTCCACCAGTGGTTCTTTGTCTTACAAGCTTATCACCTTTTTTGACTCTAGTCATAGCTTTGTTCTGCTATTTAAAATTGGGGGAAGAAATTGAAGTGCCTTTCAGAATTTGTTTCTACTATCATATCTGCACAAGTATCATATAATTATATTGCATTTCTTTTTTCAGATTGGCAAGTTATGTGCCCATTCTCAACAACGCCAATATAGATCTGCTTATTATCCTGAAGATCTCTTTATTGACAAGAAAGTATTAAAAGTTGCTCATGTAGAACATGAAGAAACCTTATCCAGCCGAAGAAGGTGAGAGGTTTCTTTTTTCTTTATTCCACAATACAATTAACAATTGTATTTTAAGGTCAAAAACCACTAGAGTGAAACTTCTTAAATACATGTTATTTAGTTCTTCTGAGTAGAGTGCTTGATTAATTAAATTTTATCATCTGTCAATGTTTAAAAAAAGATGGTATTATATCCAAGGCATATTTAAATGTAAATTTACTGTTCATAAATATCTAGTACAGCAACATGTGTGGAAAGGACTTCCCTATTCAAGATCTTTTATTGATTAAGCAAAATTGTTTCTGCTTACAATCTGGTCTCGCGATTCCTTGGCTTGCTTTGTAGCTTTTCCCATTATTAACAGTGAGTCAGAGTTAAATTCACCAGAGAGAAGCTGGTGAGACACATTCATGTGTATACACAGACACTGCACACTTTACACACCTTTTAAAAATGATAAAATGAAGGATCTGGTTCCTGGTTCTTAAAACAACAGTCAGGGGACAAAATCCACGTTTGTTTCTTATTCTCTTCATCCATTCTCCCCTGATCCAGGTTCCCTCTATCCCCATTCTATTTTTTTGATTACAATAAAGGGGTAGAAATTGGATCAAAAGCCCAATACAATTCTAGAAGAAGTGCCCTACCTGAAAAGACTGCACATGTAGCCAGCCCTGCCACTGGCTCAAGAATAGCTAGACATGAGTTGTTCCTATTGACCTTGAGGGGGGAGTGCAGTGGCGCGATCTCAGCTCACTGTGACCTATGCCTCCCAGGTTAAAGCCATTCTCGTGAGCCACCACACGTGGCCTAGATTCATCCTCCAAGGAAAAGAAAGGATAGTAAGAAAAACTGACAAAGCCTGTAGAGTTGAGTAAATGATGGTCAGGCAGAGCTTCTTTGGTGTTAGGAGATCGAGACTGCCCAATGATGTTACTCACTTTTTTTGAAACTGAAGCATTAGAATCTGAGATGGAGCCTTTCTTTGTGAATTCTCTGGCAGAAGAAGAAAACGAAACAACAGGAGAGTATCTGATTTTATTTAACTCCCTCAAATAGGCATTGTAACCCCTTTTAGGGAGAGAGGAGAAGTGGGAATTAAGATAATCTCTTGCTAAATGCACTGCCCCCTGCAATCTGATGTTATTAAGAGGGTTTGTTTTTGCAGTGTTAGTACCTCTATAAATCTCTCAGTATGTTCTGCACAGCATTTCACACTGTCCAGAAAAATATATGTGCCTCTAGCACTCCTCATGCCCATGCCCAAGCTCCGTCCTCTGTGGTTAAAAATATGATAATTGCAAAGGAACCCTATTGTAGTATTCAGTCTGTGGAGGTTGTGAGCAAGCTGTCTGAATCTGATCATGAGTTGAAAAGCCCTTTGCCTTATTAAAATAACAACACACAATGAATTCCTTTGGTAGTATTCAGAAGTCATCTGTTTGTTTTGTCTGCCCCCAACTGGGTAGTTTGCAACACACAGCTAATCTTAGAAATAGCTTAGTTCAATTTCAAGGCGATTTGATACTCAACTGGTGGTCTATGTGTGGGACTCAGTGTTCCTTTAAGGGATAAGTATTGAAAATATCTGTCATAGATTTAAAACAGTGAGTGGAGAACAAGATGCACAACTAGTACAATCAGAATAGAAGAAATCAGATCTTCACTGCCCCTTCTAGCTTTCATATTTTTGGCACATCTCAGTTGCCAGCTTCTCCCTTCTTTGCCCTTCCGAATGTCTACTTCACTGCTTCCCTTATGATACTGTTTACCTTGCCACAATATACTGTTTGGTTGAGTACATGAACAATATTTTTCCATTGTTCAAATGCCGAATCTATGGTTGAATAGTCCATCTTGCATCTACAGATACCAAGCTTCTGGCCCAACTGCTAACTTGTGAGAAAGTCACACAGTTCCCTCCACCCTTGTGAAATTATATCTACATATTCCAGCCTTCTCCTTCCTGTGCTCCCCCTCCTCTCCTTCCCCTCTGACTTGGTCTAAAGCGGCAACGGATCAGGTGACACTAGTAAATGATCTAGAAAGAAAAGAACAAAAGCTGACCTCAGCTCCCCTAGTCCAAAATCAATGCCTACTCCCACCCACTCTGAACAAAACAACAAAGTATGTCCTGAGTGAATCAACGAGTTCTGGATCTGGTACAAGTCATTCTGCCCTAAATAGGCCTCTACTTCTTTCAACATTTGTCAACACCATCTCTATGCTTCACATTGTGTAAGGGTTAGGCTCTGAGGAATGGAGGAGCACCTAGCTTAGTTAGGGAGGGAGACATGCAAATGAATAATTTCCATACATTGGGGGGTGAGTGCCAAATCAGAGCTAGGTGCAAAAGAGTGGCAGTGTCACAGATGGGGAAGATAGCCCCTCTCCTTGGAGCATTAAGAAAGACTTCTTGGAAAAGGTAACTTTTGAGCTCAGCCTGAAGGATAAGTTCAAACAAGCTCAGCAGATTGAGGAAGGAAAGGAGGGCGTTCTGGGCAAAGGGAACACTATGAGAAAAAGTATGGGCAAGTCTTTAGAATGGTAGAAAGCTCTAGTTTGGGATTAAACTGTGAAAGGCTCTCTCCAGCAGAATTAGGCATGATCTTACATCATTCCAATTTTCGTTATTTTAGTTTAGGTACTTTTTTGCATTGCCAACTTTTAAAAATAATAAGCTCATATTACTTTACATGAAGAGAAAAAAACGAACCTTAATAATAAAGGAAAAAGTTCCAGGTCTGCAGTCAGGGATGAAAGGCTGTTTTTACTTGCAGTGATTTCCAATTAGTGCTGCTTTGATGCCTGCCCAAGCAAATCATTGCAAGAAAGCAAAGGCAATCTCCTCCCCTGCAACCAAAGAAGGGAAGGGATGATCCTCTTCAGGATGATGGAAGCCCTCCAGGGATGATCACGTGCACCCAGCTGCCATATTTGAAAATGGCTCATGCGTGCAAAGGGGCCCTATCCTTTAGTTCCACATTTAACACATTGAATGGAAACCTCTATGAAGAGACTTTTTCCTGAGCAGGCTGTCGTAAGCAAATGTTGGATTTGTCTAACTGAGAGCTGTAGGCATCAGAATTTTTGTATGTCAATGCTATGTTTGACATTTATGTATTAGAATAAAGTGGAATTACAATCAAAGAACATTCCCTTCAATCACATTGTTTTTCCCATCCCAGGCAACGAATTGTCCAAACTTTCTATCCTCTTTTTTTTCCCCTAGGAACAATTCAGTTGAGCAGACTGTCTTAGTTCATAGGTGGAGATTCTTTTGTTGTCTGTCATGGGCTACTAGCACAAAGGAAAAAAATCTGGACTGTGTCATACATGGGTAATTAACATGTCACTTAGTTTCATGTGTCTTTCTTTAAAGAGAAAAATAGAAATATTCAACTCCTCTTTTACAACTATAAGCAGAGGAATATAAACCTTTATTTAAGAAAAGATTAAAATACGCTTAATTCCTGTGCTGGAACAAGTTTAGAAAGGAATGACAGGAAGAGACAAAGAAGAGGAGAGATGAGAGAGGCCCAGTAAACTTGGTAGGAGGTAAACTACTCTTGTAACTCTGCTGCTGTAGTGTCAGAGGACATTATCACCTGTTGTTGCTGTCCTTTGAAAAACTCATTAACTCTCCAACAGTTTCTGAAGTCTTCTTCCCTACCCTCGAAAACAGTATGTCTGCACTTATTTTCAATAATCAGTTTCTTTTAGAGACCAAGATGTATTTTCTCACAGTAATTCAGAAGGTTTTCCATAAAGGAATGGTCTTCACCGTAACACTGTCCTTTGGGACTCTAAGATATTGACCAGTTTGAGAACTGTGCTGGAGATCTACTCTTTGTTCTCCCTGTCTCATCCCACAGGGCCTGGGAATTAGTTGAGAACCAGGATTTATTTAATTCTGAGGTTCTTGTAGTCAAATCTACCTTGGATTCTAAGTGGATTCTAATGGAGATAATACACACTAAGAACCAAAAAGAACTCAGAGAACAAGCCTATCAAGAAGAATAGGTTTTAAAGAAATAAATGTAAAACTTTACTCAAGAGAAAAATCTAGAACAAACTACATTGAAATATTAACAGTGATTATCTGTGTCTGGTGGGACCATGAATTTTTTTCCCTTTCTATCTTTCTTTATTTTCTAAATTCTCCATAGTGAACATATATTTCTTTTACAATGAGAAAGAAAACAAAATACTTTATTTTAGAAGATGGAGGAAGAAATATATTTGAACTGTTTACAGCTGGTGCGGCACTGAAGCTGCAGCTTTTACAAATTTCTCTTTTCTTCCCTCACCACCTATGTGTTTATTTTATTTGCATCCAGCCTGGCTGTTCCCAACTCTCCTCCCTGTCTGTTTTCATTCTTCCAAGGGGCGTCCCTCCCCATACTAGAGAACCCTCTCTTTCTCTAAGACATATTTCTCACCTCTTCTCTACCCTTTCTTTTTAGGGGCAGGGGTAACAGCTTTATTGAGATTTAATCCACATACCATACAATCTATCCATTTAAAGTGTATAATTCAATTGTTCTTAGTATATCCACAGAGTTATGCAACCATCATCACAGTAGATTTTGGAACATTTTCATCACTTCAGGAAGAAACTCTGTACCCTTTAGCTATCATTCCCCAACCAGGTGGAGATAATTGAATCATGGAGGTGGTTCCCCCATCCTGTTCTCATGATAGTAAATTAGTTCTCACAAGATCCGATGGATTCATAAGGGGCTTCCCCCTTTGCTTGGCACTCATTTTTCTCCTTCCTGCCACCATGTGAAGAAGGACACGTTTGCTTCCACTTCTGCCATAATTGTGAGTTTCCTGAGGCCTCCCCAGCCATGCAGAGCTGGCTTTTCTTTATAAATTACCCAGTCGGGTATTTCTTCATAGTGATGTGAGAACAGACTAATATATTCACATTCTTTGTGGTTTTCTTAGACTTTTATCTTGACCCTTCCAGGTAATATCTTTCTATACTAAAGTGGGAGGTCTTATGTTTATTGCAGCCCCTCATGCTCTTGACATTTAGATCGAACCTCATCTTGATCTTCTTCAAATTGTCAATAATCTTTATGATCCACCAAGAAAACTGCAAGGGTTGGGAGAAGTTCAGGGTGGTTTTTTTTTTGTTTGTTTTTTGGTTTTTTTTTTAACTTCTATGGAAATCAAAATGGAAGGCCTTGCATGGGTTCAATTTTTCTTGCCATGTGTGGTGTTAGTGAGAGGGGGTTTGGAGGTAGGGAGAGGCCTAAGGGAAACTCTTTCCTTTAAGAGAGGGCCATTGTTTCCCGTAGACTAATGGCCATATTCCATTTCCTTATGGAGTGGGGGGAATTACTTAGACTCAGCCTTTACTCTTTCAGCTTCCACTCTTGGGAACTGTATTATTACCTTGTAAAACAGAACATCTCTCCTATTAGCTGTTAATTGAACCCATCTTTTTCCTCTGTGAGGAACTATAATGTTGACTTTTATTTTCAGAGCTCTGTATTGAGCCTCTTCTTTTTGGAGATTGATGGTGCTCAGACACCAGGGGTAGGCTGTGGGGTAGGGGGTACAGGCATAACAGGAAGTGACTTGTGGGTATCAGAAGTTAAATATGTCCCAACAACCTTTCTTGAGTTGTTCTGTCCATCACCTTGGCTTTGCAGTGACCCAAGCCTTTGTGAATCTATGCTGAGAGCCCTTTCTCTCCCTCCCCCGCCTCTTAAATCATTAGTTGAAATGAAGAGTTTTATGGTAATTGTCCTAGTTTGTTTTATGTTGCTGTAACAGAATTCCTAAGACTGGATGATTTATCAAGAAAAGAGGTTTATTTATTAGGCTGGGAAGTTCAAGATTAGGCGGCCTCATCTTGTGAGGCCTTCATTTAGAAGGCCTCATACTGTGTGAAAACATGGTGGAGAAAAGGAAAGGGAACTGAGCACAAGTGAAAAGGACAAATATGAAAGGCAGTCTCACTTTATAACAACCGCTCTCCTGGTAACTAATCCAATCCCTGGAGAACCAACCCAGGCTTGCAAGGCAGACATAAGTCCATTTTCACCTCTAAAAGGCACCACCTCCCAACACTGCCACCTTGGGGACCACACCTCCACATGAGTTTTGGTAAGGACAAGCCATCTTAAACCATAGAGTAATAAAATGAAGAATCGGATTAAGTCCAAGAGGATATTTTCACCAGTCTTCCTCATTTGGCCAGATCTGAGAACAACTCCCAGAAGGCATTTCTGGGCTAAGGACTTCCACCAGTGTCCAAATGATATTCAGGCCTCTGGTTCCTATAGAGGCCTGTACATCAGGCCAGTCCATTCTTAGCCTGGAGACAATATTGAATAATTACTCCACTGCCAGAAAATTCCCTGAATAGAGTCTCCAAAAACTTAGTATAGACATAAGGTACATTTGGATGTGAAGGATGCTTTAATTTTCTACCAGTAACATTGCTTTAGAAAATAAAGTGTGTTTTATTTTTGTTTATTTACCACTGTACATCTATTACATAGATATTTTAATATTTCTTTTTAAACATATCCACTTCTCTCCAGTCTAAGGCATATTACTTTGTGTATCCATGTACATCTGAAATGAGATAACAGACCTGAAATTTTTCTGGTATATGTGTGTGTGTTTACATACAATTGCAGACATAATATATTCTCTCTCTGTGTCACTCTCTCTTTCTCTCTCTCTCTGTCTCACACACACACACACACACACACACACACACACACACACACACACTTGTCTTATTATATGTAGCACAAAAACAAAAGCAAATAAATAATAAAATATACTAGAATTGTCCCCCACCCTGCTCCCTCTCCCTCACAGGAGCCACAATATACAAATAACAAAGAAACCTTCCTCTTCTGGCAGATGTGAGTTGCTCTGACTGTATTGCCAGGAGAATTTCATAGAGCTTATACTGTTCTGAGCACCCTGCAATTCTGATCTGCAACCATTAGCCAGAGCCTATATGGAAACGGACCATCTCTAGGGTAATAGCATTGTAAATTACAATCAATGCACCCAATTACACTCAGAAACCAAAAGATATGTAG
Source organism: Homo sapiens (assembly GCF_000001405.40). Classification (NCBI taxonomy): domain Eukaryota; kingdom Metazoa; phylum Chordata; class Mammalia; order Primates; family Hominidae; genus Homo; species Homo sapiens. The sequence continues at coordinate 133,692,836 of NC_000023.11, read as the reverse complement.
TGCTCCAGTGTACCTTGTAATCAGCACCTTTGAAAATGTAGGTAACAGCATTCTGAATAAGAAAAATGGAAGTGGAACGTCTTAGAAAATGAATGTTGGAATTAAATCATCCTTCTGATAGAAACAGCACCTTATATGGCAGTCAACTTTTTTTCTAATATCATTTTATTGATTTTTAAAAAAAAACTAAACTGTGGCCTTGTAGCCAAGAATGTCTTTAAAAGTCATTTATTGCTCTAATCAGCCTGGCAGAGCCTTTCTGTCATGCTGATAAGGAAATTAAACTTTTCTCATACTGAGTTTACTTGCCTCTTATGCACAGATGTTTTGTTTTTCTTTTAGGGAACTAATTCAGAAGTTGAAGTCTTTCATCAGCTTCTATAGTGCTTTGCCTGGCTACATCTGCAGCCATAGCCCTGTGGCGGAAAACGACACCCTTTGCTGGAATGGACAAGAACTCGTGGAGAGGTGATCTTTTTTGAAAGTTACATATAGCAATATTTGAGGAATAATTGTCATATGTTTATATAAAAGTTAATTATGTCTTCTATCTCCATTAATTGCACCAGAAAAATTCTAGAGAAATCTATGAGGCTGGATGCGGTGGCTCATGCCTGTAATCCCAGCAGTTTGGGAGGCTGAGGTGGGCAGATCACCTGAGGTCAGGAGTTCGAGACCAGCCTAACACAGTGAAACCCCAACTCTACTAAAAATACAAAAGTTAGCCAGGCATGATGGCGCAAGCCTGTAGTCCCAGCTACTGGGGAGGCTGAGGCAGAAGGATCATTTGAACCTGGGAGGTGGAGGTTGCAATGAGCTGAGATCGCATCACTGCACTCCAGCCTGGGTGACAGAGCAAGACTCTCCAAGAAAAAGAGAAAACATCTATGACATTCCAGATGATGTCTATAATTTATAGCCCTCCTAGAAGTTGCAAAGTTTGAAACACATAGAGAACTGTGTCTGAAGGCAATTTTACAGAGTTTAAAGCATAAAACAACTTTCTTTTGTCTTCGATTCTTCCATCTCCTCATTATGTGGGTCCTTATTTATTTGATTTGAAGAAATCACATTCATCTTGAAAGCTATCATTTATTGAGAGTTAATTGTATATTAAGTACCATGCTAAGTGCTTTGTATGTATTATTTATCTTTATAAAAATCCTATGAAATGAATACTGTTATTTTCCCCCATTATACAGATGAAGATAGAGAAAGGAAGAAAAGGGAGGGAAAGAGGAATACCATTTCACTGAGCAATTTTACTGAAATATTTTATGGAGCATTTGTGGGTTTTGTTTGTTTGCTTGTTTTGTTTTTTTGTTTGTTTTTTTTTTTGAGACAGAGTCTCACTTTGTCGCCCAGGCTGGAGTACAATGGTGCGATCTTGGCTCACTGCAACCTCCGCCTCCCAGGATCAAGTGATTCTCCCACCTCAGCCTCCCGAGTAGCTGTGATTACAGGCACCTGCCATCATGCCTGGCTAACTTTTGTATTTTTAGTATAGATGGGGTTTCACCATGTTGGCCAGGCTGGTCTCAAACTCCTGATCTTGGGTGATCCACCTGCCTCGGCCTCCCAAAGTGCTGAAATTACAGGTGTGAGCCACTCCACCCAGCCGAGTATTTGTTAATATAATCTATGCTATCATTATGTGTGAAGAATTTGCTCATCACTGAAAAGGAAATCATATATATTCATTATATTCATTTATTCAGCAGGTATTTACTGAGCACCTTCTAAGTGCCAAGCCTGTTGAAATGAACAAAACAGACATAATTTCCTGTCCTCGCAGAGCTTTCATTCTGGTGCGCTAGTGGTATTCCTAATCTCCATTGCTTTCCATGTGGGAGGAATAGCTTGCGATTAAAAAATTAAATCAAGAGGACAGAATGCTTAGGAAACCACAAAGAGTTGATGAACATGCTTTAGAAAATGTTTGTACAAGTAGCATGTTATAGAGGAGAATACAGAAGAGACCCAAAATCGAGTCTGAATCTTTCACTAATTAGTTGTTTAACCAAAGGCAAGTGACTTAATCTCTCTAGGCCTTGGTTTCCCCCATCTAAAAAAGGAGGTGGTTGGATTAGAGCCCCTCCAGGTCTGACAATCTGTATTTTTTTCTTATTAATTTATTCACTCATTCATACCTTCAACATTTATGTTTTGAGATATTATGTGTTAGGCACCAAGCTAGGTGCTAGGTAGGGGTGCAAGGGCGAAAAAGGCAAGTTAGCTGCTTTGAAGAGCTTACATTCTAGTGGGACCCAATACCAGGACATGGAATGCTGAATGGAATTTATTAACAGTATAATGGAGTGCAAAGAGGAAGGCTTTGGAGCCAGATGAATTTGGATTTGCCTCTCAGTTCTGCTACTAACTGTGGCCTTGGGTGAGTCACTTAACCTAAAAAGTCTTAAGGTCCTCCTCCTCTGTAAGGGAAGGGCATCTCACAGGATTGTTGTAACTGTTAGGAGAGGTCATAAATGAAAAGCCCCTAGCAAACTGGCACATGCTGGAAGCTCAATTTATATTACTTCTCTATTTTTCCCCCTTTCCCCTTCACTCCTCCTCTTTCCAACACAAAACAAAAGACATGTCAGAAAATAGCTTGTTCCTCATCTATGCTATTTTACTGACATGGGACAATGAGAATAAGGTTGCGTGCCACCCTGAATGAGGCACTGAAATTGTATGGAGATACACTTCTCTCTGGCAAATGTAAATCAGCCTGGAAGGATTAATGGCTCCATGCACTGGAGAAATAATGTATATTTGTCATCCTAAAAGCTCATCAGGTACTAAGAAGAATCATGAACATTTTTTTTTAATTTTCAGAAAAAAACAGTTGGTATTTGGCTTTATAAAAAGCTGATGCTTTAAAACTGATACAAACAATAACTATTTGAAAAAGAATATATCCACAGGTCAAATATGTGCTTCTTACATAAACTTGATGACAAACCATTCCAGTGCCTTGTCCAGTGTTATGTTACTTTAGCGAAAAATGAACAACTCCTGAATATTTGTTTTAAGCAGCTTATCTTCTAACCATGGTTTCTTATTAAAAAGGAAATTTTACTTTACAAATATATTTATTTACTGATGTGTTCATTCATTCACGTATTCATTCTAACAAATATTTGAGCACTTATCCAATATCAAGCACTAATATTTGTTTCTTCATTGTGATTGTTTGAAGCAAATATTATAACCCTGCTGGATTTATCTTCTATTGTTTATGGTGAAAAATCAGATCGATCCAGTTTTAGTTAATTGTAAAATAATTTATTCCTAGGCCTATGTATTTTGAATTAGTGGAATTTTTATTGAATTTTGCTCATACTGACTACTTCATGTTTGGTACACTTTGGTGAAGAATGATGCCCTGGAACCAAGAAATTTCTCTTCTATCAAATGGTGGATTCCGAAGCCTGCTAAATTTGAATGAGTCCAAAAGTTAGCCAAATGTACTTTTATATCATTAAAAGAACTATGGTAACTGAAATATTTTTGTTTCATTTGCTAGCTTTAAGCCTTAGGGTATTGAACAAAATAATAAAATAAATATTGTAGTATGGAGAAAAGCTAATATTCCAAACTCCTATTTATATTTCTGATTTCTGAAAAATCTTTATTTTCAAAACGACTTTTATTGTTAATATATACTATCCAGGAAAGAAAGAAAGGAAAGAAGGGAGGTAAGAAGGAAGGAAGGATGAAGGCAAGGAAGGGAGGAAGAAAATAAACATATTTTCAGAGAGAATAAGGGTAGTGTAATCCAGGAAGTGACTCCTTCTTGGTTAGTAACCTCAGGTTATAATTAACTTGTACTTGTATTACTGACCTAATGCAATGATCAAACTAGGGAATAATGTCAAACTAAATTTTTTTAAAAATTACTCAGGAATATACCTTTAATAATATGAAGTTCTTTAGCCTGAAGACATGTATGGCTTCTATTTGTACCATTTATAAAGATTAGCTTTGCACTCGTGTCTCATCTATAGTGAAAACCTCTTTCTAGAGCTTTTCAATAAATTTCTCATTTAATTTAGTCTTAAGTAACAGTTACCACTTCCTATTGTCCAGTGGGTTGTAACTTTGTTATCTTTCTAGGTCAAGTTTGTGTGCCTGTGAAAAATTTTACTTTTAGTCAAGAAAAATTATGAAAATCAAGGATCCTGATAGGGAATGAGACTTGTCAGTGGAGACACTTGATCAAAAGGAAAATATTGATGTTGAGGGAAATACTGAGCAATATTCATGTCAGTTGGGTTATTAGAGCTGTTTGTAGCCTACTATGGATGTATCGATCACTCAACTTTTAAAGAGTTAATTCCTTATCTCTCTGAATAAGGTCATATTTTCCATCCTTTCCTTTTTTATCTCTTATGAATGCAATCAATTGAAATATGAATGAAGAGAATGTTTTCACCGATCCAGTCTTAGAGAGTACCACATAAGCCTATCATTCTTCCTTCTCAGCTTCCCACCACCACCCTATCTGGGCTTGAGATAAACATTGGTTTGTCTACCAGGACTTAGCTGAGAAACCTTCAAATTAGCAAACTGGGCCCATGTGAGATATCCTCTTTTATGTGAGCCACTAGCATATCCTACAGGCAAAGATTTCCTAAAATTGCCAAAGGCAGAAAGATCCTCCAGCTTCTGCCTTTGTCAAACTACAGAGAATTTCAATTAGAGAGTCCTTGAGACCAAGAGAAAGATAAAGGAACCCAGATTGCTGAGTTAACACTGGGCTTCACAATAAGTAAATGTCTTTGCCCTGATAACACCCAAATGAACAGTGAACATTTTTGTAAATCATTCTCAAACACCCTTTTTGCTAGGCCAAATATCTGGATAATTGACTGAATTTTCATTCATTTTCTGGATAGTTTGATACTTTATAAATTAGTATAACAGAGCAACTATAAATTAGTTTTAGTTTCTATAAATTAGTTTAGAATCTATAAATTAGTAAACAGAGTTTGACACTTGTTTAAATTAGTATAACACAGGAACTGTTTAAACTATATATGTTCAAAAACCCCTAGTTTGTGAGAAAAAAAATAAACGTATTTTGTCTTTACATTTAATATCTGATAGGCCAGGCGTGGTGGCTCACGCCTGTAATCCCAGCACTCTGGGAGGCCGAGGCAGGCAGATCACAAGTTCAGGAGTTCGAGACCAGCCTGGCCAATATAGTGAAACCCCATCTCTACTAAAAATATTTTTTAAAAAAATTATCCGGGTGTCGTGGCAGGTACCCGTAGTCCCAGCTACTTGGGAGGCTGAGGTAGGAGAATCACTTTCCAGGAGGTGGAGGTTGCAGTGAGCTGAGAACCCAGGAGGCAGAGGTTGCAGTGAGCTGAGATCATGCCACTGCACTCCAGCCTGGGCGACAGAGTAAGATTCCATCTCAAAAAAAAAAAAAAAAAAAAAAAAAACTCTGATAATTCAGGCTCATTCCACACAGATTGAGCACTTAATATATAATAGGGCATACCTTGATAAGTAGAATCCAGCTCCTGCGCCTGCTAAGGAGTTCACAACCTAGAGAAGGATGAGGAAAGAAAATCAAGCCATCTCTGCCGGGCACGGTGGCTCACGCCTGTAATCCCAGCACTTTGGGAGGCCGAGGCAGGCGGATCACGAGGTCAGGAGATCGAGACCATCCTGGCTAACACGGTGAAACCTCGTCTCTACTAAAAATACAAAAAAAAAAAAAAAAAAAAAAATTAGCCGGCCATGGTGGCAGGTGCCCGTAATCCCAGCTACTTGGGAGGCTGAGGTAGGAGAATGGCGTGAACCCAGGAGGCAGAGCTTGCAGTGAGCCGAGATCGCACCACTGCACTCCAGCCTGGGTGACAAAGCGAGAGTCCATCCGTCTCCAAAACAAACAAACAAACAAACAAAAAAAGAAAATCAACCCCATCTCTTCCCCAGCAGTCCAGGGAGAGCTCCTCTTAGAGGTATCACAACAGAGGCCCCATCCATGTGTATTGTGTGTGTGTGTGCAGGCGCAAGTGTGTGTGTGTGTGTGTGTGTGTGTGTGTGTGTGTTGAGGTAAAATTTGCATGACAAAATTACCATTTTAGGGTATACGATTCAGTGGCATTTAGTCCATTCACAATGTTGTACAACCACCATCTCTCTCTAGTTCCAAGACATTTCATCACTCCAAAAGGAAACCTTGTTGTACATTAATGGGCACTCCCCATTTCCCCTTTCCTCCAGCCCCTGGCAAGCAACAATCTGCTTTCTGTCACAACAGATTTACTTATTCTAAGGGTTTCATATAAATGGAATCATTCACTTAGCATTATGTTCTTAAGGTTTATCCAAGTTGTAGCACATATCAGTACTTTATCATTTTATGGCCAAATAATATTTCATTGTAGGTATATAACATATTTTGTTTATCCATTCATCAGTTTTTATTCATTTTTATATAAACTCTGAGCAACTACTTCTCTGTCAGATCTCTCTCACTACCTCTGCATTCAGCTTAGCTCACCCTTATCCTTGAAGACAGGTCAGCCAAACCTATAGGCCTCCCATCCCCATCATCCTTGAGCACCATCTAAATGCTAGCCTATCACCAGACCTCATCTCTGTAATCCTTTGCAATGATTCTCCCCTGAGTCTTTGTCTCAGCCTTCTGTTTGTAGTCAGCTGGCCTCTCCTACAATTAGCACACCTCCCATAGGGGTTTATATTTCCCTAGTGACTTTGAGGCTTATCAACTCTGCATAGACAACTGCTTTACTTTGTGGCACGATGCCTTAGTTCCCTTTGTGATTCAGCTGGAGCTGCTAATGCTACCCCTTTATCATGTTGCTGGGCCAGATGGGCCTAGCTCCAGATGTCAGCTCCAGGATATTGCTGTTTTCTGGCTGACAGTTTCTACATAGCCACTTCTGTTCATTATGAATTGGAGCTGGGCGTGGTGACACGTGCTTGTTGTCCCAGCTACTCAGAAGGCTAAGGCAGGAGGACTATTTGAGCCCAGGAGTTTCAGTCCTGCCTGGGCACACAGCAAGACCCCATCTCTTAAAAAAAAAAAAAAAAAACTATGTTATGAATGCATGTTCATCTTTAATTCTCTCATGATGACTCTGAGACTGTCACATGGGGCAGCTGGCCTTACTAAATAAACTCCCTAAGATCTGCAGGGGAAAATTGTGGTGAATCTGCCTCCTCTTTATCTTATGCAATCTTACCTCTCATTTCACCTGAGAAATTTTATATATATATATATACACACACACACACACTTTGAATTCTCTTATTTCCATTAACCAGACAAGTCTTCCAATGTTTCTAATGCCTCTTCAGGATTTCTCTGCTTAATTGAGAAGGCAGAAGTGGGAATATGCAAAGCAATTATGTTAATTCTCAGAGTTTTGTCCGTTGTCTCAAAACCTTCTGGATGTTTCAGAAAAGTACAGTAAGGAAACATTTTTCTCTCTCTTCTGCTGGGTTGGAAGGATAGACTGTGGCATGTCAGCAAGTTGAAGTGAATATGAGAGAACCATGAACACCCAATTCATGAGATGTGTAAAATCATACAAACAATTAAATGACCGAAATAGCTTCTTTTTTCCCCTATGATCTAGGAAAGGCAAGGGAGAATAGTTGATTCTGCTTTTATAATGCAATTATTTTAAGAACACGGTATATTTTGAGAAATTTGGTTGGGGGCACAGTTCTTTCTTTTCTTTAGTTTTTATTTCTATAGCTTTTGGAGTACAAGTGGGTTTTTGTTACATGGATCAATTATATAGTGGTGAATTCTGAGATTTTAGTGCATCTATCACCCAAGTAGTGTATGTTGTACCTAAAAATTTCTAACACGAAAAAGTCTTTCACTGGTTTACATGGAAACAAGGAAAGACCTTCAGAATCTTCAATCTAGTAGTAAAGAGATTAAGTAAAAAAAAAAAAAGACCTATATGCCAAAGTGCATATATACTCACACATACATATAAAACATGCACATCTCATTCTAGTCATGTCAGAACAGGCCAGTGGTACGCAGCAGTTGCTATACATCGCTTCCATGCTCTCGTGCTAAAATAAGTTATTATTTGTTGTTGTTGTTGTTGTTTTTTAATTTATAGGGTGGCTTTTCTCCAAAGTGCCCAAGGCAGTATGCATACAATTTTAAATATAGAATAGCCAATGCAAACATCAATGGGGAAATAAATAAATAAAATACAGAGCCAAGAGGAAGAGGGTACAGAAAAACATAAACAATGGACAATGGAAATAATATTCAGTAGCATTGAGTCAGGTCCGAAAGTCCATTGATTCAGGCATAAGTCAGACTAAAGTCATGCTGAAGGTGAGACTCAGTAGCTCTTCTCAGCCACTGTTGTGGTGATTTGAGGGTTAGAAACTGAGGTATAGTCTTCAACTTCCCAGCTCTCTCTTCTCATAGCTAGTTCTTCCTTTGCCCCTATATTGGAGGAGGCTCTGCTTATGAAAGGCTGGTGGGAGGGACAGAGGGACAAATAGGGCTTTGGTATTTGATTTATCACTATCTATCTCCACAGTTCCTGGTCCCCCTAAGACATTTTTGGATTTCATTTCTACTTTAGTTTTCCCAGGAGCAGAAACATGACACTTCATTTTTTCCGATTTGGGGAACTGCTATGTTAGCCTGAGTGTGTGCCCAAGAATGAACATACTGAAGTATAATGATGCTTTGCTAGTATGGCAGTTTACATATTCTACCTTGCCTTAGATAAGTCAAGATTGCTCTTGGAAAGCCTTTGAAGGAGAAATGGATTATGCAGAAAGTGACTTAATTTGGTATAGCATGAAATATTTATGGCAGCTAAGAATTTTTTTAAATCCTGGTAAGGCAGAACAGATCAGTTTGGAGAGTACCCCCATGTAATAATCTCTCTATGGACTTAGATTGGCATATTTTTCAGCAGCGATTTATCTTAGATGTAGTCTTTAATGACAGATATTTATCAGGACATACTCTCGTGGCAATACAGTAACATTTATCCCTTAAGATTATGGTGTCATATACAGTAGCTTTACCTTCAGAATTGAGTGAGAAAAACACAGCTTATGCTGCTGACGGATGGCTTAATACAGTGTGCTCCATTCAGGATGTGTTAGACTTGGTTGACTGTCATGTCTTAAGTAGCAGGAAGAGACATTTTCATGGCTCAACATTGATATGTCTATAGACAACCTGTTGAATACTGGATAGCTTATTACTTTAAGCAGATTGTGTCCTATTAGTATACAATTCTAGCCTCTGTTGAGCTCAGTTGGATCATTTTGTGATACAAAGAGCATTTGGGGGCCTCCAAAGCAGGTCCCAGCATATCCACACCCTCAACAAATAAACATCACCTCCTAATTTCCTCTTGGAAATGTGATTCTGATGGTTGGATAAGGCCTGTCTCCTTTTACTATCACTGCTCCATGAATCAGAAATCTTCTATTTTAGCCTGGAAGGCTTAGGAGATGGAACCAGGAAGAAACATATCTGCTTTTAAGAAATGGGTAAATTAACATACTAGAGCTTCTCTGCCCCTTAACTATTATTGCCTCCTTCAAAGGTAGTGCCTTGGTAAGTGACAGATGGACTCCACTGATGCTGCCAGTCTTCCAAATAATTTTTCTACCTCCTTTTTGGAAAAAGCCTTGTGGGTTTATGGCTGATCCCTGCCGTCTACAAGTTGTTGATTCTCAACCAGTTGATTATCGGTGGTGCAGGCTGAGGTCTTCAGTGAGAAGACCCTGAAACGTTAGGAAACATACACTAGGTGATTAATACATACTGGGAAGAGTGCAGTCTTTAGAATGATCCAGATGGATTTTTTTTTTTTTTTTTTTGAGTCAGAGTCTAGCTCTGTCACCCAGGCTGGAGTGCAGTGGCACAATTTTGACTCACCACAACCTCAGCCTCCCGGATTCAAGCGATTCTCCTGCCTCAGCCTCCCAAGTAGCTGGGATTATAGGCACGTGCCACCATGCCTGGCCAATTTTTGTATTTTTAGTAGAGACAGGGTTTCACCATGTTGGTCAGGCTGGTCTCGAACTCCTGACCTCAAGTGATCTGCCCTCCTTGGCTTCCTAAAGTGCTGGGATTACAGGCGTGAGCCACCGCGCCCGGCCCCAGATGGATATTTTAATCCTAGTTCAGACACCAGCTGTGTGCTTTGGGCAGGACATTTAATATGACATTCTGTTACCTTATTTATAAGATGGGAGTAATGATACCTACTCTGCAGGGCTGTTGTGAAGATAAGTTCTGGCACATAGGCACTTAAATAATTGATAGCTGGTGTTGATGTTGTCATTACTATTATACCATGGTTGAGCAGCCCATGTAAATGTCCAGAGTAAAGGTGAAGAGGTGTGGGCCATGTTTCTTCCCATAAAGGTAAACTGGATTTTTTTTGGGAAATAATGTGAGTCTTTGGGAACGAAACTGCTAAATGAGGTGGCTGATCAAGCAGGCTCATACCATTTGGGGTTCATTTGGAGTGAGAGGATAAAATAATAGGGCTGTTTCCTTCTTCTAACATTTATATTGGCTTTAAATGGGGTTTCCAAAGAGGAGTTCCAGGAATTTTTCTGTAGAGACTGGGTCTCGCTGTGTTGCTCAGGCTGGTCTGGAACTCCTGGGTTTAAGCGATCCTCCTGCCTCAGGCTCCTAGGTAGCCGAGATTATGGGCATGTACCACCACGCCCAGCAAGAAGTGTTTTGAGTGATGTCAGCATAATTGTTGCAACAACGTTTGGGCTGCATACATTCTGGTAGATTTATACAAGTTTGAAATCTGTCATGACTTTATATTCACCCCTCAGAGAGCATGTAAGTTGAATACTGATTGAAACAAGGCTGCTGAGTGTGATAGGTGTCCTGACGTTTCCCTGGTAAATTTCTTTTAGTGTTATCAGTGTCACTTCATCAGAACACCTCTGACCTCTACAAACAGTAACACCCGCCTGAAACATTTTTGTCCAATTTCTCTGACTCAGGAAGTTTCTTTCTGATAGTCAATCACTGAGCATCAGTGAAAGTGGACTCTTGGGACTTGGAGTGTGAAGCACAGGGAAAGGTATGTTAGGGAAGCCTCTTTCTTGGGAGCTTCCTGCTAGCGGCCCTGCTCTTAGAACACCTCTGGCAGTTGTCATTGTTGTGGCTGTGATCGTTGGATTGTGGTGGTGGTTTTTCTGTTCCACAGGCCACAGGAAATGGCTGGCAGGTGCCACTTTCTTTGCTGCTACTGGCACAGTTCTTTCCCTAGGGTACAAGCTCTTGGTGACTTCTTTGAAAGAAATTTAGCTCTCCTATTTTTTTGCTCTTTCTTCCTATACTTCAGCAAGTACAAAATCTTGTTTGAGTTTCTCCGATGATTTTTTACTGATAGAAATGTAGCCAAACAGTTGAGGGATTAACAAAAAGCACACAGAGTTATGTGGCAACCTAAGGCAGTGTAGTAGAGTGTTTAAACTTACAACCTTAGAGTCAGCAAAGCCTGGGTTTGAATGCCTTTTCCATTACCTATTAGCTCCTTTTCTTCTCTGATCCTCAGCTTCCCCACACGTAAAATGGAGTTAATAGTTTCTCCCTTAACAGATTGTTGAAAAGATTCCAGGAGATTGCGAAGTGCAGAGTATAGTGCCTGGAACACAGTTAGTCTCTCAAAAATGGTAGCTATTATTGCTGTTCTTCAAAAAAACCTATAAAAAAGCCCTTGAAGATCTTTACTGGGAGATAGATGGAGTTAGGCCTGATATTGGCTCCCTTCAATAACCCATTCTTAACTTTTCAGGAACACCTACCCCCCTCTCATTTTTATGTTATTTCCTCTTTTTTCTGCAAAAACATCAAAATCCCAATCCTTGGTCATGGTTGGTTCAAATGGTGGGCATTTGAGTCCACTGGGGATCAAGTGAGAGTTATTTGCATCTAAGGGTGTGCGCTAGGCTGGCCTTCTTACCTTCAGCATCTTGTTTCACAGCAAAGACATCTTAAACCATTTCTCCTATGACTGCTTTATAGAGATTAACTCGGGCAATCTTCCTAAATTACATTAAAAACCATGATGAGTCTAGTTGCAGGTCAAAAATAGTTGTTCAGTGCTCTAAAGTCCTTTCTGTCACCCTTGAGTTAGCCTTTGTAGAAAAGGAGAAAGATCATTAAAATCAGTCATGATTTCCCAATTTCTCAAGCCAATGAATTTTATTCTTTTACGTGAGTATGGCTTTGATCCATGGGTTTGTCTCATTTAGAATGTAGTTTCATTTCCCTGGAAAAGAAATTTGTTTTAATTTGTAACTCCAGTGTCACAGGAGCTTCCTATTTTTTGCCCGCTGAGATCTTAGTGATCCACATGGTCAGATGGATCTTAAAAACTACCCAAATGAACTTTTTCTTGGTTTGAGCCACTTGTTGGCCCATTTTGTCATTGTTCTCTTTGCTTCTAATCACAGCTTCGGGCCTAGAGCTGGGATGAGTACTTGTTCAGCAGGAGCCAGAGTAAGGTGTTCCCACCTGGGGTAGGGATACAGCAGTTGGGGTTGGAGGGATGCATAGAGGATTGCACTATGTAAGAACTCATGCTGAAAAGCTAATTTCCAAATACTATTAGGGAGCACTAAGACAAGGACCATCTTAGAATGGGCTAGAAAAAGAGCCATTGGCTAGCTTACCCCTACTTATCCTTAACATTATCTCTTCTGAGGACCCTGGATCCTCCTGTCCACACCTTTGTCTGGGTTAAGGCTTGCTGGCACCTTATCTTCTCTCTAGCATGTCCCCAGCGACACTATATTGAGAGCTTTTACATGTCTGTCTGTAATCTTCTAGTAGCTCCTTCGTGACTGGTACTGTGGGCCGGGCACAGTGGCTCATGCCTGTAATCCCAGCACTTTGGGAGGCCAAGGTGGGTGGATTGCCTGAGCTCAGGAATTGGAGACCAGTCTGGGCAACATGTCGAAACCCCGTCTCTACCAAAAATACAAAAAATTAGCCGGGCGTGGTGGCATGTGCCTCTAGTTTCAATTATCCGAGAGGGTGAGGCGGGAAGATTGCTTGAACCCGAGAGGTCGAGGCTGCAGTGAGCTATGATCGCACCACTGCACTCTAACCTGGGTGACATAGTGATCCCCTGTCTCAAAAAATAAAATAAAATAAAATAAAAAATAAATAGTAGTACTGTGTCTTCCATCTATAGAACCTCATTGCTTAGCTGTGCCTGCCATAGAGTAAACTCTCTATACATGTTTATTGAATTCGTAGGATGAACCAACAAACATAGTTGTGGGTAACAGACCTTAGTACTAGGCCTAGCTTCCCATGGTATCACTGTACCATTAAGCAGATTACTTAAACTCTATTTTGTTTTCTCCTTTTGTGAAATTAATACCTCCCCTGCCTACCTCAAAGGGTTGCTGTGAGCCTCCAATAAGAAAACGCATATGAGATGTTTTTGAAAATTATAAATTACCCTCCATTTACTAGATGTTAGTGTAGAAGAGTAGATCAGATGTAAGGGGAAGTTTTACCCTGAATAAATGGAACATTGGGTAATCAACACAGCATTACTGGGCTCTCTTTACAAACATGGATCCTTTAGTAGCTTCCTGAGTATCTCTCTCTGTACATCTCTCAAGGACTTGAGGAATGTCACTTAAAAAAAATTTTAAGCAAATCCACCTATCCCCATGAATTTTATTTTTAAACAAGTCAGCCCGTGGTGCTGAATTAAACCAGTTGGCCCTCGATAAGGAAATACTTTGAGAGATTGGTAGCATCAGTTTAAATTAATGAAAAGTCTGAGTGACAGATCATTTTAAAGTAAATGCAGTTTTATTACTTTCAAACACATATAATAACAATGCTGGGAATTGAATTTGGAGAAAGACAGCCTGTGTCAGAGAATCGAAGCATACAAATAAGAATCATTGATAATGAGGCTATTGCTGTGTGGCTATCCTGCTAAAGACCATCCTCCTCAAATTGGCTAATGTTCCCCTGGAGAAGCTTATCTATTTAAGAAACCCCTATTTTTTTCATTTATAGGCATGAAGAAAGTACCATTACAAATTCCTATACATGGCTTCTGGATAACCCAGCTTTTTCAAACCCCAGTGGATAGCATCTAGCAGCAGTGCCCTGCTCTCTGGTTATAACAAATAGTAATCTCGAACAGCAAATACCCTCTGGCCCCTACAGTGATCAACTTTTTCCAGGTTGCCTAGGACTTTCCAGGTTTAGCACAGAAGGTCCCAAGTCCTAGGAAACCCCTCAGTCCCAGCAAACTGGAGTGGTTGGTTACCTATTGGTACCTATGACTCTTACAGCTACTAAATATAGGGAAAAGATGCAGTCGTGGGGGTTTACATTGAAGGGGTGGAGGAGAGCTGGGAGAGCTGCAGCTCACCCATTCTGTTGGTTTCTCTGCCTTCACTTTTTAACTCCTCTTACCTTTTCCTCCCTGATGCATTTTGATCATTGCCCTCTTCCCTTTGCTCTCTCAAATTCTAAGGGTACAGTGGGACTTCAGAAAGCAGGACTGAGACAGTAAAGTGGCTAATAATAGTAATAACTAACCATTCTATGGAGCTTCCCAAGTGCCACACAATATGCTAGGCAGTTTGTATGCATTGACTAATTCTCAACAACAGCCTTTTGAAGCAGACAGTATTATTACCTACATTTTACTGATTCTACTGATGACATTGAGTAAATTACCAAAGGCCACAGCAAGATGGGCTTCAAACCCATCCAATCCATCCCTTACCCACAGTACTGTCCTGCCTGTCAAATGCCTGACTTCTCTCCTGCAAGGTTTAAAGCCTTCTCACCTTCTTCCTATTCTTGGTGGAAATCCTGACGTCAGCTTGCTTTAATCTGTCATCCAGCAGACCTGGAATGAGTGTTCTGTGCAGCTTTTCTCTGGTCTGTACTGCTATACCCTGTCCTTTCCTTGTTCCCTGCCCAGTCTTGCTCCTTGAGAGTAGAAGTACATTTCCTGCCTCTCATACCATGCTTCTCTGCTCTCATGTCCTCTCAAGTCTATAAGGCGCCATCCCCTGGAAGAAGGAGTTCTTAGAGATATTTCAGCCCCTTGCTAGAAAATGGCACTCACCTGCCTCTGAGGCTAGCTCTCCATTTAATCTCCTCTACTCACATGCCTCTGATAATAAAGCCATTGCCTGTGCATCCCCTGTGGCGCTTTGGAGTCCATGCAAACAAACAAACAAAAAACCTTTGCCCTAGGCTGAGACTCCAGCCTGAGTCCTAGCTCTACTGTGAACTTGTTGCATGACCTTGGACAAGTCACTGCACTTCTGTTTTTTCTTTTACTTATAAAATAAAGGAATTTGACAAAATCACCTCTAAAGCACTTTCCACCTATAACAGGCTATGAGATCCTATAACAAAGATATTTGATGGGGGAGGGAATATGAAAGGAAAGGGAACACCATAAAGCTACCTTAATGACTTTGAATTTGATGCCTTCCCAAGTAGACCAAAGTGAAAGTGATTCGAAAGGAACCCCAGGGTATAATCATTCTCCTGACGACAGCAGTGAGCTCTTCATTTTACTCCTCCAGGTATTATTGGAGCTACAGGGGAGCAGGTAGGTTGGCTGTTTGAGATGTCAGAGTTGTTCTCGATTTCTAATGTTGGAGAGTTTGGGGTACAACTCACATAATTAAACCTTAAAGAAAATGTTTCCCCCATAGCACTGCATAACTCCAATGGGGCTTCTGAGCAGGAAAAAGAAAATGGAATTCAATGTCTGTTGCTCCCAATAATATTTGACACAACTGTCCAGAATGAAAATTAGAAGCCCTCTAACCACAGAGATATATAAGTGACAGGAGAGAGACATTGGGGGAGTGCCAAGGGCTGAAGGGCAGGTTAAGAGCAAAGGAATACAAAGTGGCTAAGAAAACCAGAGGGAGAGAGACAATTTCCACCCTTTCCAAGACCCTCCAGGCTAGAGGGCTTGGGTAAATTTTGACCTAGTTGTCCTTGTGTGCATGGCTGTGAGCTTTTATTAAGTATTTATGCAGCAGTTTATATTTTACCAAGTGCTTTACAATCACTTTTATTTGGCTTAGTAAAGTTTTCCTGGAATCCCATCTACTTTATGATCAGAAGAGTCATTTCTTGTTTGCTTAGCACCTCCATGTGTACAGCCTCACACAATAGGCCACTTGTTCCAGCAGGAGAGCAGGTGCAAAGAGTTGAGCAGTGGAGGGCACCTGCAGCTACCAGGGCAGTTGGAGTGGGTGTAGTTTACACTTCAGCTCACCTTTTCTCCCCCTTTGTTATTCTTTCATGTTATGTTATTGCTGGCAACTTGAGAGTGGCAGGGTAAGGCTTGGGCCTGTCGAGTGCAGAGCTGTCCTGCATATGGACACTGGCAAAGGTAGGCTCTTTCCCCTGTGCCAGTGTCTCTGCCCATGCCCACCATGGCCATGCACTTCCACCAGGCAAAGACTTGCTGAGTGTGTTTCTTTCTGCTGCTTCAGGGTTCTTGCTGCAGCCTTGGTCCTAGATCTCTGGACATGAGTTTAGGAAGACTATAGAAAGAGCAGTTCTACTCTCTGCAGACAAGACCAGCCAGTGTTCTTGGACAAATCTAACACTTAGCTACCTTATTCTTGGTAGTCCCTTCTCCCTTCCAGCAACCACGGCAGCCCCCCTGCACCAGCACTCTGGATTTTGTGATGTAGGATGGTGTGGCTGTATAGATGGCTCATGAAGCAATATGGCTACACACTCTCAATCACCGGTTTGCAGTGGGAATCCAACACAGTCATCAGTTGGATGTTTCCTTTTCTGAAGACCAGATTTGCCAAGGCAGAAACTAAATGCTGGTTCGTGAAGTCCAGACCGGAATTAGTAGGCCAGAACATTGGAAAATTCAGGACCTCCAACAACTAAAGTTCTGTGGCTGAGAACAGGGCTATGTAGATGCTTAATAGGTAAGTGTAGAATAGATGATGACACTCAGTGGAGCATAGAAAAGGAACTCTGCTGTTCTCTAGGTTGCCACTGGTTTCTAAAATGGTGTGATCTGGCAGGTGGGACACATTGACAGGTTTACCTCGAAGGGCCCAGTGTAACATAGGTCCTCAGTCAGTGGCTGCAGATTTGGGGGAAAGGCCCCAGGGGCAACAGGTTGACAAGGGTTAGGCAGAGTAGCTTAGAGTCTCCATCACACAAACTGAGCATTGGATGGGGCCTTTTATCTCAGGTCAGTTCAGTAGACATTTATTGAGTGGGTACTGGGTGCCAGGTACTGGGTAAGGGAGTGGGCCTAGAAATGAATACAGACAAGAGCCCCAGGACAGAGTTTTGCTCAGGAAAACACAGCTGGCAAGAGGAAGTCATACCTGAACACCCGGGGCTCACTCAAAAAAACATGAAATACTGGCTTGGAGGAACAAAACGAATTCCAGAGCCTGGGGCCTGACAAGTGAGTCAGTTAAACTAACACCTTCCTGCCCTTGTCACTACTGGCTCAGGATCTGGGTAGGGCTAATTCTGCAGGTTGAAGGTTTGAGGCCTGGAAGTGACTGTGACTAAGGCCAGAGGAGCTGACGGAAAACAGTGGCAGGAATGTTTAGCTTTCTTTTCAAGTGTATCAGTAGCACCTATTTGCATGAAAACAGTTTGTTCTTTGAGGCTGATCTTTGGCAATTTATTAACCACAGTTCAGCCAGACATCCAAAAGAACACTGAGGAGCCTTTCCTCCCTCTGTTTACTACATATTCTAGAGATGCCACACAAGAGAAAAATCCACCAGGCACACTTTTTCCTGTTTCAGACTTGCCTCTCTCCCAAACGTGTCTGGAGTCAGTTAAGAGTGATTGTTTAGGTGGACTTTGAGAGTCCTGTTCTTCATTTTGAAGATCACCACATTAAAGAATGGATGTTTGTTGTGGGCCCTGCAGCGACTGGAGACAAACAAAGCAGTGTTCTGAGCAGAGAGATTTGAAAAAGCGTGTGGGCATTTTCAAGAGTCATCTAATTCATTACTTGTGACAGTATCCAAAGTGGAAGCAGAATATTTTCTATCACTGAGAGGAGGAATATGAACTGTGGGAGAAGGAGGGAGGGGAACAGGCTTCTGACACCCAAAGCTGGTCACTCAGGAAACTTTGGAGGGTTGCCCTGGGCCACAGGTGAATGATTAGTTCTTCTGTGAACTAAAATTAATTTTGAGCCGTTTGAAGCCCTTTCTGGTCATTTCCCCCTCAGATGATGCCCTGTCTCCTGGAAGGTTTGGGAGGGCACCTCTGCTAAAAAGTTCCTCTCAGCTAGGCTTAAATGCTCAGAGCCAGCCATTCACACATCATTGCTCAATCGCGATGGCAAAGAAAGTTCCAGTGCTTTTTCCCTTGCCCATTTTCCCTGATGATAAGCCATTCCTACTCATGCCTTGACCCATACTTTACCGAGGACCAAAATAAGAGAACTGAGACTCTTCCACTTCTTAAGTTCTCAATGTGGGGATGAAGGGATTTGAAGCTTCCCTTGGCTATTCATTGCAAGGTTTATTTCTTCTCTCTCAGGAAGCTCTTTTTTATTTTTTTTAGAGACTGGTTCTCCTGTACTCCACCCAGGCTGGAGTACAGTGACACCATCATAACTAACTGCAGTCTCAACCTCCTGGGCTCAAGTGCTCCTCTTGCCTCAACCTCCCAAGTAGCTGGGACCACAGGCATGCACCACCATGCCTGGCTAATTTGTTTTTAAGTTTTGTAGAGATGAGGTCTCCCTATGTTGCCCAGGCTGGTCTCGAACTCCTGGGCTCAAGCAATCCGCCCACCTCTGCCTCCCAAAGTGCTGGAATTACAGGTGTGAGCCACCATGCCTAGCAGGGGATTCTTTTCAAATAACCTTTATTGAACATCTACTGCATTTGAGATGCTGTGTTTGGTGCTTTCACGTGATAAAAATAATAACAGCAGCCCTCATATAGAACTTTCTATGTGCCTGGCATTGTCTTAAGCACGTTATCTCAATTTGCTAACATTCATTATATCAAATAATTCTCAAAACAGTGCAGGTGGCATTATTCCTATTTTATAGATGAGGAAACTCAAGTTCGGCAAGGTTTCACTATTTATCAAAAGTCACACAGCAGGTGGGGGCACCAGCTTTGAACCCATGTCTCTGACTCCAAGGCCAGTGCTCTTTCCACCACGTGACTCTTCCTCCCTAAAATGTATTATGTACTTGCTGCCTCAGTAAACTATGACTGCCAAACCGAACTTAATCTCTTACAACAATTATTGATCATTATTTTGAACGTCAGTTACCTTCACACAATGCCCTCATGTTGTTGAGGTATGTGACTAGTTCCTTGCCCCCTTGTTCTTTGCTATTCTATTTGGGGGAGGTAACAGCTTCATTCCTGTCTCACTAGCAGTGATGCCAATAATAACTTTAGTTGCTGTTATTTGGCCTCTGGGCCTCAGTTTGCCCCTCTGTAAGAGGAGAACATTGGGCTGAATGACTTTGAAGGTCCTTTCTAACCCTGATATTTTCATCAATTAAAATCTAACTTAAAAATAGGTAAAGAGGCTGGGTGCAGTGGCTCACGCCTGTAATCCCAGCACTTTGGGAGGCCGAGGCAGGTGGATCACGAGGTCGGAGTTCAAGACCAGCCTAGCCAAGATGGTGAAACCCCGTCTCTACTAAAAATACAAAAATTAGCCAGGCATGGTGGTGTGCGCCTGTAATCCCAGCTACTTGGGAGGCTGAGGCAGAGAATTGCTTGAACCCAGGAGGCAGAGGTTGCAGGGAGCCGAGATTGCGCCATTGCACTCCAGCCTGGGCAACAGAGCAAGACTCCATCTTAAAAACAAACAGTCGGGTGCAGTGGCTCACGCCTATAATCCTAGCACTTTGGGAGGCCGAGGCAGGCGGATCACGAGGTCAGGAGATCGAGACCATCCTGGCTAACCCGGTGAAACCCCGTCTCTACTAAAAATACAAAAAATTAGCCAGGCATGGTGGCGGGCGCCTGTAGTCCCAGCTACTCGGGAGGCTGAGGCAGGAGAATGGCGTGAACCCAGGAGGCAGAGCTTGCAGTGAGCGGAGATCGCGCCACTGCACTCCAGCCTGGGCGACAGAGCAAGACTCCGTCTCAAAAACAAACAAACAAACAAACACACCAGGTAAAGATCGTGTCCTTTTGGTTTAGCTTGAGTAGGACAAGAAAATGTCTGGTCCTAGTTCTCTGGACTAGAAGGACTTGGTAAACGAGTTTGGGGTGATTGAATAAGAAGTCTCTACCACACTCCTTGTTCTGTTATTCCCCACCCCCGATTACTGAGCTTTGAATTACACCTTTTTCTTTCTCTGTTTTTAAACACAGTTGGAGTCCTCTCCTCATTTGTGTGTTCCCCTCAAGGACAGCCATCAGAGAGACACTGCTCTGGCCTAGTGTCCTGACCGCCATGTTTAGTTCTCACCAGCTTGCTTACACTTTGGGCTCTGCCTAGCTTGCGATTCTCACAAGAATCACTTTTGCTGTGCTTATTTACTTTTCTCTCTCTTTATCTCTAGCCTCTTCTGCAAAGTTGGTTTCTTCAGACTAACATTCAGGTGACCTCATCTCAAGCATTTTCTCATTACCTTCCCCTTTCTGCTGGGGGACTGTTCCCTACAGCCACAGACTCTTCTCCTTGTAGTGGGTAATACTAACCTCTCACTCTTTCCTCACCATCTGAAAAATATTCTTTGCTTCTCTGGGTTTCAGTGGCTTCCTGATTATGTACCAAGACAAATCTTTTAGTCCCTCCTCAAAGTAAGGTTGGAGACTGCACTGTAAACAGATTCTAATGCAGTTATTCCCTCATATAGCTAATGGCTACTAACGGAAATATAGAAATAGGTTTATATCACCAAACACCGCATGTTCTCACTCATAGGTGGGAATTGAACAATGAGAACACTTGGACACAGGGCAGGGAACATCACACACCGGGGCCTGGCGTGGGATGGGGGAATGGGGGAAGGATAGCATTAGGAGAAATACCTAATGTAAATGACAAGTTAATGGGTGCAGCAAACCAATATGGCACATGTATACATATGTAACAAACCTGCACACTTAAAGTATAATAAAAAAAGAAAAGAAAAAGAAAGAGAAACAGATTTACATGCCCTGGGTTTCTTTCCTAGATTTTGCTTCCTCTCTACTGAAATCTACTTGTAATTTCTGAAAGGCTGTTGTTGGAGAACACAGGTACTTCTTGGAGTAAAGTGGATATATCTGTTTCTAGCACCCTCGTAGCTTAACATTGGCTCTGAAGTAGTACTGCTATGCAAACAATTATGAAAGACATTTTTTTCACATGAAAGTTTTTAGTTTATAAATCCTCTCATGAAAAATCCACAATGGCCGCAGATAACATATTGCAGCCCTTTACTTCTTCGACTTTTTGCCAGCACCAACATTGGCCTTTGCGGTCCCCCTGACTTTCTTTATTGGGTTCTTGCATTCCTTTCGTTGCTTTCTTGAGGTCTTTTTCTTCTCATACAGGCCATGTCTTGCAAGTCTATGTTTGGGTTCATTTTTCTTTGCATAATCCAGGGAATCATAAATCATGCCAAAGCCAGTTGTCTTGCCACCACCAAAATGAGTTCTGAATCCAAATACAAAGATGACATCTGGTGTGGTCTTGTACATTTTGGCTAGTTTTTCCTGTCTTAGGCACTCTAAATTTCTGTCTTAGGCACTGTTGCCTTCCTGGGGTCAAGGACATCAATGACCATTTGTTTCCCCTGAAGTAGTCGGTTGGTCATGAACTTTGTAGTTTGGATAGTTACCGTGTCGTTCATGATGGCTGTCTATCCTCAGACAGCCAGGGAGGAGAAAGACATTTTTATTTAGATATGTGCATAAATAAAGAAGAAGCTAATTGTTTCTGTCTTTATTAAGCACATTTACAAATCTCAGCTCTTTTCACCTTTGCTTTATTTTACTGTGCATTTATGTAAATTAACACTGTATCATGGATAAAGAAAAGGACGTTTTCTTAGGCCTCTTAATAGGATGGTTTTTCTACCCTGTTTTCTGGTTTGTCTTTAAAGCTATTTATGCTCTTTAAATTATCCAGTTTTTCCCACAGTGATTGTTGTGGCCAGAATGCGTTCCAAGGAAACAGATAAATCACTGAGTTAGGGATTACATGCAATACTGAATCGTGTCCATAAGATGGCGCTCTGAGAATGTGAGATCTCTAACATTTTTAGCCATACATAGCTGGGCAGCATATTAAACTTTTGTGAAATCAAATTTTTTTTGGTGGGGACCTAGTCCTTCTGATTGGCTCTCAAGCACTTGGAACCATTCTGATACTTAAGGGAAGAAGGAAAGTGAATTTTCTAGCAGTTCCCTTGTCCTAAATCAGTACTAGCAAGTGTCAAAAATCAGCAAGATCTGTTTGAGAGACCTTTTAAAGAAAGGCATTTCTTCTAAATGTGGGACTTGTGATACTAACCCTATGTGTTGTTACAAATGTCCCTGTCTGGGTATCAGATTCTTCCTCTACACAGTGAGTGGATTGGACCAGATGATCGCTGAGAGTGCTTCCATTTCAAATGATCTACATTTGAATTTGTTGATTTCCCTCCACTACAACATTGCTGCCTCAGCCAGAACAGAAATGAGAAGAAAAGATCGCCTATTTTACGCTTGTTTGACTCTATTCCTCTTCTACAAGTGCTCTCTTTGCTTCAACTGTCCCAAGACAAGCATGCCCAGATGTCCTGTTTTAATGAGGTTCCTTTTCTGTTTATGGCTTTTGCGCAGGTTTTTCCCTGCTCTCCCCAACCCCCTCCGCAATCCCTAACCAATCTGCCTGAACAGAAGCATGTCCCCCTTTTCACTTCACAAATAGGATTTTCTTAGTATTATGACAGTCATCTTTGTGCTAAACAGTTACCAAACTGGATAAAGAAGAAGACGCCGCATGTAAGGTAACACTTCTAACATCCAACATAGCATGTCCAGTTAAGAAAACATTAGATTTGGGAGGTAGGAACATCTCTCAGTTTATTTTTCCTCCTCCACTTGCTAGTATTCATTGCCAGAACCATGTCAAAGCCTCAGTAGAGAAGCAGCATTTTGCAGAGGAGGACAATTTAATTACAGATGAGTATTACTAAGTAGCTAACCCATTGTTACAATCCCCCATGGCCAACAGTGTCCCCATTCCTGACATCCTCTGGGCAGTCTGTGGATAAGAAGAATTGGGGCCACGCTGGCTCATCCTCATTCAAGGCCTGTCGTGAACCACGTGCTCCAGTGGCACAGAGCTAGCCTGAGGAAATGAAATGCTGAATTAATGAATTAATGCAAAGCTGCAGAGGCACCCTTCATCGATTGACTTCCCTCTGGGCTTGAAGCTCAGAGCACACATGTTACATGAAATTCCCCAGGGGCACATCACACATGTTGCCTTGCTGTAGCCAAGATGACAAAGGCAGGGGATGCACTAAGACATTGTTATGCTGCATTTGTTTTCCTATTGTCCTTAGACAGTTGAAATCTTCAAATAGTCTTTCGTATGTGTCTAGTGGCATGGATGGTGGTGGTGGTGGATTATTTATTTCTCTAACTTCAACACCTTGTCTCCCAAGAACACAAGTATGTCACTGAATGGCTTTGACCTGCCCACCCTGGCCTCCCAAAGTATGGCTATTAAATAGCCATACTGTCGTATCTCTGTGTAAGAGAAGAAACCCTATACACAGGGCTCTCTCCAGGGGCTCTTAAAGGGCAAGTCCAAGAATCTTGCTGAGTAGGCCAAGAGAGCTTTGTGGCGATGCTGCTGGGAGCCTTGTAGACCAATATAAGCAGCTCATCCATTGTTTCCTACAAGGAAGCAATGTAGCAGGGTGGTGAGGAAATGTCAAATATTTAGTCAACATCATTTCTCTCTAAGAAAGCAAGACCAGCATAGTGGTTAAGAACCCACACAGCTGGAGATGGAACCCACACAGCTGGAGATGGATTCTCAAAGTTCACACTCCAGCTCTGCTGCAGACAAGCTGTGTGACTTTAGGCAAGTGACCTACCTTCTCTGTGCCTCAGCAGCAGCAAAAACAGGCTGCCAATAGGGTAGTCAGGAGGATTAAGTTCATGTTTTCTTTTTCTTCAGTGCTTCGAACAGTATCTGGCACAGAGAAAGCACTCAGTAACTGACAGCTAGTATAAGTACCATGAGGTGCTTTGGGTGATTTAAAAAAAAAAAAAACTAACCAAGCCTCTGCCTTCAAAGACCTCACAGAGTACATGGGGTGGCAAATGGAATATACATAAAAGGAGCACTAGCAACTCAGGGCAGTGCCCACAGTACATTTCAATGCGAGAGCAGTGAGGTCAGCATGACTCAGGGTGGTTCAGGGAGGCCCTCAATTCTCATCAGGTGAGGACTTCAGGCATCTACAGGAAAAGGTAGTGAGAACTTGAATATGTTCTTTGCCTCTGTTTTGAGGGAGGGTACAACTGATAATTTACATTCATGTTCACATCCTCACTAATATACTATCTTTTTGAAATAGGCAGGTCGGAGTTACCTCATTGAAGAGTAGAAAATAGGGCCGGGCATGGTGGCTCATGCCTATAATCCCAGCATTTTGGGAGGCCGAGGTGGGCGGGCGGATCATGAAGTCAGGAGATCAAGACCATTCTGGCTAACAGGGTGAAAACCCCGTCTCTACTAAAAATACGAAAAATTAGCCAGGTGTGGTGGCAGGGCGCCTGTACTCCCAGCTACTCGGGAGGCTGAGGCAGGAGAATGACGTGAACCCAGGAGGCGGAGGTTGCAGTGAGCCGAGATCGCACCATTGCACTCCAGCCTGGGCAACAGAGCGAGACTCCATCTCAAAAAGAAAAAAAAAGAAAAGAAAATATATATACATATACATATATAGAGAGAGAGAGCAAGAGAGAGAAGGTTTCACTCTGTCATCCAGGCTGGAGTGCAGTGGTGTGATCTCGGCTCACTGCAACCCCCACCTCCCAGGCTTAAGTGATCTTCCCACCTGAGCCTCCTGGGTAGCTGGGACTGGGACTACATGCACACGGCAACATGCCTGGCTCATTTTTGTGTCTTTTGTGGAGATGAGGCTTCACCATGTTGCCCAGGCGGGTCTCAAACTCCTGGACTCAGACGATCTGCCCACCTTGACCTCCCAAAAGTACTGGGATTATAGGCATGAGCCACCACACCCAGCCAATATGGGCTATATTTAACCTAACAAAGTTGACTTGGTGACCTGATGTCAACCACCTAAGGTTTGAAGGAACTCAAGGGTGACATTGTGAACATTGCCCCAAATATGTGTTCTGTCATAAGAAAGCACCTTTAAGGAAGGACATTGGTGATTGCCAACATAACTCTTATTAACAGGAAGGATTTCCCAGAGGCCCTGAGATGTGCATCTGAGTCAGGCCCACTTTTTGTTTTTCTTTTGTTTTGTTCTCTTTTGCCTTTAAAACAACTAATGCCTAGGAATATAATGTATAATATGGTGACTATATTAAAGAATACTATATTGTATATTTCAGATTCACTAAAAGAGTAGTTCTTAAATGTTCTCACCACAAAAATAAAGATAATTATGTGAGGTGATGAATAGGTTAATTAGCTGGTTTGGCATAATCGTTTAACAATGAGTACATATATCAAAACATCACATCGGAAGTGTACATGTATTTAACTTTTATCGATTCTACCTCAAGAAAGCTGGAAAAACATTTTAATTAACTGCTATATAAAATCTCATTCGTTATATATTAAACTATTATAAAGATTAAAAATGGTCATGGTAAAAAATATTTTAAAATATAGAAGGATATAAAAAAATAAGATTTCACTAGCATCTCCCTATTCTCACTCACTGAAAGTGACTGCTCTTATCCTTTTCTTATATATCCATCTAAAATTTTTCTGGGCATATTTGAACATGTATAGAGTATATAAGAGTAATGCAAATGTAGACCCATTTTCACTGCAGATGCTGCTATTTGTATCTGTTATAATGTATCTCGTACTTGATTCCATATCAACACATACAGATCTACTTTGCCCTATTAATGTGCTCATAGTATTTCATTCTAACACTGATTACTTTTAAAATTTGGTTCAATATTTTGTCTGGCTAAGGAGCAAAGGATAGAGACATGAGAAACAGAAAAAAGTATTGAGAGCTGTGGGAGAGGTATCAAGATACCTAAAGGATAGTGCAAGAACACAGAGTTTTTAAATAGTGCCACTAAACTTAAGCAACTATAGGCATCAGTTGGACCAGGACTTTTGGTTACTGCCTTGTGAAGTAGATGCAAAAATGGCAAGCTTTAGGCCTAAGCCACAGGGCAGCTATTCCCAACACTTCTGTAACCAGAAACCATGCTTAATTTGCTAGAGTCCTTTGAGGATTTAAATAGCACATGGATAGAGCAGAACAGTAGATGCTATTTCAACTTTCAAAAAGTTTGGCAAGCTTCTAAACCCAAAACTGTCTTTTAAAAATGGAGTCACTGTGGGATCAGGGAGCAGTGTTTAGTCCTGGCACTTTATCCATGGCTGCGAGATAAGAAATTTAAAAAAATACATAGCTAAAGGGGCACTTTTCTGAATGACAGAAAATAATACAGTAGGACCACAAAGGATCAGCTGTGGGATTAATTTGATTTAATATTTATAATGGTTTTGGAAGCTGGAGTACGGGGCAAAATCGCTAAGTTGGCAGATGTCTTTACACTATTCCAATGAGGATAAGAAGCTTTGGGAAGACGCTTGTTTTATAGAAGTGGACATAAAAGTGGTTGGCAAGCTTTGATATGAAAAAGACCAAGGATATGTCTCTAGGGACACATTCCTGAAGTTCATTTCAGAAGATTTATAATGAGCCTTACCTCTTTATCTGCAAATAGGGTCTCTGCTTCAGGCATCAGTAGGAGTTAAAGAAGAGAAGATGGAGTTGGTAGTATCATCAGAAGATGAATGATATTTAAACAGACCGCATTATATGAACATAAAAGAGGAGGCTAGTAGTGAGCTGATACCCACCAGATAAAGAATGTTCCTTTATGTCTCTTTAACACAGCCCCCAAAGGCAATTGGTATTTGATGATTGGTGATCTGTGTATTCATGAGTTAACTTTTAAAGTTAAATAATCTGAATGTGTTAAGCTATCATTTTAGAAGAAATGCAATCAAATGTGCTCTTCAGCATCTTTGCTACAAAATATTTTCCTTCTCAGAGGATGACTTTTAATTATGAATGTCAGAACTAGATTTCCTGACCTCCTCTGTTAGCATGCATGTTTTTCTAAGTATGTCCTTAATATTGGCAGATATATTGTATCATGGACGGGGACATCTAATAGAATGAGATTAGTATGTTCTGAAGTTGTGAAATTTTTAGTAATAAAGAAATAATGCCCTATCTAATTTTCAGTAATAAAGAGCTAATGCCCTATCTACCTCTCAACTTCACAGTGTGGTTGAGAAGCTCAAATGAGCTGAGTGATATGAAACTGCTTTGTAAAGTGCTGTACAAAAATATGGTAATGTTAATTATTCTTTGTACTTCATAACTTGGGATTAGAAATATAAATTGACTCAAAATCTATAAATTTATCCTTTATAGATATAAATGCCAGTGTGTGAAAATCAGTATACAAGGATGTTCTCTGCAGCATTGTTTATATTAACAAAATATTACAAATTACTGTTAATCAGTAAGGCATTGGATAAAGAAGTTGCTACTGAGCCATACAGAGGAATAAGAACAAGGCATTTCCATGTGTTCTAACATGAAAATATGTCCAAAGTATTTATTTAGTTTTAATTTTTGTTTTGAGACAGGGTCTCACTCTGTCACCCAGGCTAGAGCACAGCTCACTGCAGCCTTGACCTCCCGGGCTCAACACTGCAGCATCCAAAGGTGTGCACCACCACGCCCGGCTATTTTTTTTTTTTTTTTTGAGTGGTTCGGTTTCTTAATTGTTTTATTTTAAGCAGTTCTGTTTTTTTGTATTAAAATACTGCAACTCAATATTTTTGTCAAAGTTTCCACTTTCTTATCAGAGACAAAAGCCAGAAAAATACAAAAAGTGTTCCTTTCCCTCATTTCTCAAGCATAACATCCAACAATTTGGCAGCTGGTAGCTGTTTTTGACAGTTGTGACTTGTATCTGGTGATATAAACAAGATTACAGAAGCACTAAACCATAAATGTAGTTTCATTTTTTTGGTCATTACTATCATTTTACAAAATATTGAATCTACTTTTGAACATTAAAATGTAGTCCAGCTTTTTAAAGCCGCAATTAACCACCATATTTTTTATAGGACCAAAACAGTTTGATTGTGCTTTAAAAAATGATCATTTAGAATCAATTAATTAGAATTAGAAATGCTTAATGCCTACCTTAAGTGGATAGCTAATTGATTCCTAAAATAAAATTTTGGTCTCTTTAAAGATGTTCAAGTTGCAACATTGAAGCTGCTTTGGTGGTACTATCTAAATGATAATCTGTTTGCAAATGCCAAATGAAAACTCTTTGTTGGTAGATTGAGCTATGTGCCGAATTAAACACAAATCAGTTTAGGCATCTTCACTTTTCATTATCTTATCTCATTGGAAATTATACATAATGTAAACAGTAGAACCCGATTCACTGATTTTTTTTCCTTAGTTTAATACAAGTGTGCCTCACTTTAAGCAAAATATACTAAATGATTTCTGAAACAGGAGTTTCCTTATTTTTTCAGTTAAAAAGATTTGCTTACAGAATTTCTTTAAATAACAAGGCTTCTTTGGCCTGTTTAGAGTATTCAGATCACAGAAATTCATTTCACACACAACTTCTTTGAAATACCTACATTGCATAAAATGAGGCACACAAGTACATGTGCCCATTCCATCGAGATTGCCTCATTATTTTGTGGTTATTTTATATTTTTCAGTTTGTCGTTATTAACACTTTAGTATGCCAGGTTCATTCACTCCCTATTTTAGTTGAGATGAGTTAGTGTTTCTAAGGAGTGTTTCATAATCTCTTGTCCCAAACTAGGCTGGTTTGGGAACCCAGTGAGAGTGACTGAAAATTGAAATTCAAGTCCTAAACATACTTCCAGAGCACAGCCTATCACCCTGTGGAGATAACACACAAACTATCTCAGAGGACCCCCACCTGTGGAAGTGAAAATCATGTGAGAGTCATAGTTCAAAAGAAAAAAGTGCTGGGCACCGTGGCTCATGCCCGTAATCTCAGCACTTTGGGATGCTGAGGCAGGAGGATCACTTGAGCCCAGGTGTTTGAGACCAGTCTGGGCAACACAGGGAGACCCTGCCTCTACGGAAAATTGGCCAGGCTCGGTGGCTCACACCTGTAATCCCAGCACTTTGGGAGGCCGAGGTGGACGGATCACCTGAGGTCAGGAGTTCAAGACCAGCCTGGCCAACATGGCGAAACCCCGTCTCTACTAAAACGCCCAGCTAATTTTTTGTATTTTTTGTAGAGATGGGGTTTCACCATGTTGCCCAGGCTGTTCTCAAACTCCTGGGCTCAAGTAATCCTCCTGCCTTGGCCTACCAAAGTGCTGGGATTACAAGTCCAGTCCAAAGTATGTATATTAAGTGATACAAAGTTGCAAATCAGTATGAGTAGTATCATTCCAATTTTGGTTAAAATTACCTATTAGTATATGTAGGTGAAAACCTCTACATGTATATCAAACTGTTGACCATGGTCCACTCTTGGAAAGACAGATTGATGGGGCAACTTTTACTTTATGCCTTGTTTATTTTTGTACTTCTTAAATTGTTTACAATGAACATTATTATTTTGTAATTAAAAATATGAGTTACAGATATCAATTTTGCCCTTATAACCCTGGCTACCCTATTGTAATTGAAAAAAAAAAGTATATAATGAGAGAGCAAAAGCCCTGGGAATCTTTTCATTTCTTTAAGAAAGCATTCCATTATCAGGATCAGGAGCAAGTAAAAAAGAGCTCAAAACCTTTTTCTCTCTTTGGCAATGGTGTTCTGGTATTTCCACATGATGAAAGCAAAAGGAATAAATGAAATCTGTTTCTTGTTTGCTTTGTTTCGCAAAATGAGGAATACTTCTATGTAGAGGTCTGGAACCAACAAGGAAACCACCTCATTTGTGAATCACTGTCCCAGTTGAAGTTGGCAAAACCCCACACTGGAAGGCAGAATTGCCTAGTACTTTAAATAGTTACCCTTCTCATGATGGTGAGGATGTCCATTGCTACCTTGAAACTTCAATTCTGGAGTAAAGCCTATGGTTTATCCTACAGGAGCACATTAAAATCTTCCCTTGGGCTGGTGTTCTCTCCTCTCATGGAGAACGCAGAGGGAAGCTGACAGGTATAATTTATGGTGAAAGTGATTTGAGAAAGTCTCCTGAATAGATACCCAGCTCCAGAGCCTACAGGAAATGGTGGGAGGAGGAAGAAGAGGAGAAGGAAGAGGTAAAGAACATGGAAGAATCTTTCTCCTTCAAATGAGTAGAAGGCTCACACACAGTGAAGGTTCATTCTGTGTGCTTCACTGTCATGACCTTGAACCTCCCCTAGCACAGCTCTAATCACTCTGCCTGGTCATTGGCCCTTACTCTTCTAGACTCCCCACTGGACTGAGAGCACAATAAGGGCACACAGACCTTGTCTGTCTTGTTCATTGTTGTATTCCCAACATCTAGGGGAAAAAAAGCATGTTGTATATATTTGTTGATTGTTGAACGAATTTTTTTTTACTGTAAATAGACACTATGTGGAGTGGTCTACTTTTGCACCATGAGGTCGTCTCATGAGCTTGTGGTCAGTCTGACTGTTGATGCCAAATACAGTCAGCTTTTCCTTTGTTTGGGACTTTCTTTGACAAACCTTTTCTTTACCTTCACCTTTACAGATACAGCCAAAAGGCAGCAAGGAATGGAATGAAAAACCAGTTCAATCTCCATGAGCTGAAAATGAAGGGCCCTGAGCCAGTGGTCAGTCAAATTATTGACAAACTGAAGCACATTAACCAGGTATGTGGAATATAAAAAATAATAATAATAAAAAGTAGAAATAACCGAGAGAGAGGAGGAGGGGGAGAGAGAGAGGGGGAGAGAGAGGGGGGGGGGAGAGAGAGAGAGAGAGAGAGAGAGAGAGAGAGAGAGAGAGAGAGAGAGAGAGAGAGAGAGAGAGAAAGAGAGATATAGCCAGCTTCCACTGTTCAAACTATATTCTTGGGCTTTTAGGAAAGACGCTATTATTTCTTCAAATAGTCTGTCTGCTAGAAAGGACTTCTGGCCTTATTTTTCACCCCACTTTTAAATTATAAAGACAATATTGCAATTTGAGGGGTAGCTTGGAAAATAGAGGGAAAAATATTTCTCACAATCCCACTATTTTATCCCAACTGTTTTCATTTTTACATGTTCTCTTCTAATATTTGTCCAGAAAGGCACACTCACACAGACTTTTTCCATAATTAGAAATCCACAAGTGATTTGTAGTTCTGAAAATTAACACTATCTTGGAAACACTTTTCTTTTCCATGTTGTCACAAATCTTTTTGTTATTGTTGTTTTGTTTTGTATTGTTTTGAGACATGGTCTTGCTCTGTTGCCCAGGCTGGAGGTCAGTGGCACAGTCATGGCTTACTGCAGTCTTGACCTCCTGGGCTCAAGATATTCTCGTGTCTCAGCCTCCCGAGTAGCTGGTACTATAGGCATGCACCACCATACCTGGCTAATGTTTAATTTTTTTGTAGAGATGAGGTCTCACTATGTTGCCCAGGCTGGTCTCAAACTCCTGGGCTCAAGCAATCCTCCTGCATCAGCCCCGCAAAGTGCTAGGACTACAGGTGTGAGCCACCATGCCTGGTCCCCACAAATCTTTATATTAATTATTTGTCATGGCTGCATAATATTCTGTTGAGTATTCATCATAATTAATCAGCATGCTTTTGCTGGATATACAGGTTGCTTCAAATTTTTTGCCATCATAAATAAAGGTACCTCCTCATACATAGTGCTTTATCCTGATCTTAGCTTATTTTCTTAACATGCTAAAGTTATTGGGTCAAAGGATATGAGCAATTAAAATGCATGTGTCCAAATTTGCTTTTCAATGAGAATGTATCAGTTTTCACTGCCACCAGCAAGACAGGAGAGGTCCAATTTCACTGCATCCTTGCCAGCTTCTGACTCACTGCCATGCACAGAGACACCCACAGATTCCCTTGACCTGTACACATAGTTTTTCCTCTCATAAGAAGTTTAGTAACAAGACACAAATAGAAGTTAGTTGTACCATCTGCTTATGATTGCTTTGTGGCCACAATAAAAATGCCACCAAAAAGGCATATACCAGAGTGACAGTGTTCCTGCCCCATGATCCATGGGTGGGAGGACTGTGGCATCACTGACTTCTATTTGTAGTTTAGGAAGAACTTAATGAAACTGAAATCCTTATGCAAGAACAGAGGTTTTAATACAAAGACATTGGTATGAGTTTTTAAAATATGGATTTTAGCAGTGAAATTTTTGTGGGTCCTAGAAAATACTTAGAAGGGCTTTCTAAGAGTAGTATATTTTTCACTGCAATTGGCATTGTGAAAGTATTGACAACATGCTTGGGTATAAACTCCTCTGGTGCCTGATAAGGTGCTCTGTACTCAGTGAGCACTTAATAAATAGCTGTTAGTGCTGCTGAGCACATGGTAATGGCAGTGTCTACCTAACTGAGCCATTTTTGTGTGTGAAAGTACAACTTCACTAAGTTCTATCAAGCCTTGCTAGATATAGTGTGATGATTTCAAAATGCATCTCTGAGGGGATCAGAGCACAAACGATGTAAAACACTTACTGCTGAGTTGAGGGCATGATATGCTTCACTTGGGGACAGTGGTACAAATTATCTCAAACCAAAATGTGTCTAGGTGGCTATGTTCAACTGGTTAGACCCCAACACTGGTGAGGCCAAAATCTCAGTTTCCATCACTGTGTCCCTAATTCTAAATGAGGAATATTGTCAACAGGTCCCTTGTGTCAACAGACCTTAAGGATTACCTACTATGTACTCAGCCAGGTGCCAGGGACTTTGGGGATTCAAAGGAAGTCTAGTCCTCTGTCCTCACAGCCTCCTTGAGGGAGGAAGCATAAGCATAAGAAGTGGTTAAATAAAGATAAAGGGCAGCCTGTGATGCAGAGTCTGAAGAGGAGTGCTGCTCATCGGTTTTGGGTGGTATGATTAGGCTAGTGGGAAGATTGCAGAGAGGGGCAAGTGTTAAGATCTGCCATAAGCAATGAGTAGGGTTTGAGTAGGTAAAGACAAGCAAGGGAGGGGCAGTCATAAGAAAGATCGAGTGAAGACCTGTGGGCGGACCCCACCCTAGAAAATGGGAAAGCTGCATCAGACATGGGCTTCTATATGATCAGGCAGTCACTAAAAAATATTTATAGCAAGTCCTTTCAGCAAAGGCTTTGGGCACAGTAGAAAGAATTTGGGCTTTGTATCCAAATGGATCTGAATTCAGTTATAGATTTTGCTAGGCGCATAACTTTGGGTAAATCAGTTAACCTCTCTGAGCTTTAGTTCTCTCATCTGTATTATGGTAAAGATATCAAAAACTCCAGTGTATATCTATCATATACATATATATAATATGTACACATAGATATATGTAATTGCATGTGCATGACAGGCACTTAATATATGGCAGTTAGTTGTGAGGACTGTGTTTAGGATTTTCTCTATAGGCAGGACTTGAGTTTGAAAGGGAGTTCCAGTACTTTCTGCGAGTCTAATTCTTCTCCCCCAGTTTTGTATGTTTGTAGATCCCTTTGATGCATCTCTTCTTTCTCTCCCATATTGTCTCCTTCTTTTCCTCTCCTCTAACTTTCAGCCACAAAAGCTGAAACCAGCTGACAGGTAGGGAGATGTACATAGAGTGAGAAAAGTCGCTATTACAATTCCTTTTTCCTACCTCTGGCCATGAATATGTGCATGAACATTTTCAGTTTCTATACAAATACCATTGAGCAGCCAATTAATTCTCATTGATAAACCAGTTTTACCTGTTTCAGTTGAGCTGTTAAAATTGGTTGGACTCCAAACACCCACATTGATTTTTTTTCTCATCTGTGTTGCTTTATATAGCCAAAACACATTTTTTCAGTCCTTAAATAAAATTTATATTTTGGCCATGATTCGATCTGAAAGTGAGACACTTCAGGGAAGTCATAAAGAAGAAAGTCATGATGATGATGATGATGTCGATGATGATGATAATGATAATGTGTTCTCTTTGTATAGCATTTACCCATATTTCAAAGTGATGTCATGTTCTAAAGTCTAACTGCTTAGGAAAAAAATCCAACTTGGAATTATATAAGGTATAAAACTGTGACAGAATCTTTTCAAGAACTCATTATTACTCTTAAACCTTATCTCATTTTCACTGTTTTTCAGAAGGTAAGGGATAAATAATGTTTGTCCTTTTTATAGTTAGAGAAACTGAGGCAGAAAGCCATTAATGGCTGTATAGACATACTGCCAAAAGATCCAGTGAGTTCAGTTTAAAACTCAATCAATCATCCAGATGTTTCCTATACACTGCCAAACATCTGGATTCACTGAATGCCTGACTAAATCGGCCTAAAGATTTGGTGATAGGGAGGAAGAATCAAGTTAACTTTCTAAGTTCACATGTAATTGAGTGGTGAATCTGAGAATGTGATGTTATTTTCCTAAGCCCCTTGCTCGGTGCTGCATCTATTAAAACTACAATAGCATGCTCCAACATACATATTTATAAATACAGAAATACTTCTCCTCTCTCTCTCTCTCTCTCTCTCTCTCTCTCTCTCTCTGCATGTATGCCCCATGTGCGTCCATCCAGATGAACTATAGCTAGGCCATTTATGAGCACATCCCAAAATAGCTTTTCACTTTGTTTCCTGGGAATTCTCAGCTGCCTCCTTGCAGGTTATGGTTACTGTTGATAGCGCTGGAAAGAATATACCCACTAAGGGAATAAAGTAACATTATTTTCATATTGATAGTCCCATGGTATAACCTTGAGGGGATGGGTTCAGAGCCAGGCTCAGGCCCCTTTCCTGGGAAGGCCTACAGGTGTGGAATGTTCTCCCCTCCTCCTTCCAAGGCAGAGTTCATGTGTAACATTCCCACGATCAGAAATGAGGACCTTTTTATTTCCTTTTCAGTTTCTAATTTGTGTGAGGACTTATTTTCTTGTGTTAGGAAAAGAATTGAACTCTTTTATGTCCTCAGTGTCAGTCCTGGAATTTGCTAGGCCATGTTGCTTTAAAACAACAACAACTAAGTTTTGTTTTTGTTAGTATCATTCTGCTCCAGGCTCCTGCATGGAGAGAAGACTCCACAATTACCAAAAACGATCACAACACATCGTTACTCATATAATACTATGGGCCATTTATCCCCTAACCTAGTTTTGTTGTTAACTTTTTCTCTCTCTTTAAGAGTAGTTATGTAGTTAGTGCTAATTTAGTAGTCCCTAAACTGCTACAGGACTTATTGTTCCCAAGGAAAAATCTATCCATTTATTGTTTCCCCATTTCAGTTCAGGTTCAAACGAAATACCAGAAATTGTTTTCCTGCCCGTTGTAAACAGTTGAAGCCAGAGTAGTCAATACCTGCCCACTTGGTGTCAGAGCTTTTCATTCAAAGTTAGATAAAGTCTCATCTGTTTGGGATCGTTGAAATGTCCTGCTGAATGGTGGGGGAGTGGACGAGATGGCCTCTTAAGATTCCTTCCAGCCGTGTGATTCCATGATTTGTGGCTCAAGGTCAGGCTTTAACCCAGCACCCTCTTGTGAACAAGTCTTGTGACTTTATTCTCTGCTCTGCCACTCTTTTTAAAACACCCTGTTCCCAGGTCACCCCTTTCCACTTTGTAACCTCTCATCTTTTCAAAGGTTGTTCCCTTCCCACCAGTCTTCCAGCCTGGGCAGATGGAACTTAAACTTGCCCTTCCCCCCACCCAATTCTTCTGTTCTGCCTTGTTCTCATTAGGCTATGAAAACATTAAACTATAGAAACAGTTTTGCATTTATCACCCCTAAGTTTCCCTCCTCCAGGGCCAGATAGGTGACCTGTTTTCGAATCATGTTAACCATGTGATTCCATATGAATGATAATTCTGCCATATGTTTACATAGCACAATTCAGTTTGCAAAGCTCTTTCCTATCCATTAGATAACGTGATCTTTATAACCACTCAGAGAGGAAAGCAAGGCAGGCATTATTACTTACATTTCCCAGATGAAGAAACTGTGGGCATTAGAAGTCTACTGAGTTCCATACAGTAAGTGGTAGAGCTAGACCTAGAATCCAGAGCTACTGATTTCATTCTCTGTGCACTTTCCTTTACTTGTACCAAGACATGGCACACCTATTAGGAAGATCTATATAGAAAAGATGTGCAGAATACAAATAACAAAAACTCCTTAATTTGTGGTCTGATAATTTTCAAGTGCCAAATATGGTAATTTCTATGGCCAAAGCTCTAAAATCAGCAGCAATGAAAGATTAAGCACATTGTTTACAAAATCTCAGTTGGTGAGATTCTTGGAAAACTAACCACCACATTGTATGGAAACAGAGGAACTTTGTGGCATGAGTTTGAGTTATAAATAGCAGAAGAACTTTCTGTTAGTGAGCCCTACTTCATAGAATGATGTTAAATGGTCAAAGATAATTAAAAAATCTAGAACAGATGCTGAAATGTCTCCACTTCCATCCCCCTCTGTAAACACCAGAAAATTATTTTTAAGATGCCTGGCAGACTCTAGTGCAATGAAGAAACTAACTTTTGAAATAGAAAGTTAAAATTTTTTAATAAGTTAATTAGTAAAGCTGTTAAGTGCCAAAGGAGCACTCAGGACATTCCTTAGCATGTGATTTTAATAAAATGTTTGAAATGAATCTCAGACATGATGGAAAACACTCCAAGTAACTTGTTTTCATAGTCTTCTCACAATAACACCAGTGAGAGTTGTAAAACACTGGCCTAGTGCAGTGGTTGCTAGAAAAGCCAATATTGAGCTAAAATTTCTAAATAAAAGGAGAAACCTTTTGAAAGTCAACTTTAAATAAAAGACCTTCCCAAATGGAATTATGTCCCAGTGTCTGTCTTACTTGTTCACAAGTGACATGGCAGAACTCTAGTAATTGCCATTTATTTCCATACGGAGCCAGAATGTGTGTGTGTGTGTGTGTGTGGGTGTGTGTGTGTGTGTGTGTGTGTGTGTGGGTGTGTGAAGGACAGAGTACCTACAAGACATGTTAGCAAAAGCCAATGAATGACTTCTGAGTCACAAAAGGACAATGTGAGTTAGTCCTTAAATACCAGACTTAGACTCTGTGGAGTTAAACATTATTTCATGAAGTAAAAGGGAATTCTCTGATATATTCCAAAACGGATTTATCATTAAAAAATCTTCTGTCACTTTGCCTAATAGCCTGAAAAATAATCACAATGTCTGGTGGCTTTGGGGAGCATGTGTTTTTAATATCTTAATTACTATATACAGTTTAATAACACTGCACCAAGAAGAATTCCCAAGTATTTCATACTAAATTTCTTGAAAATGAACTATTTGCTATATTTAGAATACACAGGATTAAAGGTACTTAAATTAGGTCATGTATTTTAGTCCTTGCATATTAAATTAAATTACTCAAAAATGGAAGATGAGTCAGAAATGGTGAGCCAAAATGTTGTTGGTATTAGTGTTGTGGTCATCTTGATTGAGCAATGGAGGGAAATACATGAACTTTTCTGATTACATTATTGTATTCTTTCATAGGATATTTTTAACTGGACATGTTAGCAATGGAAAGACAAGTTCTACATATGAAAAGAGAATTCTGTCAAACAATATAGACTACCAGGTTTATGAAGTTTAGAAATACATTTCTAAATTTTCTATGAAATTCATAGGGTCTCCTATTGTATTTACATTTACCCACTGGCCAAATGCAGCATCGTTTTTTGTTTTTTGTTTTTTGTTTTTTGAGACGGAGTCTCACTCAGTCGCTCAGGCTGGAGTGCAGTGGCGTGATCTTGGCTCACTGCAACCTCCACCTCCCGGGTTCAAGCAATTCTCCTGCCTCAGCCTCCCGAGTAGCTGGGATTACAGGTACCCACCACTGCGCCCAGCTAATTTTTGTATTTTTAGTAGAGACAGGGTTTCACCATGTTGGCCAGGCTGGTCTCGAACTCCTAACCTCAGGTGATCCGCCTGCCTCGGCCTCCCAAAGTGCTGGGATTACAGGTGTGAGCCACCGTGCCTGGCTGATATTTTTTAATAAACAGTTACAAATGCTCATTCCCTAAAACGTTTGCAGTTACAAATATTTGCTATATGAGGTATATCAGTCTGTGTGTATGTATGTGTGTGTGTATTCAAATACTATTTCAGAAATTAACCCAGATATATTTATGAATATGTATCATGCTTCTAGACTGTAAACTCCCTAAGTGTGGAATCACACATTTAATTCTTTGTATCCCATGGCACCTAACACAATAGCATATACAAAGTAGACCCTCAATATATATATAATTAATTGACTGATCAGTCAATTCAAAGGACTTAACCTTTGCTGCCCTTATTTCTGAATTTAGATTTCATTTAAGGTACTTTTCGCATTCAATATTAACCAGTGTCTGTGCTAAAGGGCAGAATTATATAAGTGCAGGATCATAGGGTCTAACCCTTTGATTTTACAGAGGATGTTAAAGCCAGGAGAGGGAAATGACTTGTCCAAAGTCATACTACCAGTAAATGACAACACTGGGACTGGGAAATGAACAGGTTAATATTCTATAGTGCCATTTGCTCTGCTTCCAAAGGCTCTTGATGCAAACATGCTTGCAAATACACAGACACATTTTCTTATACAGTAAGTACTCCAAATCATGGCAGAAGCCCATAGTTATGAAGTTCATCTTTGGAACAAATGGCTGCACAGTAGGAATCATGAACTTGCTAATTATTTATCACTTATTTTGGATATTAACTAAGTTTGGGCCTAACAAGTATACCTTAGTGCCCAACTGCCTCATTCAACTCATTGGGCAGTTGTTGCACCGGGTGGGGAGGTCTCTGCTGGGATCACTGAACCAAAGGAAGGCAGAATCAGCAAGACCTGTTGCTCATGGCCTTTTACCCACTCACAGAGTCTGACTCAGGCTCCTGTTCTCATTCAGGGTCAGTCATCCTTTCAGTCTCATCCCCTGGATCTCAACTCCTCCACCTTCCTGGACATCTTATAATAATTTATCTCGTGCCTCCTTCCTCCTTCCAGAATGACAAAATTAGCATCATATTAGTCAGTGGGCTTATGTGCCAGATAGCTCAGTTGTTTAGGGCAGTGTATTCAGATTGTGTTCCATAGGGAATGTGGGAGAGGTGCTGTGGAGGTTGTTCTAAGTCCCCCATTCCTATTTTAACCAGAGCAGCTCCGTTTTTAAAAATCTTCTTCACATATTGGTCTTCTAAGTAAGATTTCACTTAAAGGGGTCCAACTGCAAAAATAACAGAAATCTTAGATGCCCTTAAAGCTAACATTAAAGGCTTAATCCCACGTGAGCCATTTCGTAATTTGAGTGGTCAATGAAGGTACTAAATATCTATAATACACAAGGAAGTCACAGCATGCCCTCCAGTCCCCATCAGCCACTTTCTAAAATGAACTGTGGGTCAGAATGGAGACCAAATGGGAGAATGTGAATGGCTTGGTGGTAACATTATTGAAGTGATAGCTAAAGGCCCATGCTCTAGTACTAGTGAACCAGAAGTGGCTTCTTTGAAGCTGATGACCAACATATATGAGTTTTCTTTGCCCATGTCATTAGGATTCTAACAAAATCCGATGAAAACAAAGTGCTGAGCTGAGCTCTTTTGTCTTGAACTAGCTTGTCTATATGGTGCAGTCTTGTGTTAATTGGCCCAAACAAATGTTTGGTCTTAGTCCTTTAATCCCATGGCTATTTGAGATCTAGTGTTCAACTGTAGATTTATTTGACACATAGCAAAAAATGTTTCCAAATTCTGTATGGGCTCAGTGTTGGTATATAGTTAAGGTAAAATGGTAATAATGAGATTAATTCTTTACTCCTAACTATGTGCTTTCCTTAGATAGTGAGCACAGTGATTTTATGTAGCAACTGTTAAGTGGAGTGTCTCCAACAGAGTTCTAATTAATATCCAAAATAAAGATGACATTATTATTTATATGCACTGGATCTTATTGGATAATTTCTTAAGTATGGTCTTCTTTTCCTTGTTTAATAAGTTGATCTAGATATTTTTTTCATAGTCCCTATTTTGCTAAGTCATCACTTCTGAGAGTAATATCTGTTCTGTATTATGGGCAAGCAGCTGACGAAACCAAATAAAAGCTAAGAGAATTACTCTTCTGGTATGTCACAAAAATGAGGTCCAAGTTCAGGTTAGTTACATTCAAGGCCACTGAGGATTCTTATGGTTATTATCATGGTATCACTGTTATTAAACTTTGAAGCATCACAAAGAATTGGTGAAGAGCCAAAAGACTGAAGACTGGCACAATTGTTTACCATCACCTTCAATAAGGGATGGAAATTGGATTCTGGAAGCCACAAACCAGAAAGTCTGGTGTCACATCTTAATGAAATTCTAGATTAGATTCTTGGAGAGCATGAGCTCTTGGAAGCAACCATGGTGGTTACAAGTAGCCACTGTGGACTTACTCAGAACTAATCAGGCCATTTCCCCTTATATGTGCGTACATGCACATGCCTTATTGATCAGAGGAATGGCATAGACATGCTGGGTCTAGATTTCAGCAAGGTGTTTGACAGAGATTCCTATGATTTGTTTTAAAATAAGTAAGGAGAAACATTGGCTAACTGATCATCTACTTGGATAAATGTGTAGCTAATTAATTATCATATATGAAATGTATCAATATCAGCCCAGAGTGAGGCCTTTGGTTATTAACTTTGTGCTTAGCCCCTTATTGCCTAAAGTTTTTGCTAGTGACTTAACTGAAGATAGAGAAGGCATACTTCTAATATTTAGTGACTGCATGATGCTAGGTGGGGGTTAGTGAATACATAGATAACACAATTGGGATGCAAAAATATCTCAGTAGGCTGCAATGACAGGAGAAAACTAGCAGAGTAATATCCCCATGGGGATAAATGTGAAGTATTACATGTAGATTCACAAACATGAGTGCCTAAGCATGATAGGGGAAATCCAACTTAGCACACATGTTAGTTTTTAGTTATGATGGAAACAGCTATGAAACCTTCACTGACCCAAAACAATATCCCCCAAATATTGTGATAATTTGGCAACTCTCTTGATGTTGTTGCCATTTTTGGTGGGAAGAGAGGGATACGTATTTACATGTATGTTGAGGTGGGAGAGGGAGAGACATGGAAGTGACTAGAAAAGTACTCTCCACCGCTTGCAGTGAGCCGAGATCGCGCCACTGCACTCCAGCCTGGGCGACAGAGCGAGACTCTGTCTCAAAAAAAAAAGAAAAAAAGAAAAAAGAAAAATACTCTCCACCCTGTTTAAAGGTTAAAAAGGACTGTTTTGGGATTGTGATGTTCACTGCTCCACATGAGTTTTTGTTACACCAATACTACCTGTTTTAGTTGTAAAGCATCACTGGTATGTGACTGAGAGTCTCAGTGAGACATCTGAGAGCCAAAACACTGGATTATTTAGTTTGGGGGAAAGAACAAAGGCTTTAGAGCCAAATAGATCTATTTTTAATTCTCAGATTTGTCATTTTGTAGTAACTTGGCTTTAGGGCAAATTACTTAACTTTCCTATACTCATGCTTCCTAATCTGTGAAATGGGTATACTATCATCTATCTTGAAAAGTTAAGACAAATATTAGGGATAATATATGTGGTAGGCACTCAATACATTCTAGATACTGTTTTTCTTCATATTATTACAATATGAAGAGTTAGCATAAGGGCAAGTCAAGAGTGACCTTTTAAGTGACTTGAGTCTCTGTGCCTCAGTTTATCAATTTCTGAAATGGAGAGACTACAACGTTTCCAGTTTGGAGTGTTGTTTAAATGATTTAAAAATTCTAAATATAATAATCTAAATTCTAAAGATTCTTGGAAAAATATATCTAGCCAACCTTCAACAGATTTTTGAACTATTTAAAGATTAGTTTGGCTCAAAGTGACTGAATGGAAAATGAAGACGATTTTTTATATGTGTGTGTGTGTGTGTGTGTGTGTGTGTGTGGGTGGGTGTGTGGGTGTGTTTAAATCAAGTTCTTCAGATTTTCCCAAGTTTGAACTCTGCCCTGAAGTAGAGGCTCTATAAATAGGCAGGCTGCCCTTGGAGTACAGCTTAGAGATTTTACCACATGATCCAGAAGTCCCATTTTAATCTTCAGCCCCACCAGGACCTTTCATGGAAGGATGGTATCAAGTGGAGAGACTTCAGAGCTATAAAGATCAGGGCAAGTTAATCTGCATTCCTTTTGCATTTTGCTCTCTGGTTGAAGATGGTGAGAGGTTCCTATATTTAAAACCCGGTTGACATGATATCCTTATTGGCCGATGTCTCACAGGAGGTATTTAGAATGATTTTGAGCAGCATATAATATGTTTGTGAGTGTGTGTGTATTTCACATGCCAACAGAGCAGAAAGAATTCACAGGGCTTGTGGCTACTGAGCTTTCTTGAGACACCATCACTCTCAGCTGTTGGGGTGATGTCACAGTTACAAGTGACACTGCCTAGGCCCAAATTCCCAAAGCTCTTTTTTGCATTGCAGAGCCTAGGGCAGACCTACACCATGGGCTCTACCTTCAAAGAACTATGGAATTTGTTAGCCACAGACTGGGACCAGTGACCACTTGTTGTCAGGCAAAAGGAAAGCTGCCCCCTGCTGCCTGAGCCTTTGTGCCTGCCTGG
Organism: Homo sapiens; assembly: GCF_000001405.40. NCBI lineage: Eukaryota > Metazoa > Chordata > Mammalia > Primates > Hominidae > Homo > Homo sapiens. The sequence goes on along the minus strand of NC_000023.11, from coordinate 133,649,780 downwards.
GATACCATGGAAAATGGGGAAGGAATCCAGACTCATTAATGAGCTAATACAAAAGATTAAGCCAAGCTAGAGGCAGTTTGTTATAGCTGCATATGGATGCTCGAAGGCAGTCAGAGCTGAAAGATCTCCAGACCAGAACCCAGTGGTGCTGCCGCCTTTGTTTGCCAGACACAAATATAGGATAAGGGTATCCCCATGGGGAGCAATTTTCGTATTGCCAATTTCTTTTTTCAGTTATGTCATTCCCCGAGCTGTTGTGTGACAAATTGATTGATCAGTAATTGCAATCTGATAACCCATGGTCCAAATTATTGTTAAAACTGCAGGTTTCATTATAATATACTGAGATGGAACTCAGATCTGAGCTTTTACTTGGTCTAATGGTCTTTGTTCTTGTTTGTTGTTCTTGGAAGTCACTTAAAGCATGATTACTTCTATGGCTCCTTTTCAAAATGAAATTCACAAGGCAAAATAAAAAGTAAAATACACACACACACACACACACACACACATATATATATATCCTCGTCATTTATTAGGAGTTATTTATTGAATGCCCATTTTTTATGTAGTGCTGGATTTGATGGGGTCTGTTGATAAGGACATAGAGAATCCCCCCCACCTACACACTCATCACATATGCATATATCATCACCATTTGCATTCATTTATTCAATATTGAGCAAGCAGCTCTCTGTGCCAAGCACTGAGCATAGGGGCTGCAGACAAAGGTACAGAGATAACTTAAGCACTTTCAATGAGGGTGATGAAAACATGCCTACCTTACTATACTCCAAGGCACAGTGTGTCATAAAAGAAATATAAACCAAGTACTATGCTAGCCTGGAGAAGAGAAGGATTAATTCTTACCGAGGGAATTAGACAAGACTTTAAAAATAGGAGGTAGCCTTTAAGCCAGCCTTTGAAAGATGAGGAGAATTTTGACAGATCGAGATTGGAAGGAAGGATCTTCCTGGCAGAGGAATATGGCATGAGCAGTGGCTCAAAGACATGAAAGTACATCGATAGCATTATGTGGCTGGGGAGCTGAGGCCACAAGCCAGATTGGAAGAGGACGTGGACAGTGAAAGATGAGATGGAAAAGGTGGTAAAAAATTTGGGAGGGCCATGAATAGCATACTAAGGAATCTGAGCTTTACTCTGTGGCAGTGCAGAGCCCATGAAGGGCTTGAAGCATGAGAGTGACATGGTCAGATCAGTTAACATCAGTAATGTTAACTCTGCCAGCAGCGTGAAGGATGTTTTAAAGATCAGAAATTGGAGGCAAGGAGTCCAGTTAAGTGATAGCATTTACAAGGCAAAGAAGGAAAGTTTGTTATTCAAATTCATTACCCTTCCTTTCCACTGCCTGATGGGAAAATGGAAGGGGTATCCAATCTTTTGGCTTCCCTGGGCTATATTGGAAGAGGAAGAATTGTCTTGGGCCACACATAAAATACACTAACACTAACGATAACTGATGAGCTACAAATAAAAATTGCCAAAAAAAAAAAAAAAACCTCATAGTATTTTAAGAAAGTTCACAAATTTGCATTGGGCTTCATTCACTGCTGTCCTGAGCCGTATGCAGCCCGTGGGCTGCGGGTTGGACAAGCTTGGTTTAGGAGATGAGAACCGCTTTGTCCCTAAAGTTGACTTAATCATCTTTTGGCCATTAGCCAGGACATAGGAGAGGCTGGAGCAGGCAGTGGTTTGGGTCTCCGCAGAAGGTAGTAGGGTGCGGCCCTCCCACAGTAGACCAGTAGCTTCTCCAGGTCCCACAGTAGAAAATGAAAAGAAATTTCTAGTACCTGCAGAGATTTGTCCCTTATTGAACCTTTAGTAGAAGTTCTCACAATGAGGTATTTAGATTCCCTGATGAATGTGTTAACTATTACTTTTAATCAATTTGTTACACACTTTTTTTTAGTCAGAATTCCAATTAAATGTAGCTCCTTGGCTGTTGAATGTTGAGTGCCATCCATTCACTGAAGTCTCAAAAATTACCAAAACTGTGAGAAAGATCGAGAGAGATTATAGTGTTTTTCTTCAGCTGCCACTGTGGGTGCTTAGATGTGTTGGAGAGACTACTGTGTTTCGTGACAGCCTCACAAAGAAGAGTGGGGGCCCCAGAGGGAAGCAGTGACTGTTCGCCTTCTCCATACCTTCTCAGAACACATTTTCCTGTTTGTTATCAACTCCTATGTCTTTCTAATTATGGCAGCTCCTTATAGCTGGTGCTGTTTCACTAGAACAGTCTCCAAGAACTTTACACATGTTATATATAAGACCTCGCTTGTTCATTTTACTCAAGCATGTGCTGACAAGGAGCTGACCTGACATTTCACCAAGACGCTCTGCCTTGTACTCGACAGTGCCTCTTCTCTCCACCTTAGCACCCCTGTGCCCTTGCTGGTCAGAGCAGATGCTGAGAAGACAGAGCGGATGTCTCGGTTAGGCTAACCTTGCCTGTCCCACTCACCACCGTATCTTCAGCTCTTTGAACAATGCCTGGTATAGAATAAGTGGCTGATAACTATTTATTGCATAAATAAGTAAAAAACTCTGTTCCTCTTTATCCTCAGTTTAGAGCTGTGTGGACAGGGTGAATATATTTTGCACATGGAAAAGATATGAATTTCAGGGAGAAAATGTAGTGGCAGGTACAGAGAGAAGGCAAGAAAGTAGGGGGATTCTTTTCGCCATCAAAAAAGTTACAAAATGTTACCTTGGGGTTTTGCTTTTCAAGTATGTACAGAATATTTTATTTCTTCAAGAAGTCATCTGGAATAGCCCTTCCTCTATTTTATTGAGAAATGCAGTGGAATAATACCACAGCTTCCCCATAAGTCTTCATTACATCAGTTCAGAAGGTCCTCAACTTGCGAAGAACCTGGAAAATCCATGAACTCTCTTCCTGTTCAGTCGCCCTTTTCTGACCTTCACTTGGGGGCTATGCTGTGGCTATCATACAGTGGAATTATTTTAGACAGAGCCCCCAGGCTCTGGCCTACTCCCCACCTACTCTGCCTATTCAGTTGCTATAAAATATAGTATTGAGCAAAGATGGGAAACCTACTTTGTCTGTCAAAGCCTGAGTAATAGCAACTTTCATTTTCTTGGCTGCCTCCTTTCAACTCCAAGCTCAGCTTGTTGAGGCCTGAAGAGCTGAGCCAAAACAGCAATTCATGTGCGTATTTCTATTTAGACTCCAGTCTCCCTGGGTAGTGTAGTCCTGTGGTGATTCATGCCTCGAGTATAGATAGCTAGATATTGGGAAACTTCCTTATTTGCAGGATATAAAAGTGAATGAAGTGATCAAAATCTTTGGCATACCTCCCCCTATTGCATAGCTTTCTCGTGCTTTCCCTAAGAGAATCATTTCTGTAAGGAAGGACAGATGGGTCTGTGATCCTCTCTACTTTCAGTATATTCCCTGGACCTACTATGTCCTACTCACTTCTCTGCTGACATCACTAGGCCTGAACTCTCTTCTATGTAGCCGATTACCAGTGCTTTCAGGTCATTCTTTGTACAATTCTGTCTAAGATCCTTTTCTGTCCCCATGTCGTTGCCCTAGTCCAGACCTGCTTTGCTTCACCATCAGTCCTGTGCTGGGCACAGGAACTAGAAAAATCAATGAGATAGTCACTGCCCTTGGCTTCTAGGGACTCACAATCTTTTTTTTTTTTTTTTTGTCTTTGTTTTCTTATAGTACTATAGTCTTCAACTTCTATTTATATTTTGCTTTATATATTTTCTTTTGTTGATCCAGAAACAATTTTTTTTGTGTAACTTTTTTCTCTGCCACAAAAAGACATGTTGCCTTCCTTTTATAAGTCCCATATTTCCCTGACTCCCACTTATGCCATGCCACCTTCTCTGAGGGAGAGGTACTTCTCTCCCCACAATTCCTCACTTTTTTTTCTTCCTATCCACCCACTCTCATCTTCCACATAATTTAAGAATTCCTCTTATAGGTTGATTTATTTTCTATGGTCTTAGTGACTCTGTCTTAAAGGGAAAGTAATAGAAGAAATGACCTGGAGAAAGACAGTGATCAAGACCAAGTAGCATTTATCTGGGACTCGCTGAGTGTTAGTCCTTGTCTGGATGTCTCACAACCTCTAATAAAGAACACCATGTTTGCTATGTGCTCCCTTCTAGATGAAAAAAAAACAGTCCATAATCTATAAATGCTTTTGGCTAGCAATGATGAACAGCAGCAGCTTTTATTTTTTTTCAAAGCGAAAGCACCAGAAGTTTGGAAAGGAATTGCAAGTTATGTTGTAATGCAACTGATCTCCTTCTTCCTGAGAAAGTTGGTTTCTCGCCAGAGTGTTCAATTCAGGCCCACGCAATCTGGGTGTATTTATAGAGGGTCCAACAAGGAAGAGAACATGATAAGCTTTCCTCCCCAGTATGGTAGACAACGGCAAACAATCGCCAGGTGAATGCTATGGGGAGCCAAATGCCATTTAGGTATGTGACAGCAGACATCTGCTAGACTGAGAGGCCCGCCTGCCCCTCAAAGCAGTTGAATCCGGTCCGAGAAGTTAGAAATATTATTCTGGATGATGGCAAGATCTCAGAGAGTTTTGGGGGCCCTGTCTGTGTGGGGGACATCTAGGAGATGAGACCCACTCTAAAGCTGCCTAATTCTTAACAACATAAAAATGTTAATAAGAAAATAAGAATCCAGCTAGGTGTGGTGGCTCACACCTGTAATCCCAGCATTTTAGGAGGCCAAGGCGGGTGGATCACTTGAGGTCAGAAGTTCGAGACCAGCTTGGGCAACATGGCAAAACCTCATCTCTACTAAAAATACAGAAATTTGCTGGGCATGGTGGCAGGCGCCTATAATCCCAGCTACCTGGGAGGCTGAGGCACGAGAATCACTTGAACCTGGGAGGCGGAGGTTGCAGTGAGCCAAGATCGTGCCACTGCACTCCAGCCTGGGTGACAAATTGAGACTCTGTCTCAAAAAACAAAAAAAAAGAGAGAAGAAAGAATCCCTGCAGCATTTAAGTGTTTTAACACTTTTGAGACCCATAAATATAAATGTTTTATTTACATTATCACATTTATTTCACATATATATTTTAAAAATTAATGCATATATATGTATGTGGAATAAAGTCTGTAAGAATTATATCAAAACATTAGCAGTATTACAGTAATTTTCATTTCCTTTTTATATCTCTCTGCACTCTGCCCAAATGCTTTTTAAAATTATTTTTTAAATCAGAAAAAACAATAAATCTATAGGCTCATACATGTAAATGTTTTATTTACATTATCACATTTTTCACCACTATCCTCTGATTAATAATATCCACTGTTAATTATAGTTAGCTACCATTAATATTCTCTTTTACAGATGAGGAAAATGGCAGTCAGATTGTGAGTAACTAAAAGGTTAAACTTGGACTTGAACCCACGTCCTATTACTCTAAAATTTATGATTTCTTTTTTATTCTGTTGAAGAAATGAGAGCCATTAGCACAGTCTCATTGTCAAGGAGGTCACTTGAAGTAGCCAGAAACTAGCAGCTCCACCTCTAACAATTTCTCCCAAGGAAAGAACATGACAATCTACAAAGATGTATGTATAAGGATATTTCAGTAGCATTGTTTATGAATAACAAAAAAATAAGGCCGGGCTCGGTGGCTCACGTCTGTAATCCCAGCACTTTGGGAGGCTGAGGCGGGCAGATCACGAGGTCAGGAGTTCGAGACCAGCCTGGCCAACATAGCGAAACCCCGTCTCTACTAAAAATACAAAAATTAGCTGGGCATGGTGGTGGGCACCTGTAATCCCAGCTACTCGGGAGGTTGAGGCACAAGAATCGCTTGAAACCGGAAGGCAGAGGTTGCACTGAGCCAAGATCGCGCCACTGCACTCCAGCCTGGGCGAAAGAGCAAAACCCCGTCTCAAAAAAAAAAAAAACATAAAAACAAAAGCAATCCAAATGTCCATCAACAGCAGATTTATTATGGGAACTATGCTGTTTCCATACAATGGAGTAATCTGTAGACATTTAAAAATATTTTTTAAAACACAGTTGTGCATAGAAAGATACCTATCATATATTGCTAAGTAAAAAACAACGCAGACTATGAGACAGTAGTAAAGTACAATCCAATTTTTTAAAAAATTAATGTGTATATATGTATGTGGAATAAAGTCTGTAAGAATTATATCAAAACATTAGTAGTATTACAGTAATTTTCATTTCTTTTTTTATACCTCTCTGTACTCTGCCCAAATACTTTTTAAAAATTATTTTTTTAAATCAGAAAAAATAAATCAATTTTCACTTAAATAAACTTTTTGAAATAGATAAAGACAGATGTAAGACTGAAACCACGCTGGACCAAAGCAAAGCTCTTCCTCCTTGGTCCCCAACTGAGCTGTATTCATCTCTACTGGCTGTCTCAGAAGCAGCCTAGCTTCTGTGAGGAGGCAACAGCAGTATCACTTGGTCTGGTGGCCTGGTGACCTCCTGACCAGTGCATACTGACCCAGTGTTCCAAGCCTTATAGCCTAGAAGTCATCCCCTTAATTCTGAGGGCAGCACCAAGGACCTTTTAGAGACATGGTCCCAGGGACAGCCCCCATGATCTACACCATCCAGGATTCTAGCTGACAGGCACACTCAGAGATGTGTGCACAGTGAGAGGTAGCCCCCATGCATCTGAACTTCTCAGAATAACCCAGTATGATTCTGTCATTCACAAATGGGCCCAAACATTTTAGAATCTATTTCTATTTTTGGCCAGTCCAACTCCTTAGGGAAATAAATTCCTTAGTATTTGATATGCAAAGTAGGGCCTCCCTTTATCTAACCCCAAACCATCTCTTTCAAGTTCAAGGGGATACCCCTCAAACTCCAGTATTCTAGAACTTAAATTGTGGTTACTCTACCTATCACATTGTATGCACTTCTTTTCTTTCTTTTTCTTTTTCTTTTCCTTTCTTTCTTTCTTTTTTTTTTTTTTTTTTTTTGAGACGTAGTTTCACTCTTGTTGCCCAGGCTGGAGTGCAATGGTGCGATCTCAGCTCACCGCAACCTCTGCCTCCTAGGTTCAAGCGATTCTCCTGCCTCAGCCTCCCGAGTAGCTGGGATTACAGGCATGCGCCACCACGCCCAGCTGATTTTTGTATTTTTAGTAGAGACGGGGTTTCTCCATGTTGGTCAGGTTGGTCTTGAACTCCCGACCTCAGGTGATCCGCCCACCTCAGCCTCCCAAAGTGCTGGGATTACAGGCATGAGCCACTGCGCCTGGCCTGTATGCATTTATTTTCTTTTCCCCTTCAGTCGTCATATTTTCAGACTCGAGAAGCTAGTGATTTTAGTTTGTCCCTATATAGCTTTGCTTTGTTCTCCATTCTTCATTGTTTTATTTCACCTTCTCTGGACATTTTCCTGTTCTATTTTGTCTTCTTTAATGTGCCACCAGCAGAACATAACCCCAAATATTCTGGGAATAAGGTACAGTAGCACATATATGGTAGTGCTAAAAACAGTTACCGCAGCTTGAAAGCAACTTCTTTCTTAGTGGGTTGCTAGGTGCAGACATTCACAAGTTCAGCTTTCAATGGGAGAAGAGTGATCATTAAAGAGCTGTGAATGCTGGTCTGTTTTTCCTTACCTTAGAGATGTATATGTGGCCTCCGTTTTACATTGTACTAGGATCTAATGGAACCCCAAACTAGGTTTGATTGTGGGGCAGGGTGGGTGGGGGTGCAGTGGGAAATCCCTCAAATCAGTGAAACAAACGCTGATTCCAAATGTAGCATGCAGGCTCTATAGAATAAGACAGCTCTAATCTCTCAAAGACCAAAGATAAGGCCATCTGACAGCTTTGCAACGTCAGAGACTTTCAGTCATTTCTTTACACACATGTAAAACCTTTAGACGTTCTTGAGAAAATAACCTTTATTTCAAAAAATAGCTTTGAAGTTTGAAAATCAAAGCAGGCCAGCTGTTTCTCAGCACAGAAAGAATTTTTCCTAAACTGCTAGAAAGCTAATAAGGATTTCAAAGGGCAGTGATCACTTACTCTAATGCCCACGGTCCAGGAAGCACCAGGCGTGGGACAAGCTGTTTACTGCAACTAACACATGAACTAGGGAGTGTGCCAGACCTTCCTCTGTGTTTGTCCATCTTTTCCTGTGTCCCAGTATCTAGTTTTTCTCCTTTTCTCTCTCACCATCCCCTGGCCTCTCTCTTTCTATTCTCTACCTTTTGTTTTCTTTTTCTAATCTCTCTGTCTCCTCTTTCCTGACGTTTTTTTTTTCTTTGAGACAGTCTTGCTCTGTCACCCAGGCTGGAGTGCAGTGGCACCATCTCGGCTCACTGCAAACTCTGCCTCCCGGGTTCAAGCAATTCTCCCACCTCAGCCTCTCGAGTAGCTGGGATTACAGGCGCGCGTCACCACACCTGGCTAATTTCTGTATTTTTAGTAGACACGGGGTTTCGCCATGTTGGCCAGGCTGGTCTCAAACTCCTGAACTCAAGTGATGCGCCTGCCTCGGCCTCCCAAAGTGCTGAGATTACAGGCGTGAGCCACCACACCTGGCCTGGACATCTTTTTTTTTAACCTCCTCATTCCCCAAACTTGGTATAGCATACACCTGGAATTTTTTTAAAATTTACTACACCTATTCAATGGAGTTTTCCTTTCCCTGTCCTTATTTTTCTTAAAGAAAACAAGGTGAATGTTTTCTATTTCTTCCACAAACACAAGCAAAAAAAAAAAGCTAAACTAAATCAAGCAGCTTCTTACTTGTGTGTGGCCCCAACTGATTTTTTTTCCTCTGTGGGTCAGTGGCCCTTGATAGAAAAAAAGGTCCCCACCCTTGCACTAAGGGGTCTTGCCAATTTAATTCTTCTTCAGAAAAGGGGATGAATAACAGTATGGACAATTAGTTACTGTGGGTGGGAGAAGGAATTTGGCTGGAGGCAATTTTCTTTGGAAAGCGATAGGACGGCACAAGAGGTTGAAATAGTTCTACGTGTGAAAAATAGAGGGTATGAAATAACTTGGAAAGTTCAGCTGAGAACAGGAGCATCTGGGGCTTATTCATGGTTTTTCAGAAGTTTTTGAAGCTTTTTTATTAGCTGGGTTGACCTCAGATTGAGGAGGAGATTTTTCAAATGTTAAACAGTTTTTTCTTTTGCATTCCTAAAGTCATATTGTGTTCAGCTTGTTAATATCTGCACAGGGGGCCTTCGGCAGAGGCTGCCAGAGCGGCGTGCTTTTGGGACATAGTTCCCTATAGCTGGTATTTCCCTTTCTTGTTGAGGATTTGCATGTGTCTCTTTCATCCACGCATACAGCAGATTCCTCCACAAATAATTGCATTTGACATCACAGTTGTTAGAGAAAATGCAGGGGAGGGGGAAAAGCCTCCCTTTCCTCCACACTGAGACAGCTGGAGGGAGGAAGCAGGTTAGACAGGGAAATACATAAACATACCTGGAATGTAGCAGCAGGTAATTCTGTCTGTGTTAGTCATGATAATAACTTGCATGTTGGAATATCAATAGTGTAGATTCCAAGATGTCTAGGATTTAGAAAGGAACAAAGAAACCACCACATATCAACACCTAGCATCTCACTGATTTACTGTGCCTAAGACAGGAAATATTGGCAAACATGTTTAGTTAGAATCAATGGAGTATGTTCCAAGGTGCCTTCCCCAAATATTTTTTACAGAAGAACTTTAGGCAATTTATTTCCAGCTTCTAGTGGCAGGGGCAAGTGCACCCTGCTGGGAAACTGAAATCTGGCTCATGATAGACTGGCAGGAGTTGGGGGCCGGTGTCAGATTCCATTTGCACTCCCAGTAGAAGTTACTGGAACCCTCAGAAAGGCACACTCTCCAAAAAGGAGTGTTTGTTCAGGGCATGACAGTATTGAGAACAGCAAAAAATAATCTATCCACTAACACTGTGACCAGCAGTAACTTTCTATGTTAGAAATTAACCAGTACTGCCTAAACAGAAGCCCTCATTCTTAATGGTCTGCAAAATGTTCCGTGGCTAAAACTTTTGGAGGTAAGTCAGTGATTTGATTTTTTTTTTTCCTATTAACTGCCAGGCCTACAAAGTTTTCATGCAAGCAAAATAATTTAAACAAATTTCCCAAAATTTGACATTTAAAAATGTTTGGAGCTGTTCTGACACAGACATTCTGTGTTCTGTATTTGGTTTATGGACTATGCCAGGCTCCTTGATTAACAGGTAGAGGACATACCCACAGTTCAATAGATCAACACATAGTATTTGAGTTCTTACTCTAAATGTTTATTGTTTATTCAGTCACTGAGTGTCAGGTACTTGGGTAGGCTCTGGGAGAGACACAAAGATGAATCAGACACAGTACCACCCTCAAAAAGCCTTTGGCCTCATAGAAGAGACAGATACAGACACAAATAATTACAATACAAGGCAGAATGTGATTGAGATTTTAAGACAAGTCCAAACAAAATGTTTTGTGAGCACAGATGAAATGATTAGATTCACCTGCAGGAATTGGGGAAGAATTTATGGAAGAAATTACATATGAGATGGTTCCTGGAAGATAATCAGAATTTCAACAGAGGGGGGATCACTCAAGGCTAAGAGAACAGCGTGGACAAAGCACAGAGGTGTGAAACTGTGTGGCATATTTAGAGAATGTTGATTAGCGAGATGTGTGCGGTGAATTCTGGGAGATGAGGTTGGGATAATGAAGTGGAAGTATACAGTGGGCAGTTATAAATTTGAATTAGGAGCCTGAGGGAAAAGTCTAGACAACAGAATTTTTACTTAAAACAAGCTTGTCCAACCCACGGCCCACGGGACTCATGTGTCCCAGGACAGCTTTGAATGCGGCCCAACATAAATTTGTAAACTTTCTTAAAACATTATGAGATTTCTTTGCGATTTTTTTCTTTTTTTTTTTTTTTAGCTCATCAGCTATTGTTAGTGTTAGTGTATTTTATGTGTGGCCCAAGACAATTCTTCTTCCAGTGTGGCCCAGGGAAGCCAAAAGATTGTACACCCCTGATTTAAAAGTCTAAAAAGTATCATTCCCTGTGAACCACATGCCTTGAGGAACAATATTAGAACTCAGCATCTGTTCTTTGGGGATCCACAACTAAATTTGAGGCAAGGCATTCATATACATCTACATTGGAAAACAGAACGACCTACGTATTGTATGATGCAGTGTACATGGGCACCAGCCAAGAGTGGATGCAGGAGAGCACAATACATTATTGGTAACTTGTCATTTTTGAGGCCAACCTGGAGTTGGTCCAAGTTGCTTGGCCCCCGCTCCAACTCATGTGTCACTCCCTTCCTAGACAAATACTGACACAAACCACAAACAGACTTCATTCATCAGCACTAGTGTTTGGGAAGGAAGGGGACAGAGGAGAAAAGACTGGCAGGCGAGGGAACAAGCAATTCATTTTTAGGCTTGAGAATAAGAAAATTAACTGGTCATAAATTCCAGGTAATCGGTTTTTCTCTTGTTTTATCATGAATAAAGGACGTGTTCACATTTTGAAAGTAACACCTCATAGTACAGAATGGAATAAGCAGGCAAGCCAAATTCATTCTTTGCTTTTGTAAAGTGTGAGAAAGGGAAGTTTTTCTGACCCATACATAGATTCCCTAAAGGACGAAAACCCTTCTCATTATGAACACATAGGTACCTGACACTTTGTGCTGCATTGAAAATAGATTTAATTAAAATATTTAGTAATGACTCATTTTGAGGGCCAGGTATTTACACATCATGATTTTGCCTCTAAGAATTTCATAGATTTAAAAGATAATGTGACCAGGCACGGTGGCTCACACCTGTAATCCCAGCAGTCTGGGAGGCTGAGGCGGGAGGATCAGTTGAGCCCAGGAGTTTGGGACCAGCCTGGGCAACATACCGAAACCCTGTCTCTACCAAAAATAAGAAACTTAGCCAGGCTTGGTGGCATGCATCTGTGTTCCCAGCTACTCGAGAGGCTGAAGTGGGAAGATCGCTTCAGCCAAGGAGGTCAAGGCTGCAGTGAGCCGTGATCAAGCCACTGCACTCTAGCCTGGGTGACAGAGAGAAACCTATCTCTAAAAAAATTTTATTTTAACAAATAAATAATACAAAAGAGAATCTTTGGTGAATTAATGTTGTCCCCAATAGAATTTTCTTCTGGACAACATTATGCAAGTCCCCATGAATGACTTTATAGGAGAAGTCCTGGAAAAGAGTCTAATTTCCCACAAGTGAACTTCCTAGCTCTCCCTTTGAATCTGGTTGGCTAAGGCATCTGCTGCCTTTTTTAAAATTATTTTTTATTTTTTATTTTTTTTTTTGAGATGGAGTCTCACTCTGTTGCCCAGGCTGGAGTGCAGTGGCACGATCTTGGCTCACTGCAACCTCCACCTTCCGGGTTCAAGCGATTTCCGGCTAATTTTTGTATTTTTAGTAGAGACAGGGTTTCACCATGTTGGCCAGGCTGGTACCAAACTCCTGACCTGAAGTGATCCGCCTGCCTCAGCCTCCCAAAGTTCTAGGATTACAGGCGTGAGCCACCACGCCGCACATCTGCTGCCTTTTAAAGCATCATTCTTCCCACTTGATTTTCATCACCCTATACTACAAGGACCAGTGCACCTGTCTTGTATTGGAAAGGAAATAAATGTCAAAGTGAGAACAAAATAAGGACAATTGGCTCATTCCAAGTTTGCGTGGGACTGGAGAACAATTGCTTTTCCCAGCGTGTTGGGCAGGGGTGGTGGGAAGGCAGCTGCATGGGGAAGAAGTGTTAAATTGTGGCTTGTGTTCATATCCATTGCAGCTATCATCCCTTTAAATCACCCCCAAATAATGCTAAGTTCTTATTTAGAAGTAAGTTTTTCAGAGAGCCTGCCATCTGAATAGTGAGGGGAGATCTGCTAGTGAGAAGCCATGCAAATCACCCTCCCCTACCACAAAACAAGATCAGTGCAACAGCAGAGGTTTGGGGCTCCAAATGATTCCATTTTGAATAAGATGTGATGCCAAGGTTGCAATGACTTTTAGGTGTGAAAGATACTGTGGCTATTTATTTATTTATTTACTTTGAGACAGAGTCTCGCTCTGTTGCCCAGGCTGGAGTGCAGTGGCGTGATCTTGGCTCACTGCAACCTCTGCCTCCTGGGTTCAAGCGATTCTCCTGCCTCAGTCTCCCGAATACCTGGGACTACATGTGCATGCCACCATGTCCAGCTAATTTTTGTATTTTTAGTAGAGACAGGGTTTCGCCATGTTGGCCAGGCTGGTCTCGAACTCCTGACCTCAGGTGATCCACCTGCCTTGGCCTCCCAAAGCGTTGGGATTACAGGTGTGAGCCATTGTGCCTAGCCCCTGTGGCACTTCTTAAAGGAGAGTTTGCCCTGATCTCCTTGGCCAAAGTTCACATCTGGTAATCGCATCTGTTGACACTGGCTTCCCTTGTCCTTTCAGCTATGTACAATATTGGCTCTCTCGCATCCTGTCTTAGACTGTTCTATAGTGTTGCTATGTGCTATTAAATAGCAATCGCATTTCACCGAGTGGAGAATGCATGTGGAAATCCTTTGGGAGAAGTGTGCTGTAGAAATGTTGGATTGACAATGTTTTTTTTCTTTTGTGAACCAGGAAGTGTAAGTGTAAGAAACAGATCTAAACACTGTTCGGAATAATTGTTAGTGTGTACGGCAGAGTAAGCAATGACCATATATGCAAGCCCAGGTATTCCAGGGCTCAACAGGGCCCATTAGAGATAGGGAAATGAAAACAGAATGTTTTTTAAAAGTAATTTAAGTGAGTGGGCTTATAGTTCAGAATAACATATAAAGAATTTTGGAGTTTTCTGGAAAGTAGACAGCCTCTATTTGAATGGGCCTTTGCAATTTATGAAGTGTTTTTTTTTTTTTTATGTACACACACTGAATTCCCATAACCATGTGAGATAGGTATAACTCTTATCCTGATTTCACAGCATAGGAAACTAAGGATTTGTGAGGTTCAGGGATCTGCATAAGGTCTCACTTCTGGCAAGTAGAAGAAACAAAATAGATGGGAATCCAGGTTTTCTGACCTTAAATCCTTTGTCTGTTCAGCACACCATAACTAGATGAGTGTGTTGGTTGTGGTTTGATGAATGGAGTGTGAGTCTGGCATACTTTCTTAGGTATATTTTAAACACTGAATGACTAGAATTCCTGGAGATTCTGGAAAGCTCAGTTGTTTTTTGACACCTGAAGGTTAGGACCAAAATTTCAAAATGTTAAACTGTTTTTTAAAATACAGTTTAACATTTCTAAAATAGACTTCCCTACTTTGTCACATGATTGCTTTCTACTGTAGATGGAGGTGCTTTAAGTTGTCACTCTTTTAAACTGCTACTGGCCTTGGCTGTGTCCCAGAGACCTCCAGGCCTCACAGCATAACTCAAATAAGTGCTCTCCTTCTGGTCCATTTTCACTTTCTTGTCATTTTCGTGTTGTTGGATAAAAGTATTTTGCATAGGTAAAAGAGTTAGTATACCTTAGAAATGACTAATTTCTACAGAGCAAGGAGTTTACTCATTGGATAGGATCCTCTCATAGAGATTTATTATTATTAAATATTGGCTGTGGGATGAAAAAGAGAGATTTCAGAAGAGCAGGAATTTCATTTTAAAAAGTGTCAACTTGAACTTCATGGAGTTAATGTGTTTCCTGGCCGACGGCATGATTATAGGTGGTTGAATGCTAGGACAGGGGAGGAGTCTGGTAAGGTACTGCTGGCTGAAAGATAGCTAGCTTTCTACTGGGTTTTTACTCCAAGGGCAGGTATTTTAATCCAAGCTTGAGTTCCTCACTTGGCACACAGACTAGCATAATCTCTCCATCTTGCAAAGACATTTTTGGTTACTTTATTGAGGTATAATTTACATCTCATAAAATTTACCTATTGTAAATGTACAATGCAAAATGTTTTCCTGAATTTATACAATTGTGCAACCATCACCCCAACCCAATTTGGAACATTTCCATCACCCCAACAAGTTGCCCCATAGGCCTGTTTTCCGTCACTTCTCATTCCCACCCCAGCCCCAGGCAACCACTAATCTACTTTCTGTCCTTATAGATTTGCCTTTTCTGAATATTTCATGTAAATGGAATTCTACAAGATGTAATCTTTTGTGTCAGGCTTCTTTCATTTAGCATATTGTTTTTCAGGTTAATCTGTGCTGTAGCATGTGTCTGTACTTTGTTCTTTTTTGTTGCTGAGTAGCATTCCATTGTACAGGTATACATTTTGTTAAGAATATTCATTCACCAGTTGATGGACATTTGGATTGTTTTCTGATTTGGAATGTATGAATAATGCCGCTGTGAACATACACATACAAATCTTTGTGTAGATGTAATATTTGCACTTCTTTGAGGTAGATACCTAAGAGTGTAATGGCTTGGTCATATAATAAATATATGTTTAACTTTTTCAGAAACTGCTAAACTATTTTTGCAAAATGGCTGTACCATTTTACATTCCCATTAACAATGCATGAGGGTTCTTTTTATCCATATCCTATTCTACATATGGTATTGTCATTCGTTGATTATAGACTTTCTGGTGGGTGTGTAGTGGTATCTCATTGTGGTTTTAATTTGCATTTCCCTAGCAAGTGATGATATTAAGTATCTTTTCATAAGCCTATTATCCACTGGTACATATTCTTTCATGAAATATCTATTCAAATAGTTTTTAATGGATATTTTATAGTTTCAATGGAGAGAAAAAAGTGGAAAGAATATGACTATGCCAGGAGATTTTTTGCATTCTCCCCTCCTAAGTATTCATCAGTCTTTGTTTATTTTTGTAGTTGGCTTTGGGAGTTTTGTTTGTACTGTTTTGAGCAAGTAAAGGGCTGACATGGTCCATAGCAATTCATTGAACTAAACAGAATTTCTGTATGGAGTAGGAATAGAGTTTCTCTCCTCTAGAGCAGAGGTAAAGTTACCTTAAACTGCTTTGGGTGAGATATTACAAAGTGCTTTCATATGTATTATCTCATTGACTCTCTGTAGTTGTTTCATGAGGTACATGCTTTTATGATCTGCTCTTTACAGATGAGACTGATTGGATAAGTGACTTATACCAGGATCATCAGTTGGTAAATTGGTAGAGCCGACTCTTGACCCCAGGTCTCCAAATCCTCTACTCTTTCCACTATAGCAGGCAATCACACTTAAGGTCCACTTTATTTTCATGTATCAGAACTCTGGCAAAGCCCAGACCAGCACCTTCAGGATATCACATGTGGGAATGGCTGCTGGGTAAACTTTGAGGAAGTGTTTCCTCCCATACCTGAGTAAATGGCTTTGCCCATTTTCCCTTGGCCCAGATGTCTGGATCTCTGTGTTATGAGCAAACTGATTGTAATCTGGAAACAATGAGGACTCAGAACATCTGTTGAGAGAAGGAAATCTAATAGATGAGATGGCATATTCTGATTGGAGATTATTTTAGGTACAAATCAGTTTACATAAAACCAACTAAATAATGTTTAATTGACAAAATGCTAAGGCATAGGTCAAAATATTGTTTTAAAATTATTAAACATAGAAATGAGAATACTAATATATTTATTACTGGAGAAATGACATTAAAATATATTATATTCAGTGCTCCCTAAGGTTTTAAGAAAGTTTTATTGGTGTGGGGAGTGTGTGAGTAACAGTTCTGTATCACTCAGGGGCACATTTTAAAGCTTTTTATCTGTTTGGCCTCATAAATCATTGAACATGCATGATAATTTCAGTATTTAATATGCATATGAAAATTCACATACTGCCTCACATACTCAAATACAGCATGCGTGCACACACACAGACACACACACACAGAGACATATACACATCCTTTGTTAGATGGTATGCTTTGGTTGAGTTGAAAATATGGTTATTATTACTGGGGCATATAAGAGAAATGTAAAGCACAGTCCCTTCCCCTGTAAAGCTTACAAGTTATGGAGCACTGCATGTTCACACAGAAAGAACAATTAGAAAATAGTATAAGGCAGAACCTAAGCAACTGCTAATTTGGGCACAAAAACAGTAAGAATTACGAAAAGGAAGAGATCACTGGAAGCTACGTGCTGTGGCCAAAGCAACTAGCATAGTGTTGGACTATCTATCTATTTAGCTATCCATTCATCCATCATCATCTATCTTAAACTTTTAAAATTACATATGTTCATTGGAGAAATTTAGAAATTATATATAAGTAAAAATAAGTTAATCTACCCCTAATCCTACTACACAGAGATAACCACTCTTTGAGCACATATGTTGTGTTGCTTTTAAAGTAACAAGTGTTGGTGGGGTATGCTGGCTCACACCTGTAATCCCAGCACATTGGGAGACCGAGGCAGAAGGATCACATTAGGTCAGGAGTTTGAGACCAACCTGGCCAACATGGCGAAACCCCGTTTTTACTAAAAATACAAAAACTAGCCAGACATGGTAGTACACATCTATAATCCTAGCTACTTGGGAGGCTGAGACATGAGAATCAGTTGAACCCAGGAGTCAGAGGTTGCAGTGAGCTGAGATTGCACCACTGCATTCCAGCCTGGGCAACAGAGGGAGACACTGTCTCAAAAAAATTTTTTAAAAAATTTTTAAAGTGGTAAATGTTAACTGTTTTAAAAATAACCCAAAATTCCTGTATCCTGAAAAAAATCATTATCACATACTCAAATACAGCATGCATGCACACACACACATTCATTCATTCTGGCAGTATGTCCTAAACTGTGTTCCACAGAACTTTTGTTGGTTTGAGTTTGTTTTTTTTTTAATACGTGCTCCTTCAGCAAGCACATGAAAAATGCTCATCATCATTGAACAATTGGTAAATGTAAGTTAAAACCACAATGAGTTATCACGTCATACCCAATTAGAATGGCTACTATAAAAAAAAACAACAACAGAAAATAACAAGTGTTGGGGAGGATGTGGAGAAATTAGAACCCTTGTGCACTGTTGGTGGGAAAGTAAAATGGTGTAGCTGCTATGAAAAACAGTATGGTGGTTCCTCAAAAAATTAAAAATAGAATTATCATATGATCCAGCAATCCCACTTCTGGGTGTATTTAATATTCAAAACAATTGAGAGCAAGGTCTGCAAGAGATATTTGAACACTCATGTTCATAGCAGCATTATTCATAATAGCCAAAAGTTATTGGCATAATAGCAGCCCAAGTGTTTATCAACAGATGAATGGATAAGAAAAAATTTGGTATATACATACAATGGAATATTATTCAGCCTTAAAAAGAAGGGAATCCTGTCACATTCTACAACATGGATGAACCTTAAAGACATCATGCTAAGTTAAATAAGCACCACAAAAGGACAAATATTGTTTGACTTCACTTATATAAGATATCTAGAGTAGTCAAACTCATAGAAATAGGAAGCAGAGTTGGTGGTTGCCAGGGACTATGGGGAGAAGGAAATAGGCAGTTGTTTAACAGGTACAGAGTTTTAATTTTGCAAGATGAAAATGTTCTGGAGATTGGTTGTACAGTAATGCAAATATATTTAACACTACTGAACTGTACACTGAAAAATGGTTAATATGGTATATTTTTGTGTGTTTTACTACAAGTAATGTTTTAAAAAATGTGTTCCATGTGCTCAAGTAAGGAAACAGTGGACCAAACAAAATTAATGTAGTTTGTTTATAGCAAGACTTCTCAGAACCTTTAATATACTAATGTGTATTGTGACTCTGCATGAGGAGATACAGTGTAATGTGTTTTCCCAACTTATCTGACCATGGGTCTCTTTTTCCAATATATTATGGGACTAGCAAAATATATTAAGGAACACACTTTAGGAAATATTACTACAAAATGTTGGTGATTTAAGGTCTTACCTCTCTAAGAGACATTTGATTTCAAGGAGACACCTGGGGTGATTAATGTTTATTCCAAAGGAATGTGTCTCTAGAGATAGAATGTCAAGTCTTGTAAATACCTAAGAAGGAAAAGGTCTGGGGCACAAGGCCACCCAGCACCTCTCAGATCTCTGCTTGTCGACAGCCAAATATTCGGCCTGCCTGGAAGGTCAGCCCAGCATTTTGGCAATTGAGAGGAAGCCTTCAAATTTAGAAACTACTCTTAGGAGGCAACAATCTTCAGTGTCTGATTATAGAGTTTCGTAATTTCATTAAGGCATCCAGTCATTCCAGTACAGACAGCAGCCATTTCCAAGCAAGAACTTTAATGCTGTACTGGAAACTCTGGATGGACAGAATTCAGGTCAAGGGAAAGATAATTCTCTAGGTTGAATATCTTCATGTGTAATTCAAAACGAGAGTTTGCTAGTAGATTTAAATGTACTGTAGTTGAGTTAAAGGAGGATGTCATGGTTAAAAGCCAAGCATTTCCTCTAGGAGCAGGTGAAAAAACAGCTGACATTCCTGATTGTTTTTCTAAGTGTTTAAAATGACTTTTCCAGACCTGAAGCCTGTAAGCATTTTATTAACATTTGATTAGCAATTATTCCTTACTGTGTTGAACCTGAAATTAGGATCAGGTTTCCTTACATTACCACAAACACACACACACAAAACACAAACCCCAAGTAACTCAACTCTTTCTTTATTCTTTTTCTTTTCCTTTTCCTTTTTTTCTTTTTTCTTTTTTATTTTTGAGATGGAGTTTCACTCTTGTTGCCCAGGCTGGAGTGCAATGGCACGATCTCGGCTCACCACAACCTCCACCTCCTGAGTTCAAGCGATTCTCCTGCCTCAGCCTCCCAAGTAGCTGGGATTACAGGCATGCACCACCATGCCTGACTAATTTTGTATTTTTAGTAGAGGCAGGGTTTATCCATGTTGGTCATGCTGGTCTCGAACTCCTGACCACAGGTGATCTGCCCGCCTTGGCCTCCCAAAGTGCTGGGAATACAAGCATGAGCCACTGCGCCCGGCCAACTCTTTTTCACAAAGGTTCATTCCAAAATAATTTCCCCTTTCCCTTTCCTTAGCAATCTCAAAGAATCATAGACTGAGGCCAGGTGTGGTGGCTCACACCTGTAATCCCAGCACTTTGGGAGGCCGAGGCAGGCAGATCACGAGGTCAGGAGTTCTAGACCACCCTGGCCAACGTAGTGAAACCCTGTCTCTACTAAAAATACAAAAATTAGCCGGGCATGGTGATGCGTGCCCGTAGTCCCAGCTACTTGGGAGGCCGAGGCAGGAGAATCGCTTGAACCTGGGGGGTGGAGGTTGTGGTGAGCTGAGATCGTGCCACTGCACTCCAGCCTGGGCAACAAAGCGAGACTTTGTCTCAAAAACAAACAAACAAACAAACAAAAAAGAATCATAGACTGTCAGAGCTGGGAAAGACTTAGAGCTCATGTAGTCCAACTCCTTTTTTGGACATATGGGGAAACCAAGGAGCAGAGAGGTGGAGCGATTTCCCCCAATACTCAAAGAGTGACAGAGCTGAGAAAACCTGACTGCTTGTCTAGTGCTCTTTCTAATATAGTTACTTCATTAGAAGATGATCCATGGAGGCCCAATATATCTATGACTACAGGTCAAATTGGTTTATAATGTATTGGACAAGCAAATAATAACGGTTTTATTTGAATGCCAGAATGTGATTTCTCATAGGTAATACAATTTGTAAGCTGAGCATGAAATTTAAAACCTGAAATGAATCAGTGTTCACAGCATGTAAGAATGTATATTACAAGTGTAATGTAACATTTTGTTTTATGTGTAAATATATAGCAGTTAGGTCAAATACATCCACCAGAATTACTTGGTGGCCTTGATTCGCGTGGACATCCATAGCAGATTCTGAAGAGAATTTTTACTGTGAATTATATGGCTTCATAGGTACTCTGTATGCCATACCCTATTTGTAAGTTGCAAGCAGGAAATAGTTGATAGCAAAGGTCAGCTAGAGTATAATGGAGATAAAATGTTGGTTGCGTAAAATTTTTTAAAAAGAGGGCTCTTTAGTAATGTTTATAATCACTTGCTAATTAACATATTGGTGTGTTATGTATTTGAGGCCACATATCTTTTTTTTTTTTTTTGAGACAGAGTCTTGCTCTGTTGCCCAGGCTGGAGTGCAGTGGTGCAATCTCAGCTCACTGCAACCTCCACCTCCCGGGTTCAAGTGATTCTCCCAACTCAGCCTCCTGAGTAGCTGGGGTTACAGGCGTGTGCCACCATGCCTGGCTAATTTTTGTATGTTTAGTAGAGACAGGGTTTCCTCATGTTGGCCAGGCTGGTCTTGAACCCCTGACCTCAGGTGATCTGCCCGCCTCAGCCTCCCAAAGTGCTGGGATTACAGGTGTGAGCCACCACTCCCGGCCAAGGCCACATGTCATTAAGCAGCTTCAAATCCATCAACCAATTAGGATAACAATTCTGATGTCAACTAGTAGTTTATTTCATGGTTCTCTACAGGGATTCTTACCACATTAGAATAATTAATGTCAGGACACACTGTTTTTGATGTTGCTTGGGAGAAGCCACAACTAAGTAAACAACCTCATTGGTTTGTGAATGCAAATATTGAGATAGCTGGAGTCTAGTTTTTTTAGGATAGCTAAACAACGACCTCTGAATGGAGGGGTTATAAAGAACAACAACAAATAGAAGAGTGGATTTAAAGATTGTTAAAATGCTTAAACCATCGACACAAAAAGTCATACTTCTTAAGACATATTTTCCCTCTGTTCTAGACTCCAGGATCCTCATCTACTGATGTCAAACAATAGTGCAAACAGGGAGTCTTGTAAGCGGCTCTTTGTAAAGAGAATTAATGACTTGGTAAATGCAGTACTTGGCAGTAAACATTATATTCCTATAGCCTTAGCCCATAGGGCTCTGCGTTTACTCAGAGCCTAGGGAGGCAGATTTCCCCATAGAGACTGCCCACAGAATCATTTGTTTCCTTTGTGGATTTGGAATGGATTTGGAATTTGTACTTTTTCTCTTTTTGTAACAATAAGCCTCAAAACATTGCATATGCTGTCCTAAGATACCTGCGGATCAAAACATATAAGCCTTTAAATTCACTTAGCCAGTTTTAGAAGTTGGCCTTTGTTGAATTTGTACTTATCAGATAGAAAGCCAGCAACATTAGTTTAGAGGAAAGAGTGTAGCTATGTTCTGAAAGCATTTGATGGTTATATTTGATGAAGCTGGGAATATGATGGAAATTTCAGAAATATAACAACCTCCTATGCCATGTTTCTGGCTTGGTATCCAGTCATTCACACAGTCCCTGTTAATATTAACGGTAGGAATGAATTTTACTCCCCCAGGAAACTATAAACTTTCAATATTTTATTCATGGTTTAAGAATACTTTTGACTTTTGAACCTAAGATTTTAGCCAAATAAGAACTATTTACTGAACTCTTTTTTTTTATACTTTTAAGTTTTAGGGTACATGTGCACAGCGTGCAGGTTTGTTACATATGTATACATGTGCCATGTTGGTGTGCTGCACCCATTGACTCGTCATTTACATTAGGTATATCTCCTAATGCTATCCCTCCCCCCTCCCCCCACCCTGCGACAGGCCTCAGTGTGTGATGTTCCCCACCCTGTGTCCAGTTGTTTTCATTGTTAAATTCCCACCTTTGAGTGAGAACATGTGGTGTTTGGTTTTCTCTCCTTGTGATAGTTTGCTCAGAATGATGGTTTCAGCTTCATCCATGTCCCTACAAAGGACATGAACTCATCCTTTTTTACAGCTGCATAGTATTACATGGTGTATATGTGCCACATTTTCTTAATCCAGTCTATCATTGTTGGACATTTGGGTTGGTTCCAAGTCTTTGCTATTGTGAATAGTGCCACAATAAACATACGTGTGCATGTGTCTTTATAGCAGCATGATTTATAATCCTTTGGGTATATACCCAGTAATGGGATGGCTGGGTCAAATGATAATTCTACTTCTAGATCCTTGAGGAATCGCCACACTGTCTTCCACAATGGTTGATCTAGTATACAGTCCCACCAACAGTGTAAAAGTGTTCCTATTTGTCCACATCCTCTCCAGCACCTGTTGTTTCCTAACATTTTAATGATCGCCATTCTAACTGGTGTGAGATGGTATCGCATTGTGGTTTTGATTTGTATTTCTCTGATGGCCAGTGATGATGAGCATTTTTTCATGTGTGTGTTGGCTGCATAACTGTCTTCTTTTGAGAAGTGTCTGTTCATATCCTTTGCCCACTTTTTGATGGGGTTGTTTGATTTTTTTCTTGTAAATTTGTTTAAGTTCCTTGTAGATTCTGGATATTACCCCTTGAGAGATGGGTAGATTGTAAAAATTTTCTCCCATTCTGTAGGTTTCTGTTCACTCTGATGATAGTTTCTTTTGTTATGCAGAAGCTCTTTAGTTTAATTACATCCCATTTGTCAATTTTGGCTTTTGTTGCCATTGCTTTTGGTGTTTTAGTCATAAAGTCCTTGCCCATGCCTATGTCCTGAATGGTATTGCCTAGGTTTTCTTCTAGGGTTTTTATGATTTTAGGTCTAACATTTAAGTCTTTAATCCATCTTGAATTAATTTTTGTATAAGGTGTAAGGAAGGGATCCAGTTTCAGCTTTCTACATATGTCTAGCAAGTTTTCCCAGCACCACTTATTAAATAGGGAATCCTTTCCCCATTTCTTGTTTTTGTCAGGTATGTCAAAGATCAGATGGTTGTAGATGTGTGATATTATTTCTAAGGGCTCTGTTCTATTCCATTGGTCTATATCTCTGTTTTGGTACCAGTACCATGCTGTTTTGGTTACTGTAGCCTTGTAGTATAGTTTGAAGTCAGGTAGCGTGATGCCTCCAGCTTTGTTCTTTTGGCTTAGGATTGTCTTGGCAATGCAGGCTCTTTTTTGGTTCCATATGAACTTTAAAGTAGTTTTTTCCAATTCTGTGAAGAAAGTCATTGGTAGCTTGATGGGGATGGCATTGAATCTATAAATTACCTTGGGCAGTATGGCCATTTTCACAATATTGATTCTTCTTATCCATGAGCATGGAATGTTCTTCCATTTGTTTGTGTCCTCTTATTTCATTGAGCAGTGATTTGTAGTTCTCCTTGAAGAGGTCCTTCACATCCCTTGGAAGTTGGATTCCTAGGTATTTTATTCTCTTTGTAGCAATTGTGAATGGGAGTTCACTCATGATTTGGCTCTCTGTTTGTCTGTTATTGGTGTATAAGAATGCTTGTGATTTTTGCACATTGAGTTTGTATCCTGAGACTTCGCTGAAGTTGCTTATCAGCTTAAGGAGATTTTGGGCTGAGACGATGGGGTTTTGTAAATATACAATCATGTCATCTGCAAACAGGGGCAATTTGACTTCCTCTTTTCCTAATTGAATATCCTTTACTTCTTTCTCCTGCCTGATTGCCCTGGCCAGAACTTCTAACACTATGTTGAATAGGAGTGGTGAGAGAGGGCATCTCTGTCTTGTGCCAGTTTTCAAAGGAAATGCTTCCAGTTTTTCCCCATTCAGTATGATATTGGCTGTGGGTTTGCCATCAATAGCTCTTATTATTTTGAGATACGTCCCATCAGTACCTAGTTTATTGAGAGTTTTTAGCATGAAGCGTTGTTGAATTTTATCAAAGGCCTTTTCTGCGTCTATTGAGATAATCATGTGGTTTTTGTCTTTGTTTCTGTTTATATGATGGATTACATTTATTGATTTGCATATGTTGAACCAGCCTTGCATCCCAAGGATGAAGCCAACTTGATCGTGGTGGATAAGTTTTTTGATGTGCTGCTGGATTTGGTTTGCCAGTATTTTAGTGAGGATTTTTGCATCAATGTTCATCAGGGATATTGGTCTAAAATTCTCTTTTTTTTTTTGTTGTGTCACTGCCAGGCTTTGGTATCAGGAGACTACTGGCCTCATAAAATGAGTTAGGGAGGATTCCCTCTTTTTCTGTTGATTGGAATAGTTTCAGAAGGAATGGTACCAGCTCCTCTTTGTACCTCTGGTAGAATTCAGCTGTGAATCCCTCTGGTCCTGGACTTTTTTTTGGTTGGTAGGCTATTAATTATTGCCTCAATTTCAGAGACTGTTATTGGTCTATTCAGGGATTCAACTTCTTCCTGGTTTAGTCTTGGGAGGGTGTATGTGTCCAGGAATTTTTCCATTTCTTCTAGATTTTCTAGTTTATTTGCATAGAGGTGTTTATAGTATCCTCTGATGGTAGTTTGTATTTCTGTGGGATTGGTGATGTTATCCCCTTTATCATTCTTTATTGTGTCTATTTGATTCTTCTCTCTTTTCTTCTTTATTAGTCTTGCTAGTGGTCTGTCAATTCTGTTGATCTTTTCAAAAAACCAGCACCTTGGATTCATTGATTTTTTGAAGGGTTTTTTGTGTCTCGATCTCCTTCAGTTCTGCTCTGATCTTAGTTATTTCTTGCCTTCTGCTAGCTTTTGAATGTGTTTGCCCTTGCTTCTCTAGTTCTTTTAATTGTGATGTTAGGGTGTCAATTTTAGATCTTTCCTGCTTTCTCTTGTGGGCATTTAGTGCTATAAATTTCCCTCTACACACTGCTTTAAATATGTCCCAGAGATTCTGGTATGTTGTGTCTTTGTTCTCATTGGTTTCAAAGAACATCTTTATTTCTGCCTTCATTTCGTTATGTACCCAGTAGTCATTCAGGAGCAGGTTGTTCAGTTTCCATGTAGTTGAGCAGTTTTGAGTGAGTCTCTTAATCCTCAGTTCTAGTTTGATTCCCTGTGGTCTGAGAGACAGTTTGTTAAAATTTCTGTTCTTTTATATTTGCTGAGGAGTGCTTTACTTCCAACTATGTGGTCAATTTTGGAATAGGTGTGGTGTGGTGCTGAGAAGAATGTATATTCTGTTGATTTAGGGTGGAGAGTTCTGTAGATGTCTATTAGGTCCGCTTGGTGCAGAGCTGAGTTCAATTCCTGGATATCCTTGTTAACTTTTTGTCTTGTTGATCCATCTAATGTTGGCAGTGGGGTGTTAAAGTCTCCCATTATTATTGTGTGGAAGTCTAAGTCTCTTTGTAGGTCTCTAAGGACTTGCTTTATGAATCTAGGTGCTCCTGTATTGAGTGCATATATATTTAGGATAGTTAGCTCTTCTTGTTGAATTGATCCCTTGGCATTATGTAATGGCCTTCTTTGTCTCTTTTGATCTTTGTTGGTTTAAAGTCTGTTTTATCAGAGATTAGGATTGCAACCCCTGCCTTTTTTTGTTTTCCATTTGCTTGGTAGATCTTCCTCCATCCCTTTATTTTGAGCCTATGTGTGTCTCTGCACGTGAGATGGGTCTCCTGAATACAGCACACTGATGGGTCTTGACTCTTTATCCAATTTGCCAGTCTGCGTCTTTTAATTGGAGCATTTAGCTCATTTACCTTTAAGGTTAATATTGTTATGTGTGAATTTAATCCTGTCATATGATGTTATCTGGTTATTTTGCTCGTTAGTTGATGCAGTTGCTTCCTAGCCTTGATTGTCTTTATAATTTGGCATGTTTTTGCAGTGTCTGGTACCAGTTGTTCCTTTCCATGTTTAGTGCTTCCTTCAGGAGCTCTTGTAAGGCAGGCCTGGTGGTGACAAAAATCTCTCAGCATTTGCTTTCCTGTAAAGGATTTTATTTCTCATTCACTGATGAAGCTTAGTTTGGCTGGATATGAAATTCTGGGTTAAAAATTCTTTTCTTTAAGAATGTTGAATATTGGCCCCCACTCTCTTCTGGCTTGTAGAGTTTTTGCCGAGAGATCAGCTGTTAGTCTGATGGGCTTCCCTTTGTGGGTAACCCGACCTTTCTCTCTGGCTGCCCTTAACATTTTTTCCTTCATTTCAACTTTGGTGAATTATGTTTCTTGGAGTTGCTCTTCTCGAGGAGTGTCTTTGTGGCGTTCTCTGTATTTCCTGAATTTGAATGTTGGCCTGCCTTGCTAGGTTGGGGAAGTTCTCCTGAATAATATCCTGCAGAGTGTTTTCCAACTTGGTTCCATTCTCCCTGTCACTTTCAGGTACACCAGTCAGACGTAGATTTGGTCTTTTCACATAGTCCCATATTTCTTGGAGGCTTTGTTCATTTCTTTTTACTCTTTTTTCTCTAAACTTCTCGCTTCATTTCATTCATTTGATCTTCAGTCACTGATACCCTTTCTTCCAGTTGATCGAATCGGCTACTAAAGCTTGTGCATGCATCACGTAGTTCTTGTGCCATGGTTTTCTTCTCCATCAGAGAAGCACTCACTCCATTTAAGTGCTTCTCTACACTGTTTATTCTACTTAGCCATTCATCTAATCTTTTTTCAAGGTTTTCAGCTTCTTTGCGATGGGCTTGAATATCCTCCTTTAGCTCAGAGAAGTTTGTTATTACCGATCATCTGAAGCCTTCTTCTCTCAAATCGTCAAAGTCATTCTCCTTCCAGCTTTGTTCTGTTGCTGGTGAGGAGCTGCATTCCTTTGGAGGAGAGGAGGTGCTCCGATTTTTAGAATTTTCAGCTTTTCTGCTCTGGTTTCTCCCCATCTTTGTGGTTTTATCTACCTTTGGTGTTTGATGATGGTGACATACAGATGGGGTTTTGGTGTGGATGTCCTTTCTGTTTGTGAGTTTTCCTTCTAACAGTCAGAAACCTCAGCTGCAGGTCTGTTGGAGTTTGCTGGAGGTCCACTCCAGACCCTGTTTGCCTGGGTATCACCAGCAGAGGCTGCAGAACAGCAAATGTTGCAGAATGGCAAATGTTGCTGCCTGATAGTTCCTCTGGAAGCTTCATCTCAGAGGGGCACCTGGCCGTACGTGGTGTCAGTTGGCCCCTTCTGGGAGGTGCCTCCCAGTTAGGCTACTTGGGGATCAGGCACCCAGTAGAGGAGGCAGTCTGTCTGTTCTCAGATCTCAAACTCCATGCTGGGAGGACCACTACTCTCTTCAAAGCTGTCAGACAGGAACGTTTAACTCTGCAGAACTTTCTGCTGCCTTTTGTTCAGCTATGCCCTGCCCCCAGAGGTGGAGTCTGCAGAGGCAGGCAGGCCTTCTTGAGCTGCAGTGGACTCCACCCAGTTTGAGCTTCCTGGCCGCTTTGTTTACCTAGTCAAGCCTCAGCAATGGCAGACGCCCCTCCCCCAGCCTCATTGCCACCTTGCAGTTCGATCTCAGACTGCTGTGCTAGCAGTGAGCAAGGCTCCGTGGGCGTGGGACCCTCCAAGCCAGGCGCGGGATATAATCTCCTGGTGTGCCATTTGCTAAGACCATTGGAAAAGCACACTATTAGGGTGGGAGTGTCCCGATTTTCCAGATACCGTCTGTCACAGCTTCCTTTGGCTAGGAAAGGGAATTCCCCAACCCCTTGCACTTCCCGGGTGAGGTGATGCCCTGCCCTGCTTCGGCTCACGCTCCGTGGACTGCAACCACTGTCCGAAAAGCCCCAGTGAGATGAACCCGGTACCTCAGTTGGAAATGCAGAAATCACCTGTCTTCAGCATCACTCATGCTGGGAGCTGTAGACTGGAGCTGTTCCTATTCGGCCATCTTGGAACCTCTCCCCTGAACTCTTTTTTTTTCCCAGTGCTTCTTCTTGTGCTAAAACTCTATAGGCCCTTATCATACAGAACTAGTTATACTGCTGCTTCTTGTTGAGGAAAAGAGTCAAACCCTGTAAAATATTTGAAGAGATGTATTCTGAGCCAAATATGAGTGACCAATGGCCCATGACACAGCCCTCAGGGGATCCTGAGAATGTGTACCCAAGGTGGTTGGGCCACAACTTGGTTTTATGTATTTTAGGGAGATATGTATCAATTAATACATGTAAGATGTACATTGGTTTGGTCCGGAAAGGTAGGAAAACCGGAAATGTAGGCTTCCAGGTCATAGATGGTTTCAAAGATTTTTTGATTGGCAATTGGTTGAAGCACTTATAATCAATAGAAAGGAATACCTGGGTTACAATAAGGAATTGTGGAGACCAAGGTTTTATTGTGCAGATGAAGCCTCCAGGTAGCAGGCTTCGGAGAGAATAGATTGCAAGTGTTTCCTGTCAGATTATAGAGTCTGCTCTATCAGTAATTCCAAAAGGGTGGGAGGAGGGTATAATGAGGCATATCTGGCTCCCTTTCCCATCATGGCCTGAACTAGTTTTTCCAGGTTAACTTTGGGACACCCTGGGCTGAGCAAGGAGTGGTCCATTCAGATGGTTGAGGGGCCTTAGAATTTTATTTTTGGTTTACATTCTTGATGGCTCTTCTCCTTGTATATCTCACTTTCCATGGGCTAAATGAATACTGAAAGCAAATCTGTGAAAAATCCTTTTGCAAGATTGAGACCCCTGAGATTTTTGGTGTAATAAGATAATTGATGTGCTGGCATCATAGTTCTCAGGCAAGTTGAAGTAGAAAAATAAAATAAAGGTTCCTTCTTAGAATTATCCCA
Organism: Homo sapiens; assembly: GCF_000001405.40. NCBI lineage: Eukaryota > Metazoa > Chordata > Mammalia > Primates > Hominidae > Homo > Homo sapiens. The sequence goes on along the minus strand of NC_000023.11, from coordinate 133,620,294 downwards.
AGGAAATATCTTTTCACAGGAGGGGATACCAAGTCATACCTATAAAGAGTAGAATTTTTTTTTTTTTTTTTTTTTGAGACAGAGTCTTGCTCTGTCTCCCAGGCTGAAGTGCAGTGGTGTGATCTTGGGTCACTGCAACCTCCACCTCCTGGGTTCAAGTGATTCTCCTGCCTCAGCCTCCCAAGTAGCTGGGATTACAGGTTCCCGCCACCTCACCCAACTAATTTTTCATATTTTTAGTAGAGATGGGGTTTCACCGTGTTAGCCAGGATGGTCTTGATCTCCTGACATCATGATCCGCCCACCTCAGCCTCCCAAAGTGCTGGGATTACAGGCATGAGCTACCATGCCCGGCAAGAGTAGAATTTTTCAATCACCTTCTTAACACCAGACAATAGGAAGTTTGGTTCTGAATTTGGGGTTGCAAATTCTTCCTAATTGGTTAGTGCCCTTTTTGTTGTCTTTTTTTTATTGAGTAAAATACACATACTATAAAATTCACCCTTTTAAAATGTACAATTCAGTGGTTATTAGTATATTGACCAAGTTCTGCAACCATCACCTCTAACTCCAGAATATTTGAATCATCTCAAAAAGAAACTCCATTATGCCCCTTACCCCTGACCCCTGGCAACCCCTAATCTACTTCATATTTCTATGGATTAACCTATTCTGATAGTTCATATAAATGGCATCATATCATATATAGTTTTTTTTATGTCTGGCTTTCTTAGCATAATGTTTTCAAGGTTCATCCACAATGTAGCATGTATCAGTACTCATTCCTTTTTATGGCTGAATAGTATTTCATTGTATAGAAACAATATATTATGTTTATCCATGCATCTGTTGTTGGACATTTTGGCTGTTTCCACCTTTTGGCTATTGTGAATAATGATACCACAAACATTGGTGTACGAGTATCTGTTTGAGTTCCTGCTTTCAGTTATTTGGGGCATATACCTAGGAGCAGAATTGCTGGATTATATGTAATTTTATGTTTATCTGATTGAAGAACCACCAAACTGTTTTCTGCAATGAATCCACCATTTTACATTCCCACCAGCATTGTATGAGGATTCTGTTTTCTCCATATCCTAACACCTGTTATTTTCCATTTTTAAAATTATTATTACAGCCATCTAAGTGGTTGTGAAATAGTATCTCATTGTGGTTTTGATTTCATTTCATTTATGGCTTATGATGTTAAGCATCTTTTCATTGGCAATTTCTATATCTTCTTTGGAGAAATGTTTATTCAGATCCTTTGTCCATTTTTTTTTAAATTGGGTATTTGCCTTTTTATTTTTGACTTGTAAGAGTTCTTTAGATATTCTGGATACAAGACTCTTCAGATATATGGTTTGCAAAAACTTTCTCCCATTCTGTGGGTCATCATTCCACTTTTTGATGGTATCTTTTGATTCATAAAAGTTTTAAATTTTGATGAAATCCAATTTATCTATTTTTTCTTTGGCCATTAAATATGCTTTTGCTTAACCCAAGTTCACAAAACCCTATGTTTTCTTCTCAAAGTTCTGTCATTTTTGCTCTTACATTTTAACCTTTGGTCTATTTTTTTTTTTTTTTTTTTGATACAGTGTCTTTCTCTGTGACCCAGGCTGGAATGCAGTGGCATGATTTTGGCTCACTGCAACCTCCACCTCCTGGGTTCAAGTGATTCTCCTGCCTCAGCCTCCCGAGTAGCTGGGATTACAGGTGACCGCTACCACACCTGGCTAATTTAACCCTTGGTCTATTTTGAATTTATTTTTGTATATGGTATTAGATAGGGATCCAAATGTACTCTTTTGCATGTGATATCCAGGTCTCCCACCACCATTTGTTGACAAGAGCATTCTTTCATTTTGAATTTATTTCATTATGAATTTTGAATTTCATTTTGAATTTCTTTCATTATGAATGAAAAGAGCATTCATTTATTCATTCATTTGTATCCAGACGGTTTAAGAAAAAAATCTGTCTTATATTTTTAGTATATAGGAGCCAGTGTTGCTTCTATTTGTTTTGAATACAAATTCCATTTTTCTTTGCATATTAGACCCTATATGTAAGAAACAACTTTACACAATAATTTGTTTGCTGGTAATATTTGGACAAGTGCCATAAATTCATGTGTATTGTACTTTCTGAATAGATTTTTTCTAATCATAGCAAAATTTATTTATTTCAAAACTACAACTCTTTGAAGTGTTCAGCTATAATAAAATTTAGTTATAAAATTATGTGGCACTACTGAAAATCTAAAGGATAATCTGAAGAATGAGTAAGACAAATATTGATAGTAATTTTTAGTATTTTCAAAATGTTTCGGTTCACACACATAAATGAAATCATTTTAAAAACTAGGGGCTGGGCACAGTGGCTCACACCTGTAATCTTAGCACTTTGGGAGGCTGAGGTAGGAGGATTGCTTGAGCACAGGAGTTGGAGACCAGCCTGGGCAACATAGCGAGACCCCTGTAGCTATAAAAATAATAATGATAACTAGGTACCATATTTCAGAAACCATTGTGAAAAATAATAACTAGGGATTGATTATAGTATCTTTACTCTGTATTCACAAATTGATCTCTATATTCCTGAACATATTTAATCCTTTGATTTACCTTTGACTAGGTTTGTCATTGTAATCCCTAGGTTGCTTAGGAAGATACTATTTGGTTTGATGAAAAAGCCGGAATGATAATAGCTCAAACTCTTTTGAGCATTTAGTACATGCTTGGCACTGTTCTATACATTTTAAGTTATTCACTCATGTATTTAATCATCAACACCCTTATAAGGTAAATATCCCACAATTACTTTTGTACCAACCTAATACCATTGCAGACAAGGAAACAGATGCAAAGAGGCTAAGTTACAAGGGCACACAGCCATTAAACTTTGGATCTGTAGAGTGACTGGGCTTCAAAGTCCTCTTCCTGACTGCTATTCCCATGTCTTTTGCAAAGATAAGTCTTTGACAGGTATATGCTTAATTAAAATCATGTTTAGAAGGAAATGAGACAATAGAATTAGAAAAAGAAATGGCTGTAGGCTTCAATGAAAATGACCTTTGTGACTGGGTGAAAATTGTTTGGCTGGATGTCCTGGAAAATTGTCTTCTGGGAATATCTATATTGTAGGGTTCACTTTTGTCATAGAATTGCTTCTTGGCCCATTTAAGAGAGATACTTTAAGTTCGTTATTAATAAATCAAATATTTTTATTTTTTAAAAAAGAGCATTCTTTCCCCCATTGAATTCTTGGCACTCTGTCAAAAATCAATTTCTAGGCTAGGCGCGGTGGCTCACGCCTGTAATCCCAGTACTTTGGGAGGCTGAGGTGGGTGGATCACGAGGTCAGGAGATCGAGACCATCCTGGCTAACCCGGTGAAACCCCATCTCTACTAAAAAATACAAAAAATTAGCTGGGCGAGGTGGCGGGCACCTGTAGTCCCAGCTACTCGGGAGGCTGAGGCAGGAGAATGGCGTGAACCTGGGAGACAGAGCTTGCAGTGAGCCGAGATTGCGCCACTGCACTCCAGCCTGGGCGACAGAGTGAGACTCCATCTCAAAAAAAAAAAAAAAAAATCAATTTCTGTACTCTCAATTATATTCCACTGATCTGTCATTATTCCAAGACCTCCCTGAACTAAGTACAGTACATTTACAGTAAGTTTTAAAATATGGAATTGTGAGGCCTCTGACATTGTTCTGTTTTTTCAAAATTGTTTTGGCTATTCTCAGTACTTTCATATGAATTTTAGGATTATCTTGTCCATTTAAAAAAATAAGGCAGCTGGAATTTTGATAGAAATTGTATTGAATCTGTAGATCAATTTGAAGAGTGTTTCCATCATACTACTGAGGCTTCTAATCCATGGATATAGGGCGTCTTTTTATTTACTTAGTTCTTTTTAAATTTCTTGTTGTGATGTTTTGTAGTTTTCAGTGTATAAGTCTCACACTTCTTTTGTTAGGCTCTAAGTGTTAATTTTTTTGGATGTAATTGTACATAGAATTACTTGATTAATTTCATTTTTAGAGTGTTCATTGTTAGTCTATACAATTAATTTATTATATCAATCGTGTATTCTACAATCTCGCTGAACTGATTAGCTGATAGTTTTTTCTGAATAACTTAAAATTATCTATGTACAAAGTCGTGTTACTTGTCAATATGATTTTACTTTTTCCTTTCTAATCTGGGGACTTTTATTGCCTAATTGCCTGGCTATAACCTCCAGTACAATGTCAAATAAAAGTGGTAAGAACAGACATAGTTTTCTTTTTTCTCATCTTAAAGAGAAAACTTTCAGTTTTTCTCCTTTAAGTATACTGATAGTTGTGAGTTTTAGATAGATATTGCTTCTCAGGTTGAGAAAGTTCCCTTTTATTACTAGTTTGTTGAGTTTTTTTAAATCACAAAAGGCTGTTGGATTTTGTCAAATGCTTTTTCTGCATCTATTGTGATAATCATGTGGTTTTTCACCTTTCTTTTTTTTTTGGATTGCATTTTCTTTCTTTTTTTTTGTATTATACCTGAAGTTCTAGGATACATGTTCACAACGTGCGGGTTTGTTACATAGGTATACACCTGCCATGGTGGTTTGCTGCACCCATCAAACTGTCATCTACATTAGGTATTTCTCCTAATGCTATCCCTCTCCTAGCCCCTCACCCACCGACAGGCCCCAGTGTGTGATGTTCCCCTCCCTGCGTCCATGTGCTCTCATTGTTCAGCTCCCACTTATGAGTGAGAACATGTGGTGTTTGGTTTTCTTTCCTGTGTTAGTTTGCTGAGAATGATGGTTTCCAGCTATTCTTAAGTTATATTAATATAATGATTTATATAATATATTTCTATGAATATATTGTATACATTGATTGATTTTCATATACTCAACCAACCTTGAATTCCTGTATTAAATGCTACTTGGTTATGGTGTATAATCCTTTGTATATGTTGCTGGATTCAGATTGCTAGTATTTTTAAAGGATCTTTGTGTCTATATTTACACAACACTTTGATCTGTAGTTTTCTTTACTTGTAATGTCTTTGCCTGGTTTTAGTGTTAGGGTAGCACTGACTTCATAGAATGAGTTGGAAATTCTTCCTTTCTCTTCCATTTTTTGAAAATTTTGTGGAGGATTGGTGTTAATTATAGTTTACCATTTGGTAGTATTTACCAGTGAAGCCATCTGTTCCTGGGCATTTCTTTGCAGGAAGTTTTTGATTACTAATTCATTATTTTACTTGTTATAGATCTATTCAGATTTTCTGTTTTTTCTTGAGTCAGTTTTAGTAGTTTGTGTCTTTGTAGGAATTTGTCTATTTCGTCTAAGCTATCTAATTTGCTGGCATGTGATGTCTATAGTATTCCAGTATAACCCTCTATAGCTCTGTAAGATCAGTGGTAGTGTTCCCTCTTTCATTCTTGATTGTAGTAATTTGAGTCTTCTCTCTGTTTCTGGGTAGTCTAACTAATGGCATATCAATATTTTTAATCTTTTCAAAAAGCAACTTTGGGTTTTATGAATTGTCTCTATTTTTAAATTTCATTAATTTATACTCTAGTACTTATTATTTACCTATGTAGTTACCTTTCCTAATATACTTTATTTCTTCCTACAGTGTGGGTTACTGTCTAGTGTCCTTTTACATCTGCCTGAAAGACTCTTTTTAACATTTCTCCTAGGGTATGTCTACTAATAGCAAACTCTCTCAGCTTCTGTTTCTGTTTCTTTTAATTTCCCCTTTAGTTTTGAAGGACACGTTTGCTGGTTATAGAATTATTAGATGACAGTTTTTTTTTTTTCTTTCAGTGTTTTGAATGTCATCTCACTGCCTTCTGGCTTTCATGCTTTCTGATGAGAAATTAGTTGTTAATCTTATTGAAGATTACTTGTACATGATGAATCTCTTCTTTCACTGCTTTCATGATTTTTTCATTGTCTGACTTCAACAGTTTGATTGACATACATAGGTGTGGATCTCTTTGAGTTTATCCTAGTTGATGTTTGTTAAATTTCTTAGACACATAAATTTATGTTTTTCATGAAACTTAGGAAGTTTTCAGCCATTATGTCTTTAAATATTCTTTCTTCCTATTTCTCTCTCCTGCTTCTGGGATATCCATTATGTATATGTTGATATGCTTGATGGTATCCCACATGACTCTGCAGATTTGTTCATTTTTGTTCCTTCTTTTTTTCTTTTCCTCATACCGAATTGTCTCAATTGATGAAGCTTCATATTCCCTGATTTTTTATTCTGCCTGCTCAAATTTGCTGTTGAGTCCTTCTAGTGAACTTTCATTTGTTATTTTACTTTTCAACTCCAGAATTTCTATTTTGGTGTTTTATATAATTTTTATCTCTGTTAGTATTGTGTATGTCATGGGACATCATTATAAAACACTTCTTTAATTCTTTAGACATGATTTCTTTTAGTCCTTTGAATGTGTTTTAAATAGCTGATTTAAAGTTTTTGTCTAATAAGTCCAATGTCTGTGCTTCCTCAGGGGCAGTTTCTATTGGCTGCTTTTTTCCCCTGTGTATGAGCCATATTTTCTTTTGGTTCAATTTTTTAAATCTCCATTTGTTCATGAGGAAGTAACATGGATGCTTGGAAATTATTTTATACTTGTGGGTCTATTGTATTTACAAAAACCACTCTCTTACATTTTATAGTTTCCAAAATACTTATTTAAGTTTATTACATTTGATCCTAAAAGCAGCCCTATGCTTTTTCCAGGGCAGAGATTATTTTTATTACTGTTCTACAGATGAGAAAACTGAAACTCCTATGACAAGCCTCTTTCCATAATACTGTATATTTTATGTATCCCTCTGTCTTTTACATTTAGCCTGCTGCCATTCATAATTCCACTATGTTGTTTTATGTACAAGCTCAGTTTGGTTTCTTTCATTCTTTGGGCTTGATATTATTCCAGATTGTTACAAAAATAGGTTTAAAATTGTTGTAAAAGCTCTTGGAACATTCTTATTAAATTCTTTTTGTGAAGCAAATTACATAGAAGAGCAACCACATTCACCAAAAGCCATAAATACTTAGATTTACTTCTGGCTCCTAAGAGTATTCTTCATTTGGGAGAAGTTCATTTGTATTCAGGTTTATTTTACATGTTCTCTTATTTCAGTTGCTTTTTTTTCTCATGATATTTTGATTTTTAAGGTACCAAAGCCTTTTTCTTATAATACAGGGAATTTGAGTTAAAGTTTGAAGATAGGAGAACTAGACAACTGTCAGTGTGGAGTGAATGCAAGGATATCCAGAAACATCCCACCTACACCAAAATATCTGTTTCACCGGTGTTCCCCAGTCTCTATAATTTCCACTGCCAATCATTCCTTTGGGATGAGCCATTCTTCCCAGAAGGCCATGTTTAAATGCACAGTTTACCAAAGGGGAAGTCATATCTGAAATCATTATTATTTTCTATTAACAGACAAAGGAATCTGACATTTATTCTCAGTCTATTGTGTGCCCAGGCACTGTGCTAAATTATTTCCTCATACAGTTCATATAAGGTAGGTGATATTATCTTGATTTGACAAATATGGAAAACTTAAACCACCAAGAACAAGATCCTAAGTGATTGACACAGATTTTGCCAGAGTGGAGGACCTGAAGCATGGAAGAGGTTCCCCAGTTAGATGAGTGAATAGGCAGACATTGAGCATTCAAGGGCCATTTTAAAAGACTGGGTCATCTGAGGAGAAGCAAATAGAGAAGACCAACCTTGTCCAATTGAAGGTACTGTTTCTTTGTTTCCCTGTCAGCTAGACTGAGTGGTGAGAAGTGCTGTAAATTACAAGGACGGAGAGAGAGGGAGAGAGGGGTGCGAGAAATAGCAGACTTTGATAATTATTTACCATAGGGCTAGAAAGTGAAATTTTACAAAGCAATACAGTGAATGAGTGTGCTTCTCTAAAAGCAAGATAATATTTCTAAGGGTAAAGTTTTGACCTACATAAAGGAGCGAATGTTTTAATGCCAAAAATAAAGGAACTGTTTTCCCAGTTGAGTTGATGGAAAATAAATCTTATTCCTGGCGGGCATACCTAGAAACAGAAGTCAAGCTGGGATGGGGTGGGGCAAGGCCATGTTTTGGGAAGAAGAAGTACTTGATTAGCAGCAGCAGCAACCTCCTCCAAATTCCCATGGCCCTCCATGTTTTATATTACTTGTTAGGGAAGTTATGTATTTCCTTTGCATTAATTAAGGTATCAGCTTAAGTGTGAGTGCCTAAGCATGTGAATTTGTTGTGCACTCTGTCTCTGATGTTGTGAGTGGTGCATTTATGGCAAAAGGTCTCTTCATTGCCAGCTCACAGATGGTAATGCTAGAATTTAGTTCAAACTTGTGGTATCACTACATACAACTTCAGTGATGATTGCACTGTATATGTTCCTGCCTCTCTCCAGAAACATGAAAACACAAGATGTCGACCATCTGAAATGTCATGGTAGTCCTTAAATATAGTTGCTATTTAAAGATGTATAAATTATAATCATCCCACCAGATTTCATCTCTGGGGCAGCAACATATTTGAAGTTTTGATTTAGTTGAAAGGCATGATAATTTAGGAGTTTACCATTTATATTAACAAACTTGATCAAATGCTTAAATGTGTATAAGAGACTGGGAAACAAAATGGAATTCTGTGTAATTGAATGCAAATGCAATGATTTTAGTATGATTAAGCCTAAGATGCTTTCAACTGGAATTATTTGGGAATAGATAGAAAGAAATGAATAGGAGAAAATAATAAAAGGCATTTGATTTATCCACTTAATCAGGAGTGGATCAGAATGAGAACTTTGAAAGGTTGTAGGAATTGATGATTTGAGTGTAGGAACCAAGCCTTTTCCTCTTCTTGCACTGAGCTGGTTTTATTCCACTACATTTCCACACCTTGCAGAAAGGAACTCCTTGTGGACTATATGAGGGTAGGCTCTATGTTCTGTAACTACCACTTACTCACACCAACCTGGAAATTGGCTGCTTCATGCTCCACCCCCCACCACACCCCCACCCACACCCCACCCACACCCAGGGGCTGTGTTGCTCTCCCCCTAGCCTGTTATTTGGCAAGGTTTGGCTAAGGATTCAGGAAGAAGAACCTCATTTTCCCCTACTGGAACTTAAACTCATTTTACAGCTCTCACATTCTTTTGCTTCTTTTTCACTTTACCTGCCCTCAACTGATTCTCCTGTGTTATCCCCAAGATTAGGCAGCAATCTAGCATTATTTATAGCACTGGTGTGGTTGAAAGGCTTTACTATCTATTGTCTTCGTAGACTTTCTGTCTTCCCCTGTAAAGTCGGGGTTGGGGGGAGGTGAGAGGGGGATTTTACCATGTGCTCTCTCAGGTCCTTTCTAACTCACTTACCATTCCAGTCTGTAACTTTCTTCCCAACTCTTTTCTAATTCCCTTGTAAGGTGTTGAATATAATGCTGAGCACTTCTGGGTGCTCAATACATCTAATATCTCCATTTCTCATACTAGATGCCATCCTCTGAGAGGCAAGTGCCCCATTTCCCAGCCATCCCCTCTCCTGTTGCATCTAGCTAGGGCATTCAAGTTGATTTCTTCAAAGACGGAAATTACCATAGCTGTATCCAGAAGAATTATGTTGAACGAACATGATATTAAGACTGTGTGTATATTACCTGGTATATCAAAAGGGGGTTAAATGTTATGGGGGAGGGTAACAGCTATTTATTTAACAAAATGTTAATTGAATATGACTACAAGGAATCTCAGAGGATGATGGAGAAGCCCACGTTAGAACTAATCAGGACATTGTTACCTACTGAGCTCAGTGAAGAGAAAGGTGGAACAGTAAGTGTGTTGACTATAGCCTGTTATAAGCTGTCCTTTTCCCTTCCCACACTTACCTTCTGCTGTTCCTACCACTCTATCACCACCATCATCACCAAACAATTTTGTGGGATAGGGAAGGATTCCAAGTAAGAAACCCAGCCAAACACTTCAGTCCCAGGAGCAAGCAAAATGTGCACACCCTATCCACCAAAGAGGGCCAACAGAGAAAATAATTCACCAGAATCTCTACCAAACTATACCTAGCCAAAATAGGAAGAGTTCAAGCACCGCCCAACACTGAGTACAAATTAGCTGGACTTGGTTACATGATGCTCTTCCCAGACCTTGTGGTTAAATTCTAATAACCTTCTTAGGAAAAACAAGAGGGCTGTCTTGGGAATGCTTGATGAGGTTTGGAATTCAAGAATAAGAGGCAATGATGAGAGACACCCAGATGAGCATGGAAATGATTGTATCTGAACTAAGTTCCAACTGTATACTTATTTCAGAGAAGTGAAATTAACCCAAGCTATGCTACCCCAAGGCAAGTATATAGATACACTAAATCAGCTAGTGTTTTAGGGGATGAAAGGTCGATGTGAATGTTAGTTTAGGCAAATGCCAAGTAGCAATTATTCTGTGAAGGTTAGTTTAGGCCAATATTAAGTAGAAATTATTTTGTAAGCCTGTACAGTCAACCCAACAGAAAATTTTACAACTGTGGAAAAAACATGTAAGGATATAGTAGAATTAACTAAGCTAAAATTGAGAGAATCTTCACCAATATCAATAATATGTAGATGTTAAATGACTATGAATTTTGTTAAAAGACCGTCTAACCTAATATGGGATGCCAACAAGGTAGTAAATATATTCAAATTGCGAATGGCTAAGCTTAAGTTGAACTACGGTGTTCAGTGGTATCCTTTCAACCAATGTCCTAAATAATTACCAAAAGCAGGGCTCAAATTCCTTTCCTATTCGAAAATACCAGCAGTTCTGTTCAATTTCACATTCCTTCATCTACTGTTTGGCCATGCCAGTCAAACCACTTGAGGTACAGAAAAGAGAACTACACTACAACAAGGAAGTACTTAATCATTTGGTAGCTGCAGAATATAACTTGGCTTGCCAATGGCCCGCATAAGAGTCTAGTGGTCTTCTGTGACCAACATGTTACAAAAGCTATACATGCTGAATTCAGAGAGACCCAATCATTTTAGCATCTTTAATGCTGTATTTGCCAAACAAAGCACTGTTTTAGGATATGTCCCAGTTTTTTATATTTAAAAGAATGACCTGAGCATTTCTTAAGTTAATGTTTACTTAAGGAGTGAAGCTAAAAATTATACAAGGGCACCATTCCTTTGCTGCTGTTGCTTCAGCCTGTAAAGGTGTATGATTAGATAGGAATATTGCAATGATTTTATTCTTGTTTCCTGAGAGACAGCCCATTTCCCCCTTAGGATTCAGTGACCTAAAATTTGGGAAGAGAAAGGCTTGAAAATCTCTGACCTCCAAGGAAACTAGAAGCTCAAAATAGAGTTTTTCAAGTCCCAGTCTCAATTATCTGAAACATATTTAAAAATTCATATTCTTCAAATAGTATACCAGAACAGGAAAACTGCTCTCACCGAAAACCTATTTATAAACCCTGATCTAGACCTAGTCTTTAAAGGAAGGAAGTTTTGTCAGAAACTAGAGGCATCTCATTAATCCTCAGTGGACTAGAGGCCTTCTGGAAGAATAGTGAACCGATGTCCCCCAGTCATTGAGGTTGACTCTTCAAGCCCAATGCTTGATGACATGGCTGCTGTGGTTCATACACAGATGTTATTTTTAGAGGCAAGAATTCTCATTTCCCAAAAGTATAACCACAAGATGTCTATTTGGAATGAATCACATTTATGCATTTGGACAATAGTAAATGTTCAGATCATGTCTGTGCAACCTCAGTTCCCTGAAGAAATATGTAATATCCTGGTACACTCTCACCCCAGGACCCTTGCCCTCTGTCAGTGGCCCTCATCTAACTGAGGTGATTTCTTTGGAAATGGAGCAGGGCTGTGGGGTTCCATAGATGTCTTTGAAGCAGGTTTTTCTTCCAGGAAAAAAAGTTATATTTTGTCCTTGTGGCTTTCCACAAAAACTGGTTTAGGGACAAAAATGTCACCAATCTTCCACAAAGCGGGTAGCAAGGCTCAGAGACCTTCAGGGAGAATTTGAACTTGGTGGCCCGCAAGGGTGCCTTGCTGTGTTTGCACTTTGCTGCCACAGCTGGCAAATCAGCCTGATCTGGCTAAGCTTTTTGGGCCTAGGCCAATCTCAGGTCCAGCCTTTATAACTGTGACTGGACTGTGTGGGGCTTTTGGCCCCTTAAACTGAGCTTTACTCTAGTAAGGCTGGAGACCCTCAAGGAGGGCATTACAGAGCCCAGAATTAACACACACAGGCAGGCTAATCTAGCAAAGAGAGTACTTATCTGGGAATTGGCAGAGGCTCCCTGGGTGGGTCCAGTAACCTTGTTTAGCCACTTGGTGCTTTGCTTGGCCACATCCCTTTGGGTTAGCTGCTTCCTTTGCTTAAAAAGATCGAATGACTGCCTTCCTCTTTGACTTTGCCCTCCTCCCTCATGGGAAGAGTCTCCCTCATCTGTGGGGAAAGATGGTACCTGTCTTTCAGGGTAGCCCAATAAAGTAAATGCTGGTAGTCAATCACTCAGTCCGTCTGTTCAGCTGTCTTGCTATCTAGCTGTGGAATCAGGGCTCCCTGGCAGGAATCAGCTATTACCATACCAGGAAAACAGCAATGGCATATCAGACTGGTCAAAGGGACAGAGGTTGGAAAAAAATCAAGTCAATGAATAGGGCTGGCACAGTGGCTCATGCCTGTAATTCCAGAACTTTGTAAGGTCAAGGCAGGAGGATTGCTTGAGCCCAGGAGTCCCAGACCAGCCTGGGCAACATAGCGAGACCCCCATCTCTATTAAAAAGAAAGAAAGAAAAAAAAAATCAGTGAATAAGCTACTTACTAATTTCTTAACCCATTGGTTCATTCATTCTTTCAGTTACCAAACATGTCCTGAGCACCCACTATGTGTCAGGCATTGTGCTAGTCCCAGAGCTATGCCCTTTCCAGATTAATACTGGAGTTCAAAACCCCTCCTTCCTGGCCCCATTCCAAATCCTAACAACTTTATACTAGCTACCCTGAGGAAAGTTTTCAGGCTGAAAATGGACATGTTGCCCCACATCTCTCTCGACTCTCATTTCCTCATTTGTAAAATGAGGCTAATAATACCTGCCCTGCTGCCTCACAGGGGTCCCATATAGATCAACTAAGAGAACAGATACAGCAGCTTTTAATTATAAAAATCATAAAATGCTAATAGTTGTGACTCAATAATGAAGATTTATTGAGGGCTTACCATGTTCTCCAGATTTAGCCTTACCCAGGTCATAACTGAATGTTAACCTATACCAAAAATTCTGAATTTATCCTGTTTGGAAATTCAGATTTTATAAATATATAGTTTTTCATGTATAATATTAATATTTTGTGAATGCTGTGTACCAGATACTAAGCTCAGTGCTTTACACAAATTACCTCATTTAATCCCCATAATTACACAATGTGGGAGATGGATACAAGTATTATTATACTCATAGAGAAGAAACATGGAACTCAGTGAGGTTAAAGAATAACTTGTTGGCTGGGCACAGTGACTCACACCTGTAATCCAAGCACTTTGTGAGGCCAAGGTGAGAGGATCACTTGAGCCCAGGAGTTCAAAACCAGCCTGGGCAATATAGGGAGACCCTGTCTCTACAAAAAAAAATTCAAAAGTATTCAGGCATGGTGGCATGCACCTGTAGTCCTAGCTACTCAGAAGGCTGAGGCAGGAGGATTGCTTTAGCCCAAGAGGTCAAGGCTGCAGTAAGCTGTGATCACTCCACCACACTCCAGCCTGGGCAACAGAGCAAGACCCTGTTTCAAAAAAAATAAATAAAATAATAGCTTATTTATAGTAACAAGGCTAGTAAAGGATAGAGTCAATTTGAATCCAAGTTTTCTGACTCCAGAGTATGAACCTTTAACCACCATGCTATGCCTCCTCTTGGAAAAGAATCAAACCCTATACACTTCTAAGCTATTGGTAATATTATTGGAAATTTTCCACTTTGAGGTAGCGGACAGTTTCTTAGAACTACAGAGAACCATTTCTACTACTGGGGAAGGAGCCCCACTGAAATGGATTTAATTCCATCCTGGGTCGGCTTCTTCACATCCTGGTGTTTTGATTGTTTGTTTGTTTCCTGTCCATTTAACAGGGGGACATATTTTCATAAGTTTCACTGCTGCATTCACAAACCATAAAGTAAGAATTGGGAAAGCTGGAAGTGGTAGAGAAAGTGTGTTCTGTGGATCAGAGGCAGATGTGGAAGCAAGGCCCAGGCAAGAACATATGTGGGTGTGGGTAGCTTTGCTGATACCATATGGAAGCACAGCCTCTAGCAGGTCTCTCTTCTTTGTCATTAAACATCTCTGTGTGTATCCTTGGTACACAGACTCTTATCTTACTGGGAGCATCCAGAAGGGTTTTCCCAGACCCACAAAAATTCCACCCAGGCTTCTTTCTAGTGCTTCAGTGTGTGGCCATGGAGTATTACTTTTTTTTGCCTTAGGAGGTATTTGTAACAAGCTCTTATGTCTGCTGCTATGGCTGCTACTACTACCCCTCTTCCTCCTCTTTTCCTCTTCAAGATCATCATTGTTATTCTGAGCAGAAGAGTTAACATGTCCAATAACTTATTACCTTTCCAGGCAATGTGCTAAGCACTTTACATGCATTATTCTATTTATTTGTTCATTCATCCATTTAATATTTACTGTTCATTACTTTGTACCAAACACTGTGCTAGGCACTGGGAACCGAACACACTTTTATCCCTTCTGTTAGTCTAGTGGGGATGCAACAGGGAATATAGAATTACAAACAGTGGAAAGTTCTAGAAAAGAAGAATACATGGAACTATATGAAAGGTGAATGGTGCTATTTTATTTAATATTTCAACAGCCCTGTGAAGATAATAAATAGTATTATCCCCCATTTTACAGGTGAGGCAAGTGAAACTCAGAGAGTTTAAGTGACTTGCCCAAAGTCACACAGCTAGTAAGTAGGCTGAGTAGGGATTCACATCCATGCTGGTCAGATTCCAAAGCTCATGCCCTTAACTGCTATACTTTATTGCCCCCCCCCCACGTGTGAAGTGCATATATAGCCATTAATTCTAGGCCTATACATTTGGGTTCTGGCTTTATCTCAAATGTGTGGAGTTGCAATTGTTTCCAATTAGTTGTGGCTGTGGTTTGGTGCATTCGTTCAAAGAGAGTGTGCACGCAAAACACAGGTCACGTGCTAGGCCTTGTGGATGTGCACAACGTATAAATAATAATGGCATTCCAAAAAAGCTGGGCTTCATTGGAGTCACCACATTTGTTTTCCATTAGCTTATGCTACTCAAATACAAACGGTAAAGCATGTGTTTACATTGCTGTGGATACGGAAAGCCAGGACCCCAAAGCACATTTTGCAGGTTGTATAAAGCTGAGCATCCAAATAGTTCAAAATCAGTTTTATAAGCCCAGCTTAATAGCTTTAAAATGTAACCTGGATTCCAGATATTAAAAAATGCCTACAGAAAGTATGTGAGTAGCCAAAAGAGATAAAACCAGCTAAATCCTTAAAATATGTACCAAGTCCCGTATTTGCAGTATCTATTTTGTTACTTATCCCTTTATTTTTTTTAAATGCTAAAGAGCTTAAAGTCAAGCAAACTCTTAGCCATGTAGCAGCAGTAATGGAATTTTTCATTCTGTACTAACCAGCTGTCTGAAGCTTTTCAAAACAAACCTGTTCATGATGAGATAGTTTGGTTATTTAAAACACAGTAGATGACAAGCCTGGGGAAAGCAAGCAGAAAGCATCCAATGTTGTTCAATGCCCAGTGCTTATCTCCCCCTTCTGGTCCTCCCACCCAATAGTGAAAAGCTTTCCCATCAAGTTATAGTTAATGCCCAGCATCTGAGAAAATGGAATTGAAATGGAAATTATCTGAGCTAAAGGCAGTAAAGATGGCAAAAATGTACAATGAAGGCCCCATTCGTTGATGTCTTTACCTAAGACACATGTTTCTTTTGAAGAGTTCTGGACCTGGGGGGCAAATATGTTACTGTTAATGAGATCTCTATTACTTACTCAGTAACTTGGTAAGGTTACTGAGCTTCAATGTCTTCCCTTAACGTGAGAAATGGGGATGGCAGTCTTCCCTGTTATACAAACTGGTGGAGAGTATTGAGGATTATGTGAGAGAACATATGTTAAACCCCAGCACAGTGTGTGGCTGATAAGCTTCATATCTTTGCAATCAAGACAATTCCAAGAGGCATATTATTTATACCATATAGACAGATCAAGACTTGCTGCTCTCACTGGTCTAATTTCAACATATTTGATCCCTCTCCGAACAATAAATATGTCCTTTGATCTCCCATGGACCAAGCACAAAAAGAGCTTCAGCCAAATCTCATTGTCCCATGCTGCCATACCCTTTTGTTATATTGGTTATGGCTTTAAAAATATGAAATTGCTGTACTTCAGAAAGCCCTTTTTTCCCTTTCATTGTGTTTCCAATTTTCTTAAGTAATTATTCCAGGCTTTTTGTTTCCTTTTATCACACAACCCTGAGTACCTGTTCCAAGGCTAACTTTAAATGTTTCCCTGTCTAATCAAATGAAGTCAATCACCTTTATACAAGGGTATTTTCCGTAACTACAAAGACAAAAGGTCAAGATATCCATACCTAACTGAAAAGGAAATCATCATATTATATTTACTTTTAAACACATGGTTTGAAGAGCGTTTACTAAGGATTCCAACATGCATGGTGCTCTGGTGGCTCTTGTCAAAAGATGGTTTCAGTGGGATTCTGGGAAGCAGAGTAACATTGGAGCAGCCTTTCTGAAAGAGTAAGGAGTGGTCTGCGGTTCACTCACAGTAAGATGAGGGGGACAGATCTAGTTAGGCGTGTGTCTGTAGTACCAGCTACTCAGGAAGCTGAGGCAAGAGGATTGCTTGAGCCCAGGAGTTCGAGACCAGCCTAGGCAACATAGTGAGACCCCGGCTCAAAAAAAATAGATGCAGATCTGTGTGCCCCATCCCAGATTCACCAAATCAGAAACTCAGTGAGTGAATTGGGCCAGGGAGCGTGTCTTTTTTTTTTTTTTTTAACTTTTGCCTTTTTATTTTTTTCGAAATCACAATTTGTATTTATTTTGTCAAAATTGCTGACCTGGATATAATTGGGAAAGGAATGATTGAATGATTGCCAAGAGCTCAATATCAACACAAAAATGTAAGCCATCAAG
This sequence comes from Homo sapiens, assembly GCF_000001405.40. NCBI lineage: Eukaryota > Metazoa > Chordata > Mammalia > Primates > Hominidae > Homo > Homo sapiens. The sequence continues at coordinate 133,603,005 of NC_000023.11, read as the reverse complement.
ACTGTTTGTACACGAAAAAACTTATGTTTCTGTTAGGTGTTTGGGGGAATTATGGCTACACATTGAATTACTTGTTATTTAAATATTACTTCTACAACATGCATTATCTTAGATATTTTTGTTTTTCCTATAAAATACCTTTCAACTTAAAAAATGTTTAATTCTTTATTTTTCCTTTTATTTTTGGTTGACACATAATTGTACATATTTATGGGACACAGAGTGATAGTTCAATACGTGTATACAATGTGTAGTGATTAAATCAGGGTAATTAGCATATCCATCACCTCAAACATTTATTATTTGTGTTGTGGACATTCAGATCCTCTCTTCTAGCTTTTAGAAAATATACAATAAATTATTATTAACCATATTCATCCTACAGTAGTATAGAACAGTGGTCCCCAACCTTTTTGGCACCAGGGACCAGTTTTGTAGAAGACAATTTTGCCACGGACCAGGGATGTGATGGTTTCAGAATGAAACTGTTCCACCTCGGATCATCAGGCATTAGATTCTCATAAGGAGGGCCACCTAGATCCTTTGCATGTGTAGTTCATAATAGGGCTCCCATTCCTATGAGAATCTAATGCTGCCACTGATCTGATAGAAGGAGGATCCCAGGTGCTCACCTGCTACTCACCTCCTGCAGTATGGGGACCCTGGTATAGAACACTAGAACTAATTCCTCCTATCTAGCTGTAATTTTGTATCTATTGGCTAATATCTCCCTATCCTCCCCTTCCCAGACTCTAGTAACCACTATTCTCTACTTCTATGGGCTCAACTTTTTTTTAGCTCCTACATATGAGCGAGAATGTGGGGTATTTATCTTTCTATGCCTGACTTATTTCACTTAACATAATGTCCTCCAGGCTCATCCATATGGCCTCAAATAACAGGATTTCATTATTTATTGTGGCCAAATATTATTCCATTGTGTATATATACCACATTTTCTTCATCCATTCATCTGTTGATAGACATTATAGGTTGATTCCAAATCTTGGCTATTGTGAATAGTGCTGCAATAAACATGGGGGTGCTGATATCTCTTCAATATACTCATTTCTTTTCCTTTGAATAACTACCCAGTAGTGGGATTACTGGACCATAGGGTAGTTCTATTTCTAGTTTTTTGAGAAACCTCCATATTATTTTCCATAGTGCTTGTGCTAATTTACATTCCTATCAACATGTATAAGAGTTTAGCGAGGCTAATTTTTTAATAAGCATCCTGGTGATTTTTATGGAATTTAGAGAATCACTCCCACAGTGTGTAAGTATGTACATACCCTTTGACCCAGTATCTTTACTAAGGAAATAATCCAAAATATGGAAAGAGTTATGTGAATGTTCCTGATGATTACATTTTTGTTTATAAAAGCAAAATAACAGGAAACAATGCAAATATTCAATATTAGAAAAATGGTTAAGTAAATGTTGATAGATCCCTTAATGGATAGATGCATCATCCCATTTAAAGTATGACATTTATCATATTTACTTATTACAACAATTCTGTGAGGCAGGCGTTATTTCTCTCATTTTATAGATGAGGACACTGAGGTTTAGGGAGATTAAGCAGCTTGTCTGAAAATACAGTTTTAATAAGTGGAAAAAGTAGCGTTCGAACTCAAGTCAATCTGCTTCCCAAATGCAAGTTCAATTTAAAAACAAGCATTAAAAAGTGCTGACCTTTGAAAACACAAACATTGTTTATTAAAGTTTGGGAATTAGGGGTTTTCTTCCTTGTTTCTTTTCCTTTCACGTTTCTATATTTGATACTTGCATATTTAAAATATTAGATTCTAAAAGAAAGTTGATTGTATGCTTAGGCAACTGTGATAGTCTCAGTGGCTAAAACAGAGTTGCACAGACAGTAGTGGCTGTAGAAAAAGCTGGAATGTGAAGGGCCTTGTGCACTTCCACTAAGGTATCCTCTGTATTCAAAGTAATGCACAGCAGAAGTGTCAGGTTAACAGAATGTCTATGGGGATAGTGGAATGAAATACTCAGACGTAGGTTTTAATATGATCGTTTACATTGATAATCATTATTGTGTGCCTTGGCTTTTAAAAAGCTAACAGGACAGTGTCCTTTGAAAATGGCAAACAGTTAATCAAAAGCATTAGGCCCCTAAAGTTACCTGCTTTTGTGTGTAAGTCCCTCATAATTTTCTTTTCATAAAGTTAGTGTTCAGTCTGAAAGACTGAGAGAGGGAACAGAAAGGTCAATATTGTGAATTGTAATTAAGCAATTGGATTTCTGGGCCAAATTCCAGGCTGCCTAAATCCACTCCTTGCTGGCAATTCCTCCTCTCTGACCCATTACCCTTCTTTCAACACTCTGGAGCTTCAGTCTCTTCTTTAAGATTTTCGCATTAACAATAGATTTCTAGGTTTGGGTTTGTTTTGTTAATGTGTGAGGGTTAGGTTTATCAGTGGCTGTCTGTGTAAAATGGCTTAAAAGTCTACTATAATCCTTCTTCCATGCTGAATTTGTCACCAGAATGGGAGTGATTTAATACCTAAAGAAGTAACTTCACTGGCAAAGTTTTAAAGGGTTTTTGTTTAATTGCACTTTGTTTTAAACTGAGCTACTCAAGAATAGTGGGGACATTGCACACAGGTTGGAAACAGTCTCTCAAAGATTAGCTATGTGTCTTAGCCAAGGTCCTCCAAAAATGTTTAGCTACTCATTCACAAATTCTTCTTCTATAATTAATCTGGGCCTTGACTTTCTCCTTTTTCATAAGGTTGTGGAAATAGCTTTTAAAGAATTAAAGATACCATAACACTTCATTTTGCTTCAGTTCAATAGCACATATATTGAGTGCCTACTATGTGCTAGACACTGCCTTAAATGCTCTGGGGTTCAAAGATATATAAGATTAAACCCCTGGGCAGCTCACAGGATGGTGGTGGAGAGAAGTCATATGTTCAAATACCGGATTGCATACAGAAAGTGGCATTTAGGAGGTACAGATAAAGGGAACAGTGGTAGAAGAGGGAGAGGGAGAGCTATAATGACTGTCTACCAGGAAAGCTTTATTAATGACATGGCGTTAGAACTTGGCTTGAAAGTATGGAGGACTTTGAACAGACACAAATGAAGAACAGCTCATAGTACATTCTCAATGAATGTGTACTGAAGGTGTTAATGAAAGGGACAGATGCAAGGTGTGCTTGAGAAATAGCAAGTTCACTAATCTATATCTAAACATAATTCTACTTATGTGAAAAATTATCATTCAGGTATTCCATGATGTACACAAAAGATGCATTCTTGAAAATTAACATAAAAATGCTTATATCGAAAGCAAATTTCTCATAAGACATAATGATAAAGGAGGGCATTGGGGGTTTTGGTGAAACTGAAGTGATGTTATAGGCTAGATTAGCAGTTCTCAAAGAATGGTTTATGGATCCTGGGAATCCAAGAAATCCAGGGATCCACAAGGTTAAAACTACTTGCACAACAGTACTAAGATGTTATTTGTCTTTTCCCCTGTGTTGATATTTGCACAATGGTTCAAAAGCAGTGGCAAGTACAACTCTTCGATGCCACAGTATGAATCAAGACACCACAGGATGAATTAAGCCAATAGCACCAAAATGTACTAGTAGTCATTGTATTCATCACTGGTGTGTACTTGCAGAAAAATAAAGGGCAGTTTTACTTAAGGATATCATTGCTGAGTCTGTAAAAAGTTACTAATTTTATTAAACCTCATCTCTTGCACTTTTAAAAGATTCCGTGTTATAAAATGGGAAGTACACTGAAAGTATTTACACAGTAAACCATGTCAATGTGCATCTCAAGAAAAAGCACTTGTGAGAAATTTGAGCTGTGAGCTTCCTGTTTCATTTTTACTTGAGAGAATGACTGACAAACTATAGTTATGCAGACTTAAATACTTGCTAGACATTTTCTTGGAAAGGAACAAAGAGAGCCTGTCAGTTCAGGGAAAACAACTGGCAGTATTTATTGCCAATAATAAAATTCAGGCTTTCAATAGAAAACCAAAAATTGTTTTAAACTTTTATCTGCCACTGTGAGCTTGAGAGCTTCCCAAAACTTAAAGACTTTTCAGATGAGATTGGAGATAATATTAACAAATGTGATTTTTTATATCACATAATGAAAGGTGTTGACATTGGGAAGACCTGCATTGCTCAGTGAGCCAGTATTTTCCAGATGACCCATGGATGATGATACAAAATGAGTAAAATGCGTGTTCAAAGTTCAAAACATACCAATGGATGTAAATGTAACAGGATATGATATATTTATTTATATAGTTTCATATTCCACACTGCAACTAACTACTTGTTGAGTTTTTAATGTAGTATCAAAGAAAAATCTCCACAATTATCTGAAAAGTCTGCTAAAATACTTCTCTCTTTTCCCATGACATATCTGTGGGAGGTTGGATTAACTGCAAATGTTTCAACCAAAACCATATATCACAGCAGATTGAGTGGAGAAGCAGATTTGATAATCCAGCTGTCTTATATTAAGCTGGACATCAAAGAGATTTATAAAACTGTTAAATAGTGCCACTCTTCCTATGAATTATCTTATGTCTGGGAAAATATGTTTGTCATTCAAAAATGTTTGTGTTTTAGCCTGGGCAACATAGTGAGACCTTGCCTCTACAAAAAGTAAAAAAAAAAAAAAAAATTAGCTGGGGATGGTGTCACACACCTGTAGTCCCAGCTACTTAGGAAGCTGAGGTGGGAGGATTGCTTGAGCCTGCGAGGTTGAGGCTGCAGTGAGCCATGATCATGCCACTGCACCCCCACCTGGGTGATGGATCCAGACCCTGTGTCAAAAAAAAAGAAATGTTTATGTCACATCATGGGTTCATTCTTGTTATGTTTATAGAAGCTATCAAATAAATATTTTTAAAATTTCTCAGTTATAATTTCTAAGATGGCAAATGTTGATAGATATAACTTGTATAAACAAAAATAACTTATATAAACTCTATGGTTCTCAGCAAGTATAAAGGAGTCCTGAGACCAAGAAGTTTGAGAACCACTAATCTAGCTCATCTTAGCCTGTATTTATATATAATATAAATGTAGTTGTGTATGATGAGCAGCAGCGGAAGTGGCAGGGTGAACGTGGTGCTGGAGTGGGAGACAGTTGGTAGATTGGCTTCTCCAATACCATTAGAGGTTGTTGGCCAGGAAAAAAAACAAAAACAAAAACAAAAATCTCTTTGGGACTTTCCTTTCTTTGCTAAAAAATAAAAATAAAAACGTAAAAACCACCTGCAGAATCACATTTCTCTGTAGTATGTAGCTCTTTCCAAGTAGATCTCAGGGTGGCAGCTAAATCACAGGTGGAGAACATAAAAGTATACTTAGCCATGACATAAACATAGGGACGATGGAAACCGCAGAAACCCCAGCTTGTGTTTGCAGCAATTTTTCTTTCTGGATACCTCTTCCACAATCACAAAGATCTCAGTTTCTGTATATCCAGAATCTTTTGTTGGCTGTCTTTTAAAAGTAGGGGTTGGATCTAAGATTTAGGATGAGAAATGGGTGATGGGGAAGAAGCCAGGACAAAAACAGAATATGAGAATGAAGCCTTGGAGAGAGATGGCAAGGAAAAATAAGATGGAATCTGACAACGGCCCTCAGGGACCCTTCGTGCGGTGTGCTGGGTCTCTGGGTCAGTGGAGAGGCTTTTGAAAGGCGGGAGTCCCGTGAAATTCGTAATGCATTGGCCATGTGACTGAAAAGCCAGACACCGCAGAGTGAAACAAACATGTCTCTTAGTGTGCATATTATCTACAATAAAGCAAAATAAATTTAAAAGCATCTTATTGGAATTGCGGGAGAGGAGAATAATGAACAATTTTTCTAGTGATCAAGGCATATATAATGATGATTGATTGTAAGTAGTCATTGTACATGTGTATAAAATGGCACTGCTATTCTCCTCATTTGGTAGGAAGCATTTTGTGGTTTTAATTTAGTGACTGTAAATTTGATTATTGGGGGCTTCCATAGGGATCTTTTCTGGTCTTGGTGTCCTCTTAGCTTTGCCTTATCATGTCTTAAGTTCCTCATCAGTGAATTGTATCATGGAGACTTTCAGGAGCTTAAATACCATGGTATGAGAAGATCTAATGCAATATACACTCTGGCTACTGCATGATGTAAGTAGAGTCAAGGAGTAGACCATCACATCAAATGCTATGGAAAGGTTCAGAAGTCTGAAACTCTAAAGAGTATAAGCAGTTTACACCTACGTAAATTTGAAAGTGATTTTTTACAGCTTCTGTGTAATTCATTGAACATTTTTAATGCCTCCTGTTAATAACACACTGTGCAGACCCACCTGAGAAATATGAAGAGCTGATGCATTCCTGGTTGTTTTCTTTCAGCTCCTGAGAACCATGTCTATGCCCAAAGGTAGAGTTCTGGATAAAAACCTGGATGAGGAAGGGTTTGAAAGTGGAGACTGCGGTGATGATGAAGATGAGTGCATTGGAGGCTCTGGTGATGGAATGATAAAAGTGAAGAATCAGCTCCGCTTCCTTGCAGGTAACTGATTAGTGCTGACCCAAATGTAATCTAAAAATGGTGATGCTCAGGAATTAAAAATAAATTGAACCCGCTGTCTGCAATTCCCTTACATTCCCTGCAACACACAATCTCATCAACTCTTCAAGGAAAGACTATACAAGCTCTAGAAAGTGAAGTTCTCAGGTAGCCTCCTTCTTTTCCTCCCACCATTTCCAACCTTTGGTAGATTAAAAGGGTAACTTCCTGTTTTTCATTATCTAAAATGAACTGACCTAATCAGTTGGCTCTGTTTCTCATTGGAGTTTTCCTTGGTTCTTCTCATTTATAAAAAGAAATGCATAATAAGAAATGCAAATTTGGGATGAAATAACCTGTACCATAAACCCCCATGACACAAGTTTACCTATATAACAAACCTAGACATGTACCCCTGAACTTAAAACAAAAGTTAAAAACAAACAAACAAAAAAAAGAAATGCAACCTTGGAAGTCTTCTGAAAACCACTGGTGAGATAACTTTCAAAGGAAGAGCCATTAGCTGACCTTCTTTTCTTAGGACGTTATGTCTATTTTGTTTTCTCACAAGCAGTCTAACATAGATAGGCTATGGCATATGACTGAAGACCTACATAAAGACAAGAGTGGTAGGGCACGGTTGTTCATGCTTGTAATCGCAGCAATTTAGGAGGCTGAGGTGGGAGAATCACCTGAGCCCAGGAGTTCCAGACCAGCCTGGGCAACATGATGAAATCCTGTCTCTACAAAAATACAAAAATTAGCAGGGTGTGGTGGTACGCCTATTGTCCCAGCTACTTGGGAGGATTGCTTCAGTCCAGGAGGCAGTGGTTGTAGTGAGCTGAGATTCTGCCACTGTGCTCCAGCCTGGGAGACAGAGCCAGAGTCTGTCTCAGTAAAAAAAATAATAATAACTAAACAACAAGAGCAATAGAAAAAAGTAATATAGTACTGCTGGGGTCAAGGAGGCAAAACAACAACAAAAATTCCTTAAATTTGTATTCCATATCACAGTTTAGAGTACTTTCATGTGGATAGGTGTTCTTTGATTTTACAGGTAATTAAAACCAGGGCTCAGAGAAGAAATGAGATTGCTCTATATGGAAGAACTAGAAATCTACCTCGGGTCTTGAGACTTCCACTGCCATTCTCTTTCCTCTGTGGTGCACAGCCTTCTCCTTAAAACCCTATCACCCATGGCCTCTGAGATGCTAAATGTTCCTATTTCTCTGGCAGCCTCTTTCCTTCTTAGTTCTTCTTCCTAATCCTACCTGAAACTGGCTATTATCCGGATGTCCCTTCTTAAGCCTCTGTCTTTTCTCTCTTCTCCAGAAAGAATGCAGATCTTATCTACTCTCCCTCTTTTGACTTTTTCTTCCTTTTTGAGATAGGGTCTCTCTCTGTCCCCTAGGCTGGAGTGCAATGGCGCTTTCACACCTCACTGCAGCCTCAAACTCTTGGGCTCAAGTGATCCTCTCACCTCAACTTCCCAAAGTGCTGGGATTATAGGTGTGAGCCACCATGGCTGGCCTCAACTTTTTTTTATGATTTATTTATTTTTTATTAGGGTAAAAAAAAAAACTAACATGGAATCTGCCCTCTTAAACTTTTAAGTGTACAGTACAATACTGTTAATTATATGCACATTGTTGTGCAACAGATCTCTAGAACATTTTCATCTTGTGTGCCTAAAACTCTATGTCCATTGAACAGCAACTCCTTATTTTTCCCTCCCCCAGCCCTTAGCAACCACCATTTTACTTTCTGCTTCTGTGACTACTTTAGACACCTCATATATGATGGAATCATGCACTATTTGTCCTTCTGTGACTGGTTTATTTCACTTAGCATAATTTTCTCAAGGTTCATCCATGTTGTAGCATGTGACAAGATTTCCTTCTTTTTAAGACTGAGTAATATTCCATTGTATGTATGTACCACACTTTTTTATCCATTCATCCATCAGTGGACATGTAGATTGCTTCCACCTCTTGGCTGTTGTGGATAATCCTACAATGAACATTCTTTAACTATTATAACACTGTGGGAAATAACTTACATAAAGTCATTACCACGAGTCTCAACTGCTCTCCTACCATCCCACATCTCCAGCTGCTTATTAATCATTTCTGACTTCACCACCACCACCCCCAGCGTGATGTGTCACAAGTCAGATTTATCAACTGACCATCATTCTCCTGATCACTGAGGCTTAAACCTAAAGCCATCTTTGCTTCTTCTCTCTTGCCCTTAAATGCAATTAGGCCCCCAATCCCTGTCGATTCTTTCTTTGTAATTTATTCTGCTTCTGTTAATACTTTTTTGTTTTTTGTTTTTGTTTTTTTTGAGATGGAGTTTGGCTCTTGTTGCCCAGGCTGGAGTGCAGTGGCGCAGTCTCAGCTCACTGCAACCTCCACCTCCCAGGTTCAAGCAATTTTCCTGCCTCAACCTCCCAAGTAGCTGGGACTACAGGTGTGCACCACTATGCCCAACTAGTTTTTTGTATTTTTGGTAGAGACGGGGTTTATCCATGTTGGCCAGGCTGGTCTCAAACCCCTGACCTCAGGTGATCCACCCACCTCAGCCTCCCACAGTGCTGGGATTACAGGCGTGAGTCACTACGCCCAGCCCAATCCTTCCTTTCTATTCCCCCCTTCACACCCTCCTGCACATACTATTGCAGACACATCGTAGGTGGTCTCCAGGCTTCTAGGCTCAGGCAGGAGTATTGAGAGCCTTAGGCTAGTAGATTAGAGGACAAAGAATTTGAGACCCAGGCAGAAGATTCCATCAAATTCATCTTGCATAGCTACCTGGTTAATCTTTTGAAGGCATTTCATACTTTCTCCGCAGCTCAGCTGTCTTCATGCCTTGAGGATAAAGCTAAGACTCCTTAGTAGAGTTCTGAGGGTCTTCTGGTCTAGCCTCAACTACCCTTCTGGCTTCATTTCCCACCACTAGCCCCCGTAAGCACCCTCCACTTTGGTGAGAACAGCCATATTCATGCTCCATGAACCCCATAAACATACTGTTCTTGTTTCTGTTTTCCCACCACTGCCTATGTTTATTTCTTTTTTTTTTTTTTTTTACTTTTTTTTTTTTTTTTTTTTTTGAGACAGTCTCACTGTGTTGCCCAGGCTGGAGTGAGTGCAGTGACACAATCTTGGCTCACTGAAACCTCTGTCTCCCGGGTTCAAGTGATTCTCCCTGCCTCAGCCTCCTGAGTAGCTGGGATTACAGGTGCACACAACCACGCCCAGCTAATTTTTGTATTTTTAGTAGAGACAGGGTTTTGCCATGTTGGCCAGGCTGGTCTCGAACTCCTGACCTCGTGTGATCCCCGCCTGCCTCGGCCTCCCAAAGTGCTGGGATTACAGGCATGAGCCCCCAGTGCCCGGCCTGCCCATTTTATTTCTATAGAGATTGACCTTTTTTTCTTTCATCTTAAATTTTACCCATCCTTCAAGGTGCAATTCAAGTGTGATGCAGTGAAAAGAAAATAGGTCTTGGGGTAGGACAAATGTTTATTTAAATTCTTGCTCTACTTATGAGCAAGCATGATCTGGGACAAGTTTCTTAGCCTCCCCTCTATGTCTCCATTCTGTCATCCATTAAATGGGGATCATAACCCCAACTTTATAGGACTATTAAATCGAGGGGGAACATTTATAAAACATCTAGGCAAGTATCTAGCATATGCTAGGTGTTCCATAATTGTTACTTTCTCTCCATGAAATCTTTCATAGCCATCTCAGTCCATAGTTACCTCTGTCCTCTGAATTCATTACTAAAATGAATTCTGCCAGTGCTTTCATGAAACAGTCTACAATGGCTCCCAGGTTCCATAGGACATAAAGTGACCACTCAGAGCCTGGCAACCTATTAGAAGAATGTTGAATAAACATGAAAAGTAAAAATAAGAGAAGCTAATGTTCATTGGACACTTATTATGCTCTAAACACTGTGCCAGAGCTTGGCATGCATTGTCTCATATCATTTTCACAATACCACTATGAGGTAGGGGTCATTACTATTCTCACTTTACAGATGAGAAAATTTATACTGGAGGTGTTCTCACTCATAGTGGGAATTGAACAACGAGAACACTTGGACACAGGGCGGGGAATATCACACACAGGGGCCTGTCCTGGGGTGGGGGGAGGGGGGAGGGGGGAGGGATAGCATTAGGAGATATACCTAATGTAAATGACCAGTTAACGGGTGCAGCACACCAACATGGCACATGTATACATATGTAACAAACCTGCACGTTGTGCACATGTACCCTAGAACTTAAAGTATAATAAAAAAGAAAATTATGCAGGAGGAGGTGGAGTGGCTTGCTTAAAGTCACATTCACAAAGGGCAGAGTCAGGATTCAGAGCCAAGAAGTCTGGTTTCAGAGGCCACTCCTTGAACAAGCCTACTCTGACTCTTTTTTCTCTGATCATCAACACAACTATAAAAAGATCAAAGTCAGCTTTGCATTTTGCTACCTGGAAAAGTTGTGGTCATCTAAAGTTGCCCAGACAACTTACCAAAATGTTGCCTGGTCCCAGCACTGATCCCTGAGACATACCGCTGTTCATACTTCTCCAGAAAAGTCTATGCTTATTCCTACTTGTGCTTTCCTGACTATAAGCCACTTCCTTATCCATTTCAAGGCACTGCTCCACAATTCCATGGTGACTTAACTTGTTAAAACAGTGTTTGGCATGGGATCTTGTCAAGGGCCTTTTCAAAATCTAAATAGATTACATCCATGGTTTCCCTTTGTCCACATACACATTTATCGTGTAAAAGAATTCTAGTCAATTTGTTAGGCATGATTAACACTAAGTTCTTTATAAACTGTAAAACATTAGATAAATGGTGGTTAATTTAATTGAGAGGAAAAATGATGCCTAGCCCCCAATACATTACACTTGCCTAACATATTCAGTGATCCTACCAGCCTGAAGTTCCTTGGGCCCCCCTTTAAAAATGCTTCTCATGGAGAGGAGACTCATTGCCAATCTGCCAGGCTCATGGTACAATAGCTATTTGGCATAATAGCTATTTGGAATGACAGGCTATATGCTTTGGTCAGCTGTTATACAATTTTACCTAAAATTTGGATAGATGCCATCTGGTCCTGATGATTCATCAGCATCCATTTATTTAGTCAGCTAGACTTGGAACACCATGCACGTTCACCACCATTTCATTTAGCCCTCCAAATTGCCTCCTCCAAAATACAACTTGGGAATAAAGAGCATGGCTCGGAATATGTTAAGACTCTCTTGTATCTCCCTTTTGTCCCTGAACAGACCTTTTGCGACATGACCAGCAAGTAGCTCTATCGGCTGGCTTCCCTGGCTTACTTCTTCCCTTCTTTTGAGGCACTGAATGAAGTGCAGGACACGCAGGTTCTGTTCCTGGCTTTGCTTCTCCCGTATGTCCTAAAGCGAGCCCCTTCCACTTTTGAAAAGTCAGTTTCTCCATTTGTGAAATAGAGGGAGTGTACACACAAGTCTTGCAGGGCATTCCAGTGCCAGCAGTCTGTGATTATGTTCATTTCTTTGGCTTTGATCCCTGGCAAGGTGCTTATCAGAGTCTTTTGAGGACATCTTCTTGTAAGTTTTCATCTGACCTTGCAGGTTCTCTGTTCTCTTCTCTTGAGCTATAGTTCTATATAGAAAAGATCTCATTTTCCCCATTCTAACCCCTTTGACTTTTCCACCAATCTGGCAAGCTGGGCTTCTTACCAAGGGCTCCCCACATGTGGTCTTCAACACATTTTTGCATTAGGATGCTATTAAAAGTAATGGCAAAAACCACAATTAATTTTGCGCCAACCTAATAATAAGAAGGTTTTAGTAGTTTCCAGGCTTTCTGGGGTATATTCATTTATAAAATTATTCACCTCAAAGTTCCCTAAGTATTCTCTTTTTCCTTATTTCTTATTTATAAATTTTACATAGAATCCTTAGAGTCTTCTTCTTTCTGATTGTTGAATTTAATTGTTGGTGGGATGACCATTACATGATGTCTTACCCATGGTTACATCTTCGCCTGTTCCTCGCACTTCTCAGAACCAAGGGTAATGTATTTCCCTTTTGGTGCGTGTCCTAGTCCATTTGCACTGCTATAACAAAATACCTTAGACTGAACAATTTATACATTCTAGTAAGTTATACTTACAGTTCTGGTGGCTGGGAAGTCCGAGATGAAGGTGCCAGCATTTGGTGTCTGGTGAATGCCTTCTTCCTGCATCCTCATGTTGCAGACGGAACAAATGCTGTGTCCTCACCTGGGGGAAGGCAAAAGGGCAAAAAAGGGACAGATGCTGTGTCCTCACATGGCAGAAGAGATGGAAAGGCAGAAAGGAGCCTATCTAGTTCTCTCCAGCCCTTTTATAAGGGACTAATTCCCTCCATGAGGGCAGAGCTCTCATGGCCTAATCACCTCCTAAAAGCCCCACCTCTTCATACTGTTGCATTGCCGGGGGCATTAAGTTTCAACATGAATTTTGGATGGGGCACAAACATTCATCAAACCATAGCAGTGGGATACTTCATCTCTCTCAGCCTGCTTCTGTTTCTAAAAAGTGGAGATACAGCAAACTAGCACAGGAGCAGAAAACATCTTGGGCTTAGGGCTTAAACCGATTGTATTAGTCTGTTCTCGTGCTGCTGATAAAGACATATGAGAGATGGGGTAATTTATAAAGGAAACAGGTTTAATGGACTCACGGTTCCACATGGCTGGGGAGGACTCACAACCATGGCAGAAGATGAAGGGAGAGCAAAGGCACACCAGCACTTTGGGAAGCCAAGGTGGGCAGATAACCTGAAGTCGGGAGTTCAAGACCAGCCTGACCAACATGGAGAAACCCCGCCTCTACTAAAAATACAAAATTAGCCAGGTGTGGTGGTGCATGCCTGTAATCCCAGCTCCTCGGGAGGCTGAGGGAGGAGAATGGCTTGAACCTGGGAGGCGGAGGTTGCAGTGAGCCGAGATTGCACCATTGCACTCCAGCCTGGACAACAAGAGTGAGACTCCATCTCAAAAAAATAAAATAAGTAAATACATAAATAAAACCATCAGATCTCATGAGACTTATTCACTACCACAAGAACGGTATGGGGGAAACTGCCACCATGATTCAATTACCTCCCGCAGGGTCCCTCTCACAACACGTGGCAGTTATGGGAGCTACAATTCTAGATGAGATTTGGGTGGGGATACAGCCAAACAATATCATCAATACTAAAAGCAAATGGCTGTTTATTGCCCTTGGTACACAGATATTTCTCATAGAAATGCTTGCCTTCAGGAAACTTTCAGTCTCTCAGATGTCAGTGTGGGGACTGCAAAGAGAAAACCTGCCACTTGTTGCTTGACATGGGGTGACTGGTCCCTTTTGCCATTCTTCTGTTGTCATCTCCAAGTGCTATGGGGGAAAGCAGTGGTCTGCCCCTGGCTAGTCACTTCGTCCCAGCAGTACTGTGGAGGAAGCCTTTAAGATTTCACAGCTGTGAGCCCCATTTAGGGTAATATTATTAGTATTATTTAGTATCATTGGATTATAACTTATTATTTTAGCTGTCTGTAGCATATATTCCCTTTTTATAGTTACTTTATAATCTGAACACAAAATAACGACGATCTCAAGTAAAACAGCAATTAGGAAATATTTTCATAAGCCAATGATCTTTATTTTTATTTATTTATTTATTTATTTTTACTGGATCAAGTGTAATCTTACACTTCTACTCCTAATAAGCCTGCACACATAGGAAAGGTGAAGGACACCTCAATGGCTTAAGTGTTCTTCTAAAGTGTCAAGTCAAACCTTCATAAACGTAGGCTGGTAGTCATTTTGCATTAATAAATTCATTAATAGAGTGGTCTGGTGAAAAGGGTCATTGGAAATTTATGATAGGCCTTTTATCATGAGTGACAACTGCAAAATATTAATGATTTAGAACAAATCATGTTGCCTGCTGAAAAGTGAGTAGAAAGCTTGTAGGGAAATGAAATGTCCTGGGTTTTTTTGTTTGTTTGTTTGTTTTTTGTTTTTTTAAATGGGAAAGTTGTTAGGTCCTATGCAGAACTCGGAATACATTAGATACAGTAATATATCTATTTATACTACCCTGTTGGTAACAAGTCCAGGAATAAATTATGGCAGTTTTACCAAAATGTATTTTATAGTGTGAGTATCCCAATTCCCCTTCCTTTGTGCTCTTTGGAAATGCACCATTCAGATCTTTGTCACGTAAGTTGTAGATTGCTTCCTGCTAAGTAAGCCACCCCTGGAACTCTCAGGCAAGATCTTGTAGTGACTGCCTCCAAACTCATTTCTTGGGATATCAGCCCCTCCAACATGTGACCTCAGTGCAAGCGACCCCACGTCATCCACTGGGAGGGAGATCCCATCTGTTGGGCAAATGAGACACCTTCTTACCCTTAGACTGTTGAAGTTTGAGATCTAAAGGGAAGGGCGTCACTTCTACAGAGTCAAACAAACTGGGTCCCAGTTCTGTGTCTGCCACTTCCCAATGTTGTGACCTTGGACAAAGTCAGTCAGTTCCTCTGAGCCACAGTTTCCTCACTTGCAAAAATGGTGATAAAATATTTCCTGACCTACCCACCTCATAAGTTGCTGAATGAAACACATGAGATAATGGATGTAACATACTTTATAAACTTTAAAGCATCATATCCATTTAGGATAATATTATTAATATTGTTTAGTGTTATAACTTAAATTATAATTTTAGCTAAAGGCTTTTGGTGAATAAAACTAAACTAAGTTCCAAATGTCCAAGCCAATAATTTTCAAATGTCCAAGCCAATAATTTTCATTATAAATGTGCTACTCTTATACACTGTTGGTGGCAATATACACTAGTACAGCTACTATAAAGAACAGTGTGGAGATTCCTCAAAAAACTACAAATAGAACTACCATATGATCCAGCAATCTCACTACTGGGCATTTACTCAAAGGAAAGGAAACCAATATATTGAAGAGACATCTGCACCCCCATGTTTAGTGCAACACTATTCACAATGGCCAAAATATGGACTCAACCTTGGTTTCCAACAACAGATGAATGCATAAAGAAAATATGGTGTATATGTACGCCGTGGAGTAAAAAAAAAGGAAATCCTGTCATTCCAGTTTAACTGTTGCCAATCCTGTCATTCCAGGTAACGTGAATGGAACTGGAGGACATTGTGTTAATTGAAATAAGCTGGTAACAAAAAGTTAAACACCACATGTTCTCATTCGTATATGAAAACTAAAAAAAGTTGATCTCATAGAAGTAAAAAGTAGAACAGAGGTGGGGTAGGGAGAGACATGTCAAAGGATACAAAATTGCAGCTAGATAAGAGGAATAAGTTCTGGTGTTCTAGAACCACTGTAGGATGACTATAGTTAACAATAATATATAGTTTCAAATAGCCAGAAGGAGGATATTGAATGTTCCCAGCACAAAGAAATGATAAGTGTTTGAGATGATGGATGTGCTAATGACCCTGATCTGATCAGTATATATTATATGAATCAAAACATCACTATGTACCCCGTAAATATATACAATTATTACATGTCAGTTAAAAATAAAAAAAGAAGGAATCTCTGAAAAAAAAGATGTTCTCCATCATCCCCATTCCCAAAGGTGGCATTTTTAATTACTCATTAACTTGTTTTTAGCCCAGGGTGGTTTGAAGTGAGAAGGTATTTGAACAATGACAAATATGTCGGCTGAGTTGTACAAATAACCACATAGTCACAACAATAGTAGTCACTTACATCTTGAAAGAATCACAGCTAGTTATGTTTTGTTTTCTTTGGTGCTAGTGGGGCGGTAAGGGCATGGGTGGACAACGAGTTGGGAAGGGTCAAGAAAGGGCCCCTGATTTTTTCCATTCTATCTCGCTCTGAGCTACAAGCAATCTGCTTTCATGTTTTGGTCTTTTCTTTTAGAGATCAAATGTCATAGGAAAGCTGAAGGAAGCAAAGCTCACCATAATAACACTTTTCACACAGATATAGACCAGGTGGTTCTCGCTAATCAATTGACAAGACAGCCAATCCCAGCTCACCCTAGAGCTTTGCGAAGCTCCCAGGGCTCACAAAGGGGACTTAGATGTGAGCTTTAGCAGTGGTATTACCTGCCAATTGAGTAGGTATACCAAGAAAGAGGCCTTCCCCATGCTTTAATGTTGGCTAGGGAATTACTATAGGTAATCTGGTGATAGATGAGAATGAGCAAAGGTTAAAACTTCCCGTAAAGTTATCATAACTCAGGATACCTTAGGGAGTTTGTTTCTTATTATTTGGAAGGAGATATTCTGAGATTTGCTTTTCTAGGTGTGCTGCGCTGTGATACTTTCCCATCTGAGCCATTAGGCTATAAGGCTTTTATCAGGAGTAATGCTGTAAAAGTTGTACTTGCTGGTAGGCCTTACACATAACTCTAAGAATTGAGTAAGTATTAGGGATATTGTGAGCAATTTAGTGCCATTGTATTATATTTTCTAATCAATCTTCAAATTAAGAGGAAACTGTTGAACAGATGAATTTGACTAAGTGGTGCAATTGATTTTCTCTGGACAGAAGCCATGTTGGCCAGTTTTATGACAGCCTCAACTAAAATGTGGTAATTTAGCCAAGTATTGGTAGAAAGGAAAGGGATGGAGAGGTTCAGCATTCAGCTGGTGGGAAAGTAGAGAAGGATCTAGCAGGAAAGTGGCAAGCCTGAAGCCTCTCGCTGGGTTGCCAAACAGAAGTGAAGCAGTCCCTGTAGGATAACATCCCCGAGGGATCTGGGAGTGCAGACTTACATGCCAGCAAAAGGAAAGTGCTCCCCTGCAAGAAGAAATAGCATAGCAGAAAGAGAGAAATGTGGAGATGTCTGATTAAACCTGTGCTGTTGTCCAAAGTTTCCATGATAAACAATGATCTCCTAGGGGGTTCAAATCAGAAACAAGGAATCGTGAGCGTGCAGAGTGAGACAGAAGCTGAAAAGATCTAGTGTGGATAGTCCTAGTGGCTGCAGGTAGAGATCGGGAATAAAGTGAGGGCTGAGGTCCTGCTCGGAGAAGGGGAGGGATGTGGAGCCATCCAATGCCCTCCAATTGTTGACTTTCCATAAGGCCCCTTAAACTGTGCACATGTGCACGCATGTGCTGTCAAATCTCTCCAATTCAGACAGTGCAGTCCTTTAGGTTTTTCTAGCACGGCAAAAAGAACAAAGATGCAGCCATCACCTCCCCTCTTTATTTGTCTGTCGGGTACAAGGACATTTCCCATTCGCACTGGTAGGAACGAAGTTACTGGCAAGTTTTTGTGTGGTTAATTTTTCTGAAGGGAAACCTTGTTATAGATCTTGCCTGTGTACACACCTGCCTAAAAGATGTTTAATGATTCTTATCATTTCCAAATATACTTGCTGAGTTTTTTAAAAAGTGCCTTTTAGTCTGTTTTTTGTTTTTTTGTTTTTTTTTTTTTTTTGGCTTTTTATAATCCTAATGTGAATGTCTGATGGTAAATAAGCTTTTAAGGTGAGAACACGAGCACCAGCACAGACAGAATCTTTTAATTTGTAGCTCATTGGTGGACTGAAGCAGTAATATAATTACCAAGTAAATAAAAATGGAGTAGAAGGCCAGGCACAGTGGCTCACACCTATAATCCCAGCAGCTTGGGAGGCCAAGGTGGATGGATTACTTGAGCATAGGAGTTCAAGACTAGCCTGAGCAACATGGTGAAACCCCGTCTCTGCCAAAAATCCAAAAATTATACGGGCATGGTGGTGCGCACCTGTCATCCCAGCTACTCGGGAGGGTGAGGCATGAGAATCGCTTGAACCTGGAAGGTGGAGGTTGCAGTGAGCTGAGATCGTGCCACTGCACTTCGGCCTGGGTGACAGAGTGAGAATCTGTTTTAAAAAGAAAAAACAAAAATGGAGTAGAGGCTATTCTACAAATTCAGGTTTCCGAGGACAGTCTAGGTTAGAGCAGGAGGAAATCTCATGAGCACATTCAGGATGAGCTTCAGAGAAGAGTCGTTCTCCAAATAACAGTGAACTCCTTGGAGGGTCGAAAGCAAGTATTTTTCATCCTGTGTATACACTTCACAGTTCTCAATCACCTATTCTCCTTCCCTCCATGCTGCTCAGTGACTCTCAGTACGTATTTAGTAAATATTCAGTTATGGATTTGTAATATTTACTTTTCACATTTGCTTCCTTTGGTCCCATATTCAATAGGGCAACAGTGTGCTTCACCTTCATTGCATCTTAAACTAGCTTCCTCAAAGTATCCTCAACTTTTAGCAGCCGTATTTGTGAGCAAAGAGATCTGAGATTCCTGTTCCAGTCAACACAGGAGTAAGGACTCAGCTGAGTGGGGGAAGGCACGGCATGTGAAACATAGGGTGTTTGTAGCCTCCTGTGCATCTTGAGAAGAGACAGACAGATGGGGAAGATTCTGCACACAGGGACAGTGGGAGGATGGTGAAAAGAAGTAACAGTGTTCAGTCTACATGAGAGAAGGATTAGGAAGATATGAATGTTGTCTTCTAATAGTAAGAAGTCTTGCATATGGAAGAGGAGAGTAGATCTGGAGCCAATGCATGACATTTACAAGGAGACATATTTTGGCTAACAGAAAGATGAACTATCTCTTTGAGCTATTCCTCAATTGAATGGATTGCCCTGAGAAACAATCAGCTTCCTGACTTTGAAGGTATTTGACTAGAGAATAAATAAGCATATCAGGCCAAGTGCAGTGGCTCACATGTGTAGTCCCACCACTTTGGGAGGCCGAGGCAGGCAGATCACTTGAGGCCAGGAGTTTGAGACCAGCCTGGCTAACATGGCAACATCCCGTCTCTACTAAAAATACAAAAATTAGCCAGGCATGGTGGCACACACCTGTAAACCCAGCTACTCAGGAGGCTGAGGTGGGAGAATTGCTTGAACCCAGGAGGTGGAGGTTGTAGTGAGCTGAGATCGCACCACTTCATTCCAGCCTGGGCAACCAAGTGAGACTGCATCTCAAAAAAATAAAAATAATAAAAAAAGAGAGTAAGAAATATTGGCTGGATGGGGCTTAGGTGTCAGAGAGTGGATAGATACCTACATCATGATGGACTTTTGACTTCCAGGGTCCTGAATAGCTCTGAGGGGCTAAATTTTTATGATGTAAACATGTAAATAGAACAAAAGAGAATCAATATGGTGGAGCAAACCAATGAGGCCATTTTTCAGGCTGGGGGAAAGAAAGAGGAGTGGAGAAGAGAATCTCTGTGGTTGTTTGTCTATGAGCACATGTCACCAATTATGATTTTCTGCAACTATTTTCCTAAGAAAACGGATCCTTACGAATGGCAGAGACTTTTCCAGGGAGCAATTCTTTTCAACATCTTCTGTCATTCACAGCCTCCAGATTTGTTTTGCCACTACAAGAATCCAGTTCTCATTTCTCCCCAATTATCTCCAGGCTTGTGGCCGTCCTGCCCCATGTTAGAAAAGCAAACCCAGGACAGAGCCCTCCCCCCGGCTACAAGCAGTTAGTGCTGATTGCTGTATTGTCAATATTAAGGTTGTCCAGTTCACACTCATCCCCTGCACCACTCTCTCCCTTCTGATTCTGCCCACACAGAATAGACCAGTGCATCTCAAGTTATCTATGATGAAGGACCCAGAGTTTGTTTGTTTGTTTGTTTCATTCCTCCCAAATCTGTCATGGACCAATATCTTTGTAGACAATAAAACTAAATTACCAGAAAAAGAAAATGACCAAAAAAAACCCTATAAAATACAAGCCACACGTTTTAATTATGAGATTCAACAGACCTAAAAATCTCTGTCAGATTGCTATAAAAGTTTCAAAGTGCTTATTTTCAATGTCTGTACTTATCTTCTTGCAGATTAGCAATAAATAGCAGAGCAGTAGCCCACACATTGAGTAGGGAGGTGTAGCCTGCTCTGTGTGTCTCTGCCTTGTATTCCTCCTCACCTTGGATCTCATGGTGGGAAACACTCAAAAGCAGTCTAAATAGAGTGAGGGCAGTGGTGTACTAGAGCTGGCTTGCACTGGCTCACGAGAGCCAATTGTTAAATTTTCAGAATTCCTGTGAGTCAGTTGTTAAACATGGCCATTACAAAAAATTAAATTATATAAATTTACAATGAAATAAATTCTACCAAACAAAAATAACACTGAAGACTCATCACATCCTAATTATTTTATTGCATTTTATAATTATCTCTACTCTTAGGGTCATATGTCTATTGTGTGTGTATGTGTGGTGGAAATAATATATACTCTTGCAATTCTGTGTTCAGTGTGGTCACATTGGTAGCTTAAAGCTGGCCAGGATAGAAATACTTACACCACAGAAATCAGGAAGAAACTACAAATCAGGGCTTGATTTATTGTTTTGTTGATTGTCTAGACTCTAGACTTAAGAAAGTGATAGGAGAAAATGTTAATAGCACAGAATAAACTTAAAATCATGTTGTCTCTGTAGCCATTACATTGTGAATAGCACAAAAAAATTGAAGAAATATTCTTCCAGTATTTGAAAACTATTATCCAATTCAGTAAAGAAGTTGCTCCTATCACTGATGGAGTGAAGTTCTGACTCCATTGGAGTGGAACACTAATAATAATAGTGTTATTTCACTTTTGTGTCACCTCTTAGTGTATTCCAATATATCAACCAGTATTCATGTAGGAACTACACTTGCTCATCGATCATAACTCTAGTTTGGCTCCAGTTGCAAGAGCTTGAACAAAAGTCAATGAAAGCATTCTGTGAGAACTAATTGGCTAAATAAAATTTATAATGAAGAGTATTTTATATTTTTATCTGTAAATTGTAAGGTGCTGCACATCCTTTATTCCAATAAAATTAAAAATAAGCTGACATGCATACTTCCTTTTTTTGAGAGCCAGTTGTTAAATATTTACCAGCTCACCACTGGGTAAGACAATATATTTAGAGGATTTATTTTCCTTTGTTTATCCTTAAAGTTTCTAAGTTTAAATCAATAGCTCTTGCTACCATGAGTGAGAGAAAATTTCTGTCTTCCAAAGTTATGCTGGCAAATTAAAGAGCCCCTCATTTTCAGTGATACTGACTTCTAGGAATCCCAAACTTGGAAACTTTCTTAACTTGGATCTGTAAGATCCATAAACTTTTTTCCTCAAAACTTCTTATTCCCTGTTGAGGTTCGGGGGCTCCCTCTGAAATCCCTCTGCTAACCGATGGAAATCTCATCAGTCCCATCCCAAACCTCAATGGTATTCCTGCAGGTCAATTCACTGGAGCACCCAGGTGAGGACCACTTTTAGAGTTCAGCCTCGCTGTAGAAGATGGCATTAAGACAAATGTATACCGTGTGCCGGTATTAGCCTTGGCTTCATAGAGTTCGAGTGGAACTCCTAATATCAGGTTACATTTTGTTGGCTCAGTAATCATTTTTTGAACCACCGACCATATGGGCAGAGGTTGGGAGGAAAGCTAAATTTGGAACACACTCCCACTCTCCTGTTCAACATTTCTTTCTTGTTTGTGCAGGGAGGCAACATTATTACTCATACTCACATACAGTACCAACTGCTAGAGGACTAAGAAGTGAGATTCTCCCAAAATGTGGTCGGATCACTGGAGATTTTCTATACA
Organism: Homo sapiens; assembly: GCF_000001405.40. Classification (NCBI taxonomy): domain Eukaryota; kingdom Metazoa; phylum Chordata; class Mammalia; order Primates; family Hominidae; genus Homo; species Homo sapiens. The sequence goes on along the minus strand of NC_000023.11, from coordinate 133,580,748 downwards.
AATATGCAGCAGTTCAGTAAGAACATCTGTGCTCTGCTTCTGCAGATGTCAGAACCTGTCTGTGACACATAGCACTAGAAGACTAAATTGATAATGAAAAGGAACCCAGGGATTTCATGCCTGTGGGTTCATAAATTCTTTATCATTTTTAGTCCACATGCAGAGATAGCACCTTTCTGAACTGATATCTTTTTGATTCAGGCATTTTTAGAGCATGGAGCCATGAATGTCTCTCCATTTAGTTTTTCTTGTTCTAGCTTTCCTTCTCCCCACACACCACTTCATATGGAATGATAGTTGGAACAAAGAAGATGGATATTTTGGGAGAACAACAATAATGATTTGGGCAGTATCTGAGGAAATCATGCACATTTCTTTCAGCTCTGGGGCTTTCTAAACCTAAATACACAAGTTGTATTTAGCCTAAAGCAGCTAAAGGTCAGTGCCTCCAAGGGGTTTAGAAACATGTTCAACTTAAGGAATGAAAGTTAGTCTGCCTTCCTTCGAGGAGAGGTTGTAGTCTTCTCACCAATAGCCAGCTTGGAGTCATAAGGGCATTCTCCTTGCTGTCCCTAAATTCTAGGCATAAATGAGGAGTAGTGAAACCAAATCCCTTAGCTCAGCCTTTCCTAATCTGGCCCCAACCTACATCTCCAATCTTTTCTCTCACTAACCCCTACTCCATCCTATGCTCCAACTACCTTAAAGTTTTCACTGTTGCCAAACTTGCTATTCTGTTCCTTCAGGCGTGCCTGGGCCTTTGTAAAGTCTTGTATCTGTAATATACATAAAGCACTTAGCCCAGTGCCCATGCCTTGGTAGGTTCCCATAAATAGTGGCTGTTAATATTCTGCACATGCTGACCTGTTAACCCGTACTTGTTTCCCCTTTTGTACCTTTAAAACTCAGTTCAGGCTGGGCGTCGTGGCTTGCTTCTGTAATCCTGGCACTGTGGGAGGGCGAGGTGGGAGGATCACTTGAGCCCAGGAGTTTGAGACCAGCCTGGGCAACATGGTGAAACCCTGTCTCTACAAAAAATTAGCTGGGTGTGGTAGTGTGAGCCTGTAGTCCCAGCTACTCCAGAGGTCAAGGTGAGAGGATCGCTTGAGCCCAGGAGGTTAAGGGTGCAGTGAGCTATGATTGTGCCACTGCACTCCAGCCAGCCTGGACAACAGGGTGAGAATGTCTCAAAAAAATAAAAATAAAAATGAAAAATTCAGTTCAGATGCATCTCCTTCCTCAGTGACACCTAGCCCTAGGCAGAGTGCTCCGTCAATATGCTTCAAGCATTTACCAACATGATGGTCAGGTAATTCCCAGTGCCTGGGACCTAATTGGTGCTCAGTAAGTGTTTGTTGCATGGCCCTGGCCATACAAAAATGAATAAGCAAAGTACCTGCCCATAGAAGTTCCTAGTGTAGTTGGGGGTCTTGGGGGGTGGTGGGCAATGGGAAGGGCACAGACACCTAACTGGATCATTGTAATGTAAAGCGGTTAAAGCACTGATTGCAGTATGTACAGGGAGTTGTGGAAACACAAAGGTAAAGCTTCACACCCAGCCTTGGGTCGTCAGAAACTGAGCTGAGTCTGAAACAATGTGTAGGGGTCAGGTGGAAAGGGAAGAAAATTGTAGGCTGGCAGGATAGTATGAGCAATGACTTGGAGATGAGAAAGAGCACGGTGGTTCTGAAAATGACATGCACTTTGGTGTGACTAGAGTACAGAGAAGCAAGAGGTGAGGCTGGAAGATTTGTTAGGGGTCACATCATGAGGGCCTTCTCTGCCTTGTTAAGGAGCTTGGTCTTGATCCTGTAGCAGGGTCTATAAATTCACAACATATGGGCCATTAGCCTCCCCAACCCCCATCCCTCTCCATAGCAGACATTCATAATCACAGCACCCCACTCCACTGAGCCCAGATGTGACATCCTAATCCTTCTGAACATAGCACTACAGGGAAACACCACCAAAAGATTGAAGGCTTGAAGGCAGCATTCTGGTTTGCTGCCTTCAAACCTTTGGTTTGGTTTGGTGTTTTGTTCTGTTTTGTTTTGTTTTGTTTTTTGTTTTGAGACAGGGTCTCCCTCTGTCACCTAGGCTGGAGTGCAGTGGCACAATCACGGCTCACTTCAGCCTCAAACTCTGGTGCTCAAGCAATTCTCTCACCTCAGCCTCCTGAGTAGCTGGGACTACAGGCATGTGCCTGGTTAATTTTTTTTATTTGTAGAGATGAGATTTTGCCATGTTGCCCAGGCTGGTCTTAAACTCCTGGGCTCAAACGATCCACCCACCTCAGTCTCCCAAAGTGCTGGGATTACAGGCATGAGCCACCATGCCCAGCCAGAGAAAGGTTGTAAGCATGTTGGGAGTTTGAGGGCGGCAAGTGAGTGCAAGTGAAGGGAGAAGGCTGACATGGTCAGAATTGCATTTTGGAAAACTCTCTGGGGGAGTGGATGAAGATGCAGATTTAAGAAGAAGAATCAGCAAGACCTGTCTATTTAGATGTGGCAGAGTGAGGGAGAAAGAGTTGTTGAGGATGAGGTCACTGTTTCCACCTTGGGCAAATGGGCAGATGCCAGTGCCATTCAGAGAGAAAGCATGGAGGAGGTAATGATAGGGTTGGCACAATAATAATAGCTCATATTTTTTGAGTGCTTACTATGTGCCCGGCACAGTTTTAAGCATTTTGTGTGGATAAACTCATTATATCCTCCCAGCAACGCTGTGGTGTGGGTACCATTATTATTTGTTTTGTAGAAGAAGAAGAAGATACACAGAGGGGTATAGAATACTGAAGAGCTAACACAATCAAGGGCACTAAGGGAGAGTGTTAGAATGATAAAAGCTGAAAACCCACACCTGAGTCATTTGGAGGACTATGGATAGAGCCAGCCAGGTCACTAGGCACCCATGCTAGGGTTTATCAGTTCATCTTTAATGTTTTGGAAACCAAAGGATTTATCGTTCTTGGAAGAAGCCCGATGTGTATAAATCCTTCCTGCCCTTACCACATCTGTTCTACTCACAGGGGCAAACATCAGTAGGAATAGGAATTAAAACAAGCCTGTCCAAATGATGACCTAAATGATTTCCAAATGCATCTTCAAATATAAAATACATCCAGCATTCTTAAAATTAAAAGGGAGATAGTTTGAGGGGTGGCTAGTTTCCCAGACTCCCCCAGAGCACCTCATTTGATGAATGCTGTAATAAAAACACTTCCACCCACTCCACCCTGAATATTAAAAGGGCAAGGTTAGGAAGGGTATTGAATTTTAAGAGAATACATCACATTAGATTGTGCTGTTTTTTCTAACGATTAACCCTTTCTTGTTTTAATAATTAGACTATATACATCTATGGGTATGTATGTGTATGTAAATGTATATATTTATGCAATTTGTTTAATAACTTCATGCTTTGCAAAGCGCTTTCTCATGCCGTGTTTATTTGAGTATTATAGGAGCTTAATTACTTTAAGGAACAGGCTATTTCAATGACTAATAGACGTGTTGCCATTTTCATCTTAGCTTCATGTCTGACTCTCTTGCTATCTGGGCTGTGTCAGTATTGCAGTGTGAGCACTACCAAGAGTCAGGTACTTTAGCCAGGAGGGGATGAATGTCCATGCCCCATGGCCTGAACATGTAGCTCAACGTTAGAGTCAAGGTGAGCTGAGGACTGAACAGCTGAGGTTTTCAGACCTGTCCGCCATATTTGCTGTTAACCCTGAACTCAGATCATGAGACCATGGATTTGCTAATTATCCCATAGTGTCCTCTGGAACAGCTATAAATAAACTACAAATGTGCAATTTTTGCCTGAACATGCCATTCCCATAAACATGTCTTTACCCCAACTCAGGCCATTACATCTGCTTGTGATGTCTTCAATTCTTCTGTCCTGAAGCCTGCCAATACTTCAAGACCCTCCTCCTCCACAAAACATATTCTTGATGGCTTCAGCTATCCATGACATCTCGTTCTCTTCTGAAGCCCTTATCTCCACCATTCTATACATAACAATAACAATAACCAACTAGCAGATTGTTATTTACTAATAACTTTGAAATTCATCATCTGATTAAATCTTCATTACAACCCTGTAAGGTAGACTTTAATATTAGCTCTTAGAGAGGAGAAAACTGAGTTTCAGAGAGTTAAATTAAATAACTTGCCCAAAGTCAATTGATATTAAGAGCTAGGATTGGGCTGGGCACAGCAGCTCATGCCTGTAATTTCAGAACTTTGGGAGGCTGAGGCGGGTGGATCACTTGAGGTCAGGAGCTCGAGACCAGCCTGGCCAACATGGTGAAACCCCGTCTCTGCTAAAAATACAAAAATTAAGTGTGGTGACACACGCCTGTAATCCCAGCTACTCAGGAGGATGAGGCACGAGAATCACTTGAACCCAGGAGGAGGAGGTTGCAGTGAGCCAATATCGCAGCACTGCACTCCAGCCTAGGTGACACAGTGAGACTCCATCTCAGGAAAAAACAAACAAACAAACAAACAAAAAAACAGAGCTAGGATTGGAGCCCAGATCTTTCTGATGTCAAATTCATTTCCCTCTCCACCATGCTGTATGACCCAGCACACATAGCTGAAAAGTATTTGTTGATGATGATGACAACAATCCTCTTGTGTTAGTAAATAGCCTCTGACTTTTTCCATGGAGTTGATGCTCAGAATCAGAATAGCCTGAGCAAGAAGAGTTCTGCGCCTCTGTAGCCTTTTAGGGTTAAGTGCTATAGAGAGGAGCTGAAAGTACATTGCTCCACTCAGTTGGGTGGGACTAGTCTGGATTCCCAGAAGATTTTTCTCCCTCTCTTTATATACATTTCCCCATATCTCTCCCATGAATCATAGTTCTTCTGGGTGCCTGAGCCTGGACCCGAAAAGGAGGGATTGAAGAGCATGTGGTATTCAAGTAAGTCACTATATGTGCTTAGGAGATCTAGGTCTACTCCTCTGTGCTGTACTTGAGAGCTATAATTATTGATCCACAGTACATTCTTGTGCCCCATGACCATCCGGCCTCAGTATATCCTAGACTATCATTTGCTGGGGCAGCAGTTGGTTTGGACAGCTTATTCTGAAGGTAGCTTTGGAAACTTGCATAATCTTGGTACTGAGAGACTGAGCAAGCAGCCAGGCTAGAGGCCCCATGTGCTGTTCTTCGGTCCAGTGCCCCAGCTAAAATAACACATTTAGAATTATTCAGTATCCCTTCCGCTCATCCCTAAATTTGAAAATGCATACTCATGAGGAAGCCTGGCTTTTAGTAGGTCTTTGGTATGTTAGAGAATTGCATGTTATGGGAAGTCAAAATGAATGTTGGAGTGAATCTCATTCTGGCTGTAATAATAATCTTCACATAGTAGCAGTATTGTAGCCAATGAGGTTTATCCACACATGATTATTGCTGATTAAAATAATGATAATAATAATAGTCAGAAACATAATAGCACTTACTGCTAATTGTTTTCTCTATGCTGACGTTGGTCTAAGTGAGTGTTACCACAGTTAATCTCTACAAGGCCCTATGGAACATTGGTAATATAACTCCCATTTTATAGATAAGGGATATAAAGCTCAGAGAGATTAAGTAAAAAGATTAAGTAAATGGTTTAAGGTCACACAACTAATAAATGGTCCAGCCAAAATTCAAACCCATGCCTTTTTGGCTCCAAAGGCCATGAAATATTAATAGTAGCCTCTGCTCTACCACTTCCCTTTCTGCTGCTTCTTGGTACTCCTGTCTATGCCTTGTAAGCCTTCAGTCAGCACCCAGCTGAGACCCACAGGAAGTGCTTCAGCCAATGTTGAGGTCAGCTAAAGAGTAGTGACCAGCATGCAGCAGAAAGGGACCCAAACTGTTCATTCTAACCATGCCATTGTGCTCCGCTGGCCAACCCTTAAGCCTCATTACATTTCATTCTCCCAGCAAAGACAGTAAAGATAAGAATGCAGATGGAGTGTGTGGGATGCGATATGACTAAATTCATTTGGTCTTCTGGAACTTTTGTAAAAATATAAACAGATCTGATCTAGTTAAATACTCCTCTTCTCCTTAGGCCCAGACATAATCACATAATTCACAGTCAGCTTTGCTGGCAAGACAAAGATTGGAGATGTTCCATAAAGAAGATATCAGTTTGAAAAACCTACAACCTTAGCTGAAAAATATAATTTTGTTCATAAAGATGTCTAGTAGGAAATAACCAGAAAGACTGAAATAACTTTGAACCAGTCGTTATCTTTGGTCAATATCATGTGGCCAATGAGAATTTATAATCTCCCCTTTATATAGAATGTTGCTTATATTAATATGGCTTTCTATAAAATATCATTTTAAATGTGGGTTGGTGAACTGGTCTCTCTCTCTCTCTCTTTTTTTCTCAATAGCTTCATTGGGATATAATTCACATAACCATACAATTCAACCATTTTTAAATGTAGAATTCAGTGGTTTTTAGTACATTCACAGAATTGTGCAGTGATTACCACAATCAATTTTAGAACATGTTCACCACCCCCAGAAAAACCTTTTACCCCTCAGCCACCACTCTCCAACCCTCCTAACCCCCTCAACTCTAGATAAGCACTAATCTACTTTCTGTCTCTTTGGGTTTGCCTATTCTTGAAATTTCATATAAATGGAATCATACTATATGTAGTCCTTTGTGACTTCTTTCACTTAGCATAACATTTTCAAGATGGACCCATGTTGAAATATGTATCAGTAGTTCATTGTGGGGTTTTGCTTAATAACATTCCATTGTATGGCTGTATTATTTTACTTAACTATTCATCAGTTGATGGAAATGTGTTTTCTTCCCACTTTTTGGCTATTATAGATAAGGCTACTTGTTTATAGCCAAAAAGTGGGAACAAAGAGTAGGAACAAAACAAGCAGCCTTATTTATCATAGCTAAAAGGTGGGAACAAAACACATTTCCATCCACATTTATTTAATTCTTGTTTAATTTCCTTTAACAATGTTTTGTATTATTCAGAGTATAGGTTTTCTACTTTTTTGTTAAACTTATTCCTATGTATTTTATTCTTTTTGATACTGTTGTAAGTGGAATCACTTTTCTAATTTAATTTTCAGAGTTTATTGCAAGTCTATATATATTTGATTTTTGTATACAATTGATTTTTGTATACTGATCTTCTATCCTACTACCTCAATGGATTCATTTATTAGTTCTAATAGACTTTGTGATTTCTTTAGGTTTTTCTACATGCAGGATCATGTTGTCTTCAAATAAAGACAGTTCTACTTCTTCCTTTCCAATCTGGATGCCTTTGATTTGTTTTGCTGGCCTGCTTACACTGGCTAGAACCTTCAGTACCATGTTGAACAGAATAGGCAAGAACTGATATCTTTGTCTTGCTCATGATCTTAAAGGGAATGCTTTCATTCACTCACTCTTAAGTAAATTATTAATAGCTCTGAGGTTTTTATAGATGCCCTGTATTGGGCTGAGGGAGTTTCCTTCTATTTCTAGTTTAAGTGTTTTCATCATGAAAGGATGCTGAATTTTGTCAAATGCTTTTTCTATTTCTATCAAGATAATCATGTAGGATTTTTTTTTCTTTATTCTATTAATATGGTATATACATTGTTCACATTTTGTATGTTAAACCAACCTTGCATTCCTGGGATAAATCCCGCTTGGTCATGATACATAACCTTTTCAACCTGTTGCTGGATTTGCTTTGTTCATATTTTGTTGAGAACGTTTGTGTTTATATTTATAATATATATTGGTCTGTAGTTTTCTTTTCTTGTGATATCTCTGCCTAGCTTTGGTATCACAGTAATGCTGGCCCCATCAAGTAAGTAAAAAGTATTTCTTCCTCTTCTATTTCAGGAAGAGTTGTGAATGATTGTTGTTGATTCTTCTTTCAGCATTTGATGGACTGAAGCCATCTGGGCCTGGGCTTTGTATATTCAGATTTCCTATTTCTTCTTAAGTCAGTTTTGGTAGTTCATGTAATTCTAGGAAATTTGTCTATTTCATCCAGGTTATCTAATTTTTGGTTTACAGTTATTTATAATATTCCCTTATAATCCTTCTTTATTTCTTTACAGTTAGTTGTAATGTCCCTTTTTTATCTCTGTTTTTAGTAATTTAGGTCTTCTTGTAATTTCATTTTTTTCTTATGCAGTCTTGCTATAGGTTGGTCAATTTTGTAGATCTTTTCAAATAACAAACTTTTAGTTTTGTTGATTTTCCCTGCTGTTTTTCTGTTCTCTATTTTATTATCTTTACCTCTAATCCTTATTATTTTCTTCCTTCTGGTTGTTTTGGGTTTAGTTTGCTTGAGTTATTGATTTGAAATCTTCCTTCTTGTTTAATGTAGGTGATCATAGCCATAAATTTTCCTCTGAGGACTACTTCCCTGCATTCCAAAAGCCTTGGTATGTTGTATGTTCATTTTCACTTATATCAAAGTATTTTCTAATTTTCCTTGTGATTTCTTCTTTGACTGATATTTATGTAGGATTGTATTCTGTAATTTCCACATATTAGTGAACTTCTCAAATAGTTTTCTTTATTGATGTCTAATTTCCCTCCATTGTGACTGAAGAATAGACTCGACATGATTTCCATCATTTTTAATTTATTGAGGCTTGTTTTATGGCTTAGTTTAAGGTCTATATTGGGGAATGTTCCATGTGCACTTGAGAAGAATGTGTATTCTGCTATAAACCGGTTAATTTTATCTACAGGATTAATATGAAGCTATAATAAAGTACTTTTTCAGCTTATATTTCATATTTTAAAACAAGATTCAGTCAATAATCCCTTCCCCCATGTCCTTCAGAAAAGAACATGTGATTCATAATCACCATTCAGATCTCAGGATTAAGAACAGAACTACAGAAAGTCCTCCTCTTGACATTCCAATTCCACTGTCCTTTAGAACCATAGAGGCAGCACTTAATTATCCACAAGGAGATTTTTTATTTTGTGGCTTATCTGAAGTGACCTATAGTTTTCAATCTTTCTGCCACCCCTCCCAAGCTCAGGCCACTGATGTAAGCCAGCACGGATGAGGGGCATTTAAATATCAGAACAGGGTGGTTTGTTAGACTGTCACTGAAGCCATAGGGACCGGATATGTTAAATACAAAAAGCCCATCTGACTAGTGTTCTAAGCCTCTTTGGTAACCTAATCAGATTAGCTATTAGAAAATGGCTATCAGGCTGGGCGTGGTGGTGGGTGCCTGTAGTCCCAGCTACTCAGGAGGCTGAGGCAGGAGAATGGCGTGAACCCCAGAGGCGGAGCTTGCAGTGAGCCGAGATCGCGCCACTGCACTCCAGCCTGGGCGACAGAGCGAGAATCCATCTCAAAAAAAAAAGAAAATGGCTATCAGGACACCCCAAAAAAAGTAGCCAACCTAAATGCGCAGAGCACAATGGCTGAGTGTGAGTGGTTGGCTGAAGTAAATGTGATGCTTAACTGTATGTTGGTATCATTTATGCCATTTTTGAAAGCTGGCCATGCCTCAAAAAATACATTCTGGAACTAATTTCCTATTTTAAATGGTGTTCAATATTGCCTTTTGTCAGAGAAACCGTTCTCACTTGTAGATTTATAAGGTAATACAAATAAACATCAAAGAAATAAAAATATTATGATCAACCAAGATGTGAGTTTAAAGACAAAAAGAAAAATTTTGATCTCTTTTTATGCTTCTAAATTCTCATGATACTTATGCCATACACATATGTATAAGTTTATAAAGCTGTGCGATAATAAAATCACAGACTTTCACAGTAGGTAGGTTTAAGATTGAAACACAGGAGAACCATTTCTCCTGTGAGATTTTTTTTTGAGTGCTTATATGAGCACTCTTAAAATCCAACCACAGAATATCCTGTCTCTGAGTAATAAAATTGGGTACACTGGCTATAACAATATAAAGATGGCCAAGAACCAACATGGAATGGTGAATCACTTTAAGCATTTGGTCATGGGGCCAAAGACCAGGCTCTTGGACCTAGACTGTGTATCTAATTCTACTTCAGTAAATCAAGCTAGTGAAGGCAGTGGGTCTCATGCTGAGAAAAGAAGGAAGCCCAGACTCAAAGGGGTCTAATTCTGCTGGGAGGTTAAAGAATGGATGCCTTTCATGGAATTATTTTGTTCAACTTAGAATGAGTCGTCCACAGATGTGCCCATTTCATCTCATATTTGTTTATACCTCTGCTTTAAAACATTCTTTTTCTGCTGGGCACAGTGGCTCATGCCTGTAATCCCAGCACTTTGGGAGGCCGAGGCAGGCGGATCACCTGAGGTCGGGAGTTTGAGACCAGCCTGACCAACATGGAGAAACCCCGTCTCTGCTAAAAATACAAAATTAGGCGGGCATGGTGGCACATGCCTGTAATCTCAGCTACTCGGGAGGCCAAGGCAGGAGACTCGCTTGAACCTAAGAGGCGGAGGTTGCGGTGACCCGAGATCACGCCATTGCACTCCAGCCTGGGCAACAAGAATGAAACTCTGTTTCAAAACACAAAAACAAAAGCAAACAAACAGGCCGGGCGCGGTGGCTCAAGCCTGTAATCCCAGCACTTTGGGAGGCCAAGGCGGATGGATCACGAGGTCAGGAGATCGAGACCATCCTGACTAACACGGTGAAACCCCGTCTCTACTAAAAATATTTAAAATTAGCCAGGCATGGTGGTCGGTGCCTGTAGTCCCAGCTACTCGGGAGGCTGAGTCAGGAGAATGGCATGAACCCAGGAGGTGGAGGTTGCAGTGAGCCAAGATCACGCCACTGCACTCCAGCCTGGGTGACAGAGCAAGACTCCATCTCAAAAAAAAAAAAACCCATTCTTTTTCTATATAGATGTATTAAGGCTGATGTTTCTAGCATAACCAAAATTTGTATAATCTAGAAATAACTTCCATTTGCTAATACTCATTATGCAAGATGGAAATTGCTCTTAAGAGCTTACGGTTTGTATTTATAGGGACACTACATGGATAGATGCCTGTGGCCACATGTGTCTCACATTTAACTGTAAAATAGATACCAACGTCCATCCAGCATAGAGTGATTTGAAATATAACATTTAATTTCCAAATGTTAGTTTTGCTCAGAAAAATATAAAGCCTGTCTGGTTAGAGAAGAATTTATGGAATGATGCTTCAGGGCTGTTTTAATTGAAGTTGTGTCTTTACTTCAGTTAAAGCTCTCAGGGACAGTAATGATAAACAGGGTTCATAGCAGTGGACTTCCTCTAAGGAAAAGCAGCTCTTGTCCCCAGCTTCCAGGAACTGGGACCATGGTTTCCAAATCAGTCACACACAGACCCACCCCCTGCCCTCAGTGTCCCATAGTTGGTCTTGAAATCTTCCTGGCATTTGGCTGGAGACAAAAAGAGGGCAGGGACATAGCAGCTTCTAAAGGATTATGGCTCCAAAGTGGAAAGCTCATCTGCAGTGTGCAACTGCTTCAGGCTTGTTCATTCATTTTTTCATTTTTGATTCACATATTCATGGCCCTCTGCAAGTTCATCTTCGTCTGCCTTTTCAGTTTAATCTTTTTATTTTGTGAGACAAGGTCTCACTTTGTCCCCCAGGCTGGCGTGCAGTGGCGTGATCATGGTTCGCTGCAGCCTCAACCTCCTGGGTTCAAGTGATCCTCTTGCTCCAGCCCCACCAAGTAGCTGGGACTACAGGCATCGCCACCACGCCCATGCTAAGGTTTTTATTTTTTGTAGATACAGGGTTTCGCCATGTTGCCCAGGCTGGTCTCGAACTCCTGGGCTCAAGCAATCCACCTGCCTCCACCTCTCAAAGTGCTAGGATTACAGGTGTAAGTCACCTTGCCCGGCCTTTAGTCTAATCTCTTGCTTCTTCTCACATAGTCCAGCTGAACTATTTCCTGAGCATTTTCCATTTTTCCATGCCTCTGTGCCTCTCTATATACCATTTTTTTCTATCTAGAATACTTTTGCCTCTCCTTCCACTTACTCCTCCTCTCAGTCTCTATATATCCAAATGCTACCCATGCTTTCCAGCCTCAGTTTAAATGCTCCTTCCTCCATAATGTCTTTTCTGATCCTAAAACACTCCTACCTAATCCAGAGGTGATTACTGTCTCCTCTAAACTTCCTCTCTTTCTCTGTACCTTGTTGAGACACTGTAACACAATAGATAACAGCATAGCCACTTATGAATTGTGTGGCTTTGGGCAAAATTCTTCTCCGAATCTGAGACCTTAAATTTGTACAATGGAGACAATGATACCTGTCTCATAGTATTCTTGTAAGAATTAAATGAGATTAGGTATGCTAAGAACCTACACAGCTCTCAATTGTAGCTGTCCTTGAGGACAGAGACGACATCTTGTTCAACTTTGTACTCTCAGCACTTAGCATTGCACTTGGCCCAGGGTGGTACTATGTGAATGTTTGTGGAGTAAATAGGTACCCCTTTAGTAATGGGAATGTGGTGGAGATGTGCAAAGTGTTTTCCAGCTATTTAGGAGGTGATCTTTTGTGTCTGTCACTTGCCTTCCAATGGCTCCCTTGTCAGCCTACAAAATGGAGCTGTCCTTCTCTGTTTCTAAATTAAAAGTCAGGTCAAGCAATGCAAATTTTGTGCTTGGTGCTTCATTCCAGCTCTCTGATTATTCCCTGAGGATTTCGCTCTCCTTTGTAGAGTCTGGAGCTCATCCTTTGCTGAGGACTTGAATCCATTCAGATTTTGCATTGTTAAGTTTTCAGCCAAGTTCAGCTAGTTTGGTAGTTTGTTTGTTTATCCTTGGCCAAAATATGACTTCCTCTTTTTTCAAAGTGTCTTTGAAAGGTATCATAAAGGTTTTGGTACATTCAAAAGATCATTAAATATTTTATGTGTATATAATGAGAAATTCTTTGTTTTCTCCTAAACTGCCCCTCTGGTAAAGTCAAGAGGAAAGCATGTGTTATAAGTGGGCCTTAGTTTTTATTTGTTGGATTTGGGCCTCTCTCCATTCTCTTTTTGGCAGATACCTGGAGTATATTGAATTCCAAGTTGACTTTCAATCAAACGGCATTTCTATATTTCCTTAAGAAAAATACTCCTAGGGTAAAGGAAAAATGTCTTGAGTGCCAAGAGGGACTGGTCGATAGATTTTGACCACATTTTCAGGAGCTAAGGCAAGGATAAATTCAAACCTGGATCAGAGAACTCAAATGGAAGAAAAGCAGCCTACTAAAAGGGCTCTGCCACAGGCCATTGGTTTCACTGCCAAGGGGGATATGAGTTTTGTCCTTCATAGGAAAATATGCAGCTCTTTAATATTCTATCAGAACCAGAGGATGCTGTTCATGGGGTGTGATTTGACCACATTCAGAAATTTAGCCATAATTTTAAAACGTGTGGGACATTACTCTGTGTTGTTGTTGCTGTTTTCTTAGAGCCATGGTAAGGGCCTAGTGGGTGAGACAGATTGGATATGCAACACTATGTCATAGATATACATCTTCCTTAACCTTGAACACCCTAGGATGGGAGCAAGACAGGGCTCACCTGGGAAACTCAGCATTCAACCCATGGTCTGTTACTCAGGAGGCACCCTATAAGTATTTGAATGAATGGAAAGTACTTGTCTACAAGAATGCCTTTTTTAGAGCTTCCTCCTGGCATCAGTGTGGGAGGAACATTGGAGAAATACTCATCAGCCTTTCCTCTGCCTTCTGACTCTTACGGCAATTCCTGCTTGAGGGTCAATGAAGTTTGGAAGCTGGTAGAGGGAAAGGGAAAGATTCCTTTTAAATTTTTATTTAATCTTCCCTATCTACTTGAGATCTGTTGATGTCTGGACAGATGTTAAGGCTTTTGTTTTTGTTAATTGCTCATCACTTTGAACAAATCTCTTTCTCTAGCCTAGAAGCCAGGCTTGAGCTAAATGACAGGGCCCATTAGTATTAGTCTCCTTGGGCTCTGTGTATCTGGTGATGAAAAGTAGGATAAAGCTGAGGGGATGAGGTCCTGTCTGTAGGAGGAAGATACCTGGGGCCATACTTTATCCTGGATTCTGCTCACCTTCCCCAATTCAAACCAATTGGTGAATATTTTATTTGCATAGAACACCTGCAGGTATACATGTATGTTATGTTCAATGTGATACTCTATGTGATCTTTGTAGGTTTTTCAGGCTTGGTAACAGTACAGCTAAAGATTTTGGAAGGGTGGAGAGGCAAGTATTAATGCCAGTTCATTTGACTTCTCTATCACCACCATGTGAATAGAACTTTTATTTAAAAAAAGAAAAGAAAAGCCAAACAAGCCCTAATGTCTCATGCTATGAACAGAAGTGCCTGCAATATAGGTCAAGCCTTACATGTCCTCTCCAGAGTAGGACCACCCTACTGGAGTCTGGAGGTAGATGATATTTCCTGAGCTGCATGTCTGAATCCATCACTCCCTCCCCTGGCTCCTGTTCTCCAGACAAATGGTCTAGCCATCTTGCTGGAATCGGCAATATCATCCAAACATATGGCAGTCTTTGGAGGTATCTAATGGGCCAGCAGTGCACATTATGGTGATATCATGTTGGAACCTGACAAGTTCTATGTGTAAAGCTCAATTGTGCTTAAAAGGAAGTTCCATGGCCAATCTGTTCATGGACCTGACTGCTTTATTTAGAAAAATTAAAGTCACTCTTCCAATTTGATCAACAAATACTTATTGGGGTCCCATTAAATACCAAGCCTTATATGAAAAACTTTACATAAACACTGTCATTTAATTCTCTTGGCAACTTTGTTGGGGAGGTAATTTTTACAACTTTGGAGATGATAAAATTAGGGCTTAAAGAAGTGAAGTCTTACTGCTGGCAAGTGGTAGAGCTTGGATTTGAATTGAGGTCTGTCTCTTCCTCAAACTCTCCCTATTCTGCCCTGTGGCATCCCAGGAATTCTTTTTCCTTCTTACTTCCAATTATTTCATAGCCCAGTTCTACCAAAAAGCATAACTCTATTAAGGGTTCCACAGTTACAAAAGTCCTTTGGGGATGAGCCCTTTAACCATTGTTCATGAGGACCTTTGAAGTTTCCCAAGTTCCTCCTTAGTCAGTTGCATGCATATAATAAAAGTGGTCTTGTTGATGGCACAGGAACCTACTTTCATCACCATTAACTTGGGAAGGCACGAGGAATGAAAAGAAGGTGATGAGAGAGAGAGAGAGCAAGAATTCAATGCAGCCAGTTATTTCAGTTCAACTCACAGATATTTACTGAGCATCTCCTTCATGCCTAGCACAGTGTTAGGCACAGTGAGAATAAAGAGGCTATATATACAGCACCTGCTCTGTAGGAGAAAGGAAGACACAGAAGAACCAAAGAGTTTGGGCTGAATTCTGTGAACAGTTGTGAGGCATTGGTGACTTTTGAGCAGAGAAGTGACAACTGCTCCCAAGGTATGCTTTTATTCATTCCTTCTGGGCTATTGCGGGGGTCAGGAGAGAGCAGCTGTTGAGGAGGGATGGGGCAGTGGGCGTTGAAAAAGCCAGACTCTACTATGCTGGGGTATTAAAGATGCAACAGTTTCTGCATCTTTGCCTAGCACCTCCCATACATGTGAAATCCCACAGTTTAATGGAAAGGATATAAACCATCTGCAGAAACATATTTGTTTAAAAAGGAGACACCAGCATGAAGACTTAGCAACTTTGAACCAGTTGAAAGAAGAGCAGCTGCCTGATATTTTCATAGTGGATCTATTGATTGTTCATCTTCCATTCTTCTTGTGATTTTTATTACTAGCATATTTCTATTGATTGTGCCAGAAAGATCCTTGAGAGAAAGAAGAATTTGTAAATTGTTACTTTAGAGAGATTAAAATCTATGTAAGAGTTAAAGTTTCTGTAGGTTTGGTCCATTGGCATGCACAGTTAAAGTGCATAAGATTTTGGAAGTCATTTTATATCATGAGGGCCGATGGAGGTCAGGAATTTTCCATCCCTGTTCACCTTTTCATGGAATGCTTACACTTAATCAGCACCTACTGTGTGCCAGACACCATGCCAATGCTTTCACATATCCTTACAGCAATTTTGTTTTATAGGTGAGGAAACTAGGGCCCAGGGAAGTTATATAACTTACCCCAAATCAAAATTGGTATGCAGTAGAGCCAAAGTTGATGGCTGTGTTTACTGGTTCCAAGTCTAGAACTTTTACCACCACACCACCCACCTCTCTCACTGATCTATATCATACTCCTAGAGTGTGTGTACACAGGGTGCATCACTAGAAAGGGATGAGAGTCTCTGACTTGCTCATGACCACCCATTGTCGTTTAAACAAAGCACAGGGCCATGCAGAAATGGGGTTCAAGCCTCAAATTTTGATGAGGGAAAGGAACATGTTGGGAGGACTGGGTACTGACACAACGCTGCCAGCCCAAGAAGGTTGCCCTGATCAGCTATAAGACAGCATGAAGTCAACAAATCTCTTCTGAGGATATGGAAGGACTATAATGAAAATGACATCAAGAGGGGAACAAAAACACACTAGTCCTGATTCTCAATTTTTGTCCCAGATAGAAGCATAACAATGCTTCTTGGTGGGTACAGATCCATATCACTTCTGTGCATCCATCTCTCCTCTCTCTTAAAAGACCAATGGGCTGGTGGCAGAGTTAAAGACTGGTAAATAGGCCCAGACCAAACTAACAGTGGCGTATCACTCTAGTTTGTGCCTGAATCCCAGACTTGATCCTAGGACCCCTTTCAGTTCCCTAACTCCTCTGCTTGGTTATGATTTCATAATTTGGAGTTGGCCTAAGCTCTCCAGCACACTCTTTCCAAAATACTTCTAGGCGAAGGCTGGGAGTGGGAAATACAGCCTTATGAAATAGTTGGCTAGGGCCCCACCCCTTCTCACAACTGGAAATGGGAAATAGGGCTTAGCTTGGTTAAATAAAACATTCATTAATACCTGGGACTGGGGTCCTGGTTATGGAGGATTAAAATTTGGGAAAACCTTTTCAGAAAATGAAGAGCCAAGTAGTCTGAAAAAGCAAGTATTGGAATTTTGTTATCTCAGAAATGCTCCATGTGCTGGCTTGTTTTTCATCAGTAATAAAGCTATGAGGAGCAACAAGTTGATTTATATCTGAAAATCTAGGATCTGGCATTGCAAAATAGTTGCTGGAACTTAATGCAAGAAAATAGTTAATATCTTTAGATTTAGCTATTATCTATAATCTTTTATTTTCTCTTTTGAGCAAAATGTATAAATCTGATTGTTTCTAATGTTTTTATCACTAAGTACAAGTATGTATATTAAAAGCTCAGTATAACTATCTTGACACAAGTCAGTTGAACTGCCTTTCTAAAATAGAAAGTTGAATTCAACAAAACAGCTCTAAGGCCTAGTCCCAGCTACTCAGGAAGATCGCCTGAGCCCAGGGGTTTGAGGTGTCAGTGAGCCATGATCAACGCCACTACACTCCAGCCTGGGTGGCAGAGAGAGATCCCTTCTCTAAAACAAACAAAATCCAGCTCTTTTGTATTCAATTCATAGCATTGGATAGTCAGCTTGCCTTTTTTTTCCCCTCAAGTGTTTTGGTATCATGTAGCCCAGCTTCATTTATTGGTTCCTTAAAAGAATTATTTTAAATACCTCCAAACCCAGCCTTGCAGAATACTCCCCTACCCCTCTTCAGGGACAACAACATAGTTTAGTTGTCCTTTTTATCTCTCCCTGTTCCTGACCATTTCCCTCTCTTTGATCCACAAACTGGGACATTTATAATA
The DNA here is from genome assembly GCF_000001405.40 of Homo sapiens. NCBI lineage: Eukaryota > Metazoa > Chordata > Mammalia > Primates > Hominidae > Homo > Homo sapiens. Next base: position 133,562,973 of record NC_000023.11, on the reverse strand, counting down.
TCTAATATAATTTCTTCTACCATCCTGTGAAGGCAGTGATATTGTCCCTATTTTGCAGATTAGCAACAAAAGGCTCAGATTTGAAGGACTGTGGTCACATGGCTAGTAGTTGACCGGAGCTACTCAATCTCTCATGCGGTCCCTCCAGATCCTAACACTCCCATAATGGTTCTATGGTGGTGATCCCCCTTTCTAATGACTCCTGTGGAAACAGACTAGTATCTACTCAGAATGGACCTGCCCATAGCAAATTTCATCTAAGTCCTACTTTACTATATTAACTACATCGCAGATGGAGACTGAGGTGCAGACATTAAGTCATTTATTCTTTTTTTTTTCTTTTGACACCGATTCTCACTCTTTCGCCCAGGCTGAAGTGCAGTAGCACGATCTCAGCTCACTGCAACCTCCATCTCCTGGGGTCAAGCAATTCTCGTACCTCAGCCACCCGAGTAGCTGGGATTACAGGCGCCCACCACTGTGCCTGGCTAATTTTTGTACTTTTGGTAGAGACAGGGTCTCACTATGTTGGTCAGGCTGGTCTCAAACTCCTGAGCTCAAGCAATCCACCTGTCTCAGCCTCCCAAAGTGCTGGGATTACAGTTGTGTGCCACTGTGCCCAGCCAGGTCATTTATTCTTAATCTTGGGAAAAATCAGCAGGAAAATCAGGATGAGAACCTGATACCTCTAAGGGGAACTGGACCAGGCTGCCTCCTTACTTTAATGCTGCTTGGAAAACTGCTCGTGACTCCTTCGCCTTTTTGATTTCACATAAATATTCCAAGGTACCCAAACATTTTTCAGGCACTATTTTCGCTTTTTAAAATTCTCTCAAAGTTAAAACAGAATGCCTGTATGTCTGTGCATGTACATATTTTAGAACTGTGTGCTTTATGTACTGTGGCTTGAAAGCCTTCTATGTTATTTTGATTTTATAAATGTTTTCATAATCACCCAAATGGTGCAGTTCATGCTTTTGTCATCGAATATAAACTAAATTTCCTAATGGAAAATGCATTCATTCTGGAACAATGCCAGAAATTGTCCAAAGAAGATACTTGAAGTTTGTGTCATAAAATATCTGTGTGGGTAAATTATCAGGTGTTCAACTAAAACTACAGAACTGATTTTTTAATTCCTATTGACATCATTGCAAGTGCTCCAAATTCTATCACTTGTGCACTTCACATGCCTTCTTCATAATTAACATAAAGAAATTAATGTCTTACAAGCTTCAATATTTGATGCCATATGAATCCTGAGGATATTTAAAAGGAGAAGAAATGTAAATAGGATGAAATTCTTAAGCAAGATTACTGATATGACAGGACTAAAGAGCTTCAGAGTGTGTGAAAAGTGCCTCTTTTCTTCCCTTTAATAAGTCCATTACTTGCACTTGGGCATATTTTAAGGTCCTTTTCATGCTGAATCTGGAGTTGGGCATGCTTTGCATTTCAAGCTTTGTCTATGAATCAGTAAAAGCCAAAGTTATTTCTGCTTTAAAATAACAGGAGCCAGGAACAGCTAATCTCTTTTCATTCTGAGTTCCTTACATTATTTTAGTGGACAAAGTTTGTGTTGGCTACAAAACAGGCCATTCACAACATCTATGAGAAGGAATTTAGGTAAGAATGAAGAGAGATTGTAGGATGTATAAAGACTCCCTCTCCTGAGGCCATTAAGAAATTCCAAATTGGCACTGTTTTGAATAGTGACATTGCATTAGCCTTGCTAATTTCAGTAATTCAAGCTGATAGCTTCTGTTTACCAATCTTTTGGATAAAACCTTCCCATCACTACAGTACCAATGTGCTTCTCAGCTAAGGTGAGTTGGTATTTTAAAATAAGTGATGGAGGGGGAAGGTAGTGAAGCAAGTTGGAGGTTGATGATGGGCAGCATGGTAGCACCTCTTTCTCTGTCAGAAACGCTTTGAAAAGAGGTATATGTCTTTACTTCCTCAGTAAGACAGGCCTTTTGCTTTTCTTTCTTTAAGCAGGAATGAGAGAGAATATGAGACAGAGGATATGTCACTCCCTTACCTCATTGCATCTGACCTCTTTGATGATCTCTGTCTGGCTTTTAATTGTGTTCATTTCAATAATTGGGACAGGCAAAGAAACCCATCCAAGATTTTTTAATTTTTATTTTTAATTGGTAAATAATAATTGCATGTATTTGTGGAGTACAATGTGATGTTTCAATATATGAAGAAATAGGGACTTTTTTTTTTTTTGAGACAGAGTCTCACTGTGTCGCCCAGTTTGGAGTGCAGTGGCATGATCTCAGCTCACTGCAATCTCCACCTCCCCAGTTCAAGCAATTCTCCTGCCTCAGCCTCCCAAGTAGATGGGACTACAGGCATGGGCCATCACGCCCAGCTAATTTTTGTATTTTTAGTACAGACGGGGTTTTGCCATGTTGACCAAGTTTGTCTCGATCTCCTGACCTCAGGTGATCCACCCACCTCGGCCTCCCAAAGTGTTGGGATTACAGGCGTGAGCCACCATGCCCGGCCAAAATAGGCACTTTTTAATAGTAGGAATACATTTGCTCTTCAGTTCGTAAAATGTGCAAATAAACTTACAAACAGTTAATGGCAAAAACTCCAGGGGGAAAGGGAACTCCTTTTTTTAAAGACATTGTCCTAAGTCTCTCTTGAATAACTGGCATCTCACATCATGCTGGAAAAATGTACACAGGGAAATCTTCAGAGCCTCACAAGCTGAGAAAGTAGAAAGATTGCCGAGTGTTTGAAAGGGTTTAGGGTTTCATTTGAAGAGCAGCTACACCCCACCGTGCCTATGCTCTGATACACAGAATATGGGTGAGGCGGTCCATTGGAAATCACCCTGAGTGAATTCACAGTGAACCTTGGGTGACAGGACACTGACGGCAATCCACACCTTCCGAACATCCGGCCCTGGGTTATTGACCTGGGATTCCTGTCCGTCAGTGACTAAGACCAAAGCACAGATTCTTCCCTGAATACTTTGGCTCATCAAACAATAAAGATTAGAGAGAGAAAAAGAGAGATGAGAGAGAGAAAGAGACAGGAGCAGAGACATAGAGAGACAGAGAGAAAGGAAGGACATCAAAGGGTGGGCGGGTAGATGATGTGAAATGCATGAGAGATTTTCTTAGGTTCCAGAGCAGTGTTTCTCCAGAAATGTTAATGGCTTTCTCAAATAAAAAATAACATCTTACGCTTGAGGAGCACGTTAAAGTTTACAAGTATTATTTACATATCTTATCTCATTTGAGAAGTGAGTACAAGTATTTAGTATTATACAAGTTTGATACTAAATAATCAAGTCTTCTCTGCTTATAGACACAGCAGGAAAGGTCTGTGGATCAGTCTTTCCCAGGTTTCTCTTCTCAGAACACTCCACAGGCTCTGCCCCTGCTCAGAATCCCCATGGCACTCTGTTCATGCCTCTCTTGTGGCACTCATCACATTCTACCTTGGCCTACGGGGGGTTTTGGTACTTGCCCCATCTTCCCCACAAGATAGAGAGTTCCTTGAGATTTCCTGAGTTTTCCTCAACTCCGTACCCACTATGGCACCTGGCACAGTGTCTAGCAAACAACAGGTACCCAATTTATGTTCATCGCTGCCCTCCTAACACCTATGCCATGTGTCAATCTCCTGCTAGATGGAGAGCCCCTTGAGGGCAGGCTCCATGGGTTCTCCTGTCCCCAATGCCTGGCCCGCTGGTTCCTCAGACATCCATAAATGTTCTCAGCACTCAAGAAATGTTACATAAATTGGCTGGACATGGTGGCTCACGCCTGTGAGGCGGAGGTTGCAGTGAGCTGAGATCATACTACTGCACTCCAGCCTGGATGACAGAGCGAGATTTTGTCTCAAAAGAAAAAAAAAGAAAGAAAGAAAGAAAGAAATGTTACATAAATTAATGAATTAATTACATTATACTAAACATACTCAATATAAACCCTTCCTTTCACCTGTGGCTGCCACACCCACCACTCGTCCACTTTAAGGGCTTATTCATGAGGACACATTTATTTTTATTTATTTATTTATTTATTTATTTATTTATTTATTTACTTACTTATTTTTGAGACAGAGTCTTGCTCTGTTGCCCAGGCTGGAGTGCAGTGGTGTGATCTTTGGCTCACTGCAACCTCCACCTCCCGGATTCAAGCGATTCTCCTGCCTCAGCCTCCTGAGTAGCTGGGATTGCAGGCCCTGCTACCATGCCGGGCTAATTTTTGTATTTTTAGTAGAGACAGGGTTTCACCATCTTGGCCAGGCTGGTCTTGAACTCCTGACCTCGTGATCCATCCACCTAGGCCTCCCAAAGTGCTGGGATTACAGGCGTGAGCCACCGCACCTGGCCGATGACACATTTAAACCAAACTGTTTTCATCAGGCCTCAGGTAATGGCGACAAAGATCAGCATCCAGAATTTGATACGTTTTCAACCCTATCTTTCCCCAAAAAGATACTCCAAAAAGCAAATCGTAAGGGTTAGAAGAGATTTTAGAGAAAGAAGCTATAGAGAAAGGAAAAGAAAAAGTAGTGAGATAAAGAAGGTAGGTGAGAGAGCCTGGAAGGCGAAGGATGCTGTCTGAGTCTGTTCTCAGGGCCCTGCACCCTCTAAATGCTGCCTGGCCAAAGCATGAGAAAAATGAGACAAAGAAAAAAAAAAAAAGCCCAAATTGAAAAGGGAGCCTCCTAAACTTGGTCTTAGGCTTCATACTGAGGAAAAAAAGAAAGATTTGCAGGTTACTTACCTTGTTGTTAGTCAAAAGGGGGCTTCACATTTCTCCCCTGGGTGACCTAAGCTATAATCTGTCTCCATAGCCCTCTGTAAATATTTCTTCCATTTGTGAGGAAATTATAGTGACTTCAGAGGCTCAACTTACTTTCTCTAATCTCTTGGCAAAGAAATTAAAAAGACAACCAGAAATTGCTGTCCGACCGGATTTCTGCATGGCATAGGGAGAACCACTTGGGAGAAATCAATCGAGAAAAAAAAAATCTTTATTTAAGGGGAATGCATCTTTAATCATGGTAATCCCTTTAGTAAATTGCATTCTCTGGTGACATTGCATACCTAATTACAGTTTGCTCATTTTGATTTTCTCTTTATATTGTTGCCTGCTTCTTATGCAGTTGTGGATCTGCAGGCTGAGCAATGAATTTACTGCTGGCATTAAAAACTCTCGGTCAAGTGGGTCTCAGGTCCAAAATGTCACCACTTTGGGAAGTGAATCCAAGGTCACCAGACAATTATATTTCCTTTAGCACTTCCTCAAAAGATGTATTCTCCACCCTCTTAAATCATTTGGGTTATTTTCTCAAAGAAGTATTCTCAACATCTTAAAACTGTGAAAATAAAAATGAAATATTGTAAATGGGTTCAACCAAGCACCATAGTGGTAGCTCACATACTAGGATTTGCTCCATAATCCAACTGATATAGCCTCGTGTCATGCTGGGGTTTGTTTTGTTTTGTGTTGTGTTTGTTTTTGTTTTTGTTTTTTAATGAAAGCACTCTATTGCCAAGTCATATTCTGTGGTGAGTCACTGTGACTCCCAGGTCATCTTCTGTAGCAGTTGTGCCCAGCCAGATTCATCAGATGTTGAAAATGCTGTTTGTTTCAAATAAATATTTTTTATTTATTTATTTATTTTTATTTTTTATGTTTTTGAGACGGAGTCTTGCTCTGTCACCCAGGCTGGAGTGCAGTGGCGTGATCTCGGCTCACTGCAAGCTCCACCTCCCAGGTTCACGCCATTCTCCTGCCTCAGCCTCCCCAGTAGCTGGGACTACAGGCGCCCGCCACCATGCCCGGCTAATTTTTTTGTATTTTTAGTAGAGACGGGGTTTCACTGTGTTAGCCAGGATGGTCTCGATCTCCTGACCTCATGATCCGCCTGCCTCGGCCTCCCAAAGTGCTGGGATTACAGGCATGAGCCACCATGCCCGGCCCCTTAAATGAATACTTTTTAATAGCAGTTGCATTAGGGTGATAGCATTATAAGATGATATTTCAAAAAAAAATCTTTATTTTTTTTTTAAATTATACTTTAAGTTCTAGGGTACATGTGTACAACGTGCAGGTTTGTTACATATGTATACATGAGCCATGTTGGTGTGCTGCACCCATTAACTCGTCATTTACATTAGGTATATCTCCTAATGTTATCCCTCCCCCCTCCCCCCACCCCCCCAAAAACTTTAATGTCATATTTCCCTGATAACCTCCTCTACATAATCTTTTTGACATCATTTTTAAGAAAAAAAAACATTACTCTCCCTTCTCTCAAAATATTTTTCTCCAACCAATCTGTACCACCTTCTGTCTTGTAACTTGTCCCCCATACAGCCTCCATTCCTACATGCCAGGACCTTGGCATGTAGGAATCACCATGTACCCAAAGGTGGTATGTTCTAGGATATTCACTACAGCATTGTTTATACAGGGAGAAATGAGAAACAACCTAAATGCCCATCAGTGGGAAAATGGTTAATTGTGTTATATTAATACTATGAAATTCCTTGCAGTAATGAGAAAGAAAGAGGTAGTTCCACATGTATGAACAGGCAGAGATTTCTAAGACATTACATTACAGTCTGAGCCTATGTATGCATATTCATGGAAAATCCAGTAATTACTCTTGGATAGTGCTAGGAGGGGGAGGTGAAAGGGGGCTCTCTTTTGTTACTCTATATACTTAGGCATTGTTTGAATCTTTAGCTTCAAGAATGTATTCACATGTTGAGTAGTTTTAAAATTAACAAAATAAAAGAACTCTATCAAGAGTTCAGGGAGGATGATTTGAGAGGGGACAAAACAGGGGAGCTGTCACAATAGTCCAGGTGAGAAATTATAAGAACATAATCTAAGCCGTAGCAAACAATGGTAATTGAAAGAAGAGTTCACAAAATATCAAGGAAACAGAATTTACAGGATGGGGTAATTAATTACAGCTGGAGGATGAAAAAGGAGGAGGAATCTGGGGGTGGCTGGCAGGTTTCTGGATTGGGCAACAGTAGAAGCATTTACTGAAAAAGGGGAACCTGGGAGGAGGGGCAGTTAAGGGAATAGAAATAGAAATGCTGCATTGCTGCATTCATCATTTCAGTGGCTTTTTTTTTTTATTTTTTTTTTTGAGATGGAGTCTCGCCTTGTCACCCAGGCTGGAGTGCAGTGGCACAATCTCGGCTCACTGCAGTCTCTGCCTCTCAGGTTCAAGCGATTCTCCTGCCTCAGCCTCCCAAGTAGCTAGGACTACAGGTGCATGCCACCACACCTGGCTAATTTTTGTATTTTTATTAGAGACAGGGTTTCACCATGTTGGCCTGGCTGGTCTTGAACTTCTGGCCTCAAGGGATCCACCCACCTTGGCCTCCCAAAGTGCTGGGATTACAGGCTTGAGCCACCACACCCAGCCTTCAGTGGCATGTTGAGTCTGAAATGCCTGAGAGACATCCAAGTAGAAATGGCCAGTGGGCAGTTAGATCTTCAGAAAGATGTCTGAGCTAGAGATAGATTTGAGAATCCTCAGCGATAAACAGAATCAGGGACATGGATGAGAGCATTTAGGAAGATTTGTAAGATGAGAAGAGTGGAAGGCCAAGGAAGAGATGAGAGAATATCCATCTTTAAGAAATGAGCAGAGGCAAAAGAGCCTGCAAAGGAATCTGAGAATGATCAGAGAAGTAGGAGGAGCATCCAGAAGGAAGTGGTGTAAGGGGGAACCAAGTTTCAAGACAGAGAGTGGCCAGCCTGGCCAGGTGGCATGCGCCCATAGTTCCAGCTACTTGGAAGCTGAGGTGGGAGGATTGCTTGAGCACAGGTGTTCAAGGCTGCAGTGAGCTATGTTTGCATCACTGCACTCCACCTGGGTGATAGAGTAAGACTCTTTCTCAAAAAAAGAAAGAAAAAATACCTGGGTGTAGTGGCATGTCCCTGTAGATACAGCTACTCCAGAGGCTGAGGCAGGAGGATCATATGAGCCCAGGAGGTCAAGGCTGTGTTAGAAACAAAATGCTTGTTCCTCAGTGCCACAAAGAAATAGCACTCAAACATAAATTTAATTTTCTCAGCAAGGCAATTTTTACTTCTATAGAAGGGTGCAACTCATGAATGGAGTAATGGCAAGAGCACACCTGAACAAGGGAAGGGAAGGGGTTCTTATTCCTGACGCTGGTAGCCCCTACTGCTGTGTCGTTCCCCTACTGGCTAGGGTTGGACCACACAGTCTAAGCTAATTCCAATTGGCTATTTTAAAGAGAGCAGGGGTATGAGCCAGAGCAGCAGGGTGAGTAGTTTGGTGGGGAGGACGGTTAGAAACAGGTAACTAAAGGTGACTTAGGTCAAAGCAGGTGACCAGGGGTGACTCAGGTCAAAGCAGGTGACCAGGGTGAGTCAGGATGGAGCAGGTGACCAGGGGAACAGATGTGAACTACTGATTAAAACTGGTGGAAAAGGTTGTTTACTGAAACTACAAGGAAGTTAAACTTTAAAATGCAGGACAAAGAACTGAACATACTGACATACTAATTCTTTGACGAGAAATCTAGAACTCACTGTATCTAACAGCTGCAATGAGCCATGATTGCATCACTGCACTCCAGCCTGGGCAACAGAGTGAGACCCCATCTCTAAAAAAAAAAAAAAAAAATTGCCAGATACAGTGGCTCACACCTGTAATCCTAGCACTTTGGGAGGCCAAGGTGAGTGGATCCCGAGGTCAAGAGATTGAGACCATCCTGGCCAACATGGTGAAACCCCGTCTCTACTAAAAATACAAAAATTAGCTGGGCATGGTGGTGCGCACCTGTAGTCCCAGCTACTCAGGGGGCTGAGGCAGGAGAATCACTTAAACCTGGGAGGTGGAGGTTGCAGTGAGCCGAGATTGTGCCACTGCACTCCAGCCTGGCGACACAGTAAGACTCCATCTCAAAAAAAAAAAAGAGAGAGAGAGAGAGAGAAAGAGGATAGTCTGTAGTATTGAATGCTGTAGAGAGCTCAGGATGGAAACCCTGAAAAGAATCCATTGAGGAATTAACTGTAAACTAGCATGAGGGATCTTATTGGGCTAATGAAAATGATCTAAAATTGGATTATAGTGATAGTTGCACACCTCAGTAAATTTAAAAATTATTGAATTCTGTGCTTGAAATGTACTTGAAATGGGTGAATTTTATGAATTTTGTTTTAAATTATGCCTTAATAAAGTTGTCAAAAATATAAATGGAAAAAAAGAATCCATTGAAATTTAGTTTAGGGCAAAATATTATTCCAAGGGGCACTTCTAGTCTGATCTCTTCCTAAATGGTTTGGGAAAAGCCCTGTGAAATAAAATGACAGGGAGTCTATGAGATTACTGATGCTACACCTCAACACTCCTATATTGCAATATCAATATTTAGCTTATTGTCTGATTTGCTTTTCACCAAGCTGATACTATCAACCTATGTCCTGTCCTCCTCTGGATAATTGCAGATTAGTTGTTTTACTTATTTTTATCATTTCGTATTTTTAGCACATATTTCTAGAAAAAAAGTAGGATGCCAGGCTATAAAGCCTCAATTTATACCTGTTTTAGTTGTTGTTGTTGATTGCATTTTAATGTGTTTAAACATGGATTCCTTATTGGCCCTACAGAAAGTGAGATTTCATACTGAAATCTCATCATTCATTTTCTGACACTTCTATGATGCCTGTCCTTCTCAGCCATTTTCCTTCTTAATTCGACTTGGCCAATCACACGATGTATTTGTCTTGGTTAATGGGCACATGTGATGTATTCTATAGTTAGGTAAAAACAAAATGGAAAACTTCTGCCCCTTCTTAGTTGTAAGGAACCAGGGCTGTCAATGGCCCTACTTAATTAAAGTGTTCGTTTCTTGCCAATTGCATCTTCTTTTTATTTTGGTTCAATATCTTCCTGCTGCTTATTATAGTCCTGCTTAGTGATCTGGCTGCCACTCTTTGTAGTAGAATTTTCCTTTTTCCCTTTCACATCTTTATAGCCGTGAGTTTGAGCCACTTAGCATCTTTTTACTTTTCCTGGCCTCCTTTTGCACTTGCTTGCTTTGTTCTAATGCCCACAGAGCTATTTGTATGAGGATCATCCAGCTTTTTCTCCTCAGTTGCCTTCCTGTTGGTTCCTTCCAACTTATGTCCTAATCATGTTCCCAAATTGAATTTTCTTCACCTGATGCCTCTTCTTTTCTTCCTCTGGATCCTGAGTGATGCCATTGTGTGATTGCATTGAGCAAAATATCTACTAACTGCGAATTAGTTTCCTATTGGGAGGGAGAAAAATTCAATGTAAACAATTGCTGAGTTGGTTGCTCCATCTTCTCCATAGGCAGTATCCTCATATGACCATCTTTACCGTATAGGCGCATTTCGTATTGCTTGATATGTATTCACACTATCCCTGAGATTAACCTCTAGTTTAATAAGCTGGATAGATTATGTGGTTTTTTCTCCCCACTCCAGGCAGGTCCGTGGTTATTTCCCTACAATTATGTCTTGGTCAATAACTCCTTGACTGATTTAAAGCCCTCCTCCCTAAGTGAGTCATGGTCTCCAAAAGACGCTGGTCCCTTTCTTTGAAAAGGATGCAAAGCAGTCTCTTTAGATTTCTCTCCAGTGTCTGTGTCAAAGCAAAGGTCACTTTAACCCTTATGCTTTCACCCTTCTTCCCTGCCATGAGACCTCTCAAGACCTGAATGAAATCTTAGACTCTTAGGGCTAGCAAGGGTCATCAGAAGCTATTTACCTTCACCCCCTCATTCCATGTTTGCATCCCTTCACCGACATCTCTACCTAATGGCTGTCCAAACTCTCATAGACTGCCTCCCAGAGATAGATCTCACTGCCTAGGGCCAGCCTATGCAATTTCCAGATTGCACTTATTATTAGAAAGTTCTTTATCTTTCAAGTCCAGTTTTCAGATTGTGTTATTAGAAAGTTCTTAATTTCTTTTAAATCCAAATCATTTTCCCCTTAGGGGAAAGACAAAGCCATGAATCAGCATTAACTAAAATGGCATGGCTATGGGGCAAGAAGAATCTAAGATGAAGAAAGAGAGAAGAGGAATGACAAAGAGGGTGCAGGCAGGTGCTGGGGTCAGGAAACAGGCAGGCATTATCAGATAAATAGGTCTGTGGAGCTAGAGGGGCACAGGAGGGAAACTGAGGTGACAGGCAGAAGTGCTGAGAGGAGAACAGTAAGGGAATGGAAACTGGTGGAAAATTAAAGAAGGAGATACTGGAATCTCTTCTAAAAGGAATGGAACCCAGACTAGAGGTTTAAATCAAAGTGGGGAGGAACAGAAAATCATTTTTAAGATTCAAAACCTATCAGAGGATTCCAACGTTGCCCTTTGCCTACAGCTGTGGAAAAGAGCATTATGGAGACAGGAGAAAATGTTTACTAGAACAAGGACTAGACAGAAGAGAAGGGAATAATTGGACACAGGAAATTAGTTTAAAGAGCAATGGAAAGAGAAAAAGAAGTGAATAGAGAAATGGAAAGGAGGGGGAATGAAAACACAGAACTTTTAGGTTAAAGAATTACATTTATTCCTGTGCCAGCACATAATTGTATTTTCCTGGCAAGCATCCTGCAGCCCTCTGCAAGGGAAAAGGGGTGCCGGCATGTGTGACTGCAGGGATTGAAGTCTTACTGCTTTGTACTATTACAGCCAAGCGAGGGACTTCATTAACGAGCCTGTGTTTTGATGTCACAGAGACAGGCACTGAAACTTCAATCACCAGCAGTCCCTGCACTTGAGAATCAGTGGTGATGGAAAGGGCAGGGTGTGGCCAAGGGCGAAGGGTGGGGTGGGGGGGGGCAGATTGTGAGGCTGGGACAGGGGTCAAAGGTATGGGAACACAATCATGAAGGTTCCAAGTAAGAAATGAATAGAACCTACTCATCAAAAACCCTGTTTCCTGCCCAGCATGGCACACAGATTGCCAGCATGTGTCAGCTGCTCACATAGCAAAGCATCAAGTTCCAGGCAGCAAAAGGGAATAAGAACATAATCTTTGTGGATTCCATCCACACTGAGTGTGGTAAACTGATGCTGTGGGTAATGAGGACTGAGTATTGCTCAGAAGTACCTTGGAATCTAGAGGTCAGGGCTTGAGCCCTGCCATTTGCTTCCTGAGCCACCCACCATTGGCCCTGCCTTTTTCTTGACTTCATGGATCAGTGGTGGCTCCTTCTCCTAAGGAAATCATCAGTTAGTAGAGATCAACTCCTTGGGAAGGGTGTCTTGTAAGGAGGCAGCCCTTCACCTGCACATTCTCAGTAGGGTGGAGATGTGTGTTCATTCATGCAGCCATTGTTTCCTGCATTCACTCAGTCATTCAACTGAATGACTGATGTTTTTAGGTGTTTGTGTTAGCCAAGCACTGTGTGGGAGTGACAGAGGGGAATAAGGTGAATTTCTTTCTTCAATGAAGCACAGTCTAGTTGAGGAGAGGAACATAGAAATGACTAACTCTACTGTGAGGCAGATGGAAATTAGTACTGTAATAGAGGTTCAATTCAATTAATACTCAGAGAGAGAAGTGATTTATTTGGCTTGAAGTGAGAAGGGAAGGCTTCCTGGAAGAGGCTATCATGTAAGTTGAGGCTTGAAAGATACAATTGTGGGGCCGGTCACAGTGGCTCACTCCTGTAATCCCAGCACTTTAGGAGGCCGAGACAGGCAGATCACCTGAGGTCAAGAGTTCGAGACCAGCCTGGCCAACATGGTGAAACCCCATCTCTACTCAAAATACAAAATTAGCCTGGCATGGTGGTGCATGCCTGTAATCCCAGCTACTTGGGAGGCTGAGGCAGGAGAATCTCTTGAACCCGGGAGGCAGAGGTTGCAATGAGCCGAGATCACACCATTGCACTCCAGCCTGGGCAACAAGAGTGAAACTCTGTCTAAAAAAAAACAAAACAAACAAACAGAAAGATACAATTGTGGATAGAAAAGAGAGGGTAGGTGGGAGACAGAAAGACAGAGGGGGGAGGAAGGAGAGAAAGAGAAAGAGAAAGGGAGAGAGAGAGAAAAGGATAGAAAGAGAGAAGGAGGGAGGGAAGACAGGAAGAGAGAGAGGGAGGGAAGGAGAAAAAGAAGGACAGGGAGGGAGGGAGAGAGAGGGAGGGAAGGAGAAAAAGAAGGACAGGGAGGGAGGGAGAGAGAGGGAGGAAGGTAAAGAGAGAGAGAGGGAGGATGGTAAAGAGAGAGAGAGGGAAGGAGAGACAGGAGAGGGGGGAAGGATGGAGGGAGAGAAAGAAGAGAGGGAGAAGGGGAGAAGAAGAGAGAGAGAGATAAAGAGGGGGGAGGGAGGGAGAGAGAGAGAGAGGCCATTCCAGGCTAAGGGAATAGCATGAAGAAAGACATGGGAACTCCAGAGTGCTTGGCATTTTCAGCAAATGGTGAATGGGATGGTATGACTGCAGCATATGGCACTTGGAGAAATATATGGGCAGTTGAAACTGGAAAGCAAGAAAAGATGAGCTGGGGAGGCTCATGAATGCCATGCTCAGGAATTAGGACTCTATCCCACATGCAGTAGGGAGCCATCAAAGGATTTTGAGGAAGAGAGAAATGTGTTCCAACATATGTTTCAGGAAAAGAGTTTTCTCTGGTTCCAGCTATCACAGAATGGAACATTCTTTCTTCCTGGATGGCAATGGGCCCCTGGAGAGGAATGGCTCTTATGTGGCTAAGGCATTGAGGACTGTGGGTGGCGGTGGTGGGGAAGCTGAAGGAAAGAGGAGAAATGGACAGCATCAAAAGAGATGGCACCTGTGTGAATGTGAGAATGGGCACTCGCTGACATGCAGGTCCAAAGGTGGGAAGAGAGGAGGATGGAGCCAGGATGACAGTGTGTGCTTCCGAGTAAATTGAGGGAAAATGAGTCTCAATTCTCCAAATCCCATTGATGATGAGTGTATTAGTCCATTTTTATGCTGCTGATAAAGACATGCCTGAGCCTGGGCAATTTACAAAAAGAAAAGAGACTTAATGGACTTACAGTTCCACATGACTGGGGAGGCCTCACAATAATGATGGAAGGCAAGGAGGAGCAAGTCACATCTTATGTGGATGGCGGCAGGCAAAAAGAGAGCTTGTGCAGGGAGACTCCCATTTTTAAAACCATCAGATCTCATGAGACTTATTCATTATCACAAGAAGAGCACAGGAAAGACCTGCCCCCGTGATTCAATTACCTCCCACCGGGTCCTTCCCACAACCCTTGGGAATTCAAGATGAGATTTGGGTAGGGACACAGCCAAACTATATCAATGAGGGAGAGATTTCATACTCAGAAAGTATTTAAAGAACAAATCCAAATGGAATAACTTAGGGAGGCTATTCATCTTTCATGTATAAGGATACCTGCCTGCTGTTGATTACTGGATAGGGTGTTTTCAGGGCCTTGAGCCATTTTGACCCCTTGGCTATTGTATGAGTACCTTTCTTGGCTGTTGGGCATTGCCAGGACATTGCATGCATTTTAGTTCTCAGGTCCATTTATTTATTGATTTATTTATTTATTTTGTAAGATCCATTGTGGCTGATTAAAAATGTAAGGTTACCTGATTTGGGGTTTTCCCATCCAAGTATATCTAAAACCCTGATACACTGATGAAGCCCTGATATACTTGGGCTCCAAGGGACTGCAAGGCCACTCCCTCACTCCCATAACCCCTCACCAGCAATTGGATTTGGCTACAATAAGTGACATTTTGTGTTTTTCTTCTATGTGCTCAAAGCCCAATGATGCATACCTCTGTAGCTGCATCATGCCTGAAATGTATATTGCAAACAGAGCTCTGTGAATCTAAATGATTAAATAACTTTTGAAAATGTTATAAGGACAGAGTGTATGCTTTCATTTACTTTTTTTTTAACAGTTTCAGCGTAGCAGCCTTTGTATGAGTTACAAAAGCAAATGTAAGTTTCCTGAGAATGTATAAAAGTGTCTCTTAAAAAAATGCAGCCTCATGCCTGGGAGTGGTGGCTCACACCTGTAATCGCAGCACTTTGGGAGGCTGAGGCAAGCATATGGCTTGAGCTCAGGAGTTCAAGACCAGCCCGGACAACATGGTGAAACCATGTCTGTACTAAAAATACAAAAATTAGCCTGGTGTGGTGATGTGCATCTTAGTCCTATAGGCTGAGGAAGGAGGATGGCTTGAGCCTGGGAGACAGAGGTTGCAGTGAGCTACGATCACACCACTGCATTCCAGCCTGGGCAACAGAGCCAGACCCTGTCTCAAAATAATGATGATGATGATGATAATAATAATAATAATAATGCAGCCTCAGATTAAAATTCTTGGTGAAAATTACCCTCTTCCCCATTCCCAGTTGAAGAGCTATCTATATCTGCTATTCCAGGGTAGCACTCAAATATCCATTCATCTTCATTCTTTTGCACAACTTAACTTGACTTTCAAAGCACAGACGAGTACCATTTGGCATGGATGCTTTGGTATCAGGTATATTCACACACAGACCCCTCTACAAGGTAAGATACCAGAGTAGTGGTGCACTCCCCTTAGGAACTAGGGAGCATCCCCAGATGCTGTTATCTCTTGGTTTCTAGTGTAAGTTTTTTTTTCTTTAAATTATGGCAAAATATATAGAATGTAAACTTTGCTATTTTAACCAATTTTTATTTTTTATTGAGGTAAAATATACATATATACTTTGCTATCTTTATTAATTTTGAGTGTGCAGTTCAGTGGTAATAAATACATTTGTATTCTTTTTTTCTCCTTCATCCCTCCTGCTTCTCCCCTTCCCAGCCTCTGGTAACCACCAATCTACCTTCATGAGATCTATTTTTTAGCTCCCACATATGAGTGAGAACATGCAATTTTTGTCTTTCTGTGCCTGGCTTATTTCACTCAACATAATGGCCTCCAATTCCATCCACGTTGTTGCAAATGATAGGATCTCATTCTTTTTTATAGCTGAATAGTACTCCACTGTGTATACATACCACATTTTCTTTATCCATTCATCTATTGATGCACACTTAGGTTAATTCCAAAGCTGGGCTATTGTGAATAGTACTACAACAAACCTGGAAGTACAGATATCTCTTCGATATACTGATTCCCTTTCTTTTGAGTATATACCTAGCAGTAGGATTGCTGGATCATATGGTTGTTTTATTTTTTGTTTTTTGAGGAACCTCCAAACTGTTCTCCATAGTGGTTGTTTACATCTCTACCAACAGTGTACAAGGGTTCCCCTTTCTTCACATTTGAACCATTTTAAAGTATACAATTCAGTGGTGTTAATTTCATTTACAATGTTGTGCAACCATCACCACTATTTCCAAAATATTTCATCATCCCAAAAAGAAACTCTGTAACTTTTAAGCTGTAACTCACCCTTCCCCTACCCCCAGCCACTGGCAATCACTAATCTACTTTCTCTCTCTCTCTATTTGTTTATGCTGGACATTTCATATAAATGGAATTATATACTATATGGCATTTTGTGACTGGCTTCTTTCACTTACTATAATGGTTTTTTTTTAAGTTTTTTTTTTTTAATCTTGGCTATTCCACATCCTTCTTAATGTGTATATTAAGTTGTTCTTTAGCTAGGTAGAAGAGGTGTATACATATCATTATGGAAAATAATTCTTTTGGCTGACCTGGAATGACACAAAAGAAAGTGAGGAACATTTAAGTAATAATAACCTTAATGTCTCAGAACTTGTAAGGGCTGAAAATTGGACAAGCTGAAGAATTCCAGCATAAGTTTCTGTGTTATTCTAGAATGCAGGCTAATTTCAATATGTGTGTGGTGCAACTAAAAACTAACAGCAAGAGGAGATAAGTTAGAGAAATGACTACCTTGTGGAGAATTTAGGGCCACCAACATATTAGAAGTAGTTAAAGTCCTATCAGTGTTTGTCAACCTTTAGAAATTGACATCCCCGTTTGTTTGCTTGTTTGTTTATTTATGAGACAGAGTCTCGCTCAAGGTTCATTCATGTGGTGCCATTTATCAGTACATCATTCCTTTTTTTTTTTGGCTAATAGTCCATTGAATGGACGTACCACATTTTGTGTCTCCATTCATCTGTTGATGGACACTTAGGTTCTTTCCACCTTTCAGCTATTAGGAATACAATGCAATGAACATTGGCATACAAGTATCTGTTTGAGTATCTGGTTACAGGTTGTTTATGCATCAATGACAGCAAGAATATAGTATTTTAAAAGGCCATTTTGCTTTGGAATTCTAGAGGCACCGTCTAACAAAACTTGGTTGTACAGACTGGTGAGGTGTTGTGGCACTAACAGCACTGCCATGCACCCCAGGCACAGTCAGGGTGGCAAATGCCTCATTTCACTCACTCTCAGACTTCTCAGAGAATCCACATTAGCTCCCCCTCTCTCCTTAACTCACTAATCACTGTCTTTTTTTAACAGATGGGTCTTGCTGTGTTGCCCAGACTGGAATACAGTGGCTATTCATAGGTGTAATCATAGTGCACTACAGTCTTGAACTCCTGGCCTCCCACCTCAGCAACCCAAGTAGCTGGGACTACAGGCAGGCACCATGGCCACATCTGGTTTCTTACCCAACAATCCTACTGAAACATCTTCCAAAAATCACCCATAACCTTCTATTTAACATCTACAGTGGCTTCTTTTCAGTCTTTACTTTTCTTGACCCCTACACAACATTTGACCGTGTTAACCCACCCCTCTTTAAAGTGTTTCCCATCCCTTGTCTTCTCTAGATCAGTTATCTTGATCTTCTTCCCTGGCCCTTGCTGTACAGTGTCTCTGTCCTCAGCTCCTCTTCTTCTACTGACTGTTAGGCCCATCATTTCCCATGGGAATGAGATAACCTTTCCTGTGGGAAGTAAAGGCTCTGATGAGCTTCGATCTCTGTGGAGCTGTTAGGCAGCCTCAGGCAAGAAGGACCTGTAGACATCAGAGGAGTGGTCATGACACTGCTGGGGAAGGTGGTGAGAATGCTGGGGCTGGTGGAGGAGAGCCACCACCCACATTACCCACACATACTGTCAGTGCTTCCAGGATGGGGTTGTTCTGTTCCTGGGAATATGGTTTGACTCATGATGTGCCTAAATAACTATGGTAGGCCGGGCACAGTGGCTCACGCCTGTAATCCTAGCACTTTGGAGGCTGAGGAAGGAGGATAATTTGAGGCCAGGAGTTTAAGACCAGCCTGGGCAACAGAGCAAGACCCTGTCTCTACAAAAAATAAAAATAAAAAAATTAGCCAGACGTGGTGGCACACACCTGTGGTCCCAGCTACTTGGGAGGCTGAGGTGGCAGGATTGCTTGAGTCCAGGTATTCAAGGCTGCTGTGAGCCATGACTATGCCACTGCACTGGGAAACAGAGTGAGACCCCATCTCTATAAATAGTAAGTATGTAAGTAAGTGGTGGCCCATATGACTTTTTTATTTCTTTCTTAATGGCTACACATAATAGTGAAGCATAGCTGGTGGTTGAAAACCCCTGGAAACATTTGTGTTAGAAAAAGGAAGCAGTCTGAGCCCTAGTTAAGGACAATCACTGTGATGTTTCCCTCGTAACAAGGAAGTTGCCATAGAAAAGACTACATTAAGTCACTCATCAGGAATTTGTGAGTCAGAAGGTCCAGCGTGGTAGTTGACAAAGCCCAGGTGACCCAAGTTGCCTAACAGTGCTGGGATTGTTTTTTGTTTGTTTGTTTGTAACAGGGTCTTACTCTATCACCCAGGGTGTAGTGCAGTGGCACAATCACAGCTCACTGCAGCCTCAACCTCCTGAACTCAAGCAATCATCCCACGTCAGCCTCCCAAGTAGCTGGAACTACAAGCACACGCCACCATGCCCAGCTAACTTTTCTGTTTTTTGTAGAAACAAGGTTTCACCATGTTGCCAAGGCTGGTTTCAAACTCCTGGGCTGAAGTGACCCATCCCCCTTGGCCTACCAGAATCCTGGGATTACAAGGTGTAAGCCACCGTACCCAACCTCTAACAGTGTTTTTAAGATTTTTCTACCTAAATCCCCCCACTACGTCAGAGAAGGGTGAGTGAATCCCTACTCCTGAGGATTTGAGACATAACCTGCTAAACAGGAAATGTCTGATGACTTCAGTGAGCTTGCAACTAATACATTTCTGCTCCATCATTAGCCTTGCATATTTTAGTATAAAAAAGTGTGCTTTCCCCCAATTCCCTAGGAAGAAGCATGTGATGGCTTCATGTACCTACAACCCACTGCAGTGTAATCTGAAGATACACATACTCCAGATTGAGAAACAGAGGCCTACAATAAGAGAGGCCATGCCTCAGCTAATGGGAAAAATTCATTATATTCTTTCAACATCCTATTGTTGTAACTAAAGATGTTTGCAAGCTGGAATGAGCCATAAGAAATGAAGAGGACATCTCATTGCCCAAACCCTCTTCTAGGAGAGGCCATTGGATTATTCCCAGGTGTTACTGTCATTTAGTGGGCAAAATTAGCAATTCATTTGTTTGTCAGAAAGGCAGATTGTGGGCCAGGTGTGGTGGCTCACACCTGTAATCCACGCACTTTGGGAGGCCAAGGCGGGCAGATCGCTTGAGCTCAGGAGTTCGAGACCAGCCTGGACAGCATGGTGAAACCCTGTCTCTATGAAATATACAAAAATAATCCAGGAGTGGTGGTATGTATTTGTAATCCCAGCTACTCAGGAGGCTGAGGCACAAGAATCACTTGAACTCTGGAGGTGGAGGTTGCAGTGAGCCAAGATCACGCCACTGCACTCCAGCCTGGGTGACACGGCGAGACTGTCTAAAAAAAAAGGCAGATTGTTAAATGAGCCCATTCCCAAAAGAAGTCCCATTAGACCAGTTAAAAACCAGAGGTCTCAAGTATTTCTTGTCCTCCTCATCTGATCTATGAAGAAGAAAATCTAGACTCCCAGAGACCCAAGGGTCATTTGAAAAGTCATTTTCTTCTGCTTTAAAGTCTAGTCATTTCACATCTAAAAGTTGACAAAAGAGGAGGTATTGAGGTGGCAGGAAAGAGGGTTGTGCTGAAGGGAGAACAAGGAAACCAGGGTCTGTTTTGGATTCAAGAGCGAATGGCAGAGCCCAGTGGCTCCTGTGGGAACAGCCAGCAGAGTGAGCAGTATTGCAATGAATGTGATTTCTCCAGAGATTTCCCCCAGCTTCAGCCTCTGGGGGTTGCCAAGCAATGTCCTGAGGTTTCACGTATGCATGTCTTGGAGGCCAACTGTACACAGCAAATGCAAAACACAGAGATAGCAGTATTGCTCTGTTGCTATATTAGGGCCAGATTGAAGCCATCTGCTGATGCAAGCTTGGCAAGTAAGAAACCCCCATGCTTGGCTCAGCAGTAGCGTTTTCTCTCCTGGCATTTTGATAGCAGCACTTCTTTCAGTCTGCCCTGTGAAGTCTTCCTGTTGGTATGGGTGAAGCCCTCATAGCAATGCATCATCCTCCTTGAAGCCCACACCCTCAGAGGGTGAGCATTTGCTTCCTATTATGTGCTCAAGACTCCATTAGCTTTGTAAGGGCCCAAAGGCTTGTCTTCCTGGCTCCCAGATCCCCCTGTGCATGCCTATCCATGCCTGCTTGATGCACCCCAGGTCCAGCAACTTCTCCCCCAAAGCTCTGTGTGTACTGCCTCCAATGGAAGTTGTTATGCCAGAGTTTAAAAGCAAAACAGAAACAATCCAGCATGGATGTGTTTATAGCCAGGATCTCTCATCCAAGATTAAAAAACAGCTCAAGAAAAAAAGAGAATTCAGAATTTGGTAGCTGATGAATATCACCAGAGAAACATCCCAAGGGAAGCAACTGATTGACCTGACTTGCTTATGGAGGCCCTGTCAGGGACAGCCACCTTGGCTGCTGTAAGTGGAAGACTGATTACAGCCTGCAGCAGGCTATGTCCCTCAGTGGGCTGCAAGAGCCTTGGAATCAGAGAGAAATAAAACTAGAAGGAAACTTAGAGGTCATCCAGTTCAACACTTTGATTTACCAGATGGGGCAACTGAGGCCCAGAAAAGAAGGAAATGACTTGTCTAAGGTGAGATAATAAGTCAGTAGCTAAACTAGGCTTGGAACCCAGGGCTCCAGACTGCCAGGATGCACAGGATCACTTGAGGCCAGGAATTTAAGACCAGCCTCCTAGGGACTCTGCTAGGAGACGCTGAATAACCAAAGATGGAGGGCTCTCTATTTATTGCTTTTCTCAATACAGAAAAACTTTTCAACACACAAAAAAATGCAGACCTTAATGACTGACAATTATTTTAAAAAAGAATTATCTAGTCTACAACACAAAGGACATGAAGGCGAAATGAGAGTCAGGGGCTGAATGTGTAATTAGTACAGATGTTGAGTCTACCCTTTGGGCATAGTTAAACTGATTACAAATAGAAACAGATTTTTGGATTTAGCATGAAAATCTCCTTGCTGGCCCAAAAGGTTCTCACTGATGATCAAGATAGAAACAATTTATGTGCATTTTATAATATGTACCTAATACAGCAAAAATACATTCTGGAAAATCACTGATAAACATAAAGATATGAATGATTGAAAAGAGAATGGTTTGTGGTGATTCTCATAATACATCTGGTTTGTAGCAAACTGAGAAGTTTCTGGTTTGATGTAGATTTAGCCACTTTGTAGGGTTTTTTTTTTGTTTTTGTTTTTTTAACTTTGCTACTGGCTGATTCCCCAGATACTATTCCCACAGGCTTCTTGTTTATTTCAACACAAGATGTCTGACAAGTCTCTCCCTCTTAGAGCTGTCTTCCACAGTGTTAACAATCATCTTTCTAAAAAACACAAATCAGATTGTGTTGTTTGTTTACTTCAAAACCTTCAGTGGCTCCCTGTTGCTCACAGAATAGTTTTACTTTCCTAATCCACCATGATTTGGCTCTTACTTGTCCCTCCGCCTTACCTTTCATCTCCCACCACCTCTTCCCCCACAGTGCGCGCACACACACACACACACACACACACACACACACACACACACCACAACAATGTCCATTCTGTGGCTCCTCCTACCATGGAGGCTACTTGCTGCTTCTGAATATGCCTCATAGACATTCTCTGAGCTTGGTGATTTTGGTCAGGCTGTACCCTCTGCCTGGAATAACCATTCATTCAGCCCCTGCCATAATTCTGTCCATCCTTCATGGTGTAGATTATGTCCCAATTATTCTTAATTTTATTATTTTTTATTTTTATTTCAATAGTTTTTGGGTACAGATGTTATTTAGTTACATGGATGAGTTCTTTAGTGGTGAATTTTCAGATTTTAGTGCACCTATCGTCCAAGCAGTATACACTGTACCCAATATGTAGTCTTTTATCCCTCACCTCACTCCCACTCTGTCCCCTGAGTCCCCAGTGTCTATTATGTCATTCTTATGCCTTTGTGTCCTCATAGCTTAGTTCCCACTTATAAGTGAAAACATACGATATTTGGTTTTCCATTCCTGAGTTACTTCCCTTAGAATAATGGCCTCCGGCTCCATCCAAGTTGCTGCAAAAGACATTATTTCATTCATTTTTATGGCTGAGTAGTGTTACATGGTGTATGTATACCACATTTTCTTTATCCACTTGTTGGTTGATGGGCACTTAGGCTGGATCCATATTTTTGCAATTGCAAATTGAGCTGCTATAACCATGCGTGTTCATGTGTCTTTTTCATAGAATGACTTCTTTTCCTTTGGGTAGATACCCAGTAGTGGGATATCCCAATTGTTTTAAGAAGTCTTCCCAGATCTTTCTATTTGGAATTTTTATCTCTTTCTCTTCTATCCCCGAGGTGTTTTGCTTGTGCCTTTAACTGAGCCCTTTCTACTTTCTGCCACGTAGCTAGTTGAATTGTCTCTTGATCAATTTCCCTTGCCAGTGAGGGGGCTCATGAAGGCAGACAGTAAGTCTTTCTCTAACCCTCAACTGTGATGCTTGAGACATCATAGGCTAGTTTTGTTTGTTGAATTAAATTGGATTACATTTCCCCTGTCCAGAAATGTCTGTATTTATCTTTCACCAAAAATCCTATTTCCTCTGTCTCCATAATGCTTCATTATTGTGCTAAGCTATTCCCTTTATCTCTAATCTTCATGATGGTGGCCCAAGCGTACAGTGGCTTTGCTGGGATTCCCACCAATTATAAGCCACAGGTGCCTGGCTATGGAATTGGTTGATAAACTTTTGCTACTGCTGAATGAAGAGCCTCAGGAAACCTGCAGCCATAGCTTATGGAACACAGGGAGATAGCGTTCTGAATATTCCTGGGGGCCTTTTGGAGGTAGAAGACTTGGCCACCTTTGTGGTTGGGGTATCTAATGGCTTTGGCCATCATTGTTGATTTCTTCAGGGAAATAGAACTGATATGATAATTCCCATTTCCAACCCAGAGCTCTTTTCAGGATTTCAAAAAGTTTAACAAGGCTACTTAATCAAGTATGTGGTCAATTTTATGTGCAAACAGTGACTTTGCTCTCATGCTGTTTGGAAGTTCTCTTTGGCACTGTGTATTTCACTAATGGAGTTTGTTTTCAAGAAGAATCCATTACTACTTAATTACTGTAGTTTATTTGGTATATAGAATTTTTCAAGAGGCAGTGTAGCTTCATTTGAGGTTTAGAGTCAGACCTGGACTCAAATAGCTCTTCTACCCCATACCAGCTGTGTAAATATGGGCAAAATAATTAACCTGAGCTTGAGCTTCCTCTCCAGTAAAATGGGAATTATAATACCTACCTTATAACATCGTGGAGATGGTTAAATTCAATGAAATAATGTACGGAAATAGTTTAACACAGTGCCTGGCCTACAGTGAGGACTCAGTAGTTGGGGGTCATTACTATAATTAAAAAATACAGGGCCCAAGAGATAGAAATAGCAAAAGAGGGCCAGGCACAGTGGCTCACACTTGTAATTCCAGAATTTTGGGAGGCCGAGGTGGTCAGATCGCTTGAGCTCAGGAGTTTGAGACCAGCCTGGGCAACATGGCAAAACCCCGTCTCTAGAAAAAAAAAAAAAAATACAAATAATAGCCAGGCAGGGTGGCACATGCCTGACTATTATTTGTATTTTTTTTTTCTGGAGACGGGGTTTTGCCATGGCCCCAGCTACTTGGGAGGCCAATGTGGGAGGATTGCTTGAGCCCTGGAAATCGAGGCTGCATTGAGCCATGATCGCACCACTATACTGCAGCCTGGGCGACACAGAAAGACCCTGTCTCAAAAAAACAAAACAAAACAAAAAACAAACAAAATCAGAAGAGGTCTTTACTGGCAAAAAAAAAAAAAAATTAGACACAACTGGATTTAACAAAACTTCTGGGTTTGCCGTAACTACTACAGTAAACAAAACTGTTGAAAGTTAGCAGATGATTTGAAGAAAGAAACAGTGTAGGAGCTGAGTAGTGACATTAATAGATATTGTTTCATCTTGATGTTGGGCAAGGGGCACTATCCAGAAAAGGAATCTGAAAGCAATGCTGAGAGTGCTCGCATTCAGGTCAACCCTAAAAATACTCCTCTTTATTTAAGTTGAGAAGTTGCTGTGAGAACCAAGGCTGGGCTTTCAACAGATCTAGCCATATGTGCTCTCCACTTTGGTGAAACCCGATCATGACCTAAGCCTGTGCTATCCTTGCCGACTGACAGCTGACCTCGGCCTTCTCTGTGCACCCTGCATAGTTCACCTTTCAAAGAAAGAGGTCTAATTTCCAAGTAGAGCATTGCTCTTTGTTCTTTTTCTCTTTTTATTTTGTTTGTAGGTATTTATTTTGGAAGGCAGGGAATCTAGATTGTAGTCTGCTCAATTGCTTCTCCCTGGGTAAGAGAGTTTCCTGGAAAATTTGATTTGAATTATTACGAGTACTCAGGAAGAAAAACTCTCTGCTTTTAAATGAGTAAAATGTAACCAGATTCATATATCTTAAACCTTAGGACATTATTTCTTTCTACAGCCATGAAAATAGTTATAGTTAATAACAAAATGGAGAAAATATTTGTATAAAATATAGGCAAAAGTTCAACAAAATATATATTATTAAAATGAATAGGAAAAATATCAATACCCACTAGATAAAAAGGCAAAAGGTATAAACTACTACACATTGAGAAATATAATTAGTAAACTAAAACATAGGAAAAGTTTGTCTGCACTAGTAATCAAATCCCTGCAAATTAAAGAAACGTTGAGATGTCGCCTTATATTAGCAAAAAATATCTTTTTTCAATGGAGGTGCCGTAAAATTGTTTCTCTCATCATTGCTGGTGGCAATATAGATTGCAATAGACCTTTTGGAAATTGGTATCTTAGTCTGTGAAATTAGACTCCCTGGCTTTGATCACTTTGACCTTGCTGCCTGCCCTAACCAGTGCTAGCCTTAGCAGAGCCTTGGTCCTGGGCCCTGCTCTGTACTGGACCAGCTGAGTCCCCACGCTTTCTTCCTGTGACTTATTGAGTGTTTCATCCCCTGTAAGAGAAGCTCTTCCTTCCTCTTCCTTCCTTCCCTCTGTAGAATCCCAGTCATTTCCTCTGTGCCTGTTGCCGGGCATCTCAGTGTCCCAAAGGATCTTTCTAGCTCCCTTGGCTACCAGACAGTTGGCTGGTGAAGTTGCTCACATCATATCACCTTCACAAGATATTGAAATAGCAACATTGGCAACGGAGTCTAGAAGAGCCAAGAGAGTAGATTTGATCTCTAAATCTGGAAAAGCAAATCTGAAAGATAATGAGCCCTTGGCCAGGGTCAGCCATCTTGAATTTCCTGATAAACCACTGTCTTCCTTAGATTTGCCTTCTGGGGCCACCTTTGCTTTAGGACAAGCTAAATAACACCCTGATTTCTTTTCAGAATCATGAACATATATCATAAATGCTAGGCAGTCAAAGAATGAAAGGCTCTTGCCCATTAGCCTCTCCTTACACCCATTCACTTGGTATCAGTTTAAATCTATGCTTTGATCAATTTTGCTTTTTTGCGAGGATTCTTTTTAGGGGGAAATGAAAAGACCTTATAGATAAAAGGAGAATTATTTGGGAAAATAAAACAACTTTCAACAGCAAACTACCTATCCTCAACCCTAATTAAGGAAAAGCTCCCAGGACAAGGAAATGTATATAAGGTGCAGGGCCTAAGAAACGTACACTGGGAACCCACAGCACCCCCTCCCCACCAGCACACATACACACAAGAACACAACCACATGGTATAGTCACCTATATGGCATCTTACGTTTTGATACCCATAAGATCTGGTGAAAATGCCCTTCAAGCAAAACCTTGCCTGGGAGGAGATGTTGCAAAGGGCTAGCATGCACCCTACAATGTGGATGCAGCCAAAGGGGAGTGGGGTGCAGCCTGTTCGCTCCCCACTCCTGCTTGCTGTGATCTCTGGAAGGAGCACTTCTGGCTGGCTCCTTCCACTGCCTCCCCTCTCCCCACCCCCACCCCCACATATCCTTCTTTTTCCCATCTCACAGTGGCCTTTTTCTCCCCCATAAAAAAGGGAATCAAAGCTGAGGCTTTCCAGTGGTCCAGACACATGCTCGAGCTGTGCATAGTGTTATACTGAGGCTATGGGTAGACTTGCATTTCAAATCCTTCTCTTTTGATTGACAGAACTGGCCTATGATCTGGATGTGGATGATGCGCCTGGAAACAGTCAGCAGGCAACTCCGAAGGACAACGAGATAAGCACCTTTCACAACCTCGGGAACGTTCATTCCCCGCTGAAGCTTCTCACCAGCATGGCCATCTCGGTGGTGTGCTTCTTCTTCCTGGTGCACTGACTGCCTGGTGCCCAGCACATGTGCTGCCCTACAGCACCCTGTGGTCTTCCTCGATAAAGGGAACCACTTTCTTATTTTTTTCTATTTTTTTTTTTTTGTTATCCTGTATACCTCCTCCAGCCATGAAGTAGAGGACTAACCATGTGTTATGTTTTCGAAAATCAAATGGTATCTTTTGGAGGAAGATACATTTTAGTGGTAGCATATAGATTGTCCTTTTGCAAAGAAAGAAAAAAAACCATCAAGTTGTGCCAAATTATTCTCCTATGTTTGGCTGCTAGAACATGGTTACCATGTCTTTCTCTCTCACTCCCTCCCTTTCTATCGTTCTCTCTTTGCATGGATTTCTTTGAAAAAAAATAAATTGCTCAAATAAAAATGTATTGGCCCTTTTTTTGCAAACCGTCGTCTATGGTGACTGCGCAATGCTTTTTTTTTCCTTCTCACTAAACTTTCTATCCAACATATTCTTATCAGGCCCCAACAGGTTCCTTGAAACCCACCTCCCTGCCTTCCTTCTGGGTGGAAATCAATCCTGACTCCAAGAACCAATAAGAAAGAGCCACTCCCTCGCAATCCACAATCTTCATTTCGAAACCTTGGGTTGGAGTATCTTGTCTATGAAACCGAAGTATCTCAAAAGAGTTACCTGGTCTGGTCTCTCTTTACAACTTTTACTTTGCCAAAAATGCTTTGCCCAAATAGGAATCCTCTATGTAAATCAGGTACAGTTACACCATTCATCTTCTCCCTTCTCCCAAATCAAGACAGGTGAGCCCAAACAGTGCAAAGAAATCACTCCCCAGCTTCTTTGCTGCTGTCTCAGGCTTGCTGTTGCCTCTCTCCACAGGGGCTGCCACATGGCATGGGCAGCCGTTGCTTTGGGTCAGGTTGCAGAAGGTGTCATCAGCAAACCCATGATTTATAGGGAGCAACTCTCACTCTTGGCCTCAGGTGAGCTTCTTCAACATTCATTTATTCAACGAGTAGATTTTGCATACCTGTTGGGTTTCAGGTACTGTACCAGATGCTGGAGACAGTGGAAAACAAAACAGAACTGAGCCCTGCTCTCATGGAACTGAAGGTCTGACACCAGTAGTAATTACAACACTGGCTTTTCATCATCAACCATAGGCCCAGTATTATTACTCAAAATCTGTTTTTTGCAGGGTGTGGTGGCTCACACCTGTAAGCCCAACACTTTGGGAGGCTGAGGCGGGTGGATCATTTGAGGTCAGGAGTTTGAGACCAGCCTGGCCAACATGGCAAAACCCCGTCTGTACTAAAAATACAAAAAATTTAGCCAGGTGTGGTGGCGGGTGCCTGTAATCCCAGCTACTCAGGAGGCTGAAGCAGGAGAATCGCTTGAACCTGGGAGGCAGAGGTTGCAGTGAGCTGAGATCATGCCATTGCACTCCAGCCTGGATGACAGAGTGAGACGCTGTCTCAAAAAAAAAAAAAATCTGTTTTTACACATACGACATTGCAATAATAATGGCACTTATGTTAGGTGATACTCAGACATTCTGCTGCCGAGGGATCCCAGGAATAACCACCCTGCCATTTTTGTAATGTGTATAATGCTTAGCACATTGCCCTGTTGCCAGGTCAGGTCAATAGAGACATTGATTCTTTCTAAAGGGGGAGGACTCAACTTCCACCTGATAAATATAAGAAAGAGAGGGTGAGATGCACTGAAGGGGTGTGAGCAAAGGTCAAGGAATGGACGGGGAAGTCCCCTTTGATTCTACGAGGTGGTCCTAGTCAGGATCTCCGATTTCGGTCCCATGGCAGGGGGTCACCATGTGGGAAGCAGAATGTGTAATTTCTCACAAGTTATTGCACTCCTTCTCCTGCTGTCACCAACATACTTCTGTCCCCTGCAGAGCACAATTTTCCAATATCCATCTTCATCCTTTGCAGAAATGCTCACAAACACAAATTGGAAATATTTGGTTTAGCGTTTCCTTTGGTTAGTTTTATCGAAGTTAAGACTACAATCAATCAGTTGTATGTGTTAATGTGATCTCAATGATTTGTAATGGTGGGTAAGACCTGAAAGAGAAAGAAGCCAGTTGTCTTTGTTTTTAAACCATCATTCTTTGTGCATTTGAATGGGGTTTGTAAGAAACTTTGGGCTTTGGTTTATGAAACCTACACATTGCAAAGATTTGCTGCTTGGACTCAGAGTCTAATATAGTAACACCAACCCAGAAGAAGGATTTAAAGCCCAGTTATCATCTAATAACTGTCTCTGACATTCCATGGAAATGTTATTTGATGTGGCAAAAAATAATTTGTGGCTCAGAGACCAAGCTTTGCTCCTGCAAGCAGGAGAGGACTGTCTTAAAGTCCATTTCTCCTCTCTGGGAGGCAAAAGAGATTGTCAGTTTTCGCACACCCTTCTCATCCACTTCCTCTCTCTAGACCTCAGTTTCCCTATTGTCAAATGGAGAATGAGGACAAGGTTTCTAACCTCTTTGTTACTCAGATTTTGTGGCACCATTCAACCCAAAAGGCAGTAAATGCCGGTCCCTCTGCCCAGCTGGTGGCATGAATGTGCTGTCCCTCCAATGCCTCTCAGAACTTTTCCAGCCTAAGGTCATATTTGACTTGCTTCAGTTTCCAGAACATGACCCCAGGCACCCTGTGTTTCTGCTGTCCTGGTACTCTGTCTGCAGCTATGGGCCATCCAGCCTGAGCGAGGAGGACCAGAAGATAACTCCCCTGTCACGTCCAAGACCTGCTGGCTTCAGCTATGTAGATGGGATTAAACAACTGGGTAACCATACACATGTTTAAAACATGGAAAATCCACCATATCCTACTGGCATCAACTATGTATCATCAATGGCCTCTTTTAGCTTTTTGCCTCTGTCTTTTCCTATCTCTCTATGTATTTTTTTATTATTGCTCTAGTTCAGAATCAAGTTTCATGGCTAGTTAGTGGCTTTTCATCTTTGACGTGTTGATTCTACCATTTTATTTTTTTTTTTAAACAGAGTCTCCGTCACCCAGGCTGGAGTATGATGGCACAATCTCAGCTCACTGCAGCCTCCACCTCCTTGGTTCCAGCAATTCTCCTGCCTCAGACTCCCGAGTAGCTGGGACTATAGGCACACATCACTAGGCTTGGCTGATTTTTCTATCTTTTTGTAAAGATGGGATTTCACCATGTTACCCAGGCTGGTCTCAAACTCCTGACCTCAAGTGATCCACCTGCCTTGGCTTCCCAAGGTGCTGGGATAATCATACACATGTATAAAACATGGAAACTCCACCATATCCTATTGGATTTAAGCTGGGATTACAGGTGTGAGCCACCGCACCTGGCCTGATTCTACCCTTTGATTTAAACTTCCTACACTTGAATTATGTTGACTATTTTTTCTTAGAAGAGACCTGGGAGCTGGGAAGTTGCCCCATTGTGTTGGAAGGCCTCTTCCTCATTGGATGCATGAGTGAACTTCCACCAACTCAACTCTGGTACTTGAGTAAGGTTAATTCCTAAAATAACAGATACTGAGTCCCTAGACTGGAAGGGACCTGATAGTTCATCCCACAATGTTTGTTTGATTACCTCCTAAGGCAGGGCTCTCACTAGGTCACAAAGTAGCCTGTTTGGTTGTTGGATACCTCGAATTTTTAGCAAATCCATTTCTTAAAGGAAAAGAGTTATTACAAATGAAATACAGGTAATAAAAAATCTAACAACACATAATTATGTAAAGTTTAGAAAATGATGTTTGCCCCATAATTCCATACCACATAGAAATCCACTATTAAATATTTATATTTTTCCATACAAAAAAAATTAGCCGGGTGTGGTGGCGGGCACCTGTAGTCCAAGCTACTCGGGAGGCTGAGGCAGGAGAATAGTGTGAACCTGGGAGGCGGAGCTTGCAGTGAGCCAAGATTGTGCCACTGCACTCCAGCCTGGGCGACAGAGCGAGACTCTGTCTCAAAAAAAAAAAAATTTATATTTTTCCAGTCTTTCACCCCCTCTCTGTATATGTATATTCGCACACATGAGATTGTATTGAACATACAATTCTTTTTTTTTGCAGTTGCATACTGTTGCAGTATTTACAACCAATGCTTTATTGAGAAATATATATATTTTTAATTTATTTTTTATTATACTTTAAGTCCTGGGATACATGTGCAGAATGTGCATGAGCATACAATTCTATAATATGAATCAGTCTTTATTAGGGTGAGCCTAAATCTGCCTTCCTATTATTTCCTCCTATGGTTCTGGCTCTGCCATAAAGAGCATCCTGAGATTCAGATAGCCGTGCTCACTTGGGCAGCACACATACTAAAATCGGAATGATACAGAGATTAGCATGGGCCCTGTGCATGAATGACATGCAAATTTGTGAAGCATTCCATATTTTTAGCAACATTGATGGAACTAGAGGCTATTCTCTTAAGTAAAACAACTCAGAGATAGAAAGTTAAATACTGCATGTCCTCACTTATAAGTGGGAGCTAAATAACGTGTACACATGAACATTGAGAGTGGAATAATAAACACTGGAGACTGGGAAAGGTGAGAGGATGGGAGGGAGTAAGGGGTAAGAAATTACTTAATGGGTACAATGTACACTATTTGGGTGATGGTTACACTGAAAGCCCAGACTTCACCACTATGCAATACATCCATGAATCAAAACTGCACTTGTGTCCCTTAAATTTATACAAACAAAAAAAAAGAGACTAAGATGGCACTAGTTTTCACATAGCTCCCTTTTCGCAATAATTTTCAGTCACTGACACTTGCCTCCTCTGGGTTGTCTGCTTTTCCAAACACATTGGACAGCGCTGACAAGCTCCTTCGTGAGCCGGGCTCCAGTGGGCCAGTGGTCCTCTTGTCCTGTCAGGCCCATAGCTGAGCCCATGGCAGGGAGAGCCTGAACAACAGTGTGGCCGATGGGTGTCTCTGTTCCCGCAGAAGTCCAGGACCTCTGCCAGAGCAGTCCTAGGATTCAGACACTTGCTGAGCAGCCACATCACACTCTTTAGTGCATGATAATTCCATGTTCTGGCTAACTGCAACTGTGATAGGTTTTTTCAAGAATGGCTGCCCAGCCAGGTGTCTTCCATCCCATACTTGCACAATTGGTTTTCTAAATACGTTCCAAAGGCTTTTGGTTTCCCTTGTCTATGGATTGAGCCAGATGCCATACACTGTGTGTGTGTGTGTGTGTGTGTGTGTGTGTGTGTGTGTGTGTGTGTGTATACTGGGGTGGAGAAATATTTTTTCTTGCCAAGGCCACAGCATTTTTGGAAGTCCTCTTTTGGAATTGCTGTTGAGCTAGTTTATGTGCCATACAAGAAAATCAGCCTCATTTCTTTATAGTCACACCTTGTTTGGAAGCAAAAAGAATATTTTTCAGTTTGATCACCCACCTCATTCACTACACTTGCTGCCAAGTAGCTTTTAGCTGTTTCCAAAAATCAAATCTGCCTTCAAGAAACAAAGCCCCTTCCCTCCCTCACCCCAAGAAGATTCCAAAAAATGTGCTATGGACTATGGAAGTTTCTCTTTTTTTCCAAAGAAAAGTTCCAGAAAATTTGAGGACACTGTCCCTGGTGCAATGATTCCCTTCTAAGGGGGCCTCTTGGAAAGTCACAGTACTAGTTTGGATGTAGAAGGTCTTCTAGGTTTGCCAAGGAAACAACCAAATAAGGTCATAGCTTTTTATTCACTTTTATATATTTAGAAATTAATGTATTGAGTTTGAAAGATTCACATTAAAAACATAGAAAAATAAAGCATAGGGCTGGGCATGGTGGCTCATGCCTGTAATCCCAGCACTTTGGGAAGACAAGGCAAGCAGATCACTTGAGGTCAGGAGTTTGAGACCAGCCTGGCCAACATGGCAAAACCCGTCTCTACTAAAAATACAAACATTAGCCGGGCGTAGTAGCACGCGACTGTAATTCCAGCATTTTGGGAGGCTGAGGCAGGAAGATCACTTGAGGCCAGGAGTTCTAGACCAGCCTGGGAAACATGGTGAAAACCCCATCTCTACTAAAACTACAAAAATTAGCTGGGCATGGAGGTGCACACCTGTAATCCCAGCTACTCAGGAGGCTGAGGCAGGAGAATCGCTTGAACCCAGAAAGTGGAGGTTGCAGTGAGCCAAGATCACGCCACTGGACTCCAGCCTGGGCAACAGAGCGAGACTCCATCTCAAAAATACAAACAAATAACAAACAAAGACTAAGGGAGAAGAGTGCTTTAGGCAGAACAATATGACACAGGTCCATAGTGGGCCATGCACAAGGCAGGTTACTGTTGGAATACTTGCCATGGTGAAGCACTGCAGGATACCAGGTACCTCCCTGGGAGAGAGGAGAGGTACAACGTGAGGATGCACACCATGGAGTATCATGCAGCAGTGAAAAGCAACAGACCATATGTACCCCCAGCAGCATGGATGGATCTTAAAACCCTAGTATGGGTAAAAAAGAAAAAAGGCAAGAAACTCCATGGGCTATATAGCATCTCACCATTTGAATTAATTAAAATATATGCACAGGCTGGGCACTGCGGCTCACACCTGTAATCCCAGCACTTTGGGAGGCTGAAGCAGGTAGATCACCTGAGGTCAGGAATTCGAGACCAGCCTGGCCAACATAGTGAAACCCTGTCTCTACTAAAACTACAAAAATTAGCCAGGCATGGTGTAGTCCCAGCTACTTGGAGTCCCAGCTACTTGGGAAGCTGAGGCAGGAGAGTCACTTGAACCCAGAAGGGGGAGGTTGTAGTGAGCTGGGATCATACCACTGCACTCCAGCCTAGGCAACAGATTGAGACTGTCTCAAAAAAAAAACAAGTATATATATATATACATATAAGTATATGTATATATATATACACATGTATATATGTATACGTGTATATATACACGTATATACGTATATATATACACGTATATACGTGTATATATGTATATATGTATATATATACACGTATATACGTGTATATATGTATATATATACACGTATATATGTATATATGTATATATATACGTATATACGTGTATATATGTATATATGTATATATATACACGTATATATGTATATATGTATATATATACGTATATACGTGTATATATGTATATATGTATATATATGTATATATATACACGTATATATGTATATATGTATATATATACACGTATATATGTATATATACACGTGTATATGTGTATATATATACATGTGTATATGTGTATATATGTATATATACGCGTGTATATGCGTATATATGTATATATACGCATATATATGCGTATATATGCATATATATGTGTATATATGTGTGTATATATATATATACAGGAGACAATACATATTTTACAAAAATACAGACATACTAAAAGGTATACATTTACAGCATTAGAATGGGTACCTTTGCAGGGAGGGAAATGGCAGTGAGCTTTGGGAATAAAATAGAATAAATGAATGAATGAAACAAACCAAGAGAAGGGCCTTATCTGGACCAACTATGGTGCCTACCATGAACTGAGCAGTAGCTTTCACTCAATCCTTTGCACCACGGGTCACAAACAAAACCAAAAGCAAAGAAAGGGAAAGGGGAAAGTCAGGGGTGGGAAGGGAGGAGAGGGCATAGGATTCCAGGAGAAACATCTTGTCTGCAGAGCCTGGTACATAGTAGGTGTTCAATAGATATTTGAGGGGATGAACATTGAGGGAATGAACAAGCATTCAAAATGTTCTGCCTCAGGCCATTTGAAACTACTGGCTTAACAAATGTACCTTCAATTATGTGACATAGTTGCCACCTAGTTATACACTGACCTTAGAGTTTGAGAGGTGATTCGACTTAGAATTCTAGAGCAAGCCATCACTCAACTGCAGCTTCAGTTTAGAATGACATATTTAAAAACTACTTTGGATATGATGTTACAGCTTTCTTTTTGGGTGAAAGTCCCCGGTCCGGTCGTCAGCACCATTAGGCAATGGGATTGTTACATTTATTTTGCTTTGTTAGAGTCTTCACCTCACAAAGATACATTAGCAACCCCAACCCCCTCATTTTACATATGTAGAAATTGAGGCTCAGAAAGGTTAAGAGATTTGTTTAAGGTCACACAGCACAGTGAGTGCAAGTCAGGACTGAGCCAACCAGAGCCTTTTCAATCACATTGCACACACCTTGTCACTTGGAAGGAGCAGAATTAACAAATGGTTATATTGGTGAATGAGAGTAAAGGCTGTTTTCTGAAATCTGTGCCCATGCAGACGGAGTTAGTTATACTGATCTTCATTTTGACCTAGTGGCAGTGAAAAAAAAAAATCCCTTATCTAACCAAACACATTGCCTTCAAAATTAATGTGTTCAAGCCAGGGCCTGCTTTGAGACGTTTAATGTTGCTTTTACAAATTAAAACCTGGGGTGCAGGAATTCCATCATCCTCACGAAGACTTCCTGTCACAACAGAGGCATTGTTCTCCCCACTCATACTGTTTTGTTTCATGCCTTTTCTGTAAGATGTTAGGTATTTATTTTGTTTTGTTGGTGCTTTTGTAATCAGTCTAGACGTAGACCTACACTGAACCATCCAGGAGGCAGATAAAACTCCCACAGTGGAATTAGGTAACCCCTTCTGTGCTGTTCTCTCAGGGAAGGCTGAGAGGCCACTCCTCCCCACCCAGCCCCCACACCTAAATGTTCATGAACACGACCACAGAATAGACTGAATTCACTAATTGAGGAGGTAGGAAATGTTCTGTCTCTGAAAATACTCCCCGTCCCACAATAATCTTTGGTACTTGGGATGAATTTGTTGCCCACATTTTTGTGTTAGCCAGGGCACTAAATGCAGCCTATTTTGAAATGAAAAGGAGCTTTTTGCATGGATCCTAGAGACTGGTTGCTTACAGGTTTCCACAATCAAGAACCTGTAGATTTTCCTTTACCCTGAATGAGCAAAGGCATAGCAAAAGAAAAAGTATGAGGAGAGAGCAGGGCATGGATTTCTTGGATTTAATTGCAGTGCACTTTCTGTGCTATCTTGATGCAAATTTTTTGTTTTTTTAGAGACAGGATCTCACTGTGTTGCCCTGGCTGGAGTGCAGTGGTGCGATCACGACTCACTGCAGCTTTGACTTCCCAGGCTCAGGGATCCTCCCACCTCAGCCTCCCAAGCAGCTGGAACTATAGGCACATGCCACCACACCTGGCTAATTTTTTATTTTTTGTAGAGGTGGGGTCTCATTATGTTGCCCAGGCTGGTCTCAAACTCCTGGCCTCAAGCAATCCTCCTGCCTTGGCCTCCCAAAGTGCTGAAATTACAGGCCTGAGCCGCCATGCCCAGCCGGTTTTGAATTTGTTTACTATCACAGAATAAATAGAAGCATGACTTGTGTTTCACAATTACCATGGCTAATTACATTTATTTTTACCATTACAATACATTGCCAGTAGTAACAATGTTTTGCCCTTCTGGAAAATCTGAAGAGGTGTATCCTGTCCTCAGAGCTTTCCAGACACCATCCATAACTGTGACAGGAGAAACTTCTAGAGGATAGGGAATTCCAAATAAGAGTGTCTGCCTTAGGCTTGCAGTCAATGGGACCATTTAGCCTGGCATCCCCCACAGTGCTCAGCTCCACCTCTTACACTTGGTCACACCACAGAAGATGTTTATGGAAGGAACATCAATTTGAGTGTCCAAAGCCCTGGCAGATGGAGTAGAAACTACTCACTTTCTCTCAGACAACCAGGACCACAGACCTTCACACTTATACAGCAATGAGGCCACTAAGCACTGGCCAAATGTGAAATGTAATCGTATCCCTCAACTGTGACCTGCTTCAATTGCTACTGATGGAGCATTCATTAGTAACCTAGGGCTCATTTCACTTAGAATGATATCATATTGTTTTCTGCCATGTTACCAACGAGAAAGCCTTATTCTCTCCCAATTTTCTAGAACTTGTTTATGGCTACAGTTGCAAAAACCCAACAGGGCAAAAATGTTGTCTAGGAACTGCGGCAAAAACTGAGTTGTTTTCAAGTGGCCACATGCTGTCTAAACTTCCGAATCAATTTCCTCCTTAACTTTCTATTTAGAGCAATCAAAGTCCTAAATCATCCAAGAAAGATTAGATGCTTTCCCAGTGTGTGTGTTTTGTTTTTGTTCTTGTTTGTTTGTTTGTTTGTTTGAGACAGGGTCTCACTCTGTCACCCAGGCTGGAGCGCATGGCTCACTGCAGCCTCAACCTCCCATGCTTAAGTGAATCTCCCACCTCAGCCTCCTAAGTAGCTGGGACTACAGGCACATGCCACTACACCCACCTCCAGTATGTTTTTGTTCTGCATATTTTACCATACTTGAATTCTATGAAAATCAATAAGCAATGTATGTATATATAAAAAGGAAAACAGCATAGGCCAGGCACAGTGGCTCATGCCTGTAATCCCAGCATTTTGGGAGACCAAGGTGGGAGGATCACTTGAGCCCCAAAGGTCAAGGCTGCAGTGAGCTATGTTCATGCCACTGCACTCTAGCCTGGGTAACAAAGCGAGATCTTGTCTCAAAAGGAAAAAAAAAAAAAAAAGAAAACAGTATATTTAGTTTGCCAAATCTGTTGGATTATAAAAAGTTTACTACGTTACCATTATTTTAGTCCAGAGAAGCCTGTAGTTAGTGGTCGTCTTCCTAATATCATGAATATTTCAAACACAGCTTAGGGCTCCCAACAAATTAGAATCTATCCCAAACTGATTGCCACAAATTCTCCTTCTCAGGGGTAAGTTTACCGTCTCCTTAGTTCTTTAAGTCGCTTTTAAACTTTGGGATTTTCTGTTGCATCAAAGGGTTAGTTCTAATGTTGATGGTCTCATTTCCTGTGATTTCAGACTCTCATTTAGTCCTATAGCAGTTGATAATATGAAATCTATGGTTCCCCAGCATGGCTGCCCTATGTGAGTTTTGGTAAAACTCTAGAAAAGTGGGGAAGTTTTTGTCAACATTCTCTCCAGCATCGGGTCAGCCCCGGTATCACTAAGAACACTATCAATTACATTAAGTCCTGTACTGCCTGCTCCAGGCTGGTTCTGAGGCTCACATGGAGAAATGAATAGGAGGGTTTTTTTGTTTTGTTTTGGTTTTTGTGTATTTGTTTGTTTGTTTTTTTGAGACAGGGTCTCACTCTGTCGCCCAGGCTGGAGTGCAGTGGCATGATCTCGGCTCACAGCAACCTCTGCCTCCTGGGTTCAAGCGATTCTCATGCCTCAGCCTCCCAAGTAGTGGGATTACAGGCACACGCCACCATGCCCAGCTAATTTTTTTTGTATTTTTAGTAGAGACATGGTTTTGCCATGTCGGCCAGGCTGGTCTAAACTCCTGGCATCAAATTATCCACCCACCTCGGCCTCCCAAAGTGCTGGGATTACAGGCATGAGCCACTGTGACTGGCTAATTTTTGTATTTTTAGTAGAGACAGGGTTTCCCATGTTGGCCAGGCTGGTCTCGAACTCCTGACCTCCAAGCGATCCACCTGCCTTGGCCCCTAAAGTGCTGGGATTACAGGTGTGAGCCACCGCGCCTGGCCTTTTTCTTTAGACAGGGTCTCACTCTGTCACGCAGCTGGAGTGCAGTGGTGCAATCTCAGCCTCAACCTCCTGGGCTCAAGCAATCCTCCCACCTCAGCTTCTTGAGTAGCTGGGGCTACAGGCGTGCACTACCACACCCAGATTTTTTTTTTTTTTTTTTTTTTTTGTAGAGATGGGATCTCCCTATGTTACCTGTGCTGGTCTCGAACTCCTGGCCTCAAGCAATCCACCCTCTTTGGCCTCCCAGAATGCTGGGATTACAGGTATGAGGTACCTTGCCCAGGCCAGAAACTTGCTATTAATCTGTCTTGCCTCATCTACTGATTATTAATAATTTCTCTTGAAATGGCATTTTTAAAGCCTCACCAGTGGTCTGATTTTGCCTAACAATGCAATGGGACTCCAGCCCCCTATCTTTTGTATTTTGGGGCTTAAGGGTCTATCTCAGATATCTTCCAACATCTCTCTTATTGGTCATTGTTGCTTCATCCCTTAGCTAGGGCAGGAGGTAAGGCCCCATGGGATGGCCATCCATTACAGGTCATCCCCAGGAGATACTGAAATCCCACTGAAGTCGCCACTCAACTGCTAGGCAGAATCTAGGTTTGCAAGAGTGTGCTCATAGCAAAGCCATCAATGATTTAGAGATGAGTATCGGTTACAGCTCAGTGGGACACTGGGAGCAGAACGAGTGTCTAACAGGAGATCAGGTTCTATATAGCCACACTATGAGGAAGGCTTAGGCCTCCCAAGAGTTGACTAGAACAGCTGAAGCCTGTGCTATGAGCCGGCCACAGACCTAAGGAAAAAGGTCTTCATGTTCTCCAAGAGCTTGCCAGGCCCGTCCACTCAATTCATCCTGACAAGAGCTTCAGTTACAGAATGACTTTCTCCAGCAGTGAGGCAGGAAGCCTGCCCGCTCACGTACCCACATCCAACACCCGCTCCCAGTAGGAGCCTGCTGCTTATATAGAGAAGCTTTGCAGTGATTCCTTTCTCCTTGCACCTGGGCTTGGCTGTGTTGATCCACGACTCCCCCACCTAGTCTGTGAGCCACAGGCCTTGCTCCTGTTGCTTGAGAAAATACCTTCCAGGCTGGTGTGTGCTCTGAAGCACAGTGAGTCACAGGCCTTCTCATACGATCTGGCCTGGATGCTTCCAGAAGTTCGTATTCCCAGGTGAGATGGAAGCCAGCAAGCACATGGGGCTCAGTTTTCTGAGATTCTCATTTGGCTTTTGGCCTTAAGTCCTGAATTGCAAGTCACAGCAGCTGAATCCAACTTCCTCAGTTGCTGAGTGTCTCAGAGGTGCCATCCGTAATGTTCCTGTGAGTCCACATGAAACCGTAGACTTCAGAGAAGGCAGCCAGCCAGGACTGGTTTCAAGTGCCTTCCACATTCTTCCTCTTGAAGAGTTCTCCGGAAGCTGCAGAGCTTAGTTTTTCTTATCCAAAAATCTTCTGGCATTTTTTATTTGTAATAATTCCAAACCCACTCAACATTATTATAACAACTGAGATTGGGGAGAGAGAGTGGGGGGAAAGGATTGGTTACACGAATAAGGGCATACTCACTCCTAGGTGCTGATTTTCAAGGGGATGTGAATTTGATGGCCCTTGTTTGAGCTCTCAGGGAGTGTTGATTTCTTGCCTAAAACCTCCACAGTTTTTCTTTCTTTCTTTTTTTCTTTTCTTTTTTTTTTTTTTTTTTTTTTTTTTTTTTTGAGACAGAGTCTCACTCTGTCGCCCAGGCTGCAGTGCAGCAGCACAATCATGGCTCACTGCAGCCCTGACTACCCAGGCTCATGTGATCCCCCACCTTAGCCTCCCGAGTAGCTGGAACTATAGGTGTGTGCCACCATGCCCAGCTAATTTTTTGTATTTTTTTTTGTAGACACAGGGGTCTCGCCATGTTGCCCAGGGTGGACTCGAGTGATCCACCCGCCTTGGACTCCCTAAGTGCTGATATTACAGGTGTGAGCCACCACACCTGGCTGCGTTTCTATTGTTAATCAGGGTGGCTGATTTGGATGATGGAGGTGTAGGATTTGGGGTTGCCAGGGGCAGGGTAGGATGGTGCCTGAGGTCCAGTTCCAGTGCTGTGTTCCAGCAGGAGACTGGGAAGGGCCTGGCAGCAGCTAAGCTTATGCCTTTCAAACAAGGGCACTGCAGAGCTCCCTGCTACAGCCAGCACAAGGCCCAGAGGTGGGTTTCCACGTTCTCCACATGTCCTACTCTCCGTGCTGCAACCAGGAAGAGACAGAAATCACCCAGGGACAGAGCAGGCAGGCAGACCCTTGAGGTCAACTAGCCTAGCCCCTCAGCCAGCAGATGATGCAAGTAAGGCCCCAAGGTAAATGAGGGACATTGGGATGGTTCTAGAGCCTGGTGCCTCCTGCTTCCAACCCAAGGCTCTCTTAGTTTCCAGCTCCTGAGTGGGATGAGAAATAAGACAGCATCTGCCAGGCCAGAATCTAGAACTTTCTCCATCTCAGAGTCCCCGGGTTCTTATCGCTAACTTCTGTCACGAGTGTTTGCAACAAGAATCAGACCAATAATACCAGGTAGAATCTAAATTGCCTGGGCACCAGGTGCTAGAGCAGTTGCTGGTGAGCCTGTTAGAATAGGCATTTCCTATGAGTCCTACAAGACATGAATTTTCCTTACAGAAACACATGGAGAGTTACTTCAAGGGCGATGTAGAAGAAAAAACACATTTGCACAAGGGCCATGGTCATTTCCTTCTGCAGTAACTTACACACAGGCCTCTCCCCCGGGAGCTGAGCAATGCAATTATCCAGAGATCTGCCTCTCACAAATCTGCTCAGCCCTTCATTATAGGGAGGCAGAATTCAGCCACCGATTCCAGAAACCGTTTTCCAAGAATAACAGCATATCTGGCCTAATATATTATTCTTTTCACTTTTCCTACTTATGTTACTTGCTGGTAACATAAGGAGGCTGGGCATTGCCTTTTATCCATACCTATTACTTAGGCCTGGCCAAGCCCCTTCTCTGGAAGTCTCAGCTCTAGGAGAAGTTCACACACTTAGTTCTTAGAACTGGTGAGAAAGGTTGACAATGGCAGGGAAGTATGAATGAGGAGAAACTCACACACTCCCTACAGTAGGAATGCAAACTGTAACTCCAGCAATACCAAGGGGTGGGATCACAAAGACTTGGTCTAACCTGGGCCTCAGTACACCTTCTCCCAAGGCCCTGGTGGCTCCTCAAGTATAGAGAACCATGCCTGAGAGATTACAGGGAGAAATCTTGTGATTATTTCACTCAAGTATATATTGACAAGGTGGGCGGATCACCTGAGGTCAGGAGTCCGAGACCAGTCTGGCCAACATGGTAAAACCCTGTCTCCACTAAAAATTAAAAAAAAAAAAAAAAAAAATTAGCTGAGCATGCTGGTGCATGCCTGTAATCCCAGCTACTTGGGAGACTGAGGCAGAAGATCACTTGAACCCAGGAGGCGGAGGTTGCAGTGAGCTGAGGCTGTGTCACTCCATACCAGCTTGGGCAACAGAGCGAGACTCTGT
Organism: Homo sapiens; assembly: GCF_000001405.40. NCBI lineage: Eukaryota > Metazoa > Chordata > Mammalia > Primates > Hominidae > Homo > Homo sapiens. The sequence goes on along the minus strand of NC_000023.11, from coordinate 133,520,978 downwards.
CTCAAAAAAAAAAAAAATGTATACATGGAGTTTTTATCTTTATGGACCCCTTCCCATGTTTTTTTTAAGTTGATACCAAGTGATTAGATATTGTATATAGCACTGAAATTTGGCAAGGAAATCTCTCCCTTAGTCAAAACCTCCATTTTAATTCCCCCCAAACCAGTTCTAAAAGTTTTTGGTTTTTTTTTTGGTTTTTTTGGTTTTTTTTTTTGGTTGAGAGATAGACTTCTCTGAGAATCAGATGAAAGCTTAGGTCTCTCTAGAAAAAAATGCACACATACACTGTGGTCAGCAGCCTCTATGATGGCTTGCAATGGTCCTTTGGCATTCACATCCTCGTGTAATCCCTTCCCCTTAAATGTAAACTGGACCTAGTGACTTGTTTCTAATGAATGGGATGCAGCAAAAGTAATGAGATTGGTTTACAAAAAGACTCTGGCTTCCTTATGTGTGTCCCACAATTTAAAAAAAAAAAAGACTGGCTGGGCACAATGGCTCACACCTGTAAGTCCAGAACTTTGGAAGGCCAAGGTGGGTGGGGTGGATTTATTGAGCCCAGGAGTTTGAGACCAGCCTGGGCAACATGGTGAAACCCCATCTCTACAAAAAATTAAAAAAAATTAGCTGGGCATGGTGGCATGCATCTGTAGTCCCAGCTACTTGGGAGGCTGAAGCAGGAGAATGCCTTGAACCCAGGAGACAGAGGTTGCGGTGAGCCGAGACCGTGCCACTGCACTCCAGCCTGGGCAACAGAGGGAGACTCCATCTCAAATAAAAAAATAAATAAATAAATAAAAATAAAATAAAAGACTGGCTTCCATCTTGCTCACTCTCCCTGCTCTCTTGCTCACTCACTGTTGAGTGTAGTTAGCTGCCATGTTGTGTGCTGCACTGTGGAGAAGCTCACATAGCAAAAAAAGTATGTCTCTGTCTATTAGCTAGCAAGAAACTGAAACTTATCAATAGCCATGTGAGTGAGTGTAAAGGCAGAACTACCTTCAATCAAGCCCTGAGATAAATGCAGCCCTAGCCAACACTTGATTGCAACCAGTGAGACACCCTGACCTGAGGCACCTGTTAAGTGACACCCACATTCCTGACCCACAGATCCATGTGATAATAAATATTTTTAAGCTGCTACATTTTGGTGTAATTTGTTACACAGTAATAGATAACTTACACACATACACACACACACACACAAATATTTTGCCAAATGTTCAGTGGATTCCAGGACATCCTAAATCTTATACCATTGCCTTCTAGGTTGACTCCATGTTAAGAATCCCTAGACCAGTGATGACCAACAGAAATATAATATAAACCACATAGATATTTTGAATGTTCTAGTAGCCACTTAAAAAAAAAAGTGCCAGGTTCACTCCTGTAATTCCAACATTTGGGAGACCAAAGCAAGAGGATCACTTGAGTCCAGGAGTTCAAGACCAGTTTGGGCAACATAATGAAACCCTCTTTCTATAAAAAAAAAGAAAAAAAAATTAGCCAGGCATTATGGCACATGCCTGTGAGTCTCAGCTACTCAGGAGGCTGAGGTGGGAGGATCACTTGAGCCCAGAAGGTTGAGGCTGCAGTGAGCTATGATCATGCCACTGTACTCCATCCAGTCTGGGCAACAGAGGAAGACCTTGTCTCAAAAAAAAAAGTAAAAGTAAAAAGAAATAGGTAAAATAATTTGTAAATATATTTTACTTAAACCAGCATATCTAAAATATTATCATTTCAACATATGGTTAAATTATTGAGATATTTTCCATTTATATTTTTGTGTCAAATCTTTGAAATCCGGTGTGTCTTTATTTTTTTTTATTTTTTTTATCTTTTTGAGATGGAGTTTTGCTCTTGTTGCCCAGGCTGGAGTGCAATGGCATGATCTTTGCTCACTGCAACCTCTGCCTCCCAGGTTCAAATGATTCTCCTGCCTCAGCCTCCTGAGTAGCTGGAATTACAGACATGTGCTACCACGCCCGGCTAATTTTATATTTTTAATAGACACGGGATTTCTCCATGTTGGTCAGGCTGGTCTCGAACTCCCAACCTCAGGTGATCTGCCCACCTTGGCCTCCCAAAGTGCTGGGATTACAGGTGTGAGCCACTGCGCCCGGCCTGAAATCAGTGTGTCTTTCAATGCATAATCTCAGTTTGGACTAGCCAGATTTCAAGTGCTCAGCAGTCACACATGGCCAGTGGCCTCTGTACTGAACAGTGCAATCTAGGAGTAATGTGAAATTAAAGTAATGGACAAGTAATTGGCTTATCTGGATATTATAGCACCTGCCACCTTAGATACCTGGCACTGATGGGGAAGTTAGCAGAGCCTGCTGCTTTTCAAAAAGCCTGAAGGGGTAAAGATGGTAATGCTCTCCAAATTTATCTGCAGATTCAACACAATTTCTATCAAAATCCCAGCTGGTTTCCTTTGCAGAAATTGACAAGCCGATCCTAAAATTCATATGGTAATGCAAAGGACATATAATAGCTCAAACAATATTGAAAGAAGAACAAAGTTGGAGGAATCGCATCTTCCCATTTTAAAACTTAACTACAAAGCAAGAGTAATCAAGATCAAGATAGCATGGTATTGGCATTGCATTGACATATAGATCAATCAAACAGAACTGAGTCCAGAAATGAACCCCTGCTCCTTGAGTCAGTTGATTTTTTTGTACAAGAGAGTCAAGATCATTCAATGAGGAAAGAATAGTCCCTTCAACAAATGATGCTGACACATCTGGATATCTACATGCAAAAGAAGAAAATTGTACCCCTACCTCACACCATACACAAAAATTAACTCAAAATTGGTCAAAGACTTAAATGTGAGAGCTAAAACTATAACATTCTTAGAAAAAAACATAAGGGTGAATTTTTATGACATTGGATTTGGCAATGGGTACTTAGATATAACACCAAAAGTACAAGCAACTATAACAAAAATATAGATAAATTAGACATCACCAAAATTAAAGAGTTTGTGCTTCAAAGAATACCAGAAGAAAATGAAAAGATAAATCACAGAATGCAAAAATATATTTTAAAATAAAATGTCTGATAAGAAACATGTATCTGGAATACATAAATAATTCTTACAATGTGATAATGAAAAGAAATAAGCCAATTATAATGGGCAAAGGATCTGAATAGTCATTTACCAAAGAATGAATATATATACATATATTCATTGCATATATATTCACATATATATATACACACACACATACACATATACCCAATAAGCACATAAAAAGATGCTCAACACCACCATTAGCCATTAGGGAAACACAAATCAAAATCACAATAAGACACCACTTCACCCTCACTCAAATTGCTATAATACAAATATTGGAAAATATATGATCATGACGGTGTAAAGAAATTGGAACTCTCCTACATTGCTGCTGGGAATCTAAAATTGTGCAGCTGCTTTGGAAAACAGTCTGGCTGTTCTCAAAATGTTAAACATAGAGATATCATTTGACCCAACAATTCAACTCCTAGGTATATACTCAAAAAAACTGAAAGCAGGGACTTGACCAGATACTTGTCCATCAGTGTTCATTGCAGCATTATTCACAATAGCTGAAAGGCAGAAACAACCCAAGTGTCCATCAACAGATAAATAAACAAAATATAGTATATCCATACAATGAAATATTATTTAGCCATAAACAGGAAGTTTGGATACATGCTACAACATTGATGGACATTGAAAATACTATGCTAAGTGAAAGAGAAGATTTTGAATGTTCACAACACAAAGAAATAATAAATGTTTGAGATGATGGATGAGCCAATTACCCTCATTTGCTAATTACACATTACATACACATATCGAAACATCACTCTGTATCCCATTAAATATGTACAATTATTACATATCAACTAAAAATAAGAGGGGAAAAACTCAATAATTAAAAAACGCATTTTGCAAATGAAGGAAGCCAAACGTGAAAGGTCAAATAGTCTATGATTCCACATTTATGAAATATCTAGAGTAGGCAAATTCATAGAGACAGAAAGTGGATTAGAGGTTACCACGGGCTCCAGGGAGGGGAGAACAGGGAGTTATTCCTAAATGAGTTATAGAGTTTCTATTTCAGATGATGAAATAGTTTTGGAAACAGATAGTGGTGATGGTTGCACAACATTGTGTAATTAATGACACTAAATTTTGCATTTAGAAAGTGGTTAAAATGGCAAGTTTTATGTTATATGTATTTTCATACAATGCTTTTAAAATTAATAATGGAATATGCCCCCAAACCACTGAATAGTACACTTTCAATGGGTGAATTGTATGATATGTGAACTATATCTAAGTAAAGCAGTTTAACAAAACCAAGTAAATACCTAAAAAAAGAAAAAAAAAATCTTGTACATGAATGTCCATTAAATTATACATAAGAGCCAAAAAGTGCACTTCAGCCTGGGCAACAGAGTGAGACTCCATCTCAAAACAAAAACAAAAACAAAACAAAACAAAACAATTCGGCCCAAACAAAACATCTGCATGATTATTCCCCCTGAGGAACCACCAGTCTGCAAATCTGAACTAGGTGTTGTCTGATGTTCATTCTGTCTTTCACATTCCCTGAACCTCCATACTACAGACCTGACCCTGTCTGCCTCAGTGAGTACAGGGTTCAAACTGATGTTCTGGGAGCCCTCTGCATTGTCCTTATGGGAAAGCAGAACACAGAGGGCAGCTTCTGTAGGCCTGGGCTCCTAATCTGCAAAGGCAACTTCTAAATGTGGGACACAGTTTTCCTTCCCAAAGTGGGCGTTACTTTTCCTCCTGTTCTGCCCAGGCAAATTGGGTGGTTGGGTAAATATGTGGATGAGCTGCCAGCCGCCACACGTATGGCAAGTGGCGTCAGTAACTTCAAGTTTTCAAAATAAGAGAGAGGCCTTGGTTCAATCTCTTACCAAGCCCCACCCAACACAGTAAGATGGCATTCTGAAATAACTCCTCTTCTTCATTTATCCAGAAACAAGGCCAGAGTCAAGAATGTGTAAAAGCAGCTCTCTGAATTGTTAAGTTTGCATCTTGGATGTTATCATGAGTTTTGCAGTTTAGCCAAGGAATAGGTGCTATCTTGTCCGTCTGGTGATTTGGAAATGATAACAGATTAAATGTGATATTAATGTTTGGCTTTTGAAAACATACATTCATGGCTATAAGGGAGCCAAAATTAAAGAAAAAATCATTTTGCAAAACAATTTCCCAGTGCACTATAGTGGTCAACGTACGCACTATAAAGTGAAAAAAAAAAAAAAGTAAAAGTGTTTCCACTGAATGTTTGATACTGATCCCATCATTTTTGCTACAAAGAGAGAAATCTTTTGGTAAAAACTACAGAGTTGGCAGTCCCAGGAAATCCTAAATTTTCATGCCCAAAGTCTTGCCTCTCTCACTGCAATGGACTGACCTTGGGGAAGCTGAGTTAGAGACATGGGCTTGCTTGGGAACAGGGGCTGTGGGTGTGAGTATTAGAAGGAATGCGCAGTGGGAATACGTAGGGGGCAGCAAGGAACCCTTGATCAGGTCTGTCAGTGGCATGACAGGAGGTGTACTATGCTGAAATATGTCCCACTCCAAAAGATATCTACCTCCTTAATCCCCAGAACCTGTGACTATCATGTTATATTGAACTAGGAACTTTGCAGAGGTGATTAAATTAAGGCTCTTGCAATGAGAAGATTATCCTGTATGATCTGGGTAGACCCTCAATGCAATTACAAGTGTCCCTATAAAAGGAAGATTTGACACAGACAGAAGAGAAGGCAATGTGACCATAGAGGCAGACATTGGAGTGACATGGCCACAAATCAAGGCATGCTGGCAACCTCCAGAGCTGGAAGAGGCAAGGAAGGGATGTGTACCTAGAGCTTCCAGAGGGAGGGCAGCCCTCCCAACACATTGATTTTGGATCAGTAATACTGATTTTGGATTTCTGGCCTCCAGCACTATAAGACAATAAATTCCAGTGGTTTTAAAGCCACCAAATTTGTAGTAATTTGTTACAGCAGCCACAGGAAACTAACATAAGAGGGATGCTCCTCAACTTCAGGCAAGGCCCCTCCTTAGCGGGGGACTTCACCTGGCTCCTAAGGTAAAGTCTATTTCCTTTGTGACATACCAAACAGGGGAGACCAATAGGGCCAACACAGGCTTTGCTTCCCTGGATGAGACTTTGGGGCCCAGGAATCCTGGGGAGTCCCAGAGACAAAAGTGGATTACTTAATCTCAAGTCACAGAAATTCCAAATTTACAGAGGACACCAAAGTGATGAAATGCTTTGTGACAGGATTGAGACTTCCCAGCAGACTCATTGGCAAGTGTGGATGGCATGAGACTTGGGCCCTGATGCTTTCAAAATCTTCCTGGCAGGTGGTTCAGAAAATGTTAGCCTGAAAGTATTTTTCATAAACTTATTTATTAACTACAAACTCTCCCTCTTGGCCTTGGGTACATCTTACTATCACCTGGGGAGCTTTTAAAATTCCCCATAAGAAAGCTGCAACCAAGACCAATTAGGTCTGGGGATGGGATTCAGGTATCAGTTTGTTGTTGTTGTTGCTGTTGTTGTTGTTGTGGTTGTTGTTTTGGGACAGAGTCTCGTCCTGTTGCCCAGGCTGGAGTGCAGTGGCATCATCTCGACTCACTGCAATCTCAGCCTCACAGGTTCCAGCAAGTCTCCTGCCTCAGCCTCTCAAGTAGCTGGGATTACAGGTGCCCAGAACGACGCCTGGCTAATTTTTGTATTTTTAGTAGAAACTGGGTTTCACCATGTTGGCCAGGCTGGTCTCAAACTCCTGACCTCAAGGGATGCGCCCACCTCAGCCTGCCAAAGTGCTGGGATTACAGGCATGAGCCACTGCACCTGGCCAAGTATCAGTATTTTTTAAAGCTCTCTGCCTAGATGATTGTGGTGTGCAGCCAAGGTGGAGGACTGCTGCGTAAGTTGTAGCACTCAGCCTGTTCCACCCCCTCATAGAATGCAACCCTGGGAGGTTGGGATGGAGGAAGACAAAGGATAAGGATCCTTCAAAATCTCACTTCCAACCCAGTCCCTGCCTCTGGCTGGAAAGAGGGAAGATGAGGCAAAAAGTAAGTGTGTACAACAAGAAGCCCTTCTGAGACCCCTCTGAAGACCCCAAGATGAGGATCCAGGAGGACCTGCATATTTGACAGTGTCACTGTCTGGCAGACACTCCAGGACCACCTATTGACAGGCTCACTGGTCCCCTTGGATTAGAAGCAATCATGGGGTCCTGGGACTACTTGATTTAAGGCAGCACAGGCCCTAGATCAGACAGGGGCATCCCTAGCTTCAGTTATCCTGATAGAAAACTGTTGTAGGATGTCACCAGGGCAATGACTGACCTACTCCAGCAGAAAAGGACTAAGGATGACAAATCCTCCTTCCTCCTCCCTTTCCAGAGTTTTCTTCCTAGAATAACTGTGTTGACTATATAGAAATCTGACTAGTCACCACCATTTCCATAACGATCCATCATTTATTCTTGGTTAGCATGCCCCGTAGAAACAAGTATGCAAACTGTTACATGAGTCCGATGAACTCTGTTGTGAAATTCTATTTCAACACGAAACTCTATTTAGCAGTCTTCATAGCTGTTCACACTCCTACTACTGTCATAGGCCCAGTGATCTTCAAACATGAGAGGCGAAAGTGCTTCCTGGCTCTTGGCTCTCTTGAGTAATGGAGGCTGTCCTATAAGTAACTGACACTCAGGGCAGAGTTCTAAGTCCTAGACATTGGTAACCTTGAAAAGTACCAGTCAGGCCTCATAGGGGAGGAAAATGAACCTTCAAGCAGACCTATTTGAATAAAACATGACCAAATTTGCACCTTCCTTGTGTGTTTTTACCGCTACCCAATTCACAGTACCAATGGTGCTAGTTTACCCTGGAAAGTATAACTGCAACAGAGCAACTGGAAGCCAATATAATAAAAAGGTGGATTTGAGTTTTCTGTGGCCAGCCAAGAATAACAGAACTGAAGCAGTCCTGCGAGAGAAAGGGGGCTCAGCTGGGAATGTGTGGGAAAATGACTCTGTCCCTCTCCAGCCCAACTTGGGAGACGAGAAAGCGCTAAGAAAAAAAGAGTTTTGAGATTCTCGCAGAGAGCTCAATGTTGGGCAATGGATCAATAGGGTGGCTCTGAAGTCATTATCCAAGGGGGAACATCCGGACTTTAACAATCAAGAGAAGTAATAGGATCTGGCCTGGTCCCGTCCAATTCCTGCTGATATTGGCAGGTGGGGCTACCTTAGGCCAGCGCTGTGTCCAGGACGACATGGATTGGAGGTGGAGGGGGAACCAAGGAGGGTGGGGGCGGGCACCAGGCAAGAAAGCAGAGCCTAAGAAGTCTCAGATTTTTTTGGTTACAACTTAATGGCATTCCCCTCAGCTGAGGTAACAGGGTTCCTGTTAGAAGCAGATGAACAGCTCCTGGCATGTTTATACAGCTAGTGATTTTGTTGTCTAAGAAAGTTTCTGTTAATCAAATAGAGTATATTTTGTTCAGAGTTAGATCCTCTTGAAAATAAACATCTGATCTTATTTCACTCGAAATCCACTGTTGCCATCTATGGGGAATCTATTGGTGTTTTTCTTTCTTTAAATGCCACATCATATAGATTTTCTTTGGTGATTTTTATCCCTCCGAAAAGCACTTCATTAAAAAAAAATCCAAACCACAGTCCCAAACTTATCACACTGAAAATTGTGGCCCTTTGTGTCTTTGGTGGCAGCTGGTGGAGTTCACTGAAGCTTCAGATACACATTATGTTTGGTCATCATTATTTCTCCCCCTGAAACCTGAGGTTTGGGGAGCCACATGCTTTCTTTAAAATTCAAGGGTGTGTATTGGAACAATAAATCTTTCCTCATGGACATAACCAATTTTAACTGATTTTTCTGTATTCAGGCAGGAAAAATCAGTTAAGAGTTCCCAGTACCTAAATAAATAGAGAGAAATTGAGTTCATACGTGCACTTTTAAAATGTTTCAAACGTTTTGACTATTATGGAAATACCCCTGATACATTTCAAAATAACACTGATGGGGGAAGAATACAATCTGAATATGTTTGTTCTTTAACTAACAGCCCAAATGCTACTCCAGAGAAACATTATAATGAAGTTAATTAAGAATTAATGAAGTTTACTAATTAGTAATTAATACAGTTCTCACAATGTGACACCTGACATTTAGTTCCATGACTTTTTTTCTGGTTCCAAATGTTTTTTAATTATAAAAAGATCACCCGTCCCATAAATTATGCTCCTGTGTCTTTTGAATAGATATTACTGATCTGTGGGCAATTTTTTTCCCACTCTGTGACTCATAGCAAAGATCGCTTTTCTTATCCCTTTGATGTTTCAGATACATTTACATTCAAATAAATCCACAAAATACCAGGAATGACTACAGGAAGAGATACTTCTCTGGAAATGTATTTCAGATGGCAATGTTTTAGAAAACACTAATATACAAATCAATCCAGTTGGAGAAGGAGCTTCATTCAGCCTCATCTCCAGTCTTAGACATAAACATGGAGGCAACAAAATGCCTGGCCCCACTGAAGCTATCCAAGTTCTAATACACAACAAATGAGTTTCACACCAAGGGAAAGGTCATTTCTTTAATCCGTGTCTTCTGGGAATGTACACAAATGTCATTCTTCCCAACCTACGTAATTAAACAGTTTAACTGGTGTGGCCATTCACTGTTTATTTTCCCATTGGGTAATGGCGGGATGTTAGCAGCAGATGACAAGGAGGAAATATAGGCAGTTGCAAATGTGTTGATGATCTCTCTCTCCCTCTCCCTGCCTCTCTCTTTCTCTCTCTCTACCATTTCCCTGCTAGAGAGGCCATTGGATTTAGTTCCTCACAAAATCAGGCAAGCAGCAGGCAGGCAGGCAGGCAGGCAGGGGGCATTATTTTGAGCTCAGCTGGGAGGTGTGGCACATAGTAGGATGAAAGGAGAAAGCACAGGATTGGACGTCAGATACATCAGGGTTGTAGTCCTGGCTTCCACATCATGTGACCTTGGACAAAGTTCCACACTTTTCTGAAGTTCAACTCCTGCATCTCTAAAATGGGGATAATACTACCGAATTCATTGGATTATTGCGAGGATTAAATGAAATAACACACATGAAGCATGCTTAGAACAGTCCTGGCAGAAAGTAATTGCTCAATAAATGAGAACTCTGTTTCCATCTGTATACAAAGGAAGACTCTGGTGGTTATGTTTAGAGGAGGGGAGGGCTATAATTGGAATGCGGGACATGGAAGGACTTCTGGGGTGGCTGGCAAAGTTTTACCTCATTCCTGGGTGGTAGTTAAAAGGGTATTTGTCTTGTAGTAACTCATTGAGCCATATATTTTTAAATTTTATGTGGTTTTCTGGATCTGTGTTTTATTTTTTAATAAAAATATTACAATGAATAGAGAAAATGAAACAAGTATTTGTTCTAGGAAGAAAGGAAAGAAAGAAGAAAACAGAGAAGGAAGGAAGGAGGGAAGGGAGAATGGAGGGAGAAAAGGAGGGAGGAAGGGAGGGAGGTACAGAAGGAAGGAAGGAAGGAAGGAAAGAAGGAAGGAAGAAAGGATGGAAGGGAGGGAGGAAGGGAGGGAGGGAGGCAGGAAAGAGCATTGGGCAAGGAGAGATGAGGGAGGAAAAATACATAGCAATGGAAAGAAGTCCCACCACACTAAAGGACATCATAGAGGTCCAAGAGATGCTCTATGGCTTCCAGTTCAGACCCCAGCAGGTAGCTGGTATCAGAGTGGCCCAGCCAGCTGTGAGCCAATATGGCACAAGGCTCTCTGGGAGCCAGCAGTATGCACAGACCCCTCAGCAAGCAGTGAGCTAAAGACCAGGATTGCAAGAAGTCAGTGACTAGAGCCCAGTGTGAGGAGGAGATTGGGTCACAAGAATGATCCACAAGGGCCTAGCAAGGAGATGGGCTGACCTACTGAGCTACAGCTTCTTCAACTCCCCGTGAACATGGAGAGGAAGCAGGCTCCCTCTCCTGACTCCTGCCTGCCCTCTAACCCAGGAATACAGACCACTTCCTGTACTGCCAATGGAAAGGCCTCTTTTCATTCATCCTAGTCAACTTTGTCACTGCTGACACTCTGTCACTGTCCCTCCTCATTCCTCCTGCCACTCAGTCTCCTTTGCCTGCCACATTTTCTCTGCCAGCCCCTTAAGTATCCAGGGTTCAGATGTAAGCCCTCTTAGGGTCTCCTCTGCCCGCTCTCCCTGGTGAGCTCATCCACTCCCACGGCTTCTCCCTCCACTTCTGATCTGTACCTTGGGCTCTACACTCTGTCCCTAACCACTTCATTGGCCATTTGTACTAGGATGTCTACAAGCCCACAGGCTGAATATGTTCGCATGCCTTTTAGACTTCATTTCAGGGAACTGCCTAGGGCCTCTGTCCCCACCTAATCACATCAGGCACTTCCTGCATCACCTGGCTGTGAACTTGTAAGCACACCAGCCAGCTATTTTTCCACATTGCCAGTACCCAACACCAGTGAGCCCCGGGCCCTCCACCACTGTACTCAGCCCAGATCTGGGGCTCCACCACTTTCTCCTATCACCACTCCATTTCCCAGATGGTCCCTACCCTCCTGAACTCCTGTCTCTCATCCTGATTCAGACCTCACACTCACCCTGTTGTGTTTAGGGCAGGTATTGCTCTGCTGGTAGTGACTCCTGGATTCCGTTATATAAGACCTACCCATTGCTACCTCATTGGTCCCATTCAATCCAGGTTCCAGCACCACTGATAAGTTTGGCATTCTTTTTTCATTTGCCCCGGCCCTGTGGTTAGGGACTAGATAGTCATCCCATATGCAGGTGCTCTTCCTGAGGTTGCAGGCCCTGCTGAGATGAACCACTACTACTGTCCTTCCAGAAAAGGTTATGGGTGGACACGAGTCAATGCCTTTACCAGGAGCTATCCGCCTGGTAAAGAGACATAGACAGAGACTCTAGTCCAGGTTATGCAGAAGGAAAGGAGATGGCTGCTGTGGTGGGGACATGGTCCCCATAGATATCAGCTGAAAGGATGATCATTCAGGAAGAGAAATAGCACTTGTATTAAAGAAGACTCTGCATCCATTTCTGAGTGATGTCACTACTCACCAGCGATGTGTGACATGAAAAACAAGTCCTAGGTCCAACCCTCCCCATCTGATGTATCCTGAGTTCTATAAAGAACCAGAAGCTGTTTTTGAATGTCCGTGGAATGACCATAGTACAAAACCTGTATGTAGACCCATGTGACAATGGACTCTAGTCCAAGAGACCCAGTAAAGGGCTCATCTCGAGGCCCTGTCCTTCATAACTGTGCAGCACCTACTTCATCTCCTCATGCCCCTCCTAACCACTTATGACTCCAGTTGCTCCAATAAATGCCAGCCCCATCAGCCTTCTGCTAGTCTCATGCTAAGCAGCCAGGGTCTCTCCAGGTTCTCCTAGCACCCCAGAAAAAAATATCTTAGGCTCCTTTCTTCTTTTTTCCTCATTGATATCTCCACTAACAGGCACCTCAAACTTGACCTGTTGAATGGATCTGTTCACTTCTATTTATTTCCACCTTGCCTACCATCTGTACTGCCCCAGTAAATGGCACCTCCGTCCACTTCCTAACAAAACCCAATCAAGGCATCATTCTTTTATTTATGTATTTTTTTGCTAACAGCTTTATTGAGGTATAACTCACATGCCATACTATTAAACCTTTTAGTATATACAATTCAGTGTTTTTTTTGTATATTGACCAGGTTGTAAAACCATCAGCATTAAGTCTAGAACCTTTTTGCCAACCCCTATGAGAAACTCTGTACCTGTTAGTAGTTGCTCCCCATTGGCCCCTGACCCCCATCACTTTGCCAACTATTAATCTGCTTTCTGTCTTTATGGATTTGACTATTCTGGATATTTCATATTAATGGAGTCATATGACATGTAACATTTCGTGTCTGACTTTTTTCACTTAGGGATAATGTTTTCAAAGTTCATCCACACTGGGCCAGGTGGGTGGCTAATGCCTGTAATCCTAGCACTTTGGGAGGCCGAGGAGGGTGGATCATTTGAGGGCAGGAGTTCGAGACCAGCCTGGCCAACATGGTGAAACCTAGTCTCTACTAAAAATACAAAAATTAGCTGGGCATGGTGGTGGGCACCTGTAATCCCAGCTACTCGGGCAGCTGAGGCAGGAGAACCACTTGAACCTGGGAGACGGAGGTGGCAGTGAGCCCAGATTGTACCACTGCACTCCAGCCTGGGCGACAGAGTGAGGCTCTGACTCATAAAAAATAAATAAAAACAAGGTTCGTCCATGCTGTAGGATGTATCAGTACTTCATTCTTTGTATGGCTGAATAATATTCTATTATATGGATATAAATGTTGTTTATCCATTCATCTGTTGATGAATACTTGGGTTGCTTCCATCTTTTGGATATTGGGAACAGTGCTGCTATGAATATTTATATACACATTTTTGTTTGAACACCTGTTTTAAGCACTGTTGGGTATATGCCTAGGAGAAGAATTGCAAGGTCGCTTGGTAATTCTATGTTTAACTTATTGAGGAACCACCAAATTGTTTTCTGTGGTGACTACACCACTTCACACTCCCACCAGCAATGTATGAGGGTTCCAGTTTCTCCACATCTTGGCCAACACTTGTTTATTTTGTTTGTTTGGTTGGTTTGTTTGTTTCGTTTTTTGAGACAGGGTCTTGCTCTGTCACCCAGGCTGGAGTGCAGTGGTGCAATCAAACTCACTGCAGCCTTGACTTCCCAGGCCCAAGTTATCCTCCCACCTCAGCCTTCTGGGTATCTGGGACTACAGGCATGCACCACTATGCACAACTAGTTTTTGTATTTTTAGTAGAGACGGGGTTGTGCCATGTTGCCTAGGCTGGTCTTGAACTCTTGGGCTCAAGTGATCCACCCGCCTCAACCTCACAAAGTGCTGGGATTACAGCCATGTGTCATAGCACACAGCCTAACACTTGTTATTTTCCATTTTAAAAGTTCTAGCCATCCTAGTGAGTGTGAAGTAGTGTGGCATTATGGTTTTGATTTGCATTTCCCTAATGACTTATAATGTTGAGCATCTTTTCCCATGCTTTTTGGCCATTTGCATCTCTTCTTTGGAGTAGCCCTATTTCTTCATGAAACTCCTCTCTGTCTCCTTGTTTTTCTCTTACCACTCTCTTGCCCACCCCATCTTCTTACTTCCCTTCTTCTTAGTCTCCTTCATGGGCTCTTTGTACTCTGCTCACCCCTCAAATTTGATCTCCCTTGGAGTCCTCTCCTAAGTGGTTTTTTGTCCTCACTTCACACACTGTCTCCAGGTGATCTCATCTTCCCCATGGCTTCATCTCTGTCTCCAAGTTGGCAACTCCCAGATCTTCATCTTCAGATCATTTTCCTGGGCTCCGGGCCCATATATCCAGTTGCCTCCCAGATGGCTCCGCTTGGGTGTCTCACAGCACCTCACACAATCAATGTGCCCAGACAGTACTTACCCCACTCCCACAAGTCCAGACCCACTCCTCTCCTACTCAGTCACACAGGCCCCAAACTCTGGAATCTTCTTTGGCTCCTCATTCCATATTTCTAGTCAGTCACAACAGCCTATAGATTCTGCTTTGGATGTTTCCAAATAGACCATAGGCCCAACAAAGGCTTAAAACATTGAATTATTTTCTGGCCTAGCACTCTAGGCAATAAAACACTCAAATAGAGCACGGTCATAAAATATTTGCAACTTGCCCAAGTGCTTGACTTCCTAGGTCATGTAGGGAGGTAGAGACCCTGTTTCTGGGCTCACTTTCACTTTTCTCCATGCCTGCTATCTCTTCCCTGGTCCATGCCCTCATTATCTCTCACCTAGACAACTACAAGACCAATTAGGAGAGTCTCATAGTTGTCTAGACAACTACAAGACCAATTAGGAGAGTCTCATAGTTGTCTAGGTGAGAGATAATGAGGGCATGGACCAGGGAAGAGATAGCAGGAACGCTGTCTCCTAACTGTCTCCCTTGGTCCTGAAATCTATTCTCTATACTGACAACAGGATAACCTTCCAGAAGCATAGCGCTGATTATGTTGTACACATTTTTGAAACCCTTCGATGATTCCCCTTTGACTATACCTACTGGCCAAATCTAAACTCATAGGCAAGTATTGAAGGCCCTTCATGATCGGGCCCATACCTACTCTTCCAGACTCTTTTCTAGTGCTTCCAGCCATGTTAAACTACCTGCCATGCTGAGAATATACTAAACTTTGTTGCCCTCTGACCCTTTGCTCATGCTCTTGTTCCATCTGTCTAGGAAGAGCCAGCCTTCCCGATATAGTTTGAATATTTGTCCCCGCCCATATCTCATGTTGCAGTGTAATCCCCAGTGTTGGAGGTGATTGGATCATGGGGGCAGATTCCTTATGAATGGCTTGGGCCATCCACTTGGTGACAAGTGAGCTCTCGCTCTGAGTTCACACAAGATCTGGTCGTTTAAAAGTGTGTGGCACCTCCCTATCCACTCTCTTGCTTCTGCCCTGGCCAAGTAACATGCCTGCACCCACTTTGCCTTCCACCATGATTGTAAGCTTCCTGAAGCCTCCCCAGAAGCTGAACAGATGTCAGCATTATGCTTCCTATAAAGCTTGCAGAACTATGAGCCAATTAAACATCTTTTATTTATAAATCACCCAGTCTCTGGTATTTCCTTATAGCAATGCAAGAATGGCCTAATAGACTTCCCTTGTTCCCTTCCTGTCCCACTGCTCCAACAACTAACAAATGTTTCATCTCCAATATCCAGTATAAATATAATCTCTGTGAACCTGGATTGAATTTTCCTGGACAGAGGTGGTCACTCAGTTCCATTTAGTTCAGCTAGAATGTCCTCACCTCCTGTTACATGTCATGCAATATTCAGTATGAGGGTACAATAATGATAAAGTATACAGGCCCTGCCCTGAAGGAGCTCACAGTACAGTGGGGGAGGCTGCATTAAGAAAAAAATAACACCCAGGAGTGGTGGCTCATGCCTGTAATCCCAGCACTGTGGGAGGCCGAGGCAGGTGGATCATTTGAGGTCAGGAGTTTGACACCAGCCTGGCCAACATGGTGAAACCCCACCACTACTAAAAATACAAAAATTAGCCGGGCATGGTGGCTGAGCCAGGAGAATCACTTGAACCCGGGAGGCGGAGGTTGCAGTTAGCCAAGATGGTGCCACTGCACTCAGCCTGGGTGACAGAATGACACTCTGTCTCAAAAAAAAAAAAAAAAAAAATCACAGGGCAGTGTGCTGTGATAAAGACTTGTATAAAAGGCAATGGAAACACCTAGAAGGGGGCCAATAAATCCGCCCAGAGGGGTCAGAAAAGGTACAATGGAGAGAGGAAATGTGATCTGTATCTCAAAAGAAATTTTAAAATGACATAGACAATGCAAAAGGAAAGAGCTTTAGAAGGAAAATCCTGACTTTGATTTGAGACACGTTCAGTTTGACGGACCTTTGGAACATCCAGAAGATGTTGAGTAGACAGTTGGCAACACTAGGGCCTGGAACTGAGGAAAGCGTTGTGAACTGAAATATAGATTAGTGAGATGTGCTTACATCTCGCTAATCTCATGGAAGTAGAAGCCTCAGGTGTGGAGGGAAGGAAGTCTTGGGGAGGAGGTTGATCGCATAGATGGCCCCTTTAGCCTGGTCTGTTGCAGCCTTACCTCTCATTCCCTCTTTGTGTAGCTCAACAACTAGGTTGAGCACAATTCAAAGGCAGAGACTAATGATTGCTCGCATCAGCATTTCTTCATCTCCCCCAGCACCTTATTTACTGTCTGGCACAGAGTAGATGCTCAATACCCATTGGTTGAATATTTGAAAAATAGTCACTAGCCCAACATTGTGGCACACACCTGTAGTCCCAGCTACTTGAGAGACTGAGGCAGGAGGACCGCTTGAGTCCCAGAGTTTGAGACCAGCCTGGGCAACATAACAATACTCTCATCTCAAAAAAAAAAGGGGAAAAAGGAAAAGAAAAATAGTTGCTGAGGTGAGGTGAGCTGAGCTGAGGTGGAGGGGTATGTCAAGTGGCTACAGCTGTAGGAAAGGAAGGCCAGGCCCTAAGATGATAATATTAGTAGTTGATTTTGATAGTACTATTAAGTGTCTCAGAACCTTTGGGATGGGACACAGAAGAGGTTTGAGGGAAAGGGCTCAGTGGAGAGAGGAGGCATCAGGAAACAGAGGTGGAAGTTCCAGTCAAAAAGCTTCACAGGTCAGGCGCAGTGGCTCACACCTGTAATCTCAGTTCTTTAGGAGGTCGGGGCAGGAGGATCATTTGAGGCCAGGACTTTGAGACCAACCTGGGCAACAAGGTGAAACCCTGTCTCTAAAAAAAAATTTAAAAATTAGCCAGACAAGGTGGCACATGCCTGTAGTCCCAACTACTTGGGAAGCTGAGCTGGGAAGATCACTTGAGCCTGGGAGGTTGAGGGTTGAGGCTGCAGTGAGCCATGATCATGCCACTGTACTATAGCCTGGGTGACAGAGCCATACCCTGTCTCCCCTTACCCCCTGCAAAAAATAAATAAATAACCTGAAATTTGGATTTTTTTTTTAACCAAGTCCAAGTGCCCTTCCTTCCCAGTTTCAGGGATTCCGAAGAGTCTGATTGTTATACAAGGGGTTCTGTCTTAGAAAAACCTGAAGGCTGACATGTGTCTAAGGTCTGCACTTTCTATAGCAAGCAAGGCACTCCCTTCTCTCCTCACAGACTCATCAAGTCCCAAGCAACACATAAGATGCCCCCACCCAAGCCAGCTATTTTTAACAATGTCCTGTCCACAGCCTGAGCTAACCAAGTGGATCAGATGCTACAGCTAAGGGCAGGGGAACCTCTCCTCCGTGGTGGCCACTGATCCACTAAACAAATGCCAATTACAGGTCACTTGCGATTATCAAAAGTGACTTCTATTGGCAGTGACTGCTTCTCAAGGAAGGGCAAGGTGTGGGGCCCTATTATTACCTCTCAGCAACACACACTGGATCATTAAGAAAGTGGACCATGACAATTTACTGAAAAACGTGTTCTATTTTACAAATTTGCTTCATTCCTTCTGCTGGCTATTTAAGCAAGAAAGGGAGGACATGCAAGAGAGTCGGAATGGGGGTATAAAAAAAGACAATTGGAAGGAAAAAATAAGATAGAAGGCAATTGAGAAAGACAGAAGGGGCCAGGTGTGGTGGCTCACATCTGTAATCCCAGCACTTTGGGAGGCTGAGGTGGGTGGATTGCTTGAGGTCAGGAGTTTGAGACCAGCCTGGCCAACATGGTGAAACTCTGTCTCTGCTATATATATATAAAAAAAAAATAGCTGGTGGCATGTGCCTGTAGTCCTAGGTACTCGGGAGGCTGAGGTGGGAGGATTACTTGAGGCCGGGAGTTCCATTTCAGCTGGAGCAACATAGCAAGACCCTGTCCTTAAAAAGAAGGGTGGGGAGTGGGGAGAAAGACAGGGGTTAGGCCACAAGGGATGACTGAAAGGGAGAAAGAAATCAAAATGGAAGGTAGAAAGGTAAATGGGTGTAGTAGAGAAAAGGAGATAGAAAGATATAAAAAAGGAAAAGGGGAAAGGATGCAACAGAAAATCAGAGTATCAGCCATGCCAACATCCTAATTTAATTGAGGGGGAAATTGAGGCCCAGAGAGGGGAAGTGATTTGGCCAAAGTTTTGCTGCTGGTTAATGCTTGAGCTAAGGCTAGACCTCAGGTCAACAGACTCCCAGGCCAGGAGTATGTCCATCAAAGCACAGTCAGCCTACACTCCAGACTTTCTGGGCTAATTCTGACATCATTTCTCCAGGCCCGATGTTGTATGATAAATCTGAATGTAAGAAGGAAAGCAGAAAGCCCCAGACCCCACCAGACCAAGTCCAGGCAATTGAGAGACAGCATAATCAGAAGCGGAAACCTCAGGTCCATGAGGTACTGAAGAACAGTGGGGTGCCTAGAAGGGGCTTGCTGGAGTCCCCAGGTATACCCAGGCAAAGGGACTTAGCCCCTGAGGTTGTCCAAGGATCTCTTAGCCAGAAAAAGGAAGCTAAACCACAAGCTGGATATCTGTTCTTCCTGAGAGCAGACCTACACATCCACTCCCAGTTCCAAGCACAGACACAGAAATCAGAAAATGCTAAAGGTTCCTGGGAAATCAGAGGCAAGATGGGTAAAGTCTCCCCAACCTTAAGCTGACCCTTGGCTCACTCTGGGCGGGGCTTTTCACTCTGCCAACTCTGGACTAAAAGAGAGATCCAGGCCACTTCAGGTTTGTCTTTTTTGTCAGGGCCCCTCAAACCTGATTGCTGCAGAAAGTATTATACTTCATGGTTGCCCCAAAGTACTTGGCCATCCACTAGGAAGCCCAGCCTTAACTGTGCCCCTCCCACAGATTCTCAAACTTGTGACTGAACTTTGCCAGGACTGGATATAATTAGGCACCGAACCAGAGGTTCCCAAAGCCTGCCATATGCCTACATATATACCCACACACACGTGTCAAAATGCTTTTGATCCACAAATCTGATATAGAAAATCTGCTTATAATGAAGTTTCTTAAAAAGCCCTATTCTAAGAAGCATTTATCTTCTTCAGTGGTAAATCTGGATTTAATTCCCATTCAGCCTCATCAAACCATATAAGCAAGTTTCCACAGTCTCCTATTGTTCTGGTCTAAGGACCCTATGTGTCTCCCTTTAGTTCAATCCCAACCCCTGGGCTTAGAGTGGGATGCTCTGGGGAGGTCATTGTAAATGTGTTTTAAAGGGTCACCTGACAAAAAGGAAGTGCTGTGAATAAGCACTGAAGTGGGCTAGGCACAGTGGCTCACACCTATAACCCCAGTACTTTGGGAGGCAGAGGCAGGAGGATCACTTGAGGCCAAGGCAGGAGGGTCACTGGAGGCCAGCCTGGGCAGCATAGTGAGACCCAGTCTCTAAAAAACAAACAAACAAACAAACAAACAAACAAAAAATTTAAATTAGCCAGGTGTGGTGGTGCATGCCTGTGTTCCCAGCTACTCCAGAGGCTGAAGTGGGAGACTCACTTGACCCTGAGAGGTTGAGGCTGCAGTGAGCCATGACTGCACTCCAGCCTAGGTGACAGAATGAGACCTTGTCTCAAAAAACAATAAAATACAATAAAAAATAAAAAAAATAAAAAAGTACTGAAATGTCCTAGGTGGAAGAAATATCTGAGTGCAAGTCTAGTATAGTGACTAGCTCACAATACATGCTCAATAAATATTTACTGAGTAAGCTGTAAGGGTTCTTTGTTATGAATTAGCCCAACATCATTTTGCCAAAACACAGAGAGAGGAAGTGACGTGTCCAGGATTATATAGCTGGCCAGCAACAGAGCCTTCACTAGGTCATGGGTTGTTCATATAAACAAGGAGTTTAAAACAGGACCCTTCTAGAATTGTAGTCTCTTAGAATTGTCAAAGTGCTCTCCTTGGACCTGTTGTCCAACAAGCTGAAACAGACCTGCTCATAACTGCCACCCACTGGTTTTAGTCCTGCCCTCTGGGACAAGACAGAAAATGCCAAATCCTTCTCTTTGATAAGGATTTGATAACAGTCAACATAGCCTCTCCAAATAAATCCCTGGTTGCTTCAAGAGTTCTCCATGTGACACTCCTCTGGATTTCTCAAGGTCTCTCTGATAGATGCCTCTCTGCCAGCCTCTGGAGACAACTTCCCTTGCCAGTGCAGGGACATGATGGACTCCTTTCCTCCTTCCTTTAAATGTTATTTAAACATGTTGGCTGTTTTAGCAGTCACGTGGCACTGTCCACCCTTATTTAGCCCGTCTGTGGTCAGTTCAAACTCCCAAGGTTTTTTTTTTTTTTTTTTTTTTTGACAGGATCTCACTCTGTCACCCAGGCTTTAGTGCAGTGGTGCTATCGCAGCTCACTGCAGCCTCGACCTCCCGGGCTCAAGCCATCCTCCCACCTCAGCCTCTTGAGTACCTGGGACTACAGATGCTCGCCACCATGGCCAGCTAATTTTTGTATGTTTTGTAGAGATAGGGTTTTGCCATGTTGGCCAGACTGCTCTCGAACTCCTGGGCTCAAGCAACCCGCCCACCTTGGGCTCCCAAAGTGCTGGGATTATAGGCATGAGCCACCGCACTCAGCCGCCAAAGTCTTTTTCATATGAACTGTTATCAAACTGTGTCTCTCTCATCTGGTCTTTGCACAACCAAGTATGTGTAAACTATGCAGACTACTTTGTGTTCTACTTTCAAAGTTTCGGTCACTGAAGTAAAATGCCATCAAACTCCTCTGGGCCAGAAAGCCTAGATCTAAATGTTGAACCTCGAGTTCAATGTTCTTCCTCATTAGCTTTTTTCTACCTTATGTATTTTGATCTATACAAAAAGTTGAATATGGATAATTTCTACAAACTGCTGGAGCTTAATGGTTTAAAAGGTAGCATAAGCCCGGCACAGTAGTTCAAGTCTACAATCCGAACACTTTGGGAGGCTGAGACAAGTGGATTGCTTAAGCCCAGGGGTTTAAGACCAGCCTGGGCAACATGGTGAAACCCCTTCTCTACAAAAAATGCAAAAAATTAGCCAGGCGTGGTGGTGCATGCCTGTAGTCCCAGCTACTTGGGAGGACTGAGGTGGGATAATCACCTGAGCCTAGAAAGTTGAGGCTGCAGTGAGCTGTGATCACACCACTGCACTCCTTCCTGGGTGACAGAGTGAGACCCTGTCCAAAAAAAAAAGAAAGAAAGAAAGAGAAAGAAAGAAAGAAAGAAAGAAAGAAAGAAAGAAAGAAAGAAAGAGAGAAAGAGAGAAAGAAAGAAGAAAAGAAAAGAAAAGAAAAGAAAAGAAAAGAAAAGAAAAAAAGAGCATGGTGTGTTGGAGCATGTGAGTGTTGGGATTGGGATACCTGTATGCCAGGCATTGTGAAGTGCTTTATATACATTAGCTCCTTCTCTCCAATAGAGGTAGTATTATTATCCCTAGTTTCTGAACAAAGAAACTGAGGCTTAAGACGTTCCACTGTTATTAAGGGGCAGAGGCAGGATTTGAACCTAGTTCTGACCAACACCAAGGGTCAAGTTCTTTTCATCATACTAGTGGTTCTTAACCTTGACTGCCTTGACTGCACATTAGAATCACCTGGGGAGCTTTAAAGCATCCCAATGCCCAGGGCCCATCCCCAGCCAATTAAAACAGAGTCCCTGGAGGTAAGGTCTGAGTATGAGTAGGTTTTAATAGCTCCCCAGGTGATTCTAATATACAGCAGTAAAACCCTACTTTATACCATGCAATTTCCTAGGTACATTAGTCTGGCATAGATGTGAATGCAACTATTAGGCTCTATATTTTTAGCACTGGTTGCTTCAAAAGACAAGGCTGAAGTTATTTAAGGCACTAACATCAAACAAATGGTGATGGCGAGACCTCAACCTGCTGCTCCCTGTTCTGATAGGGGAGTGAGGGCAGCCACTCCGTTCTAACTTCTACCCCTGGAAACTTCCACTGTTCATTTCCCTGAATCATGTGCTTTCCCCCTGACCATTTTGAGTTCCAAAAGACAGGCCTGCCATGCACGGTGGCTCACGCCTGTAATCCCAGCACTTTGGGAGGCTGAGGCGGGCGGATCACCTGAGGTTGGGAGTTTGAGACCAGCCTGACCAACATGGAGAAAGCTTGTCTCTACTAAAAATACAAAATTAGCCCAGCATGGTGGCGCATGTCTGTAATTCCAGCTACTCGGGAGACTGAGGCAGGAGAATCGCTTGAACCCGAGATTGTCCCATTGCACTCCAGCCTGGGCAACAAGAGGGAAACTCTGTCTCAAAAAAAAAAAAAAAAAAAAAAAAAAAAGACAGTTCTGGCCTAACTTATACAGGGTGAGCAGACTACAAGTGGGCCCTAAAGATTCTTAGCTGCGTTCCTTTGACTTATGACAAAAGCCTTAGGATTTACCTTCTGAGCAAGCTGCACAAGGTGGTGTCCGAGAGGTTTCCCTGGGGAACTGAGGCTCCGTATAAGTTCCTTCCTGTATTCCTCTGGCTGGCCCTTATATGGGAGAGCTCCTTATAAAATGTCTTAAAAATTAGAAACGGACATGATGCAACTGAGAAAATAATTTGTATATTAGCAGGAGGTGCAAATCCCCGAAGAGCCCATTGAAAAAATAAGAAACTCCGAGTCAATGGGAAGTTGTAAAACCTAGCACTGTGAGAACAAAGAGCCCTAGCCATATGGAATAGCTTATCAGAGGCAGGGCAACGGAGCCCGCGTGAGAACGGCTCAGGCTCCAGAGAGGGACACCTAGATCTGTTCAAGGAGGCGTCAGGAAGTGTCGGGGATGGTGAAAGAGCTGAAAGATGTGATTAAAGTAAATCCTCCAAAGATGGGAAAGTTCGGCTAAATGGCTTCTTCCTGTTCTTAATATGCTTTCTATTTTTCCTGGAGGCAGGAGGGGGGCACTCTGGGTAATTTGCTGATTGCCCATGGCTCCCTGTCCTCCCTCCAAGGCTGGAGTGGATTCTTTTGTCTGCAAATCCTGGATGTGTGCTTCCCCTATTACAAGCAGTAAGGGCTATGTGAATAAAATATGTGTCTCTTAGAAACCATAATATGATCCTAGAATCAAAAAGAGCCTCTTCTCACAGCTTTCCCAGAGCTTCAACAGTCATAACCACTAAGCAGAAAGGGCTTCACTGGGGCTGTATCCACACATAGATCAAGCACTGAGGAGAGTGAAAGCAGTTAGATGCCTAATGTAGGCTAAATACACGTAGTCCCTTGGAAGACTGTGGAAGAAATATGGGACCATATTTCTTTTCTTTTTTCTTTCTTTCATCTTTCCTTCTTTTTCTTTATTTTTTTTTACCTTTCCTTCTTTTACTTTTTTTTAAATCTTGAGACAGAGTTTTGCTCTCTTGAAATTTACTTCTTTTTCCCATTTATTACAAGCCTCTTATTCTTTTTTCTCTCTAGTTTCGTTAGGCATTTTATTTTATTTTATTTATTTGAGACAGAGTCTCACTCACTTTGTCACCCAGGCTGGAGTGCACTGGCATGATCTCAGCTCACTGCAACCTCCACCTCCCAGGTTCAAGCGATTCTCCTGCCTCAGCTTCCCAAGTAGCTGAGATTACAGGCGCCCGCCACCACTCCCGGCTAATTTTTTGTATTTTAGTAGAGACAGGGTTTCACCATGTTGGTCAGGCTGGTCTCAAACTTCTGACCTCAAATGATTGCCTGCCTCGGCCTCCCAAAGTGCTGGGATTACGGGTGTGAGCCACCGCACCCAGCCTCTATCTTTCCTTCTTTTTCTTTTCTTTTTCTTTCTTTCCTTCCTTTTATTTCTTTTTCTTTTCTTTTGTCTTTCCTTCCTTCCTTCTCTCTCTCTCTCTCTCTCTCTCTCTCTCAGCCTGAAGGAGTCATCTAATCCCCACAGACCTCCATTTCTCCTCACTCTGCGTGGGCAGACGCCACCTAAGAGAGTCTTGAAAGATAAACATAATGTGTCAACACACTCAAAATGTTTCCCTCACATGGAACTCATCTCACGCTTCTCTCTAGCACTGGAGCCATGCGGCATTTCCATGGGAAGAAAGTCTCAAAATAGCAAGTAATAAACAGAGCCAGGGAGCCTGATGCAGCTCTACCCTGTGCCAGCCCTCAGCCTGCTCCCTCCAGAAGGAGCCGACTCTTTCCATCCCGGTAGAGCCAAGCCAGGCTACAGGGCCAGATAATCAACGGCAGGTGTCACACCCCATAATAAACCTCAAGGAAACAAAGACGATCATAGAGAAAACTTAAGGTTCGATTGCTCAAGGAGCACTGTTGGCTGGCACGTTACAAAGAAGCCCCACACGTGGGACTGGATTGTTAAGTCCCAAGTGCCCTTGGATTGGCAAGGAAGGTGAGAGTCAGAACGGAAGGGGCCCCAGGAACTGGTAGATCAGAGAGGCTCCAGCCAGGAGGGACTGGGCTGAGGCAAATGCTATGTTTATTCAGCTTACAGCTTTCATTTTTCCTAAGTGATTTAAATGAGTTAAAGAAAAAAAAAAATCATTCTACTGGATTGAGTCCATCTCTAAATATTTGGGACACACGCTGAAAGGTTAGAAGCAAACTCCTGCAAAGAAATGATTGCTGGAATGAGGGAGTTGGCTACCAGAGGAGGCCTGGGACGAAGGCCAACAATGACCCGAGAGAGAATCCAGAGCAGCGAAATGATCCATGAAGTTTCTTGGCATTTTTAAGCACTCCTGGAAAGAGAGAAGCTCATCAACTTCACTGAAGAATCTCCAAACAAATAGCTCAACTGTCTCTGTGTTTCCCAGCCTCAGAACTGGGCTGGAAAATTCAACTGCCAGTATTGAAATGCATATTTCAAGGCTGGGGCTTTGTTCTGTGGTTTGGGGTGCTTCAAACAGTTTGACCTAATCTTCAAGGTTACAGGAGTGCCAGGCATTGTCTGAGGAGTACAGTTTTTCTCGGCCCTACCTGTACCTACATTCTCCCTCAGCCTACATTGTTGTGTAGAACTGGATTTGAGTCAATTATCTGTCTCCTCTGTCTCAAAAACAGAATGGAACAAAGCAAACAGAACAAGACAAAACAAAAATCCTATCGAAAATACTCAAATTAGGGATTGACTGATTTTCTAGCAGATGCTTCACAAGGAAAAGAGGGTAGGGGGAGGAAGAGGAAGAAACAGTACATTCAGCAACTGACTAGAAGCTCAAAGATAGAAAATGTATCAAGAGCTCATTTGCAGCAAGAGTGATGACTCACACTTGTAATCCCAGTGCTTTTAGAGGCTGAAGTGGGAGGATCACTTGAAGTCAGGAGTTTGAGACCAGCATAGGCAAAAAATTAGTGGGTATAGTGGTGCACGTCTGTAGTCCTAGCTACTTGGGAGGCTGAGGAGGGAGGATCACGTGAGCCCAGAAGGTGAGGTTACCGTGACCTATGATGGTGCCATCGCACTCCAGTCTGGACAACACAGTGAGACCCTGTGAAGGAAAAGAGAGAGAGAGAGAGAGAGAGAAAGGAAGGAGGGAAGGAAGGAAGGAAGGGAGGGAGGGAGGGAGGGAGGGAGGAAGGGAGGGAGGGAAAGGAAAGAAAGAGAGAGGGAAAAAGAAAGAAAGAAAGAGAGAGAGAGAGAGAAAGGAAAGGAAAGGAAAGAAAGGGGAAAGAAAAGAAAAAGCAAATTTGCTATTTTGGAGACCTTGGACCACTCGTTCACTTCATTATAGGAAACCTGGTGTTCAAGTGGAGACCCAGACTGAGGCCAGCTGGAGAAAGAGGTGAAGACAGTGATGGGAATTATTTTCCTATAATTAGGGGCCCAGATGCTGACCTAGGATCCTGTTCTGGGAGTCAGGGCCGAGTTGAGCACAAGGAATGAAGTGGAGCTGGTACAAAAAGGAAAACAAAGAAGGGGGCTCAGGAATGAAGACAGAGCTGGACCCCCACTGCAAATCAGTGTACAAGTCAGAAGGTCTGTGAAAAGTAAAATTGGTGGGATTGCAGAGATGCAGAGAGATTGGCCTCTGCAGACAAGGCTCTGCTTCCATGGCCCCTACCCATGTCCAAGGATAAAAGTGCTGTGAAGGATACACTGGTTATGATAGTAACATCAGCCACATATGTTATTACATGTTGTATATACTGAAGTTTATACTCCCAACCCCCCAGAGAGAGATCACAGTCCAATCTGGGGGAGAAGTGCAATTCCAAAAGCATCTAACATAAGACTAGGAATGGAGGGGCAGGCATGAAGGCCTACTCACCACCATTTCCTAGAATAAAGCAAAGCATTACTCTGGGGCTATTTTTATGGCAAGAGGCTCATGCGCACCTTTAATCCTTGAAGGAGCAAGATGAAACACCTTTCACTCTGTGTTCCAAAGCCATGCTTAAAAATTACTTTAAATCTTTTATGAAAAAGGATACAGAGTCTTACTTAGTGCACTTTCTAAATATTTCTTCTACTGAAGTAATTTGTAAATGTTGCAGGGTGTTAGAAGAATAGGCTTTAACGAAGAAAATAAATTGTGTTTTTAAATCCCAAGGAGCATGGAGCTTGCAGGCACCACTGGAAATATCTGATGGGAAGGGAAAGTTGCTCACTTCTTCCAGGCTAACCAAGAGTTTGCCACTTCAGATTGGGAAACCTTTGGCCACAGGGTTTTGGGTTTCATCTCCAAAGCCTCTAGGGGAGACAAATGCCTCTCTTTGGGGTTCAACTGTGTGTTAACAAGGAGCAGGTGAGAGAATGACTCACATAGCCGAGTGCAATCAGCCGGCTCTCCACTCTGCCTTCTCTGGATCACAGTATCTGTCTGTGTAGACTGAGAGAATCAGACTAGAGCAGGGCTCAGCAAACCCTTCCAGAAGGAAGGAAATCGCACAGGTAATACAGACCACAGACATCCCAGCATATTCTTCGTTACCTCTTCATTTGTTAACAGCCTTATTGGAGATAGAATTTGCATATTGTAGTGCACCCATTGGCGTTTTTGTATATTCATTATGTTGTGCAACCATTCCCACATGAATTTTAGATTTTCATCACCACGCAGACCAAACCAAACAAAATCCTACACCCATTAGCTGTCACTCCCATTTTCTCCTATCACCCCCAGCCCTAGGCAACCTATAATCTACTTTCTAGGTTTTATTTATTTATTTATTTATTTATTTATTTATTTATTTATTTATTGAGACAGAGTCTCGCTCTGTCACCCAGGCTGGAGTGCAGTGGTGTGATCATGGCTCAACCTCCCAGGCCCAAGCGATCCTCCTACCTCAACCTCCCGAGTTGCTGGGACTACAGGTACACACCATCATGGCCAGCTAATTTTTTTTTTTTTTTTTTTTTTTGGTAGAGACTGGGTTTTGCCATATTGTCCAGGCTGGTCTTGAAATCCTGGGCTCAAGCGACTCGCCTGCCTTGGCCTCCTGAAGTGCTGGGATTATAGGCATGAGCCACCATGCCCGGCCCTCACTGAGGTTTTGATTTGAATTCCCATAATGATTCATGATGCTGAGCATCTTTTCATGTATTTATTGACAACTTGTTTATCTTCTTTGAAGAAATGTCTATTCAAATCCTTTGCCCATTTTAAGACTGGATTATTTGTCTTTTTAATGTTGAGTTGCAATTTTTTTTTTTTTTTTTTTTGAGACGGAGTCTCACTCTGTCACCCAGGCTGGAGTGTAGTGGCGCAATCTCGGCTCGCTGCAACCTCTGCCTCAGCCTCCCAAGTAGCTGGGATTACAGGCATGCTAATTTTTGTATTTTTAGAAGAGATGGGGTTTCACCATATTGGCCAGGCTGGTCTCAAACTCCTGACTTCAGGTGATCCACCCACCTCAGCCTTTCAAAGTGTTGGGATTACAGGCGTGAGCCACTGTGCCCGGCTGTAAGTGTTCTTTATTTACTCTGGATTAAAATCCCTTATCAAACATATGATTTGTAAATATTTTGTCCCATTTTTGGGTATTTAAAAAATCCTTTAAAATGTTAAAAATCAGGCCAGCTGTGGTGGTATGTGCCTGTAGTACCAGCTACTTGGGAGGCTGAAGTGAGAGATTAGCCTGAGCCCAGGAGTTTGAGTCCAGACTGGGCAACATAACAAGACCCCTGCTTTTTGGAAAAAATGTAAAAACCATTCTTAGTGCACAGGTCTACAAAAACTGGCCACTGGCTAGATTTGACCCATAGGCTATAGTTTGCTAAGTTCTGGTCTAGATCATGGGTTTTCAATTTATTTTTTAGTGATTTTAGCAAACACCTGTTGTTTTACCTGACTAGGTTCCCCTTTTCCTGGTAAACAAAACAGAACAAAACCTTGCATTTTCTTTTGGGAAGCAGCTTCTCCCCCATTTCATGGTGTCTTGGTGGGACTGTCAATTGATGATTTCTTGTCTTTCTCTGGCCAAAAGTGAACAGCTGAACTAAGATAAGCCATTCTCTCTCCAGGGATAGTAAATGTCTAGCAAAGTAAAGTTGCAAAGGGGGCAGGAGCAGTTGAAGCTGATTAATATCAGCAGGAGTGGCCTAATGAATCTGTCACTGAGTTCCCACAACTGAGATCCCCAGAGCTGCCCCATTCCTACTTTTTTTTCTGAGACCAAGTAGTCTACTTTTCCCTTCAACTACTCCCATTTCCTTCTAATAGTATATTTCCCCCATTCCCTTTGCTTGTTATCCAGAGTAAATTTCTATTGCTTGTACCTGTAAGAAACAGAAATCAGCCCCTTCTCCCAGCAAGACCCTACATTGAGCCCCAATCTATACAAGACGGAAAAGTTGGGTAGCTTTGGTTGAACAGGGGTGGGGGCCCAAATACCTTCCTGCTATGCCCCCCATTGTGATCCCTGAGGCATCTCCATGTTACTATGGAGCAGTTTGAAAACCTCTGGACAAGTTGCCACGAAGTTATCTTCCAAATCTGGTACATTAAGATTTGATGAGTCTAAGAAGTCAATGACAGACAAGAAATTGGAAGGCAAAATATGTCTTCTGATTAGTCGGGAGCAGTTCTACTAATGGATCTCATAAAAGAGGAAAAGTCAGAAATGCAGAGACAGGCTGGGTCAGAGGGCTTTTAAGTAAAATGAAGCTGCTGAAGGAGGAAACTATGAACAAGTTAAATTTTAATCCAAAAGGAAGCAGGTAAGAATATGAGCTAAGGGTTTCTCTTTAGGGGGCAATAAAGGAAAACACAAGCAATCCAAAGAAGTATGTACTTGTTAGTAGGGAAAAACTACCAAACTAGACCTTAAGTCTACCTGTCTCTTTACTGATTGTTATATAGAAGTATCATCTTTGCCCAGAAATAAAACCTCACATATACAGTCAATTGATGTTGGACAAGGGTGATAAGCCCATTTGATGAAGAAAGAATCATCTCTTCAACAAATGGCACTGGGAAAACTAGATATCCACAGGCAAAAGAATGAAGTTGGACCCTTATCTTTCATCATATACAAAAATTAACTTAGGGTTGAGTGAGCTGGCTCACACCTATAATTCCAGCATTTTGAGAGGCCAAGACGGGCACATCGGTTGAGCCCAGGAGTTTGAGACCAGCCTGGGCAACATGGCAATACCCTATCTCAACAAAAAACACAAAAATTAGCCTGGCATGTTGGCGCACTCCTGTAGTCCCAGCTACTCAGGAGGCTGAGGTGAGAGGATTGCTTGAGCCCAGGAGGCAGAGGTTGGAGTGAGCCAAGATTGCACCACTGCATTCCAGCCTGGGTGACAGAGTGAGACCCTGTCTCAAAAAATAAATAAATAAGTAAATAATAAAATAATAATTAAAAAATTAACTTAGATCAAAGACCTCAATTTAATAGCTAAAGCTAAAAATAACTCTTAGAAAAACACGTAGGGGAAATCTGCGTAACTTTGTTGGTTTCTTTTAAAATGACATCAAGAGCACAGACAGCAGCAATGAATTAAACTTTACCAAAATTATAACATTTGTGCACCAAAAGACTCTATCAAGACAGTAAAAAAATGACCCAGAGATGAGAGAAAGTATTTGTGAATCATCAGATGGGGGTTTAATATCTAGAATATATAAATAATTATAACTCAAAAACAAGAAGACAAGGCTGGACGCAGTGGCTCACACCTATAATCCCAGCACTTTTTGGGAGGCCAAGGCAGGTTGATCACCTGAGGTCAAGAGTTTGAGACAAGCCTGACCAACACGGCAAAACTCCATCTCTACTAAAAATACAAAAATTAGCTGGGCATGGTGGCACATGCCTGTAATCCCAGCTACTAGGCGGGCTGAGGCAGGAGGATCGCTTGAACCTGGGAGGCAGAGGTTGCAGTGAGCTGAGATCATGTCATTGCACTCCAGCCTGGGCAATAGAGCAAGACTCCATTAAAAAAAAAAAAGGACAAATAGTCCAATTAAAATGTGCAAAGGACTTGAATAGACCTTTCTCAAAAAAAATATGCAAATGGTTATAAGTATATGAAAAGATACTCAACATCATGAGTCATCAAAGAAATGTGAATACAAACCGCAAGGACACAGCACATCACACCCACTAGTATGGCTATAATCAAAAAAAGAGAAAATAATAAGTGTTGGTGAGGGTATGGAGAAATTGTAACCTTCTTACGTTGTTGATGGGAAAGTAAAATTGTGCAGCTACTGTGGAAAATAGTTTGGTGGTTCTTCAATGTTAAACATAGAATTACCATATGATCCTGCAATTCCACTGCCAGATATATACCCTCTCCAAAATTGAAAACAACGACTTAAGCAGGTATTGACATAGCAGTGTTAGTTGCAGCATTATTCACAATAGCCTAAGAATGGGAACAACCTGAGTGCCCACCAAGAGATGAATGAATAAAGAAAATGTGGTATACACATACAATGGAACATTATTCAGCACTAAAAAGGAATAAAGTTTTATTTTATTTTATTTTTGAGACAAGGTCTCTCTCTGTCGCCCAGGCTGGAGTGCAGCGGCATGATCTAGGATCACTGCAGCCTCAACCTCCCTGGCTCAGGCCATCTTCCTGCCTCAGCCTCCCAAGTAGCTGAGACCACAGGCACATGCCACCACGTCTGGCTAATTTCTGTATTTTTTTTTTTTCTGTAGAGATGGAGTTTCACCATGTTGTCCAGGCTTCCAGGCTTGTCTTGAACTCCTGAGCCCAAGCAATCTGGCCGCCTCGGCCTCCCAAAGTGCTGGGATTACAGGGGTGAGCCACCGCACCCAGCCGAAAGTTTTAATATATGCTGCAACATGGATGAGTCTTAAAAACATTAGGCTAAGTGGGCCAGGTGCGGTGGCTCATGCCTGTAATCCCAGCACTTTGGGAGGCTGAGGCGGGTGGATCACGAGGTCAGGTGATTGAGACCATCCTGGTTAACATGGTGAAACCCCGTCTCTACTAAAAATACAAAAAATTAGCCTGCCCTGGTGGCGGGCCCCTGTAGTCCCAGCTACTTGGGAGGCTGAGGCAAGAGAATGGCATGAACCCGGGAGGCGGAGGTTGCAGTGAGCCGAGATCAAGCCACTGCACTCCAGCCTGGGCGACAGAGCAAGACTCCATCTCAAAAACAAAACAAAACAAAACAAAAAAACAAAAAAAATTAGGCTAAGTGTAATAAGTCAGATATAAAAGGCCACATATTGCATAATTCCACTTATGTGTAATATCTAAAATACTAGAATAGGCAAATTCATAAAGACAGAAATTAGATTACAGATGTCCAGGGGCTAGAGGGAGCAAGGAATGAATTATTGCTTAATGAGTACAGAGCTGCTGTTCGGGATGATAAAAATATTTTGGAAATGACAATGGTAATATTTGCACAACATTGTGAATGCAATTAATGCCACTAAATTGTGCACTTAAAGTGGCTAAAATGGCAACATTTATGCTATGTATTAATATTTTTATCACAATAAAAGAAAATGAAGAGGAGTCCTCTTTAACCCACATGTAGTGAATGTAATGGTGAAGAGGACTTGGGGGGTTAACGAGCAAGTTCCTAGGTCAATTGGATTAAGAATTTCTAAATAAAGAAAAGAGAGGAGCCAGGTGAGGTGACTCATGCCTGTAATACTAGCACTTTGGGAGGCCGAGGTGGGTGGATCACCTGAGGTCAGGAGTTCGAGACCAGCCTGGGCAATGTGGTGAAACCCCGTCTCTACTAAAAAATACAAAAATTAGCTGGGCATAGTGGCGGGCGCCTGTAATCCCAGCTACTTGGTAGGCTGAGGCAGGAGAATCTCTTGAATCTGGGAGGTGGAGGTTGCAGTGAGCTGAGATAGTGCCATTGCACTCCAGCCTGGGTGAAAAGAGTGAAACGCCATCTCAAAACAAAAAACAGAAAAGAAAGTAAGGTGATGCTGATTATGAGGCATATACATCAGAAAAACAAGAATTCCATCTGCAGAAAGAAAGAACAGAAGACCCATGGCATGTCTGGGACCCCCACTAACCATCAGTCTGGAGGCAGTATTTCCAGTACAACAAACCCAGCATGAGGTCCCTCAAGTGCTCCTAGTCCAGTCTCTGGAGAACTTGCCCTAAGTTCTTTTGACAGAGGGACACTGTAAAACTTAAAAGGTAAAGCTACTGGCCGGGCTCGGTGGCTCACGCCTGTAATCCCAGCACTTTGAGAGGTGGGCGGATCACTTGAGCTCAGGACTTTGAGACCAGCCTGGGCAACACGGCAAAACCCTGTCTCTACCAAAAATACAAAAATTAGCTGGGAGTGGTGGCACACACCTGTAATCCCAGCTACTTGGGGGGCTGAGGCAGGAGAATCGCTTGAACCTGGGAGGCAGAGGTTGCAGTGAGCCGAAGTTGTGCCACTGCACTCCAGCCTGGGCAATAGAGCAAGACTTTGTTGAAAAAAAAAAAAAAAGCTACCATTAAACTCAGACAAGACCTGTGAGACCAGACCAGTAAAAGGTGGCAGAAAGCTCTCGATCATCAGTTGGGGAATCCACTCTTATCTGATCTCAGGAGCATCACAAGAAGGCATTGGCAGGACATATCGTGAGACCACAGAACTGCTGTGGCGCCAAATTTCATGGCCTCCAAAGGGGAATGCGAGCCACTCAGGGTCCATGGGAAAGTGACAAGCCCAGGAGTTGACCTTCCAGATATGAGACTGGGTGGGGCTCAGAGCCATATGCCCTAAGCATGGATTGAGTCTGTATATTAGACAAGCCAGCACCTTTGCCAGTAGGGATGCTGTGAACATGTTTAACACTCAGGTCCTGGACTGTCCCATGGTCTTAGATGCCCTGGACAAAATGAATTACTGTTGGGGAAGCAGGGGATGAGTGCGGTGGCTCACACCTGTAATCCCAGCACTTTGGGAGGCTGTGATGGTTAATACTGAGTGTCAACTTGATTGGATTGAAGGATGCAAAGTATTGATCCTGGGTGTGTCTGTGAGGGTGTTGCCAAAAATAGATTAACACTGGAGTCAGTGGGCTGGGAAAGGCAGACCCATCCTTAATGTGGGTGGGCACCATCTAATCAGCAGCCAGTGCAGCTAGAATATATAGCAGGCAGAAAAAAAAAATGTGAAAAGGCTAGGCTGGCCTAGCCTCGTGGCCTACATCTTTCTCCCATGCTGAATGCTTCCTGCCCTTGAACATCAGACTCCAAGTTCTTCAGTTTTGGGACTTGGACTGGCTCTCCTTGCTCCTCAGTTTGCAGATGGCCTATTGTGGGACCTTGTGATCATATGAGTTAATACTTAATAAACTCCCGTATGTGTGTGTGTGTATGTGTATATATATATATATATATATATATATGTGTGTGTGTGTGTGTGTGTATATATATATATGTGTATATATATATGTGTGTGTATATATATATGTGTATATATATATGTGTATATATATATGTGTATATATATATGTGTATATATATATGTGTATATATATATATGTGTATATATATATGTGTATATATATATATGTGTATATATATATGTGTATATATATATATGTGTATATATATATGTGTATATATATATATGTGTGTGTATATATATATATATATATATATATATATATATATATATCCTGTTAGTTTTGTCCCTCTAGAGGACCCTGACTAAAACAGAGGCTGAAGCAGGCAGATCACTTGAGCTCAGGAGTTCAAGATAGGCCTGGGCAACATGGTGAAACCCCGTCCCTACAAAAAATACAAAACTTAGCATGTGCCTCTTTTTTTTATTATAGCCATACTAGTCCCAGCTACTGGGGAGGCTAAGGTGGGAGGATCACCTGAGTCCGGGAGGTGGAGGCTGCAGTGAGCCATGATAATGCCACTGCATTCCAGCCTGGGCAACAGAGCAAGACCCTGTCTCAAAATAAAAAAGAGTTACAGTTAAATATTTACTTAAAAATATTCATTTTAATCTGTATCTCGCATGAAACACACACTGTTACATATGGCTCACAAGACCAAGTGAATCAGTCAGTAGCTATTCGGCTCCCTGCCCCCTCAGTTTCCCCTTCAGCCAGGGTCCACCACTTAGCTATTCACACCTACCTGTGCTGGGCTGTCCACAGCCTGTGACTGGTTCTTGTAATACCAAGGAGTATAACAAACTTTTAGACAAACCTAACATTTGGTCTAAGTTCTCTAGGTCTTCTCATTGGAGTCTTGTGTTTCCTGACCTTCTACTGTGTCCCACCCCTGGTCCCCGCCCATAAAGCTACTTCCCATTTAGCATATTCTTTTCAGTTTGGAGGATGGTTCCCATATGCCCACCTGCTTTCAGTCTCACTGCTCACCCTCACCACCAGGGCTTGTGTAGCCCTTGATTTGGGCCTGCTGGGCTTTGCTCTACTGCCTTATGTACCCATATTGCTCTGCATCTTAGCTCTAATCTACCCACTTGCCTGAGGTCCCCAGATCCAATGTGACGAAGTTTCATCTCTCCCAACCCATCCTATGATCAACAGTTGCGTACTGCCTCAGCTCTGATAAAAGATACCTTCTGATTTCTAATGGAAATGAAATCAAACTGTAAGCTCAGTCCTTTCAAGTAGAAAATAGATCGCTTAA
This sequence comes from Homo sapiens, assembly GCF_000001405.40. Taxonomy (NCBI): domain Eukaryota; kingdom Metazoa; phylum Chordata; class Mammalia; order Primates; family Hominidae; genus Homo; species Homo sapiens. The sequence continues at coordinate 133,485,245 of NC_000023.11, read as the reverse complement.
AGGTTGTTCCAGGAAGCTTAAACTTATAAAATGATCATGAACATCCCCAGAATACATTTTATGCCCAGTTACTTTTGGAGCTAAATGGGGTCGCAAAATGTTCACTGACAACAGTAATGACTTATCCCAATAGACAGATTCAACCCATGCTTAGGGTTCCTGCAAAGCACAGACACCCCCTTTGCTTTGAAAGCACCCCAAAAAAGTAGTTGAAAGCACTTCTGATTTGGTTGCTCAAAAATACAATTGAGGCAGGGCACGGTGGCTCACACCTTTAATCCCAGCACTTTGGAAGGCCAAGGCAGGTGGATCACCTGAGGTCAGGAATTTAAGACCAGCCTGGCCAACATGGTGAAATGCTGTCTCTACTAAAAATACAAAAATTAGCCAGGTGTGGTGAAAGGCTTCTGTAATCCCAGCTACTTGGGAGGCTGAGGCAGGAGAATCCTTTGAACCTGACAGGTGGAGGTTGCAGTGAGCTGAGATTGCACCACTGCACCACAGCATGGGTGACAGATTGAGACTCTGTCTCAAAAAAAAAAAAAATGGCTCTCCCTCTCCCTCTCCCTCTCCCCCTCCCCCTCCCCCTCCCCCTCTCCCTCTTTGCACAGTCTCCCTCTGATGCGAGCCGAGGCTGGACTGTACTGCCGCCATCTCGACTCACTGCAACCTCCCTGCCTGATTCTCCTGCCTCAGCCTGCCGAGTGCCTGGGATTGCAGGCGCGCACCACCACGCCTGACTGCTTTTCGTATTTTTTGGTGGAGACGGGGTTTCACCATGTTGGCTAGGCTGGTCTCCAGCTCCTGACCGAGAGTGATCTGCCAGCCTCGGCCTCCCGAGGTGCCGGGATTGCAGACGGAGTCTCGCTCACTCAGTGCTCAATGTTGCCCAGGCTGGAGTGCAGTGGCGTGATCTCGGCTCGCTACAACCTCCACCTCCCAGCCGCCTGCCTTGGCCTCCCAAAGTGCCGAGATTGCAGCCTCTGCCGGGCCGCCACCCTATCTAGGAAGTGAGGAACATCTCTGCCTGGCCGCCCATCATCTGGGATGTGAAGGAGCCCCTCTGCCCGGCCGCCCAGTCTGGGAAGTGAGGAGCGCCTCTTCCCGGCCGTCATCCCGTCTAGGAAGTGAGGAGCGTCTCTGCCCGGCCTCCCATCGTCTGGGATGTGGGGAGCGCCTCTGCCCCGCCACCCCGTCTGAGATGTGAAGAGCGCCTCTGCCCGACCGCGACCCTGTCTGGGAACTGAGGAGTGTCTCTGCCCCGCCGCCAACCCGTCTGGGAGGTGAGGAGCGTCTCTGACGGGCCGCCCCCTCTGAGAAGTGAGGAGCCCCTCCGCCCGGCAGCCGCCCCATCTGGGAAGTGAGGAGCGTCTCCGCCCGGCAGCCGCCCAGTCCGGGAGGTGGGGGGCAGCCCCCGTCCGGCTGCCGCCCCGTCTGGGAGGTGGGGGGCACCTCTGCCCGGCCGCCCTGTCTGGGAAGTGAGGAGACCCTCTGCCCGGCTGCCACCCCGTCTGGGAGGTGTACCCAACAGCTCATTGAGAACGGGCCATGATGATGATGGCGGTTTTGTCCAATAGAAAAGGGGGAAATGTGGGGAAAAGAAAGAGAGATCAGATTGTTACTGTGTCTGTGTAGAGAGAAGTAGACATAGGAGACTCCATTTTGTTCTGTACTAAGAAAAATTCTTCTGCCTTGTGATCCTGTTGATCGGTGACCCTAACCCCAACCCCGTGCTCTCTGAAACATGTGCTGTGTCCACTCAGGGTTAAATGGATTAAGGGCGGTGCAAGATGTGCTTTGTTAAACAGATGCTTGAAGGCAGCATGCTCGTTAAGAGTCATCACCAATCCCTAATCTCAACTACCCAGGGACACAAAACACTGTGGAAGGCGGCAGGGCCCTCTGCCTAGGAAAACCAGAGACCCTTGTTCACATGTTTATCTGCTGACCCTCCCTCCACTATTGTCCTATGACCCTGCCAAATCCCCCTCTCCGAGAAACACCCAAGAATGATCAATAAATACTAAAAAAATTAAAAAAAAAATGAAGCAATCATTATGGGAAAACCAGGAATTTGTTGCACTTATTTTCAGTTTAATGTTGCTTTTAGTTGATTTACACAGACTGTCAGGAGACATCATAATCTCCTCCATATCTGGGGTCTCTGAAGGTTTTTATAAGATACTGGATGGCCACTTACAGAGCCCTATGGATTTCCCATAGTCTTTTTGGAGGCCACTTAGACAATGGGGACAAGGGAGAAAAAAACTGAGTTCAAAAATGGGTGAGGTCCAGGTTGGGACATTTGCTTTAGGCCTTCTCTTGGGTAACATGGCTGAATCATTTAAATTCAAAGCTAAAGCTAAGGCTAAGACTAACAGACATCCAGGTTCAGGTTTCAGCGAGTCACAGACAGGCAACTTCAGTTCAAAGAAAAGGCATTTGGCTCTATTTTTTTTCTTTCTATAAAGAGCTCTTATGAAGAGAAAGTTAATTTCTGTGACTCATAAACAGAAGATTTCCAAAGCTCCATAAGGTTTCTATGCAATTAGGTCAGGATAACTTGATGAGAAAATAAATAATTCCATGTTTCCTACGAGTGTATCCATGTACATAATGTACACTCCGTAAGAGCAGGGTTCAGGAACAGTGCTGGTTGGCAAGGAAAGAAGAGCGCTCATTCTGATTAATAACTAGAGCATCTCCATGTGTACCAGGGCACCCAAACTAGACTTTGTCGGGGATTGGCTGCTGGCCACATGGCAAGAGCATTTGTGATATTGCCACACACCCAGGAAACAGCAGCTCCTTCTCCAATCCATAGGCACCAAGTTGGGCTGCTAAAAATATATGGAGTTAAGCAATCTGGAAGTTTCTGGGTATGGAAAAACCGAGAGACCCTTTGCATTAGGAATAGCAAAGAGCAGATAGTGCCCTCTGGGCCCTCACAACATCAGGATAGAAAATGGAGAATCAGAAAGAAACACTCAGGCAAACATCCAAGAAAGGCTCCAGTATTTACACACTGTTTTACTTGACTTCTACATGTTGCTACAGCATCATAGGGGAAGAAATCCTTTCTGCAAACATGAGAAATGTGACCTCCAAAGAAGATGTTAATTGTACACATTGGTTCAAAGAAAACTCTAATTGCAGCATCCCCGGTACTTTCTTCTTATAAGTTGTTTCTGAAGATGATGCCAATAGACAGTGACCCTGAAAGCTCTGGGGTGACTGCACCCAGTCTCCACTCAGCTCAGGAGTTCAGCCTGCTCCTTATCTCTGCTGCTACTCTCCTAGGACTTCTAAGGAAAAGTACATGAGAGGCACCCAGAGTTGCCTAACTCTGGGTGCCCAAAGAAAGACTAGCACAGAGAGACTAGGAGCTGAGGAAGACAGGACAGCAAAGGGAGGAGGAAGCATAGCTTTATCCACTAAGGATGGATCCCACACCCAAGTCCTGCCCCAGGCCTGAGAACAGAGGTATAGGAGGAGAAGTCCAAGCGGTCTAGGGCTCTGCCTCCACATAGCCACCTGAGCCTCTACCATTGATCAGTCAAAGGTCCACTCAGGCCTCTCCTCTGAATTCCAAGCTCACCTATCCAACCACCTAATCAATGTTTCCATACAAATATCAGATAAGGTCCTCAAACATAACGCATCAAAAACCAAACTTTTTTCCATTAAGAGACAGAGTCTCACTATGTTGCACAGGCTGGTCTCAAACTCCTGGGCTCAAGCAGTCCTACCACCTCAGCCTCCCAAAGTGCTTGGATTACAGGTGTGAACCACTGTGCCCAGGCTAAAAACCAAATTCTTGACTTTTGTCTACCTCCTTCCCTAACCCCATCCACCATCTTCTCAATCACTCTTAATGTGACTCTATTCTTCCACTTGTATAGATCAAAGACATGAGCTCATCCTGGACTCCTGATTTTCTCTCAAATCTTACATTCAATCATCAGCAAATACTGTTGGTTCCATTTTCTTTTCTTTTCTTTCTTTTTTTTTTTTTTTTTGAGATGGAGTCTCATTCTGCTGCCCAGGCTGGAGTGCAGTGGCACAATCTCAGCTCACTGCAACCTCTGCTCCCCAGGTTCAAGTGATTCTCCTTCCTCAGCCTCCCAAGCAGCTGGGATTACAGGTGCCTGCCACCGCACCTGGCTAATTTTTGTATTTTTAGTAGAGACAGGGTTTCACCATCTTGGCCAGGCCGGTCTTGAACTCCTGACCTCGTGATCCACCTGCCTCGGCTTCCCAAAGTGCTAGGATTACAGCTGTGAGCCACCACACCCAGCCGGTTCCACTTTCAAATGATCTCCAGAATCTGACTACTTCTCATCTCCTCCCCCTCTACCACCCTGGCCTGAGCCATCATCAGCTCTAGCCTGCATTATGGCACTAGCGCGCTCTGAGCTTCCACCTTTATTCTCGTACACTCTATTCTCCATGCAGCAGCCAGCCCGATCCATGTGAATTGTAGAGCAGGGCATGTCACTCTTCTGCTCAGCACCTTCTTATGTCTTCTCATTCCATTCAGTCAAAGCCAAAGTCCTTACCATGGTCAACAACCTCCCCCGCCCCAATCTGACCTCCCATAGTGCCATCTTATACTGCTTTCCACCTCACCCATTACATTTCAGCCACAACTTCCATATTATTCCTCAAAAATGAGGCCAGGTGTGGTGGTGCCAACCTGTAGTCCCAGCTACTTGGGAGGCTGAGGCAGGAGAATAGATTGAACCCAGGAGGTAGAAGTTGCAGTGAGCTGAGATTAAGCCACTGCACTCCAATCTGGGCAACACAGCGAGACACTGTTTCAAAAAAAAAAAAAAATTGCCTAGCACACTTACTTTAGGGCCTTCGCTCAGGCTGTTTTCTCTTCCTGGAATGCTCTTCCCCACTCCAGATCTCCTAGGCTGACCCCTTCTCCTCCTTCTGGTCTTCATTCAAATAGTGCCTTGTGTAAATGACTCCCTGACTCCCCTAATTGAATTTGCAACCCTTTCCCCAAGTCTCCCTTTCCCTTCTCCCTGCTTCATTTTTCTCCATAGTGATGATAATTTATCATTTAGTTAGTTTATTATCTGCCAGAATGTAAGCTTCACGAGGACAGAGGTTGTTACATGTTTACTGTGGTATCATCTAGCACAGAGTTTGGCACAGAGGAGTCACTCAGTATTAGTTGAATGACTGATAGAACCTAGCCTCCTTCTCCCTCCTCTTCCCTGCTTGCATCCAGCTCCTCCTTGGTAAAGCTTTTATTCCTCCGGTCTGTTTGGGCCTTGAGACGGGAAAAGTAAGGCTTTCTTCTCTGCAAAAAAAATATTTCTGGCCACGTGAAATAAGGGAAGGGAAACCCATCTTTCCCCCTGAAATACTCCTCATTATCTTCCTGCAAAGCCAGCCCTGACAAGAAACTTGGGTGGGATGGTCACCATTATTTAGGACAAACCATACCTGGGAAGGGCTGAGATGAGCAACTTCTGGGACTCCATTCAGAGGGTTCTAGGTTTGGGAAAGCCAGCTCTGAATTCCCACACCATTTTCCCACTCCCAAATCTCCCTCACTGCCTATTGCCATGAGTCTGTAAATTCTCTTAGAGAATGATCCTTCTCTGTTTTGTTCACTGCTGTGTCCCTAGTGCTTAGAGCACTGCTTAGAGCATAGTAGATGCTCACCGGACGTGGTGGCTCACGCCTGTAATCCCAGCACTTTGGGAGGCTTAGGCGGGCGGATCACAAGGTCAGGAGATCAAGACCATCCTGGCTAACACAGTGAAACCCCATCTGTACTACAAATACAAAAAAATAGCCGGAAGTGGTGGTGGGCACCTGTAGTCCCAGCTACTCGGGAGTCTGAGGCAGGAGAATGGCGTGAACCCGGGAGGCGGAGCTTGCAGTGAGCCGAGATCACGCCACTGCAGTCCAGCCTGGGTGACTAGGCGAGACTCCATCTCAAAAAAAAAAAAAAAAAAAAAAAAAAAGAACATAGTAGATGCTCAGTAAATATTTCTTGGATGGATGAATGAATGAATGAACTGTGAAATGACCAAGTATATAGGGGTTAACTCGCTACCTGCCTGACACCTAATCACAGCTCTTCCTACCCTTTTCTCTCCCATCCTGTAGGTAATCTGCCTTGGCTCCCTTAATTCTCTTCTGTTTGTGTTCTGCCTTGTACTACACCATTTCCATGTCTCCTTCCTATTCCTAGTCCCCGCCACAATCCCTGCCTGGACTTCCAACACAGTTGGCAGTGGCCTTGAGATATCTTTCCTTGCTCTTTCTGTAAGTGGGACAGATCTTGCTTCCTTGAGTGCGTACTATGTGCCAGGTGCCCTACTGAGTGCATTAAACTCATTTTCTTTAATCCATAGAACAACGATGGATAGATGTCTCTAAACAACATCAGCTCCCTTCCAAATGACAGAGGATCTGTGCCTGCTCTCTGATTGGGCCTCATCCTTCAGGACAAAGGAAGAGATGCTTTCTCTGCGCTTTGCACAATGAATGTTGACTTAGCCCACCGTCAACACAATCCCACTTAGTGCCTTCAAGAGAAGTCTCTCAGAGTCCCATTCACTCTACTCAGGGTAAGGCCCAAGTACTGACTTCCCAGGATGCCTTGCGCTGAGCACACCTGAATGATGACCCACAGAAGAGCTGAGGCCTGGGTTTCAGCTGCCAATTGTAGCAAATTTCTCCAGAACCCAAACTCTCACCTTGCCCTCTGACAATCAGGCCCGAGAGACCTACATCATTGTACAGTGCATGGTCTGTATATTTTGTCTCAAAGCAAGCATTTAAAAATCCTCGCCTGGGAATGGAGTGAAAAGCATTTATGGAAATATTCAAAACATGCATCTCTGTTCCTCAATGAGAACCAATGCTGAGGATGTGACGTTTATAGGACATGTCAGTAGAAAAGATTACTTTTCTTAAAATACATTTGTTAAATGATAGGTCAAACAGCAAACGGATGGGAACCTACAACTGGGAGACATCACGGGAAGAGGGAAATATGATTTTTATTATAAACATATGCATTTTATTATTTCTCCCAGTGAGGATCAGGATTGGGAATCTGCAGCTGTGAAAGGGCAAAAAGAGAGCAGTATTTTTAGACCTGTCACTTTAAAATATACCTTCTCCTGCTTTGCTGCAGCACTTCTCTAAACAAGGCCCTTTAGGAGCCTGAACATTGCGAGAAGGAATACACATATAAAACAAACAGCTGGGAGGCAGTTCCTCTTGCCCTCAAAAACACCGTCTAAAATAGAGCTTGGTTTATCACCACCCCCACCCAGGCCCAGCTCAATTCCCAGGCTCAGGCCGTTGGGCCACTGTCCTCCCCATTTTGAACCATGGCAATCATCAGTGTCTCCCCCATCTCCGGCAATTGCAGTCCTCCCTGGCACTAGATCCTGTTGGTTCTTTCTCAGGAAGTCTCTTTGAATGAGCCTAAACATGAGAAGCTACTGCTTCGTGGGGCCTCCTAGGTGCCTTAGACACACTTCCTTCCAGGTCACTTTTACCTTCTTAAACTTGTGGCTAGCTTCTCTCACCTTGCTTTAGCTCTGGGGATCCAGTGGCTTCCCTAGGAGGCAAGCAAGAGGGTTAGCCCCAGTTTAGAGGGAAGGAAACAGAGGCTTCTTGCTCAAGGTTACACAGCTCATAAGTGGTAGGTACATGGGGTGGTGGAGGGAATTTGAATCCAGGTGTGTCTGGTTCCAAAGCCCTTGCTTGTGCCATAGGCTGTGCTGGTTCTCCATTCTCCCAGCCCTAGCCTTGGCCAAGCACTGACCACCGTGGGTCTGCATGGCTGCAAAACCCTCCACTCAACTCCTCCAAGTCTTGCACATAAAGCCACAGGCATCTGCCTAAAAGGCTTCTTTCTTTACATCCCTGTCATTCTGCAGGGTCTTCTGTATTGCTCGGGGATCACATTCCAAAGTCCTCATCCTGCCATATAAAACCCTCCCTGACCCACTCTTATCTCCAACTTTTCTCCAACAATTCCCCTCTCACTTCACCCTCTTTGACCTGGCCAGGCCACAGAGTCTGGCCCACACTGGTCATGCTCATTCCTGCCCTGCCATCTTTGTGCTGTAATCGTCTGCCTGGAATGCCTTTTACTCTCTTTATCGCCTTCCCAAACCTTCACAAATGACTCCAAAAAGATGAGAGCCCTCTCGCACCATATAATCCACTGCTTGGGCCTGTGCAGTGTTACAACATCCTTCTAGTTGTGTTGTATGTCTCTCTTCTTTCCCCAACAGACTGGTGTACTGCTTTTCCTCATGTCTGGCACCATATTGGGCACAGAATGGATGCCTAGTATTTTCTGGCCTGTTTTGGCTTGATTCGATAAAGTGCCATGTTAAAAAGGGTATCTCCAAGGAGGAGGGTTTATGGGAAGGGTTGTGACCTGTATGAAAGCAACTCCTTTGTTTGCAGTCAGAGTTGGCTATTAGAGAACTGAAAGCACTGGATCAGGCCTTTGTTTTTCTTTTCTTTTCTTTTCTTTTCTTTTCTTTTCTTTTCTTTTCTTTTCTTTTCTTTTCTTTTCTTTTCTTTTCTTTTTTTTGAGACAGGGTCTCGCTCTGTCACCCAGGCTGGAGTGCAGTGGTGCGATCTCAGCCCACTGCAACCTCCACCTCCCAGGTTCAAGCGATTCTCGTGACTCAGCCTCCTGAGTAGCTGGGATTACAGGCACGTGCCACCATGCCTGGCTCATTTTTGTATTTTTAGTAGAGACGGGGTTTCACCATGTTGGCCAGGCTGGTCTTGAACTCCTGGCCTGAAGCGATCCACTTGTCTCGACCTCCCAAAATGCTAGGATTACAGGCGTGAGCCACCATGCCTGGCCTCAACCCTTTCAATCAAGTGATTTGGTCTGTTTGGTCCCTTAAGTCAAGCAGTGGCTTCTTCCCTGTGGCATCCAGAACCAAATCCTGGAGCAAGTGGGAGAGACAGGCACTTTATTAATGGCATGTCATCGCCTGCATGGGACTGCTCTGCCAGCAAGAATGCAATTTCTCCAGCCACTTTGCAAATGACCAAATGATGGGTTTACTCAATCTTTCATGCTGCCAGGCTCAACATTTTCATTTACTTCTTTCATTACCCTTGGCATGGTTTCCATACTGGGGAAGGCAGAACTCTCCCAGGCTCACATCTCCCTAGGGGCTCTAAAAAATACTTTGCCTTAAAATTAAGATCTTTGGTTCCTAGGAATCTCTACCCTTACCCCTGCCCACCCACCCAGGGCACTGGCAGGGGTCTCAGGCCTGTGGAGAACATTGAAGTCCACATTCACATTTTGGTCCTTGTTTTTCAACCATTTCCTAGTGAAATACTATCATTTGGAGAAACAGTTCTGTCAGGAAGTCATTGCAGGCAAAAATCAAATCCACAGCACTCCACACAAAAACAAACAGCCTGCAAAGCCCTTCAGTGGGACTCCAAGAACTGCCATTTGGAAGGGAGGTCAGGAAGTGGAGCGTAAACATCTGGTGTTCTAAAGCACTGGCCTGGGGGCTGTGTGCAGATGTGAGAAGCCATGGGCTCCATGGTTTGGCCTCTGAGTACCTTCTCTTTACTTTTTCTCAGGACAGATTTTTGGCCACCAGGGCACTGAGTCACCCAGACCTCAATTAACACTGGAAATGCTACTCAAACAGATGGACTATTTATCAAGGTGATGGTCCATTTTCACTGACTACTTCTAACATTTCTTTTTAAATTAGCCAACTTGCTAATTGGCTTAGCATTTCTTGGCATAATTGGTGCTAGAAGGTCTTTGGCTCTTTGGAAGGTCTTTTCTTTAAGTCATTTTTCAATTCACGCTGGCTCCATGGGCATTTTGCAAGAATGGATTAACTTGGTACAGTCGACACCTTTTTTTCATGAAACTAGTGTGAAAACAAGCACTTTGGCTCCTGGAGTGTCTCAAAAAGAAGATGATGTTAACAATAGTAGATTTTCTCAAAACACCTTTCATTGAAAGGCCTTGGCATGTTTTACAAAAGTTAACTACTTACATCTCCCAACACACCTGCATCCTAAATCAGAGCCATCCAGATAGCTCTCCCTGGATGAAATGTAGTCCCATGTAGAGTCAAATTCCCAAGTGGAATCTGTAATTGCTGGAGTTGCAAGTTGATGGACAGTTTTTGGTTAACATCCAAAATGTTGCTAACACTGTAATGGGATCTTCACTGGGGGTCCCATTGGATCACAACCTCCCCCTTTCCCCCATCTAATTGGAAAGATGATGCTTCTAGGCCTGTGTGTCTCAAGTGTAATCTATGGTCAATAAGGTACCATCACTTTTTCACTGGCTGGGTTAACATACAAAACAGGACGCTGACCTGATGGCTGAGTGAGGATATTGGCCAGCACAAAAAGCAGATAGAAGGTAGAAATGAAGGCTGACGGAAATCATCCTGACTCAGCTGCTAAAATTTCCCCAGATGTTAACTAACAGAACTGGGAGTTCTACTCTACCATACTGCCAGCAGAAAGGAAGTGGCTGGATCCCAAGAGCTAAAGCAAGCTGAGAGGCTGGGTGCGGCAGCTCACTCCTGTAATCCCAGCATTTTGGGAGGCCAAGGTAAGAAGATCACTTGAGCCCAGGAGGTCGAGACCAGCCTGGGAAACATAGGAAGACCCCCATCTTTACAAAAAAAAAAATTTGGCAGTGTGGTGCACCTGTGGTCCCAGCTACTTGGAAGGCTGAGGTGGGAGGATCACTTGAGCCTGGGTGATCAAGGCTGCAGTGAGCTATGATCATGCCACTGCACTCCAGCCTGGGAGACAGGGCAAGACCCTATCTCAAAAATTAATTAATTAATTAAGCAAACTGACAGAAGCCAGCCACAAATATAAGAAGATAAAAGTGACCAGAGGAGAGGCAAATGAGAAACCTGGCTGAAGGACATCCATACCTCACATGGCCTCATTCCCTCTTCCCATCATTTTATTTTTTTATTTATTTTATTTTATTTTATTTTATTTTATTTATTTTATTTTATTTTATTTTATTTTTGAGACGAAGTCTTGCTCTGTCGCCCAGACTGGAGTGCAGTGGCACAATCTCAGTTCACTGCAACCTCTGTCTCCTGGGTTCAAGCAATTCTCCTGCCCCAGCCTTCTGAGTAGCTGGGATTACAGGCATGCACCACCATTCCTTGCTAATTTTTGTATTTTTAGTACAGACGAAGTTTTACCATGTTGGCCAGGCTGGTCTTGAACCCCTGACCTCAAGTGATCTGCCTGCCTCAGCCTCCCAAAGTGCTGGGATTATAGGCATGAGCCACCGTACCCAGCCCCATCATTCAATTTAATAATACACCGGGAATTCTCTGAGTCCACTTTACTCTCCACCTAAAGGTGCTTTCCCTGTCACCCCTTTAACAAAATTGTAAGGCTCAGGAAGTTCAGCATGAAGTGAATTCCTAAAATGCTGGCCCAACAGGAGTTGCTAGATTTGCTTGCTTATTTGTTTATTTGTTTGTTTTTACCATGGCTTTCTCTCCCAGTAGGAATCTTGACTTACTTGGTAGCTGACCTCAGTAATGCCTTCAATGCTGCTCTGCAATTTTTTTTTTTTTGTCCCTAGTCTATGCCTCCCATTAACCACAGTGACTAATCCAAGCTTTACTCTTCTTCAAGTCCCCAGCCCCACCTCTGTCTTCCTCACTCTTAGCAGATTGACTTGTCCTTGCAGGGAAAACACATGCCATCCAGTGTGAACTTTTTCCTTCCTTTCCCCTGAGTATCAGCAAGGAGGGTCCCTCTTCAGCTCCAGAGTCTTGATGTCAATCCTTTCCTCTTCCTGGGACTTTGTTACAATCACCCATCGTGTTTACCTCCTGTGTCTTCAAGCTTTCCCTCTCTGCTTGCTTTCTCCCTCAGCCTATAATTATGCTGAAGCCTCAATTTGGGAAAGGTCAGCTTTTTCCACATGCCCTTTATTTTTATTTATTTATTTTTTTGAGACTGTGTCTCACTCTGTCACCCAGGCTGGAGTGCAGTGGTGCAATCTCGGCTTGCTGCAACCTCTACTTCCTGGGTTCAAGCGATCCTCTCACCTCAGCCTCCCAAGTAGCTGGGATTACAGGTGTGAACCACCAACGCCTGGCTAATTTTTGTAGAGATGGGTTTTCGCCATGTTGGCCAGGCTGGCCTCGAATCCCTGAGCTCAAAGCGATCCACCCACCTCGGCCTCCCAAAGTATTGGGATTTCAGATTTGAGCCCCTGCACCCAGCCTCCACATGCCCTTTAAATGAGGGGTTCCACAGGGTTCTAGCCTAAGCTTGCTCACAATATCCTTATTGATTTTCCTCCACTCCCACTTTTCAAATGTCTCCAACACACCAAATAGCCCTCAAGTATTATGAGCTCCAGACCTATCTTGCCAAATGTCTACTGATGATAGCTCCACCTAGATATCCCACAGGCCCTTCAAATTCAGGCTGCCCAACTTGAAGACATCTTTCCCACCTTCCACTCTCACCCTGTTTCTTTATCTGTTTTCCCTCTCTCAACTGCTGACACCAGCATCCATCCAGGCACGTGAGTCTAAAACCTGGGCGTTATCTTTAATACCTCTCTGCTTTTCCACATTTCATTGGATGCCTAGACTTGTCTATTCTATGCCCTCAATATCACCATCTGCCAAGTCCACTCTCTCTCTACATTTTAGTAGCCATTTGGTTATGTCAAGTCTACCTGCTTAACAACTCCAGTAGCTTTGTTCTATATTCACCTCCCAATTGCACTATTTTAACAGTCACCTAAGTGGCCTCCTTGCTTCCTATAGATCCCTCCAATTTGTGTTCTATACTGTAGCCAGAGCAAGCTTCTCCTTTCCCTGGACTAACCTAACATTATCTTCCCTGTACTATAAGTCATGACTTATAATAGCACATATTATAAGTTATAAACATCTGTTGTTTATATGTAAATGAGTCCCCCCCCAGGTTGTGAGCTACCTGAGGAAAGCCTTGCTCTTTAATTTGACTCACCTTTAATTCGAGTAAATGAATGTGTACAATTCTGTTTGGCTACATCTGGTGGAAGGACAGCCGTAGACACTGTTGCCATACCTACCAGAATGGCTAAAATTTTCAAAGCAGACAATACCAATTGTTGGAATAAATGAAATATCTTCCATTGCTAAGCAGAGGATAAATTGTTACAAACACATTGGAAAACTACTTAGCAGTTGTATATATCCCATGGACAAGAAAGTTCACTCCTAGGTATATTGCCAACATAAATATATACACATTTGTACCAAAAAGATACATAAAAAACGTTCTTATAGTACTATGAATAACAGTTTTCAACTAGAAAAGACTCAAATGACTATTGCCAACAGGATGAATGCTATATACCACTGAGGAGGAAATTACAATTTCTATAAACAAAAAATAGAAAAATCTCACAAATATAATGTTAAATGAAAGAAGCCAGACACAAAAGAATATACACTATAGGATTCCATTCATATATGGCTTAAAGATGGGCAAAATTAATCTATGGTGTTAGCAAAGAAGGGAACAACAGACACTGGGGTCTACTTGAGAGTGGAGGGTGGGAATAGGGAGAAGAGCAGAAAAAAAATAACTATTGGGTACTAGGCTTAGTACCTGGGTGATGAAATAATCTGTACACCAAACCCCTGTGACATGAGTTTACCTATATAACAAACCTGCACATGTACCCCAGAACCTAGAATAAAAGTTAAAAAAATTAAAAATAAAAGACAAACCTCAGCAAAAAAAAAAAAAGGTTAAAAAATTCTATGATGTTAGATGTCAGGTTAGTGACCACCTTTGGAGGGGAGTAAGTGACTGACGGGAAATTATGGGAACTGCTGGGATGCGGGTAGTGTTCTGTTTCTTTATCTAGGTGATAGCTACAAAGGTGTGTTCGGATGTGAAAATTCATCAAGCTGACACTGAGGATTAGTATACTTTTGTGTGTATGTTACAGCTCATTAAAAAGTTTTAGCCAGGTGCAGTGGCTCACGCCTGTAATCCCAGCACTTTTGGAGGCTGAGGCGGGCGGATCATGAGGTCAGGAGTTCGAGACCAGCCTGACCAACATGGTGAAACCCCATCTCTACTAAAAATACAAAAATTAGCCGGGTGTGGTGTCACGCACCTGTAATCCCAGCTACTCAGGAGGCTGAGGCAGGGGAAGCACTTGAAACTGGGAGACAGGAGAATTGCTTAAAACCGGAAGGCAGAGATTGCAGTGAGCCGAGATCACGCCACTGCACTCCAGCCTGGGCGAAAGAGCAAAACACTGTCTCAAAAAAAAAAAAAGTTTTAAAAAGTGTACCCTGAGCAGCCGACCATGGTGGCTCACACCTATAATCCCAGCACTTTGGGAGACCGAGGCGGGCAGATCACGAGGTCAGGAGATCGTGTCCATCCTGGCTAACACGGTGAAACCCCGTCTCTACTAAAAATACAAAAAAAATTAGCTGGGCATGGTGGCGGGCGCCTGTAGTCCCAGCTACTCTACTCAGGAGGCTGAGGCAGGAGAATGGTGTGAACCCGGGAGGCGGAGCTTACAGTGAGCCGAGATTGAGCCACAGCACTCCAGCCTGGGCGACAGAGCGAGACTCTATCTCAAAAAGAAAAAAAAAAAAAAAGTGTACCTGAGCAACATTAACCATGCTCCAACTTTTTTTTTTTTTTTTTTTTTTTTTAATGGAGATGTGATCTCACTATGTTGCCCAGGCTGGTCTTGAACTCCTGGGGTCTAGTGATCCTCCAGCCTCAGCCTCCCAAGTAGCTGGGACTACAGGCATGCACCACTACACCCAAAGAAACTACTTTTTTTTTAAGTTCTTGATAACATTCTGCTTCTTGAGAAGGTTAAACCAGCCCTATCCTTCAACTTATTTTTTATTTGTATATATTTTTGTGACAGTGTCTTGTTCTGTCACCTAGGCTGGAGTGCAGTGGCACCATCATGGCTCACAGCTCCCTCGACCTCCTGGGCTCAAGTGAGGCTAATTTAAAAAAAAACAATTGTGTAGGCCAGGCATGGTGGCTCATGTCTATAATCCCAGAATTCTGGGAGGCCAAGGTGGGTGTATCACTTGAGCCTAGGAGTTCAAGACCAGCCTGGCCAACACAGTGAAACCCCGTTTCTACTAAAAACACAAAAATTAGTTGGGCATGGTGGTGTGTGCCTGTAATCCCAGCTACTCAGGAGGCTGAGGCACAAGAATCACTTAAACCTGAGAGGCAGAGGTTGCAGTGAGCCCAGATCGCGCCACTGCACTCCAGCCTGGGCAACACAGTGAAACTTGGTCTCAAAAAAAATTTTTTTTTTGTAGCGACAGGTCTCCCTATGTTGCCTAGGCTGGTCTCAAACTCCTGGGCTCAAGGAATCCTCCCGCCTTGGCCTCCCAAATTGCTGGGATTACAGGCATGAGCCACTGTACCTGGCCGCCTTCAACTTCAGAGGAGGAACAGAGGAACTTCAAAAGTCCCTCTGTTTTGAAAACTTTTATGTATTCCTTTTATGAGTTGTCTCTTGAAATCCTCTCTTCCATTTCACAACTACTGCTTTCATCTTTTGTATGGTATATTGCTGTTCTCCAAACTGTTCTCTCTGCCTCACATTTGTTTCTTTCCCTCAACACTCAGTTTATCCTCTGTACTAAAGCCCACATCTGATCACATCCTACTTCTCTGCTCAAAATCCTTTAGTGGCTCCCCTTCACAGAACAAGTCACAACTGATCAGAAGATGGAGGCCTGAGAAAGGGACGAGTCAGTGAGAATTCTTTGCAACTCCATGACCTTGGGGGATGGTGATATTCTGAACAAAAATATGAAAGGCATCCTAGCTACTCAGGAGGCTGAGGCAGGACAGTCGCTTGAGCACTGAATGTTCAGGCTGCAGT
The DNA here is from genome assembly GCF_000001405.40 of Homo sapiens. Lineage (NCBI taxonomy): Eukaryota > Metazoa > Chordata > Mammalia > Primates > Hominidae > Homo > Homo sapiens. The sequence continues at coordinate 133,469,305 of NC_000023.11, read as the reverse complement.
GGGCTATGATTGTGCCACTGAACTCCAGCCTGGGCAACAGAGCAAGACCCCATCTCCAAATATGGTGTGTATATATATATTTAGAGATATTTATATATATATTTGATATATATATATATATTTAGAGATATTTGTTATTTTAAATAGGCAAAGACATGAACATATACTTCTCAAAAGAAGACACATAAGAGGCCAATAAACATATGAAAAAATGCTCCACACCAGGCACGGTGGCTCATGCCTATAATCCCAGTACTTTGGGAGGCCGAGGTGGGCCAATCACTTGAGGTCAGGAGTTTGAGACCAGCCTGGCCAACATGGGGAAACCCTGTGTCTACTAAAAATACAAAAATTAGCCAGGCATGGTGGTGCATACTTGTAATTCCAGCTACTTGGAAGGCTGAGGCAGAAGAGTCGCTTGGACCAGGGAGGCGGATGTTGAAGTCAGCCAGGATTGCGCCACTGCACTCCAGCCTGAGTGACAGAGTGAGACTCTGTCTCAAAAAAAAAAAAGAAAAAGAAAAGAAAAGAAAAGAAAAAATGTTTCACATCACCACAATGAGATACCATCTCACACCAGACAGAATGGCTATTAATAATATATATATATATATATATATATATATATATATATATATATATATACACATATATATATATGAGGCAAAAAGATGAGCTCAAACATACCAAGTTAGACGTTGGTGGCTCACAAAATTGAGTGGAGAATCCAGGTCTAAATATCTGATCAAAGAGTCACCATTTGAAGCAAATGGATAGGTAGGGAAGAACAGTGAATACCTTAGGTCAAATCTATCCAAGGCGAGACTTCTGAAGAACAGGAAGTGGAATTCTAATCAGGTAATGTGACTCTGAAGGAAGTTATCCCCGGCGATGATTGATAGACCCTGAAAAGTCAGGTCAATGTAGCAAACATTAGCTGTGCTCTCCTCACTCAGTGCTCCACCCTTCACCTCTTCAGGACCAACAGCTGGTGGGGCCACCTAGGAGCCACAGTGACACCCAGTGTCCTGCAGAGCTGCCTGTGTGGCCTGCCTAGTCCACCGCAGACTCCAGGGCTGGTACTTCTTCCCATTAGTCTCTAATAGCCAGGAGTCAGCAAAAGAAACCACAGCTCAATGCCAAACCCTCAGCTCCTCCCCAGGTGGTTAGGACTGATAAAAAGATACTGTTCCCTCTATTCTATTATGCCAGCAAGGGCAGGGGACTGAGGCCCTTCTGTGGATCTGGCCCTCAGAAGTAGCACCTCTCAGCACCATTCCCTTTTAGATCAAAAGTCTCACTTTTCAATTTGTCTTCTGTAAGCTCTCTAACCCTTTATTCTTAAACCCAGAATAGCCCTTTTTCAATGTTTATTATATATTGCTAAATGGAGGGAGTGAAGTAGGTTACAACATAATATCTATAGTGTGCTCCTCTTTTATTAATAGTATGAGAAATATTTATTTCTATGCTTATATAAGTACATTTGAATATGTACACAAGAAAAAAAACTAGAAAGTGGCCAGGTGCAGTGTCTTTACTGTAATTCCAGCACTTTGGGAGGCTGAGGAGAGCAGATAACTTGAGGTCAGGAGTTCGAGTCCAGCCTGGCCAACATGGCAAAACCCCATCTCTACTAAAAATAAGAAAATTAGCCAGGTGTGGTGGCACACACCTGTAGTCCCAGCTACTCAGGAGGCTGAGGTACAAGAATCACTTGAACCCAAGAGGCAGAGGTTGCAGTAAGCCAAGATCACACTACTGTCCTTCAGCCTGGGAGACAGAGAGAGATTGTCTCAAAACAAAACAAAACAAAAAACTAGAAGGTATCTTTTAATAATGAGATTATGGTTGGGCACTACTCTTGAGGCTGAGGCAGGAGGATCACTTGAGCCCAGAAGTTCGAGATCAGCCTGGGCAATATAGCAAGACCCTAACAAAAAAAGAGAGTAAAGTTTCAAGATACAAAGTCAATGTATAAAAATCAGTAGCATTTCTGCACACCAATAACATTCAAACTGAGACCCACATGAAGAACACAATCCCGTTCACAATAGTTGCAAAAAAAGTAATATACCTAGGAATACATCTAACCAAGGAGGTGAAAGATCTCTACAAGAAGAACTACAAAACACTGCAGAAAGAAATCATAGATGATGCAAAGAAATGACAAAACATTCCATGCTGGCTGGGTGTGGTGGCTCACTTCTGTAATCCCAGCACTTTGGGAGGCCAATGCAGGCAGATCACTTGAGGTCAGGAGTTTGAGACCAGCCTGGACAACATGGCAAAATCCCATCTCTACTAAAAATAGCAAAATTAGCTGGACATGGTTGCATGCGCCTGTAATCCCAGCTACTCGGGAGGCTGAGGCACAAGAATTGCCTGAACTAGGGAGGCGGAGGTTGCAGTGAGCCAAGATCGCGCCACTGCACTCCAGCCTGGGTGACAGAGTGAGATTTTGTCACAAACAAACAAACAAACAACAACAAAAACAAAAAACAAACAAACAAACAAACAAACAAAACCAGAAAACATTCCATGCTCATGGATTGGAAGAATTAGTATTGATGTAATGGCCATACCTCCCAAAGCAATCTACAGATTCAATGCTAGTCCTATCAAACTACCAACATTGTTTTCCACAAAATTAGAAAAAAAGTATTCTAAAATTCATGTGGAACCAAAAAAGAGCTCGAATAGACAAAGCAATCCTAAGCAAAAAGAACAAAGCCAAAGGTGTTACATTACCCAACTTCAAACTACACTATATGGCTACAGTAACCAAAGCAGCATGGTACTGGCAGCAAAACAGATACATAGACCAATGGAACAGATTGGAGTCCCCAGAAATAAAGCCATGCACCTACAGTTATCTGATCTTTGACAAAGTCAATAAAAAGCAATGGGGGAAAGGACTCCTTATTCAATAAATGGTACTGGGATAGCTAGCTAGCTATATGCAGAAGAATAAAACAGGACCCCTACCTATCACCATATAAAAAAAAAACTAACTCAAGAATGTTTAAAGACTTAAATATAATACCTCAAAGTATAAGAATCCTAGAAGCAAACCTAGGAAACACCATTCTGGACATTGGCCTTGGGAAAGAATTTATAAGTCCTCAAAAGCAATTGTAACAAAAACAAAAACTGCCAAGTGGGACCTAAATTAAACTAAGGAGCTTCTGCACAGCAAGAGAAACTATCAACAGGGTAAACAGACAACCTACAGAATGGGAGAAAATATTCACAAACTATGCATCCGACAAAGCTCTAATATCCAGAATCTATAAGGAACTTAAACAATTAAACAAACAATAAGCAAACAACCTTATTTTAAAAATAGGCAAAGACATGAGCAGACACTTCTCAAAAGAAGACATACAACCAGCCAACAAACATTTGAAAAAATCCTCCATATCACTAATCATCAGAGGGATGCAAATTAAAACCACAATGAGATACCAACTCACACCAGTCAGAATGGCTATTAATAAAATGTAAAAACAAACAAACAAACAAACAGATGGTGGCTAGGCTGTCGAGAAAAGGGAATGCTTATACACCATTGGTGGGAATGTAAATTAGTGCAGCCCTCGTGGAAAGCAGTTTGGAAATTTCTCAGAGAACTTAGAACTACCATTTGACCCAGCAATCTCATTACTGGCTATATATTGAAAAGAAAATAAATCACTCTACCAAAAAGACACATGCACTCATATGTTCATCACAGCACTATTCACAATAGCAATGACATGGAATCAACCTAGGTGCCCATCAGTGGCGGATTGGATAAAAAATGTGAGACACATACACCATGGAATACTATACAGCCATAAAAAGGAAGAGAATCAGGTCCTTTACACCAACATGTATGCAGCTGGAGGCCATTATCCTAAGCAAGCTCATGCCAGAACAGAAAACCAAATACTGCATGTTCTCATGTATAAGTGGGAGTTAAACAATGGGTACTCATGGGCATAAAGGTAGCAACAATAGACACTGGGGACTGCTAGAGAGAGGTTGGAGGGAGGGGCAAGTTTTTCAACTAACTATTGGGTACTATGCTCAATATCTGGGTGGCAGGATCAATCATACCCCAAACCTTAGCATCACGCAATATACCCAGGTAACAAGCCTGCACATGTACCCCCTGAATCTAAATTAAAAGTGGAAATCATTTTAGAAATAAATAATAAAATAATACTGCAAAAAATTTTTTTAATGTAAAAAGAGAAGAAAAATGAGATTATGGATAGTTTTATGTTCTTCTCTGCATATTTCTATGTTGTATGATTTTTAAATGGGTATATATTAATTTTATGACCAGGAGTAAATCCCCCAAGGTCATTTTCATTCAAAAATTGAAGAATTTTCACCTTCAGTATGGAGGAATATGCTGGTAACAGAGCAAGCCTTCTGCAGATCGATAACAACTCAAACTTTGAAGAAAATATAAAAAGAAAACAAAGAAAGAAACCTAGAGATTCTGAAGAATGAGAGAAAAAAACAGCCTTTCGATGGGAGCTGAAACTGACAAGAAAGGACTGGCATGGGGTGGGTTTCCCTTTGTATGGCCTTTAGCTTAAGTGCAGACTACATGGCACAACACAGCTAAAATTCTAACAGAAAATCTACCATCTTTCTAGCCTAAAGAACCAGATAACAGAATCTAAGGTAACTATAGCCACTTGAACTATGCTGGGGGAATCCTAGAAAGGAAAGAGACAGAACAAGAAAGGCCCATATCCTGTGCATAAACTCTGCCAAGGTGTTTGGCTGACCCCTTCTTTTTTGAGCTATACACGCCTGGAGCAGACTCAGATCATCACACAGCTAAGGCTAAAAGATTTAATAATTGAGCTGATGTCCACCACAGGTGAGACAGTTTGCAGTCTCAGAGTAAAAAAGTTCGTTGCTTTTAAAAACAAACAAAAAAAATCAACATTTTTGGAGGAATATGACTAGAATCCAGAGTCTCAAGCTAGCAATTACTATGTCCAACATGCAAAAAGAAATTGACATTAAAAAAAAGGAAAATGTGACTCACCGTTCTCAAGAGAAAAAACAATCAGTTAAGATCAACTCTGAGATGACCCAGATATTGGAATTATCAGTCAGGGTCTTTAAAGAAATTATTGTAGGCCAGACGCATTGGCTCACGCCTATAATCCCAGCACTTTGGGAGGCCGAGGCAGGTAGATCACTTGAGGTCAGCAGTTTGAGACAGCCTGGCCAACATGGCAAAACCCTGTCTCTACAAAAAATACAAAAACATTAGCCAGTCATGGTGGCACATACCTGTAATCCCAGCTACTCGGGAGGCATGGGAATCACTTGAACCTGAGAGGCGAAGGTAATAGTGAGCCAAGATTGCGTCACTGCACTCCAGCCTGGGTAATGGAGTGAGACACTGTCTCAAAAAAAAAAAAAAAAGTTATTGTAACTATGATCAATGAGATAAAGAATAACATGCCTGATTGTGCCACTGCACTCCAGCATAGGTAACAGAGCAAGACTCTGTCTCAAAAAATAATAACACACTTGGACCTTCCTATCAGGGACCATGCTTATTACCTGGGTGACAAAATAATCTGTGCACCAAACTCCTGTGACACGTAATTTACCTATACATAAAACCTGCACATGTACCCCCAAAACTAAAAGTGTTTTTTTTTTTTAAGATTAAAGGCATGGAGCTGATGATTCATAATGCACTAATTCATAATAGTGTATTGGTATTTTGATTAAAATAAAATACTTGGCCAGGAGTCATGGCTCATGCTTGTAAGCCCAGCACTTTGGGAGGCCGAGGTGGATGGATCACGTGAAGTCAGGAGTTCAAGACCAGCCTGGCCAACATGGTGAAACCCTGTCTCTATTAAAAATACAAAAATTAGCTGGGCATGGTGGCATGTGCCTATAATATCAGCTACTTGGGAGGCTGAGGCACGAGAATCACTTGAACCTGGGAGGCAGAAGTTGCAGTGAGCTGAGATCACGCCAGTGCACTCCAGCCTTGGTGACAGAGTGAGACTCTGTCTCAAAAATATAAATAAATAAATAAATAAAATACCTAATTAAACTAGAGAGAAAAAAGAATAAGAGGCTTGTAATTAATTGGAAAAAGAAGTAAATCTCAAGACAGAAAATAGGAATAAAAAATTAACCAAATTCTAGAACTGAAAAATACAGTGTTTAGGTGGGGGTGGGGGAGACACTAAATTGACTTAATGGCAGAATGGAAAAGATAAAGGGTCAGTGAACATGAAGATAGATTAATAGAAATTCTCTCATCTGAATCTGAAAAGGGGGAATAAAGATTAGAAAAATAAAATGAGCAGTGCTCAGATCTTACATATGGCTGGGCAGGGTGGCTCCCGCCTTTAATACCAGCACTTTGGGAGGCCAAAGCAGGAGGATGGCTTGAGCCCAGGAGTTCAAGACCAGCCTGGGAAACATAGTGAGAGACCCAGTCTTTACAAAAAAAAAAAAAAAATTAGCCTGGCATGGTGGTGTGCTCCTGTAGTCCCAGCTAAATGGGAAGCTGAGATGGGAGGATCACTTGAGACTGGGAGTTCAAGGCTGCAGTGAGACATGATCATGCCACTGCACTCCAGCCTTGGGTGACACTGAGAGACCCTGTCTCAAAAAACAAAAATTAATCTTGCAAGTAGCAGAGAAACAAAATATATGCCAGGAAATAATGATTCAAATGACAATGGTCTCCTTATCAGAAACCATGAAGACTGGAAGACAGTGGAACAACACCTTTAAAGTGCTGAAAGAAAAATTATCAACCCAGAATTCTATAACCAGTGAAATTCTATAACCAGTGAAATTCAAGAGTGAGTCCTTCAAAGATGTGAAGCAGGTTCACTGTGCCCTGATTACCACTTGTCTGAGTCTGGTGAGACAGAACATCCACACGTGCAGCAAGTTACAGGAAGAGTATTTATTACTTACAGATGAGCAGCAAGTGACAACAGAAACCTAAGTTTCATTGAGATCTGGCTCCCCAAGGCTCAGGAAGGCCACTCAAGGTAGATGGAGTCTCAACTGCATGTGCCCCACTAACACTGCAGCTGAGGGACCCCAGAAAGCATCCCACCCTGGGTTTTATAACCCGGGGTATCGTGACACACTAAAGTGTTGAAGGCCATCTTGTTTATAAAGGGGACTGGAACAGAGCCCTGGCTGTTCTGGCCAGCCCCCTTTATGGCAGGACACTGCATTCCTAGCACATTTTACAGTTATTCTTGAGAACTAGAAGCAAGAGAAAAGGGAGAACTGGGAATTATCTAAAGAACTTCCTAGTTTTACCGGGCGCAGTGGCTCACGCCTGTAATCCCAGCACTTTGGGAGGTCCGAGGTGGGTGGATCATGAGGTCAGGAGATGGAGACCATCCTGGCCAACATGGTGAAACCCCGTCTCTGCTAAAAATACAAAAATTAGCCAGGCATGGTGGCGCATGCCTGTAGTCCCAGCTATTCGGGGGGCTGAGGCAGGAGAATCACTTGAACCCGGGAGGCATAGAGGTTGCAGTGAACCAAGATCACGCCACTGTACTCCAGTCTGGGCGATAGAGCGAGACTCCATCAAAAAAAAAAAAAAAAAAAAAAAAAAAAAAAAAAAAAGAACTTCCTAGTTTTTTAGATGAAGGAAATATCAGAGGGAAACTCACACATTCAGGAAGGAATAAAGAACATCAACAGCATCCAAATATAAACTCTGTAGTCAGAAAGTATTTATTTAGTCAAGTGTCTAGATATAAAATGCTGGAAGGGGTTTAAAGGACTTAAAGAAGGAATCAAAAGAATTTATCAAAAAGACAGGGCTCACACGATATCAGTAAAACCACAAGCAGTTTCCTGATATAGAAGACAGAATATCTCTGTCTTCACTGTTAATATGTGGAGGCTTAAACCAGTGTGGCTGAAGGAGACTTCTTAAAGCTCGTCCAGAAGGGATTCTTTCATACATGCCTCAGGGAGGCCTTGCCTCATGATATGTGGTCTGTACTGGGATAGCTACTTCTCTCTTCAGGGTCATTTGTTTCCTAAACATTAAATTTTGCTCTTGCACTTGTCTTCATGGGATATACATGCACCCCTACTAACACCCATAAACCTCTGGATATATCTAGGTTTTAAAGTGTAAATTACATATAGAACTCAAATTATTAATAAATATAGTCATTAGCTGGGTGCAGTGGTGCATGCCTATAATCACAGCTACTCAGGAGGCTGAGGCAGAAGGAAAGTTTGATGCCAGAAATTCAAGGCTCTGGTAAGCAATGATCATGCCTGTGAATAGCCGCCGCACTTGAGCCTGAGCAACATAGCAAGATCCTGTCTCTAAATAAATAAGTAAAGTGTTTGTCTCACTCTTGGAAATTTCATTCATTGAAAAAAACTAACAAGAAGCCCTGTGTATGAGGGTATTCAGTTTGGTATTATTCTGAGTAGTGTGAAGCTGAAAACAAGCATTCCCAATAAGAAGAGAATGATTAAGCAAACGACTGTCCATTAATGGAATAGAAGATTAGGACACTATCAAATATATGTGAAAAATTAGTAACAATGTATAAAAACGTGCATAATCTTTTTTTTTTTTTTTTTTTTAGACGGAGTCTCACTCTGTTGCCCAGGCTGGAGTGCAATCGCATGATCTTGGCTTACTGCAACCTCTGCCTCCCGGGTTCAAGCAATTCTCTGCCTCAGCCTCCCAAGTAGCTGGGATTACAGGCGCCTGCCACCATGCCTGGCTAATTTTTTGTATTTTTAGTAGAGACAGGGTTTCCCCATCTTGGCCAGGCTGTTTTTGAACTCCTGACCTTGTGATCCACCCGCCTCGGCCTCCCAAAGTGCTGGGAATACAGGCGCGAGCAACCGCACCAGGCCAAAAACGTGTGTACTCTGATGTTCATTAACAGAAGCAAATTACAAAATTACATGTCTATCATGATCATGACTATGCACATACAAGCATTCATTCATTTGAGAAATCTTACTGAACATTTAATGTGTACCAGGTGTTGTGCTATGTGTAGGAGATATAAAGCTGAGAAGACATGGTCCCCTTCCTCAAGGAGGTTCAGTCTAAGTGGAAGACAGTCATGGAAACAAACTGAAAGGTGTTCTCATTCACAAAATGCTTTTGGAGGGTGGAAGGAACATTAAATTCTGCTGAAGAAGTAAGTGAAAACTTCACAAAGTTGGTACGACATCTGCGGACAAGAATGACAAGGAATATGAAGAAAAGAAATCAGTTGTATTAGGGTGGTAAGGTGATGTGTCATTTATTTTTCAAATTCTTTATAATGTTAAATGTTTTTATAATTTTAAAATATTTTTAAATGAAACATTCTATAATATATCTGGCCACCATGGAAAAGCTTTATGTTTAAATAAACCTCAATTATATTGTAAAAGAAAATAGTTTTTTTGTTTGTTTTTGTTTTGTTTTTGTTTTTGTTTTTGAGACAGAGTCTTGCTCTGTCGCCTAGGCTGTAGTGCAGTGGCACGATCTCGACTCACTGACTTCCACTTCCTGGGTTCAAGTGATTCTCCTGCCTCAATCTCCCAAATAGCTGGGATTACAGGCATGTGCCACCACACCCGGCTAATTTTTTGTATTTTTAGTATAGATGGGGTTTCACCATGTCGGCCAGGTTGGTTTCTAACTCCTGATCTCAAGTGATCTGCCTGCCTTGGCCTCCCAAAGTGCTGGGATTACAGGCGTGAGCCATCATGCCCAGGCAGAAAATAGACTTTAAAAGAAAATTTAGAAATGTTCTCTAGAGGGGCTGGGCGCAGTGGCTCATGACTGTAATCCCAGCACTTTGAGAGGCTGAGGCGGGTGGATCATGAGGTCAAGAGATTGAGACCCTACTGGCCAACATGGTGAAACCCTGTCTCTATTAAAAATACAAAAATTAGCTGGGTGTGGTGGCGCACACCTGTAATCCCAGCTACTTGGGAGGCTGAGGCAGGAGAATTGCTCGAACCCAGGAGGCGGAGGTTGTAGTCAGCCGAGATCACACCCACTGCACTCCAGCCTGGTGACAGAGCGAGATTCCATCTCAAAAAAAAAAAAAAAAGAGAGAAAGAAAAGAAAAAGAAAGAAAGAAAGAAATGTTCTCTAGACATCCTCCCTGCCCCCCTTAGTGGGCAGCAGTATCGCCAGCTCCCCAGCATGACACCACACCTAAAAGAAACACCCTAGGCTGGATGCAGTGGCTCACGCCTGCAATCACAGCACTTTGGGGGGGCCAAGGCAGGAGGATCGCTTGGGGGGCCAAGGCAGGAGGATCGCTTGAGCTCAGGCATTTGAGACCAACCTAGGCAACATAGCGAGACCCTTGTCTTGACAAAAATTTTTCAAAAATCATTTAATTAGCCAAGAGTGGTGGTGTGCACCTGTAGTCCCACCTACTCAGGAGGCTGAAGTGGGAGGATCACTTGAGCCCAGGAAGCCAAGGCTGCAGTGAGCTAAGATTGTACCACTATACTCTAGCCTGGGCCACAGAGTAATACCCTGTCTCAAAAAGAAAATAAAATAAACACCCTAGATGGCAGCAGATTTAACTCCTTGCACTGGGGTTACTACTGATATTATGGAGTCCTTGTGCTTTTGTTTTTTACCTGAAGCTAGGAAGTAGCTATGCCAGCAGAACTCTTCAGATTCCCATGGGAGAATACCAGTTTAGTGGATTAAATGGTGTTTCCCCCCCAAAAAAAACATCTCTATGTCCCAACTCCTAGAACCTGTGAATGTGATCTTATTTCAAAAATGGGTCTTTGCACATGTACTTAAGCTAAGGATCTTGAGTTGAGATCATCTTAGATTTAGGGTAGGCCCTAAATCCAATGACAAGTGGCCTTATAAGAGAAAGGCGGAGGGATATTTGGGACACAGACACACAGGGGGAAAGGCCATGCGAAGATGGAGGCAGACATTGGAATCATGCAGCTCCAAAGCAAAGAATGACTGAAGCCACCAGAAGCTGAAAAAAATCAAGAAAGGTGTGATAGTTAATTTTATATGTCAACTTGGCTAAGGCAGAGGGTGCCCAGATATTTGTTTAAACATTATTCTGGGTGTTTCTTTGGGGTATTTTGGATGAGGCTAATGTTTACATTGGTGAACTTTGAGTAAGGCAGATTACCCTCTATAATGTGGGTGGGCTCAGCCAGTCAATTGAAGGCGTCAGTAGAACAACAAAAAATGGCCTCCCTGAACAAGAGGAAACTCTCCAGAAGGCTGACTTCTGACTTTGTCTGCATCATCAGCTATTCCTGGTTTTACAGAAGACTGCCTTCAGACTCAAACTAAAACATCACCGGGGCTGGGCACGGTGGCTAACGTCTATAATGTCAACATTTTGGGAGGCCAGGGCGAGGGATTGCTTGAGCCCAGGAGTTAAAGACCAGCCTGGGAACCATAGTGAGACTTTCTCTTTACTAAAAATAAAATTAAAAAAAAATTAGTCGAGTGTGGTCGTGCACACCTGTGATCCCAGCTACTCAGGAGACTGAGATGGGAGGATCACTTGAGCCCAGTAGGTCAAGGCTGCAGTGAGCCATGATGGCACCACTGCACTCCAGCCCAGGCTACAGAGTGAGACCCTGTCTCAAAAAAACAAAACAAAACAAAAACATGCATGACTCCTATTGGTTCTGTTTCTCTGGAGAACCCTGACTATACAGAAGAATTCTTCCCCTAGAGACATCTGAGGGAACCACATCCCTACCCACACCTGAATTTCAGATTCCTGGCTTCTAGAACTGTGAGAAAATACATTTGCATTGTTTTAAGCCATCCAGTTTGTGAGAATTTGTCATGACAGCCCTAGCAAACTAGTATAGCTATCACGGCCTCTGACTTTTCAAGGATCCAGACCAGATGACTTTTGGAACCTGTTTAGAAACATGGACTTCCCTGGGTATTTTTAAACCCAACATATCAGTCAGGGACACGTTTAGGAGTGAGACAGCATGATGTCATGCAAATACCCGCATAGACCTAGGCTCAAATTCTGGTGCCAGCACTCCCCAGTTGGGTGGGCTTAAGAATGTTACTTGAAAAAAATAACCCCATCAAAAAGTAGGTGAAGGACATGAACAGACACTTCTCAAAAGAAGACAGAAGACATTTATGCGTCCAATAAACATATGAAAAAAAGCTCATCATTACTGGTCATTAGAGAAATGCAAATCAAAACCACAATGAGATACCATCTCATGCCAGTAAGAAAGGCAATTATTAAAAAGTTAAGAAACAACAGATGCTGCAGAGGATGTGGAGAAATAGGAATGCTTTTACACTGTTGGTGAGGGTGTAAATTACTTCAACCATTGTGGAAGAACAGTGTGGCGACTCCTCAAGGATCAGGAACCAGAAATACCATTTGACCCAGCAATCCCATTTCTGGGTATATGCCCAAAGGATTTAAATCATTCTACTATAAAGACACATGCACACGTATGTTTATTGCAGCACTATTCACAATAGCAAAGATTTGGAACCAACCCAAATGCCCATCAATGATAGACTGGATAAAGAAAATGTGGCACATATACACCATGGAATACTATGCAGCCATAAGAAAGAATGAGTTCATGTCCTTTGCAGGGACATGGATGAAGCTGGCAACTATCATTCTCAGCAAACTAACACAGGAACAGAAAACCAAACACTGCATGTTCTCACTCATAAGTGGGAATTTAACAATGAGAACACATGGACACAGGGAGGGAAACATCAAACACTGGGGCCTGTCGGGAGGTGGGGGGCAAGGGGAGGGAGAGCATTAGGACAAATACCTAATTCATGTGGGGCTTAAAACCCAGATGATGGGTTGATAGGTGTAGCAAACCACCATGGCACATGTATACCTATGTAACAAACCTGCACGTTCTGCGCATGTATCCCGGAACTTAAAAAAATAAAAATAAAAATAAAGGATGTTACTTAACTTTTTTGAAACAACTTCCTCATCTAAGCAACAAGGATACTCCTAATTTGGGGGGTCTTATAAGAAATAGAATGAGCCCGGCACAATGGCTCAAGCCTGTAATCCCAGCACTTTGGGAGGCCAAGGTGGGCAGATCACCTGAGGTCAGGAGTTCTAGACCAGCCTGGCCAACATGGTGAAAACCCTGTCTCTACTAAAAATACAAAATGAGCTGGGCGTGGTGGCTGAGGCAAGCAAATGGCTTGAACCCAGGAGGCAGGGGTTGCAGTGAGCGGAGATGTGCCACTGCACTCCAGCCTGGGCCACAGAGCCAGACTCCATCTCAAGGAAAAAAGAAAGAGAGAGAGAGAAATAGAGAGAATGTAGATAAAGTGCCTGGCTCATAGAAGTGATGATAAATGATGCCCCTTTCTCTTCTTTTTCCCCCTCCTCTTCCTCCTCCCCTTCTTCTCTCATATGAAAGCTCTGTAGACAGTGCTTCTTCCAACCCCATCCAGCCTGATGTCCCTTGACTCCAACCAGAATGCCTTAATCCATGGTTCCTAGCATGTGTAGTGAGCACCTCATTCCTGCCTCTGCATTTTGCAAGCTTTTATCCCACCTACCCAAATCCTCATTCTCCTTAAGGGCCCAGCTCATGTCTCCCTGCTCTCCAAAGTTTTCGGTTGACACTCAGCCCATAGTTCTCCCTCCTTGCTCTAAACTCCAAAAGTACACATTTTCTGAACAATTCCTTTGACTCTCAGTGAGTACTACCTTACGTGGCTTCTCTTCCTCTCTGTGCAGCCAGTTCCCAGCATGCAATTAGGCACTGTTTGGGAATTGGAAACCATTTCCCACAGAAACAATGTTATCGATAGTGGTCAGGCTAGCAAAAAGCATGCTCGATAATCTATTGGGCTTTGAGCTTCTGGAAAACAGGCCCCACAGACATTCCAAGTATTCTAATCATGATCCATTATGCATAAAGAGAAGCAATAGAGACGGAGACGGTGGCCCACTGTCCTGGCTGCACCATCTGGCATAGCTGCCTCTGTCTTCTGCTGCCAGGCAGGTCCAGGACAAGACGCCCCAGATGGGTGGCTAAAGGTGTCTAGAGAAAGGGAGGCCACCAGCTCTGCTAGGATACTGGCCCAGGATTGACCCAGCCTGACAGACAGGAAGGGCTCCCCCAGCTCCCAAGGGAAGCGTTGGGCCTCCTCACCCTTGTGTGGCCTGGAGGTCTTGGGGCAGACTGCAGAGGGACTCACTCACATTAGGCCAAAGTGAGCCCGGGTGTCTTCCCTGGACAGAGCTGCCATTTCGCTGCTGACATGAGTGGGCAATCACTGCCCTTTCAATTGGATGAGGCTTAGTGACTGGCGATCCTTCCTGGTACAGTTCAGGGTTCTATGCTCTTCCTCTAGCCCACAGGAAATAAGGAGCAGCCCAGCACTTTGCCTGGAGCCAGATAGACTGAGGTTTTAGTCTGGGCTAACCCATTTAACTACTTAGTGCCTGCTACCCAATCCTCAAACTAGTCACATGAGCATCACCTGGGAGTTTTGTAGAAAAGCAGAATCTCAGCTCCCACCTTTACACCTACTCATTCAGAATCTGCATTTTAATAAGATCCCCAGGTGATTCGTATGTGCATTAAAGTTTGAGAAGCAATGTCTTAGTTGCTGAAAGCAGGGTGGAATGAAGCCTAGATTTGCAATCCAAAGACTCGGGACAACAACAGTGGATTCCAGCCTTGGTCCAAGCATTAAAAAAACCCAGAAGCAAAGCTGGTGTGAATAAAAGCCAAGTTTCCTGCAGCCCAGCCCGGCCTCCTAGAAATCCCAAGAGATGGAGTTTCCAGCTGGGATACGCGAAATACTTCCATCTGTAATGTGTATCCATAAACCAACAACTGCCTGTATTTGTATTTTTATTTATCTCACCTTCTCAACTAGACCGTAAGGCTGAAAAGCCAGGAATCATATTGCATGTGTATGACTGTATGTATAATGGAAGAAAAATGGAATATAATTAATGAGCACAGGCTCTGATGTAGGCAGACCTGCCTCCTGAACCCAGCATTTCCACTGACTTAATGTGTAGGCTTAATGATGCTACTGGTCTCTCTGAGCCTCAGTTTCCTCATCTGTGCTACTACTACAGTGATAACCTACCTCTCAGGATGGTTGGATAATGAAATGAGTCAACATCCAAAATATACCTGGTAAATAACAGGCACTCAGTAAATGGTCACCCCTTGTCCTTTGAGTCTCCCCACCCACCACATTGCAGGCCAGCATATTTTACATATTCAATAAACACCTGATAGAAAGGCATACGGAGTGGTATAATGGATATTGGAGATGCAGAAGAGGGTAGGGTTGGAGGAGGTTGAGGGATGAAAAACTACCTATTGGGGGCAGGGCGCGGTGGCTCACGCCTGTAATCCCAGCACTTTCGGAGGCCGAGGCGGGCGGATCACGAGGTCAGGAGATCGAGACCACCATCCTGGCTAACATAGTGAAACCGCGTCTCTACTAAAAATACAAGAAATTAGCCGGGCGAGGTGGCAGGCGCCTGTAGTCCGAGCTACTCGGGAGGCTGAGGCAGGAGAATGGTGTGAACGTGAACCCGGGAGGCAGAGCTTGCAGTGAGCCAAGATCGCGCCACTGCACTCCAGCCTGGGTGACAGCGAGACTCCGCTCAAAAAAAAAAAAAAGAAAAAGAAAAAGAAAAACTACCTATTGGGTACAATGTACACTATTCGGGTGACAGGTGCACTAAAATCCTAGACTTGACCACTATACAATTCATCCATGCAACCAAAAACCCCTTGTATCCCTAAAGCTATTGAAATAAAAGAGATTTTTTAAAGATACCTGTAATTAATTTTGAGGGCATCAGATTGTTGATCAGTTATTCCAATGCTGTTTATTGAAATTTTCCGTGGCGAGGTGCAGTGGCTCACTCCTGTAATCCCAACACTTTGGGAGACGCAGGTGGACAGATCGCTTGAGTTGGGGAGGTCAAGGCTGCAGTGAGCTGAGATGGGTCCATTGGACTCTAGCCTGGGCGACAAAACGAGACACTCTGTCAAGAAAGAAAGAAAGAAACAGAGAGAGAGAGAGAGAGAGAGAGAAAGGAAAAAAAGAAAGACAAATTTCCCCTTCCTCTCTGTCCGCTATTTTTTTTTTTTTCTTTTAGACAGAGTCTCGCTCTGTCTCCTAGGTTGGAGTACAGTGTTGTGATCCTGGCTCACTGCAACCTCCGCCTCCCAGGTTCAAGGGATTCTCCTGCCTCAGCCTCCTGAGTAGCTGGGATTACAGGCACACACCACCACGCCCGGCTAATTTTTATATTGTTAGTAGAGTCAGGGTTTCACCATGTTGGCCAAGGTGGTCTTGAACTCCTGACCTCAGGTGATCGGCCCGCCTCAGCCTCCCAAAGTGCTAGGATTACAGGTGTGAGCCACTGCGCCTGGCCTCCATCCTCTACTATTAAACTAATTTTTTATCCTTTTTTTTTTTCAAGACAGGGTCTCGCTCTGTGACACCATTGCCTTGGTGCGATCGTGGCTCACTGCAGCCTTGAACTCCAGTGCTAAAGTGATACTCCCACCTCAGCCTCCCAAGTAGCTGGGTCTACAGTGTGCCCCAATATGCCTGGTTAACTTCTGTATTTTTGTAGAGAAGATGTTTCGCCAAGTTGCTCAGGCTGGTCTCAAACTCCTGGACTCAAGCGATCCTTCTGCCTCGGCCTCTCAAAGTGCTGTGAATACAGGCATAAGCCACCACACCTGGCCTAAATTATTTTTATTATATTAGATTTACTTTTGAGTCAATCTATCATGTAGTTGTTTGCCAGGTCTGTTTCTAAATTCATACTCTTTTAACTAGTTTGTTTGCAAATAAAAAATCCAGAAAATTAAATTTATTTAGAAAATTTTTAAAAATTAAATCTGTTTATTATTGCTGATGAAATATGGAATCATTTTGTTGAGTTCCAAAAGTCTTGTGGGATTTTTATTGTCATTTCTAGTAACCTTATACATTTTGGAACGTTTGCCAGTGTTACAATATTTTAGTGTCTTATACTGTGTTACAATATGTACCTCTCTTATTATTTTTATGTAGATCACATAATTTTCTCATTAAAATATTTCCTAGGTGTTTTTACATATTGATGCTATTGTGAATGAAATCTCGTTTTATATTTTCTAAACCATTACTGTTTGGCTATTATAAGAGCTTCATAGATTTCATATACACAGCTCGTTTCACATAAAAACAATTTTATTTTGAGAAACTTAGCAATTTTAAAGTTATTTGATTTACCAGTGTTAAAAAGAATAAAAGAAAATAAACACTTGCTAAGTGATTGATCACATGAATGGTCCTAAATAAAACTAAACTAAATAAATAACTCTTACTATTAAAAAAAAAAAAAAAAAAAAAAAAAAAAGGCTGGGCACGGTGGCTCACGCCTGTAATCCCAGCACTTTGGGAGGCAGAGGTGGGCGGATCGCCTGAGGTCAGGAGTTCGACACCAGCCCGGCCAACATGGCGAAACCCCCGTCTCTACTAAAAATACAAAAATCAGCCGGGCGTGGTGGTGTGCGCCTGTAATCCCAGCTACCCAGGAGTCTGAGGCAGGAGAATCACTGGAACCCAGGAGGCAGAGGCTGCAGTGAGCCGAGATTGTGCTACTGCACTCCAGCCTGGGCGACAGAGCAAGACTCTATCTC
The DNA here is from genome assembly GCF_000001405.40 of Homo sapiens. Lineage (NCBI taxonomy): Eukaryota > Metazoa > Chordata > Mammalia > Primates > Hominidae > Homo > Homo sapiens. The sequence continues at coordinate 133,451,596 of NC_000023.11, read as the reverse complement.
AAAAAACAAACAAACAAACAAAAAACCTTAGCTAAATTAAATTTAACAGAGTTAGGCTGGGCATGGTGGCTCACGCCTGCAATCCCAGCACTTTGAGAGGCTGAAGCAGGGGGATGGCTTGAGTCCAGGAGTTTGAGACCAGCCTAGGCAACTTGGCAAAACCCTGTCTCTACAAAAAATACAAAAAAATGAGCCAGGTGTAGGCCGGGTGCAGTGGCTCACACCTGTAATCCCAGCACTTTGGGAGGCTGAGGTTGATGGATCACCTGAGGTCGGGAGTTCGAGACCAGCTTGGCCAACATAGTGAAACCCGGTCTCTACTAAAAAAAAATACAAACATTAGCCGGGCTTGGTGGCCGACGCCTGTAATCCCAGCTACTCAGGAGGCTGAGGTAGGAGAATTGCTTGAACCCGGGAGGTGGAGGTTGTGGTAAGCTGAGACCCTGCCATTGCACTCCAGCCTGGGCAACAAGGGCAAAACTCTGTCTCAATAAATAAATAAATAAATAAAAATAAAAATAAATAAATACATAAATACATAAATAATTTAAAAATGAGCCAGGTGTGGCGGCATGCACTTGTAGTCCCAGCCACTCAGGAGGCTGAAGTGGGAGGATCTCTTCAGCCTGGGAATTTGAGGCTGCAGTGAGTTGTGATCATGCCACTACACTCTAGCCTGGGTAACAGAGCAAGACCCTGTCTCAAAATAAACAAATAAAAATTAACAGAGTTTAATTGAGCAAAGAACCATTCATAAATTGGGCAGCTTCCTGAGCTAGAGAAGGCTCAGAGACACTCCAGTGCAGCTATGTGGTGGAAGAAGATTTACAGATAGAAAGAGGAAAGTGGCTGGGCACGGTGGCTCATGCCCGTAATCCCAGCACTTTGGGAGGCTGAGGTGGGGGGATCACGAGGTCAAGAGATCGAGACCATCCTGGCCAACATGGTGAAACCTCGTCTCTAGTAAAAATAAAAAAAATTAGCTGGGCATGGTGGCATGTGCCTGTAGTCAGTCCCAGCTACTCGGGAGGCTGAGGCAGGAGAATCGCTTGAACCCAGGAAGCAGAGGTTGCAGGGAGCCGAGATCGTGCCACTGCACTCCAGCCTTCCAGCCTGGTGACAGGGCGAGACTCTGTCTCAAAAAAAAAAAAAAAAAAAAAAAAAAAGAGGAAAGTGACATACAGAAAACAGAAGTGAGGTACAGAAACAATTGGATTGGTTATAGCTCAGTGTTTATCTTATTTGAACATGGTTTGGACAGTTGGACCCCTTTGGCCAAAACTTGGTGACTGGCACAAGAGTAGGTTACAGTCTAGTTACAGTTTTATTTAGGTTATAATTTATTATGAGCAGAGAAACCTTTAGGCTGAACTTAAAATACGTAAGGAGGCAGCTTTAGGCTAAACTTGATTAACATTGGTTTCTTACTGTTTTTCCAACTATCAAAGTTAAATCATTTTTGTTATGGATACTTCTGAAAAACACAAGAAAGTATAGTGAAAAATCCTTAAAATGTGATATAATACCACTACCCAGGAACATAACATGTTGATGCTAATGTTTTGGAGTATTTCCTTCCAAATTCTTTATTTTTTATTTTTATTCTTATTTTATTATTATTATTTGAGACAGAGTTTCACTCTTGTTGCTCAGGCTAGAGTACAATGGCATGATCCTGGCTCACTGAAACCTCCGCCTCCTGAGTTCAAGCAATTCTCCTGCTTCAGCCTCCCAAGTAGCTGGGATTGCAGGCGCCTGCCACCACACCTAGCTAATTTTTTTGTGTTTTTAGTAGAGGCGGGGTTTCACCATGTTGGCCAGGCTGGTCTTGAACTCCCAACCTCAGGTGATCTGCCTGCTTTGACCTCCCAAAGTGCTGGGATTACAAGCATGAGCCACTGCGCCCGGCTTTTTTTTTTTTTTTTTTTTTGAGAAAAGGTCTCACTCTGTCACCCAGGCTGGAGTACAATGGCATGATCAGGGCTCACTGCAGCCTCGACCTCCTAGGCTCAATTGGTTCTCACACCTCAGCCTCCCTAGTAGCTGGGACTACAGATACATGCCACTGCACCCAGATAATTTTTGTATTTTTTAGTAGAGACGGGGTTTCACCCTGTTGCCCGAGCTGGTCTGGAACTTGTGGATTCAAGCAATTTACCTGCCTTGGCTTCCCAAAGTTCTGGGATTACAGGTGTGAACCACCGTGCCTGTCGCAGATAAATATATACGTGAAATAGAAAGAATATGAATATGAAGGTAATAATAACTGTTATAAGTAGCATTTCACACAAAAACGTGGTCTCTGAATAAAATGGGCTTTCCTTGCTGAGCGCTGATGAGTGTGGGGGTTCTGGAAATCCAGGCCTTGACACCAGTTAGGCTGAGACATTTCCCTGATTCCATGGGTAGCCTCTGTTACTCAAATCTCCAAGTGATGCCCGTGCTTCACAGCAGTACTTTCAAAGACTATACACAGAATAAAAAGTGGTGACATCAGAAGACATTTGAGTTGGTGACCAGTCAAACACAATCTGTTTCAAACCCAATGGCATTTTTTTTAGGGAAATAATGAGGAATTGAAACGAGGGGTTAGGAGGCAAGTGCCTTTGAAACCTTAACTCTGGCTTTGTCGGCCACAGACTCTCTAAACCGGCCAGAGTTTCCACTTTAACTGGGAGAGAGAGAGGAGGCACTTGAAATTGAGTAAGAGACACATTCTTTCATTGATCTAGGGGAGGGTAAAGCATGTTTAGGCAAACAGAAAGCTGCAATCTCACATTCATTATACTGGTCCTAAGAGGAGTTGGCATCCTGAATGAGGTTTTGGCAAAGCTCTAAGACACCAGGTCTTCAAACAGCTGAGGATTTAGACATCAGAATCTTAGTGAGGCCTTGCTCAGCAGCCTTTAGGGACAATCCATTCAGATTCCAGCTGGGATTATGGCAGCCCCCAGCCCCCATTCCCACAGGAATGTGGAATGTGGGCCACTCTTTTCTGTGGTCTTTCTCTGCCCAGGCCTGATCCCCAGAGTTTCATCATATGAATAAGTGCGGGTTCCCTTTCCTCCTTTGTCCAAATCTTGTTCTTGATTCCAGGGGTGCTTAGGATTGAAGTAGAAAGGCATGGTTTCAAATCCTAACTTCTGCCACTTGTAGTCTATATGAGGCCTTGGCCGTGACACTAAACCTCTCTCTGCTCCTGTTTCCACATCTGTAAAATAGGAATAACAACAGTAATTCTCTTCTTGGGTTATTGTGAGAATTCATTAAGATAGCATCCAGGGGCCTGGTGCTTTTAATACCAGCAGTTTGGGAGGCCGAGATGGGAGGCTGGCTTGAGCCCAGGATTTTGAGAGCAGCCTGGGCAACATAGCAAGACCCTCTATCTAAAAAAAAAAAAAAAAAAAATGTAATTAGCCAGGTGTTGTGGTGTGCACCTGAAGTCCCAACTACTTGGGGGGCTGATGCAAGAGGATTGCTTGAGACCAGGAGTTCCAGGCTTCAGTGAGCTATGATCATGCCACTGCATCCAGCCTGGGTGACAGAGTGATACTGTGTCAAAAAAAAAAAAAAAAAAAAAGCCTCTATAAAGTACCTGGGCATGGGGAAGGTGATCAATAAATGAGAGTTAGATTGGAGTGATCCCTTCCCCCTGAACCCGATACAGACCCTGTCCTTTCTTTAACAAATCTGAAATTCACTTTTTCATCTCTTTGCCAAATCCTTGATACTGATTTCATGTCTGGACCCCAGCCTCTTTTGCTTCCAATTTCTCCAAGCAGCTGCTTCTAGATACAACTTTCTCACACCTGCAGCTTGGACCACATCAAGGGGCTAGGCTCCATCATGGGCCCCTCCCAAACCCATCTCCTCCTCTGTCCTGTTCATTCACTCCATCTGCTTTGCCATTCCTCCTTTAACATCATTACTGGGAAAAACTCCCAGTTTTTAGTCACTGAGACTTCTTTCTTCATTCAAATCCCACTCACTCGTGTCAAGAAACTTGCTTACAAAACGAAAACAGAAAAAAAAAAAAAACTGTAATAAAACTCAAGGGGGGTGGGGGGGGCATTCCTCTCACAGAAAATGAAAAGTTACCCTGAAAAAAAAAAACGAGCCAGGTGTGGTGGCTCACGCCTGTAATCCCAACACTTTGGGAGGCCGAGGCAGGTGGATCACCTGAGGTCAGGAGTTCGAGACCAACCTGGCCAACATGGTGAAACCCCGTCTCTACTAAAAAATACAAAAATTAGCCGGGCACGGTGGCGGATGCCTGTAATCCCAGCTACTGGGGAGGCTAAGGCAAGAAAATCACTTGAACCCAGGAGGCAGAGGTTGCAGTGAGCCAAGATCATGCCACTGCACTCCAGCCTGGGCAACAGAACGAGACTCCATCTCAAAAAAAATAAATAAATAAAAATAAATAAAATAAACTCTTTTTTTTTTTTGAGATGGAGTCACGCTCCACCGTGCCCAGCTAATTTTTGTATTTTTTTTTTTTAGTAGAAATGGGGTTTCACCATGTTGGCCAGGCTGGTCTCGAACTCCTGACCTTGTGATCCGCCCGCCTCGACCTCACAAAGTTCTGGGATTACAGGCTTGAGCCATCGTGCCTGGCCAACAATGAACATTTATAAGGAAAAGATAGCCTGTGCTAGGAAGTATGTGATTAAAGGATACTCTCAACCACTGGAGATAAGAGGATATATTGGCTCCACTCTTTGGAAGGCATTTGGGCATGATTTATGGAATGATAAACACGTACTGTCTGGGTGGGGAGGCTCACATCTGTAATCCCAGCACTTTGGGAGGCCAAGGGGGGAGGATGCCTTGAGCCCAGTATTTTGAGGCTGCAGTAAGCTGTGATGGTGCCACTGCACTCCAGCCTGGGTGACACAGGGAGATGCTGTCTCTAAAATCTTAAAAAAAAAAAAAAAAAAAAAAAATTCCTACCCGTTTAAAACCAAATCTCAATTCCTAGGAGGCAACTTTAAGGAAATAATAAGAAATTTGAGTGAAAAGCTTTACGCTAATATATATTCATTGTAGTTATGATAGAAAACATTAGAAACCATCTAAAAGACCGACAACAAAAAAACTGTAAAATAAATGATACTGAATCTACTAGGTGTAGTCTGTAGATACTAAAATAATAATATGGCATGAGCCTGGAGTTCCAGCTACTCATGAGGCTGTGCCCGGGAGGATGGCTTGAGCCTGGGAGGTTGAGGCTACTGCACTCCAGCTGGGGCAACACAGCGAGACTCTATCTAAAAAAAATAAGTACATCAAATAATAGTAACTATGAAGCCACTACATAGAAAAGTTTATAATAATTGTGAAAAGCAAGGTACAAAAAAGTGTGTGTGTGTGTGTGTGTGTGCATGTCTACACATTGGGAAAGGACTTAAAAAAAAAAAACAGCAAAATACTACCAGTGTCTGTGTTTAGGAGTTGTAATTATGAATAGGGAGGGTTTTTCTTTTCTTTTTCTCTGCTTTTCAAAGTTTCTGTAATGTGGTTATATTCCTGTTATAAATATATATATAAATTATATGTTACTTTTATAAATACATATATCTGAAACCTCCCTGGAATTAAGGAGTTCTGAGCAAGGAGTTCCTTTCCCAAAGAAGGACCACCACGCAGCAGTTCTCTATCCATGCCAAGTTAGTCAAACCACCAAGGAACTAACCGCCAAAGGGATCCTATTTTTGAATCCACTAGTCTCAAAGCCAGAGACTGGAAGGTGGGCAGGGTCTGTGCCCTTCTTACCTGGGAAACACTAGCTAACTCTTGGGCTTGCAATGAAACACCTGGAGGGGCGGAAATGAGAGGCCAAGAGGAGCTCTGTCCCCGGGGCAGCCCTGCGGCTGGTGGCTGCAAAGGAAAGACCAGGCAGTCTCTTTTGCCTTAAGACTCGCTCCATGGCCGCCTTGAAAAAGGGAAGTTTATGTAAAGTTAGGGAAGAAAAAACTGTGTAGATAGGTTCTTTAAGAGATAGCGAATGGGGGCAAATACTTCCCAGGAAGAAAGTTTCAGTGGCAATTTGGAGAAATGAAAGAGACAATTCAGGTGTGTGTGTGTGCTCTTGCCGCGATTGGGAATTAGAGATCTTTCTAAGCTTTGGACTGGATTTCGTAGACAAAGGAACTGGATTGGGACTAGCGTGTTTTAGAGCTGGAACAGATTTAAAGAGGAAGTTGGCAAGAAACTAAAGTTTCCTGAGTGCTGCCTACTATGTGCCAGACGCTTTAAAAACATTATCCCTTTTCATCCTCAGGGTAGCTTAATCCGGAAGATACTATTGTCCTTGATTTACAGGGGGAAGAAATTGAGGCTCAGAGAATAATTGTCCGAGGTTACACAGGGGAGAGTGGTAGAGCCAGGAGGGAGACCTCCCGCTGTCTTGACACCAGAGCCCAAGCCCTTTCCTCTAGGTCTAGGCCAACTCCTTTCTTTGGATTTGAGGAAACTGAAAGCCAGGGAGAGTGAGTGATTACACCTTCCTGTACAACTCATCAGAGAAAAGGAAGGTCTTGAAGCCAAGTCCTCTGATCCCCAGCGCCATGCTTTTTCCACTACTCCACAGGGCCAACCACCCACCATTGCCGGGAGGCTTCTGTCTCACCTGCTGCATCTGTTGGATTATCCTTTCTGGGACAACTCCTGGATGATTGGGAAGCCCAGGTTGATGTCTCTCTGGGTTCGTTGCTATTTGAGGCTTTATTGTTATTAACATCAGTTTTATTTTTATTTCATTTGATTGTTCACTTCTGTATTTCCTCCCAGGCGGTTAATATTTGTTGAAAAACATTATCTGTGAAATAAAGAACATGTAACTGAATACATAAAAGCTGTTTGCCCCGGGGCTTTATGTTTGAAACTGAAGTCTGCACAACCATTGAGTGTATTATCTGGATGATATCTAATACCACCACTTTAGAGTGTGAGAATGAAACCTTTTCTTAAAAGGAAAAAATTAGAAAAGAATATTGACCTTCCTAATGTTTCCCAGCACAAAGAAATCCATCTACTGTAGATTCCAAGACAGACCAGACCAATATGTTGACATGCTGGGCTCAGATTTCATTCCTGAAAATCTGGAACCTTATGCTATATAAATAACATGATCTTTTCCTTCGTTCAAATCAAGAGGAGAAACAATTGCTGGCAGATCTCAGGGTTTGCCCTCCCCCTAACTGTCCCCACAAGTCCTAGCTTGCTACCCACAAGTCATGACTCGCATATTTTCATTTGACGAGTTTTGAAACATTCTGGAAATCATAGGGAGAAAGAGAACCAGATCCTCCTGAGAAACAAAGGGGAAAAAATGGAAACAAAAAAGAGCATAAAGGAAAATGTCTTACATATATAAGTTTATATTGAAATAGTTAATGGGACTTGAAAGTAAATTTTCTAGGGTATATAGCCTTGTCAGCTATAGAAGCACTGTTAGATCCGTCTTCATTTTTCAGAAGAACAAACTGTTATAGAGAAGTTATGTGCCCAAGGCCATAGAAGGAACTGGCTAACATGAACTTCTGGTCAAGTTCTTACTTCTCTGGGTCAATCAGGTGATCTAAATACCACATTTTGGCCGGGCATGGTGGCTCACGCCTGTAATCCCAGCACTTTGGGAGGCTGAGGCAGGCGGATCACCTGAGGTCAGGAGTTTGAGACCCCAACTCTACTAAAAAAAAAAAAAAAAAAAAAGCTAGACGTGGTGATACGTGCCCGTAATCCCAGCTACTCAGGAGGCTGAGGCAGGAGAACTGCTTGAACCTGGGAGGCACAGGTTGCAGTGAGCCGAGATTGCGCCACTGCCCTCTAGCCTGGGCAACAGAGCAAGACTACGTCTCAAAAAAAAAAAAAAAATCAAATAAATAAATGCCACATTTTAATCTTAGTAGAATTTTTTTTTAATTTTAATTTAAATTTTTTTTTTTTGAGATGGAGTCTTGCTCTGTCGCCCAGGCTGGAGTGCAGTGGTGCCATCTCGGCTCACTGCAAGCTCCACCTCCCAAGTTCACGCAATTCTCCTGCCTCAGCCTCCCGAGTAGCTGGGACTACAGGCACCCGCCACCACGCCCAGCTAATTTTTTGTATTTTTAGTACAGACGGGATTTCACCATGTTGGCCAGGATGGTCTTGATCTATTGACCTCGTGATCCACCCGCCTCGGCCTCCCAAAGTGCTGGGATTACAGGTGTGAGCTACCATGCCTGGCCCCTGATCTCCTTATAAGGAGTATTGGTTTTCATTTCCCAGGAGCATTAGGATAATAGTCAAAGGCCATTGTTGCCTGGGCTTGTCCCTCATTCCCACCCCTCTACTTCACTTCCACTCCGCCTCATGCTCCCACTTCCCAATATAAGGCCTAGTTTTCCATGAGTTATGAGAGCAACAACTAACTGAAATTCTCTCAGGCATTTCAAGATATACTAGGAGATCCTACCTATCCTGCAAAAATAGCAGCTTTTAAATGGACTAGTTTTCTTACAGAATGACAGGAAAAGCTGGGATCCAGAAAGATGCATCAAGTCAATCACAACCTTAAAAGTAGTAAGATTATGTTTTCAAGAAATACAATTTTATTACTTTCAATCATGCAGTAATAGTAACAACTAACAAAGTACTGCCCAAAGAGCTTGGATTTACCTCTTTGAATGGATATAAGAAAATAATATGGAATATTCACATTACTGTAAGCACAGATTTCCAGGTAGGAGACTTAAAGACATTTGGTCTCTTTAGTAAGGCCAACACACTTTTTTTTTTTTTTTAAGAGATAAGTCTCATTGTGTTGCCCAGGCTATGTTGCCCAGGCTGGTTTTGAACTCCTGGGCTCAAGCAAGCCTCCCACTTCAACCTCCTGAGTAGCTGGGACTACAGGGAAGTATCACCGGGCCCAGCTTGTTAACACACACATAATAGAACATTGCTTTTTTTTTTTATTTTTTATTTTATTTTTTTTTTTGAGACAGTCTGGCTCTGTCACCCAGGCTGGAGTACAGTGCTGCATCATCATAGCTCACTGCAACTTCAAACTCCTGGGCACAAGTGATCCTCGCTCACTACAGCCTCCCAAGTAATTGGGACTACAGGCATATGCCGTCGTGCCCACCTAATACTTTTATGTTTTGTAGAGATGGGGTCTCAAACTCCTGGGCTCAAGCAATCCTCCCACCTCAGTCTCCCAAAGCGCTGAGATTATAGGTGTGAGCCACTGTGTCTAGCCAAACTTTGCTTTTCAAAACTATTTTCATGGATATCCCAAAGCAGCACTATCCAGTAGAACTTTCTAAGACCATGGAAATATCCCATATTTGTGCTGTCCAATATGGCAGTTACTAGCCACTTGTAGCTGCTAAGCACTTGAAATGTGGCTAGTCAACTGAAAAGCTGAATTTTTTTATTTTGCTTAATTTTACTTAAATTAAATAGCTACATGTGGCTACTGGTTAGCTTATTGGACAGTTCAATTCCAAAGTAAACCTCGGCCCAGTCAAGGCTTTAGTCACCCTGCCACCTAACGATAGTGACCCCTGGAAAGCCTCCTTTTAGCAAAGCAGTGTTCAAAAAGATTAATATAACCACTTTCCTGAAAAGTTTGAAAATAAGAGAAAGGGAAAATAATCCACCATCCCTAATCTCAGGATTACAACTCCCATGGATACACTTTGGTGCATTTGTCTCCCAGCTATGCCCAGCTTACTCATTAGGATCTTGAGCGTTTTGTCAGTCAGAAGGACTTCACAGGGCAACAATAGACTTGTACTCTTCACTGGGCCCCGGTTCTCCTCAGGGGCAGCCATGGCTGGTTAGCTGTGGCCTCCTAAGAGTGCTTCAGGAGTGCTGAGCAGTGGGGCAGCCACCATGGCATCCCAGTTTTGACTCACCAGTGGAAAGGGTCCTCTGTGTGTTCCAGTCTCATGTCCTGTCCTACCTTCTAACTTCCAGAAACTCTCCTGAGGAGATGAATTCTAAAATTGTGGAGCTAGAAAAGTTTCTAGCAATGAGCTCATTCAACCCACTTAGAGGACAGATGAAGACACATGGCCAGAACCTGAAAGAGATTGGATGTCTGACTCTTGACTCCCAGTCCAGTGCTCCTTCCACTCAACCACAGATCCTTTCAGCAGTCTCCCAGGTCCAGTGGCTGGGGCCCACACCTCCTGACACTGCCATGGCACAGCTGCCAAGGGGCGAAAGGAGAGGGGCAGCATGTAATGCCATTATTCTCTCCCAAACATTCTCCCTGCTCCATTTGCTCAGCAAAGAGCCAGTGCCCCACAGCTGTACCTAGCCTATGTCCCCCAAGAAGCCCCAGCCAGATAGCAAGGCCACCATTGTCTCTCCCCACCACCCACAGCCATGATGAAAGGCTCTGTCTGCTTGTGTCCGCCGTTCCCTTCTTTCTGGCTTTCTCAGAATGGCCAGGCGGAAAATCTGATCCTAGTTCTTTCCCACACAGGAAAGAAAGGCTCCCACAATGGACGCAGCCTCCTTATAGGGTGCCCATGGCATGCCAAAGGGAGGACCATGCTCCTCCAGGATGCCGGCTCTAGCCCTCGGTCATTTGCCCACACTCTCCTGACCCTTTGGGGGATTCCTCTGGCTAGGGCACACGTGCATGACTCTCCTCCCTATCCCCTCCTGCTTTCTCTAAGAGCCCTGGTCGTCACGTGGCCTCCAGTAATTTGGAAGTCAGGACCCTATTGCTACCTTCCAAATCCCCTAGCCCCATTTGCTCCCAGTAAATTTAAACAACTGCATGAGTGGGTCTAAACTCCCCTTTGTGCTATAATTAGGCTGGAACAAGGCTCACCCCAGGACAGAAATACTGTACGGGGCGGGTTATAGACTGCTGCTGGTCCCCACAGTAGGGAAGAAGCGACCTTTTGAATAGGAGGATTAACACATTAGCACATAGATTCCTGCTTCCGGGGAAGGCTGAATTCTAGGATAAGAGCTCCAGCTTTTATGTGAGCAGGGAGGAAGGGGGGAGCAATGCACACTAAAGACTTTGTGTATTCCTGGGTTATCTGGGGGGTAAACACAAGAAGAATCCGACAGGCACCATCCAGAGGGGCAGGGCAGCTCAAGACCCTCCCAGGCTCAATGTTGTGAATGGTGATGATAGGAACCCTGGAACGAAAAGCATCTCCCGTTGTCTCCTTGTTCGTTCCTGACAGGCAGTGCTGGACACCTGGAATGCTGTGGCGAAGCCCAGAGAACATGGGCACTAAAGTTAGACACACAGGAGTACCTGGAAAACCAGCTGCGTGACCTTGGGCTGGTGCCTGCCCCTCTCAGGGTGCCTCTGTTTCTTCCTCTTTACAATAGGGGATAGTAACTCTATCTCATAAGGTTGTTAAAGAGGATTAAATGAGATAGCATAAGAAAGCACCTAGAAACAAACAAGTAACACCTGGCAGGCCCTCAACAGATGGTAATGCCTCGCCCTCAAACATACTCTCTGCCACCCCCATTGGCAATGATTTCATCAGTAAATTCCCCCACTGAATCACATCTTTGACTCTATTTCCAGCTACACCCCAGGACAGTTGTCCTATTACTCTCCCCTCTTTGTGCATTAGTTATACGAGGCAGAGTAGAAGTGACTGTAGCCACCAATCCTCCAGTTTTCCTTCAAAGGGCTCAGCCTTGGAGCATGGTTGGGCTAAGCTGGTGATCATCTCAGCCCTGCCACTCTCAGAGGAACACATGAAGAAGTCCTTCAAGTCCTCAAGGGCCATAGGGGAGGTGGTAGCTGGAAGGGGATCCATGCGGCAGCCCCTGCCCTGTGTACCCCATCATAGAAGCTAATTGACATGGGCCCTGAGCCAGCAAGAGAGGAAATAAACAATCAAGGGGCCGGGCGTGGTGGCTCATGCCTGTAATCCCAGCACTTTGGGAGGCCGAGGCAGGCGGATCACGAAGTAAGAAGATGGAGACCATCCTGGCCAACATGGTGAAACCCCGTCTCTACTAAAATTAGCCAGGCGTGGTGGTGCATGCCTGTAGTCCCAGCTACTCGGGAGGCTGAGGCAGGGGAATTGCTTGAACCGGGGAGGCAGAGGTTGCAGTGAGCCGAGATCATGCCACTGCACTCCAGCCTGGCGACAGAGCAAGACTCCGTCAAAAAAAAAAAACAAAAACAAAAAACAAACAAAAAACAAAACAGCTTTAAAAGTATTCCCTCTTTTATTTTTTATTTTTTTAATTTTTTTTTTTTAGACAGGGTCTCACTCTATCACCCAGGCTGGAGTGCAGGGGCACAATCGACCATAGCCCACTGCAGCCTCAAACTCCCAGGCTCAAGTGATCCTCCCACTCAGCTTTCTAAGTAGCTGGGACCACAGGTGCATGACAGAGTTAATTTTTGTATTTTTTTATAGAGACAGGGTCTTGCTCTGTTGCCCAGGTTGGTCTGGAACTCCCAGTCTCAAGCAATCCTCCTGCCTCAGCCTCCAAAATGCTGGGATTACAGGCATGAGCCACGGCACCTGGCCTTTCCCTCTCTTACAAGAGAAGGAGAAAGAGGAAGAGAAATCTTAAAAAAAAAAAACAAAAAAAAAAAACTTTAAAAAACTTTGAAAGCAAAAGAGAACCTGATAATAATAAAGTCTTTCTCAAATCTAACAAAACATCAGACTCAAGAAAGTATCTGGGTTTTTGAGTTACTAAAATCATAAAGACCGATCCTGCACCTCTGGGTTAAGATTTGGAGGTGGAAGAAGACATTCAGACCCCAAACCTCCAGGACAGTCACACCTCTGTGGCTTTTTAGAGATCAGGCAGTGTGCAAAACCATATGAAAGTATTGGAGAGAAGCCTCCCTTACCCCCCATAACAGATCTTCCTTACACAGAACAGCACAGGAGGCCAGTTCATTTTTATGGCTTCTGCTTTCTGTTTAGCTCAAGATTAGCAGATAAGGTGAGAGGACAAGTCATGAACATCTGTAGGCCTCAGTTTCTTCATCTGTAAACTGAAGGTGGGTAACAATACCTGCTCTGGCCACACTCCAAGGGGACAGTGCCATCTAAGATTTCTGTTGAAATCTTAACATTTAGCCAGGCTTAGCTAGCACAGTGGCTCACGCTGTAATCCTAGCACTTTGGGGGGCTGAGGCTAGGGCAGGTCGCTTGAGTCCAGGAGTTCAAGACCAGCTTGGGCAACATGGAGAAACCCTGCCTCTACAAAAAAATACAAAATAATTAGCTGGGTGTGGTGGTACACGCCTGTAGTCCCAGCCACTCAGGAGGCTGAGGTGGGAGGATCACCTGAGCCTGGGGAGGTCGAGGCTGCAGTGAGCCATGATTGTGCCACTGCATTCCAGCCTGGGTGACAGAGTGGGACTCTGTCTCCAAAAACAAACAAAAAAAAAGAAAGAAAGAAAGAGAAAGAAAGAAAAAAAATTCTTGTTTTTTTCTTAGAACAAGAAAGAAATCTTAATATTCATTGAGCACTTATGTTCCAGGGGTGTGCTGAGTCTTGCTGCTTTGATTTTGGTCCAGGTTCTTGAAAAGGCTTTGCAAATTGTAAATAGATTACTCCTCCCCTCCCCCAAGGTAAAGTATTATTATTGAAAGTAGTATTCAAAAGTCCTGAACGCTTTCTTTGTAATGAATACTCATTTGAAGGCTGAATACATTTAAAGCTTAGATGGAACACAGGATAGCTCTAAATCTGCCTCTTTAAACGCACATGTCCAGGTTGTGTCAATCAGGAGGGAATGGCTGAATTCTGCTTTGTGAATAGCCACTCTTTCTAGGGAATGATGATTTGTGTGGGGTCACAGGTCAAGAATGCTAATTTCATGTCTTTTGCTCTTACAGTACCTTTAGGGGACTGGCAAGCTAGTGAAAAATGGTTTGTAGTTTTGTAAACATGTTGTATTTCCTTGCCAAGCTTGCTTGGTGGCAGATCTTCCTTGGGGCAGAGGAATGGACTTGCCTTGGAGAGTTGCTGAACAGATGGAATGCAGGGCCTGCCTGGCACCCGGAAAGTCCAACACCAGAAGGAAGGGCCAACACCTGGAGTGTCCAATTCCCTGAGGGCCAAAGCAGGAACATCTTAACTTACTCCAGGAAGTGCTGGGACGGGAGCCACGCCCCAAGCAGGAGACCAGCTTGGGGGCTCCTACTTTGATTTCTAGAGAAAGAAATCCACATACGAGAGCAGGGTCTGGCAGTGGCCCTGGAGCCAAAAGCCACTGAGCTTAGGATGTCAGGGTCTCACATGTAGTCGCTTTGAATCATGAGCAGTCGGGGCTTTGGTTTCGCAAATTTTGGCAAAGAAGCAGGATATGTGGTTAGAGAGACTAAATCAGAAACTTAAACAATTCCCTGCTTGGAGAACTCATTACCTTAGCAGGCAGCCTATTTAAATTGTAACGGCTCTAATGGGTTCGAAAGCTCTTTCTTAGATAGAGGTGAAATCCGCCTCCTTGGACCTTCTCCCCTTTGTTCCCAGCTCCGCCTTTAGGAACCACACGGATTAAATCTGTTTCCTCTTCCCCCAACAGACCTCAGCAATGTTGTTTTCCCACTCTCAGATTTGGTTGGGCACCTGCTATGGTCATATTCAGTTGGTTAGATGTCTTTCCATCCTTAGGATTCTATGTAGGGAGGTAAGTGATCCTAAGCGGGATATGACAGTCCCTAAGTCACATAGTATCCCAGTGGCTCTACTAGGAATGCCTCCTTACTCCAAGTATGCCCTCTTCTATCCCCTGCAGACAAAAAGGCTGCCCTGAATTTCCATTATCCACCAGACAGACAGTTGTGCTTTTTTTTTTCCTTGAGTCGAAGCCTCCCTCTGTCGCCCAGGCTGGAGTGCAATGACACGATCTCAGCTCACTGCAACTTTCGCCTCCCGCATTCAAGCGATTCTCCTGCTTCAGCCTCCTTAGTAGCTGGGATTACAGGCGTGTGCCACCATGCCCGGCTAATTTTTTGTATTTTTAGTAGAGACAGGGTTTCACCATGTTGGCCAGGCTGGTCTCGAACTCCTGACTTTAAGTGATCTACCTGCCCCGGCCTCCCAAAGTGCTGGGATTACAGGCGTGAGCCACTGTGCCTGATCGACAGTTGTGCTTTGGCTAACCTGGGAAATGAATCCCTAGCCAACAGAGGCAAATATCATATAAAACCCCATAGAGTCAGTGCCTCTGCTGTGGCGGTAGGAGCAGTAATCAAAAGGTGTTTACAGTATTACATGCATTTTAAAAGGTCGAGTTTTTCAAAATATACACCCACCCTCCATCTGCTTCACCCTCACTCCCTTTGGCTCCCATCACTCTTAACAGGCAGTTTGCTGTCAATTGCACAGAAGGTAATCTGAGCACATGCTGTAGAGGCAATTACATGTAATCTACTGGTGGAGATGACTGAGCCACCCCCGGTGCCACCTCCCCCAAACCCCCATCTCCTCACTGCCTGGCTTTCCCTCCTGAACTGCCCTTGGCAGCCTTGGATTCCGGTTTCTTTGGCTCTGTCTGCACCAGCCAGCCAGCCAACCAGCCAGCCACAGTCATCAGTGAATGCCACTTAATACAACTTAAGCTGGAGCTTCTAACTAGCCTGTTGACCATGTCTCCAAGGTCAGCCAGCAACTTCTGTTGAGGCCCTGCCCTGTGCTAGTCTCTGTGAGAGCGAGAGGGAAACAAAAGAAATCAAAGCCAGGGGCCCTTGTCTCCCATGAGTTTACAGGCCTAATTAGCGATCTCCAAGCGGCTCTCTTGAGAAAAGCCTTAAGGACACTTACAAAACAACTTACAAGTGGGTATAATAGGGAGGGGAGTGAGCCTAGGGGAGAGTCTAAGTTCCTTGAGGGGAGGGCCCGGCCTTTGTGTCCTCCAGGGAAGGGCCTCTCCACTTCCTCATTAACCTTTTGTCTGGAGCAATTACAAAGAACTTTAGACTGGCCAGTCACTTTCTCTTTCTCTCTGGTCTCAGGCTCAAGGATCAAGTTGACAAATATGGGGACTTCATTGACTTCAGATGGGGGAATTTCAAAATCTCGCCAAGATGACTGAACAGGCCTTTGATGTAATGTATATCCATTTGGAGCTCAGCATTCCAGTCAAGGGGAGGAAGGATAAAGCTTTCCTCTTGAGCGTCCTCCCCCATCATCTTCTGCTTTAATATAATAATAGAAGTACTCATAATAATAGCAGCTGCTAGGCTAGGTATGGTGGCTCATGCCTGTAATCCCAGCACTTTAGGAGGCTGAGGTGGGAGGATTGCTTGAGCTCACAAGTTCCAGACCAGCTTGGGCAACATAGCGAGACATCATCTCTACTAAAAACAAAAATAAAAATAAATAGCTGGGTGTGGTGGTGTGCTTCTGTAGTCTCAGCTACTCAGAAGGCTGAGGCGGAAGGATTGTTTGAGCCTGGGAAATCAAGGCTGCAGTGAGCTGAGATTGTGCCACTGCACTCCAGCCTGCTGGGTGACAGAGCAAGACCCTGTCACAAAAAAAAAAAAAAAAATTTTATATCTATACATACGCTTCTAATTATTGTATACCTATTCCATGTCGGGCACTTTACCTATATTATCTCACTTAATACAACTTCACATATCATTATTCCAATATAATTTTTTTAAGTTAAATGACAATATTCATTATTTTTATTCTTTTTTGAGACAGGGTCTCACTCTTACCCAGGCTAGAGTGCGGTGACATGATGTCGGTTCACTGCAGCCTCAACCTCCTGAGCTCAAGCAATCCTCCCACTTCTGCCTCCAGCCTGTAGCCTGAGACTGAGGCAGGAGATTAGGGTCTGGAGGCAGAGAACCTAAGGCCGTTTCACACTGACTTCCTAGAACAATTTAGTTAGAAAGGAAAACCCTAACTATCCACTCCTGAGTAACAAAAGGACCAGAGGCTACTCTCTTTGCAAAGCCCCGCCTTTTCTGCACTGGCAGATGGGAAATTGAAAGAAACTTTGTAACTTCACTTCAGCCTCTGATTGATTGCTGTATCCAACCAATCACACTGATTGCAGGCCAAGAATTCATTTGCATAGAAGTGCAACGTTGTAACTTCACTTTAGCCTCTGATTGGTTGCTTCCTGCAACCAATCAGATGTTTGCATAGGAGTGTGTCCTTTGTAACTTCACTTCAGCAGAAAGCAGAATGTAGAAAGCAGCCAATCAGAATGATTGCAGGCCACCACTTCATTTACATGGAGTGAACACCAGGTGGCCAATGGGAAACCTCTAGGGGGTATTTGTACCCGAGAAGATTCTGTATCTGGGGCCCTTAAGCAGCTGCTCTGGCCTGCTCCCACCCTGTGGAGTGTACTTTCATTTTCAATCAATCTCTGCTTTTGTTGCTTCATTCTTTTCTTGCTTTGTTTGTGCATTCTCTCCACTTCTTTGTTCAAAACGCCAAGAACCTGGACACCCTCCACCGGTAACAGGACTACAGGTCATCTGATTTTTGTTGAGAAAAGGGGATTCGCCATGTTGCCCAGGCTGAGATATTGATTATTTTCAAATACAAAATGTTCATTATGTTAAATGAACATTTTGTATTTGTTCAAAAACAATAATCTGCAAAAACAAGAAGGCATTCTTCCACTTGGCTTGGCAGTGATGAAAACTTACCCAGTGTTCTGAGTCCAATCTGGAGCCCTTCTGTGAGGTGGTGAAAAGAAATTCGAAGAGGGCCCTGAAGAAAACACCAAAGGCATGAAAAGTTCTGAATATACCAGTGAGATCCTGCTGTAAGACTTCTCATCACAGCCCCATTTCCCTATAGCAAAATGCTGTCTAAACCTCTAGGCAGTGGCACGTTTATTTAAAGCAATGTTTAGATCAACAGAAATTGAGATAGTCCCTGCATGTTTTTTCAAAAAAAAATCTGTATGACCCATTAGGGTAAAAAAAAAAAAAGTGGCGTAAGCTAATATTTACTAATATTTATCATCTGTACACTATGTTCAAGATACCTTTAATCTTCACAGCCAACTTTTGAGGAAGATATTATTATTATTATTATTATTATTATTATTATTATTATTATGAGATGGAGTCCCACTCTGTTGCCCAGGCTGGAGTGCAGTGGCTCAATCTCAGCTCACTGCAACCTCCACCTCCCAGGTTCAAGCAATTCTCCTGTCTCAGCCTCCTGAGTAGCTAGGATTACAGGTGTGCACCACCATGCCCAGCTAATTTTTTTTTTTTGTAATTTTAGTAGAGGTGGGGTTTCAAGATGTTGGCCAGGCTGGTCTTCAGCTCCTGACCTCTGAATGCTGGGCTTACAGGCGTGAGCCACCACACCCAGCTGGAAGAAGATGCTATTTTTATTCTCATTTTACAACTGAGGAAACTGAAGCCTAGAAAGGTTAAGTAACTTTCCCAAGGTCACATCTGGACAAAATGGCAGAGCAAGGATTCAAACACAAGTTTGTCCAATCTCAAATCGAATGTCCTTTCCATTACATCACATTGCCCCCTTTCAGTTAATGAGAAAACCCAGACTAGGAGAGAACTGAGGGCCAATCTCAGTTTATCCAGCCTATCCTCCATCTGTCGAGCCCCAGGCAGAGTACTGAGCTGCTCCTTATCTCCTGTGGGCCAGTGGAAGAGCCCACGGTCCTAAACTGCAATAGGAAGACTCTTCAGTCACTAAGCTTCACCCCATTGAAAGGGCAGTGGTTACCCAGGCTTGAATTGGCACTGAAACAGCAGCCCTGTCCAGGCAAGACACCTGGGCTCACTTTGGCCTAATGTGGGCGAGTCCCTCTGCAGCTTGCTGCCACGAACTCCAGGCCACACACAAGGGTGAGGAGGCCCACCCTCCCCCGGCAAACCCCGTGGAAGCTGGGGGAGCCCTTCCTGCCTGTCAGGCTGGGTGAACCCCAGGCCAAGTTCCCAGCAGGGCTGGTAGCCTCTCCCTCTCTAGGAACCTCTAGCCACCTGTTTGAGGTGTCTTGTCCTGGACCTGCCTGGCAGCATAAGACTGGATCTGGCAACTCCCTGAAGCCCCTTGCAGTGCAGTGAGACAGCTCCCAGAAAGCTCCATGGCCCTGAGGGCCAGGTAGCCTCGCTAGGGCCAGAGAGGAAGCTGAGGCTGGTCCATATGATATTCAGCCCAGGAGGCAGCTATGCCAGACGGTGCAGCCAGAACAGTGGGCCACCGTCTCTGTCTCTATTGCTTCTCTTTATGCATAATGGATCATGATTAGAATACTTGGAATGTCTGTGGGGCCTGTTTTCCAGAAGCTCAAAGCCCAATAGAGTACTTGAGTTTCTCAGTCAGTCTCACACACAGAGGCACACACACACTTTAAAGAGCAGGCCAAAAAGTGTTATAAATAAAATTCTAGAACATGAGTGGGAGGAATAAACAGGAGAATTTCACTGTAAGAGATGAAAATGCACCAACTCCTTGTGGATGGCTTCCCTCTGACAACCCACAATTGTGCTATTAATCTGAAACAGGCCTAGATATATTGTTGCTTTGCTCAGGTTTCTCCTTCTTCTCCCTGTCAATACATGTGTTAAAGATGGTGTAAATACAGTTAGTTTTCCAGATAAAGCTAACCGTAAGAGAAAGAACGTAGTCTTCATTGGCACAGTAAGAATATAACCCAACTGGTCACACATCATCAAGCCTGCTTTCCTTCCAACCACACAGGGTTCTACGCTGCCAACCCCTAGGTTCTGCTCACTTCCTCCTCTCACTCCCTCTGTGTCCACTCTTCCTCCAAGCTAAAGTGTCTCCCAGTCTCCTCTCTCTGCCCATCCTCAAATGTTCCTCATCCTCTAGGCCAGGAATGTTCAATCTTTTTGCTTCTCTGGGCCATATTGGAAGAAGAATTGTCTTCGACCATGCATAAAATACACTAACACTAACGGTAGCTGATGCACTTAAAAGTTTTTTCAAAAAAAATCGCATAATGTTTTAAGAAAGTTTATGAATTTGTGTTGGGCCGCAAAGCCTCCGTGGGCTGCGAATTGGACAAACTTGCTCTAGACCTTTATTCAAGGCATTCTATTTATCTGGTATGCCCTCAGCCCTCTTCCTACCCCTTCG
Source organism: Homo sapiens (assembly GCF_000001405.40). Classification (NCBI taxonomy): domain Eukaryota; kingdom Metazoa; phylum Chordata; class Mammalia; order Primates; family Hominidae; genus Homo; species Homo sapiens. Next base: position 133,431,535 of record NC_000023.11, on the reverse strand, counting down.
AGGCCTCTCTGGTATGAATAACTCCCCTTGCCTGAGCCCATCCACAGAAAGCCCAATGACCTCACCCCTCCTCTGACCATGAGGACCACTGGCTATCTGAATCTAACACACACTGCCTGCCTTGTGAATTAATGTTTAGGTCTCCACAAATAGTGGATGCTCTTGCAGTACAGGCCAGGGCTGGGTTTTTTTCCCTAATCATAGTATATGCTTGTGACGTGACTTTTTTTCAAAACTTCAAAAGCAAGGTGTTGTCCAGGAGTTGATTCTGGTTTTGATGACTTTAACTGAAACATCATTTGTCTTACTAAATGGCTGTGTACATGATTCATAACTCCTGTGACAATTCCTATATCAGTTTATTCCTCCCTCCTTCTTCTCTCCTCCTTCCCACCTCCCACCCCCAGTTTTTTGGCTAGTGTTCATGGTGGGCTAAATGATTCCTATTTTTCAGGCCAAGGTAGCATTTTCTAAAATAACACAAGAGCCAGCTCCATAGCTCTAGAACTTCTTTCAACTCTTATGTTCCCCAAGCTAGGAAATACACAGAGAGGTTGCTAGCAAGTAGAAAGATGTTTTAGTTAGGAATCCACAAATTAGAAATAAAAGAGTTCATGGAAAAAGACTGGTTCTGGAAGGCTCAGAAGAACTCTTAGAGAATCTGTTAAATCATATTTTTGTCTGCTGTTTGTAAATGTGACTCGCTTTGAAACCATCTGTTATGCAGTCCTTTGGAGAGAGCTGAGAAGTATTTAAATCTGGGAAAATGAGTATATTTTTGTATCTACCAAAGAAATGTTTTAATGGGTCCCTGCTGCATGTTGTCCGGTGCATTCTTTGAAATGTGATTTTATCCAATTGTCAAGTAACATTTAGAATGGAATTCAAGGAGGGGATGTGGCAGTACACAGTGCACAGAGGGGCTGCTGCAGTTTGCAGTGTAGTATGCTTTCACGGAATGAACAGAGGGCCTGCAAGGCAGGTGGTACAGCAGTGTTTCTTCACGGGTGCAGAGTGGGGTCAAAGCTTTTGCTGCTGCTCTCTCAGTTTAGGGAAGCAGCCATTCCCCAGGTTGGGGGAGGACCTAGGACAGCTGCTCCTTAACCCCTAGCAAACAGTTAGCTTTGTGCAGCCAAAATTGGGCATTGCTGACAGCTCCGCAATTCAACCTTTATAACATTTCTGTTTTCACTACTGCCTTCGGTCCCTATGGCTAATATCACCAACTGAGCAGTGCCCAAGACGTCTAAATTACTGGTGTAGCAGCAGCTGTTACAGTAAGGAATTCGAAAATCATCGAAAAGGCTTCCTCATGTTGTATGGAGAAGGTAGACTCAAAGAAAAACTCCTTTTTCCAAACACCTGTAAGATTAATTTACTGGTGTTGCACACATGCTGTTGTGGACCATCAATTGTCTCTTGGTGGGGCATGTCTTGGCTGCCCAGTAAAATTGTAAGCCTTTTGAGGGCCAGGATCATGTCTAGTGCAAAAATTGAGTGTCAGAGCTGGACAGAACTTCCAGAGTTCAAATACCAGAGATGAGAAAATTGGGGACAAGAAAGTGGTAAGTGGCAGAGTTAGAACTGAATTGGAAGCCATAGGACTCACAGCCCAATAATTTCACATCATGCCAACCTCCAACATTTGCTACTGACAGACTACTCAATGACTGCCCCACAGAGGGAAACAGGATAGAACTTTCACTTATAACACCCAGACACAATCCATGAGAAAGAAAGTGTGTCAGTCATGCACAGTGGCTCACACCTGCAATCCCAGCCCTTTGGGAGGCGGAGGCAGGAGGATCGCTGGAGTCCAGGAGTTTGAGACCAATCTAGGCAACATGGGGAGACCCTATCCTTACAAAAATAAAATAATAAAAATTAAAAAAATTAGCCGAGCATGGTGGTGCATGTCTGTAGTCCCAGCTACTCAAGAGGCTGAGGTGAGAGGATCACTTGAGCCCAGGAGTATGAGGCTGCAGTGAATTATGATTGTGCCACTGCACTCTAGCCTGGGTGACAGAGACAGACTGTGTCTTTCACTATTTTAAAAAAAGTATATCAACAGGCCAGGCACAGTGGCTCATGCCTATAATCCCAGCACTTTGAGAGGCCGAGGTGGAAGGATTGCTGAGGTCAGGAGTTCAAGAC